>NW_021160017.1:0-2750224 GCF_000001405.40 Homo sapiens | reverse complement strand
CATCATTTCATCTCATCTCGTATCTTCTCATCTCATTTCAATTTCATTTCATTATTTCATTTCATTATTGCATGTCATCTCATCTCATCATTTCATCTCATCACATCTCATCATTTTATCATTTTATTTCATCATCTCATCTTATCATTTCATCTCATCTCATTTCAATTTTATTTATTTATTTCAATTTCATTTCATTATTTCATTTCATTTCATCTCATCAGTTCATCTCATCATTTCATCTCATCATCTCATCTCATCTCATCATTTCATCTCATCATTCATCTCATCATTTCATATCATTTTATCTCATCTCATCATTTCATCTCATTTCATCTCATCTCATTTCATCATTACATCTCATTTCATCTCATTTTATGTCATCATTTCATGTCATCATTTCATCACATCTCATCTCATCATTTCATCATTTCATCTCATTTCAACTCATTGCATCTCATCTCATCATCTCCATTTCATTATTCCATTTCATCATTTCATTTAATTATGTCATTTCATCTCATCATATTTCATCTCATTTCATCTCATCTCATCATTTCATTTCATCTCATCATTTCATCTCATTTTATCTCATCTCATCATTTCATCATTTCATCTCATCATTTCTTCTCATCTCATCATTTCCATTTCATTTTCATTATTTCATCGTTTCATTATTTCATTTCATCTCATTTCATTATTTCGTTTCATTATGTCATTACATTTCATCTCATTTCATCTCATCATTTCATCCATCATTTCATTTCATTTCATCATTTCATCTCATGATTTCATCTTATCTCATCATCTCATTTCATCTCATTATTTCATCTCATTTCATCTCATCTCATTTCATCATTTCATTTCATCATTACATCTCATCATTTCAACTCATCTTATTTCAATTTCATTACATTTCATAATTTCCTTTCATTATTTCATTTCATTTCATCTCATTTCATTATTTCATTTCATTATTTCATTTCATTTCATCTCATTTTTCATCTCATCATTTTTCATCTCATTTCATCTCATCATTCATCTCATTTCATCTCATCATTTTATCTCATTATTTCATCTCATCTCATCTCATTTCAATTTCATTATTTCATATCATTTCATTATTTCATTTCATTTCATCTCATCATTTCATCTCATTTCATCTCATCATTTCATCTATCATCTCATCATTTCATCTCATTTCATCTCATCTCATCTCCTTTCAATTTCTTTTCAACTTTGTCATTTCGTCTCATCATTTCATCTCATCATTTCTACTCACCATTTCATCTCAAAATTTCATCTCATCATCTCATCTCATCTCATCACTTTGTCATTTCATCTCATCTCAAGTCATCTTATCATTTCATCTAAGTGAAATGATGGAATCATGAAATGAAATGGATAGGATGCCCTCAGTGATGTTAAATTTAAAAATTGTTTCTTTTCATGTATGCATTTTTATATTTATATGTATTTATATTTATATTTACTTATATTTCTTTTTACTTATTTTTATTTATGTTTTTACTTATTTCTTTATTTATAGACAAGGTCCTGTTCTGTGGCCTAGGCTGGAATGCAGTGGTGCATTCACAGTTCACTGCAGCCTCAAGCAAACCTCCCACCTTAGCCTCCCAGGTAGCTGGGACCCCAGGTGGGCACCACCACACCTGGTTAATATTTTATTATTTGTAGAGATGGAGTCTTGCTATTCTGCCCAGGCTGGTCTCAAACTCCTGGGCTCAAGCAATCCTCCTGCATTGGCAACCCAAAATGCTGGGATGACAGATGTGAGCCACAGTGCCCAACCTATTTATTTATTTATTTATTTATTTATTTATTTAATGAGGACAAGGTCTCACTATGTTGCCCAGGCTGGTCAACTCCTGGACTCAAATGATTCTCCAAACTTGGCCTCTCAAAATGTTGGGATTACAGGTATGAGCCACCATGCCTGGCCTAAAAATAGTATTATATTTTTGTATCATATAATTTTCAATTAGGTAATATGAATATTCTGTACAGGAAATACGCCCTTAATTACATAGGAATAAACATTTGTTACACTGAGAAAAATCTAATAGAGCTAAAAATAAAAATTAATTTGGAAAGGTCATTAGATACTCATACATTCTTACGTTTATACATTCTTTCATATATTCATATATTCTTTTAACAGTATCAATGGTTTGGAGTTATGTGTACAAAACCATGACCTATATGTAATACAACTAATAACAAGCACTTACAATTCAAGGCATATTATATACAAAGCTTTAACTTCCTATCAAAATATTTTGGTTTTTTTCTTTCTGTTTTGGCAGATACTATGAACACAACATTCAACTCACAGACACTATGGAGCCCTTACTAAGCATAAAGTACTGTGAAAGGCCAGGGCTAGGAGAGAACTGAGACAGGGCCAGGGATAGGACAGAACTGGGGCAGGGTCATGGCCAGAGAAAAACCAGGGGCAGGGTCATAGCCAGGGACATGAGAGGACCAAGGCCAGGGCCAGAAGCAGGGCAGAACCAGGGCCAGGGCAGGGACATGGCAGGGCCAGGGCCATGGCAGGATCAGGGTCAGCAGAAGGCCAGGGCAGGGCTAGGGTAGCACAGGGCCAAGGCAGGACAGGGTCAGTGTAGAGCAAGAATGGGCCAGAGTATGGCAGGGCAGGGACAGGGAGGTCCAGGGCCAGAGTCAGGTCCAGGACATGGACAGGGCAGGGCCAGAAACATGGCAGGACAAGAAAGGGGACAGGGCAAGGGCAAGGCCAGAGAAGGACCATGGAAAAAACACGGCCAGGGAGGGTCCAGGGTAAGGGCAAGGCCAGGGCAGAACCAGAGCCAGAGCAGGCCAAAGGCAGGGCCAGGGCAGGGCAAAGCCAGGGTAGGCCAGGGCCAGTGTAGGGTGAGGGTAGGGCCAGGGCGAGTTCAGGGCCAGGGCAGGACTAAGATAGCACAGGGCCAAGGCAGGGCCAGGGCAGGGCCAAAAGGAGGGGCCAGGGCCAAGCATAGCCAGTGTCAGACCTGGGGATTGTCAGGGCCAGGGTCAGGGTCAAGGCTGGGCCAGGGACAGGGCCAGAGCAAGGACAGGGCCAGGGAGAAGGCAGAACCAGAGAGGATCCAGAGCAAGGCCAGGGTCAGGGCAGAACCAGGACCAGGATAAGGCAAAGCCAAGGCCAGGGCAGGGCAAGGCCAGGGAGAAGGCAGGGCCGGGGCAAGGCAGTACCAGGGCAGGGCAGGACCAGTGCAGGGCCAATGCAGGGTGAGGGCAAGGCCAGGGCATGGAAGGGCAGGGCAGGACCAAGGAAGGGCCAGGAGAGGGCCACGGCAGGGTCACGGCCAGAACAAGGGTATGGCTGGGGTCAGGAATATGGTAGGATGAGGGCTGGGCCCAGGCTGGGACATGCAGGGCAGAGCATGGCCTGTGCAAGGCATGGCCAGAGCCAGGCCATAGATATGGGAGGGCAACACCAAGGCAGAGTCAGGGTAGATCCAGGGCTGAGCAGAGTCAGGGCAGGTCCAGAGTCGAGGCAGAGCTAGGGCCCAAGCAGGGCCATGGTAGCACCAGGGCAGACGAGGGCAGGGCAATGGAGGACTGTGCCATGGCAGTGCCTGGTCAACTCCGGGGCAGGGCCAGAAGCAGGACAGGGACAGGGCCAATGCTCAGGCCAGGGACAGGGCATGACAGGTCGTGCCAGAGCAGGGCTGGGCCAACGTTGGGGCAGGGCAAATCAGACCAGGACACCTCCAAGTCCAGCTCTGGCCCTGCCTTGGCCCTGGCCCCTTCCTGGCCTGACCTTGTCCCTGGCCCTGCCCTATCCATGCCCTGTGTGTTTGACCAGTGTTTTATAACCAGAATCCTACAAGAAACTTAAATTAGTTCTTTTTGTGCATTTTTAGTAGAGATGGGGTTTCACAATGTTGCCCAGGCTGGTTCCAAACTCCTGAGCTCAAGCCATCTGCCTGCCTTGGCCTCCCAAAGTGTTGGGATTACAGGAGTAATCTGGCCAAGTATTTAACTTCTTTATGCCTGTTTCCTATATTTGGAAAATGGGGATGCTTTAAGTACCTAGCACATAGAATTATTGTGAGAATCAATGCCTCACATATTTACATATTGATAAAATTATATTATATTCATAGAACACTACTGGAAGCAAAGATAGTATTAGTTAAAATTTAGTGATTACTGCAAATATTATTACTATTACAAACAATATAGTATAGACATTACTACTAATATAGTTATCTTAAAAATCTAAAATAAAAATTTTATGTAATAGCCTAATGCAATCTCTCCTGCTCTGCCCTGGTTCAGCCCTAGTGCCGGCTCTGCCGCTAGTCCTACTACATCCCTGGCCCTGATCCTTCCCTGGTCCAGCCGCTGCCCTGGCCCTTCCCATCTTCAGGCCTTACCATGGCCCTACCCTGGTCCTGACCCTGCCCTGGTCTGGTCCTGACCCTGGCCCTACCCCAGAGAAGGGGTATGGCAGAGCCAGGGAAGGGCCGGGGCAAATAAGGGACAGGACACATCCAAATCCAGGAAAGGGCCAGGGCCATGACAGAGCCAGGGCGAGTCCTTGGCAGGGCCAGGTTCCAGGCCAGGGCCAGGAAAGGGTCATGACAGGGTCACTGTATGGCCAAGGTCCAGGCCAAAGCCAAGGCAGTGGCAGGGTCAGGTCTGCATAAGGGCAGGACGAGAGCAAGTGATATGGCAGGGCCAGGGCCAGGGCTGTGCCAGGACAGAACAAGAGCAGAGCAGGGCAGGACCAGAGCCAGGCCACAGAGAGAGTAGGGCAAATGCCAAGGCAAGGCCAGGGTAGTGCCAGGTCTGAGGCGAGGTCAGGGAAGGTCCAGGGCTGAGTCAAGGCTAGAACCAAGACGGGGCAAAGGCCGGGGCAGATCTAGGGCACAAGCGGGGCAGATCTAGGGCACAAGCATGGCAGGCTAGGGCAGGGCAATGGCAAGACCAGGTCATGGCAGGGCCAGCCCAGGATAGAACAGGGCACAGGCAGGGCAGGGCCAGGGCCATGGCTGGGGCAGGACAAGGACCAGGACCGGGGTCCAGGCCAGGGCAAGGGTATGGCCAGGGCAGAGGTAGGGCCAGAGCCAGGGTCTGGGCAGGACCAAGGCAGGTCTATTGCAGGGCCAGGGTTCAGACCAGGGCCAGAGCAGGGCTGGGACAGGGCCAGGGCCAGAACCAGGAAAGGGCAATGTCAGAACAAGGGCCATGGCAGGACCAGCAATGGGGCTGGGGCCAGGACAGGGACAGGGACAGGGTCAGGGATAGGGCCAGAATAGCATGCCAAGGTAGAGCCAGGCCAAATTAGGGCCAGGACAGGGTCAGGACCAGGGCTGGACCAGGGTATGGCCTTAAGTAGCGAACGGCCAGGGCCAGGGTCCATGCCAGTGCCAGCGCCGGTCCAGGGCAGAGGCAGGGCCATGGCCAGGTCAAGGACAAGGCTGGGGCAGGGCCAAGGTCTGGGTCAGGGTAAGCACAAGACCAGGACAGAGCCAGGGGAGGGACAGGGCCATGGTAGGGCCAGGTTAAATCAGGGACAAGACACCTGCAAATCCACTTCAGGGCCAGGTCAGGGCAGGGCCAGTTCAGGGCCAGGGCCAAGACAGGGCCAGGGTCATGGCTGCCAGGGTCATTGGCAGGGCCAGGGCCATGGCAGGACCAGGGTCAGGAGCAGGGGTCAATGCCAGGCCAAGGCCACACATAGGACCAGGTCTGTGCTAGGGCCAGTGTGAGGGCCAAGGCAGGGTCAGGGCAGGGACAAAGGGAGGGCAGGGCCAGGGCAGGGTGGAGCAGGCCCAGGGTTGCACAGGGTTAAGGTAGGGCATGACCAACCAGGGCAGGTCTATGGCTGGGGCCGGGGCAGGGCCAGAGCCAGGGCAGGGCCAAGACAGTGGCAGCTCCAGGGCAGGGCCAGGGTTAGGACCACGGACATGTCCAAGGCCAGTGCCAGGGCAAGGGCAAGGGCAGGGGCAGGGCCAGGTTCATCTAAGAACCAGGGACAAAGCCAGGCCCAGAGCTGGGCCAGGACAGGTACCTGGCAGGGCTAGGGTCTGGGACAGGGCCATGGCAGGGCCAGGGCCACAACCAGGTCTGTGCTATGGCCAGGTCCAACACAGTGCCCAGGTAAGGCTAGGGTGAATGCCAAGGTAGGGCCAGGGCAGGGTCAAAGCTAGGCTAGGGCCAAGGCAGGGCCAGGGCCGGCAAGGCAGGGCCAGGAAAGCATAGGGCCAAGGCAGGGCAGGGCCAGGCCAGTGCCAAGACCTGGGCAGGGCCAGGGCCAGGACAGGTCCAGGGCAGGGCCATGACAGGGCCAGGGGCTGCGTTAGGGCAAGGGCAGGGCCAGGGCAAGGTAAGGGTCAGGGCCAAGGCCAGGGTAGGGACAGGGCAAGAAATATGGCAGGACCAGGGGCAATGCCACGGCCAAGGCTGGGCCAGGGCTGAGCCAGGGCTGAGTCAGGGCAGGGCAGGGCAGGGCATGGTATGGCCAGTACAGGACAGGACAAGAGCTGGTCCACACAGAGAGCAGAGCTGATGCCAAAGAAGAGCCAGGCTAGTGCCGAGGCTGAGGCAGTGTCAGAGCATGTCCAGGGCAGGGCCAGGGCCAGGGCCAGAACCGAGCCAGGGCACAGCCAAGGCAGGGTAGGGCAGGGAAATAGCATGGCCAGGTCAGTACTGGGACAGGGCAGAGCAGGGCAAGGCGATGGTAGTGGCAGGGCAGGGACAGGCCAATGCAGAGCCATGTTACGCCGGGGCCAGAACACCTCCAAGTTCACTTCAGGGCCAGGGCTATGGCAGGACAAAGACCAGGGCCAGGATCAGGGCCAGGTCTGTGCTAGGGCCAGCTCCAGAGCAGGGTCTAGCGAAGACTAGGGTGAGGGCCAAGGTAAGGCCAGGGCAGGGTCAAAGGCAGAGTAGGGCCAGGGCAGGGTGATGACACATCCAGAGCACAGCAGGGCAGGGTAATGGCAAGACCAGGGGCAGACCACTGCCAGCTCAGGGCCAGGGAAAGGCCAGTGCAGAGCCAGGAAAGGGTCTGGGTCTGGGTCAGGGCCAGGAACAAGGCAGAGCAGGGCCAGGGCCATGGCAGAGTCAGGGCAGGTCCTTGACAGGACCAGGTTCCAGGCCAGGGCCAGGGCAGCAGCAGGGGCAGGGCCTGGATAAGGGCAGGGCCAGGGATATGGCAGGACCAGGGCTAGGGCCAGGGCCAGGCCATAGTGAGGGCACGGCAAAAGCCAAGGCAGGGTCAAGGCAGGTCCAGGGCAGGTCCAGGGAGCGGCCAGCACCAAGCAGGGCCAAGGCACAAGCAGCTCAGGGTAAGGCAGGGCAATGGCACCACTGGGCCATGACAGGGCAAGGTCAGTGCCAGGAGAGGGCAGAACAGGCAGGCCCATGGTGGGGCCAGGGCAGGGATGGGCCAAAGCAGGGCCAGGACATATCCAAGGCCAGGTCAGGGCCAGAACAAGAGCAGGACCATGACCATTGGCAGGGCCAGTGCCATGACAGGACCAGGGTCAGGACAAGGGGCAGGGCCAGAGCCAAGGTCAGGCCAGTGCAGGTTCACGGCAGGGCCAGTGCCAGGGCAAGACCAGGGAAGGGACAGGGTAGCACAGGGCCAAGACAGGGTCAGGATGGGACCAGAGCAGGACAGGGCCGAGAGTCCAGGTAACAGTAGGGCAGGTACAGGGCAAGGCAGGGCAGTACAGGGCCAGATCCACGGCAGGCGCAGGGCAAAGCCAGGCCCATTGCCAATGCACCAGCCCTCCCTACAAGGCTCCTACCACCTGGTCACTGCTGCAGCCCGTCCATTGCTGTAAGCCTGACCCTGGCTGCAGCCGCCTGCCCTCCTAGCGTGGTCGCTCTCCTACCGCTCTGGTGCACTGCAGTCTCCGTCACTGCCACCCACCTGTAGCGAGGCAAGCCGTGGTGTCGCAGGCTCTAGGTGTCTCCTCCTCCTCCTGGCATGGAGCAGCTGGGCGGGCAAAGCCAGAAAAGCCTAGAGGAAGATGTGAGGGGTGGAAGGGTTAGAGCCTCACCTTGTCATGCCGGCCACTGGGTGGCAGGGGCCAGTTTCAGCAAAGGCACTCACACCCACCCTCCAAAGTCCAGCCTCTCCTTTTGGCCCAAGCTGGCCGGGAACTGAGGTCTGGGGTGGGTGCTGGAGACACCACAGCACGCAGCTCCCCACTCCACAGGAACCATTGGGCCCACTGGGGCTGCACTCCTTGGGGAGCAGGAGAAGCAGAAAAATTCAGACCCAGCCAGCCCTCTGCACCCAGGTGCCAATTCCTGTTCCGGACGCTTCCACGCACAGGGCCCTGTCCCCCGTGGTGTCCCCAGGGGTGCCTGGCAGCCTCTGAGGCACAGACCCAGAGTGCACAGGCCCAGGAACCACGGTGGGTGTGGGGGCTCTGCCATGCTCAGGATTCCCATGCAAACGCTGCGTGCCCTGCCGCATTCCAGTATGACCAAGAGTGGGTCGCCCTCTGGAGTGTGGAGTCAGGGAGAGGAGAACCACTCCTTCCTTGGATGCCAACTCTGTTGACCGCCACCAGCAGTGCAGCCTGATAGCACCGAACTCGTCCCCCACTCCACGGCTAGTCCTGCCCTCAATAGCACCCCCCACCTCTGTCCCCCAATGCCGCCAGTAGCGTATACCCGATAGTGCCCTAACCTGTTCTCCTCCATGGGCATTGCAGCCCCAGAAAGCACCCATAACCCACCTTCCCTGCCGTGGGCAGTGCAGCCCTGTACAGTGCTACCAACTAGTACCCCTAATGCAGGCAATGACACCCTGGATAGCGCCCCCAACCCACCCCACACTGCGAAAGGTGCAGCCCTGGATAGCCCCTGTCCTACCACTCTGGTCATGCTGCAGTCTCTGTCACCGCCACCACCAACCACAGTGAGGCAAGCCAGTGGGCCGCAGACTCTAGCACCCAGCAGCCAGGCATGGAGCAGCTCTCGCTGATGGCCGGCTCCTACCACTCTGACCACGCTGCTGTCTGTCTCTGTGGCCATCTTCTTTCACTACAAAGGAATAAAAATAGGTATCAATAAGAAAAGTAATTTTGGAAATAATACAATCACATGGAAGTTAAACACTACCCTCCTGAATAAATGACTAGCGGGTCAATGAAGATACTAAGACAGAAATTCAAAAATTTCATGAAACAAAGGGTAATGAACACACAGTATACCAAAACTTGTTATGCAGAAAGCAGTACAAAGGCAGAGATTTACAGCTATAAGTGCCTACCATCCAAACAAAAGAAAAACTTCAAGTAAACAATACATCTTAAAGAACTAGTAAAGAACAAACTAAACCGAAAATAAGAAAATAAATAAGATCGTAGCAGAAACAAAATTGAAATAAAAACCTCACAAGATTAAACGAAAAGTTGGTTTTCTGGAAAGCTAAACAAAATTGACAAACTTTTAACCAGGCTAAGTAAAGAGACAAGATTCAAATAAATAAAATCAACAGATTAAAAAAAGGAGACATTACAACTAATACTTCAGAAATTCAAAGGATCATAACTGGCTATTATATGCCAATAAATTGGAAAGCCTAGTAGAAATTGGCAAATTCCTAGATGCATACAACCTACTTAGGTTAAACAACGAAAACATCCAAGACCAGAACAGATTGGTAACAAGTAATGAGATTGAAGCCATCAGAAAAAGTCTCCCAGTAAAGAAAAGCCCAGGAACTGATGTCTTCACTGCTGATGGCTTCACACCAAACAATTTAAAGACCTAGTACAAATCCTGCTCAAACTATTTTGAAAAACAGGAGGGAATACTTCCAAACTTATTCTATGAGACCATTATTACTGTGATACCAAAATCAGACAAAAGCATCAAAGAAGGAAACTACAGGCCAGGATCTCTAATATTGATGCAAAAATCCTCAACAAAATACCACTGAATCAAATTCAGTAATACATTAAAAAGATAATTCATCATGATCAAGTGCAATGTATCCCTGGGATCAAGGGTCACTCAACATACAATGTGATACATCATATCAACCAAATAAACGACAAAAACAGTATCATCACGTCAACTGAAACCGAAAAAGCATTTGATGAAATTCAACATCCCTTCATGCTATAAATCCTCAAAGAAACGGGCACAGAAGAAACATACCGCAACATAATAAAAACTACAGGAAAGACACCCACAGCTAGAATCATATGGAATGGGGAAAAATGGAAAGCTTTTCCTCTAAGATCTGGAACATGATAAGGATGCCCCCTGTCACCACTGTTGTTTAACATAGTACCAGAAATCCTAGCTAAAGCAATCAGTGCAGCCCCTGATATGGCCCCCAACCCACCCTGCCCCCTACCACCAGCAGTGTCACCCCCCCCCAATAGCACACCCAACGTAGGCAAACCGCCCCGCCTCCCTGCACCATGGGCATTACAGCACCCCATAGCGCCCTCAACCCGAAACCGCCACACCACCCCCCACAGCCGCACAGTGCAGCCCTGGATAGCACACTTAGCCCACCTCACTGTTGCCAGCAATACAGTCTGGGATAGTGCCCCCAACCGGCTCCCCGCCAAAGGCAGTGCAGCCCCGGTTTGGGCCCCCAAACCACCCCCCGGTGCAGGCAGCACAGCCCCAGATAGCACACCCAACCAGCCACCCAAGACGGGCAGTGACGCCTGAGATAGGGCTCCCAACCCGTCCCAGGCCACCCGCAGTGCAGCCTGGATAGTGCACTTACCCCGATGCCTTTCTACGCTCTGGCTGGCTGCAGTGTCCATCGCTGCCACCAACCACAAACAGGGCTGCAAACAGGAAGGATTTTATTCACCGTCGATGCGGCCCCGAGTTGTCCCAAAGCGAGGCAGTGCCCCAAGGTCTGTGCAGAGCAGAACGCAGCTCCGCCCTCGCGGTGCCACCGGCCCGCCCGCCCGCCCGGGTCTGTGCTGAGGTGAACACTGCTCCGCCTTCGCTGTATCTCCGAAGTCTGTGCTGAGGAGAACGCAGCTCCGCCCTCGCAAAGGCACACAGCGCCGGCGCGGGCGTGGCGGAGAGGCGGACAGCAGCGGCACGGCGGAGAGGCAGACAGCGACGGAGAGGCGGACAGCGGCGCAGAGGCGGACAGCGGCGGCACGGCGGAGGGGCGGACAGCGGCGGAGAGGCGGACAGCGGCGGCGCGGCGGACAGCGGCGGCGCGGCGGAGAGGCGGACAGCGGCGGAGAGGCGGACAGCGGCGGCGCGGCGGAGAGGCGGACAGCGGCGGAGAGGCGGACAGCGGCGGCACGGCGGAGGGGCGGACAGCGGCGGAGGGGCGGACAGCGGCGGCGCGGCGGACAGCGGCGGCGCGGCGGAGAGGCGGACAGCGGCGGAGAGGCGGACAGCGGCGGCGCGGCGGAGAGGCGGACAGCGGCGGAGAGGCGGACAGCGACGGAGAGGCGGACAGCGGCGCAGAGGCGGCGCGGCGGAGAGGCGGACAGCGGCGGAGAGGCGGACAGCGGCGGAGAGGCGGACAGCGGCGGCGCGGCGGAGAGGCGGACAGCGGCGGAGAGGCGGACAGCGGCGGCGCGGCGGAGAGGGGCGGACAGCGGCGGAGAGGCGGACAGCGGCGGAGAGGCGGACAGCGGCGGCGCGGCGCGGCGGAGAGGCGGACAGCGGCGGAGAGGCGGACAGCGGCGGCGCGGCGGAGAGGCGGACAGCGGCGGAGAGGCGGACAGCGGCGGCGCGGCGGACAGCGGCGCAGAGGCGGACAGCGGCGGCACGGCGGAGAGGCGGACAGCGGCGGAGAGGCGGACAGCGGCGGCGCGGCGGACAGCGGCGGACAGCGGCGGAGAGGCGGACAGCGGCGGAGAGGCGGACAGCGGCGGCGCGGCGGAGGGGCGGACAGCGGCGGAGAGGCGGACAGCGGCGGCGCGGCGGACAGCGGCGGCGCGGCGGAGAGGCGGACAGCGGCGGAGAGGCGGACAGCGGCGGCGCGGCGGAGAGGCGGACAGCGGCGGAGAGGCGGACAGCGGCGGAGAGGCGGACAGCGGCGGCGCGGCGGACAGCGGCGGCGCGGCGGAGAGGCGGACAGCGGCGGAGAGGCGGACAGCGGCGGCGCGGCGGAGAGGCGGACAGCGGCGGAGAGGCGGACAGCGGCGGCACGGCGGAGGGGCGGACAGCGGCGGAGAGGCGGACAGCGGCGGCGCGGCGGACAGCGGCGGCGCGGCGGAGAGGCGGACAGCGGCGGAGAGGCGGACAGCGGCGGCGCGGCGGAGAGGCGGACAGCGGCGGAGAGGCGGACAGCGACGGAGAGGCGGACAGCGGCGCAGAGGCGGACAGCGGCGGCACGGCGGAGGGGCGGACAGCGGCGGAGAGGCGGACAGCGGCGGCGCGGCGGAGAGGCGGACAGCGGCGGAGAGGCGGACAGCGGCGGCGCGGCGGAGAGGCGGACAGCGGCGGAGAGGCGGACAGCGGCGGCACGGCGGAGGGGCGGACAGCGGCGGAGAGGCGGACAGCGGCGGCGCGGCGGACAGCGGCGGCGCGGCGGAGAGGCGGACAGCGGCGGCGAGGCGGACAGCGGCGGCGCGGCGGAGGGGCGGACAGCGGCGGAGAGGCGGACAGCGGCGGAGCGGCGGAGAGCCGGACAGCGGCGGAGAGGCGGACAGCGGCGGAGAGGCGGACAGCGGCGGCGCGGCGGAGAGGCGGACAGCGGCGGAGAGGCGGACAGCGACGGAGAGGCGGACAGCGGCGCAGAGGCGGACAGCGGCGGCACGGCGGAGGGGCGGACAGCGGCGGAGAGGCGGACAGCGGCGGCGCGGCGGAGAGGCGGACAGCGGCGGAGAGGCGGACAGCGGCGGCGCGGCGGAGAGGCGGACAGCGGCGGAGAGGCGGACAGCGACGGAGAGGCGGACAGCGGCGCAGAGGCGGACAGCGGCGGCACGGCGGAGGGGCGGACAGCGGCGGAGGGGCGGACAGCGGCGGCGCGGCGGAGAGGCGGACAGCGGCGGCGCGGCGGAGAGGCGGACAGCGGCGGAGAGGCGCACAGTGCCGGCGCTGGCGCGGAGAGGCGCAGGCCCAGGCTCCACTCCCCAGCTGTGAAAGGGTAAGAACTGAGGGTGGCTGAGACTCGGGGTTGTTCAGGGCGGGGTGGGCTCTGGACCCAGCAGGCCTGGCACCCAGGTCAGGGCTCCAGGGGAGGCCAGGTGGGCGAAGGCCAAGAAGGGGCTGGGGCTGGTCAGGAAGGGCTCCTGGTGACCAGAGCACTTTGCGTGAGCCAGCGTGGGAGGAAGGTGGGCTGGATGAGCCAGGGAGGCGCCGGGAGGGGCCTTGGCAGAGGCGACCCCCTCCGTCAGCCCCCAGGCCACTGAACCCTGGGTAGCGAGAACCGACAGGGGAGACTGCAGACAGAGGAGTGGAGGCTCCCCGGCTTTGGGGGCTCTGAGTGGAAGCATCTAGGGGGTCCCTCAAGAGGCCCCCAAACGCTTCCCCATGGTGAAAAAAGAAGGCGCAGAGAGGGGCACGGCGCCGGCGCCGACACAGAGGGGCGCACAGTGAGATTTGCTGTGATTTCTTTTATTGCCCCAAATGTACTTCATCTTGGTAGATTTCTATTGGCTTTAAAAATGTGTGTGTTTTGCTGTTGGGGAGTGGGGTATTATACGGATGTCAGATTTTGCTGGTTGACTGTTCAGATCTTTTGTAAATCCTTGCTCCTTTTCTGCCTAGTTTCACTCTGTCACTTACACTAGAGTGCGGTGGCACGAACATGACTCACTGCAGCCTTGACTTCCTAGGGTCAAGTACTTCCCCTGGCTTAACCTCCTGACTAGCTGGTACTATAGGTGTGTGCCGCCACACCTGACTAAATTTAAAATTTTTTGGAGAGATGAGGCCTTGCTATGTTGCCCAGGCTCGAACTCCTGGCCTCAAGCTATCCTTTGTCTTTGCCTCCCAGAGTTCTGGGATTACAGGCATGAGCCACTGTGCCCGGCCTCTGCCTAGTTTTAACAGTTGCTAAGAGGAGGATGTTGAAGTAGATGTCTTCTTGGTGGGTCAATCCTTTTGTCATTAAGCAGTTGTTATGGTCACTTCCTTTTCACCCCATTGGTGAAGGAGGGGTCCCTGCCCTAAAGTGTAGGAGATGGCTGAACACGACACCTGGCGTGGATGGATGAGATTAACAGCAGTGTTTTAGTCACATATACCCACAGCTCAGAGGAGGACACTGCATGCCACACAGGGTCAGATGGGCACCGCACTCTGTAGCGGAGTGAGGGCTGCGGGCTGAGGAAGCAGGCAGGCTTGATAGTAACAAGAGCACACAATGACCAATGGTTCCCGAGGGGGAATGCAATTGGCTTGTTTGAATAAATTCATGGGCTGGCAGACAGGTGAAGTGAAACTTCTTAGGCTGAGGTGCAACTGTTCTGGCTGATAAAAGAACTAGCCAGGTGGGGAGCCTTTCCTGTTGGGTGGCAGGGTAGGGGGTGTCTGGTAGAAACAGGAAAACCCACGGCTAGGCCTTTGGGGCCCTGTGAGGCTCAAAGATGTCAAGGCAGCATAGGAAATTTTAGATCTTAAAATTCAACGAAGACCCTCTCCAGCTCTGGTAAATTATTTTGCTTGAAGTCTACTTCATGAGATATTAATATATTCACTCCTGCTTCCTTAAAAAATTAATGATTTCACAGGATATCTTTCTCCATTCTTTTACTTTCAACCTACTTAGGTCCTTAAGTGAGTTTGAAGTTTCTTATGAACAGTATTTAGTTGGGCCATGTGTTTATTATAGGCTCTCCATCAATCTGTCTTTTGGTTTATTTAGACCATTTACATTTAAGGTGCTTATTGTTACATAATTGCTTATGTCTGATGTTTTTATTATTTGCTTTTTTGTTTCCTTTTTCTTTCCCTCCATCTTGATCTATTTCTGTATAATGTTGTTGCGTGTATCTCTTTGTATAGTCTTAAAGTGTTTGCTCTGGATGTTACAATATGTGTATTGTAATATAGTAGTCTACTGGTACCAGTATTTACCACTTCAAAGTGTGGAAACCTGCCTTGCATTTATGTCTCTTTACCTTTTCCACTTGTATAAATCACTGGCTTGAGTATTAGGTGGTGGTATAGTTTTTGTTTCAGTCGTCAAATGTGATTTTAAGAACTGTGGATTGTCTCGCGTATGTATCCACATTTCTGGTCTTTCCTTTGTCCCTCCTCCCGTAGTCCCATATTCATCCCTTCTGCATAAGAACTTTCTATAGCCATTTTTTATTTTGATTTTTTTGTTTTAATTTTTTGTATTGTGGAAATGACAGAACATATTTCTGTAGCCACTTTTTAGCATGTCTAAATTGACCAGTGACAAATTCCTATATTCTCTTCCTCGGAGAATGTCTTTATTTCTCTCTTCATTTCTGAAGGGTAGTTTCATGGGATATAGAATTTGCAGCGAACAGTTTTTTGTTTGGTTGGTTTTTTTGTTTGGTTGGTTTTTTTTAAGCACTTGAAAATGTTGTGCCACTTCCTTCTGGCCTCCATGGCATTTGAATTGGCGTGTCCCTACAGGCATTCTGCCATTTTTGGTCTTTGTTTTTAGTTTTGAAAGTTTAATCAGTGTTGCTTTCTTTTGGTATACTTTGAGGTTTGCTCAGCTTCTTGAATCTGTAAGTTTATATCTTTCACCAAATGTGGGAAGCCTCAGGAATTAGTTATTTGCATGCTTTCACAGCTCTGGTCTCCTGTGGGACTCAGATAACATAAATGCGTGGTCTTTTGTTATCGTCCCACAGGTCCGTGCAACTCTGTTCATTTGTTTTCAGGTTATTTTCTCTCTATTGTTTAGACCGGGTGAATTCTGTTGATCAGGTTTCAGCTTCTCTGATTCTCTCCTCTGTCGTCTCCACTTTTACTCAATAGAGCCCATCCAGTTAGATTTTTTTAAAATTTCTTTTACTGTATTTTATATTTCTGTAATTTCCATTTGATTCTTCTTCAGTTTCTTTGCTGACGTTTTCAGTTCTTTGATTGTTGCCATAGGATTTGTAGTTGCTTGTTGAAGCATTTTTATACTGGCTGTTACAAGTGATGAGTCAGATGGTTCCAACATCTGCCTATGTAATTTTTTTTATTTTTGCAGGCAGTCCTCCTGTTTAGGTTTAGTCTGTAGGTCTTGGTCTACTTTGTGGGCTGTGATTGCAATGGCAATTTAATTTCAGAGCTTTCATGGTGTTATTTTGGTCTGTTTGGCTTATATGTATCACTGGGATTCTCCCACCAGTCCCTTCTGTTGCCCACCTGAGGGAACAGGGGAGCTGCCCCAGGCTGGGCCACCTGCTGCAGCTAGGTGGGTGGGGAATGGTGGTGGTCTTGGTGTGTGGAGCTGGTTTTCTTGTTGTGGGGAAGATCTCCTTTGATCTGCAGGGACTGAGTCTGCCTGGGTTGCCTTCTATTGCTACGTTGGGAGTTGGGAAACTCTGGGCCTGGGTCACCTTCCTATTGGATGAGGTCCAGGGAGACACCTGGCTACTATGCATTCCCTAGTCCTAGAGTCCCTCAGCAGCCTTTTTCTGTCCACCTTTTGGAATTCTCCATTGATCCTCTCCTGTCTATTATTTCTACAATTTGGGTTACATTTCTTAGGAGGGTATAATGTGTTATCTTCTCTAGACCAGAAATCCTTAGTGGTGGTTTCGGGTTGTAACTGTGCTAAAGGGAGAATTGGCATATTTGTGATGTCGAATCTTTCTTTTCAAATGAGGACGTATCATTATTCAGTATATAATATTTACAACACCTACTTCCTTGGGTTGAAGAATGTGGTTAAGGCAAGGAAAGTACTTAACGCAGTGCCTGGTGTGGAGAGCACTTACGAGTGTTGGTAGTGATGCTATTCCTTTTGTCCTTTGGTAGCCTATTAAAGCTTTTCTTCTTTTTTAAAAAATAAAGTTCCGGTGCACTTCTTGTTAGGTTTATTCCTATTTTATCCTTTTTTGCTTTTATTACAAATAGGAGCTTCCTATCTTTTATAATGTCTACCTGGTTCTTTGGCCCTTATGTGAAAATGTTTTAATAGCCTTCTAAATATTGCTCTCCCAAATGAGTTTTAACTTGCCTCTTTCTTTTGTTATCCTTTTTTTGAGACAGGGTCTCACTCTGTCACCCAGGCTGGAGTTCAGTGATGCAATTATGGCTCACTGCAACCTCTGCCTCCCGGGCCCCCAAAGTGCTGGGTTTACAGTGTGAGCCACTGCACCCAGCCTTACTTGTCTATTTCTTTTAAGAGTGGGAACTATAATTGAGCCCAGAGCTCCAAAAACAAATGAAGGAATGAATAAGTGAATAAGCTCTTCCCATGGGTTTGGTGTGGTTTGGGGCTCTACTCTTAATCTAAATGCTATGTTTTATATAATCTAAAATTTCCCCTAGGTGTGTTACATGATTGTGTTGTGTTGAACTTACATTGAGACTCCTTTTCACATGTACTGGTTATCAGCGTGGGACTTTTCCATTCACTCTTTGAATTATTCGTTTGGGGGACACAGATAGACCTCTGTGTCTTTCATAAAGAGTGTCCATTGGCCGGTTGCAGTGGCTCATGCCTGTAATCCCAGCACTTTGGGCGGCTGAGGAGGGCACATCACGAGGTCAGGAGTTCGAGACCAGCCTGGCCAATATGGTGAAATCCCATCTCTACTAAAAATACAAAAATGTTGGGAGGCCGAGGCGGGCGGATCACGAGTTCAGGAGATCGAGACCATCCTGGCTAACACGGTGAAACCCCGTCTCTACTAAAAATACAAAAAATTAGCCGGGCGTGGTAGCGGGCGCCTGTAGTCCCAGCTACTCGGGAGGCTGAGGCAGGAGAATGGCGTGAACCCGGGAGGCGGAGCTTGCAGTGAGCCGAGATCGCGCCACTGCACTCCAGCCTGGGCGACAGAGCGAGACTCCGTCTCAAAAAAAAAAAAAAAAAAAAAAAAAAAAAAATACAAAAATGAGCCAGGCCTGGTGGCAGGTGCCTATAATCCCAGCTACTCGGGAGACTGAGGCAGTAGAATTGCTTGAACCTGGGAGGCAGAGGTTGCAGTGAGCTGAGATTGTGCCACTGCACTCCAGCTTGAGTGACATAGTGAGACTCCGTCTCCAGAAAAAAAGAAAAAAAGAAACAAAAGAGTGTCCATTATCTACACTGGAAAAATTGAGATTGGGATTTTGACATGAAGTGCGGAAATGTGGATTGGGTCCATTTAGTTTACCTAAACAGATGATGAAATACTAACCGTTTTATGAAGCATTCCCTAGTGCAAAGTTTTGCCTGTGTGTCTAGTGACGGGAGCAGTGAGAATGAGGCTTGGAACACGGAGCGCATTGTGGGCCTGTCGTGGGTGGGGCCAGCAGCACATGCATGCCAGGCTCACAGAGCAGCCTTTGGGTGTTCTTTTCCCAGAGGAGCTCTATGGTGACTTTGAAGACTTGGAAACAGGGGACGTGCACAAGGGAAAATCGGGCCCCGATACTCAGGTATGTCTTTGTTGTAGCTGGCTGTTCTTGGTCATTGTGTTCTGAGAGAGGCCCATATTGAGAAATGCAAATCTTACTTGTGATGTGTGAAGATTGCAGATGGGATGGATAGATTCCTTCCTAAAGGGTGGGGATGTGGAGACCAAAGAGAAGCTTTCTTGTTTACTTGTTAAGTTTTGGACGACAGTTACTACCGTTTCTTGCCATAGTCATTTGCCAAGTCCACTGTGATTTTTCACTCACAGAAGTCTTAGCTTCTCAGACTTACATTCAACCATTGCCATCATTCTCCTCTTTTTAAATTTAAGTGTCATTTAAAAGAATGAAGTCCCTGTTCTCCCTAATATTTCTTTAGAACAGGGTCTGGGAGCATCTGGGTGAGGGACATATCTGTTATTTTTATTCTAGTTTGTGTTCCCAGCCAGCTTAAGGAATAGCAGCTAATTGTAATGCAGATGTAACAATTTCATGTAGCAGTACCATGTTATTCAGAGACCAAGGTTATGTTGTGTTTTGTTTTGTTTTATTGATAACGATAACAGATTTTTGCTAAGATTTTTGTTTAAATAGAACTTTAAAAAATCTAATGTTTAAAGAAAAGACCTTCATAAACATACACAAAATTTTTTCTTCTGGAAATTTAAGAATGAAGATATAGAGAAACAAGAAAGAAATTGACCCTGATGAAGAAGAAAGTGCCAAGAAAAAGCATTTGGATAAGAAGAGAAAATTGAAGGAGATGTTTGATGTGGAATATGATGAAGGAGAAAGCACATATTTTGATGATCTTAAAGGAGAAATGCAGAAACAAGCACAGGTGAGAAACCTCAGTTCCTCTTAGCCCCTTGTCAAGACTATCACATAGTGCAGGAATCCCTGACTTTCTTTGGGTCCCTGCTTCCTATCCTGCTTCTGTGCCTTTCAGTTGGACTCCTGGGTAGATGCATGTGAGTGTGTTTATTCATGCAGTGAGCTCATTGTTTCTACAGTCAGAAGGTCACCAGAAAAAGATCCATACCTATTTTGTAACAAGAATTAGGAAACCGAAATGACTGAGACATGGTCTCTACTTTTGAGACTTTTACAATGTAGTGATCTAAGACAGTGTGTTCATTTCAGTGCAAGCCAATGCTGCCTATTCTGATCGCTGCTCCCTGATTTGAATGGCAGGTGATCAGTGGCCTGTGTGGCTTATGGACACACAAGAGCTCCCAGGGGAAGTGCTCTCAAAACATCCTGGTCAGAGTTCAGAAGGACATGTGGAGTATAAGGTCAGATGCGGAGATAAGGGAGATGGTGTGGCCCTCCTGCCTGGGGGTGCTGAGCAGGTTGCTGGAGGCGGTGATCTGACTCTGAAGGAGACAGACACAGAAACGTGTGTACAGTTGATGGTGAGCATCTGAGTTGCGTCTTGTTAGTGAGGCCAGGAGTGCCTGTGTAAGCTGGAACAGATTAGGTGTATGATTTGTGAAACGGAGTTTCATCCTAGGTCTTCATCTAGTCAAAGGACTGTTTCCTGATTAGGCATTAGCTTAGTGGTTGCTAGTCTGTGTTGACCTTTGAAAGGCATGACTAGGCTAACTCTGAAGTTTTTGCTTCACACCATTTACAATTTAAAATTACCTAGAGCCTTGTGTGCCATTGGAAAAGACTGAATGTTTCACTCTGAAATGGGAGTCCTTGGAGGGTTTTGAGCAGAGGAGAGACATTCAGGTAATCAGATCACTCTGCCAAGAGATCAGTCTGGTAGAGATCAGTCCGGTGGCACAAACCAGAGGGCTGGCAGTGGAGATGAGACAAAGAGTCAAACCTGGATAGAGTTTATTTGGAAGCTGGGTCAGTAGGATTTCCTGGTGGACTGAATGTGGGATGTGTGAGAGGAAATGAGGATGGCGGCTGGAAATTCCTGGAAGGATGGGTTGTTGCAGGTTAGATAGGAAACTGTCTGCAGATGCAGTTTTGGGAAGATGATGTTTGGTTTGGCTGGGTATCATGCAGACAAGCGGAGCGTCAAGTCTGGAGAGACAGGTCTGGCCAGGGACTTAGATGTACAGCCGTCAGCATGTAGATGCCACTTAACTCTGTGAGGTGGCCAGGGAGTGAGTGCAGAGTGACTGGGAGGAGCAAGACTGGCATGGGCGAGATGGGGCGATTGCGGCTGTGAGGCCTGAGCAGTGCCGAGGAGGGAGAGGGAGAAGCAGTGTGAGCATGCAGGCACGCAGGAGTCCAGTTGTACATGGAGGCGAAGCACTGTTCAGATCCCGCTGCAGTGTTAACTACGGTAAAGGCAGAGTTGACCACTGGAGGAGTCCTTCAGCGTGGAGGCCTTCAGCAATCTTGGCAAGCACCAATTTTCATGGATGTAGGAGAATGGGAGCAGAGGAACTGGAGGCTGCAACTGCGGAAAACTTTTGTGGGGTTTTGCTGCAGAGAGAAGCAGAGAAATGAAGCAGTTTTTGGTGGAAGAAGTGGAATCAAAAGGTTTTGAGATAAGAGAGAGAACAGAGGGAAGAGCTGTTGGAATAAAATCCAGGAAGAGTGGATGGTGTCTAGTGAGCAAGTGATGTGTGGCCCGGAGTAAAGGCATGGACAAATCATCTGTGCCTGAGCTGCCCGTAGAACTTTCTGTGATCATGGAGATGCACGTCTGTGCTTCCCAATATTGTAACACTGGCCGCAGGTTGATATGGACCACTTCCAGTGTGACTAGTGTGATTGAGGAACTGCATTTTTAATATTATGTAATTGTAATTAATTTTAATTTAAATAGCCACACATAGCTCCTCTATGGGCCAGGTCAGAGCTCTGATAAGGCTGGATATGGGAGGAAACCCTGGTAGAGGGTTGACCATAGAGGTTCTTTTGGTTTTGGAGTGAATCAGGAAACAGCCATCAGCTGAGTGAAGGTGAGGGTGGTGGTGGGTGTTTGAAGACAAGAGAAAAGTGTGAAAGAATTGTTTGGAGAGGAAGGAAAGAAGGTGTGGACTGGGGATGTTTCCAATGTTTGAGCACGCAGGGCTCCACAGTTATCTACATTTGCTGTCCCTTGGAGCAGGAGAGAAGAAAACGGTTGGGACATATTCTGAGCAGACTGTAGAGGTAAAATGTGTAGGTTTTTTTTGTTTTTTTTTGTTTTTTGAGATGGAATCTCGCTCTATTGCCCAGGCTGGAGTGCAGTGGCACGATCTTGACTCACTGCAACCTCCGTCTCCCAGGTTCAAGCGATTCTCTCACCTCTGCCTCCTGAGTAGTTGGGACTATAGGCAGGCACCACCACACCCAGCTGATTTTGGTATTTTTAGTAGAGACGGGGTTTCACCATGTTGGCGAGGCTGGTTTTAAACTCCTGACCTCATGTGATCTGCCCGCCTCGGCCTCCCAAAGTGCTGGGATTACAGGCATGAGCCACTGTACCCGGCCAAATGTGTAGTATTTTTAATAGGATAAAGCCTACATAATTTTGTCCACAGTTCCTTTATTTAGAAATTGCTCATTTGTTCATGTTAATCCTATGTTTATTACAGATAACAGCATACAGGTTCCCCGCCCCCCGCCCCGTCATGTACAGCTGAATCATGCAGAATTTGAAGATCAAGATGATGAAGCCAGAGTTCAGTATGAGGGTTTTCGACCTGGGATGTACGTCCGCGTTGAGATTGAAAATGTTCCCTGTGAATTTGTGCAGAACATTGACCCCCATTACCCCATTATCCTGGGTGGCTTGGGCAACAGCGAGGGAAATGTTGGATACGTGGAGGTGGGTCCTTTTGCTGCATATTTGGTGCCTGAGGCTCTGTGGATTTCCCCTCCATCAATCATCTTACCCTCTCATCCCCCTCAGATGCATCTGAAGAAACATCGCTGGTATAAGAAAATCCTCAAGTCCCGAGATCCAATCATATTTTCTGTAGGGTGGAGGAGGTTTCAGACCATCCCGCTCTATTATATCGAAGACCACAATGGAAGACAAAGGCTTCTAAAGTATACCCCACAGCACATGCATTGTGGAGCAGCCTTTTGGGGTAAAATATGATTACAATAACTTGCCTATTGCCGAGATTAAACCTTACAGGCTGCGTTATTTTAGCTTTGTGCTTTTCCTTTCATAAAATTCCACTCCTAAGATTTTTCTCTTTTCTGGGAGCGGGGAGGTGGTTTGGAGTATATATGTAAATCTATATCCAAATCTAAATGTCCATATCCAGTATGTTAAACTAGAATCTAAAGTTTGTGGTTTGCTATATTTCTTTTTTTCCTTTTCCTTTAAGACCCTATCACTCCACAGGGAACTGGTTTCTTGGCAATACAGTCTGTCAGTGGCATAATGGTAACTATCTTGGATGATTTCTTTTACAGATTGGTTTGAGAAATATATCCTGAATGTGGGTTATTATGTACATGAGACTTTAAGTTGAAAATTACTCATTTTTATTAATATAAAGTAAATTTCCCTTTGCTTTTAATCTTCGTACATCCTTTTCAGTAGGGTGTGGGATTAGAGGAGGGGAGGTGGAAGAATTATAATGGTACATTTCCTATTTTTGTGCATCTTTTGCATTTATTTATCTAAGCAAGTATTTAAGCAGTGCTCACCATGTGCTAAGCACTATATGAGGTTATGAGGAGCCATCAGAGACCACCCAGACACAAGACTCCCTGCAGCTGTGCTGGGGTAGCAGTCTGTTCACTCCATTTTCATTTGACCAGTCACGCAGGGCAGGGTTTACTGGTCCCATTTAACAGAGAAGAAAGCAGAATAATGAGCAGATGGAATCTTCCCTGGAGGTCCAAATTTTAATTTCCTAAACATTGCAACTGTATTTTTCTTTTCCATTTCGTTCCAAATAAATCATTATAGTAAAATTACATTCCTCTGAAATCACTCTCAGGAAAGTACTCAAGTAGCCTTTTTTTTTCTTTCTTTTTTTTTTTTTTTTTTGAGACAGAGTCGCACTCTGTCATCCAGGCTGGAGTGCAGTGGCACGATCTTGGCTCGCTGCAACCTCTGCCTCCTGGGTTTAAGCGGTTCTCCTGCCTCAGCCTCCCAAGTAGCTGGGATTATAGATATGAGCCACTGTGCCCAGCCTCAAGTCACCCTTGTTAGTTTGGCTTACCAACTTTAAAGTTTTGGATTGCTTTTGTCAAACCACTGGGTTGCAAGTTCAGATGGTCTCTCTTGTTTTTCTTAGCTAATTGTAAGTAAAATTCACTTTGGTAATTTATTGTGTCACATAGAATTGAAGTTTTTCTTTTGCTAATATTATTCCTATTTTCAAATTTTGGGGTTCCTGTTAGCCTGATTTTCGGATAGCTGCCACAGGAGTTGTCCTTGATCTGGATAAATCCATAAAAATTGTGAAGAAATTAAAGCTAACTGGTTTTCCACTTCATTTATTAAGGTCTGTATATCTATATATTCTCATATTTATAAATCTCCATATTGTTTGAGAAAAGGAATGAAATACCTCTAAAATATGGGCCTCATTTTTAGAAAAGTGTTTGAAATCTTTTATAAACTTCATATTTTGTTTGCTCCTTTATATTCTGTATTACTTAAATATGCTCAAAAAAGCAGTGGTAAACAGCTATTTAGGAATTGAGGCTGTTACTCCTGACTTCCATGTGAGACTGCCACAGAACTCATATTGAAAATATGTCATTTTATCCACTAGGTTTTGTTTCCTACTTTTTAAATTTGTGTTAAGAAAGGGAAAAAAATCACAAGTTTGTCTAACTCGGTAGAAAAATCGACAAAGCATTTGCAGACAACTTGGCAAGGGTACAGAGAAACGGACGTACTGTTTTTCAGTATTTGGGGAGGGTGGTTTGAGCAGCATTTATTGACAATTTCATTAGTGGGGATGTTTCTATTGAAAACACAGAGTTAGGAAGTCATAAAATGTTCTTGCAATATAAGGTAATAATACCACCAGCATTTATCTTACTGTTTTCATGTTCTAAGTGCATGCATCTGAGTAAAAGGATCTGGGCTGCAGTCCAGTCTGAGAGATGCCAGCAAAGGCTTCCTAGGCCAATTCAGTCCAGTAAATCCCTCTTCGATCTTCTCTTCCACACAGACAGCAGTGATGAGCATGCCCATGAACTCACATGATTATTTTGGGGAAAATGAAAGAGTTGTATTCTTTTTGAGGTAGTAATTCCACTTTCAGGGGCAAATACATTTTGATTATTTTATCACCCTTCAGTGAGTTGTTTTTGTTCTTTAATCAAGGATGTATGTTTGAAGTAAGAAGTAAAGCATAAAGTATATGATTTTGTGTGTGTGTGTTTTTTTATCTTGCTACACCTGTAGGGAATGTTTAATTCTGCCTTGGACGTGGCCAAATTTGAAGGTGCTGTGATTTGAACTGTCATTGGGATAAGGGGGCAGATCAAGAAAGCACTCTGAGCTCCAGAAGGAGCTTTCTGGGCCAGCTTTGAGGATAAGCTGCTGATGAGCGGTGAATGTCTTAAGTAGTATTCAGGGCAGGGTGTTACCATTCATGCTTGACTTCTAGCCAGTGTGATGAGAGGCTGGAGTCAGGTCTCCAGAGAGTTGAGCAGCTCCAGCCTTAGATCTCCCAGTCTTATGCGGTGTGCCCATTCGCTTGTGTCTTCAGCCCCCTGGCCACACCCAGTAACAGTTCTGTGATCTATGAGAATAGTTCCCTTAGCGACCTTTCCCTTCAAATACTTTGCAGCCAGGTAGAGAAGTTTGGAGTGAAGGTTTTGTTCTTTGTTTCTTCGCAATATGGATATGAATCTTCTTTTGAAAATGTTAAAGTAAATTACCTCTTTTCAGATATTGTCTTCATGCGAACTTGGTATCCTGTTTCCATCCCAGCCTTCTATAACCCAGTAGCATCTTTGTTGAAACCAGTGGGTGAGAAAGACACCTGGTCAGGAATGCGGACCACGGGCCAACTCAGGCTCGCCCATGGTGTCAGACTAAAGGCAAACAAGGACTCTCTGTATAAGGTACTGGTCGTGTGTGTGTTAGTAGAGATGAAGCCTGTGCTCTACAGACAGGGAGTCACACAGACACTTTTCTATAATTTCTTACGTACTTTGAATGTTCAAGTATAAAGTCTAACGTTAAATTTGATTGAACAATTGTATATTTTTGGGATATTTTGGAATGGAACACCAAAAAATGGTAATAGTGGTTCTTTCTGGATTGAAGACAAACTTTTCCTTTTTAAAATAAATTTTATTTTATGTATTTGAGGTTGACAATATGATCTTAAAGGATACATATAGATAGTAAACTGGTTACTATAGTGAAGCAAATTAACATAGCTACCATCTCACATAGTTAGATTTTTGTTTGTGTGACAGGAACAGCTAAAATCTACTTATTTAACAAAAATCCCAAAGACAATATATTTTTATTAACTATAGCCCTCATGATGTACACTAGATCTCTAACTTGTTCATCCTACATGTCTGCTACTTTGTATTATTTTAATGTACATCTCCCCATTTCCTATTGGTCATTTCCTATTTGGCCCATTTTTCAACTGGGTTGTTTTTCTGCTATTAAGTTGTAAGAGTTCTTTACTGATTTTTGGATATTAACACTTTATCAGATATGTGGTTTGCAAATATTTCTTCCAGTCTGTAGGTTCCCCTTTCATTTTGTTGGTTGTTCCTTTGCTGTGCAGAAGCTTTTTAGTTTGATGCAGTCCTCCTTGTTTATGTTTACATTTGTAGCCTGGCTTGTGGTGCGATATCCAAAAAATTATTGCTAAGGCCAATGTCAAGAGGCTTTCCCCCTATGTTTTCTTCTAGGAGTTTTATGGTTTCAGGTCTTATTTGGGTCTTTGGTCTTGTATCTGTTTTGAGTTGATTTTTGTGTATGGTGTATGATCAGGGTCCAGTTTTATTCTTTTGCATGTGAAAATCCTATTATTGAAGAGACTATCTTTTTTACCATTGTGTTGTCTTGTTTGCCCTTGTCAAAAATTAGTTGACAGTATATGTTTGGATTTATTTCAAAGGTCTCTGTTCTGTTCCATTGGTCTATTTTTTTGTTTTTATGCCAGCACCATACTGTTTTGATTACTGTAGCTTTGTAATACAATTTTAAATCAAGAGGTGTGATGCCTCCAACTTTTTCTTTCACAGTAATCTGTTGGCTGTTTGGGGTTTTTTGTGGTTCCATATGAGTTTCAGGATTGTTTTTTCTTTTGTTTTCTTTTTTTTTTTTTTTTTTGAGGCAAAGTCTCACTCTGTCGCCCAAGCTGGAGTGCAGTGGCATAATCTCGGCTCACTGAAACCTCTGCCTCCTGGATTCAAGCAATTCTTCTGCCTCAGCCTCCCAGGTAGCTGGGACTACAGGCACATGCCACTATGCCTGGCCAGTTTTTGTAGTTTTAGTAGAGACAGGGTTTCACTATGTTGGCCGGGCTGGTCTCCAACTCCTGACCTCGTGATCCGCCCGCTGCGGTCTCCCAAAGTGCTGGAATTACAGGCATGAGCCACTGTGCCTGGCCAGGATTGTTTTATTCTGTTCTGTGAAGAATGCCATCAGAACTTTGATGAGGATTGTGTTAAATCTGTATATTTGCTTTGGGTAGTGTGAACATTTTAACAATATTAAGTCTTCTGATCCATAAACATAGGATGTCTTTTCATTTGTTCATGTCTAAATTTCTTTCATCAATGTTTTATGGTTTTCAAGTGTACACATCTCTCACCTTCTTGGTTAAATTTATTCCTAAGTTTTTGTTTTTCTTTGATGCTATCGTAAATGAGATTATTTTCTTGATTGCTTCGTCAGCTAGGTTATTTGTATATAGAAATGCAACTGATTTTTATATGTTGAGTTTATACCTTGCAGCTTAACTGAATTGATTTAGTAGTTCTCACAGTTTTTTGTGGAATCTTTGGAGTTTTTTACATAAAGGATCTTGTCATCTGCAAATAGAGATAATTTTACTTCTTTAATTTAGTTGCCTTTTTTTCTCATCTGATTGCTCTTGCAAGTACTCTATTGAATAAAAGTGATGAGGCTGGCCATCCCTATCTTGTACTCAATCTTAGTGGAAAAGCTTTAGTTGTTCCCCACTAACTATGATTAGACTGTGGGTTTTTCATAAATGGTCTTTATTATGTTGAGGAACTTTCCTTCTATACATAAACTATTAAGAGGTTTTATCAAGAAAGGTTGCTAAACTTTGTTAAATGCTTTTACTGCATCAATTGAGATGACCATGTCGTTTTATCTTTCATTGTGTTAATGTGATATATCACATTGATTGATTTACATATTTTAAACCAGTCTTGCATGCCAGGGATAAATCCCACTGAAACACGATGTATAATGTTTTTGATGTGTTATTGAATTCTATTTGCTAAAATTTTTTTAGGATATTTGCATCAGTTTTTAATTTATTGGAGAAGTTGACCTGTAGTTTTTCTTTGTTTGGGGTGTGTGTGTGTGTGTGTGTGTGTGTGTGTGTGTGTTTTGGTTTGGCTTAGGTATTAAGGTGATACTGGCCTGGTAAAATGTGTTTGGAATTATTTCCTCTCGCTCTGTTTTTGCGAAGAGTTTAAGAAGTAAACTCCCAGGGGATGGGAGTGACTCTGGACATGGGAGTGACATGATAGTGACTCTGGAACCTGCCGTGGTGGGACACAGCAGCATCTCAGTCTCTGTGAGGCCAGATGCAGCATCAGCAAGGACCCCAGAATGGTGGAGCCCTACTGTGGCTTGGGCCCTTAGGGGCAGGGACCAGTGCAGCAACTACTTCTCTCCCTGGGGAGGCAGGTGCCTGGGCAACTCAGATTCTCCAGAGCTAGTCCAGTTCCAAGGAAGCAGGGTTCTACAGTTGTTTGTCCTGAAGGGCAAGGTACCCCAGTTCAGCCAATGCCATTTTCCTAGGATATGGGGGTGCCATGTTGGCTCATCCCTGGCAGGTGTGGCTGCTCAGCTCAGCCAAGACACTGATTCCCTGTGAAGCAGGGCAGCGCTTCAGCTCTCGTGCAGTGGGGGGTGTGACTGCTCAGACTGGCCAAGGCACTGATTCCCTGGAAAGCAGGGCACCAAGTCAGCTCAGGCTCCAAGGGGCAGGGCACAATGGCAGCTGGGAGGGGAGGGGCACAGCAGCGTGGCCCCACAGGTGGGGTGTATGCTGTGATGTGGACATCATTTGTTCCCACCAGCCATTTGAAATTTCATCCATTTGAAATTTGATTCCAAATGTGGTGGTGTGGGAGGTGGGGCCTAGTGGGAGGTATTTGGGTCACAGGGCAGATCCTTTATGAATAGATTAATGCCTTTTCATGGGACTGGATTAGTTACCAGGAGTGGATTGTTATCAGAGTGAGTTCAGCTTCCTAGACTCTCGTGTTTCCTCTCTTGCCATGTGAGCCCCTTGCGTACACCTGTTTCGCCTTCCACTTTCCCCATGAGATGAAGCAGCCCAAGACCCTCGCCACTTGTGCTGCCCGATCTCGGACTTTTCAGACACAAGCAGGGTGAGCCAAATAAACCTTTTTTATAAAATAAGTTACCCCGAGTCTCAAGTATTCTGTTACAGCCACACTAAATGGCCTAAGACAGTGTAACAGCGGCTCGGGGGTGGTGGGCCACTAGGTGGGTGTGATATACAGCAACAGAGCCTGAGGTTGGAAGAAGGGTGCGGTGGCTGCTCCCCCTGGGTGGGACATGCTCCCGAAGTGGTCCAGGTCCAGGAGGGCACGTTGCAGCAGCAGCTGGTCCATGGGGGTGGGGCACAATGTCAGTTCCTTCTCTGAGGGGAGTGCTGGGGCTACTGGGCCCCTCTTGCTTCCTTTTCCCTGCAGGGAGATATCCCCTCTGCTTCAGGCTGATCCCTCTGGGGGAGTGGGTGGTGGGGGCCAGATGTTTCCTTCCCTCCTTTATGTGACTGTCTTGGTTTTCTGTGCTCTACTGGATTTCTGCTACTCCTTGATGCACTCTGGGGCTCTCTTTTAGTGACTTTCATCAAAATATAGTTGTTTGCTGCTTTGGGTGTCTTTGTCAGGGGATGAGTGCAAGGGGCTATTGATCAGCCCCTTGCTGGCGTCACTCCCTCTTAAACTTTTCACTGGGTACTCTTTTGAACTATTTTTTCCCCCACCGTATACATGTATTTTTTAAACGTTAATGTGCTAATTTCTACTGAAGCAATGTGGATTTTTCTGAAAGTTTTAATGTTTTAATAAGCTTTTTATTGAAATGTTAATGTACATACAGAAGAGTGCCCGAATCATAAGTGTGCATCTAGATGGACTGTAGCACACCAGGCTGCCACGCCCTGGACCAAGCAGTAGCCTTGACCTGTGGCCTCTCCCAGGCACTGCTGCCCCAACACACAAAATAGCTACTTTCCCAGTTCCTGATGTAGATTTGTTCTGCCTGGTTTTGATTTCTATAAAATACAGCACATTCTATTTAGCCTGGCTTATTTGGTTCAGTATTACAGAACACATCCATGTTCTTGTCTGTGGTAGACATTGATTTATCGTCATTGTTGAGTTCCATTATATGACTGTGTCACCATTTTTCCATTGATGAGTAAAATGATTTCCTATTTTTGGCTGTTATCCCACGGCCCTGAACACTAGGTCTGGATATGGGACTTGCAGGTATGCAGGGGCAAACGTGCTTCTGCTGGAGGATCCCTGGGTGGGGTGGAGACTCCAGGGCACCTGTGCTCTGCTTCAGTGTGGAGGCTTCTGTGTCGTGTTCTGGGAGCACAGTGTCTTGGCCTCCACCACCAGCAGCAGCTTAAAGAGTTCCTGCTGTTCCACATGCTTGCCAACAATTGGCCTCTTCAGTTTTTGTTTTTGTTTTTTTTTAGGTTTTCAGTGCCTGCCTGGACTTCTGTTTTCATTTAGATTTTGGTTTCTTAGAACTTTCGTTATTCTCTTCACAGCTTAACAATGCATTTGAATAGATTTGTTTTCATGTGGAGTATTCAGTTTTGTAATAAGAGGGTTGTTCAAGGCATCAGTCTGCCACTCTGCTGGAAATAGAAGTCTCCCAGGCATTTCTTTTTAAAGTAGTTAGTGAAATTTTGAACCATCTTACATGAATTTTTATTAAAATACACTTCAGGATGTGGTGCCCATTATCCATTCTACTCTTTTGTAACAAGTAGATTTCTCTGCATTCTTGAATTTGAAAACAACTGGGGTTCCTAAACAGAGAATATGGAATATTATTGGGGATGATGTCTTTAATAATACATTTCAAGATAGGAGAAACCTTTTCTATATAGTTGACTTTAATAAAAGCCTAGGGCAAAACTTTCAATATATTAACAGTATTTATGAGGCAGTTAAGAATTTGGGTCATCTCCGTCTCCACTAAAAATACAAAAAGTTAGCCAGGTGTGGTGGTGGGCGCCTGGGCTACTTGGGAGGCTGAGGCAGGAGAATGGTGTGAACCCGGGAGGCGGAGGTTGCAGTGAGCCGAGATCATGCCACTGCACTTTAGCCTGGGCGACAGAGCGAGACCCTGTATCAAAAAAAAAAAAAAAAGAATTTGGGTCATCTCAATTAAACATAGAATTTAAGATTACGTTGAAAATTCAGTACAGAGTATTTTGCCTTCATCTGTTGTTTGAGTCTCCCTTCTTTTAGCCATCCTTCCATCAGAAATAGAATACCAAGTTAAACTTCTTAATTAGAATCAGGAATCAGGACTCTTTGGCTGCTGATTGAAGGAAGAACTGTCCTTAAATCCAGAGTGGGCCGGGCATGGTGGCTCATGCCTGTAATCCTAGCACTTTGGGAGGCCAAGGCAGGTGGATCACCTGAGGTCAGGAGTTCAAGACCAGCATGACCAACATGGTGAAACCCCATCTCTACTGAAAATACAAAAATTAGCCGGGCGTGGTGGTGTGTGCCTGTAGTCCCAGTTACTTGGGAGGCTGAGACAGGAGAATTGCTTGAACCTGGGAGGTGGAGGTTGTGTGAGCCAAGATCGCGCCACTGCACTCTAGCCTGGGTGACAGGGTGAGACTCCATCTCAAAAAAAAATCCAGAGTGTTTGGTAGTCAAGACAAAAAGCTAGATTATTTTTGTTAGTCTGGGAAATAAGCACCTTAGTGGCCCAAAGACAAGGCCTGAAATTTCCATGAAAAGAAACTGGGATCTATTCATCTGTTCTGTTGAGACCTCATAGTTCCATACCACAGAAATAGGCACAGTGGGTTTCGGGGGGAGAGTTGTAAGTATAAGCTCTCTGTTCCTCTATATTGGCCATCTATAGACCTTCTTTGGAGAAATGTCTATTCAAGTCCTTTGAATCAGATTTTTTGTTGTTGTTGAATTGTAGAAGTCCTTTTTATATTCTGGATATTAAACCCTTATCAGGTAAACCATTCACACATATTTTCTCTCGTTCTTCGGGGTGTCTTTTCACTCTGATAGTGTCCTTTGATGCGCAAAGGTATTTTAATTTTGGTGAAGTCCAATTTATTTTTTCCTTTGTTGCCTGTGCTTTTAGTGTCATAGCCAAGAAATTACCAAATTATTGTTTAGTTTTTTAAAAGTATTTATGTGGTTATTTGGCTGATACCTGTCTCTAATGATTGACGGCACTTCTTGAGCGCGGCTTTTAAACATGCAAATTTGATGTCACTTTCCGAGGCTCCTTCCATGGCATCCCTTTGCTTCTAGGCCGCAGCCCTTGTCTGGCCTCGCTGCTGCTCTGGCCCCTGCCCTCCTCTAGGGCCTCTCTTCTGCTGCCTCCAGCTCTGGCCACAGTGGCCTTTCATTCCTCAGTGCACTTGCCTGGGGTCCTCAACACTTGCAGTTCCCTCTGCCGGGAATGCGGCAGCTCCTACGTCCCCCTCCCGGCCTCCACCTCCTCGCTGCTCCTTCGGACGCTGGTCCTGAGACCACTGGTCGGTGCGGCCTTCCCTGGACCCTCTCCAAACTCCCCAGTACTCCTCCACACTTTTCTCCAAAAAACCAGTGGCACTCAATTGTGCCGTCCAGGGACCCCTGGGATTTTCACGACCCTGTCAGTGGCTGAGTGAGGTTGAGTCAAGAATGTTTCGTGACAATAAGGAGATGTTATTGATCTCTTTTCACTGGAAGTGGGAGCGTCTTGCGGGGGGACAGCGGGCTGAGGATGCAGCTGTGTTAGGACGTGACAGCTCGCACAACTGAAGCACCACCACTTTCCCACGGTTTTTTTTTTTTTTTTTTTTTTGCTTTGGAAAACATTTCTCACAAAATATGCAACTTATGTTACCATGTAATGGGCTTGCTTCTGTTACTTTAAAACAAACTAATAAATCTCTTAAATGTTTCTCAGCTTTATTTTTTGTTGTTATGGTTCGTTTTCTTCTGTTTCCCCCAGCTTTATGAAAGTTTAATTGACAAACTTGCCTATCTTTACTGCTCACAGCGTGCTGCTTTGCTGTATGTGTGCCCTGTGGAATGCTTCCTGGTGCTGCTGCACACCTCCATCACCTACTGCGGTGAGGGCCCCTGGGATCTGCGCTCCCGGCGCTGCGCCCTCGCCCCACCGCTGTGCCTGAGCGCCCCCCCCCCCCATCCCGCCCGGGGACCCGCGCCCGCTCCTGGAACCGCACCCATGGCCAGCGCCCTGTCCCCAACCCCGCTTTAGTTTCCACCCACGCGAAGAAACTCAGCCTCGGTCCTGTTTAGGCACGGAAAGGGCTGGAGAACCGCGTCCTTCCGAGGCGCCCCCAGCGCGGCTCCCCACAGCGTGCAGGACCCCGGACTGTCGCGCCGCGCCCGGGGACGCACAGGAGGTGGGATCCAGGAGCGAAGCCCCTGCAGCGTCCCAGACTGGACGTGGCCCTGCACCCCCAGCTGCTGGGCTGGCCGGGACATGCATGAGATCGCGCGCTTTACAAACTGTTGTTCTTTCTGGGAAAGTTAAAGAACGCGCTGCAGCCGCTTCGCCTGCTGCTGAAAGGAGCCAGGCAGGGCTGGTCACTCCGCGCCACGCCCCGCGCGCCAACACCGGAAGGTGAATGTTCAGAACATTTTTATCATTTAAAGCCAGTATACCGGCTGGGCGCGGTGGCTTACACCTGTAATCCCAGCTACTTGGGAGGCCCAGGCAGGAAGATCCGATTGAGCCCAGGAGTTCCAGAGCACCCTGGGCAACATGGCAAGACCCTATCTCTACAAAAAAAAAAAAAAAAAAAGCCGGGCGTGGTGGTGCGCACCTGTGGTCCCAGCAACTCGGGAGGCTGAGGCGGGAGGATGACCTGAATTCAGTAGGTCTCCAGCCTGGGCGACAGAGCGAGACCCTGTTTACTAATAAATAAAGCCAGTGTACCTAAAATACCATCATAACATGGAATCAGTATAAAAATGATTATTGAACTACTTGCATTCCTGTTTTGTGCTAAGTCTTTGAAATTTGGTGTAGTGTTTTGTTTTCTTTTCTCTTTTGAGACAGAGTTTCGCTCTTGTTGCCCGGGCTGGAGTGCAATGGAATGATCTCAGCTCACTGAAACCTCAGCCTCCCAGGTTCAAGCGATTCTCCTGCCTCAGCCTCTGGAGTAGCTGGGATTACAGGTGCCCGCCACCATGCCCGGCTAATTTTTCTGTATTTTTAGTAGAGACAGGGTTTCGTCATGTTGGCCAGGCTGGTCTCGAACCCCTGACCTCAGGTGTTCCGCCTACCTCAACCTCCCAAAGTGCTAGGACCACAGGCATGAGCCACTGTGCCCGGCCCGGTGTGTACTCTTATAACACCTCTCAATTCAGGTCTAAATTTTGTGGGAAATAATCTATATTTAGGTTTCACAGTATTCACAGTTGAAAAAATAGATGTATATCCCCTTGTTTCAAATGTAACTGAACCTAGTCCCTTGTTTGAAATTCAAATTAATTGAAATTAAAAATTTCCAGTTCTCGGCAGCAGTTGCACATTTCAAGGGCTCAATGGCCCCATGTGGCAGTGGTCCCGTAGAGGACGGCACAGCTCTAGACATGGTGTAGGAAGTTGGAGAAGGCTTCCTTAGGGAAGCAAGTGACGGTTGAGCCATGACCAGAAGTTGGTTAACTTGGCAAAGGCTGGGAGTTGGGGAAGCAGAAGAGTGTGTCAAGCACAGGAATGTTATGTGGAAAGGCCTGTGACACAGGGCATCATGACGCCTGCAAGCCAGCGTAGCTGGAGCCAGGACAGCGGCAGAGTCCTAGGAGCTGGGGAGGAAAATAGGCAGGGGATGAGGCCGCCTTAAGATGCTATCTTCATCCCAAGACACCAGGAAGCCCTGAGAGAACATTTAACCGGGACAGCATGGTCAGATTTTCATTTTTCAAAAAGCCCCTTTGCTACTGGGTGGAGATAGTTTGCAGGGAGTTCAGGGGGAGGAGGCACAGAGAGGGAGAAGTGGTGGGTGCTAGAGCTCTGAGAGGTAACATTGGAGGGGTAGTGGGTCTGGGGGTTGTGAGGAACAAGGGGTTTTCGGGGAGTACCCCAGAGCTCCAAGGTGTCTGGCTGGGATGCCAGGTGGAGTGATGGGCACCTGTGGGACAGCCAGGTAGAGACATCTGAGGCGGCAGCTGGGGAACTGTCTGGAACTCCGGTTGATGTGCTACCTGGGCTTAAGATGTACTCCCAAGAGTTACCAACACCTACACTTGGGAGTGGGTACATTATCCAGGGAGGAGCCAAGATTGAACACAGGTGGGTTTTTGTTCAGCATTTTAAAAATTTTTAATTTTTTTTTGTAGAGACAAGGTCTCACTATGTTGCCCAGGCTGGCCTCAAGAGATCCTCCTGCCTTGGCCTCCCAAAGGGCTGGGATTACAGGCGTGAGCCACCGGTCCCAGTCTGTTCAGCACTTTTTCCACTAGCTTAGTATCTCCACACACCTCAAAGAGATCACCAAGTCCAACTCATACATGCAAACCAGTGCTCAGGAAGTCCACATGATCCTGCTGTGGTTCATTTGACCAAAACCGAGTGGTGGAGCTAAGCAAGGCTGTTTCACAGAAGCCAGATATATAAGTGGCCTCAATACGGAGGGCAGTCTCCATCTCCCAGTGTCTCTGACTGCTGCACGCACACTTGGCAACCTGTGCTCAGGTCAGGGATAGTCTGGGTGGGGGCTCCAGTTTCTGCCACTCACCAGTGATGTGACTCTGGGCAATGTACAAAATCTCTTGGGTTTTAAGTTTCTTATCTGTAAGATGGGGATAATAAACCAATCTTGCAGCATGTGAGGATTTAATGAGACTACAGTTCCCATGAAGGGGATGGGGTGCCAACCTTCCCACACAGTCAAAAATCCACATATAGGCCAGGTGTGGTGGCTCACGCTTGTAATCCCAGCACTTGGGGAAGCTGAGGTGGGTAGATCATGAGGTCAGGAGTTTGAGACCAGCCTGATCAACATGGTGAAACCCCGGCTCTACTAAAAATACAAAAATTAGGTGTGGTGGTGCGCACCTGTAATCCCAGCTACTCAGGAGGCTGAGGCAGGAGAATTGCTTGGACCCAGGAGGTGGAGGTTGCAGTGAGCTGAGATCTCACCACTGCACTCCAGCCTGCAGGACAGAGCAAGACTCTGTCTCAAAAAAAAAAAAATCCACATATAACTTTCAACTCACCACAACTTTTGTTAATAGCCTACTATTGGCCAGAAGCCTTACCAATAACATAAACACTCAACACATATTTTGCATGTGATTTGTATTGTATACTGTATTCTTACAATGAAGTAAGCTACAGAAAAGAAAAAGTACTAATAAAATCATAAGGAAGAGAATGTATTCACTATCACTAAATGGAAGTGGATCATCATAAAGGTTTTCATCCATATCGTCTTCACATTGAGTAGGCTGAAGAAGAGAAGAGGTTGGTCCTGTCATCTCAGGGATGGCAGAGGCAGAAAAGGTCAGGGAGATGGGAAGGAAGTCAGGAGATGCACACACACTGAGAAATTCATCGTTATTTCTGTCTGACATTTTTGCTTTTTCATTTCTCTAAATATGTTTCTTTATGTTACCAATCCTTCTTCCACCATTTGCTTTAGTTTTGGTGTCCGTACCATAGAAAGGTCCATGTGGTAGAAGTCACAAGTAGTCTTGAATAATCAGAACTCCTCTGCCAGATTGTCGAATGTCAACTTATTTTCTGGCACTGCATCTACATCCTCTTCCTCATCATCTGGCACTGATTCGAAAACACTCATCTCCATCAAGTGGTCTTCTGTTAATTCCTCTGGTGTGATGTCTCTTCACTCTTGAATTTCTCCAAGATCCATATCCTGAAAGCCTACATTCCCCACCTTTTTTGCCACAGGCACACTCTCTTTCATGATTTCCTTGATTGGCCCTGTTGTAAATCGGGACCAGTTTTCTCCAGTAGGAAGGCTGGGCACTGAGAGCCTTCGAACCTTCTGCTTCACCTTTTGACATATAGGGCCCAATTTTAATGCATTTAAATGTTGCCTCCACTCCAAAATGAATATGGGACGTATGTAATGTGTGAAATAGGTGTGTCTCACCCCCTTCATGAATATTAATAGAGCCTTCTATAATCTGTTGAATATGTACGTTTAGCCAACCCTTTCAGCATAACTTCCTGTCTCATCTTTCCCTGGAAGTGCCTGCTTTTGGTCTTTGCTGGAGGCTACACTTCCCAGCCTGTCAAGATGGCCAGCCTGCAGGCTGCAACCTTTCTAAGAAATAAAGCTTTTGGGCTGGCCCAGTGGCTCACGCCTGTAATCCCAGCACTTTGAGAGGCTGAGTTGGGTGGATCACTTGAGACCAGGAGTTTGAGCCCAGCCTGGCCAACATGGCGAAACCCCATCTCTACCTAGAAAAAAATACAAAAATTAACCAGATGTAGTGGCATGTGCCTGTCTTCCCAGCTAATCGGGTGGCTGAGGCAGGAGAATTGCTTGAACCTGAGAGGCAAAGGTTGCAGTGAACTGAGATCGCACCACTGCACTCCAGCCTGGATGATAGAGCTAGACTCTGTCAGACAAAAAAAGAAAGAAAGAAAATAAGGCTCTTGGCCTGGCACAGCGGCTCATGCCTGTAATCTCAGCACTTTAGAAGGTCGAGGTGGGAGGATTGCTTGAGTTCAAGAGTTCGAGACCAGCTGGGCAAGATAGTGGGACCCCTGTCTCTACAAAAACAAGTTTGAAAATTAGCCAGGCATGGTGGCACACACCTGTAGTTCCAGCTACTTGGGAGGCTGAGGTGGGAGATTGCCTGAGCCCAGGAGGTTGAGGCTGCAGTTAGTCATGATTGTGCCACTGTACTTTAGCCTCTCCAAATTTGTAGATCTCATAATTTTAAGTCACCAACCTCCACCAGTCTCATTTTAGGTTGTCATATAATGACATCAGTTTTTCTTGAATCATATTAGAGTCTATAGATATGCTTTTCTTGTAGATATCCTTCACCCAGATAAAAGCTGCGTTTTCTCTATTTCTCTGTCCTTCCTTCCTTCTTTCATCTTTTTTTTTTTCACCCTGACAGAGCCTCGCTTCCAGGCTGGAGTGCAGTTGTGTGATCTTGGCTTACTGCAGCCTCCACCTCTTGGGCTCAAGTGATCCTCCTGCTTCGGTCTCCCAAAGTACTGGGATTAAAGGCATGAGCTACTACATCCAGCCAAAAGCTACATTTTCAAGACTAGATAAAAAGGTATTTGGCAAAAAGAGCAAAGTTTCATGTCTGCTAGCATGGCTGCAGTGATGACACTGCGAATTTCCTTTTCTTATTTTACAGCGGTTCTTAGGCTGGATTAATTTATCTTGAAATGGTGGGCAACCACAGCTGCAGACCTCAGTCTACAGTACATATCAATCAATCCATCTTTTTCTTGTACTGTCTTTTCTCTGCTTCTTGGCAGCACTTCCAGCATCACTAGTGGCATTTCGTACATGTCTTCTTCAGGTTTATTGTATTGCACTAAACATGAAAAATACATGAGAACCACAAGAGATTACTTTTCACTGTGATACACAATCTACAGGAGAGACAAGTGCTCACGTGGAGATGGCTAGTGTCACATGGCATTTTAAGTGGACACTGGACACCTGAGCTCACTGCAATAGTAGCAGGAGGGGTGACAGAATTATTACAGTAGTACAGTGGGCTCCCATTAATTTATGCAATTATGACTTAATACTGCATCTTTACATTTGTTTACATTTCTCTTGACTGGCACCATGTACTGTGTTTGTGTGCATAACTTTTGATAAATTTTAACTGTTTATAATTGATATATGTGTGTTTATAAATGATATATGTATGTTTTATGGTGGTAAATGATAAAAATATGCTAGTATTTTATGCATTCATGACATACCTTTTTCTTAACTTTTTCAATATTTCTAGGCTACAAGGTTCATCTGCAAGTTTCTTCAAATGGTTGCAATGCTTACTGCAACCTCCATCTCCTAGGCTCCAGTGATCCTCCTGCCTCAGCCTCCCAAAGTGCTGGGATTACAAGCATGAGCTACTACATCTGTCCAAAAGCTGCATTTCCAAGACCAGGTAAAAAGGCATTTGGCCAAAAGAGCAAGGTTTCACATCTGCTGGCATGGCTGATGTGAAATTTTCCAATACATTTTTCCAATATATTTATTGAAAAAAAAAGTGGACCAGGTGTGGTGGTTCATGCCTGTGATCCCAGCAATTTGGGAGGCCAAGGTTGGGAGGGTTACTTGAGTCCTGGAGTTCAAGACCAGTCTGAGCAACATAGCAAGACCCCGTGTGTGTTGTTTTTTTTTTTTTTTTTTTTTTTTTGAGACGGAATTTCGCTCTTGTTGCTCAGACTGGAGTACAGTGGCATGATCTCGGCTCACTGCAACCTCCACCTCCTGGGTTCAAGTGATTCTCCTGCCTCAGCCTTCTGAGTAGCTGGGACCACAGGTGCATGCCACCACACCCAGATTTTTTTTTTTTTTTTGTATTTTTAGTAGAGATGAGGTTTCACTATGTTGGCCAAGATGTTCTCAATCTCCTGACCTCGTGATCTGCCCATCTTGGCCTCCCAAAGTGCTGGGATTACAGGCATGAGCCATTACGCCTGGCCAACCCCATGTCTATTTAAGAAGATTTAATTTAAAAAAAAATTTTTTTAAGAAAAAATCTGTATGTAGGTGGACCCATGTAGTTCAGACTTGTGTTGTTCAAGGGTCACAACTGTACCTGTGGTGACTGATACGAAACAGATGACCAAAAAATGATAGTTTTATTTCCCCATCTGGTCCCATTTAAAAGAGGTGTTTAGGTCTGAGAATTTTCACACGTACAAGGTTCCACAGTCAGGATGCCGAGGAATGGCACCCCTCTTGCTGGAGTCCAGCCCTCCCCACCCAACCCTGCTGACTGCTGATTTGCCTTCTATCCCTGTCACGCCATTGTCTCAGGAAGGTCATGTGAGTGGAGATATGCAGCATGGGCTCTTTGTAACTGGCTGCTTTCGCTAAGCATCATGTTTTTGAGATCCACCCCAATGCTCTGTGTGTCAGTGACATGTTCCTTTCAATTGTGGAATGGTGTTAGCCTACACAGGGAGACACAGGTGGTTACCTCTTCAGCCATGGGAGGACGTGTGGTTGTGTCCAGATTTAGGCGATTATGCATAGAGTTGCCATAAACATTTCTGCAGAGGTTTTCATGTGAACACAAATTTTCCTTACTCCAGGAAAATTCGTTATGGGACTGCTGGGCCATGTGGTTTAACAGAACTGTCAAACTGCTTTCCAGTGGCACCTCACTATGGTTTTGATTTGCATTTCCCTAGTGATTAGTGTTGATGGTCTCTCATAGGCTTTCTGTCTTCCACATAGAGCGTCCTCTTCAGTGAGGGTCCAAGTCTTTTACCCACTTTTGTTTGGATGGTTTTCTAACTTGATTTTAAGAGTTCTTTATATATGTCAGACTACTTTCTTCGTTGGATATGTGGTTTGTAGATATTCTCTCCCAGCCTATAGCTGTCTTTTCAGTGTCTTTTAATAGTGTCTTTTGCAAAGCTATATTTTTTATTTTGATCAAGTCTAATTGACGGATTTTTGCTTTTACATGCATTTGGCATCATGTCTAAGAACAATTTCCCTAACCTCAATTAATGAAGATTTCTTCCTATGTTTTCTTCCAAAACTTTAAACACTCTCTCTCTCTATCTCTCTCAGCAAATAAGGAGGAAAGTTTCATGACAATTGCAGTCCTGGTTTCTGTAGCTGGTCACATGGTCCTATAACTACCTTCTTGCACTCCCCAGTCTGTATTCCCTTTGCCTTCAGGAAGCCTCCACTGGTTGTGGTTTTTAACCTGGTGGGGGAACCTTCATTCCTGAAGGTTCTGGACCATTATTAATCCTGCCTAGATTGGGCTGTTGTGCTTTTCCATTGATCTTAATCACAGCGCATGCCACGAGGGCCCTCCTGTACCCCAGACATGCTCTTCCTCAGTCCATTGTGAAGCAGCAGGGCAGTTTCTCCTTGGTGATCTGGACCAGCCACCCCCACCAGCGTAGTTAACTCCTTCTTTACCTGTTGATCCAGAGGCATGAGGAGCTTGGTGCCACCAGATGGCAGCCTAAACTTCCAGCGCAATGGATCATCCCTCTGTCTTTTGGCGGCAGCATTCCTTCCTCTGGAACTAAGACCTCTAGGCCAGCAGAGCATAAGGTGGTGGGGACAAGGAGCAAAACTTTTGCTAGTGGGTCACTAGGGGTGATGGGGTTTCACCCTGTTGGCCAGGCTGGTCTCAAACTCCTGATCTCAAATGATCCACTCGCCTCGGCCTCCCAAAATTCTGGGATTACGAGCGTGAGCTGCTGCACCCAGCCTAGTGCTAATCACTTTTTAAAAAGCCATTCTAATATGTAGTGATGTCTCATTGTGGTTTTAATTTCAACTTTCCTAATGGCTAATGTTGCTGACCATCCTTTCATGTACAAAGAATATTTGCTTTGGTCAAATATCTGTTCATGTCATTTGCGCATTTTTAATTTGATTACTTATTTATTTTATGTTGAGTTCTGAGAGTTCTTTATTCTTGACACAAGTTCTTTGTCAGATATGTGATTTGCAAATATTTTCTCTCATTCTGTAACTTATCTTTCCATCATCCCAATTGCGTCTTTTGCAGAGCAAAAAAAAATTTAATTTTGATGAGGTCCAATTTATCAATTTTTTCTTTTATAAATTGTATTTTGATGTCAAGTCTAAGGGCTCTGCCTAGTCCCTGATCCTGAAGATTTTCTTCTTTTTTTTTCCTGAAAATATTACAGTTTGACATTTAAGCCCATGATCCTTGTGTTATGTTTTGTATAAAATGTGAAGGTCAGGCCAAGCCTCATCTCCTTGCCTATGGATGTCTGATTGTTCCTGCAGCACTTGTTGAAAGGGCTATCAGTCCTCTACTAAAGTGCTGTTGCATCTTTCTCAAAAATTAATTAAGCATATTTCTGGGGTGGGATCTCTATCTTGCACCAGTAATTAATGTGTCTCTCCCTCCACCAGCACCATACTGAGTTGATTACTGTAGTTGTAGAGTAAGCTTTAATAATTGGTACAGTGATTTCTTCTATTTAATTATTCTTTTTCAGAATTGTTTCAGCTAAACTAGGTCCACTTCCTTTTAATATAAAGTTTACAATAAGTTTGCATATGTATACAAAAAACAATGCCAAGATTTAGAATTCTATTAAACCTGCAATTTGAAGGAAGCTGACATCTATGTTGAGAATTCCCATCCCTGAATATGGCATGACTCTCCATTTATGTAGATGTTTGATTTCTTTCAGCAGAATTTTGTAATTTGCATATATTCTCCTGTATATGTTTTATTAGATTTATTCCTACATATTAATACTTCATGTATTTTGAGCAGTTGTAAATGGTATTGCAGTTTTTATTTTGGTTTCCACTTGTTTATTGTTACCATAGAGAGATGTAATTTGTGTATGTGTGTTATTCTTGTGTATTGCAGCCTTGATATTCTCACTCTTTATATCAAGGATTTTTTTTTTGTTCCATGGGACTGTTTATGTAGATGATTATGCCACATGCAAGCAGTGATAGTTTTCTTTCTTTCTTTTCAATCTGCATACTTTTTATTTCTTTTTCTGGTCTTATTACACTGGTTAGAACTTCTAGTACTATCTTGAATTAAAATGGTGAAAGGGAACATTCTTGCCTTGTTCCTGCTCTTAAGGGGAAAGCATTCATTCTTTCACCATTAAGTGTGATGTTAACTGTAGATTTTTGTAAATGCTCTTTATGAAGTTGGAGGAAATTACCCTCTATTCCAAGTTTGCTAAGAGTTTATATCATGAATAGGTTTTGAATTTTGTCAAAACCTTTTCCTATGTCAATTGATAAGATCATTATGATTTTTCTTCAGTTTACAAAACAGAATATGTGGATTGGCTTTTCAAATATTAAAACAGTCTTGCATAACTTGAGTGAAATTCCTCTTGATTGTGGTCTACTACTCTTTTTATGCATCACTAAATTTGATTTGCTGACACTGTCTTGAGGATTTTTCCATCTAAGCTTATGAGCAAAATCAGCCTGCAAGGTTCTTTCCTCTGTCCCTGCCTCCTTCCTCCCTCCCTTCCTTCCTTCCTTTGTGCTGTCTTTGTTTTGTTTTGATATCAAAATAATGATATCATAGTCCTTTCTCTTCTATTTTCTGGAAGAGACTGTGTAAAACTGGTGTTGATTCTTCTTTAAATATTTGGTAAATTCTCCAGTGAAACCACTGGGTCTGGATATATTGTGTTCAGGAGCTTTTTAGTTACAAATCCAATTTATATAATGATTATAGGACTATTCAGGCTTTTATATATTTCATCTTTTCTGAGTTGTGGTAATTTGTGGTTTTCAAGGAATTGATCCATTTTTTCCTAGGCTGTCAAATGTATGAGCATAAAATTTTTATAGCATTTTTCATAGATGCAGCCTCTTTTGTGATATTTCTTGTTTCATTCCTGATATTGCTGATTTGTGTGTTATCTCCTTTTATCTTTGTTGATCATGCTAGAGGATTATCAGTTTTATTAATTTTTTGAAGAACCTGTTTTTTATTTCCTTAATGTTCTGCATTGCTTTCCTGTTTTTAATTTCATCAATTTCTGCTCTTCGCTTTCCGTCCTATTTGCCTTAACTTTATTTTACTATTCCTCTTTTAGTTTTTTGACTACTGGTTTGAGAACTTTCCATATTACTAATATAAGGATTTAGTGCTATAAATTTCTCTCTCAGCTCTGCTATAGCTGAATCCCTCAATTGTTTTTTAAGACAAGGTCTCATTCTGTCACCGAAGCTGGAGTGCAGTAGCACAATCTCCACTCGTTGCAGCCTCAACCTTCTGGGCTCAAGCAATCCTCCCTATCTCAGCCTCCCAAGTAACTGGGACTACAGGTGCATGCCACCACACCTGGATAATTTTTTGCAGAGATAGGGATTTCACCATGTTGCCCAGGCTAGTCTTGAACTCCTGGGCTCAAAAAGCGATCCACCTGCCACAGCCTCCCAAAGTGCTGGGATTACAGGAGTAAGCCATTGCACCCAGCCTCATCCACAAATTTTGATATGCCATATTTTCATTGTTACTTGCTTTTTAAAAATTCCCTTTGAGACTTCTTCTTGTCCACATTGTATATAAATGTTTACTGCTTAATTTCCAAGTGTTTGCAGATTTTTCTCTTGTCTTTCTGCAATTTATTTCCAGTTTGATTCCATTTTGGTCAGAGGACACTCTTTGTATGATTTCAGTTTTTAAAAATTTGTTAAGGTTTGTTTTAAGATCTAGAGTCTGTTCTATAAGAGCTTGAAAATAATGCATAGTTTGCTGTTGATGGATAGAGTTTTCCATAAATGTTAATTTTACCCTATTGGCTAATAATATTGTTTAGTTATCCTATATTCTTGCTGATTTTTTTTCTAGTAATTTTACAAATTCTGAAAGTGAGATGTCGACATATCCCAACTATAATTATGGATTTTTCTATTTCTTTTTTAAGCTCTATCAGGTTTTGCTTCATGTGTTTTGAAGCTGTGTTGTTTGGTGCACATATATTTAGGATCAAGATATACTCTTGCTCTTTTGTTATTATGTAATATTTCTCTTTTGTTCTAGAAATTCTTTTTGCCATGAACTCTATCTGATATTATTATAGCAACTCCTGCTTTTTTAAAAGTTCCTGTTTGTTTGCATGAAATTTTTTTTTCTGTTTTTTTTTTTTTTTTTTTTTTTTTTTGAGATGGAGTCTTGCTCTGTCGCCCAGGCTGGAGTGCAGTGGCGCGATCTCGGCTCACTGCAAGCTCCGCCTCCCGGGTTCACGCCATTCTCCTGCCTCAGCCTCCCGAGTAGCTGGGACTACAGGCGCCCGCTACCACGCCCGGCTAGTTTTTTGTATTTTTAGTAGAGACGGGGTTTCACCGTGTTAGCCAGGATGGTCTCGATCTCCTGACCTCGTGATCCGCCCACCTCGGCCTCCCAAAGTGCTGGGATTACAGGCGTGAGCCACCGCGCCCGGCCTTTTTTCTGTTCTTTCACTTCGAATCTGTTAAATACCTATGCCATGGTATTAGAACTGAATATCTTATGGACATCATATAATGGGTCATATTTTTGCATTTACTCTGCTATTTCTGTGTTTTTCCCAGATTTAACCAAACTGCAAAGTCTGAGGGCATGGTTCCTAAAATTTCCCTCATTCCTGACACGAACAGCAAGTTTTAGAGGTTTCCAAAGCACCCTAAGTTTCAATCATTTGCTGGAAGAACTCACAGAAGTCATTGAAAACTGCTGTACACATGGTTACTGTTTACTGCAGGGAAAGGATACAAATCAGAACCAGCACAGAGGGCAGGGCTAGGAGGGTCTGTGAAGCCTCTGTTGTCCTCAGGTGCATTACTCTCCCAGCATCCACGTGTGACAATACCATGAAGCACTGCCAACCTAGGAACCTCACCCAAGCCTTGGTGTCCGGAGTGTTTCCTGGAACTGCATTGTGCAGCCATAATTGACTGATCTGTTGGAGACTGGTTGGAACTCTGTCTTCATCTCTCCCTTTCCCGGAATCTGGGGCTGACAGCACATTCCTGGGAGGGCCCACCATGAGCCAGCTGGTAGCATAAACTTCAGGTATAGTCTGAGGGACCCACCATGAATAGCAAAGACCCTCCTGTCACATGGTCTTCAGGACTACTTGCCAGGAGCCAGGACAAAGGCTAGACCTCTTCTTTGGGCTAGGCCAAATTCTTTACCACACAGAAATCATATTTAGGATTCAAATGTGCCATTTTTATTTGCTTTCTGCATGTTTCTTATGTTTCCTTTATTCTGTTTTGTTTCACTTGTCATGGATTACTTAAACAGTTTTTAGCATTTCATTTTGAATTATTTATACTTTTGGGTGCATTGCTTTGTATCGTTTTGTAAGTGGCTGCTCTAGGATTGATTATAATATACCCACGTAACTTATCACAGCCTGCTGGCATCAATGTTTCACCACTTCATGAGAAATATCAAAAGCTTACTTTTATTTACTTCCCCTTTTCCTCCCCCACTTAAACATGTAATTATCATAAATATTTCCTGTTCAGATGTAGAGCACCGCAGCAGATGATGTTAATATTTTTTGCTTCAACCATAAAATACAATTTAAGAAACTCATCATAGTCTATTATACTTACCATATGATTACCCCTTCTGTTGTTGCTATTTCTGATTTCCTTATTTCCTTTTCGTTAGTAGAGCTTCCTTCAGCCATTTATTAAGGGTAGGTTTTCTGGTAACAAATTATCCTAGTTGTCCTTCCTCTTAGAATATCTTTATTTCCCCCTCATCCCTGAAGGATATGTTCACTGAATAGGGTTCTGGGCAGACAGTTTTTCTCAGCACCTGGTGATGGTGTGTCGCCCCCTCTGCCTCGTGGTTTTAGAGAAGCCCACCATCCTCAGAACCAGCGTCCCTTAATGCATCGTTTTTCTCTGGTGGTTTAAAAGATTTTTTTCTTCATCTTTCCTCTCCTGAAGTTCCGTTATGATGTGTTTATCCTATTTGGGGTTTGCTCAGATTCTTGAATCTGCAGGTTTACTTCTTTCACCAAATTTGGGACATCTTCAACCACTGTGCCTTTGAATACTTTTTCACCACACATTCCTTCCTCTCCTCCTGGGACTCTGGTGACAGGAACGCTGGGCCTTTTGTCACTGTCCCACCCATCCCCGAGGAGGCGTTCATTTCTCAGTCTCCTATCTCTCCATCGTTCCTATGGGCCAGCTCTATTAATTGTCCTTGAATCAAGAGACTCTGTTCTCTGTCGTCTCCACTCTGCTATTGTACCCAACTGCACATTTTTTCATTTAGTTATTGTATTTTTCAGTTGTATGATTTTCATTTTGTTCTTGTTTCAAGAAAATTCACCATTGTTTTCTGAAGCACTTTTATGATGGCTGCTTTAAAGTTCTAACATCTGATTTATCTTGGTTAATCTTATTTTGCTATTTAAGTTGTTTTTTGTTTTGCTCTGTTATGTTTTTGAGACAGAGTCTTACTCTGATGCTCAGACTGGTGTGCAGTAGCATGATCTCGGCTCACTGCAGCCTCAAACTGCCGGGCTCAAGCAGTCCTCCTGCTTCAGCCTCCTAAGTAGCTGGCACCACAGGTGTGTGCCACCACAGCTGGCTAATTTTTAAATTGTTTGTAGAGACAGGGTCATGCTGTGTTGCCCAGGCAGATCTCAAACTCCCGGGCTCAAGCCATCCTCCTGATTGACCTTCCAAAGTGCTGGGATTACAGGTGGGAGCCCCCTCACCAGGCTTCAAGTTGCTTTTTATGTTTCCTGATATGACAAATAATTTCAAATATGTTCTGGAGATTTCGGTTATTATGTAAGGAAACTTTTTATCCTATTTGAACATTCCAGTTCAGTCCATGGTACCCTTATTTGGTTTACCATATAGGCCCCAGCCTGCTTTAGGGGAAATGTAGAGTCAATGACAATTTAGTTTTCAAAGCCCTCCCAGTGCTATTCTGGTCTCGTTTGTTCTTCTGGATCTGCTGGGGCTCTGGTTCAATCCCTGTGCATGTTGCTGGGGTTGCCCTGTGCGGTGGGGGTAGGTTAAGGAAACGCCGGGTTCTGGGTGTGCTCTCTGCGCCGTGGTCAGCAGAGCCTTTGTGGCCTGGGTGTGATGCTGAGGGCCAGGCTTGAGCGGAGCTGCTGTGGCATGGATCAGTAGGAATCTCCTCACTGGGTCTTCAGTGAGATACCCTTCTCAGTCCTTTCACCAGAGAAAATAGGCTCGTTTTCTTTTCTTTTTTGTCCCTGCAGGTTTTGGCAGTTACGGGTTGCAGGGTTCTCTGGGCCCATCCAGGAGATGAGAGAAAAAGAAAACTCAGGGCCTTGTACAGCGTCACCCCCAAAGTCCCGAGGTTCCTGGACAGCCTTTCTTCCTCTACACTTCCTAGAGTCCTCTTATGTCTGTTAAATTTTTTCCAGGGTGTCTAGTTGTATTTAGAGGGCAGATGCCACCTCGTCATAGAATGCCGGGGTCCACTCTCCAGGCATTTGGAACGAGTTGCCACGAGGTCCTCGGGAGGGTGTGACAGTTCACACGCCCACCAGCAGCTTTCCACGTCTCCATTTCCTCTGCCCCTGACAGCATCTAATGTTATGATTTTTGTTTGTAAATTTGGCTTTTGGTTCCTTTATGAGGGGATTAATTAATACAGGCTGCTGGCTCCTTCCCACGAATCCAAACCTTGGAGATGCCATCAAAGGGATGACAGTTGATGGAGCCCAGAACCTAAGAGGACCCCTGAGAGCCTTGCGGAGGCTGGGCAAACGTGGTGGAGTCTGGGACAGGAGGGGAATCACAGTCTGAGTGGAGGAGGCCACACAGCACAACCGGGGCCAGACTGCAGCTCTCTGCTCCGGGGCCCACCTGGGGCTGTCATCTGCCAGCCCTGCTTTCCTGTAGAAGATCCCACCCGTACCAGCCCCAGGAATCTAGGCAAGGCCAGAGCACCTCAGGAGCCTCCTGGAGTGAGGGCCACGACACCTGGGCAGGCTGGCTGGTGGCCCCTGGGCAGCCTTCCTCCCCAGCCCAAGGACAGCCAATTACAGCACAGGGCAGCCCTGGACAGACAGCACCAGCTAGAAGGACAGGGGCGTTCCCTGCAGACCAGAGCAGCCCCCGGGGATGAGCAAAGAGGGCCCCAGTCATCCTGCCAGAGGCTCTGCCCCCAGGAGCCCCTGCCTGCCTCCCTGAAGCCCACAAGGAAGGTGTCAACTGGGGCCTAAGACGAAGGCAGTTGACCATACCCAGGGAACAGAGAGCGGCCTGAGGAAACGAGACAGCGAGGGGAGTGAACTCCGGGAGGGAAAAACCCCAAGGTTTTTCCTTGGAGGAGGGAGCAGATGAGCGGATAAGACCGGTAAATCCGTCACATACCCTCAGGACGCAGGGAGAGCGCGGCTGGAATTGGCAGTTATGCAGAAGATGCAGCCGGGAATACTGGACTGGAACATGCGGGCGCTTAAGTGATGAACTTGGTGGGAAGGTTGGAGACCAGAAAATGAATGAGTGAGGCAGGTCAGGCTCTGAGCTCTTCTAGAAGGAGCTGAAGGGGTTGAGGAGGCAGAGGTGAGGGAGGAAAAATATTCAGTGCTTAAAAGAGGAAAAATGAATAGATAAGAGGAAGTATCTGAAAAATGATTAGGAAATTTCCCCAATTAAGAAAAGATGCACATCCTCAAACTGAAAGGGCCTGCAGAGTGTTAATTACATTTTAAAGTTAAAATCTTATGTGTACTTTCAAAGAAAAGCATCTACATTTTGAGTCAAAATTGCTAAAAACTTCCAAAGAGAAAAAGCAGGTAACCCGCACAGGAACGGGAGTGGTGCTGACATTAGAATCGCGGCACAGACAACGGATGCAAGAAGAAAGGGAGTGACAGCTTCAGACGCGAGAGGAAAGGACCCTGGAACCCAGGGCTGTGTCCTGCTCACCGCCATGAAATATGGGCACGCAGGAAGCCATCCTCAGTCCTATCAGCCCCCTTGAGAGTCAACCCCAGAAACACTCTTGGAGAAATATTTCAGCAAGAAAAAGGAACCGGGGAGGATGCTGCCAGGTCTAGGGAGGAGTGATGCTTCCCCAGCGTGGATGGTTCACTGCCATCTAAGTAAGCAATGACCTCCGCGTGTGCCGCACAGTCCAGCTTCCTCAGAGGCGGTGGTGGCCTGGTGGAGGAATGTGGGCTGGCTGGGCGGCCACAGAGAATTACTGTTTCCATTAAAAGGAAATGTGTTCTGGCCGGGAGCCCTGGCTCACACTGTAATCCCAGCATTTTGAGAGGCTCAGGCGGGTGGATCGCTTGAGGTCAGGAGTCTGAGACCAGCCTGGCCAACCTGGTAAAACCCCGTCTCTGCTAAAAATACAAAACTTAGCTGGGCGTGGTGGCGGGCGCCTGTAATCCCAGCACTTTGGAAGGCAGAGGCGGGCGGATCACTTGAGGCTAGGAGTTCGAGACCAGACTGACCAACATGGGGAAACCCCATGTCTACTAAAAATACAAAAATTAGCCTGGCATGGGGGCACATGCCTGTAGTCCCAGCTACTCGGGAGGCTGAGGCAGGAGAATCGCTTGAACCCGGGAGGTGGATGTTGCAGTGAGCCGAGATTACACCACTGCACTCCAGCCTGGGCAACAGAGCAAGACCCTGCCTAAAAAAAGAAAAAAAGTGTCACATGGAGACGTGTGTCTGTTTGGGACTGTTTTCCAGCCTTTCCACACTCTTCCCCTCCCCATCTGTCCCTCCATCTCCACCAAGCTGTGTTTTGATGTTGTGTTTGCATGATTTGGTGTATCTGGCATTTTAACATTTCATCCTTGCCACTATTTATTATTTTCTGTTTCTTCGTAGTAGCCACTAAATTGTTTTCAGGTGATATCTCATTGTGGTTTTGATTTGCATTTATCTAATAATTAGTGATATTTAGTGTCTTTTCATATGCTCATTGGCCACATTTGCCTGTTTTTAAATCAGGTAATTTGTTGATTTGTTGTTGAACCATGGAGACATATTTTTAAACCACAACAGCTATCTTGCAGATTGCGGTGAGAACTAAAAGATTTATGTATGCAAATCATATTACCTGTCACGTAGTAGGCACTCAAAAATTATTACTTGTCTTCTTAGGGTTGTTATGTTAAATAATGTTATGTTAATAACATATGTAAAACTGCTTCTTAAATTATAAAGTGCTATGCAAATGTGAGTTAATACTACAAAGCTGTATGCAAAATATTTTAATATTTTTCTGAGGTTCTCCATACTTAAATATATAAATCTTTCCATCTCTAGACTTTATTCTTTTTTTAGCTGTAATCCCTTTTTTTCCATTTTACTTCAAGTTTTATCAAAAAAAAAATAGCAGCCAAAATAGAACAAGTAAAGACGGAGAAACAATAACTAATTTCACTAAAGCAAAGTCAGAGTAAGATCTATTTAAAAATAAAACGTGAAGAAAAGCTGCAATGGATTACACTATTGAAAAATCCTAAGACAACCAGAACTGCCGTTCCTTCAGAGAATGTGAGTGATGTTGAAAGATTAATAACATTTGGATAACATTAATTACAGTGATGTTATAAACTCTGGTATTCCAGTTGCCATAACAACCCGCTATATGTTGGTTTTCTAATGACATTTCGAACAAGTGTTGAGGCGAACTGCATCACTTCAGAACTTTGATTGCTGTCACTCAGTGATTTTAAAATTGAATTGTTTTGTTCTTAAAGAGTCAGAATATGTCACTGTCTTCAGAAATGTTCTCAAAATTATGGGGAGGAAGTGATACACATTCCTATACAATTATAGAGCACTCAAAAAAAAGAAATGTATTTTGTTTTTAATACAAAATTAACAGGTTTTTTCTATAGGGAATAGAAAAAAACAGAAAGGAGAAAGATTATGCTTCATGCTTCTCAGAAGACTTTGTTCCCTTGCAGAATTATTTGACAATAAAATTCTTTCTAGAAAAACTCACTTTTCTTGCTTATATTTCTCTCGTCTCCATTCTCTCCTTTCTTTTCACCTCCCTATTTCTTTCTTCCAATGAATTCTTTTAGAAGCCATGGATTCTGGTCAAGGTAGATGCAACACTTTGGAGTTAGTGAGAGGAGGTCATTCCTCCATCCAGCTTTCTGCTTTCTGATCTCTCTTCCCTCTGCTGACCAACCCGTTGCCCAATGGATATAATAAAAGAAAGACTACTTGCCACTGGCTTATATTATATTGGATTTTAATATTCCCAAGAGAATGTGTTAAATATATATATTGTGCCACTGACCAGAAGCAAAGCATGATTGTAACAGACATGCTTCTAAGTATTTGCTCAGCCCACAGCCTACTCTGCTCCTGCTGCCCCACCCATCCACAAATATGAATCGTTTGATTAAATAGGAGCACCAGAACCAACTCATCCATATGCATTGAGCTGGACAAATACATTCTCTCTTTTTCTCCTCTTTTCCCTGTTTCCTCTCCCTCTCTACAAATTCAGCTAAGGTGAATGCTAACCATTTGCAATGGTGTTTAAAGCAGAACAGTGGTGTTCTGTGGCAGAACTCTGTGCTACAGGACTCTGAAGGGAGATTATGCCCACTGCCTCCCCAACCACCCCTCTTGCCCACCCCCACCACAGTTCCAGCAGCATCTCAGTCTATACAGTGCATCTCAGGCATTGGAGGTGGCATCATTCCATGTAAAGCATATTCTATGCTCTATAAACCCTGAGCCCAATGCAATGCCATCTTAAGTAGGCCCAGGTCTGCCCCTTGTCCAGATGTGCCATCAGCACCCTTTCAACACTCTCTCCCCTCCCCCTTTCTCTATACTTAAAGCTCCCTCTACCCCACCCAGATATCCAAAGGCATTGATCCTACCCTCCCAAAGCTCCCACTGTGGCCAGCTCCTCCGAGGCCTCTCAGGGAAGAGTGAAGTGAGCTAATCAACCCAGCCTAGGCTTCTGTTGACCCAGAACCAATTCAAGATGAAGGCCATGCCTTAGACAGCAGCTGCCAGGGAAATACATGACTTATACAATGACATCAGCTGAAATTCACAAAGGTCACTGCATTTAACTCATTCCTCACCCAAGGTGATGCAAGCATGCTAACCCTTTTCCTCCCAGTCTTCTCTGGATGATCTTCTCCACTTGATTTTACTGGGATGTACATGAACAAGCTAGAGGAGCAGCCTGTGCCTGTTACCCTCTCCTCCCCACTGCTGAGGTCACTCTCCACCCTTCTCATCCTACTCTCTTGCTGGGGACACTGAACTGTATGAGTTTCATCAATGGACTCCCTTGCCCTTTGACCTCCAGTTGGGTTCTGCCAATTAGAGGTCCTTAATAGGAGATAAGAGGGAGGGAGAAGGAGTGGAGGCTGGGGTATTTATGCCTCTGGCTTGATCCCTGAAGTATTGTCTTGCAGTCATCTCTATGTGATTCTCTCCACCCAGGTTCCAGTAACTGATCCCTCCTCATATCATTTCTGGTGAGGAGTCATAACTGAACTCAGTGGTGCTACACTGTCCTTTTTGGACTCCATAAACACTGCTCATCATTTGTAAACAGTCCCTTCACTAAACCTCCCTCCAATTGTTCTAGTGCAAATGGCCCAACACATTCCTCCTGGGATCCTGAAATGATTCCTTAAATGATGTGGTCTATCCTATCTCCCCTTCCTGCCTACAATGGCCTTGGGATCTGTCCTAACTCTGCTGCCTTTAAGATTGGTCTACCCTAAACTACATCCACATAACCCCACGATTGTCCCTTCATGCCTAACCCACAAAGAGAGGTGATAGGAGTTAGGCTGAGGAGTGGGGATGGGGAAAGACAAGGCTCAGCATGGTCCCTGATAACCTCGTAGCTTCCAGGCAGATGAAGGCAGGGTGGAGGCAGGCTGCTCTGAGCCCAGCTGGTCGGTGCTCAATCAGAAAGGATATGGGTTGAGCTCAGAAAGCCTGAGAGCAGTGGCGCTCTGGAGCAGATCAGAAGCCAAGACTCTAAGAACAACATGCAAATCTGTGTAGGGAACATCAGAGGCTCCTACCCAGGTCTGAGCAAGTGCAGACAGGCTGGTTGTCAGGAGGATTAGGGTTAGGGTTAGGGAGGAGTGAATCAAATATGAAGCAAAGCAATGATCAATTAGCTCAACCTGCAGATAGGAATAGATTCCTACAGATAGAAATTTAAGTCAGAGTTGCAAGGGGATTTAGAAATCACACACTTCAATCACTTCACTTTTAGATGAGGACTACCAGACTGTAGACACAGGGGTGATGAGTGCAGAACAAAGACAAACACCCAGAACTTGTCACTTCTAGATTAAGGATTTACCTGTGAAGCCCATGCCTCTAAAAAGGTCGATTCTACTTTTTAAATATTTTTAAACAGAGTAGCTTTGGATGAAAACATGATGTTATGGCCTTGATATTTTTATATCAAGTATATTTTCAACGGGTCACTAGAAAAAAAAAGTAGATGTAAAAAGAATCTACACAGGATCAAACTGATAATAACTAAAATGATATATGTTAACTTTGATATTGACAAAAAACTGACTGAAGAATCTCATTGTGTTGGTAAGTCTCAAAACTACAAAAGTGAACTCTTAAAATTGCACTTTATGCAAATAACACAAAATAAAACTGACAAAGGTGAAAGCTTTACACAGAAAAATTTGTAATTGACGTTAAAGATTGACAAAAGAATCAAATCTTCTTGTCAAAAATTATACCTGCAAAATCTAGCCCAGGAAAATTAGGTTTGGTAGAAAATGACTACAAAAGAAACCTCAAAATTGCTGATTGGAAAAGTTGGAAAGATTTAATACGGACATAAAATGGGATCACTGAATAAAGTCTAAATTATTTCAGTAAAATAAAAATACTGAAAATTATTTAATGGCACAGGAAGAAATTTGATCAAAGAATTACATTAATTCAAGACAGTTGCTTCTAGAAAATAATTTCTTGATAATATTTCCAGAAATGTTGGAATAATTCTGATGAAAATGTTTGTTTTCATTCAATAAAAAATGTCCTCAGGGTCAAAACAACTGAGAGAGAAGTACCTGATATGGGACTTCTCAGGTAGCCCCCACTCTTGGGGCTTCCAGTTTTACATTTACCAAGTTTAAAGAAATCTAAGATCTCTTTCCAGGATCCTAACAACTTGTCTAGATCAAAATAACATGTACTTCAGTGAATGATTTCAGCTGGTTGATAAAATCAAAGTTTACCAGAAGGCATGAAAGTTCAGAGATCCCCTTACCATTTCAAAGGGGGTTTGTACTTTAAAGTCAATCTACATGTCACCTCACACCCATTATGATGGCCACTATTTAAAAAGAAAACAGAAAATAGCAAGGGTTAGCACCAAGGTGGAGAAATTAGAGCCCTTGTGCACTGTTGGTGGAATGTAAAATGATCCTGCCATTATGGAAAACAATATGGAGGTTCCTCAAAAAATTAAAGCTAGGATTACTGTATAATCTAGTGATATGGTTTGGCTCTGTGTCCCCACCCAAATCTCATGTGGAATTGTAATCCCCACGTGTTGAAAGTGGGGCCTGGCAGGAGGTGATTGGATCACGGGGGTGGTTTCTAATGGTTTTGCATCATCCCTCTAGTATTGTCTCATGACAGAGTTCTCATGAGATCTGGTTTTTAAAAGTGTGTAGCACATCCTCCTTCACTCTGTCTCTCTCTCCTGCCACCATGTGAAGATATGCCTGCTTCCCCTTCACCTTCTGCTGTGATTGTAAGTTTCCTGAGGCCTCCCAGTCATGTTTCCTGTACAGCCTGCAGAAACTGTGAGTCAATTAAACCACTTTTCTTCATAAATTACCCAGTCTCAGGTAGTTCTTTATAGGATTGTGAGAATGGACTAATACATCCAGCAATCCCATTTCTGGGCATATATCCAAAAAAGAATTGAAAGCAGTATCTTGAAGAGATATTGGTACATGTGTGTTCATAGCAGCACTATTCACAATAGCCAAGAGCTGAAACCAACCCAAATGCTCATTAAAAGATGAATGGATAAACAAAAGAGTGTGTTTCTTTAAATGTGATTTTATGCTGGGATCATAGAGAACCCTGGATTTTATGCAAATGAGTGGGAAAAAAATTAACCCAACACAAAAAAGTAGGTTTATACTGATCATACAGGACAACACCTTTCAAGATTGTAAAAAGTTAAAACTTTTCTCTCTTCACATCACCTGTAATGATGACACCCCATAAAGATTTTTCTCTATGTATCCTTAGTTTTGCACAATCCCCTGGCCCCAGTGCTGCATCCCCATATCCCAATTGAGAAGAATATGCCAATATTTAAGGACACACAATAAGGTCAGCACATCAAGCTTCAGGACTTACACCCTCCATAAAAGAGAAAATTCTCCTTTCTCATGCCACTCTCTCAAAGCCAGGGTTCCTGAAGAAAGGATTTCTGGTGTCATTACACAAAGGAGATCCTGGAAATTAAGGTTTGCCATGGGTTATGTCCAGTACTGGAATAAACACAGAATTATTGAGGTACCTTCCTCTGTCTTCTTTGCAAACTCCTCGTTGCAGCTCCTTCCTTGCAAACCCCTCTGTCTTCCTTGCGAACCCCTCATTATAGCTCAGAACTCTGCTTTGGCATTGCCTCCTGGTAAAGCCCCTGCTGCATCCACCCTTCCAACCACACTTCCTCACTCTCCTCCGCACCACTTTGGTGCTGCAGGAGTTACACTTTCTGTTGCAAAGATCAAGTATTCTCGGGTGACCTCTGGTGTTGTGGGTGATTGGAAAGATACTTAAGGCAATAAGGAAGCACAGGTATGACACTAGGCAGGTTGTAGTCCAGCCTCCCAGAGCCCTGGGATGTCAGTAAGGGCTCCCCTTTGAGTCAGTAATGGTAATGCCCCCTTGAGAAGAGGGACCTTTGGCCCCTGACTCCTGACGGTGCCGTACTCACAATTCCACTTCTCTCCTTCACCTCTCTGTGCTTCCGCTTCTCACTAGTTCAGCTGTTACCTCCACTTTTGTTTCTTTCTAATTCTACTCTGGTTCTGTAGTTGAGTTTCTCACAGTGGAAACTACCTGTGCTCTCACTGGTTGGGTCAGTGAGTTGCCTCCACTATTGGGCAGAATTCTGCTATTAGACCTCCCAGGGCCCATTGGTAAACCTAAGATTGTAAAAATGTAAAACTTTTCTCTCCTCAACGTCATCTGTAATAATGAAACCCCAAAAATATTTATGTATCCTGTAGTTTTTACAATTTTGTGGTTACCTTTGACCAAGTTACAGATTCTTGATCAGTTCGATCATGGTTACTTACCAGGGTCACATGACAGAAAGTCAACAACTTATGGAAAAAGAACAGTCTTTGCTGCTTTGCTCAGAAGGTAATATGTACAAACTTGCATTATTGCATATATCACAATACAGCTTGTTTCTGCATAGCCCAGTCCCCTACAAGACTATAACCGTGAGGCCAGTGGTATTTCCTATATTTGCATGTTCAGCATGTAGCATAGTGCCTGGTACATGGTAGATTCTCAATAAAGCTCTGTTGAAGTTAATTGAAATGAAAGTAAAATCAAAATACCTGAATTCTAATTTTGCTATTTCTTTGCTATCTGAACTAAGATACATTACTTAATCTTTTTGAACCTCCCTTTCTTCTTATGTAAAAAGATATAGTTGTGGTAAATAAGTAAGATGTGGGCATACCTAGCACAGTTTTGTGTGCGTGTGTGTATGTGTGTGTGTGTGTATACATATATATATATATATATTTAAACATATATATATATTTAAACTGTCTCTTTGTTATACCACTGCCATGTATTGTAATTACATTCAAATAGATCTTCTCTTCCAAACAGAGAGTAAGTTTTAAGGACAGGGTCTGTGTCTTATTAACCTTTGCACCTCCATACCACCACCCAAATTTCTGCTTTTGGTGGGTATTTAAGATAATTAATGGCATGAAGCGCCAACGGATTTATAAACTGAATGTGTTTAAAATCTCCATATATTAACATTTTTAACAATTTTTTAAAAGCAGGAAATATTAAGCATGACAAATTATGGTCAACCCAAGTTTCAATAACTCTGGGTGCCTAGCAATCTTCTAAGAGTCAAACGAAAGCAATGTTGCCTAGGTTGCAGTTTTCCAGTGTTTGTCTCCACCTACTGTATTTACTGGAAAGCTGCTGAAGCGTTCCTTCTAATCTTGAGGTTTTCAAGCGTCTATCTCTGGGACAAGCAAAGCTCTGCATTGGGCACCACAGTCTAGCACACGTTTTCAGGCACCACTAGAGGGCAGGCTAACGCTAACTTCGGGGACTACTAAGCAAGGGCTTTAGTCTCGAAAAAATGGGTAAACGCACCACTTGTTTATTGGGTCTGTTTCTAAATGGAAAAGTACATGTGGGCATGTCCAGATTTGTATTTCGTGTTCCCTTGATTCGTTATTTAATCCTTCGGCTCACCTTTCCTTTTGTTTTCTCTTTCCTCCTTCAAGTTCTTTCTCCTCTGGAGTGTAACAAACAAACCTGTTTCCCCCCCGGTCAAAGGCTTAACCCACAAAAATAAATCAAGATGAAGGAACAGAAGGAAACACTGCATAATTTAGTTAGTGAAAGTTGGACAGCTGAGGTTTCCTTTGGGTTTATTCTAAAATAAAGGATTTTTTAAAGGTTCAACTTGCCTAATTTTTCATACTTTTGGCAGCTTGCCAAGATGGGAAGGGAAGGGGATTTGCAGAAAGAAGAAAACAGAGAGAGAGAGTGTGAGTGTGTATGTGTGTGCGCACACATAGCGGGGTGCATTTCTGGGTGTAGGGGATGTTTATAGGGATGGAGGAAGGAAATGAAAAGCAGATGTTGGGAGTTGGATGGTCACAGAACACTGGCTTGCAAGTATTACTGGGCCACCATGAGCAGTGCTGGGACACAGCTCCACTGGACAGCCACCCCTTTCTGTAACCTGAGAGCCGCCACCCTACTCACACCTCAGGCTCCTCATCAAGCATGTGAGAAATTTGTACTAGATGACCTTCTGGTTCAAATATGAGCCTGTGTTGAGCGAGAGAAAACATGGGGGTTGGAAACGCAGGATGAATATTTGTGGAGAATCTGAGAATGACAAACAGAAAGCAAGCAAGCCAACAAATACACTATGAAGCTGGAAGAGTCTTCCAGCTGACCCAAGTGTAGAAACAGTTGCCCCATTTAGAATATTTGGAACATTTTCCCTCCCATTATCAGGGCTCTAACACCGGGCTGCCCTCTGTTCTACCCTCTGGAAAGTCCAAGGGAAAAAGGTACCAAAGCAGACAAGCAAGGATAGAAACGGTGGTGGCATTGCAGGCTGGTCTGCATTGCGGCTATAGAACAAAAATTTCCAACCCAAAATGATAAGATAATAAAATTCTAAACACAAAATTCCTCTAGCCAGTTAAAACAATGGTTCAAAGAAATACACACCCCTTGGGATCGTACTGCTATTCTTCCATAGTTAGTGTAAGTTCAGTGTTGGTTTTTCATGACTTTTGGAGGCCACTAACTTTCCATTTCACCTGCACAGTTTCAATTACTCTAATCATATAGCTCTTTAATAATCAGCCTGGCTATGAGTTGGAAGCTTTAACTGCTCTCTGACAATAAGTAGTAGCTAATTAATTGCTACTTATGAACTTTCTGTTTTTTTATCTTAATACTTCTGAGAGTTCTTTCCAGATAATCACTGGAGAATAAGGAGTTTTTACCCCCATGTGGCTATTCCTCTAAAACTAGCTATATTTAACTAGCTCTAAAATAGATGCGAAAGATTGTTACTTTGCGTGCAACAAATACACAGGAAGAATTCAAAGAATTGTATTTTAAATTTGTTACATCTGCAATTTCAAGTAACCACCACTAGGGGGTGGTGCTAAATACTTAAATGGTAATTCTCAGTCTGAGTTCAAAAATGCAGATGTCTAGGTCTTGGAGAATCAGGATCTTCTGAGTAAGAGATTAGGAAATCTTCCCCTTTTTTATTATTATACTTTAAGTTCTGGGGTACATGTGCAGAACGTGCAGGCTTGTTACATAGGCATACACATGCCTTGGTGGTTTGCTGCACCCATCAACCCGTCATCTACATTAGGTATTTCTCCTAATGCTATCCCTCCCCTAGCTCCCCACCCCACAACAGGCCCCAGTGTGTGATGTTCCCCTCCCTATGTCCATGTGTTCTCATTGTTCAACTCCCACTTATGAGTGAGAACATGTGGTGTTTGATTTTCTGTTCTTGTGTTTGCTGAGAATGATGGTTGCCAGCTTCATCCATGTCCCTGCAAAGGACATGAACTTATCCTTTTTTATAGCTGTGTGGTATTCCATGGTGTATATGTGCCACACTTTCTTTATCCAGTCTATCACTGATGGGCATTTGGGTTGGTTCCAAGTCTTTGCTATTGTGAACAGTGCTGTAATTAACATATGTGTGCATGTGTCTTTATAGTAGAATGATTTATAGTCCTTTGGGTATATACCCAGAATTGGAATGCTGGGTCAAATGGTATTTCTGGTTCTAGATCCTTGAGGAATCACCATACTGTCTTCCACAATGATTGAACTAATTTACACTCCCACCAACAGTGTAAAAGCATTCCTATTTCTCCACCTCTCCAGCATCTGTTGTTTCCTGACTTTTTAATAATTTCCATTCTAACTGGCATGAGATGGTATCTCATTGTGGTTTTGATTTATATTTCTCTAATGATGAGTGATGATGAGTTTTTTTTCATATGTTTGTTGGCTGCATAAATGTCTTCTTTTGAGAAGTGTCTGTTCATATCCTTGGCCCACTTTTTGATGGGGTTTTTTTTTCATGTAAATTTGTTTAAGTTCTTTGTAGATTCTGGATCTTAGCCCTTTGTCACATGGATAGATTACAAAAGTTTTCTCCCACTCTGTAGGTTGCCTGATCAGTCTGATGATAGTTTCTTTGGCTGTGCAGGAGCTCTTTAGTTTAATTAGATCCCATTTGTCAATTTTGGCTTTTGTTGCCATTGCTTTTGGTGTTTTAGTCATGAAGTCCTTGCCCATGCCTATGTCCTGAATGGTATTGCCTAGGTTTTCTTCCAGGGTTTTTATGGTTTTAGGTCTTATGTTTAAGTCTTTAATCCATCTTGAGTTAATTTTTGTATAAGATGTGAGGAAGGGGTCCAGTTTCAGTTTTCTGCATATGGCTAGCCAGTTTTCCCAACACCATTTATTAAATAGGGAGTCCTTTCCCCATTTCTTGTTTCTGTCAGGTTTGTCAAAGATCCGATGGTTGTAGATGTGTGGTGTTATTTCTGAAGGCTCTGTTCTGTTCCATTGGTCTACGTCTCTGTTTTGGTACCAGTATCATGCTGTTTTGGTTACCGTAGCCTTGTAGTATAGTTTGAAGTCAAGTAGCATGATGCCTCCAGCTTTGTTCTTTTTGCTTAGGATTGTCTTGGCTATGCGGGCTCTTTTTTGGTTCCATATGAAATTTAAAGTAGTTTTTTTCCAATTCTGTGAAGAAAGTCAATGGTAGCTTGATGGAGATAGCATTGAATCTATAAATTACTTTGGGCAGTATGGCCATTTTCATAATATTGATTCTTCCTATCCATGAGCATGGAATGTTTTACCATTTGTTTGTGTCCTCTCTTATTTCCTTGAGCAGTGATTTGTAGTTCTACTTGAAGAAGTACTTCACATCCCTTGTGAGTTGGATTCCTAAGTATTTTATTCTCTTTGTGGCAGTTGTGAATGGGAGTTTACTCATGATTTGGCTCTCTGTTTGTCTATTATTGGTGTATAGGAAAGCTTGTGATTTTTCCATATTGATTTTGTATCCTGAGACTTGCTGAAGTTGCTTAAGGAGATTTTGGGCTGAGACGATGGGGTTTTCTAAATATACAATCATGTCATCTGCAAACAGAGACAATTTGACTTCCTTTCTTCCTATTTGAATACCCTTTATTTCTTTCTCTTGCCTGATTGCCCTGGCCAGAACTTCCAATACTATGTTGAATGGGAGTGGTGAGAGAGGGCATCCTTGTCTTGTGCCAGTTTTCAAAGGGAATGCTTCCAGTTTTGCCCATTCAGTATGATATTGGCTATGAGTTTGTCATAAACAGCTCTTATTATTTTGAGATACGTTCCATCAATACCTAGTTTAAAGAGATTTTTAAGGGGTGCTGAATTTTATCAAAGGACTTTTCTGCATCTATTGAGATAATCATGTGGTTTTTTTCATTGGTTCTGTTTATGTGATGGATTATGTTTATTAATTTGCATATGTTGAACTAGCCTTGCATCCCAGAGATGAAGCCAAATTGATCGTGGTGGATAAGCTTTTTGACGTGCTGCTGGATTTGGTTTACCACTATTTTATTGAGGATTTTTATATCAATGTTCATCAGGGATATTGGTTTGAAATTTTTTGCTGTTGTTTTGTCTCTGCCAGGTGTTGGTATCAGGATGATGCTGGCCTCATAAAATGAGTTAAGGAGGATTCCCTCTTTTTCTATTGTTTGGAATAGTTTCAGAAGGAATGGTACCAGCTCCTCCTTGTACCTCTGGTAGAATTCAGCTGTGAATCCGTCTGGTCCTGGACTTTTTTTGGTTGGTAGATGATTAATTACTGCCTCAATTTCAGAACTTGTTATTGGTCTATTCATGGATTTGACTTCTTCCTGGTTTAGACTTGGGAGGGTGTATGTATCCAGGAATTTATCCATTTCTTCTAGATTTTCTAGTTTCTTTGCATAGAGGTGTTTAGAGTATTCTCTGATGGTAGTTTGTATTTCTGTGGGATCAGTGGTGATATCCCCTTTATCATTTTTTATTGCATCTATTTGATTCTTCTCTCTTTTCTTCTTTATTAGTCTGGCTAATGGTCCATCAATTTTGTTGATCTTTTCAAAAAACCAGCTCCTGGATTCACTGATTTTTTGAAGGGTTTTTTGTGTCTCTATCTCCTTCAGTTCTGCTAGTTCTCTCCATTGTGATGTTAAGGTGTCAATTTTAGATCTTTCCTCCTTTTTTAGTGCTATAAATTTCCCTCTAAACATGGTTTCAGCTGTGTCCCAGAGATTCTGGTACATTGTGTCTTTGTTCTCATTGGTTTCAAAGAACTTATTTATTTCTGCCTTCATTTTGTTATTTACCCAGTAGTCATTCAGTAGCAGGTTGTTCAGTTTCCATGTAGTTGTGCGGTTTTGAGTGAGTTTCTTAATCCTGAGTTCTAATTTGATTGCACTGTGATCTGAGAGACTGTTTGTTATGATTTCCGTTCTTTTCCATTTGCTGAGAAGTGTTTTACTTCCAATTATGTGGTCAATTTTAGAATAAGTGTGATGAGGTGCTGAGAAGAATGTGTATTCTATCAATTTGGGGTGGAGAGTTCTGTAGATGTCTATTAGGTCTGCTTGGTCCAGAGCTGAGTTCAAGTCCTGAATATCCTTGTTAATTTTCTGTCTCATTGACCTGTCTAATGTTGACAGTGGGGTGTTAAAGTCTCCCACTATTATTGTGTGGGAGTCTAAGTCTCTTTGTAGGTCTCCAAGAACTTGCTTTATGAGTCTGTGTGCTCCTGTATTGGGTGCATATATATTTAGGATAGGCAGCTCTTCTTGTTGCATTGATCTCTTTACCATTATGTAATGCCCTTCTGTGTCTCTTTTTATCTTTACTGGTTTAAAGTCTGTTTTATCAGAGACTAGGATGGCAACCTCTGCTTTTTTTGCTTTCCATTTGCTTGGTGAATATTCCTCCATCCCTTTATTTTGAGCCTATGTGTATCTTTGCAAGTGAGGTGGGTCTCCTGAATACAGCACACCAATGGGTCTTGACTATTTATCCCATTTGCCAGTCTGTATCTTTCAATTGGGGCATTTAGCCCATTTACATTTAAGGTTAATATTGTTATGTGTGAATTTGATCCTGTCATTATGATGTTAGCTGGTTATTTTGCCCGTTAGTTGATGCAGTTTCTTCATAGCGTTGATGGTCTTTATAATTTGGCATGTTTTTGCAGTGGCTGGTACTGGTTGTTCCTTTCCATGTTTAGTGCTTCCTTCAGGTGCTCTTGTAAGGCAGGCCTGGTGGTGACAAAACCTCTCAGCATTTGCTTGTCTGTAAAGGATTTTATTTCTCCTTCACTTATGAAGCTTAGTTTGGCTGGATATGAAATTCTGAGTTCAAAATTCTTTTCTTTAAGAATGTTGAATATTGGCCCTCATTCTCTTCTGGCTTGTAGGGTTTCTGCAGAGAGATCTGCTGTTAGTCTGATGGGCTTCCCTTTGTGGGTAACGTGACCTTTCTCTCTGGCTGCCCTTAACATTTTTTCCTTCATTTCAACCTTGGTGAACCTGACGATTATGTGTCTTGGGGTTGCTCTTCTCAATGAATATCTTTGTGGTGTTCTCTGTATTTCCTGAATTTGAATGTTGGCCTGCCTTGCTAGGCTAGGGAAGTTCTTCTGGATCATACCCTGCAGAGTGTTTTCCAACTTGGTTCCATTCTCCCCATCACTTTCAGATACACTAATCAAACACAGGTTTGGTCTTTTCACATAGTCCCATATTTCTTGGAGGCTTCATTCATTCCTTTTCATTCCTTTTCTCTAATCTTGTCTTCACACTTTATTTCATTAATTTGATCTTCAATCTCTGATTTCCTTTTTTCCGCTTGATTGATTTGGCTATTGATACTTGTATATGCTTCACAAAGTTCTCGTGCTGTGTTTTTCAGCTCCATCAGGTCATTTATGTTCTTCTCTAAAGTGGTTATTCTAGTTAGCAATTCATCTATCATTTTTTCAAGGTTCTTAGCTTCCTTGCCTTGGGTTAGAACATGCTCCTTTAGCTCAGAGGAGTTTGTTATTACCCACCTTCTGAAGCCTACTTCTGTCAATTTGTCAAACTCATTCTCTGTACAGTTTTGTTCCCTTGCTGGTGAGGAGTTGTGATCCTTTGGAGGAGAAGAGGCATTCTGGTTTTTGGAATTTTCAGCCTTTTTACACTGGTTTCACCCCATCTTCATGGATTTATCTCCCTTTGGTGTTTGATGTTGGTGACCTTCAGATGGGGTTTCTGAGTGGACATCCTTTTTGTTGATGTTGATACTATTCCTTCCTGTTTGTTAGTTTTCCTTCTAACAGTCAGGCCCCTCTGCTGCAGGTCTGCTGGAGTTTGCAGGAGTTCCACTCCAGACCCTGTTTGCCTGGGTATCACCAGTGGAGGCTACAGAGCAGCAAAGATTGCTGCCTGTTCCTTCCTCTGGAAGCTTCATCCCAGAGGAGCACCCACCAGATGCCAGCCAGAGCTTTCCTGTATGAGGTGTCTGTTGGCCCCTGCTGGGAAGTGTCTCCCAGTCTGGAGACATGGGGGTCAGGGACACACTTGAGGAGGCAGTCTGATCATTGGCAGAGCTCAAACATTGTGCTGGGAGATCTAGCGCTCTCTTCAGAGTCAAGTCTTGTTTGTTTTTAAGATAATATATAGATTAGTAATGCATATCTAGCAACCCTTTTAAAGATTTCAATAGATGATATAGGATCTTTACTTCTTTATTTCAGTTCAATCCAACTCGGGTGACAATTACTGATGCCTCTCAGGCCCAGGGGCTTGCTGGCCCATACAGAGGGCTTGTGGCTTTGCAGACTCTGAACCTTGATTCTTTCTGATTTAATCTTTCTACTTCCTTCAATCCAAGGGTCACTTCCTCTTATCAGTTGCACAAGAGACACCATCCCACTTGCGTGTCCTGGCAACAGCTTGTCAAGGTGCTCTAAGTCCAAAGAAGAATGCCAATTCTGCTTTCCCTTAAATAAATCTCTCTGGGAAATCTTCCTTTTTAAATAAGTCTCCTGAGTGAATTTGAGGCAGGCTAAGTTAGACAACAGCAATTCAATTCATTTTAACTGGTGTGAGTTCCCTCAACCCCATCCACAAAAGAAAATCTTCCTTTAGAAAATTGTCATCTTTAACTAAAATGACAATATGAATATCCACATAGAGTGTATCCACGCCCAACCACTTTTCAGCACCTCTACTGACCACTGCCATCCCTTGTCACAGACACTGAAATCGCCTCCTAATCAGTTCCCTTGCTTCCATTTCCCTGGAATCAATCTCCACATAGTAGCTGGAGTGATCTTTTAGAAAGATAAATTCTGTCATCTCACTTTCCTGCTCAGAACCTTCTATTTACTATACATCACCCTCAGAATAAAATCCAAATGTCTTACTGTGGCCTGGAAGGCCCTCCATGAACAGGCCTCAGACTGCCGTATCATTGCCTCCCCTAGCACCTTCCACCTTCACGCAAAGCTCAGATCCTTGAGCAAGCTATTTCCTCAGCCCGTCCCCAAGATCTGCAGGGCTGACTCCTTCCTCCTCTGCTCAAATGTCACTGCCTCAAAGAAGCTTTTCCTTTGCCTCACCACCTACCATCAGTCCTGCCAGTGGTGGCTGGGGGCCAGGGGCCAGGAGTCAGGGAGGGTTATTAGAGACAGATTTTGTAGATCCTTTTACAATCACAAAGCAGGAGCATAGTATGTGTTTGTTGAATGAATAAATGGATAAACTTAAGCTAAATCTAAGTATAAAGTGGGAAAATATTAATATGTGTAGGTGCAAACTGTGACCCCCTCTTTATTATTATAACTATGCAATGGCTTTTTAACTAAGCTTTCCATACACATTCAACTTTAACACAGCTACCCTTGTCTTGCCTCTTAGGAGTGATTTTCCATAGGGACTTGAGGGAGATGGACCCTTCCAAAACAGGCATTTCAGAATTTTCAAGCACCAAGGGATATATAAAGTTGAAGCTGCACACTCAATATATGTCATTATAATATTTTAATTAATTAATAGTGACTTTAATATGAATAAAGACTTAAAGCAGATTTCAACACAATCTTCTGGTACTGTCTATCCCTAGTGCATTAACATGATCCTCTTCCTTGGAGCTGAAGGTTTTTGGTGTGTGGCCCTCCAGAGCCCTCTCCACCCTCCTCTGCTCTGCTGACCCAGTGGCCTGGGAGGCTGACCTTCATGGATTATTGTATCATATGGGTTTCCTTGGTCTCTGTTTCATTTTAGGGTTTGGCCAATGGAAAGTATCAGCAGAAATTAAGAGGATGAAAGAAAAGAGTGTGTTATTTATTCTCCAGCTCACCCCCTGTAGATTGGCATTGGCTGCTTTCCTCTACCAAAGGGCCCAGTTAAGTCAGACAGCCTCTGCTAAACTACAAGTCTCTCTAGGGTCCAGTAAGTGCTCCCTTCCCTTGCCTCCTTAGGCCTAAGGATGGTCATAGCTCTCTGCAGCTACTGGCTCCAGAATGCCCCCCTAATCCTGCTTGCACCTTTGTAAATAGCCCCTTCATTAATCTTTCTTCAATCACTCCTTTGGAGTAAGCAATTAGTCTACTACATGGACTCAGATGACTACGCTATTTTTATTTTTATTTTTTGAGACAGTCTTGCTCTGTCACCCAGGCTGGAGTGCAGTGGTGTGATCTCGGCTCACTGCAGCCTCTGACTCCTGGGTTCAAGCAATTCTCCTGCCTCAGCCTCCCAAGTAGCTGGGATTATAGGCGAGTGCTACCACACCCGGCTAATTTTTGTATTTTTAGTAGAGACGGGGTTTCACCATGTTGGCCAGGCTGGTCTCAAACTCCGGACCTAATGATCTGCCCACCTTGGCCCCCCAAAGTGCTGGGATTACAGACATGAGCCACAGTGCCCAGCCCAGATGACTACACTTTATGAGGGTGATGTTGCTGTTCTAGTCTCTTTCTAATGACAAACGGATCTTAAGTTGCTCAGGTGACTACATTTCAGTCCTTTTCTCTCATTGTCTCCATACTGTCTTCTCTTTTCATTCCCCTCCTGTCCCGAGCTGTTCTCAGCAATAACTTCACTAATGTTTACCCATGCCTGTGCAAAAGCCAGCACTCCCAGAAAGTCCTAGCATTCTCCAACTCTCTACAAAAAGGGTCTTGGCTTTTGTTTTCTTTCAGAATATTTATATTTTAAGCATGGAGAGCTTTAAAAAAGAATCAGCTACTAAATATTCTTTAAAATGACTATCCCACACCTGTCACCCTGTTTATTCTCTTTTTTTCATAATTACACATTTGTTTTATTCCACATTATACATACAACAGTCTCAGAACAATAATGCCAATACCACCACCGCTCATGTAATTACTGAAAACAGCTAAATCATTTTTGTATATACTTTCTTCATCTTCCCCACTTTTAAAAAATAGATGTATAGCACAATTGCACTGTATCAACAATGTTAATGCATATATAATCCTTGCATACAATATGCTTTTATAATTCTCATCTAATCTTAGTTCTTTTTTTTTTATTGATCATTCTTGGGTGTTTCTCACATAGGGGGATTTGGCAGGGTCATAGGACAATAGTGGAGGGAAGGTCAGCAGATAAACAAGTGAACAAAGGTCTCTGGTTTTCCTAGGCAGTGGACCCTGCGGCCTACTGCAGTGTTTGTGTCCCTGGGTACTTGAGATTAGGGAGTGGTGATGACTCTTAACGAGCATGCTGTCTTCAAGCATCTGTTTAACAAAGTACATCTTGCACCACCCTTAATCCATTTAACCCTGAGTGGACACAGCACATGTTTCAGAGACCACTGGGTTGGGGGTAAGGTCACAGATCAACAGCATCCCAAGGCAGAAGAACCTTTCCCAGTACAGAACAAAATGGAGTCTCCCATGTCCACTTCCCTCTACACAGACACAGCAACAATCTGATTTCTCCATCCTTTCCCCACATTTCCCCCCTCTCCATTTGACAGAACCGCCATCATCATCATGGCCCGCTCTCAATGAGCCACTGGGCACACCTCCCAGACAGGGCGGCGGCTGGGCAGAGGGGCTCCTCACCTTCCAGAAGGGGCGGCCGGGCAGAGGCGCCCCCCCACCTCCCTCCCGGACGGGGCGGCTGGCCGGGCGGGGGCTGCCCCCCACCTCCCAGATGGGGCGGCTGCTGGGCGGAGGGGCTCCTCACTTCTCAGACGGGGCGGCTGCTGGGCGGAGGGGCTCCTCACTTCTCAGACGGGGCAGCTGCCGGGCGGAGGGGCTCCTCACTTCTCAGGCAGGGCGGCCGGGCAGAGACGCTCCTCACCTCCCAGATGGGGTCACGGCCGGGCAGAGGCGCTCCTCACATCCCAGACGGGGTGGCGGGGCAGAGGCGCTCCCCACATCTCAGATGATGGGCAGCCGGGCAGAGATGCTCCTCACTTCCTAGACAGGATGGCAGCTGGGAAGAGGGGCTCCTCACATCCCAGACAATGGGCGGCCAGGCAGAGATGCTCCTCACTTCCCAGATGGGGTGGCGGCTGGGCAGAGGCTGCAATCTCGGCACTTTGGGAGGCCAAGGCAGGTGGCTGGGAGGTGGAGGTTGTAGCTAGCCGAGATCACGCCACTGCACTCCAGCCTGGGCAACATTGAGCACTGAGTGAACAAGACTCCGTCTGCAATCCCGGCACCTCGGGAGGCCGAGGCTGGCAGATCACTCGTGGTTAGGAGCTGGAGACCAGCCCGGCAAATATCAGCAACTGGGAAGCCCATAAATAGCAGCAGAGGACAAATAGGATGACTCAGTAAGCCCTCTGAGTCAGACTGGCAGAGACTGGCCTTCCTTCATAATTATGGGGCATTAAATCCGTCATCTGTGAAGTCACCTCCAAGTCTCATCTCACCAATATCATGCATCTAGTTTCCTTTGAAGATGTGCAATCTTCCTCCTTGTAGCTACTAAGAAATTAAAGTGCTTGGGCTGAGAGGGCTCCTGTAAGCTAATAGTCTATGTCTTCAGCAATTAACCCCTTTCTGAAATTGGCTGGTGTTCATGCTTTTAGCTGGTCCTAGTCCTGGCTTGGGTACCCTTGAGCATGAGTCCTCAGATAAGTCACTTCATCTCACTGAACTTCTTTCATCTAAGATGAGATAATAAAACTTGCCTAGCTACAGAGTTGTCATGAAGATTAAAGTCAATTTGGCCAACTACATGACATTTGGAAAAGGCAAACTATACAGACAGGAAATAGACCAATGATTGCCAGGGACTCGAGGATGAACAGGTGGAACACATCATATTTTTAGGGCAGTGAAACTATTCTCTATGATATTCTAATGGTGGATACATGACATTTTACGTCTTTCAAGGCCCACAGACTGCACAACACAAAGATGAGCCCTGATGTAAACTGTGGACTTCATTTAATAATAATGTATCCATACTGATTGATGAATTGTAACAAATATACCTCAGTAATGCCAGATATTAATAGTAAAAGAAACTTCAGGGAGAAGAAAATGTAGGTAAGTGGGAATCCTCTTCACTTTCAGGCCAATTTTTATGTAAACCTAAAACCGTTCTAAAAATAATTTTTTGTGACATTACCAGGCCAAAATGAATTAATTTAATTTAAAAAGTAAAATACAAATAATTTTTTAAATCAGTTTGGATAAGATATGTGAAAGTATTTGACAAACTCTAAAGAGCTAAATAAACATAAGGCATAACACCCAAATGATCTTAAAGAACTTAATTGTGAAAGTTCTTTTGGGGATCTGACAAGTAGAGCCCCAGGTGATGTCTTAATTACCTGTCTCCATGCCTTAGAAGTTGGTTGAGATAGAAGGGTGGGTAGGACTTCTATGACCAGTTTGCCTTCACTGCTGACTGAAAAGATTTCTACCAAATCCAAATCATGGTACAAATATTCTACCCTTCACACAACTACTACCTCTTTGAAATTGCTCAGGAAAGTTTAATACACATACACACTACCTTTCAGCATGTTTCCTTTTGATTCTCTGTGGCTCTCACCCTGTCCAATATTTAGCAGTCATGTTTGATTAAGGTCACATTTTTCAGAGGTGAAAAAGCGATGAGAAGATTTCAGGATTAAGTTCAGGATTAAGTTCAGTTAGGTTAGGAAGGAAAATCTTTCCTCCTTGTAAGCCAGAGAATGCCTGACATAGACAAAGCTTCTTACAGTGTTTCGTTGTTGGGACTGGGGGTTGAAAGGGTGGCTCTTGCTGGAGCCTGGAAAACATTATCTCTGATGCCCACTATATCTGTGTCAGTTAGGGAGGATAAATTGTGGGGCAAGAAAGAGGACCAGTGGGGTCAAAAATTAGCATAGATCATGCAGAAATGACAGACAGGGATTCAAACTCAAGAGAGAGGAAGCTGTTGTTCAGGCCTTGCCAAGTGAGATTAGCTAGCTAATTTCAGCCAGCTTATTCTGGGATAGTGGTGGTCAATTGCATTTCCTCTCCTGGATAATGCATGTACTTTTGACAAGAACCTTCAAAGCTTTTGAAAAAGACCTTCAGTGTTCATCACACAATGATCACTGGAACTCTGTTCTAGGAGCTATTAATAGACTTGCCATGAAAAAAGAAGTTCTATGGTCAAATAACTAGGAAATGCTTAACATGATGGAGCCCTTTGTGAACAATTATGACACACATTCGTACGTTGCAGGCTCTGGGCACCCTGCAGCTAAGAAAACTATTTAGTTTTGTTTAACTCCAACATGTCCCAGGTTTATGTGCACTTTGAGCACATTTTACTGTATGCTTACTAACATTTCCTAGAATATCAGCATAGGAAAAAATTGGTTTTAAAAAAGGAAGCAGGCTGAACATGGTGGCTCCCGCCTGTAATCCCAGCACTTTGGGAAGCCAGGGTAGGCAGATCCCTTAAGGTCAGGAGTACGAGCCAGCCTGGCCAACATGGTGAAACCCTGTCTCTACTAAAAATACAAAAATTAGCCGGGCGTGGTGGTGCATGCCTGTAGTCCCAGCTATTTGGGAGGCTGAGGCACGAGAATCACTTGAACCCAGGAGGCAGAGGTTGCAGTGAGCCGAGATCATGCAACTGCACTCCAGTCTGGGCAACAGAGTGAGACTCCATCTCAAAAAAAAAAAAAAAAAAAAAGGAAGCAACTAATGGTGGAAGTAAAGCCACCCTGACATGATAACAAAAGCGTCATTTTGGGGAAATGACCTCATATCAGCAGTTTCCCCACTCATCCAGAGGTGAGTATGGTGTACTCTCCATGTAGTGACAATAAATATATTTATTAAATAAATAAATCCTGTGTCCATGATTTCTCCACAACTCCATGTTAGATCCTGTTATCATCCATTAGGTATTAAAGTGCTCTCAGCCAAGGAGCACTCGGGGGTTAGCTCTAGATTCTGAGGTAATACTACCAGAAACTAGAAAACGAGGAGAAACAGGTGTCTGAAAAGAGAATCAGAACAGAGAACAGAATCTGATGCGAGGAACTGAAGAAAAGCAAGCTGCAAAACTGACATCTCTTGCACTGCCTCCACTCACTATCTGACTATGTAGACAGAAACATCTAGGTTTTAGGTTGGTGCAAAAGTAATTGCGGTTTTTGCCATTAAAAGTGTATTTAAGAATTAACATCCCTAATGAAAGGTACTAGAAGTTTAAGCCACTCTAAATACTAATAAGATACATAGTGTTTGCACATAGAAGGATGGAAAAACAGGCAATGAGAAAGACTTCTTTGCTGCATGTAACTGTCAATGAATGTGGAAGCTTAGTTGTTCGGAATCTAATAGTTGAGACCAGTTTTCAAAACCACTCCCAATTTCAGGGCGCAGAATGTCTTAGTAACACCTACAAGTTTCATCTAACGAATATGACTAAAGCCAGAAAGCAGCCCTGAGGTTTTTCCACAGAGAGTCCGCCCTGCCTGGGTCATACATGCCCCTATGCAAAGTGGGCCCAGCAGCTGTCCCCTCCTGGTGCTCGCGCTGCGGGGGAGCAGAGCCAGGGTGGAAACCTGCTATGGGCAGAATGAGGCTGTGCTGGGCTGGAATGAGCCACTCCTTTAGAGAATCTAAATGAGGATAAAGAATTTCTGAACCAGCTAGGGGCCAAAACCCATCCAAGAATAGAAGTGGAAGGGACTCAAGCTTTTTAAGTTTCTTCCACAGCAATCCAGATTCCAACATTGTTTCTAAGGAGGCTTTTGTTTCCCTGGAGAACTCTAGTTTCAAAGTGGACTTTCTTGCACAAAGAGCGCTTCAATAAAATTGGTTGCGTGAGTGAGTGTTAAGTGTGAATTCAAAGAAGAATATTAGGCTGGGTCTCAGGCATACGTTACTATTACACTATGTATCTTATTAGTATTCAGAGTGGCTTAAACTTCAAGTACCTTTCATTTGGGATGTTAATTCTAAAACATACTTTTATGGCAAAAACTGCAATTACTTTTGCACCAACCTAATACCTAGTTTCTGTCTACATCTCAGAAGCCAGAGGTGCCTCATGAGAACACTGAGGTACCCAGACAAGGACCACATCCAGACAGGAAGAGCACACAGCACAGTGGCTGTGAGCATGGGTTTTCCATGAGATAGACCTCAGTTAGAATCTCAGCCTCAACACTTACTAGCCATGCAATCAGGGGAAATCTTGCTGTATGATCCTGCTGAGCCTTGGTTTCCTTAACTGTAGAGAGACTAAGAATCTCTAACTTACTTGGGGATTCAATGCAATAATATGTATCACAGACCAGGCACAGTGGCTCACGCCTGTAATCCCAGCACTTTGGGAGGCTGAGGTGAGTGGACCGCTTGAGCCCAGGAGTTTGACCACCCTAGCAACATGGTGAAACCCCATCTCTACCAAAACTACACACACACACACACACACACACACACACACACACACACGCACACACCAGCCAGGCATGGTGGCACTTGCCTGTAGTCCCAGCTACTCAGGGGGCTGAGGTGGGAGGATCACCTGAACTTTGAAATTTGAGGCTGCTGTGAGCCAAGATGGCACCACTACACTCCAGTCTGGGAGACAGGAGTGAGAGCCTGTCTCAAATAATTATAATAATACATGTAATATTTAGCATTTTACCTGGCATATCATAAGTACTTGATATATTGTAGTCATTATAAAGGTCAAATTTCTCTCTAGGACTGGGTTAGAAAATATGAGGAAAATAGATAAGTTCATAGAACTAATTAGAAAAGAGAGAAAGTTAAACTCTCCTATGACTTGATAAAATGTCTGTAGAAAAAGACAATTTCAGCAGGGTTGCATCAGATAAATTGAACCCATCCCCTGCCACATTTGTTCCTGGGCCTTTATATCCTCAGCATGACATTGAACTGATAGGACCAGAAGGTACTGGGAGAAATGTAAAGATGGGATGTGACTGAATTTGGGGTGGGTGCTTTGCTTCGTAGGAATTCTTTGGTTTTTGGAGAAGAAGGCCAAACTGTGATTTTGTCATGAAGCTGTCATGAAACTGGCATTTTATGATCATTTTTAAACTTCCATTATAGTTTTAAATAAGTTCCTGGCAGTCTTCAACTTTTACAAAGTCTTCCTGGAAACAGGGTCAGAAAACAAAAAGGGTGAAGCCAAATCCCTTTCCCCTGACATTTGCTGTGCTAGAAAGACAGACCGGGGTCCCTCTCAAAGCTGGCTGCCCCTCACTTCCCAGTTCCCCTGGTTCCTGTGTGCCATTCAGACACCCCACTGCAGTGCTTTCAGCCCACAGGATAGAAAGGAAAAGCTCATGGCTATTGTTATAAAACACAGTTATAAGATCAATGGAATGGTTTTGAATGCATTTGCTTGCTAATGGGAATTTTTACAAGAGGGAAATAAAAGAGAAATTAGTTCAAATTTCCCTAGACAGATGTCTTAAAGAAATCTGAGCCTTCCAAAATGCTACCAAAAAGCTTTTCTAAATTCTGCAAACGAAGCAAAATTGTTGTTAGTTAAATGCGTAATGTTTATTATCACCAGCATATTAGTTTTAGAGAAAATTTACACCACAGTGGAGTTGTATTTTCATGTACTACGAGTACATTTTGTCAATCATTAGGGTCCCTGCTAAAATCAAAGTAACAATATAGTAAGCCCATTTTAAAGAAGCTAGAAAACAGTTTTACTATTTTTTTATTGGTTTGGAAACTTGTGCTGTTGTGTTTTTTCTTTAATGACATCATTAAGTATCCGGCCAAATATCCCTGTCCAAGGAATTCAGTCTTTAATTATTACATTATTTCCATGGGAATAAACACTGTCACTGAGTGTTACAACTTAGTTTCTAAAAGTACATGGTGGCCAGAAGCCTGCTAGCCTCAGAGGTATTTCCACAAGTTTAGCAGTGTCCAAACTAACTGAGTTACATCAGCTATTTGTTGAAAGAGTCCCACCAAAATCTGATAAAAGGCCCATAAAGGAATCAGAATGTTTGCTTATTTGTCTGTTTAAAGTAGTGTCAGAGTAATAGATCAATACAACATAGGGGCTGCTTATATTGTTCAGAGGAATAGTATATTAAAAAATGCTATTCTTGATCAAAGTAGACCCCCAACATGATAACACATAAGAGAATCTGGAATTCTAAAACTACAAGAAACGGGGAGAGATAGGAAGTAAGCACAAAATAAGGAGAAACCTTCAATAATCAGCTTTAGTTTAGCTGATCATTGAACGACAATATTTACTATAGTGTTTTCTGTCTTTGCTAGTTTAACCACATGTTCTGTTTTTCAATTCAAGATCAGGGCATTTTTATATTCACTTTGGGGAAATCATATGTCAAGAAACATTTACTTGTATATCCCCAAACATTCAGATTTCATGGTAAAAATTAATGTACATGACATACATTTAGACAACAGCTACTGGTTGCCCCCTCCAAAAAAAGTCAAGGTGCCACAAAGACTGAGCTCTTGATGTGAGGAAAACAGTCATTATAAGCAGTCCTGTGGTCCCTGAGAAAAAGGATTCCTTCACTCTCTGAAGAGGAATTTATTTATACAGCATGAACAACTATCTGCTGAATTTTAATTCTGTCCTTTCTCAGAAATAAGTTTGGGCTCTGCTTTTAAAAACAAGCCCAGGAAATAACAGTTTGCAGGGGCCTGAAATCAGAAGCCTGCAGACTGCTGGCAGGAAAGTTCAATATTCATATTCATTTTCATTCTACAATCGACCTCATGTACCAGAAGGCTTTTCCTCAACTTGAAATCTCAGTGTTCCCTCAAACAAGTCGCAGCATGTGTTTGCCTCACACATGACACTAACTCTTACTTTTGGACTGAAACAAAAGCCAAAGGTGAATCCTGGTGACCGTCAAGACTCCAGGAATGACCCAGCATTGATTATGGGCTCCTTGGAGAAATTCAGACAAATATGAGAAAACAAATAGGGGTGGAGCCAGAATTTAGGTTGGTGGGGCACTGAGAAACTTTTTTTCTCATTTGCATATTTTCCATTATTGTTGTAACACATGCTTCATTCACAGGGTATGTGACAATCCAGAAGGACACCACTCTCCAGGATGACCTGTGTCTGAGTGTAGAGTTTCAGAGACCAGGCCATTCACTTGGCACAGTTACCAAGAATGGTCTTTTGGAGTTTTTCAGAGTGGTTGGAGTTTCTCAGAGATACGTCCTCATTGTTTGATTTTCTTACATAATATGTACTCCCTTGGTAATCACATCCGCATTTTTAATTATTAACTATATTCAAATCCTCTGGCCCCTCCACTGAGCACCAATGATATATAGCCAACTCTTGTGGACATCCCCACTGCTGGTCCTACAGCCCATCACATTCAGCAATGCTTGCATCATCCCCCCTTCTTTCCCAAACCACTCTCCTTCCTGTCTGCTGCCTAAGCAAATACCACTTCCATCCAGCAAAGCTCCTCAGCCAGACACCTGACTTTCTCTCCCTCACAACCACCCATGACCAAGCCTGTCAATTTCACCTCCTATTAATAATTTCCCCTGAACCAGTCCACTCCCCTCCATCTCTATCACCACCATCCTGGGGGAGGAGACCACTACCATCTCAAACCTATGTTACACACAGTCTTCCTAACTGAAATGCTGAGCCTCTTCTAAAGCACTAGAACTTTCAAAGGCTCAGTCCTACCTTTCTCACCCTCCTGCTCAAAACCTACTCCCACTGCCATTTGTCTAAACAAAACTCTTTTATGTGGCATGAAAGGCATTTCTTGATCTATCTCCTTTATCTTGAAAATCTCATCCCTTGCACTCCATAATCTAGTCATGCTACAACCTAGTCACAGTATTTTGATTACCTGTTTTGTTTTAATTTTGTTTTTTGTGGTTTTTTTTTTCAGAGACAGTGTCTTGCTATGTTACCCAGGCTGGAGTGCAGTGACTGTTCTCAATCCTGATCATAGTGCACCATGGCCTCAAATTCCTGGGCTAAAGCCATCCTCCCACCTCAGCTCCAAGGACTACAGGCTCACACCACAACACCTGGCACTCTGTTTACTTCTCTTTTTCCCCTACCAGGTTATAAACTCCTCCAAGGCAAGGATTTAGTCCTGCTCACAGTTGTAACATAACACCTAGATCAGTGCCTGCACATAGCAGATGTTCAATCATTAAACTAAAATTTATTTCTCCCATAATTTTTTCTTAAGTTTTGGTGGTTCCAATTGAAAAAAAGACAACATGAATGAGCATTAACAAATAAATAAAAAGCTCAGATGCATGAGACCTGCCTGCATCCTTATAATAAAAGCTGTATTTTCTCCAAGTAATTTTTTCCTGTTTTATGTGAGGAATTAAATATATCAATATGTCATAGTGTTAGAAAAGGAGAACTTTGGCCTTCAGGTAATACAACACCTAAAACAGTTTTATGTCATTTGTATTAGAAAATGTCACGTTCCTAGGCTGCTTAGATACTCAGGATTCATTAGCTATTTCTCATTGGAAGTGCCAGAAAAGTGCCAGAAATCCAACTCAATCAACTTAGACACTCCACCCTCACAAAAACTGATAATCGGTTCATGTAATCCAAGAAAAGATTGAATAACCAATACACAGAAAGGACAGTCATGCATTTAGGTCTCAGAAAGGACTCAAAACCAAGATTCAAAAGCTATCAGACTCACTGTGACGCTTCTCTCAAAAAAAAAAAAAAAAAAACCTGCATACTCTCACTAGTTCTCTCCACTCCATATGATGAGAAAAAAAAAAACACAACACAGTATTATTTTCTAGGGCTGCTATAATAACACACTAAAAATGAGTTGTCTTAAAACAACAGAAATCTATTGTCTTACAATTCTGGAGGTTAGAAGTCCAAGCTCAAGGAGTTGGCAGAGCACGCCCACTCAGAGGACTCGGGGAGAATCCTTTCTGGCCTCTCCCAGCTTCCCATGTTTGCGGGCAATCCTTGACAGCCAGTGGCTTTTAGATGCGTCACTCCAGTCACATAACCATCTCCTCCCTGTGTCTCTTCGCATGGTCTTCCTTCTGTGTGTGTCTGTCTCTGAGTCTAAATTTCCCTTTTTTATTATGTAAGGACACCAGTCCTATTGATTAGGGCCTACTCTAATGACCTCATTGTAACTTGATTACAGGTATAAACACCCTATTTCCAAATAAGGTCACATTCTGAGGTACTGGGGGCTAGGACTTCAACAACATACCTTTTTTCAGGAGACATAATTCAACTACAACAACGAATAATAACAGTTTCCAATATTTGCATCTAAAGTCTCCCCTACCAGAGGAAAAGTCTAGAAGTCCTTGACCTGGTTTATGTGGTGTCCCCAACCCCTGGGCCAAACAACAGAGATGGGGGCAGCAGAGTTCTATAAGAACATGATTGTTTCTGTGGTAGTCATATAGATGGGGAAAGTGGTACTATGGAACAGCTATGCTCACATCTGCTTCCCTTCTAGTGACAAGGAGATGGGTTAATGTTAGAGGGTAAAAAAAAGATACAGACACTCAGCAGAGTGACAGGTAAACATTCACAAGGAGAGGAGTGTTAGGAAATAGATCAGGAAAGGAGTGTGTGCCATGACATATCAAATGTCTTCTTTAATACTGTAAGTGGGAAACAAAGCAAAGCGTTTGTTCAATTTACTGCTGCCACAAATGAGAGATGCATTATTTTTCTTTTTCAGGGGTTATAGTCAACCCAATTTTCTCCCTACATACAGCATTCCATTACATATATTTTGCTCCTAACTTATTTTATATTCTGGAGGTGAAAGCATATAAGAACAAATCAGTAAAAACTGTGGTGATATTTTGGCACCAGAAATTAAGTTCCTTTTTAACATTATGAACTATGGCTAAACCAGGACAAAGGTGACTCAAAATTTCCTTAACTTAAGCTGGGTATGGTAGCAACGGCCTGTATTCTCAGCTACTCAGGAGGCTGGGGCAAGAGGAGAGGATGGCTTGAAGCCAGGAGTTCTAGGCCAGACTGCACTGTGATCACACCTGTGAAGAGCCACTGTGCTCCTAGGCAACAAAGCAAGGCCCTGTCTTTAAAAAAAAAAAAAAAAAAAAAAAGTTAAAAAAATTTCCTTTACTTAAAGGTTTGCATGACTATTTAGACATACATTGAAGCCAAGTGTGGTGGCTCACATCTGTAATCCCAGCATTTTGGGAGGTGGGGCAGCGAGGATTACTTGAGGCCAAAAGTTCATGACCAGCCTGGGCAACATAGCAAAATCCTGTCTCTACAAAAATTTTTAAAATTAGCTGGGCCTGGTGGCATGTGCCTGTAGTCCTAGCTGCTTGGGAGGTTAAGGCAGCAGGATCGCTTGAGCCCAGGAGTTTGAGGCTGCAGTGAGCTATGATTATGCAGCCTGAGTGACAGAGCAAGACCTTGTCTTTAGAAAATATAAAAGTAAAAATTAAATTAAAATAAAAACATACATTGCAATTGTTCTAATTGTCAAATTTATTTGCTCCAAAATAAAACTGGGCAGGTCTATTTTGGATACCATTTAAACTCCACCATTAAAGAAACTATTTTAAAGTATTTTTTAATTATAGAAAAATAATATTTGTTAATTTATAGACATTTTGGAAAAATCTATGAAAGACTGTTTAAAAAATAAAAGTCACCTATAATCCCATCACTAATTACCGTTAACATTTCAATATCTTTACTTAGTTGTTTTCTCTATTTACATAAGTACATTTTTAAAAACTTTACAGAGTTAGATTTATATTATACAGTTTTTGGTTTTTGTTTTTTTGAGACAGGGTCTCACTCTGTCACCCAGGCTGGAGTGCAGTGGCATGGCTCTCACTGCACCTCTGCCTCCTGGGCTCAAGGGATCCTTCCACCTCAGCCTCTAGAGTAACTGGGACCACAGGCATGAGCCATCACACCCGGCTAATTTTTGTATTATTTTGGTAAGGTTCTGCCATGTTGCCCAGGCTGGTCTCCAACTTTTGGGCTCAAGCAATCCTCCTGCCTAGCCTCCCAAATTGCTGGGATTACAGGCATGAGCCGCTGCACCCAGCCAGATACATATTAAACAGTCTTATGTCCTCATTTTTTCATTTTATATTTTGGAAATACCATGTTTAATCACAGCATAATATTCTATGGTATGCCATAATTCATATAAACACTATTTTATTGTTGGACATGTAGGTTGCTTATTTTTTTATTATAAGGATGTTCCAAATATATATATGCACAGTTTTATTGTAAGCATAGCTAATCACCCCTAAAAGAGATGCAAAGCTTTCTGCCATCACTAAGCAAATTTCAATTTATTCTATACAATCTGCCTCTAAAATGAGATAAAATATCAATCATCACAAGAAATATACCAAAATGCATACATACAATTAACAAAGATATCTAATTCCTAATTACAAATTGTCTCATATATTGAAAAGCACAGTGTTCAAGTTCCTTGAGGGCAGGCACAGTGGCTCACACCTAGAATGCCAGAACTGTGGGAGACCAACGTGGGAGGATCGCTTGAGGCTGTTACAGTAAGTAGCTAGTCAGACATAGGTGGAGCAGGGCAGGGCAGGAGAGGGGAGGAGTGGGCAGGAGAGGGAAGGAATGGGCAGGAGAGGGTTCCCCCATCCCCAGCCCAGGAGTCTTGGGCAGGCGAGGGGGTTGTTAACTGTCTCTCTAAAGTAATAATTGGTCCCAGCCGGTGCTAGGGAAAGGCAGGCTCACAATAAATAGAAAACACCTGAAACTGATCAACTTCTGGATAAGCTTTCAGGAGTGGGGAGAAGTAACCCAAGATCCTGGAAGTATGCCGATGTATAAAACCCCAAATCAAAAGGTCAAACCACACATTTGTCTTTCAGGTCACCCACTTGGGCCTCTTCCAAGTATATTTTCCTCCCTTTCATTCCTGCTCTAAAGTTTTTTAATAAACTTTCACTTCTGCTCTAAAACTTGCCTCAGTATCTCCTTCTGCCTTCTGCCCCTCAGTCGAATTCTTTCTTCTGAGGAAACGAGAATTGAGGTTGCTGCAGACCTGTGGGATTTGCCGCAGTAACAAAGCCAGGAGTTTGAGACTAGCCCAGAAAACGTGGTGAGATCTTGCCTCTAAAGAAAAGGGGGGAAAAAAGTTTCTTGACTCTCTTCAGATCTTTTGGAAATCTTATCCCTTGCTAATAAATATTTGTAGAGTCAGAAAGAGGAGATGGCATTAATTTCTGCATTGATGTTTATATTTTGGTGCTATATGGCCGGGTCAAAGGGCTACATATTCCACCTCTGCTCCAGAGCTGCTTATCCAAGTTCTCTGGGATGTAGCTGGTATACCTAGGAATTATGTCCCTAGAAAGACGCAACCCTGCAGCAGCTAGAATTAGTGCAATTTAGTGAGAAGAGCACAGGACTTTCTCTACACCTGGGTTCAAATTTCAATGCCAGCACTTCTGGGAGCAAGTCTTTGGGCAACTCAGTGTTTGTGAGTCAATCTACTATTTCTAAAGTAGGGAAGGACACAGGTGAACATTCATTGAATACAGAGGCTTTACACAAGTGATCTCGTTTAACTCTCACTAAAAAATGACTGATCCTTTTAAAAATAAGACAACAGGCTCAGACTGGGTAAGTAATTACTCAGACTGATAAGGAGGCAAGGCAGGATTTAATTCCAGATCTGTCTAGCCCTAAAGCTCACATTCCCTGCCCCACTTGACATGTTGCTTCCTGGACTCACTTGGATTGTGGAGAAATTAGTTGGATTTGAATGTCTCCTCTAGCGTAGTCAGCATAGTTTTCATTCCTGTAGCAGTTTTTGTATTATAGTTTGTTGGGATAGAGGGTTGGGACCAGGGCCAGGAATAGGTTAAGGCAAGCGAAACACTAACCTCAAGCAGAAAATATAAGGGGCGGGGCACAAAAACTCAGTCGTCAAGATAAATAATATTTTAATATAATATTTTTTTAAATCTAAATTAACGCAAAAATCCATAAAGAACAAAATAACATTTTAAATGAAAACAAGAACTGATAGTTCCATGTTAAGCCATATTGGAGCCTACAACAGAAAAACATACAACCCTATTCACATGTTTTTAATGTATTTTTGATGTTTAATTATGATAAATGCTATGTAATAATACCTTGGCCAGGCACGGTGGCTCACGCCTGTAATCCCAGCACTTTGGGAGGCCGAGGCAGGTGGATCATGAGGTCAGGAGATCGAGAACATTCTGGCTAACACGGTGAAACCCGTCTCTACTAAAAATACCAAAAAAATTAGCCGGGCGCAGTGGCAGGCGCCTGTAGTCCCAGCTACTCAGGAGGCCGAGGCAGGAAAATGGCGTGAACCTGGGAGGCGGAGCTTGCAAGTTTGTGCCACTGCACTCCAGCCTGGGCGACAGAGTGAGACTCCGTCTCAAAAAAAATAAAATAAAAATAATACCTTAAGCAGATATGAATTTTTTTCAGAACACTAGTTTTAAAGTATTGAAACAATTGAAAAGTAGGTATCTACTTTTCAATTAAATAAAACTCACATTTTAAGTATTTGATCAGAATTTATTATAAATTTATTTTGCTGGTTTTAATGGAAGCAAATTCATAGGTGGTATTTTTATCTAAGTCAATAGCCTTTTTTTTTTTTTCCAAGACAGTTTCACTCTTATTGCCCAGGCTGGAGTGCCATGGCGCCATCTCGGCTCACTGCAACCTCAAGCGATTCTCCAGCCTCAGCCTCCCAAGTAGCTGGGATTACAGGTGCCCGCCACCATGTCCAGCTAATTTTTTTGTATTTTTAGTAGAGATGGGGTTTCATCATGTTAGCCAGGCTGGTCATGAACTCCTGACCTCAGGTGATCCACCTGCCTCAGCCTCCCAAAGTGCTGGGATTACAGGTATGAGCCACCGCGCCTGGCCACCAATAACTGGTTTTAAAAATACGTAAAATCATGTATCCAGTTATATAGTATGTAGTACACATCCTTCCTTTTGCAACATGGCTCAGCACAGCACTGGCTGGAACTATGACTTGCAGCTACCAGCCTCAAAGATTTTCAGGACTCTGTAAATGGAAACAGAACATCTGATCATATCTGACTCCTCAGGTCTCCTATCACAGCTCCTTTGGGTAGTAGTCTCTCTTTTCATAGAAGAATATCACTGTCAGGCTGACTTTTAGGGTCATGTTCCTAAAGGCCAATAAAGACAAGCTGTGTTCTCATGACAACAGGCAGAAATCAACCTCACACATCTGCTGATGCTCCAGAACATCTATGTGGACTTCCAAGCACTAAATATCTGAGAGTTACTGTCTTTTAAATACCCCCAAATGAAGGTTTTGAATAACCTTTCTGGAGCACATATGTTCATTTAACATTTATTGAAGACTACATCCCTACTAAATAAAACAGCCTATATCTGGGTTTGCAGATTCTATTATCCAGCCTTATGTTCTTTACCAATTAGTAGTGTATGTCATTATATCTTTTGTCATTTAAAAAGCATGTTTTAGGCATCTTTTATTACAGTAAGGGCTATATAATAATGCCTTATGCTTTTACGATTTTTCACTTGCATTCAATGCTTATGAAGGTTCTATGAGGTAGGTAGATATGATATTTTATAGAAATTAATGTATTAACTTTTTCTTTGAAGCTGCAGATTATCTAGTGATCAGCCCTCTCACTTTTTACTCACTGTCCTCTGATTCCAGTTCTAATGCTCTTTCCACACTGCCAAGTTGCCTCTTCTAACAGACAGCCTAATAACATAGGATTTCAGATAGACAAGTGTAGACAAAACAGGACTGTACGGTGGAATATAGGATGTCTAAAGTGATCAAATGAATATGAAATTATGATATAACCTGCCAAGGAAAAGATGAATTTTCCAGAAGGGAGAGTGAAGAGGAGTCATAGGGTAACTCAGTCCCCGACACTGCCACAGAGCTGGGGAGGCCCGGGTCTGCCGGAGAGGTGATGCCATGTGTGGTTACCATATGGCTGGGGGCAGAGGCATGGTCAGCAGCACAGGCAGAGCTCAGAGCATGACAGCCTCACCAGAGACAAAAAGTTGAGTCACAAACCTGGCCTAATCAGAATCAAGAAACAGAGCAGGCCGGGAGCAGTAGCTCATGCTTGTAATCCCAGCACTTGGGAGGCTGAGGTGGGTGGATCACAAGGTCAGGAGTTCAAGACCAGCCTGGCAATACAATGAAACCCTGTCTCTACTAAAAATACAAAAATTAGCTGGGCGTGGTGGCAGCTGCCTGTAATCCCAGCTACTTGAGAGGCTGAGGCAGGAGAATCACTTGAACTAGGGAGACAGAGGTTGCTGTGAGCCGAGATCGTGCCACCGAACTCCAGCCTGGGCGAGAGAGCTAGACTCCATCTCAAAAAAAAAAAAAGAAAAAGAAAAAGAAAAAAGAAACAGACCAATTCTCAGAATGAGTGCCAATGAGAAGACCTAAGAAAACAAGAGACAGGCCAGGTGCGGTGGCTCACGCCTATAAACCCAACACTTTGGGAGGCCGAGGCAGGTGGATCATGAGGTCAGGAGACTGAGGCCATCCTGGCCAACATGGTGAAACCCCGTCTCTACTAAAAATACAAAAATTAGCTGGGTGTGGCGGCGGGCGCCTCTAATCTCAGCTACTCGGGAGGCTGAGGAACAAGAATCGCTTGAACCCAGGAGGCGGAGGTTGCAGTGAGCTGAGATCACACCACTGCACTCTAGCCTGGAGACAGAGTGAGACTCCGTCTCAAAAAAAGAAAAAAGAAAACGAGAGACAAAACAGACTACTGTCCGTGATTTCTTTAAAAAACCAGGAGGAGAAGATAAAACTGTTCTGGAGATGGATAATGGTATTGGTTGTACAATAATGTGAATGTTTAATGTCACTGAACTATACATTTAAAATGGTTTAAATAGTAACTTTTATTATATGTATATTTTTAACATTATATATTGTGTTATATATAATTGTGTATATGTGCACCATTTTTAACATAAATAATTTTTTTAAATCAGACTCAAGTTGACCTAATTCTCTGTACCTCAGAGGAAAATCCTCCCAGGTCCAAAAAAGAAAAACAGTCAGGAGCTGCTTAACCAGTGATTGAGGTGAAGGCAGGGGAATTTTACCCACCTAAAGGGACAATTTGTAAGTTTGTCAGTATTTGGGGGTTTTGGTTTATTTTTCTTTTTTGAGACAGAGTCTCACTCTGTCACCCAGGCTTGAGTGCAGTGGTGTTATCTCGGCTCACTGCAACCTCTGCCTCCTAAGTTCAAGCAGTTCTCGTGCCTCAGCCTCCCAAGTAGCTAGGACTACAGGCACATGCCACCATGCCCAGCTGATTTTTGTATTTTTAGTAGAGACAGGGTTTCACTATGTTGGCCAGGCTGGTCTCAAATTCCTGACCTCAGGTCCGCCCGCCTCAGCTTCCCAAAGTGCTGGGATTACAGGTATTAAGTCACCATGCCGGGCCTAGTTTGTTTGTATTTTGGCTCTAACAATGAATGAGGTACAACTGGCTGGGGTCCTGGGATTAGAGATGCCCAATAATATGTGGGTCAGTCGTGCAAAAAAAAGCTGTCTCATGTCAGACATGAGCTTTGAATGTCTTTCAAGTAGAGGAAAAACCTATTTACAATGATGTGAGCCTAAAACCTAACTTTAATTTACACATAAAACACAAAATACTTTTGAGTAGTTTTAAATGCACTGAATTTTCTAGGAATACAATTTATAAATGCAAAGAAAATTGGACGTTGCCTCACTGAATTTTTAGGAATGCACTTTATAAAGGCAAGGAAAACTGGATGTTGCTTCACGCATAACTTAACCCACTGTAGTTCATCATTCTGGAAAATTACAATACCAATGGTGATGCCCCCTGTGGTATTTGAGTCATCGATGTATCACTCCAGTACCAGTCTGCATTTGTAGGTGTCACATTCACAACGATTCTAGGTATAAGTACAAGCATCTGGCTATAATGTATGTTTACTATAAATTAAATTTTTAAAATTTCTCCTTTATGTTATGCTTAGGTTATGTGTGAGATTAGCTTGTACTTTCTATTCACTTTCTTTTAGAATAGAAGATATTTATGAAAGTAAAAGGGTATTGAGACTGGTGAAATGTATCTACATCCCACCAGGATGGCTTGGAGTACACAGCTACTGGGGATTTCCCAAGCACTTTGGGAGAATGCATGCATTCTATTGTTTGAACAGAGACAACCCATTTATCACTGACATCCTGTATCCCTTTTCTGCTGCTATCGGGGGTCTAACCTTGTCCAGACAAGCCAGAAATATCTCGTTTTCTCTTCCAAGTACTCTGCAGCATCTTCACTGGAAAAGAGGAATTTCAGATGTTTGACTATTAGAGGCTTGACAAGGGCAGAGAGAGCAGACACCTAGCACAGAGTTTAGTCAGTAGGAACTCTGAGGAAAAGGGCAATGATCAGTTAAAAAAGGTCAGCTATAATATGTTTCCTATCCTCAAAGCCTGCTGCTAAATTAAGGGAAAAAATTTTAAAGATGTATGCAAAAAATTTATTGTACACAATCAAAAGGAAGTTGAATCTAACTACAACCACAATTATTCATGAGGTTTATCAATTTGTAGATCATTTTGAAGAATTGACAAAATTTTGTATGCTCCTTGGGGAGACACTGAAAAAGTCATTAAAGCAAAGGAATCTCATTAGCAAACATGGTCTCTGCCCTCACTGAAAGTTAAAGAATGACTCAACTGACAGATAGTTTCCATACTTCCTTTTTAATAGCCATACCTTATATCAGTTTGCTCTCATACATGAGAATTAGAGACCACATATTTTTTCAGAGCAATTTAAAAACAACTGTTTCGCCAAGCGCAGTGGCTCATGCCTGTAATCCCAGCACTTTTGGAGGCTGATGCAGGTGGATAACGAGATCAGGAGTTCAAGACCAGCGTGGCCAAGATGGTGAAACCCCGTCTCTACTAAAAATACAAAAATTAACCGGGTGTGGTGGCAGGTGCCTGTAATCTCAGCTACTCGGGAGACTGAGGCAGAGAATTGCTCGAACCCGGGAAGCAGAGGTTGCAGTGAGCCGAGATTACACCACTGCACTCCAGCCTGGGCGACAGAGTGAGACTCCGTCTCAAAAAAAAAAAAAAAAAATCTGTTTCTTTCTACAACCACTTAAAAAAACAAACCATGCCCAAACTTAATATCATAAACTTAATTGCACTACTAAAAACCAAAGGTTAATTGGAAAATTTAAATTTTCATTATTTTATTGCAGAGTTGTTTGTAATAGTAAAAACAAAAATGGAAACAACCTAAATGTCTCAGCAGAAACATAGTTGAATAGGAGACGGTGCATTCATAAATGGAATACCATGCAATCTCCAAAATGATCTTATAGAATTACCAATGTTATTGAAAGATGTGCATGTGCCAGGCATGGTGGCTCATGCCTGTAATCCCAACACTTTGGGAGGCCAAGGTGGGTGGATCACTTGAGCCTAGGAGTTTGAGACAAGCCTAGGCAACATGGCAAAACCCTGTCCCAACAAAAAATACAAAAATTAGCTGGGCATGGTGGTGCACACCTGCAGTGCCAGCTACTTGGGAGGCTGAGGCAGAAGGATCACTTGAACTCAAGAGATGGGGGTTGAAGTGAGCCAGAATTGCACTACATTCAAGCCCGGGTGACAGAGCTAGACCATGTCTCAAAAAAAAAAAAAAAAAAAAAAAAAAAAAGCAAGAAAGAAAAGAAAGAAGGATGTGCATGATATATTTAATCATGAGAACATTACTGAAATCCTTTAAAAATGCATATATTTACACATATGTGCTTAGAGAAAAAAGGATACACACCAAAGTGTTACAAGTCATTGTAACATTGCATTTGTGTAACAACATTTTCTTTGGCTTGTCTGTAATTTCTAAATTGTCTGTGTATATATTACTTTTGCAATAAAAACAATGTCTTATCAAAATAAATACATTTAACTTTTATTGACAATATTTTCTCTGGGGCTGTCATATTTTTTTCTAAGGCCTCAATAAACTAAACAACTAGACAGAACAGAAGGTAAAAAAGTGAAGCTCATTTTCTTTATTAGTTGTTTATGACCATCATCATCTCTACTCATCACCTTCAAGCACCAAGCTGGTTCTTCCCCACCATCCCTGCCTCATGAATGGCATCACCTCACTGGCTGCCCAAGTGAGAATCTGTTACCTTTACTCATCCCCAATCCAGGGGCCCACCTCTGTCTAATGTTTCTCCATAACAGCTCCCAAACTCTAACACCCTCCTTATCATTTCTACCATCTTGTTGCTCTATGACTGCAGCAAGCCCTGTAACTGGCCTCTCTGCCTCCAGGCTTCTCCCGACCTAGACTTGCTTACATTGCTGTACAAGTGAGGTTTTTGACATTCTCAGTCTTGTCACTCACTGCTTAAACTCCTCAAGAGTTTTTACTCCCTTCAGGCCAAGGGCTATATGAAGCCCTTCAGATATGGCCATTGCTTGCATCTCCAGCCCCATCTCTCAGCAGTGCTCTTAACACTCCCAACCATCATGAGCTAATTACTATCCTTCCAACACGCCATGCTCTTTCACACCCCTCTTGCTTTGAACACACTGACTCTTCTGCCTGAAATACCTTTCCCAGTTCCCTTCTGATATGGTTTGGCTGTGTCCCCCCCCAAATCTCATCTTGAATTGTAGTTCCCATAATCCCCACATGTTGTGGGAGGGACCTGGTAGGAGGTAATTGAGTCATGGGGGTGATTACCCTCATGCTGCCATTCTCATGGTAGTGAATGTGAGTTCTCACAAGATCTTATGGTTTTATAAGGGGCTTCTCTCCCTTTTGCTCAGCACTTCTCCTTGCTGCTGCCATGTGAAGGACAGGTTTTCTTCCCCTTCCACCATGATTGTAAGTTTCCTGAAGCCTCCTCAGCCATGCTGAACTGTGAGTCAATTAACTTCTTTCCTTTATAAATTACCCAGTCTCGGGTATGTCTTTATTAGCAGTGTGAGAATGGACTAAAACACCCCCTTCACTCACTTTTCAGTCTTCAAAGTGCACAGCCATCCTTTACTGCCCCGTGCAGCACCTTCAGGCCTTGAGCTCTATGCAGGGAGGTAAGCCACAGAAGTCACAAGCACATCTTTTATACTAGTGCACACAGCTGAAAACTCACAGACTGGTACCAAACCAGCTTGGTTCTGTTCTGCTTCCACTGCCTGTCAAGACTGTGTGCTCTGGGCAAGGTACTTCAACCACTGGGTCTTGGCTTCCTCATCTGGAAAATGAAAATAAAACTGCAACTTTATAAAGCTTTTCTGAAATCAAATGCAGCAATGTACATAAAAGGCAAATAAGCTCACTCTATGTTTTACCTAATTTTCTTTTTATCCTGTCTGTGTATTTCTTAAGCCAACCATCTTACTTCCTTTTTAGAATGCATCAGGATAGACACAAATAAATGGAAACACCATTACAAAGCCCCTGCTCACACTTCAGAATTCAGATTGCATTACCTCCTCCAGGAAGTCTTCCTTAATCACTCTCTGCTCGAGTCTCATTTAGATGATCTCCTGTGTGCTTGCATATCGTCTGTGCATACCTCTGTGTTGAGAGGAGTGGTAAGAGATGGGGCTGGAGACTCAAGAAAAGGCCACATCGGAAGGGCCTCGATCCTTTCCCCTGAAGGGAGTAAAGGCTCTCCAAAGACTTTCAGCAGTGAGTGAAAAGACCAGCCGAGAATGTGAAAAACCTCATCTGGACACAAGGCAAAATAACTATTTTCTCCCTTGGTTACCTTTCCCATTCCCTTTCTTCAAGGGAAAGAACCATGTCTTATTTTACTTGGCATCAGCAGCTCTCAGAACAGTGGCTTGACCAATACCAAGCATTCAATAAATGTTTATTGAAGGAATGAATCAATGGCCACCCACAACCTATACCTCTTACAGCCCATTTAATGCCCTTTAGCCCCTTCCATAGGTATTTGCCTGGAATGTTTGTAAGATTTTTGAAAATCTCAGAAACAACACCAGCCCTCCACCCATGGGAAGATGTGTTTCAGGCTAACACCTGTGCTATTGTTGATGCCATTGCCCCAAAGAAGACCAACCTCTCCTTCTTGCCCATATAAGTTGGCTCTAATTTCAATGCTGCTGAAAACCTCTCCTCTTCCATAAATTATTTTTTCAGATTGCTCCAGCCCATTGTGATCTTTCATCCTTCAAACTCCTTTAACATCTAGGGCCTACACCATTAATCTGACGATCACCATATACTGCTTAATATTGTTGTAGTCTGCTATTTACCTTCAGTCTGCAATTTAACTTCCTTAAGTTTATTTCTTGTTCCCCATTGTAGAGAATATCTCCCTTAAATAGCTGCCAAGTCTTGCCAATCATGGCCTTTCCTGTAGTGTTTTGCATGTGTGTGCACACATGTGTTTTTAATTCACTTGAAGACAAAGAGACTCCCCTTAGGAAGCTTTATTTTCTGTTTGCCACTTCCCTAGGACCCAAGATACCCTGATCCCCCTCAATTCATTCTCTGCCTTTCCCTGCTCTTCTTCCCAAGGAAATGAACACCTTCCAACTTTATCACCAGGGCTCCTTTGCCTTCTGGCTTGCATTTGGGTTCAACCAATAGAAGGCACAGATAGGTAATAGATGGGTGGGAGGACAGTGGTAGGGAATGTCTTCCCTTGCTTGGCCCATTCTGTAGTGTTTGAGCCCTTCCAGGACTATGGCTTCTCTAGGGCAGCCCCTCTTCAAAAGCTGTGCCCCCCAGATAAGCTCCAATGGCATCATTTCTTCCCTTTACCTTTTCAGGCCTGGTGCCTCAACATCCTTTTTTGATGCTCTTAACTCTGCCCACACTTCTGTAAATAGTCCCTTTATTAAAGGGACTTTTATCTCTTCAAAAATCCCCACAGAATATTCTGTTTCTTGCTGGGATCTTGACTAACACAGGAACTTTCCATTTAGTTGGGATAAGACTATGGGAACCTTATAATTTATCATCCAAACCAGGACACTTCTGAGAGTGAAAGGGGGCACTATTAATTAAACCATGGCAACGGGCGCAAATCAGAACTGTTCCAGGCTACCTGGAATGAATGAGCATCCTAGGTAAGTCAGTCACATAAAAAGATAATTGTTATAATGAAGAGATAAAAACATTTCTAAAAGAGATAATATTACAGCATAGATTAAGGTAAGTGCCAAGGGTGGAATAGACTTGCAGTGCTACAGCCATTCCAAGACAAGAGAGATTATTTCTCCTGGGGAAAGGCATTTGAGATCAGCGGGTTGCTCAGTTCTCCTCCAACTAAATGAAGTCACACAATCCATGTGTGCTTGGCCGATTTTGTAGATTTTCTCCAAGAAATTTCAGTCCCAGTTGGGTCCCCCCCTCCACCCCTCACACACCCAGTGTAACTGTTCCTATTTCTTTCTATTGTTTAGGCTCTGAGTTTTTAAGGAAAGCAAATTAATTTAAATCTTAGCCAATTATTCCTTTTAAAAAATACCAAATGCATTCCTGATTCAATTATAAATCATTGTAAATATCTTATATTTTTGATTCTTTAAACCACGTTTTAGCTTCATTTTGCAAAGATATCTAAGAGGTGATTTATAAGCTTTGCTTGCAAATACAAACATTTCTGCTAGTAATCACATAAAGCCTAAGTAACCCTAGAAAGCTTCTCTATGTATGCATGTATGTATGTTTACCTTGTCTCTTAAACAAAAGAGTTTGACAATTAACCAATACTCTAAAGCCTTGTCACCCTGAGCAAAGTGAACCCAGACTCATTGCACCCCCACTCCTAGCTGATTCAAGGCTACTTGGCCAGGAAATGTTTCTAATGCTCACGTTGCTAGCAGAAGCAAGTTACTATGAGCCCCAGTGTGTGACTTCAGGCTTGCCAAATCACTGCTTTGTTCAGGCATTTCATACTCAAGAGAATAGTATATAAAAACACCCACATCCCTGCCCAGGAGCAGAGAGCACCATGTAGATTAGGGCAGCCAGAGTTCCTGCTCTACTTCCCAACCAGCTGGTGCTGGTTAGGATTAGACCAGTGGGAGTTGGGGTTGAAAAGGTCCCTCTTGAGAGAGTCAGAAAGGGTTCTACAAGAACAAGGCAAACAGGAAAATAAAGCAGTAACTAGAGACAAAAAGCAATGGCAGATGTACAAATCACACACAGGAAATAGCACAAATCAACACAGATAGTGTTAATAAATGCAGATAGTGTCAGATAGTGAACCAAGTAGGTCCATGCTATGCCCAACATCAAAGAAAACAGTTAAGTATGCCCCACCATGTAGCTGAAAGGCAGATAGCTAGAAGGCTTTTGCTATTGACACTAGCAAGACTCTATCTCAAACAACAACAACAACAAAGTCAAATAGAGCTTTAAACCTGAATCATTTACATCTTTACTTCATAAAATGTAAAACTACTTTTTTACCCAAGACTTAAAATATAGAATTATGTAACTTCTACTTTAAACAAAATGAAAAATGTTTTGAGTATCAAACAGTATATTATCTACCTTGTAGACAGCATCTTCATCTAACACTGCCACTGTGTTAGCAATTCTTAAATGACATCAAACTAGAAGAAAAGCTGCTCCTACGTTGTTTTTATTTAATAAGACAAATTTGGCACTAGACTTTTTCTAGAAATAGCATTCATAGTATATCGATATAATAGTAACATCTTGTTTTAGGTTAATGAATTCCTATTAGGAAGCAGCACTTTGGGACAGTTTTTAGTGACACTAATTTAATTCTATCATTATAGTCCTCTGACCTGCCTTAATTCCAGGATCATCTGAATTCTAGGTTAAGGAATGATTATTAGCCAAACCTGGAAACAACTACAAATTGTATTATTATAGGTAACCCCAATTTAATAGTGACTAAAAGTCATAACTGTCACCATTAAAAATAGCCATATTTCATATCTTCAAAACTATTCTATTTACAATACTTTATATAATAAATAACTTACAGCAGTATAGTAACACGCCTCAAAAAAGTTCTTTTTTCACTAATTCCTAGAGGTTTCTTGGTTACTTTCCTTCATAAAAACACATCAAATGTGAGTTTACACTATGAGAAAAACAGGATTTGAAAATAGATAGATATTTTCCATTATGGCACAAATGTTTAAGGCCGAGTCAGCACCAGAAATGTTCGGGGCCTGAACGTGTTTGTTTCCTCACATTAGTATGAAGAACTGTCTGAGTTGAGAAGGCTGAAAGGGGAGGGCAGCTTCTTCTTGACCTGAGGCCGTGCAGCCCCGACCGATGGGAGGCACAAGGTGCTGGCTGACTTCTGTCTGTTCTTGTTGGTGCCCCAACTCAGGAAGGAAAGCTTCTTGGAGATTTTCTGGGTTTTATCAGTTTTGTTGTCATCATCAATGGCTAAGCAGATCATGGAGTACGTTTTCTGCATTCCCACGGAGTATGTGGCACTCTTATTATGCTGCACATAGAAAAGAAAAAGGGCGTCAGACATCATCAAGATAGATGATAAAAACTACGAAGTTTGGCCAGGCGCAGTGGCTCACGCCTGTAATCCCAACACTTTGGGAGTCCGAGGAAGGTGGATCACTTGAGGTCAGGAGTCCAAGACCAGCATGGCCAACATGGTGAAACCCCATCTCTACTAAAATACAAAAATTAACCAGGTGTGGTGGTGGATGTCTGTAGTCCCAGCTGCTTGCAAGGCTGGGCACGAGAATCACTTGAACCCAGGAGGTGGAGGTTGCAGTGAGCTGAGATTGCACCACTGCACTCCAACCTGGGTGACAGAGCAGGACTCTGTCTCCAAAAAATAAATTAAACAGACATAATTCGGAAACTCAGGTGACCAATGCTTATATAGAATTAGGTTCTTAAAACAAGGACAAACTGTTTTTCTTTTTTGAGACAGGGTCTTGCTATGTTGCCCAGGCTGGTCTTGAACTCCTGGGATCAAGTGATCTTCCTGCCTTGGCCTCCTGAGTAGCTGGGGCTCTAGGTGTGTGCCACCAGGTGCAACAAGGATAATTTTTGTTTGTTTGTTTTTTGTTTTTGTTTTTTTTTTTTAAGACGGAGTCTCACTCTGTCGCCCAGGCTGGAGTGCAGTGGCACGATCTCGGCTCACTGCAAGCTCCACCTCCCGGGTTAATGCCATTCTCCTGCCTCAGCCTCTCTGAGTAGCTGGGACTACAGATGCCCACCACCACACCTGGCTAATTTTTTGTATTTTTAGTAGAGACGGGGTTTCACCAGGGTCTCGATCTCCTGACCTCGTGATCCACCTGCCTCAGCCTCCCAAAGTGCTAGAATTACAAGCATGAGCCACCGCGCCCAGCCCAACAAGGATAATTTTTAAGGAATGTACTCAATAGTAACAATTTAAGCTTAGGAGCCACAACTCACATTTTAAGGTTCTTCTTCTATTTGAGAAAGTAATAATACTAATGGTCACGAATATGAAAGTATAGGATGGGGCGTGGTGGCTCACGACTACAGTCCCAGCTACCTGAGAGGCTTAGAGGGGAGGAATGCTTGAGCCCAGGAGGTTGAGGCTATATAGTGAGCTGTGATTGTGCCACTGCACTCCAGCCTGGGCAACAGAGTGACACCTCTGTCTCAAAAAAAAGGGCGGGGGGGAAGGGAAGAGGGGAAAGGAAAGGGAAGAGGAGAAGAGAAGGGAAGAGGGAAAGGGAAGGAAAAAAAAAAGAATATGCAGTGAGCAATAGGTCTCCCTGTCACCTGGGCTTCTAGGCCCTCCATGTTATACTTCTAGAGATGATGTGCATGTACAGGTATTTCTGTATGTACATAAGTATATTACCATTCATTTTCTTAAAAGGAATATACTGCACTATTCTACACCTGATTTTCTTTTTTCTTTTTTTTTCTTTTTCTTTTTTTTTTTTTTTAAGATGGAGTCTCGCTCTGTCGCCCAGGCTGGAGTGCCATTTTCATCATTTTCAAGTGTAGAGTTCAGTGGCATTAACTACATTCACATCATTATGCTCCACTGCCACCATCCATCTCTAAAACTTTTTCATCTTCCTCAGCTGAAACTTTGTACCATTAAACACTCTCTACTGTTAACTTTCCAAGAATCATGTAGGATTCAAACTGGAAATCTAAGGAAGCTTGCTTTCTGAAGACTTCCACATGGGCTATCACCAGCTTCTAAGGTTTGCCTAACATTGAGATTGTTTAGTTCGCCACATGTTTATTGATGGTCTACTATGTTCTGGCACTAACATTAGGCATACAATATATCGCTGCAATAGTTGAGGACATTGTTCCTAATATAAACCCTAAGAGGGGCCGGGCACAGTGTCTTACACCTGTAATCCCAACACTTTGGGAGGCTGAGGTGGGCAGATCACTTGAGGCCAGGGGTTCAAGACCATGGTGGCCAACATGGTGAAACTCCATCTCTACTAAAAATACAAAAATTAGCCAGGTGTGGTGGCACACACCTGCAATCCCAGCTACTCAGGAGCTGAGGCAGAAGAATCACTTGAACCCAGGAGGTGGAGGTTGCAGTGAGCCAAGATCACGTCACTGCACTCCAGCCTGGGTGATGGAGTAAGACTCTATCACAAAAAATAAATAAATAATAAATAAATAAATAAAATAAACCCTCAGGAATCTGAGTTATGCAGCAATAAAGTAGGGGGTACTTTGAGCCCCTAAGGATGGAGATGCCTCTTCCTTTTCTGGAAAACTGACCACTAACTCCACCATGTTTTACGGAGCACATACAATGTCATTTAAAACAATAATAAAATGAATAATCCTGGAGACAGATGTGAGGCCTGAAAGCATTTCCCAACCCTCAGCTGCTCAAAGTCCATTGTGTATCAAAACCACTGCCTTATAAATACCCTCAGTTCTCTTCCATCTGCCCCCAGCAATGCTAACTTGCTCATCTCCGCCCTCTGCCTCCCCTAGGGCCTGTATCTGAAAGGTTGTGCATTGCTGGAGGACACTCACCAAGGCTTCCCTTGGAATTCTAACCTGACCCCAAACCTCTAATAGGCACCCATTTCCTGGCACTCTTGTGTGTCCCTAGTAATTTCGTTTCCTTTTCTCCTGTATACTTGTTTCTTATCTTCGCTCTCCTCCTGAAGCCACTCACACACCCTCCTGAAATCCCTGCCGTATACTTCATGGCATCCATCCCCCAAGACCAAGCCCTTCTGTGTGCCTGGATCCCATTCCCTCTCTCCTCCAGGAACCCTTGCCTCCCAGATCTCTACACACACACACGCACACACCCCTCTCTCTCTACACACACACACACTCCTCTCTCTACACACACACACACACCCCTCTCTACACACACACACACACCCCTCTCTACACACATACACACACCCCTCTCTCTACACACACACACACACTCCTGCAATGCATACCATCACATTCTTTGAAAAGCCTTTCTTGGCCAGGCACAGTGGCTCACGTCTGTAATCCCAGCACTTTGGGAAGCCAAGGCGGGCGGATCACAAGGTCAGGAGATTGAGACCATCCTGGCTAACACGGTGAAACCTGCCTCTACTAAAAATACAAAAAATTAGCCGGGCATGGTGGCGGGTACCTGTAGTCCCAGCTACTCGGGAGGCTGAGGCAGGAGAATGGCATGAACCAGGAGGTGGAGCTTGCAGTGAGCTGAGATAGCGCCACTCACTGCATTCCAGCCTGGGCGACAGAGTGAGACTCTGTCTCAAAAAGAAAAAAAAAAAGTAAAGCCTTTCTTGACCCTATTCCCCTCCAGGTCCACCCCAGTATCATACCCACATACACTCTCTCTCACTCCTGCAATGTGTACCACTACTTTCTTTGAAAAGCCTTTTTTTTTTCTTTTGAGACAGAGTCTTGCTGTCACCAGGCTGGAGTGCAGTGGCCCAATCTTGGCTCACTGCAACCTCCACTTCCAGGTTCAAGTGATTCTCCTGCCTCAGCCTCCCAAGTAGCTGGGATTACAGGCACATGCCACCATGCCCAGATAATTTTTGTATTTTTAGTAGAGTCAGGGTTTCACCATGTTGGCCAGGTTGGTCTTGAACTTCTGGCCTCAAGTGATCCACCTGCCTCAGCTTCCCAAAGTGCTGGGATTACAGGCTTGAGCCACTGTGCCCAGCTCCATTTACTATTTCTTTCCCTGCCACCCACTCCTCGCTCAAATCCACCAGGGTACCCCTGTAGAACTCTTAGGACTTTACAGAGCACAGTTTAAAACCACTGTGTAGGCCTAACTCTTCCATCCTCTGGATGAGAAAACTGAGGCCCAGGGAGGGTATGAACGTGCTGAAGGTTACACAGCTTGTGAACGGCAGTCAGGGCGTAATTCCAGAGCTTGATTCCAAGCTTAGATTTGTTCAGTTAGAGATCCCCACTGTAGTCAAGAGGGTAGCCAAGGGCAGCAGGTCATCGGTTCAGCCAGAGTGCTAGGCTAAATGCTCTCTTTATTTGATTTTGTTTGAAAGGTTCAGTCGCTAAAAACAGTGCTTGGCTGTCATTATCTAAAATCCTTATCATAAAAATTAATAGACAAAAATAAATTATTTTTTAAAAATTATTTTTAAAAAGCCAGGGGCTGGGAATGGTGGCTCACTCCTGTAATTCCAGCACTTTTGGGAGGCCAAGGCAGGCCGATCACCGGAAGCCAGGAGTTCAAGATCAGCCTGGCCAATGTGGTGAAACCCCATCTCTACTAAAAATACAAAAATTAGCCAGGCATCATGGTGGGTGCCTGTAATCCCAGCTACTCAGGAGGCTGAGGCAGGAGAATTGCTTGAACCCGGGAAGCGGAGGTTGCAGTGAGCCAAGATTGTAGCACTGCACTCCAGCCTGGATGACAAGAACAAGACTCTATCTCCAAAAAAAAAAAAAAGAGCCAGGTACAGTGTCTCACACCTGTAATCCCAACTATTCGGGAGGCTGATTCAAGAGGGTCTCTTGAGGCTAGGAATTCAAGATCAGCTTGGATAACTTAGTTAGACCCCGTCACTACAAAATTAGTTAAATAAAAGATGAAAGGAAATTACTTTTGGCCTGGTGCACTGGCTCATTCCTGTAAAACTAACACTTTGGGAGGCGGAGGCAGGAAGATTGCTTAAGCCCAGGAGTTTGGGACCAGGCTGGGCAACAAAATGAGACTGTCACTACAAAAAAAAATTAAAAATTAGCTGGGTATAGTGGTGCACACCTGTAGTCCCAGCAACTTGGGAGGATTTTTTTTTTTTTTTTGAGATGGAGTCTCCCTCTCTTGCCCAGGCTGGAGTGCAGTGGCATGATCTCGGCTCACTGCAACCTCTGCCTCCTGGGTTCAAGCAATTCTCCTGCCTTGGCTGCCCAAGTAGCTGGGATTACAGGCACCCACCACCACCACACCCAGGGTTTCACCATGTTGACCAGGCTGGTCTAGAATTCCTGACCTCAGATGATGAGAAGGGAGGATCTTTTGAGCCCTAGAACTCAAGGCTATAGTGAACTATGATTGCACTATTGCACTCCAGCCTGGGCAACTGAGTGAGACCCTGTCTCAAAACAAACAAAACAAAACAAAAAACAACAACAAAAGAAATTATTTGGCCGGGCATGCTGGCTCATGCCTGTAATCCCAGCACTTTGGGAGGCAAGGTAGGCGGATTGCTTGAGCTTAGAAGTTAGAGAACAGCTAGGGCAACACGGTGAAGCCCCATCTCTACAAAAAATATGAAAAATTAGCTGAGTATGGTGTTGCATGCCTGTAGTCCTAGCTACTCAGGAAGCGGAGGTGGGGGGATCACTTAAGCCCAAGAGTAAAGGCCACAGTGAGCCAAGATCGCGCCAGGGCAATGAGAGCGAGACTGTGTCTCAAAACAAAAAACAAACTTTTTTTTTTCTAGGCAGGGTCTTACTCTGTTGCCCCGGCTGGAGTACAGTGGCACGATCTCGGCTCACTGCAACCTCTGCCTCCCAGGCTCAAGCGATTCTTATGCCTCAGCCTCCCACGTAGCTGGGATTGCAGGTATACACAACCACATCCCGTTAATTATTGTATTTTTAGTAGAGATAGGGTTTTGCCATGTTGGCCAGGATGGTCTCCAACTCCTGGCTTCAAGTGATCCACCTGCCTCGGCCTCCCAAAGTGCTAGGATTATAGGAGTGAACCACTGTGCCCAGCCTAAAAACATTTTTTTTTTTTTGAGACAGAGTCTCGCTCTGTCACCCAGGCTGGAGGGCAGTGGCGCGATCTCAGCTCACTGCAAGCTCCACCTCCTGGGTTCACGCCATTCTCCTGCCTCAGTCTCCCAAGGAGCTGGGACTACAGGCACCAGCCACCACGCCCAGCTAATTTTTTGTATTTTTAGTAGAGATGGGGTTTCACCGTGTTAGCCAGGATGGTTTCGATCTCCTGACCTCGTGATCCACCCGTCTCAGCCTCCCAAAGTGCTGGGATTACAGGCGTGAGCCACTGTGCCCGGCCTAAAAACATTATTTTTAAAAAAATTAAAGACATCCTGCTGGGTGAAAAGAATAAACATCATGATCATGGTTATCATCATTATAATGTCTATTGTGAATTGAAATGTAGCTCATGTTTGGCCCTCTTGGAAGGGCTTTATGTAAACTCAGTTTATCCTGAGGCTCACAGCTATTCCCTGACTTGCTGAAGGCCACACAATGGTGGTGGAAAGCCAGGATACACATCTAGACTGTCTGAGTGCAGAACCCTTGCTTTCAGCTATTACAGCAGCCCCTTCCTTGGCCTGGTGTAAAGATGTCACAGGCTTGAAAGTCAAGCCTTTGCACCTCTCACAGGGGGCAGGGCATGCCCCATAAACTCAGGCCTCTGCTGATGGGGTCCCTACTCCAACCTTCAGTGTATGGTTCGGCTCTTTTCTCTAACCTCCTTTTGGACAAACTTCTTTTCTGTTTCTGCTGGGGACCTTAATCACTTGTCCATAAACTCCATGCATTTTGTCCCTAAAAATATAATTTCTTATGATCCCTTCTCCCAAGATGCTCTGAGTCCCTTGACTTTATCTTCTTTTAAAATTTGAAGTATATCAGGTGCGGTGGCTCACGCCTGTAATCCCAGTACTTCGGGAGGCCGAGGTGGATGGATCATGAGGTCAGGAGTTCGAGACCAGCCTGAGCAACGTAGTGAAACCCTGTCTCCACTAAAACAAAAATTAGCCAGGCAGAGCGGTGCCCGCCTATAATCCCAGCCACTCAGGAAACTGAGGCAGGAGAATCACTTGAATCCTGGAGGCAGAGGTTGCAGTGAGCCAAGATCACGCCACTGCACTCCAGCCTGGGCGATAGTGTGAGACTCCGTCTCAAAAAAAAAAATTTTTTTTTGAGATATAATTCACATACATGCATAAAATTCACCATTTTAATACCCTTCTGTGGCTTTTATTTATTATTTTTGAGACAGGGTCTTGCTCTGACACCCAGGCTGGAGTGCAGTCGTACAATCATAGCTCCCTGCAGCCCCAACCTCCCTGGGCTCAAGTGATCCTCCGGCCTCAGCCTCCCAAGCAGCTGGGACTACAGGTGTGTGCCACCATGCCTCGCTAATTTTTTTTATTTTTTGTAGAGACAAGGTCTCGCCATGTTGCCCAGGCTGGTCTCGAACTCCTGGGCTCAAGCGAACATACTGCCTCAGCCTCTCAAAGTGCTGGAATTACAGGTGTGAGCCAGCATGCCAAAACACCAGTGATTTTTTAGTATATTCACAAAGTTAGGTGACCATCACTACTACCTAATTTCAGAACATTTCCATCCCCCCAAAAAGAAACCTTCTACCTTATGACCCTTCAGCAGTCCCTCCCCACTCCCATTGCCCAGCCCCAGCACCATCTACTTTCTGTCTCTGGATTTGCCTATGCTGAGCATTTCATATCCACGGACTCAAAATCCATTGGCTCTCTGGCCCTCTCTCAACTGACTTCTGTTGCCACCTCTCCACCAAAGTGTCTTTTCATCCTGCTGCCAAATACAATAGGCACAGCTAAGCCAACCTCATTCTCCACCTCTCAACTGCATTCAATGCAACCCATCACTCTCTCACTGCAAAGCTTTCTCCTCTTAATTTGAGAAGTTCCTTTCCTCCGACATCTCTGAACTCTCTTGCATTTTCTTTGCACTTGCTTCTCTTCCAACTGATCTCTAAATGTTTAGACCTCAGCCCTAGCCCCCTTGCAGGGAGCTGCATTTTGTCTCACAGCCTCAAATATCATCCCTGTGCAATGATTCTCAAATATTTATTTCTAGCTCTGATTTCTTCCTCGAACTGAAGACTTCACATCCAATCTCCTTTATGCTTACGTCTGACTGCTAATAGCTTCTGAAACATTCAAAACATGACTCTTGATTTCTCTCCTTCACCTCCCTCACACCCATTACCCATCATTATGAAAAATAACCAGGCCGGGCATGGTGGCTAGTGCCTGTAATCCCAACACTTTGGGAGGTGGAGGTGGAAGGATCGCTTAAGGCCAGGAGTTTGAGGCCAACCTTGGCAATATGTCAAGGACCCATCTCTACCAAAAAAAATTTACAATAGGTAAATAAACAAATTAGCCAGGCATAGTGGTACACACCTGTAGTTCCAGCTACTCGGGAGGCTGAGGCAAAAGGATTGCCTCAGCCCAGGAAGTCAAGGCTCTAGTGAGCTATGATTGCACCACTGCATTCCAGCCAAGCAACAGAGTGAGACCCTGTCTCAAAAAAAAAAAAAAAAAAAAAAAAAAAAAAACAAGAGAAAAAGGAAATTAAAGGTAGAAAAATAACCACTACCCATGAGATTGATCAAGCCAAAAACTGAGGCCTCACCTCCCTGTTCACTGTCTCCTTTACACAAATCATCCACAAATCCCCCATCAGCTCTACCTCCAAACTATGTCCCAGGGACACTCATGTCTCTCCAACTCTACAGCCACCCCCATCACCTCAGCCACTAACGTCACCAGCCTGGACAACTGCCATGGCCAGTCTCCGGCAGCAGACGCACTTCTAAAACAAACATCACACCATGCCGCTCCCCTTCTGAAAAGGCCCAGTGGCTTCCAAGCTCCCACCACTGCCACTGAGGCCTCCTTCCTACCTCACTTCCCACGGCTCCCTTCCTTGTCCTGGTGCTCTTGCCAAAAGGCCTTTCTTTTGCCTCTCTGGTAGGAGAAGCTTATTCTGCTGCAGGGGCCCTGTACCTGTAGGTGCCCCTGCCCAGAAGGCCTTTCTTGTCTCTCTGCCACTGGCTCGAACCTCCTGGTCACTCTCATGTCTGTTCCAGCCCTGCCTAGATAGAGTCTCACCTCCTCCCCAGTCATTCCACCCCATTACAGGTCTTTTTTCCTTTACAACACTTATCAAAATCCTGACCATTTATTTGCTGACTTAGTGCCAGCTTCGTGGGGGGCGGCAGGGACCTTACCTGTGTAATGTAAACTGGAGCTCTGACACCTAAGAGAGTGTCTGGCACCCAATTGATCCTCAATCAGTATTTGTTGAATGAATAAATGACTGTTGTTACAGAGGGAAGGTCGAGGGTACGTCATTAAGTGTGGCAAAGTGTAGAGGAGAACGTCATTGAGTGTGGCATGAACGCTAGCACTTGGGGAAAATTTTAGGGTTTTTTTGCAGACAGAGTCTCACTCTGTTGCCCAGGCTGGAGTGCAATGGCGTGATCTCCACTCACTGCAACCTCCACCTCCCAAACTATTCTCCTGCCTCAGCCTCCTGAGTAGCTGGGGTTACAGGCGCACACCACCATGTCCAGCTAATTTTTATATTTTCAGTAGAGACAGGGTTTGCCTTGTTGGTCAGGCTGGTCTTGAACTCCTGACTTCAAGCAATCCACACACCTCAGCCTCCAAAAGTACTCAGATTACAAACATGAGCACCGTGCCCAGCCTCACCTGGGGAAAATTAAAGGTGGTAACTGTGCAGGTGAACTTGAGAGACTCAAATGCTTCCCAAATCTCCCAGAACATGGCTGACATTGCCTCTAGGGTGTACAGAGGGATTGTCTTAACTTTCACAGGTCATCTTAAGCTCTTCTGTACCATTAGAATTTTTTTTTTGTTTTTTGTTTTTTTCACTATGAGTATGTATTACTTTTGTAATTAAACAATTTGATCAGAAAAATAGATCAGTTGATTATTTTATCTACAGGATATTTTTAAAAGTTTGCTAGCAGGGTGCAGTGGCTCATGCCTGTAATCCCAGCACTTTGGGAGGCCAAGGTGAGAGGATGGCTTGAGCCCAGGAGTTCAAGATCAGTCTTGGCAACACAGCGAGAACCTGTCTCTACAAAAAATAAAGAATGGGCTGGGCATGGTGGCTCACACCTGTAATCCCAGCACTCTGGGAGGCTGAGGCAGGTGGATCACGAGGTCAGGAGATCGAGACCATCCTGGCTAACATGGTGAGACCCCATCTCTACTAAAAATACAAAAAATTAGCCAGGCACATTGGCAGGCGCCTGTAGTCCCAGCTACTTGGGAGGCTGAGGCAGGAGAATGGCGTGAACCTGGGAGGCAGAGCTTGCAGTGAGCCGAGATTGCACAACTGCACTCCAGCCTGGGTGACAGAGCGAGATTCCATCTCAAAAAAAATAATAAAAAAAAAAATGAATAAATAAATAAATAATGAGCCAGGGGTGGTAGTGGGTGCCTATAACTCCAGGTGCTCATGTGGCTGAGGTGGGAGGATCACTTAAACCCAGGAGATAGAGGCTGCAGTAAGCCATGATCATACCACTGCAAACCAGCCTGGGCAATAGGGCAAGACCCTGTCTTTAAAAAGAAAAAGTTTGCCAATTTTCTCTTTGACCCAAGGTGAGCACATTACAGTGATTACAAGCCTGGGAGTCCAGTCATTTGTACCATGTTACACAGGCAGGAGACAGAGGGTCTGATAAACACCTCTGGGGCTGAACTCATGCAGATTTCACTCCACACCACTACTGACTGCCCAGGGAGGTGTCAGTGCTCACCATGGATGATGTGGAGTCCAGGAGGCTCACAACTTTCATCTCGATCTCGTCCTCACCAAAGCTCTTCAGCAGCTTCATAACCTCACTCACCGTCAGCCACTTACAATCCACAAGCTGAATGGAGACAATATAATCTCCTTCCCGGGCTCCTGCCACCTGAAAAAGTATTGTTGAAAATAAGTCAACGTTTTGTTCACTCAAATCCTTGAATCAGTCCCCATTAACAAAATAGGTATTTGCGTAAGTTTGCATCAAGAAAGCAAAAATTCACTTTGGGTGGCTGAGACGGGTAGATCACTTGAGGTCAGTAGTTCAAGACCAGCCTGAACAACACGGTGAAACCCATCTCTACTAAAAATACAAAAATCTGCCAGGTGTGGTGGTGGGCACCTGTAGTCCTAGCTACCTGGGACGCTGAGGCAGGAGAATTGCTTGAACCCGGGAGGCAGACATTGCAGTAAGCCGAAATCGTGCCACTGCCCTCCAGCCTGGGTGCAATTAAAAAAAAAAAAGTCAAAATTGGCCAGGCACAGTGGCTCACGCCTATAATCCTAGCACTCTGGGAGGCCAAGGCAGACAGAATACTTGAGGCCAGGAGTTTGAGACTAGCCTGGCCAACATGGCAAAACCCCGTTTCTACTAAAAATACAAAAATTAGGCCGGGCCAGGTGGCTCACACTTGTAATCCCAGCACTTTGGGAGGCTGAGGTGGGCAGATCACAAGATCAGGAGATCAAGACCATCCTGGCTAACACGGTGAAACCCCGTCTCTACTAAAAACACACAAAAAATTAGCCGGGCATGGTGGCACGCACCTGTAATCCCAGCTACTCAGCAGGTGGAGGCAGGAGAATTACTTGAACCCAGGAGGTGGAGGTTGCAGTGAACCAAGATTGCGCCACTGCACTCCAGCCTGGGCGACAGAGCGAGACTGTGTCTCAAAAAACAAAAACAAAAACTAAAATTAGCTGAGTGTGGTGGCACGTGCCTGTAATCCCAGCTACTCAGGAAGCTGAGACAGGAGAATCACTTGAACCCAGGAAGCAGAAGCTGCAGTGAGCCCTGAGATCGCGCCACTGCATGATGACGACTCACTGCAGCCTCCACCTCCCAACGTCTAAAAAAATACTAAAAACAAAATAAAGACAGTAAAAATTAATCCTTTTCTTTTAGGGAATGTAGCACCCATGAGGCCTTTCACATCAAGTCAGGCCTTTGACGTGGGTGAACCCGCCCTAAATTCAATCACCCAGATATCTGTATTTGCTGCCAACCAAGAAAAGCATGTGCTTACCAAGGCAGAGCAGTAAGGATCCAGGAAGTGAACCTCAACGGGGGCGTTCCCTCTTAAGGTGAACCCCAAGTCCCCTTCTTCTGCGGTGAAGCGGATGCGTCGAGGAGGCATCCACTGCTTGTTAGCCAAAAACACAGATAAGGGGCCCTTTGGAAGAGAGCATCGTTAGGTGTAGGATTTGAAGGCTAGATCAGACGCTTGAAAGCTAAAGGGAATTTTGCCTGCTGTCCTTGAAGATCTCACTTGGCCTTGTTCAGGGACAAATGACACATCTGGGGGCATACATGCTACAGCAGTCATGCGAGAACCTGGAAAGCCATCTTCTCAAACATACCCAATATATTTTCAATAAAATTATCTTTTAGACATTGTATTAATTATCTTTTTCTTTTTTTTTTTTTGAGACATTGTCTCACTGTATCACCCAGGCTAGAGTGTGGTGGTGTGATCTCGGTTCACTGCAGCCTCTGCCTCCCGGGTTCAAGTAATTCTCCTGAGTAGCTGGAATTACAGGTGTGAACCACCATGCCTGGCTAATTTTTGTATTTTTAGCAGAGATAGGGTTTCACCATGTTGGCCAGGCTGGTCTCAAACTCCTGACCTCAGGTGATCCGCCCGCCTCAGCCTCCCAAAGTGCTGGGATTAAAGACGTGAGCCACTGCACCCAGCCAAAATTATCTTAAATAAAATCTCTAATATAAACAATTTAAGACCAGGCATGTCATGCCTGTAATCCTAAGCACTTTGTGTGACCAAGGCAGAAGGATTGCTTGAGGCCAGAGGTTTGAGACCAGCTTGGGCAACATAGCGGGAACCATTCTCTACTAAAAACATAAAAGAATTAGCCAGGCATGGTGGTGCACGCCTATGGTTCCATCTACTCAGGCTGCTGAGGCAGGAGGACTTCTTGAGCCCAGCAGTTCGAGGCTTCAGTGAACTGATTGTGCCACTGCACTCCAGCCTGGGTGAAAACAGAGTTAGACCCTGTCTAAAAAAAAAAAAAAAAAAAGGAAAAAAATCTCAGGTCAGGCATAGTGGCTCATACCTGTAATCCCAGCACTCTGGGATGCCTAGGCAGGAGGATGGTTGGAGCCCAGGAGTTTGAGACCAGCCTAGGCAACATAGCAAGACCCCATCTCTACAAGAAATAAAAATTAGTTGGACGTGGTGGTGTTTGCCTGTAGTCCCATCTACTAGGGTAGCTAAGGTAGGAGGATCGCTTGAGCCCAGAAGGTTCAGGCTGCAGTGAGCTATGACCATGCCACTGTAATCCAGCCTAGGTGACACAGTGAGACCACATCTCTAAAAAAAATTTAAAAATATTTTAAAAAATTTCAAATAGACAATACCTAAAAACTACTTTTAAAATATGCTATGGGGCCGGGCACAGTGGCTCAGGCCTATAATCCCAGCACTTTGAGAGGCCGAGGTGAGTGGATCACTGGAGCCCAGGAGTTCAAGATCAGCCTGGCCAACATGGTGAAACCCTGTCTCTACTAAAAATACAAAATTAGCTGAGCATAGTGGCACAGGCCTGTAATCTCGACTACTCGGGAGGCTGAAGCTGGAGAATCACTTGAACCTGGGAGGTGGAGGCTGCACTGAGCCGAGATCGCACCACTGCACTCCAGCCTGGGCAACAGAGTGAGACTCTGTCTCAAAAAACAAATAAATAAAAATAAATGAATAAAATAAAATATGCTATGGTCTGAATGTTTGTACCCTCCCAAAGTTTGTATATTAAAACATTAAAATTTTATTAATATTTATTAAAATTTAAAATGTATATTAAAATCATCAATGTAATTATTAGGAAGTGGGGCCTCTTGAGAGGTGATTCAGTCTTGGGGTGGAGCCCTCAAGAATGGGATACATGCTTTTAAAACAGGCCCAAGGGAGCTCATCACCTTTTCTGCCATGAGGACACAGGTAGAAGGCCCCACCTATAAACCAGAACATGGGCCTTCAGCAGATACCAAATCTGCCAATACCTTGGTCTTGGACTTCCCAGCCTCCAGAACTGAGAAATATATTTCTGCTGTTCATAAGCCACCCAGTTTGAGGCATTTTGTTATAGTAGCCCACATGGACTAAGACACCATACTCGCCAAAGTGAAGAGCTGTCCCATTAGGTCATTTATGTAGAGAGCTTTCAACATACCAGCTTCTAGAAGAAGTCCGTGACTGTCAGCTTGGAGAACTGGGGTAATATAATGTCAACCTCTTGCTCAGTTTTAGCTAGAATAGAGGATTAGAAATGGGAGGATAAATGTTTCTGTAATTGAAAGTGATCCTTATAGCCCGGTGTTGTGGCTCACGCCTGTAATCCCAGCACTTTGGGAGGCCGAGGCAGGTGGATCAATGAGGCCAGAAGTTCAAGACCAGTCTGGCCAGCATGGTGAAACCCCGTCTCTATTAAAAATACAAAAATTAGCCAGGTATGGTGGCAGGCGACTGTAATCCGAGTTACTTGGGAGGCTGAGGCAGGAGAATCACTTGAACCCAGGAGGCAGAGGTTGCAGTGAGTTGAAGTCTTGCCACTGCACTCCAGCCTGGTGACAGAGTAAGACTCCAGGGGGGGAAAAAAAGAAAGTGATCCTTGGGAAGGAGACAGTACAGAACTTTCTCTTAGTCACACATCCTTCCCCTCGGTTTAGACAAGCAGTACAAGAAGATGGAACACAGCTCAACCCCCGACCTAGGTTGAACTCTACCTTCCATTTGGGTACCTCCTGTGAGCCATAGGAGGTATAACTCATTCCTGAGCTGGGACCAAGGAGTGATAACCAGACACATTCCCATGGGGTTTCCTGATATTTAAGGGGCTTAGTGGGCTTCTCTGGCACTCATAAAACCCTAATGAGGAGGCTGGGCACGGGGGCTAATGCTTGTAATCCCAGCACTTTGGGAGGCCGCGGTGGGAGGATCATCTGAGGTCAAGAGTTCAAGACCAGCCTGGCCAACATGATGAAACCCCATCTCTACTAAAAATACAAAAAATTAGCCAGGCGTGGTGGCACGCACCTGTAGTACCAGCTACTTGGGAGGCTGAGGCTTGAACCAGGGAGGCAGAGGTTGCAGTGAGCTGAGATCACACCACTGCACTCCAGCCTGGGTGACAAGAGCAAAACGACCTCTCAAAAACAAACAAACAAACAAACAAACAAACAAACAAAAAACCTATTGAGAAGTCATCTATGTTTCAAGTATTATTGTTATGGAAGTTCCATGCCTCACTGGACACAGTCCTGGGATATTGAGCTTTCTGTTTTCAACATTATTACTATTTTGAGACAGGGTGTCGCTCTGTCGCGCAAGCTGGAGTGCAGTGGTGTGATCACAGCTCTCTTGCAGCTTGACCTCCTGGACTCAAATGATTCTCCTGCCTCAGCCTCCCGAGTAGCTGGAACTATAGGTATGCACCACCACACCTGATGAATTTTTTTTAAATTTTTTGTAGAGATGGGGTCTCACTATGTTGCCCAGGCTGGTCTCAAACTCCTGAGCTCAAGTAATCCTCCTGCCTCGGCCTCCCAAAGTGCTGAGATTAGAGGTTTGAGCCACCGTGCTTGACCTTTTCATTATTAATGTGGTATGAGGATTTCCCAGTGAAAAGGAGGTTTGGCAAATCATAACCATTGACAGCTACATACCCCCACCAGCATCTTCACAGCAGGCTCGGACTACCCTTAACATAAGGCTGGTCAATTTCTAACAAAGGATCCCAGGGCAGGCTGATTCTACACGAGAACAAATAGCATAAAAAGTGTATCTAGGCCAGGTGTGGTGGCTTACTCTGGTAATCCCAGCACTTTGGGAGGCCAAGGCAGGCGGATCACTTGAGGTCAGGAGTTCGAGACCAGCCTGGCCAACATGGTGAAACCCCATCTTTACTAAAAATCCAAAAATTAGTTGGGCGTGGTGGTGGGCGCTTGTAATCCCAGCTCCTCGGGAGGCTGAGGCAGAAGAATCACTTGAACCCGGGAAGCAGAGGTTGCAGTGAGCCGAGATCATGCCACTGCACTCCAGCCTGGGCAACAGAGCGAGACTCCATCTCAAAAAGAAAAGAGAACTCCAGGGCGAAATAAGCACCTCGGTCCCTGCCCTGTGCAGCCCTCCCTGTGCCAAGCACACAGCGAGGGCTCGCTCAACCCCCACAGGCCAGGCGTACTCTTTCCGCGGCACAGGCACCCCCACAGAGGGAACACAGTCTAGGTTACTCACCAACAACACTGGGGGCGTGGATCAGGTTCAGCAGGTCATCATCCTCCTGGTGCTGGGCGTACGTGAGCCGGGAGCGTTCCTGTGCGGCACACAGCACCTTCTGTAGCACCTCAATGCTCCGCAGCTTCTTGCAGAGGCTGGCCTCCCGCACTGACTCCTCGTGATGAGCCATGGCTCTGTGCAGGTGGGACTTCCCCGCAGATGGAAGCCAGCACCCACGTGACCTGCAGATCCACCAAGCAGAGCATAAGGGCCCAAGGGGCAGCCCAAGAGGTTGGACGTTCTCTTTTCTAAAGAATCTGCCTGGATAGCTAGAGCCCGTGATACCCTACCTTGTTTTAACCTGAGTGACTCTCTCCTAGCAGAGAGAGCCGGACAGACTCCATTTTAGTTTCTTCACTTGCAGCCCCCTTTATCCCCCTTAAGGGAATAACTAGTGTAAGCTGACTCCAAGCACATCCAGGAACGCAAACTACTGATAAGATACTGAGGCAGGCTGTACCAGCAGCTCCTGGGGATGTGCTCAGTGGCAGGTACCTAAAGCCCCTGCATTTATCTCTCAGTGATAGTTTAAGCCCCTGCACCTGGAACTGTTTATTTTTTGTAACTGCTTCTATAACCAATTACTTTTTTTAACTTCTTGCCTATTCTGCTTCTGTAAAATTGCTTCAGTTAAACCCCCCTCCCCTATTTAGACCATAGTATAAAAGAAAATCTAGCCCCTTCTTCAGGCCCGAGAGAATTTCGAGCATTAGCCGTCTCTCAGTTGCCGGCTAATAAATGACTCCTGAATTAGTCTCAAAGTGTGGCGTTTCTCTACAACTCGCTTGGTTACAACAAGCCTTTTATTAAAATATTATTTTATTTCATTTTATATTTTATATTTAGAGACAGGGTCTCACTTTGTTTCGCATGCTGGAGTACAGTGGTGCAATCATGGCTTACCACAGCCTCAAACTCCTGGGCTCAACTGAAATTCCCACTTCTGACTCTTGAGTAGCTGGGACCACAGGCATGCACCACCACACTTGGATAATGTTTTCATTATCATTATCATTTCATTATCATTGCTATGTTGCCCAGGCTGGTCTCAAACTCCTGGCCTCAAGCAATCCACCTGCCTTAGCCTCCCAGAGTGCTGGGATGACAGACGTGAGTCACCACGCCCAGCCCAAGCCTCCCTTAAATGCATAGGTAATAAGCTCACTTGTGTCCATAAGATGTTCACTCAACAAATATTTACCAAATGTGTTAGGCACTAGAGATAAAGCAACGAGTAAACAAACTGCCCCCACATTCATGGAGTTTACATGTAGTGATTGAAGACAGATAACTAACAAGACAAGAAATATGTAATGGATGGGTTGGTGATGAGGTTATAGAGAAAAATAAAGCAGGGTAAGCGGAGATGGTAGGAGAAGACTGGGAATGGGGTTGTCCTATGATGGGTGACCAAGAAAGGCTTTTTTTTTTTTTTTCTTGAGACGGAGTCTCACTCTGTCACCCAGGCTGGAATGCAGTGGCACGATCTCGGCTCACTGCAACCTCCGCCTCCCAGGTTCAAGCGATTCTCCCACCTCAGCCTCCCAAGTAGCTGGGATTACAGGCACACACCACCACATCTGGCTAAGTGTATTTTTGGTAGAGACGGGGTTTCTCCATGTTGCCCAGGCTGGTCTCAAACTCCTGACTTCAAGCTATCCTCCCACCTCAGCCTCCCAAAGTGCTGGGATTGCAGGCATGAGCCACCACACCCAGCCAAGGAAGGCTTTGTGATATGGTCTTTTTGAGCAGAGCCCTGATGGATGTGAAAGAGCAGCAGGTGCGAGGGCCCTGGAGCAGGGGCACGCACAGGTGTTCAAGGGCAAGGAGAAGCTAAGGTGTGCCTGGAGGCAGGGAGGGCGGGACAGAATGAGTGCAGGGAAGGAGCAAGGCCAGATCATGGCGGATCTCACGCGTGCAAGATAAGGGCTCTCACTCCTGTTCTGCTTGAGATGGGAGCCCACTGGGGTGTGAGCAGGAGACTGATGTGATCTGGCCTGCATGACCAGACTCTGAAGGGGCAGCAAGAAAACCAGCTATGAGCAGGGCAAGCCACGTGACCGCTCTGGGTCTCAGTTTCCTCAGCTGTAAAATGGGGATGCCATGAGACCCACCTCATAGTGTTGCGTGGGGTTTAAGTGAGTAAATGTTTCTTACATAAGCACTGTACACATGTGGCTTCCACCAGGGCAGCAGGGTTAAAGTGGCCAGATTTGAGTGTGTCTTCTAGGTACAGCCAAAGGGATTTGCTAATCAAATGTAGGGTGAGAAAGTAAGACAAGAGGTTAGGTGTGGCGGCTCGTGCCTGTAAACCCAGCTCTTTGGGAGACAGAGGCAGGAGGATCGCTGGAGGCCAGGAGTTCAAAACCAGCCTGGGCAACATAGTGAGACGGCATCTCTACAAAAACCTTTTTACAATATTAGCCGGGCATGGTGGTGCATGCCTATAGTCCCAGCTACTCAGCAGGCTGAGGCAGGAGGATCACTTGAAGCCAGGAGTTCAAAACCAGCCCGGGCAACATAGTGAGACCGCATCTCTACAAAAACCTTTTTACAATATTAGCCGGGCATGGTGGTGCATGCCTATAGTCCCATCTACTCAGCAGGCTGAGGCAGGAGGATCACTTGAAGCCAGGAGTTCGAGGCTGCACTGAGCTGTGATTGCACTACTGCACTGCAGCCTGGGGGACAGCAAGACGCTGTCAAAGAAAGCAAATGAAAGAAAAGGAAAGAGGAAAGGAGGGAAGAAGGGTAGATGGGGAGGAGAGAAAGAGAGAAAGAAAGAATAAAGGAGAGGAAAGGAAAGGGAAAGAAAAGGAAAGCAACAAGGAACAAGAAAAGGGGAGGAGAGGGGAGGGGATGAGGGGAGAGGGGAGGGGATGAGGGGAGAGGGGAAGGGTGAGGGGAGAGGAGGAAGGATGAGAGGAGAGGGGAGGGGAGAGGAGGAGAAAGGGGAGTGAAGGGGAGGTGGGAGAGGGGAGGAGAGGAGAGGAGGGGAAGGATGGGAAGGGAGGGGAGGGGAGAAAGGGAAGGGAGGGGAGGAGAGGGAGGAGGGGAGGGGAGGAGAGGGAGGAGGGGAGGGGAGGAGAGGGAGGAGGGGAGGGGAGGAGAGGGAGGAGGGGAGGGGAGGAGAGGGAGGAGGGGAGGGGAGGAGAGGGAGGAGGGGAGGGGAGGAGAGGGAGGAGGGGAGGGGAGGAGAGGCAGGAGGGGAGGGGAGGGAGGAGGGGAGGGAGGAGGAGAGGGGAGGAGGGGAGGGGAGGAGAGGGGGGAGGAGAGGGAGGAGGAGAGGAGAGGGAGGACGGAGGAGAGAGGAGAGGGAGGACGGCGGAGAGAGGAGAGCAGGGGAGGGGAGAAGAGAGGGGAGAGAAGGGGAGAGGAGGGGAGGGGAGGGTAACAGAGGGGAGGGAAGAGGAGGGGAGAGAACGGGACAGGAGGGGAGGGGAGGGGAGCAGAGGGGAGAGGAGGGGAAAGAGGAGGAAAGAAAAGAAGAGTGGAGAGTGAGTCCAAGGTTTCTGGCCTGAGCACCTAGAGGGGTGGGAGTTGCCATCACTGAGACGGGGAAGCTGCGTATGTGTGCGTGGGGGCAGATTAGGGTGGTGGAGGTGAGGTCTGCACATGGGAAGAGATATTCACACTGAGACATGGCAGAGACCAAACCAGGACACTTCATTACCAGTCATTAGGTGTTCTTGGTAATTCAGCCATGCATAAAGAAATCAACAAACGTTTCCTTCCCTGTTAGCATGATACAGGCCACCCTATGGACCCCAAGGGAGATGGTTAAAGTCCTGGCTCCACAGTGGGAGGCCTGGGTGCTATGGAACCCATGAGAACACAGCCTGGGAAGCCCTCTGAGGCTCAGGACTGCACCTCATGACTTCTGAACCCAAAGTGGCCACGATGACTTGGAACACCCCCCTCTCCCGGGCCCTCTTCAGGGACCTCTCTGTGGCTGTCTGTGAGCAGGATCAGCTGGGCACAAAGTGGGACCCACATCTGGATGCAGAGGGACACACACCCAGCTGTCGGCGCTGCTGATCATTCTTCAGTGTGGCCAAGGGTGTCAGCCCCTCTGGCATGTGGTCGTAGAGCTGGGACAGGCACTTCTCCTGGTGGTCCAGATCCATGCCTGGCTTCACTGCAAAGAGAACCACAGGTTAAATCCCCTCTCATGGATCTGGCCACAGACCCACATAGAGATTTCTCTTTCTACCATGTCTCTAGTTTCCTTTCTTCTGCAGTTTCACAAGGCATTTGGGATCCTCGCTCTCCTTTCTGCCCCTGGACACACCCCAGGCAGTCTGACCCTCAAGCTTTTTTTTTCTTTGAGACGGTCTCACTCTGTCACTCAGGTTGGAGTGTGGTCTCACTCTGTCACCAGGCTGGAGTGCAATGGCACAATCATAGTTCACTGCAGCCTTGAACTCCTGGGCTCAAGTGATCCTCCCACCTCAGCCTCCTGAGTAGTTAGGACTACAGACATGCACCACCACATGCCAGGCCAATTTTTAAATTTTTTTGTAAAGATGAGGTCTTGCTACATTGCCCAGGCTGGTCTCAAACCCCTGGGTTCAAACGATCCTCCTGCCTTAGCCTCCCAAATTGCTGGGATCAAATGTGTGAGCCACCATGCCTGGCTACCCCGAAGCTCTTGCTCATTGGAACCAGTCATGCTCCAGAGGTTCAGAATTTTTTTTTTTTTGAGATGGAGTTTTGCTCTGTCGCCCAGGCTTGGGTGCAGTGGGGTGATCTTGGCTCACTGCAACCTCCACCTCCCGGGTTCAAGTGATTCTCCTGCCTCAGCCTCCCGAGTAGCTGGGATTACAGGCACGTGCCACTATGCCCAGCTAATTTTTCTATTTTTAGTAGAGACGGGGTTTCAGCATCTTGGCCAGGCTGGTCTCGAACTCCTGACCTCATGATCCACCCAGCTCGGCCTCCCAAAGTGCTGGGATTGTAGGTGTGAACCACCACACCTGGTGAGGTTCATAATTTGACCCTGAGCCCCCACACGCTACCTCCTCTGACTCACCCACCACACAGAACCTCCTAGCATAGCCCAGACCCTGTCATGCCTGGCCTGCACCCCTCTGCAGGCCTGCACCCCTCTGCAGGCCTGCACACCTGCAGCACAGCCCCTTCCTGCTTCAACCACACCCTCCCTGGTGCGTATCCTGCTCTCAAACCTCACAAAACCACTCTCCACTTCCCCAGCACCCTCGGCCTCTATTCCTGTGCTCAGACACTTTACTCCCTCTAGGCTGACCCTGCCCTCCTGTGCAGATGGAAAAGTTGAACTCAAATGTCACCGCCTCTGAGAAGCCATCAATGACTGCACCATGGAGTCCACCTTCTGCTGCATTTGTGTCTCTGCAGCAATCACCAAGGCACTATATGGTATTTCTATTTGTTTCCACATCTTGTCTCACCTAATAGACTATATAGTACTAGGAGTGGTGGCTCACACTTTCAGAGAACCTACAGCATATAAAGCATTATTGAGCTTTGCATACAGGCCCTTCATTTTCATGACAGCCTGTGAGGTAGAGTCTCTCCATATACCCATTTTACAGATGAGAAAATCGAGGCAGAGGACAGCTAAGTAACTTGCCCAAGGTAATACAGCTCATTCATGGCAGAGCTGAGATATGAACCCAGGAAGTCTGGCTCCAGAGGCTGTCTTTTTAATTCCTCAGGAGGCTGCCTGGATTAGTACTCATTAGATCAAAAATCCCTGGCCAGGCACCCGTGGCTCATGCCTGTAATGCCAACACTTTGGGGAGGCCAAGGCAGGACAATTGCTTGAGGCCAGGAGTTTGAAACCAACCTAGGCAACATAGTGAGACTCCATCTCTACAAAAAAAATTTTTTTCAATTAACTGGTGTAGTGTCATGTGCCTGTAGTCCCAGGTATTCAGGAGGCTGAAGTAGGAGGATCGCTTGAGCCCAGGAGTTCAAGAAGGCAGTGAGCCATGATCATACCACTGTACTCCAGCCCCACCCCAAAAAATAAATTAAATTAAATTAAATTAAATTAAATTCTGATCATCACAGATTTTTTTTGCATTAATTTTTATTTTATTATTATTTGTTTTTTTGAGATGGAGTCTTGCTCTGCTGTCCAGGCTGGAGTGCGGTGGCACAATCTCGGCTCACTGCAACCTCCACCTCCCCGGCCCAAGCCATTCTCCTGCCTCAGTCACCAGAGTAGCTGGGATTAGAGGCACACGCCATGCCCGGCTAATTTTTGTATTTTCAGTAGAGACAGAGTTTCACCTTGTTGGCCAGGCTGGTCTCGAACTCCTGACCTCAAATGATCTGCCTGCCTTGGCCTTCCAAAGTGCTGGGATTACAGGCGTGAGCCACTGTACCCGGCCTGCATTAATTTGGATTCTTTTAAAATATTACCTTAAAATGTTACCTATCTTGATGCCAGCATTTTTGGCATTCCCTTAGATTCTAGATTCCAGGTGAAAATTCATCCTCTTGCACACAGGCAGAATTAAAGGTGCCTCCTCTTCCTCTCTCTAAAGAAGCTTATAACCCCTAACCCCACCATGGCCTGTGCAGCAGCTGCCTCAGTCATGGGTCATTCTCATCCTCTGCCTTCAGCCTGTGAGCATCTCCAGGGAAGGCAGTTAGCTCTCGCTCAGCTCAGAATCACCCCTGGGGCAGCTGGACCACAGCCCTGGCCAAACCCCTGAACCCCACAGGCCTTACCCTGGTGGTCAATGAGGAGGATGGCAGTGAAGTAGTGGGCCAGCGCCGTGTAGTGGTGGGCCTTCACGCAGGCCAAGCTGGCCCAGGAGTAGGGGATGTTCTCTTTCACCGGCGCCTGGCTCATGGCTGCGTGCAGCTGTTGGTAGACCTCTCCCACCTGAAATAGAAGGGGCATTGGGAAGGGGCAGCCCGGCACAAGGGCCCTCATGAACCCATTTGCAGAGAAAGAGCCCTTTCTTCTTCTCATGCAACAGCCCCTGCCAGGGGCTGCTCCAGAATCTGGGAGCAACTCCAAGCAACCCCTCGTTCTGTCACTGTCACAGTTAACAGGGGGATCAGGCTGCTGTCATTATGCTGGTTTTTAGGTTAAGCTGCACATGGAATCAGTGATCCGTATCTGAAACACCAACACTTGCCAAGAAAACTCAAGCCAGCAGTACTGGCCGGAGCTGGCACAATGCCCAGGTCACAGGCAAGCTCCCGTGGGAAGGCCCCGCTACTTCCAGTGCTCCTGTGCCAGCATTTCCTGCCCACTCCCCAAAGTCACAGGAACCAGGGAGTCTTACCTTGGCAGCCTCCTGAGCCACCTTCACCAGCATGAAGAATTCATTCCGGATCCCAGGAAGGCTGATTTTCTCAAACACGCTTTCTTGGGCTTGTGCAAGCATCATTTTGACAAGCACGCTGAGCATGGCAGGGCTCATGTCGTAACTTGGAGTATGGGTAAATGTCTCTTTCAGGTAGTTTAAAACCCCTAAAAGTGGAAAATGTTTTGCCCATTAGTTCGGGTTTACATTTACTTCATCACGTTGCTGTAGAGAAAGATAGGAGGCCAGGTGCGGTGGCTCATGCCCATAATCCCAACACTTTGGGAGGCCAAAGCGAGCAGATCACTTGCATCAGGAATTTAAGACCAGTGTGGGCAACATGGTGAAACCCTGTCTCTACAAAAAATACAAAAATTAGCTGGGTGTGATGGCGTGCACCTATAGTCTCAGCTCCTCTGGAGGCTGAGGCAGGAGGATTGCTTGAGCCCAGGAGACAGAGGTTGCAGTGAGCTGATATCTCACTACTGCACTCCAGACTCCGTCTCAAAAAAAAAAAAAAAAAAAAGGAAAGATAGGAGAAAAAAAAAAAGAACCAGTGTCCTACAACATATTAAAAAGTTTGATTCTCAATTATATGGTCCAGCAATTCCACTCTTATGATATATATCCCCAAACAGTTGAAAGTGAGGGCTTAAATGATACTTGAACACCTGTGTTAATAGCAACATTATTCACAAGAGCTGAAAAGTGGAAACCACCCAGACATCCATGAGCAGATGAATGATTAAACACAATGTGGCCTATCCATACAATGGAATATTTTTCAGCCTTAAAAAGGAATGAAATTCTGACATATGGTACAGTGTAAATAAGGGCATTATGCTAAGTGAAACAAGCCAGTCACAAAAGGACCAATATTGTAGGATTCCATTTAGATAAGGTACCCGGAATAGTCAAATTCACAGAAACAGAAAGGAGAATAGAGGTTAGCTGGGGCTGGGAAAGGGGGCAATGGGAAGTTATTGCTTAACTGAGTAAGTACAGAGCTTTGCTTATCCATCATCCAGATGGAAAAGTTCCGGAGATAGCTGGTCACAGGGGCTGCTGCCTATAATCCCAGCTACAAGGGAGGCTGAGGTGGGAGGGTTGCTTGACATTAAGAGTTCAAGACCAGCCTGGGCAACATACTGAGACCCCTGTCTCTTAAAAAAATATATACTTTTTAAAAATGTATTTATTTTATTTATTTTTGAGACAAGATCACACTCTGTTGCCCAGACTGGAGTGCAGTGGCACGATCATGACTCACTGCAGCCTCAAACTCCTGGGCTCAAGAGGTCCTCCCACCTCAGTCTCCTGAAGAGCTGGGACTACAGCCATGCACCACCCCACACCCAGCTAATTTTAAAATTTTTTGTACAGATGGGGTGTGCCTATGTTGCCCAGACTGGTCTCCAACTCTTGGATTCAAGTGATCCTCCTGACTCAGCATCCTAAAGTACTGAGATTACAGGTGTGAGCCACCTTGCCTAACCAACAAAAAAAATTTTTAACTTCTGGAGATGTTTAGTGGTAATGGCTGCACAACACTATGAATGTACAAATGCACTTAATGCCATTGAACTGCACACTTCAAAATGGTTAAAATGTGCTTCTGGTTGGCAGATAATTTTAAAATTTTAAAAATTTAAGATAATCATTAAAATGGTAATTTTATGTTCTGTGTTATTTTACTATAATAAAAAACTGGTTAAAATAGTCCATTTTAAGTTATATATGTATATTTTAACACTATTTATTTATTTATTTATAAATAAACGCCCAGGCTGGAGTGCAGTGGCATGATTTCAGCTCACCGAAACCTCTGCCTCCCAGGTTCAAGCGATCCCCCTGCCTCAGCCCCCCAAGTAGCAGGGATTACAGGTGCCCACCACCACACCTAGCTAATTTTTGTATTTTTAGTACAGACGGGGTTTCACCATGTTGGCCAGACTGGTCTTGAACTCCTGACCTCAGGTGATCTGCCTGCCTCAGCCACCCAAAGTGCTGGGATAACAGGTGTGAGCCACCCCACCCAGCCTTTTAACCCAATTTTTTAAAATTGGATTGTCTTCCAAAACACTTACATCTCTATTGAGTAGAGAAACCAGCCTGCTCCCCACAACTCCTGTGTCACCTGGGACAAAATTCCATCATGACAGGTATGGAGATGCAAGCAGAGAGCAGGCAGAAGGACTGAGGGGCTCACAGGCGGCCAGGCTCACACATAAGATCTGAGTCATTCAGCAGTCCAGGGCTTTTCCCCTGGACCTCAAGAAAGATCTATTCTGGCCAGGTGCGGTGGCTCATGCCTCTAATCCCAGCACTTTGGGAGGCCGAGGCGGGTGGATCACCTGAGGTCAGGTTCAAGACCAGCCTGGCCAACATGGCAAAACCCTGCCTCTACTAAAATTATAAAAATTAGCCAGGCATGATGGTACACACCTATAATCCCAGCTACTCAGGAGGCTGAGGTAGGAGAATCACTTGAACCCGGGAAGCGGAGGCTGCAATGAGCCAAGATCTCACCACTGCACTCCAACCTGGGTGACAGAGTGAGATTCCGTCTCAAAAAAAAAAAAAAAAAAAACTCAATCCGTCTGCTCCAATGGAAATTTTCATGCTGCAGCCTTCCACTGACTTCTTTATAGTTTAGAAAATTAACTGTCCAAAGCGCTAACTGACAATCAATCTGGAACTGAAATAGAGTCTCTCATATGAATCCCATCCAACTGGGTCCTCTGGTTTTGTTGCTGAGCAAAAAAAAAAAAAAAAAAAAAAAAAAAATCCCCACCCTGTGGAGGGATGGCACCTGCTGTTTTGAGCTGTGAGCTCCGTGGGGGTTCCCTCACCCTCCCCACTGTTCTCCCACTTGCTTCATTTCATCTATAATTTGTCTCCACTGCTATAATCTCAGAGACAGGACACAGAGTGCCTGCCTAAGATTCCCCAGAAAGATGAGTCCAGAAAAAAGATTTACAACAAAAGAAATCAACTCATACTTGGAATCTTAGCATATCGCTTCATCCCAAGAGACCAATCTTTCATTTTTTTAATTAATTAATTATTTTTTGAGACAGGTTCTTGCTCTGTCGCCCAGGCTGGAGTGCAATGGCACGATCTTGGCTTACCACAACCTTGGCTGATCCTTCCATCTCAGCCTCCCAAGTAGCTGAGACTACAGGCATGCACCACCAGGCCCAGCTAATTTTTGTACTTTTTGTAGAGATGGAGTTTTGCCTTGTTGCCCAGGCTGATCTCAAATTCCTGAGCTCCAGCAATCCACCCACCTCAGCCTCCTAAAGTGCTGGGATTACAGGCATGAGCCACCATGCCTGGCCTATTTCTTGAATTAAAAAAAAAATTCTTTTTGACAATCATAGCTCACTGCAGCCTCAAACTCCTGGGCTTAAGTGATCCTCCTGTCTTAGCCTCTGGAGTAGCTAGAACTATGGGCGTACACCACCACGCCTGGCTAATTTTAAATATGTTGTAGAGACAGGGTCTTCCTGTGTGGCCCAGGCTGGTAGGACCAATCATTGTAACATCAGAAATTTCACAATGAGTTGAAGTGGCAAAGCTCTGGTTCTTCACAAGCTTGCAGGGCAAAGTGATATCAAACAATGATCCACATGGGTGGAAGGGGATCACACCCCAAAGCAGAATGTCGATGATCAACCTAGAAGGCAACACACTATAGAGCTAGTGTGGAGAACACACTGTGGTCTACACTGTGCCCTGCTCTTGCATCCATCCCCACAGGGAGTCTGACCCAGACACAGGCCCTGCTATGGGGGAGCAAGGCAGAACCCGTAGGCAAGGGTGAGCCATGCCAGGCTCACCCACAGCACTGGGTCTGGTGACCCCGGTCCTCTACAGGTGTAAGCACTAGGTTGCTTTTCTCCTCGACCCCGCACCTCGTTCTCATACTAGGATTACCTGAGGTCAGGAGTTTGAGACCAGCCTGGCCAACAGGGCAAAACCTCATCTCTACTAAAAATACAAAAATTAGCCGGGCATGGTGGCAGACGCCTGTAATCCCAGCTACTTGGGAGGCTGAGGCAGAAGAGTTGCTTGAACCCAGCAGGCAGAGGTCGTAGTGAGCAGAGATTGTGCCACTGCACTCCAGGCTGGGTGACAAGAGCAAGACTCTATCTCAAAATAAACAAATAAATAAAATAAAATAACAAAAGACAGTTCCCAGAAGAAGGGAACTGAGCTATGAGACATCCTTTGAATGCATCACTTGACCAAGGGTTGAGAACACCCACCTCATGCTGGAGAAGTTGGCAGAATGCAGGTGACATAAAGGCATGGAGGGGCAGGGTGCGGTGGCTCACCCTGTAATCCCAGCATTTTGGGAGGCTGAGGCAGGCGGAACACCTGAGGTCAGGAATTCGAGACCAGCCTGGCCAGGATGGTGAGACCCCATCTCCACTAAAAATACAAAAATTAGCCGGGCGTGGTAGCGAGTGCCTGTAATCCCAGCTACTCAGGAGGCTGAGGCAGGAGAATCGCTTGAAACTGGGAGGTTTCAAGCAGTGAGCCAACATTGCGCCACTGCACTCCAGCCTGGGCGACAAGGGCAAAACTCCATCTCATAAATAAATAAATAAATAAATAAAGGCACGGAGAGTAATATGCACAGATAGGGTACACCTAATACAAGAAAAAGAAGCCTACAGTTTCACTATTTGGGAAAAGTTATTCTGCTCTTCATGACAGTGTTGAAAGAAACAGTTATGCACTGCCATCCCAGGGCCACTTGTCTGGAAAAGATCAATCATCAGCCACAGGATTCACCATGTACATCAGCCATCCCAGACTGAGGTCTGAACCACCAAGCAAGTTTCTTTTTTTTTTTTTTGAGATGGAGTCTGGCTCTGTCGCCCAGGCTGGAGTGCAGTGGCACGATCTCGGCTCACTGCAAGCTCCGCCTCCCGGGTTCATGCCATTCTCCTGCCTCAGCCTCCCGAGTAGCTGGGAATACAGGTGCCCGCCACCAGGCCCAGCTAATTTTGTGAATTTTTAGTAGAGATGGGGTTTCACCATGTTAGCCAGGATGGTCTCGATCTCCTGACCTTCGTGATCCACCTGCCTCAGCCTCCCAAAGTGCTGGGATTACAGGCATGAGCCACCGCGCCCGGCCAGAGCAAGTTTCTTAATGGGAAGTTACACCAGAGCTGAAGACTGGTCTGGCCCTTGCAGGGGACGACCTGTAGACCCTCTTCAGTGGGGGGTCCCCTGGTGCCACCAGGCGGGGCCAAGGCTCTGTCCAGTCAGCCCTGGAGGAGACATACCTGCAGCTCTCTGAAAGGCATCTATGGCACTCTGCAGCCCAGCCTGCATCTGCCAATAGCGCCACGTCCCAATCTCGGTGTAGAGGGCCCCAGTGTTGAACAGGACACTGGCCTTCTCCAGCAGCAGGTTCTGCTGGCTGACCAGAACCCCAGTGAGGGAGTCATACCTATGTGAAAGAAATACATTCAGGGAGTACAGATTACTTGGCTAGTTAATGCTACTTTTGGATGCAAGTGGAAAAAATTATTATTATTATTTTATTTATTTATTTATTTTGAGACAGAGTCTCACTCTGTCGCCCAGGCTGGAGTGCAGTGGCGTGATCTCGGCTCACTGCAAGCTCTGCCTCCCAGGTTCACGCCATTCTCCTGCCTCAGCCTCCCAAGTAGCTGGGACTATAGGCACCCGCCACCACGCCCAGCTAATTTTTTGTATTTTTAGTAGAGACAGGGTTTCACCGTTTTAGCCAGGATGGTCTCGATCTCCTGACCTCATGATCCGCCCACCTCAGCCTCCCAAAGTGCTGGGATTACAGGCGTGAGCCACTGTGCCTGGCTCTATTATTATTTTTTTAAGAGTCAGGATCTCACTCTGTTGCCCAGGCTGGAGTGCAGTGGTGTGATCATAGCTTACTGCAGCCTCCAACTTTAGGGCTCAATTGATCCTCCCACCTCAGCCTCATGAGAATAGCTGGGATTACAGGTGCATGCCACCATACCTGCCTAATTTTTTTTTTTAATTTTTGTAGAGATGGGGTCTCACTATGTTACCCAAACTGCTGTTAAACTCCTGGGTTGGCTGGGTGTGGTGGCTCACACCTGTAATCCCAGCACTTTGGGAGGCTAAGGCGGGTGGATCACCTGAAGTCAGGAGTTCGAGACCAGCCTGGCCAAGATGGTGAAACCCAGTCTCCACTAAAAATACAAAAATTAGCCAGGCATGGTGGCAGGCACCTGTAATCCCAGCTACTCAGGAGGCTGAGGCGGGAGAATTGCTTGAACCCGAGAGGCGGAGGTTACAGTGAGATGAGATTGCACCGCTGTGCTCCAGCCTGGGTGACAATAACAACAACAACAAACTCATTTCTTCAATAAAATTCAAGAATGCACATGCACTGAGGCTTTTGTTTCCAAGCAAGATGACAGGACTAATCGCACTGACCGCCACAGCCACACACACAAATATCTGATGGGGTAACTTTATAAACACAGCATGGGACATCCAGACAATGGACTATTACTCAGTACTAAAAATGGAGCCTTTTCAAGCAAGCCTTGAAAAGATGCAGAGGAAACATTACTAAGAGCCAACCTGAACGTTGCTACCTACTGTATAGCACGCTGTGTGAGTCCAACATTCTGAAAAGCCAAAAACCCGGGAGACAGAAGAAAGATCAGGGGTTGCCAGGACTTAGGGGGAGGGAGGGAGGAACGGCAGAGCACACGGAGGATTTTTCCAGCAGTGAAACTCTTCTGTACGACACTGCAAAGATGGATCACTGTCACTCTATGTTGGCCAAAAGCTGCAGAATACACAAGTGCAAGAATGAACCCTAATGGGAACTATGGACTCTGGGTGATAATGATGTGTCAGGTAAGTTCCTCAATTATAAAAAAAAAAAAAAAAATGCGCCAGGTGCGATGGCTCATGCCTGTAATCCCAGCACTTTGGGAGCCCGAGGCAGGCAGATCACAAGGCCAGGGATTGAGACCAGCCTGGCCAACGTGGTGAAACCCCATCTCTACTAAAAATACAAAAATTAGCCAGGCGTGGTGGGGCACACCTGTAGTCCCAGCTACTCAGGAGGCTGAGGCAGAAGAATCACTTGAACCCAGGAGGCGGAGGTTGCAGTGAGCCGAGATCACGCCACTGTCCTCCAGCCTAGGCAACAGAGCAAGACTCCGTCTCAAAAAAAAAAAAAAAAAAAAGGGCCAGGTGCAGTGGCTTACACTTGTAATCCCAGCACTTTAGAGGCCAAGGCAGGTGGATGGCTTGAGCTCAGGAGTTTGAGACCAGCCTGGGCAACATAGTGAAACCCCTCTCTACCAAAAATACATGGTGGTGGCATGTGCCTTTAAGCCCAGCTACTTGGGAGGCTGAGGTGGGAAGATGGCTTGATACTGGGAGGCAGAAGTTGAAGTGAGCTGAGATCACACCACCACACTCCAGCCTGGGCGACAGAGTGAGACTCCGTCTCAAAAAAAAAAAAAAAAGAAAAGTGTGTGTGTATATATATATAGCTTCTCCTAAATGAAATATGGCAATTACTAACCCCTCATAATTCTTTCTGAAATCTAAAACCTCAGGATTTGTTTTACTTTTTTATTTTTTCAGACCAAGTCTCACTCTGTTGCCTAGGCTGGAGTGCAGTGGCATGATCATGACTCACTGCAGCCTCAACCTCCTGGGCTTAAGCGATCCTCTCATCTGAGCCTCCCAAGGAGATGGGACTACAGGCATGTGCCACCCATGCCTGGCACATTTTCTCTAATTGTTTTGTAGAGATGGGGTCTCACTGTGTTGCCTAGACTGGTCTCAAACTCCTGGGCTCAAGTGATCCACCAACCTCGGCCTCCCAACATGCTGGGATTCCAGATGTGAACCACCACACCCAGCCTAGGACTTGTATTATTTATTTATTTTTTTTTTAATTTTTATTTTTTGAGACAAAGTTTTGCTCTTTCACCCAGGCTGGAGTGCAGTGGCGCCATCTCAGCTCACTGCAGCTTCTGCTTCCCGGGTTCAAGCAATGGTCCTGCCTCAGCCTCCTGAGTGGCTGGGATTACAGGCGCCCACCACCACACCCGGCTAATTTTTGTATTTTTAGTAGAGACATGTTTGTCAGGCTGGTCTCGAACTCCCGACCTCAGGTGATCCACCCACCTCGGCCTCCCAAAGTGCTAGGATTACAGGTGTGAGCCACCGCACCTGGCCCTAGGACTTGTTTTAAAGTTTACTCATGAACCAAGGGGTGTGCAGACAGCTTCTCCCTAATTCATGACTAAGGAGAAACCACCTTTCACCATGCAGACAGCCTGGTGCATTGTTAGGAAAAGTCATCCCCCTTTCCTTTGCTTTCAATGAGGAAGGCATCAGTAGCCAACCATCGGCTATAGAAACATTCAATTCTGATATGCCCCGACCTTCTAGGATGTACTCTCCTTTCACTGACACTCCTAAAAACACTCAGAGAAGGGGTGCAGCATCTCCAAAGTACTTTTTTTTTAGGTTGTTGGTGTTTTTTTTTTTTTTTAATACAGACTCTCACTCTGTTGCCCAGGCTGGAGTTCAGTGGTGCAATCTTGGCTCACTGCAACCTCTGCCTCCCAGGTTCAAGTGATTCTCCTGCCTCAGCCTCCCAAGTAGCTGGGACTACAGGCACGCACAACCATGCCCAGCTAATTTTTGTATTTTTTAGTAGAAGCAGGGTTTCACCATATTGGACAGGCTGGCCTCGAACTCCTGACCTCGTGATCCACCTGCCTCGGCCTCTCAAAGTGCTGGGATTACAGGTGTGAACCACCACACTCAGCCTTTTTTTTTCTTTTTTGAAACAGGGTTTCACTCCTATCACCCAGGCTGCAGTGCGGTGGTGTGATCTAGGCTCACTGCAACCTCTGCCTCCCAGGCTCAAGTGATTCTCTTGCCTCAGCCTCACGAGTACCTGGGACTACAGGTGCATACCATCGTACCCAGCAAATTTTTGTATTGTTTGTAGATATGGGGTTTTGCCACATTGCCCAGGCTGGTCTCAAACTCCTGGGGTCAAGTGATCTGCTTGCCTCAGCCTCCCAAAGTGTTGGCATTATAGGTGTGAAAACCACTGTACCCGGGCTCCCAAGTATTTAAAGTATACTAATCTTTGAAAACACCAATTGGGTCTACGGCCATACCACCCTGACGTGCCTGATCTTGTCTGAAAATACCAATTGTGGAGAAGAATCAAATCCTCTACTTCCATTTTTTAAATCTGATCTAAGCTGAGTGTGTAGCTCATGCCTATAGTCCCAGCTACTCAGGAGGCTGAGGCAGAAATATCACCTGAGCCCAGGAATTCAAGACTAGCCTGGGCAACACAGTGAGACCCCATTTCAAAAGAAACCTGATCTATTTCTGTTTGGTGCTTTTGTCTCACTGGACAAGACCTGATTTTCTCTCTCTCTCTCTCTCTCTCTCTCTCACTCACTCACACATACACATGCATGCCCCAGTCCAATCTGAGACAAGAATCTTGCTTCTGACTAATTCCATTTCAGAGCCCTGTGCTTCCCCAGTGATACAACAAGCAAGAAAAATGTCTCCTCTCCTTGGCTCACCTGTTCTGAGAAGCAAGAGGCCACAGTCTGTTGGGGCCATCTCCCTCGGATCACCTTCATAAATAAATACCAATGTATTGATATCTTTCTAGACTTCCCTGGATAAATGCAAGATAGGAAAGGGGGCTGAGGTGCACAGGGGTGCACCCCGGATAAATGCAAGATAGGAAAAGGGGCTGAGGTGCCCGCAGAGGGGCGTCTGTGATGCTGAGGCTCCGAAACTGTGGCTGCCATAACACGTGAAGCGCCAGCGCAGACCTCAAGCACCTACCAGGTGAACAGGAGTCCCATCTGCCGCGTGGGTGGGAAGAATCAATTCTCAACAAAGCCCAGCTGGATGAAGTATGTCATCAGCAGTTCCACCCTGGCCTCATCCCGGCTGGGCGTCCGACAAGCCTGCGAGGAAAAGAACCCCAGAGGGCATGAGCAGAGGAGGACACAGCTGACAGCCCTTCCCGGAAGGTGCCCTGCACATACCAGCAGGTGCCTGTAACTATTTCTGCAGTATGACGACCTCACTGCTGGCATCATAAACTCTAGGAGGGGTGGAAAGAACCTGGCAGGAAGTCAGAAATCCTGGAATCCAGTCCCAGCCCTGCCAGGAGGCAGGTCTCTCCCCTTCTATGGTTTTCCTTTTTTTTTTTTGAGACGGAGTCTTGCTCTGTCACCCAAGCTGGAGTGCAGTGGTGCGATCTTGGCTCACTGTAACTTCCACCTACCAGGTTCAAGTGATTCTCCTGCCTCAGCCTCCCGAGTAGCTGGGATTACAGGCGTGTAGCACCATGCCCGGCTTGTTTTTGTATTTTTAGTAGAAACGGGGTTTTGCGATGTTAGCCAGTCTGGTCTCAAACTTCTGACCTCAGGTGATCCACCCGCTTCAGCCTCCCAAAGTGCTGGAATTACCAGCATGCACCACCACGCCCAGCTAATTTTTGAATTTTTAGTAGAGACGGGGTTTCACCATGTTGGCCAGGATGGTCTGGAACTCCTGATCTCAGGTGATTCTCCTGCCTCCGCCTCCCAAAGTGCTGGGATTACATAGGCGTGAACCACCATGCCCGGCCTCCTTCTACAGTTTTCTTATGCAGCAAATGGAATGGATGATTCCAGCACCCCCCAACCATCACCTCAATCTACCCACGATTCTGTTAAGACCACAAGCATGCAATAATGGGGTTCCCCGAAGACTTGGAAAAACTACCCTCCCCTCTCTGCTGCACACAAAAACTTACTTGTCTCGGATCCATAAGATCTGTGATTTCATCTTCATATAAATAGCCATCTTCACTGTAATGTTCCAGGATAAAATCCTTAAAGAAAAATAAGGTTAGATACTATAAAATGTGATTGAAAACCATGTATGTGCATAACAGTAATATGTCATTTGTGACCTGTTTCTAAAAAGGCAGAATAAAGAAAAACTTACAGTGATTTTCAAAGTGGGGGAATTTATTTTCTTAATTTATGTAGTTTTTTTTATATGGAGTCTTGCTCTGTAGCCCAGGCTGGAGTGCAGTGGCACAATCTCGGCTCACTGCAACCTCTGCCTCCCAGGTTCATGCAATTCTCCTTCCTCAGCCTCTCAAGGAGCTGGGGTTACAGGTGCCCACCACAACGTCTGGCTAATTGTTGTACTTCTGACCTCAGGTGATCCACCCACCTCACCCTCCCAAAGTGCTGGGATTACAGATGTCAGCCACAGTGTCCGGCCATAGAATTTTTTTTTTTTTTTTTTTAAAACAGGGTTTCACTCCCATTGTCCAGGCTAGAATGCAATGTTGCGATCTCGGGTCACTGCAACCTCCACCTCCCAGGCTCAAGTGATTCTCATGCCTCAGCCTCCCAAGTAGCTGGGATTACAGGCATGTGCCACCATGCCCAGCTAATTTTTGTATTTTTAGTAGAGATGGAGTTTCACCGCATTGCCCAGGCTGGTCTCAAACTCCTGGGCTCAAGCAATCCATTTGCCTCAGCCTCCCAAAGTGCTGGGATTACAGGTGTGAGCCACTGCACCCCATGCCTATGTTTTTAAATGCTGTGTTGCTTCAGTAAAAGTGAGAGTTGAAGTTAATTTTTTGCTTAAAAATGTCTTTGTGTCTGTGCATCATGGCTCACATCTGTAATCCCAGCACTTTGTGAAGACAGGGCAGGTAAATCACTTGAGCCCAGGAGTTTGAGACTAGTCTATGGCCTATACATTCAACTATACTGCAAACACTGCAGATATTCAGGGGCTCAGACTTGCAATTCTGGGCCTCCCTCAGGACCCAGACAAGTTTCCCAGCACAGACCCTGAGGGTAGGACTGTCATAACAGTCCCCAGATACAGGTTTCCTTTGCCAAGAAGACACTTAACCATGTTATAAAGGCATTTTATTTTATTTTATCTTTGAGGCAGGGTCTCACTTGGTTGCCTAGGCTGGAGTGCAGTGGTGCGATCGCGGCTCACCGCAGCCTCGACTTCTCTGGGCTCAAGTAATCCTCCTACTTCAGCCTCCCAAGTAGCTGGGACCACAGGCACGTGCCACAGGCTAATTTCATTTTTGTATTTTTTAATAGAGATGGGGTTTTGCCCTGTTGCCCCACCCCCGCCCCTACAAGTGCTGGCTCCCCCAAGCTGCAAGAAAGGTGATCACATAGATGGCTCAATTATGTCTTCCCAAGTGACTGTGTAACCTCTTTACACAACTTCTACATTAAAGCTCCTCCTGTTTTTGTGTGTTCAACGTACACACACACAAACACTTGTCTTACAAAAATGGATTTGTACTAAATATACAACTTTGCTGTGCCTTCTTTTTCTAAGAGATGAGGGTCTCGCTCTGTCATCCAGGATGGAGTGCAATGGTGCAATCATAGCTCACTGCAGCCTTGAACTCCCGGGCTCAAGTCATCCTCCCACTTCAGCTTCTCCAGTAGAGGGGACTATAGGTGTGCACCATCACACTCAGCTAATATTGTTATTTTTCGTAAAGACAGAGTCTTCCTATGTTGCCTAGGCTGGTCTCGGACTCCTGGCCTCAGGTGATCCTCCCACCTCAGCTTCCCAGAGTGTTGGAATTACAGGTATGAGCAACTGCGCTCAGCTGACTATGCCTCTTTTCTTTAAACTTGGCCATGGGCTGGGTATGGTGGCTCACACCTGTAATCCCAGCGCTTTGGGAGGCTGAGGTAGGTAGATCACTTGAGGTCAGGTGTTCCAGACCAGCCTGGCCAACATGGTGAAACCCTGTCTCCATTAAAAATTTAAAAAATAAAAAATAAAATAGCTGGGCATGGTGGTTAAAAGGGGTCAGGTGTAGTGACTCATGCCTGTGATCCCAGCACTTTGGGAGGCCAAGGTGGGAGAATCACTTGAGACCAGGAGTTTGAGACCAGCATGGACAACATAGTGAAACCCCATCTCTACAAATAATAAAAAATTAGCCAGGCGTGCTGAGGCAGGAGGAGGATCACTTGAGCCCAGGAAGTTGACGCTGCAGTGAGCCATGATCACGTCACTGCACTCCAATCTTATGTTCACCTCATAAAAGTCAAAGAGGATTTTGATTAAATTATATATGTGATCCTGAATTTGAAACTTAGTAAACTAGGGTAGATTAACGTACTTAGTGGGATAAAAAAAATTATCTAACTGGCCAGGCACAGTGGCTCACCCCTGTAATCTCAGCACTTTGGGAGGCCGAGGCAGGTGGATCATTTGAGGCCAGGAGTTCGAGACCAGCCTGGCCAACGTGGTGAAACCCCATCTCTACTAAAAATACAAAAATTAGCCAGGCATGATGGCAGGTGCCTGTAATCCCAGCTACTCAGGAGGCTGAGGCAGGAGAATAGCGTGAGCCCAGGAGGCGGAGGTTGCAGTGGGCTGAGATTGAGCCATTGCACTCCAGCTTGGATGACAGAGCAAGACTTCGTCTAAAAAAAAAAAAATCCTAACTGAAACCCACTGTAAACATTAGGGACAAAACGAGAATTTCTACCATCACTGTTATTACTTAGCCTAATTCCAAACATTCTCTAGCCCACACATTAAGAAAAATAAGAGACATAAAATACTGGAAAGAAACAATCAAAATAATTTTTTGCAACACAACAGCATGTTTATAAAACCCAATAGCATCAACTGAAACATTACTAAATTAATAAGAATTCAATAAAGTGGCAAAGAAGTTAGCACATGAAAGTCAATAGTAAAAAAGAAAAGTCAATATTCTTCCTTTCTTATACAAGCAATAACTAATTAGACAAACTTAACAGACAGCCAGGTGTGGTGGCTCGTCACATCTGTAATCCCAGCAGTTTTCAAGGCTGAGGTAGGCAGATCATTTGAGGTCAGGAGTTTGCGACCAGCCTGACCAGCAAGGTGAAACCCTGTCTCTACTAAAAATACAAAAAATTAGTTGGGTATGGTGGCAGGTGCCTCTAATCCCAGCTACCCAGGAGGCTGAGGCAGGAGAATCACTTGGACCTGGGGGGCAGAGGTTGCAGTGAGCCAAGACTGCACCACTGTACTCCAGCCTGGGCGACACAGTGAGACTCTGTCTCAAAAACAAACAAACAAACAAAAAAAACCTAACAGAGAAACAATACCTTTCAAAATAGCAACAAAAATACATTTCTAGGGATAAAATTAATATAATTAAGCAGAAAACTATTAAACTTTACTGAAGAACAGATGTGATTTCATTTTCTTTCATTGATTCGATTTTTTTTTTTTTTTTAATGAGACAAGGTATCATTCTGTTTTCCAGGATGGACTGCAGGGGCTCAATCACAGCTGACTGCAGCCTCGACCTCTTGGGCTCAAGCAAGCCACCTCAGCCTCCTAAGTAGCTGGGACTAAAGGTGTGAGCCACTGTGCCTGGCCCTATTTCCTCAAAATAAAACAAAATCAGCCAGCTGCAGTGGCTCACGCCTGTAATCCCAACACTTTGGGAAGCTGAGGCGGGTGGATCACTTGAGGTCAGGAGTTCGAGAACAGCCTGGTCAACATGGTGAAACCCTGTCTCTACTAAAAATATAAAAATTAGCTGGGTGTGGTGGCGGATGCCTGTAATCCCAGGTACTCAGGAGGCTGAAGCAAGAGAATCGCTTGAACCTGGGAGACAGAGGTTGCAGTGAGCCAAGACTGTGCCACTGCACTCCGGCCTGGGCTTCAGAGCGAGACTCCCTCTCTAAATAAATAAATACATAAAATAAAATAAAACAAAATCACACTGTGAAGCTTCACTGATTATTAAAAATATCACATGGACACACAAGTCAGATTTGAAATGGAATTGCCCTAATTCAGTCTGCTGAACCACTTCTGCAGTACCTGTGTTTCTCTCAAATATGGAAGGGAAAAAATACAACAGAAAGCCCCTCAAACGTTCTCATTTTCATATGACTGACATTTGTAGCGTCTCTTTTAGGCTAAAATGACATGGTTGGAAGCCTGTGCCGAATGGCAGTTGGCCATGTCCACAACATGTGAATATTTTCATTTGCTTTAATGTGGAATTCAGAACATGACCCAGTTGAATCCTTAAAAATGCCTATAAAATTCCTAAGTTTCTCCAAGAGACTCTTCCTTTAAAATGCTTGCATTCTTGGCCGGACGCAGTGGCTCACACCTGTAATCCCAGCACTTTGGGAGGTTGAGGCAGGCGGATCATCTGAGGTCAGGACTTCAAGACCAGCCTGGCCAACATGGTGAAACCCTGTCTCTGCTAATAAAAATTAGCTGGGTGTGGTGACACATGCCTGTAATCCCAGCTACTTGTGAAACTGAAGCAGGAGAATCACTTGAACCCAGGAGGCAGAGGTTGCAGTGAGCTGAGATCATGCCATTGGACTCCAGCCTGGGCAACAAGAGTGAAACTCCATCTCAAAAAAAAAAAATGCTTACATTCTTGTAGCCCAGCACCATGCAACAGACAAATTAAATCGTAAAGAAACTTCTACAATAGCAACAGACATTTCCAGACACGTGATTGTTTTGAGTCCCACAGACCAGTGGCAAGTCACATCTATTTTTGCATTTATATATACACACATATATTTTAAATAAAAATAGAGATGGGGCTGGGTGTGGTGGCTCACATCTATGATCTCAGCACTTTTGCTGGAGGTGGAAGCAGGAAGATCGCTTATGGCCAGGAGTTCAAGACCAGCCTGGGCATCATAGTGAGGAGACCCCATCTCTTAAAAAAGAAAAAAAAAAAAGAGAGAGAGAGAAAGAGATGACTGCGTGGTGGTTGACACCTGTAATCCCAGTACTTTGGAAGGCCAAGGTGGGCAGATCACCTGAGGTCAGGAGTTCAAGACCAGCCTGGCCAGGATGGTGAAAATCTGTCTCTACTAAAAATACAAAAATTAGCCTGGCGCAGTGGCTCACACCTCTAATCCCAGCACTCTGAGAGGCCGAGGCAGGTGGATCATGAGGTCAGGAGTTCAAGACCAGCCTGGCCAGGATGGTGAAACCCTGTCTCTACTAAAAATACAAAAATTAGCCAGCATGGTGGTGGGTGCCTGAAACCCCAGCTACTCAGGAGGCTGAGGCAGAGAATTGCTTGAACCTGGGAGGTGGAGTTTGCAGTGAGCCGAGATCACGCCACTGTACTCCAGCCTGGGCGACAGAGCGAGGCTTCATCTCAAAAAATATACATATATACACACAAAAATTAGTTGGCCATGGTGGTGCATGCCTGTAGTCCCAGCTGCTCAGGAGGCTGAGGAAGGAGAATCACTTGAACCCAGAAGGTGGAGGTTACAGTGAGCTGAGATCGCACCATTGCACTCCAGCCTGGGCAACACAGTGAGACTGTGTCTCAAAAAAAAAAAAAAAAAAGAGAGAGAGAGAGAGGGAAGGCCTCATTCTGTTGCCCAGGCTGGTCTCCAACTCCTGGCCTCAAGCTGTCCTCTTGCCTCAGCCTCCCAAAGTGCTAAGATTATAGGCGTGAGCCATTGCATCTGGGCATAAGTCTCACGTAAAAGTTCAGGCAGGCTGTGGCAGTGTGGCATAAAGCTGCAATTCCTGGATTGTTTTCATTGCTTTCTACCCAGAACATAAACTTTCCGGTAAACTTGAGTCCTGAAACACTCAGAATACCAACTTCCCTTCTCCAGTTCCAAAATAAACCCCAAACTCACAGGATTTAAACAAGGCAGCAGTAAAAAAGGCCTCTATTTATGTCAAACAACTCACCGTCTCTGAGAATGAAGGTCAAGTGCTTCCAAAGTATTAACCAATTGCTTTTAAAAGTAGTAGTTGGCTGGGAGCGGTGGCTCACACCTGTAATCCCAGCACTTTGGGAGGCCAAGGCGGGTGGATCGAGTTCGAGACCAGCCTGGCCAACATAGTGAAACCCCATCTCTACTAAAAACACAAATTAGCCAGGCATGATGGCAGGTGCCTGTAATCCCACCTACTCAGGAGGCTGAGGCAGGAGAATCACTTGAACCTGGGAGGTGGAGGTTGCAGTGAGCTGAGATGGCCATCACTGCCCTCCAGCCTGGGCAACAAGAGCGAAACTCCAGCTCAAAAAAAAAAAAAAAGAAAGAAAGAAAGAAAAAAAAAAGTAACAGTCAAAATGTCATAAGATGTTTTCTTTTCTAAACTAAAAGTAGTCCAAGATGAGCCAACTAAGAGGATTATCATGGAAAGTAAAATAAGCCAGGCACAGTGGCTCATGCCTATAATCCCAGCATTTTGGAAGGCTGAGGCAGGAGGACTGCTTGAACCCAGGAGTTTGAGACCAGCCTGGGCAACAGTGGGAAACTCTGTCTCTATGAAAAATACAAAAATTGGCCGGGCATGGTGGCTCACGCCTATAATCCCAGCACTTTGGAAGGCCAAGGCAGGTGGATCACCTGTGGTCAGGAGTTCGAGACCCACCTGACCAACATGGAGAAACCCCGTCTCTATTAAAAATACATAATTAGCCAGGCATGGTGGCACATGCCTGTAATCCCAGCTACTCGGAAGGCTGAGGCAGGAGAATCGCTTGAACCCGGGAGGTGGAGGTTGCGGTGAGCCGAGATCATGCCATTGCACTCCAGCCTGGGCAACAAGAGCTAAACTCCATCTCAATAAAAAAGAAAGAAAAATGCAACAATTAGCCAGGCACGGTGGCACACGCCTGTAGTACCAGCTACTCAGGAGGCTGAAGTGGGAGCATCAACTGAGCCCAGGAGGCAGGGGTTGCAGTGAGCCAAGATCATGCCACTGCATGCCAGCCTGGGTGAAACAGTGAGACTCGGTCTCAAAATAATAAAGAAAAAGGAAAAAAAAGAACACAAAATATTTCTTCGAAGCAATTTTCGCAATGCTAGGATTAATTCCTATAACCAATGCCTGGGCTGCATGATGCAATCTTGGGCCACCCTGCACCTCATCCCCTTTCCCCTCCTTGATGGAATTTGGAGGTGACTGGTTAAAAACTCAAATTGATGGAGTTGAAGAGGGAAAGAAGAGGAGGGTATTCCAGGCACAGGACGGTCTCCCGGCCCCAGCCTCCGGGCACGGTATCTCCTGTGTTCTCCATTGAAGCACCCCTTCCACTTCCCACTTGAATCCCCCACTGACCCAAGGGCCCCGCAGGCAGTGCTTGTGGCACCTCTGGCACCCAGCACAGTGCCAGGCACAGGTGGGCTTATGAGGATCTGCCAAATGGGAGAGGAGTCCAGATACCCAGGAATGTGGCAGGGGGACACACAAGCAAAGACTCTGGTTATTCAAATATTTAAGGGGAGTGAATTGACATCTTTGATTTCCTTTGAAATTGCATCACAAATAAGACAGATTGATATTAGCCATTACTTTCGTTCTCTTTTTTTTTTTTTTTTTTTTTGAGACAGTTTCACTGTTGCCCAGGCTGGAGTGCAGTGGCACAATCTCAGCTCACTGCATCCTCTGCCTCCTGGGTTCAAGCGCCTCTCTCGTGCCTCAGCCTCTCGAGTAACTGGGATTACAGCCATATGCCACTATGCCCAGCTAATTTTTTTTTTTTTAGATGGGATCTCACTCTGTCGCCCAGGCTGGAGGGCAGTGGCGTGATCTCGGCTCCCTGCAACCTCCACCTCTACCTCCCGGGTTTGAACGATTCACCTGCCTCAGCCTCTGAAGTAACTGGGATTACAGGTGTGCACCACCACGTCCAGCTAATTTCTGTACATTTGGTAGAGACAGGGGTTTTACCATTTTAGCCAGGCTGGTCTTCAACTCCTGAGCTCAAGTGAGCCGCCTGCTTCAGCCTCCCAAAGTGCTGGGATTACAGGCGTGAGCCACTATGCCCAGCCTTTAGCCATTACTTTCAATGGCAAAAACTGCAATTACCTTCAAACCAACCTAACAGACACAAGAATGCACAGATGGACAAATATGTCAGGAAGCAATGCTGGCAGTATGTTCTCGGAAGAAGTGAGTACACAGGGGTTTGCTATAAAATTCTTAAAATTTTTTGAAAAGTTTGGAAATTTTCATAATCAAATGTTAGAGAAAAAACTTTAGCTATTCTTCCAAAGACATAACCTAAACTGGATACATGACTTAAGAAACAAATACACTATTAATAAAAGAGGATGTAAGTTTTAAATTTGAAAGCATATCCACTACAGACCCTTTGACTTGGCCTCTCAGGGAAGGCCCTCCTGGGTTTCCAACCTGCCTTGTCCAAGACCCAGGAGGAGCTTCAGAAGCCATCAAAGGCAACAACAAAAATATGGCAGGAATAAACATATCAATTATGCATGTAGCTGGCTGAGAAGGGCCTCAGGGTCACTCTGTAGATATCAACTGACTCTGCCTAAGGCCATTGCAAGGGATACATATTTTCTCTATATCCATTTTTTTGCTTTTTTTTTTGGAGACAGGGTCTCATTCTGTTGCCCAGGCTGGAGTGCAGTTGTATGATCACAACTCACTGCAGCCTCCAATTCCTGGGCTCAAGCGATCCTCTTGCCTCAGCCTCCCAAGTAACTGGGACTACAGGCATGCGCCACTGCAAATGGCCTATTTCCATTTTAAACACTGAGTCCAGTGCCCATGGCTTTGAGATTTACCTTGAGGATGACTGAAAAGTCGATGTCTTTCGTTTCCTTCAGGCCAAGAGGAATCAGGGGAACCGTAAATGCCTCCCTATGAGGAACACAACAAGGTATGTATGAACACCCCCAACCGGACCCTTGTGCATGCCACAGCCTTGCCCTCAGCAGCCCAGCTCAGGTGTGTGCCCCCTCCTTGCCCCATCCAGTACTCACCTGGCTGACAGGCTCATTTTCCATAAGGATGACTCTAGTCATGCCCCACCCTCTGCTCTAAAACTGACCCTGCTCCCTAAGACTGCTGGACCACCCTGCCTAACACATCAGGCCCCTGGCATCTTGACACTGATTTATCTCCCGGTTTCAATGCCTAAATGGTTCCTTTTTTATTTTATTTTTTTTTGAGAGACTCTTGTTCTGTCGCCCAGGCTGGAGTGCAATGGCGCAATCTCAGCTCACTGTAGCCTCCGCCTCTCAGGTTCAAGCAATTCTCCTGCCTCAGCCCCCTGAGTAACTGGGATTACAGGCACAGGACACCACACCCGGCTAATTTTTGTATATTTTTTTAGTAGCAATGGGGTTTCACCATGTTGACCACGTTGGCCAGGCTGGTCTTCTGACCTCAAGTGATTCGTCCACCTTGGCTTCCCAATGTGCTGGGATGATGGATACAAGCCTCTGTGCCCAGCTCAATCTCAATGCTTCTTTTGGCAGCTGTGCTGAGAGTCTATTGTGTGCCAGGGCCTGTGCATGGTGCACTTGCTGCTCCCACCTGGGTGCACCACCCTGCTGCCCTGCGCCTCCTTTGTCAGCTCCTCACCCCCTCCTCCTCTGCTCCCCTCAGCGGGCCCCACAGCTGTGGCAGCTCTCCAACACCCTCACATTCACAACTCTGGGTTCATAGGGGCCTCTTCTTTGGGAAGTGTCTAGGCGTCCCACCACCAGCACAGAAGATGCCATCAGGGCAGGAGCCCCATCCGACACCGAAGTGCACCTGCCTCCCAGCCCAGGGTCAGACACCCTCCACCTCCTCTCCCCCAGCTGACCACTCTGTAACCACAGGTTGCCTGGGGAGTGCTCCCTGAGCCTACATTCCTAGGGGCAGGGACAGCAGGAAGTGAACGGAGCTCAGGCTGTGTTTTGCAAACAGGGATTCAGCTCCCTGACCTGTAACAGGAGACCTCCTTGGGCTGCTCAGCCCAGCCCCACAAGAAGGCCAGGAAGGCTGGGCAGGGCGAGGGGACAATGCAGCTGTAAGCTGAACCTGGCTCTGCAGCACAGCCATGCTACGGCCAGGTGAGACCCATCCTGGGGGCATGGAAAGCCGAATTCTGCTGAAGGCTCCTCCAGGCTACACAGGGCGGGAAGCCAGGTTTGTGGCTGTCCAGGCAACAACAAGAGGAGGAGCGACTGTCCTGAGTCCCAACTCCAGGGCACCCCAGCCCCAGTGTGGCACTGACAGCACCCTCTAGGTGCCCTCCGGCTTCCCTGAGTTTTCCCATGAGGGAGGGAAATAACCTCATGCACCATGAGGTTATTTCTTTCCCGCCTACCTCCTAGAAGACTGTAAAGATCAACCATGCTAAGAAAGAAACAGTCTACCTTGAAAAAAGAATAGTGCAGGCCAGGCGCAGTGGCTCACGCCTATAATCCCATCACTTTAGGTGGCTGAAACAGGCAGATCACGTGAGGTCAGGAGTTCAAGACCAACCTGGCCAACATGGTAAAACCCCGTCTCTACTAAAAATACAAAAACTACCTGGGCATGGTGGTGTGCGCCTGTAATCCCAGCTACTCAGGAGGCTGAGGCAAGAGAATCACTTCAACCAGGAGGTGGAGGTAGCAGTGAGCCAAGATTACGCCACTGCACTCCATGCCTGGGTGACAGAGCAAGACTCCGTCTCAGAAAGAAAAAAAAAAAAAAAAAGATCAACCATACTAAGAAAGAAACAATCTACTTTGAAAACAGGGCCGGGCATGGTGGCTCACGCCCATAATCCCAGCACTTTGGGAGGCCGAGGCAGGCGGATCACGAGGTCAGGAGATTGAGACCATCCTGGCTAATGGTGAAACCCCGTCTCTACTAAAAATACAAAAAATTAGCCGGGCAAGGTGGCGGGCGCCTTTAGTCCCAGCTACTCGGGAGGCTGAGGCAGGAGGATGGTGTGAACCCGGTAGGCGGAGCTTGCAGTGAGCCGAGATCACGCCACTGCACTCCAGCCTGGGTGACAGAGCAAGACTCCGTCTCAAAAAAAAAGAAAAAGAAAAAAAAAGAAAACAGAAAAGCGCAGGACCCAAATGCATAGTGCCGTGTTGAATCTGCACAGCTCTCCCTCTTCCCAGTGACACAGGGCAGTGACTGGCCACTCTAGAGCCCAGGGACCACTCCAGAGATCTTCGGTTCACTCTGTGGGAAGCCCTGTGTTGCACATCCCCACTCTTCAGCACAGCAAATGAGAGTGTGGGACAGCCGACATTTATTACCAAACCTTGGCCCCATCTCGCCTCCTCCAGAACTTGAACCTTTTGGACAAACACTGTAATTGAACACCAGAGCATAGGCTGGGAGAACCTTCCATTAGCTGTCACACTGACTGGGTGTTCAAAACTGCACAGTAGGCCGGGTGTGGTGGCTCACGCCTGTAAACCTAGCACTTTGGGAGGCTGAGGCCGGCAGATCACAAGGTCAGGAGCTCGAGACCAGCCTGGCCAACATGGTGAAACCCCATCTCTACTAAAAATACAAAAAATTAGCTGGGCATGGTGGCATGCGCCTGTAGTCCCAGCTACTCAGGAGGCTGAGGCAGGAGGATTGCTTGAACCTGGGAGGCGGAGGTTGCGGTGAGCCGAGATCATGCCACTGTACTCCAGCCTGGGTAACAGAGAGAGACTCCATCTCAAAAAACAAACAAACAAACAAACAATAAAAACCGTACAGGAGCCCACAGGTAAGCCAGGCACGGGGTATCACAAAGGGAAGAGCCAGCGAGCTTTCACACACTGACACTTCCCCTCCAGCTCTGAAACCACCCTGGTGCCCTGTGGAGGACCAGCACCAGGAAACACACATTCCATAGGTGACTTAAGGTTCCCAAATCCAGGGAGCTATTTTCCGACTGAGTTTCCCCTGGGGCCCACCTACTTTTTGAGAAGTCTCATGCCCCTACTAAAAAAGCACGTAAACCCTTCTTTGAACTGTCTCAAAGTTATTTCTCCTTAAAAAGAAGCATTTCACTTAGGGTTTTGTTTTGTTTTTGTGTTTTTTGAGACAGGACTTCTTTCTGTTGCCATTACTGCAGTCTCGACCTCCCTGGCTCAAGTGATCTTCCCACCTCAGCCTTCTGAGTAGCTGGGACTACAGGTGTACACCACCATGCCCGGCTAATTTTCCTATTTTTTGTAGAGATGGGGTTTCACTATGTTGCCCAGGCTGGCCTTGAACTCCTGGGCTCAAGCAATCCCCCATCTCAGCCTCCTGAAGAGCTGGATTACAGACATGAGGCAAGAGGGGCATTTCTTTCATAGTTAGATCTCCATTTTTGGAGATGTATTGCAATTCTGAGGGATGGTGTTGTTGGCTTTCATCTTGCAGAAATCAATTCCAAAATTGAGTTATGGAGAATGATACGATACAGTGCCTTCAAAACTGACCTAGGAGCCAGGCACAGTGGCTCACATCTGTAATCCCAGCACTTTGGGAGGCCAAGGCGGGCAGATTACTTGAGACCAGGAGTTCAAGACCAGCCTGGCCAACATGATGAAACCCTGTCTCTACTAAAAAAAAAAAAAAAAAAAAAAATTAGCCAGGTGTGATGGTGCACGCCTGTAATCCCAGCTACTCAGGTGGCTGAGGCACAAGAATCGCTTGAACCCAGAAGGTGGAGATTGCAGTGAGCTGAGATCTCGCCACTGCACTCCCACCTGGGTGAGAGAGGGAGACTCTGTGTCAAAAAAAAAAACAGGAAATACAACCTTAAAAGGAGACTGGTGTGTTACTTTGTTTTAATTTGGATTTTTCTGTTTCAGTTTGTCACCTCCAGCTAGGAAACAGACTGCAGTCCAGCATCTAAGTACAGTGCACAGAATCTCTGTGTGTGCATAGTGGCCTCCCCTTACAGGGTCAATTTTGGCCTTTGGCCTTAGTCCCGAAGTATTTGTGTATGCTTTCTGTTCCTTGGCAAATAAATGAGAAAATAATTAGCCAACATTGGAAAGGTATTGTCCTAACAATGTCCCTTTAATGTTTCTTAGGAAAATTATGATGACCCACTAAAATATCCTTGCTCAATGTCTGTTCAGTTGAATTTAATAACATATCTTGCTAATGTTTGCATGTCTATGAAATGTGACTACGCGGAATTACTGAAACTTAACTATAAAATCCAAGGCATCTAACTTTTAAACTTATCTTGGTTCATCACGTATATTTACACTAGATTTTATACTGTCTTCATTTGTTTTTTTTGTCTGTTTGTTTTGAGACAGAGTCTTGCTCTGTCAGCCAGGCTGGAGTACAGTAGTGTGATCTCGGCTCACTGAAACGTCCAACTCCCGGGTTCAAGCAATTCTGCCTCAGCCTCTGAGAAGCCAGGATTACAAGTGTGCACCACCACGTCTGGCTATTTTTATTTTTAGTAGAGACGGGGTTTCATCATGTTGGCCAGACTGGTCTCGAACTCCTGACCTCAGGTGATCCACCCGCCTCAGCCTCCCAAAGTGTTGGGATTACAGGAGTGAGCCACTGTGCCTGGCCTCACAAATGCCTTTTTGTCACTGCAGATATTTCCCAACACTACAGATATTTCCCAACACTGCAGATATTTCCCAAGAAATGGGCTCATCCCTTCCAGTCTAGCACCTCACTCAACCCCAAACCTGATGGTTCTCTCACTTCCCAAAGCTGGGGCTGCCACACCCCAGTCTAGAACCCTATCTGCCCTGTTTGTGCAGATAGGGTTCGTACCCAGGTACCTCTTCATACCCTGGATATATGAAGGATCTCTGGCTCAGAGGCTTCTGGAAGGTGTGCTGCTCCCACTTACTCTGTGTTCTGATAGATGCCCACTGAGATGTTCAGCCCCTCCAGCTCTTCCTTGAGCATCTGCAGGTCTGAGTTGACCAAGCTCAGCTCCAGCCGCACTTGTTCCCGCACCTTTGGGTTCGCGGCCACTCTGTTCAAAGAGAAGAGGGAGAGAAGTGCCCTCAGCCAGGTATCCCGGCTTCTGGGTGAGCAGAACCAATCCCCAGTCCCTGCAGGGAGGATCAGGGCACGGCTTGCAGAGGAGGGCCAGGAGTGTTGGGTAAGGTATCCCAGGGACACGGAGCACCTGCCCAGCTTGCAGTACACCTGCCAGTACGTGGAGCTGCGGACACAGGCAATGACACTGTGAGCTGCAGACATGAACTCTATGACATCCTGCAAAAACTCCACCTTGAGAACAGAAAACAAAACTGCTCCCAGCCATGCCCTAAAATACCATAAGATATCCACTTGAAAAGAAATGAATGATTCTGGTTGGGCGTGGTGGCCCACGTCTGTAATCCCAGCACTTTGGGAGGCCGAGGCAGGTGGATCAGCTGAAGTCAGGAGTTCGAGACCAGCCTGGCCAACATATAGTGAAACTCTGTCTCTACTGAAAAATACAAAAACTAGCTGGGTGTGGTGGTGCACACCTGTAGTCCCAGCTATGCAGAAGGCTGAGGCTTGAACCTGGGAGATAGGGGTTGCAGTGAGCTGAGATTGTGCCACTGCACTCCAGCCTGGGCAACAGAGCAAGGCTCCCTCTCAAAAAAAAAAAAAAAAAAAAAAAGAAATGAATGATTCCTTTCGGTAGGAGAAATCCAAATAAATAAATAAATAAACATAAAATTTGTTTTAAAAAAAGAAAGAAATGGATGGTTAGCTGGGCATGGTGATGCATGGCTATAGTCCCAGGCAGGAGGATCGCTTGAGTCCAGGAGGTTGATACTGCAGTGAGCTATGATCACACCACCGCAATCCAGCCTGGGTGACAGGGCAAGACACTGTCTCTAAAAACTAAAATAAGATAAAATGAAATAAAATATAAATATATATATATATATATATATATGATAAAAAGTAAAATAAAATAAATGAATGAGAAAATGAAGGCAGAGGTAATGCTTCCTAATTCATTCTGTAAGACTAGTATTAGCAACCCAAGCCTAGCAACATATAAATAGGATTATACACCATAACAAAGTGGGATTTATCCCAGAAATGCAAGGTTGGTTTAACATCTGAAAATCAATATAATATAATATATTATATTAACAGAATAAAGGACAAAAAACACATGGTGACTTCAACAGATATTGAAAAAACTATGTGACAAAATCCATCACAGATTCATAATAAAAATTCTCAACAAAGTAGGAATAAAAGAGAATTTATGAAATCTGATAAAAGACACCTACAAAAACCCACAGTTAACATCACACTTAGTGGTGAATGACTGCTTTCCTCTTCTCACCACGAACAAGGCAAAGATGCCCACTTTTGCTATTTCTAATCAATGAGGCAAATAAAGAAATTAAAGGCATCCAGATTAGAAAGGAAGAAATAAAACTGTCTTTATTTACAGATGGCATTATCTTATATATAGAAAATCCTAAGGCATCCATAAAACAAATATTAGTACTAATAAATTTAGCAAGGTCACAGGGTATAATCAATATACAAAAATCAATTCTTTTTTTTTTTTTTCTCTAGACAGGGTATCACTCTGTCAGCCAGGCTGGAGTGTAATGTCACCATTATGGCTTACTACAGCCTCAACCTCCCAGGCTGAAGCCATCCTGCAGCCTCAGCCTCCCAAGGAGCTGGGACTACAGGTGCACACCACCACACTGGCTGATTTTTGTATTTTTTTGTAGAGATGGACTCTCACTATGTTGCCCAGGCTGGCCCAGAAATCCTGGGCTCAAGCAATCTTCCTGCCTCAGCCTCCCAAAGTGCTGAGATTACAGGCATGAGCCACTGTGCCTGGCCAATTCGATTTCTATATACTAGCAATGAACAATCTTGAAATTGAGAAAACCATTCCATTCACAATAGCATCAAAAAGAATAAAATACTCAGGAATAAACAAAAGAATCACAAGACATGTAAACTGAAAACTACAAAACAATGCTGAGATATATTAAAAGAAGAGCTATTCCATGTTTACGGATGGGAAGGCTCATTATTGTCAAGATGTCAAGCCTCCTTAGTTGGTACATTCATTCAATGCAACCTCAATCAAAATCCCACTAACCTTTTTAATAAAAATCAGCAAGCTGATCTTAAAATTCATATGGAAATGCAAAAAAAAAAAAAACCTACAGTAGGCAAAATAATTTTGAAAAATAAGAACAGAGTTGGAAGACATATTGATTTTAAAATTTACTAAGAAGCTGGGCTGGGCATGGTGGCTCACGTCTGTAATCCTAGCACTTTGGGAGGCTGAGGTGGGTAGATCACCTGAGGTCAGTAGTTTGAGACCAGCCTGGTCAACACAGTGAAACCCCATCTCTACTAAAAATACAAAAAATGAGCCAGGCATGGTGGTAGATGCCTATAATCCCAGCTACTCGCGAGCCTGATGCAGGAGAATCACTTGAACCCGGAAGGCAGAGGCTGCAATGAGCCAAGATTGTACCATTGCACACCAGCATGGGCAACAAGAGCAAAACTCCATCCCAAAAAAATAATAAAAAATAAACAATAAACTTACTAAGAAGCCATAGTCATCAAGATAGCATGGTACTGACATAAAGATAGGCAATGAAACAGAGTAAGAGTCCAGGAATAGGTTGGGTGTGGTAGCTCACACCTGTAATCCCAGCACTTTGGGAGGCCAAGACAGACGGATCATGAAGTCAGGAGATCGAGACCATCCTGGCTGACACGGTGAAACCCCGTCTCTACTAAAAATACAAAAAAAATTTGTATTTTTAGTAGAGCGTGGTGGCGGGCATGGTGGTGAGCACCTGTAGTCTCAGCTACTCAAGAGGCTGAGGCACAAGAATGGCGTGAACCTAGGAGGCGGAGCTTGCAGTGAGCTGAGATCGCACCACTGCACTCCAGCCTGGGTGACAGAGCGAGACTCCGTCTCAGGAAAAAAAAAAAAAAAAAAAAGAGTCCAGGAATAAATGTTTACATTTATGTAGCAAATCTTTACAACTGATTTGAACAAAAGTGCCAAATCAATTCAATGTGGAAAAGATTATTGTTTCAACAAATAGCGCTAAAGCAGGCAGACATCCATAGGTATGTCAGGGTCCCTAAAACCACCCCCAAGTTCAGTGTTAATCTAGGAGGACTTGCAAAAGTCATGGCTGTGGTTTACTACAGCAAAAGACACAAAGCATAATGAGCAAAGGGAAAGGCATATGGGGTGAAATTGGGAGGAGGCCCGGCCCAGGCTTCTAGGGGTCCTCTCCCAGTGGAATCCCACAGACCATGCTTAACTCCCCCATCAAGGAGTTGTGACAACACACGTAAAATGCCAAGAAAGCCCCCAGAAAGTTCCAATCAGGACTCAGGTCCCACCGGGAGGTCCCTCCCTAGCTGACTTCTTGGGCTCCCTCCCAAAGTGGGCAGAAGGGTCTGGGTGAGGGACCCGAGCCTGGTTTTCACTTCCCTAAGCCCGAGGGTCCTCTTCCTGGCACAAGGCCTTGAGGAGGCTTGGGAAGCCAGCCTTCAGGTCCCGCTGTTTTGTTATTTTGCTAAAGCATGTCCCGTCTGTAAGTTTGCCCCCTCGGGTCACTTTCTTCACCTTATCAGCAGGGCCCATGATTCCTTCTGCTTTCCAACAAGACGCCAGAGCATATTTTTAGACCAATGAAGTCGGTGGGACAGTGGGTGGGACCCAGAGAGTGACGGACAGTGAGTCGGCCTGGAGGGTGGGAAGGCGAAGTGAGTTCCCCTCCTGGGACGGGGCTGGGAGGGGACATGGAATGGTCTGTCAGCTATGAGTTTGTGGAAGGCAGAGTCAGTGACTTTCAGCTGACCTGCCTCGGTCTGGAAGATTCCAGTAGAGAAAGGGAGGGCCAGGGGCCTGGAGGCTGGTTCCAGGTCTGGGTGCTGGGCCTGAGAGCATTTCCAAAGCACTGAGCCTGGGACTGAAGGTAATTCACCATGAGGGTTCAGCTGGGGAGGACTGTCTGTGTGCTTCCCCCACCTCCCAGTCCCTCAACTCACCCCCAGTCCCCCTACCTGCCTTAACTCAGGAAAAAGGCCTCCCTCGTGAGCACTGGCAGCTGCCTTTGGAGGCATGTCACGGTCACACCCCAGGACACAACGCAGAATCTCAGGCTGGCAGGGGACATTTGAGATCAGCCAGCCCAGCCTCTCATTTTACAGCTGGGAATGGGTGCACAACGGCCATGGCTGCCCAAGGTCACAGAGCCCGGGAGGGAGCAGCAGGCACAGTGGAAAAAGTAAGGTCACGTGAGCCAGGTCTGGGCACCGGGTCCAGGCCTGCCACTCCCCCGCATGTGGCTCAGGTCGATGGCTCAGACTCTCAGCCTCAGGTCCACAGCTGAAGCAGTAGAGGAACAGCTGTTCGAGGGGCTGCCTGGGGAGGAGCGGGGCTGGGTGCCCTGTGCGCACAGCAGACACTTCATCAGCCACTCAAGTAGGCAGCCGAGCCAGGAGGGCCCTCTGGGCACCTGGGCCTCTCCGTAGGAAGAGGAGCAGGGACCCACTATCCTTTGGGTCAACAACGGCCTTAAGCAATGGGCTCGAAAATCCCTGGTTAGTGACCACCTTCTGTTGCTAGGCAAGATGGGGACAAAGATGGGGTCCAGTTCTCCAGTTGTTAAACATCTGTCTCATCAAGAAGATGGGACAGCACATGGAAAATAAATTTCTATGGTTATAATAACTGTCCCAGATTCTCTGTGCAGTACTGGCAGACCCGCTTTCCCTCTGAAAACAAGCAAGAATTTTGGATAAGACAATAACAAAATTACGTTAAAAGCATCAAAGGGCTGCTAAGCTAGTGGGAAACCTCCAGGCCAAGTTTCAGGGGAAAACCAAGAACCTAGAGAGGAGCGCTGGGGCCACTGTTGCTTGTGAGCATTTGCCAACCTGACAAGTTGGGCTTCGACCTTGGAGGGAGTAGGGGGGTAAACAGAGGTCAAGGTATGAGGAGGCTGATAGGGGATTCACCCCCATATCAAGCTGGGAGCCTGAAAGGCCTCACCTGGGTGAAGACAGAAGCAGAGATAACCCTGGTCCCTGCCCCAAAACAAGGAATTCATTAGCATTAAAAGGAGTGGGAGGAAAAAAGGAAAGGAAACTCACAGATTCAACCACAAAGAGCCTTGGATCTCCGGCGGACTTGGACCCCTCACCCATCACACCTGGGAGGCCCAGGGATGGTGGGGCTTCTGTGCACTTGGTTCCAGGTGGTCTGGGCTGTCCATGTGAAAGCAAACACCATCCTTGTGAGAAGGAACCTCTGTCTTTGGCCTCACGGAAACCCCACAGACACCCTTCCAAGGGCCCCAAGAAGCACACAAAGATATCCAAGTCTGAAAGGGAAGAAGGCACCATGAGTAAGAACCAGCAGACAAGCCAGCAGACACCCGCACAGTCTCCCCATATTTTTATACAATTACCAAACAAGACACTATGGTACATTTCAAACCATAATAGGAGAGATGGCCCATGTTCGGTGGCCAAGCATAGCACAGAGCTCCTCACTCCTCCAGGAATTCCACTGAAGGGTGGCAAGTTCTGGAGTTCAAGCCACTGGGGAGGCAACAGGAGTGCAAGTGGCCACGGTTCAGGCGCTGATGGGCAGAGGTGGGGAGGGGGCGCTCCCAAGGAGTCCACTGGGAGATGCAGGCAGGGGGCTTCCCAGGCAGCCTCACCAGCTTCCCTTCACACTGATCCCCTGTAAACGTGTGTCCGGCCTCGACGTAGGAGGAACAGGGAGAAACTGATTTTCTATTCATAAAATGTGCGCCTCTCTGCGCCTGCGCCGGCGCTGTGCGCCTTTGCGAGGGCGGAGCTGCGTTCTCCTCAACACAGACCGGATTGCATCGTGAGGGCGAGCTGAGTTCTCCTCTGCACAGACTTCAGAGATACAGCGAAGGCGGAGCAGTGTTCTCCTCAGCACAGACCCGGGCGGACGGGTGGGCCGGGGGCACCGCAAGGGCGGAGCTGCGTTCTGCTCAGCACAGACCCGGGGGACACAGCGAAGGCAGAGCAGCGTTCTCCTCAGCACAGACCTTGGGAACACTGCATCGCTTTGGGCAGAATAGGTGAATGAATGAATGAATGAATGAGTGTAATCACATGCCCTCCCTTTCCCTGTTTATCAAGCCTGGCATCACTTTAGAATCTCTTGTTAGAATTTATGACACCTAGGCTTTACCTCAGAACCTGAGAGTGGCACTCAGGTATAAGCACGTGTTTCCAAGCTCCCCAGGTATTCCATAGCACAGCCAAGTTTGAGACAGTGGGGTCTAAGAACCATGTAGAACTAATGAGAATCCTGAAGTGTCTGTGATAAAGGTAATAAGCTTTTTGTAAGATTACAGAGGACATAGATTAAGTTGGAAAGCCTGAGTGTTGAGATTCCTAGGCTCAGGAATTTTAATTTAACCAAAGTTAAATGTCTTAACTTGCAAAGACATGAATCTGTAGATTCCAGATTAATGGCAGGTGTGAATTGTACAATAGAAACTGATCTAGCCTACATGTCTTCTTGGACTGGCAGACTATGTTAATCTTTTTATTTTATGACAAGTTCAACATTATTCCCTTTTGTACTGAATTTTAGATTACTGATTTTGGGCACTCCAAGATTTTGGGAGAGACCTCTCTCATGAGAACTTTATGTGGAACCCCCACCTGCTTGGCTCCTGAAGTTCTTGTTTCTGTTGGGACTGCTGGGTATAACCGTGCTGTGGACTGCTGGAGTTTAGGAGTTATTCTTTTTATCTGGTAAGAAATATTTTCATTGCTTCACAGACTGGTAGGAGGTGATTAGATGAAGTCACAAATGTGTCTTGCTCTGTTGTCCAGGCTGGCATGCAGTGGCTTGATCTTGGCTAACTGTAGCCTCTGCCTTCTGGGTCAAGTGATCCTCCCATCTCAGCCTCCTGAGTAGCTGGGACTACATGCGCACACCACCATGCCCAGCTAATTTTTCTATTTTTTGTAGTGATGGGGTTTTGCCATGTTGCCCACGCTGGTCTTGAACTCCTGGGCTCAAGTGATCCTCCTGCCTCGGCCTCCCAAAGTGCTGGGATTACAAGCATGAGCCATTGTGCCCAGCCTAGCTCACTTTTTGACCATTGATTTAAAGAAAAATCTGACTTTTCATTATGCTGAAAAAGAAGTCTTTATATCTGAATGCCACTGAGAATGCCACTTGATTTCTTTTCCTTTCTCTCTCTACCAATATTAAGCCTTAGTGGGTATCCACCTTTCTCTGAGCACAGGACTCAAGTGTCACTGAAGGACCAGATCACCAGTGGAAAACACAACTTCATTCCTAAAGTCTGGGCAGAAGTCTCAGAGAAAGGTATGAATATGAAAGGGTTAAGAATTTGTGGTATGCTAAAATGTGTGTGTCCTGTGGTGGGAGTTTCTTTCCAAATTCCATGGTGTTTTCTCCTGTCAATTCTGTTCTTATTTTCTATCGTTAGTTTCACACCATTTGAGAGGCACTGGAAATTATTAAGAGCATGCACTCAGGTCCTGGGTCTGCTACTACTTAGCTGTGTGGCCTTAGGCAAGTTATTTAACCTCCGTCTCCAATTTCTTTCTGTGTAAAGGGACCCTCAATAATCCCTACCTTAAAAGGTTTTTTGAGGGTTAGGTATAATGTAAACAAGTGCCTTGTACCTATTTTACTGAGCAAAATAAATGCATTTGTAACTTTTTAGTTACAAGGTTTCCTTTGAGTAAGCAAGCGTGTAAAAACTATATGTCTTTAGTTACCTTGTATTTTATAATTTGTCCTGGCAACTTTAGTTCCCTGAAGAGAAAATAGAAAATTAAATGTCAAATAACGTAACATAGGTAATTGTGTTAAATGTCAGAATATTTCAGGAATAATAATGTTGTGATATACAGGCCAGCATGCATTTGTTGCTTGCTGGAGTAGTCAAGTTTTATTTCTGACAAGTCTGCAGTTCCAGGGAGCCTCTCCCTGGCTGAGTAACTGTCACCCATCCATCTGTAGATGTCAGGGAGAGTTTGCTGTGCATCCCAATTATCTTAGAATTGGGTAGAAGTTTAGCTTTAATTAGTTTGACCTTGAGTCTAACAACAAGAGAGGGAACAGGCAGCGAAGAGGTCGTGACTGATGTCCCAGCAACAGGAGACAGGGAGTGTCATTATCATTCCTGGTCTTCTCACAGTACTCTGAATACAGAGAGTGAGGAAGATTAGGGGGCCCTGTCTGCTGACTCCCTGACGATCTCAGACCCTCTCTGCTCTTTCTGGATGGTGGCCTGTTAATTCTGGCATACTGTTACTGATAATATATTTATCCTTTTCACTGTGATTTGCCCAATTGTTGCTTTAGCTCTGGACCTTGTCAAGAAGTTGTTGGTAGTGGATCCAAAGGCATGTTTTACAACAGAAGAAGCCTTAAGACACTGTGGCTTCAGGTGGGTGTGGGACAGTGCCTGCTAGCATAAAATACATGGGAAGCCCTGCTGCCTGAGAGACATGAGACAGAGGACAGAAACATGTTTACTTTGTTGAATGTGTTTAATTGTTTTAGATGTATGGGGGGTATCTTGGACAGGTTACAACCTGTTTTTTTTTTTTTTTTTTTTTGAGACAGGTTATCATTCTGTCACCCTGGCTGGAGTGCAGTGGCACAATCTCAGCTCACTGCAACCTCTGCACCCTGGGTTCAAGTGATTCTCCTGCCTCAGCCTCCCAAGTAGCTGGGATTAAAGGTGCATGCTACCACGCCCAGCTACTTTTTGTATTTTTTGTAGAGATGGGGTTTCGCTGTGTTGGCCAGGCTACAACCTTTTTGATATTACTCATGGCTGTTGGATGTACAAGCTCACTTTATGTCCTGTTCTGGTTCCACTTGGCTGCCCCGAGTCTCCAGTTTGGCCTGTGTTCTTTTGAGGGCTTGTTCTGGCTCTACTCCCAGCCATGTCCACTGCTCTTCATAGGTGGGGTGCATTCTAGCCATCTTCAACCTTAAATCAGGGAAGTGGGGGAGGGGGAGGAGGGCAGCCTCCCTGGGGAGAATCCAGCTATTTCTCAAGCCCAAGTGACTCGGTATAAAGGGTCCCACTGCTTGTTCATTCAGGTGAGTAAATGTGTCCTTAGTGAAGGCTGTCACCTGCACCTTTCATCTGTGTTACTGCTGTACTCCTGCTAGGGGTTGGGGCTGCCATTATTAAATGCTGACCTCATTTGGAACTGCCAAGAGTTGGAAGTACGTTGTGGCTTTGCTGGGTTAATCTTTAGTTTTGGAATTAGCTACGGCATTGGGCAGGTTTTTCTGATAGATGTCTGGTCTTCTGTAACGAGCAGTTCCATTCAGTACAGCCATGCCCCTTTCTATTAATTTTCTTTTGGTCTGTGTATTAGTCTGTTCTCACACTGCTATAAAGAACTGCCCAAGACTTGGTAATTTATAAAGAAAAGAGGTTTACTTGACTCACAGCTCCACATGGCTGGGGAGGCCTCAGGAAACTTACAATCATGGTGGAAGGGGTAGAAGGCATGTCTTAGTGGCAGCAGGTGAGAGAGCTTGTGAAGGAAGTGAAGGGCGAAGAGCCTCTTATGAAACTGTCAGATCTCATGAGAACTCACTATCATGAGAATAGCCTGGGGGAAACTGCCCCCATGAGCCAATCCCCTCTCAACAGGTCCCTTTCTCAACACCTGGAGATTACAATTTGAGATGAGATTTGGGTAGGGACACAAAGCCAAACTGTATCAATCCGCTTTCTGTGGAGATGGGGGACAGAACTGGTAGCTTGAGCTAGAGGCTGTTACTTGAGCTAAATGCTGTTTCTCTGGGGATTACTGGTCCAGGAACTCCTTGGGCAATCCAGCCTCAGCCCCGTACTTCTGGAACTCTGGGAAGACTGTCCCCGTTCTCTGTTCTAATCCTCTACACCTAACAGTTTTGCTCAGGCCAGCTCAGGTTGAGAACAACAAAAACTTAAAAAAAAAGACAGATATATATATATATGTGTTTTGGATGTTGCCCTGGAAACTATAGTCTCCCCAGAAGAAATCTGTCAGATGATTTAGCATTTAATAGACCACAGAGATTTGAAACAGCGGGACCCTGGAGGAAAGGGGTTTGGAAACAAAGGGTGCCTTTGCATGTGGGGATTTTAATTTTGATGAGAAAGAGAAACATGTCTTTTGGCTCTTTTCATGTGTCCTAATAGGGAAACTCTTGGGTCTAAATGTAGAGGTACAGGAGCTGTGTTCATCTCTAGCAAAAAAATAGAGCTGGCCTGTTGAGCCTGGGAACAGGGTTTGCATCTGCCTGAAATTTATGAGCAAGCGTAGCCTATTTTTCTTGTACTTCTTTGTCTCAAAGAAAACTTATTAACAACCAAGGAGAAGGTGAAGTTCAACTCCGTTGCAGGATCTCCCTGGAACACTCTTTTAGCCACCTTTTGTTTTTGCAGTAAAAGGAGGAATGAGCATTGAATGAAGACAAGGATGAAGACTGACCATCTAAAACATCTGTTAGTGATAGTTTGGGTTTTATTTTGGGAAAATTCAGTGTTTTTGCAAAAACCAAATGGTTTTGTGGGTCTGGCGCTGGACTGAGTGTTGGGAATGTGGATTCTGGTCTCTGTTTTGTCATTAACAGAATGGCCAGTTTTGGGAGCATCCCTTACATCTACTCTCTGCTTCATATTTACTGCCTGAAATAGAGGATTTCTTCTGTTTGCTTTCAAGGGATATTATAATTTAATTTTTATTTTATTTATTGTTGGAGACAAGGTCTTCTTCTGTTCCCTAAACTGGAGTGCACTGGTGCAATTATAGCTCACTGCAGCCTCGACCTCCTGGCCTTAAGGGATCCTCCCGCCTCAGCCTCATAAAGTGCTTGGATAATAGGCATGAGCCACTGTTCCTAGCTAATTTAATATTTTGGAATAATTGTAGACATCATGAAGAAAATCAATGTTTATTTATTTATTTCCTTTTTTGAGATGGAGTCTTGCTTTTGTCTACCAGGCTGGAGTGCAATGGTGTGATCTCAGCTCACTGCGACCTCCATCTCTGGGTTCAAGTGATTCTCCTGCATCAGCCTCCCAAGTAGCTGGGATTACAGGTGCCTGCCACCATGCCCAGCTCATTTTTGTATTTTTAGTAGAGATGGGGTTTCACCATGTTGGTCAGACTAGTCTCGAACTCCTGACCTCAGGTGATCCACCCACCTTGGCCTCCCACAGTGCTGGGATTCCAGGCATGAGCACTGTGCCTGACCTGATGACTTGTTTTAAATATAGGCCTGATTAGGCTTGTGACCACTCTGTTTGGCTTCACTGAAGGGCTGCCAAGAGATGGACTTTTGAGAGTGACACTGCAAGATAATTGAGATCCTAAGTAAAGCCGTGAGAGGGTGGGGAGAGGAATCCAGATGAGCTTGCTGCTGTCAAATGGCAATGGGGAGCTACACTGAGAAACTCAAAACATGGTGAACTCAAGTGTTCTGCCCTGCCTTGGCCTCCCAAAGTGCTGGGATTACAGGTGTGAGCCACTGTGCCTGGTCCTTCTTTCTTTCTCTTTCTTCCTCCTTCCTTCCCCCTCCCCTCTCCTCCATTCCTTTTTCCTCCCCTCTTTCATCCCCCCTCCCTTTTTCCTTCCTTGCTTCTTTCCTTCCTTCCTTCCTCAGGGTCTTGCTGTCTCACCTAGGCTGGAGTGCAGTGGCATGATCACTGCACCATGACTTTCAGGCTCAAGTGATCCTCCTGCCCCAGCCTCCCAAGTAGCTGAGACTACAGGTGCATGCCACCATGTCTGGCTAATTTAATTTTTTTTTTTTTTTTTGGAGACAGAGTCGTACTCTTTTGCCCAGGCTGGAGTGCAGTGGTGTGATCCTGTCTTACTGCAACCTCCGCCTCTCGAGTTCAAGTGATTCTCCTGCCTCAGCCTCCTGAGTAGCTGGGATTACAGGCATGCACTACCACGCCTGGCTAATTTTGTATTTTTAGTAGAGATGGGGTTTAACCATGTTAGCCAGGCTGATCTTAAACTTCCGACCTCAGGTGATTCACCCACCTTGGCCTCCCAAAGTGCTGGGATTACAGGCGTGAGCCTCCATGCCTGGCCTAATTTTTAAATTTTTTTGTAGTGACAAAGTCCCAGTATGTGGCCCAGGCTGGTCTCAAATTCCTGGCCTCAAGCAATTATCCCACCTTGGCCTCCCAAAGTGCTGGGATTATAGGCATGAGCCACCATGCCCAACCTAGTGTTGTAAAATTTCCATATCCATCAAGTTGCCAAATGGTGGAGGACTTTGCTGTATCCTCTCCCTTTCCCCACTGTGGTATGCTTGGCTCAGTGGGAGGAGGGGCTGGAGTTGGGTGGGAAAGTACATGAGGCACTGGAATCAGATAACTCTGGGTCTGTATTCCGCACATGCCACCTGTGAGTGGCTGAGCTGGGCTTCTGGCCAGCACTCAAAGGCCACATTACTAGATATAGATGTTCCTTTCACCTTGCTGAAGATGGGGAGAGCTGCACCGGACCACCTCTCAGGGTTTCCTAATGCAAATCCTTGAACCCTGCAGAAGTGAGCATCCAGAGAGGTGGGAGCTACCCGTATACACACTGTCTGTGCCCTGCTCATCTCCCGCTCCTGCAGCATGAAACACCTGTAATGCTTTGTTCTGTTTATTGTCTCCCTTTCTCATTAGACCTGAACTCTGGGATACTGTGGGCTTAAGTACTTCTGAAAATTTCTATGGCATCTGCTGGGTGAATTTTCCTAGGGTGCTGGGCTGGTTGTTAAGACAGCCTGGGTGACTGGCCTCATTCATGGCAGGGGCAGCAGGTGGAGAGCGGTCCTGGAAGGATTTGAGGAGCTGCACGGAGTGAGACCCAGCCCCTGGCCCCCTGATTGTCACCTTTCTCAGGATCTGGGATGCTAATTCAGAAACTCTTGACTGCTGGAGGCTGTGATTGACCCACTGAGAGCTTTTAGGCATGTGGATGTGACTCAGCCAGGATCGATGGAGCATTGACTGCTGATTGGACTCCTGTGGGAAGGTAGAGGGGGGCAACACATAATGCCTTCACTGTGGGAGCTTCATCAAGGGGATGATTCTTGGACGGACATCTTTTCCTCCCTCTTTCCACAGAGGCATGCTAGCCCTGTCATTCTAGGAGTTTATTATCCTTCAGACACAGCTACTTATGTTTTTAATTCCCTCACAGGATGAAGACATGAAGAGAAAGTTTCAAGATCTTCTGTGTGAGGAAAATGAATCCACAGCTCTACTCCAGGTTCTAGCCCAGGTATTCGTATTCCTGATGATCACTAAATGTAGTCTGGGCTTAAGGAGATGATAAGCAAAGATGATGAAATTCAAGATTTTCCTGAGTAGCAATTGCTTAACATTGTTTCAGTTATAATGTAGTAGAAACTCTGTTTGAACTTGATTCACTCCAGCACCCTTAGATTTAAAAACGCAGGATATGTTTAATATCTAACACATAATAGACAGATAAGCACAGCTAGGGATTGTCATCCAAAAGGTCACCTGCAAGGCAATTTCGAAAGACTCTATTAGGGGCTCAAATATAAATTTGTTGGAAAAATTAAAATTTGGGTCAGTAGTTGATTCCTTGATTACAAGTTTATTCTTTAAAGTTCTTTGTGAGTATAAGTTAATTCCAGTCCTACTTTGTTGTTGTTGTTGTTGTTGAATGGTAGCTGTCCTTTTTCCCACTGTTTCCTCCCCGCTGCCCCGATTTTTATTTTCTTGAGACAGAGTCTTAGTCTGTCACTCGGGCCAGAGTGCAGTGGTGCAATCTCAGCTCACTGCAACCTCTGCCTCCTGGGTTCAAGCAGTTCTCCTGCCTCAGTCTCCCGAGTGTCTGGGACTACAGGTGTCCACCACTGCGCCCAGCTAATTTTTGTATTTTTAGGTGAGATGGGGTTTTGCCATGTTGGTCAGGCTTGTCTCGAACTTTTGACCTGAAGCGACCTGCCCACCTCGGCTTCCCAAAGTGCTGGGATTACAGGCGTGAGTCACCGCACCCAGCCTTCCTCCCAATTTTATATATGGGAAAACAACTAAGGCACAAAGGTTGTCTTCCCGCAAAAGACCAAGACTTGGGGCTTCAACTGAGAGGTATTATAGTCCTTTTAAACTTGATATTTAGAAGAGGACGATCAAGAGGAAGTTGGTTATGCTACTTGCTTTCAGTATACATCGTTCAGAGGTCAGAAGCCATAGGGAGAGAAATACCTATTAGATAAGCATGTCTGAGTTGCGGGCTGTGGTGAGGACTCAGTTGTCAATGATGACGACCAGTAATTTTTGGTACTAGAATTTCACATCAAATGCCCCCACTTTACTGGAAGTATATTGAGGAACTTTGATAATCTTAAAGAAGCCAGTGATTTTCTTTTGAACATTTCTCCATTTTCCTTTATTTTCAGCCTTCTACTAGTCGAAAGTGGCCTCATGAAGGGGAAGCCGAGGGTGCCGAGACCACAAAGTGCCCGGCTGTGTGTGCTGCTGTGTTGTGAACTCCGTGGTTTGAACATGAAAGAAATGTACCTTCTTTCACTCTGTCATCTTTCTTTTCTTTGAGTCTGTTTTTTATAGTGTGTATTTTAATTATGGAAATAATTGCTTTTTCACAGTCACTGATGTACAATTAAAAACCTGATGGAACCTGGGCTTTGTGCTTCTGCTTGATAATCGGTTCTTTAGTTGAATGGCTTTGTTATTTATTTATTTGAGACGGAGTCTCACTCTGTTGCCCACCCTGAAGTGTAGTGGTGCAAGCTTGGCTCACTGCAACCTCTGCTTCCCAGGTTCAAGCGATTCTCGTGCCTCAGCCTCCCGAGTAGCTGGGATTACAGGTATGCACCACCATGCCCAGCTAATTTTTATATTTTTTTGTAGAGACAGGGTTTTGCCATGTTGGCCAGCCTGGTCTTGAACTTCTGATCTCAGGTGATCCACCTGCCTCGGTCTCTCAAAGTGCTGGGATTACACACGTGAGCCACTGCGCCTAGCCTGAATGGCTTTTTTATATTTAAAGTTGTTGTGTGCCTTTCATCTGGAGCTACACCTTGGCTATCACTAGGCAGGTTTCCCAGGATGTCACCCTGGTCTCAGCCTGTGAGAGCTGAATACAAATTCTAAGGGCCCCTTGGAAAGTTCCGGGGAAAGGAGCATAGCAAGGTTGGGGGTGGAGTTTGTAGAGACTGGCTGGCTGGCTGCTGACATCTTCATGAGAACAGCAGGTACCTTGGTGCATAATAACAGGCCAGGTTATATTCTCATCCTTGCCCTCATAAAGATACAGGTCTACAGTCTCTGAAACCTTTGGGCTAGATAAGTTGTGAAATTTAATTACCCAAATTTAGGAAGGTGGTAAGGCATATCTACTATGTGTATGTGTAGCACCTCAGCGGAGTCCTACACATGTGGAGTCCTACCCCAGTGGAGACCAAACATGTTAATATTTCCACAGCAAATATTCACAGCAAGAGGGATAGAGAAAGATTATAGGTAGTTGCATATTGATTCATATCAGTCTTTTCTTCCAAATGAGCTACAATGACTCGTTTTTGAGAGCTGTTTGGGTTTTGGAAGTGGAGATAAGGCATGGTTCTGTCTTGTTGACCCAATAATGACCAGGGAAGCCCTGTGCAAAGACTTACCCTTGGCTGCTCTTGTCCTCACAGTGATTTTATGAGTGAGGTCCTCTAGCCACTGTCATGTCACAGGTGAGGAAACCAAAGTTAGAGGACGAAGGTAACTTTTCTGATGTCGCACAGCTGGTAAATGGCAGAGCTGGGACCCAACCCAGGTCTTTTTGACTCTAATGTTCCTTATTGTCCACTGAATCTGCTTTTATAACTTTGCTTGGTTGATGCTAGGACACTTTGTAGCTCGCTGGCCATGCCATGAATTGAGTGCCGTGGTTCAATGGCCACTGGCGATTCAGTCAGGGCAGAATCAAGGGCACACAGCCATTTCCTTAGGAAATGGGGATGTGGTTGGAAATTTCTATTAAAGGGTATATAAGCATTCTGAGACTTGGCTGGCCTGGTGTAGGGGGTTTGTTGGGAATTTAGTTGGTTTGCATGTTTAAAGGAATAAGGCTGAGATTGCCCTAGATGGGTTTTAGCTCATTTGAATATTTAATGTGGAGGCTGTGGTTTCCTGGGACATTTTTCCCGCTGTGGAGAGTTAGCCACCTTTTCTCTGTTTCTTTTTTCTTTTTTTTTAATCGAGATGAAGTCGTATGCTTGTTGCCCAGGCTGGAGTGCAATGGTGTGATCTCGGCTCACTGCAACCTCCGCCTCCTGGGTTCAAGCGATTCTCCTGACTCAGCCTCCCGAGTAGCTGGGATTACAGGCACCTGCCACCATGCCCAGCTAATTTTTGTATTTTTAGTAGAGATGGGGTTTCACCATGTTGGTCAGGCTGGTCTTGAACCCCTGACCTCAGGCAATCCACCCGCCTCCCTCCCAAAGTACTGGGATTAGAGGCATGAGCTACCATGCCCGGCCGCCCTTCTCTGTTTCTAGAGCATTTTGTATTAACTCCCTCTCATGATATCTTCCATGGTAGGCTGAATAATGGCCCCTCCAAAGTGTCCTCAACTTAATCCCCAGAATCTGTGACTATGTTCCTTTCCATGACAAAAGGGACTTTGCAGATGTGATTAAGCATCTTGAGATGGGAGCTTATCCTATGTTGCCTATGGGCCCAGAGTCCCATCACAGTGCTTTTTTTTTTTTTTTTTTTGAGACAGAGTTTTTTGCTCTTGGTGCCCAGGCTGGAGTGCAATGGCACAATTTCGGCTCACTGCAACTCCATCTCCCAAGGTTCAAGCGATTCTCTTACCTCAGCCTCCCAAGTAGCTGGATTACAGGCGCTCGCCAACATGCCCAGCTAATTTTTGTTTTTCCAGTAGAGATGGGGTTTCACCATGTTGGCCAGGCTAGTCTCGAACTGCTGACCTCGTGTTCTGCCCACCTTGGCCTCCCAAAGTGCTGGGATTACAGGTGTGAGCCACCACATCCAGCCTACAGTGCTCTTTTAAGAGGGACTCAGCAGTCAGGGGAGATGGCAATGAGATGATGACTGAGTGTCTTAGTCTTTTTTGTATTGCTATGCAATATCTGAGACTGGGTAATTTATAAATAACAGGTTTATTTCTTACAGTTCTGGAGGCTGGGAATGTCAAGATCAAGGGGCCTGCTTCTGGTGAGGGTCTTCTTGCTGTGTCATCCCATGATGGAAGGTGTCACATCAAGAGAGAAAGGGGGCTGAACTCAATCCTTTTATTAGGAACCCATCCCCATGATAATTAACACTCTGCTGAGATAACATCATTACTCTATTAATGAGGGCAGATCTTTCATGACCTAATCTCCTCTTAAAGGTCCCACCTCTCAACACTGTTGCATTAGAGATTAAATTTCCAGCACATGAACTTTGGGGGACACATTCAAACCATAGACTGTGCAGAGATTGGAGTGGTGTGCTTTAAAAATGGAGGAAAGGGCCACAATCCAGGGAATATAGGTAACCACTAAAAGCAGAAAAAGGCAAGAAAATGGGTTTTCCCTTCAGAACCTCCTGAAGGAATCAGTCCTTTACAACTTGACTTTAGCCAAGTGAAACTGATTTGAGGCTTCTGACCTATAGAACAATAAGATATTAAGCCTGTGTTGTAAGCCAATCAGTTCGTTGTAATTTGTTACAGCAGCCATAGAAAACTAATTGACTCACCAATGGGAGAAATCAGCTGCTGATTTAAGGCTACCAAGCACCTATTTCCTCTCCTAACCTCACTCCAATTTTATCTTGGAGGAATTCTTTTCCCTATCCCATTAAGTTATGGGAGATGGGGCCAGGCATGGTGGCTTAGCAATCCCAGCACTTTGGGAGGCTGAGGTGGGTGGATCACTTGAGGTCCGGAGTTTGAGACTAGCCTGGTCAACATAGTGAAACCCCATCTCTACTAAAAATACAAAAATTAGCCAGGTGTGGTGGTGGGCACCTGTAATCCCAGCTACTCCAGAGGCTGTGGCATGAGAATTGCTTGAACCCAGGAGGCAGAGGTTGCAGTGAGCTGAGATCGCACCACTGCACTCCAGCCTGGGTGACAGAGTGAGAATCCATCTCAAAAAAAAAAAGTTATGGGAGAGGATGGTAAAGCTAAGTATCTTTTGCACCTACTCCCCAGCCCCACCACTGCAGAAGCTGAAGGGGCTCCTAGAGGCTTCTTCTGCCGTGGAGCTGTTCCCACCAGCCCCTAGCTAGAGGTGGGTGTAGGACTTTGAAACATGAACAAATGGAGCTGGGATGGCAATGGCGGGAACAATATTGTGCTAATCTGAACTCTGCACTTCCTAACTTTGGCTCTGGGTAAATTACCTCAAATTGCTGAGCCTTTGTTTCCATATTTATAAAATGGGTGCGGTAAGAGTACCAAGCTCTTCTATGCTGTTTGGAGGAGGCAGGTCCATAAGGTACCTGGCGTGTGGTAAGGGATTCATGAATGTTGGCTTCTATCATTAAGGGTGGGGGAGCCACATAAGTAGCCAGAGGGAGTCATAGAAATTTCTTGAGCCAGAGAAGTAAGATAATCTTTTCAGCTTTTTGTACAGCATAAAAGGCGGGTAATTTGCTTGCCTTTGACCAAGCAAATTTGGGACGTGCCAGGCCTGGGGTGAATGGTGGGAACCCAGGTAGAGGGATATTTCTCATTGGCTGAACTAACTGTGACTCCGTTTTGCGGAGCAGCCAGGTTGCCTCATGGTGGACCTGCTGCATGCCTACATGATGGTGCCGTGGATAGCTCTTGTTTGTGCCAGCCCTGTACCTGATACCTCTTGTGGTAATTGCATCCCTGTTTTTCAGAAGGAAGCATCCCTCTTCCCACTTTCTGGTTTTCCCCATGTCCTTCTGGAGGGGATGACCCCAACTGCTTCCTGAAGAGGCTTCATGAAAGCCAGGTCTGGCCAGGCTGGATGTGGTGATTGGCTCAGGCAGGGGCATGTGGCCCAAACGGGTCCAGTGAAAGTCAGTCCTGGGACTTTGGCTGGAACTATTGGGGAACAGCCTCTGCTTTCTTGGGCAGATGTGAGTTAGGAGCTGCTCAGGCCACTGTGTGGAAAGAACTGTATGAGAATGAAGTAATCAAAGGGAAGCAAGCACTGAGAGATTAGAGAGACTTATCTTGTATAAGTGCCTGTATCCAGCTATGCCTGAAGTGAGGTACCACCCCAGGCCTTTTCAGTCATGCTATCAGTTTTGTTCCTTTTTTCTGTTTTACTCTTGGTGGAGTTATTTTTTTTTCCTTGTTACTTGAATAAGAAAAATACCAAACTAGAAGGCTGGGTGCGGTGGCTCATGCCTGTAATCCCAGTACTTTGGGAGGCCAAGGCAGGTGGATCACGAGGTCAGGAGTTTGAGATCAGCCTGATCAACATGGTGAAATCCCGTCTCTACTAAAAATACAAAAAAAATTAGCCGGGTGTGGTGGTGCCTGCCTTTAATCCCAGCTACTCAGGAGGCTGAGGCAGGAGAATCGCTTGCATCTGGGAGGCGGAGGTTGCAGTGAGCCGAAATCGTGCCACTGCACTCCAGCCTAGGTGACAGAGCAAGACTCCATCTCAAAAAAAACAAAAACAAGAACAACAACAACAACAAAAAACCAGACTAGTAAATGCAACCATTTACAAATTCCAAGAGACTCTTGAAGATTCTTTTTGTTAGTAGGGAAAACATTCTCCATTTTTCTGCCAACTTTAGGGTTTTCAGAGAAGTTTGGTGGAGAGAAAGGAAAGCAAAGATGTGGGAAGACAGAGTCCTTGCAGCCCCACATTGGGCGAACTCCTCCCAGCTACTTATACCACAGGGTTTTGGGAGCAGAGACCCTTTCATTAAACTTTTAGGAGTCTTGGATGGATAGGGTTGGAATTACACCAGTGAAACTCAGCTTTGTGTGTGCCAGGCATTGGGCCCTGGGATATGCAGTCATGTGTTATGTAATGACATTTTAGTCAATGACAAACCACATGTAAGTCAATGGTACCATAAGACGATTATGGAGCTGAAAAATTCCTATTGCTTAGTGACATAGCCATTGTAATGTTAGGGTAATGCATTTCTGTGTTTCTGGTGATGCTAATGTAAACAAATCTGTGCTGCCAGTTCTATAAAAGCATAGCATGTACAATTACATACAATATATAATACTTGATAATGAACAACTATGTTACTGGTTTATTTTATTTTTTTGAGACAGAGTCTTGCTCTGTCGCACAGGCTGGAGTGCAGTGGCGCGATCTTGGCTCACTGCAACTTCTGCCTCACAGGTTGAAGTGATTCTTCTGCCTCAGCCTCCTGAGTAGCAGGGAATACAGGCACCCACCACCACGGCCAGCTAATCTTTGTATTTTTAGCAGAGATGGGGTTTCACCACACTGCCCAGGCTGGTCTCAAACTCCTGACCTCAAATGATCTGCCTGCCTCAGCCTCCCGAAGTGCTGGGATTACCCGCATGAGACACTGTGCCCAGCCCTGGTGTATTTAGTGTTTTTCATAATTTTAGAATGTATGTCTTCTACTTATATTAAAAAATAGTTAACTATAAAACAGCCTCAGGCAGGTCCTTCAGGAAGTATTCTGGAAGAAGAAGGCATTGTTATCACAGGAGATGACAGCTCCATGCGTGTAATTGCCCAGGCTGGAGTGCAGTGGCACAATCTCGGCTCATTGCAACCTCCGCCTCCTGGGTTCAAGCGATTCTCCTGCCTCAGTCTCCTGAGTAGCTGGGACTACAGGTGCACACCACCATGCCTGGCTAACTTTTGTATTTTTATTAGAGATGAGGGTTTCACCACGTTGGCCAGGATGGTCTCGAACTCCTGACCTCAAATGATCTGCCTGCCTCGGCCTCCCAAAGTGCTGGGATTACAGGTGTGAGACACCACGACCGGCAAAATTTTTTAAGATACATTTCAGTAAGCTAAGATTAATTTATTGAAGAAAAGCTTTAAAAAATTTTGGTGTAGCCTAAGCATATGGTGTTTATAAAGTCTACAGTAGTGTACAGTAAGGTCCTATGCCTTCACACTCACTGACTCACCACAGCATCTTCCAGTCCTGCAAGCTCCTTTCATGGTAAGTGCCCTATACAGGAGTACCATTTTAAAATCTCTTATACTCTATTCTTACTGTACCTTCTCTATGTTCAGGTACACAAGTACTTACATTGTGTTACAACTGCTTATAGTATATTCAGTAAAGTATCAGGCTGTACAGGTGTGTAGCCTAGGAGCAATAGGCTACACCATACAGCCTAGGTGTGTAGTAGACTGTACAAGGCTATACAAGGTTTGTGTAAATGCACTTTGCTGTTTGCACAATGATGCAATCACCTAAGGAGGCATTTCTCAGAACCATCCCGTGATTAAGAGAGGCATGATCGTACAGTCATCATCTCCCTGAAAGCTCAGTCAGCCCTGTGCAGTGCTACTGCCACACTCCCCTTTTGCACATGTAGAAATCAAGGATCTTTGGCTCCTCTGAGTGACTTGTTCCAGGTTTCTCAGTTTTCAAGAGATGGAGGTGGGACTCGAATTGAGATTTCCCTTTCTTGAGAACCTGTGGTCCTTAACCATTAAAACCACTTAAGAGGTCTTCTCTCTCGATCACTACCTACTAAGTGCTAGGCGCGGTGCTGAGGCGTTCTCTTGATTATTATATTGAGTCTTTAGATTTAGGAGAAACAGGCCGAGCGCGCTGACTCACGCCTGTAATCTCAGCACTTTGGGAGGCCGAGGCAGGAGGATCATGAGGTCAGGAGATGGAGACCATCCTGGCTAACACTGTGAAACCCCATCTCTACTAAAAATACAAAAATTAGCAGGCGTGGTGGTGGGCGCCTGTAGTCTCAGCTGCTCGGGAGACTGAGGCAGGAGAATGGCGTGAACCCGGGAGGCGGAGCTTGCAGTGAGCCGAGATCACGCCACAGCACTCCAGCCTGGGTGACAGAGCGAGACTGTCTCAAAAAAAAAAAAAAAAAGATTTAGGAGAAACAAGTCCCGAAGCCCTGACCCTAACACGCAAGGGTTAGTGGAGATGTGGGACTTGAACTCAGCTTCTCCGTTGAGTCTGGCTGTCACCGGGACGCAGGCACGTGCTTGCACACCTCCACGGTGGCGATCCCACCCCCTTAGTAGCGTCCTTAGCTCGGCACTTCTTGCGGGGAAGTTCTTCTTGGCCCAGACCCTCGTCCTAGGCCCCGCGCCGTGGGGGAAGTGAAAGGGGCAGTGTGGGGAAATGGCCGAGAGGTCGGGTCAGGGGTGGTCTGCAGAGAGGCAGGCGGCGGTGCTGAGTCGGGAACCGCGCGCTCACCCGCCCAGTCGGACGGTTCCGGCGGGGGTGGGTGAGACACTGGGAACAGCGGCCAGCTGCAGAGGGCCCGAGGCCGGGCGCGCGGGGAGCGGGGCGCGTCGAACGCGCGCGTGCGCGGTTCGTGTGTGGGCCTGCGGGGGCGTGCGCGGTTGGGGGGCAGTGAGGGTCGCCGCGGCGGCGCGCAGCACGGCGGGAACATGGCGCGCGGAACCGGCGCACGCGCCTAGCTGGTGGGACCGTTAGCTCGAGGCGGACGCGGCCCGGACCCCGTGGATATGGAGCAGTGGCCGCCGCCGGCGCCCGAGCCGGCCCAAGGGCCGACCCCCGCAAGGAGCTGAAGGCGGCGGGAGACCGAGTCGCCGCCAGCGTTGGCGCCGGTGAGTGCGTGAGGGGCTCGGGCCGGGAGACTTTCTTTGTCAAACTCCGGCGGTGGGAGCCGGGCCGGGCCTCAGCGACTGAGGAGCGCCTGCGAGGCGGAGGGTGTCTCGCAGTCCGGGTTCGATCCCAGCCGCGAGCCGTCAGGCGACAGGACCTGGTCGGCCGCCTGCCTGCCTCAGTTTCCGCGAGAGTGTGTGTGGGTGTGTGTGGGTGTGTATGGGTGTTGGCCTGCACACACCGGGGGTGGGGGGGTCGGTATACAGTCGGCGCCTAATGCGCGCGGTGCCTCCCCCCTCCCCCCAGTCCCCGTGGGGCGGAAGCTGGGGACTGGAGTCCACCAGAGCAGTAGGCGGCACCCGCGGGGAGACAGGTGTCGGCGCAGCCCGGGAGGATCAGGTGCTACCTCTCCCGGGTGGGGTTTGTGAGGAGTGAGCTCTTCGTCCCCAGTGGCGAGCAAGTCTGTCGGTGGCTCATCACAGAGCACTGTTTTGGAAAGCGTTCCACCCACCTCAGCTTCGTGCTGTGTTTGGGCCACTAGTCAGGGGGAAGGATGCTGAGCGACATGGACTTTAGAGGTGGGGCTCCCGCTGGACGGGATGGCTCTGGGCTCTCGAGCTTACCCCCACCCTTGTCTCCTAAACCCGTTAGAGTGTAGGAATCATTGGGAGCACCTGATAAAAATGCCACGGATTGTGGCTCACCAAAGCAGGGAAGCCGATTTGGAACTTAAACAAGCTCCCAAGTTGTGATCAGTCGAGCTTGGCAAGCACTGTTTTAGAGAGTAGGCTTCCTGCAAGCAGGAGCTGTTTTTGTGTATACCTCACCATGGCATCTTGGTACCTGGCATGGTGCCTGGCACACGGTAGATGATCAGAAAATATCTGTAGAAAGTCTAAATTATTAGGGAGAGTGCAACATAGGAGTTCTTGAGACATTTTCAGGAGCTTCTTGAGATTAATATCTGTCAGATTTGTTTTACAGTATATGATTTTTCTCAGCTCCCAACTTTTGTGATTGTTTTTAATGCCATGTTTTCAGTATGTTCTAGGCAAAAGCAGGGTATATGTTGCTTAGTATACACTATCCACTAGGCCGGGTGCGGTGGCTCACTCCTGTAATCTCAGCACTTTGGGAGGCAGATTGCTTGAGCCCAGAGGCTTGAGGCTGTAGTGAGCCAAGGAGTTAGAGACCGGTGTGGGAAACATAGCGAGACTCGTCTCCGCAAAAATTAGCTGGGTGTGGTAGCGTGCACTTGCAGTCCCAGCTACCCTGGAGGCTGAGGTGGGAGGATCGCTTGAGCTCAGGAAGTACAAGTTGCAGTGAGCCAAGGTTGTGCCACTGCATTCCAGTCTGGATAATACAGCGAAACCCAGTCTCTTAAATAAGTAAATAAATACATAAATGATTATGTATACTCCAGCTAGGTTAAAATTAATTCTAAATCAAAATTCTAAATTAAAATATGCATATTTCTTTCTCTTCATCATTTGAGAACACTAGGCTTTTAGGATTTCATTCCGTTGGGGCAGGTAAATATCTACAGTTTTGACAAAGCAAATATGAATTACTGTTAATTCAAGAAAGGTGGGAATTTGCTTAAACCTGAGTATTTGTAGTCTGTGATTTTTTTAAATTTTAAATGTAAATTTTCTTTTTTTTTTTCTTTTTTTTTTGAGATGGAGTCTCACTCTGTCGTCCAGGCTGGAGTGCAGTAGCACAATCTCAGGTCACTACAACCTCCACCTCCCGAATTCAAGCGATTCCCCTGCCTCAGCCTCTGGTGTAGCTGGCATTACAAGTGTGTGCCACCATGCCCAGCGAATTTATGTATTTTTAGTAGAGAGGAGGTTTCACTATGTTGCCCAGGCTGGTCCCAAACTACTTGACCTCAAGTGATCTGCCCACCTTGGCCTCCCAAAGTGCTGGGATTACAGGCATGAGCCATGGCACCTGGCCTTATTTTTATTTTTTTGAGACAGAATCTCAGGCTGCCACCCAGGTTGGAGTGCTGTGGCATGATCTCCACTCACTGCACCCTCCACCTCCCAGATTCCAGTGATTCTAATGCCTCAGCTTCCTGAGTAGCTGGGGTTACTAGACCCGGCTAATTTTTGTTGTATTTTTTTAGTAGAGACTGGGTTTCCCTATGTTGGCCAGGCTGCTCTGGAACTCCTGGCCTCTAGTGATCCACCTGCCTCGTCCTCCCAAAGTGCTGGAATTACAGGCATGAGCTACTGCTCCCAGCCAGTCTTTGTGACATTTTGAAATTGAGGTTTATATTTTGTTCAGAGTCAAAGCTAAAATAGAATTGTTTGAAAATTAATATTTCAGGAACTGTTTTTTAATTAAGTTGAATTTTATTTTATTAGTTTCATTTCAGTAGGGTTTTAACTTAAAAAATATATAAATATATGTGTGTGTGTGTGTGTATAAATATATATATATATATTTTTTTTTTCCCTGAGACGGAGTCTTGCTCTGTCACCCAGGCTGGAGTGCAATGGCATGATCTTGGCCTCACTGCAGCCTCCACCCTCCCAGCTCAAGCAATTCTTCTGCCTTAGCCTCCCGAGTAGCTGGGACTACAGGTGCCTGCCACCACACCCAGCTAATTTTTATATTTTTAGTAGAGATGGGGTTTCACCATGTTGTCCAGGCTGGTTTTGAACTCCTGATCTCAAATGATCTGCCCTCCTTGGCCTCCCAAAGTGCTGGGATTACAGGCGTGAACCACTGTGCCTGGCCTAAAAAATATTTTTAAAGACAGGATCTAGCTGTGTTGCCTCAGCTGGTCTTGAACTCCCAGTCTTGGCCTCAAGTGATCCTTCTGCCTCAGCCTTCTGAGTAGCTGGAAGCACAGCTGTGAGCCACCACACCTGGCTTTTTTTTATTTCTAATAAAAAATTAATAGAGTGTCTTGTTTCACTGGACAAAATACGCATATATAGGAAGGAAAGACTTTTGGACTTGAGATTGCGCTGAAGAAGAAAAATGGAAAAATTAGGCATTTTAGTCTCTCAGTATGTTATTTTTGTAGCTTATACAGATATGTCTTTTTAAAGTGTCTTTAAAAAGCTTTATTGAGATAAAGATAAATGAGATAAATTCACCTACCATGAAATCAACCCCTTGAGTGCAGAATTTTGTGGTTTATAATATATTCACAGAATCGCACAAACAAGACAGGTATCTAGATACTTTCAGACCATTTTCATCAGTCCACAAGAAATCCCATACCCATTAGCAGTCATCCTTATTCCCTTTTCCCCTAGTCCCTGGCAATAACTAGCCTACTTTCTGTCTCTGAGTTTAGCTCTTCTGGAGGTTTCACAGAATGAAATCTTACTACATATGGTCTTTTGTGATTGACTTATTTCACTTGGCACAGTGTTTTCAAGGTTTATCCATGCTGTAGCGTATATCAGCACTTCATTCTTTTTTAATGCTGAGTAATCTTTTGAATGGATATACCATATTTTATTAGTTCCTCTGTTGATAGGCACTTGAGTTTTTTTTCCAATTTTTGGCTATTATGAACAATGCTGCTATGAACATTTGTGTACAAATTTTAGTGTGGATGTATATTTTCATTTCCCTTGGGTATATCCCTAAGGAATAGACTATCTGGGTCATATGATAATTGTTTAAGACTACAGGCACGTGCCACCACACCTGGCAAATGTTTAAAAATTTTTTGTAGATAAAGGGTCTCGCTGTGATGCCCAGGCTGATCTTGAACTCCTGGCCTCAAGAGATCCTCTCACCTCAGCCTCCCAGAAAGTGTTGGGATTACAGATGTGAGTCACTGCACCTATAAAAGAGGCTCATACCTCTTTTTACATATTTTTTTTGAGACAGGGTTTCACTCTGTTGCCCAGGCTGGAGTGCAGTGGTGGGATCACAGCTCACTGCAGCCTGGACCTCCCTCCATATGATTCTAGCTGTGGGTGTCTTTCCTGTAGTTTTTATTATGTTGTGGTATGTTTCTTCTGTACCCGTTTCTTTGAGGATTAATAGCATGAAGGATGTTGAATTTCACCAAATGCTTTTTCAGTTTCAGTTGACATGATCATACTGTTTTTGTCATTTATTTGATTGATATGATGTATCACATTGTATGTTGAGTGACCCTTGCATCCCAGGGATACATCGCACTTGATCATGATGAATTATCTTTTTAATGTATTACTGAATTTGATTCACTGGTATTTTGTTGAGGATTTTTGCATCAATATTTGAAATACTGGCCTGTAGTTTCCTTCTTTGATGCCTTTGTCTGATTTTGGTATCACAGTAATAATGGTCTCATAGAATAAGTTTGGAAGTATTCCCTCCTGTTTTTCAAAATAGTTTGAGTAGGATTCGTACTAGGTCTTTAAATTGTTTGTTGTGAAGCCATCAGCAGTGAAGACATCAGTTCCTGGGCTTTTCTTTACTGGGAGACTTTTTCTGATGGCTTCAATCTCATTTCTTGTTACCAATCTGTTTTGGTCTTGGATGTTTTCATTATTCAACGTAAGTAGGTGTATACAACCTAAGTAGGTGTATTCCTAGATGTATGCATCTAGGAATTTGCCAATTTCTACTAGGCTTTCCAATTTATTGGCATATAATAGCCAGTTATGATCCTTTGAATTTCTGAAGTATTAGTTGTAATGTCTCCTTTTTTTTAATCTGTTGATTTTATTTATTTGAATCTTTTCTCTTTTTTCTTAGTTAGCCTGGTTAAAAGTTTGTCAATTTTGTTTAGCTTTCCAGAAAACCAACTTTTCATTTAATCATGTGTGTTTTTTATTTCAATTTTATTTCTGCTATGATCTTATTTATTTTCTTATTTTCGGTTTAGTTTGTTTTTACTTTAATAGTTCTTTAAGATGTACTGTTTATTTAAAGTTTTTCTTTTGTTTGGATGGTAGGCACTTATAGCTGTAAATCTCTGCCTTTGTACTGCTTTCTGCATAACAAGTTTTGGTATACTGTGTTTTCATTACCCTTTGTTTCATGAAATTTTTGAATTTCTGTCTTAGTATCTTCATTGACCCGCTAGTCATTTATTCAGGAGGGTAGTGTTTAACTTCCATGTGATTGTATTGTTTCCAAAATTACTCTTCTTATTGATACCTAGTTTTATTCCTTTGTAGTCAAAGAAGATGGCCACGGAGACAGCAGCGTGGTCAGAGTGGTAGGAGCCGGCCATCAGCGAGAGCTGCTCCATGCCTGGCTGCTGGGTGCTACAGCCTGTGGCCCATTGGCTTGCCTCACTGTGGTTGGTGGTGGCGGTGACAGAGACTGCAGCATGACCAAAGTGGTAGGACAGGGGCTATCCAGGGCTGCACCTTTCGCAGTGTGGGGTGGGTTGGGGGCGCTATCCAGGGTGTCATTGCCTGCATTAGGGGTACTGGTTGGTAGCACTGTACAGGGCTGCACTGCACATGGCAGGGAGGGTGGGTTATGGGCGCTTTCTGGGACTGCAATGCCCATGGAGAAGGACAGGTTAGGGCACTATCAGGTATACGCTACTGGTGGCATTGGGGGATGGAGGTGGGGGGAGCTATTGAGGGCAGGACTAGCCATGGAGAGGGGTGAGTTCAGTGCTATCAGGGGCTGCACTGCTGGCGGCGGTCAGCAGAGTTGGCATCCAAGGAAGGAGTGGTTCTCCTCTCCCTGACTCCACACTCCAGAGAGCGACCCACTCTTGGTCATACTGGGGTGCGGCAGGCGCACAGCGTTTGCGTGGGAATCCTGAGCATGGCAGAGCCCCCACACCCACCGTGGTTCCTGGGCCTGTGCACTCTGGGTCTGTGCCTCAGAGGCTGCCAGGCACCCCTGGGGACACCACGGGGGACAGGGCCCTGTGTGTGGAGGCGTCCGGAACAGGAATTGGCACCTGGGTGCTGAGGGCTGTCTGGGTCTGAATTTTTCTGCTTCTCCTACTCCCTGAGGAGTGCAGCCCTGGTGGGCCCAATGGTTCCTGTGGAGTGGGGAGCTGGGTGCTGTGGTGTCTCCAGCACCCACCCCAGACCCCAGTTCCTGGCCAGCTTGGGCCAAAGGGAGAGGCTGGACTTTGGAGGGTGGGTGTGAGTGCCTTTGCTGAAACTGGCCCCTGCCACCCAGTGGCCAGCATGACAAGGTGAGGCTCTAACCCTTCCACCCCTCACATCTTCCTCTAGGCTTTTCTGGCTTTGCCCGCCCAGCTGCTCCATGCCAGGAGGAGGAGGAGACACCTAGAGCCTGCGACACCACGGCTCGCCTCGCTGCGGGAGGGTGGCATCAACGGAGACTGCAGTGCACCAGAGTGGTAGGAGAGCGGCCGCACTAGGAGGGCAGGTGGCTGCAGCCAGGGTTGGGGGTCAGGCTTACAGCAATGGATGGGCTGCAGCAGTGGCCAGGTGGTAGGAGCCTTGTAGGGAGGGCTGGCGCATTGGCAATGGCTTTGCCCTGCCCATGCCGTGGATCTGACCCTGTACTGCCCTGCCTTGCCCTGTACCTGCCCTACTGTTACCTGGACTGTCTCGGCCCTGTCCTGCTCTGGTCCCATCCTGACCCTGTCTTGGCCCTGTGCTACCCTGTCCTTGCCCTGGTCTTGCCCTGGCACTGGCCCTGCCCTGAACCTGCCCTGGCCTGACCTTGGCTCCGGCCCTGGCTCTGGCCCTGCCCCTTGTCCTGACCCTGGTGCTGTCATGGCACTGGCCCTGCCAATGGTCATGGTCCTGCTCCTGTTCTGGCCCTGACCTGGCCTTGGACATGTCCTGGCCCTGCTTTGGCCCATCCCTGCCCTGGCCCCACCATAGGCCTGCCTGTTCTACCCTCTCCTGGCACTGACCTTGCCCTGTCATGGCCTAGTGGTGCCATTGCCCTGCCTTACCCTGCGCTGGTTGTGCCTTGGCCCCGCTTGGTGCTGGCCGCTCCCTGGACCTGCCCTGACCCTGCCTTGGCTTTTGCCCTGCCCTCACTATGGCCTGGCCCTGACCCTAGCCCTGGTCCTGCCATATCCCTGGCCCTGCCCTTATCCAGGCCCTGCCCCTGCTGCTGCCCTGGCCCTGGCCTGGAACCTGGTCCTGTCAAGGACCTGCCCTGACTCTGCCATGGCCCTGGCCCTGCTCTGCCTTGTTCCTGGCCCTGACCCAGACCCAGACCCTTTCCTGGCTCTGCACTGGCCTTTCCGTGGTCCTGAGCTGGCAGTGGTCTGCCCCTGGTCTTGCCATCACCCTGCCCTGCTGTGCTCTGGATGTGTCATCACCCTGACCTGGCCCTACTCTGCCTTTGACCCTGCCCTGGCCTTACCTTGGCCCTCACCCTAGTCTTCGCTAGGCCCTGCTCTGGAGCTGGCCCTAGCACAGACCTGGCCCTGACCCTGGCCCTGGTCTTTGTCCTGCCATAGCCCTGGCCCTGAAGTGAACTTCGAGGTGTCCTGGCCCCGGCGTAACATAGCTCTGCATTGGCATGTCCCTGCCCTGCCGCTACCATCGCCTTGCCCTGCTCTGCCCTGTCCCAGTACTGACCTGGCCATGCTATTTCCCTGCCCTACCCTGCCTTGGCTGTGCCCTGGCTCGGTTCTGGCCCTGGCCCCGGCCCTGCCCTGCCCTGGACATGCTCTGACACTGCCTCAGCCTCGGCACTAGCCTGGCTCTTCTTTGGCATCAGCTCTGCTCTCTGTGTGGACCGGCTCTTGTCCTGTCCTGCACTGGCCATACCATGCCCTGCCCTGCCCTGCCCGACTCAGCCCTGGCTCAGCCCTGGCCCAGCCTTGGCCTTGGCATTGCCCCTGGTCCTGCCATATTTCTTGCCCTGTCCCTACCCTGGCCTTGGCCCTGACCCTTACCTTGCCCTGGCCCTGCCCTTGCCCTAACGCAGCCCCTGGCCCTGTCATGGCCCTGCCCTGGACCTGTCCTGGCCCTGGCCCTTCCCTGCTTGAGACCTTGCCCTGGTTCTCCCCTGGCCCTGACCCTGAAATGCCTGGCCCTACCCTGGCCTTGCACTGCTCTGGCCCTTGCCCTGACTCTGGTCCTGTCACTGGCCTAGCCCCAGCCCTGTTGCTGGTCTTACCGTGGCCCAGACCCTGCCTTGGCCCTTCCCTGACACTGTCCTGGACCCTGGCTGTGCCAAGATCCTGCACTGACCGTGTCCTTGTTTTGCTCCTGCCCCAAACCTGGTCCTGCCCAGGCCATGGCCATGGCCCTGGCCCTGGCCCTGCCCTGGCTGTTCCCTGGCCCTGCCCTGCCTTGGCCCTATGCTTTCCTGGCCCTGTCTTGCCTGTCCTGGCCCTGCCTTGGCCCTAGCCTGGCTTTGACCCTGCCCTGGCCCTACCTTGGCCTTCACCCTAGCCTTACCTGGCCACTCTGTTGGACCTGGCCATAGCACAGACCTGGTTGTGGCCCTGGCCCTGCCATGGCCCTGTCCCAGACCCTAGCCCTGCCAGGTACCTGTCCTGGCCCAGCTCTGGGCCTGGCTTTGTCCCTGGTTCTTAGATGAACCTGGCCCTGCACCTGCCCTTGCCCTTGCCCTGGCACTGGCCTTGGACACGTCCGTGGTCCTAACCCTGGCCCTGCCCTGGAGCTGCCACTGTCTTGGCCCTGCCCTGGCTCTGGCCCTGCCCCGGCCCTGGCCCTGCCCCGGCCCCAGCCATAGACCTGCCCTGGTTGGTCATGCCCTACCTTAACCCTGTGCAACCCTGGGCCTGCTCCACCCTGCCCTGGCCCTGCCCTCCCTTTGGCCCTGCCATGACCCTGCCTTGGCCCTCACACTGGCCCTAGCACAGACCTGGTCCTATCTGTGGCCTTAGCCTGGCATTGACCCCTGCTCCTGACCCTGGCCCTGCCATGGCCCTTGCCCTGCCAATGACCCTGACAGCCCTGGCCCTGGCCCTGTCTTGGCCTTGGCCCTGAACTGGCCCTGCCCTGACCCTGGCCCTGAAGTGGATTTGCAGGTGTCTTGTCCATGATTTAACCTGGTCTTATCATGGCCCTGTCCCTCCCCTGGCTCTGTCCTGGTCTTGTGCTGACCCTGACCCAGACCTTGGCCCTGCCCCAGCCTTGTCCTTGACCTGGCCATGGCCCTGCCTCTGCCCTGGACCAGCGCTGGCACTGGCATGGACCCTGGCCCTGGCCGTTCACTACTTAAGGCCATACCCTGGCCCAGCCCTGGTCCTGACCCTGTCCTGGCCCTAATTTGGCCTGGCTCTATCCTGGCATGCTATTCTGGCCCTGGCCCTGACCCGGCCCCTGTCCCTGTCCTGGCCCCAGCCCCATTGCTGGTCCTGCCATGGCCCTTGTTCTGACATTGCCCTTTCCTGGTTCTGGCCCTGGTCTGAACCCTGGCCCTGCAATAGACCTGCCTTGGTCCTGCCCAGACCCTGGCTCGGGCCCTACCTCTGCCCTGGCCATACCCTTGCCCTGGCCTGGACCTCGGTCCTGGTCCTTGTCCTGCCCCAGCCATGGTCCTGGCCCTGCCCTGCCTGTGCCCTGTTCTATCCTGGGCTGGCCCTGCCATGGCCTGGTCTTGCCATTGCCCTGCCTTAGCCTGCCCTGCTTGTGCCCTAGATCTGCCCCGGCCTTTGTCCCGTCTTGGTTCTAGCCTTGACGCAGCCCTGGACCTTCCCTGACCTTGCCTTAGCCCTGGCACTACCCTGGCCTTGGCTTGGCATTTGCCCTACTCTATGGCCTGGCTCTCGTCCTGCCCTTATGCAGGCCTGACCCTGCCTGTGCCTTGGCTTTGGCCTGGACCTTGGCCATACAGTGACCCTGCCATGACCCTTTCCTGGCCCTGGCCTGGAACCTGGCCCTGCCAAGGACTTGCCCTGGCTCTGTCATGGCCCTGGCCCTTTTCTGGATTTGGATGTGTCCTGTCCCTTATTTCCCCAGCGCTTCCCTGGCTCTGCCATACCCCTTCTCTGGGGTAGGGCCAGGGTCAGGACCAGGGTAGGGCCATGGTAAGGCCTGAAGATGGGAAGGGCCAAGGCAGCGGCAGGACCAGGGAAGGGTCAGGGCCAGGAATGTGGTAGGACTAGGGGCAGAGCCGGTACTAGGGCTGAGCCGGGGCAGAGCAGGAGAGATTACGTTAGGCTGTTATGTAAAATTTTTATTTTAGATTTTTAAGATAACTACAGTAGTAGTAATAATGTCTATACTATGTTGTTTGTAATAGTAATAATATTTGCAGTAAATAATCACTAAATTTTAACTAATACTATCTTTGCTTCCAGTAGTATTCTATGAGTATAATTTTATCAATATGTAAATATGTGAGGCATTGATTCTCACAATAATTCTACATGCTAGGTACTTAAAGCATCCCCATTTTCCAAATGTAGGAAACAGCCATAAAGAAGTTAAATACTTGGCCAGATTACTCCTGTAATCCCAGCACTTTGGGAGGCCAAGGCAGGCAGATGGCTTGAGCTCAGGAGTTTGGAACCAGCCTGGGCAACATTGTGAAACCCCATCTCTACTAAAAATGCACAAAAAGAGCTGATTTAAGTTTCTTGTAGGATTCTGGTTATAAAACACTGGTCAAACACACAGGGCATGGATAGGGCAGGGCCAGGGACAAGGTCAGGCCAGGAAGGGGCCAGGGCCAAGGCAGGGCCAGAGCTGGACTTGGAGGTGTCCTGGTCTGATTTGCCCTGCCCCAACGTTGGCCCAGCCCTGCTCTGGCACTTCCTGTCATGCCCTGTCCCTGGCCTGAGCATTGGCCCTGTCCCTGTCCTGCTTCTGGCCCTGCCCCGGAGTTGACCAGGCACTACCATGGCCCAGTCCTGCGTTGCCCTGCCCTCCTCTGCCCTGGCGCTGCCATGGCCCTGCTTGGGCCCTAGCTCTGCCTCGACTCTGGACCTGCCCTGACTCTGCTCAGCCCTGGATCTACCCTGACTCTGCCTTGGTGTTGCCCTCCCATCTCTATGGCCTGGCTCTGGCCGTGCCTTGCACAGGCCATGCTCTGCCCTGCATGTCCCAGCCTGGGCCCAGCCCTTGTCCTACCATATTCCTGACCCCAGCCGTACCCTTGTTCTGGCCTTGACCCTGCCGTGGCCCTCTCCTGGCCCTTCCTTGGTCCTGCCCTGCCCTTCCATGCCCTGGCCTTGCCCTCACCCTGCATTGGCCCTGCACTGGTCCTGCCTTGCCCTGGCACTGCTTTGGCCCCGGCCCTGCCTTCTCCCTGGCCTTGCTCTTGCCCTGCCCTGGCCTGACCCCAGGCCTACCGAGTCCATGAAATGGCCCTGGCCCTGCCTTGCCATCGTCTGTCCTGGCCCTGTATTGTCCCCACCATGCTCTGGTCCAGCACTTACCCTGGCCCTGTTGCTAGTCCTGCCACTGCTATGGCCCTGCCCTGTGCTACCCTAGCCCTGCCCTGCCTTGGCCCTACCGTGGCCTTCTCCTACCCTGGCCTGGCCCTACACTAGCCTTTTCTACCCTGGCCTTGCCCTTCCCTGGTCTTGCCCTGCCCTGGCCTTGCCCTGCCCTGGCCTTGGCTTTGCCTTATCCTGGTCCTGGTTCTGCCCTGGCCCTGCTCTTGCTCTGGATCCTCTCTGGTTTTGCCTTCTCCCTGGCCCTGCCCCTGGCCCAGTCTTGACCCTGGCCCTGGCCCTGGCCCTGGCCCTGACAATCCCCAGGCCCCACACTGGCCATGCTTGGCCCTGGCCCCTCCTTTGGCCCTGCACTGGCCCTGTGCTCTCTTAGTCCTACCCTGGCCCTGAACTCGCCCTGGCCCTACCCTCACCCTACACTGGCCCTGCCCTACCCTGACCTTGCCCTGGCCTGGCCCTGCCTTTGGCCTGCCCTGGCTCTGGTTCTGCCCTGGCGTTGCCCTTGCCCTGGACCCTCCCTGGCCATGTTTTTTCCATGGTCCTTCTCTGGCCTTGCCCTTGCCCTGTCCCCTTTCTGGTCCTGCCATGTTTCTGGCCCTGCCCTGTCCATGTCCTGGACCTGACTCTGGCCCTGGACCTCCCTGTCCCTGCCCTGCCATACTCTGGCCCATTCTTGCTCTACACTGACCCTGCCCTGCCTTGGCCCTGTGCTACCCTAGCCCTGCCCTGGCCTTCTGCTGACCCTGATCCTGCCATGGCCCTGGCCCTGCCATGTCCCTGCCCTGGCCCTGGTTCTGCCCTACTTCTGGCCCTGGCCTTGGTCCTCTCATGTCCCTGGCTATGACCCTGCCCCTGGTTTTTCTCTGTCCATGACCTTGCCCTGGCTCTGTCCTATCCCTGGCCCTGTCTCAGTTCTGTCCTAGCCCTGGCCTTTCACAGTACTTTATGCTTAGTAAGGGCTCCATGGTGTCTGTGAGTTGAATGTTGTGTTCATAGTATCTGCCAAAACAGAAAGAAAAAAAAATCTGATGATGAGAAGTTAAAGCTTTGTATATAATATGCCTTGAATTGTAAGTGCTTGTTATTAGTTGTATTACATATAGGTCATGGTTTTGTACACATAACTCCAAACCATTGATACTGTTAAAAGAGTATATGAATATATGAAAGAATGTATAAACATAAGAATGTATGAGTATCTAATGACATTTCCAAATTAATTTATATTTTTAGCTCTATTAGATTTTTCTCAGTGTAACAAATGTTTATTCCTATGTAATTAAGGGCGTATTTCCTGTACAGAGTATTCATATTACCTAATTGAAAATTATATAATACAAAAATATAATATTATTTTTAGGCCAGGCATGGTGGCTCATACCTGTAATCCCAACATTTTGAGAGGCCAAGTTGGGAGAATCATTTGAGTCCAGGAGTTGACCAGCCTGGGCCACATATTGAGACCTTTTCTTTATTAAATAAATAAATAAATAAATAGGTTGGGCACTGTGGCTCATATCTGTAATCCCAGCATTTTGGGTTGCAAAGGCAGGAGGATTGCTTGAGCCCAGGAGTTTGAGACCAGCCTGGGCAGAATAGCAAGACTCCATCTCTACAAATAATAAAATATTAACCAGGTGTGGTGGTGCGCACCTGGGGTCCCGGCCACCCGGGAGGCTAAGGTGGGAGGTTTGCTCAAGGCTGCAGTGAACTGTGAATGCACCACTGCATTGCAGCCTAGGCCACAGAACAGGACCTTGTCTATAAATAAAGAAATAAGTAAAAACATAAATAAAAATAAGTAAAAAGAAATATAAGTAAATATAAATATAAATACATGTAAATATACAAATGAATACATGAAAACAATTTTTAAATTTAACATCACTGAGGGCATCCTATCCATTTCATGATTCCATTACGTCATTTCACTTAGATGAAATGATAATATGACTTGAGATGAGATGAAATGACTAAATGATGAGATGAGATGAAATGATGAGATGAAATTTTGAGATGAAATGGTGAGTAGAAATGATGAGATTAAATGATGAGACAAAATGACAAAATTGAAAAGAAATTGAAAGGAGATGAGATGAGATGAAATGAGATGAAATGATGAGATGATGGATGAAATGATGAGATGAAACGAGATGAAATGATGAGAAGAAATGATGAGATGAAATGAAATGAAAAAATGAAATGATATGAAATAATGAAATTGAAATGAGATGAGATGATATAATGAGATAAAATGATGAGATGAAATGAGATGAATGATGAGATGAAATGATGAGATGATAAAATGAAATGAGATGAAATGAGATGAAAAATGATGAGATGAAAAATGAGATGAAATGAGATGAAATAATGAAATGAGATGCAATGAAATAATGAAATTATGAAATGTAATGATGAAATTGAAATGAGATGAGATGAAATGATGAAGTGAGATGAGATGAAATGAGATGAAATGATGAGATGAAATGAGATGATGAGATGAGATGAGATGAAATGAGATGAAATGAGATGTAATGAAATGAGATGAAATGAAATGACATAATGAAATGCAATAATGAAATGAGATGAAATGAAATAATGAAATGATGAAATAAAATGATGAAATAAATGGAAATGAAATGGAAATGATGAGATGAGCAGAAATGATGAGATGAAATGATGAAATGATGAGATGAGATGAAATGATGAGATGAAATGAGATTAAATGATGAGATTAAATGATGAGATGAGATGTGATGAAGTGAGATGAAATGATGACATGATATGATAACATGAAATCAGATGAAATAATGAGATGAAATGATGAGATGAGATGAAATGTGACGAGATGAAATGACAATGAAATGAAATAAATGAAATGATGAAATGGAATAATGAAATGGAAATGATGAGATGAGATGCAATGAGTTGAAATGATGAGATGAAATGATGAAATGATGAGATGAAAAGATGAGATGAGATGAGATGTGATGAAATGATGACACGAAATGATGACATAAAATGAGATGAGACGAAATGATGAGATGAGATGAAATGGTGAGATAAAATGATATGAAATGAGATGAAATGATGAGATGAGATGAGATGATGAGATGAACTGATGAAATGAAATGAAATAATGAGATGAAATAATGAAATGAAATTGAAATAAATTTGAGATGAGATGAGATGATGAGATGAAATGATGAGATGAACTGATGAAATGAAATGAAATAATGAGATGAAATAATGAAATGAAATTGAAATAAAATTGAGATATGAAATGAGATGAAATGATAAGATGAAATTATGAAATAAAATGATGAAATGATGAGATGTGATGAGATGAAATGATGAGATGAGATGACATGAAATAATGAAATGAAATTGAAATGAGATGAGAAGATACGAGATGAGATGAAATGATGAGATGAAATGATGAAATGATGAGATAAGATGAAATGAGTTGATGAGATGATGAGATGAAATGATGAAATGATGAGATGAAATGAGTTGATGAAATGATGAGATAAGATGAAATGAGTTGATGAGATGATGAGATGAAATGAGATGAAAAGATGAGATGAAATGATATGAAATGAAATTAGATGAAATGTAATGAGATGAAATGAAATGACATAATGAAATGAAAAAATGAAATGAAATAATGAAATGAGGTGAAATTAAATGAGATGATGAAATTAAATGATGAAATAATGAAATGGAAATGAAATGGAAATGATGAGATGAGATGAATAATGTGATGAAATGAGATGAAATGATGAGATGAAATGAGACGAGATGTAATGATGAGAGGAAATGATGAGATGTAATGAAATGAGATGAAATGAATGAGATGAAATGAAATAATTAAAGGAAATTGAATTGAGATGAGATGAGATGAAATGATGAGATAAAATGAGATGAAATAAATGATGAGATGAAATGACGAAATGCTGAGGTGAGATGAGATGAAATGAGATGAAATGATGAGCTGAAAGGATGAGGTGAAATGATGAGATGAAATGATGAGATGAGGTGAGATGAGATGAAATGAGATGAAATGATGAAATGATGAGATGAGATGAGAAGAAATGAGATGAAATGAGATAAGATGAGATGAAATGATGAGATGAGATGAGATGAAATGAAGTGAAATGAAATGAAATAATGAAATTGAAATGAGATGAGATGAAATGAGATAAAATGATGAAATGAAATGATGAAATGAGATGAAATGATGAGATGAGATGATGAGATTAAATGATGAGATGAAAAATGATGAGATAAAATGATGAGATGAATTGAAATGAGATGAAATGAAATAATGAAATGAGATGAAATGAAATGATGAAATGATGGTATTGAAATGAAATTGAAAGATGAGATGAGATGAAATATGAAATGTTGAAATGAAATGATGAAATGAAGAGATGTGGTGAGATGAAATGATGAGCTGAAATGATGAGATGAAATGAAATGAGATTAAATGAGATGAAAAATGATGAGATGAAAAATGATGAGATAGGGAGGAGCCAAGATGGCCAAATAGGAACAGCTCCGGTCTACAACTCCCAGCGTGAGCGACGCAGAAGACGGGTGATTTCTGCATTTCCATCTGAGGTACCAGGTTCATCTCACTAGGGAGTGCCAGACAGTGGGTGCAGGTCAGTGGGTGCGCGCACCGTGCACGTGCCAAAGCAGGGCGAGGCATTCCCTCACTTGGGAAGCGCAAGGGGTCAGGGAGTTCCCTTTCTGAGTCAAAGAAAGGGGTGATGGATGGCACCTGGAAAATTGGGTCACTCCCACCCGAATACTGCACTTTTCCAACGGGCTTAAAAAACGGCGCACCACGAGATTATATCCCGCACCTGGCTCGGAGGGTCCTACGCCCACGGAGTCTCGCTGATTGCTAGCACAGCAGTCTGAGATCAAACTGCAAGGCGGCAGTGAGGCTGGGGTAGGGGCGCCTGCCGTTGCCCAGGCTTGCTTAGGTAAACAAAGCAGCCGGAAAGCCCGAACTGGGTGGAGCCCACCACAGCTCAAGGAGGCATGCCTGCCTCTGTAGGATCGACCTCTTGGGGCAGGGCACAGACAAACAAAAAGACAGCAGTAACCTTTGCAGACTTAAATGTCCCTGTCTGACAGCTTTGAAGAGAGCAGTGGTTCTCCCAGCACACAGCTGGAGGTCTGAGAACGGGCAGACTGCCTCCTCAAGTGGGTCCCTGACCCCTGACCCCCAAGCAGCCTAACTGGGAGGCTCCCCCCAGCAGGGGCACACTGACACCTCACACAGCAGGGTACTCCAACAGACCTGCAGCTGAGGGTCCTCTCTGTTAGAAGGAAAACGAACAGAAAGGACATCCACACCAAAAACCCATCTGTACATCACCATCATCAAAGACCAAAAGTAGATAAAACCACAAAGATGGGGAAAAAACAGAACAGAAAAACTGGAAACTCTAAAAAGCAGAGCACATCTCCTCCTCCAAAGGGACGCAGTTCCTCACCAGCAACGGAACAAAGCTGGATGGAGAATGACTTTGACGAGCTGAGAGAAGAAGGCTTCAGACGATCAAATTACTCTGAGCTACGGGAGGACATTCAAACCAAAGGCAAAGAAGTTGAAAGCTTTGAAAAAAATTTAGAAGAATGTATAACTAGAATAACCAATACAGAGAAGTGCTTAAAGGGGCTGATGGAGCTGAAAACCAAGGCTCGAGAACTACGAGAAGAATGCAGAAGCCTCAGGAGCCGATGCGATCAACTGGAAGAAAGGGTATCAGCGATGGAAGATGAAATGAATGAAATGAAGCGAGAAGGGAAGTTTAGAGAAAAAAGAATAAAAAGAAATGAGCAAAGCCTCCAGGAAATATGGGACTATGTGAAAAGACCAAATCTACGTCTGATTGGTGTACCTGAAAGTGATGGGGAGAATGGAACCAAGTTGGAAAACACTCCGCAGGATATTATCCAGGAGAACTTCCCCAATCTAGCAAGGCAGGCCAACATTCAGATTCAGGAAATACAGAGAACGCCACAAAGATACTCCTCGAGAAGAGCAACGTCCAGACACATAATTGTCAGATTCACCAAAGTTGAAATGAAGAAAAAAATGTTAAGGGCAGCCAGAGAGAAAGGTCGGGTTACCCTCAAAGGGAAGCCCATCAGACTAACAGCGGATCTCTCAGCAGAAACTCTACAAGCCAGAAGAGAGTGGGGGCCAATATTCAACATTCTTAAAGAAAAGAATTTTCAACCCAGAATTTCATATCCAGCCAAACTAAGCTTCATAAGTGAAGGAGAAATAAAATACTTTACAGACAAGCAAATGCTGAGAGATTTTGTCACCACCAGGCCTGCCTTACAAGAGCTCCTGAAGGAAGCACTAAACATGGAAAGGAACAACCGGTACCAGTCACTGCAAAATCATGCCAAAATGTAAAGACCATCGAGACTAGGAAGAAACTGCATCAACTAATGAGCAAAATAACCAGCTAACATCATAATGACATGATCAAATTCACACATAACAATATTAACTTTAAATGTAAATGGACTAAATGCTCCAATTAAAAGACACAGACTGGCAAATTGGATAAAGAGTCAAGACCCATCAGTGTGCTGTATTCAGGAAACCCATCTCACATGCAGAGACACACATAGGCTCAAAATAAAAGGATGGAGGAAGATCTAACAAGCCAATGGAAAAGAAAAAAAAAGGCAGGGGTTGCAATCCTAGTCTCTGATAAAACAGACTTTAAACCAACAAAGATCAAAAGAGACAAAGAAGGCCATTACATAATGGTAAAGGGATCAATTCAACAAGAAGAGCTAACTATCCTAAATATATATGCACCCAATACAGGAGCACCAAGATTCATAAAGCAAGTCCTGAGTGACCTACAAAGAGACTTAGACTCCCACACATTAATAATGGGAGACTTTAACACCCCACTGTCAATATTAGAGAGATCAACGAGACAGAAAGTCAACAAGGATACCCAGGAATTGAACTCAGCTCTGCACCAAGCAGACCTAATAGACATCTACAGAACTCTCCACCCCAAATCAACAGAATATACATTTTTTTCAGCACCACACCACACCTATTCCAAAATTGACCACATACTGGGAAGTAAAGCTCTCCTCAGCAAATGTAAAAGAACAGAAATTATAACAAACTATCTCTCAGACCACAGTACAATCAAACTAGAACTCAGGATTAAGAATCTCACTCAAAACCGCTCAACTACATGGAAACTGAACAACTTGCTCCTGAATGACTACTGGGTACATAACGAAATGAAGGCAGAAATAAAGATGTTCTTTGAAACCAACGAGAACAAAGACACAACATACCAGAATCTCTGGGACGCATTCAAAGCAGTGTGTAGAGGGAAATTTATAGCACTAAATGCCCACAAGAGAAAGCAGGAAAGATCCAAAATTGACACCCTAACATCACAATTAAAAGAACTAGAAAAGCAAGAGCAACCACATTCAAAAGCTAGCACAAGGCAAGAAATAACTAAAATCAGAGCAGAACTGAAGGAAATAGAGACACAAAAAACCCTTCAAAAAATTAATGAATCCAGGAGGTGTTTTTTTGAAAGGATCAACAAAATTGATAGACCGCTAGCAAGACTAATAAAGAAAAAAAGAAGAGTCAAATAGACGCAATAAAAAATGATAAAGGGGATGTCACCACCGATCCCACAGAAATACAAACTACCATCACAGAATACTACAAACACCTCTACGCAAATAAACTAGAAAATCTAGAAGAAATGGATAAATTCCTCAACACATACACTCTCCCAAGACTAAACCAGGAAGAAGTTGAATCTCTGAATAGACCAATAACAGGAGCTGAAATTGTGGCAATAATCAATAGCTTACCAACCAAAAAGAGTCCAGGACCAGATGGATTCACAGCCGAATTCTACCAGAGGTACAAGGAGGAACTGGTACCATTCCTTCTGAAACTATTCCAATCAATAGAAAAAGAGGGAATCCTCCCTAACTCATTTTATGAGGCCAGCATCATTCTGATACCAAAGCCAGGCAGAGACACAACCAAAAAAGAGAATTTTAGACCAATATCCTTGATGAACATTGATGCAAAAATCCTAAATAAAATACTGGCAAAACGAATCCAGCAGCACATCAAAAAGCTTATCCACCATGATCAAGTGGGCTTCATCCCTGGGATGCAAGGCTGGTTCAATATACGCAAATCAATAAATGTAATCCAGCATATAAACAGAGCCAAAGACAAAAACCACATGATTATCTCAATAGATGCAGAAAAAGCCTTTGACAAAATTCAACAACCCTTCATGCTAAAAACTCTCAATAAATTAGGTATTGATGGGATGTATTTCAAAATAATAAGAGCTATCTATGACAAACCCACAGCCAATATCATACTGAATGGGCAAAAACTGGAAGCATTCCCTTTGAAAACTGGCACAAGACAGGGATGCCTTCTCTCACCACTCCTATTCAACATAGTGTTGGAAGTTCTGGCCAGGGCAATCAGGCAGGAGAAGGAAATAAAGGGTATTCAATTAGGAAAAGAGGAAGTCAAATTGTCCCTGTTTGCAGACGACATGATTGTATATCTAGAAAAGCCCATTGTCTCAGCCCAAAATCTCCTTAAGCTGATAAGCAACTTCAGCAAAGTCTCAGGATACAAAATCAATGTACAAAAATCACAAGCATTCTTATACACCAGTAACAGACAAACAGAGAGCCAAATCATGGGTGAACTCCCATTCACAATTGCTTCAAAGAGAATAAAATACCTAGGAATCCAACTTACAAGGGATGTGAAGGACCTCTTCAAGGAGAACTACAATCCACTGCTCAAGGAAATAAAAGAGGATACAAACAAAGGGAAGAACATTCCATGCTCATGGGTAGGAAGAATCAATATCGTGAAAATGGCCATACTGCCCAAGGTAATTTACAGATTCAATGCCATCCCCATCAAGCTACCAATGACTTTCTTCACAGAATTGGAAAAAACGACTTTAAAGTTCATATGGAACCAAAAAAGAGCCCGCATCACCAAATCAATCCTAAGCCAAAAGAACAAAGCTGGAGGCATCACACTACCTGACTTCAAACTATACTACAAGGCTACAGTAACCAAAACAGCATGGTACTGGTACCAAAACAGAGATACAGATCAATGGAACAGAACAGAGCCCTCAGAAATAACGCCGCATATCTACAACTATCTGATCTTTGACAAACCTGAGAAAAACAAGCAATGGGGAAAGGATTCCCTATTTAATAAATGGTGCTGGGAAAACTGGCTAGCCATATGTAGAAAGCTGAAACTGGATCCCTTCCTTACACCTTATACAAAAATCAATTCAAGATGGATTAAAGACTTAAACGTTAGACCTAAAACCATAAAAACCCTAGAAGAAAACCTAGGCATTACCATTCAGGACATAGGCATGGGCAAGGACTTCATGTCTAAAACACCAAAAGCAATGGCAACAAAAGCCAAAATTGACAAATGGGATCTAATTAAACTAAAGAGCTTCTGCACAGCAAAAGAGATTACCATCAGAGTGAACAGGCAACCTACAAAATGGGAGAAAATTTTTGCAACCTACTCATCTGACAAAGGGCTTGATATCCAGAATCTACAATGAAGTCAAACAAATTTACAAGAAAAAAACAAACAACCCCATCAAAAAGTGGGCGAAGGACATGAACAGACACTTCTAAAAAGAAGACATTTATGCAGCCAAAAAACACATGAAAAAATGCTCATCATCACTGGCCATCAGAGAAATGCAAATGAAAACCACAATGCGATACCATCTCACACCAGTTAGAATGGCAATCATTAAAAAGTCAGGAAACAACAGGTGCTGGAGAGGATGTGGAGAAATAGGAACACTTTTACACTGTTGGTGGGACTGTAAACTAGTTCAACCATTGTGGAAGTCAGTGTGGCGATTCCTCAAGGATCTAGAACTGGAAATACCAATTGACCCAGCCATCCCATTACTGGGTATATACCCAAAGGACTATAAATCATGCTGCTATAAAGACACATGCACACGTATGTTTATTGCGGCATTATTCACAATAGCAAAGACTTGGAACCAACCCAAATGTCCAACAATGATAGACTGGATGAAGAAAATGTGGCACATATACACCATGGAATACTATGCAGCCATAAAAAATGATGAGTTCATGTCCTTTGTAGGGACATGGATGAAATTGGAAATCATCATTCTCAGTAAACTATCGCAAGAACAAAAAACCAAACACCACATATTCTCACTCATAGGTGGGAATTGAACAATGAGATCACATGGACACAGGAAGGGGAATATCACACTCTGGGGACTGTGGTGGGGTGGGGGGAGGGGGGAGGGATAGCATCGGGAGATATACCTAATGCTAGATGACGAGTTAGTGGGCGCAGCGCACCAGCATGGCACATGTATACATATGTAACTAACCTGCACAATGTGCACATGTACCCTAAAATTTAAGTATAATAAAAAAAAAGAAAAAAGAAAAATGTTGAGATTAAATGCGATGAGACGAATTGAGATGATATGAAATAATGAAACTAGGTGAAATAATGAAATGAGATGAAACGAAATAATGAAATGAAATTGAAATGAGATGAGAAGAAATGAGATGAAATGTTGAAATGAAAGGAAGAAATGATGAGATGAGATGAAATGATGAGATGAAAAATTATGAGATGAAAATATGAGATGAAATGAAATGAGATGATATGAAATGACATAATGAAATAAATGAGATTAGATGAAATGAAATGAAATAGTGAAATGAAATGATGAAAATGAAATGGAGATGAGATTTGATGAAATGATGAGATGATATGATGAGATGGGATGGGATGAGATAAAATGATGAGATGAAATGATGAGATGATGAGATGAAATGATGAGGTGAAGTGATGCACTGTCACGTGTGTGTCTATTCTTTTTCCCAACCAACAAAAATTATAATTCATTAATTTTAATTTTATTTAACAATACTCTTAAGAGTTGAAGGAAAAATATTATCTACATTATGGGTTACAATCTAAGTATAAATAATACATAAATATATTAAAACTTACAAAGAATATGTTTTGGAATCGAATATACCATGCTTCTGTGATGACAGTTATTTCATGCTGGTTGTCACAATTTTACGTGAAAAACTAATGAAAAAATGTTTTTAACTGTTTCTAAAAATAAGTTTCCAAAACAGTTTTACATTCGAAATATGAAAAAGATGTCTTTGTGTTCCTTAATCTGATGAGATTTTCACACTCTGCACATGATAATTGTTAGATTTTTATTGTGTTGATAAATTGTATATCAAATAAAAAATGTTATTACCTCTTAAATTAGGATTTTTAGGTGATATAGGCAGAAAGGAAGGCAAGTTTTTATAACTTTGTCTAAATGAACTTTCTAAATGCCTGAGTATGAAAAGATAGCATGTCTATAAATCACAATGTATATATTACTGTATGACCTAGGACCAATCAAAACTGTTATCTCTGATAACATTATATTGTGCCCAATATAAAATAGATATGATAATACCTCAAACTTCAATCTAGGCATTGTCATTGAATATCTTAAGAATATGCAGCAGAGGTGCTTTTAAAAATACAAGCTAGTGATTGTACTAAATTTGTAAATCACATAGGATAGTGGGTCATTTTAAGAATATTAGTTATTTCAATCTATAAACTTGGATGTCTTTCCTTTTTTGTGTTTTCTTTAATTTCTTTCATTAATATTTGTCATTTTTGTTGTCAAAATCTTTTACTTCCTTGGTTAAATTTATAAGTACATTTTTGTAGCTATTGTAAAAGGATTTGCTTTCTTAATTTCTTGTTTCAGCTAGTTTACTATCAATATATAGAAATGCTACTGATTTAAACAGGGACAATTTGACTGTCTCCTTTCCAATTCAGATGTCCTTTATTTCTTTCTCTCACCTAATTGTCCTGGCTAAGACTTTCACTATGTGAAATATGATTGGTGAGAATAGGCATCCTTTTCTTGTTCTAGTAAAATCTTTTTCTTGTTCACAGTAAAATCTTTCACCTTTTCCACACTCAGTATGATCTTAGTTGTAGATTTGTCCTTTATGTCCTTCTGTGTTAAGGCATATATTTTCTATACTAAATTGTTGAGAGGTTTTTTGTCATTCAAGAATATTTAATTTTGCCAAATGCTTTTATTGTGTTTATTAATTTAATCATATGGTTTTCAGTATATATCCAAAGAAAAGAAAATCAGTATATCAAAGAGTTAGCTGCACCCCCATGTTTATTACAGCACTATTCACAATAGCCAAGATATGGAATCGACAAAAGTGTCCATCAACAGATGAATGGATAAAGAAATGTGACATACATATATAATGGAATATTATTTAGTCATAATAAAGAAGAAAATCTTGTTATTTGTGGCAACAAGAATGCAAGTGGAGGGCATTATGTTAGGTGAAATAAGCCTGGCATAGAAACATAAACACCACATAACTACGTGTACTCACTTATGTATGGAAGCTAAAATTTTTAATCTCATAGAAGTAGATAGTAGAGTTTTGGTTACCATATCCTGGAAAGAGTAGGAGAAAGAAGAGTATAAGAAAACTGTGGTTAATACATACAAAATTACAGCTGGAGAGAAGGAAGAAGTTCTAATTCTCTACAGCACTGTTGGGTGACTGTAGTTAATGGGAATTTATTGTGTGTTTTCAAATAACTAAAATAAAAGATTTTGAATATTCTCACTGCAAAGAAATAATACATGATTTAGGTAATGGATATGATAATGACTCTGACTTGATCTTTACGCATTGCATAAATATATCAAAATATCACTCTGTACCCCATAACATGTACATTTATTATATGTCAATTAAAATAAATTTAAAAGACAAAAAATGAGGTAAAGGTAAATGTACAGAATTTAATTACTTCTTCTTCTATAAAACCCGAGTCAGTACCAAGAAGAGTCAATTTATTAGTTTTCTAAAATAAAAAAAAAATCAAAATGACCAAAAAAGAGCAATATCCAAGAAAACATTGAAAATGAAACACAACATTTAGTAAGAATGGAAAACTTGGGCACTGTATCACCCTGTTCCTAGATACCGATTTACTGATGGCCATTTAAATAGAATTTTATTCTATCTAATTCATTTATACTCCCAGAGTTCGAAATTACGTTTTACCTACAATAAATGAGATAACACCTGTAAATTATATGGTACTCTGCCTAACACACGTTAATAACTCAATACATGTTAGCAATAAACTTTTAGTATAGCAGTCAAAGTATTAATTTCTCACATTGCAATTTCCTTCAAAGACATGAATACAACCTTTCTAATGACTCCTTGTTCATCAAGATACCTCTTCAAATTATTCTATTTATTTCATTCAGTATATTATCTGTGTATACCGATATGATATTACACTTTTTTTTTTTGAGATGGAATCTCATTCTGTTACTGATGCTGGAGTGAGGTGGCATGATCTCGGTTCACTGCAACCTCCACCTCCCAGGTTCAAGCGATTCTCCTGTCTCAGCCCCACGGGTAGCTAGGACTACAGGTGCACACCACCATGCCTGGCTAATTTTTGTATTTTTAGTACAGTCAGAGTTTCACCCTGTTGTCCAGGCTGGTCTCGAACTCCTGACCTCAGGTGATCCACCCACCATGGCCTCCCAAAGTGCTGGGATTACAGGCATAAGCCACCGCACCCAGCCTGATATTGCACTCTTGGATTTTGAACACTGAATATCTTTTTGAAAGATTACACCTCTTTACCTCTTTGTGCTTCAGAAATTATTTTCCTTCAAGTGTTCTAAGAGTCTAATGAAGAATGAAGTCATGTTTTATCACTTTTGTCCTTAAAGATTTCAGACATGCTGAAACTGATTGAAGTATAATTTGCTACCAGATAGATTAATTATCTCTAGTTGTAGGAGTGGATACATCTTTAATGGTATATCTTGGGTTATTGTCTTATTTTTGATGCAGTATTCTATAAATAATTTATTAAACCTGGCATCCTTAGGTGAGCATAGATTTTTCAACTTTGGTGTTATATTGTGTTTGCTTTTAAAAACTGCTTTTGAGGCCAGGTATGGTGGCTCTTGCCCATACCTAGCACTTTGGGAGGCCAAGGTGGGCGGATTACCTCAGGTCAGGAGTTCAAGACCAGCCTGGTCAACATGGCAAAACCATGTCTCTACTAAAAACACAAAATTAGCCAGGCATGGTGGTGCATGCTTGTAGTCCTAACTTCTCGAGAGGCTGAGGCAAGAGAATCACCTGAACCTGGGAGGCAAAAGTTGCTAGGTTGCTGTGAGCCAAGTTCGCACCATTGCACTCCAGCCTGGGTGAAAAGAGCAAAACTCTTTCTCAAAAAAAAAAAAAAAAACCCACCAAAAACTGCTTTTGAATGGAGTTGTACATACAATTTTGATGAAAAAAATTATCAAGTGCATAAGTGCATAATAGAAAAACCAATAATACTCCAAGCACAAGTTAGTACTAAAAAAAATATGTTGAGTATTCTCTACTACAACTTGCTTTTTCCCTTCATGAACAATTTGTGTTTTACTGAGAAGACTCATTGTTTATGGTAGACATTAGACTACAGATGAATATGTACTTTAAACACTCTTAGTTGCTTTCTTAATTTTATATCTGCTGCTTTATGCTTCTGTTTATTTTCATTCTTTCCAATGTCTACCTTCTAGTAAATTTGAATATTTTAATACGAGTTTATATACTATTTAATATTGCTTGTATAGTTTAGTATTTTTAAGACTCAAAAAGTTTTACAGAAAGAAGAAAAAGATCAACATGTTATTAATCATTTAAAGATCATTTTAAAATCTTTGACCTTTATATTTTAATGAATAAAATGTTAGTAGTTATTAGTATAAAATAATTTATGTCTTTTGGACTTAGCATCCAGTATTTCTTTTTTAATAAAGAAAATAATATTCTCTTGCAATATACTATGTTTATCTGGGTTTTGAAAAATGATGTTTCCTAATATGAGAAAGCCATTTACATTTTTAAATCTACAAAGGCAAATGGAATGGTACTAAATTATTTACATAATAATGTTTAGATGGTGGCCCTTATTAACATTCTTTCTATACTTCCTACAGAGTTGGGGATATGCAATCCTAGAATATTTCTGGGAGCTAATCCTTTATCTTGATGAATGAAACAAGACTTTTAAATAAAATTAAACTTTCAAATTTTCCAGGTAATGGGCCTGTATTTTAATTCAATGGATATGGAGCATAATGAATTATCCCCTGTTCATTGGGTAATAAGTTCTCATTCTTATAATACTCAAAATGTCCTTTAATTTTTAATTTTTGATAGTCATATCATTATCCCTAGGTATTTTAGCTTCTATCTTAAATTCTAAAATGATTTTGAAACAGGAGAAAGTATTCTTTATTACTATATGTATTAAACATCATGGTTTTCAAATTTAACTGCAAATGTATCTTTTCATTGCTTCTTGATGACGCCCTTCACCCTATCCATATTATCACTACCAAGTGGTGATTACTTTTCAGGTTCACATACTTATTCTTTAGAAAAATCTTGTCTGTGCCTTATAAAGAATATGATTGTTGGCATTCAAAAGCCAGTGAAGTATACATTATTAGCCTGTTGCCTAACTCATTTCTTTAAGAAACTACACTAATTACCCACATACTTATGTTTTTATTTCCTCATTATTTCTGGAGGAAACAAATACTGCTAACATGATATTTGTAAGACAGAAAAAAGTCTTTTCTTGAAAAGTGCTGTCATTGTAGTACTAACTTATAGTATCAACTTCTTTATCAACTCCTTATGCGCTTTTTATTCTGAGAGAAATAAAAAAGCTAAAAGTGAAATGACTTTTTTTACTCTCCATATTATAAGCACCCATCTTGGTAATTTAGGGTCTTTATAGTTAGGGTAAGTTGTGTCATACCGAGGTTACAAAATGAAAAGTATTTCATCTCTTCGGGCCTTTCTTTATTCAGTAATACTGTCAGTTTGGCTTTTTTTGTAGGTCAACTTATTGAACTCAGTATTCTGAAATAATATGTTTACTATCTTTTGATAAGCATTTAAAATATTAGATTTATTGTTATTCTTCTGACTTTATTGGGCTGGAAGAATAATTGTTTCACTCCATAAAAGCCAAGTTGTGGAGAAAAACACATAGACATTCAACTGCAAAGCAGGGAAACTTGACTATTTTCTGCAATTTTAAAGTGTATATTGAATAAAACCATCTTTTTATTTTCTTTTTTGCTCACTGGCAAATATTAACAACATCAAGTGTATTATTATAATGTTATCTAGTTAAAAATCTCAAAAAGTTTTCATAATTACCATTTTAAAATATATAAATAGGGGACCTAATGTTAATTTTTATTGTCTGAGACCATGTCTGTTATTTCACTCTTTAAATTCAGTTAGTAATGCAGAACCTAGCACTTAGTAGATACTCAAAAATTATTTGCTGAATAAAAAAAGGTTAAACATTTAATATATACAAAATGTACTGGAAAAAATGCACCAAACAATTTTGTTATATCAGTTTAATGTAAATATTGCCTTTAAAAGATAATATAGTTTTCAGGTGTCTACAGTGATTTTGTAATATTTGTGCACATATAAAATAATATTTCCAAAAATGTAATCCAGTGGGGAAATATACTTTCTAAATTCTAGATTTACAATTTAGGGTTTAAATTATAAAATCATTAAGTAGACACAAGTGAAATACAGTCAAATATCCCCTTGGAAAAAAATTAAGTGGCCTCTAAAGTGAGGTATTAATATATGTAATTTTACAATCCACTAGTGATAGAATTAATTAAATATGCCACCAAATTGATTAACTCCTACAGTGTTAAAAGAGAAGCACTAACAATGCCAGTGAACATGTAACATGGATTTAAGCTACAAGTCATAGAAATGTGATGAGAAGCCTCAGCGCTGTAAAACAGAGGGTGGAGGAAAGATTTTCCTCTCTCAAATGAGCTTTGCGAGGTATACTTCTTGAAGGATAGGAAGTTGAAGTGTTCAGGACTTTTATGACTATTCTACTTTGGCTTAGTTTACATGATTCTTAGTTTATTAGCCTAGAAATGGCCAAGAAAACTTAAGGTTCAATAATTAGTTATAAATATGAAATAGCCCCAATTTTAAGATAAAAACAACTTATAAATGTATTTGTCTGTAAAAATTGTGTATATTTTTACAGAACATCCATTTCTTTCTTTTTTTATTTTCTTGTATTTTTTTATTATACTTTAAATTCTAGGGTACACATGCACAATGTGCAGGTTTGTTACATATGTATATATGTGCCATGTTGGTGTGCTGCACCTATTAACTCATTTATATTAGGCATATCTCCTAATGCTATCCCTCCCCCCTCCCCCCTCCCCCCTCCCCCCACCCCACAACAGGCCCTGGTGTGTGATGTTCCCCTTCCTGTGTCCAAGTGTTCTCATTGTTCAATTCCCACCTATGAGTGAGAACATGCGGTGTTTGGTTTTTTGTTCTTGCGATAGTTTACTGAGAAGGATGATTTCCAATTTCATCCATGTCCCTACAAAGGACATGAACTCATCATTTTTTATGGCTGCATAGTATTCCATGGTGTATATGTGCCACATTTTCTTCATCCAGTCTATCATTGTTGGACATTTGGGTTGGTTCCAAGTCTTTGCTATTGTGAATAATGCCGCAATAAACATACGTGTGCATGTGTCTTTATAGCAGCACGATTTATAATCCTTTGGGTATATACCCAGTAGTGGGATGGCTGGGTCAAATGGTATTTCTAGTTCTAGATACCTGAGGAATGGCCACACTGTCTTCCACAGTGGTTGAACTAGTTTACAGTCCCACCAACAGTGTGAAAGTGTTCCTATTTCTCCACATCCTCTCCAGCACCTGTTGTTTCCTGACTTTTTAATGATCGCCATTCTAACTGGTGTGAGATGGTATCTCATTGTGGTTTTGATTTACATTTCTCTGATGGGTCTATTTCTTTAAAACAAAGGGAGGGGATTCTCTCATTTACATTAGTTTTTTTCATAGCCTTTTGAATTTGCAATTTCTATGTTTCAGAACCTATTTCTTACAGTTTTTCTATGCTAAACTCTGTCCTAGTCAGTTCTAGAGTGTATGAAGAACCAAATGATGTAATTGTATGCGATCTGGCTGTAGTGGAACAAATTTGACTCTAAAGTATGCAGGCTCTAATTTTCCTGTCTGGTTTTGGTAAGTATTCCTTACATAGGTTTTTTTCTTTGAAAATCTGGGATTGAGAGGTTGATAAATGAAAATTAATCCTTTCACTTTGTTGTATGTAGGTTTGCAATAATTAGCTCAGAGTGGAGTTTTAAGGTCATGGAGGGGTCTGATGACTTACAAATAATGGGCTCTGATTGGGCACCTACTCATCTGAGTTCCTTCCATTTGACCTAATTAAGCTTGTGAAATTTACACCAAGCCATGAGCTCATCTTTAAAAAGTTTTATTAAAAAATTTTCAGCTGTTCCAAATGGGACTTATTAGTGGAATGTGTTTTAAAGGATCATATCAGATGAATGAAAGGTATTTGATCTGTTTCCTTAATAACAAAATGATGGTTTGGAAAAATAGGCTACAGTCTAACCACAGTGCTATTATTAGGCTTTCTTGTTAAACATAGGTCTAAGCCTAAGTATGTCAATAGAACAAATACTTACTGTTTCATTTCTAGTAATAAAAAAAAAAAAAACAAGTCTTTCTGGCATAAGGATGATTTTCATCTGGTTATTTTGAAACATTTTTGTAAAATAAATTTACATCTATAAAGAACATTTTTATTTGTAAGGAGGGGTATGTCTCTGTGCACTGGAAGAGAGGGAGGACTAAATCACTGGGAAGTCTTATAATAAAGAAGCCATTGGCTTAAATCAGCAAAGCAAGCCGTCCCTTGGTTTAAGGTGTTTTTCCTGGCCATCCTGTCTTGACTAGAACTTTACCTACACCTTCCTTTTTGGTTTAGGCAAATTATAGTATCTAAAACTGAAGTCTCAGCTCTGTGTCTTTGAGATATAAATGTTCTACCATGTCTTCTCTGGAACCTGATAACTATCTATCTCTTTAAAATGCAAGTCTAGGGAGATGACTCATCAGAAAAAGAAGAAAAAAGAGGTATTTGGAAATTGTGCAAATTAAAGCAGCCCCTGATGCCAAACTCTACACATTCCTGAGTGAGTCAGTTCTGGCCAGTTCTAGCTGGATCAAGAGAGCTCTGCTGGGCAGGCCTGAAGAACACCTGGATGGCAGACACCTGAGGAGTCAGGTGCCTGAAACTTCCTCCACCTGCTTGAGGAGCGCCAAAGCCCAGGTGCTGGCTGGACAACCCCTTCTGGCTGCCTAAGCAGGTAGCAGAAGAAGGAAACAAGGGCAGAGGCAGAGTGTTGAACCCTGCCTCCCAGGTGGGTGGAAGATGCCTGTCGCCAAACTAGGGCCCAGCTTGCCAGGTGAGATGGGTAAACTGGTGATCCCCCGAGAGAGCGGACGTCAGAACTACATGTTCCCGGACATCACCTCAGCCAGTGAAGGAGAGAGAGGGTTAATGTTAACTGCACGAGGCCCACTCTAGCCTTAAATTCTGTAATTCAGACCTTTCCCTTGGAGACAAAACAAACATGACAAGGAATTCTGAGGTCAGGGGACAAGAATCACAAGTTCCCTAGTGGGAGACTGAGGAGGCAGTGTCCTTCCTGCCATTGGTCTACTGGCTAAGAACCTTCCTCAGCCTGACCTTTGCACATTGCACTTTCAGCTCTGTTTGCAATTTTCCTCCTTTAGTGCTGAGGGAATCCCAGTGTTCGATCCTGAAATCTATAGGTTCCTAATGGGTGGTTAAAAAAAACCTCAGCGAGAGAAGCAGAAAATGTTTCCTCTTCCTGAAAAACTGTAGAAAGGCAGGCACCATTCTGGGTGAGGACATGGTCCTTGCAAATGTCTTTGTGCTTTTCTGTTTGTTTGGTTTTTTTTGAGATGAAGTTTTGCTCTTGTTGCCCCGACTGGAGTGCAGTGGTGTCATCTCTGCTCATTGCAACCTCCACCTCCTGGGTTCAAGCAGTTCTCCTACCTCAGCCTTCCGAGTAGCTGGAATTACAGGCACCTGCCACCACACCTGGCTAATTTTTTGTATTTTTAGTAGAGATGGGGTTTTGCCATGTTGGCCATGTTGGTCTCGAACTCCTGACCTCAAGTGAGCCACCCGCTTCTGCCTCCCAAAGGGCTGGGATTACAAGAGTGAGCCACCGCATCCAGCCTGCAAACGTCTTTAAAGACAGCGTGTTTCAGAGGCTGTGACAGTGCCCTGTGAACATGCCAATTCTCGCAGTCCCGGGAGCTCTGAGGAGCAGGCTCGGCTCCTTGCCAGGCAGATGGTACTGAAACTCTGCTCTCCAAGACATAACCTGATGGCCGTGCAAGATTTCGTAATCGACTGTGGACCGTGAGAGTCTGCATCTCATTTTAATTAAGATGGGAAAAGAAAGAACAAAAGAGCAACTCCCAGGTTATAGAGAAACTGGATTTTAGTATAATATTCAAGTGTGGCATTGCTAATAATAACAAACCTTTCCCCTCCCAAATGGTAAACACTTGCACTGCCTATTATACAAAAATTCAACCACCCTCTCTGTTCCCCCGATATCTCCTCCCCAGTGACCCCCCCTCTCATGCGGCCTCATGAGCCTGGCCAGTGGTGAATGGCACTTTCATGGGCATGAGACTCTACGTGAGTGGGACTCAGCTGGGACCCCTCTCCACGTGGGAGCTGGAGAAGCCACCCTAGTAGCAGCTGAAAGTGTCCATGATATCCCTGCTGCTGAGGTAGGGGCTGCCTCTGAGCTGGTCTCGGGGTGTGAGCTGCTGCTGGTAGTGGGCTCTGCCCTGAGGGCCTGGTGGCTGGTCAGAGTGGCAGGCACACATGGGTGACTCCCCAGGAACTCAGGCCACCTCCCCACCACAGCCCTGCACCGTGTGCTCCAGGCATGTGCTGAGTGCCTGGTCAATCACCAGTGCCCTATTGATCCCTGTCTCCAGAGAGATCATTTAGTGTCACCCCACAGAGGGGGAATCTGAGGCCCAGAGAAGTAAGGTGACTCTCCCCAGTCACAGGGCTGGTCAGCAGTAGGATGGGAGGCTGGTCCCTTGCTGTCTGACTCCCTGAGCCCACCCATATCCCAAGGCAGCCAACCTCTGCCCACCCTGGTTCAGGACCCGACTGGCCCCTGTGGTGGGTGATGTCTATCTTCCTGGCCTTTGTGCTCCCAGCCAACTGGGATGGAGCCTCCAGCTGGCATGACATGTTGTAGCTATGGACAGAAGAGTGGCTGTGAGGCTGCCAGGAATCTCACCAGGGCCCCCTCCCAGGGCCTGTCCAGAGTGAGGTCTGGGTACCCCAGGCATTGCCAGACCACAGGATCTGATGTTGACCAAGAGGCCATGGCCACAGGCTTTCTGAGGCTGGCCCCCAGGGAGAGTTCAATCCTACTATCCCAATTCCTGTCCTGGCCTTACCTCTCAGTCTCACCGAGCCGCTTCATGGTCCCAAACCAGGACCCAAAGTGCTGCTTGGGCTCAAGGTTGTAATTATTTGCAGCCAACTGGAGCAGCAGACCTCCTTGCTTACTTTGAATTCCTGGGTCCAGAGGGAAAAACTGGGTGGTGACAGGGACTGGACAGGGATGCCACAGGGGCCCTGTGGGGGTGTTAGGTCGGGTGATGGCCAGTCTTTGCTCATAGGGGGCCACCTCCTCCTCTCCAGTCCTGTCCCCACCTGTTCTCAGAGCTGGCTCAAACAGCAGCTCCTCCAGGAAGGTGTCCTTGGTTTCAACCTGGTACTCCCACCTGCAGGTCTTCCTGGAGTGTCTCCTCTTTCTCTCTGTCTCCCCATAAATCTAAGACGAAGGGGATGGATTTGCCCACCGCTACTCACCGTATGACTCTTGTGAGGTTGATCAGTCTCCCCTGGAAGGCCAACAGCTGAAGTCCATCAGAAAGGGTCCTCTGGCCCAGAGCCAGACCCTGCCCACCCCTGTCATGCTGCACCCAGGGTGCAAGCCCCAGATCAGGTCTGGGTGACAGGAGGGGTATAGAGGGGCTGAGGCTCAGGGGCCTTCTAGCCTAACTTGTCTGGAGACAGTTGGGTAAACTGAGACCCCAAGCAGGGAGGTATGGCTCCGAGAGATTATTCTCATTAACCTGGAACATTTTTGCAAGCTGTTAGGTATAGGAAGTCTGTCACAGGTAAGAGAAATGCTTTTTGAGAGCATGAGAGACAGCAGGGTTGTGACAATATTGAAACACCACCGTGCAGATTCACCAATTGCCACCACCGGGAGCCCCCTGAGAGTCATTGCAGATGCACAGCCCTCCCCTGCAACCCCTGGACCTCCCCATGGTCTGGCACCTAAAGGGTTATGCCTCATGGCAGGAATCATGGCCCTCAGGATGCCCTGCCGACTCCAAGGTCTGCCTCTGCTCTGATTGGTCACTGACATTCAGATTGTCACCCAAATATAAGGACGTTAGCAGAAAGACTCATTCAATACAAGTGGACTCAGACATAGATAGGAATTGGGTTGCAAAAAGCCCCTTTTGTTTCTTTTATTTTATTTTGGAAAAAACTTTTATTGTGAAAATTCACATATATGTATAGAAAAAAATTCAATCAATGCAAAAGGATAGACGAACAAATGAATTCCCCTTCCACTCCAGATCCCCAACTCAGATCCAGACCTCCTGAGCCCACTTCCCCCATCTCATCACAGATCCAGACCTCCTGAGCCCACTTACCCCATCTCGTCACAGATCCAGACCTCCCCCACTTTCCCCATCTCATCATAGATCCAGACCTCCTGAGCCCACTTCCCCATCTCATCATCAGTGATTTCTTGGGCTCTGCATTAGTTTTCTATTGCTGCTGCAACAAACAGCTACAGACTCAGTGGCTTCCATTTCTGTCTTATAGTTCTGGTTGCCAAAAGTCCTAAGAGGATCTCACTGGGCTAAAGTCAAGGTGCTGGCGGGGCTATGTCCCTTCTGGAGGCTCAACGGATGAATTGGGTCCCTGCCTTTTCTAGCTTCTAGGGGCTCCAGCTTCTAGGTTTGTGGCCTCCTTCCTCCATCCTCAAAGCCAGCAACAGCAGGTGAAGTCCTCGCCCATCGTGCATCACTCTCCCTTCTGCCTCCTTCAACTTTTTTTTTATATTTAGGGGGAACGAGTATAGGATTCTTACATAGTCAAAAAGCTCCTTATAGAGAAGCTCAGAACTTTCAATACAGCTTTGCCTTTTTTGCCATTTTAATTTTCCATTTAATTTAAATGTATTCTCTCATTTGACCTTCATACTCTGTGGAGAAATATTCCTATTTCGGCTTGTATTGACAAGTTGTTTTCACACAGCCCCCACATCACCCAACCAACCAGCAGAGATCCTCCTTCCCAAGAAACAGATAAAGAAACTGAGGCCCAGGAAGGCTAAGAGTCCTGCCAGGATTATTCACCTTTCAAGGTAAGGAGCCAGTTCCAGACCTGGGTTTGTGCAGCTCCAAGCTCCCCCGTCTTTCTACAATGCTAGATTTAGACTAAAGCAATCTAGCAAGTGTGGCCACACAATGGTCAAGTTGGATTTAGATGATGTTCTCTATAAATCCATTCTCCTCTCCCGTGTAAGCAAGGCAAAGTACTCCAGGCCATGGGGAGTCCCTGAAGACTCGATGAACTGCAGTGGCCACATCAGGAGGTTGCAGGTTAACCAGAACTCACCGACACAGCAGGAAAGCAGCTTGGAACCTGCAACCTAGCCAAAACCTAGTGCCTTGGAATGGGGGAGAAAACATGCAGCCATTCCTCTCTCTCTGCTGGCTAGAGGGGATTCTGGCTTTTCCTGCCAGAGCCACCCCTTTCCCTCCTCCTAAAGTTGATGGTGGTTCTTTAAGGAAAGGGAGAAGTGCACGGTGTGATAGGGCAGGAAGAGAAGAAAACAGAGGAGAGGAGGGGACTTTCCCATAAGCAGGCAGAAGAAAAGGCAGCTGTGGTGTGTGATGGACATGGATGCAGTGGTGTCCAATGTGGGGTCAGCCCTAGAGGAGAGACAGAGAGAGAGACAGAAAAGTGAGAGAGTCCTGACCCTTATGATTAACATGGGATCTGCCTGCAAATGCTGTTTAGGGCCATCGCCTCTTCCTGTACTGCTATTTTTGAGAGTGATGCTCCTGAGCCCCACGACCCAGTCAAATTTGATGTCCCCTTGAGCCAGATTCAGTGCTGGGAGTCCAGTGTGATCTGCCTGGATCTTGCTGCATTGAGAACAGGCCAGATCTTGACCCCAATACAGGGGCTGGATATGAACAGGCAACAGCTGGGTTTCTGAGTCAGAAAGACTTGGTTAATTGCTAATTGCTTAGGCAAGTAATTTAATTTTGTTGAGTCAGATTCCTCAGCTACAAAATGCACATGACAGTACTTATTCCTCCAGGTTGTGGGGAAAATGTTGATTCTAAGCACGATGTCCATTTCACAGAAAGATACCAATTTGGTGGCTTATTTTCCTTTCTACCTTCAGAAGTGGCTATCCCTGCCACCCAAACAGACCCTTGACTCTCAAGTGGACGGGGTCTCATTTGCACAGGGGGAGACCTTATAGCCTACGTTGAGTCTATACTTACCACTTAGTGAGCATTGTATCTGCTCAGGGGCCTCTGTGGGCATCCGTCTCCTCTGCAGCATCTTTCCTCCCCACTGCTGGGTCTGCACATGACCCCCTCCTTGGGTTAGGCCTCTGATCAGTGATGACCTTGGTATGGTGGTAATGGTCAGTCTTGGCATCAAATGAGCCAGTTTATATCATCAGCTATTCAATAAAATACTAATCTAGGTGTCACCGTGAAAGTATTTTGTGACATTGTTATGTACATATTGTTACAAATGTGCATGATGCATTTACTACAGCACAGAATTTTGCCTGGGTGCCAGCCTGAAGTCTGTCCGATAGATCATAGCCATGTTAGTCCCACAGTCGCAGGGGCCAATTGATTAAATTATTTTATCTCCCTTGAGAACTAAAACTAAAATCCTAAGCCCCCCACCCAACTTAACAGACCCCCTGTTGGCCAACGGAACCTCAAATAAATCTTAAAATTCAGTTCTTGGCCATGACAGGACAGGAAGTCAGACATACCTCCCTGTACCTCCCTCCCTCTTATGGTTTAGACCCAACAACTGAACAGCATTAATGTTAAAATAGAGATCATGAGACTGACAGAACAGACTCTTTGTGGCAATAAGACCTCAAATTATAAACAGGACCTAGGGCCATGCCAGGCAAGGGTTAAGTCTTGTACCCTACTCTTAAAGAATTAACTAGATTCTAGCTACCACATGGGTTTTATTTTTCTCTAGCAGCCAAGCAAGCACTGGCTGTGAGAGATGGCTGTGAGAGAAGATTAAAACAATTACAACTCACCCAGTTCACAGACGCTGAGTAACTGATCTCCTGCCCCACTAACCTTAACGACAGCTTTCTCTGGACAAGGGACTGATTTCAATAACTTTCTCCTGATAAGAGACCATCCTCCATGGACTGGTTCTGGCCAGTTTTAGAGGCTGTGGCTTTACAGAGGCTGAGTACTTTCATGTCCCTGCTTCACTTTTTGATGTGTAGGGCCTAATTATAATACATTTAAATGTCAAGTCTCCACCCCAGGATGAACATGCATGTTTATTGAATATGCATGTGTTAGGACCTCTTTTATGAGTATTCTCATAAAATGATATAGCTCCTCTGATATCCTATTGAGTATGTATATGTAGCCAACTCATTTGGCTCAAATTCCTGTCCTCTCCTTCCCTCCCTGGAAATGCCTGCCTCTGGCCTTGGCTGTAGGCCACACTTCCCAGCCTGTCATAATGGCCACCTTGCAGACTGCAAACCTTTATAAGAAATAAAGCTCTCTTTTCTAAATTTATAAAATTGTGTGATTTTTCAGTTGATGCTCTCTTTCTACACACACACACACACACGCAATTTATACAGAAGGAAATCTGGAGAATATATGTGGGAATGGATATTAAGTGTGTGGCACCATGGTGAAAGTAACATAAAGTTGGATTAGGCTAAATTTATTAATGTTGGCCCACTAAACAGAGATTCTGGACTCAGAGTTGTAGGTCAAAGCTTTAGAAAGGGCTCCAAGGGTTGGTTTGATCGGTTACTTGGTTGGTTGCTTGCTTGGTTGGTGGTGCTTGCTTCCTTGCTTGGTTGTTTGGTTGGTTTGTTGCTTGCTTGCTTGTTGGTTGATTGGTTGGCTGTTTGTTTGGTGACTTGGTTGGTTGGCTGAAACAGAATCAGAGTTTACCTAAGGTACATAAAGTTGAGATGCCACAACTTCCTTGGTTTATGTGTACAGAAAGGTATGCAAAAACTCAGGGAGACTGGATTTATTATGTCAGACCTGCTCACTCACACTGAAGGGTCTACAGAACATACTCCTCACAACGATCATGAGAAAGAATATTGTGAGAGGAGCCCAGTATCCTGGAAGAGCTTTAAGCCTGTGCTCTCAGTAGGCAAAATGTTACAGCAGGAACTGCAGCCACTGGACTGGGATCTTTAAGTAAAATGAGGATAATTGAATCCTGGGGTGGCAGGGAACATGGGCTGTCCTTAATCACCAAAGATGAGGTGGGTGTGGTCACCACAGTGGAAAGCAGTGTCAAAGCAGCAGTCAGAATGGTTTGACTCACAGACACCCATGGCATTGTGTAGTCCATGGTATCCACAGGGAGAGCTAATGGGCTGTACCAAAGTCTTAGTTGTTGTTTAAAAAATGAAGAATTCTAGGTCAACTGAATAAAAGATTAACTCAAATTAATGAAACACAGATCTAAAACCCTCAATCAATTCCCAGACTTGAGCCAGTTCACAGGCCCACAACCCCTTAAGTGAAGGGGAGGCTGGGTGATCTTGGGGAAGTACGCTGCTACATTGCCAAAAATTTACATTGTTAATCTTTTTCCCAGTCTTCCCCAAAGGGACCTACAGCCTTCTGCCAGGATGACTGTGACTTAAAGAAAAGAAAATTCTCAGATATTTGGGGAATTACTGGACACTGGCTCTCATTTGACATTATTATCACTATGTTGCCTAGGATGGATTCATGCTTCTGGGTTCAAGCAGTCCTCCTACCTCAGCCTCCCAAAGTGCTGGGATGACAGACATGAGCCACTGTGGCCAGCAGAGCTTTGAAACTAGAACATGGAGGTCCAGTGGTAAATATTTGACAAGTCTGGGAAGAGATTGGGCCAAGGCAATGTTGATGATTCTTTTTTTTTTTTTTTTTTTTTTTTTTTGCAACAGAGTCTCACTCTGTTGTCTAGGCTGGAGTGCAATGGTGCAATCTCGGCTCACTGCAACCTCTGCCTCTGGGGTGCAAGCAATTCTCCTGCCTCAGCCTCCTGAGTAGCTGGGATTACAGGTACCCACCGCCACACCAGGCTAATTTTTTATTTTTTTAATTTTTTTGAGACAGAGTCTCACTCTATATCGCCCAGGCTGGAGTGCAGTGGCGCAATCTGGGCTCACTGCAAACTCCGCCTCTCAGGTTCACGCCATTCTCCTGCCTCAGCCTCACGAGTAGCTGGGACTACAGGTGCCTGCCACCGTGCCTGGCTAATTTTTTGTATTTTTAGTAGAGACAGGGTTTCAGCGTGTTAGCCAGGATGGTCTTGATCTCCTGACCTCATGATCCGCCTGCCTCAGCCTCCCACAGTGCTGGGATTACAGGGATGAGCTCATGCCCAGCCACACCAAGCTAATTTTTGTATTTTTTTTTTAGTTGAGACAGGGTTTCACCATGTTGGCCAGGCTGGTCCCTGACCTTGTGATCCGCCCGCCTCGGCTTCCCAAAGTGCTGAGATGACAGGCGTGAGCCACCGTGCCTGGCCAATGTTGATGATTCTAAACAGCAGCCGCTAATGTGAAAACCATCCAACTGGAAGACCTGGCCTTTCCCAGAGGACACAGTCTGGGTGGTGGGCAGAGACTTCAGCTGACTTCCAAGGCAAGCAGCTCCTTGCTGCCCGCTTGCTGGGGATTTTACTTACAGGGCAGAAGCTGGCAAGTGATTTGGGGGCAGGAATTGCTTCCTGGATGGTATATGATGAACCACACTCCCCAGGAAGACACTCATCCTGGTGGCCTAACAGAAGTAGCCCTCACCCCAAAAGGCAATGCTGCTCCACTAGTTTTATGGGGTGACTCCTTCCTGTAGGTTCCTTCCAGCTTTACCAGAAACACAGAACATCTTTCCTGACAGGGCATTGGTTTTGTTTTTGAACAGAGAGATCCTTCTTTTAAAAAGTTAGTTTTTTCTTTTTTTTTTGTAATGGAATCAACCTAGGTCCTAAGCCTAGCAGGTTATTATTATTATTTTTATGATTATTTTTTGAGATGGAGTCCCACTCTGTGGCCCAGGCTGGAGGGCAGTGGCACGATCTCAGCTCACTGCAATGTCTGCCTCCTGGGTTCAAGAGATTCTCCTGCCTCAACCTACAGAAGAGCCGGGATTACAGGCGTGCACCACCATGCCCGGCTAATTTTTGTACTTTTAGTAGAGATAGGGTTTTGCCATGTTGGCCAGGCTGATCTCAAACTCCTGACCTCAGGTGACCACCCACCTCAGCCTCCCAAAGTGCTGAGAATACAGGTGTGAGCTGCCACACCCAGCCACAGGTTATTTTTGCTGATCTTCTCCCTCCTCCCACCCTCCATCCTCAAAGAAAATTCGGTATATCTACACCATGGAATACTACGCAACCCTGAAAAGGAACAAAATCATTTTTTTATTTTTATTTTTTGTTTGTTTTTGCAGCAACACAGATGTAGCTGGAGGCCATTATCTTTTTTAATTATTTTTATTATTTTTTATTTTTTCTATTCTACTTTAAGTTCTGGGGTATATGTGCAGAATGTGCAGGATTGTTACATAGATATATATGTGCCATAGCGGTTTGCTGCACCCATCAACCCACCATCTACATTAGATATTTCTCATAATGCTGTCCCTCCCCCAGTCCCCCACCCCTGCAACAGGTCCCAGTGTGTGATGTTCCCCTCTCTGGGTCGATGTGTTCTCATTGTTCACTTCCCACTTATGAGTGAGAACATGCACTGTTTGGTTTTCTGTTCCTGTTTCACTTTGCTGAACATGAGAGTTTCCAGCTTCATCCATGTCCCTGCAAAGAACATGAACTCATCCTTTTTCATGGCTGCATAGTATTCCACAGTGTCTATGTGCTACATTTTGTTTATCCAGTCTATCACTGATGAGCATTTGGGTTGGTTCCACATCTTTGCTATTGTGAACAGTGTGGAGGCCATTATCTTAAGTAAATTAACAGAATGCTGCGTGTTCTCACTTATAAGTGGGAGCTAAATGTTGTGTATAGGTAGACACAGAGAAGGGAACAGATACTGGGTTCTAGTTAGGGGGAGAGAGGAAGGTAGAAGGACAAGAGTTGAAAAAACCAACTGTGGGGTATTATGCTCACTACCTGGGTGATGGGATCACTCATACCCCAGACCTCAGCATCACACATCGTCCCCATGTAAGAAACCTGTACATGTACCTCCTGAATCCAAACTGCTCCACCATTTGCACCAGCAATTCCAAGACTGGGCATCTACCCAAAGGAAAAGAAGTCATTCTACCAAAAAGACACATGCATGGTAGAGTTCCTTGTTTTTTTTGTTTTGTTGTTTTTTGAGACGGAGTCTCACTCTATTGCCCATGCTGGAGTGCAGTAGCAATCTCGGCTCACTGAAACCTCCGCCTCCTGGGTTCAAGTGATTCTCCTGCCTCAGCCTCCTGAGCAGCTGGGATTACAGGCATGCGCCACCATGCCTGGCTAGTTTTTGTATTTTTAGTAGAGATAGGGTTTCACCATGTTGACCAGGCTGGTCTCGAACTCCTGACCTCAGGTGATCTGCCCACCTCGGCCCTCCAGAGTGCTGGGATTACAGTGCCCGGCCCTGTAAGGTTCGTCACAGCACGACTTACAATAGGAAAGTCATGGAATCAACCTAGTTGCCCATCAGTGGGGTACCAGATAAAGCAAAAGTGGTTCTTCTACAGCATCAAATACTACACAGCCATGAAAAAGAATAAAATCACGTCCTTTGCAGCCACATGGATGTAGCTGGAGGGCATTATGCTTAATGAATTAACACAAGAACAGAAAATCAAATACCACATGTTCTTGACTGGATAAAGCAATTGTGGCCCTTCTACGCCATGGAATACTGCACAACCATGAAAAAGAATAAAATCATGTCTTTGCAGCCACATGGATGCAGCTGAAGGGAATTATGCTTAGTGAATTAACACCAGGAAAAGAAAATCGAATACCACATGTTCTCCACTAGATAAAGCAAATGTGGTCTTTCTGCATCATGGAATACTATGCAGCCATGAAAAAGAATAATATCATGTCCTTTGCAGCCACATGGATGCAGCTGAAGGACATTATGCTTAGTGAATTAATGCCAGGAACAGAAAATGAAATACTACATGTCCTCAACTGGATAAAGCAAATGTGGCCCTTCTACACCACGGAATACTACACAGTGATGAAAAAAATAAAATCATGTCTTTGCAGCCACATGGATGCAGCCGGAGGGCATTATGCTTAGTGAATCAATACGAGGAACAGAAAATCAAATACCACATGTTGTGCACTAGATAAAGCAAATGTGGTCCTTCCGCATCATGGAATACTACACAGCCATAAACAAGAATAAAATCATGCCCTTTGCAGCAACATGGATGAAGCTGAAGGGCATTATGCTTAGTGAATTAATGCCAGACACAGAAAATCAAATACCACATGTTCTCAATTAGATAAAGCAAATGTGGTCCTTCCGCATCATGGAATACTACACAGCCATGAACAAGAATAAAATCATGCCCTTTGAAGTCACATGGATGAAGCTGAAGGGCACTATGCTTAGTGAATTAACGCCAGGAACAGAAAATCAAATACCACATGTTCTCGCTTATAGGTGGGAGCTAAACATTGCCTGCACCTGGACACAATGAAGGGGCACCACAGACCCTCAGTACTAATAGAGCAGGAAGCAGGGGCGGGGGTACAAGGGTTGAAAAACTACCCTGAGATTCTTTGAATTTCCGGCAGAAAGCAGCAACTGGAGAGAGCTTTGGGTCACGGATTTTTCTGTTGCATTTTCTTGCTTGTTTGTTTTCTCTCTCGCTCTCTTTTTTTTTTTTTTTTTTTTGAGATGGAGTCTCGCTCTGTGACCCAGGCTGGAGTGCAGTGGTGCAATCTCGGCTCCCTGCAACTTCTGCCTCCTGGATTCAAGCAATTCTTCTACCTCAGCCTCCCAAGTAGCTGGGACTACAGGCACCCACCACCACACCTGGCTAATTTTTGTATTTTTAGCAGAGACGGGCTTTCACCATGTTGGCCAGGCTGGTCTCGAACTCCTGACCTTAGGAGATCCACCTGCCTCGGCCTCCCAAAGTGCTGGGATTACAGGCATGAGCCACTGCGCCTGGCCTCTCTTCTTACATATTTCTAGAACTCCTCTAGAATTTGGGGTTTGTTTTTCTTAATTACAAGGAATCAAGTTGAATCATTAGTGCATATATAAATATACATTTTATTTTTAGTACACATTATATACCTCAGGAATGTACAATGCTCAGTGCCTGGGTGACGGGATGATTCATACCCCAAACCTCAGCAACGTACAATATCCTCAGGTCACAAAGCTGCCCGTGGATCCTCTGAATCTATAATAATAATAATAATAATAATAATAAAAATAAATAAAAAGTGACTTTGTCATTCGCAGGGAAATGCGAATGACATTCACTCTGCCTCTCAGGCCCTTGGATTCCCAAAGTTTGTTTTCATCACGCCCAGGGGACACTCAGAATCTCGTTTTCAGAACACGGGTTGTTTTTCTTAGAAATGCTTTGCAAAACAAAATAGGAAGCAAAATCTTTCTCACTCCTTCCGCTCCGTAATAGACTAAATAAAATGAGGGGGCAGGAATCCAGAGACTTTGACAGCAGTTGGCAGATTTATTGTGGTACAGACATGAAGGCAAGCAGTGTTCTCTCTGATTCTACGAACCGTACAGCCCAGGCCGGCTGCCTTCTGCTTTCTGGATGGTGCAGGCGTGAGCTCCAAGCCCAAATTTCACCGGAGCTCCAGGAATCGAGCCTGGCCCAGGCACTCACTGCACGGGGGCCAAGCGTGAAACCAGTGATCGCTCCAGCAAGGTAACAGGACAGCTTGGTGATCCTTCTTGCCGGCCACAAAATGTTATAGCCAAAATTCCACCGAATGTGGTCTTTCTGTGTATCTCCCCAGACAGCGAAGGTGGACAAACATGGGGGTGGGGGGGTGGGGGGTGCTGACCTCAGTGGGGTGTCCTGGAGACGCAGGAACCAGGGTTTACAGGGTGCAGATCCTACTGAAGCAAATGGAAGTGGCATCCATGGGCAGAGCTGGCTGTAGCATCCCCCATCTGCCTGTGGTGTCACCAAATGTATCCAGAGACCGCTTGTAAACCTGGAGGGTGTGCTAACGTCAGTGGGGTGTCCTGGAGAGGCAGGAACCTGGGTTTCCAAGGTGCAGATCCTACTGAAGCAAATGGACGTCGCATCCGCGGGCAGAGCTGGCTGTGGTGTCCCCCCTTCTGCCTGGGGTGTCACCAGATTTCACCGAGAGACCCCTTCTAAACCTGGGGAGTGTGCTGACCTCAGTGGGGTGTCCTGGAGAGGCAGGAACCAGGGTTTACAGGATGCAGATCCTACTGAAGCAAATGGACGTGGCATCCTTGGGCAGAGCTGGCTGTGGCTGGCCTTCCGGCCTGGACGTCTCCCCCACTGCCTGGGGTGTCACCAGATGCACCCAGAGACCTCTCATCTGAAAGCTCATGCATGGGAAGCCTCCAGGTCTCCTCGGCAGGCAGCATCACGTCTCATTCAACTGCGTTATCAGGTAATGCAGGCCTGTTCTGCCTGTGTGCGTGAGTGCGTGGGTGCCATGTGGGAGTGTGTGTGTTGATGTGGGTGTGGGTGTGTGCTTGTGTGGCTGTGTGTGCCTGTTTATGTGATGATGAGTGTGTCTGTGAGTCTGTAAGATGTGTGTTTCCATGTGTGTTTCTGTGTGAGCGTGCATTCCTGTGTTTTATGGAAGTGTGTTTTTGTGATGGTGTTTGTGTGTGCCCCTGCATTTATTGTATTTGTGTGTTTGTGAATATGAGTGTATGTGTGTGAATCTGTATGCCAATGTGTAAATTCTTTTTTGTTTTTTTGAGACAGAGTCTTGCTCTGTCACCCATACTGGAGTACGAAACATGATGAAACCCCATCTCTACTAAAAGTACAAAAATCAGCCGGGTGTTGTGGCTCAGGCCTGTAATCCCAGCTACTCGGGAGGCTGAGGCAGGAGAATTGCTTGAACCTGGGAGGCAGAGGTTGCAGTGAGCCAAGATCATACCACTGCATTGCAGCCTGGGAGAGCCAGCCAGCCGGCCAAGCCAGCCAGCCAGCCAAGCCAGCCAAGCCAGCCAAGACGGCCAAGCCAGCCAGCAAGCCAAGCCACCCAGCCAGCCAGACAGCCAACCCAGCCAAGCCATCCAAGCCAGGCAAGGAAGCCAGCGAGCCAAGCCAGCCAAGCCAGCGAGGCAGTCACCAAGCCGGCCACGCCAGCCTGTCACCCAAGCCGGCCAAGCCAGCCAGCCATCTAAGCCAGACAAGCCACCCAGCCAGCCAACCAGCCAAGCCAGCCAGCCAGCCAAGCCACCCAGCCAGCCAAGCCAGCCAAGCCAGCCAGCCAGCCAAGTCAGCCAGGCCACCCAGCCAGTCAGGCCAGCCAAGCCACCCAGCCAGCCAGAAAGCCAACCCAGTCAAGCCAGCCAAGCCAGCCAAGCCAGCCAAGGAAGCCAGCGAGCCAAGCCAGCCAAGACAGCTAGCCAGTCACCCAGCCAGCCAAGCCAGCCAAGCCAGCCAGCCAGAAAAGCCACCCAAGCCAGCCAGCCAGCCAAGCCACAAAAGCCAGCCAGCCAGCCAAGCCAGCCAAGCAACCCAGCCAGCCAAGACAGCCAAGCCACCCAGCCAGCCAGCCAAGCCAGCCATGCCAGCCAGGCCACCCAGCCAGCCAGCCAGCCAAGACAGCCAAGCCAGCCAAGCCAGCCAGCCAGCCAAGACAGCCAAGCCAGCCAAGCCAGCCAGCCAGCCAAGACAGCCAAGTCAGCCAGCCAAGCCAGCCAGCCAGCCAAGCCACCCGGCCAGCCAAGCCAACCAAGCAACCCCGCCAGCGAAGCCAGCCAAGCCACCCAGCAAGCCAAGCCAGCCAAGCCATCCAGCAAGCCAAGCCAGCCAAGCCAGCCAAGCCAGCCAGCCAGCCAAGCCAGCCAAGCCAGCCAGCCAGCAAAGCCAGCCAAGCCAGGCATCCAGCCAAGCCAGCCGGCCACCCCGCCGGCCAGGCCAGCCAGCCAAGCCGGCCAAGCCAGCCAGGCCACCCAGCCAGCCAGCCAGCCAAGCCAGCCAAGCCAGCCAGCTAGGCCAGCCAGCCAGCCGGCCAAGCCAGCCAAGCCAGCCAGCCAGCCAAGCCAGGCAAGCCAGCCAAGCCAGCCAGCCAGCCAAGCCAGCCGGCCTACCAGCCAGCCAAGTGGCCAGACAGCCAAGGCAGCCAAGTCAGCCAGCCACCCAAGCTAGGCAAGACACCCAGCCAGCCAAGCCAGCCAAGCCACCCAGCCAGCCAAGCCAGCCAAGCCACCCAGCCAGCCAACAGCCAAGCCAGCCAGCCAGCCAAGCCACCCAAGACAGCCAGCCAGCCAAGCCAGCCAAGCCACCCAGCCGTCCAAGCCAGCCAAGCCACCCAGCCAGCCAACGAGCTAAGCCAGCCAGCCAAGCCAGCCAGCCAGCCAAGCCAGCCAAGCCACCGAGCCAGCCAGCCAGCCAAGCCCGCCAAGCCACCCAGCCAGCCAAGCCAGCCAAGCCAGCCAAGCCAGCCAGCCAGCGAAGCCAGTCAAGCCAGCCGGCCTCCCAATCCAGCCAAGCCAGCAAGCCACCCAAGCCAGCCAAGCCAGCCAAGCCAGCCAGCCACCTAAGCCAGCCAAGCCAGCCAGCCAGACAAGCAAGCCAGCCAGCCATCCAGCCAAGCCTGTCAAGCCAGGCAGCCAGGCAAGGCAGCCAAGCCAGCCAGCCAGCCAAGCCAGCCAAGCCACCCAGCCACCCAAGGCAGCCAAGCTGCCCAAACAGCCAAGCCAGCAAAGCCACCCAGCCAACCAAGCCAGCCAGCCACCCAGCCAGCCAGGCCAGCCAGCCAGCCAGCCAGCCAGCCAAGCCAGCCAAGCCAGCCAGGCCACCCAGCCAGCCAGACAGCCAAGCCAGCCAAGCCAGCCAGCCAGCGAAGCCAGCCAAGCCAGCCAAGCCAGCCAGCCAGCCAAGACAGCCAAGCCAGCCAAGCCAGCCAAGACAGCCAAGCCAGCCAAGCCAGCCAAGACAGCCAGCCAGCCAAGCCAGCCAAGCCAACCAAGACAGTCAGCCAGCCAAGACAGCCAGCCAGCCAAGCCAGCCAAGCCAGCCAAGACAGCCAGCCGGCCAAGCCAGCCAGCCGGCCAAGCCAGCCAGCCAGCCAGCCAGCCAACCCAGCCAGCCAAGCCAGCCAGCCAAGCCAGCCAAGCCAGCCAGACAGCCAAGCCAGCCAAGCCAGGCAGCCAGCCACGTGAGCCAGCCAGCCAAGCCAGCCAGCTGGCCAAGACAGCCAAGCCATTCAGCCAGCCAAGCCAGCCCAGCCAGCCCAGCCACCCAGCCAGCCAAGCCACTCAGCCAGCCAAGCCAGCCCAGCCACCCAGCCAGCCAAGCCACCCTTCCAGCCAAGCCAGCCGAGAAAGCCTGCCAGCCAAGCCAGCCAAGCCAGCCAGCCAGCCAAGCCAGCCAAGCCAGCCAAGACGGCCAAGCCAGCCAGCAAGCCAAGCCACCCAGCCAGCCAGACAGCCAACCCAGCCAAGCCATCCAAGCCAGGCAAGGAAGCCAGCGAGCCAAGCCAGCCAAGCCAGCGAGGCAGTCACCAAGCCGGCCACGCCAGCCTGTCACCCAAGCCGGCCAAGCCAGCCAGCCATCTAAACCAGACAAGCCACCCAGCCAGCCAACCAGCCAAGCCAGCCAGCCAGCCAAGCCACCCAGCCAGCCAAGCCAGCCAAGCCAGCCAGCCAGCCAAGTCAGCCAGGCCACCCAGACAGTCAGGCCGGCCAAGCCACCCAGCCAGCCAGAAAGCCAACCCAGTCAAGCCAGCCAAGCCAGCCAAGCCAGCCAAGGAAGCCAGCGAGCCAAGCCAGCCAAGACAGCTAGCCAGTCACCCAGCCAGCCAAGCCAGCCAAGCCAGGCAAGCCAGCCAAGCCAGCCAGCCAGCCAAGCCAGCCGGCCTACCAGCCAGCCAAGTGGCCAGACAGCCAAGGCAGCCAAGTCAGCCAGCCACCCAAGCTAGGCAAGACACCCAGCCAGCCAAGCCAGCCAAGCCACCCAGTCAGCCAAGCCAGCCAAGCCACCCAGCCAGCCAACAGCCAAGCCAGCCAGCCAGCCAAGCCACCCAAGACAGCCAGCCAGCCAAGCCAGCCAAGCCACCCAGCCGTCCAAGCCAGCCAAGCCACCCAGCCAGCCAACAAGCTAAGCCAGCCAGCCAAGCCAGCCAGCCAGCCAAGTCAGCCAAGCCACCGAGCCAGCCAGCCAGCCAAGCCCGCCAAGCCAGCCAGCCAGCGAAGCCAGTCAAGCCAGCCGGCCTCCCAATCCAGCCAAGCCAGCAAGCCACCCAAGCCAGCCAAGCCAGCCAAGCCAGCCAGCCACCTAAGCCAGCCAAGCCAGCCAGCCAGACAAGCAAGCCAGCCAGCCATCCAGCCAAGCCTGTCAAGCCAGGCAGCCAGGCAAGGCAGCCAAGCCAGCCAGCCAGCCAAGCCAGCCAAGCCACCCAGCCACCCAAGGCAGCCAAGCTGCCCAAACAGCCAAGCCAGCAAAGCCACCCAGCCAACCAAGCCAGCCAGCCACCCAGCCAGCCAGGCCAGCCAGCCAGCCAGCCAGCCAGCCAGCCAAGCCAGCCAAGCCAGCCAGGCCACCCAGCCAGCCAGACAGCCAAGCCAGCCAAGCCAGCCAGCCAGCGAAGCCAGCCAAGCCAGCCAAGCCAGCCAGCCAGCCAAGACAGCCAAGCCAGCCAAGCCAGCCAAGACAGCCAAGCCAGCCAAGCCAGCCAAGACAGCCAGCCAGCCAAGCCAGCCAAGCCAACCAAGACAGTCAGCCAGCCAAGACAGCCAGCCAGCCAAGCCAGCCAAGCCAGCCAAGACAGCCAGCCGGCCAAGCCAGCCAGCCGGCCAAGCCAGCCAGCCAGCCAGCCAGCCAACCCAGCCAGCCAAGCCAGCCAGCCAAGCCAGCCAAGCCAGCCAGACAGCCAAGCCAGCCAAGCCAGGCAGCCAGCCACGTGAGCCAGCCAGCAAAGCCAGCCAGCTGGCCAAGACAGCCAAGCCACTCAGCCAGCCAAGCCAGCCCAGCCAGCCCAGCCACCCAGCCAGCCAAGCCACTCAGCCAGCCAAGCCGGCCCAGCCACCCAGCCAGCCAAGCCACCCTTCCAGCCAAGCCAGCCGAGAAAGCCTGCCAGCCAAGCCAGCCAAGCCAGCCAGCCAGCCAAGCCAGCCAAGCCAGCCAAGACGGCCAAGCCAGCCAGCAAGCCAAGCCACCCAGCCAGCCAGACAGCCAACCCAGCCAAGCCATCCAAGCCAGGCAAGGAAGCCAGCGAGCCAAGCCAGCCAAGCCAGCGAGGCAGTCACCAAGCCGGCCACGCCAGCCTGTCACCCAAGCCGGCCAAGCCAGCCAGCCATCTAAGCCAGACAAGCCACCCAGCCAGCCAACCAGCCAAGCCAGCCAGCCAGCCAAGCCACCCAGCCAGCCAAGCCAGCCAAGCCAGCCAGCCAGCCAAGTCAGCCAGGCCACCCAGACAGTCAGGCCGGCCAAGCCACCCAGCCAGCCAGAAAGCCAACCCAGTCAAGCCAGCCAAGCCAGCCAAGCCAGCCAAGGAAGCCAGCGAGCCAAGCCAGCCAAGACAGCTAGCCAGTCACCCAGCCAGCCAAGCCAGCCAAGCCAGCCAGCCAGAAAAGCCACCCAAGCCAGCCAGCCAGCCAAGCCACAAAAGCCAGCCAGCCAGCCAAGCCAGCCAAGCAACCCAGCCAGCCAAGACAGCCAAGCCACCCAGCCAGCCAGCCAAGCCAGCCATGCCAGCCAGGCCACCCAGCCAGCCAGCCAGCCAAGACAGCCAAGCCAGCCAAGCCAGCCAGCCAGCCAAGACAGCCAAGCCAGCCAAGCCAGCCAGCCAGCCAGCCAAGACAGCCAAGTCAGCCAGCCAAGCCAGCCAGCCAGCCAAGCCACCCGGCCAGCCAAGCCAACCAAGCAACCCCGCCAGCCAAGCCAGCCAAGCCACCCAGCAAGCCAAGCCAGCCAAGCCAGCCAAGCCACCCAGCCAGCCAAGCCAGCCAAGCCAGCCAGCCAGCAAAGCCAGCCAAGCCAGGCATCCAGCCAAGCCAGCCGGCCACCCCGCCGGCCAGGCCAGCCAGCCAAGCCGGCCAAGCCAGCCAGGCCACCCAGCCAGCCAGCCAGCCAAGCCAGCCAAGCCAGCCAGCTAGGCCAGCCAGCCAGCCGGCCAAGCCAGCCAAGCCAGCCAGCCAGCCAAGCCAGGCAAGCCAGCCAAGCCAGCCAGCCAGCCAAGCCAGCCGGCCTACCAGCCAGCCAAGTGGCCAGACAGCCAAGGCAGCCAAGTCAGCCAGCCACCCAAGCTAGGCAAGACACCCAGCCAGCCAAGCCAGCCAAGCCACCCAGCCAGCCAAGCCAGCCAAGCCACCCAGCCAGCCAACAGCCAAGCCAGCCAGCCAGCCAAGCCACCCAAGACAGCCAGCCAGCCAAGCCAGCCAAGCCACCCAGCCGTCCAAGCCAGCCAAGCCACCCAGCCAGCCAACGAGCTAAGCCAGCCAGCCAAGCCAGCCAGCCAGCCAAGCCAGCCAAGCCACCGAGCCAGCCAGCCAGCCAAGCCCGCCAAGCCACCCAGCCAGCCAAGCCAGCCAAGCCAGCCAAGCCAGCCAGCCAGCGAAGCCAGTCAAGCCAGCCGGCCTCCCAATCCAGCCAAGCCAGCAAGCCACCCAAGCCAGCCAAGCCAGCCAAGCCAGCCAGCCACCTAAGCCAGCCAAGCCAGCCAGCCAGACAAGCAAGCCAGCCAGCCATCCAGCCAAGCCTGTCAAGCCAGGCAGCCAGGCAAGGCAGCCAAGCCAGCCAGCCAGCCAAGCCAGCCAAGCCACCCAGCCACCCAAGGCAGCCAAGCTGCCCAAACAGCCAAGCCAGCAAAGCCACCCAGCCAACCAAGCCAGCCAGCCACCCAGCCAGCCAGGCCAGCCAGCCAGCCAGCCAGCCAGCCAAGCCAGCCAAGCCAGCCAGGCCACCCAGCCAGCCAGACAGCCAAGCCAGCCAAGCCAGCCAGCCAGCGAAGCCAGCCAAGCCAGCCAAGCCAGCCAGCCAGCCAAGACAGCCAAGCCAGCCAAGACAGCCAGCCAGCCAAGCCAGCCAAGCCAACCAAGACAGTCAGCCAGCCAAGACAGCCAGCCAGCCAAGCCAGCCAAGCCAGCCAAGACAGCCAGCCAGCCAAGCCAGCCAGCCGGCCAAGCCAGCCAGCCAGCCAGCCAGCCAACCCAGCCAGCCAAGCCAGCCAGCCAAGCCAGCCAAGCCAGCCAGACAGCCAAGCCAGCCAAGCCAGGCAGCCAGCCACGTGAGCCAGCCAGCCAAGCCAGCCAGCTGGCCAAGACAGCCAAGCCACTCAGCCAGCCAAGCCAGCCCAGCCAGCCCAGCCACCCAGCCAGCCAAGCCACCCTTCCAGCCAAGCCAGCCGAGAAAGCCTGCCAGCCAAGCCAGCCAAGCCAGCCAGCCAGCCAAGCCAGCCAAGCCAGCCAAGTCGGCCAAGCCAGCCAGCAAGCCAAGCCACCCAGCCAGCCAGACAGCCAACCCAGCCAAGCCATCCAAGCCAGGCAAGGAAGCCAGCGAGCCAAGCCAGCCAAGCCAGCGAGGCAGTCACCAAGCCGGCCACGCCAGCCTGTCACCCAAGCCGGCCAAGCCAGCCAGCCATCTAAGCCAGACAAGCCACCCAGCCAGCCAACCAGCCAAGCCAGCCAGCCAGCCAAGCCACCCAGCCAGCCAAGCCAGCCAAGCCAGCCAGCCAGCCAAGTCAGCCAGGCCACCCAGACAGTCAGGCCGGCCAAGCCACCCAGCCAGCCAGAAAGCCAACCCAGTCAAGCCAGCCAAGCCAGCCAAGCCAGCCAAGGAAGCCAGCGAGCCAAGCCAGCCAAGACAGCTAGCCAGTCACCCAGCCAGCCAAGCCAGCCAAGCCAGCCAGCCAGAAAAGCCACCCAAGCCAGCCAGCCAGCCAAGCCACAAAAGCCAGCCAGCCAGCCAAGCCAGCCAAGCAACCCAGCCAGCCAAGACAGCCAAGCCACCCAGCCAGCCAGCCAAGCCAGCCATGCCAGCCAGGCCACCCAGCCAGCCAGCCAGCCAAGACAGCCAAGCCAGCCAAGCCAGCCAGCCAGCCAAGACAGCCAAGACAGCCAGCCAGCCAGCCAGCCAGCCAAGCCAGCCAGCCAGCCAAGCCAGCCGGCCTACCAGCCAGCCAAGTGGCCAGACAGCCAAGGCAGCCAAGTCAGCCAGCCACCCAAGCTAGGCAAGACACCCAGCCAGCCAAGCCAGCCAAGCCACCCAGCCAGCCAAGCCAGCCAAGCCACCCAGCCAGCCAACAGCCAAGCCACCCAGCCAGCCAAGCCACCCAAGACAGCCAGCCAGCCAAGCCAGCCAAGCCACCCAGCCGTCCAAGCCAGCCAAGCCACCCAGCCAGCCAACGAGCTAAGCCAGCCAGCCAAGCCAGCCAGCCAGGCAAGCCAGCCAAGCCACCGAGCCAGCCAGCCAGCCAAGCCCGCCAAGCCACCGAGCCAGCCAGCCAGCCAAGCCCGCCAAGCCACCCAGCCAGCCAAGCCAGCCAAGCCAGCCAGCCAGCGAAGCCAGTCAAGCCAGCCGGCCTCCCAATCCAGCCAAGCCAGCAAGCCACCCAAGCCAGCCAAGCCAGCCAAGCCAGCCAGCCACCTAAGCCAGCCAAGCCAGCCAGCCAGACAAGCAAGCCAGCCAGCCATCCAGCCAAGCCTGTCAAGCCAGGCAGCCAGGCAAGGCAGCCAAGCCAGCCAGCCAGCCAAGCCAGCCAAGCCACCCAGCCACCCAAGGCAGCCAAGCTGCCCAAACAGCCAAGCCAGCAAAGCCACCCAGCCAACCAAGCCAGCCAGCCACCCAGCCAGCCAGGCCAGCCAGCCAGCCAGCCAGCCAGCCAAGCCAGCCAAGCCAGCCAGGCCACCCAGCCAGCCAGACAGCCAAGCCAGCCAAGCCAGCCAGCCAGCGAAGCCAGCCAAGCCAGCCAAGCCAGCCAGCCAGCCAAGACAGCCAAGCCAGCCAAGCCAGCCAAGACAGCCAGCCAGCCAAGCCAGCCAAGCCAGCCAAGACAGCCAGCCAGCCAAGACAGCCAGCCAGCCAAGCCAGCCAAGCCAGCCAAGACAGCCAGCCGGCCAAGCCAGCCAGCCAGCCAGCCAGCCAACCCAGCCAGCCAAGCCAGCCAGCCAAGCCAGCCAAGCCAGCCAGACAGCCAAGCCAGCCAAGCCAGGCAGCCAGCCACGTGAGCCAGCCAGCCAAGCCAGCCAGCTGGCCAAGACAGCCAAGCCATTCAGCCAGCCAAGCCAGCCCAGCCAGCCCAGCCACCCAGCCAGCCAAGCCACTCAGCCAGCCAAGCCAGCCCAGCCACCCAGCCAGCCAAGCCACCCTTCCAGCCAAGCCAGCCGAGAAAGCCTGCCAGCCAAGCCAGCCAAGCCAGCCAGCCAGCCAAGCCAGCCAAGCCAGCCAAGACGGCCAAGCCAGCCAGCAAGCCAAGCCACCCAGCCAGCCAGACAGCCAACCCAGCCAAGCCATCCAAGCCAGGCAAGGAAGCCAGCGAGCCAAGCCAGCCAAGCCAGCGAGGCAGTCACCAAGCCGGCCACGCCAGCCTGTCACCCAAGCCGGCCAAGCCAGCCAGCCATCTAAGCCAGACAAGCCACCCAGCCAGCCAACCAGCCAAGCCAGCCAGCCAGCCAAGCCACCCAGCCAGCCAAGCCAGCCAAGCCAGCCAGCCAGCCAAGTCAGCCAGGCCACCCAGCCAGTCAGGCCGGCCAAGCCACCCAGCCAGCCAGAAAGCCAACCCAGTCAAGCCAGCCAAGCCAGCCAAGCCAGCCAAGGAAGCCAGCGAGCCAAGCCAGCCAAGACAGCTAGCCAGTCACCCAGCCAGCCAAGCCAGCCAAGCCAGCCAGCCAGAAAAGCCACCCAAGCCAGCCAGCCAGCCAAGCCACAAAAGCCAGCCAGCCAGCCAAGCCAGCCAAGCAACCCAGCCAGCCAAGACAGCCAAGCCACCCAGCCAGCCAGCCAAGCCAGCCATGCCAGCCAGGCCACCCAGCCAGCCAGCCAGCCAAGACAGCCAAGCCAGCCAGGCCAGCCAGCCAGCCAAGACAGCCAAGCCAGCCAGCCAGCCAGCCAGCCAGCCAAGCCAGCCAGCCAGCCAAGCCACCCGGCCAGCCAAGCCAACCAAGCAACCCCGCCAGCGAAGCCAGCCAAGCCACCCAGCAAGCCAAGCCAGCCAAGCCAGCCAAGCCAGCCAGCCAGCCAAGCCAGCCAAGCCAGCCAAGCCAGGCATCCAGCCAAGCCAGCCGGCCACCCCGCCGGCCAGGCCAGCCAGCCAAGCCAGCCAAGCCAGCCAGGCCACCCAGCCAGCCAGCCAGCCAAGCCAGCCAAGCCAGCCAGCTAGGCCAGCCAGCCAGCCGGCCAAGCCAGCCAAGCCAGCCAGCCAGCCAAGCCAGGCAAGCCAGCCAAGCCAGCCAGCCAGCCAAGCCAGCCGGCCTACCAGCCAGCCAAGTGGCCAGACAGCCAAGGCAGCCAAGTCAGCCAGCCACCCAAGCTAGGCAAGACACCCAGCCAGCCAAGCCAGCCAAGCCACCCAGCCAGCCAAGCCAGCCAAGCCACCCAGCCAGCCAACAGCCAAGCCAGCCAGCCAGCCAAGCCACCCAAGACAGCCAGCCAGCCAAGCCAGCCAAGCCACCCAGCCGTCCAAGCCAGCCAAGCCACCCAGCCAGCCAACGAGCTAAGCCAGCCAGCCAAGCCAGCCAGCCAGCCAAGCCAGCCAAGCCATCGAGCCAGCCAGCCAGCCAAGCCCGCCAAGCCACCCAGCCAGCCAAGCCAGCCAAGCCAGCCAAGCCAGCCAGCCAGCGAAGCCAGTCAAGCCAGCCGGCCTCCCAATCCAGCCAAGCCAGCAAGCCACCCAAGCCAGCCAAGCCAGCCAAGCCAGCCAGCCACCTAAGCCAGCCAAGCCAGCCAGCCAGACAAGCAAGCCAGCCAGCCATCCAGCCAAGCCTGTCAAGCCAGGCAGCCAGGCAAGGCAGCCAAGCCAGCCAGCCAGCCAAGCCAGCCAGCCAGAAAAGCCACCCAAGCCAGCCAGCCAGCCAAGCCACAAAAGCCAGCCAGCCAGCCAAGCCAGCCAAGCAACCCAGCCAGCCAAGACAGCCAAGCCACCCAGCCAGCCAGCCAAGCCAGCCATGCCAGCCAGGCCACCCAGCCAGCCAGCCAGCCAAGACAGCCAAGCCGGCCAAGCCAGCCAGCCAGCCAAGACAGCCAAGCCAGCCAGCCAGCCAGCCAGCCAGCCAAGCCAGCCAGCCAGCCAAGCCAGCCAGCCAGCCAAGCCACCCGGCCAGCCAAGCCAACCAAGCAACCCCACCAGCGAAGCCAGCCAAGCCACCCAGCAAGCCAAGCCAGCCAAGCCAGCCAAGCCAGCCAGCCAGCCAAGCCAGCCAAGCCAGCCAGCCAGCAAAGCCAGCCAAGCCAGGCATCCAGCCAAGCCAGCCGGCCACCCCGCCGGCCAGGCCAGCCAGCCAAGCCGGCCAAGCCAGCCAGCCACCTAAGCCAGCCAAGCCAGCCAGCCAGACAAGCAAGCCAGCCAGCCATCCAGCCAAGCCTGTCAAGCCAGGCAGCCAGGCAAGGCAGCCAAGCCAGCCAGCCAGCCAAGCCAGCCAAGCCACCCAGCCACCCAAGGCAGCCAAGCTGCCCAAACAGCCAAGCCAGCAAAGCCACCCAGCCAACCAAGCCAGCCAGCCACCCAGCCAGCCAGGCCAGCCAGCCAGCCAGCCAGCCAGCCAAGCCAGCCAAGCCAGCCAGGCCACCCAGCCAACCAGACAGCCAAGCCAGCCAAGCCAGCCAGCCAGCGAAGCCAGCCAAGCCAGCCAAGCCAGCCAGCCAGCCAAGACAGCCAAGCCAGCCAAGCCAGCCAAGACAGCCAGCCAGCCCAGCCAGCCAAGCCAGCCAAGACAGCCAGCCAGCCAAGACAGCCAGCCAGCCAAGCCAGCCAAGCCAGCCAAGACAGCCAGCCGGCCAAGCCAGCCAGCCGGCCAAGCCAGCCAGCCAGCCAGCCAGCCAACCCAGCCAGCCAAGCCAGCCAGCCAAGCCAGCCAAGCCAGCCAGACAGCCAAGCCAGCCAAGCCAGGCAGCCAGCCACGTGAGCCAGCCAGCCAAGCCAGCCAGCTGGCCAAGACAGCCAAGCCACTCAGCCAGCCAAGCCAGCCCAGCCAGCCCAGCCACCCAGCCAGCCAAGCCACTCAGCCAGCCAAGCCAGCCCAGCCACCCAGCCAGCCAAGCCACCCTTCCAGCCAAGCCAGCCGAGAAAGCCTGCCAGCCAAGCCAGCCAAGCCAGCCAGCAAGCCAAGCCAGCCAAGCCAGCCAGCCAACCAAGCCAGCCAAGCAAGCCAGCCAGCCAAGCCGGCCAAGCCAGACAGCCAGCCAATCCAGCCAAGACAGCCAAGCAAGAAAAGCCAGCCAAGCCAGCCAGCAAGCCAAGCCAGCCAAGCCACCCAGCCAGGCAAGCCAGCCAAGCCACCTAGCCAGACAGCCACCCAAGCCAGCCAAGCCACCCAGCCAGCCAGCCAGACAAGCCAGACAAGCCACCCAGCCAGCCAGCCAGCCAGCAAGCAAAGCCAGCCAAGCCACCCAGCCAGCCAAGCCAGACAAGCCACCCAGCCAGCCAGCCAGCCAAGCCACCCAGCCAGCCAAGCCAGACAAGCCACCCATCCAGCCAGCCAGCCGGCCAGCCAAGCCAACCAAGCCACCCAGCCAGGCAAGCCAACCAAGCCACCCAGCCAGCCAGACAGCCAACCCAGCCAAGCCAGACAAAGAAGCCAGCGAGCCACGCCAGCCAAGCCAGCAAGCCAGTCACCCAAGCCAGCCAAACCAGCCAGTCACCCAAGTCAGCCAAGCCCACCAGCCACCTAAGCCAGCCAAGCCAGCCAACAAGCCAAGCCAGCCAAGCCAGCAAGCCAGCCAAGCCACCCGGCCGGCCAAGCCAGCCAAGCCAACCGGCCGGCCAGCCAGCCAAGCCAGACAAGCCAGCCAGACAGCCAAGCCAGCCAAGCCAGGCAGCCAGCCAAGTGAGCCAGCCAGCCAAGCCAGCCAAGCCAGCCAAGCCACCCAGCCGGCCAAGCCAGCCAAGCCACACAGCCAGCCAAGCCAACCACGCCAGCCAGCAAGCCAAGCCAGCCAAGCCAGCCAGCCAACCAAGCCAGCCAAGCAAGCCACCCAGCCAAGCCAGCCAACCCAGAGAGCCAGCCAATCCAGCCTAGACAGCCAAGCAAGCCAGCCAGTCATGCCAGCCAAGCCAGCCAAGTCAGCCAGCCAGCCAAGCCAGCCAAGCCAGCCAGCCAGCCAGCCAGCCAATCCAGCCAGCCACCCAAGCCAGCCAAGCCACCCAGCCAGCCAAGCCAGCAAGCCAGCCAAGCCAGCCAAGCCAGCCAGCCAGCCAAGCCAGCCAAGCCAGCCAGGCCACCCAGCCAGCCAGCCAGCGAAGCCAGCCAAACCAGCCAGCAAGCCAAGCCAGCCAAGTCACCCAGCCAGCCAGACAAGCCAGCCAAGCCAGCCAAGCCACCCAGCCAGCCAGCAAGCCAAGCCAGCCAAGCCACCCAGCCAGCCAAGCCAGCCAAGCCAGCCAGCCACTGAAGCCAGCCAAGCCACCCAGCCAGCCAAGCCAGCCAAGCCAGCCAACCAGCCAAGCGAGCCAAGCCAGCCAAGCCACCCAGCCAGCCAAGCCAGCCAAGCCAGCCAGCCAGCCAAGCCAGCCAAACCAGCCAGCCAGCCAAAGGCAACCAAGCCAGCCACCAAGCCAAGCCAGCCAACAAGCCAAGCCAGCCAAGCCAGCAAGCCAGCCAAGCCACCCGGCCGGCCAAGCCAGCCAAGCCAACCGGCCGGCCAGCCAGCCAAGCCAGACAAGCCAGCCAGACAGCCAAGCCAGCCAAGCCAGGCAGCCAGCCAAGTGAGCCAGCCAGCCAAGCCAGCCAAGCCAGCCAAGCCACCCAGCCGGCCAAGCCAGCCAAGCCACACAGCCAGCCAAGCCAACCACGCCAGCCAGCAAGCCAAGCCAGCCAAGCCAGCCAGCCAACCAAGCCAGCCAAGCAAGCCACCCAGCCAAGCCAGCCAACCCAGAGAGCCAGCCAATCCAGCCTAGACAGCCAAGCAAGCCAGCCAGTCATGCCAGCCAAGCCAGCCAAGTCAGCCAGCCAGCCAAGCCAGCCAAGCCAGCCAGCCAGCCAGCCAGCCAATCCAGCCAGCCACCCAAGCCAGCCAAGCCACCCAGCCAGCCAAGCCAGCAAGCCAGCCAAGCCAGCCAAGCCAGCCAGCCAGCCAAGCCAGCCAAGCCAGCCAGGCCACCCAGCCAGCCAGCCAGCGAAGCCAGCCAAACCAGCCAGCAAGCCAAGCCAGCCAAGTCACCCAGCCAGCCAGACAAGCCAGCCAAGCCAGCCAAGCCACCCAGCCAGCCAGCAAGCCAAGCCAGCCAAGCCACCCAGCCAGCCAAGCCAGCCAAGCCAGCCAGCCACTGAAGCCAGCCAAGCCACCCAGCCAGCCAAGCCAGCCAAGCCAGCCAACCAGCCAAGCGAGCCAAGCCAGCCAAGCCACCCAGCCAGCCAAGCCAGCCAAGCCAGCCAGCCAGCCAAGCCAGCCAAACCAGCCAGCCAGCCAAAGGCAACCAAGCCAGCCACCAAGCCAAACCAGCCAGCCAGCCAAGCCACCCTGCCAGCCAAGCCAGCCAAGCCACCCAGCCAGCCAAGCCAGCCAAGACACCTAGCCAGTCAACCAGCCCAGCCAGCCAGCCACCCAAGCCACCCAAGCCAGCCAGCCAGCCAAGCCACCCAGCCAGCCAAGCCTGCCAAGCCACCCAGCCAGCCAAGCCAGCCAAGCCACCCAGCCACCCAACCAACCAAGCCAGCCAGCCAGCCAAGCCAGCCAAGCCACCCAGCCACCCAACCAACCAAGCCAGCCAGCCAGCCAAGCCAGCCAAGCCACGGAGCCAGCCAGCCAAACCAGCCAAGCCACCCAGCCAGCCAGCCAGCCAAGCCAGCCAAGCCAGCCAGCCAGCCAAGCCAGCCAAGCCAGCCAAGCCAGCCAAGGAAGCCAGCCAGCCAAGCCAGCCAGCCAGCGAAGCCAGCCAAGCCAGCCAGCCTCCCAAGCCAGCCAGCCAAGCCAGCCAAGCCAGCCAAGAAAGCCAGCCACCCAAGCCAGCCAAGCCTGCCAGCCACCTAAGCCAGCCAAGCCAGCCAGCCAGCCATCCAGCCGAGCCAGCAAAGACAGGCAGCCAGCCAAGCCAGGCAAGCCAGCCAGCCAGCCAAGCCAGCCCAGCCAGCCAGCAAGACAAGCCAGCCCAGCCAGCCAGCCAACCAAGCCAGCCAAGCCAGCCGGCAAGCCAAGCCAGCCAGCCAGCCAGCAAGCCAGCCAGCGAAGCCAGCCAGCCAAGCCAGCCAAGCCAGCCAGCCAGCCAAGCCAGCCAAGCCAGCCAGCCAGCCAGCCAACCAAGCCACCCAAGCCAGCCAGCCAGCCAAGCCACCCAAGCCAGCCAGCCAGCCAGCCAAGCCACCCAAGCCAGCCAGCCAGCCAAGCCACCCAAGCCAGCCAGCCAGCCAAGCCACACAAGCCAGCCAGCCAGCCAAGCCAGCCAAGCCACCCAGCCAGCCAAGCCAGCCAAGCCACCCAGCCAGCCAAGCTAGCCAAGCCACGCAGCCAGCCAAGGCAGCCAGCCACCCAGCTAGCCAAGCCAGCCAAGCCAGCCAGCCGGCCAAGCCAGCCATTTGGCTAAACCACAGAAGCCAGCCAGCCAGCCAAGCCAGCCAAGCCAGCCAAGCCACCCAGGGAGCCAACCAGCCAAGCCAGCCAGCCAGCCAAGCCAGCCAAGCCACCCAGCCAGCCAGCCAGCCAAGCCCACCAAGCCACCCAGCCAGCCAAGCCAGCCAAGCCACCCAGTCAGCCAGCCAGCCAAGCCAGCCAAGCCAGCCAGCCAGATCCAGAGGCGTCCTTGGCCTGGGGACCGGGTGGATTTGACGCTTGCACAGGTAGAGATTGCCCCATGCAGATGAGCCATGTAGGGGGCTCGGGCCCTAGGGACCCAGCCTCTGGGCCAGGGGTTGGCCTGCCCAGGCCTGCTGGTGTCTCAGCTGGTGGCCGAGAGCCATAAGGCAGGCATTGTCCTCCACAAGGTCAGCTTTGCCGCTAACTTCCTGTTCTCGTTAATAACCTGATGCAAGGAATTCTATTGCAATTGTTTATGTGTCTCTCCGAGAAGGCTGTGAGCAACACAGTATCCCGAGCTCCTGGTCTGATGCCTGACACACAGTAGGTGTTTAATAAATGATTCTTCAGTGCATAAGTGAAAGAAAACATGGGTGAAGTTAGCATGGTCAGGACCATTGCAACTGCCTTCTGACTGGTCTCCTTGCTTCTCCTTAGTCTCCAGGCAGCAGTTGGAGTGATACAGTAATGGGAATCACCACACTCTTCCTTCTCTGGCCAGGTGCAGCCCCAGACTGGTGCTTCCAGGGAGCCCTTGATGCCTTGGTGAGGGGTGTGGGCTTGGAAGCTGGGCACTTACAGCTGTGGGTTGTTGCCACTGTTGGAGTAGCGGAGGCATCGAGCCCCCTCCCGATTTTCCAGCATGACTAGTGGTGACAATATTGGGTCTCAATGGGTCTCTCCTGCCTCCAGTCCAGTGCCCTTTTTTGGGGACCATTATTGGCTTTTGGGGACCCTGAAGGAGGAATGGCCTGATTATGCAATTTGGCTGGAGTGGAACGTCCCCATGACGACATGGCAATGAGTCTTCCCCAGCAGGCAGATGCCAGATGCAGTGGTGACCACACCTGCCATCTGGGAGGATTCCAGGTGAGTCCCTGGTGTGGGGACTGGGGTGGGCTCTCCATCCTCCTATCCCTGGGACAAGTGTGTGGGGGACAGCGGGGGCCACCAGGAGCCACGCTAGATGGGCCCAGCCTCACCAGGTCTACTCTGGGACCGGCTGGGCCCCAGGGGGGCTGTGATCTTTCACGGCCATGATGTTAGGAGAGAGACAAGGACCAAGGATGGTGATTCCTTCCCAAAGGGCCACAGCCATCCAGTAAGGCCGAGCAGGGAGGAGCTGAGAAAGGCAGCCTCCCTCCTTTCTGCCTCTCTCCACCATCAGCATCAGCTCTGTTGCCCAAGGTGGTCGCCCTCTGCAGGGGCTGGGGCTTGTAAGGCAACGCCCCCCACCCCCACCTGGCGGTGCTTGCTCTCCGATTCCTGGGACCTGCCTGACCTTGACTGCAGCAGGGTTTTATGAGTGGCCTCACCACTTTATCAATTGCTGTTGCCTTTTATTACTTGTCAGGGGCTTTATCTCAGCGGCCGCCTTACCTCCTGGCTAAATGAGGATTAATTTTTTAACAGGATTATGTGCTGTGGGTTAGCTGTACTCTCTGGGGACGGCCAGGCGCTCCCCTCCCTCTTAGCCCCTCCCTCTCCCCAGGCCCCCCTTGCTGGTTTGCTGGGAGCAGGGGCTACATGTGGGGGCCCCAGGAGCTGGGGGCTGCATCATTCCAGACTCTGGGATGGGGGTGGGGTGGCGAGGGCCAGACCTGGACTCTGGGTGGTGATGTCCTTGGGCAGGGCCTGCCCTGCAGGGTGAAGTTCCTTTAGAGGTTTCAGCCACTTCTTGAAGGACACCAGACTTGGCCACTGAGCAGCTGGGAGTGGGGAGAGATGGAGCAGGAGCAGGAGCAGGATCAGGGGGACATGGGGAGAGAGAGGATGGGGGCCACCTTGCCAAGCCCACCTGCCCCGGTATCTCAGAGCAGCACAGCCTGAACATGGCCAGCATCAGACTTTCTTGGTCCTTCTGGAACACAATTTCAATTTTCCACCAAAGTTTGATAAAGGTGAGCCTGTTCTCACCCCTCCTGTGTCTATCGCCTGGAGGACAAAACCCAGGATCCCACCTCCAGCTCTCCATGCCACCATCTCCTTCACAAACCAGAGGGAGGCCTCCTTCTTTGCCCATCAGGAAAGCCTCTGTGTCAGTCCAGGGTGGGCCTCCAGACACCAGTCTAGGGGGCTTCTCCCTGTTGCCCCAGGCAGAGCTGAGGCCCTTGTGGCTTCTCTTGTGATTCTTCTGTTGGGCCTCCTGTCCCCTCTGGAGTTATGAATTTGTGGGTGTGCTTACCTGCCTGCTGTGGGCCCCTGAAAGGGACACATTGATACTGCATTCATATCTAGGCGTGTGGGAGGTGCCAAGCCTGTTTATGGAAGGAGTGATGAATGGATGGCTGAATGAACAAATGAAGGGATGAATGCATGAGGGAGGAAGGGAGGAGGTCATTGGCTCCCTGAAGGGGCCCAGGGCTGACTTGTTCACAGCTTCCTCTTCCCTTGGCTGAGCCCAGGGCAGGCTGGCAGCTGTAGGCCTGGGATGTTGGCCCAGCAGCCTCGTGGGCAGCTGGGTTGATGGGGTGAGGTCCTGGCCAGAGGGGAAACTGTCCCTTTTCGGGTCTGGCTTCTCCTCCAGAGTTCCTGCTCTGCAGGTATGTGCAGACCTGGCTTAGCTGATGTAATGAATGACCACAAACTGAGTGGCTTCAAGCAGCAGTCATGCATTCTGGTGGCCTGGGCATCCTTGGCTTGTGGCTGCATCCCTCCTGCTCAGCCACCATTCTCAAGAGGCCTTCTCTGTGTCTGTCCCTATGACTCCTATAAGGACACCAGCCCTTGGATGTAGGGCCTGCCTGAATAACCCAGAATGACCTCATCTCCTCATCCTTCACTTAATTCCATCTGCAAAGGCCCTCCATCCAAAAAAGGCCGTATTCACACATTCTGGGAATAAGGACAGGGTCATATCTTTTGGGGGGACCACGCTTCAACCCATAAAATACCCATATGCTTGACGACCCACCTTCCTCCTCTCTAGGAGCCTCTGTGCTCACACCTAGAAATTCCGGGTGTGAGTCTATGCCCCTCTGTGACCATCCTGTGTCCTGGTTGTTTGTTTTTGTTTCTTGAGATGGAGTCTCACTCAGTCGCCCAGGCTAGAGTGCAGTGGCATGATCTTGGCTCACTGCCAGCTCCACCTCCCGGGTTCACACCATTCTCCTGCCTCAGCCTCCTGAGCAGCTGGCACTACAGATGCCTGCTCCCACACTCGGCTAATTTTTTGTATTTTTAGTAGAGATGGGGCTTCACCGTGTTAGCCGATGGTCACAATCTCCTGATCTCATGATCCACCCGCCTCGGCCTCCCAAATTGCTGGGATTACAGGCATGAGCCACCGTGCCCGGCCTGTCCTGTGTTTTTTTTACATTTATTTTTTGAGACAGGATCTCACTCTGTCACCCAGGCTGGAGTACAGTGGTGAGATCGTGGCTCACTGTGTAGCCTCGACCTCCTGGGCTCAAGCCATCCTCCCATCTCAGCCTCCTGAGTAGCTGAGACCACAGGTGTGTACCACCACGCCCAGCTAATTTTTAAAATGTATTCGTAGAGACAGGGTCTCCCTATGTTGCTCAGGCTGGTCTTGTACTCCTAGGTTCAAGGGATCCTCCTGCCTCAGCCTCTCAAAATGTTGGGATTACAGGCATGCCTGGCGTGTCCCTTGTTTATTTGTTCATGTATACCACTCCTGGGTATACGCCCAAGAGAACTGGAAGCAGGGTCTCAAAGAGATACTTGCACACAGGTGTTCATAGCAGCTTATTCACAAAAGCAAAAATGTGGCAACAGGCCAGGCGTGGTGGCTCATGCCTGTAATCCCAGCATTTTGGGAGGCTGAGGAGGGTGGATCACCTGAGGCCAGGAGTTCGAGACCAGCCTGACCAATATGGTGAAACCCTGTCTCTACTAAAAATACAAAAATTAGCTGGGCATGATGGCAGGCGCCTGTAGTCCCAGCTACTCGTGAGGCTGAGGCAGAAGAATCACTTGAACCCAGGAGGCGGAGGTTGCAGTGAGCCGAGATGGCACCACTGCACTCCAGCCTGGGCAACATAGTGAGACTGTATCACAAAAAAAAAAAAAAAAAAAAAAAGGCATTTAGTATGCCTAACCGCCCTGCCAGCTCAGCCCAGCTGACCTCAGATGTGCTCAAGACACTCCCATTAGCCTCTAGGTAGGCAAAATCAGCTCACACAAAGCTTTTTTTTTTTTTTTTTTTTTTCAGGCAGACTCTCACTCTGCTGCCCAGGCTAGAGTGCAGTGGTGTGATTATAGCTCACTGCAGCTTCAAACCCCTGGGCTTAAATGATCCTCCTACCTCAGCAACCCAAGAAGCTGGGACAACAGGTATGTGCCACCACGCCTGGCTAATTTAAAAAAAGGTTTGTTATGTTTTGTAGAAATGGGGTCTCGCCATGTTGCCAAGGCTGGTCTTGAACTCCTGGGCTCAAGCCATCCTCCTGCTTTGGTCTCCTAAAATGCTGGGATTACAGGCGTGAACCACTGTCCCCAGCTCATGAAGCTAGTTTTCTAATCAGGTGTTGATTTTCTTGTGCAATTTGTCGAATACTGTACTGAAAGTGAACATGGTTGTGTGGGACTTAAGTGCCGTTGCTACTGAGTTCTGGCCACATTCTTACCATCGTGGAGTCGGGGCCTGTCGGTGGCACCATCCTAATAAGGCAGGGCCATCTGTGTAGGAATCTGCTGTTTGCAGAGATTTTTGTTGGTGATCACCAGGCTTGGACTCTGAGAACCTTGGAGGAACCCAGTGGGTAGCACACAATGCGGAGTGGGACATTCACTGGACCAGGGAGGTCGGGCCGTGGTTAGGAACCTGGGGGAGGAAGAGCTGAGGGGGTTGGGGATCTGAGCTTTTCTCAGTGGCTCAGCCACGACCCTGGGCTACCCCTGCCCCAGGCCTCCCTCCTGTGCCTGTGAGCTGGGGATGATCATTAGTGTCCCCTCCCCCAGCATGTAGGGCTGTGCCAGGCACAAGGAGGAGGCTTGCGGCATTCCCACTGAGGACAGACTACCCGGGAAAGCACTCGGACAGCCTCAGGGAAGATGAGGGTGGGTCCAGGAGATGCCAAGGGCAGGCCCTTGGGCAGGTTTTTCAACAGTGCCTCTGCCCCACCACCCCTGTGCTCTTGCCTGTCACCACAGGGTCTCGGAGAGGAGAGCCATGTGGCTCAGCATGGCCAGGGGCAGGCTAGACTGTCCTGCTGCAGAGGACCCACTGGGGCCCAGTGGGACAGCCCTCCCCCTCCCCCTGGGACTCCATGGCCTGTGCTGTCCTCCTGCCCAAGAAGCTTCCCTCTGAGGCATCTCGGGTCCGGGTCCGTCCTGCTCACCCAGGGCCAGGAGCCCCCAGGAGGCCCACGGTAAGAAGGAGCGCAAGACATAAACAATTTCCCCCTCCTCTGCCGAAGGCTCTGGTGTCAGCGTGCTTTGCCTGCAGTGGCCTTTCCCCGGGGCAGCGAGGGCCTGAGTGGGCGCCTCCCCCAACGCCTCCTGGGTGTCAGCCCCAGACTGCCCCACGGCTCCACCCCTGTTCAGAGCCACTCAGCCCCTGGGAAAGGTGGCTGGGTCATGAGTTGGGGATATGAGGGGGATCAGTGCCTGCTAGTTGGTGCCAGAAAACCACCTTTGCTGGACTTGGCATTGAGGGTTGGCAAGGGGGCCTCGGAGACACTCTCCTCCCTCCTACCTGTACCCCCAGGGTACCCGTGGTCACTCAGTTCCTGACTGCCTGCTTTGGGTTGGGATCCCAGGACCCACCCTCTCCTGGCTTCTGCTGAGCCATGCCCTCCGCGGTGGGGGGGGTCCCCTGCCTGATGCCACGGCCTTGCGAGTGTCACTCAGAGCCCCTGCTGCACGGAGCCGTGCTGTGGGTTTCTTTTCCTGTGTGGACCTGCAGAGAAGCTGCCTTGTCACTGTCCCCTCATTGCTGGGGTATAAATCCTCATTGTCACTATCTTCTTGGCCCTCTGCCACCAGCTGTGGACTCTGGGGACACTCAGGACTCAGGCCTGGAATTTTCCCCAAGGTTTTTCCTAGGTGCATTGGTGTAAACAGGGTCCCCTCTTGCCCCAGAGGCTGAGCTCCCATGGGCAGGGGGAGAGTGGGAGCAGTTGTCTGAGGGCCAGGCTGCGGGAACAGGGTCTGGGGTTTCCTGTGGAAATGCTGAAGAGTTCCCCCCCCGCCCTGGCTCCGGCCAGCATCTGGTCACCCTGGCGGGCAGGGAGTGGCAGCTGCAGAACGCATGAAAGTGGTGGGTGGGGTGGGAGTGGCTGGTGCTGACTTTGTCCAAAGGCCAGAGGTGCGGTGGGGCCCCTGACACCATGTGGCTAAGGGCTTCTCCATTCACCAGGACTGTTCTCACAGAGTCTTTCCAGAGAGGCTGCAAAGGGCCTCTTATCTCCAAAAACGTCTATTTTATAGGCACCTGGATGTCTACTGTGTCCTGATACAGAGGAGAGGACATGCAATGGGAGATAACGTGGCTACCTTTGGCCATGTCGGGTGGATAAGAGATGGCCAACAGGTCACTGCAGGGCCTGCTCCCCCTTACTTACCCCATCAGGGGACAGGATCTCGTGTGTGTGTGTGTGTGTGTGTGTGTGTGTGTGTGTGTGTGTCAAGGAGGGGTATCCCTCTGGTGCAGTCCTTGATGGTTTCCTCACCTTGATGTTGGTCCCATGGCCATCGGTGTTGGCCTCACCATCACCACTTTCAGTCTCTGAACAGCAACAGGCTCCACTGAGCAGGTGCCCAGTGACACCTGGTGCGTTGGAGGGTGGGGCTGAGCCCTGGTGAGCCAGGACCTGCTGAAAGATCAGGGGGAAGAGAATAGACCCCCCTCCACCAGCCCTGGGGACCCACAAAGGAACATTCAGGCCGCCCCAGTTTGAGCCATGAGTTGTGTCCACGGCAGCCTCGCTTCCTTTGCTGGGCCTTGGCAGCGATAACGCCTGAATCTGTGCAGGTCTCAGGTGAGCCTTCTCCAGCTCAGCCTCTGTCGCCTCACAGGACGCCTCGGTTCCTGGGCATTGATTCAGCACCTGCTGTGTGAAGGGAAACCAGAGAGGCCAGTCCTTGCTCCTGAGGACTCAAGGGTCTGGATGTGGGGGGAACCCACACCCCACAACGCTCCCAGACGATGGACGCAGCGCAAGGTCTAGGCTCACTCCAGGAATGTGGGGCACAGGGCCCAGAGCCCATTTGGATGAGGAGGCGCCGTGCCCTCCGTGGGCTGGAGGGACAGGGGGCCTTTGGTGGCCGGTGAAAGCGTTTTGCCAGCTGAGAATATTCTTTTTGCTGGCCGCGTCTAATCTGGTTTCTGGGGAAGATAAGAGGAGGCTACATCAGCAGATGCCTGTCACCATGGACTAAGAGTTGGCTCAGGGAATCCAATTCCAGCTCAGAACCCGGGGCCCAAGGAGCCGCTTGAGGCTGTGGCTCTGTCTCTTTTTGGACTCGAGGGACTCTGACCATGGTTGTGGACTCTCCCTAGAAAACATGCACACATAGCAATTTGCTGACCTGTCCTGGGAGCTCAAGGGAGGCCCAAGGCAGTGGGGCTGGGGGGCAGGGAGCAGAGGGGCAGGGTCGGGGCCAGGGGAAAGAGAGAGCATGGGGGGGGGTCCTGTCCCCTTGAGGCTGCCATGCAGGGGCTGGCTGCATTCCAAAGCTGGAGGAACAGCTCTGCCTTGCAGGGAATTAGCACAGTCTGCCTGTCCGGCTGCTTCACCATGGGTTGCCCCCGTGCCATTGAGGATGGTGATGGGGGAGGAAGGGTGGTGATGAGGGAGGGAGGGTCTTGATGTACCACCTGCCCCCAGATGGCCAAGGTGACCCTCCCCAGCGTCCCCAAGCTTCGCAGGCATGTAGGGGAGCCTCGGAGGGCACATCTGTTTGCTGTTCCTGCTGTTACACGTGACCACAAACTTAGTGGTCTAAAACAATGCAAATGTATTTATTTTTTCCTCTTTTTTCCCCCATGTAGGACAGGTAATGTGCCACTGTTCTAAAGACGTTGCACGTCCCACGCAAGAGTGTGAAAACCCCCTCATCACACATATCAGCCACAGAAGGATCAAAACAATGCCAATTTATTATTTTAGAGTTCGGGGGGTCAGAAGTCCCACGGGGCCGCACTGGGCTAAAGCCACGGTGTCAGCAGGGCTGGCTCCTTCTGGAGGCTGGGGGCAGATGCATCTCCTGGCCTTTCCCGGCTTCTGAAGGCCACCACGTTCTGGGCCTCAGTCCCAGGCTGGGGCATCACCACACCCACTGCTTTTGCACCAGGTCTGCTCTGACCCCTGCCTCTCTCTCACAGGGGCCCTTGTCATGCCACTGGGTTCACCTGCATGATGCCGGGGAGCCTCCCATCGCAGGACCCTCGGTCACACTGGCAATGTCCCTTTTGCCATGAAAAGTAGCCCATTCACAGTCCCGGGATTAGGATGTGGGCCTTTTGGGGGGCACCATTCTGCCCACCGTGGAGGGTGTGCAGGAGTGACCAGACCTCAGGGAGGCTCTCAAATTGACCTCATCCCCAGCACAAAGTCCAGGAGGGATGGCATGAGGTGTCCAGGATGCTGGAGCTTGGTGGGGGCTGGACAGGGACTCTGCTCAGGCACCCAGCCCCAGTGTGAGGGGCCCATGGCTGCGGGCGCAGGAGCCACAAGGGAGAAATGATGGCCCCATAGACTTTCCTTCCCCAAACTCGGATCCCCTGAAACAGAGAGGTGAGGCTTAGGGGTGAAGGGCGAGCAACTTCTGCAATAAGATTTCCATGATGCCTGACCATGTCTGTAAGAGAAAGGCTATGTCTTTCTTTATTTTTGTTTATTTATTTTTTGAGACAGAGTCTTGCTCTGTCACCCGGGCTGGAGTGCAGTGGGTTGATCATAGCCCACTGCAGCCTCAACGTTCCAGCCTCAAGCAATCCTCTCTCCTAGGCCTCCCAAGTAGCTGGGACTACAGGCATGTGTCTTGGGAGGCAATTTTTTTTTTTTTTTAAGAGACGAGGGTCTCACCATGTTGCCCAGGCTGGTCTCGAACTCCTGGCCTCAGGCAATCCTCCTGCCTTGATATCCCAAAGTTCTGGGATTACAGGCATGAGCCAGCATGCCTAGTCTCTTTTCAAAAAAAAAATTTTTTTTTTGAGTCACAGTTTCACTCTTTTTGCCCAGGCTGGAGTGCAATGGTGCCGTCTTGACTCACTGAAACCTCCGCCTTCCAGGTTCAAGCAATTCTCCTGCTTCAGCCTCCTGAGTAGCTGGGATTATAGCGCCTGCCACCACATCCGGCTTATTTTGCACTTATTTTTATTTTTAGTAGAGATGTGGTTTTACGACGTTGGCCAGGCAGATCTTGAACTCCTGACCTCAGGTGATCTGCTCGCCTCGGCCTCCCAAAGTGCTGGGATTACAGGCGTGAGTCACCGTGCCTAGCCTCAAAATTTTTTAATGTAACTTTTCAAATAAACTCACACATGTGATCAGTGATCACCACACATGCTTTATCGATAATTGCCACACTTGTTTCATGCATTGCTGTTGTCTTTCTCTTTCCTTTTCCCCTTTGGCTGAAGCATCTTCCATCCTGTAGCAAATGTTCTGAAATTTTGTTCCTATGAACTTCAGGTTGCAAGGCGCCAAGTACGGGAAACTCTGGAACACACTTGCGGCTCCCTTAGGGCAATGTTCAAATTAACAGTCATTCCTTGGCACCTGCTCAGGCCCCATCCGGAATCACATTCCCCTGATTGTTTGCTTACATCCATCAGATGGAACACATAGGTTCCTAACAAGGCCCACAGTTTAAGTTTTGTGGTGGCGCCTCTTGAACCTCTCTTACTCTAGATCAGGCGCCGCCCCTGACCCCCACTGCTCCTCCCACCACTTGTGATTTGTTGCAGAAACCAGATCAGCTGTCCTGCAAATGTGTCGCCTATCACGCAGCTGTTTGCCTCTCTGTGGTGTCGCCTCGCCCCATGTCTCCTGCAAATGGAAGCTGTGCTGCAGAAATGCCCTTAGATTCAGGCTCATCTTTCTTTGCCAGAAGCCTTCGTGGGCAGAGCTGTGAGAGCCACATGGAAGCACCTGTGATGCTAAGTGTGCCCCGTGGGTCCAGGTGGCCAGAGCCCGAACCCACCCTGTGATGCAAAGTGTGCCCAGTGGGTCCAGGTGGCCATAGCCCTGACCTACCCTGTAATGCTAAGTGTGCCCCGTGGGTCCAAGTGGCCACAGCCCGAACCCACCCTGTGATGCTAAGTGTGGCCAGTAGGTCCAGGTGGTCATAGCCTGAACCCACCCTGTGATGCCCTTGTTTTGTCATTACTGATCTCATCCATGACCCTTGCGAGAAATAATTATGTCATGAGAGGTGGCAAAATCGTGGTTTCTCTCATGATCTCATCTCTTCACAATGAGTAGCTGAAATTCTTCTATCAAAAACAACAACAACAAAAATGGCTGGGCACGGTGGCTCACACTTGTAATCCCAGAGCTTTTGTGGGCCAAGGTGAGAGAGGCCAGGAGCTTGAATCCAGCCTGGGCAACAAGACCCCATCTCTACAAAAACATAAAACATTAGCCAGGTATGGTGGTGCGTGCCTGTAGTCTTAGCTACTCAGGGGCTAAGGCAGAAGGATCCTTTGAGCCCAAGAAGTTAAGGCTGCAGTGGGCTGTGATTACACCACTGCACTTCAGCCTGGGTGATGCAGCGAGACCCTGTCTCTTAAATAAAACAAACAGGCTGGGTGTGGTGGCTTACACCTGTAATCCCACCACTTTGAGAGGCCGAGGTGGGTGGATCACCTGAGGTCAGGAGTTTGAGACCAGCCTGGCCAACATGGTGAAACCCCATCTCTACTAAAAATACAAAAAATTAGCAGGGCCTGGTTGTGGGCGCCTGTAATCTCAGCTACTCAGGAGTCTGAGGCAGGAGAATCACTTGAACCCACGAGGCAGAGGCTGCAGTGAGCCGAGGTTGTGCCATTGCACTCCAGCCTGGGCAACAGAGCAAGACTCCGTCTCAAAAAAAAAGAAACCAACCAAACAAAACCCAAAAAAACTTGCTGTTGTCCACTAGAGTTATTGAGTTACCCTGAAATATAGTTTAAAAGGGAAATTCTTAATTCTTTTCTTTTAATTGACAATGTTCCGAATAGAGAGTTGGAGCCTTGTTTTTCCAGTGGACTACCGATGGGTTTTGGTTTGGTTTCTCTCTTTAAATCTATTTATAGCTTTTGTGTATTCATTGTGTATTCAGCAATTACACACAATGAATACACAAAAAATTACACAACCAATACACAAAAGGTATAGGCAGATTTAAAAAGCGAGATACCAAGGCTTGATTTTAGGCTCGATTTGTCCCCTCTTTAGCCAGGGATTTCTAATTTTTTTCACCTCAAAAGTGGTAGGCCAGGGTGCTGTCCCATCAGTGGTGGGAGGAAAGGTTGGTTGCCCCGGACAGTGGGTGAATGCCGGGGTGCCAGTGTCAGGGAGGGGAGGGGCTGGTGGGTGAATGCCAGAATGCCAGTGTCAGGGACGGAGGGGCTGGTGGGTGAATGCCAGGGTGCCAGTGTCAGGGACAGAGGGGCTGGTGGGTGAATGCCTTGGTGCCAGTGTCAGGGACGGAGGGGGCTTGTTGAAGAGAAACTCTTTCTTCAGGGCCATTGATTTCCCTGCCTTGTTTGAAGTGCCTGGATTGGGCTCTCTGAAAACCAACACCATCTTATTAGAAGACAAGGGCTTCTTCTCTTTTCTTTCTTTCTTTCTTTCTTTCTTTTTTTTTTTTTTTTTTTGAGACAGAGTTTCACTCTTGTTGCCCAGGCTGGAGTGCAATGGCGTGATCTCGGCTCACTGCAACTTCTGCCTCCCCGGTTCAAGCGGTTCTCCTGCCTCAGCCTCCTAAGTACCTGGGATTACAGGCGCCCGCCACCACACCTGGCTAACTTTTGTATTTTTTAGTAGAGACGGGGTTTCTCCATGTTGGTCAGGCTGGTCTGGAACTCCCGACCTCAGGTAATCCGCCTGCCTCAGCCTCCCAAAGTGTCAGGATTACAGGCGTGAGCTACTGTGCCCGGCCTTTTCTTTTCTTTCTTTAGAGACAGGGTCTCTCTCTGTCACCCTAACTGGAGTGCGGTGGCATGATCACGACTCACTGCAGCCTCGACCTCCTGGGTTCAAGCGATCCTCCCATCTCAGCGTCCTGAATATCTGGGACGACCGCACCTCACTAATGTGTGTGTGTGTGTGTGTGTGTGTGTGTGTGTGTGTGTGTGTGTGTGTGTGTGTTTTGCAGAGATGAGGTCTCCCCATGTTGCACAGGCCTGGCAGGTGTTTCTGATAGTCACAAAGCCCCTGCTACTGGGGAAAGGGAAAGGAAGCCCCAGCTAAGACCCAATTAAGAAAATCCCAGAACCAAGAACGAATCGACTGTTCGGCTTTGGTAATCTCCAATGTGTCCACCAGGTGGTGCTGTCCAGCCACAAATCTCCCAGGTTTGATCTCGGGCTTCTGCCGAGGGCACCTCCAGGGCTGGGGTCTCATCGTGTTGTCCCCACTTTATTCCAACGTCCACCCCAGGCCTGGGGGAGCCCAGGGAGGACCGAGTTTCCTGGGCCCCGCAGGGTGCACAGAGGTGAGTTTGGTAGTGCGGTCCCAACCTCGACAAGCATCCCAGCGAAGCAGGCTGAGCGCCCGGCTGGCTCCCTCAGGTCCCCTCCTCCGGGCCTTCGCCCTGTTGATTTGGGTGTTTTAATGCAAGAAAGTAGGACACTGGTTGTCACCTGCCTGCTCCTACAAGGAAAATGCATGTTTGTGTGGTTATCCGTGGCCACCCCCACCAGGGCCTGCGGGGGGTCCAGTGCAGTGGAGGTGGGGAGGCGACTCATGGGCTCCAGGATCCGTGGAGAGTGAGTGTCAGCGGGAGGGTGTCCCCTGACCTCAGTCAATGGAAGCTGCTCTTCCTGGGGGTCCCACGGGAGGCCCGTGATGGGGGTGGGGGAGGAGGGGTAAACGCCGGGCCCTGATTGGCCGCCTGTCCTTGGGTCTTGGCTGGTCCTAAGAGGGAACAGGGAGCACAGCTGGGGTCACAGCCTCAGCCGGGACTCCTGCCCTCCAGCCCCTCAGCATCCTCCCTGCGTGTGCTCTCCTGGGGGCTGCTCAGGGCAGGTGGCGAGTAGGGGAGCTGTGGGACCAGAGAGAGGGGGTGGACGTGCCCAGGGCCTGCCCTCTTGGCCTGCCGTGGAGACCCACCCAGGCATACCTGGGGGCTGACCCTCCCCTGCAGAGAGCAGGGTGAACCCCAGCCCTGCCCTCGCCTAAGAGCCAGGTTCGAGGGGAGTGTAATTTATAATGAACCCCACTCCTCCCCCCAACACCCACCACAGGGAGGAGCCATCCTCTCTCCTGACACCAAAGTCACGCTCCTGACCCTGCAGGCCACAGGATGAGGAGGACCCAGAGAGGCAGTGGGGTGGGGGCATTTCATAAGCCGGTGAGAGCTGCCCGTGTGCATCCTCAGGCCTCACAGTGGAGTGAGGGGCGGGGGCCGCCTGCGTCCTCCACAGGAGCTCCTGTCATTCCACCTCTGGGGGTGCACTTGCCGACTTGCCCCAGACCTGGACTCAGGCTGCGCTGCTGTCTGCCCAGGGCCTGGCGATTGCTGCGCCCATGGTGGGTCCCACAGGCAGGCCCTGCCCTCCCATCGCTGGCTTCTGAGCAGGGGCTTTGGGGCTGCTGGACCTTGGAGGCAGATCGGGGGCTTCTGGTGTCCCTATGTCTTGGGGGCCTGGTGTCCTGAGGGCCAGCGCCCCCCGGCCTGCACTGGGACCCTCCATGGAAGCAACTCCTCTTTCATCTCAGGCACTGGGTGTCCCAGGGCCAGGGAAGGGGCTGCGCAGCACCTCAGGAGCCCAGAAGAGCTGCCAGCCAAGGAGGAGGAGCTGGGGGGAGCAGAGGCCTGGACCAGCTGGGATGTTCCCATCCGCGTGTCCCTCCCGCCCAGGCCACATGGGCAGGGGAGGAAGAGGGGAGGAGGAGGGGAGGGGCCCTTGTCCTCCCAGAGCCTCTCCCTTCCTCTCCCTTCCTCTCCTCCCTCTCCCTCTGCTCATCTCATCATGAGACAGCTGGCGAGGCCCTTCGGCTGCCCTGGAGTGCCCCTGCCCTGGCCAAGCTCTTGCTGCCCCCTTCTCCTGGAGGTGCCAGATGGGGCGGGCCCAAAGCAGCAGAGGTCTGGGCCCTGGCTCCAGCTCTGTCCCCTCCCGAGGGCCCTGGAGGAGCTAGGAGGAGGGCCTAGCAGGGCCGGGCAGATGGTGGGCCGGGAGAAGGGGTTGCCTGGGGAGACGGACCGACTAGCAGGACAGATGGTGGGCCAGGCAGGGGTCCGGAGCCCGCCCCATCTGCTCCAGTCCCTGGTGGGACTTTTCTTGTCCACCTCGGGCTGAACTGGGATGGGCTGCGTGGGTGGCTGTGGCCCAGGCCGGATTCTGTCACACTGGGTCCTCTGTCCCTGGGGCACGGCCAGCCGGGTGCTCAGCTGGGGTCTTGAAGCCCCCTCCTGGCAGCTGGCACGTGGCTGGAGGTCATCATGTTTCGGGGGCTCCTGAGGGTCTGCGGGCCATGCCTGAGCAGAGCCTGGGGCGCGTCCCGGGAACGAAGCCGCCGCTGCAGATGAGGGGCTTTGTAGGTGGGTGGGCGACTGAAGCCCCCTGGAGGGGCTTCCTGGGGTCCAACGCCGAGAGGGTCCGGGACAAGAAGATGCTCAGTCACGTGTTTGTGCTGCAGGTGCACCCCCAGCCCAGGCGACATCAACGGCCAGCCCCATACGCGTGAGGAGGGATTGCGGCACCAGGGGCGCTCAGGATTGGGCCGGGCTGCTTCTCAGAAGAGGGGACATTGAGCCCAAGCAGGCTGCACTCCTGCTTGGACGGAAGGTGCATGGGTGGGGAGGGTAATCACACCAATAGAGACATGGATGGACTCGTGCAGAACATAAATACTCTCTTTGCTTATGTCTATGTTACTCAAAGGAACCATGGAAATAACAAATTCCCAATTACAATGCAGTAAACTTTAAGAGGAGCAGAGTGAGCTTCGCTCTTTTATGGTTGGTGTATTTCCAAAAAACACTTTCTTCTTCTTTCCCAATTCTTTTTCTAGTTTCTCCTAAATTGGTGTTTCTTTAGATGGAAGCAGTGTCTCAGACCATAAAACACTAAACCTATTTGAAGCACTTAAGTTAATTATTCTATTCATAAAATCTAGGTTGATCCATCTCATAGCAAAATCCGTTAGTATAATTTTACCTTCTTCTTTTTAAAAAGCCAACAAACTATAAGTGGTGCTTCTATGTAGAAATATATAAGTAGAACTGAGTTTTTACTTATAGAACTTATATCAAATGATGATAAGCAAAGTATTTTTATTCTATAACCTGGATTTAAAAATATATAATCTCTGCAATATATATTAAAGAAACTATAATTAATTTTAAGAAGTCAAATGGGGAAAAAAACAAAACAAAATGTTCCATCCTTAGTCAGATGACCTATAATTTATTTTATTTGATTCAAGCTATATCTTTAAATAGTAGTATCAGGATCACAAGTCATTTTGAAATGTCATAAAAATGTTCCAAGTTTGTGTTTTAAAGGACCTTAGAGGGACTATTTGTGGTTTTGTACTTTCTTTGTTCAGTGATCCACTTGCAGGTTATTCTGAACCTCCTTGGGAAAAGATGAAAGTAGGATGGCATTTTGGAAATGATTCTTCATTCTGAAACCTCCTTGAGTGATAGACTAGATGAAGTATAGTTATATATTTGGCAGTAGAAAGCAATCTCTCCTGTCAAATTTCCCATTCATTTTTATTTCTGGATTTATTCTTTCTACTTTTGCTCAAATACCAACACATAAAGAGTGTCCACAGATATAGGCTCTAATAATGCACTGTGGGAATTTAACACATTTTAAAAGACTGAAGGATAGTAAGAAGAGAGTTTTTAACAGATTCCTTATGGAGGGAAAAGAATATTGCTAGATGAAACAAAAATGGAAAAAAATCTTTTATTGATAGATATAGCTTATATTTTCTTCCTTTACTCCTAATTGAATTGTGAATGTTTTATTATCAAAATTCACAAAATTTTGATAGAATGTGCCAAATATTTCCTGAGTTACAATTTCTCATTTAGAAACATTTGCTTTAAATTCTCATACATATCCAAAACTGTTCTGTTCATTTTCCTGTTGACTACTTTTTCTACCTTGACTTGAGATACTCCAGAAGAGATATCCTTGTTGTTAACAAGAAAATAAGCTAATATAAAAGGGATAAATTAAAGTTAGATTATAGGCCATATACTAAGAACTAAAAAATTGAGTTTGGTGGAAACATAAAGATTATGTAGTTAAATGCTCACAATTTTCCCTTATATCACTAAATAAACAAAATAAAAATATTACAAAGGGTTAAAAAAACAGAAAAGATGCCCGCAACATTTTTAGTCAGATACATATTCGCATAGATATTTCCATATATTCATAGAAATATTTAGCACCATTTCTTTGAAAATAAGAAAGTATAAAGGAAGAAATTGATTTTGACATTATCCTAGAGAGTTTAAATGGATCCTAACCAAATACAGACACAAGTCAAACAACACTGACCATCCAAGCATTTTACACTGATCAAGATAATGCAAAAAGGTTGAACTTATGACAAATACAGAAATAAGAAATTTGTGTTATTTTTTAAAGAAATAAACTGTCTGTGATTAATCTTTTTCCCATTTATGAAACTTAAATGACATATCATTTGTTTGTAAATTGCAGGGAGGGTGTTTAATTATATAAAAATGAAACACATTCTGTCTTTATGGAGTTTATGGAAAAAAGGTAATACAGATTAATTTAGGGTAAAGTTTTAAAAATTAATCATTAATATTGGAGAAACAAGGATCAAAAACATCTAAGTAAGCTGTAGCTCAAATAAGAAGGCATAGACCCATTTCTTCCTGCTCCCTCTCACTAGGCACAACCTTAAGCACTGCAAATGGTACAAAAAGCAAATAAAGGAGAACTCTGCAGGTGGTAAAAATAGAAGAGCTGGTGTGGGGACCCAGGATTTGAGCAACAACACAACATCAAGATGCCTTGTGTCCTCCCACCTGAGAGGAAGGCCATCCATATCCAGTACTTCTTTCCCCCATGACATAGTAGCAGAAGGCAGCCCAGATAGGCCCATTGTTTCTCCAGATCAAACAGTAGCCCCCAGCATAGCACCAGCTGAACTTAAGACATGAGAGTGCATCTCCTCACCCACCTGTCCTGAGACTTCTTTTTTCTACCAAGAGATACTTAGGCTACAAGACAAAGAGCCTGCAGGAGAGACTGAACAATACCAGGCAACTTAGTAGGTCATGGAAGCCTCTTTGTCCTCATAGGACTGAGATTCTCCATTCTTGATCAGATGTATTAGACCATTTCATGCTGCTATAATAGAATACCACTGACTGTAATGTATAATGAACAGAAATTTATTTGCAGCAGGAGCCAATCCTTCTCATCAAATTTCACATTCATTTTTATTTCTAGATTTATTCTTTCGACTTTTGCTTAAATGTCCACATTTAAAGAGTGTCCACAGATACAATATAGGCTCTAGTGATGCATTGTGGAAATTTAATACGTAGTGAAACACTCAAGGATAGTACAAAGAAAGCTCTCTTATTTTTACTACCTTCAGGGTTCTCCTCTATATTTGTCTTTTCACTACTTCTAATGCTTAAGGTTGTGTCTCGTGAGAGACAGCAAGAAGAAATGGGTCTATGCCTTCTTGTCCGAACCACGTTTCATTTAGATGTTTTTGATCCTTGTGTCTTTTATACTAATGATGATAAAAGAATCAATCAACTAGACATAAAAATTCTAAATATGTACCGACCACGAGAGCGTATTTGCAAAATAACATGAAACAAAAACTGATAAAGAGTTGAAAGCAGAGATTCACTACTGTAATTGCAGACTCCAACACTGATAATAATGATAGAATTATTAGAAAATCAGCAATGACCTGCAATATCTAGAATATATGCACATTCAGCTAAGAAGATCTAACTGCCACATAAAAACACTCCGCTCAATTACAGCAGAACACACAATTTTTTTCAGACCTTCATGGAATACTCATCAAGATAGATCATAGACATAAGTAGACATTAATCAAGCCTCAACAAACTTAAAAAAATAGTTTAAATTGTGTTATGTATTTTTTGTGATACCAAACTAGAAATAAATAACAAAACAATAGGAATCTGAGAACATGTGGGAAATAACGTATTTTTAAATGATCCATGGGTCAAAAAGGAAGTCTCAAATAATTTAAAAACAAATACATAGATGTGAATGATTTAAAAGATACAAAATATTATGTCAGATAGAACTAAAGAAGCGATTAGAGAAAAACTGATAGCAGTGCAGGCTTACATTAAAAATGAGAGGTCTCAAGTTGATAATCTACATTTCTATTAACAAAAGTAGAAACAGAAGAGCAAAATAAGCTCAAAACAAAAAGAAAAAAATAATAAAAAATCAAAGCAGAAATCAATAAAATTGAAAACAGAAAAGCAATAAAGAAAATTAATATAACCAAATATCTTTCAAATATGTTTATCAATAAAATTAATAAAACTCCAAAAATACTAAACAAAAGTAACAAAAAGACAGCTATTGCTCATGTCAAAATTAAAGTAAGAAATAACGCTCTTGATTCTGTAGCTTTTAAAAAGATAAAGAGAATAATACGAACAACTTCATGCTTATAGTTTCATCAACGTAAAAGGACTAATTTTTTGAAAACACAAACTATCAAAAATTACCAAGATAAAATTAACAATCTAAAATAGCTCTATTTCAATCAAATCAATTATTAATTAAAAGGTCCTGAAAAATAAAATTCCTGGCTGAAATAGTTTCACCGGAGAATAGTAATAAACATTTAAGAAGTAATTATTACTAAATTTATACAAGCTTTACCAGAAAATAGAAATGAATTGAAAATTTCCTAACTATTCTTATGAAGTATTACACCAATACCCAAGCCAGTGTACAAAAAAGAAAATAATTGATTAGTATTCCTCGCAAATATAGATATAAAAATCATTAACAAAATATTATGAAATAAAACTCAATAATATATAAAAATAACTACACACATGACCAAGTGTGTTTATTCCAGCAATACAAGGATGGTTCAACATTACAAAATCAGTCATTGCAATGAACAATATCAACAGGCTAAAGAAGAAAAATCAGATGATCATATCAATTGATGCATAAAATTAATTCAGCAAAAAATAAATACATATAATAAAAAACTCTTAGAAAATTAGGAATAGAGGAAGACCTTCTCCAAATTTTAAAGAACAGGTAAAAACCCTACAGCTAAGATTATACTTGATGATGAAAAACATCCTAAAATCCTTCCTAAAATCAGGAATAAGGTGCTATAGTTTGGATATATGTCCCTGCCAAATCTCATGTTGAAATGTAATCCCCAGTGTTGGAGGTGGGGCCTGGTGAGAGGTATCGGGGTCATGGGAGCAGATCCCTGATGTCTTGGTGCTGTCCTCAGGTTAGTAGGTGAGTTCTCATGAGATCTGGTTGTTTTAAAGTTTGTGGCACCTCCTTCCACTCTCTCTTTGGCCACATGACCATGGCCATGTGATTCTGCTTTGGCCATGTGACATACCTCCTCCCGCTTCTCAGGGAGTAAAATCTCCCTGAGAGACCCCCAAAGCTGAGCAGATGCCAGTGCCGTGTTTCCTGTACAGCCTGAAGAACCGTGAGCCAATTAAACCTCTTTTCTTTATAAATTACTCATTCTCGAGTATTTCTTTGTAGCAACATAAGAACAGCTTAGCACACAAGGTAAAGATGACTACTCTTACTTCTCTTCTCAACATAGGTCTGGAAGTCCTCAACTAGCACAATAATGAAAAGAAAGGAAACAAAAGGTATACAGACAAGAAAGGAAAAAGTAAAATTTTTTTCTATTTGCTGATAACATGATTGTCTGTGTTGAAAATCCTAAAGGATCTATCAAAAAACAGAGCTAATATAAATGATGCCAACAAGGTCACAAGATACAAGATAAGCATAACACAATCAATTTTTCATTCTAGATACCAGAATGTGCCCATGAACACTGAAATTAAAAACACAATGCCATTCACAACACTCAAAAATGAATTATTTAACTATAAATCTAACAAAACTGTGCAAGACTTTTATGCTGAAAAATATACAACAATGATGAAATAAATTAAAAATCCTAAATAAGTGGAAAGACATTGTGTTCATGGATTGGAAGAAACAGTATAGTAATGATGCTAATTTTTTCTAAATCAATGCACAGGTTCAATGTAATTCTTATCCAAAATAGCCCACTTTTGTATAAATATAGAATTATCACTGTAAAATTTACATGCAATGCCCAGGGAACTAAACTAGCTAAAACAATTTCAAAAAGGAAAAATAAAAAGGAATGAATTATTGTATCTGATTTCAAGACTTATTATCTACATACATTAATTAATATTATGTGGTACTGACACATAAGCCAATGGAACCAGGTAGAGGGCCTGGAAACAGACCCATAAAATATACCTAACACACTTTTGAGCAAGATGCAAGAACTAAACTGAAAAATGTTCTTTTCAGGAAATGGTCCTGCGGCAATTGTATATGCATAGACCAAAAGGAAAAAAAAAACAAAAGAAAATTAATCTCAGCCTACATTTCATATAACATACAAAAATTAAGTCAAAATAAATTATATCCTTAAATGTAAATATATAGCTAAAAAACATGTTTAAACTAAAAGAAAACAAATCTTCAGGATCTACAGGAAAGCTACAATTTCTCAGACTTGACATCAAAAGCACAATACATAAAATAAAAAAATTATAAACTATAAACTTTCTCTTAGTGAAAACCGGTGTGCAAAGGATAAACAGACCAAGGTACGTATTTGGAGAAAACATTTAGAATTATATATCTGAGGAAGGACTAGTATTTAGAACATAAAAAAGACCTCTCTAACCTCAACAAAACAAAACTATACAGATTGCAAAAGGTCTTGTAAAAATGAACTCGAAAAACCAATTAGAATATGGGCAAAAGACATAAAGAGACATTTCAGTGAATAGGATATGCAGATGGAAAACAAGCATCATATCAACATCATTCATCACCAGAAAATTGCAAATTAAAACCACAGTGATATATTATTACCTAATACTACAAATCTATTACAATGGCAAAAATTAACAAAAAAGTGACAGCAGCAAATATTGCCATTTCTGTAGAAAAACTAAATCACTCATATATTTCCTGTGAAAATGTAAAATGATACAGCCGCTATAGAAAACAGCTTGGAGCTTGGTAATAAAAAAGGTATACAACTATTATTCAACCTAGCAAATTGTACTCTTGTGAATTTCTCCAAGAGTGGGGAGAAAGCTCTGTTCACAAAAGCCTATTCAACAAATATTTATAGCAGATGTATTCATAATAGCCAAAACCTTTGCTCAATCAAGATGTACTTCAGTAGGTGAATGGTCAAACAAATGGCAGTACATATGCACCATGGAATACTACTTAACAATTAAAAGGAATAGATCATTTATGTACATATCAACTTAGGCAAGTCTCCAGAGAATCACACAAAGTAAAAAAATACTAACCCCAAAGTTTATATTCTGTATTGTTCTATTCATGATGAAATTTTAGAAATAGAGGATAAGTTTAGTGGCAACATTTAAAATGAGTGGGAGAAATGGTGGGAGGTGTGTATGGTTATCAAAGAATAGAAAGGATCCTGACGTTGTTAGTGTTTAGCAGTTTTACTCCTATTTGTGGATAAACACACCTACTCATCTTAAAATTGTATCAGATTTAATACACACATATATGTGTGTAAGTAAAACTGGGTAAGTCTGAATTAGATCAATGGATTTTATTGATATTAATATCCTGGTTATGCTATTATGCTATGGTTACGCAAAATGTCACCATTAGGGGAAACTGGATGAAGTATACAAGGGATCTCTCTGTATCGTTCCTTCTACCACGTGTGAATCTACAATAATCTCAATTAACAAATATGCTGCTCATAAGTGAGAGAGGTTCATATGCCAAATATTTCCAGAAAAAAAAGTACTAAATTCATGATACTATAAGGTTTAAACAACGAAATAATTTATAATTACATAGGAAAGAGGATTTTTTAAATTTAAAACTCATCAGGATCTGGCATTTTCACAAGGAAAAAGGAGTAAAATTAGCTGTACTAAGTATGAAGTCAGATGTGAACTATGATTATGACACAAACATCATGTTTTATTTTCAAGGTCAATCCTGGGTGAGTATTTGTCTGTGGCCTAGTATCAGAGACCCACGCATCAGGTACAGGTAGATGGATTAAGTAGAGGATTGAACAGAATAAACTAAAATAAAAAGATATGAAATAAATACATGCCTCAGGCAGTGAGAAATCTCAAATATTCTGGAGTAACACAATGTTTCTTATGGTGATGATATAAAAATATATCACTAAGATTATAATATACTGAGACGCTGCATCACCATTATCCCAGAGCTACAGTATGAGTGGCTGATGAAGAGTAATGAAATTTTAATTAGCATTTTGGTAGCAGAAGATCAGTTCAATAGTCACTTTCATTTAATTGATAGCCTTTTGGAAGCTGGGATGCTTGTTTCATGCATGGACCGTCGCTTACCACCTGCAGGGTTTATTTGTATGGCTAGCTATTAAATCTCACCTAAAACCATCATGAAGCTAAATGCATATCACTTCTGTTTTAAAGTGCATTTCAAGGAAAAAGTTCAAACATTTAAAGGGTCATGCTCTGTAATGGAAAAGAAGAAAACAATAGCTTTTTCTATTCAATATGAACCTTCATGGAGAAAATTTAGAAACTATTCTAATTTTATGCTGGTTTAATGTTTAAATAAGCACATAAGTACATTTCTTAGAGTCCAATACTAGTACTTGAGGTAGAAATGATATTTTTAAAAAAATATTCTACGGATATGCTTTCAGGCATACAGTGGATATTGTTAACTGCCAATCCAGTATCATTCTTGTTTTTCTCCTTCCAAACAGAATCCCTTTCTCTTTTCAAACAGAAAGGTCTTTGAATATTCACCATTTTCACAAGTCTGTGCATCTTATTCAGCAGCTACTGAGTCTAATCTCGGCTCCAGAGAATAGTTGGAGAAAATTAGAATGATTATATCTTCCCTTTCTGTATTTGAATCAAGAATGGCATGTCATCTAACCCAGAACAATAAAACAATATAAATAGTTGATTACAGCTTCTGTGGAAATCCTCTCTGGTATTTTCAAGGGGGAGGGTCTCAGTTTCTACACAGAATCTGCAAAAGGGCCATCCTACCTTCTAAATCTCTTCAGCAGTTTCTGGTAATCTAGTGAAGACATTTCATGTAGGTACATGTACTCAGTCCTGTAAAATGCCATTTATATATCAAACAATACTTGGATTGATAATCAACCATTCAATTGAAATATATGAAGATCACTGAGGACCTTGATAACATTAATTTCCTTGAGGTATTGGAAACAAAAGCTTTATGTAAAGCATTCAAAAAGATTCAGAGTGTTGGTGGCAGGGAGTGGGGGTAGAGAGATCATTAGAAAAAATAGGTAATGCATGCTGGGCTTAATACATAGGCCATGGGTTGATAGGTCCAGCAAACCACTATGGCACATGTTTACCTATGTAACAAATCTGCACATCCTGCACACGTACCCCAGAACTTAAAATAAAAATAAAACAGAAATAATTGGAGACAACCAATATCCATCAACAGATGAATGGATACACTAAATGTGTTAAATAGACATAAAGTAATATGATTCAATCCCAAAAAAGTTCTGATATATGCTACAATATGGCTCAACCTTGGATAAATTATACTAACTAAAAGAAATGAGACACATAAGAATAAATGATGTAACATTCCATTTACTTGAAATATTTACAATAAGAAAATTCAGAGAGAAGTTCCCAGGGGCTGGGGGAGAGGGAAACAGAAGTTATTACTTAATGGGTGCAGAGTTTCTGTTGGAAGTGATAAAAAAGTTTTAGAATAGATAGTGATGATGGTTGCACAGCAATATGAATATAAAATGCCACTGAGCTGAATATTTTAAAATGATTAAAATGACAAATTTTATGTTTTATATATATATATTTCACCATGATAAAACCATTTAGACTATTAATGTAGATAATTCTCTGAAATAATTTTCTTTAAAATGAATAAAAATATTTAGTGCTAGTTGAATAAGTTCAACAAAAGACTTGAAACTATAAAAGTAAAAAGATATTTAATTCCTATAAAGACACTTAAAGACAGCGATAAATCATGAATAATGGCATTTTGAAAATGTGACAGAAGAGAAAATTCAAAGAAAAACAAAGAAAAGTGGAAAAAAAAGTCCCAAGAATAGGTTTTCCCTTGAAAAAAAATATCAGAAAGAGCTATTATTTTTTAGACCGGACAAAGTTGGCTCTTTGGAAGTAATGAAGAGGTGGGTCTGACTGTATTACATACATATCAATGTGAAGAACAAGAGGTGTGTGTGGCATGTTAAATCATCCTGTGGACTCTATTGATAAGTGTTTTTATGTGGAGTGAATATATTATGAGGCTTGAAGTTACTAGACTAAAAATGCTATGAAAGGTTATTCTAATTACAACCCTTCTAGAAGTGTGAAAGAAGTCACTGGTGAAGCACTTGCTCAAATGATCAATTTAATTCAGATTAATGAAATCTACAAAGCCACAAATAAAACAGAAGATATAAAATATTAGAAGATACCACACTTACATGCTAGATAACCAAAAACAAACTTCTTAGACATAAAATGCCAATAAATATATTCATTTACTCTTAACAAATTAAAACATTTTTTAAAAATATTTTTAAAAATTAATCAATTTTAATTTATTTTATTTTTAATAAGAGAAACATTTATGCTTTTTTGGGTAGAATCAACAATTGTTTAACAGATTCTTTTTTTCCTGCCATCTCATGTTGCTCTGACTCAAATTAGGGCTGAAGATATTTGAATATTTGATTGCACCACAATATAAAAAGGGCTAATATAGATATAAACCCAGAAGAGAAAAACAAATCAGAAAATGAGGCTCTCTGGGGTGGGTTATATTTGTTTCACGTCTCAAAGTATGAATACACAACAACTTAAATTTAGCAAACATTAAAGAAGAATCTATGTAGTTAGTCTTAATCCCTAGGAGTAACAAAAATTACAAATACATCATTTATGAGTGGTAAGTGCCATTTGATACTTGTGGAATAATTAACATTACAGTACAAAAAACAGATCAAATCTACATAATATTATTCCTCACACCTTCTCCTTTTAAATTATAAAATCACACTTGCTTATGTGACAAGATTTTGAGAGACTTAAATGAGATAATGTATGTAAGTGAAACTGTTATTCACTCTTAATGGCCGCACTGGATCTTGCATTGGTTATTCATTAAAGAACCACTCAGTAAGCACCTACGTACAAGGCCCTGTTTTAAGAACTGATGACACAGTGCATAAAAGCACTTTATGCATAAAAGTACTTCTCTGCATAGTACCTTTTTATGCCCAAAAGCACTTCTCTGCATAGTTTATATCTTTCCTTCTGTCTTCGTTTAGTCCCAATGTTTCATCATGAGATTGCAATAAAAATTCTCAATTTCCCCCTTTATTATTTGTGAAAATTATGGACATATTTGTAGCCATGATCACCTATCACTTTTCTACTAACAACAGAGCTAGACTATGAAATGGCTTCAACTGTATATGTATTAGCAATTATATGTAACTATAAATTACATATAAAATAATTGTATATGTACATTTTATGCTATGCATTAATCACTTTTTCCTTTCTCAAAAATTTTATACATAGCTTATGACTCTGTAATTTATAATAAAATATATACACAGTACCCTAAACTCACATTATCTTTGCAGCAGGGGAAATCAAAGAGAACAAAATCAAGATTCTTCTCTTTCCCAGAATTTTATATATATATACACACATATATATTCCTGTATAAAACAAACAATATCTGATAAACCATGATAGATAAAATCCCAGGTTATTTTTTGATTGACTCTTTCTAAATGTTGAATTGAGTTCTCATAAGAAGGCATTAATATAAATTTTTATTATTACTACGACTTATACATTACCACTACAACATTGAACAAATATTACTAGCATCAATATCACTTAATATTTTTAATGTTTATTTGACCAGTTAACTTTGTTTACATGAATTGAAGTACTCATCATTCAACATTTAGCAGATTTTTTAATGAAAAATAAAGACAATAAATAACATATTCAATACAACTTTCATTTATCACCATTATCGAAGACCTACTGTGGACTTCACACTGGGTTTAACATATTTTATTTATTCCTTGATAAATTAATTACATTTTAGCTAATATTGTTAATGAAAATGTTGAACAGTTTCGCAGTGCTTTAAAATAATCTACGTAGCATATTACATTTACAATGACATGAAAACTTCTAGAAACTTTTAACCAATAGTTCTATTTGTCATCTCAACTTTTTGAGTAGGACAGTAAAATTCAAAGGGATACAATGATTTGCGTAATTCCACACAGCTAGTGTATGGTGATGAAGATTTGAATCTAGCTGCTCTCAATTGTAACACTGCTCTCCTCTCATTATACCTTACTGACATTTACTAAGAGCACTGAATCTTTCTGTACAAAGCCTTCCACTATTCTTATGCCTCCCCTATTTACCTAATTAATGTTTATAAAATATAGACAGTTTTAAGTGTATTTTTAGTTATTTTTATTTTTTTAAGTATAAGAAACTAGCCAAGTTAAAAAAAAGCATTACGATTGAAGTGTTTACAACCTTTGGTAATCTGAATATTTTCCACATCCATTCCAAAGATTATGTAGGTGAAAGGTATTTTAATGTTAATTTTCAACTGGTAATATGGGGTAGTCATGTAGCTATCATCACTGAAAGAGGCATATTTTTTTTTAAATAGACACTTTCTAAAAGAATTCTATTTTCATCAATATAAATTGAAGTGATTGCCATTTTCAACTATAAATCATTTACACTGTGTTTTAGGAAGCAGTACTTGTTCCTGTCATGATTCCAGTCCTTGACATTGCCGCTGATCATTAAACCCTGTATCTCCTTGTATTCATATAATTCAGACAGCTACCTTGGCAATGCAGGATGTCACATTTTCACAGTATTCATGAACATGGAATGGGAGCCTCCAATTTCTGTAATCAAGATATTTGAGAGTTGATGTGCCCAAGGTCCTCTCTTTAATCAGCTGTGGTACTTCCCGCCCTGAACTCAAATTATCCCTGCAACAGGAGTAATCAAGGCAGAATAAAATCCAGGTTATTCTCTTTGGCCCAGTTTATCTCTCTACAGCCACGGGGAAGGCTGATGCATCAATCAAGTCTCCAAATAAAAAGGTAATTATTTCTTGATTTCTCTGGAGCAGATGCAATGAGAGCAAGGTTGCTTCTACTGGGAGTCCCTACTGTGTTGCCAAACAGCAGCAGTTATCTTAGGAGACAGAAGCAATTACTTGCAAGATGTTCTTGTCTTTTTAGGTAAGGCTGAGTGCTAGTCATTAAAATTCATCTGGCATTTGAGTAACCACTACAGGCCAGGCATAATGCTAGATATTTTTATATATATGTACATATTTTATATACATATATAAGTTAAATTTCTTTTAAATTTCAGACATTTATGAATGCACTCACATATGCACAAAAATATTAACACTGTAAGGTTTGAATCATCTTCAAGTAAGAGTGAGGAAAAGCTCAGTGAGTGAGTGAAATGACCAAGGTCACTGAGCTAGTCAGCAGCTCAGTAGTACTTCAAACTTGTGTTTCTATCATCTTTCCACTACGTTTTTATTATGAGCATGTGGTAGTTTGCAAAGCCTTTTTCTAATGCATAACACACGCACTGATATATACACTACAACAGCTTGCCGTTGTCATCTTAAACGCTTAGGACAGCAGTTCTAATCTTCTCTTTGTCCTAAAGGGTCCTTGGTGACAGGGGGATCACCCTGGATGTTAGCCTAAATTATTCTTTCAAACTTTATTTAACTCCCAATCTCCCATGTCCAAATGGTATAAAATATGTGAAATTTACCAATTAGCTAAATTTAGCATTCCATTTCTTCTTGATATCACTTGAGGGAAAATATACATTATATACTTAGTCTAATCATTGAATTAATATAATTGGATTACTGACTACCCAGATGGAAAGAAGGATGCCATCACTGCTGAGGTATAGCACAGGCAGCCCCTGACACAAGTAACAGTGTAATTCTTGAACTAGGGGAGGGTGCTACTGACATCTAGTGAGTAGAGGCCAGGGATGCTTGTAAACATCTGCAATGCATTAGACAGCACAACAGAGAACTGTGCTGCACAATTTTGCCCTGAGAGGGCAAAGTGATGTTGGATGAGGTAATTGTCTTCATCTCATGAATTCCTAAGAGACAGCATGTACATGAATAACTGATTCATGCAGGTTTATGAAGACTCAGGTCCTTTCTGTGGCCCCTTATAGATCTGAGGGGCCCTCCAGATACAGACACCATCAGCTGAGAAAAGAATTCATTAAGAATGAAAACTGCTCCCTTGGCCCAATCTTGTTTTCTTTTCTTCCCTTTCCTTATCTTTTACAGGAAGGACAGGAAGCAAGATTGGGCAGAGGAAGCAGTTTTCATTTATTAGGGGATTATTCTCAAAAATAGTCTCCCAATAAATCTTTTGCATGCTAATTCCCATATCAGGCCCTTCTTCCTCTGGAACCTGACCAAAAAGGGCTGGTATCTGAACTGGTCTCAGAAAGCAGATGCTAAAATGAGATTTTGCAGTTGGATTATCCACTGCCCTGTTGAAAATGAGGACACTGGCTGGGCGCAGTGGCTCACGCCTGTAATCCCAGGACTTTGGGAGGCCGAGCAGGGCGGATCACAAGGTCAGGAGATCAAGACCATCCTGGCTAACACGGTGAAACCCCGTCTCTACTAAATACAAATACAAATACTAACTACAAAAAATCAGCCTGGCGTGCTGGTGGGCGCCTGTAGTCCCAGCTAATCGGGAGGCTGAGGCAGGAGAATGGCGTGAACCCAGGAGGTGGAGCTTGCAGTGAGCCGAGATCACACCACTGCACTCCAGCCTGGACGACAGAGCGAGACTCCGTCTCAAAAAAAAAAAAAAAAAAGGAAACAAGGACACCATCAATGGTGATAAATAAGTAAAGGCAGCCCCTGGCACAAGGGAACAGTGCCATTTTTAAAATCTTCATTGGCGGAGGGATGGTATGCACTCAGTAGAAGAGAATGGTATACACTCAGTAGAAGAGAATGCACTAGATGATGTGGTGTGATGTGTTAAATATTTGAGAAATATTGGAGACGTAGTAGTTATAAGGAGAGTGGAATTGAGTAGCTTTGCTAAACTTGAAGTATGCCTTGAAGAAAAAGATAAAAATATGATTCATTAATCTGAAATTAAAAGCTAAGCGTGAATGCCAGTGCATGAAAGCAAGTAGCATGTAAAGAGGATCTCATTTACTGCAGCTAGAGGCAAAGAATGTTGAGGACCAAACCAAAGTCTCAATCATAAGAGTAGAAGAGAGCTGTAAAAAAACTTAAACTCTCAAACTAAGCAGGTCTGCTATAACCACATTAAAAACTCAGGCCAGGAAAGAATGAAACTCTCATGGAGTAAGAGCATCTGGATTATTACATCTAAAAATATTGTAAACTCATATCCCTTATATTTCAACATCGTCCGCAGATATGACCAACACATTCCTGTTAAGGGGTGCCTCCTTTGCATCAAGATGACTTAGAGACCTCCCCTTCATACTACAAAGTATTCCACCCTCACAATGTGTTTCCACATTCCTAGGTATTCCATTCTCTTGGAAGCAATTGTGAATGGGAGGTTCACTCATGATTTGGCTCTCAGTTTGTCTGTTATTGGTGTATAGGAATGCTTGTGATTTTTGCACATTGATTTTGTATCCTGAGAGTTTGCTGAAGTTGCTTATCAGCTTAAGGAGATTTTGGGCTGGGACCATGGGGTTTTCTAAATATACAATCACGTCGTCTGCAAACAGGGACAATTTGACTTCCTCTTTTCCTAATTGAATACCCTTTATTTCTTTCTCCTGCCTAATTGCCCTGGCCATAACTTCCAACACTATGTTGCATAGGAGTGGTGACAGAGGGCATCCCTGTCTTGTGCCAGTTTTCAAAGGGAATGCTTCCAGTTTTTGCCCATTCAGTATGATACTGGCTGTGGGTTTGTCATAAATAGCTCTTATGATTTTGAGATATGTCCCATCAATACCTAGTTTATTGAGAGTTTTTAGCATGAAGGGCTGTTGAATTTTGTCAAAGGCCTTTTCTGCATCTATTGAGATAATCAGGTGGTTTTTGTCTTTGGTTCTATTTATATGATGGATTATGTTTACTGATTTGCGTATGTTGAACCAGCCTTGCATCCCAGGGATGAAGCCCACTTGATCGTGATGGATAAGGTTTTGGACGTTCTGCTGGATTCGGTTTACCAGTATTTTATCGAGAATTTTTGCATCAATGTTCATCAGGGATATTGGCCTAAAATTGTCTTTTTTTTTGTTGTGTCTCTGCCAGGCTTTGGTATCAGGTTGAATGGCCATACTGCCCAAGGTGATTTACAGATTCAATGTCATCCCCATCAAACTACCAATGACTTTCTTCACAGATTTGGAAAAAACTACTTTAAAGTTCATATGGAACCAAAAAAGAGCCTGCATTGCCAAGACAATCTGAAGGCAAAAGAACAAAGCTGGAGGCATCACACTACCTGACTTCAAACTGTACTACAAGGCTACAGTAACCAAAACAGCGTGGTACTAGTACCAAAACAGAGATATAGACCAATGGAACAAAACCGAGCCTTCAGAAATAATACCACATATCTACAACCATCTGATCTTTGACAAACCTGACAAAAACAAGAAATGGGAAAAGGATTCCCTATTTAATAAATGGTGCTGGGAAAACTGGCTAGCCATATGTAGAAAGCTGAAACTGGATCCCTTCCTTTCACCTTATACGAACATTAATTCAAGATGGACTAAAGACTTAAATGTTAGACCTAAAACCATAAAAACCCTAGAAGAAAACTTAGGTGATACCATTCAGGACAGAGGCATGGGCAGGGACTTCATGTCTAAAACACCAAAAGCAATGGCAACAAAAGGCAAACTTGACAAATGGGATCTCATTAAACTAAAGAGCTTCTGCACAGCAAAAGAAACTACCATCAGAGTGAACAGGCAACCTAAAAAATGGGAGACAATTTTTACAATCTACCCATCTGACAAAGGGCTAATATACAGAACCTACAAAGAACTTAAAGAAATTTACAAAAAAATAATCAAACAACCCCCATCAACCAGTAGGCGAAGGACATGAATAGACACTTCTCAAAAGAAGACATTTATGCAGCCAACAGACACATGAAAAAATGCTCACCATCACTGGCCATCAGATAAATGCAAATGAAAACCACAATGAGATACCATCTCACACCAGTTAGAATGGCGATCATTAAAAAGTCAGGAAACAACAGGTGCTGGAGAGGATGTGGAGAAATAGGAATGTTTTTACACTGTTGGTGGGAGTGTAAATTAGTTCAACCATTGTGGAAGACAGTGTGGCGATTCCTCAGGGATCTAGAACTAGAAATGCCATTTGACCCAGCCATCCCATTACTGGGTATATACCCCAAGGATTATAAATTATTCTACTATAAAGACACATCCACATGTATATTTATTGCAGCACTATTTACAATAGCAAAGACTTGGAATCAATCCAAATGCCCATCAATGATAGACTGGATAAAGAAAAGGTGGCACATACACACCATGAAATACTATGCAGCCATAAGAAAGGATGAGTTCATGTCCTTTGTAGGGACATGGATGAAATCGGAAATCACCATTCTCAGTAAACTATCGCAAGGACAAAAAACCAAACACCGCATGTTCTCACTCATAGATGGGAATTGAACAATGAGAACACATGGACACAGGAAGGGGAACATCACACTCTGGGTACTGTTGTGGGGTGCGGGGAGGGAGGAGGGATAGCACTAGGAGATACACCTAATGCTAAATGACGAGTTAATGGGTGCAGCACACCAGCATGGCACATGTATACATATGTAACTAACCTGCACATTGCGCACATGTACCCTAAAAGTTAAAGTGTAATAAAAAAAAAGAGTAGGATTGAATATCATAGTTTGATCTCCCAGACTGGGAAGCACATGGTGTTGCTTTAAACTCGGACGCCAGAGCTGAATTTTTCCAACAAATAACAAATAGCAACTAGAATGTAAGCAAATGAAGCATACAAATTAAATGGAAATGCTCTTCTTTTTAGTCAACTCTGTCTCTGTTTTGCCTTAGAACCCAACTGCCATATATCATACTGACTGATCACTGCTTATTTCTTTAAACTGAAGCCAAAGGTCACATCTTATAGGAATCTTTCCATGATTCCCTCCCTTTATATTTCCGTTCTTCATCTGATGATTTTTCATACCTAGCATAGTTCTTGGCATATGGTAGGCAATTTTGATATGTTAAATGAATGAATTGGGCTTACAACACTGTGGTAGACAGAATAATGCCTCCTCAGTATGTCTATATCCTAATCTCCAGAATCTGTAAACATGCTAGTTTGCATGGCAAGGGGGAAATAATAATGCAGGTGGAATTAAGGTTTCTCTTCAGATGACCCTGAAATGGCGATATTGTCTCTGATTATGTATGAACCCAATGTAATCTCAAGGGTTTTATAAGTAAAAGAAAGACATGAGAGAGTGTGATGATGCAGCATGCAAAAGGCCCTACTGGCTGTTACTGGCTTAGAAAATGGAAGAGGGGCAGGAGCCAAGGAATGAGGGCACCTTCTAGGAGCTGCAAAAGACAAGGAAACATTTTGTTTGTTTTGCAAAAGCAATGCTGCCCTTCTAACATCTTGATTTTAGCCCAGTGAGATCTGTTTCAGGCTTCTGCTCTCTAGAATTGTTGAGATAATTAATTATTTTTTTGAGACAGTCTCACTGTGTCACCAGGCTGGAGTACAGTGGCCCGTGATCTCATCTCACTGCAACCTCTACCTCCCAGGTTCAACTGATTCTCCTGCCTCAGCCTCCCAAATAGCTGGGCCTACAGGCTAATTTTTGTATTTTTACTAGAGACAGGGTTTCACCATGTTGGCCAGGATGGTCTTGATCTCCTGACCTCATAATCCGCCCGCCTCAGTCTCCCAAAGTGCTGGAATTACAGGCGTGAGCCACTGCTCCTGGCCCAATTTGTGTTGTTATACCCAAATTTGTGGTAATTTGCTACAGCAGCAATAGAAAACCAGTATAGATACCGTAATATAGGCTTTTTTGTTTGTTTCCTCCTTTTCTGCTGGTGCCAATGGTGAAGTCATGGGCAGGATCTCTCAATGTCAGAAGAAGTATAACCATAATATTTCCTGATTGAATGTACTTCTTGGAAGTTTAGTAATGAAAATTCTTTGAGTTTAGAGATTGCATGGCTCTGATTCCTAGCCCAACACATTTGTGACCTTGGGCAAATCACAAAACTGTACTGAATGTTTTTATCTGTTTAATGGAGACCATAACATACACTTTGCAGGGGCACCATGAACACTAAATGATCTGCTAAAGGCCATCGTACACAGTCAAAGTGAAATAAATGCACTATGGCAGAGATAATCATTTTGCATGCTGATGAAGAATGTAATAAGGCATAAGCACCAAATGTGTGTTGAGAACTGTGATGGTATTTCTTGGGGGTGTTAGAGCTGACATTGGCCTTGTATGAAGGGAAAGGTTCACACATGTGGACACAGCACAGAAAGGGCACTCCAGGCTGTTCAAGTTGTGTTCAGGATAAGACATTAGGAGCAGCCCAGAGCAGCTGCTGGTGACACCACTTAGTGGCCACAAGGGTGATGCTGGAGCCAGAAGGCTTTGGATTGCCTGGTTCCACAACTTCCAGAGGTTGGCAGTTTAGGGTCATTATTCAAACCCTTTGTGCCTCTGATTACTGAAATGTAAAAAAAACAGGAAGCTCTGGCAATTTAATGTGTCAGTACATCTAAAGCACAAGAGCAGAGCACTTACACAAGTCCAGTAAAAATTAGCTAATGTTGGTGTTATTTACTGCACGTGGAGAAGTGAGTATGGGGAAGATGTTCTGGAATATTTTCAGCCTGGATCGCTTGAGCAGCAGCCTCTTCAAACCCACGGAAAATGTCTTGTATGGAGCAATTTCATGCACTCTTACAGGAGTGGGCAAGAGAGTTCAACTAGAGTTGAAGTTCAATGAGGACAGAAATTAGATTTTGCTGTTGTAATTCACCTATTTATCCTCAGCACTCAATGTCTTGCCAATAGAGGTACTCTAAATATTTCCTGATTGAATGTACTTGTCTAAAGTTTAGACTATAGCCTAAAGTAGCTTATCAGTCCTATTTTTTGCATAAACTAGGGTGTAATCTGTATGAATGAAACACTTGAAGCCCATTACATCAAGCCAGCTAGACCATAATTTAAATCATCCAGGGATAGGAGTCTATATTTCTCCTCTGCTTGCTTGTATGACATCGGGTAAGTCATTCAAACTCACTTGGTCTCAGGTTCTACCTTTATGAAATGATAAATCTGTGGGTTTTGTTCTATTCTAGTCTGTTACTTTACATGGTTTTTGTAAAATAACAATAATACCATAATTATGTAAATCCCAGTCCAGATTCTATCTTTCTATTTTACAATCTATATAACTTACATACCATATTTTCTAGGAGTGTAACTAAATGTTACTGAAACATCAAGAGTTCAGTCTAGGTCCTGTTGCTTGCTTCACAGAAAGCCAGTCACTGAAACAATGAGTATTGCCAGGGAAAGGGGCTTTATTTGGATGCTGCAGCCAAGGAGAATGGGACATCACTCAAAAATCCATCTTCTCAATGGACTAAAATTAGAGGTAGAAAAATAAGGGAAGAAATGTAACTAAGTATGGAAAAATAGGAATTAGGAGAGGATTAAGAAGAGAAGGTGGTCAACAGGCAGCAGCAGGTTACTTAGGCAACCATAATTGGCAAGGGGTCTGGGTCTGGCATCTCATTGTCCAGGTGCAGTTATCTGGTGAGTTGCAGTTCCTTGAAACTATCTTGGAGGGCTGATAGTTGGTTTCCTGAGAAAGGAACTCAGATAAGAAAAGTGTAAGTTTCTTCAGTTTTAATACTGGGAGGGTCAACTTTTTATTTTTATTTTTTCAAAAGAAACCATAAACATCAGTTCTATAGGACAATTGGGCCAGTTTCATAAACATTATAACATATAAGCAAAGTGTATGAGATAGGTACTGGTCCATGATCAATGTTCAATGAGCCCCTTCCTTATTTCTCAGCCTTAGTAATATTTAAGTGCTTTTCTTCCATAAGTTACCAGGCATAAGGTGTTATCTACAGTCCTCGCAGAAGAGTAAGATGTCTCGTCGAATCTATCCCCTGGTTTATGTCTCCCACACTATTCTTATTTAAATGGAATTATCCTGTTTATCACATAGGCATTTTACAGATAGACTCTGTAATATTAGTGCCATGCAGAGCATTATAGCCATGCTAAAATATCATTTTTCCTGGGAAATAATATCAGTATCAAGGTGTATGGCAAGAAAATATAAATCTTTCAACGGGCTAAGAATTAAAAAAAGAGTAATGATTCTGTACAATTATAGTATAAGAAAAATGAGGGTGGATATTTAGGTAGTGTTGATTAGAAAGTAGAAAACAATCATTTGCTGCAGTGACTGATTTATGGTTTCCTCTCAGTGCACATGTTGAGGTTATTTCCTCCAGAAGGAAGCTGTAGACAAATTCATAATTTATAATATTTAGAAATACACTTGTGATAATGTGGCTAGTGTTAACAGGAGAACAGGAGAACAGCTATTCCAAGGCTTACGCTACTGTTTTTAGGATGTTGATGGTACTATTTCTATGACCATTAATAATTTTAATGCTTGTCAATAAATCTTCTTTTCATACTAATAGCTGCATGAAGCACCATAGGCATAGTAAAAAGAATTAGGGAAGCTGGATTTGAGACAAGCTTCTTTACGCTCTGGCAATGGAATTCTTTCCCCTAATTCCACGAACTTCACTTACCATATCGATAAAATGTGTAAAACATAGTGCGATATGTTAAAGCACTGTAAAAATGATAAAGTAACATAGCATAACCATTGATTTGTGAATGTTAGTTGAGGAATACTACAGTATAGTCCTTGTCAAATCTATGAAAATTATATGTGTATGTGTTATGATATCCAAAGGGTAAGATCTTTTTAAATATTAACCACAGATATGAATTTCAGTGGTTGGTTGGCTATTTTTTTTAATGTAATTTTCCCAGTTACTTCACCCAACATTCTCTGCTCTCTAGTATAATGACTCCCAGATATTCATTTGGGCCCAACACAAAATTAGCTTTTTTGTATTTCCTGTGCAAAATTTTCTAAACCGTGTTATTTTTAAAAGATTAAAAATAAGTCTATTAAGAAAATTGAAGTTATCAAATTAGATTAATAAACAGATATAAACTTGAAACATCCTCTACCACATAATCTGCACATGGCTGTAGAAAGCATAATTTTTGTGGAGCCTCACAACATTGCAAGTAAGTAATTTTTTCATCCCAATTGGTTATTTAGATTTGTTTTCCTATCTAGAAAGTCTGGGTTCTAGGCCTTTGTCCTAAAAACTTTACACAACTTTAAAACTGAATATCTTTAGTCTTAATGAAACCTGAATGACTGTGTAAATGAATTCCTATGTATTTCTACAATTTCATTAAGAGTATGATATATGAAAGTATCACTGAAGCATGAATTTCCTGATCATGACAATTACTGCCACAATCTTATATTCACACACTCTGTGGTGACCCATTTCTGGGTTGGAAATCCAGAACAGAGTATGAATCATATAAATACACATGATTTCAAGATTAAGGAGGTTTTATCCCGACTTCCTTGGGGTGGGAAGCATCAAGGAGGAGTTAATCTTACTGTGCATCAGCCTCTAACCATATTCATGAAAGTGAAAATTTGATTGTCCTAATTACAAATGAGGTTGTCATGGTTGTTATTTTTCTGATTTATTGCCTGTCAATGACAGACACCAACAATAGACCTTGAATTCTTGAAATATAACACAGATAGCCCCTCTTACCTTTTAAATGGAAAATACTTTATTTTTCTTCCCTAGAAAAGGGTATGCTGTTTAGGATTGTGCCTGTGTGCATGTGTGAGTGTGCATATCCAAACATGCTTGTTCACATGTTGATTGTGGGAAGTGGTTGACATGTATCAACTAATTTAAAATTCACAACAATGGGAAGGATTGTATTTCCTATCAGTTCATTGTAAATTACAGCTAATAAATGAGATAAATTGAATCAATACACATAGCTATCTGATTCAAACTACTGCATGTATGTCTCTGTGTGCTTGTGCATGAGGGATACATGTATTTCCATGTATACTTACAAAAATTGTTGCAGCATATTGCTAATCCGGATCTTGTCAGGAGTCCAGCTACAGTACTATGCATAATTTTCCTCTGTCAGTTTGTATCACTGGCCAAAATCTAACAGATGTTTCTAAGAGTAAAGGCACTGGGAATTAACACTGTTGTCATTGATGAAGTACAAGTGCTCACACAGCCATCTTTATTTCATGCCTGTGAGGTTGATTAGCCACATTTCTAGTTTGGGAGTCAGGTATGCCTATTCTTATACCTTTTAGATTAATAAAACACCATTTTGAAGTTTTGGGTTGACAATAAAAAATGTACCTCAACTTAAAACTGATATCCAATGTCCTTGCACAATTTTTTGCAAACATTATCCTTTCCACAGCAAATATCTTAACTTTGTTTTGAAAATTAATTTATCATAAATGGAAAAGTTTATTTCTGGATTGATATTCAATTTTTTCTATTGATCCAGATACTTATAGTTATACCAATACCATACCCTACTGATTACTGTAACTTTATAGTGAGTTTTAAAATCAAGTAATGTAAGTCCTCTAGCATTACTTTTTTTCCCGAGTTTTTCTGGCTACTTAAAGGCCTTTACATCTTCAGGTAAATTTTAGGTGAGTTTATGAAATTTAACAACAAAAAAATTCTGCTTGGATTTTGACATTGAATTGAATCTATAGATCAATTTTGGGGTGAATTGCCGTCTTTATAATATTGAGTCTTCCAATCAATGAAAATGGAATGGCCTTCATTTATTTGGAACAATTATCTCACCAATACTTTGTAGTTTTAGTTGAATATGTCTTGAAGTTATTTTATTAAATGTATTCCTAAGTATTCTATATTATATTATAAAATAAATTATTTTCATAATTTCATATTTAATTATTTGTTGTTAGTACATAAAAATACAATTTATTGATCTTACATCTTACAACCTTGCTAAACTTCTTTATTAGTTCTAGTAGTTTTTAATGCAGATTTGTTAGGATATTCTACAAAATGATGTCCTCAGGGAATAAAAACAGTTTTACATCTTCCTTTCTTGGTAGAATGACATTAATGTTTGCTCTGATGGATGTATTGATTGTTTCATTAATAGATTTGCCTTATAATAATGGCAAGAACACCTGTACAATACTGAGTATCTTTCTATGTATTTGTGTTTTATTGTGGATTTATTAGATTATTTAGAAATGTGCTATTTAATACCTAAGAATTTGGATATTTCCCGTCTCTCTTGATTTCTAGTTTAATTACACTATGTACATAAATAATATATTACATTAATTTGAATCACTCAAATTTGTTAAAGTTTCCTTTACAATATGTCTGTTTTGGTGAATGTTCCCCATATACTTGAAAAAAATATGCCATTCATGTGTTTGAGTAGAATGTTCTATAAACATCCATTAGATCCAATTGCTTGATAATGTTGTTCTAAATTCTTGCGGTTTTCTATCCATTTATCATTTACAGATAAATGTTGAAGTTCTCTATTGTGAATCTGTATGTTTCTTCTTTCTCTTCTGTCAGATTTTTCCATTTATAAAACACTTCGTTAGACATATCCCCATTTGAGATTGTTGTGTCTTTTAGGTGAATTGATCATTTTATCTTTATATACTATCTCTTTTTGTTTTGTTAGTTTTCTTTGTTCTAACCTCTGTTTTGTCTCCAGCTTACTACTGATTTGTTTTTGCATGGTATAACTTTTTTCCATGTTTCTAACTGTAGCCTATCTATATCATTGTTCTTAAAGTGGGTTTACTTTAGATGGCGTTGGTTTATTACCTTTTAATACATTATCCAAATCTAGTCTCTTTCATTAGTGTTTTAAGACCACTTACATTTAATGTAATGAATGATATATTTGGATTTCAGTCTATTTTTTCTTATTTACCTTCTGTTAGTTCCCTCTGCTTTTTATCTCTCTTTTTTCCCTTCCTTTTTCTGCCTTCTGTTTGGGTTATTTAAACATGTGTACAAAGCATTTCACTATAATTTATCTAGTTTCAAGATTATTTATTCATTTATTTACACTAGTCTTTTCACACTAATTTGTTGTCCTGGGGATTAAAATTTACAAACTAAACTTTTATAGTCTTCTTAGAATTAACACACTCCAATTTCAATTGAATATAGAAAGCACTTATTTGTACTTCCAAATGTATTCTGTAATCAATTTGTCTATACATTGTTTTACTTTTTTTCCATAAAAATGCATGGTATTTTAATTGAAATTCTAACAATTTTAAATTAATTTAGGAAAAATTACATTTAATATGTTGAGTTTTTCTTGATATGTGTTGACATTTGTTCAAGACCACCTTTTTTTCAGGAATATTTTTAAGATTTTTGGTTGTTAAAGCTGTTTCTTGTTAAATTTATATGTGGTTCTTTTATTTATCTCTATTCTATCTTAAGTGGGTCATTTTCTTTCCTTATGTATTTATTTTTTGAATGTGCATAAAAAGATACTGATCTTTTGAATATTATTTACATCTCTAGTGAATTTACTAGATTCCCTTATTTTTTCCCATAAATCTGCCAATTTTGTTGAGTTTTATTGGCACATTTATGTGCATGTTTATACCATTTACATCAAAGGTGACATTACTTCTTCCTTTCCAATTTTTATACTCCATTTCTGGTGCCTAATCACATCGGCTAACTTCTCTACAATGGCGTTGAATTGTCATAGAGATGGTGGCCTTCCTTGTCTAGTTCCAGACAAAGGAAAATAACAGAAAAAGTAATAAAGAAGCTGCTGGTGTGTTACAATTAAATCAGAACTCTTGTTTGCTGGAGGGTTACATCTCTATCTAATCTACATCTACGTCTACATCTACTGTGTCAAGGAAGTATTTAAGTGCTTTTTACAGGAATTGTCTGTTTAAGGCTTTTTCAGATTTTCTTAAGATGGTTATATGATTTATTTCATTTTTTAGAATTTTATATTTAATTGACAATAAGTAAAAATGATTGTGTACATCACATACACTGTGATGTCTATATACATGTGTACATTGTGGAATGATCAAATCAAGCTAATTAACATGTCTATCACCTCACATACTCATTTGTGGTGAGAAAACTTAAAATCTATTCCCTTCACATTTTCAAATATACATTATTATTAACTACAGTCACCATGCTGTGCAATCGATCAGCAGTACTTATTCCTCCAGTCTAACTAAAACTTTGCACCCATTTACCAATGTCTCCCCTTTGCTTTTCACCCCACTCCCCCCACCCCTGGTAACCATCATTCTACTCTCAACTTCTATGAGTTCAACTTTTTTATATTCCAGATACAAGTGAGACCATGTGGTATTTGTCTTTCTGTGCCTGTCTTATTTTACTTAGTGTAATGTCCTCTAGATTCATTTATGTTGATGCAAATGACAGAATTTCCTGTCCTTTTTGGGCTGAATAATGTTCCATTGTGTGTGTGTGTGTGTGTGTGTGTGTGTGTGTGTGTGTATTTACCCCTTCATCCATATTGAACACTTAGGTTGTTTCTGTATCTTGGCTATTGTGAATAATGCTGCAATGGACATGGGAGTGCACATAACTCTTCAGCATACTGATTTCATTTTGTTGGGATATATACCCAGAAGTGGGATTGCTGGATTATATGGTAATTCATTTCTATTTGTTTGAGAAATCTTCATAATGTTTTCCAAAATGGCTGTAATGACTTATATTCTCATCAACAGAGTGCAAGGGTTCCCTTTGCTTCACATCCTTGCCAACACTTGCCATCTTTCATCTTTTTGGTAATAGGCATTCTAACAGGTGTCATTATTGTTTTTATAAATTGCATTTCCCTGATAATTTTTGTACTTAAGCATTTTTTATATATCTATTTGCCATTTGTATGTCTTTTCTTGAGAACTGTCTATTCATGTACTTTGTTTATTTTTAAATAGGGTTATTTGCTTTCTTGTTATTGAGTAATTTGAGTCTCTTATATATTTTAGATATTAACTCCTCATGAGATGGGTTATATGTAATTTTTTTTTCCCAATCTATGGGTTGTCTCTTCATTCTACTGATTTTTTTCCTTTGCTGTGCTGATGCTGTTTAGTTTGATGTAATCCCATTTGTCTATTTTTGTTTTTGTTGCCTGTGCCTTTGTGGTCATATCGAATAAATCACTGCCTAAGCCAATGCCATGGGTATTTGGGCTCTTTTTTGGTTCCATATAAATTTTAAAATATTTTTTCTAGTTTTGTGAAGAATATCATTGGTGGTTTGATAGGAATAGCATTGAATCTGTAAATCACTTTGGGCAGTATAGCCATTTTAATGACATTGATTTTTCCTATTAATGAGCATGGGATGTTTTTCCATTTGTTTGTGTCTTCTCTGATTTCTTTGAGCAGTGTTTTGTAATTCTCATTGTAGAGATCTTTCACCTTCCTGGTTAGCTGTATTCCTGGGTAGTGTGTGTGTGTGTGTGTGTGTGTGTGTGTGTGTGGCAATTGTGAATGGGATTTCCTTTTTGATTTAGCTCTCAGTTTAGTTGTTGTTGGTGTATACAAATGCTAGTGCTTTTTGTATATTGATTTTATAGCCTGCAACATTGCTGAAGTTGTTTATCAGCTGAAGTTGATACTGATTTTAATGATAAAAAATTCCTCCAATATATGATAAATCTAGACAATAGGTTTTATTGTATTTTTTGAGATTGTATATGTTTCTTTTATATTTCCTGTTTGATCACAGTATTTAAAATATTTTAATACTATTAAATGCAAAGTATTTTTTAAATTTTGTCATTAATTTCTACTTATATGTGATTTCTGATTAATACATTTGTATTATTCATTTTCTTGTAATGTGTCAAGTTTTTCCTTGTAGTCAACTACAACAAATTTTGTGAATATTCTATTTTTATTTGAAAAGACTGTGTGTGTGTTTATTACCTTCTTAATCATGCTCTTTTCATTTTCTATATCTTTACTAATTTTTGTTGATTTTATTTGTCCTGGATTGAGAATCTGTGTTTTAGATTCTTCATTTTAGTGTATTTTTCTCTAAAGCATTTTTTAGTTTTATTTTCTCTTACAAACTTATTTTTATTTTTTCTTGAAGCTCTGTATTTTCTTCCTCATGAAGATTTTTGCTGCATTATTGAGGCTATAGACATTAATATCTGGTGTTTTCTTTGAGTATTAAAGCTTTTAATATTATAAAGTGAACTAGAATCTATTATGATTTTATTCTGAAAGTAATCATGCTAGACACTAATATTTTATTCTTCACTCTCTTCCTACTTCTCCATAGTTCATCATTGTCACGTTTTTATGTTTAGGCTTTCTGGATTTCATTGTTTTAGGTTTGTTTCGAGTGTTCTGGATAGGGTGAGTAAGCCTCTCTAACTTTTTAAATATTATCAATACGTTTGGCTTCAGTTCTCTTGTGGTCATTTCTATTTTATTTTTTTCTATCACTTTTTATTATTTAAGTTTTATACTTTCGTTCAAATGCTCAAATTTTTATACTTACTTTTGTATGTAATGTTCTCATCTCTGTCCCCCAAACTTGGATACGGTATATCGGTTCCCTACTATTAGCTATAATGAACTTTACCAGTCAACTCTTCTTCCTCCTTTTCTCCTTTTCCTCCAAGATTTAATGTGAAGTAAAAATCTTTTATACCCATAGTTTTGTAGTTCAACTCTATCTTCTTTATGAGACATATACAATACCTTTTTCATTATGATGTTCATTTTATTTCAGTTTACCAGAAAAAAACAATATTAATTTACTACTCATGGCTAAATTTTTATGTTGGTGTCCTCCTTTTTTTTTAAATTATATGAAGCTTGCTTTCTAATAGATATTTCTCTTTTTAAGTTATCTCTTTAGTATTTGCTTGGCTAAATGTCATCTTACTGAAAACCAAAAACTAAATTCAAATTTTCACAAAAATAGCTAACCCCAGTAATGATTTCTGTATCTGATGTTATATAGATTTTTATTGAGGGGAATTTCACTAGAATGGAAAGTTTTTTCTCTACACCCCAGAGTGTGATATCATTACTCATTTGTATCCACTCTTAATTTTCTTTCTAAGTTGGAGCTTGTCTTTTACTTGTGAACACTTTTATCACTTCCACTTGCCCTCACTCACTCTTTTCTCCCTTTGCCTCTTTTTAGCACTTCTCTTCAGGGTTTAGCTAAGTGCCACATGTGTTTGCAAAAATCTAAATCTTGGGAACACCTGGATATTTCTGCCTATGTAGGTGATTGCCTTTTTTGTTGATTGCTTCTGGTGTGCTTTTTTCGTTCTCACTCTCCATCAAAGATTAGTTTTTCAAGTTATGAGTTCTTGGAGGAAGATGCTACGTGAAACATAACTTTACCATCTTTAGCTGCAATCTTAATTCCACTTGATCACACAAATCTTGCTTTCCTATTTGTATTGATTATATCTCCTCTATGGTTTAACTTATGCATGTAAGGAATAGCAGTTCTGCCATTGCCTGTACAGAGATGAAAGTGTTCTTGATCTAAATGAGTGTTTTCAAGTCAGATGACTTTTTATATTTATTTTCTAAAGAAATAATACAATATTTATCATTTAATAGTTTAAAAGTATATTAATATATCCCTACCATTACTTGAGAAAATGACATATGGAGATAATTGTATCCCAATATGAAAATAAAGAGGTATGGATATTTTTTAGACATAAAATATGGGTAGGACATAAGTGGCCACAAATACTAAAGTGTTTCTTTTTCTACTTACATTACAGTGTGAAAAAGTTAGTCTAGCACTAGATGAGTAAGAGTCAAATAAGACAATGATTAGGAAGACAGTGGCTGGGAAGCCAACATTCAAAGAGCTACTAAACTATAAATTAAGTCAAATTTCCCAATGCTTTAATAGTAAATTGATACTCTATCAAATAATCATATCTTATTAATAAAGCAGCATCATTACAACTGAAAAAATTATGCAAGAGTAAAATGAATCATTTGTGACTTTCTGAGAAAAACATATTTTGGTTATCTTTAGAAGAAAACAATTGATCTGCAGTCGAATTACCTTAGCAAAATAAATTTAAAATTAGATTTGGAGTCAGCTAACAATTGCGATTTGCATTTCAAAATAATTTGTTAGGAATTCAAAGTATATTATTTCATATAAGTTGAAATACAAATTGAGACATCTGTCAAATTTTACCTCAAACATGGAGTAATTCATTGAATCATTTATGATTTGAAATACTGTTTTTTACCTTTTCTCAGGTTAACAAAAATCATGAGAACTGCTTTATCGAACACCAATTTTTGCCAGGCTAAGCATTACATATGCATATACACAAATACACACACATACTGTGTATATTACATGTATGTACTCTCTACTTCACAAAAAATACTTGCAAGAAAATATTTATAAACCCATTTTACATGTGAAAAAAATAGGCTCAAAAAGGTTGGTTACATTTCCCTCAGTTAAAGAGCTCATATACTGCAGAGGTGATAACCAAACCTGTTCCATCTATTCTACATCTTTCTGATGCTGCTCTACGTTTTCAAACTTCAATATAAAAAATGGTTAGCAATTATATTTATATAGATATTTGCAGTGTGTGAAGGAGATGAGAAAACATTTAAATTAACTTAGAGTGATCTCACTGACTTTTACTTTCAAGCACCTAGGATGTTCTCATGCAAATAGCTCTTGTCAATACATTTTTTTCATATAGCACTGAAGATAATGATGGATCATTTTCAATTAAAAATCTAATGTCTCAGACAGACGGAATCATGAATCTACATTCTTTTAAGTTACAAGAAATAATATAATGAGATATGCATACAACACTACCAGTAATAAGCCTGAGATATGGTAAATTTAGTGCAATAAGTTGTTCATAAATGTGTCTCTATGGAATAATAAAAGGTACAGAGAGAGACAATAGTAGGTGTACAAAAGATGCTCTTAACAGTCTTGTTTCAAAGTCCAGACCCTTTTGAGTAGTAAATAACTATAAATGACCTCCTATTTGAAAATAACAATTAGTTAGCTGAGTCTTATTATTTACAATTGTTTAGACTATTCCATCAATTTATCCTTTTACAGTGCTTTCCAATGTGTCTGCTAGAATATTTAGTGTTTTCCTTACTTCCTTTATTGTCTCTCAATATAAATACCCCTTAATATGCTAAATACCTTCTCTTCTATTTTCATCAGAAGCTGATTCTCGACGGAATGATACATACATTATCGTCATCTTATTCAATTCCCATTCACTTTTCAACAGACTAAAATAAGAAATCCATATTCACTACTATTTTCAGGGATTGATATCGCTCTACTTTCCCTGACAATTGTTTCCACAACCCTGGAATTTCCTTCCTCCTTTTTATATTTCCACAAATTCTTTCACCACTCAGCTAGAACACTCACTTTCGTAGACCAAGAAACTTAGTTCAGTCATCAACTTGTCATTTTTTTTATGTGTCTTCTAGGGTAAACAAATTGTGTTAAGTATTAAGGAATTACTTGCTCAAGGGACATTTATTCTCTATTGTCCAAAAACTCTGAGTCCTAATTTGTTTGCTCTTCTAGTCACCTCTAATGACAGCCCTGTTGATATTTAGCTTAGAAGGTACTTTCTTAATTGAGCTGAAATATATTAGAGAGAAAAACACACAAATCAAGGGCAAGTCAGAATGTAAAGTTGTTCCTAAAATGGCAGGACAATTATAGTAAAATAGGCCAGGTGCAATGGCTCACGCCTGTATTCTCAGCACTTTGGGAGGCCAAAGCGGGTGGACCACTTGAGGTCTGGAGTTTGAGACTAACCTGGCCAACATGGTGAAACCCCATCTCTATTTAAAAAAATACAAAAATTAGCCAGGTGTTGTGGTATGCAGCTGTAATTCCAGCTACTTGGGAGGCTGAGGCAGGAAAATCACTTGAACCCAGGAAGCAGAGGTTGCAGTGAGCCGAGATCTCACCACTGCACTCCAGCCTGGGCAGCAAAGCGAGACTCCAACTCAAAATATATGTATATATGATAAAATAAGAGCAAACATATTTTATATCACAAGGCAAGTTAGTTACAGTAAATTGCAGGTGCAGATGAAGTAGTTATCAAGGAGCTTAAGTACTGAATCTGAAAGAAACTCCAGCTTTATTTACAGTGAATACTGTAAATAAGACATTTTCTATATTATTATAACAAATTTTTGTAAGTATATTTTTCTTATTTATAATTCAGTATTTTTGTATTAAGGTGCATTGATTAATGATAATTTACTTTCTATCTCAATTATGAAGATGTATAATTTCTCTTTTTTTTCTCTTTTTTCTTTCCAATGTTTATTTTAAGTTCAGGGATACATGTGCAGGATGTGCATGTTTATTACATAGATAAACATGTGCCATGGTGGTTTGCTGCACAGATCATCCCATCAACCAGGTATTAAGCCCAGCATGCATTAGCTATTCCTCCTGATGCTCCTCCTCCTCCCAGCCCCATCCTCTGACAAGCCCTAGTTTGTGTTTTTTCTTATCATGTGTCCATGTGTTCTCATCATTCAGCTCCCACTTATAAGTGAGAACACTTATTTTGTTTTCTGTTCCTGAATTAGTTTGCTAAGGATAATGGCCTCCAGCTCCATCCATGTTTCTGCAAAGGACACAATCCCATTCCTTTTCATTGCTGCATAGTATTCTGTGGTGTATATGTACCATATTTTCTTTATCCAGTCTATTATTGATGGGCATTTGAATAAGAATGTAAGAATAACTTATATTCTTTTGGGTATATACCCAGTAATGAGACTGCTTGATTGAACGGCATTTCTGCTTCTAGGTCTTTGAGGAATCACTATATTGTCTTCCACAATGGTTGAACTAATTTACACTCCCATAAACAGTGTAAAAGCATTCCTTTTTCTTCAGACCATGGCAGCATATGTTGTTTCTTGACTTTTCAATAATCGCCATTGTGACTGGTATGAGATGGTATTTTATTATGGTTTTGATATGCATTTCTCTAATGATTAGCAATGTTGACCTTTAAAGCCAGAGTGGCTCCTTTCCTCCAAATGACCACAACACCTTTCCAGCAAGGGCTCAGAACTGGACTGAGGCTGAGATGGCTGAAATGACAGAAGCAGGCTTCAGAATGTGGATAAAAACAAACTTTGCTGAGCTAAAGGTATCTGTTGTAACCCAGTGCAAAAAAGCTAAGAATCATGATAAAACAATGGAGGAACTGAAAGCCAAAATAGGTGCAATACAGAGGAACATGACCAACCTGATAGAGCTGAAAGACACACTACAAGAACTTCATAGTGCAATCACAGTATTAATAGCAGACTAGACCAAGAATATTAGAGGTTGAAGACTCTCTGTCTGAAATAAGACAGGCAGACAAGAATAGAGAGATAAGAATAAAACGGAATGAACAAAACGTTTGGAAAATATGGGATTATGTAAAGAGATGGAATCTACAACTAATTGCGGTACTTGAACGAGACAGGGAGAATGGAAGCGATTTGGAAAATATACTTCAGGATACCATCAAGGACATCTTCCCCACCTAGCAAGACAAGCCAACATTCAACTTCAGAAAATGCAACAAACCCCAGTAAGATGCTCCATGAGAAGATCATCCCCAAGATACATAATCATCAGATTCTCCAAGGTCGACATGAAAGAAAAAATGGCAGCCAGAGAGAAAGGCCAGGTCACCTACAAATGAAAACCCATCAGACTACAGAGGACCTCTCGGGGGAAACCCTATAAACTAGAAGAGATAGGGGGGCCAATATTCAACATTCTTAAAGAAAGAATTTTCAACCTAGAATTTCACATATGGCCAAACTAAGCTTCATAAGCAAAGGAGAAATAAGATCCTTTTCAGACAAGCAAATGCTGAAGGAATTTATTACCACCAGACCTGCCTTATCAGAGCTCCTGAAGGAAGCACTAAATATGGACAGGAAAAACTGTTACCAGTCACTACAAAAACACACTGAAGTACACAGACCAGTGACACTATGAAGCAACTACATAAACAAATCTGCAAAATAACCAACTAGCATCATGATAACAAGATTTTTTTTTTTTTCTTAAGACAGGATCTCACTCCATCACCCAGGCTGAGTGCAGTGGCACAATCACGGCTCACAGCAGCCTCGACCTGTCAGGCTCAAGCGATCCTCAGCCTGCCAAGTAGCTGGAGCTACAGGCACATGTAATATGCCCAGCAAATTTTTGTACTTTCAGTAGAGATGGGGTCTTGCTATGTTGTACAGGCTGGTCTTGAACTCTTCAATTCAAGTGATCTGCTCACCTGGGCCCCACAAAGTGCTGGGATTACAGGCATAAGCCACTGTGCTCAGAAAGATGTACAATTTCTACTTGGCATTCTTACTGCCCTAATATTAATGAGTTTTTTTATTATGGGAAGAATTAAAATTTTGACATTGTGACGGGGCCTTCCTAAAGACCCAGAGCACTTCTGGATATTATTAGATAGAAAAATCTTTTGTAAATGATTATACAGTGAATAGGATACTACACTGTCCATGACTTGGGGATTAAACTCCAAGAGAGGGTTTTGTGAAATGTGCATTATTTTGTGCTGAGGAGGTAGCAGCTTCATCATAGACCTGGTGCCCATCAGTCGGTTATTAGCCAAAGACATTCATGCCTTTCAGCCTCCCCATAAGCTCAGCTATTTACTAGTTACTCCATAAGCCCATTTCTCTCTTGTCAGCATTTAAAAAAAAAAAAACTTTATACTAGGTTTGCAATTAGTTGACTATAATATTACCAAGGAATCTGTCAGTAATTTATATAGTTGCTACTTACCAATGTAATCACATTTGCCTCTCTAGTGTAACATTTAAAAGAATGAGACAAATAGTTTTGGTCACTTACAATGTACTTTTAGTTTTTAGTTCTTTATCTTTGTAACTTTTTTTATTGAAGCATAAAAAGAATTTGGAAAAATTCTCAAACACCAGGACATAGAATCACAGTAAATCACAATCTGCCCGACCCCATGATCCTTTTAGGCAATTAACTCCGATGACAACCACATTCTTACCTGAAACGATAGATAGATTTTGCTTGTCCTTGATATTATATTACTGGAATTATAAGATATGCATGTTTTTTGCCTCTGGCTTATTTCATCAAAATCTTTGTGAATTTTATACAAATTTATGTGCATAGTTGTATTTTGTTTGTTTTCAGTTCCACAGAATACAAATATACCACAATTCATAAACTCATTTTATTGCATACAGAGCGTAAGTGATAATTCTAGAAAATGTCCTTTGTTGAAGGTATGTACACATTTATGTTTGGTATGATTGCAAATATGAGACATATGGTATAAATATGTTCAATAGATACTATCAAAAAGTGTTCCAATGTGGTTTTTTTTTAATGAAACTCTCGGCAGATTTAATTTTTTTAATTGTGGTAAAATATACTTAATATAAAATTTGTTATATTCAACTATTTTTATGTGTACAATTTATTGGCATCAATTACAACATAATGTTGTGCAACCATTACTACTATCTTTTTCCAAAAATTTCCTCACCTAAACAGAAACACTGTACCCATTAAGCAATACCTTTCCATTTCTGCCTTTCCCCTGGTAATCTCTTGTACATTCTTTTTCAATGAATTTGCCTTGTCTGGATAATTCATGTAAGTGGTATCATGTAATATTTTCCCAGGCAACTTACATCACTTAGCACAGTATTTTCAAGGTTCATTCATGCGGTAGCATGTATCAGAACATCATTTCTTTCTCGGACTGAATAATATTCCATTGCATTCATATACCACATTTTCTTTATACATTCTTCTGTTGACGGACATTTGGGTTATTTCAATCTTTTGGCTATTGTAAATAATGCTGCAATGAACATTGGTATAAAAGTATCTGTTTGAGTCCCTGGGTATATATCTGAAAGTGGAATTACCAAGTTCTATGGTAATTGTGTAGAGGTATTTAGCTTTTTGAGACACCATCAAGCTATTTTTCACAGCAACTGCACTATTTACACTTCCATCTGAAATTTATGAGTGTTCTAATTTCGGCACATCCTGGAAATTTGTTAGTTTCTTAATTAATTAAATATTTTTTATTATAACCATATTAGTAGGCATGAAGTAATATCTCATTGATCATGATTTCCATTTCCCAAATGATTAATGATGTTGAGCATCTTTTCATATGCTTATTGCGCATTTATAAATATTATTTGAAGAAATGTAAACTTAAGCCAATTACAAAAATTTTATTGGATTGTCCCTTTGTTGTTGAATTGTAATTCTTTATATATTCTGGATATTGAATATTTATCAGATATATGATTTTCAAATATTTTCTCCCATCTTGTAGGTAGTCTTTTCACTTTCTTGATAATGTCCTTTGTTGCACAAAAGATTCTAATTTTGTTAAATAATTTGTTAATTCTTTTGTTTCTTGTACTTTTGGTGTCATATCTAAGATTTCCTTGACAAATCTAAGGTTAAGAATATTTATCTGCATGATTTCCTTTAAGAATTTTATGATTTTGTCTCTTATATTTAAGTCCTTGACCCATTTTGAGTTCATTTTTTAATACAGCTTAACTTTTTTTTTCTGCATGTGGAAATTCAGTTACTGTAGCACCATTTGTTGAAGCCAGCGGTAATTATGAGTGTTTCAATTATTCCACATTCTCATAAAGATGTAGTGTTCTCTGTGCTTCTATTTTTCTGTTATGTAAGGGTTTTATACTTTGGTTATAATTTGTATTTAAATGTACAATTATATTTACTGTGAAGGTCAGTACCCTTTCATATGTTTATTGGACATTTGGATGTCCTATTTTATAAAGTGCATGTTCTAGCATTTGTCTCACTTTTCAAATGTGAAATGCTAATTTGTTTATATATGTTGGATAAGAGGCTTTTGTGGCTTAATTTCTTATTCTCTTAATGGTGACTTTTGAAATTCTTAGTTGTATTATAATAAAATTTTTCATCTCTTTTCATTGTGATTAATCCTTTTCGGTGTTAAATTTTTTTGCTAGCCCAAATTCATAAAGATATTTTTCTGTACTTTCTTCTAGCAGTGTTAATTTGTACATTTATATTTCCACTCAATTTGTATTTATTTTGTATATAGTATAATATAGGAATCTATTAATAGATTCTTTTTTGAAAATATCAATAAACATATAAGTGGCCCAGCAGCAATTATTGAAAAGGCCATTTTTCTCTTATTGTACTCTAGTGTTTCACTTTCATGTATCAGGCAACTGTATGTATGTGCAACTGCTTTTAAATACACTTTTACATTTTTTTGATCAGCTTGTCTATACTTTTACCAATTTTACACTGTGCTAATTACTAGAGCGTTGCAATAAATCTTGATATAAATTGGAATGAGTCATTTAGCTTTCTTTTTCCTCTTAACATTGTTTGGCTATGTAAGACCCTTCATATTTCTAAACTAATATTGGAAAGAATTTGCCAACCTCAACAAAACAACAGAAAATTGTACCTAGTTTTGATCGATATCACATTGGATCTAAATATTTAGAAAGAATTGTGATTTGTATAATGTTATGTATTTTCATAAAATCACATTGTATACCTGTACTTGTACAGGTTTGTTGTACATATGTATGTCGTGTATGTATATACACAAAAATATATTCTGCTATTTCTTACAGCACAGTTTTGCAGCATTTGGTGTCAATTTAAATATATTTTATTATAATTATTCTCAGTTATTTGATATTCTTAATTTTATTATGAATATTTTAAACTTTTATTTTCTAATTTTTATTGCATATAAGAAAAATTAATCTATATATTGACTTTTATACAACCAACATGCTAAATTTATTTATTGATTCCTATAGTTTGCCAATGGATGCTTTTGGATTTTCTATATATGTAATTGTATGATCTCTGAATAATGAGAGTTATTTCTTCCTTTGTAATCTTGTGGTCTTTATTTCTTTTTCTTTTATTACTACACTAAGTAGAACTTGTAATATCATTAATAGAATTTGTAAGATCAGGGACACATGGCATTTCTGATGCCAAAGGAAATACATTCAACAATTCACTGTAACTATAAAATTTACAGTATGTTTTTGGTTAATATTCTTCGTCATATTGTATAAATTTCCATCTACTTACATATTATCATGAAACATATTGATGGTTGCTTAATTTTATCAAATATTCTTCCTAAATATATCAATAATATGTTTTCTTTTTATTAATATGTAATAAATTCTATTCATTGATTGAAAAATATTAAGCTGCTCTCACATTCCTGTAATAAACCTTAATTGGCTTTGTGATATATTATCAGTTTTCATAAATATATGAATACAGTTGACCCTTTAACAACATAGGTTTGAGCTGCATGGGTCCACTTATATACAGATTTTCTTTTTGCCACTGCCACACCTGAGACAGCAAAACCAAACCCTCCTCTGCCTTTTCCTCCTCAGCCTAGTCAATATGAAGACAATGAGGATAAAGACCTTTCAAACGATTCCACTTCCACTTGATGAATAATAAATATATTTTATGTTCCTTATTTTTTTAATAAAATTTTCTTTTCTCTAGCTTGATTTATTGTAAGAATACAGTATATAATACATACAACATACAAAATATGTGTTAATCAACTGTTTATATTATCAGTAAGGCTTCTAGTCAACAGTATGCTATGAGTAGTTACATTTTGGGGGAGTCAAAAGTTACGCACAAATTTTCAATTGCATGGATAGGTCAGCATCCCTAACCTTCACATTGTTCAAGGGTCAGTTGTAAAATGATTTCATCAGTGTTGGTAATACATTATTCTGTGATTTTTTTTCTACTGATGTTCTTGCCAAAGTTTACTATAAAGAATATGATAGCTTTAAAACAGGACATGTGAAGTGTTCTCATGCTTTTTATGTTCCCTAAAATACTTTTTGTAATATCAGTGCTATTTATTTTCTAAAAATTAGAAATAATTCATAGGGCACATCCTGTGTACCTCAAATTGTGTTGAGGGTATTAATGAATTCATTGTTTTACATATATATAGGACTATTTAGGCTTTCTATTTCTTCTTGAGTCTGTTTCAACAAGTTTTTCTTTTGTGATATATGCATATGTCATATAAAGTATCAAATCTATTGGCCTGAAATATTTTTAATCTTGTTCTCTTTAATTTGTAAGAAAGACCTATAGTAATTATCCAGTTTTCATTAGTGATATTAGAATGTATTTCTTTATTTGATTTTACTTTTTCTTTTTTTTTTATTATACTTTAAGTTTTAGGGTACATGTGCACATTGTGCAGGTTAGTTACATATGTATACATGTGCCATGCTGGTGCCCTGCACCCACTAACTCATCATCTAGCATTAGGTATATCTCCCAATGCTATCCCTCCCCCCTCCCCCCACCCCACCACAGTCCCCAGAGTGTGATATTCCCCTTCCTGTGTCCATGTGATCTCATTGTTCAGTTCCCACCTATGAGTGAGAATATGCGGTGTTTGGTTTTTTGTTCTTGTGATAGTTTACTGAGAATGATGTTTTCCAATTTCATCCATGTCCCTACAAAGGACATGAACTCATCATTTTTATGGCTGCACAGTATTCCATGGTGTATATGTGCCACATTTTCTTAATCCAGTCTATCATTGTTGGACATTTGGGTTGGTTCCAAGTCTTTGCTATTGTGAATAATGCCGCAATAAACATACGTGTGCATGTGTCTTTATAGCAGCATGATTTATAGTCCTTTCAAACATAAAAAAATGGTAATTTTGTATATATCCAGGAATCTACTATAATAATTATCAAGTCATGATCAATCTTATTTTATCTATACTCCCACCCATTTTGAAACTGCATTGTCCATATTATTTTGAATTAAATCCCATGAATCTTATGATTTCATTTATACATATGTTTGTGTGTTTTTTTTTTTTTTTTTTGGCAGAGTCTCACTCACTCTGTTGCCCAAGCTGTAGCTAGAGTACAGTGGCATGATCTCAGCTCACTGGAACCTCTGCCTCCCAGGTTCAAGCAATTCTCCTGCCTCAGCCTCCCAAGAAGCTGGGATTCTGGGAGTGGTGGCACATGCCTGTAATCCCAGCTACTCATGAGAATCACTTGAATCTGGAGGCAGAGGTTGCAGTGAGCCAAGATCGTGCCACTGCACCCCAGCCTAGGTGAAAAAGTGAGACTCCATCTTGAAAAAATAAATAAAAATAAATACATTAAAAAGTACGCAAATTCAACTTCCGGGGTGTTTGTCCATTTTCCTAACTTTTTAAAAAGTAATTCTTTTCTTGTGTTACTTTTTCCTCTGTCATCGTGGTAGTTAGTTAACACTAGTAGGACCCCATGGGTTATGCTTCAGTGTTTATGCCTTTTTGTAGTTATTTCCTCCTGAATCCAAGCTTAGCTTATAACTCAAAGACTTTAGAATAGAATATAGCAAAAATATTGCTGTGCAATCCTAGCCTAGGCTTTAACAAAGTATAAAACTTCTACTTACGAACTCTTAGAAGTCCTAAAGTTTCACATGAGAATTCTAGATGAAACTGTGTAAAGAGAAAATATGAAGAGGTCATGTGGAGAGAGAACGTTGAGAACTGAAGAATCCAGACATTCCTCGAATCTAGCTCTTCTAGCCAGCCCTCCACCGCCCAATCTCCCTTGCTGAGGCACCAAAAAGCTAACGAAGCTGTTGCAGCCTTTCCAGTGACAGCAGGCACTGAAGCGAGCGTAGATAAGCCCACTGCCTCTGTAAAATCCTGACCCTCAGAATCATGAGAAATAACAAGTGATTGCTGTTTTAAGCCACAATATTTTAAAGGTAGTTTGTTCCATGGAAGAAGATTAACAAAAGATAGAATGACACCAGAAGAGGGGTGCTTCAGCAACAAAATATCAAAATATGCAGCACTGGCTTTATGATCAGGTGGAAGTTATGGACTAAAAACCTTGAGGAAACTGTTAGAAAGAGCAAAAAACAAATGGACCTTAATGATATTGGCACAAAAATCAGTGAAGCTGCCACCTTCTTATGTGGAAGATAGCAAATGTGGCTAATAAACTTGCAAATCTGGCTAATAAAATTTCCGGGCAGAGTGGCGAATGCACCAAGTGGTTCCTTTAATTGCCTACAATAAAGAATGTGAGAAGTGAGATGAGCTAAAAGAGGAATTGCTGGAATTTTTTTTTCTCGATATGCCCTCAATCCATTCTAGTACTGTAAAGGCAACATTCTATGGGTTGTTGGTTTCTCTGAAGGAAATGAAAGTAAGCAACAAGAAGGCATCCAGGGAGAAATCATTCCACAGAAGTAATAGGTAGCATTTCGGATGTTACGCTTTTATTAGCATCATCATATCTTAATAATGAGAGGACCTCTGGAGGTCTTTTAGCTCTTTGGAAACAGGTCCACGCATATTTGAAATATTGAAAACTGATCCAGAGCAGAAGAATAAATTTCCCAATATCACACAAGCTGGTGAGAAGCAGAGCTGAAAATAAAATCTAATTTTCCTGGCATCCTTCCTGCTGCACAGCATTGAAGTTCTCTTCCTTTTGCAAAGTGAGACAGGGTAGTGATAGAGATATCTCAATGCTTAACTGTCAAACTGAACCCAGGCTGCTTGATAGCGTCACAGGGAGAAATAATCTAAAGGGCTGAAATGAAGACAGGAAAATAGTTCTCAGCAAGTGGCATCAACTTATTTGGTATTTTTTTCTCAGCTTATTGTTACAGACATGTTAGTGGCAAATCTGAGAAGGTTCTTTTGTGAATCAGGTTATGGCTATGATTGTTCAAAAAGCTCATTACCAATTTATGAAAAGCAGCAAAACTCATTTTCTCTTAATGTGAAATCACTTCAGCCTGTCAGTAGAGAAAGAATTGTTGAAAAGTGAATTGACCACATACGGATCCATTCTTTCTTTTAAAAAGAAATGAAAAAGTCATCTAAAAGGGAAATATCTCTCAATAATGAGATATATGTAACACTCAGCCGGAGTTAAGCCCCAGTTAAGATGGTTTTCTGAATTGGGCTACTTTTCTCATTTGCCTACTGTGGGTACCACACAGGTAGACTTCATAAACCTGAGTTATCTGTCTACTAAAGAGCAGCAGGGGCTCTTTGACTCAGGATTTCATTAAAACAACAAAAGGATTTTGGGGAATAACTGAATTCACTCTCTGGAACTAGAGATACATAGTTTAATACATACATATTCTTTCCATAAATTGAATGACTTAAGTGATCAAAATGAGTTCTGATCACAATTCCTGGTTCCTCCACATTAAGAAATAAACAATGATTGTTACCCATAGTGGCCGTAGAGATAGGTCTATGCTGAGTGACACTGTTTTTCTGTGTTCTGTCTATGGTTCCTATGACCTCTCTCATGCTCTGTCACTTGGGATAGCTAGCTCTTATTCTAGAGTCTTTCAAAGTCTTATTTTTCACACCAGAGCATTTGGCCAAGGTTCAGCATTTAACCACTGTGTCTTTGTCTTTTTTTTCCTATAGCTTTATCTTCCACTCTCCATTGAAAATCCCTGGATATCTACTTAATTCATTAAAGTCAGGAGAGGTTGTGGGCACTGCAGCTTTCTGATTATTTTAAGATTGGCTATCTGCATTATCTCTGCCATGATCATCATTGGTCTAATCCCTCACTTATTTGTTTGTTTATTTTTAAGGACTTAATTACTTTAGAGCAGTTTTCGGTTCATAGCAAAACTGAAAGGATGTAACAGGGATTTCCCATAAGTCCTCTGCCCCCTCACATGCAGAGCCTTTCATTATCAATATCCCCTACCAGCATGGGACAGTTGTTACAAATGATGAACCTACATTGACATATCATAATCACCAAACTCCATAGTTTACATTAGGGTTTACCCTCACTGCTGTACATTACATAAGTTGGAAAAATTTATAATGATATGTGCCACCATTAAGGTACCATGCAGAGTATTTTCCCTGCTCTAAAAATAGTCTCTGCTCTATGTATTCAACCTCTTCACCCCCAACTCCTGGCAACCACTGATCTTTTTACTGTTTTCATAATTTTGCCTTTTCCGGAATGTTGTATCATTGGAAATTTACAGATCGGCTTCTGCGACTAAGGAACATGCACTTAAGATTCTGACATGTTTTTTCATAGCTTGATAGCTCATTTCTTTTTAGTGCTGAATAACATTCTATTGTTTGGATGTAATGCAGGCTATTTATCCTTTCACCTTCTGAAGGATGGATATCTTGGTTGCTTTCCAAGTTTGGGCAATTAGCAATAAAGGTGCTTTAAGCATTCACACGCAGGCTTTTGTGTGAACAAATATTTTCCATTTCTTTGGGTAAATACCAAGGAATGTGATTACTGGTTAGTATGGTAAGAGTATGTTTAGTTTTGTAAGAAACTGCCAAACTCTCTTCTAAAGAAGCTGTACCATTTTGCATTTCCGCCAGCAACAAATGAAAGCTCCACTCCAGCATTTGGTCACGACGGTATTCTGGATTTTCCTGGATGCTAACAGATGTACTGCTCCTTTGTTTTTTGATAAATGAGTACATGTATCTTCAGAGGAGAAGTGTGCTAGTTGCTTATAGCAAGAGTATAAACCAACAACATCTTCATGAAGCAACAGTTGTATAATTTTAAGACATTAAGATAGATTTATAGTAAATTGATCACGAATATTTTACAGAATATAATGAAAAAATTGATAGGTTTTAGATATAATTACAGATTCCAAAAGTATTGTTTGAAATGAGCCACTAACTCCATTATCCACTGAGGGCAATTTTATAAAAAAATATGAGACCAATAACAATAATAACAAAAACAAAAACTTGATACCTATAGGTGTATTTACATTTTGAAAAGCTATTAAATTCTATAGTTTTAAATCTAAACTGCATTGCTCACTGATGTATCTATTTGTGTGTGATCAGCAGACAGGTTTAACACTTTTCGGTTTATATTTTTCTTCATATATATGATAATTCACTCAGTTGAGTGTTTCTAAGTGAACATCCATCATTTGTTAATATCTTATAAGGCCATGTAATCAGACAAGGCCTAATTCTTGAATCTGAATGCCTAAGATACGTGTTCTGGTGTGACCACAACTACACTTTCTAGGTATTTATTGAAAATGAGACTACCACATATCTGCATAAGAACCTTCAGGAGCATGCCATCAGGAAAAAAACAAAAAACAAAAACAAAACAAAACAAAACAAAACAAAAACAGTGTGAGAACAGTGACCAGCAAACTAGACTCCAGGAATCCCCTGAAACAAGTTTTCATCTCAGCACTTAAGTCATTCTTTAAAATAATGTTATAAATTGCGCACTTGATTCTCTAGATTCTAATTATTCTAATTTTAAGCCATTAAACGCATAGGTAACCATGACACTTCCATAATCTTTTCGTTTTTTTTTTATTGTACTTTAAGTTTTATGGTACATGTGCACAATGTGCAGGTTTGTTACATATGTATCCATGTGCCATGTTGGTGTGCTGCACCCATTAACTCATCATTTAGCATTAGGTGTATCTCCTAATGCTGTCCCTCCCCCCTCCCCCCACCCCACAACAGTCCCCGGAGTGTGATGTTCCCCTTCCTGTGTCCATGCGTTCTCATTGTTCAATTCCCACCTATGAGTGAGAACATGTGGTGTTTGGTTTTTTGTCCTTGCGATAGTTTACTGAGAATGATGATTTCTAATTTCATCCATGTCCCTACAAAGGACATGAACTCACCATTTTTTATGGCTGCATAGTATTCCGTGGTGTATATGTGCCACATTTTCTTAATCCAGTCTATCGTTGTTGGACATTTGGGTTGGTTCCAAGTCTTTGCTATTGTGAATAGTACCACAATAAACATACGTGTGCATGTGTCTTTATAGCAGCATGATTTATAGTCCTTTGGGTATATACTCAGTAATGGGATGGCTGGGTCAAATGGTATTTCTAGTTCTAGATCCCTGAGGAATTGCCACACTCACTTCCACAATGGTTGAACTAGTTTACAGTCCCACCAGCAGTGTAAAAGTGTTCCTATTTCTCCACATCCTCTCCAGCACCTGTTGTTTCCTGACTTTTTAATGATGGCCATTCTAACTGGTGTGAGATGGTATCGCATTGTGGTTTTCATTTGCATTTCTCTGATGGCCAGTGATGACGAGCATTTTTTCATGTGTTTTTTGGCTGCACAAATGTCTTCTTTTGAGAAGTGTCTGTTCATGTCCTTCGCCCACTTTTTGATGGGGTTGTTTGTTTTTTTCTTGTAAATTTGTTTGAGTTCATTGTAGATTCTGGATATTAGCCCTTTGTCAGATGAGTAGGTTGCGAAAATTTTCTCCCATTTTGTAGGTTGCCTGTTCATTCTGATGGTAGTTTCTTTTGCTGTGCAGAAGCTCTTTAGTTTAATTAGATCCCGTTCGTCAATTTTGGCTTTTGTTGCCACTGCTTTTGGTGTTTTAGACATGAAGTCCTTGCCCATGCCTATGTCCTGAATGGTAATGCCTAGGTTTTCTTCTAGGGTTTTTATGGTTTTAGGTCTAACATGTAAGTCTTTCATCCATCTTGAATTAATTTTTGTATAAGGTGTAAGGAAGGGATCCAGTTTCAGCTTTCTACATATGGCTAGCCAGTTTTCCCAGCGCCATTTATTAAATAGGGAATCGTTTCCCCATTTCTTGTTTTTGTCAGGTCTGTCAAAGATCAGATAGTTGTAGATATGCGGCATTATTTCTGAGAGCTCTGTTCTGTTCCATTGACCTATATCTCTGTTTTGGTACCAGTACCATGCTGTTTTGGTTACTGTAGCCTTGTAGTATAGTTTGAAGTCAGGTAGCGTGATGCCTCCAGATTTGTTCTTTTGGCTTAAGATTGACTTGGCGATGCAGGCTCTTTTTTGGTTCCATATGAACTTTAAAGTCGTTTTTTCCAATTCTGTGAAGAAAGTCATTGGTAGCTTGATGGGGATGGCATTGAATCTATAAATTACCTTGGGCAGTATGGCCATTTTCATGATATTGATTCTTCCAACCCAAGAGCATGGAATGTTCTTCCATTTGTTTGTATCCTCTTTTATTTCATTGAGCAGTGGTTTGTAGTTCTCCTTGAAGAAGTCCTTCATGTCCTTTGTAAGTTGGATTCCTAAGTATTTTATTCTCTTTGAAGCAATTGTGAATGGGAGTTCACTCCTGATTTGGCTCTCTGTTATTGGTGTATAACAATGCTTGTGATTTTTGTACATTGATTTTGTATCCTGAGACTTTGCTGAAGTTGCTTATCAGCTTAAGGAGATTTTGGGCTGAGACAATGGGGTTTTCTAGATATACAATCATGTCATCTGCAAACAGGGAAAATTTGACTTCCTCTTTTCCTAGTTGAATACCATTTATTTCCTTCTCCTGCCTAATTGCCCTGGCCAGAACTTCCAACACTATGTTGAATAGGAGTGGTGAGAGAGGGCATCCCTGTCTTGTGCCAGTTTTCACAGGGAATGCTTCCAGTTTTTGCCCATTCAGTATGATATTGGCTGTGGGTTTGTCATAGATAGCTCTTACTATTTTGAGACACGTCCCATCAATACCTAATTTATTGAGAGTTTTTAACATGAAGGGTTGTTGAATTTTGTCAAAGGCCTTTTCTGCATCTATTTAGATGATCATGTGGTTTTTGTCTTTGGTTCTGTTTATATGCTGGATTACATTTATTGATTTGTGTATGTTGAACCAGCCTTGCATCCCAGGGATGAAGCCCACTTGATCATGGTGGATAAGCTTTTTGATGTGCTGCTGGATTCGGTTTGCCAGTATTTTATTGAGGATTGTTGCATCGATGTTCATCAAGGATATTGGTCTAAAATTCTCTTTTTTGGTTGTGTCTCTGCCCGGCTTTGGTATCAGGATGATGCTGGCCTCATAAAATGAGTTAGGGAGGATTCCCTCTTTTTCTATAGATTGGAATAGTTTCAGAAGGAATAGTACCAGTTCCTCCTTGTACCTCTGGTAGAATTTGGCTGTGAATCCATCTGGTCCTGGACTCTTTTTGGTTGGTAAGCTATTGATTATTGCCACAATTTCAGCTCCTGTTATTGGTCTATTCAGAGATTCAACTTCTTCCTGGTTTAGTCTTGGAAGGGTGTATGTGTCGAGGAATTTATCCATTTCTTCTAGATTTTCTAGTTTATTTGCGTAGAGGTATTTGTAGTATTCTCCGATGGTAGTTTGTATTTCTGTGGGATCGGTGGTGATATCCCCTTTATCATTTTTTATTGCATCTATTTGATTCTTCTTTTCTTCTTTATTAGTCCTGCTAGCGGTCTATCAATTTGGTTGATCTTTTCAAAAAAAACCAGCTCCTGGATTCATTAATTTTTGGAAGGGTTTTTTGTGTCTCTATTTCCTTCAGTTCTGCTCTGATTTTAGTTATTTCTTGCCTTCTGCTAGGTTTTAAATGTGTTTGCTCTTGCTTTTCTAGTTCTTTTAATTGTGATGTTAGGGTGTCAATTTTGGATCTTTCCTGCTTTCTCTTGTGAGCATTTAGTGCTATAAATTTCCCTCTACACACTGCTTTGAATGTGTCCCAGAGATTCTGGTATGTTGTGTCTTTGTTCTCGTTGGTTTCAAAGAACATCTTTATTTCCACCTTCATTTCGTTATGTACCCAGTAGTCGTTCAGGAGCAGGTTGTTCTGTTTCCATGTAGTTGAGTGGTTTTGAGTGAGTTTCTTAATCCTGAGTTCTAGTTTGATTGCACTGTGGTCTGAGAGACAGTTTGTTGTAATTTCTGTTCTTTTACATTTGCTGAGGAGAGCTTTACTTCCAACTATGTGGTCAATCTTGGAATAGGTGTGGTGTGGTGCTGAAAAAAATGTATATTCTGTTGATTTGGGGTGGAGAGTTCTGTAGATGTCTATTAGGTCCACTTGGTGCAGAGCTGAGTTCAGTTCCTGGGTATCCTTGTTAACTTTCTATCTCGTTGATCTGTCTAATGTTGACAGTGGGGTGTTAAAGTCTCCCATTATTATTGTGTGGGAGTCTAAGTCTCTTTGTAGGTCACTCAGGACTTGCTTTATGAATCTGGATGCTCCTGTATTGGGTGCATACATATTTAGGATACTTAGCTCTTCTTTTTGAATTGATCCCTTTACCATTATGTAATGGCCTTCTTTGTCTCTTTTGATCTTTGTTGGTTTAAAGTCTGTTTTATCAGAGACTAGGATTGCAACTCCTGCCTTTTTTTGTTTTCTATTTGCTTGGTAGATCTTCCCGCATCCCTTTATTTTGAGCCTATGTGTGTCTCTGCATGTGAGATGGGTTTCCTGAATACAGCACACTGATGGGTCTTGACTCTTTATCCAATTTGCCAGTCTGTGTCTTTTAATTGGAGCATTTAGTCCATTTACATTTAAAGTTAATATTGTTATATGTGAATTTGATCATGTCATTATGATGTTAGCTGGTTATTTTGCTCGTTAGTTGATGCAGTTTCTTCCTAGCCTCGATGGTCTTTACAATTTGGCATGATTTTACAGTGGCTGGTACCAGTTTTTCCTTTCCACGTTTAGTGCTTCCTTCAAGAGCTCTTTTAGGGCAGGCCTGGTAGTGACAAAATCTCTCAGCATTTGCTTGTCTGTAAAGGATTTTATTTCTCCTTCACTTATGAAGCTTAGTTTGGCTGGATATGAAATTCTGGGTTGAAAATTCTTGTCTTTAAGAATGTTGAATATTGGCCCCCACTCTCTTCTGGCTTGTAGAGTTTCTGCCTAGAGATCCGCTGTTAGTCTGATGGGCTTCACTTTGTGGGTAACCCGACCTTTCTCTCTGGCTGCCCTTAACATTTTTTTCTTCATTTCAACTTTGGTGAATCTGATAATTATGTGTCTTGGAGTTGCTCTTCTCGAGGAGTGTCTTTGTGGCATTCTCTGTATTTCCTGAATCTGAATGTTGGCCTGCCTTGCTAGATTGGGGAATTTCTCCTGGATAATATCCTGCAGAGTGTTTTCCAACTTGGTTCCATTCTCCCCATCACTTTCAGGTACACCAATCAGATGTAGATTTGGTCTTTTCACGTAGTCCCATATTTCTTGGAGGCTTTGCTCATTTCTTTTTATTCTTTTTTCTCTAAACTTCCCTTCTCGCTTCATTTCATTCATTTCATCTTCCATTGCTGATACCCTTTCTTCCAGTTGATTGCGTCGGCTCCTGAGGCTTCTGCATTCTTCACGAAGTTCTCGAGCCTTGGCTTTCAGCTCCATCAGCTCCTTTAAGCACTTCTCTGTATTGGTTATTTTAGTTATACATTCATCTAATTCTTTTTCAAAGTTTTTAACTTCTTTGCCTTTGGCTTGAATTTCCTCCTGTAGCTCGGAGTAGTTTGATCATCTGAAGCCTTCTTCTCTCAACTCATCAAAGTCATTCTCCATCCAGCTTTGTTCCACTGCTGGTGAGGAACTGCGTTCCTTTGGAGGAGGAGAGGCGCTCTGTTTTTTAGAGTTTCCAGTTTTTCTGCTCTGTTTTTTCCCCATCTTTGTGGTTTTATCTACTTTTGGTCTTTGATGATGGTGATGTACAGATGGGTTTTTGGTGTGGATGTCCTTTCTGTTTGTTAGTTTTCCTTCTAACAGACAGGACCCTCAGCTGCAGGTCTGTTGGAGTTTGCTAGAGGTCCACTCCAGACACTGTTTGCCTGGGTATCAGCAGTGGTGGCTGCAGAACAGCGGTTTTACTTGAACCGCGAATGCTGCTGCCTGATCGTTCCTCTAGAAGTTTTGTCTCAGAGGAGTACCTGGCCGTGTGAGGTGTCAGTCTGCCCCTACTGGGGGGTGCCTCCCAGTTAGGCTGCTCGGGGGTCAGGGACCCACTTGAGGAGGCAGTCTGCCTGTTCTCAGATCTCCAGCTGCGTGCTGGGAGAACCACTACTCTCACACTTCCATAATCTTTTCAAAAATTACTGAAGGTGAAAGTTAAATCTGCCATTTTGTCTACTTTTTATATAATAACTATTCCAGAATATGACTGAAGAAATAAACTTTGTATCAAAAGATCTAAATTCAGATAGTAGCGTCCCAATCTATGAATGGGAGGATACTTAGAAGTTATCTAAACTCTCTATCAGTTTTCTTATCCATAAAATAAGAATAATGTGGTTTAATAAACCTTTTGCAAAAATTAACATACATGTTGATATATAAAAAGACTTTTTTTTTTTTTTTGAGACAAGGTCTTGCTTTGTCTCCTAGGCTGGAGTGCAGTGGTGTAATCTGGCTCACTGCAGCCTCAAACTTCTGGACCCAACAATCCTGCCACCTCAGCCTAGTTGTCTTCTTCAGTAGCAGAGAAAGTTTAGTGGGCATTGCCTCTTCACTCATCTCTGACTAAAATGGAAACAACCAATTAAGAATAAAGTAATCCTTTTATGGAACATTTTCATTTTACTATGCAAACATCTGAATTTGAACACATGAAAATCAGTGATAGCCAAAACAGCTATAAAGGATGAAATTTAATGGGGGGAAGAAGCAACATGGTCCTTTTATTTGCAGCTCATTAAACTCACTGGTTGTGTAGTAGAATTCCACGTCTATTATTAGGTTAGTTTGGATTGTGTGTTGGGCACACAATGAAGCAGTCAGATGTATAGACTAGGGCAATAAACACAGGCGAAAGTTGAGAATATGACTTATTTTTCTCTGGGATTTCAAAATCTAATTGAGCAGAAAGACATGAAAAAGGCAGCTGATGTATATTTTCATATAAGAAGTAGTCAACTTAAACACAGGGTGTAATGAGAGAAGGCACTATCTAACACAAACTGGGAGTGAGGGGGGCAGTTGACTGAGTAAGTGGGGAGCATTCAGCAGAAAGTGGCTGCTTGCATAGTATGAGGAGACTTTATACCAAAACAAAGATGAAGGTCATCTAAAGAAAAGAATACAGTGGTAGAAGTGGAAAAGCTTATTGATACATACAATCCTAGATAAGAGTCCAATATGGCCCAAGAGGAGGTAAAATAATTAGTCTCCTCTACTCAGCTCTGCAGTGCTGTAGACTCTTCCAACTTCAGGTTTATTACTGTCGAAAAGAGAAGCAGAGGCTACCTAAGTGGGCCAGAACACCTACCACATAATGAGTTAGGCTGTAAAAATGGTATTATCACTAAAAATTTGACATCTACGAAGTTTTTATGTGTTCTCTATTCATAACATTTTTAGGGCATAAGGATAGACAAATGTCTTTCTAGAGATTACCTGGGATAAACACTAGTGTGGCAGGATTAGCAAATGCTCATATTCCAGGGCATCATGCTTCCACCCCATTTAAATAATCTGATTGTTTCATTACTCTTGAATCAGCTAGCTCTTGCAATTGCTAAGACTGATTGTAAAGGAGTTCAATCAACATGTCTTTTTCAAAAATAAAAGTAAAAATTTCATGTTTGGCCTGGCATGGTGGTTCATGCCTGTAATCCCGGCACTTTGGGAGGCTGAGGTGGGCGGATCACCTGAGGTCAGGAGTTCGTGACCAACCTGGCCAACATGGAGAAACCCCATCTCCACTAAAAATACAAAAATTAGCTGGGCATGGTGGCACGTGCCTGTAATCCCAGGCTGAGGCAGGAAAATCGCTTGAACCTGGGAGGCGCAGGGTGCAGTGAGCCAAGATAGCACCATCGCACTCCAGCCTGGGGGACAAGAGCAAGACTTGCCTCAAAAAAGAAAAAAAAAAAAAAACCCGTCACGTGTTGTTGTTACAACATTAGGGCAAGCTTTCTATAGAAGAGTAATAAAAGGCCACTAAACAATTACCAAAATCCTGCTACTCAGAAATGAAACCAAAATACACACATTGTTATTATTTAGTGAACAGCATTCTTCATATTTCTCTGTGGAGACAGACATATGAATAGACATGTAAATAAACAGAGTAATAGATCAATTCATACAATCCCACAAATGAGATTCTGTACCACACTACGTTATTTTTACTTTTATAATATTTAATTTAATGAATATAATAAAGCAGAAGTAAAATTATAGCAAAAATTATTCTGGCACAAAAAAATTTAATTCTAAAATGTAGTTCTAAATTAAAAACAGCAAAAGCAACAAAAACAGAAGATAAAAATAAGAGTATTGTGTCATTTTTTCTACAATTCAACTTGAAATAGTGACTTCATATTCATATTTAATAGAAGAGGATATAATATTTGTACCTCTATTCTCCATATGGATCGATTTATTTTGTTATATTGTTAAGTTTACATTGCCAATGCTTTAAACAGTTATTCTCCTTTAACCATGATTGACAAAGATTTTGTTTCATTCTAATTTAATTTCAATATTTAAATAGAGGGTAATTTTCAGCATCACTCATTTCACTGAATCTTCACATTCTTGAGTCTGTTATTTTAATTTCTGTCTGGCTTGACGTGTTTTCAAGTCAAGAGTGAGAAGTAAAGCTCCTCGGTGTTTTCTTCCATTACACTTGCAAGAACACATGACTGGCTTCAGAATTCTAGGGTCACATTCCTTTCTGTCAGAATTTAGCCGTCACTGCCTCACTGCCTTCCATCCAGCATGGAGCATTTCTGTGGAAAGTCTTCCACCCTAGAGGCCTCCATTTTGATCAGTTTTGGCTATTTATTCCAAAAATATACTGGACTTCAATTCTTCTTACTGATTTGTTTTCCTTTAGCAATTGTATTTCTTAATTTTCAAAAGCTTTTATGTATTTTATTTTTTGAATTTTTTTACTTGTTACAGCTTCCTCTACCTTTGAGATGTATAGGTGTTATAGATTTTCTCTCTCTGAACATAACTGCGTATCATTTTTAAAAGTTTTTTCCCAGGCCTGTATTGTATCTTTTATTATAGATTTACTTGTAATTATTATTATTATTATTTTTACCTTGATCCCTGCCTTTCATGTTTGAGGTTACTGTCAAATCTCGGTTGTCTATTCATTTTTAAGATAGAGGAACTGTAAAACTTATTGGAGATGGTATTTGGGTGATGTTACATGTCTGCTTGTGAATTTCTCTATACTTATTACTACCAGTGTATGGATCTGAACAGAAGAAGTTATGAGAGTGATTTACAATTAATGTAAGTACAGTGAGATTTTACCCTTCTGTTTGGTAGACCTTATTCTCTTGTTTTGTGAATTGTGTCCCTACACCTGGCCCTTCTCTTGACATATTTCTCCAGAGAATAAATATCTAGCCTTATGCCTCATTCTAGAAAGAACAGGTACTGGACTCCATGGGATGTAATTGGGAAATGGAAGCTCTTTGTTTCTTCTGTGAACTTTCACACCAGCCACCACCAACTACAGTAGTACTAGTGCTCATTCCTAAATTCATTTGTTCTGCAAAGTTGAATTGCTTGTTTCTTACTAGTTTCTGCAATTGTTTGAGGCTTTTTCACTCACAAGTTAGAGAATGAGACTTCAGCTAATTCTTTACTGTGTCTCCTTCTTGTTCTGTGTGTTTTTTGAAGGAGAAAGAAGTCAAAAGTTCTCTATCATCTTAAAGTCAAAAATTCATATTTTATTTGTTTTGCTCTTTTCTTCGGAAACATCAAATTTATAGTACATATTGCTTTTCTTGTCATTTCTCTCCATTTTGTAATTTGTGTATGCAGAATTCTAAGATGACCTCTAAGAGTTTCACCCCCTGGTGTGTATGTCCCATGTAATTCCAACACCAAGGATGAGCAGACCTGTGACTATGAGGGATAGTTACTCTCATGAGTATATAAAGCTACATAAGACTTCTTCCTAGCCCACTGGAGAGAGATGCTTCTGCTGGTTTTGAGTAAGCAGCCATGTTGTCACAGGGCGTGGCCAACAGCCTGCAACAACACAGAGACCTCAGTCTTACACCTGTAATGAACTGAACTTTGCCAGCAACTGGATGAGAACTACAGGAAGCCAGTGCCTTAATGGCAGAATGATGGGCTCCTTAGCAGAAGACCTACATAACTCAGGGCTGGGCTCTGGACCCACAGAAATAGTAATTTCCGTGTTGTTTTGTGTTGTCTTGTTTTAAGCAACTACGTATGTGGTGATGGGTTATGTAGCAATGGAAAACTACTACCACACTTGATCATATAATTTTATTCTCCTGCTTTAACTTGATGCTATATGTTATGGCAGGACCATCTTTCCAATGGAATGTACTATATGCTCTGAGGCAGCCTACTCATGTGACTTTAATTTCCGTAATGGTTATAATATTTTACTTTTGTTGTAAGCTTCTCAAATTTACTTTTTATTTTTTCAAATTGCATGGCTTTTTAAACCCTATATCTTTTTTTCCAACTTAAATTGTTGTAATAATATCATTCGTTTTCAATCATAAGGGAGTATTTGTATGAAATCTTCCTTCGTTTCTTGAGTGATTTCCTTTAGAATGTGTGCTCTTCATTAACCTATTGATTATCATCCTCTCCTCATCACCACCATCAATCACGCTTCTCTCTCCACCCCTTTCCCCAACTTTCACTCTCAGGATTTCAGAATATGTCTTCTCACTTCCTTCAGTCATTTGCCTATTTTTTTAAATTACTCTTTTATTTTAGATACAGGAGACACATGTGTAGGATTGTTACATGGGTATATTGGTCCCAAGTAGTGAGCATAGTACTCAGTAGGTAGTTTTTTAACCTGTGCCACTTTCCTCCCTTTTCTGTCTAGTTGTGTGCAGTATCTATTGTTCCCATGTTAATTTTCATGTGTGCTTAATGTTTAGCTCCAACATATACATGGGAATATGTGGAGTTTTGCTTTTTGTTCCTGTATTAATTTGCTTAGGACTATGGCCTCCAGGTCCATCTATGTTGCTGCATGGGACATGATTTCATTATACTTTATGCTGCATGGTATTCCATGATGTATATGTATCACATTTTCTTTATGCAATTCATTGTTGATGGGCACCTAGGTTAATCCATGTCTTTGCTATTGTGAATAGAGCTGTGATGCACATCTATATGCATGTGTCTTTTGGTAGAATGATCTATGTTCCTTTGAGTACATACCAAGAAATAGGATGACTGGGTTCAATGGTAGCCTTGTTTTAAGTTCTTTGAGAAATCTCCAGACTGCCTTTTACAGTGGCTGAACTAATTTACATTCCTACAAACTACAAATGAGGATTCCCTTTACCATCTGTTGTTTTTTGACTCTTTAATAATAGTCATTCTGACTGGTGTAAGATGGTACCTCATTGTGGTTTTGATTTGCATTTCTCTGATGATTAGCGATGATGAGCGTTTTTTTCATGCTTGTTGACCATTTATATGTCTTCTATTGAGGAGTGCCTGTCCATGTCCTTTGTCCATTTTTTAATGGAGTTATTTGCTTTTAATCTGTTGATTTAAGTAGATTATGAATATTAGACCTTTGTTGGATGCTGATATGGTTTTGCTCTGTGACACTCGCAAATCTCATCTCAAAATGTAATCCCCACATGTCCCAGGAGGGACCTGGTGGAAGGTGATTGGATTATGGGGGCAGTTTCCCCCATGATGTTCTCATGACAGTGGGTGAATTCTCACAACAGCTGATGGTTTTAAAGTGTGGCACTTCCTTGTTTTCTTGCTCTCTGTCTCCTACCACCAGGTAAGAAGTGCCTTCTTCCCCTTGACCTTTTGCCATAACTGTAAGTTTCCTGAGTCCTATCCAGCCATGGGGAACTGGGAGTCAATTAAACCTCATCTTTTTTTTTTTTAAATAAATTACTCAGTCTCAAGTAATGCTTTATAAGCAGTGTAAAAACAGACTAATACAGATACATAGTTAATGAATATTTTCTCCCATTCCATAGGTTGTCTGCTTATTCTGTTGCTCTGCAGAAGCTGTTTAGTTTAATTAGGTATCACTTGTCAATTTTTGTTTTTGTTGCAATTGCTTGGGGACTTAGCCAAAAATTATTTGCCAAGGCCAGTGCTGACATGAGTATTTCCTAGGTTTTACTCTAGTGCTTTTATAGTTTGAGATCTTACATTTAAATATTTAATCCATCTTGAGTAAATATTTGTATTAGTGAAAGATAAGAATTTGGTTTCATTTTTCTGCTTATGGCAAGCCAGTTAACCTGAAACATTTATCAAATGGCAAATCCTTTCCCTATTGCTTGTTTTCATGGACCTTGTCGAAAATCAGATGGTTGTAAGTGAGCAGCTTTATATTTTAGCTTTCTATTCTGTTCCATTAGTCTATGTGTCTGTTTTTGTATCAGTACTATGCTGTTTTTTCACTGTAGCCTTATTGTTTGAAGTTGATAGTGTAAGGCCTCCAGCTTTGTTCTTTTTGCTTAGGTTTGCATTGGCTATTTGGGCTCTTTTTTGGTTCCACATAAATTTTAGAATAGTTTTTCTAATTCTATGATAGGTTGATAGGAATAGCATTGCATCTGTAAATTGCTTTGGGCAGTATGGCCATTTCAGTGATATTGATTTTTCATTTCTATGAAACATTAAAACATTCCATGAGTATGGAATGTTTTCCCACTTATTTATGTCACCTGATTTCTTTCAGCATTGTTTTCTAGTTCTCCTTGTAGAGATTTTTCACCTTCTTGGTTACCTGTACTCTCAGCTGTTTCATTTTCTTTGTGGTTATTGTAAATGTGATTGTGTTCTTAATATGACTCTCAGCCTGGATGTTATTGGCACATATAAATGGTACTAATGTTTTCTACATTGATTTTGTATCATGGAACTTTGCTAAAATCATTTATTAGTTCCAGTAGCCTTTCTCCTGCTTGATTGCTCTGGCTCTGACTTCCACTACTACGTTGAATATGAAATGGTCAGAGTGCTTGCCTTTTTTTCAGTTCTCCAGGGGAATGTTTCCAGCTTTTGCCCATTCAGTATAATGTTGGCTCTGGGTTTGCTATAGACGACTCTTATTATTTTGAGTCATATTATTTTGATGTCTAGTTTGTTGAGGGTTTTTATCATGAAGTGATGTTGAATTTTATTGAAGTTTTTCTGCATTTTTTGAGATGATCAGATAGTTTTTGTGTTTAAATCTGCTTATGCGGCGAATCATATTTATTGATTTGCATATGTTGATCCAACCTTGCATCCCAGGAATAAAGCCTACTGTATCGTGGTGAATTAACTGTTTTATATGCTGCTGGATTCAGTTTATCAATATTTTGTTGAGAATTTTTTGTCTGTGTTCATCATGGACATTGGCCTCAAGTTTTCTTTCTTCATTGTGTTTCTGCCAGAGATTGAGTTTGAAAGGATTCCCTCCTTTTTTTGTAATAGCTTCAGTAGAATTGGTACCAGTTTTTCTTTGTATATCTGGCAGAATTTGACTGTGAATCCGTCTGGTCTAGGACTTTTTTGGTTGGTGGTAGTTTTTTTTTATTACATATGATTCAATTTCAGAGTGAGATATTTCACTATTCAATGCTTCAATCTTTTCCTGATTCAATTAGAGACTGTGTGTTTCTAAGAATTTATCAATTTCATCTACAGATTTTCTAATTTGTATGCATAGAGTTGTTCATGGTATTCTATGGGAAACTTTTGTAATTCTGTGGGATCAGTTATATTATCTTTGTTATTTCTGACTATACTTCTCTTTTTTTCATTGTAAATCTAGCTGTTAAATAGCAGTCTATCCATCTTGTTCATCTTTTCAAAGAACAAACTCTTGCTTTTTTATTATTTTTTCTATGGATTTTTCTATCTCAATTTCAGTAAGTTCTCTAATTTTAGTTATTTTTTTCTTCTGCTAGCTTTTTCTTTTCTAGTTCCTTTAGGTACAAAGTTAGATTGCTAAATTGAGATCTTTCTAACTTCTCGATTACTGCATTTAGGGAAATAAACTTTCCTCTTAACACTGCTTTGGCTGCATCTCAAAGATTTTGGTAAGTCATATTCCTGTTTTCAATATTTCAAAGAATTTTTCTTAAATCTACCTTTATTTTGATGTTCACCTAAGAGTTATTCAGGAGTAAGTTGTTTAATTTCCCTATATTTGTGTAGTTTTGAGAGGTCTTCTTGATTTTGATTTCTATTTTTATTTCACTGTGGTCCAAGAGTTTGCTTGGTATAATTTCAATTTTTTGAATTTATTGAGACTTGCTTTATGATTAAGCACGTGGTTGATCTTAGAATATGTTCCATGTGCAGATGGGAAGAATATATATTCTGTGGATATTACCTGGGGTATTTTGTAGATGTCTATTAGGTCCAATTGTTAAAGTGTTGAGTTTATGTCCAGAGTTTGTTAGTTTTCTTCCTTAATGATCTGTTTAGTGCTGTCAGTGGGGTGGTGAAGTCTCCTGCTGTTATTGTTTGGTTGTCTAAGTGTTTTCATGGGCAATGAAGAACTTGTTTTATGAATCTGGGTGCTCCAATATTGAGTGTATATATATTTAGTACAGTTAAGGTTTCTTGTTTGATTGTACCCTTTATCATTATGTAATGCCCTTCATTGTTCTTAATTTTTATTGGTTTAAAGTCTATTTTATATAAGAATAGCAACTTCTGCTCTTTTTTGCTTTCTGTTCACATGGTAGCTCTTTCTCCATTCTTTTGCTGTGAGCCTGTGGTTGTTCTTAATGTGAAATAGGTCTCTTGAAGATAACAGATGGTTGGGTCATTTATCCAGCCTGCCACTCTGTGTCTCTTAAGTGGAGCATTTAGCCCATTTACATTCAAGGTTAGTATTGGTATCTGTGATTTTAATTCTGTCATCATGTTGCTAGCTGATTGTTATGTAGACTTGATTATGTGGTTGCTTTATGGCGCCTGTGTGCTATGTGGTTAAATGAGCTTTTGTGGTATGACTGTCATTCTTTCTTTTCCATGTTTAGCACTCCCTTAAGGACCTCTTGTATGGCTAGTCTAGTTGAAACATATTCCCTTAGCATTTGCTTCACTTCACTTTTAAGCTTAGTTTGGTGGGATATGAAATTATTGGTTAAAATTTATTTTCTTTAAGGATGCTGAAAATAAGCTACCAATCTCTTCTGACTTGTAAGATACTGCTGAGAGGTCTGCTGCTAGCCTGATGAAGTTCCTTGTATGTGACTTTACCCTGCCTTTAAGACTTTTTTCTTTAGTGTTGACCTTGATGAATATTGTACTATGTGCCTTGGAGGTAGTCATTTCATGTCATATCTATCTGGGGTTCTGCGTGTTTCTTGGATTTGTATGTAAATCTCCCTAAAGAGATAAGAGGAATTTTCATGAACTGTATCCTCAAATATATTTTCCAAGTTGCGTATTCTCTCTCCTCTCTCAGGAATGACAATGAGTCATAGATTTTTTCGCTTTACAAAATCCCATATTCTTGGAGGTTTCACTTTTTTTTCCCATTTTTTTCCTTATTTTTGTCTGAGTTGACTTAAAGAACAAGTCTTCAAGTTTTGAGATTATTTCCTCAGCTTGGTCTATTCTGCTGCTAATACTACTGATTATTTGATAAAATTCTGATAGTGAGTTTTTCAGCTCTAGAATTTAAGTTTGGTTATTTCTGAAAATGGCTATTTTATCATTCAGCTCTTGGATTGCTTTACTAAATTATTTGAATTCCTTGCACTGAATTTCACTTTCTCCTGAATCTCAATGGGTTTCCTGGCCACAGATTCTGCATTCTGTGTCTGTTATGTCAGTCATTTCAGACTGGTTAGAAACCATTGCTGGGGAGCTAGTGGATCATTTGGAAGTGAGGGTACACTCTGACTTTTTGGATTGCCAGAGTTCTTGTGCTAATTCTTTCTCATCTGGGAGGGTTGGCATTTCTTTAACTGTGGTGTAAGTTGAGAATAGTCAGTTGGCTTAATTTCTGAATGCTTTTAGAGGCCCAGGGCTCTTACAGAATCTTTATGTGTGGGTAAATTTTTGACTTGGTTTCACAGCTGTATATATTAGCAGAATAAAATTTAGGTGTTGTAGTTTGGGTGGCAATCCAGTGAATGAGGTTTAACAGTAATGACTGGTAGCTAGGTTAATACCTGGTCACAGGGCTTTTTTGTACTTCTTGAGTTCACAGATATGCTCTGCAGTGATATGGAGTGATACGGTTCCCTCAACAGATCTGCTTGTAAAACTTGAGAGAGCTCCCTCTGATAGCTGGTGCTGTGCCCACATTTCTTTTGTTAGTTTTTCTGAGCCACATGGTCTTCTTGGGCAGAAGCTGTGGCAGGGAGATATGCCACATGCTTTTTGGACTGGACCTGAGAAGGGAGGCATGTTCCACTCTTACCCCAGCTCAGGAATCCGTGCATCTCACCCCTCTCATGGCTCTGAGATTGGGGGCTCTTTCTCTGTTTGAGTGCCAGCCACAAATCTTGGTTCCATACTCCCAAGCTGCACACTACAGCCCTGGGGACACTGGGATATCCCATGGCTTGGGTTTGGGTTCTTGCTCCACTGGGGGATACAGTGTGCTCCAGGGTCATGAAGAAAATATGTGGGTGCAACTACACACTCAGGCTGACCTTCCAGGGCTGCACTATGCACCTGCTCCTACAGGGCAGCTAGGCATGGACCCTGGGAAGGGCTGGTAGGCAGAAGGGCTTGCAGAGTAGATGCACCCCAGTCGTGCAGGAAAGCTGGCCCAACTCTCTCCTGGCTTGGAGGTCAGTAGGGGTCCATGCCTCCCAGAGGAGAATGGAAATCCCTGGGGAATGGGCATCTATGGCTGCTCTTGCCTGCAGCAGTCCAGCACACAAAAGCTCCTGGGCTCTGTGCTGTCCAAAGTCTGTCTCTGCCTGCTCCCCAGGGAGATCCCCCTGCCAGCTCACACATCCATGGTCGCGTAAGGTCCCTTGTAGCTAGAAAATCAAATGCTCATGGCAAGAGTGAACCATCCCTCAGTTCCTTCATTCAGTCCTTTACCGGAATTGTTTGGGGCCAGGAATTAGCCCTGGCATTTGGGTAGCTAACTCAGGGTTTCCAGCTTCCTGCCTCTTCAGTCTTGGCTTCGACCTTGCCTCTCCATCCACTTTCAGCATTTTCTCCTTGAATACCTGTTCAAATTATGGTGGTTTACCTAATAATTTGGCCTCTCTTGAGAGGAGTGGCACTTCCTGGCTGTGTCTAGTCGGCCATCTTGTTCGTCTCCTCCATCTTAAAATGGAGTCAACCAATCCACTACAAATAATGTGATTTGAGGAAGTCCAAAGCTCTAATTCAGGTTTTTATTTGTTTGTTTTGTATGCTTTCTGGGTTTTTTTTTGTTGTTAAAAACTATCTCAACAATTTTATTCTCTCCAATAAATGTACATCTCATCTAAATTTTGGTATTGAGCTTTTTTATACATCCTATTTCCAACCAAAAAGACTTGTTTTTAAATAAATGCAACTTAATCATCCTATTTCTATTATTTAGATACTATCATTCCTTCTATCTGGAGGTCTCTGTAATGGCTGTATTAACAGTACTCAAAAGTAATGTGGATAATAATTGTGGATTTTGTTCTTGTTTTTAAATCTGTCTTTAATCATTTCATGTAAAGTTGTAAGCCTTTGAAGCATTTGAGAATTTCATACAAAACATTTCTGAAAGATAAATTTTCTCATATTTTCTTGGACACGCTGATTGATCATTTTAGTTAGTCTCTGAAGAAATCCATGAAAAAGTACTTGTTACTATTTTTACCCACAGCAGCATAATTTAAATTTGAGTTAAATAGGCTTATAAACAAATTTGTATAACCATGATGAAAAATCATCTTCCCAATAGTATAGCTAAACTAATAAAGTAACTGTGGTAGGGATGAGCAATTATAGTCCAAGCAATGTAAACTCAATTCATACGTGGAAAACCACAGGGGCAAGGGGAATACAGTATATAGACAGTGTCAGAACAAGAGACTGCTAGGAGTTCTGGGTTTTATCCTCCTCTACAGATACACATTGTCTACCCAGCTTCCCAAGAGACCACCATGTAAATGTCTTCTTTCAACTCGTCATGATTAAAGGTTAATAATATTTTACACAAAAATAATGTGTTCTTTTAAAAGGTAGTAAAATTTTCTGGGACAGAGATTGAGGATGTTCTTCAGCAATCTTACAAATGATTTATTGGTTTATTTACATAAAATCAAATCAGTGTATATTCTATCTTACATTAGCTGAACTACAGTAGCTTCCACAATAAGTCAAGCACAAATTTTAATCCATTTAACAATCTTTAGCAAACATTTATTTAAGGACTCTAATGTTTCAGGGATAGTAATGGTTACTAGGTATACAAAGCAAATCAATCTCAGTTCGTGCCTAAAAAGTACATAATCTTTAATAAGTTTCAAGATCATAGAGCCATATAATCTAATAAAATAAATAAATTCATCTGTTTTATTGAGCAATTATTTGGTACCGACTATGTGCAAGCTATTGTGTATATTTTGGTATGTGCTAAAAGTCTATGATTCTGTATATGTTTTTCATGTACCTATTTTTAATAAATTTGTATTTTTTCTTAATACTATGACACAATTTGCATTTTTAATCTTTAAAGCCTTTCACTATTATTCAGTTTTTGTCACTATTCTCTCACAAAGTTCTTGTGGTATGTCTTAGCTTTTTTCTGAATGCACTTTTATCATATTCATATGTATTATGAATCTTTCAAGACACAGTTCAGTAGTCACCTCCTCCACCCCACCATGATACTTATAGACATATACACCACCCAAATGAGAATAATATTTTCCTCTTGTAAATGCTCATTTTTCTCTGTGTCCCGAGGAATTTGCCTTTTGTTACAGTGCATTGTGTATATGCCTCCTCACTTCAGTACATTGTGTTTCTGTAGAATAGAGTTCATATCTGTTCATTTTTATTTTCTTGGAATTTAGGGACATTTTCTGGTGTATAATGGATCCTATTACGTGCTTTTTATGTAAATTTTATGTATATTTAATTTGAAATTTATAATACCTTTCAAAATTCTTGACCATTCTATATTTAATAACAAAATTAAAATAAATGAATTAAAAATGTATCATTCTGATTATCCTTCCAGAAAATTGTATCTCAGTTTCTTTCAGAGAGAAAATATTTGACAATCAACAAGGAGACTTCTCTAATATGACATATCTGAACCAAAACAACAAGCATTAAATGGGTGACTAGTCATTACATAATACTATAAAAATTTATAGAAATCTCTTAGTCAGAACATTTATGAGAAATGTCATAAATTTAAAGTTAATGTGAATTGCTTTTATATTAGTGTATCGTTTGTAAGCCGTCTACCCATAATATTAATTAGCATGGATATAGTACATTGAAACAGAGCTACAATCTGTACTAATATTTATTCTTTGTATAATTCTACTTAAATTATTGGTTGGAAAAAGTTATTTCCAATACAAACATTGAAACATAACCTAGAAGGCCGTCTATGTAGTACATTCTTGCTCTGGTTTTGAAAAAAAGCGTTATCAGGTTGTTTACTAATGGAATAAAATGACAGATGAAGTAATGAACATCCTAGACGAACCCAGGCATCTCTACATGCATAGTTAAATGTTATTTTAATATCCGGCCGGATGGCAAGTAAAACTGTAGAATTTAATGTCTATCTAACCATACCAAACTTTCCAAATATTGTTGCAATGTTTCTTCTTAAAAATAAAAATATAAATTTTACTTAGAAGTCAAATTGAAAAATAAATATTGGCAAGAAATACATGAAATTTTACAAAGAACATGTTCATATATATATATTTATGATTGATCACATTTTATTAATTGGAGAGTTAAACATACTTTTATCATGTTTTCTACCCTAGAAAATATGGAAGATAAAGCTCTGTTGTCCTCTTCATTTTCCTAACTAAGCAAGTATTTTATAAAGCACTGAGGTGTAATTCTCTTTACAAAGTGATAAATCCTTTACACAAAATTGTTCCTACTGAAGATAATAATTCTCCAATTACAAAAGCATCATCCTTTTTTTTTTTTTTTTTTTTTTTTTTTTTGAGACGGAGTCTCGCTCTGTCGCCCAGGCTGGAGTGCAGTGGCGCGATCTCGGCTCACTGCAAGCTCCGCCTCCCGGGTTCACGCCATTCTCCTGCCTCAGCCTCCCGAGTAGCTGGGACTACAGGCGCCCGCTACCACGCCCGGCTAATTTTTTGTATTTTTAGTAGAGACGGGGTTTCACCGTGTTAGCCAGAATGGTCTCGATCTCCTGACCTCGTGATCCGCCCGCCTCGGCCTCCCAAAGTGCTGGGATTACAGGCGTGAGCCACCGCGCCCGGCCAAGCATCATCCTTTTATAGTCAGTTTTGACCTTCTAATTCCAGCCATTTACTTGAAAACAATTGGGACACAATTTCCAAGTTGGCTTGCAGTAGCCACCCGATTATGATAAAATAATATCTTTAATATAGTGTATTTTATGTAAATAAACAATTTCTTTTAGGTATAGTTTTATTACAAACATATTTTTAAAGTTTTTCAAACATGCAACTTAATATATTCATTTAGATCATAAACTTTATAATTTACACTGAAATTGGGAAAATTAATTTTACTGAAAGTCTCATTTTCTTTTCTAGGGAATTTTGGTAACACAAAAAATACAAAATTTACCAGTTTCCTAATTGATGTAAGGTTATTTATTATTTAGGACTCTATCACAGCCTTTGAAATAATTTGATTTATGTAATCTCCTTTGCTATAGAAATTTTACCTAGCATAAAATCTCCACTTTTATTTTTAATAACATTTGCTTGATACTTAACACAAATGTCTTTCAAGCTGAGAAGGTCACATGCTATCACTGCTTGACATATGTAGAGATTCATCACTCTAAATAATTCGTGTGTGTAATATTGACTAATTATTTCATGATAAAATATAGGTGATTGATCGTAAAATCAGCTTTTACTTTGCATGGTCATACTGAACTTCTCAAAAAAATAAAAATAAACTAGCTGCAAGAACAAAACTAACAAAGAAATATTCAGAAATTCCATTTTTTGAAAGATATTTTAGTAGCAATAAAGTTCATATATTTCAGTGTGTAAGTAATATCTAGCTTGTGACATACAATTATAAGAAGATCTATAATTCGTTTTTTAGCTATTTTCTCTGTATGGACAACAAAATATATATAACATGACTGTAGTAAACATGCCATCTTTATAAATTTTTCTCTCAGTTCTATCTGTTTTCTAAATGTATTTGTTTAGTCCCTACCTCCTACTACGTATTATTTAGTTTTATTTTCTGTAGTTTACATTTTAACGAAGGTAAGATTTTGCTTATCAAATTATTTAAGAAAATCTATTTTGAGACACCCTAAACAAATATTTATGATGCATATTTTTAGCTTGCAAGAAATAAATGGATTCTCCAGACAGCTGAAGATAATTATAAGCAGAAACTAGAGTGAGAAGTAAGGATATACGAAATTAGGGAATTAGACTGAAAACAACTGCCTATATCAGCATAATGATCTGGGAATTCAGCCTTTAGATGTCCATAAGCTAGGGTAGCTAATTTACTGAAAATCCAGGTTCAATTAATCTAGGTACACTAAAAAAGAGTAAAATTTGGGACTTCTTCTTATGAGTTATAGCCAATTTAGGCTTCAAGGATTTTGACACATCAAGAAAGGGAGACCTTATATTTAAATTTATATTAAATATTATTTAAAGTAGGCAAACTATTTTCAAAAAATAAGATAAAAGCAAACAAAATAAATTAAAATGACCAATAGTTTTAGATAACCAAAAGCCACCAGTTTTGAATTAGAAACTGATTAAAATCATTATTAAAATATTTAAAGAAATAAAATATAAATATATGAGAAAGCAAAAAGGTTATTGAAAATTTAAAAATTGATTCAAAAAATGCCACATATAAATTTAAAACTGAGAAAATAAATAAATCATGTGCCCATATATTTTGTAATATAAATGAAATAGGTCAATTCTTTCAAAGATCCAAGCTACCAAAACTCACACACAAAAAATAGATAATTTGGATATATTATCTATTTGGATATACATATATATAATTGAATAATTAAGAATATTCCAAAAAGAAAGCCTGAGACCCACATAATTTCACTGGTGAATTCTACCTAATATTTAAGAAAGAAATAATATCAATTTTCCACAATTTATTCCAGCATATGGAAACAGGGAAGATTTTTCCTAATTCTCTGAGTCAATCATTATCCAATACTAAAACTCATATAAAGCCCTTGCAATACATAAAATGTACAAACCTTTTTTGCCTGTGCTTTGGGGATTGTATCCAAATACCTTTTTCAAGAATAATGTCAAGAAGCTTTTCGTATGTTCTCTTCTAGTAATTTTATCTTTTTATTAATGTTTATTTTACCCATTTTAAGTTGATTTTTGTATATGGGGTGAAATTAAGGATTCATGTGGATAGCCAGTTTTTCTAACATCATTTATTGAAGAGACTGCCGTTTCCCCATTGCAGGTTATTGGCACCTTTGTCAAAGATCAATTGGCTGAAGACACGTTACCTTATTTCTTGGATCTCTGTTTTGTGCCATTGATCCATATGCCTGTTTTGTGCCAATTCCATACTCTTCTGAATTGGAAATATTCGTAGCAAATTTTGAGATCAGGTTGTGTGATGTCTCCAACTTTGCTCCTTTTGCTTGGAATTGCTTTGGATATTTGAGTCTTTTGTGGCTCCATGCAAATCCTAGAATTACTTTTTTTTCTTTCCATTTTTGTGAGAAATGTCTTGAGAATTTTAATAGAGATTGCACTGAATCTGCAGATATCTTTAGGTATTATGGGCATTTTAATAATACTAATTCTTCCAACCCATAAACACATGATATCTTTCCATTTATTTGTATCTTCTTTAATTTGTGTCATTAATATTTTCAATAGTTTTTCAATGTACAGATCTTGCCACTCCTTGTTTTTCATATTTTTGATGCAATCATGTTTTTTTCTTCTTTCTTTTTCAGATATTTCACTGTTAGTAAATAGAAACACTACTGATTATTGAATGCTTATTTTGTATCCTGCAACCTTATTAAATTCATTTATTAATTTTAACAGTTTTTTTGGTGGAGTCTTTAGAGTTTTTATATATAAGATCATATCATATGCAGAGACAATTTAACTTCTTCCTTTCTGATTTGGATGCATGTAATTTCTTGCTTATGCCTAATGCCTGTCACTAGGACCTCCTGTAGACACTTCTCAAAACAGAAGGCATACAAATAGGCAATAGGAATGTTTAAAAATGCCCAATCATCAGGGAAATGCAAATTATAACCACAATGAGATATCACCTCGCAGCTGCTCAAGCAGCTTTTATCAAAAAGGCAAAAGCTAACAAGTGTTGGTGAGGGTGTGGATAAAAGGGAACCATTGTACATTGTTGGTAGGAAGGTAAATTAGTACAGGCATTTTGGAAAATATTATGGAGTTTTCTCTAAAATCTAAAAATATAGAACTCCCATATAATTCAGTAATTCAATTTCTGGGTATATATCAAATAAAATGAAATCAGCATGTTGAAGAGGTATCTGCATTCCCATGTTCACTGCAGTGTTGTTCACAATGGCCAAGATATGGAATCAACCTAAGTGTCCATCAACAGAAGAATGAGTAAAAATAATGTGGTATATATACACAATGAAATACTATTCAGCCTTGAAAAATAAGTAAATCTATAGATGAATCTGGAGGACATTATGACAAATAAAATAAGCCAGGCACAGAAGGATAAATACAGCATGTTCCCACATATATGTGGAATCTAAAATAGTCAAACTTACAGAAATAAAAGCAGAATGGTAGTTAAAAGGGATTGGGGGAGATGGGAAGATATTGGTTAAAGGGTATAAAGTTTCAGATAGGAAGAATAAATTCTGGAGACATATTGTACAGCATAGTGACTGTAGTTAACAATAACGTATGGTATGTTTGAAAACTGCTAAGAGAGCAGATTTTAAATGTTCTCACCACAAAAAAATAAGTATGCGAGGTGACAGATATTGATTTAATAATTTCACAATGTATACATATCGGAAAACATCACTTTGTACCCACATATGTATACAATTATTATTTGTCGATTAAAAATAAACTAAAAAGGAAAAACTAATATATCTGAAGAACACAAATGCAAAATTCCTCAACAAAATGTTAGCAAACAGAATTCAATAGTATATAAAGAGAATTATAACCATAACAAAACAGAATTTATTCAAATATTCAAAAATGACTGAACACACAAACCAATCAATGTAATTTACCATTTCAACAGGCTAAAAAAAAAAAGAAAAAATATGTGATTATATCAATAGATGCAGCAAAACCTTTTGGCAAAAATTCATCAATTCGTTGACCAAACAAACAAAAATATCTCATAAACTAGGAATAAATGGGAGCTTTCTCAACTTGATAAAGTACACTCATAAAACCTAAAGCTAACATCATACATAATGGTCAGAGGCTGAATGTTATATCTTTAAAATAGGGAAAGGCAATTATAACTTCTGTTGCCACACTTTTGAACATCTCACTGGAAATTCTACCTAATTCAATAAGACAAAAAAGGTACTCTTATTGGAAAGAAAAATACCTGTCTTTATTTGCCAATTATATGATAGTCTATATGTAAAATCCTCAAAAACCTACAAGGAAAAATCTTCTGGAGTGTATAAGCAAGCACAGCAAATCTTCAGGGCACAAAGTTCATGTACAAAACTCAATTCTTTTTCTACATACCAACAATGAAATTTTGGTATTTGAAATTTAGAAAGCAATATTATTTTCAATAGTAGCAGAAAATAAAACATATATGTATAAATTTAACAAAATATGTGCAGATCTGTATGCAAAGTTAAGACACAGATGGAACATGTTAAAGATCTAATTATATGGAAAACATTCTATGCCATTGACTGAAAATCCCAACATTATTGACACCCTTTTCTCCCAAATTGATCTACAGATTTCATTCAATCTCAATTAAAATTCCATCAAACTACTTTGTAGATATAGACAAACTTATTCTAAAGTTTAAATAGAAAGGCAAAAGATAGCCAAAAAAAAAGTACAATGTGGAGACACAAACTACCCAACTTCAGAACTTACAGTATAGCTATAATAATCAAGATTATATGATACAGTTAAAAGATACACATAAATCAAGGAAAGAGAACACAGACATAGAACAAAACAAATATGATTAACTGATTTTTAACAAGGACTAGCCTGGCCAACATGGTGAAACCCTGTCTCTACTAAAAATACAAAAATTAGCCAGGCATGGTGGTGGACGCCTGTAATCCCAGCTACTCCAGAGGCTGAGGCAGGAGAATCGCTTGAACCCAGGAGGCAGAGGTGCAATGAGCCGAGACTGTGCCACTTCACTCCAGTCTGGGCGACAGAGCAAGACTCCATCTCAAATAAATAAATAAATAAATAAATAAATAAATAAATAAATAAAGAATGACCAGAATTTGTATAATTCGAGTCTTACAGGATAATAGACAATGCTTAATGTATGCTTGCTTATATGCTAAGTATGGTGCTAAGAAATTTAATGAATTATTTTATTTAATTTTTGCAACAAGTCTTTGTCATAGATAGTAGTATTATTATACCCATACTACAAGTGAGAAAACTAAGAGTTAGAAAGGTTAATTAACATATCCTATGTTACCAAGAAACATGTCAAAAGAAAAAAAGTTCCCTAAAGGAAAATGCACAACAAAAATAATGATTAAAAAAAAATACACCGGGTGTGGTGGCTCACACCTGTAATCCCAAAAGTTTGAGAGGCCTAGGTGGGTGGATCATGAGGTCAGGAGGTCAAGATCATACTGGCTAACACAGTGAAACCCCATCTCTACTAAAAATACAAAAAAAATTAGCCGGGTGTGGTGGAATGCACCTGTAGTCCCAGCTACTTGGGAAGCTGAGGCAGGAGAATTGCTTGAACCCGGGAGGCAGAGGTTGCAGTGAGCTGAGATCATGCCACTGCACTCCAGCCTGGGTGACAGAGCAAGACTCTGTCTCAAAAAACAACAACAACAAAACATACACAGCCAGGTACAGTGGCTCACGCCTGTAATCCCAACACTTTGGGAAGCCAAGTTGAGAGGATCACTTGAGGTCAGGAGTTCAAGACCAGCCTGGCCAATAAGGCAAAACACTCTCTCTACTAAAAATACAAAAACTAGCCAGGTGTGGTAGCCCACACCTGTAATCCCAGCTACTCAGGAGGCTGAGGCAGGAGAATCGCTTAAACCCAAGAGATGGAGGTTGCAGTGAGCCAAGATCATGCCACTGCACTCCAGCCTGCACAACACAGTGAGACTCTGTCTCAAAACAAAAACAACAACAAAAAAAAACACTACTCAAAACAGTTCAAACCACCCCTATAATACTGTCCTATTATGTGTGTTAACCACTCAAAAGAAGTCAAACACACAAAAAGATATGGCTAAAAGAATTAAAATGCTAACTAACTAATATCCTCTTTAGTCCTTGATCTTCTAGTGAAGAAGAGGATAGGTGCCAACGTGAGTCCTCTCCTGCAGAGCCACACCCTTGACAATGGAGATAAATGTGCACGTATGTCCCCTTGAAAGGTTGCACCTTTCCTGCTTTGGCTAGAGCCTCTGCCATGGTGCCACCTGGTTTCTATGTAAATCAGCTGACGGGTAGAATCATTTCTGACCAGTTTAGGGAGGTTCTGGGCAATGTTATCTTTGCCTTCCTACCTCCCTCACTACTCCCTCCCCACCACTGAACACAGTAATTTTTACTAGAAAACATCCAAGCTAACAGATTCTCAGTACAAGTAAAAATGTTGCCTCTCCAGCAGATAGAAAAATGAACAGATAAGTTAAAACTTACAAAATTAAATCTGATGAGTTTATTCCATCATTAGTGTAGAAACACAGATCACATATACCTGAATATGCAAAGAAAGTTAAATTATGATGCAATCAATGCTATCCTATAAAAACCAAATTAACAAAAATAGTCTATTAGGGAAGACATCTGGTGTATCATGGTAAGAAATGTTAATGATATTGTCTGCAACCCTGTAATCAATTTTTTCTCCCAGCAGCTATCTCATTACTCTGTATTAGATCTGTGTGCCTGCAGGATTTATAAGAGCTCCACATATGGGGAAGCTTCGCCAACTGGATCTGATTCAGATCCAGCTCAAATGACTTTGGCAGCACAAAGCATCATTAAAGAACAATCAATACAGTTAGCTTTATGTACCATCATCTTGACTGAAAGAAGATTTATCCTCTCACTACAGAATCTCTCACATCTACATATAATGTACCCAAGTGCTCCACCAGTCATGAACTTATTTAAATCATCAGTAGACACAAATATTTTTATTGCTAAAAAATAAATACTAGTCATCATTAATTGTAATATAAAAAGTTTACAAAAAAAATTAATGTTATTATGGGGAAGACTTAAAATCCATTCAGCAAATCCTGTTGAGTATTACAGTAAATAAAAGTATTAATGATAGCATCCACATTGATTAAGAAAATATCAGCCTGAAAGTAAAACCCACTTTTTAGATATATGTGGAAATAAGACATATCGGTAAATAAGACATATTGGTCATTGGTAAAGGCTGAAGCTTTAAAAGTAGGTAGTCACATTGGGAATCTACTAATTTGTCCCATAAGACATCAGTCTTTCTCTGGGAATTAAAATTAGACTTTTATCTACACTACACTGGGTTCTGTCTTCCACCGTAAGACAGAGAATTCCAAGGTTTCCATAATGTGAAATCCCCACCCCTTTTTATGGTATGACCCTTGAGTAATTACATCAGCAAATATGTAAACGTGTTATGCTGTTCCAACAATTACTCCTGATTTGGTTACAATTATCAATATATCATCTCTACTGTCTTGGTCCTCTTCATCTTACCCATGAATGGCGGCCCTAGCCTCCTACTTGGAACTTTCACCATCTTTCCCGTTCCACACTGCAAACTGCTACAGTCAATCTTCTTAAGCAGTGGTCTGCAAGGTGGCTCGTCTCGAATAAAAAAGCTTACAAAAGCTCTCTACTGCCTATTACACAAAATCTTAACTTTGCTAACTTTGAAGATTCTCTATAATCTAGCCCCATTTTATATCTCCACATCTGCCTCCCAAAATCCACTAACCTGTGCTCTTCAGTGACGTCCTGCGGGTCATCTTCTCACGACTCCCAGACTCGTCAGCCTCACTGCCTGTGTTGCTTATAAGGACAGGCTGCCATGTACACCTGCAAGGCTCCTATACTCTGCCTATCCACTTCTTATTGATGTGTGAAAAACATACCCAGCTCCTCAAAACCTACCCACCTTCACAGAACTTCCCCAAGTGCCACATGGCATCTGGAGCACTTTCTTTTCTTCACCCCAAGATATTAATATTCTACACTGCAACTGAACAACTCACCGTATATTGACAGTATCCCGCATTGTGTGTGTCTAAGTGTGAGAGAGCTTGCTATCCTCTTGTATTATTTGCTAATTCAGTATGAACTGGGGTGCCACAGTCACTTCTTCACACTGACGTCAATGCTTAACTGAAACCACACTTCTTTCATATTAACCCAGTAGTCACTCAGAATAATAAATACTCGACTTTCAGAAACCATTACCATTAAATCCTCCATTAAGTCCTACCATTACAGGAAAAAAAAGGAAGACAAGTGTGAACTTTCCTAAAAAGGGAGATGCACTACACGATAATAACCCCTATGATCACCCACACGGGTCCCTGTGCTTTAAGGGATAAAGCACTACAGATACTTCATCCTGCTGCCTCTTACACATCCCTCAGGACCACCACTAGTAACAGAGGAGTAACCAAGGGATAGCCGTTAAGAAGTATAGCTACAGCCCGACCCAAGCCTCGTGAAGGGCTTATTCTGCATCTAGCACTGGAGAAAAGCCTCGCTATTTCTGAGCAATACCCTACAAAATGTCACCCAAGAGGACAACACCCAAAATAGTTTAGATTGGTGGGTCATGAGTCCCAATGAGCCTGGGGAAACTCACATTCCACACTTGAACTCAAACTTACCCCCTTTTTTCCCCATTTCAGTTGCCAACAGCCATATAAATTGGCCTTTATATTTGGCCATTATATTGGCCACAAGATGAGTTTTCTGCATTGAAAACAATTTCACATATAGTTAACAATTTTAGTAAATAACATTTTCAGAAATATAGTTTATGGAAATACATATAATTAAACAAAACTTTTTCAATAGTTTCTTAGAGTCCCTTGACCCAAGTAAATTAGAAGAAAATGAATTACCCAACCTCACAATAGTAGTTAAACACTAAAACTTAAAATCCCAAGTGCCCTACCCTGACTGGCAGCCACGAGTGAAGACAAATTGCTGGGAAGCTCAGAAAATGGGGCCAATAAAATGCTGGGATTATTTATTCCCAAGGCCTCATTTTGATTTCCACTTATGTTAATACCACCCTGTCCATTTAGAGGTTGACATCAATATCATGCAAAAAGGATGTGGTCGTTCAAAAAACTTTCAACACCATTACTCTATAATTGTGGTGGGAGGGGAGTATAGATATACAACCTCCTCTGACTGAGTCCACCAAACTCAGGGCTAAAGAATTCCATCTTGCTTGATGCAGTGGCTCATGCCTGTAATCCTGACACTTTGGGAGGTCAAGGCAGGTGGATCACGAGGTCAGGAGTTCAAGACCAGCCTGGCCAACATAGTGAAACCCCGTCTCTACTAAGAATACAAAAACATAGCTGGGGGTGGTGGCAGGTGCCCGTAATTCCAGCTACTTGGGAGGCTGAGGCAGGAGAATCACTTGAACCCGGAGGCGGAGGTTGGAAAGAGCTGAGATCACGCCATTGAACTCCAGCCTGGGTGACAAGAGGGAAACTCTGTCTCCAAAAAAGAATTCCATCCTGCCTCTTGCCTCGTTAAAGAATTAAACAAAATTAGAAATCACAAATTTATATATGAAAAGGCCACTTGGTCCTTGGATATAATAGCTGAAAATACTTGATAATGAACTTTAATGTAAAGTTTTTACTTCATTATCCAACACTACACAACAAGTCACAAAGGCGTAACTGGGTGATACTGACCTTTTTGTATGGTACAAGCCAAGAAAGTAAAGAGAAGAAGGAGCTATAGAAAGAAATACTCAATTTTGCAGGCCTACCTTGAAGGACTGTCAAAAACAAAAACAGAAACAACTGATGTGTCACACAGAAACAAATCATCATAGCGTAAGGCATTTTTCATAACAGTTGGCCTTTTCTGGGAGGTTCACACGTATACTAGGCCCTCATTTATCTTTGCTGAAAGTCAGTCATATGGAAAACCCAAAACAATATAATGATGCCTAAAAAATGTTATGACTTAGGCTACATTCATTCAAATTCGTGAAGAAAAGAAGAAACTGAATTTTCTTCAAGTATTTTAAAATAAATAAAGTTTTATTATTTCTATACATTACGCACTGCAGGCTAACCAAAAGTAAGTGAGTAGACTTCTTTGGCTTGTTTAAGAGAATGTTAATTTGTGTTGATGTATGCACTGTATCAAACAACTACTACTAAAGTTTTTTAAAAATACTTATCCAGTGAATTGATTCCACTTAAATGTTACTTCATTCAGTATTCAATAAATACTTACTGTGGACAATACAGCCAGCCAATGTGATAAGCACACAATATATACATCAGTGAATAAAAAGCATAAACCTAAGGTACCAACTAAACATCAACATCACAATCAGTGTCACTCTATGGGGCACTGGACACTTTGTAAGTTTGACCTTTTAATCTAAAAACAATCTACTTGGCAAGGTTGGTACTTTATATCCCAACTTCACAGGTAACTAAAGAAAGTTAAGAGGGTTAAGTGTATTTCCCAAGGTCAGGAAAGATGGCAACTGATGGACGGAGTACGTGAACTCAGACAACCTGACGTCGAAGTCCGAGCTCTGAACCTGGGCAATCTACCATCCCTCATCTCAATCCCAGAATAACAGATCCTAAACTCTGAATTAGCCATGTTCAAATTATGTGGACCTTCCTGCCCACCCCCTGCAACCAAAAAAGGGCTCTAATGCAAGATTTACCTCCTTTTAAACGAATGCCCATTCCATGAATGTCCATACACTACACCTTCTGTGCTAAGTGGTAACAGCCAAGCTGGGATTAAAGAAATGCGGTAGATAATGCGTAAGTCTGATAATTAAGTCACTGTGTGTACACTTGAATGTGTGCACAAAAGGTATGGGTAATTAAGTCGCTATCTGATATCTCCCAGCATCATCTATGGTTCTAATAAGAAAAGAAGACATAATTACTCATCCTCAGTAAGTTTTTATTACAAAGGAGGAGAAATAGCTTCTTGTTACTTTTAATCCATTTTTAAGAAAATAAATTTGGTGGAGGGCGGGCAATCTCAATGGCAAGTGGAACCTAAGATGAAGTTAATTTCTCTGCAGCCCTTCTGCTGCTGTACTGTCGGGGAAGGCATGAGTAAAGGGTAGTGAGTGGCAAACAACTTATGAGTACAGACCAGGGATCAGAGAGAAATTCCAAGTGTTTTTCCTCCAGCTGCTCACATTTGACAATAAAACAACAAGAGGGATATGGTATTAAACGATAAATAACTTGGCCCCCACATTCACAGCAATAATGGAAATGTGCATTCTCCAAGGTAACTAGTAGTATGCATCCTTAGCTATTCCACATTCAGAACTAGTACTTAGAAAGTAGGCTGTTGGGGACACAAATGATACAGCAGCATTATCATCTATGCAGAGCCGTAACAATATGTCGAGCCCAGCTAACCATCACCTGAAACACTTTAACATCCCTAACTATCACCCCCAACTCTAAGGAATCTCTGTATCTGGCTTAACTTTAAGGACAATTTTCCAAGTTTTAATAAACAGTTAAGGAACCAAAATGAATCAATGTTATTAACCCAAAATAGTACTTATAGCTACATATACTACCTAGAAACTCATTTGGTATAAGTAACAGCTGAAACACCTATGTAACTTTAGGAAACCAAAAGCATGTTTTCCTCTACTGTATGAATGACGGCAATGCAAGAATCCACACTGAATTTCCATGGAGAATATTACAGGAGTGAGTTTGCTTACTTATCTGTGAATAAAGAAAGGTAGTAACTGCTACAAGGAACTACTTACTATACAAGGAACTCCTCAGTGTTATACTGAATGAAAATTACTGTCTCCATGACCTTGTTAGCATTCTCAGACTCCATGATTATTTCCAGATGGCAAATTATTTGTATTATACTTCTTAATGCCTGGGTTTCCATAAAAATATGATTTGTTTTTCATAAACGCACAAAAGAAATCATTTCTTTTAGATCTAAAAGCGAATGCCCTTCTTGTCAATCCTATTCAGAATGTTCTCCAAAGAAGACTGACATCCAATAATGCCACAAGTTGTCTGTCACTTAGAATCTAACTAAGATCACTGAGGGAATGAACAATATTTTATACTTCTTCAGTCTCTCTTTAAGTGCTGAGTTCCATAAAGAACACAAAGAAGGTATTCAGTAAATGCCTGTGGAAGGCCCTGATTATAGCCCAAAACATTCCTATTTGCACTCTGTGATATAATGCTCCTCAATGATATTGACTCATTCAGAACAAAACCCTCAAAGTAACTAAGTCACATGGTGACCTCTAAAAGCTATGGGAGGGCAGCAGAAGGGTTGGAGATGTTAACCTAGGCTCTTTCCATTGCAATTCATGAAGATCCACTCAAGCTAGCCCAGATGAGAGCTCTCTACTCAGAGTGAACAGGATAATCTAAGAATCCTGTGGGAAGAACATCAGTGCAGTGGGACCCAGGAGAGTCAAGGAAGAGACGGCTGTGCACGCACTTCCCTTGGCAGTCTGCTGCCCTTCCCACAGCTTCCCTGTCCTCTGCTTTTCCGAGTTTCCTTCCCTAGCAAGTGAGCTTGCCTATGTCAGCCCTAACCTTGCTCTTGTCATTCAGGTAATTCTTTTTTTATTTTTAATTTCTACAGACATATTAGGGGTAATTCTTGAATTATCCATTCACCTTTCCCCTCTACTAACTGCCTCAGTCTCTCAGTTTCTCAACTCTAAATTCTAAAAATGAAATTTGGCTCAATTAATCTTTTCATGCCAGGCCACAAGGATCACAGACTGTCATTCCGAATTACTAGACCTTCAAAAAGCTAAATAAAGACTTTGCCAGCTATTTTACTAATTAGTTCAGAAATCTACGGTGCGAAGCGACCTTTTTAATCAACAATACTTCTTTCTCCTGCTTCTAAGTATGCACTGTCCATAATTCTACCCTGCCTCTTCTGCTCGCCTGAGCTCCTGCTTTTGACTACTTGTTCCATAAATACTTTGGTCAGCGCATTCAAACAAAATCAGACATCTCCGTTTGTAAATAAGCCCAATCAAATGAATACTTCCTAAGAGAATGAAAGCTTCCTAACAGAATACATAATTCCTACCTTTAAAACCTCAGCTCAGTTAGGAACTTAACTGCTTGATACTATCATAGCCTCCACCTACCCTGTGGAAGCATGGGCTCGAAATACACCTACTAGTGTAGGATGGTGGTGTCCTTATGTGTTTTGATGGTTGAATATTAATAAAGCAGAAGCCATGGATCCTATCCCCATAGGCAAGATAACCACACAACCTATCATCCACACTCAGACATTTTTGAGAGTGAAAGGGGAGGCTGTTTAATAGTCTGGCAGGACAACAGACAGGGATCAGGACATAGAGGCAGCTGTGTTCTATACCACAGACTCGATTCTAAGGGAATGCAGCAGCAGAATTGAGAAGACGACCCAGGTCCCCACATAAAATACAAAGACCCTTCTCCTTATCTCACATAGAGCTATTTCATGAAATGTGACCTAAGGCCCTCGGTCCAATAAACTGCCATTATTCTAGTCTCAGTGACTGGCGGTACATGTCTCCTCCTCCCCACGCCTCACCTCATTAGCTTTTGTTGTCTTTAACATCGTAATCATACCTACTAATGTGTATCATAAAGGGCATTCACCCAGTTATTTTTACAGTGCCCAAACATACTTTATACACAAAATTTCACCGTGGCAAAGGGATTCTCATTTATAGTATAAACAATGAAACACGTCTCTCAGTTATAACCCCAAACCAACTTTTTATTTTGTGATTATTAAAAAGATAAAATACCTAATTACTCAACATTTCAAAGCTATTGGGTTTTTGTTTCTTTCATTGCTCCACTAGTCATGTTATTTGCTGTGAGCAAAATCAAATTCAATTTCTTCTTCTTTTTAAAATCTCACAGAGAAACAAAGCTTATTTCCTCCTGCTCATGTTTTTCCCTTATAGCTTCAGTAAACTGAAGGAGAAAAAAATCTTGATCATTCTCATCTATTTGATTATCTTTTAATAAGTACAGAGAAGTAAGAAAATAAGACAGTGGAAATAACTATATTTATTCCCAGAGCAAATATTTCATCATCTGTTGTTCTTACACAACTATGAGGATGTGCCGAATACAGAACCTCAAACAAAAACATGAGAAACAGCAGTGTGTGATTTAGAAAAAGGCATCTAAACATACTGCACCCTACTTCCCACATATTTTTGTAGATAGCTTTAATGTGTTGTATTAGACCAATACTGACAACAGAAGCTTCAGCTTTTATTGCTGTTAACACCCTGAGCAATTACCGTAACTCAGCAGGAACTTCTGCCCAGAACAGCAACTATCACATTGTAATCAGCATTTCATAAGAGATGCCTGTTCAAACATGAAGGCACCTGCTAATGTGCAAAAACTGTACAAACGGGGGCTCAAGATCTAATAGGTAAAATAAAAATATTTACAATTTTATTTCACAGCTATATATTTTTCATGGTGCACTGATGTTTGGTTTAGTAAAAATCACACACAAAGACAATGGGCAGGAAAAGGGCAGTAGCAGCAGCCACTACCAGAACAAAACTCTTCAGGAATAAGGCTGTACCCGTATTTCAGGTGTCAGTGCTGTATCTGTTAAAAAAAAAAAAACACACTTTGGAAGGAAAGATACAATAAGTAGCAAAGACCTCTAAAAATGGTTTTTAAAAATTCATATAGACATAAAAATTGGATAGAAAGCATTTGATTTACAAGATTAAGCTGCGAGGCCACCTTGCAATGCAACCAGAAAAGGTAAAAGCCGCCTATCAAGAATAGACCCATCTTAGAAGTAAATAACACATTTGACTTCATCTTAAAACAGTAAGCATGCAATAACTTAAGCAATAACTTTTTAACAAAGAAAAATAATGTGACTTTTTTTTTTTTACTGAATATACTAATTTGGTACTTGGGCCATTAAAAATGATAAAAAACAAAGGAGATGCAGAGAAAGATCTTTTCAAACTACATTTCTTTAGACTGAAATATCACATACAACATATGTCAGAAAACAAACATTGTCGAATTACAAAGCGTGTTGGAAATAACAGCATTCACAGATAGTGATACACATCTCTACAAAGCTAAGGAATTAGGAATTCTCTACCCTTAAGAGTACAGATAGTGGTTCACAATCTTCAAAGTACTAGGGTCCCTTGTAAGATCAAAATGTTTCAAAAGATTCCCAAATGATACTACTTCAGTAGTATTTCAAATACCAATTGTTTGAGGAAAATAACAAACAAACGGTGGTTCCTGCCAGGCATGGCAGCTCACATTTGTAATCCCAGCGCTTTGGGAGGCCAAAGCAGGCAAATCACTTGAGGTCAGAAGTTGGAGACGAGCCTGGCCAACATGGTGAAACCCTGTTCTCTGCTAGAAATACAAACCCTGTTCTCTGCTAAAAAATACAAATATAAAAATAACAGCCGGTTGTACTGGCACGCACCTGTAATCCCAGCTACTCGGGAGGCTGAGGCAGGAGAATCATTTGTTTCTGGGAGGCAGAGGCTGCGGTGAGCCAAGACTGCACCACTGCACTCCAGCCTGGGTGACAGAGCAAGACTCTGTCTCAAACAACAACAACAACAAATAGTGGTTCTTAACTGTGTATTGCTTTTAAATAAGTGAAATTTTTAAAAATCATAAAAGCATACTGAAAACAGGCTGAAAAATCGTTGTCCAGACGTGTGAGATCAATTCATTTATATAAAGCTTAGCATGTTTATTTGCAGACCTCTGCCAAATCTCTGCAGACATCCAGCGATCCAAAGCCTAAAGTGTGAGAACCACTGGCCCTAAAAAAGCGATTTCATAATGAGGAACATCAACACTTATATATTCAGGAAGAATTTTTAATGAGAAAGTACAGCAGCTATGTCCTCGCTTCTGCAACACATGCACTAAAACTGGAAAGAAAGTATAACAGCTTTACCACGCCCAAGCCAGACTTCTTTCAACCGCTACCCCGGGAAACCCCCACAACAATTTCAACATATGCTCTACACCTGCCGAAATATTGAAGGAAGTGACAGATTTCCACTGGAAACTATTCTCTGACCCGTTTATATTATTTCCCCTACTCATCAATTTACTGAATTTACTTTACTTTAGGCTCTTAACAATGGCTGAGAAGAAACAACCTACTTCAGAAATTCAAGGGACTACCCGAAATTGTCAAAACAGTTACTAAAGGGATAAAAACTTCAGAAATATTGTTTACAATATAAGCATTATGAGAGTAAGTGTTACAAAGCTGAAAAGATGGAACTGGTAACCCTCATTTCAGTGCTACTGCCACGAGGCAGTTAGCACTCAAAAGGTGAACTGGTAACCACGTCAACAGCGATGGAGTAACAATAAGAGATAGCCAATGGAACTGGAAAAAGAGAGAATACAGAGCAGAGCGAACAGCACATTAAAAATGCTTACCAGTTTGAAGTCTTGAATGCTACAGATGAAATACAGTGTGTTTGGCCTCCAACTCTCGATATACACACAGTCTTTAAAAGAAAAAGAAATTTTAACACAATGGAATTTACCTTTAAGGAACAAAGACAGGGCCCATAAAGCCACTGCATAAATGACAAAGCATATATCTTTTATTGTAAATTTTTTTCCAAAAGATGATATTAAATTGCAAACATCTTTAGGCTAAAGGAAAACAGCCCTTTGGTTCTTTCTGATTATTTTTCTAATAATTTAAAGAATCTGATGAAGCCTAAATTATTTTCTTCAGAGTCCCTGAAGAAGGGGAGGATTCCAAGGGATTATCTATATTCAGATGAAGACATTTAGATAAAAGAAACCGCTTGCTCAAGATCACACATCAAGATGAAATCTTGAGTATCTTATTCAGATAGATGCTCACATGTCTTCAAAAAAGAGAAACGTGCTACTATATTTGTAATAAATATTTTGTGAGGAAATAAATACGCAAAGATGACTAGCTTGAACATGCTACTACAATGACCTTTTCAGCTAATCAAAAAGAGAAAGAAAACTAATCTCTTATAGACAATTTGCCATTAAATTGTACTCTAAACACATTTTATTTTCTAATTGTAAACAAAACCAATGCCACTAATCAGAGATGGAATAAAGTAAACCAAACTGCATTTTCTTCAGGGAAGAAGGGTGCTTTCTTAAATTACATTTGACATGGCAGTGGTTGGAAGATAATTTTTGATTCTCTCAATGACTGGAGTGTAAAGCATTGCTTTTTTTTTTTTTTTTTTTGGCTGGTCTCCAACTCCTGGGCTCAAGCAATCCTCCCACCTCAGCCACCCAAAGTGTCAGGATTACAGGCATGAGCCACCATGCTTGGCCAAGGTTGCTTTTTAAAATGCCATGTTAAGACACTTAAATAAAAAGCAATGATTTTAAGGAAAGCAGTGGCTATAGAGAGAGTTAACCTCCTCCTACCCCCATATCACAACCTGAGATCATCATAAAGCTTAGGTCAGGAAAGTCTATGTATTATTTATTGAAAAGTAAAGGCACAGTCAATCAAATCTAGTAAGAGTGACCATAATGCCTCATTCATTCATTCATTTTGCATAGACAGGGCCTCACTATGTTGCCCAGGCTAGTCTCAAACTCTTGGGCTCAAACTATCCCCCTGCCTCGGCCTCCCAAAGTGCTGATCTACCTAGTGCTAAATGACGAGTTAATGGGTGCAGCATACCAACATGGCACATGGATACATATGTAACAAACCTGCACATTGTGCACATGTACCCTAAAACTTAAAGTATAATAATAAAAAAAAAGAGTTAACATATTTTGTTCCTTTCCCATGATTTAGATGTGCATACGCCCTAAACAAGCAATCTGTGGTAACTCTGATTCTTCAGTCACTAAGAAATTCTTACTGCCCAATAGCTGAGTCTAAATCAAAGATAAATACAGACAGTACTGTAACCTACACACATCATTTAATCCTCACAGCAGATTTTTAACTGCTCTAAAACCTCCACTCTGATCAATTTATATCACACGAATACCTTCTCAGTTAATCTTCAACCAAGAAATTGTAGTTGTGAATGCAAATTTGTCTGTATTAAGTTCTAGCACTGACTTTTTTGTGTGTGGGGGGGAGAGGGGTGGAGATAGGGTTTTGCTCTGCTGCACAGGCTGGAGTGCTATAATGTGAATGGGGCTTACTGCAGCCTTGCCCTCCTGAGCTCAAGAGATTCTTCTACCTCAGCCTCCTGAGTAGCCGGGACTACAGTCTCATCACACTCCCAGCTAATTTTTTACTGTTTTGTAGAGATACGGTCTCACTATGTTGCCCAGGCAGGTCTCCACATTGCTCAAGCAATCCTCCCGCCACCTCAGCCTCTCAAAGTGCTGGGATTACAGTCATGAGCCACTGCGCTCAGCCCCACTGACATCTTTTGAAATTTAAAAAACTCCTGTGTGGGAGAATGAAAATCTGGAACTTGATGTGAAGTTCAGAACAGTAACAGCATTCCTCAGTAAAATGATTGTTCCAGATTATGGACATAACACAGTAAAGCATTTTAATCTCTTTCTCAGAAAAACATAAAAATGGGCAGCTTTAATCTGCTAATTACATCTCATATGAAATTCATGTCACTCTTCAACAGTAAAAGTAACTCAAACAAAATGATTTCACCTAGGTTTTACTGGCTTCTGTAAGAAAATATCTTGTTTTTTTTTTTTTTTTTCTTTTGAGACAGGGTCTTGCTCTGTCGCCCAGGCTAGAATGCAGTGGTGCAATCATGGCTCACTACAGCCTCGACCTCCCAGACTCAAGTGATGCTCCTGCCTCAGCCTCCTGAGTAGCTAGGACTACAGGTGTATGCCACCAGGCCCAGCTAATTTGTAAAAATTTTTTGTAGAGATGAGGTCTCACCATGTTACCCAGGCTGGTCTTGAACTCCTGGGCTCAAGCAATCCTTCTGTCTCCGCCTCCCAAAGTGCTGGGATTACACTGTGCCCAGCCTAAAAAAGGTGTCTTAATACACACAATACATCAAATGAAAAGGAAAGGCTTTGCTAGTGTTCAACAGGTTTTGACTCACTTGTTTCCCTGATCTCATCTAAAAGTTGAGTCTGTCTTTTTTTGAGCAATGCTGTAAGCCACAATATACTGGCATGACCATAATACATTTTCCGGAAAACCAAGCAGGTTAGATGACTTCTTCTATTATCGTTGATTAGACAGCCTGAAGCTCAAATTTTTGGAAAAGGAAGTTAGCAGGAGCAATAAATCTCTGATCTTCAGGCCTTTTTTTTTTTCTTTTTTGAGACAGAGACTCGCTCTGTCGCCCAGGCTGGAGCGCAGTGGCGTGATCTCGGCTCACTGCAACCTCCAACTCCTGGGTTCAAGCAATTCTCCTGTCTCAGCCTCCCAAGTAGCTGGGATTAGAGGTGCACACCACCGAGCCCAGCTAATTTTTGTATTTTTAGTAGAGACAGGGTTTCATCATGTTGGTCAGGCTGGTCTCGAACTCCTGACCTCAGGTCATCCACCCACCTCAGCCTCCCAAAGTGCTAGAATTGCAGGTGTGAGCTACCATGCCTGGCCTAAAGGCCATTTTTAAAAAGTACCTCTCTAGAGTCTGGTCGATCCTGTCCCAAGGTAAAATTTCCTGTTTCCAAGAATCTTAAGGTTTACTTGTCTCCACCAAGCAGTCAATTCTGCAGGGTCACCACAGTCTCATTTATGATTGAAGATTAAAAACCAAGCATGAATTCAAAAGACAAAAAAATACTAAGCAGATGGTCAAGTTAGAGAACAAGCAGCATAGGAAAATAAGAAAAGAACTCATGAATGCATAAACCAGGACACAAGACCAAATTAAGGCAGACACAAGCAAGAAGTGGGTAAACCTAACTGACCAAAAGTGGGTCACATGTTTACCAAATTAAGTTTCCTACTCTTCTAGATTCCAAGCCTTCCTTAAAGTGTACAAAGTGTATTTATTTCACCTTAATGCTAAGATCATTCCCCCATTGTAAACACTGGCAAGACCCAAATGTAAGGCTCCTTACCTCCTGGTCTGTAGACAACATCATCTTCAGTGATGTAGGATGTTATCTCGCCGGTATCTGTCCTTTCATAACGAGACGTTTTCTTCGGTGGTTTCTTCTTGTTCTTCTTCGTGGACTCCTCTGTGGTGGCACTATTGTTGTCATTGTCCTCGTCTTCACTGTGATCACTCTCAGCATAATTTTTGGCTCCTCCTTCCAAGGTACAGCTCCGGCGTGGCCTTGAATTCTCACTCTCTCTTGCTTTGTCTCTTTTCTCTCTCTCTCAGTCCCAGTCTCAGTCCCGGTCCTTCTCTTTGTCTTTGTCTGCTGTCATGATTCGCCACATGCCTTCTTCTGTCCTCTCACGGCTAGGCCTCCGTGAAAGGTAGACAGTAAGCCTGGGCTTCAGTCTTCTGAATTTCTCACTCAATTCCAGGGAAAATCCAACCACTCCAACAACCCCAATGTTTCAAAAATGCTAGGAGAGAAAAAAGAATGGTTTTAATGCTTTTTCATATTTGTTTCCTAAAATAATGTTTTGTTAAATGAATCTCTTACTTGTTCACGCTTTACACCTAAAAACTTCACACAAGCCACAGGAGAAAAATTAAGTGTTAAAATTTTAAAAATACAGTTTTTGGTCTCAGCAAATGGTCTGGGGTTTTCTACGACACCAATAATAAAAACTGTCTGAATGCCTAAGAGTAAACTACACTTCCTCTACCTTACATGTTTTCTCCTTTTTAAAGAAAAAGCAAAGCAATACCCTGGTTGACAACATATATTGGATATTATTATACAAAAGGAGCTTCATAACCCATAATATTAATTTAAAGAGGAAAGAATCTATAGTAAAAATTATTTCCAGGCCAGGCACTGTGGTTCATGCCTTGTAATCCCAGCATTTTGAGAGGCCAAGCCAGAAGGACCACTTGAAGCCAGGAGTTCAAGACCAACCTTGGCAACAAAGCGAGATCCCATCTCCAACATAAAATAAAATATTTCTACCTGAAAAAATAGTAATAGTTTGCAGCACTGTCAAAAATGTCTCAGGATAGGCCAGGCACGGTGGCTCACGCCTGTAATCCCAGCGCTTTGGGAGGCCGAGGCAGGTGGATCATGAGGTCAGGAGATCGAGATCATCCTGGCTAACATGGAGAAATCCTGTCTCTACTAAAAAATACAACAAAAATTAGCTGGGTGTGGTGGTGTGCGCCTGTAGTCCCAGCTACTCAGGAGGCTGAGGCAGGAGAATGGCGTGAACCCAGGAGATGGAGCTTGTAGTGAGCTGAGATCGCACCATTGCACTTCAGCCTGGGCGACAGAGCGAGAGACTCTTGTCTCAAAAAAAAAAAAAGAAAAAAAGAAAAAAAAGGCTCAGGATATTGCATAGAGCACTATATTCTAAAGATATTTTCTGGCTACTTCTACAAACTCCCAGAACTTCCTTCAAGAATAAAAATAATATTTAACTCAAACGAAAGTGAGAGATTCAGAGCAAGATTTTTCCACCTTCAGTTACATTTTACACATCTTTTCATCCTACCATTTTCAGTTATGTTCCAAGGAAAATGATCTCTCTAAAGATGTATTACTGGCCAGGCATGGTGGCTCACACCTGTAATCACAGCACTTTGGGAGGCCAAGGCGGGGGGATCACGTGAGGTCAGAAGTTCGAGACCAGCCTGGCCAACGTGGTGAAACCCTGTCTCCACTAAACACAAAAAGTAGCTGGGCACGGTGGCACACGCCTATAGTCCTGGCTACTTGGGGAGGCTGAGGCAGGAGAATCGCTTGAACCTAGGAGGCAGAGGTTGCAGTGAGCCGAGATCACACCACTGCACTCCAGTCTGGGCGAAAGACTCCGTCTCAAAAAAGAAAAGAAAATGTATTATCTCTGCCTTAACAAAACCTAACAGCTTCCAGAAACAACCTTCCATCTTTCGGGAATATTAAGTGGTTTTTACAGTCTTCCAAATTTCTACTATAAATGGTATCCCTAATAAAGTCCTCCCCAAAAAGAAACCCAACAAGAAAAGTCTGAGGTTTTTAAGCATCTGCAATGGGAAAAGTGAATCCCAAACTCCAACCCAACACAGTTCTTACAAATATTTTATAGCAGGAAAGAATTTTGTCTTTCTAAGTCAGTTTTGGAATAGACCTAACAATAAATTTATAAATAAATAATTCATCTTTTGTTTTTCTTATGATCTTCCCCAATACCCTATCTCACTTATTCCACAAATCTTTACTAAATACTATGTGCCAGATGTTAGAACTAAAACCACAATGGAGGAGAAAACTCATGGTCCTTGTTCTCAACGCTCAAATGCAACAAAAGGAGGCAACTGATCAATCTAAGAAGCTTCTGTTTCTCATGCAACTAGGGCGAGAAAGGAAACAGTGCATATAAACAAACAAAAGATTGGTCCTCTTTATTTAACAACCACAAACAAATCGGTTTGCAGTTATATGCTTCAGATGCAGAGAAAATTCTCTTTGGTCAGCCAGGCATGGTGGCTCATACCTGTAATCCCAGCACTTTGGGAGGCCGAGGTGGGCGGATCAAGAGGTCAGGAGATCGAGACCATCCTGGCTAACACGGTGAAACCCCATCTTTACCAAAAATACAAAATATTATCTGGGCGTGGTGGTGGGCGCCTGTAGTCCCAGCTACTCGGGAGGCTGAGTTAGGAGAACCACTTGAACCCAGGCGGCAGAGGTTGCAGTGAGCTGAGATCACGCCACTGCACTCCAGCCTGGGCAACGAGACTCCATCTCAAAAAAAAAAAGAAAGAAAAAAGAAAATTCTCTTTGGTCATGCTAAAACCGTAACAATTACCATATATTCTCTGCAGCGCTGTTAGGTCAAACCTCATGCCAGAAAAGACCTCCTCATAAGCATCTCAAATATCCTTAGACATTCAGCAAAATAGAAAGTATTTAGTCTTTGGGAGATAGGTGATGAAGGAGCAATCATGCATCATAAGCTACATTAGAAAAAGGAACGCATGTAGCACAAAACTAGATTACTTCCTTCTATGTAAGAAACATGCTTTCAAATAGGATTTCCATTTTCTAAACATATTTCAAGAAAAGGAAAAATTATCACTGCCTACAAAAGTTTTGCCCAGATCAACCGTCTGCTAAACAGATATTTATAAACTCCAAAGTCCTGGTAGGCTACTAGTGCTAGCAACTGAAAATACAGAGACGTACTACTTCCTCGACCAGTCTTAAGTTTAGAGCATGAACGAGCCAATCATGAAAGAAAGAAAATTATCAGGCCAGGGGCGGTGGCTCATGCCTGTCATCCCAGCACTTTGGGAGGCTGAAGCGGGCGGATCACCTAAGGTCAGGAGTTCGAAGCCATCCTGGCCACCATGGTGAAATCCTGTCTCTACTAAAAATACAAAAATTAGCTGGGTGCGGTGGTGGGCGCCTGTAATCCCAGCTACTCGGGAGGCTGAGGCAGGAGAATCGTCTGAACCCAGGAAGCGGAGGTTGCAATGAGCCGAGATTGTGCCATTGCACTCCAGCCTGGGAGACAGAGCGAGACTCTGTCTCAAAATAAAAAACAAACAAACAATGATCAGCTAACACCATTGTTAAAATGTTCCTCTTTGACCCTGAAAACTCATCAGTGTCTACTGGGAGTCCAAAAAGAATAAAAAGCTTGGGCTGAAAACCTCTCCACTGCAACTGCAGTTTCGGACAGAAACACTTCTGATAACTTTAAGATGGAGCACCCAACACAAGAATGGATGGATGGATGGATGGATGGATGTGTGGATGAAACGATGGAAGCAGGGATGGATGACGGATGAGTGGGTGCATGAATGGAAGGATGGATAAATGGATGGACGGGTGGAGTGGGTGGATAGGTAGAATGGATGGGTAGATGGATAGAATTGGTGGGTGGGTGGATAGTGTGGGTGGGGGGATGAATAGTGTGGGTGGGGGGTGGGTGAATAGGGTGGGTGGGTGGGTGGGTGGATGGATAGTGTGGGTGGGTGTGTGGATGGGTGGATAGATAGGGTGGGTGGGTGGATAGATAGGGTGGGTGGGTGGATAGATAGGGTGGGCAGGTGGGTGGATAGATTGGGTGGGTGGGTGGGTGGATGGATGAATAGGATAGGTGAGTGGGTGGGTGGGTGGGTGGATAGTGTGGGTGGATGGGTGGATAGATAGGGTGGGTGCGTGGGTGGATGGATGAATAGGATAGGTGGATGGGTGGATAGATAGGGTGGGTGGGTGGATAGATAGGGTGGGTGGGTGGATAGATAGGGTGGGCAGGTGGGTGGATAGATTGGGTGGGTGGGTGGGTGGATGGGTGGATAGATAGGGTGGGTGCGTGGGTGGATGGATGAATAGGATAGGTGGATGGGTGGATAGATAGGGTGGGTGGGTGGATAGATAGGGTGGGCAGGTGGGTGGATAGATTGGGTGGGTGGGTGGGTGGATGAATAGGATAGGTGAGTGGGTGGATGGGTGGGTGGATAGTGTGGGTGGATGGATGAATAGGATAGGTGGATGGGTGGAAAGATAGGGTGGGTGGGTGGGTGGATAAATTGGGTGGGTAGGTGGGTGGATGGATGAATAGGATAGGTGGGTGGGTGGATAGATAGGGTGGGTGGGTGGATAGATTGGGTGGGTAGATAGGGTGGGTGGATAGTGTGGGTGTGTGGGTGGGTAGATAGGGTGGGTGGGTGGATGGATGAATAGGATAGGTGGGTGGGTGGGTGGATGGATGACAGGATAGGATAGGTGGGTGGGTGGATGGACAGTGTGGGTGGGTGGGTAGATAGACAGGGTGGGTGAGTGGATGGATGATAGGATAGGTGGGTGGGTGGATGGGTGGGTGGGTGGATGGACAGTGTGGGTGGATAGACAGGGTGGGTGAGTGGATGGATGAATAGGATAGGTGGGTGGGTGGATGGATGATAGGATAGGTGGGTGGGTGGATGGGTGGGTGGGTGGATGGGTGGTTGGGTGGATGGACAGTGTGGGTGGGTGGGTGGATAGACAGGGTGGGTGGGTGGATGAATAGGATAGGTGGGTGGGTGGATGGGTAGGTGGGTGGATAGGATGGGTGTGGGAGTGGTGGATGGTGGATAGACAGGTGGGTGGATAGGATAGTGGATGATGGGTGGGTGGATAGGATGGGGGATGGTGGGTGGGTGGATAGGATGGGTATGGGGGTGTGTGGATAGGATGGGTGTGGGGGTGGTGCATGGATGGATACATGGATGATTCAGAGATCAAATTAAATTGTCCTCAGCAACAACATTAAAAAACAAAAAATAGAAGAACAAGAAACTGTTCCCTTCTCTGAGGAGGCAGCCGTAGCAGAACTAACTGATTAAAAACCACCTCCTGAATTTTATGAGCATCAGAAAAGTCCAACTCCAAATTGGGCCATTCTGAGACAATTAAGTCAAAATATGTGAATTCATTTACACAAATATGGGAAGAAAAGGAGCTCCTGGTGAAATGAGAGGAGAGGTTTGCAGGGCCCTGAGGAAGAGGCAGGGGATGCCACCCAAGGGTCAGGGACCTGGAGACGCTGCAGGCCCTGTGGAGGGAGGGGCAGCTGGAGTCAACCAGAGAGGACACCAAGGGGGCAGTGGGCACAAGGAGTGAGAGAAGAGGGAGGTGAGGCAAGAGTCCCCCCACTCTTAGGGGTTGGGGGAAAAAAGGTAAATATGTGAGTATATATAAAAGACAATATTTTCCTCGTAATTTTTTTAAAGGTACATTCATACTGAAGCAAACAACAATACTATATATATTGTGATGTCTATAGCATAGATGTAATATGTACACTTGCCACAGCAAGGACCGGGAAGGCACCTGGTTGCAAGACAGTGACCAGCTTCTTACACTGCACAAGGCGGGGTACAGTATTAACTCTAAGCAGACTGTGGAAAGTTCAGTATCTACAGTGTCATCTCCAGACCAGCCACTAAAATCATGCAACAAAGGAAGCCAACAGATAAAAAATGGAATTCCATGAATCTGCTTAAATGAAGTTTTAGAAATGGCAAAACTAATCAATGGTGGAAAAGAAACAGAACAGAGGGAGAAAGAGTTTTTAAGGCCTGGGGGTTGGGGGTGGGAGAAGGTGGGAACTGACTGGAAAATGGTGGGAGGGAATTCTCTGGGCAATGGTCATACCGCACAAAACCCCATCAAGGCTTATTGCTTCTGTCAAAACTGAAGTGGTGGCCGGGCATAGTGGCTCACGCCTGTAATCCCAGCACTTTGCGAGGCTGAGGAGGGCAGATCACAAGGTCAGGAGTTTGAGACCAGCCTGACCAACACGGTGAAACCTTGTCTCTAATAAAAATACAAAAATTAGCAGGGCATGGTGGTGCGTGCCTCTAATCCCAGCTACTCAGGAGGCTGACGCAGGAGAATTGCTTGAACCTGGGAGGCAGAGGTTGCAGTGAGCCAAGATCGCTGCATTGCACTCTAGCCTGACAGAGCGAGACTCCATCTCAAAAAAAAAAAAAAAACTAAACCAAAAAAAACTGAACTGGTGAAAACACTCAGATGACACACTTAAAATATGTGCATTTCACTAAATGTAGGTTTTACCCTTAAATGAAAAGAAAAAAAGGAACCCCAACAAAATATTAGACTGCGGTACTGAGGACTATCAGTTACACACTCTGTGCTGAATGAATAAAAACGAGCCGCTGGGGCGAAGGCAGGGAGAGGAGCTTTGTCACCAAGAACATGGATCCCGCCCAGGGCCGGCCGCGCACTTGGGGCAGCCCCGGGCATCAGCAGAGCTGGAAGAAGCCGGGGATGAGGTCACACTCCCTACTTCTACCAGCCGCAGAGTCTGGGGCTCTCTTCCTCGTCTCATTTCATATTCCTCAGGTTCTTCCTCTCACTTTAAATGATTAAGTCAACACATAAACAATTTTAACTTCACATAATAAAAATAGCCACTCACTGATGTCATCTTTGTCAAATTATTTATACTTAACCTCTCTGTGTCTGTTTTCTTATTGCTAAAATGGGGACAAAAATAGAACCTAACTCATGGAGCTGTTATGAGGATTAAATGAAATACATGCGACACCCTCAGAGCAGCCTCCTGCACCTGGGGAACACCGACACACCCCCACCGCATCCCCCTGCAGCCTGCTGCCCCTCACCACACACACCTGGGGAACACTCACATGCCTCCACCACATGGCTCCCCTGAGTCTGCTGCCCCTCACCGCACACACCTGAAGAACACTGACACGCCCCCACCGCATCCCCCTGAGCCTGCTGCCCCTCACTGCATCACACCTGGGTAACACCGACATGCCCCCACCGCATCCCCCTGAGCCTGCTGCCCCTCACCGCACACACCTGCAGAACACTGACACGCCCCCACCGCATCCCCCTGAGCCTGCTGCCCCTCACCGCATCACACCTGGGTAACACCGACATGCCCCCACCGCATCCCCCTGAGCCTGCTGCCCCTCACCGCATCACACCTGGGGAACAATGACACGCCTCCATCGCATCCCCCTGAGCCTGCTGCCCCTCACCGCATCACACCTAGGTAACACCGACACGCCCCCACCGCATCCCCCTGAGACTGCTGCCCCTCACCACATCACACCTGGGTAACACCGACATGCCTCCACCGCATCCCCGAGCCTGCTGCCCCTCATCGCATCACACCTGGGGAACAATGACACGCCTCCACCGCATTGCTCCCAAGTCTGCTGCCGATCACTGCACGTGCCTAAAACACTGACACGCCCCCAGGCATCACTCCTCTCTGTAGCCTGCTGCTCCTCACCTCATATCTTTATTAGCAATTGTAAAAGGAAAAATAACATTGATAAATTAACTTCCTCAATACAATATTAATGGTATGCTGGTTTAAAAGCCTTCCACCTATTTAAAAAACAACCCACACATATAAGTGCTTTGAGAAATGACACACTGCACGACGTGTGGCACAATGCAATGTGGAAAGTTCAGAATCTACACTGTCATCCCTAGACCAGCCACTAAAATCACGCAGCCAACAGGAATTCCATGATTCTGCTTAAATGAAGTTTTAGAATAGGCGAAACTGATCAGTGGTGGAAAAGAAACAGAATCGAGGAAAAGAATAGAAAAAAGGCCCGGGAGTCGGGGTGCAGTGAAGGCAGGAACCGACTGGAAAATAGCCTGAGTTCTCACATATGAAAGATACTCTACCAGGAACCTGGAGTCAGGAGAATCTCCCAGAGGTGGCGTGCAAGTTCTGTGAGTATCTATTTGTGTCCGGGTGGAGTTTACACACCACACAGTCCTTCCCATACAACCTAAATACTCCGTGCTTTCAAAGTATCTCATTAATTTTACTAATTTTTTTTTTTTTTTTGAGACGGAGTCTTGCTGTTGCCCAGGTTGGAGTGCAGTGGCGCCATCTTGGCTCACTGCAACCTCTGCCTCCCGGGTTCAAACGATTCTCCTGCCTCAGCCTCCTGAGTAGCTGGGATTACAGGCGCCCGCCACCACGCGCGGCTAATTTTTGTATTTTTAGTAGAGATGGGGTTTCACCATATTGGTCAGGCTGGACTCAAATTCCTGACTTTGTGATCTGCCTGCCTCGGCCTCCCAAAGTGCTGGGATTACAGGTGTGAGCCATAGCGCCTGGCCAATTTTACTAATTTTACTAATAACTAGGTTGTTAGTATTATTCTCAGGCTTCTAAATTTTATTAAAATGCCCAAAACAGAGTAGGGGTGAGGGTTGTTCCTCTTCCCCATACACTAAATCTCTTCCTATTTCAAACAGTTTAATCTTTTTTCAAGTCTAGACTATAATCCTTCTAGCACTAGTTCCTATATATACATGTTTTAATCAGAGTCAGTAAGAAACCTAAGGATAGGCTGGGCGTGGTGCCTCACACCTGGAATCCCAGCACTGTGGGAGGCCGAGGCGAGCAGATCACCTGAGGTCAGGAGTTCAAGACCACCCTGACCAACATGGTGAAACCCTGTCTCTACTAAAAATACAAAAATTAGCCGGGTGTGGTGGCAGGTGCCTGTAATCCCAGCTACTCAGGAGGCTGAGGCAGGAGAGTCGCTTGAACCCGGGAGACAGAGGTTGCAGTGAGCTGAGATTGCACCATTGCACTCTAGCCTGGGTGACAATGCGAGACTCCGTCTCAAAAAAAAAAAAAAACCTAAGGATATAATTTCTTTCTGGTAATTCTATTGATGCTTTTATGCAAATGTCCCAAATAATTAAACAAATGATTCCATAATGCTCCCTTCTTAAGAGTTAATCTAATGTCACTGTTGAAAGTATAAAAGAAATACAAATGAAACCTTAATTAGAATGAGTAACACTTTTTCAATTTATTGACACTATGTAGCAAACTAAAACAGACATTACGTAGCAAACTAAAACATCGAGGCTTACCATGATTTAAAGTTTTAAAAGCATTAAATAAATATAATCCAGACAAACTTACATGCAGAACTAAAAATGTTACTCCATGGAAATCAACTCATCCACACACATGCCTCCACAGGAGACGAGGCCACCAAAGCATCATGATGCCACGCAGCTTCTTCCTAGCTCTCAGCTAACGCATTCACAACCTTGTATGCATGCAACCCAGGTAACCTAAAGCCCAACTCTCATGTCAGAGAGTTTTTCCCAATGAAAGCTTTTGTAGGCCAGTTTTTTCTTCTTCTTTTTCTTTTTTTTAAAAATAGAGATGGGGTTTTGCCCTGTTGCCAGGCTGGTCTTGAACTCCTGGCCTCAAGTGATCCACCTGCCTTGGCCTCCCAAAGTGCTGGGGTTACAGGTGTGAGCCAGTGCACACCTGGCCTTGCATGCCAGCTTTTGAAAAATATAAAGTTAAAAATAAGAAAGTAGGGCCAGGCACGGTGGCTCACGCCTGTAATCCCAGCGCTTTGGGAGGCTGAGGCAGGCGGATCACAAGGTCAGGAGATCGAGACCATCCTGGCTAATACAGTGAAACCTTGTCTCTACTAAAAATACAAAAAATTAGCCTGCCGTGGTGGCAGGCACATGTAGTCCCAGCTACTCGGGAGGCTGAGGCAGGAGAATGGCGTGAACCTGGGAGGCGGAGCTTGCAGTGAGCCGAGATCGCGCCACTGCACTCCAGCCTGGGCGACAGAGCGAGACAGTGTCTCAAAAAAATAAATAAATAAAAATAAGAAAGTAGAATACAAATGTTAAAATTCAAGTTAAACTTCACCAGAATCTACAGCTACATAATATATGAGAGGTAGTCATTGGATAAAAGCAAAAATTAAAAAGATAAAAAGTATGAGTTGGTAACAGGAGTTACTACTGTGGCCATTGAAAAGAAAAACCAAAAGGGAAAAAAGCACTTGTATTATGGCGGCTTTTCATCCACCCAACACCTCCTGCCCCTAGGTTTAACAGATGCTCTACAGGTGAGCCCCTAGTAGGTGGTAGGAACTGCTAGGCTCTAGTGATTTAAAAAGTCAGTCTCTGCCAAAGTCAAAGTCTTGGGCAGAAATAGAACACAGCACATAAGGTCTAGGATAAGGATGCAACAACAAAATGACTGGTATCTACGAACCAATAATGGGGATGGGGGTATCACAGGTAACCAGTGTCCAGTCTGAGAAAACAGCCTCTCCAAGGACACAGGAGAGAGAAAACACAGTGAGTAGGAGGAACTGCGCCCACAGACAGAGGTGTGTACGGACAGGCAGGGGGCAGATCACAAAGGCCATGGCACATCATGCTAAGACCCGTAAGCCAGAAATGAGGCTCCTGCATGCATTTGACCAGGACCATTCCAGTGACACAAGGGAACTGATGTTAGAGACTAAGAGGGGGCCAGTGAGACCAGAGGGGGTTATGGAAGCAGACCCAGGCCAGGGAGACCAAAAAGGGTTACAGTGGGCAGACCCAGGCCAGGAGACTAGAATGTTAATGAGGCTAGACCTAGGTCATGATCAGAGTTGGGCACATTAGTGTTATTTCTAAAAAGAGTTAAGGTACCAATGCTTCTAAACTATTTAATCAGAAAATAAAATGGAGCAGCTACGAAGTTGTTTCTTGTAGACTTTACACAATGACATCAACTGACTTGCATTCTAACACGGATTTCTGATCAGAAGCAAAGTGGAGTTAGGCTAGGCTGGGGCCATGCTGGTTTCCTGAAGACTATTCTAATCTATGTCCTGCTTCCCTGGCATACTGCCTCAAATCTAAGCCTACGTCCAGAGAAGTGTGCCATGTATGTGACCACCATGGCAAGTGTGGTAGGGAGAGAAACGGGGGAGAAAGGGGAAGTGGGAGGGGAAAGGAAGGAGAGGAAGAAAGGAAAGTACAGGGGGAAAGAAAGGGAAACCCTGAGGGAACACTGAACCGGGGCTGTAACGGTGTCACTGGAGACAAATCTAAAGATATTTAGGACTTGGTCATAAACCAGCTGGAGGGGATAAAAAAGGGCATCTCTATGACAGGCCTCGGCCTCTGGCTGGAGGGGATTAGAAGGGAAGGACAGAGCAGGTCAGGGTTAGTGTCTTGGTCTGTTTTGTGTTCCTGTAACAGAATACCACAGAGCAGGTAATTTATAAAGAAAAGAAATGTATTTCTTACAGTTCTGGAGGCTGCAAAGTCCAACAGTAAGAGCCTGCATCTGCTGAGGGCCTTCCTGCTGGGACATCCCATGGTGGAAGGCAGAAGGGGAAAGGGCGAGAGAGCCAGAGAGCAAGCCAGCAAGAGGAGCCCCACACCGGCCTTCACAAAAACCACTCTCAGGTGACAAGGATATTACCTCATTGTAATGGCAGTGGCAGAGCCCTCGTGACCTACCCACATCCCAACACTGCTGCACTGGGGATTAAGTTTCTAAGATGCAAACTTTGGGGGAAACATGGGAACCATGGCACGTTGGAAGACAGAAACCCGCCTTTGCCACACTGAGCTACTGGGAACCTTCAGGGGCAGCTGGAGGTCTGGTTGAGCCTTTAGGTTTTTTGGACTCATCAGTGAGACTGGCAAAACCACAGCTAAAAAGGTCACGAATTATAAAGCAAAAAGAAAGAAGAAAAAGGAGAGAAGTCTGAGGAATAATATCATCAAAAGTGCAGGAAAGCAGAGGAGAAACTGAAAACAAATGTCCAGAGAAGAGGAAAACCAGCAGTGCCAGAACTGGCGGAGGCAGCGAGATCCCAGCCGGCCCGGCACACCCAGGCTGCAGAAGCCACCATCCGGAGCAGGCGCCTCGCAGCCATATTTATTCCAAACAAACCCCCCCCAAAAAAACCCTTCCTGGGGATTCCTCTGTGTAGGAAACCCACAAGAACAAATGAGAGGTAAGAAACAAAACCAAGAGTATCCAACGAACCTGGCCAACATGAGGTCATCTGGATGGAGACATCCATGAAGCAGAACGCAGGGTCCAGAAGTGAACCCAAATAGATGTGGGAGTAAACGAGAGACAGCTCAGATCTGGGAGGGAGAGCAGAGGCTATTTAACAGATGGCACTGGGACAAATGGGCTGTCATCTGGAAAATATAAAACTAACTTTGTACCTTATACCAAATCAATTCCAGATGGATCCGTCTGATATAAAAAGAGAATGACACAAGTTCCATACCAGGCGACACTGCAGGGGGCTGTCTTTAGAATGTACGGGGCATCATGTGTATTATGTATGCACAATACATGCATATGTACAATACGTATGATGAGAAACGCATTATACATTATGAATTATGACACGAAACCCAGAAGCCACACCAAAAAGGACTGATAAATATAGCATTTAAAAAAAAAAGAAAAGAAAATAATTGCATGGCAAAGTCAAAAGACAAGATTAAAAACCCAGAAAACAAATACATGCAATTCCTACTAAAGATGATTCCTTGAAACTTATGGAGTTTCTAAAAACTAAGAACCCAGCCAGGCGCAGTGGCTCACGCCTGGAATCCCAGCACTTTGGGAGGCCGAGGTGGGTGGATCCCTTGAAGTCAGGAGCTTGAGACCAGCCTGGTCAACATGGCAAAACCCCATCTCTACTAAAAATACAAAAAAAAAAAAAAAAAAATTAGCCAGGCTTGGTGGCACGTGCCTGTAATCCCAGCTACTTGGGTGGCTGAGGCAGGAGAATTGCTTGAACCCGGGAGGCAAAGGTTGCAGTGAACCGAGATCACACCAGTGCACTCCAGCCTGGGTGACAGAGTGAGACTCCGTCTCAAATAAAGTAAAAATTAAAAAAAGAAAAGACCAACAACTCAACAGAGATGAGCAAAGGAGACAAACAGCTCACCAAATATCAATGAAATAGTTTACTTGAAACAATATTCAACCTCATTCCTAAGATAAAACTACACCACACCAGGGTAAGTCTCCACCTAACTGAATGGCTGCAACCAGCAAGTGGCTAACTCACTGGGCTCGTTAAAGGTTAGGGAAACAGGCCTTGTACATGGCTGTGGGAATTCTAAAAGCAGATCTCGGCAACAGGTAAAATAATTACAAAAGCACAGACCGTTTGACCCAACTCCACTTCCAGATTTCTACTTCACAGGTAGACTTACCTGAATGTGAAAGGTCCCATCTGTTGTCTGTAACATGTAGGTGATATGTATATAATATGTAAATGACACTGCACTGGTTTGTAATAATACGATGGAACAAAATGTTATCAACAGGGCCTGATTAAAAAACACATTTGTGCCACTGAACAAGCTCTTTATGGACTGACAGAGAAGCCTCATCTGGAAAGACTGCCAAGAGAAGACCAGGAGGCACCTGTGTGTGCAGTGGGACATCAGGTACCTACTTGTAAATACATATGGTTTATCTGGAAGGTTCTAAGAGGAAGTGTGCTGTCTGCAAAGAGGGGAACTGGATGGCTGGGAAGAGGGTAAGAAACATGTTTTTTACATGTGAAATAAAAGTTATCAATACCCAGGGAAAGGAGAACCTTGCCTGACCCTTAAAACGTCCTGGGTGCCCTTCCCTGCCATCTGTGGGAGAAGGGACTTTCCATGCAGCAGCCTCTGGCACTTTTCCATTTCCTACCTCTGGTTACATTACCGATTTAAAATCTTTCTTCACTGAAGAGACCTGCTGAATACTTTTCTGTAAAAATTGTTTTTGTCAAAGAGGTTCAAGGCAAAAGGCAGGTCACAGGAGGCTGAGGAATAACTGAAAGTGAGGAACTAGAGACAGCAGGAGTGACTTCACGAAGCGTGGCCATGTTACAGCATGAAGAACAGCGTGTATGTAAGATCTTACGTGTATCTAAGCATGTGTATGGTTTCTTGAAAGAACGTATGAACATATATGTGCACAAACACGTCTGGAAAGACACACAGCAACCTATTCGCAGGGACCAGCACCACCCAGCGGGATGGAAGGCCTTTTCTGCTAGCTGCTCAGGGAGGCCTCGGTGGTGAAGCGACCAAGAGAAGAGGGGCTGGTAGAGATGAGTGGTGTTAAAGCCGGGGTTTTGTTGGCTGGTAGAGGTGAGTGGTGTTAAAGGCGGGGTTTTGTTGAAAATACAAATCAGAGAACCATTATGGTTTATGGGTCAGGTGAGGCTAGAGGTCAAAGACTGGACTGAAGGAGGGAGACAGAAATCACAAAGTTCAAACGCTGACCTACCAGTGACCCTGAGGAAACAGAGGGCTGTGATCAAACCAGCGGTGAGGGACCAGCCTTACACAGAAAGGAAACACAAGAGAAACTAAGGAGGTGTCCAGGCCCAGATAAGACATTTCAAGGGCGAGTGATTTTTCTGTGAGCCTGCAAAGCACCCACCCCACTGGCAAGCTGGGTAGTGAATGGCGGGTGGGGTCCACAGTGCCCCTCTCAGGGTGAGCGGCCAGGTCCAGGGCTTTGTGGCCGACATGTGAAATCCTGTCCTGCTTAATCATGCTCTGATCAGACATGACACACGGCTGCTAGAAGAGCAATTCTGTCTTGCTTCTGTCTTCTCACTTTAAGTAGCTTCAGGTCTTTTAACCCAGAACAAAACAGAAACTGCTAAGAATTAACGTATTTTGTTCATTCTGGATGATCTCTTTTTACCTTTGACAGGAAATGTTTCTACAATGTGTCAGGTCTCTCTACAATAAAAATATCTACAGAGACTGGAGAAAAAAATTACCTTGCTAAAACTAATTTCTAAACTGAGTATGTTAAGACTGAAGTCCAAAACCAAAAGCCCTTCAATAATGTACCCTAATTAAGTAACTTGCAGCTACACTTCTTACTTAAACTAACAAGATAACTACTGTTCCAACTGGCAGTTTTTCAAAAAAAAAAAAAAAAAAAAAAAAAAGAAGGATCTTTTTCTAAAATCTAATCCCTCTAAGGTGGGGGGCGGGGGAGAACACTAAAGTAGAAATTTTTCCTAGCATAACAAAAATTTCTTCGTCATCAATTCAACAAAAAAAGATGCCCCAGTGCAAGTACCTCTTACTATTCTATTCTACTAGTTGGACTCTGAAGTTTTAAGACTCATGTAGATTTGTTGGAAAAGCATGTTAAACCAAAAGGTAGATGAAGTTTACAGGACTAAAGAGAAAATGGGTAAACTAAAGCCTAAGTAAACGGTAAGCTTCACCTGCAGTGACAAGACTAACGCAGATGCTTATCTCCAATTATCTTCGCACTTGAACAAATGATACCATCATATTACTCATCATACCCAAATATGACACAGAATTTCCAGTTTCTACAACTGTGCTCCAGAACACAGTAGAAAACAGCAAAACTCAAATGTGTGTTCAACTAAATGAGGCAAGTGTGAACTAGCTCATATCAAAGTAAATGGCCTTCATTTAATGTGAGGGCAAAGGACAGTAATTAAAGTACCACATAATCCAAGCCATTACACAGTAGATGGCAGTGCTACTGCAGCTCCATCATGGCATCAACAAAAATACTACCACCAAGAAAGCAATCAGAACTGCATCCCAGCACGGTCACGCACTGCATAAGGATGCTTCCACCACTGACAGACCACACGGACCAGGGATCCTCTAAGATTCTAATAATGCATTTTTACTGTACCTATTCTGTGTTCAGATACACAAATACCACTGGGTTACAACTGCCTACAGTATTCAGTACAGTAACACACTGCACAGGTTTATAGCCGAGGAGCAACAGGCTCTACAATGTGGCCCAGGGGTGTAGCGGGTTCTGCCACCCATGTTTGTGCAAGTACACTCTGTGGTGCTGACACAACAAGATCAGCTGAGGACGCTTTTCTCAGAACGTATCTGTGTCCTTAAGCAGCACATGACTCAATTCCCGTATCATGTACTGTACTGTACTATGAAACAGCACAGTGTTTTAGACCTGTAACAGCTGGCCAAAAAATAAAAATAAAAATAAAGATCCACTATGAGTTAGAATATTATTTCCTGTATCTCCTGTAATGCAATAAAAAAAAAAGCAACGTATACAAAGACAGCCAGAAGACTTAGTTCACAGACAAGTTCATAGACCAGGCGGTTCCCAGCTGCCCAGGAGAACGAGTGTTAAAGATGGAGACAAAACAGTGCTTTTAGGTCACAGCTATTCCTTTAACCATCAGTGACAACAGCTGCTCCAGAGAGAGTCCGTTCTTATGGAATGCTAGATGACTCTTGGCTGCAATAGGCCCAGAGTTTAGGGCTAAGGGAGAAACCACTTTGCCTGATAACCAGACGATGAACTATCCCATGTTTCACCTCTGAACTGCAATGATTTTCAACAGCTTACAAAAAGCAACAAAGCAAAAGCTGTTGCTGATCTTTAGACAGACATTTTCAGCAGGTTTATTCACAGCATTTGTGTCTATCTGAAGTTTCTACAGTGCTTACCCTCAGGTACTCACAATGCAAGCCACAGAGAGTTCCAGAACTGTTCCACAGAACATATCCCTAAAGGAAGACCACCACCCCCACCACACCCCTGCACCAAAAACTTTAAAAACATCATTTTTTTAGTACCCCCTTAAAAAAATCAGCCCCATGAAGCAGTTCATTATCCATACCCTGAGGTTGCTGAAACACAAACAGCAGGGCCCTCACAGCTGAAGCTCAGGCCCCTGCCCACCAGGCCCTGCTCCCCCATACCTGTCGCTGACCAAATGCACCAGCCCAGAGGCTCTGTACTGACAGCACAGAGTTCCCTGCCACCTCCACCTGCAGCTCCCCAGGCTGGCTGAGGCCACACCTACACAGCTCTGCACACCGCACCTAGCAATCTACCAGGTGGAACAGGAGCCCTCAGGACAGCCCTGCACCGACACGTACGCCAGCGGTCCACAGAGGATGCTCTAAGTGTCAGGCACAGTGCACGGGGATGAAGATAAAGAGCCTATTAACCATGAAGACAAAAGTCTACAAGCAAGCATGTGAAGCAACCCCAAGGTCCACCCGCTGAAGAACGCGTGAGCACAGCTTGGCCTCTTCACACGGGAACGCCACTCGGTTGCGAAAGAGGAGGAAGTGCTGACACACCCACAGCATGGAGGGGCCCTGACATCACCAGAGTGAAGGAAGCCAGTCACAAAGGGCCACACGGTGTGTGGTCCCCTTACATGCTACGTCCAAAAAAGACACCCATAGAGACAAAAAGGGGTGGTCAACGGTTGGGGGGAGGGGGAATGGGGAGCGACTGCTAATAGGCACTGGGTTTCTTTTTCGGGTGATGGAAACATTCAGTGGCAGTGGTCGTGCTTGCACAGCTATGTGACTATACTAAAAACCACTGACTTCACTTTAAAAGGGTGAAGTATATATAGTATATGAATTCTCTTTCAATAAAGCTGTTATTTTTAAAATAAGAATAAGCATGTGCACATACCATAGCATATTTATTATCACTGACAAAAAGAAAAAACTGCAAAGGATTTAACTATTTCCAAAACTATGGTCTTTTATTTACGTAAAATAGGCATTGGAAAGTCTAAGCCAACTATCCCCCACAGTTGGCACCCTGGAACAGGCGACTGCAGGAGCAGCAAGCAGCAGCATTACCGGCCACTAGGCAGAGTACAACTAATTCAGCCTATCATCAGTGTGGCTACTGGAAGTATTTTTCTTTCTGGAAGTAAAACACAGGTATGTCTACTTTATACTCCCCCTACTTTTACACCTCTAGAAGTCCTCAGAATAATAAGAATTTTTAAATAAAAACACAGGGTTTGGATAAGGAATTGCAAATAATGACTATTTCGGAAAATACAGTTAAAATAAATTTAAAAAAATTTTTTTGAGACAGGGTCTCATTCTGTTACCCAGGCTGGAGTGCAGTGGCATGATCATACCTCACCTACAGCTTCTACCTCCTGGGATCAGGTAATCATCCCACCTCAGCCTCCCCAGTAGCAGGGACTACAAATGTGTGCCACCACTCCTGGCTAATTTTTGTATTTTTTGTAGAGACAGGGTTTTGCTGTGTTGCCCAGGCTGGTGTTGAACTCCTGGGCTCAAGCGATCTGCCCATCTTGGCCTCCCAAACTTCTGGGACTACAGGCGTAAGCCACCTTGCCAGGCCAAGAAATAAAAATTCAAATTGGATAAAGAATTTAAAAAGCAATTAACATTTGTATCTCTAAAAGAAAAACACAAAATCTCTAAGCTCAAAGAGTTCAAAACAAAATACAACAGGCTTACAAAAGAATGCAGACAGCTTTAATGGGGCTGCTTTTTCAGGAATATTTAGAAACTAAGAAAGCAAAATACTTAAATGCTAGATTTCATCTGAGTTGCCTGCTCCAAGCAATAAAGGGTTCATCAACGTCAGCCTTAGCTTTGAAGCAGCACAGAAACGAAAGTTAAATGAATGGGGCCGAAATTAGCTTAGCAGTGACACTAGGGATGTAGGGAAAACTAGAATCCACGGTTGTTTTGAAATACGGAAATGACAGCCCAAGGTTACTCCTTATAATAATCCTCTCATTAAGGGTCACAGAATCTTCCAGTTTTCCAAAGATGAAACAAAAAAATTGTCAGCTCCAAGTAACTATTCAAAAACCAATTTAGAACACATAAAAGCTCATAGCCAAGATGTAAATAATTCAATCTATAAAACATGTCTTGCTTTAAGTTAGCATACCTCTATAAAAATAAATGTTAAAAGCCGGAGAGGCCATAAGGGAGAAAGCAGCATTTACTGCACCTCTGCTGGAAGCTCACGTATGTTACCTATGTAATCCTCAACACAAGCCTGTGAGGTAGGTTACATCCCCTCCACTGCAATAGGGACAACACTGAGAGGTAGAAGGATCCTGGCCAAGGTTGCACGGCTGGTAAATTCAATGCCCATGGCCTTGGGGCCGGGGGGGAGGGGGGGCGGTGCAGGGGTGAGCTGAGACGAATAGATTAGCTCCTTCATCTCGTCAAAGGGATTTCTGCTTGACAGAAAGGCTCTCCTATAAAAGACATTTTTGTTCCAGGTTTAGCTCACTGCCCAACCAAAATAATAATCACCACTGTCTGCATAAAGTGATGCACCCGTGCTCACACATTAAGAATCCCCTTAAAGAGATGACTTTACTGTAGCAACAGCCATAGAAATTATTAGTGGGTGGAATCTACACAAAGGAGTAACAAACAGCACATGAAACTGACCATAAATGACTGAGATTCCATGAATAGGCGACAATTTGCTGGCATGTCAAGGCTTACATGGATTACTAGAAACAACTACATTTCCTAGGACCCTCTGCGCAGCACACAGCCTGAAATGTAGGGTGGGAGCTGAACTTAAAAAGAAAACTATAGTCTTGGAGATAAATGTCACACACAAAAAAACCAATGTATGTACCACAACCACTTCTTAGAGGAAGACATTAAAAAAGAAAAGCCACAACCTAGGATTGAAAGACAGCTTTAAAAACACACACAAAAAACCTAGCAAACCAGACGGTGTTCTCAGCCACTCATAAAAGCAAAGTCTTATCAAAGTTTTAACTTCAAAGAGCTTAAAGACACTGCAAAGAGGCACTCAGCAAGACTGGTCCCGACTGCAACCTATTCCCTTCCAAAAAAATAATCAGTTTGTAATCTAAATACACATCACACCAGGTCAAAGTAATCTCTTCCGGTAGCAAAATTTTGGCACTGGATTGCAGGGGCCTGTTCAAAATAGCTGGAGCCCCAAACACTTTGCGTTTTCAGTTCTGAAACACTTAGACAAAAGTTCACATCGCTAAGTGGATGGCCAGGATGCCCTTCCGGTTCAATTTGGAGACGGGAGATCTTTAACCTAACCTAACATTCTTTAAGGCACCAGTGCCCTCCTACTCAAACGTCAGCCTGGGTTTTGTTTCTAAGGGTCGCCAATAAATAGGTTTCATGGGCATTTAAGGCTCTAGGAGTCTTTTTCTGTCTGTTACAGGTAGCCCGGCTCTTAAAAACGATCACACACAACGCTCACAGGCATGTGCACATTCATAAATACACACGTGTGCACACATACATGCCCACATGCGACACACGCGTACATCATACAGCATGCACGTGTCCATAAATGAGCTCACACGGACAGCCACGTCCCGCGCGCAGGCCCCCAGCAACACAGGCCCCAAGCAGGGCCTCCACCTGTATGGAGTGAGCAGCTCAGAAGGCGAAGCCCGGTGCCTTGCAATGTTCACCTCACCCGCGGCTTCTGGCATGGCCACGGCTCCTTCCTTTTCTAGTAATAAATACCAGATTTGGGGAAACCAAGGCGCCGCAATGTGTGTTATCTGTCACCCAAGGGTCCCATTAAGGGGACAAAGGCCTTATCGCGTTTGCAGCCGGCTAAGTGAAAGGAGGGCACTTGGGACTGTGAGCTCTGACCGCGGACGTCTCCCGCACCGCTCCCGCGGATCCTCGGACCCAGGGCCCCTGCAGCCGCTCCTGCCCAAGGGGCGCGAGGCGGAGATCTGGAGGCTTTGGGGCACGCAGAGGAGACTGAGGGTGTGGGCTCAGGGCCGCGGTGCGGTCTTGGGGCTTGAAGTGCAGACTTAGGGTGAGGAGTGCGGGCTTAGGATGGGGGCTTGGGACACGGGGTGGGGACTTCGGATGTACGGTGGAGGCTTGGAGAGGTGGGGCACACATTTGGGGTGCGACACAGAGGCTTAGGATGGGGCTTGGGACACGGGCTGGGGGCTCGTGGTGCAGGCTGGAGGCGTGGGTGGGGGGGTCGCGGCGCAGGCTTGGAGGCCTGGGTGGGGGCTCGCGGTGCAGGCTGGAGGCTTCGCATACAGAGTTGGGGATGCAGGGTTGGGGTACAGAGCAGAACTCGGGGCGGGCACGCACCTTGTGGCAGGCCAGGCAGGTGGCCCCCGCCGCCGTTCAGGCTGCTCTGGATCTGCGTGAGCTCCTGGCACAGCACCTGCTTCTGGTGGAAGCTGAAGGCGCGGTGGTTGGAGGACATGGTGAACGGCAGCAGGAACTCATCGCCCGTGCGGCCCTCGTTGAGCTGCAGCCTGTAGTTGTGGATGATGGAGTCACGTGCGTGAGCTTGCGGTAGAGCACGCCCGCCGCCTCGCTCTGCTCCGAGCCCAGCAGCGCCAGCGACACCAGCAGCTTGCTGCGCACCACCTCGTCCGTCAGGTTGGTGAGGCTGCCCAGGTCGGCCGGGTTGTTGGCCTTGATCTCCGAGTCGCGCAGCGAGTGGTAGTCCTTGCGGGCCAGGTCCTCCAGGGACGAGCCGAAGAAGCGGACCTCGAGCGGCATGCACAGGTCCAGCAGGCCGCATAGGAACTCCACGCGCTGAGGCGACGGCAGCTCCGAGAACCAGCGGTACACGCCGTCCCTCTGCAGCGGGCAGCGCTTCTCCACCACGCTGCCGCCCGCGCCGCGCCGCGCCCCGGGGCCCGCGCGGGGGAGGCCGGGGGGCGCCGGGGGCCGCGGCCGGGGCGCGCCGGGACCGGGGGCGCGCGGGCCGGGGTCGGGTCCGGGCGAAGGCGCGCGGGCGCCGCGGGCCGGGCGGGCGCCGGGGCGGGGACCGGAGCCGGGCAAGGCTCCCGTCAGGGGCCGGCGGGCGGGCGCGCGCGGGGCGCCGTAGGGGGACCCGCGGCGGCCGGGGGCGACGAGCTGCCTTGGGCCCGCCGCTCACGGGGAGGCGCCTTCCCGAGCCCATGCCCGTGCCCAGCAGCGGCCGGTGAGCGGCAGCGGCGGCGGCTGCTCCTCGTCGTTGTCGTCGTCGTCGCCCGGAAGGCGGCCGCCCCCATCTCCCCCCGCGCCGCAGGGTCTGTCACTGCGGGCCCCAGGCCGGCCGTTACCCAGGGCCGCGGGCGCGGCGTCGCAGCCTAGGGAGCGATGGGGGCCGCGGCCGCGGAACGGGCGCTGGAGGGGGAGGGACGCAAGGCGGCAGTCGCGGAGGGATCCTGCCGGGACTTGCCGGCCTTGCTGCTCCCGCGCGGCGGAGGGGCGGCGGACGGGCGGCGGCGGCGACGGCGACGACGGCAGAGCAGGCACCGGCCGAGGAGCAGAGGGATCGTCGCGCTCGCGGCTGACGGGCGGCCGGGACCAGCAGAAGTGGGCGGGGTGGCCGCCTCTCCGGACAGCCCGGGCCGGCCGGGCCCACCCTCCCCCCTCCCTAGCTGATTGGCTCAGGCGGCCCGTTCTCCGCCCGTGATTGTGCCGGGTCCCCAATCCCATTCGCCCATGCCGCGGCCACGCCGCCCTGGGGGGCTATGGATCATATTGGAGCCACCGCCTCTAGTCTCTCGGCGGCCGTCAGGACGCGATTGGTCCGCGGAGAGCAGAGAGGCGGAAAACCCGGGCTGGATTTCTGGTGGCTTTTGTTCCCGCAAATTTACGTGGAGCATTGTTTTTGGGCGAAAACGGGGCCTTCGGCCTTCCTGCTTTATTCCTGAGCGGTGTAAGAGGGAGGTAGTGGGTATCTTCGAGAAACGGCCGCCGCGGGGTCCGGAGCCCCGGGTTCCAATCCCGGGTCGGCCACTGCTAAGCTGTGTGACCTTGGGTGAGTCACTTGGCCTCTCTGAGCCCCAGGCGCCTCCCCGGGAAAATGAGGGTAATAGTAACCGCTCCCGGGGGTTTGTGCGAAGGTGTTCAGCTCACAGAGGGCCGGCACCGGCACTTTTGAGGCGGCTGACTTGCCCTGGGGGTGTGATGGGAGGTGCAAGCTTTCTCCAAAAGCCTCCTCCAAATGGAGCCTTTAAATCCGCCTTCTTTCCGCGGCTACTCCACCAGCTCGCCAAACCGAGAAAATGCAAACACAGGGGCGGGGGCAAGGGAGCTGACCTGGCTGGAAGTAAACAGAAACGCCACCCCTCCCCTGGCACTTGCATTGGCACCGGAGGATTGCAGGTGGGGGAAGGGCCTCTGCACCCAACCACCTTTAAATCCCACCACTTACACACAGGCAAAGAAGCAGAGCCGTGGCGGCTGGACGCTCATTCCTCCCCTGCCCTTCCCCTAGAGCGCTGCTTTGAATGTCTGTTGATCTAGAACGGGGTCTGTTCATTCCTGGGTTCCAGGTCCCAAGCGCCCCGGGGGCAGCTGAGAGCAAAGCTGGCGCCCTCCCTACCCCGTGGAGCTCACACTCTGGTTCTGGGCAGTGCACAGTAGAGATTGGTTGAATCAGTGAATGAACTTTTTCAGGATATGATCCAAGGTGCTGAAAACTTCCTAACAAAACTCTTCAGCCGAATCTGGCACGCCTATGGTTCCAGCTACTGGGTAGACTGAGGCAGGAGGATCGCTTGAGGCCAAGAGTTCAAGGCCAACCTGGGCAACATGGTGAGACCCCCCCCTCCCCCCCAGTCTCTCCAAAACAAACAAACCCCACATTCTCCAGTCTTAGGTCTTCAAGGATGAACAGACATTGCAGAAAGGCACGGTTGGGAACAGAAAAAAATGATCTCCACTCCCCCAGCCCCCTCCACACCTTGGGCACATTTCCCTGGAGCCGCCCGAGTGTTCTTTGTCAGTGTAGGAAGAAGCAAAAATCTAAATGGAGTCAGGATGGCCTCCCACATGGGCACAAGGACAAGGCTGGGGACAGTTGGGTCTCCTCATCTTATTTCCCAGGTCTAGGCTGATTTCTATTAATAATTAAATTAATCGTTGTTCTCCTGGACCTCACTTCTTAATGTGATTCCAGGAAACTGGCCACATTCCAAAATTCATAATCTAAGGTAGTGAAATAACGTGAGCATCAAGACAGTTTGGCTGGGCTCAGAGGCTCACATCTGTAATCCCAGTACTTTGGGAGGCCGAGGGTAGATCCCTTGAGCCCAGGAGTTCGAGACCAGCCTGGGCAACATGGCGAAATCCCATCTCTACAAAAAATACAAAAATTAGCCAGATGTGGTGGCATGTGCCTGTAGTCCCAGTTACTTGGGAGACTGCGGTGGAAGGATTGCCTGAGCCCAGGAAAGGGAGGTTGCGGTGAATGGGGATCCCACCACTGCACTCCAGCCTGGGTGACAGCGTAAGACTCTGTCTCAAAAACAAAAGATTCATTTCTTATTGATAAAGCAAGCTCCTTGGAGAAAGATCTTGGAACCTCATTGGGAGTGGAGGTGGGGCTTCTTCAATGCAGCCGAGCTGGCTGTGAAACCCCCAGGGTTTGGTACCAAGTGAGCTCCAGTCCCAGCTGTGGCTGACTGTGTGAACTTGGCTATGCATTCAAGGGCCTCTGAGCCTCAGTTTCCTCATCTGTAGAAGAGAGCCAGGAACCCGTCATCCTGGCTAGCAGTGGAAGTCAAAGGTGCTCATGGAAAGAAAGTCCTTGCTGGCTGGAACAAGGGAGGCCTGAGCTGTGGAAGTCCTTGGATCAAGGTCCTCCCCACTTCCCGCTGCCTTTTTGGTCCTTCTTGCGTGCTCTTTGTGATTTAATGGCTTAGTAGGTTGAATCATGTCCCCCCAAAGTTTATCTCTACCCCAAATCTCAGAATGTGACCTTATTTGGAAAAAGAGTCTTTGCAGATAATTAAGGTAAGAGTCAAGATAAAATCACACTGAATTATGGTGAGCCCTACATGCAATGAGACAGTCCTTACAAGATACAGAAAAGAACACATAGAGACTTCGGGGGAAAGGAGACTATGTGCAAGGATGGCAGAGATTGGAGCCGAGGGGTGCCTGGGCCTACCAGAGGCTGCAAGAGACAGGGAGGACCCTCCCCTAGAGCCTCCGGGGGAACAGCCCTGCCCACACCTTGACTTTGGACTCCTGGCCTCCAGAACTGTGAGAGGGTAAGTTGCTATTGTTTTCACCCCCCCACACCTCACCCTCCCCTCCCCCTCCCCTCCCCCACCCCACCTACCCCTCCGCCATCCCATCCCCACCCCATCCCCCACCCCTCCCCCACCCCCATTCCCCCACCCCTCCCGCACTCACACGTGTTGTGGTTATTTGTAGGGCAGCCAGGGAAACCGAAACAATGTCATTTCCCCCCAGAAGTCGGCGTGGCTCAGCTCAGTCCAGTTCACAACAAATATGAAATCCCTGCCCTACAGGACCAGGCCTCAGGAAGGGCTTGGGGGCCTCAGAGGCAAATGAGACCAGGTCCATCAACCATACAGAACTGACAACCTGGACTCCCCACTCTGAAGTAGGCAGACTGCCTGAGGGAGGGGGCCTCCCTCATGGGGAGAGGGCAGGCGCTGACCTCCCGGGCCCTCCAGCATTCTCTGGGTCCTGGCCCCGAGATTCTGGTTTTCCACACAGGGCACCTACTGTCTCACCCTTCCCTGACTCTGCCCGTGCACAAGGTGACCCCGGCTGCAAGCGTGCCAGGAGCTTTTCTCCACCTCTGCCTCAACATCTGCCGCCTCTCCTCCTCTGGAGAGGGAGGCAGCTGAAGGACACCAGCCCCACGCCTTGCTGGAGCAGCTGAGATCGCTGGGAGGAGGTTGGGAGAGGACTCAGGGGCTCAGGCTAGATCAGGAGGGTGTGCCCTGCCTCCTTGTGAGGGGGCCCAGCACCACGGGGAGCCCACAGTGTAGGGTGCTGTTCAGCCAAATTGGTTACCACTGGGTGTGAGGTCTGTGGTTGTGCAGGGTTGAAGGGCTGGGTGTCATTTGCCTCTGAGGCCCCCGAGCCCTTCCTGAGGCCTGGTCCTATAGGTCAAGGATGGGCTATTTGTTGTGAACTGGATTGCGCTGAGAGCCACACTCATGTTTAGGGGGAAATGCCATTGTACTGGTTTCCTGTGACTGCCCTACAAATAACCGCAAAGAGGCAAGGGGAGAAGTGGGGCTGTCCCTTCCATAGGGCTGCAGTCAAGCACAAATGACTCTAATGGTATTAATTTTGAGAGAGAGAGAGAGATTTGGAGTTCACCACAAATTCTCCAAACAAACAATTTTACAAGGAGGACATGACCCGCCTGGCATTACTGCTTAGGTCTGAATGAGTGATACTGACTGCAGCAGGTGACCAGGCCAAGCCCAGAAATGGGCCACGGGGACCCCAAGCACATGCTCTTCCCCCAGACTGCCGCCATCTTGCTTTTCCTTCAGACCTAGGACCCTACGAGAGGAGGGATCTGGAGGCCAGGACAGGAGCAGGACAACACAAACAGAGGCCTCAGAAGAAGACTCAGAGTGGGACAGGGGTTCCTTAAGTGATGGGGGCTGGAAGTGCACAGAGAAGCCTGGTGCAGCAGGGAATTTTCTCTCCCTGGGGTGCTGCCAAGGTATGTGTGGTCTCCAGCTGCGACATGTGCTTCCTTCCCTTGGCCTGAGTCCTGCTTTCCTGTGATTGAGAAGGTTTGGGACCTGACACCCTGAGCATGGAGGCCATAAATCCAGTGGATCCCTAAACTTCCTGATGGGGTCCTGGCTCCAGGCCTCGGTTCCTGACAGCCTCGTGTAATTGACAAAACCCCATGGGGCTGTTTCTGATACTGCTATCAAAATTCCCATCATGCAGATACTGAATGGTCAAGGGCTTCGGCCCGTGCCACACAGTTAGTTCATGTTGGAATTGGATTCTGCCCTAAGTCAATTGCCCATATAGACTCTGCCCCTCCCAGGAGGAAACCACAAATGTGACATATTGTTTATTTGCTATTTTTGCAAAGGTGTCTGTTGCTTGCCAGCTTTTCCAGCCATGACTGCAGACAAAGTCCACCTAGAGTCATAAATGGGCAATCAGCCCCGAACAACGTCCAGCCCCGGTTTCTGCACAGCGAGGCGTTTTTGTCTGTGGCAGACCTGCTTACCCGGGTGTCTTTGGTGTGGGGCTAGATGCAGCATTTCCCCAGTGGGAATGGCCTGGGGTCTTATTTAAAGTGGAGGGTCCTAGGCCTGGCCCCACGTATGGAGTCAGGATCCCTAGGGGTAGGACCTTGGAATCCGCATTTTTTTTGAGACAGGGTCTCACTCTGTCACCCAGGCAGTGGCACGATCTCAGCTCTCTGAAACCTCCACCTCCTGGTTCAAGCGATTCTCCTGCCTCGGCCTCCTGAGTAGCTGGTATTACAGGCACGCACCACCATGCCTGGCTAATTTTCTATGTTTTTAGTAGAGATGGGGTTTCATCATGTTGGCCAGGCTGGTCTCCAACTCCTGACCTCAAGCCATACACTGGCCTCGGCCTCCCTAAGTGCTGGGATTACAGGTACGAGCCACCGTGCCTGGCCAGGAATCTGCATTTTTGCTAGTAACCCTGGTCATCTCAGTGCACACCAAAGTTTGAAACCACTGTTGGGGTGTGGAGTTCTTGCTTCCAGACTTCCAGGGCCTATGGATTGAACAACAGCAGCCACAGTAGTAATTAGAATTTTCAGTCTGAACCACAAGCCTGCCATGCAACAAGGGTTTCCTCCCGTTTTACAGATGAGGGACCTGAGGCTCCATAAGGCTGTTATTGACCTGAGGTTGCACAGCTGATGGCTCCTGGGTTCTTAGCGTTAAGTTTTGCAGCCTTATTTCTGTTGTATATTTGTTTCTCATATTTCTGTGTTTATTGCACTGCAATTGTGATATCCTCTAAAAGCCAAGGATGAACTCACTGCTGACCTTGGTTTTATTCGTTTGTTTATTTTCACCTTTTCTTGTGAAATGTGCAAACATACTCAAAAGTCAAGAGAATCATATGGTGATTTCTCATAGTCCCCTTTGGCCAGCTTCAGCAAAGATGACATTTTGCCACTCTTATTCCATCCATTTCTGTCACGCCACCCCTGACATACACACATGTTCTTTCTGGAGTATTTTCAAGCAAATACAGGATTTTTAAAAACATGTAAATGACTGTGTTGTTTTGTCTGATTATGATGCATTACATGTTCCTTATGAACAGCTTATACCTCAGTAAAAAACAATATAAAAAGCCACAAATCATCTCAATTCCCAGTATGTGCCACACACATATACACACCACATAGCACATACAACACACACACATTTCACACACACCACGTGCCACATACACACCACACACACATATACACACCACATAGCACACACAACACACACACATTTCTCACATGCCACATGCCACACACATGTGTGTGGCATGTGCTGTGTATGTGTGGTGTATGTGTTTGTGTGGTATGTGTGTGGCATGTGCTTTGTATGTGTGTGATGTATGTGTTTATGTATCTGTGTGGTATGTGTGTTATGTGTGGTGTGTATATGTATATGTGTGATATGTGTGTGGCATGTGCTGTGTGTGTGATGTGTGTTTATGTATGTTTGTGGTATGTGTGGTGTGTGGTGTGCATACATGTGGCATGTGCTGTGTATACGTGCAGGGTGTGGTGTATGTGTGTGGTGTGTGGCATGTGGTATGTGTGGAGTGTGTGTGTGTTCTATGTGCTATGTGGTGTGTATATGTATGCCTGTGGTATGTGTGGTGTGTGAGGTGTGTGCATGTGTGTGGCATGTGCTGTGTATGTGTGTGTAGTGCGTGTGCTTGTGTTTGCAACACAGACAACCCCACCTGAGTTTGGTGCAAGCAGCACCTTGTAAGAGAGCAATTCTGACAGTCACTGCCACAGTGGCCGCCTTGCCTGGAGCTGGCCAAGTGGAGGCGGAGGCAGGGGCTTAACACTGGGGCTTCCATCATGAGCGAAGCTGGTGCTGGCTGTTATCATTTGCAGGTGAAACAACTGGGGCAGAGCGGTCACTTGCAAAGGACAGCCCACCAGCCAGGGACAGAGCTAGGGCTCAGGCTAGCAGCCTCACGGTGCCTCTCACCAAGCCTGGCCAGGCTAAGGGTTTTGGCACCAAAAACAGGAAGGGCAGAAGTGCCAGGGGACAAAGCACTTTCATGCCTCATTTAGCCCTGGTGACATGCTTTAAAATCAATAGATCATTATCCTTACCTGGCCGACGGGGAAATCAGGCCCTGGGGGAGGCCAGCAGATACCAGCAGGGCTAGGACTTGAACCAAGTTCTCCCGATCCCAAATCCCACTGCCCCGTCCCCTCCAGAGCGGCTGTGGGTCAAGGCTGGGTCTGGATGGTGACTCTGGTGAGGAGGGTCAAGTGGACCAGGTTCCTGAAGCCTCACAGCTGTGGCTGGTGTCCCGGATGCTGACGCCTGTTGAGACCTGCTGGTGGCTGGGGTTTCATGTCCTCATTTCCCTTGGCCCGCACAACAATCTTGCCAGTAGAACATTCTTCCCCTTTTACAGATGAAGAAACTGAGGTTTAGAGAAGCCACTTGCCCAGTGTAGACAGCGAGAAGGACAGGTCCAGGTCTGCTTGATGATGAAGCCTGTGTCTTCTTTGCTGTGTGATCCTCATCACGTTAGGGGATTCCTGAGGAAGCAGAGGATTTTGCCCTTGCATTTGAGCCACAGCAGCTCTAGTAAGTACATGTGTGTGCATATGTAGGTCCTGTGTTCCTATTGATGCTAATATGTACAAATTGCATATTAATATATATTAACATGTATTACTATATAATAATACATATCTGAAAGCTGGCTTCAGCTTAAGACTTTGTTTGAGAGTGGTTTGGGGGTTAACACTTTTTTAACCTGCTGGTCCACATGTCGTACGTATGATTCCTTGCACATATTTGAGTCTTGGCATGCCTGCTTCTTTTCTCTTACCCAGGGATGGCTCTTCACTAGGAGGCTGGCACAGAACCATCAGAACGACCACTGGTGTAAGACACAGTAAAGCCCCCCCGTGTGTTCCTGTGGAAGCTGGCCATGCCAATACACATAGACCAGAGGCTTAATTAAATTCTCAGCTCCTTGAGAGCAGGAGTCAGGGCTGAGGCTGATTAAGTTTGTCACTTTGGATTTCCAGCTCCAGATGGGTACCATGTATGCAGTTGGTGCTTATTAACTGTTTGCTGGTGGTCTTTCTGCCTTTTTTTTTTTTTGAGATGGAGTCTCACTTTGTCACCCAGGCTGGAGTGCAGTGGTGCGATCTCAGCTCACTGCAACCTCTGCCTCCCGGGTTGAAGTGATTCTTCTGCCTCAGCCTCCCCAGTAGCTGGGATTACAGGTGCCCACCACCAGCTAATATTTGTATTTTTGGTATAGAAGGGGTTTCACCATGTTGATCAGGCTGGCCTTAGACTCCTGACCTCAAGTGATCCACCCGCCTTGGCCTCCCAAAGTGCTGGGATTATAGGTGTGAGCCGCTGCGCCCGGCCGAAACCATTGAGTTTTACAAACTTCAGTGCCAATTTCTTACAGCCCTTGGGGTGTGGCCTGGGTTGGACTCTAATGAAGAGAATTGAATCTCCCAGTAGTCAGCTGGCATCTTAGCATACACTGAAGTAGGGATTGACATTTTTCTATGAGGACAGGCTTCAAAGTCTTGCGAGCTTCCTTGCTTTGTCCAGGGAACTGGGAAAGAAAAATTTACGGGATTTATGCTGTCTTCTGGGTAGGAGTGTAAGTTCCTGTTGCTGCTGTAACAATAATTACCACACAATTAGTTGCTTAAAACAACACAAATTTATTCTCTTACAGTTCTGGAGGCCAGAAGTTCAAAATGAGTTCCATGAGTTTAAAACCAAGGTGTCATCAGGGCTGGTTCTTTTTTTTTTTTTTCTTAAGACCGAGTCTCACTCTGTCGCCCAGGCTGCAGTGCAGTGGCATGACCTCCGCTCACTGCAAGCTCAGCCTCCCGGGTTCAAGTGATTCTCCTGCCTCAGCCTCCAGAGTAGCTGGGACTACAGGCACCCAACACCACACCCGGCTAATTTTTTGTATTTTTAGTAGAGACTGGGTTTCACCATGTTAGCCAGGATGGTCTCGATCTCCTGACCTTGCGATCCTCCCGCCTTGGCCTCCCAAAGTGCTGGGATTACAGGTGTGAGCCACTGCGCCTGGCTAGGGCTGTTTCTTTCTGGAGGCTCAGAGGGGAATCTATTTCCTTGTCTTTTCCAGTTTCTAGAAGCTGCCTACAGTCCTTGGCTCATGGCTCCTTCTCTATCTCCAAAGCGCATCACTCTGTCCTCTGCTTCCACAGTCACATCCCCTTCTTTTACCTTTGAACTTCTTGTCTCCCTCTTTTCTTTTCTTTTTCTTTTTTTTTTTTTTTTGAGACAGGGTTTCACTCTGTCACCCAGGCTGGAGTGCAGTGGTGTGTTCACAGCTCACTACAGCCTTGACCTCTTGGGGCTCAAGCAATCCTCCTGCCTCAGCCTCCAAGTAGCTGGGACCACAGATGTGTACCACCATGCCTAGCTAACTTTTTAATTTTTTGTAGAGACGAGGTCTCCCTATGTTGCCCAGGCTGGTCTTGAACTTACTCAGTATCATGAGAACAGCATGGGGGAAACTGCCCCCATGATTCAATTACTTCCCACCAGGTCCCTCCCACAACATGTGGGCATTATGAGCTTACAATTCAAGATGAGATTTGAGTGGGGACACATAGCCAAACCGTATCATTTCACCCCTGGCCTCTCCCAAATCTCATGTCCTCACACTTCAAAACAGAATCATGCACTTCCAACAGTCTTCCAAAGTCTTAACTATTCCAGCATGAACCCAAAAGTCCAAGTCCAAAGTCTCATCTGAGACAAGGCAAGTCCCTTTCACTTATGAGCCTGTGAAATCAAAAGCAAGTTAGTTACTTCCTAGATACAATGGGAGTACAGGCATTGGGTAAATGCACCCATTCCAAATGAGAGAAATTGGCCAAAACAAACGGGCTACAGGCCTCATGCAAGTCTGAAATGCAATAGGGCAGTCATTAAACCTTAAAGTTCCAAAATGATCTCCTTTTACTCCACGTCTCACATGCAGGTCACGCTGATGCAAGAGGTGGGCTCCCACACCCCTCCCAGCTGCTTTCGTGGGCTGGCATTGAGTGTCTGTGGCTTTTCCAGGCGCACAATGCAAGCTGTTGGTAGATCTACCATTCTGGGGCCTGGAGGATGGTGGCTGTCTTCTCACAGCTCCACTAGGCACTGCCCCAATGGGGACTCTGTGTGGGGGCTCCAATCCCACATTTCCCTTCTGCACTGCCCTAGCAGAGGTTCTCCATAGCAGAGAGCTCCACCCCTGCAGCAAATTTCTGCCTGAACATCCAGGTGTTTTCATACATCCTCTGAAATCTAGTTGGAGGTTCCCAAACCTCAATTCTTTCTTTTTTTTTTTGGAGACAGAGTCTTGCTCTGTTGGCCAGGCTGAAGTGCAGTGGCATGTTCTCAGCTCACTGCAACCTCTGCCTCCCAGGTTCAAGCAATTCTCCTGCCTCAGCCTCCCGAGTAGCTGGGATTATAGGGGTGTGCCACCACACCTGGCTAATTTTTGTATGTTTAGTAGAGATGGGGTTTCACCATGTTGGCCAGGCTGGTCTTGAACTCCTGACCTCAGGTAATCCACCCACCTCGGCCTCCCAAAGTGCTGGGATTACAGGCGTGAGCCACCGTGCCTGGCCCAGACCTTAATTCTTGACTTCTGTGCACCTGCAGGCCCAACACCACATGTAAGCCGCCAAGGTTTGCAGCTTGCACCTTCTGAAGCAATGGCCTGAGCTGTATGTTGGCCCCTTTTAGCCACAGCTGAGATGCAGGGCACCAAGCCCCAAGACTGCACAGAGCAGCAAGACCCAGGGCCTGCCCCTCGAAATCACTTTTTCCTCCTAGGCCTCCGGGCTTGTGATGGGAGGGGCTGCTGTGAAGTTCTCTGACATGCCCTGGAGACACTTTCCCCGTTGTCTTGTCAATTAACATTTGGCTTCTTGTTACTTATGCAAATTTCTGCAGCTGGCTTGAATTTCTTCTCAGAAAATAGGCTTTTCTGGCCAGGCACAGTGGCTCATGCCTGTAATCCCAGCACTTTGGGAGGCCGAGGCGAGTGGATCGCCTGAGGTCAGGAGTTCGAGACCAGCCTGACCAATCTGGTGAAACCCTGTCTCTACTAAAAATACAAAAATTGGCCAGGCGTGGTGGCAGGTACCTGTAATCCTGGCTACTCAGGGGGCTGAGGCAGGAGAATCGCTTGAACCTGGGAAATGGAGGTTGCAGTGAACCGAGATCATGCCACTGCATTCCAGCCTGGGCAACAGAGCAAGACTCTGTCTCAAACAAACAAACAAAAAAACCCCAGAAAATAGGTTTTTCTTTTCTATCACACTGTCAGGCTGCAAATTTTCCAAACTTTTGTGCTCTACTTCCCTTTTAAACACACATTCCAATTCCAAACCATGCCTTTGTGAATACATAAAACTGAATGCTTTTAAGGGTATCCAAGTCACCTCTTGAATGCTCTGCTGCTTATAAATTTTTTCCACTAGATACCCTAAACCATCTCTCTCAAGTTCAAAGTTCCACAGATCTCTAGGACAGAGGCAAGATGCTGCCAGCCTCTTTGCTAAAGCATAGCAAGAGTCACCTTTGCTCCAGTTCCCAACAAGTTCCTCATCTCAATCTGAGACCACTTCAGCCTGGACTTCATATCACTGTCAGCATTTTGGTCAAAGCCATTCACCAAGTCTTTAGGAAGTTCCAAACTTTCCCACATCCTCCTGTTTTCTGAGCTCTCCAAGTCTCTAGGAAGTTCCAAGCTTTCCCACATTTTCCTGTCTTCCTCTGAGCCCTCTGTTCCAACCTCTGCCAGTTATTCAGTTCCAAAGTCACTTCTGAACTTTCAACTATCCTTATAGCAGCACCCTACTACCAATACCAATTTACTGTATTAGTCTGTTCTCAGGCCATTGTGAAGAAATACCTGAGAGTGGGTTATTTATTTATTTATTTATTTATTTATTTATTTATTTTATTTATTTTTTGAGATGGAGTCTCACTCTGTCACCCAGGCTGGAGTGCAGTGGCACAATCTCGGCTCACTACAAGCTCCACCTCCCAGGGTCACGCCATTCTCCGGCCTCAGCCTCCAGAGTAGCTGGGACTAGAGGCGCCCACCACCACACCCAGCTAATTTTTTATATTTTTAGTAGAGATAGGGTTTCACCATGTTAGCCAGGATGGTCTTGATCTCCTGACCTCGTGATCCACCCACCTCAGCCTCCCAAAGTGCTGGGATTACAGGTGTGAGCCACCACACCTGGCCATTTATTTTTATTTATTTTTGAGATGGAGTCTTGCTCTGTTGCCAGGCTGAAGTGCAATGGCACGATCTCGGCTCACTGCAACCTCTGCCTCCTGGGTTCACACCATTCTCCTGCCTCAGCCTCCTGAGTAGCTGGGACTAGAGGTGCCCACCACCACGCCCGGCTAATTTTTTTGTATTTTTAGTAGAGACAGGGTTTCACCATGTTAGCCAGGATGATCTTGATCTCCTGACCTCGTGATCCACCCGCCTTGGCCTCCCAAAGTGCTGGGATTACAGGCATAAACCACCATACCCGGCCTGGGAGTGGGTAATTTATAAAAAGAGGTTTAATTGACTCACAGTTCCACAGAGCTGGGGAGGCCTCAGGAAACTTAAAATCATGGCAGAAAGCACCTCTTTACAGGGTGGCAGAAGAGAGAAAGAGTGCCAGCAGGGGAAACACCAGACGCTTATCAAGCCATCAGATTTTGAGATAATTCACTCACTATCACAAGAACAGCATGGGGGAAACTGCCCCCATGATTCAATTCCCTCCCATGGCGGGTGGGGATTATGGGATTACAATTCAAGAGGAGATTTGGGTGGGGATACAAAGCCAAACCATATCAGCCACCATGCCCAGCTAATTTTTTTTTTTTTTTTTGAGAGAGAGTCTCACTCTGTCTCCCAGGCTGGAGTGCAGTGGCACAGTCTGGGCTTACTGCAAGCTCCACCTCCCGGGTTCACTCCATTCTTCTGCCTCAGCCTTCCAAGTAGCTGGGACTACAGGTGCCCGCCACCACACCTGGCTAATTTTTTTGTATTTTTAGAAGAGACGGGGTTTCACCATGTTAGCCAGGATGGTCTCGATCGCCTGACCTTGTGATCCACCTGCCTCCGCCTCCCAAAGTGCTGGGATTACAGGCGTAAGCCACCGCGCCTGGCTTTTTTTTTTTTTTTTTTGAGACAGAGTCTTGCTTTATCACCCGGATTGGAATGCAGTGGCATGATCTCTGCTCACTGCAACCTCTGTCTCCTGTGTTGAAGCAATTGTCCTGCCTCAGCCTCCCCAGTAGATGGTATTGCAGGTGTGGGCCACCATACCTGGCTAATTTTTATATTTTTAGTAGAGACGAGATTTCCCCCATGTTGGCCAGGCTGGTCTTGAACTTCTGACCTCAGGTGATCTGCCCACCTCACCCTCCCAAAGTGCTGGGATTACAGGCATGAGCCACTGTGCCCTGCCCTAATTTTTTTTTTTTTTTTTTTTTGTAGAGATAAGGTCTCACTATGTTGCCCAGATTGATCTTGAATTCCTGGCCTTAAGTAATCCTCCCACCTTAGCCTCCCAAAGTGTTGGCATTAAAGGCATAAGCCACCATACCCTGCCAACATACGTAACTTAATCATATCTGCAAAGTCCCTTTTACCATGTGAGGTCACATCCACACGTTCTGGGGATTAGGACGTGGGCATCTTTTTGGGTGCCATGATTCAGTGCCACAGTGGGTACACAGCAAGCCAATGATGGGGGTAATTAAGTTAACATTAAATGTCCCATGAGTTCTATGTTATAGAGCAGTGATCATGTCCCTGGGGTGTGAGGTGATCCACTGAGGACCAGGAAGAAGAGATGAGATTATTGCTTAAGATTAAGCAAGAAATCAGGTTTTATGAATATTCACTCTGAGCTGACGCTGGCTCTCTGTACCCATGATGGTCTGGTCAGAAAAACAGAAAATGCACTGGTTAGTTTAGCAGAGAGAATTTAATATTGGTCATTGGTGGAACAAGGAATGGAGGACTAAAGAGGCAGAAGGGGGACCTGAGGTCACAGGCGGGGACACCCCTCAGGCTTGGTGGCACTGCGGTGGTGGCTCCTCAGCTGTCACCCAAGGGAAACTTGCAGGATGAATGGGAGTTTCACAGTGAAGTCCCATCGCCAGTCTGTTAGCTCTTTTTTTTTTTTTTTTTTTTAATGAGACAGGGTCTGGGTCTGTCAATCCAGGCTGGAGTGCGGTGGTGCAATCTCAGCTCACCACGACCTCTGCATCCTGGGCTCAAACAATCCTCCTGCCTCAGCCTCCCAAGTAGCTGTGAAAAAAGGCATGCGCCACCACACCTGGCTAATTTTTATATTTGTTGTAAACATGGGGCCTCACTATGTGGCCCAGGCTGGTCTTGAACTCTTGGGCTCAAGCAATCCGCCCACCTTGGCCTCTTAAGTTGCTGGGATTACAGGTCTGAGCCACCACACCTGTGTGTTAGATCTTAAAATATGGCAACATATGTTGGTGAAGTATTGGCTTAGTAGAGTGGATCTGTAGCTTCTGGCACCTATCTTGTCTGGTTCTAACTAAATTCGATGTATGCCTTAAAAAGATTCATACAAAGGAACTGTGGAATGAAGGAAACACTAATAAGCCAAGCAGAGTAAAGAGTGAGAACGTATCAGAGCAGCTATCTTATTCCTGGCCTGAGCTCTTTATCAGACATATCCCAAGGTAAAAACAAAGGCAGCTAGCCAGTCAGTCCCACAGAGGACAGTCACACAAACCCTAGTTATCCAGAAGTCTATTCGAAGTACAGATTAGAAAATCCATCCCTGTTGACAATAATCCTCACCCCAAATGCATATTTTGCCTTGAGATGTAATGGAAACCATCATAATTAGCAAGACATTAAAAAGAATGTTGTTTGTTTAATCTTTTACTCGGCATTTAGAAATTTCCATTTTGGCTGGGTGCAGTGGCTCACGCCTGTAATCCCAGCACTTTGGGATGCCGAGGAGGGTGGATCACCTGAGGTCAGGAGTTCAAGACCAGCCTGGCCAACATGGTTAAACCCCATCTCTACTAAAAATACAAAAATTGGCCAGGCATGGTGGTGTGTGCCTATAATCCCAGCTACTTGGGAGGCTAAGGCAGGAGAATCCTGAATCTGGGAGGTGCAGGTTGCAGTGAGCTGAGATCACACCGCTGTACTCCAGCCTGGGCAACACAGCAAGACTCCATCTCAAAAAAAAATCCATTTTGACAGGAGTTTTATGATTATACATAAAATATGAGAGCAGCAATGCATATATATAATTCATAAGTTTTAAGATACACATATATGGTGGGCACCTGCGGGAAAGGTTTTGCCCATTAGGATCTATGATCTAAACACTTTGGAGACTCCTGCCCTGAAGAATTCATGTCTATGAGCTATCCAAAAACCCAGACCAGGCCGGGCGTGGTGATTTATGCCTGTAATCCCAGCACTTTGGGAGGCCAAGGCAGGCAGATCACTTGAGGTCAGGAGTTCAGGACCAGCCTGGCCAACATGGCAAAACCGCATCTCTACTAAAAATACAAAAATTAGCCAGGTTTGCGGTATGCGCCTGTAATCCCAGCTACTCGGGAGACTGAGGCAGGAGAATCACTTGAACCCGGGAGGCAGTGGTTGCAGTGAGCCGAGATTGTGCCATTGCACTCCAACCTGCACAAGAAGAGCAAAACTCCATCTCAAAAAATAAAAAAAAACTCAGATTAAACAATGATTATAGATGTTTTATGAAATCAATCAAGAAAGTTCATAAAGAGGATGACCACAATTTTTTTTCTGTCTGCAAGATCCGTATTTGTTGTGCTGTGCCACATTAATAATTACGTAACAATTATATAATGTATATATCCAGGCCTTGATAATTGCCATTGTCTACAAGATGCTCTAGAAGTCCAAAGGGAAAACGAGCCTGAGAAAGTCCAATAGGGCTTCACAGAAAAGGTGGCATTTAAACTAGGCCTTGCTTGGAGCTGGAGAGTTCCATGTGGCTAGGGAGGCCTCACAGTCGTGGTGGAAGGTGACAGGCAGGTCTTAATTAATGAAGCTTTAAATGTTTTTTCACTGGGGCCAGGCATGGCAGCTCACACCTACAATCTCAGCACTTCAGGATTACTTTTTTTTTTTTTTTTTAAAGCAGAGGGTCTGTAACTTTCACCAGATTCTTAAGGAGTCTGTGACCTGGGAGACTTTTAAGAGTGGGAGAGCTGTGAGGCCATGCTCAGGCTGGATGCCAGTTGTGGGACCCCTCGCTTCACCTCTCTGAGCCTCAGCTTCCTCATCTGTGCAATGGGGCAGCCTCGCGGACGTGCAGGATTGCTGTTCTGGACAGGCAGAGCCTGGGATCCAGAGGAGCCCAGCGCCCGCCAACTGCAGCGCCCAGCACCAGCAACCCCAGCACTGGGGGCTGACTCCATTCTTCTCCCCAGGGCTACACCAGCTCTAGCTTCCTGGCCGCCAGTTTCCCCAGCAACTTCATTTTGTTTATTTGCAATGGCTTCTTGGGGTCTCCTGGAGAAAAGATTCTCAGCGGAGTTCCAGAAAATGAATGCACTCTGCCTGTGCTCGGAGAGCTCCCAGCTGTTCTCTTGGCTGGCCGGCTCAGAAGAAATGATGTTAGGAATGTTTATCTCAGAGGAAGCGGAAGAGCTCCTTTCAGCAAAATAAGAATGAACCACAAAACGAGGTGCAGGGGGCCTTGTCAAGACATCGTAGCGTGGTGCCATGGGAACATCCACTTCCTTTGTCCTGCCTCAGCTGACAGTGCCTCAGAGATGCCCTGAGTTACGTCAGCCAGGCTGGCATCCAAGGGGCTCCTTACTGGCTCACAAGACACGTTGCTTTTTCAGGACCAGAGAGACTTGGAGGTCCTCCCCTGCAGCCCCAAGCCTTTGTTTAGGCTGTGCTGTGAGGCTGGCTCTCTGTGGTCAGCATCTCAGTGTCCCTGCCTGGCCAGCAAAGGGGTGACATTTTCCTTGGGTGCCCTCTTGCAACATTGCGTTAAATTCTCAAAAAGGTGCAAACCCTTAGGGTGAAGTTTGTGTCTAGAATATAATGGTTAAGGGCCTCGGTTCTGGAGTCAGAATGACCAGGGTTTGGGTCCCGGCTCCATTGCTTTATAGCTGCCTGAGCCTCCATTTCCCAGTGTGTGGAATAGCTGGTAACCAGCATTCTTACTCCCATGGGTGTTGGAGACTTGAATGAGATCGTCATTACAAAGCGTTCAGCACAGGTTAAGTGCTGATAGGCGGAAAGGAGATAATCAGTGGTAGAGATTATTATTTTAGTTGTCTGCTTATAAAATCAGAAAATGGGAAATAGAAAAATACAAAGAAGAAAGTGCATGTAGCCCCACGGCGCGGCGATCCGCGCCACTGGCCTTTTGTTAGCTGTCCTTCCTGTTTCTTTTTCCTGTGGGTGTGTATGCATGTGTATATTTCATAGGATCTGGTCATAGTTGAATGAGGATAGTTTATGTATGTATAGACATGTTAGTTTTTTCTTAATACCAGGCATAATATATCTTAACCCACTTTTTTAAAACTTAAAAATATATGGAGAACACATTCTCCAAATCATTACATTTTACCATATTGCATATTTTTTTACTTTGTAATGTTTCAAAGTAAGGATGTGTTTTAGAATCAATGTCAAAAGAAATGTGCCAGCTATTTCTTTTTTTTCCCCCCTAAAATGGGGGTTATGATGACACTGGTAATACAAATAACAAATGATGGCTTCTCAGATTCAAAGAAACACAGCAGACTAAAAGATCCTTCTTAAATTCCACAAAGGATTCCTCAGTGCCACTGTTGTCACTAACTCAATTGACCTCTATTTTTGGACATTTTGGCTCCTTCGGTTTTTTTTCACTATTACCCACCATGCCACACAATAGAGTCTGCAGGAAACGCAATTCAATGGGCCAACGGGCCCTGAGGGATGGAGGTGAGGTGGAAGGTGGAGGGACCTGAGAATTTCTGTTAAGGTCATGGCCAGCCTGTGCTGACCTTGTAGGGAGAAAGATGGGGGATAAGTATCCCAGCCTCCCTCCCCACCCTCCCTCACATCTCATGCCAGGGCTCCCCCAGTGGGAAGCAGAGAGGGTGAGGAAGGGGGAGGGTATGGTTCTCAGGCCAGCCCCTGGGCAGAGAAAGAGTGACCCTGGTTGGGCAGCCCTATGGCCCTGTGGAGCTGAGATGCCAGCTTTAGATGGGGGGACTTACAACACGGGCTTTCCCTTCCCCAGTGGAACAGAAGGCGCCGGCGAGAGGCCCTCCTTGTCAGCACCAGGGACAGATTGCTCAAGAATCTGTGTGCTCCAAGGCACAAGAGGGGTGCTGTCTCCTTTCCTGGAGTTCCGTCTCATGCCTACGTTTCAGGTAGGATGCTATTTTTAAGTGACTGGCACCATGGATCAGTACACTTGGAGGGAGGAGAGGGGATGCCACACATAGCAGGGGTGGGTGCTGTGAGCAGGGGTGGGGAGAGGAAAGGGGGCTGCGTTCGAGCCACTCTGACAATGAGGCTGAGGGCTGGCTGGCTGTCACACCCACGGCCGACATTAATCACATCCTGCCTGGCACTCCCCAGCAGCTCTGACACATGTGGCCGCACCCCACTTCTGGAAAGCTCCCTGCTCAGGCTCTGCAGAGCACTTCTCGCAACACTTCCCTTGCTGGATCCATGCCCCCAGCATGGATTCCTTCAGCCTGGCTCTGGCCAGGGGTGGGCTCTGAGCCACCATGGGACTGAGGCAGAACACACTGTACAATGCAAGGCTGAGCACGCTGGGCCCCTTCGGGATGCTGGCGGTTATGTGGGCGGTGGGACGGGTGGGGTGACATGGAACACACCTCAGTCGCTCCTCCAGCTAGGGTTTTGGGGTTGCAAGCAACGGAACCTGGCTCTTGCTAACCATGTTGGGGCTGGACGCAAGGGTTTACGGGCAGGACCTGAGCTAGCTACAGAGTGGAGAGGTAAGATGAGAGCCAGCCCACAGGAAGGCCGGAGTGGAACAGTGTTGGGAGCCTGAAAGATGGGGACTAACAAGCAGCCTCTGGCTGGGAGGTTCTGCCGGGATCAATTTCCTCCATGCTACAGAGGGGACTTGCTCAGGGCCACGTGGCTAATTGGAGGCATGGACAATCTCCGAACTCAGACCTCTGACGGATGCGGTCCTCTGACCAGTCTAAAGCTGGGTCCTCCCAGCTCAGTGACGCTGTCCTCACAGGAATGCCTAATGGGGCTTCCTCCCTGCCCATCCCAACCCCTGGGGCCACACATTGCTTATTTTGGATTACACCGGGCAGCCTGTGCCCCGGGCAGAGGGAGGGAGAGCTTGGGCAGGACTGGGGAGTGTGACTCATTTCTGTCTACCCAGCCAAGCACCAAAGGCGATGCTGGCAAGCGGGAGACGGTCCACAGCCACTCACCGGCAGCCAGAAGCCAGGCTCAGGACAGCGAGGCCTCAGCTTACACAGAGGCCACCAAAGAATGGCCCGGCAGGACAGGACGCCAAACCTCATTTATCTGAGCAGTGCAAGGCTGCCTGGTCAGTGTCCACTCCACACCCAGGCCCTCCTCTCTTTGCTGTGGCCACAGCAGATGTGCCAGCTGCCCCATTGCTGCACAACGCCAAGCCTCCATCCAACTCGTCCTGAACACCCTTCCCCCGTGTCCTTCCTATCTCCGTGAACATGGCAGTCAGAAATCCAATGCCTGGTGTCACGACTTCCCAGCTGTAGATCTTGGGCGAGTTGCATCCCTTCTCTCTGCCTCAGTTTCCTCCTTTGTAGCATGGGGATAAGACCTTCTTTACAGGGTTTAACAGCCAGGAATCAGGTGTGCAAAAGCGGAGGCATGGTTCATCACAGGGGCCTGCTGTGGCGGCTGTCCTCCTCCTAATAGCCACATTCCCCGGACCCAGCCTGGAGGAGTGTGCCATCCCCCGGTTTGCTCTCCCTCTTCCCGTCTCGGTGATCCAGGCCATAAAAAATGGCTCCTCCCAGATGCCATAAGATAGAAGCTGCATTGCCCTCGTGGCAGGAAGGGGACATTTGGGCTACTTCAAACCAAACCAAACAAAAAACTCACTGTCATCAATTCTTGCCTTCTAAAGGGAGGGGCACATTTCATCTTGGGGATGCTGGCCTGGGGATTCCACTTAGCCAAGAGCAGAGGAAACATCATTTCCAAGCACCAGCTAGTGCTCTGTGCTGCTAAAAGTCCCAGAGTATCCTGTCCTGGCTCAGTTGAGCCCCTTACTGAGCTCAGGACTCTTTTGGCTGCCAATGACAGAAATTCAACCTGAATCACTTACAACAAAAATAATGTATATTATATATTATAAAATATATATCAATATATAGATATATTTTTGAGATGGAGTTTCACTCTTGTTGCCCAGGCTGGCATGCAATGGCGCAATCTCAGCTCACTGCAACCTATGCCTCCCAGGTTCAAGCGATTCTCCTGCCTCAGCCTCCCAAGCAGCTGGGATTACAGGCGCCCACCACCACACCTGGCTAATTTTTTGTATTTGTAGTAGAGACAGGGTTTCACCATGTTAGCCAGGCTGGTCTTGAACTCCTGACCTCAGGTGATCCACCTGCCTTGGCCTCCCAAAGTGCTGGGATTACAGGTGTGACCCACCGTGCCCGGCCGAGCAAAAATAATATCAATAGCTCACTTAACTGGAAAAAAGCCCCTGCAGGTGAGTCTAGCTTCAGGCACAACTGGATCCAGGGACTCAAATGATATCTCCCCTTCCCTCGGCTCTGCTTTCCTCCGTGTGGTGATGTCACTTTTTAGATATCTTCATCCACTTGAGCAAGGATGATAGTAGCTCCAGGCTCTGTGGCAGGTTGTGTATTCTAAATTTGGCCACACCAACATACGTCCCATCCACGTGTCGTTTGTAACCCTCTCAACCAATGGAAAATGTTGGAAGTGACATTCTATGACTTTTGAGGCTGGGTCCTGAAAGGCAATCCAGTTCTGCCGGCATCCCTCTCTTTGGGGACACTTAGCCCTTGGAGGCCAGCACCATACTGTGCCTATTCCTGACCTCCAGAGTCCATAAGCTTAATCAATACTTGTTTTACGCCACTAAGTTTTGGGGTAATTTGCGATGTGCCCTGCTATAGCTTTCGTGATCCCCATAGGTCAGAATTGAGGAAATAGACCTTCATCCTTCCAACACCATTGGCCAGTTCTTAGTAAAGATTCAGAGCAATCCAGCCTGCATGCCGGTCACATCCCTAAATCAGTGACTGTAGCCAGAGGGATGGGGAACTCTGGCTGGCTAGGCTGGACCATGAGCATCCTCTGGCTTGATGAAGGGTGGGGACAAGGAGCTCTGACCTTGTCAGGACCACAGGGAGTTGGCTGGAGTTGAGGAGAGGTGGAAGCCACTATCAGATGGACAGGGAGAGATGGCAGCCAAAGTCCATTGTCGTATAAAGGCAGGAGCTGACTGTTACTGCCCTGACTCTCGAGAAAACATTTGATTTGTTAAGGGGAAGGTGATGGAGGTTTTGGAAGGGGAACTTAGGAAAATAAGAATACAAAAATTAGCTGAGTGTGGTGGCATGTGCCTGTTGTCCCAGCTACTCAGGAGGCTGAGACAGGAGGATCACTTGAGGCCAGGAGATCAAGGCTGCAATGAGCCTTGATTGCACCACTAAAACTCAAGCCTGGTCAACAAAGCAAGACCCTCTCTAAAAATAAACATGGCCAAGTGCAGTGGCTCATGCCCATAATCCCAGGACTCTGGGAGGCCAAAGTGGGCAGATCACTTGAGGCCAGAAGTTGGAGACCAGACTGGCCAACATGGTGAAACCCCGTTTCTACTGAAAATACAAAAACTTAGCTGGGTGTGGTGATGCATACCTGTAAAACCAGCTGCTTGGGAGGCTGAGACAGGAGAATTGCTTGAACCCAAGAGGCAGAGGTTGCAGTGAGCCAAGATCATGCCACTGCACTCCAGCTTGGGCAACAGAGTGAGACTCTGTTTCAAAAAATAAGATAAATAAAAGAAAAAAGAAAAAGAAAAACAAGAGTAATACTGCTTTTCCTACCATACATGGATAGGATTTGAAGAAAGCAGGAGAATGACAAGCTAGCTGAGCAACTCATGCCAGAGTCAGCCATGTTTTGTGAGGAACTAACATTTACCCAGGGCCCGTGCTGTGCCCAGCCCCGCATTAGGTGTTTTCTGTTCATTCTCATTTAATGAGTCTGCAGCTCTTGGAGGGCCAGGACCGTGCCTGTAGGGCAGCATTGACTGTGTTCATCAGAACACGTTCTGGCTGCTAGAAAAAAAGGCCAAAATGACAGTGGCTTAAACAAGATAGAAGCTTGTTTCTTTCTCATGAAACAGCCCCAGATTGAGCCTAGCAAATTTGGGTGCCCTTTGGTGTCTATCTGGCTGGTCTGCCAAGCCTAATATGTGGTTTCCATCTTAACATCTGAGATGGGGCTGCCTCAGCTCCGGCCAGCAGGTCCACATTCCAGCCAGGCAAGGAGGCAAGAGGAAATGAGAGCAAGGCCCAGAGCTTTATTCGTGTCTTCCACTTACATCTCACTGGCCAGAACTGTGTCACGTGGCTGTGTTGATCCAGAACCCAAGAGAGGGTTCTTGGATCTTTCACAGGAAAGAATTCAAAATGAGTCTTAGAGTGCAGTGAGAAGAAATGGCTTATTGAACACTACTCAGTGACAGCCCAGAAAGCCCAGAAAGTTACAGCCCAGAAAGAAAGTTATACCCTCAGAAAGCAAGAGGAGGAGTGCCTCATCATCATTTTAAATTCCTCTTACTAAGACGCCTTATCTATGGAAAAGCTAAGCTGTGTCTACTCCATGCGGATGGGCTCACAGCATGACGTTTCTTACTTTGCTGATTTAAAGAAAACTATGCTTGGCACTTAGTGCATAAATACATCCCAGCACGACTATCATGATCCTGAAAGCATACACTGTTATGGGTGTTGGGACATCTGGACATTCCGTTGTCAGAGGAGTGTGTTCTTGCAGGTATCATCAGGCCATTTCCTCAACTGTAAACATCTTACGACCATGGAGTGTGACCAACCAGGAATGTGTCTTGCTAATTTTAAGATAGTGCTGAGGTTTTTGTTTGTTTGTTTGTTTTTGTTTTTGAGACAGAGTTTCGCTCTTGTTGCCCAGGCTGGAGTGCAATGGCGTGATCTCAGCTCACTGCAACCTCTGCCTCCCAGGTTCAAGTGATTCTCCTGCCTCAGCCTCCAGAGTAGCTGGCATTACAGACGCCTGCCACCACGGCCAGCTAAATTTTTTTTTTTTTTGTATTTTTAGTAGAGACAGGGTTTCACTGTGTTGGTCAGGCTGATCTTGAACTCCTGACCTCAGGTGATCCACCTGCTGTGGCCTCCCAAAGTGCTGGGATTACACGTGTGAGCCACTGCACTCTGCCAGAGCTGAGTTTTTAGGTGGTGTCACCCTGGCTCTCCTATATTCTTCTTTCTCTAACAGCCACATCTAGCTGCAAGAGAGGCTGGTAATGCAGCTTTTAGCGCTTGATCCTGTGCCCCATGGAAACTCAAGGGCTCTAATGCTAAAGGAAGAATGAGAAGATGGATATTGGATGATAACTGGTAGACTCAGCCTAAGACACTCGAAACTGAAGAGCTGGCAGTGCCCTAATGATAGCCCCTATGGGACAGTGGTTTACAGCCTGGGCCCTACAGGCCGGGCGCGGTGGCTCAAGCCTGTAATCCCAGCACTTTGGGAGGCCCAGGCAGGTGGATCACAAGGTCAGCTGGTTAACACGGTGAAACCCCGTCTCTACTAAAAGTACAAAAAATTAGCCAGGTGTGGTGGCGGGCATCTGTAGTCCCAGCTACTCGGAAGGCTGAGGCAGGGGAATGATGTGAACCTGGGAGGCGGAGCTTGCAGTGAGCCGAGATCGAACCACTGGACTCCAGCCTGGGTGACAGAATGAGACGCCATCTCAAAAAAAAAAAAAGAGCCTGGGTCCTAGAGTCACATGGCCAGGGAGTTTCATCTTGGCCCTACCCTTGAAATCTGTGTGACCTAAGCCTCAATTTCCTTATCCATAAAATAGGAGTGATGATAATACCACATTTCATTGATTCTTTATTTTTATTTTATTTTTTAGAGAGAGGTTCTGTGCCTAGGCTGGAGTGTAGTGGTGTGATCGGAGCTCATTGCAGCCTCAAACTTCTGGGTTCAAGTGATCCTTCTGCCTCAGCCTCTTGAGTAACTGGGGCTACAGGCATGCTACCATGTCTGGCTAATTTTTAATCTTTTTGTTGAGAAGGGGTCTTGTTCTGGTGCCCAGGCTGGCCTTGAACTCCTGGGCTTAAGCTATCCTCCCACCCCAGCCTCCCATAGCATTGGATTACAGGTATGAGCCACTGTACCTGGCTTCATATTTTATTGATTCTAAGATTTGAATTTTAACATCTCTAAAATTAGGATGTATTTACAAGTAATGATGTGTTTAGTTGACAGATTTTTTTTTTAATTCTTAAAACCATAGTAACATAGTGTTGTGTCTTACAACTAATGGTGACTAGGATTTCATAAAATACAAGTGCTATTTTGATGATAACATCATTAATAGCATATGCATACTCTTAATAAAATTCTTAATATAATAGAATATAGAGTGTTGAAATTCATATATATTCATTTGAATAGTTCCAGAACTATGGTAAGAACTCAGTAAATGTCAGCCATTATTCCCATCACCAAGTGCCCCCAGCATGTAGGAAGTGGCTCATTTACCTGGAGCTAAAGGAATACCCAGGGCGGGGTCAGTCTCTAAACCACCCACCTGTAGGTGAGGCAAAGAGCCCAGCAGGTTCTTCCTCCACCCTACACACCACTCAGATTCTAAAAATCAACTCTGCAGTTGCTGGCTAGATGGAGGGAGAGTGGGGCAGGTGGAGATTGCTCTCCCACCTGTAGGTTAGGGTTAGGTTAGGGTTAGGGCTTAGGGTTAGGGTTAGGGTTTAGAGTTAGGGTTAGGGTTAGGCTTTAGGGTTAGTGTTAGGGTTTAGGTTTATTGTTAAGATTAGGTTTTAGGGTTCCGGTTAGGGTTTAGGTTTAGGAGTTAGATTTAGGGTTAGTGTTAGGGTTAGGGTTTAGGTTTTGGCTTACATTTATGGTTTAGTGGCAGGGGTAGGGTTTTGGGTTGGGTTAGTGTTTAGGGTTAGGGTTAGGGTTAGAGTTATGTTTTAGGGGTAGGTTTAGTGTTTCGGGCTAGGGTTAGGGTTCGTGTTAGGGTCTGAGTTGGGGTTAGGGTTATGATTAGATTTATGGGTTATGGCTTTGGGTTATGGTTAGGTTTCTGGGTTAGGGTTGGATTAGTGTTTAGGTTAAGGGTTAGGTTATGTTTTGGGTTGGCTTTAGCTTTTTGGGTTAGCATTTGAGTTTAGTGTTAGGGTTAAGGTTAGGGTGTTAAGGTCATGAATTAGGGTTAGAGTTAAGGTTAGTCTTTAGCGTTACAATTAGGGTTAGTGTTAGGGTTAGGATTAGGGTTACTGTTAAGATTACTTTTCCTGTGATCCCGGGATTTGTTTTTTGTGGCTGCATAGCAAATGCTCATCTGCTAAGTCACTTAAAAGAATAAGCATTTATTCTCCCACAGTGCTGCGGGACACAAGTGTGGCGTTAAAAGGACCATGCTCACTCCTAAGGCTCTGTGCCAGGACCTTTGTAGCCTCTCCCAGCTTCTGTGGGCTTTGGGCATTCCTGGGCTTTCCTTGTTTCATAGACGCATCTCTTCCTCCATCTTCATGCGCCTTCCCCTCTGTGTGTCTCTGTGTCCTCTTCTTTTCAAGACACTGTCATTGTATTTAAGCCCCATCCTATTCCAGTGGAACATAATTTTTAACTAGCTACACCTGCAAAGACCCTATTTCCAAATGAGGCAACATTCTGAGGTTTTGGGTGGACATGCATTTTTGGGGGTTATCTTTCAGCCCCGAACAACTTGGTACTGCAGTGCTCCCTGCCTGATTTTGGTTGACTCTGTTCTCCACTTTCTCTTTTTTGCTTTTTTTTACTCCCTGGCTCATCTGTCGGTTCTGCAAGGCATCTCCAACACCAGCCATTGTGAACAGTCTGTTCAGTGCAGACAGAAAAGGTGGCACCCATCCAGAATGTCCTGTGGGCTGCTGTTAGAATATTATCAGTTAGAGAAGAGATGAGGGAAAGATAAACCCAGGAGAAATAATTAGTAGAAAGGAATGTCACATGGCATGAACTCACTCCAGCACATAAAAATATGTTACCAAATTTCCTTGGAGTTCTATTTATTCTTTTTTTTTTCTTTTCAGTGAAAACAAAAACAAAAATATTCTAGTTAAGCACTGAACTTGTCAAAGCACAAAGACAGCATAAGAAAGTTTGAGTTTAGGGCATCAGCTCTTCTCTTTGTTAAGGTGAAAAGGAAATAAACAAGGCAAAGATGTTGTCATTGAATGTCACAGAAGAGATTGTTCTACCAAGGGCCAGAACCAGAAGGAAGCCTCTTAAGAGTCTTCAGGGTTTGTTAATTGTGATTGGCCTGTGGGCACACTTGGGTCACAGTAGTGCAACGATGCTCTGGGGATTGTTTAAAAGGCACCATGCACTTGGTTTTACTAGAATTATGGAAAAAGTTTTATGAGGTCAGGTTTAATTATTTAAAAACTGGAAGGGATCTTAAGAAATCATATATCTCAGTGTTTCCCAGAACCGTATCAGCCTTAACACATTTTTTTTTGAGATAGGGTCTCACACTGTTATCCAGGCTGGAGTGCAATAGTGGGACCACAGCTCACTATAGCCTTGAACTCCTGGGCTCAAGCAATCCTCCTGCCTTAGCCTCTCGAGTGGCTGGAACTATAGGTGTGCACCACTATGCCAGGCTAATTTTTAAAAATTTTTTCTTAGAGATGGGGTCTTGCTATTGTTGCCCAGGCTGGTCTCAAACTTCTGGACTCAAGGGATCCACCTGCCTTGGCCTCCCAAAGTGTTGGGATTACAGATGTGAGCCATCAAACATGACCAACACTGTTTTTTTAGCAATGAATATTTTGTAATGCTTTATTATTCTGAAATGAAATTCATAGAAAATCTAACCCACCTACAAACCAATTGCAAAAAGAAAAAGAAATCAATATAATGCCCTGACTGTAACATAGAGAAAAATTGCAAAAGGATAGTCAATTATAATAAAATAATGTAGATTTTACAAGGTGAATGTTCGGGTCTGGCCATATCAGGTGACATGATGAAGTGGCCTGATGCTTGTACCTAGCCAGACAGTCACATAAACATGACAGCCACAGGTGCACGTGGACACAGCTGTGTCATGTGGAGGCTCAAAGACCATGAAGGTACTGCTGCTGGTGATGGGATTTTCCCAAATCCTGGACAACTCCAGAGGGAGTTCTCCCCTGATCACACAGTGGTTGCATTCCCAGAATATCTAATGTATATGACAATGATGCAAAAAACAGACACACCCAGAGTTTGGTTCTGGACCCATGTTTTACAAGAGGGTTTTTCATTTACCAGGGCCTGGTGGGACAGTGAAAAGCAGAGGGATTGGGGGAGTTCTTCATCTGGGGGACTGTCCCACTTGTTGTACCCCTGAAAACTTCCAGAAGGCCCCCGGGGGTAGCACAGCCTCTGTAGAGGACGACTGATCTCTGCTGTTGGTCACTTTTTAAGGTCAGCAAAATGAGGCCTAACGAATGCCACACAGCCGAGTCATAACAGAGCTGAGTGTCCTGGAGGGATGTGGCGGACGGGCCTGGGACGCCCTCAGCACAGGGCTCTTCCCTTCCAGCTCCAGTCCTTCGTTCCTGCTGAGGGAGGGCAGAGGCTAGGAGACATGGAAGCTTCCAGCCTATGTGGCCTTCTGAGCTGCCATGCCACTGAACTAGCATCCTGGAAAGAGAAAATCCCATGCAACCTGGATGTTGCTTTACTACAGTGAAGAGTTTAGAGCAATACTTTGGAATCAGACAGGCCTGGGCCCAAGTCCTGGCTCTCCCATAGACTGGCTGTGGGCTCATGGGCAAGTTCCTTAATTTCTCTTTGAGCCTCAGTTTTCTTCACTGTAAAATGGGGTTAATAGCATTCCCCAATTCCAGGGGAGTTGAGAGTACTTAGTGCAAAAGATGCATGTAAAATGCCTCCTTTACTTTTTTTTTTTTTTTTTTTGAGACTGAGTTTCACCCTTGTCGCCCAGGCAGGAGTGCAATGGTGTAATCTTGGCTCACTGTAACCTCCACCTCCCAGGTCCAAGCAATTCTCCTGCCTCAGCCTCCTGAGTAGCTGGGACTACAGGCGTGCACCACCACACCCGGCTAATTTTGTATTTTTAGTAGACATGGGGTTTCTCCATGTTGGCCAGGCTGGTCTCAAACTCCTGACCTCAGGTGATCCTCCGCCTCAGCCTCCCAAAGTGCTGGGATTACAGGTGTGAGCCGTTATGCCTGGCCTCGCCTCCTTTACTTTTTACCTGGTAGCATGGGAAGCTGCCTGCAGTGAACTTGAGAAAGTGACACAAGAGCCTCAGCCTGGGAGGCTGGAGCAAGGAAAATCCCTTTTCGAGGAATCCTCCACCGCCTGGTTTGTTTTATAATTTCAGGGGCACTATGCACACTGACACATTGTGCACACCTCCATCTAGTTCTAGAACATTTCCATCACCCCACAAAGATACCCCATATCTGTTGTCAGTCACTCCTCATTCCCTCATCCCTCTGGCCCCTGACAGCCACCCATCCACTTTCTGTCCCTGTAGACTGGCCACACTGGGCCTCTCATGTAAATGGAATGAATCGTGTAATACGTGGTCCCTTGTGTCCGACTTCTGTCACTCAGCATCATGTTCAAGGTTCATCGCGTTGTAGGGTGTGTCAGAGCCTCGTTCCTCTCTATGGCTGATGGTATGAGTTGTATGGATGGACCGCGTTTCGTTTATCCACTCCTCAGCGATGGACATTTGCTTTTTCCTACTTTTCGGTGACTGTGAGTCATGCTCCACTTTGAACATCCTGGCCCCTGGCATGTCATCAGGGTGGAATGAGAGTGAGCTGGGTCTCTTCTGAATCTAGGCCTTTGTTTTGGGTGAAAGGACAAATCTGAAAGCCTTTGGAAGAAGACAGACCTGGGTTTGGATTCTGATTCCATACAAGTCACCAGGTGCCTCAACCTCTCTGAATCCCAGTTTCTTCATCAGACAAAGGGATAGTTATGAGGCATCGACATGACATTTGTGTGTGATCAGCACATCGTAGGGATCCAACAAATGGTCTCATTTGTGTCCAGCCAGCTCCTTCAATGCCTTAATTATTGCACTGCAGCCTGGGTAGGGCATCCCTTCTCCCAGCTCTAAGGTATGGATTCCCATGGGTTCTAGTCAGGGGTACACTGTGGCCAGTTCGTAGGGCTCACGAGAGCCGATGGTGAGCGTCTCTTCCCTACTCCACACTCAGGGACTTTGCATTGGTACCTTGAAATCAACCAAAGTGGGAGTGTTTATATCCTGGAAATCAGCAAACCTTCAAAGTGGGGCTTACCCCAACCCCTGACCTCTGGAGAGCCAGTTGTTAAACATTTACCAACAACCACAGGTTCTAGTATTTTCTGTTAAGCTGGCCTGGTGGCAACAGGCCAGAGAGTTCAGGAGAGAGTAAGGCAGGACAGCTCAGGGGTTAAGCCCGAGGATGCTGGAGCAGACATGTGATCTTGGTCCTGGCCGGCAGGCCTGCCAGTGCTGCAGAATCTGTGAGCTCCACGTCCTCACTGTCTCCATCTCCTTTGGCACTCAGCTGCAACAGCAGGACCTGGAGGCAGGTCTGCTGCATGGGACATGGGGTGTGGGGACTTCTGGGGAAAGCATTCCTTTCCAGTAAAAGTGATGCAAAGGAGGAGATGCCTCCTCTTCTTGGATGTTTTCATGTCCATACAGTGACTCCTGGAGCTGCAGCAGCCATCATGTGACCTTTCCAGAAGGGTGTGGACTGGAGACAGTGGGAGAAGCAGGGCCCCAGGTCCTTCCTCAATGCCACCATCCTCCACCCTGGACTCAGGCTTATGCTTTCTTTTTCCTCTTTCCTGTTGAATTTGACCACTGGCATTTCACTAAAACAAAGGCAAATCTCCAACCCACATGTCACAGCCAGGAAGGAGGCCTGACACCCCCAGGCCCTCAGGACTCAGCACTGGATGCACAACTTTCAGGGAGCGCAGGAAGCTCGGGGAGCAGAAGCCACTCTCAGGGGCTCCTGAGCCAGGGGACAGAGCAACAAGGACAGCACTTCCCACCCCAGCATGCCGCTCCAGCCTCTACACTGTGACCACAGGGCTTTCAGGTGGGGCAAAGGGCTCTGCCCGGCAGGCAGCGTGACGCCCATGCTGCCAGACTGAGGCCCTGAGTCCGGTCCTGATGCCAACAGTTGAGGATCCTGGGGCCAGCCCCTGTCTTTGCCATCCTCTGGCCCTGCACTCTCATACCTGTAAGCTCAGCACTTTGGGAGTCCAAGGTGGGCAGATCATGAGGTCAAGAGATCGAGACTAGCCTGGCTAACATGGCAAGACCCCGTCTCTACTAAAAATACAAAAATTAGCTGGGTGTGGTGGTGGGCACCTGTAGTCCCAGCTACTCGGGAGGCTGAGGCAGGAGAATCGCTTGAACCTGGGAGGCAGAGGTTGCAGTAAGCCGAGATCGTGCCACTACACTCCAGCCTGGTGACAGAGTGAGACTCTGTCTATAAATCAGTCAATCAATTAATCAATCACTGGTCCACGTGCCTTCACCCACACCCTCTCCCAGTCTGAGGTCCAAGAGTCTGGGGTTCAGGCTCCTTCCTGCATGGACAGATCCATCCCTGATGGCACCCTCTAGAGACAAAGGCAAGAAGGCCATGGGCAGAGATGTGGCATGTCGTGGCTGCACTCAGAAGAGGAAGAAAAGACCACCAGATATTTTAGCTGCTGTATTTTAAACATCAGGACACGGAGGCTGAAAATAGATAATGATTGTGGAAAGCCAAACAGCTGACATGTTTATCCATCTCATTCATCACTCCTTCTTCCCTCAGCAATTGGTCTTGGGCAGCCCCTGCTTCTGACAACCCCTGACATTCACTCTGCCCTGGGTCTCTGAGGTCTTCTAGAACCCAGGACTCCACCAACCTCCCAGAGCCTAGGTGAAAATCTGTGCAGGGGAGGGGGGCCTATGGGGAACCCAGGGTGTCAGGAGGTGAGGGGAGACAAGAATGGGGTGAAGCAGCCTCATGAAGCAAGGAGAGCCTCAGACGCACCCCCCAGCACAGACATCTGTGAGATGTCTGCCTTGGGGGCCTTGATGGGATCCAGCGGTTCTGAGTCCAGCCTCAGGAGCCCCTGCGGTGGAGCTCTGAGTGGGGCAGGGGCCTGGGAGATGCCAGAAGGATGAGAGCAGGGCCCCCCTGGTCCAGGGGACAGTAAGAGGTAGCCAGTCCCAGAGAAGCGCCCCCACAAACTGTTACCCGTGGTGTGCAAAGCGTCCTGCAACCCCAGCCCTCACCAGGACTTCTTGCATTTTTCAGGAAAGCAGTTGTGATTGGCATGGTTCTTAAGCGTCTGCAGGAAGCTGTGGCCTTTTTGGTATTTCAGGAGGGGTTGCTAACCCCCCTCATTGTAGGATTGGGGTATCCCAGCTGCTAATTCCCCTCCTAACAGCCCTGCAGTGCCTGGATTGGAGGTGTGACAGGTGGCATTTTCGGCCCGAAGTCCCTAGGAAGGAGAGGTGGCTGTAGCCTGCGCATTTGTGTAAATTAACCACCCCTTTTAGTTCTGTGAAAGGAGAACTCGATTAGTTTAAAATCACCTGCGTGAAAGAGGGTCTTGATTAGTTTAAAATCACCTGTGTGAAAGGGTCACTTGATTAGTTTAAAATCACCTGTGTGAAAGAGGCTCTTGATTAATTTAAAATCACCTGTGTGAAAGGGTCACTCGGGTAGTTTAAAATCACCCACGTGAAAGGGGCCCTTGATTAGCTTAAAATCACCTGGGTGTTTCATTTTATCTCAGTTGACCTCTGAATCTTTATCCTACAGCTTCTTGCAAGCTCCAGTCTACCTTCTAAAGGAATAATGGGGCTCACCTTTCTATGTTACTTTATGTGGGAGTAGTTGTAAAACAGAATAAGGGAGACTGCGGGGATTGTGCAGAAATGTAGCACCCGTTTACGTGTTGGGAGGCTGAGGTGGGAGGATCGCTTGAGCCCAGGAGTTTGACACCAGCATGGGCAACTTGGTAAGATCCCTTCTCTACCCCCCAAAAAAAAAAATTTAGCTGGGCATGGTGGTGGGTGCCTGTGGTCCCAGCTACTCAGGACGCTGAGGTGGGAGGATTGCTTGAGCCCAGGAGTTTGACACTAGCATGGGCAACATGGTAAGACCCCATATCTACAAAAAAAGAAAAGAAAAAGATAAAAAAAGAAAAATTAGTCGGGCGTGGTGGTGGGTGCCTGTGGTCCCAGCTACTTGGGAGGCTGAGGTGGGAGGATTGCTGGAGCCCAGGAGTTTGACACCAGCATGGGCAACATGGTGTAAGAACCTGTATCTACAAAAAAAAAAAAAAAAAAAGAAGAAAGAAAAGTTAGCCGGGCGTGGTGGTGGGGGCCTGTGGTCCCAGCTACTTTGGAGGCTGAGGTGGAAGGATCACCTGAGCCCAGGAGGTGGAGGCTGCAGTAAGCTTAGATTGCAGCACTGCGGTCCAGCCTGGGTGACAGAGTGAGACCCCATCTCAAACCAGAAGCACCAAAAGGTGTCTGAGGTCAGGCACGGTGGCTCACGCCTGTAATTCCAGCACTTTGGGAGGCTGAGGTGGGTGGATCACCTGAGGTCAGGAGTTCGAAACCAGCCTGGCCAACATGGAGAAACACCGACTCTACTAAATATGCAAAAATTAGCTGGGTGTGGTGGCACACACCTGTAGTCCTAGCTACTGCAGAGGCTGAGGTAGGAGAATCGCTTGAACCTGGGAGGTGGAGGTTGCAGTGAGCTGAGATTGCACCACTGCACTCCAGCATGGGTGACAGAGTGAGACCTTGACGGGGGCGGGGTGGGGGTGGGATGGACCTTCTGGGGATGGACCTAAGATGGTGGTAGGAGCCTCTACAAGTGGAATTGTGATGTGCACAGCCTGGGTAAATGGGGTTGGCTATATTTAGACTTTAGTGGGGACATAGCCTATTATTTTTTAACACCATTGAACTCAGAATCGGGACCCAGATTTGCCAGGACAGCGCGGGACAGAGACCTCTCCTGGGCTCTGTGTCCCCTGTTAATAGACTGAGAGACAGAATGAGAGCTTCGAAGATGCTGTGGGAGGAGTGCTGGACGTCTCCAGGTGGTGAGCTCAGGAACGTGTGTGTGTGAGTGTAGCCATCAATCCTGGGCTCTGTCTGCCCTGTTAACAGACTGAGAGATGGAATGAGAGCATCCCCAGGTGGTGAGCTCAGGAAGGTGTGTGTGTGTGTGTGTGTGTGTGTGTGTGTGTAGCCATCAATCCTGGGCTCCGTCTGCCCTGTTAATAGACTGAGAGATGGAATGAGAGCGTCCCCAGGTGGTGAACTCAGAGACGTGTGTGTGTGTGTCTGTGTGTGCATGTGTGTAGCCGTCAGTCTCCCGGGCTCCGTCTTCCCTGTTAATAGACTGAGAGACACAATGAAGGCATCCCCAGGTGGTGAGCTCAGGGACGTGTGTGTGTGTGTGTGTGTGTGTGTGTGTGTGTGTGGCCACCAATCTCCTGGGCTCTGTCTGCCCTGTTAATAGAGATGGAATGAGTGCATCCCCAGGTGGTGAGCTCAGGGACACGTGTGTGTGTGTGTGTAGCCGTCAATCTCCTGGGCTCTGTCTGCCGTTAATATACTGAGAGACGGAATGAGAGCATCCCCAGGTGGTGAACTCAGGGACGTGTGTGTGCTTGTGTGTGTGTGTGTGTAGCTGTCTCCTGGGCTCCTGGGCTCCATCTCCCCTGTTAATAGACTGAGAGACAGAATGAGGGCGTCCCCAGGTAGTGAGCTTAGGGACATGTGTGTAGCCATCATTATCCTTTAGTACCTGGTCCCCGTGCCCTCCGAGCCATCCAAGGGCTTCAGGAGGCCGAGCAGAAGGAGGGTTGGTAAGTGAGTCCACGGACCACCACGCAGGCCCTGGGGTCCTTTGGAGGGTGAGCCCTGCGGGTGGGGGGATGATGGACCCGGAGGGTGTGCTCTGGGATGAGAGGGGACGTGCAGGTCGGGGGATGAAGGCTGCATTGCGGACAGAGCAGGCTCGGGACCTGGGCGCCACCTGGTGTCGACTCAGCTCACTCCTGAGCTATGCCTCTTCCTTGTCTTATAGTGGGGATAAAAAGCCATAGATGGCCGAGCGCAGTGGCTCAGGCCTGTAATCCCAGCACTGTGGGATGCCAACCCAGGAGGATTGCCTCAGCCCAGGGGTTCGAGACCAGCCTGGCCAACATCGCGAGACCCTCTTCTCTGTAAGAATTTTTTCTTTTTTTTTTTGAGACAGAGCCTTGCTCTGTTGCCCAGGCTGGACTGCAGTGGCACGATCTTGGCTCACTGCAACCTCCGCCTGCCAGGTTCAAGCGATTCTCCTGCCTCAGCCTCCTGAGTAGCTGGGATTACAGGTGTGCACCACTGTGCCTGGCTAATTTTGTATTTTTAGTAGAGACAGGGTTTCTCCGTGTTGGTCAGGCTGGTCTCAAACTCTCAACCTCAGGTGATCCACCCGCTTCGTCCTCCCAAAGTGCTGGGCTTACAGGCGTGAGCCCCTGCGCCCAGCCCTGCCTTCCTTTCTTCCAGTTTCCTGACGTGGCCACGTGTACCCCAGCAGTGCCCTCCCAGTGGTTTTGGGAGGTGAGGGAGGGGAGCGGTGGGGATTAACGTTCTTGCTAATGAGGTGGTGAGTGTCTTACTGTCTTCTCTGTTATTGATACTATGTCCTGACAGAGGAAAAGAGGGAAAAAGAACTGATTATGGTAGGATAATGTCACTTCTCTTGTTCCCAGACCAAACCGAATCTCAGCCTGCTTATTCTCACGGCCCAATAATGAGATGTGGATGAACTGGGAGAGAAGATAGGTTTTATTTCTGTAACCAGGTGCAGGGAGAAGGTCTGGAAATTATCACCAGACCGACTCAAAATTACAAAGTTTTCCAGAGCTTATATACCTTTTATATGCCTATGTGTAAGTGTGCATTCATCTAAAGACATAAGTGGGGCCGGGCGTGGTGGCACACACCCATAATCCCAGCACTTTGGGAGGCCGAGGCAGGTGGATCACCTGAGGTCAGGAGTTCCAGACCATCCTGGCTAACACGGTGAAACCCTGTCACTACTAAAAATACAAAAAATTAGCCAGGTGTGGTCGTGGGCACCTGTAGTCCCAGCTACTCAGGAGGCTGAGGCAGGAGAATTGCTTGAACCCAGGAGATGGAGGTTGCAGTGAGCTGAGATGGTGCCACTGTACTCCAGCCTGGGCAACAGAGTGAGACTCGGCCTCAGAAAAAAGAAAAAAGGCATTAACTTCTTCTAATCTATAACAAAGGTCTGAGTCCTGAAGACCTTTCTCTGGAGCCTCAGTAAATTGACTTAATGTAGGTGGGTCCAGGTGCTGTGGTGATTACCCGAGATAAGGGGAGTTTTTCAGATCCCCAGTAAAACTACGTAAACCCAAACAGGTCCTGTTAGGAATTCCTTCGTTGTCATATTTTCAAGGCCCAGGAAAGGCCTGGGCAAAACTCTTGGTGGGTCTTTGTTACATTCCAGCCTTCGTATAAGGACACTGGCTCTTTCAGGTTTGTTTTTTAATTTTTTTTGAGACAGAGTCTCACTCTGTCACCCAGGCTGGAGTGCAGTGGCGCAATCTCGGCTCAGTGCAACCTCCGCCTCCCGGGTTCACGCCATTCTCCTGCCTCAGCCTCGCGAGTAGCTGGGACTACAGGTGCCCACCACCACGCCTGGCTAATTTTTTGTATTTTTAGTAGTAGAGACAGGGTTTCACCATGTTAGCCAGGATGGTCTCGATCTCCTGACCTCGTGATCCGCCCGCCTCGCCTCCCAGAGTGCTGGGATGACAGGCATGAGCCACCGTGCCCGGCCTCTTTCAGGTTTTTATATGTAACTTCGCCACTCAGTTGGTACTGAAGCTGTTATGGAGGCCTGCCTGGGTGAGATGTGGCCGCCACACTGTGGCTGGTATTCGAAATACACAGGAGGCCGCAGCCAGCTTAGCAGAAACACCCTGTGGCTTTCAGAACTTGGTTTTGAGAGTTTCCTGTTTTCTTGACTTTCAAATACCAGTGACTTTTAAGATGCATCAGTGATGTAATAACTGTTGGGGAAAAAAAGAAAAACTATTAAAGATTCCTGTGGATGGTGAGATGACCTTGGTTTCAGAAACACCGAAACATAGAGAATTGTGCATTTTAGAATCCAATAAATCTACGCTGGGCACGGTGGCTCATGCCTGTCATCCCAGCACTTTGGGAGGCCAAGGCAGGCGGATCACCTGAGGTCAGGAATTCGAGACCAGCCTGGCCAACATAGTGAGAACCTATATCTACTAAAAATACAAAAAATTAGCCAGGCGTGGTGGCCCATGGCTGTAATCCCAGCTGTTCTGGAGGCTGAGGTGGGAGAATTGCTTGAACCCAGGAGGCAGAGGTTGCAGTGAGCTGAGACGATGCCGTTGTATTCCAGCCTGGGTGACAGAGCGAGACTCCGTCTCAAAAAAAAAAAAAAAAAATCTGATTATTTACCTGTGTACCTTCACAAGTGTTTAAAAAAAAAAAAAAAAGGCCGGGCATAGTGGCTCAAGTCTGTAATCCCAGCACTTTGGGAGGCCGAGGCAGGCGGACCACAAGGTCAGGAGATCGAGACCATCCTGGCTAATACGGTGAAACCCCGTCTCTACTAAAAATACAAAAAAATTAGCCTGGCGTAGTGGCGGGCGTCTGTAGTCCCAGCTACTCGGGAGGCTGAGGCAGGAGAGTGTTGTGAACCCAGGAGGTGGAGCTTGCAGTGAGCTGAGATTGCGCCACTGCACTCCAGCCTGGGAGACAGTGAGACTCCATCTCAAAAAAAAAAAAAAAAAAAAAAGATTACGTTGATATTTTGCCTACTATAATCTTAGAAATTTGCAATTTCCTGTCATTGAGTTTTGTAACTTTCTACCCTCTGCTGACAAAAAAAATTTAAAATGTCTCATGGCAGCCTGTGTTCTTAAAATTCGAACTGTTTATCCATAGCCCTTGAGAGAACGGTTTAATGTGAGTTGGTTGGGAGTGACCGTTGTTTGTTTTTTTGAGACAGAGTCTCACTCGCTCACCCAGGCTGGAGTGTAGTGGCGTGATCTCAGCTCACTGCAAACTCTGCATCCCAGGTTCAAGTCATCCTTCCACCCCAGCCTTCCAGCTAGCTCGGATTACAAACATGCACCACCACACCTGGCTAACTTTTGTATTTTTGGTAGAGACAGGGTTTTACCACGTTGGCCAGGCTGGTCTCAAAATCCTGAGCTCAAGGCCTGCATCAGCCTCCCAAAGTGCTGGGATGACAGGCGTGAGGCATGACGTCAGGCCAAGGGGGTGGCTGTTTTATAACAGGTTTGAAAATTTGTTTTTCTTTTTTTCTTTTTTTTTTTTTTTTGAGACAGACTTTTGCTCTTGTTGCCCAGGCCGGAGTGCGATGGCAAGATCTCGGCTCACTGCAGCCTCTGCCTTCTGGGTTCAAGTGATTCTCCTGCCTCAGCCTCCCAAGTAGCTGGGATTACAGACACCTGCCACCACGCCTGGCTAATTTTGTATTCTTAGTAGAGATGGGGGTTTCTCCATGCTGGCCAGGCTGGTCTCAAACTCCCGAACTCAGGTGATCCACCCGCCTTGGCCTCCCAAAGTGCTGTGATGACAGGCGTGAGCCCCTGTGCCCAGCCAGGGGGTGGCTGTTTTATAATAGGTTTGCAAGTTTGTTTTTCTTTTTGTTTTGTTTTGTTTTTTTGAGACAGAGTTTTGCTCTTATTGCCCAGGCCAGAGTGCAATGGCACAACCTTGGCTCACTGCAACCTCTGCCTCCTGGGTTCAAGCGATTCTCCTGCCTCAGCCTCCCGAGTAGCTGGGATTACAGGCACCAACCACCACGCCCAGCTAATATTTCATATTTTTAGTAGAGACGAGGTTTCCCCATGTTGGCCAGGCTGGTCTCGAACTCCTGACCTAGGTGATACGCCTGCCTCGGTCTCCCAAAGTGCTGAGATGACAGGTGTGAGCCACTGCACCCGGCCCTGAGATAAGCATTGTTAAGATTTGGTTGTCCGGGTGCAGTGGCTCAAGCCTGTAATCCCAGCACTTTGGGAGGCCGAGGCGGGCGGATCACGAGGTCAGGAGATGGAGACCATCCTGGCTAACGCAGTGAAACTCTGTCTCTACTAAAAATACAAAAATTTAGCCGGGCGTGGTGGCAGGCACCTGTAGTCCCAGCTACTCAGGAAGCTGAGGCAGGAGAATGGCGTGAACCTGGGATGTGGAGGTTGCAGTGAGCCAAGATTGTGCCACTGCACTCCAGCCTGGGTGACAGGGCAAGACTCCATCTCAAAAAAAAAAAAAAAAAAAGATTTGGTTATGTTCCTGCAGTCCTATATGGGGCTAGAAGAATATCACCAAATATCACCAAAATGTATAAGTATACACACATGCACACACACATTTGTGAGTGTGTGTAGGCACGCATGCATGGATAATAGATATACCTGTGTATGTCTGTATATAGACATTTGTGTTTCTCAAAATTGTATCAAAACTGGATTCATGGCCAGGCACAATGGCTCACGCCTGTCATCCCAGCACTTTGAGAGGCCCAGGCAGGGGGATCACCTGAGGTCAGGAGTTCGAGACCAACCTGGCCAATGTGGTAAAACCCCGTCTCTACTAAAATACAGAAATTAGCCAGGCATGGTGGTGCATGCCTGTAATCCCAGCTACTCGGGAGGCTGAGGCAGGAGAAACGCTTGAATCTGGGCGGCGGAGATTGCGGTGAGCCAAGATTGCACCACTGCACTCCAGCCTGGGCAACAAGCGAAATTCTGTCTTAGGAAAAAAAATTCATATTATGTATATTGTTTTCTAAACTTTTTTTTTTTTTTTTTAGACGGAGTCTTGCTCTGTCACCCAGGCTGGAATGCAGTGGCGCAATCTCAGCTCACTGCAACCTCTGCCTCCCGAGTTGAAGCGATTCTCCTGCCTCAGCCTCCTGAGTAGCTGGGATTACGGGCATGTACCACCATGCCCGGCTAATTTTTTTGTATCTTTAGTAGAGATGGGGTTTCTCCATGTTGGTCATGCTGGTCTCAAACTTCTGACTGCAGGTGATTCACCCACCTTGGCCTCCCAAAGTGCTGGGATTACAGGTGTGAGCCACCGTGCCTGGCCTGTAAACGTTTAATTTTTCGAGGCACGTTTCTGCTGTGTTGCCCAGGCTAGATAGTGCAGTGGTGTGATCACAGCTCACTTTAGCCTCTACCACCTGGGCTCAAGCAATCCTCCCACCTCTGCCTCCTAAATAGCTGGGACTACAGGCGTCCACCACCACACCTGTGCGTGTGTGTGCATGTGTGTGTGTGTGTGTGTGCCTTTTTTTCATGGAGACAGAGTCTCTGAGCCTATGCTCTGCAGGCTGGTCTCAAACTCCTGGACTCAAGCAGCCCTCCCCACTTGGCCTCCCAAAGTGCTGGATTCCAGTGGCGAAAACCCATCTCTACTAAAAAAAACACCCCAATCGGGCTTGCAAAGTGCTGGATTCCAGGCATAAGACTGCACCCGGCCTGTTTTGTGAGATTTTTAACTTAAAATCTACCCTGTGCCAAGCACTTTGGGAGGCCAAATGGGGAGGGCTGCTTGAGCCCAGGAGTTCAAGACCAGCCTGGGCAACATAGTGAGACCCTATCTCTTAAAAAAAAAATTAGCTGGGCGTGGGACCTGTGGTCCTGGCTACACAGGAAGCTGAGGTGAGAAGATCACTCGAGCCCAGAAGGTGGAGGCTGCAGTGAGCTGAGATTGCACCACCACGCTCCAGCCTGGGAGGCAGAGTGAGACCCGGTCTCAGAAAAAAACAAAAAGCAAACCAAACCGTATGCTGAATGTGCACTGTGTTGGCTGCACAGAATGGGGTGAGATGTGTGTCTCTCGTATTGTATTTGATCCATATGTCCGTGGGGCTCCTACGTGTGGGTAAGGCTGTGAGTGTCACCTGGTGGGGACTAATTCCTGGTCATCCCTGGTGCTTTTTGTAAAGAAAGTGAGTTGCAGCCTGGCTGTGGTCCTGCTGGTTGTAGCAGACAGATCCATACAGTGCAGACGCGATGGTAATTTTGGTTTCATCATTCACGAGAAGCTTTATTTATTTATTTATTTTTTGAGATGGATCCTCGCCGTGTCACCCAGGCTGGAGTGCAGTGGTATGATCTCGGCTAACTACAACCTCCACCTGTCGGGTTCAAGCCATTCTCCTGCCTCAGTCTCTGGAGTAGCTGGGATTACAGGTGCCTGCCATCATGCCTGGCTAATTTTTGTATTTTTAGTAGAGACAGAGTTTCACCATGTTGGCCAGGCTGGTCTCGAACTCCCGAGCTCAGGTGATCCACCTGCCTCGGCGTCACCAAGTGCTGGGATTACAGGCGTGAGCCACCACACCCAGCCCGTGAGAAACTTTAAGTCAGTGCAGTGGCACGCGGATGGTGCAGGGCCGCAGGCTTCACCTTCCTTTTGGGTCTGAAGTGACTGCCTCGCTGTTTGGGGTCAGAAATAGCTGTGTGTAGGGGCAGGTGTGAGCTGTGTCTTGTGTGTCCCACAGAAGTGACCCTCATCATGATGGTGTGGTACTGGCATTCTTGTCCGTAGACTGACAAGGATTCTTTTTTTCTTTTTTCTTTTTTGGAGACAGAGTCTTGCTCTGCCACCCAGGCTGGAGTGCAGTGTCGCGATCTCGACTCACTGCAAGCTCCACCTCCTGGGTTCAAGTGATTCTCCTGCATCAGCCTCCCGAGTAGCTGGGACTACAGGTATGTGCCACTACACCCGGCTACTACTTTTTGTACTTTTAGTAGAGATGGGGTTTCAGCATGTTGGCCAGGCTGGTCTCGAACTCCTGACCTCAGGTGATCCACCCGCCTCAGCCTCCCAAAGTGCCGGGATGACAGGCGTGAGCCACCTCGCCTGGCCCTGGATTCTGTTTCTTAAACTGCAGGGAATACTAAATACTTTACATGTGTATGTTTCTCATTTCATTTTCCTAAAGGAATTGGAGAGTGAGTTGTTGAGATTCTTTTCATTTTATTTTTTATTCTCTATGGTCCTCATCATGCAAATGGCTAAATGGTTTTTTTTTTTTTTTTTTTGAAACAGGGTCTTGCTCTGTCACCCAGGCTGGAGTGCAGTGGTGCGGTCTCGGCTCACTGCAACCTCTGCCTCCCGGGTTCAAGCGATTCTCCTGCCTCAGCCTTCCTAGTAGCTGGGATTACAGGTGTGCACCACCGTGTCCGTCTGATGGTTAAATTTTTCCTAGAGATGAGGTTTTGCCATGTTGCCCAGGCTGGTCTCAAACTCCTGAGCTCAGGTGATCCCCCCACCTGGGCCTCCCAAGGCGCTGGGGTTCCAGGTGTGCAGAGGGCTCTTTGTCTACACGCATCACTGGATTTTCTACCCACGGGGACAGGAGTGTGACCACAGCGAGGTGGTCAGGGAGTTGTCACCGGCGGGCACTGCAGCCCAGAGATGATGATGGCTCTAGGAGTTTGGTTGTGGAGCACAGATGCCAGCGGTGTGGGCACGTGGCCCTGCACCTGTGTTTCTCCTGCACAGGCCCCAGAACCCCAGGATGGGATCTCTGTGCAGTGACGAAGTCAGTGGCCTCTTGGTGAGGCTGAGGGATGGGAGTCGGCAGAATCCAGGCTGGGCCCCCGAGGCCTGGCTCCCTCACTGCATCCCTGAGGTCCCACAGCCTGGTGACAGCATGACTGAAGACCACACTCCAGTCAGGTGGCCAGCCCCACATGTGACCCCGGGTCTTGGCTCCCACTCCTGACCCAGGGTCCTGGCCTTCCACGTGTGACCCCGGTTCCGGCTCCTGTCCCCGCCCCCTCTGTCCCCTTTCCCCTCTTTCCCCAACACCCCTTCCTCTCTCCCAGACACCCCTTCCTCTCTCCCCGGCACCCCTTCCTCTCTCCCCGGCACCCCTTCCTCTCTCCCCACCCCCCGTCCCCCCCTCCTCTCTCCCCATCCCCCCCTCCTCTCTCCCCGTCCCCCACTCCTCTCTCCCCGACCGCATCTCTCCCTTGAGTCCTTGAGTGGTCCTGGCTGCACACCTACCTGGCTGGCCCCATCCTCTCCAGGGCAGGGACAGCCGATGCCCCGCACCTCCCCCATTGCTTTTCTACCTCTGCCCCCTCCCCACATAGGCCTGGTATCCCTTGGACTCCTGTAGGCACCAGCCGTAGTCTTAAGAAGTCAGTGTGTCCCACAGCCCTAAAAGGTCAGGGTACCCCCTGGCCGTCATTTCAGGGCAGCCTATAGTCCTAAATGGTTGGGGTACCCCACATCCCTGATGTTCAGGGCACCTCACAGTCCTAAAGGATTGGGGTACCCCACAGTCCTAATGTTCAGGGCACCCTGCAGTCCGAAAGGGTTAGTGTACCCCCAGATGAGGGGCGGTCAGGAGGGTCAGGGCCCAGGTGGACTTCCTGTCATCCCACCCTGTGGGGCATGCCCTGTGTCCCTGACTCTGACATTTGGTGAGGTGAGTACGGAGCAGGCTTCCGTGGCACATTTTTTTATTTATTTAGAGGTAGAGTCTCGCTCTTGTCACCCAGGCTGGAGTGCAGTGGTGTGATCTCGGCTCACTGCAACCTCCACCTCCTGGGTTCAAGCCATTCTCCTGCCTCAGCCTCCCAAGTAGCTGGGATTACGGGCGCCCGCCACTACGCCTGGCTAATTTTTATAGTTTTAGTAGAGACAGGGTTTCACCCTGTTGGCCACGCTGATCTTGTACTCCTGGCCTCAGGTGATCCGCCTGCCCTGGCCTCCTTAAGTGCCGGGATGACAGGTGTGAGCTGCTGTGCCCAGTCCCTGAAATGCTGAAATGCTCAGCCCATACCCTGAAATGCTGATGGCAGGAACCTCTGCACTGTTATGGCTCCCAGAGCTCATCTCATCCTACTCTAGACACCAGCCCTGTCATCAGCCTCCTCCAACTCACTAGTGAGTGCTGAGTTCAGAGGAATTTGTTTTGACCCTCAAGAGGGGTTAAGATACACTGATAGGCTGGTCGGGTCAGGCCTCTCAGATGTCACTGGTGCAGTGGCCCTACCTGCCTAGACAATTGAGAAGAATCATTTTACAATGATTTTATAAGCATTCATGGTGTTGCAGGGACTGGGCTATGACCTTTGTGGTCCAGGATGCTTAGTGTTCTAGCAGAGATAGATGGGCTATGAAACAGTTACAGTGCAGTGGAGTAGTTGTGATATAGCCACTGCCAGGATATTATGGAAGCATGGTGGAAGAGCTTCTAACTTTTCTGTCTTTGGAAAAGGTTCAGGAAAATTCATGCATGAGTGCTTGCATATATATTTATGCACATATGTGCACACACAAGCATGTGCATACACACAAACTCATGCTTGATGGTCTGGGTATGTGCTAGAACAATGACCCTATCTAGCTAAGGTAGTGGGCCAAGATTAATCATTCCATCCGTCTATCTACCCATCCTTCCATCCATCCACCCACCCATCTACCTATCCATCCAGGCGTCCATCATTCTATCCATCTATCTACCCATCCTTCCATCTATCTACCCATCCTTCCATCTATCTAACCATCCATCTAACCATCCATCCAGGCATCCATCCATCCATGCATCCATCCATTTCTTATATGCTTACTATGTTACAGGCTCTTTTAAGGATTCTTTACTTACCTGATTTCATTTATTCCTCTCAATAACTTTGAGATATGAATTATTAGTCTCATCTTATACATAAGAAAATTAAGACCCAAGAAGTTTGGTTGCTTGACCAGGGTTACACTAGTACACTAGTCAAACAGCTGGCCCAGGCTTCTCATCCAGATCTGAATAATTCCAATCATATGTTCTTTTAATCTCTTCTGAATTCCCCATACTGTGTTCAGAGGAATTTGTTTCAACCCTCAAGCGGGGTTCTGTTCTCCCCCATACTGAAAAACAGAAAACTGGATTTTCCAGGTACTAACAGATATTCAATACGCATAGCTTCTCCTTCTCTTTTAGGGAATTTAATGGGCAAATTCATAGTAAAGGCTCAGAGAAGTCCTGTACTATTTTCAGTTTAATCCAGCATTCACTGATTATGATCATCATTATTGGATCATGAAATTTTTGGTGGCAAAATACCCAATTCCATGACAGTTGGAAGAGTTGCTTTACCCCCTCATCTGACCTAAGACCAGAACAAGTACTTCTGTCCCTAAGCAAGGTCTTTTTTTTTCTTCAGGCAGCAAATAATGATTTGACCTTAAGCCAACCAATAATCCAACCCCTTGCATCTCTGTGACATTCTTCTTCCACATGCCCTTCAGCTCCGTTTCTTCCCTGAACTGCAGGATGTCTCTGCAAAGCGCAGAGGGTGCAGGGGCTACTGGACCTCCAAGAAGTGATGGATTTGGTCTCCAAGTTGATCCCTTAAGAGATGGCTGCTGCCCTTTGTGGGTCTCATCACTGCAATCTTCTCATCCTATCTCCTGGCTCTGAGTCTCAAATGTTTACTGGCCCAGGGCAAGGACCCATTCCCATGGTATTCTAGATTCATGCCATCCATCTCCGACTGCACTGCTGGGTGGCAGGACAATGGCTTTGCATCTGTGCTTCATCCCACAGAACCCAGCTTCTGCCTCAGGGAGGAACCAACTGTACTTATTTCTCTAGATTCTTTTCCTCCTTCTTGTGGTTCTTTCTAAAAATAGAGACAGACTGGCATAACCAACCAGCAATGAGCACTCCTGTGCCCGGAGGGATTTTATTTGTTGCCCCAGAAAGAGAAACTGCTTCTCCCCACCTGGAGCCAGGACCCAGGAGCCAATGGTGACACAGTAGTGCCTTCACCTGAGCGAGCCTCTCCACTCTGCATCCTGCCCCACATTCCGGTCCCTGGTCCCACCCTGGTCCCGCCACCCCCCACCCCCCACCCCGCTCAACCAAAGAGCGCCTTTGCAGCAGCTGGCCCCCACCCTCAGCTTCTGGGAAGTGATCTCCATAGAATGCCCTGCCTGATGGGAGTGTCTTTGTTTGCCTTGGGGCTTTGGCCACTGGACAATCTAACGAGATCTATGAAGGGGGTTTTGAGCCACATTGTATCAGGTCTACCTCCAGAAGGGCTGGTGACTGAAGGTCAACCATGCAGGTGGTATGTGATCAAGCCTCAGTAAAAACTCTGGACACAAGGCTTGCATGAGTGTCCCTGGCTGGCAATACTCTGAACTTACTGTCACATGCCGATGCTGAGAAAGAAACACTGTCCTGACTTGATGGAAGGAGGACACCCGGAAGCTCTGCGTTTGCTGCTTTCTGGGACCCCACCCTATGCATTTCTTCCCTTGGTTGAAGAAGGGACCTGCATCCCTTCCCTGTAATAAACCATAACCTTAAGTACAACAGACTTCAGTGAGTTCTATGAGTCCTTCTAACAAATTATCGGGACCCTTGAATTTGCAATTGCTGTCAGAAGTGTAGATCAAGTTCCCACACTTCACAGTTGGTTAGCTCTTTACAGTTGGCCTAAAATTTCAGTGTTAATATTGATTAATAGATAAATAGATGGCACCTCTCCTGGTGTGGTCATTGTTAATCTGGTACATTGACCTAATGAAGACTCCTAGTTCATGAAAAGATTAAACCTAGTAGTCAGCTTCTAGGATTGTATAAGCGTGAGTACAAATTGCCATGGTTCCAGGGTCACAACTTTTGGAAGTATTGATAGCTCTTTTTAAAAAATGTTTATTTTTATTTCAAGTTCCAGGGTACGTGTGGAGGACGTGCAGGTTTGTTACATAGGTAAACGTGTGCCATGGTATTTTGCTGCACCTATCAACCCATCACCTAGGTATTAAGCCCAGCATCCATTAGATATTTTGCCTAATGCTCTCCCTACCCCCTTCCATCTCCTGACAGGCCCCAGTGTGTGTTGCTCCCCTCCCTGTGTCCATGTGTTCTCATTTGTTCAGCTCCCACTTATAAGTGAGAACACACGGTGTTTGGGTTTTCCATCCCTGGATTAGTTTGCTGAGGACAATGAATTCCAGCTCCATCCATGTCCCTGCAAAGAACATGATCCCATTCCTTTCTATGGCTGCATAGTATTCCATGGTATATATGTATCACATTTTCTTTATCCAGTCTATCATTGATGGACATTTGGGTTGATTCCATGTCTTTGCTATTGTGAATAGTGCTACAATGAACATACATGTGAATGTATCTTTGTAATAGAATGATTTATATTCTTTTGGGTATATACTCAGTAATGTGATTGCTGGGTCAAATGGTATTTCTGGTTCTAGATCTTTAAGGAATTTCCACACTATCTTCCACAATAGTTTAACTAATTGACATTCCCACCAACAGTGTAAAGCATTCCTGTTTCTCTGCAACCTCACCAGCATCTGTTGTTTTTTGACTTTTTAATAGTAGCTATTCTGACTGGTGTAAGATAGTGTCTCATTGTGGTTTTTGATTTGCATTTCTCTAATGATCAGTGATGTTGAGCTTTTATTCATATGTTTGTTGGCTGCACGAATGTCTTCTTTTGAGAAGTGTCCATTCCTGTCCTTTCCCTACTTTTTAGTATTTTTTTTTCTTATAAACTTGTTTAAGCTCCTTGCAGATTCTGGATATTAAACCTTTATCAGATGGATAAATTGCAAAAATTTTCTCCCACTCTGTAGGTTGCCTGCTCACTCTGCAATAGTTTCTTATCATGTGCAGAAGCTCTTTGGTTTAATTAGATCTTGTTTGTCAATTTTCACTTTTGTTGAAATTGCTTTTAGCAATTTTGTCATGAAATCTTTGCCTGTGCCTATGTCCTGAATGGTATTGCCTAGATTTTCTTCTACGGTTTTATAGTTTTGGCTTTGACATTTAACTATTTGATCCATCTTGAATTACTTTTGGTATAAGGTGTAAGAAAGGGGTCCAGTTTCAATTTTCTGCATACGGCTAGCCAGATCTCCCAGCACCATTTATTAAATAGGGAATCCTTTCCCCATTGCTTGCTTTTGTCAGATTTCTCGAAGATCAGATGGTCGTAGATGTATGGTCTTATTTCTGAGTTCTCTATCCTGTTCCATTGGTCTGTGTGCCTTTTTTTGTACCAGCACCATGGTGTTTTGGTTACTGTAGCCTTGTAGTACAGTTTGAAGTTGGGTAGCGTGATGCCTCCAGCTTTGCTCTTTTTGCTTAGGATTGTCTTGGTTATACAAGCTCTTTTTTTAGTACCATATGAATTTTAAAATAGTTTCTTCTAATTCTGTGAAGAATTTCAATGGTAGCTTAATGAGAATAGCATTGAGTCTACAACTTACTGTGGGCCATTTTCACAATACTGATTCTTCCTATCCATGAGAATGGAATGTTTTTCCATTTGTTTGTGTCCTCTCTTATTTCCTTGAGCAATGGTTTGTGGTTCTCCTTGAAGAGGTCCTTCACTTCCCTTTGTTAGCTGTATTCCTAGGTATTTTATTCTCTTTGTAGCAATCGTGAATGGGAGTTCATTCATGATTTGGCTTTCTGCTTGTCTGTTGTTGGTGTATAGGAATGTTTGTGACTTTTGCACATTGATTGTGTATCCTGAGACTTTGCTGAAGTTGCTTATCAGCTTAAGAAGCTTTGGGGCTGAGATGATGGGGTTTTCTAGATACAGGAGCATGTCATCTGCAAAGACAATTCAATTTCCTCTCTTCCTATTTGAATATCTTTATTTCTTTCTCTTACCTGATTGTCCTAGCCAGAACTTCCAATACTATGTTGAATAGGAGTGGTGAGAGAGGGCATCCTTGCCTTGTGTTGGTTTTCAAGGGGAATGCTTCCAGCTTTTGCCCATTCAGGATGATATTGGCTGTGGGTTTGTCATAAATGGCTGGAAGTATTGATAATTCTTAATGAAGACAGAAGCTAGGAGTTAAACAACCTTCCTCCATGCACCCTCAGTACTTGGTTCATGCTGTTGCCATTACGCTCATCACGCTCCACTCTATGTCATGTGACTCAGTGCATATGACTGTGAGCTCCCTGAGAGAAGTGATCTTACTCACCTTTCACTCTGACAATCAGAGAAGAAAATAACTCACAAAGTGTCTGATGAATTGCTGATCTTTTGCAGACATAAGCAGTTGTGTCCGTGAATACATGGTTATTACAACCCCATAAACAGGTTCTCTTTAAACTGTGAGCCCACATAAAACTTTACAAGTCTCCTATTCCTCTCTAAGAAGATATTCAAAAGGAAAAATCAACACAGAGGCAGCAGAGCATACTGCCAAGAGTACACGTGTGGGATTTGGAAACCATGGTTCTAGGATAGCACCATATTCCTATGTGGCTGCATGATCTTAGGCAAGTCACTTGACCTGAGACTAGGTCATCTCATCCATAAGGCAGTGAGAAATACTGTACCCTCTCGCCATGCTACAGTAGGTAATAATTATAAAGCATGTACTATTAAATAGTTCAGATTCCACAAACATTTTCTAAGCATCTGCTATGTGTTAGATACTCTGGAGGGCACTTCCATGCCACTGTTCCATGCCATGAAGTCCTCATATTCTGGCATTGAGGGGTAATGGGAAGGGGCTGGGAGTGGGAATAGAGATGACACAAAACTGGGAGCTGGCAATTACTGAAGTTGGATGAGAGAAAATGAAGTTTCACTACATTGTTTTCCCTATTATTTCATGTTTTTGAAATGTTCCACATGTATTAATTTTTTAAATTTATTTATTTTAGAGATGGGGTCTCACTCTATTGCCCAGGCTGGAGTACAGTGGCACAATCATAGCTCACTGCAGCCTTGAACTTTTGGACCCAGTTAATCCTTCCACCAGAGCCTCCCAAGTAGCTGGGACTAGAGGCTTGTACCACCATTCCTGGCTAATTTTTTAAAAAAAATTTATAGAGATGAGGTCTCTTTATGTTGCCCACGTTGATCTCGAACTCCTGGTCTCAAGTGATCCTCCTGCTTCAGCCTCCCAGAGCGCTGGGATTACAGGTGTGAGCCACCACACCTGGCCAAAACATGTATTTTAAACAATCCTCTCAACAATTATGTGAGGTGGGTCTCCATGGTCTCACTTTACCCATGGAAAACCAAGGCTCAAAGTGACAGAAGCCTGAGGTTTCCACAGAATGTTAGAGGCAGAGTCGTGTCTAGAGCCCAGGTTCCCTGCCTCCATGCAACTTCACACTTCCCACCTCCCTAGATTGTGATGCATGGCTGGCACCTGCCCTCTCAGAAGCACACTTGACCTCAGAAAGGTGCTCCTCAAGGTAGAGGTTTGTGTTTACAAGAGGTAGACCACTGTAAGCAATGAGGGGAACAGCTCCCCACCTTCCTTTCCAGTGCTGGGACCTCTTTCTACACTCATTATGAAAAATTCAAGAAATATGGGGGTTCCTCAAAGTCACTATCATCATCTGTGGACATCTGCTGAGTCCCCAAAGCACTGGGCAGGCATTGCTGAAGCATGCAAAGGTATACATAACACACAGGGCTTCCCACAGCAACCTCCTCCAACCCATTCACAATAAATATTTTTAAATGTATTAGCAAACTCTGCCGAGACAAAAAGCTCATTGCAACAGTCTTTGTCCTCCAAAGGAATTGCTCTACAGTAGAAAGAAAGAGAGGTTTTCTCATCTCTTCTGCAAGGGAAGGAACTGTGGGGGTGGGGGGGCGGGGGGAGTGGTGTGTGTGTGTGTGTGTGTGTGTGTGTGTGTGTGTGTGTGTGTGCGTCTCAGGGCAGAGGGGGCAGGTTGAGCTGAGCACAGAGAGAACTACGCTTTTCTAAAGCCACCCAGGGACATGCCCATATGTAGCTCTGGGGCTGGTTGCAGCTTGCATTTGTTTGGAAGTTCAACCCTGGGATGTATACAATTTTCCCCAAATAACCCCTTGGAGGGAAAAATAACACAGTGCAAATGACAATACTCGAAAGCCTAGAGATATACTCAGCCATTTTCTTTATGATGACCATATTTTGCCAAAGTCTGTGTCCTAGAAGTCTCTCCCCATCCATTAATGTAGTCACCCAATGGATTGCTTTTCCTTCCCATGTGTTGACTTTTCCTTCAGCTCTTGCAGCAACACATTGCTTGGCCAAACCAGAATACACCAGGGAGCTTGGAAGATATTGCCCAGTCACCTCTGCAACCTCAGAAACTCCCTCTGGTGCCTGTGGTGTGACACGCCACATCCACATAGCATTGCACATGGTGATCCCTAGGTTCTCGCTGAGGACTGGAAGGGACAGCCTAAAGGTTTCATCCAAGTTTCCACCTTCAGCTCTATCTTGGTCTGCAGGTCAACTGACTCTTCAAGCCTCCATTCCCCACCGCACCAATTCCCCACAGCACTGCCAAGGTTTTTCACAGAGCCAAGAGATAATCAGCAGAGCAAATGCTAAACCCAAAGCCATGCCCCCTACCCTCCAATCCAGGGAAATGTAAAAATATATCAACTTTAAGGCCCTGGAAAAAAAGTCAAAACCAAGCTCTATAATTGTGGCCTGTTTACAAGGCGTGCTGAGTTGTTGGTGCATTCTCAGAGAGGCTGTTCATGCCTCATGGAGCCAGGGAACTATGTTAATGGTAACAGAAGTCTTCATGTTCTGCAGTCTGTGCCCTTCTGAACACCCTTGGTTTGAAAAGCAAAGTCCTTAGGTTGGAGAATCAAATTCACAAATGCCTCCTTCAGTTCACTTTCCTTCAGTTGAGTTTGGACCCAGAGTGTGGACCCATGGAGGTCAGCTACCTGGTTTAAGGGAGTCAGCTCGTGTGTGTGTGTGTGTGCACGTGCATGTGTGTGTGCACATGTGTGTATGTCTGTATGCACACATATTTTCACAAATAAGAAAGTAGAGAAAGCAGAAGAGATCCAATACAGTGAAAAATCTCTGCCCAGTGACCTGGCACTGAGGAATATCATCCACCCCAGGCAAGAATCTAGAAATGAACAATTTAAGGATAGTGGGAGCACTTAGAAAAAAAACGAATGATTAGGAAGAGCCAACATCAGTATAATAGAACAGGTAATACCAACGTGACTTTCTTTTTGTTTGGAAGTTCTACATAGTATTATGTCTGGATTTTAGGAGGCCCTTCCCACGAATTAAATTTTTAAATGGGTAATGTATTCCTACGGTTCAACAAAACCCAATATATCCTTGGGGAGGAATCTTCCTCCCATCTATGTCTCCATCTGCCCAGGTCTCACTCCTACCTCTCCACTCCCCATAGGTAACCATGATTATTAATTTCTTGAATAAGCTTATGGATGTCATTGTGAACATGGAAGCAAATACAAATGTGTGTGCATGTTTATTCTTATTTTCTCCCTTTTTTATGCAAAAGGGGCACACTGAACCCCTTGCTCAGCAAGGCTTTTGTGGGGGGCTCATGCTAGTTTTGTGGACAAGAAATGGGGACTAGATGACACCATGCAATAGCAGGCATGTGACTACTTCAGTGCAGAACTAGAAGTGGAATCTAGCCTGCTGACTTTTTGTCCTAGGTCCTTCCCGTTTGTCTCCTGGATCTGTGTTTGCCCACACAAGGGAGTACTTAAGAAGCATTGGCAGGCTTCTGGGAAGCAGTTTGTCCTTGTAAGTGGTTTAAAACCTCACCTTGACAATCTTGCATATAGCACTCATTTGCTTGGTAAACCTTTTTTCTCATAGATCATGGAAAGGTAAACTTTGAGCCCTTTGCTCTTCAAGTGAATAAAATGGCCTAACTGTACTAAAGCTTTATCCCAGTGCTTGGTTCATAGTAGCCACTTCATAAAATAAACATTAGTTGAATCTGAATGATCACTACATTCCAATTTAATGTACTTGGATTAAAGAGATTCATCCTAAAGAGACAGGGAATTGGATCATTTCAGAACCAGTCCCGTGATGGTTTACTTTGGTAGCATAGCCCTTCTCAAGCCAGTGGTCACTTCCTATTCTCCTGCCAGAGAAGCAGAAACAACAGCTTTCTTTGTATTCAGTATTGATTTGGGGGATTGCATGGGTCCTTATGACTACCTGCTGGCAATATTCAGTCCAGCGCATGGACAAAGCTGACCTGGAAGAGCAGGGAGTCAAGGGAGGTCAAGAGACAGGGCAAGGCTTGGGGAAGGAGTGAGAAGTCCTCTTCCAGGGCCAACTTTCCCAATCCTCTTCTGGTTCTCTGAGACCACCCTCCTCCCCTTTTCATCTCTGAGGCATCCTTACCAAACAGCAGTTCCTCTGCTCTGACATCGGCTTGATCTTTAAGGCTTGCCTCAGTCAGATGCAAAAGAGGGTGATCCCATAGAGAAAAAAATATTTAGCTAAGATTCCAAAAGTGAGGGCAAATCCCTGGGAATTTGCTGTTTTTGAAGTAGACTACTACCACTCTCCACTATAGGTAATTTTAAGTTTGCAGTAGCTAATGGGCAAAGGAAAGAAGAGTAAAATAAAATTGTCATGGGATGGTAACTTCCTACATTAACCTGCAAGGTATCCACCTTTTCCAGGCCACCAGAGAATCTAAGTTCAAGTCCCCAAACAGGGAACTGGGCTCTCATCCTAATTCTTCCTTAAGGAGCCAACACAGTCATTACCTCCACATAAACATGTCAACTCTCCCCACGCGCAACCATGAGAAATCTCTCCCAGCCAGCCAGAATGGAAGGAACTAACAGCTTTTGGCAAGCAGCACGGTCTCACATACAGAAGGTGGCTGGCATGAGGCTTGCACTCAGGTCACAGCCTTCTATCGGCTGTCGTGGCCACCTCTTCCTAGAAGAAGCTCTCCCCAGGAAAAGCACAGAATTCTGCTGGGTCACAGAGCCCCTCAGGTGTCAGTTCCAGCCACTCCCAACACACTTCAGGTGGGCCACCTTGACTGCAGTGGTTATGATTGCTGGGTTTGAATCCTGTCTCTGTCACTTGATTCTGGATCATTATTTCAATTCTGTAAGCCTCAGTTTCCACACCTGTAAAACCCTGTCCCCTGGGGAAGTTGTGAAGAGTAGAGGAAATTATCCTTGCAAAATGCTTAGCAGAGTATTGGTAGGTTGTTAGTGCTGAATAAATAGTACTTATTTTATCATCATCATTACGGCTCTTTGGAATCCACAGCCTGTAAGGTGGGGGGCAGTACTGCAGCTTGAAAGCTAAGGGATGGGCGGTTGAGTTGCCCAAGGTCACTCTGCAGCCTTACTGCAATGAAAGTTCCATAGAATAGGGGTGTTGTCTGTTGTGTTCCCCAAACCTACAACAGTTCCTGACCTTCCATCACTATAAGCTGAATGAATGAATAGATGGATGGATGAATGAATGTAACTGAGAAGCTGGAGTTTGAGCCCAGGTCAGTGTGACTCCATGGTCAGATGCTACACACTTCCTGCTCCATTTCCACAGACACACACACATATCCTATTTGTCCTTGTAAAACCAGCATATTCCAAGAGTTTTCTGCCAGCTGCAGCTCATCATACCCATCTTTTCCCATCGTCCTTCCATAACACACACAGTCTCTGCCACACAATATAACAATTTATTAGACCTCAAACTCTCTGGGGGCAAAGACCACTTCTTAGCCACTGGACTTCTTAGTCTCAGTCTCAAATCAGGCTCTTAAGAAGCAATTTCTGGTTGGCTGGCTTCTTTTGGGGGAAAGGGAACCAATTGTCACCTCCTCCAGACCCTCGTATTTCCAAACCCTAGCCTTTCTTATAGGAAAGAGGAAGGGAACTCAACTTTACATTTGACATTTTTCACTGAGGAGCCACACTTGCCCTTGGCCTCCTAACCCAATCCCTTGCCTCGCTGTTGTCAGTTCTCCTATAAGCAAAGAAGCAAAACCTGGGGAGCAACAGGGAGGGATGAGCAGGGGTGACTCAACCGGGGAGGGATAAAACCACATACCACAGAGAGTGAAAACTCTGTGCTCAGCAAAGAGGAGAACTTACTCAGCATTTCCCCTAATCCTCCCTCCAGAAGCACGACTGCCAGGAAAGTTCACAGTGTACTATCTCCAGCTGGGAACCCGAAAGAAGCAGGAGGACTGTAGGCCACAGGTCCTGGGCACCATGTGTTTCCCCCGTTCCTACTCCTATTCTTCCCTCTCTGTCCAGCAAACCTGCTTGTTTCTGTCACCTGCCCTCCTGCCCTTGGGGTGACAATGGATGCCTTGAACACTCAGCAGAGGGATGCTCTTTCAGAGGAGGAAGAGTCTGTGCGATTGATCTGATGCCTGAGCAGGAAAATCACCCCTGAGAAGAGGCTCTGAGACAGAGGGTAGCCGTGGTTCCTACCCCTTATATATGTGGGGCTCCTGGCACATGCACACTTCTCCTCAAACTCTGTTTAGGAGAACAATGCTGGGTGTTGTCAGCCTCTCTCCTCCCTACATACTGCTCTGTCATCAGCCTGAGCACAATTTCCCCATGAAAGGCGTTAATCTGTCTCTCAATTAGATCAACTTTTTACATGTCTTTGATGGATGACAGTTTTTCAGTGTCAGAATCTAGAAATAAGAAATGGGGTGATGGGGACAAGTGAGCTCGGTGTGTCTCACCAGGATGTTCCCTCTTATTCCAGGTGTCCTGTCCCAGGTGCAGCTGCAGGAGTCAGGTCCAGGACCCATGAGGCCCTCAGACACTGCCCTCCACCTGTGCTGTGTCTGGGTTCTTTTTTTTACCAGTCAATATTATTTGAGCTGAATCCACCATCCCCTAGGCAACAGATTAGAATGGCTGGGGCACAGTTACCAGGAATACACATCATTATCACCAAGCTCATCATCAAGATCACCAAGGAATACACATCATGCACCCTTTACCCAGGTCTGCATCTCCATCAACAATGACTCAACCAAGAGCCAGTTCTTTCTGAAGCTCAGCTCCATGGCTGGCTAGGACACGGCTGAGTATTACTGTGAAAGACTCAGTGAGGAGGTGTCCTTGTGAGCCCTGACACAAAACTTGCTGTCAGGGCACTGAGGACCGCCAGCAAGACTCAGGACCACAAGGGGGACTCAAGACCACCAGGGGAAGAGCAGGTTGCAGGAAGCACAGGGCCAGCCCCAGAGCAGGTGTGGGTGGAGATGAGAGGCTGGTTTACTGCCAGGGTGTGGGGCTGCCTCTACATCTACATGTTTCCTCCAGGGACCCTCCCTTATTTCATGATGCTGTGCCTAGCTCTACGTCTCTGAAATACCACAGTTTTGTTGTACCAGGAGGAAACCTTCTTACAGGCACTAAATGCAGAACAATCCCTCTGCCAGTGGTCACCAGGGCCACAGCCCTGTGGAAGCTGAGTGGAACCCGGTGAGTCTTCTCCAGTCACACTCAGGACAGGGACCTCAGTGGGGTTCCCTGAAGAAAACAGTATTTAGGAATTCTAACCTCAGCCAAGAGAGAGGCTGGGCCAGGGTCAGGGTCACGTAGAACCTCACAGGTTTTATTTCTGACCCTTCTTCTGACACTAAAGTATGCAAATCAGTATCAGCGCTGATCAGGGGCTGCTTTTGCTCCTAGCACATTCTATTTCTTGTTAGTTGTTTTAGTTGTTGATTTTCCTTTTGCTGTTCCTGATCCCTGTAAAGTGGAGATGTGGTTCTTGCTGTAAAAAGTCCACTGCTCAAGCCCTTTCCCTGCAGCTCAGGTGGGGCTCAGACTGTGGCTCCTGCAGCCACGTGGGAGAGGCTGATGGGACTTCCTTCTCTCCCGTTGCTCAGAACCCTCCACTGTGTTGTGTAGAGACTCACTTGGGAATGCAAGTGGCCAATAGTTGTGAAGAGGATGAGCTTGTGTGGTCAAAATGGGATGTGGATATGGAATTTATCCTGTGCTGTTCAAGCTAACACAGGGTCACCTTCCCCCCAGTAGTGTTAGAAAGAGAGTGGGAAAGTTGTCAAAATCAAAATGGAGCCACTTGTATTAAAACTCTGACAAATGAAACTAGGAGTGACCATGAAGGAGGGTTCTTAAGCCCATATTCCTGATAACAAGAACTATCATAAATATACTCTGCTTAACCACAATCTTGGGAAGAAGACACCACCATCTTATAAAAAAATTACTTTTGCAAGGACATCATCCCAGAAACTGCCAGTTCAACCTTACACTGATGCCACCCTTGGTATTGATTCTACAACTACAGGATCGTTCTCTCAAAACAACTTTTGTAACCCATCCATTTTCACTTCATAAACCTGTGAATTGACATCCTGGAGTTACTGCTGCATTTGTTGATAACGTTAAATAATAAGGCCTTTTGACAATGTTTGAAGCTGCTTTTTTCTGATGTCTCTTCTAAAATAAAGAATTTCCAAGTTGATGACAATAAAAAGATAATTAGGAAGATTTGGTGGGAAGGCATCTTTAACATCCTGTTGAATGCTTCTGCATAGCACGTCAATCCCCTAGAATGCTTTGCTACATCTGCATTTAATGAATCGGAGTCTAATATTGAAGATGTAATTGAAAATAGGTGGGCTTTTGATGAATCAAGTCATACGGTGATAATGTTTGTGTCCTTGAGAAAGCAAACCCTGTGTTGTAAGTTTTAGCAGATGTACCTTCAGCAAAAAAGTTCATGTGTTTCTGAATGTTATGCAACTTTTAACTTAAGGATGCAACATATGATTCAGTTTTACTTAAAACTTTCCAGAAGATTTTTGGCAGTAAGGACAGTGCAGCATTTGAGTAACACTAAGGAGCTAAAAAGAGTTATTTTGTAATTGCTCCTGTGAGGTATGCACATCGCTCACTTAATATTGAAATTCAAATGCCACAGATGGGAAAATCAGAATAAGGAAAATTTTATGAACTGGCATGGCTGTAGTTTTTGTCAAGCAAGTAATTCATGTCTGCAAGAAAATAAATACAACAATAAAACACATTCAAATCCAGGGGGATGCTGACCTCTGCCCTCTATATTACAAGTACAAGGTGGTATCACATCCAAATTATTTTTCAGGCTCCAGGGTATAAAATGCTTTTGGACGGTGAAGTTAACACCTCTCCCCTAAGGTGTGGCTGAGGTATGTGGGGAATGCAGAGTTGTGTTCATGAAGAAGATTACATTATTGTTATCTGGAGACAGCTCCCCAGGGTGTGTCTCAGATGTCAGACATGGGTCTATAAGTCAAGCAAAGAGAACATGTTGAGTCCAAAAATCAGCATATTCTTAGAGGCACCCATTGCTCCATCACATGGGTGAGAAATTTTTGAGACTAGTGAAGTGTGAGTTCACAGTAAGTGATGCAGTTATCATATTTCCATGAACTTTCATTAACAAGACAAGGACTTCTCTAGATCACTCATGCACAAATATACAAAATGTATTTTTGCATTTGCGAGTGTCTAGAGAAAAAGAATCTGTTGAGAAAACTTCTTCAGGTTACAGAGATCTGTTTAAGTTGGAGATCTCACAGGAGTGTGTCTTTGAGTGAATACTGGCCTATTAATTAAATAGGTCAAAATTCCCTCTGTTGGAGTAGCCTTCCGATTATGTAGATTTCTTTATTGCTTCCTGAGTTGTGAAACATAAACCCAAGCATTGACTTACTGGAATTTGACTGCTGTGTTGATAAAATTTCTGATATGGTTTCTTCCAATGATTTAAGAATAGCTTTCCCCTTTCTTTACTCCAGGAAATGAATTTTCACAAGGTCTCAGGACACCATTTTTCAAGTGCTTTAGTTAAAGAGACTGACTTCTTGGTGGGCAGGCCTCTTCTAACAATGAGCTCACTTCTGCAAAGCATTCAGTCTGTGGCTTTATTGCCATGAATCATGAAGCTTTCACACTCCGATGCACTAAAAATAATGCCTCTTCAATTAAATATCTATTGGCATTGCCATGAATTGGCCACTCTTGGATATGTGTCCTATGTTATGAGCCCAACATGTCAGTGGACTGAGAATCCTCTATTAGCTACCTCTGTGTGTAGCACTGAGCAGACTAACAATCCTCAGAGTCATCTAACAAGGAGAGTCCTGAGGTTCATGGGATTCTTGGAGACATTCAGGTGAGTTGAGAGGAGAAACAGGATTGTGGGCTGCCAGCCATTTCAACAACAATGGGAGTCATTACCATCTAAGTGTAAAGTCTACATCATTCAAAATATCCTCCATGACAGGCTGATAAGAAGAAATCCAACCACACAATGGCTCCATGGCAACTCTTTAGTATACTTGGGAGTGAGGCTTTTTTCGGGAAGAAATATCCACTCCAGTGTGTCCCTGATGCTGCTCTCAACTAACGTAAACAGTGGACTGGAACCAAGATTCTCTGAGATTAATGTGAGGATTAATGCTGCTCCAATGTGTTTAAACAAGCATGTGGCAATTTAGATGAGCCTGGCTGTGTGGTTTGTTATATGTAAATCTGAACTAAATAAACAGAAAGGGCATGTCTGAACTAGTGTGAGGGTGAGAGATCTCATAGACCCCAAACTCATTTATATTTCCTCCTGGAACCTCCAGGTTCTTTGGGTGAAAATTGACATAGATCCTTTCCTGGATAAGTCATCAAAGTTCCTACTCTCTGAGAAATACACAGATAAATATATCCAGATAGAACATACAGGAGAAATACATATCTAGAACATTATCTATGTTGGCTAAGGTAGTCCATCTCCATTACAGACCCCTTCAAGCAGCCTTCCTTTATCACGAAAGTGGATAAAATTAGCCAATAGAGAAATAATCCTATAATGTTGTAGCCAGAAAAAGGAAAGTGTCAGTTCCATTTCTGGAGACTCTGTGTATAGGCCACAGCCCAGAGAAAAAAAGATGACTGAATTATTAAGATTCAATTGTAAGAACATATAATACTTCCAGGATGCACGTTTTGTTTTCTCAGCAGGATAGTTAATCTGGGTTAAAGATGAAAGTGTGACAATGCGCAGACTCTATCTGAGGAGAACATAGGAAAACTGAAACACAATGGCAGAGAATATGACAAGGACAGTAGGGAAATCTGAAGCCTCTGACATATATTTTTTGAAGAAAAGATATTGGCAAATCCATTGACCTCAGATTCTTTTATCATAGGGCATTTGCAGGGTTCCTAGCTGAGAAAAAAAATGCATGCACTTGGCCGGGCACTGCGGCTTACGCCTGTAATCCCAGCACTTTGGGAGGCCAAGGCAGGTGGATCACGAGGTCAGGAGATCGACACCTTCCTGGCTAACACGGTGAAACCCCATCTCTACTAAAAAATACAAAAAATTAGCCAGGCAGGGTGGCGGGCGCCTATAGTCCCAGCTACTTGGGAGGCTGAGGCAGGAGAATGGCGTGAACCCGGGAGGCAGAGCTTGCAGTGAGCCGAGATCGTGCCACTGCATTCCAGCCTGGGCGACAGAGCAAGATTCCATCTCAAAAAAAAAAAAAAATATTCATGCACTTCCCAAGTCTCCACTTGTATTCTATTTGCCTTAGATCTCTAAGACAAAAAAGTGGGTGAAGGATATGAACAGACACTTCTCAAAAGAAGACATTTATGCAGCCAACAGACATGAAAAAATGCTCGTCATCACTGGCCATCAGAGAAATGCAAATCAAAACCACAATGAGATACCGTCTCACACCAGTTAGAATGGCGATCATTTAAAAGTCAGGAAACAACAGGTGCTGGAGGGGATGTGGAGAAATAGGAACACTTTTACACTGTTGGTGGGGCTGTAAACTAGGTCAACCATTGTGGAAGACTATGGCGATTCCTCAAGGATCTAGAACTAGAAATACCATTTGACCCAGCCATCCCATTACTGGGTATATACCCAAAGTGTTATAAATCATGCTGCTATAAAGACACATGCACACGTATGTTTATTGTGGCACTATTCACAATAGCAAAGACTTGGAACCAACCCAAATGTCCATCAATGATAGACTGGATTAAGAAAATGTGGCACATATACACCATGGAATACTATGCAGCCATACAAAAAGATGAGTTCATGTCCTTTGTAGGGACATGGATGAAGCTGAAAACCATCATTATCAGCAAACTATCGCAGGGACAAAAACCAAACACCGCATGTTCTCACTCATAGATGGGAATTGAACAATGAGAACACTTGGACACAGGAAGGGGAACATCACACACCGGGACCTGTCGTGGGGTGGGGGTAGTGGGGAGGGATAACATTAGAAGATATACCTAATGTAAATGACGAGTTAATTGGTGCAGCACACCAACATGGCACATGTATACATATGTAACAAACCTGCACGTTGTGCACACGTACCCTAGAACTTAAGGTATAATAATAAAAAAAAATAAGCCTAGGCCTAGTGTCAGTGTAGGAGGCAATTTTTATAGGCTAGAAACTAAGAAGAAAGAAAAATATGTGTTATTGGAATAGTAGATACAAAGTTGGTTTTATTCTGAGTGTATTTGAACCTGCAGGTATTCTTAGATGTAACATTCAACTGCAAGAGCTCAAGGACGAAACAAGGCACTCCCAAAATCCTACAAGTTTTTGTATTCATTTCGTGTCCACTGACTCAGGAAATGTGAAGTTTCAGAGAAGGTGTTCCACTCTGTGTCATAGAATATTTGCTTTGGGTCTCCCTGTAGAGTTAAATAGGTTTAATAAGGCTCTTCAATTCTTAAAAGACATGGTGTCAGCAGTACATTGTGTCACTGAAGGAGTATTCAGTACATTGTGTTACTGAAGGAGTATTCTAAACCAGGACACACCCACTTCATGCTGAGCTAGAGACTGTGGGGTAAAATGCCTGTGAGCTACAACAGAAACCTCATGGCAAGGCAAGGGCTCGGCTGGAGGGGGCACTTGGGAGCCACCAAGCACAAGTTCCAGCCCCAGAGCAGGTGCACAGGAGGCCGGGGAGGAGGTTTTCTCTCAGGGCCTTGGTCTTCCTTTGTCAGGAAAAAAACAATCTAAAATAACTGTTCAAGAAGTAGCTGACGTGCTTTAAATATTCTAGTACATCCAAACCATTCATATAACTTAAGATAATGAGAGCTATTTTTTAAAGTGAGTTTCTAGGACTGTAATATCTTAATAGTGAGAATATGAAGGATGGGCATGTTTTTACTAATTCAATGGGTACCGATTAGTTGAAGAAACTATATTCCTATGAATAAGAAATTCAGATTTCAGTGTTAAGTAATGTTGCCTACATTGTGTGAATGACAGGGCAGTGATGGATCTGAGGGTGTGGCAGGTGCACAGACCAAGTGAGTCAAAAATCAATATGTAAAGATACAGATCTATGGATATGAACTGGAAGTATGTAAATACTTTACAAAAATCTAATAAATGGAGTTGAAAAGTAACCCAAAATTATTCAAAACACAAATTCATTGACAATTATTTTGAGAGTAGAGAGTTCATAAAGAACTTCAAACTCCTGTTACCTCTTCTGATTCCCATTGTTCCTGAGATGAGAAAATCAGCTGTAATTATGCATCACAGGGCAAATACGTAAAACAAGAGCGTTTCTATTGAAGATCCTGGGGGATCAGGACATGAGGCACGTGCTGGAGACACTGTCTCAGGAGGGCCCAGTAGATCTCAGAGGGACATCAGCAGTCACCTTTCCAGAGTCACCAGTGAGCTGTGCTGGTGCCTGACAGGTCCAGGATAGGGCCAAGGCACGTGCTCAGTGTCATAGACAGTGATGGTCCCAAAAATAATCCAGGCGGCCTCTATACTAATCACATGTAGGTTCACAGTGAGGAGCCTGTTCTGAGAGGGCTTACTCTTCAGTGAAAGGACCTCTGTACACAAATGTTGGTAAATAGAGCAGGGCACGCATTTTCTCAAGTAAGATTAGGGCTTAGACCATTTGCATCTCACTCTTGTAAGGCTGATGTGTCATTTATCTTCCCTTTCTTATCATGTATCAGGCTTTGAGCTATGAAATCGTCTGTCTCATGAATATGCAAATAACCTGAGATGCACTGAGGTAAATATGGATGTGTCTGTGCCCTAAGCGCATCATCCAACAACCACATGCCTCTTCTGCAGAATCTCCTTAGAGCTCAGTGCCTCACCGTGGACTGGACCTGGAGGAACATCTTGGTGGCAGCAGCTACAGGTAAGGGACTCCCAAGTCCCAGTGATGAGAAGGGGATTGTGTCCATTTCTGAAAGATCTCATCCACTACTGTATCCTCCCCACAGGTGCGCACTCTCAGGACCAGTTGGTGCAGTCTGGGGCTGAGGTGAAGAAGCCTCTGTCCTCAGTGAAGGTCTCCTTCAAGGCTTCTGGATACACCTTCACCAACAACTTTATGCACTGGGTGTGACAGGCCCCTGGACAAGGACTTGAGTGGATGGGATGGATCAATGCTGGCAATGGTAACACAACATATGCACAGAAGTTCCAGGGCAGAGTCACCATAACCAGGGACACGTCCATGAGCACAGCCTACACGGAGCTGAGCAGCCTGAGATCTGAGGACATGGCCGTGTATTACTGTGCGAGAGACACAGAGTGAAAACCCACATCCTGAGAGTGTCAGAAACCCCAGGGAGGAGGCAGCTGTGCTGGCATGGAGGAGATGACAAAGATTATTAGATTGAAGACTTTCTCAGAAAATAACATTAAGTCACTAAAGAAAAGGAACAATATAAATGTGTATTTGAGAAATTTTAATTATTTGAAAGATTTTTCATACAACATTTATTCTGTAAGCAAATTTCAGGGATTGAATTAATAAAACTGATACAGAACTTCCTTTGTAGGTATCTTTGTAAACATCAATTTCTGAATCACTGTTGTAAATATTTTGGAACACACAAATGAATCAAATTTTAACTCTACTTTTATCTCTATTTTAAAAATGCCCCCCAAAACCTCATTTTGTGCATGTAGCATTTTGAATTCCCACCATCAATGCATGATGGTTCTTGATTTTCCACATTCATATTGCCATTTTTCATTATGAGAATTGTGTGTTTTAAACATCCTAATAGGTGAGTAATGGTATCTAATTTTTATTTACACGTACATGTCCCTAATAAAAAGTTCCTACTTAAAAATGTTCAAATAATCTTTGGTGAGGTACCTTGCCTGAGATCTAGTTCATTTTTAAATGCATTGTTTTCTTTTGATTAGTTGTAAGTTAACTTGCATATTAATTATAAAAGTGATTTAACAAACTAAAATAACTCATTTAACAAATACGTGACTTGGAAGTATTTTCTCCAAGTCTGTGGCTGTCTTTTACACCCTTAGCGTGTATTGCAGAAAAATATGTGTGCATGTTTATACCAATTTAGATTTTAAAAATGTAAAATTTTATTCATCCACAGATCATGTCTTTGGCATTATATCTGAAATCCCATTATAAAATACAATAATAGTGATTTTTTTTCCATGTCTCTAATCTCAGGCCACAATCAACTCATGAGTGTTTAAGCTTCACTCACTTGATTACAGGACTATCAAGCTAACATATTTGGAATACTTCTGCAAAGAGATGTGTTCTTCTTCCCATTATTTATTTATTTAATAATCTATTAATATCCGTATTAGTTTACGGATGTCTATTTCATGCTCTGAAGATGATCCTTGCTACATCATTCATTTTATTGTTCATGTCACCACAGCTTTATTAGGTGCTAGGAGCTCATTTAGTTTGGATCCTGCATCCTTACAGCACACCTCATCCTTTTGTTTTTGAACACTTCCCTGTTTCCTGATATTACAATTAATTCTAAGTTCATTTTCTACATTATCTTTCTCATACATAGGATTAGCCGTTTTTCCTAAAGATTGATTATTTCCGATGTTAAAGAATAGTGTTAAAATTAAAAATTGTGATACTGGATATGTGTGTTGTTAAGGTGTTATAAGTACTTCTAGGACCTCTCAACCTATATGTCTAGTAAATGTACATGTTTATATGAACCCATGTTTATGGACTCATTGAAACTACTTATGTATCTAATTGTATGTAAGTTTATTACATTAAAAATGAGAACACACTGGTCTCTCCACCCAATTATGCTATTTTAGATAGTATTATAAACAATTTTAGAGCTACTTGCTTTGCATAATGATCCACTACTATGGATAAACAGATAGAAGATAGATGCCTACATACATACATACATACGTACCTTGATAGAGATATAGTTGGACACATAAATACATAGATGGATAGATAGAGTTACAGATATATTTTAGTTTTTATGCTACTTTTTTCTTTGCCTTTACTTCCTATGTTATATTAGTCAGGTCTCTAGGACTTAGGACTGCATTTACAATTCCTTCCCTTGTCCATTTTGATGTGTTCTAGAAGATGTGAGAATCCTTTTGTGTCACTTCAAAGTCAGATCACTTCAAAGTCATGCACTACCCTTGCAATAAATGTATTTGTGTATGTCTTTGCCTTATTGACAAGCTCTGCTGAGTGCAGTTATTTCTGCCATCTGAGCTAACTTTACACTTGGTAGAGAAATATATTCTAAATGGAGGTTTCCACTATTCATTTAAATTACTAATTCATAACCTCCAGCTTAATTATTGAGGTATAATCTATCAGAGATGATATTAGATCAAAGGTTTCCAATGAAATCTAATATAAGGGAAGTGAACAAATTTTCCTAATTTAGGTAAAATAACTCTGAGCCCATTCTTAGTATCCAGCCATGTCTCCTATCTATCACACTGAATCCCATACTAACTTTGACCTAACTTGGGACTTGGAAGCTTCAAATACGACGTTTTGATTGCAATGCCTCTAATTCAGGATGTGTGGTTATTTTAGCCAAGAGTAAAGAAAAGCAAATTTAACTCACTAAAAATGAGGAAGATTAAAACCTAATGAAATGGAAACTGGGATATGAGTGGCTCCAGACTTGGCTATTTTAAGAGTCTATGTGCCCAGGTGATTTCTTTTCTCAATTTTACACACAGGCACACCCAAAACATCAGCTTCATCTCCCATTGACTCTCATCATCTCTTTCTTAGAATGTTGACTTCCCGCTGCATCCATGTTGCCACAAAAGACATGATTTTATTCTTTTTCTATGAATGCATAGTGTTCCATGGTGTAAATGTACCATATTTTCTTGATCAAATTCACCATTAATGGACACATAGGTTGGATTTATGTCTTAAGTATTAAGAGTAACATAGCAATGAACATGTAAGTGGGTGTATTTTTTGGTAGACTGATTTATTTTCTTTTGTGTATATACCCACATATGAGATGGCTGGACCAAGTGGCAGCTCTGCTTCAAATACTTTTCAAATCTCCAGACTGCTTTCCACAGTGCTTGGACTAATTCACATTCCACCCAACACTGTACAAGTGTTTCCTGTTCTCCGCAGCCTCACTCCAGACTGCTTGCCACCGTGCTTGGACTAATACACATTCCACCCAACACTGTACAAGTGTCTCCTGTTCTCTGCAGCCTCACTCCAGACTGCTTTCCACAGTACTTGGACTAATTCACATTCCACCCAACACTGTACAAGTGTTTCCTGTTCTCCGCAGCCTCTCTCCAGACTGCTTTCCACAGTGCTTGGACTAATTCACATTCCACCCAGCACTGTACAAGCGTTTCCTGTTCTCCGTAGCCTCACCAGCATCTGTTTTGTTTTTTTTTTAATTTTTAGTAATACTGATTTTGACTGGTGTGAGACAGCATCTCATTGTGGTTTTGATTGATTGGCATTTCTCTGATGATTAGTGACGTTAAACGTTTTTTCATATGTCCTGGCCACTTTATGTATTTTTGAGAAGTTTATGCTCATGTCATTTGCCTATTTTTAAAATGTGATTATTATTATTATTTTTGCTTGTTGATTTACATTTCTTATAGAATCTGGATATTGGACCTTCATCAAATGCATAGTTTGTGAATAGCCTCCCCCATTCTGTAGGATCTCTGCTTACTCTCTTGATAGTTTCTTGGCTCTGTAGAAGCTCCTTAGTTTTATAAGGTGCCACAGACAGAATTTTGATTTGTTGCAACTGCTCTTGGGGACTTTGCCAAAATTTTCTTGCCCAAAACATTTTTAGATGAGTATTTCTTAGGTTGTATTCCAAGATTTTTATAGTTTGAGGTCTTATACTTAAATCTTTACTCCATTTTTTGTTGATTTTTGTTAATGGTGAAAGGTAGACATCTAGCTTCCATCTTCTGCATATGGCTAGCCAGTTATCCCAGCACGATTTATTGAATAGTGATACATTTCCTCATTGCATGTTTTTAGTGTCTTGGTGTAAGATCTGATGGTTGTAGGTGTGCAGCTTTATTTCAGAATTCTCTATTCCCTTTCACTCGTCTATGTGTCTCTTTTTGTATAAGTACCAAGCTATTTTGGTTCCTGTGGCTTTGTAGCATAATTTGATGTCTTCTAGTGGGATACCTTTGAATGTATTCTTGTTACTTAAGATTGCTTTTGTTTTTAAAACTCTTTTTTTGATTCCACATAAATTTTAAAAGTTTTTTTTCTAATGCTTTAAAAATAATGTTGGTAGTTTTATAGTAATAGCATTGAATCTGGTAATTTATTTGGGCACCATAAAAGTTGATAGTCATAAATGACTTCATCAAGGAGTTAGAAAGTTCTCAAATTAGTAATCTTAACCTTGCACCTAAAGGAACTAAAATAATCTCAAAGCTAGCACAGAAAAGGAAAATTAGAGAAGAACTGAATGAAATTCAGATACAAAAATGCATACAAAATATCAATAAGCCCAAGAGTTTCTTCTTTGTAAAATAAAGATTGACTGATAGACACCTGTCTGGATTTAGAAAGATAAAGAAAAAGAAGATCCAAATAAGTACAATCAAAAGTGACAAAGGGGATATTACAACTGATCCCAGAAGAATGCACAAATTCTCAGACTACTATAAACTTTATGCACACGTGTTAGAGAATCTGGAGGAAATGAGTAAATTTTGGGAAGCACAAAATCTCCCAATATTGAATCAGGGAGAGATTGAAACCCTAAATACAGTGAAACCAACTTCTAAAATTGAGTCAATAATAAAGACCCAACCAAGAAAAAGAAACCTGGACAAGAAGAATTCACAGCTGAATTCTACCCGACATACAAAAAAGAACTGATGCCAATTCTACTGAAGCTACACAAAGAAAATCAAGGCATAGAGGCTCCTTCTCAACTAAATCTGTGAAGCCAGCATCAGCCTTATACCAAAATATGGCAGAGACACAATAAGAGATGAAAGCTCAAGACAAATACTTCTCATGATCATAGGCTTAAAAATTCTCAATGTAGGAAATCAAATCCAGTAGTTTATCAAAAAGTTAACACACTGCAATCAAGTAGGCTTCATTCTGCAGATGCAAGGCTGCTTTAACCTATGCAAAGCAATAAATGTGATGCTCTACTAAACAGAATCAAAAGCAAAAACCATGTGAGTATCCCAGCAGATGCAGGAAAAAAAGCTTTCAATAAAATCTAACAATGCTTCATGATAAAAACCCTCAAAATTATAGACATTGAAGGAGCACACCTCAATCTGATGAGCCGTCTATGACAAACCCACAGCCAACATCATACTGAATGGGCAAACACTGGAAGCATTTTCCTTAAGAACAGAAACAAGACAAGGATGCCCGCTCTCACCACTTCTATTCAGCCTAGTACTGGAAGTATTCACCAGATCAGGCAAGAGAAAGAAATAAAAGGCATCCAAATAAAAGAAAAAGAAGAATGCAAACCCTCTGTTTTCACTGATAATATGATTCTATATGTAGAAAATATTGAAGGCTCTGCCAAAAGTCTCCTAGTATTGATACATTAGTTTAGGAATGTTTCAGGATATAAAATCAATGTACAAAAATCACAGTAACATTTCTAGTCACCAACAACGTTCTGGCTGAGAGTGGAATCAAGAACTTGCTCTCCCAATAGCCACCAAGACAGTGGAATACCTAGGAATAGAGCTAAGCCAATGAGATGAAATATTTCTACTAGAAAAACAGCAAAACACAGGTGAAAAAAATCAGAGATAAAACAAATAGATGGAAAAATAAACATTCCATGCTTATGAATTTAAACAATAAATATAAGAAAATGTTTTAAAATTTGTGATTAATTCTATGTAGCAATGCCATTTTTTTCAACATTTGCAGAATATTGTTGCTGGTAATAGCGGTTCAGCATTTGATAATGGAAATACCTTACAGAATCACTTTATAACAATTGCTTCCTGTAGTGGCTGTGCTTCAGTTACCTGATGAAAACATCGGCATGTCACAGGTTGAAAACATAAAACATGTTTATCAACTGAGAAGGCTGTAGGCTTTTGTCAAGTAATTACTTCAAGTCATTCAGAGAAACAGTAGACAGTAAATGAAACTTGTTCAAATTCCATGGAGAGTCAAAGCTGAAGAAAATCCTACTAAAAGTGTCCAAAGGCCCCCAAGGCTCAGTTCCTCGGCAAGTCCCACCTTCACAGGTTTTCCAGAATTTTGTTTTTAACTGATTTACACTAAGTGAAGTAGATTACCAGGAGTTTTCCATTATTTTAACTTAAAATCGGGGGCTAAGTGTTGTTATTTTGTAAAGACATCTTTGAATCTCTCAGGAAATTTACCTCCTGAGGGTTCAGCTAAGATCCCACTCTAGGTTAAGATTACATGTTTGGCACAACGAACTGGTACAAATCTTACTTTAGCTTTCATGTTATCTATTTTTCTGCACTGACTTCCACCTTTTTATTAGTCAAGTATATGGGGTGGAAGAGTGCTTCTAAGAGGTCCTTAACTTCCCCATTTCAATGGATTTTCAAGAAGACATGAGAAACCACTTTGTTTGCAAAGCATCCCAAAGCCATGTCCTGCTCCAGAAACGTGATCTCATTTCCTGGTCGTTTCTTAACTGACACACTGTAATCAGTGCATCTGGGCGAATTTCAAATGAGGTGAAGAAATGTGTCCTAAAGTAAAGCTAACATTGTAATAGGAATTCCTGTTTTAAAACATTTAGTTTTATTATTGGGAGGATCTATCAACATATAACAGTTGAAGTTTCTCAACAGGAGTTTAATAAATATAAGGAATGTACAGAAGTGTTTCCTAATTAAAATAAAACATAGTGATTACCTAGGCTGTGAATGCAATCTTGGTAATCTGCTATGTCCATGCCCATCACTCTGTGCCTCGCAAACTGATTTTGACCTTAGCAGAAATGAGGTTAATTTTCAAATTAGTAATTTTTTTCCAGTTTATTTAGATGATTATGAATGACTATTTTAGCAGAAAGAGAATCAAGGAAACTTGAACTAAATAACCAGAATTTAAAATGACAAACAATTCAACAAGACACCAGGATGTGAGTGGCTCCAGGCCCAATTAATTCAAAACTTTATCTGCCCAGGTTCTGTATTTTCCCAAAATTACACTTCTCCATTCCACCTTCATACCACAGTCGACTCCCACCCTGTAAGACATGGTGACAGCATTCCCAAAGGTCATGTGCAATTCTGAAAATGGAATAAGCAAGGTGAGGAGATGACAGTTTATATTCTCCTCTGAGGAGGAAGAATTGCCTCAACAGACCACTTCTCCTGCATCTGTGACTAGAACTATGTCACAGGCACACATGGAGCAAAATCCCTCAAGGGCATAATATGGTAACATTAATCAGGGTGATCATTTTTAATACTATAAAATTCATAGATGACACTGCATTCCAGCCTGAGAGACAGAGCAAGACCCTGTCTCTAAGAAAAAAAGAACAAATTAATAGATACTGATACCAACATTTTAGATAATGAAATTTTCATAACCTAATTTTAAATACACTCACATCATTACATAAATCTTCCCAGAAATATTCCTAGTCATGTTGAGTTTCATCAGCTTTTCCAGTGTTCAAATCTAGAAATCCAATAGAGTCTTGAGGATAAATCAAAATGAAGGCAGTGAAACTGGTATCTATTCAGCATCTGTTAACTCAGGAGGACTCAATACACCCTTGCACACTGCTGCTTCTCCGAATGGCTCACAAGGATTCCAGCTCACTCTCTAGCCTCCTCAAACATCTGGCCCCCACTTGCCCTAAGTTCACTGTCTGCTCTTAGTCTGTGCTCTGAAGTTTTCGCAGAGGTGAAAGTGAGCTGTCAGATGGAACTTCCCTCTCACCTCAGCGTGGAATTTACTACTACATTTAACTATCACTCTTTCCATAATGGTTGATTTCTCTTGGTCTGTTCATTACAGATCAAAGGCATCTGATTTGAATCTTTATTTCTTTGCATTTGTCTCCATGACAATTTTGGGAGGTTTTACCGCCAGCTCTATAACATGATGTAGTAACATGACACATTTGTGCTTAACAACACCTACAAATTCAGAAGCCCTTCGGTTCTCTTCCCGGCAAATATAGTTGCTTCCTTTCTGTGTATGGGCACATCCTGGAAACCCGTACACACCCACATAGATATATACATGCCTATGACATTTTCTTCTCTGTAAGTGAAAATTAATCTCAATTTCATACGAAGTTCATCATTTCCCTGAAGGTGAAGGTAGGTCGTTTTGGTCTGTTCAAACAAAAGGCCCAGACACCAGCTGGTAAGTGAGGAGCTACCCTGCTTCTAGATGTTGGATCTGTCTCTTCCCCTTTGCTTTACCACAGAAGATTGGCCACTTGTCCAGGTCCCAAGAAGAGAGTCCAGGTTTGTCCTGATAATATGACTCACCCAACTTCTGATAACTCTACTGCTACACACATTCATGGAGGTAGCCTATTAATTACATAATTGACTAAACAAACACCAAATACCCACATTGCAATACCCCATACCCAAGGGTATGTTCATGCAATTCAATGAAGGAAAAGGCTTTTCAGAGACAGATAGATCAGGCTAGATTGGTCAATATATGGGTGAAAACACTGGATTTGAATGTATTTGTTTTCCCCCATGTCGCATGTGAGACCTGTCAGGACCAGGGTTCCTTGTGCACTCAGAGGTGAGGGCTCACAGAGTTCCTCTCTGGTTTCCAGGAAAGGTAACTGCAGTAATCTTGGTGATGAGAATATCCTCCAGTGCTGGCCTATTATAGAGTTTACATATGAAATTGTCACTGCAATTCACAATCTACTCTTTCACACAGAAGTGTACAGAGGTCAGGCCACATCCTCAGGGTCACACATTGAGAATGATGAAGATATGTCCCACGAGTCTCTCCTAAGGTCTCAGAAAGAATTCCAGGACTCAAAAGGTCTCAGAGGGCAGCTCCCAGTGCCTTAGTTAAAATGGTGGCTCAGGCCTGTAATCCCAGCACTTTGGGAGGCCAAGGTGGGTGGATCACCTGATGTCGGGACGTTGAGACTAGCTTGGCCAACATGGTGAAACCTTATACTAAAAATATAAAAATTAGATGGGGGTGGTTGTGCGTGCCTGTACTCCCAGCTACTTGGGAGGCTGAGGCAGGAGAATCACTTGAACCCAGGAGGTGGAGGTTGCGGTAAGCTGAGATCGGGCCACTGCACTCTAGCCTGCGCAAAGGAGCAAAAGTTCATCTAAAAAATTTATTTTAATTTAAACACTTTTAAAAAGTGGCCCACTCCCTAGAACAGAGAGATTCCCTCTAAACATGATGGATGTCCTGAACTATAAATTACATTAAGTGAATCCTGGTGTGTCTGAACTCACATGATTATTACATTAAGCTGCTGTTCCAATCTACTTCCTCACCTGGGAAAAGAGGAGCCAGGACATGGCTAGTTGAGGCCCCAGGAAGAGAACTGAGTTCTCAAAGGGCAAAGCAAGCATCCTCATCCCAGGGTGAGCCTAAAAGACTGGGGCCTCCCTCATCCCTTTTCACCTCTTTATACAAAGGCACTACCTACATGCAAATCCTCGCTTAGGCACCCACAGGAAACCACCACACATTTCCTTAAATTCAGGGTCCAGCTCACATGGGAAATACTTTCTGAGACTCATGGACCTCCTGCACAAGAACATGAAACACCTGTGGTTCTTTCTCCTCCTGGTGGCAGCTCCCAGATGTGAGTATCTCAGGGATCCAGACATGAAGATAGGGGAGGCTGCCTCTGATCCCAGGGCTCACTGTGGGTCTCTCTGTTCACAGGGGTCCTGTCCCAGGTGCAGCTGCAGGAGTCGGGCCCAGGACTGGTGAAGCCTTCGGAGACCCTGTCCCTCACCTGCGTTGTCTCTGGTGGCTCCATCAGCAGTAGTAACTGGTGGAGCTGGGTCCGCCAGCCCCCAGGGAAGGGGCTGGAGTGGATTGGGGAAATCTATCATAGTGGGAGCCCCAACTACAACCCGTCCCTCAAGAGTCGAGTCACCATATCAGTAGACAAGTCCAAGAACCAGTTCTCCCTGAAGCTGAGCTCTGTGACCGCCGCGGACACGGCCGTGTATTACTGTGCGAGAGACACAGTGAGGGGAGGTGAGTGTGAGCCCAGACACAAACCTCCCTGCCAGGAGGCGGAGGGCGCGGACGCAGGTGCTGCTCAGGACCAGCAGGGGGCGCGGGGCCCACAGAGCATGAGGCCGGGTCAGGAGCAGGGGCAGGGAGGGCGGGGCTTCCTCATCTGCTCAGTGGTCTCCCTCCTCGCCAGCACCTCAGCTGTCCCCAGGGCTCCTCTTTCTTTATTGTTTGTGGTTCTGCTTCCTCACATCCTCACTGCAGGCAAGAAAGAAGGGAGAAATTTCTCTGTTTACCATTAAGGTTTTAACAGTCACTGGCACCTTTTTTTCAACAAATTCCCACAAGGCCCATTTTACCTTCTTGACAAATAAAATATTTCAAGGCTTCTCACTATCCCTTGATTGACGTCATTGGCTGCATCGTGTCCTTCTCTTAAATTCATATGCTGAAACCCCAATCCCAGTGGCTCTGTATTTGGAGTGAGGGATTTTAAGAGGGCAAATAAGTTAACTGTGGCCATAAATGTGGGACCCTAATCCAGTAGGACTCTTGTCCTTATGGGAAGTGGAAGACATCAGAGACCTCTCTCTCCACATGCACACAGAGGAGAGGCCATGTGGGGATGCACTGCATGAGAAGGTGGCCCTTTGCAAGCCTGGAAGAGGCCTCTCAAAAAACAAAATACTATCCCTTTCTGCACCCAGATCTTGGACATCAAGACTCCAGAACAATAAGAAAATTAATATTTGTTATTTGAAACAACCTAGTCTGTGGTATCTTCTGATGGAAAGCCAAGCGGATTCACAGATACAATTGTGTTAGCTCTGTCTCCTGGAGGGAGAAACAGCCCACTGAGGCTGGACACATCTCTCAGATTATTTTTATAAAGAAAAATAGATCCAAGATGAAAACCCCACCACATTTCTGCTGAGTCATTCACTTAGCAGGCGTCTCTGAGATCAGCCCTGGGGGCTGTGTTCTAGGTCATGTCTCTCACTTTCCACCATGAGAATCCATGTAGATAATGAGAACCAGCCAGATGGAGTCCTGATCCCGGCCCACCTTCTGCTGCCCCAAGTATCCCAAAGAAAACCACTCCAGCATCACCCCTGTGTCTTCTACTCTCTAAAATCCCACTAAAGCTGACCCTAAACCAGGAGCTATTTGGGGCTGGACTCTTGTTCTCTTCTTCTTAGTCTTCCATAAGGTCCAGGTGCCGAGTAAAGCCTCAGTAAAGATTGAGCTTCAGTTCCCCTAATCCGCAGCATTCCCTTACATCCTTGTCATGCATCTGTCCTCTGTGGGCGCCCAGGGCAGGTTACACAGGAATTGCCTGAAGCTGGCCTCAGCTGATGTGCTGAGACCACGGGTCATGCACACGTATGATTCCAGGTCATGCGGGCTCTACTGCAGGACAGACCTGTGTCCTGTGGGGCACAGCCACCTGCTGATCCCGGGCCTCCTCTAATAACTCACACACCTGGTGTTTGTGTATGTCCAGATGGCCCCATGAGCACAGCACACTAGGGTGGCCAACCTCACAGGTGGTGCCGTCAGATGGTGGACAGAAAATGGAATGGACAGGCTGGTCACTCCCATCATCAGTGATTTCCCAGTGAATTTTAAATAAATTAAACAAAATTAACAACAAAGGGGAAGGATATGTACCTGTATCTGGGAGGTATACAGGGTCCTAGAACTGTGCTGGGAGTGGGTGTGAAAGGCCCTTTTGGGTGGAAAGCCCTCCGGCCTGAGTGAAAGCTGAAGGAATGATCACTGTGCAGGTGGAGGCTGATAGGCAGCTGGCAGGGTACATTTCCTGAAGCTGTTCCTGGGTGCATGATGGTTGGATGGCCCGTGGTGATGAGGGCTGGACTCACATAGGAACAAGGAAATTATCCCATGGGAATGGCAGAAAAGAAAACGGAGATGGACACCCCTGGAGACAGCTTATTAGAATTGGTGGAGGAAAAATAGAAATTTATTCCAATGACCCCAGCATTGTCAGCTAAATATGAGTTGCATTAATAGACAGAATTATGAAAGGAAGGGAGAAGGAGTTTATGGAGGGAAAAAACAGAAGAGAAATTAAAATTAAAAACTATGCAAATCTATCAATTGGCAGATAACAGAGTGGAGCTGATGCAGCTACTTCCTTGTTCAGGAAACCTGCCAGAGACACTTGGCATTCCTGTAAGGCCGGCCTAGTGGTGATGAACTTGTCGACTTTTTACTTTTTTGGGAAACTTCTCAAACATCCTGCATTACTGAAGAAAAGCTTTAATCCCTGTAAGATATTTATTTGGAAGTTTTTTGGCTTTTTTTTTCAGCAACTTGAATAGAATCATGCACATTTTGATATTTGGGTGAACAACAGGCCACATACATGACAAAGGTCTCATTAGATTATAATACTGTATTTTCACTGCATTTTTTCCATGCTTAGATATGTTCATCTGTATAAACATCTACTATGGTGATTCAGCTGCCCACAGTATTTAGTACACTTACATGACATACAGATTTGTTACCTAGGAGCACTATGCTATCCCACACAGCCTGGGTGTAGCAGGGTATTTCATGTAGGTTTGTGTAAACACACTCTATGATCCTTGCACAATGACAAATTGCCTGAGGACACATTGCTCAGACGTATCCCTACTGTTTTTCATTTTTTTTTAGATGGAGTCTCACTCTGTCACCCAGGCTGGAGTGCAGTGGCACAATCTTGGCTCACTGCAACCTCCACCTCCGAGGCTCAAGCGATTCTCCTGCCTCAGCCTTCTGAGGAGATGGGATTACAGGCATGTACCACCACGCCCAGCTAATTCTTTTTTTTCTATTTTTAGGAGAGATGGGGTTTCACCATGTTGCCCTGGCTGGTCTTGAACTCGTGACCTAGGTGATCCACACTCTTTGGCCTCCCAAAGTGCTGGGATTACAAGCATGAGCCACTGCGCCTGGCCAATGTATCCCTACTGTTAAGCCACAAATCATTGTATCTCATCTCTCTCCCTTTTTTGTCCCTGTTAATACTTTCATGTTGTTCGTGCATTCTTCCCCTAGCTCAGTGAACATATTTATAAGGTTTACTTTGAATTTTCTGCTAGGTAATCAATATATCTCCTTTTAATTTGTGGCAGTTTCTAGTGCTTTTTTTTTGTTAAACAATTTGGGCCACTTTTTTCTGTTTCGTGATTATTATTATTATTTTTTTTACTTTCTCTGTTGCTTTCTCCTCATTAGAAGGAAAAGCTACCATAATCACTCTTCACAGAATATGCTCAGGGAAAATGCCATCACCTATCAACCCAGGCTGTCATTGTGGCATCTCTTAAAACTTCATAATGGTCGAAATTTTTTTTGGTTGTTAGTGGCACTCAGACCTATAGAGGATTTTAAGTTTTGCTCCTACTCTAAATTAGATGGCATTGAAATTCATCCTGCAGGCAGTCTCTGATAAAGTGGAGGAATTGGACAAAGTTTTGTTATGCATGTGGTTCATAAAAATAATATGAGTTTAAGGTTTTCTCAACCAAGTGCTACATACTGATACTTTATAATCACTTCTTTGAATCTGTCTTGAGTTTATCCTCCGAAAATTTAGATCAGAATATAAACCATGTTTGAGGCTTCTTGTTTGGTGTAAACATCTCCTACAGGTCATTGTGTGAAAAGGCACAGAGTCTATCTGAGGAGGAGAACTCAGGGAAGCCTCACAACAACAGGGGAGACAAAACCGAGGTCACTAAAAAAATATGAAGCTTCTGGCTCCTGCAGCCTCCAGACATGCCCTGCACCCTCTCATTGCATACAAACGAATTCCTTTCTCTTTCCTGTGTGATATTTGCCAAGATTCCTCTCCTCCACTTTGACACTTTGGTATATCCATGTGTGTCCATTCTGGTTCAGCCAGGCACACAGAACCAGGAAGGCATCATGGCTTTTCTAGAGGGAGCTGACCTGGGTAATCAACGGTTGGAGTAGAAAGTGTCTTTGTCCATGTTTCACAGCCCTGAGGGCCATGGGAAGAAGGTCAGGAAGAGAGGATGACCAGACGGCCGGGGAAACCAGTATGAACAAAGCCACTTTCTTTCCTGGTGAAGAGGGGCTGTCCCTGTAGGGGATGAACCACACTCACCTACCCACTGTTACTTGCCAACGAGGTGACCCGCAGAGCAGCAGCTCCTGAGTCACCGACAGTGGCGCCTTCCTCCTCCAAACCCTCCAAGATCTGTCCTTCCAGGAGTGTGAACCCCAGCAGATCTGCATGTTTTCAATGGGTCCACTTAGCTAGTGTCTGTCCTCAGCCCCATCCCTGGGATCCTTCCCTGGTTCTGTGTACAGTGTCACAATAGTGGTGACATTGACAGCTGGTGCCTGCACTTTCCAGGCCAAGAAATTTGAAAGAAGCAAGTCACAGGACCAGCTTGGATTTGGGGCAAACAGACACATTTCACTCTGTGGGGAAGTGCTGGGAAGCAGCCTTGGGTCCTCCTCAGCTCACGTGTGGCTGCTGCTTCTCATCCCAGGTGGGACACATGAGCCCTCCCCATGCCCAGGATGGAGCTGTTTCAATCACAGCAGGATGGGAATGTGTCTTCTCTATGGGGGCTTTTGAAGCACAGCTCTCCTGTTCCTGAGATTTGAGATTTATAAAGACAAGTCCCACAGAGTGGACCTGCACAAATAAGACAGTACAGGATCCCCAGGAGAGACATCCCATATGAGAAGGGACAGGCTGGTCCCATCACTGACACTCGTCCTCAGAAACCCTGACCAGCTACTGACCTTCCCAGGTCCCCTGTTCCTGGAACGGTTCCTGTGTCTGCTCCTGAAAAGATGCCCATCAAGAGTCCCAAGGGTTCTGCCCCCTTCCTTGATGTGCCTCTGGGAGTGGGGCTGGCTGGGCTGTGGGTCTGCTGTGACCCTCTCCACAGGTCAGCAGTTCAGTGCAGGCTGCACCAACTCGGTGGGGCTGGGCTGTGGCTGACCCTCCTGGGGGAGCCTGGACTCTTCTTAGGGGTATCTGCAGGATCCCAGGTTCTGGGAGAACAGGGAAGCCACAGTGTGTGCAGGGCCCCATCTCCAGTAAAGTGTTTGCTGTTGTTCTGCTTGACAAGGGCATATCCCCAGGCCTAGAGGCACTATGGGCACACAGCCAATGCGCTAGACACAGGGAGTAAGACACAGTTCCCTCTCATTACTGTGAGGACTCTAGACACAGTGTGTGTGTGTGTGTGTGTGTGTGTGTGTGTGTGTGTGTCCATTACTGTGGGGACTCTAACCACCCGTGTGTGTGTGTGTGTGTGTGTGTGTGTGTGTGTGTATTAGGAGTTTCGCAGTGGGCTCTGAGACCCATGATTTTGTAGGTTTAGAAATTATCTGATGAGATGTTCATCCAAAGGAACCGACAAGAGATTAGGTGTTCTCCCAAAGCCCCTGGGAGCTCCTGGACTCATTGTGAGTGTGGACTGATCCAGTGCTTCCGGAGCTCCAGAGAAGGGGCTCCCTGGTGGTTTCATAGAATCCTTGTTTGGGGTGTTTCTGCAGAGTTCACTGGCTTTCCTACAACCAATTTACTATTGCAAGCGATGGTGTCAGCAGGACATGGTGTCACGTGTCACTAAAGAAGCATTCTGAGCCAGGACACAGCCACTTCATACAGGGAGGAAAATGCTCTGGGAGCCCAGACAGGAGCCTCTCTGCAGTGCAAGGGCTGGGCTGCAGGGGGCGCTCAAGGCCCACCCAGCACAGGCCCCAGCCCCAGAGCAGGTGCACAGGAGGCTGGGGAGGGATTCCTCTCAAGATCTGTGTCATTCTTCTAAAAAAATCTAAAATAAGTATTTGACAAAGACTGCTGAAGATTCCATAAATATCCTATTCAATTGCAAGAATTTATCAATTTACACTGGAGATTTCTAACCCTGCTACATACCTTAATAGTAAGCATCTGGAGATCAATTAAGCTTTTATTTTATATAAATAAGTGCAACTTTTGGAGAAACACACTCATCCCCCAAATAACACATTCATGTATTAAAGCCTAGAAATGCTTTAAATTACCTCTGAGCTATTCAAGTGTGGGTTCCCAGTGAAGTCCTGTTCTAGGGAAAATTGTTCTCCAGTGTTCTCCACTGTTCTGGAGAAAATTGTTCTCCAGAAGCTCTGTCAACATACAGCTTAGGGATGTGGCAGGGCACACATGGCCTCTAAGGGGATTATAGCTTGAACCCTTAGCATCCTCCTGTTGGGTAATCCATGTGTCATCTCTCCATTCTTTCTCATGCTGTGTTAGGTATGAAATAGCATCGCTCATGAATATGCAAATAACTGATATGACTATAGATATCTTTGTGCCCTGAGAGCATCACCCAACAACCACATCCCTCCTCAGAAGAAGCCCCCAGAGCACAGCTCCTCACCATGGACTGGACCTGGAGGATCCTCTTTTTGGTGGCAGCAGCCACAGGTAAGGGGCTGCCAAATCCCAGTGAGGAGGAAGGGATTGAGGCCAGTCAAGGGGGCTTCCATCCACTCCTGTGTCTTCTCTACAGGTGCCCACTCCCAGGTCCAACTGGTGTAGTCTGGAGCTGAGGTGAAGAAGCCTGGGGCCTCAGTGAAGGTCTCCTGCAAGGCTTCTGGATACACCTTCACCGACTACTTTATGAACTGGATGCGCCAGGCCCCTGGACAAAGGCTTGAGTGGATGGGATGGATCAACGCTGGCAATGGTAACACAAAATATTCACAGAAGCTCCAGGGCAGAGTCACCATTACCAGGGACACATCTTCGAGCACAGCCTACATGCAGCTGAGCAGCCTGAGATCTGAGGACACGGCCGTGTATTACTGTGCGAGAGACACAGAGTGAAAACCCACATCCTGAGAGTGTCAGAAACCCCAGGGAGGAAGCAGCTGTACTGGCATGGAGGAAATGACAAAGATTATTAGATTGAAGACTTTCTCAGAAAATGACATTAAGTCATTAAGGAAAAGAAACAATATAAATGTGTACTTGAGAAATTTTAATTACTTGAGAGATTTTTCATACAATATTTATTCTGCAAGCAAATTTCAGGGATTGAATTAATAAAACTGATACAGAACTTCCTCTGTAGGTATCTGTGTAAACATCAATTTCTGAATCAGTGTTGTAAATATTTTGGAACACATACACAAATCACATTTTATCTCTATTTTTAAAAATGCCAAAAAAACTCATTTGTGCATGTAGCATTTTGAATTCCCACCATCAATGCATGATAGTTCTTGGTTTTCCACATTCATATTGCCATTTACAATTATGAGAATTATGTGTTTTAACCATTCTAATAGGTGAGTAATGGTATCTAATTTTTAGTTAAATGCACATTTCCTTAATAAAAATTTACATTTAACAATTTTCATATAGTTTTTGCTGAGATGCCTCTTCTCATATTTGGTTCATTTTTAACTGTATTGTTTTCTTTTGATTAGTTGTAAGTTTACTTGCATATTGATTATAAAAGTCATTTAACAAATTAAAAGAATTCATTTAACAAATATGTGACTTGGAAGTATTTTCTCCAAGTCTGTGGCTGTCTTTTACTCCCTTATCAGTGTGTATTGCAGAAAAGTGTGTGTGTGTGTGTTTATACAAATTTAGATTTAAAAAATAAAATTTTATTCATCTACAGATCATGTCTTTGGTATTATATCTGAAATCTCATTATAAAATATACTAATATGATTACTTTTTCCATGTCTCTAGTCTCAGGCTACAATCAACTCATGAGTGTTTAAGCTTCACCTACTTGATTGGAGGACTATCAACCTAACATAGTTGGAATACTTCTGTAAAAAGATGTGTTCTTCTTCCTATTATTTCTTTATTTGATCACTTATTAATATGTGTATTGGTTTATGGATGTCTATTTCATACTCTGAAGAAGATCCATGCTACATTATTCATTTTATTTTTCAAACCACCACAGCTTTATTATGTGCTGGGAGCTCATTTAGTTTGGATCCTGCATCCTTACAGCTCACCTCATGCTTTTGTTTTTGAACACTTCCCTGTTTCCTGCTATTATAATAAATTCTAAACTCATTTTCTATATTATCTTTTTCGTACATAGAATCAGCCATTTTTCTAAAGACTGCTTGTTTCTGATGTTAAAGAATAGTATTTAAAAAATTGTAATACTGGGTATGTGCATTGTTAACGTGGTATAAGTACTTGTAGGACCTCTCAACTGACTGGCCTAGTAAACTATGTATCTAACCTTCTGTAATTTGATTACATTAAAAGTGAGAACACACTGGTCTCTCTACCCAATTATGCTACCACATGGACCTTTCTAGCCTTCCTTCCTTGACTGTCTATAACCACTCACTGCAAAGTGAGGAACCCCATCCAACCATATGCCATTTGATTACTTAGCTGCACAATTTCAGGACACATGCATAGCAGTATCAGAAATGTAAAGCTGTAACCTTGTTGGAAACATGTTTATCTACTAGAATAGAGTGCTTATATTCAGTTTCTTTACACTTATTATAGAGTTTCCTCATTTTCAAAGTTCCTTAGGTCAGCAACTTCATTTTCCAGTTTCTTCAGTGAAGTCATTTCAATGACACTGTATAATTTGATTTATTTGAAATTCTATAAAAGCCAAAACTGTAGTCAAGTAAACATATAGAGGATATTCCAGGAGCTTAGAGACTGGGTATAAAATAAGTTAAAAAGACACTGTTTAAGAAGATTAAAATTATTTATAGTGATATGCAATGGTTCAGATATGACACAATTAATTTGTCTAAGCACATAATTTTATGATGGAAAATATAAACCTAAATATACACAATTAAAAAAAAGTACTTAGCAGTTCATTAACCCAAGGATCAAATGCAGATTGTATAAAATTATCTCATTACTTATTTTGTGAGGGTGGAGATTTCATGAGATGTATGCAACAAAGAATGAGGTAATTTTCCTGATTTGCATATAAGATGTTGCCATTCACTAAAGACCTTTAATTTTTTAATTTTTTTTAAAATCAATTTTCTACGTGACCCAGGTTTTTTCCTCTTGACAAGCAAATAACCCACAGGATTATTTTCTTTCCTTGGTTGAGAAATATTTCCCCAAACTTCAGCTCAGTTCAGGCATACACTGTCCCTGAATGGGCATTTACCCTCAGATGGGGACACACACCTGTCAACATGTGGACTCTTCTGTCAGATAAATGCACCGTTACTCATGTGGATTCTTTCCTCAGACAAACACACATGTCCCCACGTGGACTCTTTCCTCAGACTACCACATATGTTCTGACATTTACTCTTTCCTCAGAAAACAGACATTTCCTCATGTGGACTCTTGTCTCAGACAAGCAAACATGTCTCCATGTGAACTCAATTCAGATAAGTACACATATGTCCACATTGACTGTTTCCTTACACAAACACATATATCCAATGTCGAATTGTTCTGTGGCAAAATGATCTCAAGATAATGATAATTATAAACCCCCTCCCTGACAAGGCGTAGATATGTATTTTTTTCATTGTAACCTAACTTTGCCTTATTGTCAAGAACAGTAGTTTGCAGCTCTAAATGTACCAATTAGAGACAGGTGTCCATTTTCTCTGGAAACATATTTTTATGTTCTTACTGGACATATTTGTTGATAATGTTTGCTATTATGAAAATACCTGAACAGCGTCCACACTAGAGAATAAAAAAGAGTAATGGGCAGATTAACTCTGTGCATCCAGACCCAGAAATCCTTTGACCTTGACTTCCCTGAAATGTAGACACAGAGGATGGATGAGCAATGCTGAGCGGTGCACCCATGACCACAAAAAGAAAGACATGGAAATGTGTCCCCTCCCCTTCTCAAGAAAGGCAGCTTATCCCCTGTTCCCTCAGGCCCTGGCGAGGAGCCACCCCATGTCTGTGCCCTTCCTCAGTGTCCACACCATGGGGTCTGCACTGATCTGGATTCCCTTCTCATCCCCGTCAACATTAGTGGCCTTTGTAAAACAGGTCCAGCTGTGGCTGCTCCTCATGGGGATTTTCTCAGTCTGTTTTCTGTGTTCATGGAAGTCCTGTGTGAAGTTTACTGATGGAGTCAGAGGGGGAAAATTTTACAGCCCAGCGGTTGAGATTCTCCTGCAAAGCCTCTGGTTTCACCTTTACTGGCTACAGCATGAGCTTGGTCCAGCACGCTTCACAACAGGGATAGGTGTGGATGCCAACAGTGAGCGATCAAGTATGAATTCTCAGGGTTACTCTCCATGAATACAAATAAATTAACAATCTCAAGCAACACCCTTTCAAGTGCAGTCTGCCTTACAATGACCAATCTGAAAGCCAAGGACAAGGCCATGTATTACTGTGAGTGACACAGTGAGGGAAACCCTGTGTGAGCCCAGACACAAAGCTCACTGCAGGGAGACAGGAGGGGACTATGCGGTAGATGCTGCTCAGAACCACCAGGGGGCACTCAGAACCATCAGGGAGGGTGCACAGAACCACCAGGAGGGGCTCAGGACACCAGGGGGTGCTCAGCACCACCAGGGGGCACTCAGGACCATCAGGTAGGGTGCACAGAACTGCCAGGAGGAGCTCAGGACACCAGGGGGTGCTCAGAACCACCAGGGGGCACTCAGAACAATTGGGGGTGCTATGAACCACCAGGGGGCGCTCAGAACCACTAGCTGGTGCTGAGGACACCAGGGGGCGCTCAGGACCACAAAGGGGCCCTCAGGACACCAGAGGGTGCTCAGAACCACCAGGAGGCGCTCAGGACACCAGGGGGCGCTCAGAACACTAGGAGGTGCTATGAATCACTAGGGGGCGCTCAGGACACAAGGGAGCACTCAGAACCACCAGGGATAGCTCAGGACACCAGGGGGCACTCGGAACCGCCAGGGGGTGCTCAGGACACCAGGAGGCACTCAGAACCACCAGGGGGTGCTCAGGACACCAGGGGGCGCTCAGAACCACCAGGGGGTGCTCAGGACACCAGGAGGCACTCAGAACCACCAGGGGGCCCTAAGGAACCTAGGAGCTGCTCAGAACCACTAAGGGGTGTTGACACCAGGGGGCAGGCAGAATCACCAGGGGGAGCCCAGGACACCAGCAGGCGCTCAGGAAACACCAGGAGGTGCTCAGGACACCAGGGGGCGCTCAGAACTGCCAGGGAGCGCTCAGAAGAAGCAGGGGGTGCTCAGAACACCAGAGGGTGCTCAGAAGCACCAGGGGGCGCTCAGGACACCAGGGGGCGCTCATGAGACTGTGGTGGGGGGGTGCTGAGAACCACAGGATGTGACCAAGACACCAAGGGGTACTCAGAACTGCCAGGGGGTGCTCAGGACACCAGAGGATTCTCAGAACCACCAGGGAGTGCTCAGGACACCAGGGGATGCTAAGGAAACCAGCGGGTGCTCAGAACGACCAGAGGACACTCAGAAAACCAGGGGAAGCTCAGGAACCACCAGGGGGCGCTCATGACACCAGCGGGCGGTCAGAACCACCAGGGCATGCTCAGAACCACCAGGGGGCGCTCAGGACACCAGGGGATGCTCAGGACACTAGGGGGCGCTCAGGAACCACCAGGGGTCACCCAGGAAACCAGAGGGTGCCCAGGAAACCAGGGGAGGTTCAGGAACCACTAGGGGGCACTGAGGACACCAAGGGGTGCTCAGAACCACCAGGGGGCGCTCAGGAACCACAAGGGGACACTCAGGACACTAGTAGGCACTGAGGAACCACCAGGGGGCGCTCAGGACACCAGGGGACGCTCAGAACCTCCAGGGGTCGCTCAGATCCACCAGAGGGCGCTCAGAACCACCAGCAGGTGTTCAGGACAGCAAGGATGGCTCAGGACACGAGGGGACACTCAGGACCTCCAAGGGGCTCTTTGGAGGCAGCTCCATATCAGGTACCTGGGGAGGGTGAGGTTTCCTTTTCCACCTTGGTGATTCCTGACCTGGTCAAGCAAAAGTCTTCCCCAGGATCTCTTACCATGTCTTCCTTGTAACTCATGGTTTCTTTCACCTATAAAACATTAACTTAGAACAGGGGTTCAATTCAACTTTAAACTCTGCCTATTTTCAGAGTTATACTAGCAATGATATATCTCAGTATAATTTTTTTTAATTGTGTATATTCAATCCAAAGTCTGGCTCTATGCACAATTTTTTTGTTTTCTGTGCTGTCAGACACACTATTGTAAATGCTTTTCTAACAACTCAGCATATGCGTGGGGTCCAGTTTCTTTTCCTTTCATCGGCTGTTTGTGCAGATGAAACACCGCTTTAAGGGCTCATGTCCTCCACTTTGGCCCCTGGTGTTTTGCTTCTCAAACTTTCTCCATCTTCTCTTTTTCTGTCAAAATATTTTATCTTCCTCACTCTCCATGCAGGAAACAGGAAGTCCTTTTACTTTCTGTCCCCCATGTCTGGTAAATCAGTTCACTTCTTTTCATGATCACTGAAGCCAACCAAGTTTAGGAGAGTAACAGTTCTCCTTAGAATATGCTCTACCTGCAGACTCTCTGCCCTCATCACACTTTTCTAGGGTCCTGCAGACATAACCCCCACCCATTCCTCTTTTTCCCTCAGTACCACAGATTGGGCTCTGCAACTCATGCTACCCTCTGTGTGCTCAGCCCAGGGGCTCACTAGTGCTTTCATGAAGTCCAAATCCCTAATGTGTTTGCACACTCTCAGACCACCCTCCAGCAAGCTGCCATTGTGATTGAATCCTGCAAAGCATGGGCTGCTTTCAGTTTCCTATCACTGGATGTTCTTTATTATAAAGGCATATTGGCAAATAAAGACTAGAGTTTGTATTGAAAATTAACACCAAAAAGTTTTTTAAAAAATTTTTCAAATAGAAAAGTTATATCTTGCCTAGTTTAAAAAAATACAATGTTACTTTAATCAATGATTTAATAAAAATTTAAGTGATGTTTGTCTTATTATTCAATTTATTAATAACTGACTGATATTTAAAAAGTAAATACTGGCTGGGTACAGTGGCTCATGCCTGTAATCTCAGCAATTTGGGAGGGTAAGGTGGGTGGATCACCTGATATCGGGAATTCGAGACCAGCCTGACCAACATGGAGAAACCCACTCTCTACTAAAAATACAAAATTAGCTGGGCATGGTGGGGAAGCTGAGGCAGGAGAATCGCTTGAACCCGGGAGGTGGAGGTTGCGGTGAGCCGAGAACACGCCATTGCACTCCAGCCTGGGCGACAAGAGCAAAACACTGTCTCAAAAAAAAAAGTAAATACCACTGTACACTTAAGTAATATATTTGGCAAGAATGGCATTTACATTCATTCAAAAATGAAACTGCAAATACAAGTTACATTCAGTTAAATAATTAAAATAATATAGAAAAAATGGGTGTGTTGTTTTGGTGTTTAATATACATTCATTTTTGCATGGACGCATATATGTGTCATTGCTTGGCTGTTGTGTGTGTGTGTGTGTGTGTGTCTGTGTGTGTACGACTATGAAGTTTAAAATATATTATTAAATTACATAGTTGTATTAATCCAAATTTATCATGTTAAAATATTAGGAAAAAGTCACCAGTAGAGAAATTACAGAGAACATTAGCAATGCCTACAGCATTTACAAGAGTCACGTTAATAAGAAACAAACTAGTTCAAATTTTTAGATATGACACACGCAGTGGAAAATGTTCACATGGTATTAACACAAAAGTGGTGCACAATTGAGGAAATTATAATACATTCATGATATTGGCTAAATAAATGCTTATGAGTAATGCTTTTCATCCATCAAATGCTTATGATAATGCTTTTCATCCATCGTATTATAGATGATAAAATAACTCTATAAACACTTCCATCACTAGTGTTTAATATGAGATGCCTCACATCTTTTTCTGAAATAAATAAACATCTGTCCACTACTTTGATGATCATTTCAGTATTATCCTCTAAAATAATTATCCATAATAATGTTAGTAACAATATTATTTTCAGAAGCCTATTTTATAAGTTCTTTGAACTATTATTTTTATGATTGTTACTTTATATTTTACACACTTTTTATTTGGAATAATTATAGATTATCAGAACAATTGTAAGGAAAATACAGTGTGTTCACATCCATCTCCGAGTTTTCACTAAAGTTAGTATGTTAAAAAAATGGGACATGGGACTAATATATTTACATTGATAATTTTCTGTTTATTCAGCTCTGGGATTTATTTGAATTTTGCCAATTTTTAACAGTTTCCTTTTTTCCTTTTTCTTTTCTTTTTGAGATAAAGTCTCACTTTCCTATTGCTTTTTGTTTGTTTCTTTGTTCAACTCAGGTAACCACATCAAATTCAATCACCATGTCCCTCTAATATCTTCTGGTTAATCACAGTTTGGGTTCCTGCTGTCTTCCCATTGAATATTCTATAAATGAAACTAGTGAAATAAGTTGATTCTGGTCACTTATGTATTTACCTATTTTATCACGTTTGTTTTGTCAATCACAATAAGTGTCGAAGTCTCTATCTGTTATAGATGTTAGCCTATTTTCTATTGCAGATCCATTGGTTAAATCTTTGGTGATGCCTTTTAGAAAACTGATCCCTTTACCCTATGTAATATGCCCCTTGATTCCTGAAAGTCTTATGTCTACCTTGTCTGAATTTAACATAGCTAAGCACGCTTTCTTTTCGTTCATATTTTCATGGTCCATGTTTTCCTGTATTTAACTTTCCTATGTAGAGCAAATTTCTATACAGAGCTAATAGTTGGGTCTTGCTTTTTAAAACAACTATAATAAATTCTGTTTTAAAACTGGTATTACTATTTTTCTGTTAATTTCTGTTTTAATTTAGCATTTTATGATCATGTTTATTCTCTATTAACTTATCGTTTAGTTCATCCTTTATGAATATTATATTGGCCATAAGATATACAATACGAATTGTATATAATCAGATTCTAATTCAAATAATGTAAAACCTCTTCATAGGTTGTAGAGCTATTATAACTGTATTCTTCTAAACCCTGTTTCTCATCCGTTGTCTTAGTTTATTCTCAGTTTGCACTTATATGTGCTATAAAATATAATATGTGCATTTTTATCGTTACTTTACATAGACATATATTAGAACAATTAAAAATATAAAAACTACATTTCAACTTCATTTTTTCATTCTTGACCACCTGTTTTATTTGGATAGATTCATGTTTCAGATGTATATCATATGGCTACTCACCCTGGCAGAAAATTTGCCAAAGCACCTACTGAAGGATGAATGCACTGGCAATAAATTTTCTCAGAATCGAATTGTCTTACAGGGTATTCATTTGACTTTCTCTTTAAATGAAATTTTTAATACATATAGAATTCAAGTTTGACTTTTATTTGTAATTTATTTTCTTGTACTCATGTATTCATTATTTTCTTCCTGAAGATGGTCACACATTCCATTCTGCTGGGCCTTCATTATAGACATTTGTGTGTATCTATTCAGGGCTATATTTGCAATTTATGGATGCCACAATTATCAGAGTTGAAGTCAGCTTCTGCTGTCCACAGAGATTTCAAGTTCCTCCCATGATACTTGCTTTTGTGTCCCTGTTTGATCCTGGGTCTTTATATTTAGTTTTCCCCAGGGAGTCTGTCTCTTTCAGCTGTGGAAAGTGCACCCTACTGACAGTTTAAATTGCTGACTGTGTGGTGAAGGAGCTTGGACAAAGCGGGACGTCCTCCAACCTTCTGACTGAGTCTTCTTCTTATGCAGGAGTAGTAAGCATAGTTCTGGGGAGTGGCCTTGCAGATTGTCCTGTCCTTAACTCTTTCCCCAGGGCTGGAATGTATTTTCCCATACAGAATTGTTTTTCACCAGTGTCCCCAGCTTTTTACCCACTATCCTTACCCTAAAGAGTAAGGATTTCTTTCCTGAGGAAGGAGATGGGAGGTGTTTCTGGATCAAGTTTCCTTGGTGTCCTCTGTTTCCTTTTGTTTCTGTTGACTTCACCACAGCTCACATGACACATGCTTTGGTGGATTTCCCCTGGAGGTAGTGGAGGTGCATCCAGGCATTCCACAGGAGCTGCTGTTCTTTTCCCCAGTCAACACCACAAGACACCAGATGAGGAAGTTGTCCGTGGATTTTTCAAGTTCTCTAGGAAAAGCTTGCAAGCACTAGGCCACTCTAACACCATTAGTACATGCATACTAAAAAAAAGTCATTAAGTATTTCTAGGTTAGTCTGTTTCTATCTCAAATGCCATCCAGTGGCACCTGCCCTATGTACACTAGCAGGTAGGTCCTGGTTCTCTTTGCAGGCTCCTATCTTGTCAGATTTCAGTTTTCTTGTTTGCTCGGTGAAATCGACTCAGATATGTTGAATGCTTTTTCTCTCTTTTATTTGTAGCTGTTCAGCTTTGTTGTTAATGAGGTCAGAATAAAATCACAGTTTTCTCATTTTTTTCACATTCCCACACTGAATAGCTGCTTTCTGTATAAAAGCCAGAAACTGAGAGAACACATTGAATATCCATTACAGGTGAATGTTAAACAATTTGAGATATGTTTGTGTACTGGAATAAAATGCTGCATTACAATCAAGTCATCACTCATTCACATAAAACTTGGCCATATTCTCAAATAATGTACGGACCTGAGTGCCCCTCCATCTACTGGCCTCTCCTGGGGCCCTAGCCTGGCCATACCTGCTTGCAGGGCAGTCTCGGGCACCCTGGGATCCTGCACCAAAATTTCTGCCCTGGCAGACCATGCCTGACTGGTGGAGAGCTCCAATCGGGCAGCTCTCATGTGCACACACCAGCTTACACACTTCCTCCGAATACTGTAGGTTCCCCCAGGCCCACGTAACTCCCCACATCACTTTGCAGGCACATGTCTGTATAGGTGGGTTTTGCTTTTCTTGTCCCACCATTGCGTGGAGTGCAGTCCCCTCCCCCCACCCCAACCACCACGGCAGAGGTAGCTTTGGTGGGGAAAAAGCCAGGCCCGCTCCTGTCAGCGTCCCGCACTTGCACTAATTCTGCACAGAGAATAGCAGATCATCTCACACATTCAGAAATTGCTCCTGCTTGTGGGGCATGAATACGGCACCCGGACCTGTGCCCACAAGTGTCCCACCCCTGAGCCAACACCACCTCCAGCGTGACTTTGAACACAGTCACCAGCAGGGCCCCACACACCCACAGATGCAGTGCCTCTGCCACTGTGGTGAACACCTGCAGGGAGGCAGGCCCCCAGACACCCACTAGCACTCTGTCACAGCTGCCACACCTCCAGCCCCCCAAGAACAGTGGATTCCTAACCTTAAGGAGCCAGAGAACCAAGTCAGGGACTTGTATAAGTTCCCCCAGAGTTAGAGCACACAGTCCAGGTGTTGGGAGCTGAGCACTGACCACCTAAATTTTTCCAGAAATGAAGCCAGTTGGCTGAATCCACCTTATACCACAATCAAACCCTCAAGATCATCCAATAGGATAAAAGAAAATAAAAATGTATCCAAAAGTCAGCAACCTCAAAGACTGAAGGTGGATATGCCCACAAAGATGAGAAAGAACCAGTGCAAAAGTCATGAGAACAAAAAGTGCGCCCTCATTCCTCCAAACAACCGCAGCACCTCTTCAACAGGGGTTCTGAATGGGGCTGAGATGGCTGAAATGACAGAAACAGAACTCAGAATATGGAGAGTGAAAATGTAGATGAATACAGCTATTTATGGAGAATACTATAAATGTTCCTCAAAAAATAAAGAAACAAAATCTACTGTAGAATCCAGCAGTCTCACTACTGGCTATGTATCCAAAGGAAATGAAATCAACATGTCAAAGAGATATCTGCACTCCATGTTCATGTTCATTGCAGCATCTTTTAAAATAGTAAAGATATGGAAACATCCTAAATTCCCATGAATGGATGAATGAATAAAGAAAATGCATACAGACACAACAGAGTAATGTTCTTCCTTAAATAAGAAGGAAACCCTGCCTCTGTGACAGCATGCCTGAATCTAGAGGACCTTATGCTAAGTGAAACAAGCCAGGAACGGAGGAAGAGTAATTCAAGATTTCACTGTAGTATATTAAAGCAGTAGACTTGCAGAGATAGAGTAGAATGTTGGTTACCAGGGGCTGGAGGGGTGGACTGGGAAAGGGAGATGTGGGTTAAAGTGCACAATGTTCCAGTTAGACAGGAGGTATAAGTTATGCTTTTCTAATGCACAGCATGTCAACTATAGCTGATCAGGTGGTATATATTTCAAAATTACTAAAAAAAAACATTAAAATTTCCCCACTAAGAAATGATAAATTTGTGAGGTGATGAATATAAGTGGCTTGAGTCACCCAGTTCATAATGTATACATGTATCATAACTAAACAACATATGTCATAAATATATGCAAAAATTATTTGTAATTTCTAATAAAATAAGTTTCATATTTAAATAATTACATTAAGAAAATGAACAGAACCTTTCCGATTTCAAGAATATTATATATATAATATATCTTAAAACAAACTTGCAACAGAATATAGAAATAAGTTTTACGACTCAATAGAAAAGAATAGAATTCAATAAAAACTGGCTAAAAGAAACAACAGCTGTATCATTATAGAAAATTCTGGAATAATCAGCCATATAAAGATTCTCACTCTCTTAGAACTAGAATTCTGTAGGACCTGCAATTCCTCCTGAACTGGGTGGGAGGCACAAGGAAGAACAGCTAATGGTGATTCAGTGAATTTTATATCTGTGTGTACTTCTGTGCTCACTCAGCAGAAAGAAAAGAAGAAAAGAAAGAAAGAGAGAAAGAAAGAAACAGAAGAAAGAAAAAGAAAGAAAGAAAGAAAGAGAGAGAGAGAGGGAGGGAGGGAGGGAGGGAGGGAGGGAAGGGACAGCAGAAGTCATTGTGGTGTGTGTGAAAGCACAATCCTTGGACTCCCCCACATCCTTCTGTACTCCAGTCCCATCAATGTCCAGCAAATACATTTTCTAACATGAAGTATTTTAAACTTTCTAAATCCTGCTAGAAACCCCCTCAGCTCTTTCAATTTTGCTCTATCACTTGAATTATTGAATTAAATCTAGTTTTTGTGGGCCTATCAATACCATAAGCCAAAATAACACATGAAGAAATTGCACTGAGACACAAGAAAACCTTCTGAAAGCTCCATAATTTCAGATCTGCATTCTTATTTCCCCAAACCTAAATCACTAAATAGAGACTCAGAACAAGTTGATCTTGTTCCCGAACGTGCACAGAGCCAAGGACATCCTGTCTGTCTGCAACAGCTCAGGTTTGTTCCTGTTTCTCCTAGAGGATATAAAATCTTGATTTAGGGAAAAACAGCTAGGGACACCCTGGGCTTTGTTCTTCTCTTCCCTGGAGGCAGGATGTCCTTCAGAGCTTTGTCCCAGTGGGTAACACAGCTGCTGAGGTGTACAACCCAGGTGGCCTTGTTTTGGTCACTTTTGCATGGTGAGCCTGCTTTGCACCATGGCCTACAATATGCGTGTGTAACTAATCTGTCTCCATCTTCAAAATGACATTATTCCACATCAAATCTAGTGCAGGTGCCTTACACAGAACATTCTCAATTACCTCCATCATTCATAAAATTGATGCCATTAATTTCAAGTATACATACATCAGACTCATTTAACGTATTGTTATTCTCATTGTTTGAAACATAACTTTTAGATCAAATAAATTAACAATAATAAAAATATAAATTTTGAAGTCAGGTAATGTGATTTCTCTAGTTGTGTTCTCTTTGCTCAGAATGGCTTGGGCTATTCTGCATCTTTTGTTTTTCCACATATATTTTAGGATTTTTTTTAATTTCTGTGAAGAATATCATTGTTGTTTTCATAGGGATTGTATTGAGTCTGTAGATTGCTTTAAGTATAATGGACATTTTAACAATATTGACTCTTTGAATTCATAAACATGGAATATTGTTCCATCTTGTGTCCTCTTTAATTTCTTTCATCAATGTTTTATAGATTTATTGTAGTTTTTTTTACTTTGTTCATTACACATTGTATGCCTGTACCAAAACATCACATATACCCAACAAATAGAAATATATATACTATTATGTGCTTATAACAATTAAAAATTATGTATGTATATTGAATCTATTCAAAATCAGAAACTATTTCTTTTTACTATTTGTAAGGTCTTGTCTCTAGGCTATAAAAAGAATTTGTAAAACTCAACAGAAAGCATAATATAAACAGAATTCTAAAATGACTGAAAATCTGAACAAACACCTCACCAAGAAAAAATGTTATCTGAAAATAAGAATATAGACAATTGTTCAGTATCGATTGTCATAAACCGATATTCATAATTACCAAACACAAAAGTAAACATGATGTATTTCAACAGAATTGATTCTCAAATATTTGTATACTCACACAGTGGAATACTATTCAGTCATAAAAACTTATGGGTTATTAATTCAGAAAACAACATTTTAACATTTTTTCTAAGTGAAGGAAGATGGACAAAAGAGACTAAGTATTGTACAATTCCATTCATGAGACCTGCTAAATACAGTAAAATTAAAAGGATTTAAAAAACAGGTTTGTGATAGGCAGGGCTTTTGGGGAAAGACAAGAGACTGACTTGGCAAAGCTCAGGGGATAGTTTTAGGGTAAAACAAACGTGTGCCATTGTGATATGCCTAATTAATTATTATATTTGTTCAGAGTTAATAGTGTACGTTTCAACCAACTTGGTGATTTTATATTTTCTATTTGCTGATAGAGACATGTTCATTTTTGTCAATCACTTTGCTAAATGTGGCTGAGAGGCTGTTGACATGAACGCTGAGTAAATGTATTCACCAAGTCTACAAGAGCAAATTATTTGCCAATTGCTGATTGAGTGGGGTCAATAATGTATATGAGATTGGGCGTGGGGATGTTATTGTGTGAGATCATGATGTTTAGACCACGACACTCTCTGGTGAGGGATCACTCATTCATTGCACATTTAATGAAAGGCAGGTAGGAGGAGCAGAAGGGCATGAGTCACTCTCCTGACCACAGCCACAGGTTATTGAAGGCAGAACTGATGTAATCCCCTCAGGTAGACCAGCGCCCCTCAAAGGTGACTTTATCCTAGAGTTGACACACATCCTGGGACACCAAAGACAACTCCTTCTCTCCCCTTTCTCTGCACTTCAGCTGGAAAAAACTTTCTCACCGAGCACCTTGTGTTAGGGAATGAGAGTTCCTGTCCCAGGTGTGAGGGCCCAGGTGCATCCACTTGATTCAGCACGAGAGCAAGAACAGCCTTCCAGAAAATGACATCACCTGAGGTATAACCAGCTTTCACCTGCTGCAGCTTCCTCTGAATAAAAAGGAAACTGTTGAAACTTCCTCAAAAGTGTCCTGCTGTGCCATTCCCTTTGTCCCTACGTGTTCAGTTGTGTCTGTCCAGATGCCACTTTTATGTAGGGAGATTAGGGTTCTGCTTCCAGTACCAGAACACACATGACCTCTTAGGAGACTTCAGGGTTTTGATCACATATATGATGATCTTAAAAGTCATTAGCTCCATTTCTACATCAAAAAACATCTGAACCAGAGGGGCACAGAGGCTCATGCCTGTAATCACAGCACTTTGGGAAGTCAAGGCAGAGGAATCACTTGAGGTCAGGAATTTGAGACCAGCCTGGTGAACATGGTGAAACCCCGTCTCTACTAAAAAATATATACAAAAATTAGCCAGGTGTGGTGGCACTAGCCTGTAATCCCAGCTACTTGAAAGGCTGAGGCAGGAGAATTGCTTGAACCCAGGAGGTGGAGATTGAAGTGAGCTGAGATCACACCACTTCACTCCAGCCTGGGCGACAGAGTGAGGCTCCATCTCAAAAGAAAAATTTATATATATATATATATATGTGTGTGTGTGTGTGTGTGTATATATATATGTGTGTGTGTATATATATATGTGTGTGTGTATATATATATATGAGATCTCCAAACCATCTAAATATCCAAAGCATATATATATATATATCTGCATTCTTATTTCCCCAAATAGAGTGATTATCCAACCATATCCAAACCATATATATATATATCTCCAAACCATCTAAATATCAAGTATTTTTTAATCCATCTAAGAACTGAAATTGCTGAAAAAACTACTCCCTCCAAAAGCTGTAGAGATAGGCACATCCACAATTACAGCAGAGACTTGCTGACTTGGAAGAGAAGCTCCTGGAAACACATTGGTGAGAACACTTACCTGGTGATTACGCTGAATGTCTGGAGGACAAGTGTGGACTAGGGGGAAGGTGAGCGCTCCTAGAGGCTGTACACCCCACACTTGTGTGGACTTGCCCTCCAGGGCCTTCAGGTTCTCATGGAAGCGATTAAAATAGATTCCCTATAGCCACGAACTGGGGAGGAGTAATCACTGAGAAAAAATGCACAAAAAGACTTTTCTAGAAAGCTCATCCGAGGGAAGGTGTTCTCTAAAATCTTAGTTTATGTGGGGGAAGGAAGTACTTCCATATTACAGACCCCTCCTCCTCAGCCTTCCTCTATCATGCAAATGATAAAATTAGCCAAGAGGAGTCAGACTCAAGGTGGTAGCCCTGGGTGCAGCATCTGCGGAAGGGAGGAAAGAGAGAAAATCAGCTGTATCACTGGAGATTCCTTGTAAAGGTGCTCAGGTGAAGAGGGCAACCAAACCAGGGAGAGTCAACTGTAAGAACATACCATGCTCCCCTGCCCCACACATTACCTCCTCAACAGCATCATTAATGTGGATTAAAGAGGTCAGTGTGATTGCTTTAGATCTGTTTGAGAAAGAAAGTCACATGCTGAGGCCTAGGGTCAGGGTCGGCAGCACTTCCCATGAGTAAGATACTATGAAGAAGGAAACATTAGGGGCCCATAACTGTGAAAATCAGCCACAGTGTGTGTGAGTATGTTTGTGTTTGTGCTTCTGTATGTTTGAGTAGGAGTTATTGAAACAGTGGACGTGGAGTGAGCTTTAATCCACATCCATCTGCAGCTTCAGGTATTCTCAGATGCAGTATTTGTCTGCAAGAGCCAAATTGAGAAAAGAGCCACCTCCAACCCCCCCCAGAGTTTTAGCCTCCCTTTGTTTCCAGTGATCCAGTGCATCTAGACCTCCAGGAAAGGGACTCCCTGGTGATTTTAGTGATTCTTCTCTTGGAGCCTCCCTGAAGAGGACATTGGGTTTCCAAAGGCCCATTCACTATTTCAAGAGGTGGTGTCATCCGCTCATGTTGTCACTGAAGGAGCATTCTGAGCCAGGGCACAGTCACTTCCTAGTGAGCTACAGAGGCTGAGAGAAAAATGCTCTGTGAGACCCAACAGGAAGCTCCCTGCAGTGCAAGGTGTGGGTGGCAGGGAGCGCTCGGGCCTCCCCGCAGCACAGACTTGCAGCCCAAGAGCAGGTGCACAGGAGGCTGGGGAGGGGTTCCTCCCAGGGGTTGATGTCTTCCTTTTCTTGAACAAACATGCTTTAATAAGTTAAACAAGAATTTAGTAAAGACTATTTGTAGGATTTATCTAACCTAACAAGTCAATGAGAATCACATTTAAAAGGAGAAATTTCTAGGATTTTCAGATATCTTAATAGTTAGGAGATGGAGAAAAGGGATAGTTTTATTAATTCAGTGCTTGCCAATCTTAGCAGAGACAGTAGTAAGACAGGCAGAAAGCAAAGCCCAGAAAAGTATGAAGGTGTCAAAGTGCCATTTAAGTATGGGTTCACTTGGAGGACCATGTTTTGTGGGAACTTGTTTTCAGCAGAGACAATTTATTTTAGCAGAGTTCTGGGCATACAAGGGGACACACATCATTAAACAAGGATTAGGACAGGGCTTCAGCGTCCCACTGTTGCATGGCCCATAAATAATGTGTGTTCTCTTTCTCATCTTGGATCAAGTCTAGAGCTATGAAGCTATGAAATAGTACCCCTCATGAATATGCAAATAACCTGAGATTTACTGAAGTAAATACAGATCTGTCCTTGCCCTGAGAGCATCACCCAACAACCACATCCGTCCTCTAGAGAATCCCCTGAGAGCTCAGCTCCTCACCATGGACTGGACCTGGAGGATCCTCTTCTTGGTGGCAGCAGCTACAGGTAGGAGGCTCCCTAGTCCCAGTGATGAGAAAGAGATTGAGTCCAGTCCAGGGAGATCTCATCCACTCCTGTGTCCTCTCCACAGGTGCCCACTCCCAGGTGCAGCTGGTGCAGTCTGGGGCTGAGGTGAAGAAGCCTGGGGCCTCAGTGAAGGTCTCCTGCAAGGCTTCTGGATACATCTTCACCGACTACTATATGCACTGGGTGCGACAGGCCCCTGGACAAGAGCTTGGGTGGATGGGACGGATCAACCCTAACAGTGGTGGCACAAACTATGCACAGAAGTTTCAGGGCAGAGTCACCATGACCAGGGACACGTCCATCAGCACAGCCTACACGGAGCTGAGCAGCCTGAGATCTGAGGACACGGCCACGTATTACTGTGCGAGAGACACAGTGTGAAAACCCACATCCTGAGAGTGTCAGAAACCCCAGGGAGGAGGCAGCTGTGCTGGGGCTGAGAAATGAAAGGGATTATTATTTTTAATGTTGTTTACAGTATGTCATTAATAAATTGAAAAAAGTAACAATAGAAGTATATACTCTAATTATATGGGAAGTTTGTTTTTTCAGTTTTTTGGTGTTTTTTTTTTTTTTTTGGTTTGTTTGTTTGTGACAGAGTCTCACTCTGCCACCCAGGCTGGAGTGACACGGCAAAGTCTCAGCTCACTGCAACCTCCACCTCCCAGGTTCAAGCAATTCTCCTGCCTTGGCCTCCAGAGTAGTTGGGATTACAGGCACCCGCCACCACGCCCGGCGAATTTTTGTATTTTTAGTAGAGACGGGGTTTCACCATGTTAGCTAGGCTGGTCTCGAACTGCTGATCTCAGGTGATCTACCCTCCTCAGCCTCCCAAAGTCCTGGGATTACAGGTGTGAGCCACTGCGCCTGGCCCAATTATATGGGAATTGTTTATATAATTATCACCCTATAAGCAAAATTCATGGAGGAGGAAAAGCTCTACTGAAGAAAGCTGATACCGGCATTCCCATGAAAGTATCTGTGTAGAAGTAAGTATTAAAATCAGTTGAATAGGTGAGGCACGGTGGCTCATGCCTATAATCCCAGCACTTTGGGAGACCGAGGCAGGTGGATCACAAGGTAAGGAGTTCAAGATCAGCCTGGCCAAGATGGCGAAACCCCTTCTCTACTAAAAATACAAAGAATTAGCTGGGCGTGGTGGTGGATGCCTGTAATCACAGCTACTTGGGAGGCTGAGGCAGAGAATTGCTTGAACCAGGGAGGCGAAGGTTGCAGTGAGCCGAGATCGCGCCACTGCACTCCAGCCTGGGTGACAGAGCGAAACTCCATCTCAAAACAAAACAAAACAAAACAAAACAAAAAAATCAGTTGAATAAAGTACCTTAGAGTCATCTGTTCAATTAACATGTTTAACTCCAAAGAAATCATGAAAATATTTTCCAAAAAGGAAGTGCCATTTTATGTTCCTACCAACAGTGAATAAGACTTTCTTTTCTGGAGCCTTGTCAGTATTCACCAATGCTTTGCTGTGCAGCCATTGTAATATTATAGTAAATGAGTAGCAGTATTTAATGGTTGTTTAAATATACATATTCCTAATACAAAGTCTTGATGAACACTTTTTTATACATTGTTTTACGAGGTGCGTGTTCAGATCTATGTATGCCAGAAATGCCTGGCAGCATTAATTTAAGCACACTGTGAGAATGACCCTATAGTTTAAGAAGAATGTATGTTCAGAGCTCTGAGCTAAGAAATCCAGGAGCTGTCCACCCAGAAGTTTATTCCTTGTCTGTGAAGGACGTCTGAAGCCCTGGCCTATCCCTTGGAACACAGGATGTCCAGGTGATTGAGGCTCTTTGTTAAATCTGGAGGTTGCTAGGTAGAGGGTGCTAAGTGAAAATCATAATATAAACTACACATGTTTTACAAATGGTAGTGGTTTTCCTGTCCAACACACTCTTCCTGGGCCACATTGTATGGAAGTCCTCAATACACCCTAGATCTTGTTCATGGGCTCCAGGTCTCCTCTTTAGCCTTTTGGACATGGTGCCATGCCTATTACAGTCAATAGGGGTCTAGCATGACAATTGGGAGGCCCAGAACAAGGTCAAAGAAAATCCCACAAGTTCTTAGACAACGGTGTCAAGGAAGGGGAGACCTGTGGGGAAATCCCAGGCAGGCCATGCACATCTCTGTGGGCCCAACAGCTGCAATCCTTGATGGATAGGGCCTGCTGCAAGTGTACAGGGATGCCTCCAAAATGCCAAAAGTTCTGGAGGACCTGTTGCCTGAGGTGGATGTGACAATGTGACAAAGTGACAGTCAGATGCCTGAGCTGTCGCAGCTGTTGGCCACTCCTGACTGCACTCTGAGCAACCACTGAGGCAGAGCTCACTGCACAGGCTAGGGTGTGTCAGCCACAAGAACAGCTGTAACTATAATGAGATGCCGCCTGCAGGGATAGGATAGCAAATTGGAGACCATTGTTTATTTGGTAGGCCATTTAAAGTGTTGCCGACTGCCACACCAATGCGTTAGGACTATTATGACTACATCGTCCTGGAAGCCTAAGTCCTGGTGTCCGATGTAGAGCTCCAGTGGGAAGGAGATGAAGGTTAGGATGACTCCATAAAGGTTCTTGCCCTGCAGCCCCTGCTTTGCTGTCTCACTTGGTGAACAGAGGATGGGGGGGTCAATGCAGACAAAGTCCAGGGTCTAGGCTTATCAGTCAAATACTTGGTGTCATCTGGTTACATAAGACTATAGTTATTCCATATTTCATTATAGATAAGATAAGATGCAGGTCTACTCATGTCCCAACACACCAAAGCAGTTGGAAACCTTCCAAGGCCTCCTGGGACATTGGCGATCCTTTATTCCCCATTTCGGCAAACTCCTTAGGCCCCCATGGCACTTAGTCAAGAAGGTGCCCCACTGCGACTGTTCCAAAAGGGAGGATGAGGGCTCTGAAGAAGCTAAAGTCACAGTGAAATGAATACAAACCTTGGGAGTTCTAGTGCAGGGACAGCCCTGTGAATTGGATGTAGTCAGTTACCCTGAGGGGTTTAGGTGGGGACTGTGTTAAAGGCAAGGACATAAGTGTGTGTCCCTAAGACCCTGGTCTCAAAGACAGAAGGAAGCTGAAGTGAGATATACTGTTTAGGAGTAACAACCGCACTACATGTCATGCCTTACAAGTGGAGGATGTGACAGAGGGCCACTCCACATCCAGAACAACCTTTAGCAGGCTGGCTAAAGGATGCCTTCCAGACACAAAAGCCTTGGAATACCAGGACACAGTCTGTAGCCAAATGGTACTTGTGGTGGTCACCACCAACATAAAAGTGGGCCAACTGTGCCAGCAGAAGTTAGCCCCACAGAACTTTCCCCCACCTAAGAGAAGGCAGTGAACCACGATGTGGGATGCCACCACTGTGGAATTGGGGGAGCTTAGACTTGGATTCAGACACAAGGGGAGAGAGTGGATCACAGGGTGGCTTCTCTATGGGACAGGGGGTGGAGAGTGTTATACTTTCTGGACTCAAGATGAGTAAAATGGCACCCATCACAAACCATCCAGCCCTATGATGGCACCTTTATGGTAAGTGGTTGCAGGCTCCAGCGGGGCCAGGTCCAATGAGGAAGATGCCCACACAGCTCCTTCTCAATGGCAGACTATAGAAGAGTTGCAGGACATCTTCTGGGAGTTGAAATGAGGCATGCTAATTATGCTGAGAATTATTGAAGTCCCAACAATGAATTGTTTACTGCAAAATAAAAGCTACAATTATGTATTCAGTGCCTACCAAATGGCATGGTGCACTGATTTCCATGTTAAGCCCCCTGGGAGGGCAGCCAACATTTCATGTGCCCCAGGTAGTTGCTGACTTAGGAGAAAAGAAGAAACTGAGTAAGCAAGGGATGCACCCTACTGTGATGAAAAACAATGGCACCAAAGGAAGAGAGACAGCCAAGGAGCCAGTCAGCGTGGCCAGACAACAAATGTGCTCTAACTGGCAACACCTACCAGTTATCTGGGCCCATAGCAGCAATAGGTGATTATGGAAGGGCCACAGAAGTCAGACAGGTTGAACTAGTGATACGACCTGGGGGACTGCCACCCAGACCCTGTTTAGTATACATAGCTTCCATCTTAGAACACATGAGAATGGATATCTTCTTAGGCGTGACCCTCCAAACAACTGCCAGGGAATTCCAACTGAGAGTTAAAGTGGTGACGCATGTGACCAAGCAGAAGGCAAACTGGATGCCGGTAGAGCTGCCAACCCATGGGGAGTCCCACAGCTGGAGCAACACCACCCGCCCTGGGGAGGGGAAGATGATCCAATCATGAAGATTGTTAAGGAGTTAGCCCAGGTAGGCATTAGGAGGCCACTGCACAGTTCCTACAACAGACCTGCATGGCCCATGCAGAGGCCAGTTGGGACATGGAGAATGACAGTAGATTACTGGGAGTTAAATAAGGTGGTCTCCCGAGTGAATGCAGCTGTTCCTAATATCTCCTCCAGTCTGACGAGAATAGGAGAGGTGTTAGCCACATAGCATTTCGTTATCAGTTTAGTCAATACCTTCTTCAGCATTTCTGCTGCCCCACATTCAAGATCAATTTGCATTAACCTAAAAAGAACAATGGACTTTTACTGTCTTGTTCCAGGGATATTTACACAGCCCAACTCTCACAGCCTAGTGACCTCCAACCTCAGTTGATGGGCTGACCCAAAGGGGATACATGTTTTCCACTACATTGGTGTTATCATGGTAACTTCTGAGTCTTTTTTCAGCTTATAAATTGCAGCCCCTGTCTTGCTGTCTCACTTGCTGAACAGAGGATGGGAGGTTAATACAGACAAAATCCAGGGTCCAGGCTTATCAGTCAAATAGTTGGTGTCATCTGGTTTGGTAAAACTAAAGTCATTCCATCTGCCATCATAGATAAGGTGCGGGCTTACCCATGTCCCACCACAACAAAGCAGCTGCAAGCTTTCAAGGCCCTCTGGAGCATCAGTGTCCTTTTATTCCTTTTATTTGACATCCCTGGAGGAGGCTGCTAGGGGAGACTGTGTCCCTCCTAAATTCATGTGCTGAAGTCCCAACCCTTGGTCCTTCAGAATGAAATCATACTTGGATTAGTGTCTTTTAAAGAGCTAAATAAGTTAAAGTGAGATTCCTGGAGTGGGGCCCTAATGCAATCTGACTGTTGTTATAAGAAGGGGAAGCAGGAGGGGGGGTGCACACGCCCCGAGGGACGGCCATGTTACCACAGAACAGCGAGAAGGCGCCATCTGCACGCCAGGGAGCGAGACCTCAGAGGAAACCCACCCAGCTGGCAGCTTGATCTTAGGCTTTCATCCTCCATAAGTGTGAGGAAATTGGTTTTGTATTGTAAGCCATCCGATCTGTGGTATTTTGTCATAAAAGCCCTATAAAATGAATACAGTAGGTAATAGGAGAGCTTCTATACATTGAAAAAGTCGGATGGCCAGACAAACCTGGACACTCCTGTTCAGACCTGAGCAGGGTGATGGACCTGCTTTGGGACAGGAGAGGGGAAGAGATGAACCCAGCACCCAGACCCAGCTGAGCCCATTCCTCAGCAGGCTGTCCCTGGGCCAGAGCTTGCACAGGCATGAAAGAGCCTGTCTTGGTCTTCAGGGGCTCGTGGAGTTGGACGGAGAATGGTGTAGACTCAAGAACATGTCATCGTTGTGCCCGTGTTTATGTGAATGGGATGTGTTTCTAGGGTGTGCTCATCCCCAGAGAAGAATTAATCAGGTCTCCTGGGCTAGAAAGAGGTTGTGGCATTTGTGTGTATTAATAACTGTAGTCGGACAGTAAATTATGTTAAAATGCTTATGGGAAGGCACAATGGAAAGAAACACTTTGTTACAGAAGGGAAAAAAAGGTAATTATTCAAATGAGATGCCTTTGAAGGTCACTATGCCAAGAGGAGCCGATCGCATGATAGTGTTAGGTTTCACGTTCAGGAGATCAGGAGGGTCCGTCTGCTGGCTTTTATGATACCCTAGACAGAGCTGAGAGTATAATGTATGAATGGAGGGGAGTGGAGAAAGGGGAGGCCAAATGTTTGATGGGAATGGAGGGTCACTATTGGAGCCATTAGGAAATACACAAGCATGATTTGTGCTGAAGCACAGAACAGTGTTCCTGGGGAATATTGTGTTGCTTTGGGAGCTGCTGAACATACAGGAGTTTCACTGTTCTTAGTTCTCGAATTCTCTAGACTCTCTTGACAGCCCAATTTTAAATATTGGGAATATAGGTAAGACACATTCATGGTTAAAAATTCTTAAGTGAAGATGTAGGAAGAAATTTAAAGTAATCAATTTAGGTTATGAAAATTTAGTTATGGTGAACTGTGATGTCTGTTTCTCACATGGAATAATGGAATATAAGTAATTACTCATCTCAGTGGTTCATTTTCCCATAGCCATCAATTACAAAACTGCTGGATAATTTCCTGAATTGTCCACCCTAGAAGTTGACCTCACATTACCTCAGTGAGAAACCGCTAGTCTGGTTGATCCAGCCTCATTCTTCCCATCAGGAATTTTGTGTCTCTGTGCACATATGGCATAGTCCTGGTCAGGGTGGCAGAGGGAAGGAACTGAAGAGGGCATTGTCAGACCATTCTTCAGAGGAGGAGTGGAGAAGAATTGTGTCCCATTTCCCAGTTGGCTGTGTATCTGCATATGGCCTCGGGATTGCTGCCAGCCTATCCATGCATGATGAAGCTTATTTAGGGGACGAAGCCAGCATGCTGAGTGTTCAGTGCCGACAGCCAAGAGAATCAACTGCCTGGTGCATGCTGCTTTTATGAAAACAAGCCCAGGGCCACTTGCATTCTTCTGTATTAGATTCTCTAGTGAAGTTGTTTCTTCATTTCTGCTGAAACTGCCACATATAATTACCTAGAGGCATTACAATAAACTGATTGAGAGTTAACTGACTTCCTGGTGAGGTTAAAATGAGTGTCAGGTGCACAGTAAGACAGACAGGAGACATGGGAGCATAGCAAGCTTGTGTTCACCATGGTTTGTACCTTAACTTCTGTTTTGTACCTTCTGTACCTTCCTTAGATGTTCAGGCACTCCATTGAGGAGCCTGACAGAACATTATTTATTGATGGACCATAGCTCAAAATATAGAAATGGATATTACCGAGGAGAATATACTGTTACTACTTTATCTTTATCTTAAAATATACTCTTCCATCTGAGGTGAAAATTAATCCAGATGGTAGAACTTATTGCAGTTACTACAGCATTTTAGGAAATCAAAAGCTGCAGAACAAACATATGGACAGATGGCAGGTATGTTTTTGGAATCGTAAACAACTTTGCGATGATTGTAAAACCAAGGGGTGTCTCACAAGGGCTGGAAACCTCTCAAAATGAAACAACACACTGAGGATCTTTGAGAAGTACTCTGACCTCCAAGCGAGCTGGCTGATATGGAGGCTGAGCTACATGTAGAAAGCCAAAGGAATTTCTGCAGGACATCATCATGCCAAGCACAGCAGTAAACTGAGTCCCAGCCCTTTTCACACGCTCAATGGTTAGATCTTGGGAAGGAATCAAAGAAGCCATTGTAAAATATCAAAATTTAAACCCTGATTTTGAATTTAAAATGTGTTAACATATGGTTGTGGCCTACACTCAGAAAATCTGTCTCCTTCAGATGGTGTCTCAGTAGCACCACATGGTTTCAAGTGGCTATTCATTAAATTTCTCCATGAAACTACCAGATACAGAATAGATAAATTGTCACTGTCTTAAATCAACCCTTGGGAAAGGAAAACTGTGTAAAGACAGCAGAGAGGAAACATTGTTCAAGGGAAAAACAATCTCCAGAAACTGTTGTTAAAGAAACAGAGGCCCTCTTTCCAGCCAGTGCCGAGCGATGGACATCTCTTGGGACAACTGGCACAAGTGCCACAAAACCAGGGACAAGAGAAAGCCCTACCACAAGAAGCGGAAGTATGAGTTGGGGCACCCAGCTGCCAACACCAAGACTGGCCCCCGCCGCATCCACACAGTCCGTGTGTGGGGAGGTAACAAGAAATACTGTGCCCTGAGGCTGGACGTGAGGAATTTCTCCTGGGGCTCAGAATGTTGTGCTCATAAAACAACGATCATCGATGTTGTCTACAATGCATCTAATAACGAGCTGGTTCGTCCCAAGACCCTGGTGAAGAATTGCATTGTGCTCATTGACAGCACACTGTACCGACAGTGGTACGAGTCCCACTATGCGCCGCCCCTGGGCTGCAAGAAGGGAGCCAAGCTGACTCCTGAGGAAGAAGAGATTTTGAACAAAAAGCGATCTAAAAAAATTCAGAAGAAATATCATGAAAGGAAAAAGAATGCCAAAATCAGCAGTCTCCTGGGGGAGCAGTTCCAGCAGGGCAAGCTTCTTGCATGCATTGCTTCAAGGCCAGGACAGTGTGGCTGAGCAGATGGGTATGTGCTAGAGGGCAAAGAGTTGGAGTTCTATCTTAGGAAAATCAAGGCCCGGAAGGGCAAATAAATCCTTGTTTTGTCTTCACCCATGTAATAAAGGTGTTTATTGTTTTGTTCCAAAAAAAAAAGAGAAACAGAGGCATCACACTTACTAGAAAAACATATTCTATTTCATATATTATGGTGGTATGACGTGATGTTTTGACATATGCAGGCATTGTGAAATTATTAAATCAAGTAAATAAACATGCCCATCACCTCACATACTTATTTTTTATGGTGTAAACGTGTAAAATCTACTCTATTATCAGTTTTCAAGTATATAGTACATTAGTACCATGGAAGTCACCCTGCTGTGCAATAGATCTTCAAACTAATTCCTTCTGTCAAACCAAAACTCTGTACCCTTTCACCAATGCCTCAGCTTTCACATGCCCCTGACACCAGCCCCTGGTTGGCACCATTCTTCTCTCTACTTCTCTGAGTTCAACATTTTTAGATTGCATGTGTAAGTGAGATTATGGAGTAATTTTTTATACCTGGCTTATTTCACTTAACATAAAGAGTCAAATGCTCAACATCACTAATCATCAGGGAAATGCAAATTAAAACCACGATGAGATATCACCTCACACATGTTACAATGGCTTAGTCTCAGTCTGTCTTTGTGTTACTATAACCGAATACCAGAGACTGGGCAATTTCTAAAGAAAAGGAATTTATACTTTATGGTGCTTGAGTCAGAGAAGTCTAATATCAAGGCACTGACATCTCACAAGGGCCTTCTCACTGTGTCGTCTCACAGCAGAGGTGGGTGAGCAAGAGATCATTTGTCCACGAGAGAAAGGAGACTATCTTTTATTAGAAATTCACTCCTGTAATAACTAACCCACTCCAATGACAGTGACATTAATCCATTCATGAGGACAGAGCCTTCATGACCTAATCACATAATAAAGGTCCCACCTCTCAACACTGTTGCATTAAAGATTTTTTCCAAATCCTAAACTTTGGGAGACACATTTAAGTCATAGCATTCCATTCCTAATATCAAAATTTATGTCCTTATCACAATGCAAACTACATTCATTCCATCCCAATTGTCTCCAAAGTCTTATCCAGCATCAGTGCAAAAGTCTGAAGTCTAAAGTCTCATCTAAATCAGATGTGAGTGTGACTCAAGGCACAATTTAGCCTGATATAAATTTTTTCCATCTGTGAGCCTATAAAGTCAAAACAAGTTATCTACTTTCAAATACAGTGAACAATGGGGCAGGTATGGGATAGAAATTCCCATTCCAAAGCTCAGAGACAGGGAAGGAGAAAGCAGTGCCTAGTTCAAAACCCAACAGAGGAAAAAAACATTAAGTCTTATAGCTGAGACTTAATGTTTTTTTCCCTTGTTGGGTTTTGAACTAGTTCAACCATTGTAGAAGTCCTTGTGGTGATTCCTCAGGGATCTAGAACTAGAAATACCATTTGACCCAGCCATCCCATTACTGGGTATATACCCAAAGGACTATAAATCATGCTGCTATAAAGACACATGCACACATATGTTTATCGCAGCACTATTCACAATAGCAAAGACTTGGAACCAATCCAAATGTCCAACAACGATAGACTGGATTAAGAAAATGTGGCACATATACACCATGGAATACTATGCAGCCATAAAAAATGATGAGTTCATGTCCTTTGTAGGGACATGGATGAAATTGGAAATCATCATTCTCAGTAAACTATCGCAAGAACAAAAAACCAAACACCGCATATTCTCACTCATAGGTGGGAACTGAACAATGAGAACACATGGACACAGGAAAGGGAACATCACACTCGGGGGACTGTTGTGGGGTGGGGTGAGGGGGGAGGGATAGCTTTAGGAGATATACCTAATGCTAAATGACGAGTTAATGGGTGCACACACCAGCATGGCACATGTATACATATGTAACTAACCTGCACATTGTGCACATGCACCCTAAAACTTAAAGTATAATAAAAAAAAGTCTTATAGCTGGAAAATCATCCTCTTTGACGGCATCTTGTGCACACTGGGGAGGGGGAAGGGCCCCCAAGGCCTCCAGCAGTCTTGCCTCTATGGATTTTCTGGGTTCAGTCCACTCAGCCCCTCTCACAGGTGGGACTCTCAGGCCTCTAGCTCTCCTAGGCTGACTGGAAACTCTTTGTGGTGCCTCCAAACCCATATTTCTGCTTGGCATTGTGCTAAGGGTCCAGTGTGGTGACTCTGTCTCTGCAACAACTCACTGCCCGAGACCTTAGGCTGTCCACAGCATTCTTTGAAATCTAGGTGGAGAAAGCCATGCCCTCGTGGTATTCTGCACACCTGCAGAATTAGCAATACATGGATGCCATGGAAGTTGATGACTTGTACCATTAAAGTGATGGCTTGAGCCACACCTAGGTCCTCCTGAGCCACATCATGGGCAGCCAAGGAGTGCTGTGCCTGGACACAGGGAACAGAGTCCTAAAGTGCCTGCTAGAAGTGAGGCCATAGATTTGCTTCAAATTTCTCCCACCATATATCCTCACTCATGGCTCTGAACTTCCACTTTACAGAAAGACCTAGGGATGAGCACAATTCAGCCACATTCCTTGCCACTTTAAGGGAAGGATGGCCTTTGCTCCATTTTCCGATGAGCTATTCTTCTTTTTCTCCTGAGACCTCATCAGAACGGCCTTTATTGTCCACGGTTCTACCAACATTCTAATGATCATCACCTAAATAATCTCTAAGAAGTTTCAGAATTTCCTCACAGCTGTCTTCTTCTGAGTCCTCAAAAGAATACCCCTAGTGTTCTAGTCATGGCAATCTAGACTTTTTATAACCTGATCCTCCAAATTATTCCAGTCTCTGTGCATTACTACTTCCACTTCTACATTTTGGGATATTTGTTATCACAACAGCCCCACCTCTTGATACTGATTTTTTGTCTTAGTCCACTTTGTGGTGCAATGAGTGAATACCACACACTGGCTAATGTGTAAGGAAAAGAAATTTATTTTCTCCCAGCTCTAGAGGCTGGGAAGTCAATGTCAAGGTGCTAGCATCTGGCAAGAGCCTTCTTGCTGTGATGCCCATGTGGAAGGCAGGAGAGCATGTGCAAAGGATGGAAAGGGGGCTAAACTCATTTTTTAATGAGGAACCCAGGCCTGTAGTAACTAATCTGCTACCACAATAAGTAACCTACTCTGATGATAATGGCATTAATTGCTTCATGAGGGCAGAGCCCTCTCGGCCTAATCATTTCTTAACATTCTCACCTCTGGACACTATGGAATTTGGGATTAAGTTTCCAATACACACCCTTTCTAAACAGCAGGGGCTTTTTAATAGGTTTACCACCCAAGGCTGCAGGAGGCTCTGAAGTAGTGGGTGGCTGTCCTTTGTGAGAATGGAGAGAAGTGAACTGACTGATGGAGACACAAGTAGATGAAGTAAAGGCATTCATTGCTTCATTACATGGATGGTGAGGGCGATTGAAGGCATTAACGGATTAAAGATGGTGGCAAAACCATCTGAGGTGGAGACCACGGGGAGCCCATCAGAAATGGAGGACACGTCCCAATAAATGGTGCTTCATTTCCCTGCAAAGCAGATGAAAGCAAAGAAGAAAACACAATGCCATAGTGTACACTGAGCAGTGGATTGAGAGAAGAGTTTCCTAAGGCGTAACTGACAGAGTGGAGAAGACACACGAATCTTTGCATGGTGCTAACATTTGGACTGTGGCTTCATTATTTCTTATTAATATTTTACTGAAATATCACTAGAAGGAGACTGAAAATGAAGTGTGAAAAGTTAAATGGGATTTCTGCTCTAAGTCCTTTTCAGATGAGAGGAACTGGGGAATTCCAGGGAAGAAACAATAATAGCTGCTGAGCAAGGCTTTTGCAGGGCAGGACAAGGAATCCCCAAAGAGAAAACGGAAACCTCAGCTTCACTTTGCATCTGCTCCTGAGCCAGGTCTTGAGCGACCCCTGTAGGTCCTGAGCGCCCCCGGTAGGTTCTGAGCATTCCGTGGTTGCTGGGCGCCCTCTGGTGGTGTCTGAGCCCTTCTGGTGGTTTCTGAGCCCCCCTCTTAGAGTCTGAGCCACCCTATTAGTGTCTGAGCCACCCTATTAGTGTCTGAGGACCCTGGTGGTGTCTGAGCACAGGTGAGCTCCTCTGAAGGAAGGGTCTACATGGGGACAGGCGTGCTTGTCTCAGGGAAGGGTCCACATGGGGACAGGTGAGCTCATCTGAGGGAAGGGTCCATGTGGGGACAGGTGTGCTTGTCTGAAGGAAGATTCCACATGGAGACAGCTGTGCTTGTCTCAGGGAAGGGTCCACATGGGGACAGGTGAGCTCGTCTGAGGGAAGGGTCCATGTGGGGACAGGAGTGCTTGTCTCAAGGAAGGGTCCTCACGTGGACAGGTGTGCTCTTTTGAGGGAAGGATTGACCTGGGGACAGGCATGCTTGTCTGAGGTAAGGGTCCACCTGGGGACAGGTGTGATTCCCTCAGGGAAGGGTCCACGTGGGGACAGAGGTGCTTGTCTAAGGCAAGAATCCACGTAGCGACAGGTGAGTTCGTCTCAGGGAGGGGTCCAGGTGGGGCGAGTTGTGCTTATCTGAGAGAAGCATCGAAGTGGGGACAGGTGTGCTTGTCTCAAGGAAGGGTCCACGTGGGGACAGGTGTGGTAGTCTCAGGGAAGGGCCCACATGGGGACAGGTGTGCTCATCCGAGAGAAGGGTCCATGTAGGGACAGGTGTGCTTGTCTCAGGGAAGGGTTCATGGGGACAGGTGAGCTTGTCTGAAGGATGGGTCCACATGGGGACTGGTGTGCTCCTCTGAGGGAAGGGTCCACGTGGTGACAGGTGAGTTTATCTGAAGGAAGGGTCCACATGGGGACAGTTATGCTCCTCTGAGGGAAGGGTCCATGTGGGGACAGGTGTGCTTGTCTCAGGGAAAGGTCCACGTGGGGACAGGTGTGCTCGCCTTGGGGAAGAGGACAGATGAGCTCATCTCAGGGAAGGGGCCACGTGGGGACAGGTGTGTTTGTCTCAGGGAAGGGTCCACATGGGTACACCTGTGCTCCTCTGAGCAAAGAGTCCACATGGAGACAGGTGTGCTTGTCTGAAGGAAGGGTCCACGTGGGGACAGGTGTGCTCCTCCAAGGGAAGGGTCCATGTGGGGACAGGTGTTCTTGTCTCAGGGAAGGGTCCACGTGGGGACAGGTGTGCCCCTCTGAGGGAAATGTCCACGTGGGGACAGGTGTGCTTGTCTCAGGGAAGGGTCCACGTGGGGACAGGTGTGCTCGTGTGGAGGAAGGTTCCACCTGGGGACAAGTGTGCTTGACTCAGGGAAGGGTCCACTTGGGGACATGTGTGCTTCTCTCAGAGAAGGGTCTACGTGGGGACAGGTGTACTCATTTGAGGGAAGGGTCCACGTGGGGACAGGGGGGCTCATCTGAAGGAAGGATCCACGTGGGGACAGGTGTCCTTGTCTCAGGGAAGGGTGCACGTGGGGACAGATGTGCTCATCTGAAGGAAGGATCCACGTGGGGACAGGTGTGCTCCTCTCAGAGAAGGGTCCACGTGGGGACAGGTGTGCTTGTTTGAGGGAAGGGTCCACCTGGGGACAGGTGTGCTCGTCTGAGGGAAGGGTCCACCTGGGGACAGGTGGGGTCATCTCATGGAAGGGTCCACGTGGGGACAGATGTGGGAGAGGGTGTGCCTGGTCTGAACTGGAGTTTGAGGGAAGAATTTCTCGAGCAAGTGTGAATCCTGAACATGACCTGTTTTTCAGGAAGGAAAGCAGACCACATGGAAGCAGATGAAGGAAAAAGCAGACCACGTGGGAGCCGGATGAAGGGAAGGTTTCTATGAAATTGAAACAGCCTATCTGCCAGTGGAGAAAGTTATTTCATCCTTTTTTGCCTGCAGTGAGAAAGGGGGAAATCAGAGCCACAGAGAAGAGAATGAAATGTCCCTGAGGACATCTGAGAATTAGAGAAAAGAAAGCCTCAGATTCTAAGGAGAAGTCCTCGCCACTTCCCATCTGAGCCTGCTCTTCAGTGGACCCAAGTGTCGAGTGCATCCTGCACATCTCAGGCCCCCAGGAGGGAGGGTCCTGTCTGGGTTCACACGGCATCCCCTCACTGTGTCTCCCACAGGAATACCTGGCTGTCCTGTGGGTTCCTGGAGCTCCGCCGCAGGGAGCGCTGCTTGTTGGATGAGTCTCTGGATGGAGATGAGGCTCTTGAGAGGCGGCGGTTGTTCGTGTTTCTCTTATAATCGATGCTCCTCAGCCAGTGCAACCCCTTGTCTAGGGGCCGGTGGACCGGGCCTCCGCAGTAACCACTGGCTGTGATGGAGAATCCGGAGTCGTGCCAGGTGAGGAAGGGGGCAGCCACGGCTTCTCCAGTCTTGAGCCTCACTCCTGCTGCTGCACCTGGGACAGGACAGCTGGGAACAAGAACAGTCAGTCCCTGTCAGTCATGGGACATCACAGTTATTGCCACAGCCCGTGTCTGGCCTCTGAGATGCTCACCTTCGGGAGGTGTCAGCAGGCACAGGAGAAGGCCCAGCAATCTCATCTTCTTCTGAACCCACCTTTGTCTTCCCCAGAGACACCGTCCCAGTCTGAGAAGTGACTGGATGCTTCCACAGCCCAGGGGTGGATTTTACCCCAGAGCTAAAACAAAAAATTACACGGGGTGGATGACTATTTATTTATTTATTTATTTAGAGACAGAGTCTCGCTCTGTCGCCCAGGCTGGAGTGCGGTGGTGCAATCTCGGCTCACTACAACCTCTTTCTCCCGGGTTGAAGCGATTCTCCTGCCTCAGCCTCCCTAGTAGCTGGGATTACAGGTGCCCAGCAGCATGCCTGACTAATTTTTGTAATTTTAGTAGAGACAGGGTTTTGTCACTTAGCCAGGCTGGTCTCAAACTCCTGACCTCATGTGATCTGTCTGCCTCGGCCTCCCAAAGTGCTGGGATTATAGGCATGAGCCACCGTGCCCAGCCTAGCTGACTCTTTTTATAAGTAGAAAAGTTAAGATATGGCCCCTACCTCCTGGTAGTTGAGCGTTGTGTAGAGTGCCTTTCCTCCTAAACTCATGTGGCACGCATGTCACTTGACATTTGGTGGTTGGAGGACACTTGGTCTGCGAGACAAATGGGAATAGGCAAAGGACAGCCCTGCCATTCTGATCCCAGGGCTACTTTCCTTCCAACCCCTCTTCCCTCCTGCCCTTCCTTGTTTCTAGCGCAGCTCCCCCTATCCACAGGCCCAGGTCTTGCTTCCTCAGTGCTGAGCCCAGCACAGCTCCTGGGCTCTTTCCTTGGGTCCCACCTGTGGTGTGGCTCTCCTCACCCATGGAGCTTTGGACAACATCACATTACTGTCTCAGGAGCTCTACGCCAGCCCTGCACTCTAACCCATTCTGTGATGCCAGAGACAAGGACCTCAGGACCTACCGGGGCTGGATAAAATAATGTTCTTTGATTTACTCAGGAACTAATTCTCAATAGTTGGGGGAAGAGACAGACACATCCCTTTTTAAGTACTCCATTATCCAGACATTTAAAATGCATCTAAAGTGTGAGGATTTCTACTCTAAATGCATCTCTTCCTCTTGTTCTCTTGAGGCTATTCCTGTATATGAATTACTCATTACCTCAACTCATTACTGATAACACTTTTTTTGGAAATTCATTCATAATAAATAATATGAAAGCAGTACCAATGTCCTCATATACAACTTTTAAAGTTTGTATTGTGATAAGAATACCTACCATGAGATACACTCTCTCAGCAAATTTTTAAGTGTACTGTGCAGTCAAGTTATCTAGACTCAGGATTCTGTGCATCCAGTCTCCAGAACTTATTCATCTTGCAGAACACCAATTTTATACACACAAATTAGCAACTTACAGCTGTTTTGTTTTGGTTTTGTTTTGATTTTGGGGGGCAATTTTTAGGATTTTCTACATACAAGACATGTCATCTGTAAACAGTGACACCTTTACTCCTCTCTTTCTGATTTAGTAACTTTTTCTTGCCTAAGTTCTCTGACTAGGACTTACAATACTATGTAGAACAGAATTGGTGAGATAGGGCATCCTTGTCTTCTCCATCATCTAAGTGGAAGCTTGTTCAGTGTTTCAGCATTGGCTATGATGCTAACTGTGGGCTTTTAAATATGGCTTTCAATATGTCCAGATAATTTCCCTTTATTTGTAGTTTGTTAAGAGGTTTTATCATGGAAAGATGTTGAAATTTGTCAAATGATTTTTATGCATCTGATGAGATAATATTTTAGTCTTTCATTATGTTAATGTGGTCCATCAGATTCAGTGATGTTTAGATGTTGCACCATCCCAATATTCCAGAGAGACATTCCACTGGATCATGGCAAATGATCCTTGTAATGTGCTGTTCAGTTTGATTTGCCAATATTTTGTTGAGTACTTTTTGCATCTTTGTGTTTCAGTAAGAGTGGTCTGTAATTTATGTTAATTTGGTGTTTGCCTGGTTTTGATTTCAGGGCAATGCTGACTTTATAAAATAAGTTTAGAAGTATTTCTTCATCTTAAAACTTTTGGGAGGTCGAGATGGGTGGATCACAAGGTCTGGAGATCGAGACCATCCTGGCTAACAAGGTGAAACCCCATCTCTACTAAAAATACAAAAAATTAGCCGGGCATGGTGGTGGGCACCTGTCATCCCAGCTACTCAGGAGGCTGAGGCAGGAGAATGGCGTGAACCTGAGAGGTGGAGCTTGCAGTGAGCAGAGATCATGCCATGCACTCCAGCCTGGGCAACAGAGCGAGACTCCATCTCAAAAAACAAACAAACAAACAAACAAAAAAACTTTTGGAAGTGGTTCCAAGCTCGCTTTCGATTACTGATTCAGTCTTTTACTAGTAATAGTTCTGTTTCTACTTTTTCAAGATTCAATCTTGGAAGATTGTACATATCTAGGAATTTATCCATTTCTTCTATGTTATCCATTGCTGAGTATACAATTTATTTTTAGTAAGCTCATGAGATAAATGGCCAAACATTAAAAAACGGAGTGAGGGAGTCAGGGACAGACAGGAGACAGTTGAAAGAAAGAAAAATACATTTCAGTCTCCTAGAGTTAGAAGGAATTCTAGAAGGTTTTGTTTAAGATAACAAAAGTGTAGGAATTCCTTATGCTGTGGCTGGGGGCATCCTGGAGAGATGCTGCTGCCTGGAGGCCCAGGCCCCTTCCTGTCCTGGCTCATCATCAGGCTCAGAGGAACTCGAGACCTTAGGGAAAGAGGAGCAATAGAGGGGAAATATTAGCATAGGTTCCAAAAATGAAAAGGAACTAAATAATCATGAAACTACATATAGATATTTTATATAAATGTAATTATTATAAAATTATAATAGTATATTTCTAATATAATTATGACAGTATTATAATTATTTATATAATTATAACAGTATTATAATTATTTATATAATTATATATCACTTTGGTATATATAATGTATATATATAACTAAATTTAAATAAATGTCCATCATTTGACCAATTAGAAATCCAAAGTTTATATACAAAATTCTGTACTGAAATAACTTCTAAGACAAAAATTGAAAATGAAGCTGGTTGGCTTCGTGCCCCTCTACACTACAGGTTCTAGAGAGGGGAATCTAGATCCTGCAGCAGGCAGAAGAATGCCCCCCAAAGATGCCCATGCCATAGTCCTGGGGCTCTACAAAGACATCACCTGCAGGGCCAAAGGGACTGGGCTGACGTGATAGAGGCCCTTGGATGTTACAGTCACCCTGGCCTGTGCATGCCATATGCCCTGGGGTCCTGATGAGGAGAAAGAGGAGCAGCAGAGTCCAAGACTGGGGAGGTGTGGGATGGAAGCGGAGGTCAGTCACACAGCCACCAGCCGGGGAACGCAGGCGCCCCTAGGAGCTGGCAAAGGCAAGAGATAGATTCTCCCAGATAACTCTAGAAGGAAGCAGCATGGCTGGTGCTCAAGTCTTTAGTTCTGTGAAACGCCTTCCAGACTCTGACCTTGGAACTGTATACTGGTCCATTGTAATTTCACTTTAGCATTTTTGGGATTGCACCAATTGGCAAACTTTGTGATCAATACCAGGGCTCCAATAATAGCTATACCTAGGAAATTCATTAGATTTCAAGATTTAAACATGTATCCCATGTGAACTTAAGATAATTAAATAGAAATCAATATATTTGGAAGAAGAAATAGACACACCGCACTTTAGCGGTTGCCTTGCCTAGATTTCACATGATCATAATGTCCTTTGTCCTAAAATATCTCATATTGGGCATACACTCTGACACAATGAATTAAATTAAAATGGAATGAGGTGTTTGGCACTTGTGCATTGGCTTGATAAAATGGAACTCAAAGAGTTCCAGTTTATGTAGTTAATATATTCCAACAGAAGTGAAAATGGACCTTCGAAGATTAAAAACTATTATACAAATCTAATCAATAAAGAGGTGATTTTTCCCATTGCTTCTCTATTTCACAGCCAAATCTTGCCTGTTCTTAAACCGGTGAAGAAGAAAAGACAATAGCATGAAGGTTGCCCTATGTTGGATTGTCACAACTTTCATGCCGTGGCCCCACCCATTAGGGCCCCATACTCCCAATGTTCTCAAAACGACTGGCTTTAACCAACAGCCAGTGCAGACTTTGCTCTTCCAGATGTGTCTAATTGGTTGTACTCAGCGCCCATCTCAGCAGCCCCTTAGCTGCAGATTGTCTTTGCCTGGGAAGGACACCCTTCTCAGGATACGCGGGCACCTCAGCGGCGTGGCCACCACATGAGAGCTTCGCAGGCTGGCTCCTCACTGCATCTGCCTTCCTCCGCAGCACTGCTGACACCTCCTCTGAGGAGATGCTCCCCATACTTTCATTAAGGACATACAAATGCCACATCCTGCTGTTCCTTGTGGGTTCTGGTGCAACATATTCCTCACCCATAAATTTCAACTAGCCTCGCTGTTGTTGCTACTTATAAATCACCTCCCCTAAATGAAATTTCCTTCAACAAAAGGCTCAACAGTGTGCCTAATTTAAAATCAACAGGCTCTTCTGTTAGTATCCTCAGAAACTCCTTCACTAAAGAAACTTGGCAAACCCTTCTCATGCCTCCTGGTGTCTCTGGGCGATCAATGTGGCCTTAAGATGCTCGACAGTTTCCAAGGCAAGTAACTGCTCCCTTTGGCCTTGGACTATAAATCATTCAACTGAACATTGCTGTCTACAACCTGGACTATTTGGACACATCCAGCTAACTATTGTGTTTGGGGTCACGGGAACAGCACCCCACACACTTAGCATGGCTCCAGAGGCCTTCTTAAGACAGGATAAAGCAACACCCAGGCCCTCTGTCATTTCTGCTTGCAGCAGGACTGGCTTCCTATATCCACAGTCACCTGGCAGGTGCCCAAGTGCTGGAGGAGGCCACCTCTCGGCCACATGGGAAGAACGCTGGGACTCACTGAGTGGACAGTGACTGGCATTTGCGGGCTGCAAGGATGACAAGTGATGGGGCTTGGGGCATGCTTCTGCTCTCCCTCTCTTGGCCATATGTCCCAACAAAGGATGGGGCTGGGGATCCCCAAAATTAGGCAGACATCAGGCAGTCACACCAGCATTGGGTGCCCTATCGAACCAATGGCTCCATTTCCACATTTATTATAAACAGCTCAGACGTTGTTTAAGAGCTGTCTTCAGGGTAAGGAAATCTGAAAGTCTCTTGCCTCCCAGACACTGAAAATATAAATCAAGTGGCTCATATCTCTGCACATAATAAGTTCACAATACGAGGCTTTGGTGGGACACTAATGTCCTTCAAAATTGCATACTTTGCTGACAGTAACCAAGTCACACATTTTACTTTTCAAAACACACAATGCTGGATACAGAAAAAGCCACTTGATAGAACTTCATGCCTCTTAGGCCCCATTCAATAGAACTTAATTATGGGCTGGTTTAACTCAGAGACATACTGATCTCCTCAAACAATTCCTTCAAATTCCACTCCAGTAAATGGACACCCAATGGATCTCCAACTTCTGTAGAACTAACTCTCCCTAAATTCAAGGCTCTTAGCTGAGTCGCCCTCATCCCAGCTTTCAGGACTTCTCCATCACCCTTTGAGATACTTATAGGCTTATATTCATTGCATTATTGAGGCTATTTAAAATATTATTTCCATATCTTTACAAATGTTTGATGTTGCTCTTATCTCATAAGGGCTGGAGAACCTATTGAGGGTAAAAACTCTCCTCGGATGATTAGCCATAGAGGGTCCCGTGGGTCAGTCGGCTGCTCATCTGATATGAGCCCATTTGAACGTAAAGTTCCACAAAAACAAACTCAAAAAACAAATGAAAACAACATCAACACCTGCCAACTGCAGCCAAGCACCCCTCTGTTGACTGCTGGTCTCACCATTGTCCATGTGGCTGCTTGTATTGTGGACTTATTTGTTATAATCCAAAGGGCAGAAACCTCCAAATAGGCCATCACTTCAACCAAACACGGCAAGTGCTGATAGCCAGTCAGTCCGCTTGAGCACATGCCCACCTGGAAAGGACACCCTAGTACCCCATCCTAGAGCACATCGGCCTGGCCCAGGGCTCAAAGCTGGAGGTGGCTTTGGCTTTTCCCCGGCGAGCTGGAGACAGTTGTGCCCTAAACCTTAACACCAGTCATGGCCTGGGAAGTCTCTCAATGAAACAATAAGGCATTGGACATGCCTTGCTTTTGTCCCTTGGATACTAGGGATCCTATTGTGCTCCCTGAGCTTGCTGTCCATTTGGTCCAGGATCCCAGTGCACTCCTTGCTGTTTGCCACAACATGCTACACTACATTTCTGTTCATACAGAGAAATCTGATAGTGGTTACTACCATCTCTGTCAGTCTGAAAATCAGCAGAGGTCATTGCTGCACACAAAGGAACCTGCCTCATATCCATCAACCCTTTGACACCATGAGGAGAGAACCACCCACTCCCCAGTAACTTTTCCCACTCCCAACCCGCATCTCTGAACTACGACCACCACCAACACTTCCACCTTTTGATTACCACTAATCTTGAGAAATAATTTACTAACCCATCCATCCATGCACTCCAACAATGTGACTAGAGGACCTGCCACCTTGACCCAAGAAAGACACCAAAATATTATTGTTAGAAAAATACATGCATAAAGAAATTTATAACTGCACCAAGACATTGTTTGCGACCCCAGCTGTCTCAGACCAGGTTTCTTGGCTGTCATACAAATGGGAAACCTATTTATGGGCTGGCTGGCAGCGACTCTTGATACTTCTACTTGTGTTCCTCCTCTCTACTCTCACAGTAAAATGTTTTCTATATCCTTTAGGGCAACTGATGTAGCCACACTCTGTAAACTCTTCAGCATCAACACTCCAAAAATTCCTTCACATGACATGAAACCATCAGAGGTTGGGTTGGGTTAATCCTGTGTCCTTATTCTCCGTGTTTATGATACTCTGACATCTTGGAGTCTTGTGGAACTGGGGAGGAAAAGCCTGTCCCAGGATTACTTAATTTCTAGAAGAAACACTTGCTGGTGAGCACACCTTTCCTGTGCAAACCAGGGCATACGGGCCCATTCTCCCCACCTGTTTATCTGACTCACACAACAAGCCAACATTTCCTCTGCCCTAAACCCCCAAGGGGCAGGTACAGGACAAGGAGAGATGGCTCCAATAGGCCAGAGCCCATCGCGTTTTTCAGCATCCCATGCCATGCCGGTTGGAAGCTCGTCCACCCGCCTCCCTCATCCCTTCCCCTGGAAGCTGAAGAAGGCTGTGCTGCTGCCGCCTCCCTGCTCCCCTTCAGGGCTTTCTGGGCAAGGCTTACAGTTCCAGGAGGATCCAGCCCCCCGTGTGGAGGTGCTCTCCAGGTCCTGAGACTTCAGTGCAAGATGAAGGTGTGCTTTGCACGTGGGAGGCCTCAGTCATAAGCAGGGAAGGTCCAGGGGAGGCCTCAGTTTCTGATTCAGGAGCTGGAGAAGGAGGAGGCCTTATCTGCTCCCAGGAATGACCCTCCCTCTTCTGAGTGCCCCGCCATCTGGGGCTCCAGGTCAGAGAAGTGCCAGCCACAAGAGGGAACTTGGAAGGTGTGGAAATGAATTCTGCTCTCAGGAGAAAACCCCACTGATGAAGACATGCTTGCCTTTTCCTTCTCTCCTCCTGGGCACCCTTGCCCTAGGGCCCGCCTCTCCCTTCATCCCCCTGAGGGAACTTTGAGCAGAGTGTGGGCCCAGAGGCCACAGGTCAGGGACATGAGCTCAGCGCTATGGGGATGCACAGCCTTGGGCAGTCAGTGGATGCTTCCTGGTGGGGCCTCGCCTCTGAATGGCCACATGAGTCATTCCTGCCCTGGACAGTAGAGAACCCGAGCAGAGGATGGCCCTCCCAGCAGGATTTGACTGTGAGCATTCCGTGAGCATAGCTCATTTCTCAGAGCTGAGAGGGTGGTCCTGACTGGCTTGCGCCCTCCCAGTGCACCTCTGTGTCCTCTCCACGCTGCCTGCCTCCCCAGGGCCTGGGCAGCCCCTACCTCCTGCTGATTTCCCTCAGCCCAGCTCCTGCTCGGGGGGAGCCCTGCAGAGCCCTCACTGGGCACCTCTCTCAGAGGCACTGGGCCCCACAGGTAACTGAGCAGGTGCAGCCATCGCTCAGTACAGCTCCTGGGGACAGGTCAGGTGGGTTAGGCTGGGGCTCTGGTGAGGTCAGGCCACACCACCCAGGGGAGACAAGAGCTGAGACACCTCACTTCCCATGTCTCTCTTTTCACGTCTCTTAGGGCAGTCTTCCCCCAGCTGTGTAGCTCAGGAAGAACTCTCAGGGTTCATGTGGAGAAAGAGGCTGTGACCACCCCAGAGGCCTCTTCTCCAGTGAGAAGCAGGGGGACACCCCGGAGGAGCAGACATTCTAAGGCTGCCCGTGAGCCCTGCAACTGGCTCTGTTCCCAGCAGGGAGGTGGAGAGGATGCCACTCAGGAATCACCTCGGAGCCCCGAGAAGAGGGAGGTCTAGATGTTGATTTCTTGGGAAAGGGCTGTGAGCTCAAAGATGGGCTTAGGAATATGGATCACAGAAAAAAATTTGATGTGCAAAAATGAAAAAAAATATGACTTTTATTAAATCATAAAACTGTGATGAAACAGCTGACATCAGTGGAGCAGCCTGCACATTTTCCATCCAGGCATCGTTGAGTCTAGATACGTGTCCCAATTATAGACCATCCAGTCATCCAGGGCTGCCACTTGCAGATGGAAAATTGTACTATTTTCAATCATGCACTGAGGTTTGAATTACTTCACAGACTGAACCAAACAAACATGGGCTCCATTGAAGAGTGTCTGGCATTTGTTTCAACCACAAGAGAACTTTCCCCAGCTCTCCCTCATTCTCGGTTCTCTCCTGCAAGCCAGCAGCCCTGCAGTGTAGCCTGCATCTCCCATGCATCCACCCATCTCCTTCCAAGGGCTTTCCACCACACCATCCACTGTTTTTGAGAGCACTGGCAGGCTTTCAATTTGTCCACATTCTGTTGTTACTGAAGTTAGGATTTTTAGGACTAATTAAGGATCATATTTTATGACTGAATTCCATTGCTCCCTCTCTCCTGGGACAGAGCTCCTAAACAAGGTTCTGCAGGTGTAGACAAAGTTGAGCTGTTTTATTCCTCAGCCTAGGAGCTGAGCTCTCAGTGGAGGGTCGGGCAGGAGCTTCCCACCTTCTCAGCACTTCGGTTATTGTGGGGTGGAACCTCTGCCATAGGACAGAGCTAGAAACCAGAGACCCAGTGTTCCCAGTGGCACTGGACCCGGGGCAGAGCCTCCATCCATGAGTGGGGCTCCATGGAAGAAGTGAGTCTCTGGCTCTCGGTAGCTCTTGTTCAGCACTGAACCTCAGCATCATGTGCTGTGTGCAGGGTCAGAGGGCCAACGTACTGGGCCCTGGGGAAGAGTTTCCTCTGGTGGGAGTTGGTAGAAGGTGTCCTGTCTTCTTGGCTGCATCTGTCGGCAGTGGAGTTTACATCATGCTGAGCTGGGATGTGGAAGGAAGGAAGATCATCTTAGATCAAGCATGATGACTGGCCTTACCGAGTTTTCTAGATTTTCTTGAATAAATATTTCTTCACTTGCTTTATGCTGTTAGAGCCTTTCCAAACCCTGTAATTTTTCAAAATAATTTTCACTGGTCTCATGAGGGCCTGGATTCACTGAAACCCTCATGCTGTCGAAGAGAAATAGAATTTTTTTTCACTTTTTAGAGAACACCCATGCGTTATAAAATAATGGGTTGACTTTTCATCCAACACTTTACAGATACCATCAACTTTCCTCTTGCTTGTAAGGTTTTAACCAGAAGAATGCTGTCATCATCTTTTCTGTTCTTTTGGAAGGAATGCCCCCTCTGCTCACCTCCACTTGCCTGCATATATTTCTATTTGTCTTTCCTTTTCAGCAGTTTTAATAAGATTTACCTAAATGTGTGTGGGGGGATCAGTGGGTGTAATTCTGCTGTTCTGTGTTCTCTGAGATGCATGGATTCACGGTTTACTCTGTCTCCATTTTGGGGAACACAATTAGAAAAAATGTCAGTATGAGCCCAGAAACAAGCCTCCCTGAAGAGGGAACAGGACCACCTGGGGACGCTCAGGACCCACTGAGCACAAGAGCCAGCCTCAGGGCAGGTGCAGAGGGAGGTTAAGGTCTGGTTTCCTGTCAGCCCTGTGGCTTCCTCTCCATGAAACAGTTTCCTCCATGAAACAGTTTCAGAATATGTGCCATGGGGTGATGAGAAGAATGTATATTCTGTTGCTTTTTGGTGGAGAGTTCTGTAAACATCTATCAGGTCCATTTGATCCAGTGCTGAGTTAAGGTCCTGAATATCTTTGCTAATTTTCTGCCTAAGTGATGTGTCTAATACTGTCAGTAGGGTGTTGAAGTCTCTCATTATTATTGTGTGTGAGTCTAAGTCTCTTTGTAGGTTTCTAAGAATTTGTTTGAACAGGGTGCTCCTGTGTTAAGTGCGCGTATATTTAGGATAGTTAGCACTACTTGTTGAATTGAACCCTTTGCCATTATGTCATTACCCTTTTTTGTCTTTTTTTATCTTTGTTGGTTTAAAGTCTGTTTTGTCTGAAATTAGGATTACAATCTCTGTATTTTTTATGTTTTCTATTTACTTAGTAGATTTTCCTCCATCCCTTTATTTTGAGGCTATGGGTGTCATTGCATATGAGCCTATGGGTGTCATTGCATGTGAGCCTATGTGTGTCATTGCATGTGAGCCTATGCGTGTCATTGCATGTGAGCCTATGCGTGTCACTGCATGTCTCTTGAGACAGCATACCATTGGGTCTTGCTTTTTTATCCAGCTTATCACTCTGTGCCTTTTAATTGGGGCATTTACCCCTTTTACATTCAAAGTTAGTATTGATATGTGTAGATTTGATCCTGTCATCATGCTGTTAGTTGGTTACCATACATACTTGTTTGTGTGGCTGCTTTCTAGTGTCATTGGTCTATGTACTTCAGTGTATTTTTGAAGTGGTTGGTAATGATATTTCCTTTTCTTATTTAGTGCTTCCTTCAGGAGCTCTTGTAAGGCAGGTCAGTCTGGTAGTAACAAATTCCCTCAGCATTTGCTTGTCTGAAAAGGATCTTATTTCTCCTTCACTTATGAAGCATAGTTTGGCTAGATGTAAAATTCTAGTTTGGAATTTCTTTTCTTTAAGAATCTTGAATATTGGCCCCCAACCTCTTCTGGTTTGTAGAGTTTTTGTTGAGAGGTCTGCTTAGTCTTATGGGCTTCCCTTTGTAGGTGACCTGACCTTTCTCTCTGGCTGCCTTTTGCATTTTTTTCTTTCATTTCAACCTTGGAAAATCTGATAATTATGTGTCCTGGAGGTGATCTTCCTGTGAAGTACCTTAAATGGGTTTTTGTATTTTCTGAATTTGAATGTTAGCCTCTCTAGCTAGGTTGAGGAAGTTCTCATGAATGATATCCTGGAATATGTTTTCCAAGTTGCTGCCATTCTCCCCATCTCCTTCAGGGACACCAGTGAATCATAGATTTGTTCTCTTTACATAAACATATTTATCAGAGGTTTTGTTTCTTCCTTTTCATTCTTTTTTCTCTATTCTTGTCTGCCTGTCTTGTTTCAGAATGCCAGTCTTAAAGCACTAATATCATTTCTTCTGCTTGGTCTATTCTGCTGTTAATAGTTGTGATTGCATCATGAAATTTTTGCAGTGTGTTTTTCAGTTCTATCAGGTCAGTTATGTTCTTTTCTATACTGTCTATTTTGTCTGTCAGCTCCTGCATTGTTTTATTGTGATTCTTAGCTTCCTTGGATTGGGTTTCAACATACTCCTGTACCTTGTTGCTCTTCATTTCTATCCATACTCCAAATTCTATTTGTGTCACTTCAGCCAACCCAGTTCAGTTAAAAACTTTTGGTGGAGAGCTGGTGGAGGCATTCGGAGGAAAGACAGCATGCTGGCTTTTTGACTTGTCAGAGTTCTTGCACTGTTTTTTTCTCATTTTTGTGGGCTAGTGTTTTTTCAATCTTTGAAGTTCTTGTCCTTTGGATTTTTTTTTATCTTATTAGATGACTTTGAGAGTTTGATTGTGTTATAAAGTGGGTTCAGTCAACTGGCTTTATTTCTGGAAGATTTTGGGGACCAAGGTTCAGCTGTCATCTCCCCAGCTGCATGTTTTAATTCTGGGGGACTTATATCCTACCCTACTTTGTTCTCTGACTTCTCAAGATTATGAACAGACTGTGATGGGGGTGCTAAGGTGCTCCTGGACTGCTGGTCACTACACGTTGATGGAATGGTGCTAGTCAAAGGGTTTTGTAGTGTGGTGGCAGTAGGGGGGGGGGTCTGTCCTCATTCACAGGTGCCCTCAGCAGCACCAGAACCAGCAGTATTAAATCAGGATGCATGCTTGTCAGCTGCAGCAGACTGCTAGCAGGTGCTGAGATGCCTGCCTCCATGAAGGCATTGACAGCAGGGGTAGAGTCAGCATAACTTGGGGGGTCAGCAGGCCCCCATTGGTGACTGTGTGCATTGGTGCACTGATGGTGGTGTTAGTATGGGGGCAGGACACTGGTGGGTTCAGGTGTGTGTGCACCCTCTGTGGCTACTCAGGGCAGGGGAGGGTTCATTGTTTTCAGTGCCTAGTTTCATTCTGGTGGCAGTGTTGGCACAGGGGCAGGTCACTGACAGAGGCAGGACTGGTGGGCTCTGTGCCCACTACAGCTCTGACTGCAATGGTAGTATGGCCGAGGAAGGGGAGCAGAGTGCACTCCTGCTGGCAGCAGAGGCAGGGCAGCGTACACGTGCTCACACAAGCTGGTGGTGAAGGGAAGGGAAAATCCACCTGCACACATACAAGCCAGCCAAATGATGTCAGGGGGCAGGGGTGGTTGGCCATGGGCTTGGAAGAAGCTGCAGCAGAGGGAGGGAGCAGGCAGGTTGGTGCATGGCCCTAGGGGCCACCCCGCTGGAGCTCTCCACCAATTAGATATGGTCTGCCATTGCAGAAGCTAAGATGCGGGTCCCCAGGGAACCTGAGTCTGTACTGCAAGCAGAAAAAAACCAGGCTGGAGCACTGGGAGAGGTCAGCAGACCAGGGGGTACTAAGGTTGGATCTGCCCCATCTGATGGGAAGACTGCCCTGCAGAATTCATATCTGACAGTTCCCCTAGGGCTAAAGTCTCCTATGGAGGCAAGTCAAGTCTGGAGAGATGGGTATCCCTGGCCGTGCTCTGCTATAGATGTTCCTGCAACAAACCCTCTGGGCTCCATATCGGCTACCATGCTGCTCCTACCACTCCTCTAAGCACTTCCCCTGCCAACTCTGTGTCTGTAGTGGTTGAGGGGTCTCCTCCCGGTGGGATTCCAGAGGCTTGTGGCAAGAGTAGGTTGCTTCTTGCCAGTTCAACTCACCCATTCCCCCAAAGTTCTTGGGGGTGAGGAACGAGTCCCATTGCACGGTAGCCCCACCCAGCTTCTGCCCAGCTTTTGTGTCTTGAGGACCTGTTAGGACTGTGCCAGTCATCCCAGTCCCACAGTGACAGCTGTTCTATCTGTCTGCAACTAGTCAGACATCTTGACCAAATTGGAAGTTTCTTACAAAGCTGAGCATAGCCTTACCATATGATCACACTCCCAGGCACTTACCCAACTGATTTGAAACATGTGTACACAAAAACCCAGTCATGAATGTTTACAGCAACTTCATTCCCTAACAGCCAAAAATTGGAGACAATCACAATGTTCTTCAACGAGTGTATGAATAAACAAACTGTGCTATATTTACAATAGAATGTTATTCAGCAATAAAAAGGTCATTAACTACCAAGCCATAAAAAAGCATGAATGAATCTTAAATGCATAATGCTAGCTGAAAGAAGCCAGTTTTGAAAGGTTATATACTGTATGACTCCAATTGTATGACATTCTAGAAAAATTAAAACTATAGAGACAGTAAAAGACTGGTGGTTACCAAGAGTACAAGGAGAAGAAAGAAGAGTGGAATAATTTAAGTTGAAGAACAATTTAGGGTGAAGAAATTATTCTTTCTAATGCTGTAGAAATGAATACATGATATTATAAATATGTCAAAAATTATAGAAAAAACTTAATTTGTGTAAGTTTTAACAACTATACTACAACAAATTGAATAACCTTGAAGAAATAGATAAATTTCTGGACACAATTTGTCAAAATTAAATTAAGAGGAAATAAAAAATCTTAACCGATCAATAAGGAATAAAATTGAATCAATAGTTTCAAAAATCTCACAGCAAAGAAAAGCCCAGGACCTAATGGATTCTGTTTTAAATTTTACCAAACATTTGAAAAAGAACTAATACCAATTTATTGAAATTGAATAGGCATACTCATTTTAGAAGGCCTGCATTACTCTGATACCTAAGCCACAGGTGGATACTAAAAGAAAAGTTCAATCCAGTGTCTCTGATGAACATAAATGCCAGAATACTAACACATTAAATCTGGCAGCACATTAAAAGGATAATTCATGGTTAGCAAGCACAGTGATATTTGAACATATGCAAATCAATAAATGTGATATACCACATTGGCAGAATGAAAGGCAAAAACCATATGGTTACCTCAATAGATGCAGAAAAGGCATTGACAAAATTCAACATCCTTCATCATAAAAACTATGCTTAGAAGGAACCTACCACAGTGATAAATGCCACATATTACAATCGCACAGCTAACATCATATTCAATGGTGAAAAATTGAAAGCTTTCCTTCTAAGATCAGAAAGAAAATAAGGATGCCCACTCTCACCGAGTCTACTCAATATATTACTGAAAGTACTAGCTAGAGTAAGTAGGTAAGAAATAAAAGGCAACCAAATTGCAAAAGAAGAAGTAAAATTGTCTGTTTGCAGATGACGTGATCTTATATCGAGAAAATCCTAAAGATGTCCTCAAAAAAACCTTCTAGAATAAGTGAGTTCATAAAGCTGCAGATTAAAAAATGAACATACAAAAACTAGTGGTATCTCTGAACAGTAACAATGAATTATCTGAAAAGGAAGTCAAGAAAACAATCCCATTTATAACTATAAAAAATTAAAACAAAATACTTAGGAATAAATTCAACCAGGAGGTTTAATCTCTGTACACTGAAAACTATAATACATTGATGAAATAAATGGAAAAAGAGAATTAAAAGTAAATATACCTATGTACATTAATTTTAAAAAATTAATATTGTTAAAATATCTAAAATAATTAAATTACCTACAGATTCTATCAAGTCCCTATTAAAATTCCGATGGCATTCATCATAGAAATGGAAAAAACAAAACCAAATTTGTATGTACTTGTACAAGACTCTAAATAGCCAAAGTAATTTTGAGAAAAAGGAACAAAGCTGGAAGCATCACACTCACTGCTTCAAACTCTACTACAAAGCCATATTAATTAAAACAGTATGGTACTATAAAAACATGACACATAACAATGGAACACAGTAGGGAGCCCAAAAATAAATTCACACATATATGGCCAACTAAGATTTGACAAGGGTGCCAATAATACACAATGGGAAAAGAAAAGTCTATTTAATAAATGCTGTTGTAAAAGCTAAATATCCACATGCAAAAGAAAGAAACTGAAGTCTTGTCTTATGACATATACTAAAACTAACTGGAAATGAATTAAAGATTTAAATGTAAAACCTGAAACTGTAAAACTACCAGAAGAAAACATAAGGAAAAAACACCTTGACAACAGTCTTGGCAATCATTTTTTGGATATGACCACAAAAGCACAGGCAACAAAAAATAAACAAGTGGGACTATATCAACTAAAAATTCCACTGCGCCACAAAAGAAACAATTGACCAAATTAAAAGGTAACCTATCGAATGGGAGAAAATATTAGTAAACCATATGTATGATAAGGGGTTAATACTCATAATATATTAGGAAGTACGCAAGTCAACAGTAAAACAACAAACAACCTGATTTTTACAATTGGCAAAGATTTTAACAGACATATTCCCAAAACAGACATAGAAATAGCCAACATGTATATGAAAAGGTGCTCAACATCATCAACCATTGGGAAAATGAAATTAAAACCGCAATGAAACATCACCTCATACCTACTGTAATGGCCATTATGAGAAGACACATGATAACAAGTGTTGGTAAGGATGTGGAGAAAAGGGAACCCTTTCACAGTATTGATGGGAATGTAAATTGGCACAGGCATTATGGAAAACAATATAGATGTTCTTCAAAAAATAAAAAATAAAACTTCCATATGTTCCAGCAATCTCACTTCTAGATATATACCCAAAGGAAATGAAATAAGTATCTCTAAAAGATAACTATACTGCTATGTTCACTGCAGCATCATTCACTATAGCCAAAATATGGAAACAACCCAAGTGTACATCAATTGATGAATGAGTATAAAAATTGTGGTACATATATGTGATAGATTATCATCCAGCCAAAGAAAGAAGGAAGTTTTGCCCTTTGCAGCAACATAGATAAACCTAATAGACATTACGGTAGGTGAAATAAGCCAGACACAGAAAGACAGACACTATATGATCTCACTTACATGTAGAATCTGAAAAAAAAAAAAAAAAGCTCATTGAAGGAGAGAGTAGAACAGTGGTTGTCAGAGGGTTTTGAAGTCAGAGAAAAGGGGAATATGTTGGTCAAATGGTACAAACTTTCAGCCCTAAGATAAACACATTCTTGGTAACTAATGTACAACATGGATGGTGATTAATGTGTTAATTTGATTGTGGTAATCATTATACAATGTATATGTATATCAAATTATCATTTCATATACCTTGAATATATTTGATCTTTATGTGTCAATTAAATATTTATAAATTTAAAAATCTACAAAAGAAACAAATCATTTCAATTCTATACAATAAAAAAGAACTATCTAAAAGGGAAATTAAGAAATTAATCTCATTTCCATTAGAACCAAAAAATAAAATATTTAGGAGTAAACTTAAACAAAGAGGTGAAAGACTTGTACACTTAAACTGTAAAACATTGATGAAAGAAATTAAAGCAGATGGAAATAAACGGAAAGACTTTCTGTGTTAATGGAATAGAACAATTAATATTGTTAAAATATCCACACTACCTGAAGCAATCTATAGATTCAATACAATCTCTGTGAAAATCCCAACATCATTTTTTAAAGAAATTTTTAAAAATCCTAAAATTCATGTGGAGACACAAAGACTCATGAAGTGACATGGACAGGGGAAAAGGTGGCAAGAAGGTTTTATTTAGGAGGGAATAAATGCGGTTACACGCTAAAGGTTACACCCAATAGGGAGGACAAAGTTCATGTTATAGGTGAGAGAAAGGAGAGTTACCAGAGTAATTGCCTTTAGTAGAGAGGACGGGATGGAATCTGGTGCACAGGTGGAAGGGTTTACTTCTGTAGGAGCAGGATCAGGTCACCCAGTTTCAGGAGAAGTTAAAGGAAACTTAATCACAGATGCAGGTTGTATAGTGGTAGTGATGGGAGATTAAGGAATTCTCACCTGTTACCTTTCTCAGTAAAACAGGAAGCAACACAATAAACAGAGTGATAATAGAGAAGGATTATTTGAAGATTCAGACCACTTTTTCTATAGTCTGAATATTTTTACCATGTACAAAATTTATATTCCTAAGTATAAACTTTGGTTTTTATCAAAAATAAAATATTTTAAAACTCAATTTTTGACCCCCTTGCATTTGGGGTTCCAGATGTTTTGGATGCTGCCCATTTAATGCACTCATTTGAGATTTGAATATGTAGTAAGCTAGTTAAAGGGAGGCAGTAGGATAGGCTTCTGTTATACTAGGGGCGATTTGTTAGGTCCAAAGTGATTCCGGATCATCAACTTGATCCCAGGCACATGGCTAAAATTGTAGTGTTTTTCAGACAACAGATGGCTAAGATTGTAGCAAGAACAACTTCCCTGACAACATAGGTCACCTGTGTTAGTCTGTAAGTCATCTCTGGGTGTCCAGCCTATAGTCTGCTCTTCTAGACTTTGCAGTGATTTTGTGAACACCTCTCTTGATATTAAATGATGTTTTGTTTAAAATAGCTGGAATGGTTTCTTCTCTCTGACACAAAATCCTGATTGGTCTATGAAAAGACTGTCATTATTAAACTTACAGTGAAATCAATTGGCAATAAGGTCAAACATACAGCTAAAAGTCATAAAAATTTGCTAGGATTAATAATGAAGCTCCAGAAAAAAAAAGTAAAATTTTTTTTGATCTTTTTCAGTAAAAGTAACCAGCTTTCTTTTGCCACTCTCTGCTTATGTATGTAAGAAAAATTGGTAGTTTAATATCTTTCAAAGTGCACTTACAAATATAATATTTTCCTCTTAATGATATTTTTCAACTCTTTGATATCTGCATAGAATCTTGAGTTTACAGCCCTAAGTCATTTATGACCCTTCAGTAGAGGAATCACTCTTTTGCTTAAAGCCACAGAATGGCTTCTTATTGTAATTGTAATAAAATGAAAACTCACATTTACTATGTAGACCATATGTTTTTGACACTACCAGTATCTCTAACTTTAAGTTTAATCATTTTCACATTAAATTACTATATTCTTGGTAACATGGACTTTATTGTATTCTTCAAATATACCAAGTTCATCATCATCTTTGAGTTTTTGCACTGCCTGTGCCCTCTGTCTACCATACTATAGCCACAAATGTTTGCATGTTTGGCTTCTTCAGTTTATCCAGATATGATCCAAAATGTCAGCTCTTCAAGGCCTTTTTTTATTATTAAACACAAATTGGTTACTCCCAATCCAGAGTCACAGTTTATCATTTCACTTTTCGTTTTAGTTTTTACAGAGCAGTATCTCTTCCTGAAACTATGCTGTTTATTTTCTACCTTAACGGCGGTCTATTTTTACTAGGTTGTATCTCTTGGAGAGCAGATAGACCTTATCTGCCTCAATACTTTCTTTCTTCAGTTCCTAGAATAGTCCTGACAAATGGGAGGTATTCAATGATTGCAGTACTTGGAAATAAACAAATCAATTTCAGATAAAATTCTACAGTCTATTTTTATTCTTTTTTTTTTTTTTGCCCTTTTTCAGGCTATGTGTTTATTAAACACCTTTTTCATGGAAGCTTTCACTTCCTGGTTATGAAGGGTATAAATGACAGGATTCAACAAAGGAAGAATCACTGTGTGGAAGAGAGAAACCACCTTGTCGGCTGGGAAAGCCCTGAAGGGGCACGTGTAGATGAAGATGCCAGGTCCAAACATGAAGAATATAACAATGATATGGGTGGTGCATGTGGACATGGCCTTGTTTTTTGCCTCAGAAGAAGACGCTCGTATGCGACAAAGAATGACTGCATAGGAGGCCAGAAGTCCCAGAAAGCACATGAGTGTCATCAGGCCACTATTGAAGACCATCAGAAGCTCCACCACAAACATGTCGGTGCAAGCCAGCTTGATGACCTGTCGGACATCACAGAAGAAGTTGTCCAGCTGGTTTGGGCCACAAAAAGGCAAGCGGATGATGAGGACCACCTGGATAATGGAGTGGACAAAACCCCCAAGCCACAGAGCCAACATCATTGCATAGCAGGCTCTAGAGTTCATGACAGTTGAATACTGCAGAGGCAGGCAGATGGTGATGTAGCAGTCAAAGGCCATCACAACAAGGAGTAATCCCTCCCCTCCTCCAAGGAAGTGCAAGAAAAAGAGCTGAGTGATGCAGCCTCTGTAGGAGATTACCTTCTTCTCAGAGAGGAAGTCCACCAACATCCTGGGAGCCACAATGAAGGAGTAGGATGCATCCAGGAAGGCCAAGTTGCCCAGAAATAAATAGAGGGGGGCTGTGAGCCCAGGGTCTGACCTTATGGTGAAAATAATGAGAAAATTTCCAGGGAGGATGAAGAAGTAGAATATTAAAACTAGCACAAAGACCAGGAGCTAAATATCTCGAAACTGGGTCAAACGAAGGAGGATGAATTCTCTTATCACTGTTCTGTTCTCGCTTTCCATTTCCCTGGCCTGCAGTACATTAAGAAGCAGAATTAATTGTTATTGCTATGTCTTCCAACTAGATACTAGTTCTACAGCTAAAAAATATTTGGCACATATAGTACTTCAGCTAAAAACAACACTTCCCATCCCTCTCCTATTCTGGGGAAACTCTGTTACCTTAATTTCTCCAAATTTAAAATGAAAAATGAAAACAAAATATGGTTCTCAAAGCTACAGTTTTATTCCCATTCAACCATGTGCTTCTACAGAATCATTTTCCATGTTAGGAGTCTGGTATCCTCCACGTTGGGATTCCTACATTCCTAAATCATGTAAGTTTCCTAATGGAGACACAACCTAACTTCAAATCTGAAGGTCTTTGAGTTTTTTGGATATACTATGCTTGAGGGTTAGTTCTTTTCTTGGGATTAGACCCTTTTTCTCCTTGTCCACACCACCCTCAAATTTTCCTAGACAGTTTCTTCCCTCAATTCCTGTGTAATTCCCAGTTCCTAGCTGGTAACTCTCTTCCTTGCCCTCTGTCTTATCATCTAATTTACTTCTTACTATACTCCTTTTGGTCTGATATCCTTGAATACTCTTTTCCCAGACTGTTCACGAGAATCCCAAGCTATAGCTCCACTTTTGACCTAACACAGGCACAGTGCTCCAGCTGTAACTCTGTTTGAACACCACTCCTGTGGCCACTCCACACCTGCATGCAGCTTATTTAGCACTTTTTGAGTTTCAAATACTAATAAACTCACAACACATTTCTTTCTCTGTTCCAAGTATGACACCCAAGATACAGCCCTTTAACAAAAAATATGCTACAATATAAAATTTGCAAGTATAAAACTTTAAAATATCATTATCTCAACTCATAAGATCATAGCATAGATACACTGTAAGTAGCCATAAAGATACTGTAGTGTTATTCTTCCATTTCAAAGATGAGAAATAACCTGTAGTTATATTACTTAAGTTTAGAGTGAGTTTTATTTTTTGCTCTGCTTGATAAGTAGTAGGATAATGCAAGTGTATACTATTCAGTTTAAATAGATAAAGAATTTTTTAATCACAGCTTCAATGAATGAATGTTCTTTTTGTGCATCTGAATAACTAAAGATAATATTGCTAGTCTAAAATCACTCCCGTATTGCTTTGATTTGTAAGTTCAACCTTGTTTAAATAAAAAGAAAAACAATGTCCATTGTGAAGAAAATTCATATTTAAAATTCAGATTGTTTTCATGGGGTATACTCATTCCAGAAGGTGCACATGATAATCCACTGAAGTATAGAAAGAACATAGTAATTTATCTATATTTAGTCAGTGTATAACATTTTATATGTATCACTACATTTCATTCTTTTCTAAATTCACTTTTTAATATTTATAATGGATAACATAGTACAATGGTTTATATATACTTTATAAATAAATATGCATACATTTAAGGTTATATATTCAAAAAATGTCTTAGGGGAGTAAATTTTTTAAGTTTGAAAATTGTTGGCCTACAACAAAATACAAACTGTAATATAAAAGGATATTCTTAATATGATTTAACTAAACAGTGTATTTGTTTTAAATAAGTGCTCTAGCGGCCGGGCGTGGTGGCTTATGCCTGTAATCCCAGCACTTTGGGAGGCCAAGGCGGGTGGATCACGAGGTCAGGAGATCGAGACCATCTTGGCTAACATGGTGAAACCCCGTCTCTACTAAAAAAATACAAACAAATTAGCCGTAGTGGTGGTGGTTGCCTGTAGTCCCAGCTACTCAGGAGGCTGAGGCAGGAGAATGGTGTGAACCCGGGAGGCAGAGCTTTCAGTGAGCCGAGATCATGCCACTGCACTCCAGCCTGGGTGACAGAGCGAGACTCTGTCTCAAAATAAATAAATAAATAAATAAATAAATAAATAAATAAGTGCTCTAGCACATGGGGTACGGAAGGAAGGGAAAATCTTTGACAGAAAATGCTACTGCAACAGTACCTAGAAAAGAAAGACAAGAAGATAGAGGATGAGGGAAGAAAGAAGAGAGAAATAGAAAATCAGGCAAACAAACACCAAACAAGCAAACAAACAAGCAAACAAACACCAAAAGACAGACAGCACATCTATATAGTGTCATCTTAGGGTACATATTTTAAGAAGCATTAAAACTATCTGCTTTATGTATCCCTAGAGTGGAATAGAGTGGTTAATACAGAAATTTCTGGGTGTTACTGGCAGCCACATGTGGAATTTATGAAAGTCATATTTTAACACATCATCATATATACATATGCAAATACCACATGAACACACACGTATGCACACACATACAAACACATGCAAAATTGTAATAGGAAAAAATATTTTGTAGATCCTTCAAATGAGCTTTTCTGCTCATGTCTTAACCTTTTCCCCCTTTGCCAGCCATTTGTCTCAACATTTATTCTACTATCTGCCTATATAAATATTTCCTTAAATCAAGAGCCCCTTCTACAGTTGACAATTGAACAATGCAGGAGTTAAGGGGGCAGATCCCCTGTGCAATAAAAAATTAGCACATACCCTGACTCCCTAAAAACTTAGCTTCTAACGATTACTGTTGATCAGAAGCTTTGCTGGTAACATAAACAGTTGAATAACAAATATTTTTGTTTTATGTATTATATACTATATTCCTACAATAAATTAAGCTACAGAAAATAAAATATAACAAAATCATAAGGAAAGGAAGATATAAATACTGTTCATTAAGTGGAAGCAAATCATCATAAAGTTCTTATCGTTGTCGTCTTCCCACTGAGTAGGCTGAGGAGAAGGAAAAGGAAGGGTTCGTTTTGCTGTCTCAGGGGTGGCAGAGGTGGAAGAAAATCCACATATAAGTGGACACGTGTGGTTCAAACCCATGTTTTTCTGGAGTCAACTGTACTTACTTATATGTTTTATGCATCCCACATGCTAACATAGAGTGAGGTATTTCTTGATGTGTTAGCATTTAACAATATCCCTGAGACATTTGAGGATTTCTGAAGGACTTTGAAATTGAAGGTTATAAGCTCTTCCATTCTGCCTGTGTCCCAGCCTCACTGTTATTTTTCCACTGTTTCTTAACAGATGGGATTCTGTACTACTTGACATCTTGATCAACTTTCTTCCCTGTCCCACTTCCATCTTTGAATTATCTCTACCTTCTCTAAATTGTGGTTGGAATAGACGCGGAGACTAATCAGATGAGCATTCCTCTAAGCAAAATAAAATAAGTTTCTACCAAAAAAAAAAAATCCATAAATGATGACGTCATCAGAGTAAAGTGTTCTATTTTAGCCAAATTAGTAGAGAAAGTTCTGTCAAAACTCTGTACCATACCTTCCTCACTGTATCTCTAATCGTTCTTGCCACTTCAGCTAATTCGTGGATTGATCAGTTTCTGGCCATGATGACACACTGCAGAAATAGGGAAGATGAAGGAGAAGGGTTCACCACATTTGCAAGGTGGAGACACAGAAACATCTCCAGGCAACTCTGTGTGTGCATGCCTGGAGTCTGAGTGTGGTCAGATGGGCTGCTGGAGCCAAGTGTTTAGAGATCTTATGTGCTTACTCCGCCTCCTTCCTTATTTTTCTTTTTCTCTCTTTCTTTATTCATCAATAAGCAGTTCATTTTCTTTTTTTTTCTGGTTGTGATTTCTTTTCCCTGTTAATTTGTTGCCTGTTCTTTTCCCCTTCTCTGTTTCTTTCTGGCTCTATTTATTTTGTTCTCTTTAAATATTGTTCTTTATTTTTTTTTCTTTCTTCTCCCTTACATTTATCTATGTTTTTTCACTCTGATATGTTTTCACTCTCTCCACTTTTTGTCTATGTTCATGGCTACTCCATTCTACCCACACCTGTCTTGCTAATGCATCTAAAAACAAAACGAAACAAGAAACAGAAAATCTCGTTGTCATTTGCTTTTCCAACAAGACTGAGAAATGTGTGTGCTTCCCACCATCTTCCATTTTAAATGTTAAGTCTACAAAATGAAAATATATAATTCACTCTTCAGTAATAACCATTTACTTTTAAGTGGTATTCTTGCAATTGGCCAACGCTGAGTCATTTATCAACTACTTCATATATATGTAGTGAACCTGATAAAAATGAGATGATTCACCTTTTTTTTAAAAAAAAGTTAATTTCATTAGTAGCATCCTAATGAAATAAATATATTGAATGTAAATTTCAAAAATAGAGATGTAATATTAGTAGTAATAATTTACTAACTACACAAGGTTAGTAAATTATTTGAGTATGAAATAAGTTTTATATTTTCTAAAAAGTGTGAATCAGGCTGAGAACATAATAGAAAATTTAATTTATACTGATGCTGATGCTGAGTATATAAAGCACTAAACAAATGTGTAGATTCTTAGCCAGAAAATTTATTCATCAATCAAATGAGATGGCCAGATTAAATGCCCTCTAAATTCCATTTGAATGCCAGTTTTTTAGGCAATGTAATAACATAAAAGGATCCCTGGTTTGGGAATCATTTATCTGACTCTCATGCCTTGACTGAGCAATTAACTTACTGTGTGATTCTGGCAAAGTCACTTAGCTTTCAGAAGCCTGAGTTTTCATCTACCAAATAGTTTAATGTATTGACTCTTTGGGTCTGATGGGGGTAACATGAGGATCAAATGAGGTGATGATGGTATTAATATGTAATTCATTCAAGTATGCTTCAACCAAAGTTAATCCTGAAAATATTTAGATGTTAAAAGTAGTTATATTGAATGGACAGAATGCTGCTAGATCTTTTGTCAATGTCTTTGAGTAACCCCTGGGATAATGGTAGTTGCATAAATCTGAATGGTTAATAGAAAGAAGCTGTGGAGGGTCAGTAATGCCTTCATGTAAAATTGCCAATACAGCTAGTAGTTTGTATATCAAGCTTTTTTTCAGTTCTACAGCTTTCTGTCAAAATTCTATGAATGAATGATAGAACCATATGTAACAGAAGAAACTTTCATACCTGCTGAATGTGAAAATGAAGAGGTCAAGGACTTACCTTCCGCAAAATCATAAAATCTGTTAAGTTTTTCTCTGGAGCTTTTAGCCAACCATTTCTGCATCCTCCTCCCCTTTCTTCCATATTTAATAAGGAAAATGATACATATCAGTCATTTGTATGATTTTTTGTTTTTTAACACCAGATGTCAATTCTCTTGAGTCTATGGAAAATTATAATAGAATTAAAGGTTTAGTTCACCAGTAAAGTAATCCCAAGCATTAAATGCAGATGGAGATCTATTAGGAGAGAGAATACACAGTGCCCCACTGCTGAATTTAGACCTTAGCCTGTGGCTATTCCTGCTAATACTCTGACCTGTCTATTCAACTGCAATCTAAGATATCAGGTGAACAAGTAAAATAGTTGCAATATTTTTTCTATTGTCTCTTTCTTCTTGTTTCTTGTATATATATGAAGAGCTCCAGAAATTTAAGCCTTCAGGGATCTTATGTTACTCTCACAAAGTAGCCATCCTCCCTCTCCTAGTAAGACTAACCAATTTTGCCATTGTTCATAAATGTTCATTGCCACATGAGGAACCTTAGATTTTAAAATCTCTCTATTGTAATGGAGAAAGTGCTTTTGAGATTTGAGACTACCGTGACCCACTGAATGCTTCCAAAGGGAGTTATTAGGCAAACTATATTAGTTATCAACTAAATAAGGCAAAGAAAAATACCAGAGCTTTGCAAGAACTAATTTTTTTTAAATGTGCTACATAATGCCAAGCTGACTTCCTTTCTAGTTCTAAAACAAAAATTCTACTGTGAAAAAGACAGAACCCTATTCAGAAGCATACTTTTTAGTCCAGAAGTAAATAGAAGTTTGAGAGAAGTAAATTTACATGTTATAATAAAATTCAAAAGGAGAAAAATATTAAATAAATGATGAGAGATTATTGCTTTGTACCACAAAAGCAAGCAGGGGTAGGATGAGGCAAAAATTACATATATACATATATATATATATATATATATATATATATATATATATATATATATGACTAGACTCAAATTTTTCAATTAAAGGCTTCACCAAACTTTAGAGGGTGGCTGGCAAGATGGCCAGATAAGAGCAACTCCAGTCTGCAGCTCCCAGCAAGACCAACGCAGAAGGTGGGTGATTTCTGCATTTCCAACTGAGGTACCCGGCTCATCTCATTGGGACTGGTTAGACAGTGGGTTCAGCCTACGGAGGATGAGCCAAAGCAGGGTGGGGCATCACCTCACCCGGGAAGTGGAAGGGTTCAGGGAACTCCCTCCCCGGCCAAGGGAAGCCATGAGAGACTGTGCCAAGAGGAATGGTGGATTCTGATCCACATACTAGGCTTTTCCCATGGTTTTTGCAACCTGCAGACCAGGAGATTCCCTTGGGTGCCTACACCACCAGGGCCCTGGGTTTCAAGCACAAAACTAGGCAGCCATTTGGGCAGACACTGAGGTAGAAGCAGGAGTTTTTTTCATACCCCAGTGGCACCCGGAATGCCAGCAAGATAGAACGATTCACTCCCCTGGAAATGGGGCTGAAGCCAGGGAGTCAAGTGGTCTATCTCAGTGGATCCCACCCCCATGGAGCCCAGCAAGCTAAGATCCACTGGCTTGAAATTCTTGCTGCCAGCACAGCACTCTGAAGTTGACCTGGGACACTCGAGCTTGGTTGGGGTAGGGGCATCCGCCATTACTGAGGCTTGAGTAGGCACTTTTCTCTTCACAGTGTAAATAAAACCACCAGGAAGTTTGAACTGGGCAGAGCCCACTGCAACCCAGCAAAGCAGCTATAGCCAGACTGCTTCTCTAGATTTCTCCTCTCTGGGCAGGGTATCTCTGAAAGAAAGGCAGCGTCCCCAGTCAGGGGCTTATAGATAAAAATCCCATCTCCCTGGGACAGAGCACCTGGGGGGAAGGGCGGCTGTGGGCACAGCTTCAGCAGACTTAAATGTTCCTGCCTGCCATCTCTGAAGGGAGCAGCAGATCTCCCAGCAAAGCGCTTGAACTCTGCTAAGGGACAGACTGCCTCCTCAAGTGGCTCCCTGATGCCTGTGCCTCCTGACTGGGAGACACCTCCTAGCAGGGGTTGACAGACACCTCATACGGGAGATCTCCAGCTGGCATCTGGCTGGTGCCCCTCTGGGACAAAGCTTCCAGAAGAAGGAACAGGCAGTAGTCTTTGCTGTTCTGCAGCATCTGCGATGACACCCAGGTAAACAGGGTCTGGAGTGGACCCGCAGCAAACTCCAGCAGACCTGCAGCAGAAGGGCCTGACTGTTAGAAGGAAAACTAACAAACAGAAAGAAATAGCATCAACATCAACAAAAAGGATGTCCACCCAAAAACACCAACTGAAGGTCACCAACATCAAAGAACAAAGTTAGATAGGTCCAAGAAGATGAGGAAAAACCAGAGCAAAAAGGCTGAAAATTCCAAAAACCAGAACACCTCTTCTCCTCCAAAGTATCACAACTCCTTGCCAGCAAGGGAGCAAAACTGGATGGAGAATGAGTTTGACAAGTTGACAGAAGTAGGCTTCCAAAGATGGGTAGTAACAAACTCCTCTGAGCTAAAGGAGCATGTTCTAACCCAAAACAAGGAAGCTAAGAACCTTGAAAAAGGTTAGAGGAATTGATAACTAAAATAACCACCTTAGAAAAGAACATAAATAACCTGATGGAGCTGAGAAACACAGCACGAGAACTTCATGAAGCATACACAAGTATCAATAGCCAAATCAATTGAGTGGATGAAAGGATACCAGGGATTGAAGATCAACTTAATGAAATAAAGCGTGAAGACAAGATTGGAGAAAAAAGATTGAAAAGGAATGAACAAATCCTCCAAGAAATATGGGACTATGTGAAAAGACCAAACCTACGTTTGATTGGTGTACCTGAAAGTGACGGGGAGAATGGAACCAAGTTGGAAAACACTCTTCAGGATATTATCCAGGAGAACTTTCCCAACCTAGCAAGACAGGCCAGCATTCAAATTCAGGAAATACAGAGAACACCACAAAGATACTCCTCGAGAAGAGCAACCCCAAGAAACATAATTGTCAGATTCACCAAGGTTGAAATGAAGGAAAAAATGTTAAGGTCAGCCAGGAAGAAAGGTCAAGTAGTTACCCACAAAGGGAAGTCCATCAGACTAACAGTGGATCTCTCTGCAGAAACCCTACAAGCCAGAAAGAAGTGGGGGCCAATATTCAACGTTCTTAAAGAAAAGAATTTTCAAACCAGAATTTAATATCCAGCCAAACAAAGTTTCATAGATGAAGGAGAAATAAAATCCTTTACAGATAAGAAAATACTAACAGATTTTTGTCACCACCAGGCCTGCCTTACAAGACCTCCAGAAGGAAGCACCAAATATGGAAAGAAAAACTGGTACCAGCCACTGCAAAAACATACCAAATTGTAAAGACTATTGAAGCTATGAAAAAACTGCATCAACTAACAGGCAAAATAACCAGATAACATCATAATGACAGGATCAAATTCACACATAACAATGTTAACCTTAAATGTAAATGGGTTAAGTCCCCAGTTAGAATACACAGACTGGTAAATTGGATAGAGACTCAAGACCCATTGGTGTGCTGTATTCAGGAGACCCATCTCACGTGCAAAGACACACATAGGCTCAAAATGAAGGGATGGAGGAAGATTTACCAAGCATATTGAAAGCCAAAAAAAAGCAGGGGTTGCAATCCTAGTCTCTGATAAAACAGACTTTAAACCAACAAAGATCAAAAAAGACAAAAAAGGGCATTACATAATGGTAAACGGATCAATGCAACAAGAAAAGCTAACTATCCCAAATATGTATGCACCTAATACAGGAGCACCCATATTCATAAAGCAAGTCCTTAGAGATATACAAAGAGACTTACATTCCCACACAATAATAGTGGGAGACTTTAACACCCCACTGTCAATATTAGACAGATCAAGAGACAGAAAATTAACAAGGACATTCAGGACTTGAACTCAGCTCTGGACCAAGCAGAACTAATAGACATCTACAAAACTCTCCACCCCAAATCAACAGAATATACATTCTTTTCAGCACCACATCACACTTATTATAAAATTGACCACATAATTGGAAGTAAAACACTCCTCAGCAAATGCAAAAGAACAGAAATCATAACAAATAGTCTCTCAGATCACAGTGCAATCAAATTAGAACTCAGGATTAAGAAACTCACTCAAAACTGCACAACTGCATGGAAACTGAACAACCTGCTCCTGAATGACTACTGGGTAAATAACGAAATTTAGGCAGAAATAAATAAGTTCTTTGAAACCAATGAGAACAAAGACACAATGTACGAGAATCTCTGGGACACAGCTAATGCAGTGTTTACAGGAAAATTTATAGCACTAAATGCCAACAGCTTAAAGCAGCAAAGATCTAAAATCAACACCCTAACATTACAATTAAAAGAACTAGAGAAGTAAGAGCAGACAAATTCAAAAGCTAGCAGAAGACAAGAAATAACTAAGATCAGAGCAGAACTGAAGGAGATAGAGACACAAAAAACCCTTCAAAAAATCAATGCATCCAGGAGCTGGTTTTTTGAAAACATTAACAAAATAAATAGACCACTAACCAGACTAATGAAGAAAAGAAAGAAGAATCAAATAGACACAATAGAAAATGATAAAGGGGTATCACCACTGATCCCATAGAAATACAAACTACCATCAGAGAATACTACAAACACCTCTACACAAATAAACTAGAAAATCTACAAGAAATGGATAAATTCCTGGGCACATACACCCTCCCAAGACTGAACCAGGAAGAAGTCAAATCCCTGAATAGACAAATAACAAGTTCTGAAATCGAGGCAGTAATTAATAGCCTACCAACCAAAAAAAAGTCCAGGACCAGACAGATTCACAGCCAAATTCTACCAGAGGTACAAAGAGGAGCTGGTACCATTCCTTCAGAAACTATTACAAACAATAGAAAAAGAGGGACTCCTCCCTAACTCATTTTATGAGGCCAGCATCATCCTGATACCAAAACCTGGCAGAGACACACATAAAAAAGAAAATTTCAGGCCAATATCCCTGATGAACATCAATGCAAAAATCCTCAATAAAATACTGGCAAACCGAATCCAGCAGCACATCAAAAAGCTTATCCACCATGATCAAGTTGGCTTCATCCCTGGAATGCAAGGCTGGTTCAACATACCCAATCAGTAAACATAATCCATCACATAAACAGAACCAATGACAAACATCACATGATTATCTCAATAGATGCAGAAAAGGCCTTCAGTAAAATTCACCCCTTCATGCTAAAAACTCTAAATAAACTAGGTATTGATGGAACGTATCTGAAAATAATAAGAGCTATTTATGACACACCCACAGCCAATATCATACCGAATGGGCAAAAGCTGGAAGCATTCTCTTTGAAAACCAGCACAAGACAAGGATGCCTTTTCTCACCATTCTTATTCAACACAGCATTGGAAGTTCTGGCCAGGGCAATCAGGGAAGAGAAAGAAATAAAGCGTATTCAAATAGGAAGAGAGGGAGGTAAATTGTCAAAGTTTGCAGATGACATGATTGTATATTTAGAAAACCCCATCATCTTAGCCCAAAATCTCCTTAAGCTCATAAGCAACTTCAGCAAAGTCTCAGGATACAAAATCAATGTGCAAAAATTACAAACATTCCTATATACCATTAATAGATAAACAGCCAAATCATGAGTGAACTCCCATTCACAACTGCTACAAAGAGAATGAAATACCTACGAATACAACTAACAAGGGATATGAAGGACCTCTTCAAGGAGAATTACAAACCACTGCTCAAGGAAAAAGAGAGGACACAAATGGAAAAACGTTCTGTGCTCATGGATAGGAAGAATCAATATCATGAAAATGGCCATACTGCCCAAAGTAATTTACAGATTCAATGCTATCCCCATCAAGCTACCATTGATTTTCTTCACAGAATTAGAAAAAACAACTTTAAATTTCATACAGAACCAAAAAAGAGCCTGTATAGCCAAGACAATCCTAAGCAAAAAGAAAGAGGCATCACACTACCTGACTTCGAACTATACTACAAGGCCGCAGTAACCAAAACAGCATGGTACTGGTACCAAAACAGATATATAGACCAATGGAACAGAAAAGAGGCCTTAGAAATAATGCCACACATCTACAACCATCTGGTCTTTAACAAGCCTGACAAAAGCAAGCAATGGGAAAAGGATTCCCTATTTAATAAATGGTGTTGTGAAAACTGGCTAGACATATGCAGAAAACTGAAACTGAACCCCTTCCTTACACCTTATACAAAATTAACTCAAGATGGATTAAAGGAGTAAATGGAAAACCTAAAACCATAAAAACCCTAGAAGAAAACCTAGGCAATACCATTCAGGACATAGGCATGGGCAAAGACTTCATGACTAAAACACCAAAACCAATGGCAACAAAAGCCAAAATTGACAAATGAGATCTAATTAAACTAAAGAGCTTCTGCACAGCAAAAAAACAAACAAACAAACAAACAAACAAAAAAAAACCTCTCATCAGAGTGGACAGTCAACCTACAGAATGAGAGGAAATTTTTGCAATCTATCCAGCTGACAAAGGGCTAATATCTAGCATCTACAGGGAACTTAAACAAATTTACAAGAAAAAAAACAACCCTATCAAAAAGTGAACAAAGGATATGAACAGACACTTCTCAAAAGAAGACATTTATGCAGCCAACAAACATATGAAAAAAAAGCTCATCATCACTGGTCATTAGAGAAATGCAAATCAAAACCACAATGAGATACCATCTCATGCCAGTTAGAATGGTGATCATTAAAAGGTCAGGAAACAGCAGATGCTGGAGAGGATGTGGAGAAATAGGAACCCTTTTACACTGTTGGTGGGAGGGTAAATTAGTTCAACCATTGTAGAAGACAGTGTAGCGATTCCTCAAGGATGTAGAACCAGAAATACCATTTGACCCAGCAATCCCATTACTGGGTATATACCCAAAGAATTATATATCATTCTACTATAAAGACACATGCACATGTATGTTTACTGTGGCACTGTTCACAATAGCAAAGACTTTGAACCAACCCAAATGCCCATCAATCATAGACTGGATAAAGAAAATGGGTCACATATACTTTATGGAATACTATGCAGCCATAAAAAAGGATGAGTTCATGTCATTTGCAGGGATATGGATGAAGCTAGAAACCATCATTCTCAGCAAACTAACACAGGAACAGAAAACCAAACACCACATGTTCTTACTCTTAAGTGGGAGTTGAACAGTGAGAACACAGGGACACAGGGAGGGGAATATCCCACACGGGGGCCTGTCACAGGGTGGGGGGCTAGGGGAAGGATAGCATTAGGAGAAATACCTAATGTAGGTGACAGGTTGATGGGTGCAGCAAACCACCATGGCACATATTTACCTATGTAACAAACCTGCATATTCTACGCATGTATCCCAGAACTTAAAGTATAATTTTTAAAAAAGACTTCACCAATATTATTTATTTTTCCTGTTGCCTCAGGTTCCAACATGGCTCAACATGGCAGTTGCTGATCCTGCCTTTGCTTAAAATTTGGTACTTTATCACAAATTTTAAAATTAATTTTGATTTCTCAAAATATTGATTTAAATGTTTATCTCTACTATTGAGTTTTTGGGCACGCCTTTAAATTTTGCATGCAAGATAAGCACCTTACTCAGTTGTAGGATGTTGACGGTGATAAGGACATTAGCAAAGGAAATATTGAAAAGCTCATGAATACTGCTGCATAATTCTTCTTAGAGAAAATAGTTTCTTAGTATAGGATAGAACAATTGCTAAAGGGAAGGTGATCTCCTACATAGCATGAAAAGATGTGTCATGCTCTTGGTATTTGTAATTTGTTCCCTTTCACTCTGCTCAACTAAAACAAGGATGAAAAACATTTTTCCATTAAAGATTATTAATTTTAAAAATTATTTGAGTCAGAAAAAATAAATGCAAATTAATTTTATTAATTTTATTTAAAAATTAGTTTAATCTTTTGCTTTAAAGAAAACACTGAGTTTATGGGTCACTTTACAAGTGAAATAAGAACACAGATTTGGGGGTAATAAACATAATTTATCACCAAATACATTTGTTTTAATTTATTTCACAGTTCAAAAACAAAGTGTAACAGTAGAAAAAGGAAAGAAAGAAGAAAGGAGAGAGAGAGAAGTACAGAAAAAGTTACAATAATCAAAATAAAAATCAAGAGAAAAGGGAAAAGAAAGACTAGCAGAGACATAAATGGAAAGATAGTCGTATGACTTAAAAACAAATGGTGAAGAGACAGAGAGATACTAGTCCATGAGGAGAGCAAGACCATCCAGAGGCAAAACTCCTTATCCAAGGAATTCAGAAGTAATTAGACATCCCTATTATGTAAAGCTGGCATCTGGTATGAGATTTCTTTTCCAAAAATTTGTGAGTAACCAGAATTTCTATGCATCTCTGGAATGCATGTATTCTAAACTCATTGTGCAATCCCTGCTGACATCAAGGCACCAAAATGTCTATAAATGTAATTGTTTACCATGACCTATGTGGCTAATATGGTAAAAATTACCCTTAAGCTCCCACTTTAAGGTCCATAAATACCCTAAGGAAAAATCTACTGCAGTGGCGTCCTCAGTCCTCTCTTGCTGAGGAGCCCTGCTGCACTCCTCTGCAGCGTTCTTTCCATCTAATACAACTTTCCTTTTCAAATCTATACAGTTGTTGGTAAATTCTTCTTACTACCCACAAGCCAACCACACTCCACTGTCTGGGCTGTGACAGCTCGCATGGCAGTCCATATAAATGCACAGTCTACAAATCCATATAACCATAAAAAGAAAACAATGATAAAGAGAGCTGCACAGAGGAAAATAGAGAAAGGAAGCAAAATGAATGAGGTTAGATACGTTCTTAAGTGGAATAACAACCCCATCTTGGAGTAGGTTAGTCTTGCCACCAAAACTTTTAAAAACATGATTTTTTTTCATAATTGTGCATATAATCCAGGATCTTACTCACCTCTTAATGTTCACTCTAATAGATAAGATAAAATTAATCTGAAGATCTAAAATAGTCCTCAAAATGGAGACTTTTTAATCCTTCTAGGAAAGTTTTATCACCTTGGATAGATTTTCTCTTCTAGATAATCTTGAATTAATTTTACAATGAAAAGTATTACTGGTATTTTATTAAATTGTATTCTATTTATGCATTGACATGTATATATTCAATATTATTTTTAACCAACAAGAGTTTGTCTCTGAATTTATTCATTTTTTTCTCAAAAAAATGACCACTTTTTATATGAAAAGATACTTCCCAAAAGAAAACATGTATACGGCCAATAAGCATATGAAAAAAAAAATGCTCAGCTTGACTATTCATTAGAGAAATGCAAATCAAAACCACAATGAGATACCATCTCACACCAGTCAGAAGGACTATTATTAAAAAGTCAAAGAATGGCTGGGCACGGTGGCTCACGCCTATAATCCCAGCACTTTGGGAGGCCGAGGTGGGCAGATCACGAGGTCAGGAGATCGAGACCATTCTGGCTAACACGGTGAAACCCCGTCTGTAATAAAAAATACAAAAAAAAAAATTACCTGGGCGTGGTGGCGGGCGCCTGTAGTCCCAGCTACTCAGGAGGCTGAGGCAGGAGAATGGCGTGAACCTGGGAGGCGCAGCTTGCAGTGAGCCGAGATCGCGCCACTGCACTCCAGCCTGGGCGACAGAGCGAGACTCCGTCTCAAAAAAAAAAAAAAAAAAGAAAAGAAAAAAAAAGAAAAGTCAAAAAATAAAAATTCAAAGAGAATTTTTTTTTCTTTTTTTACTTTTATGGCATGACTTCTAGTATTTTTATATCCTTAACACTTTATACAAAAAAATCAAAGGAAGAAGAATAATAACATTTAAGTTTACTTTGTTTCGTTTTTCAGAGTTAATAGTTGTTTCACATTCTCACCAAGATTTAGTTTTTAAATGTTGATCTTGTATCCTGCAACCCTTGATAAATTTCCTTGTAAATTCTAGTTCTTTAAAGACACCATAGTATGCTCTACACATACATTTCTTCTATGAATAAATAGATTTTTATTTTTTTCTTCCTAATATTAATACCTTTAAAAAAAACTTTATTTCAGTGGTTAGCACATGTTGAATAGAAGTGGTGAGAGCATGGATACTTGCATTCTTCCTAATCTTAAGGGGGCATGCATTCAAGATTTTATCATATGTTATAATGGTTGCTATAGGTTTTTCATAATTGCCCTTTATTGGACTGGAGAGGTTCCCTTTCATTTCCAATGTACTTAGAATTTTTTACAGACATGAATGGATGTTAAAACAGATGATTTTCTGCCTCTATTGGCAAGATCATATCATTTTTCCACCTTCATTCAGTGAATATAGCAATTAACTTGATTGATTTTCAAATGTTAAGCCAACTATGCGTTTTTGGGATACATCCCATCTGGTCACAACTTTTTATGTATTGTCATGTTCGGATTGCTAATGCTTTGTTTTAAAATTTTATGTGTAGCCGGGCAGGGTGGCTCACGCTTGTAATCCCACCACTTTGGGAGGCCGAGGAGGGCGAATCATGAGGTCAGGAGATCGAGACCATCCTGGCTAAGACGGTGAAACCCCGTCTCTACTGAAAATACAAAAAATTAGCCGGGCTTGGTGGTGGGCGCCTGTAGTCTCAGCTATTTGGGAGACTGAGGCAGGAGAATGGCATGAACCCGGGAGGTGGAGCTTGCAGTGAGCCGAGATCGCACGACTGCACTCCAGCCTGGGTGACAGAGTCAGAGTCCGTCTCAAAAAAATAAAAATAAAATTGTATGTGTATGTTTTTGAGAAATCATCTTTTCTTGTAATGCAAAATCCTTGCAATGCAAAATCCTGTGTCAGATTTTGGTATCAGGGTTATACTGACCTCATAAAGAAAGTTGGGCAATGGTATCCTTTCTTCTATTTTATGAACGAGTTTAGATACAATTGGCATTACCCGTTTCTTACATATTTTAGAAAACTCCCTGGTTGAGCCATATGAACCTGGAATTTTCTTAGTAGAAAGTTTTCAGCTCTACATTCATTTCCTTTTAAAATATATTCCTATTTAGATTTTGTATATCTTGATGTGTCAGTTTTGGCAAATGTGTTTTGTCATATTGCTATTCTTCATATTCCCTTATTATCCCTTCAGTTTCTTTAGGACTAATAGTGCTTCTCTTGTTATTCTTAATGTTGGTAGTTTGTGTGTTTCTCTTTTAAAATTCATCATTCTACTAGGGGTTTATCAATTTTGGTAATCATTTCAAAATACCAATTTTTGGCTTTTAAATTTTTTTCTAATGTTTGTCTACTTTATGTTTCATTAATTTTGACTCTTTTCCTTTTATCTCTTTCTTGCAAAGGACATGATCTCATTCTTTTTATGACTACATAGTATTCCATTGTGTCTGTGTACCACATTTTCTTTATACAGTTTACCATTGATGGCAACTTTGCTATTGAGAATAGTACTGTGTTGAACATATGTGTGCATATGTCTTTATGGTAAAATGATTTATATTCCTTTGGATATGTGCCCAATAATGAGATTGCTAGGTTAAATGATAATTCTCTTTTAATTTCTTTGAGAAATTGCCACGCTGCTTTCCACAATGGCTGAACTAATTTACATTCCCACCAGCAGCGTATAAGTGTTCCCTCTTCTCTGAAACCTCACTAGCATGTTATTTTTTGACTTTTTAATAATAACCATTCTGACTGCTGTGAGTTGGTATCTCGTTGTGGTTTTGATGTGCTTAGCGATGTCGAGCATTTTTTCATATGCTTCTTGGCTGCATGTAGGTCTTTGAAAAGCCTTTGTTCATGTCCTTTGCCCAATTTTTAAAGAGATTGTTTTTTGCTCGATCATTTAAGTTCCTTGTAGATTCTGGATATTAGACCTTTGTTGGGTGCATAGTTTGCAAATATTTTATCCCATTTTGTGGGTTGTCTGTTGACTCTGTTGACAGTTCATTCTGCTCTGCAGAAGCTCTTTAGTTTACTTAGGTCTCATTTGTCAATTTCTGGTTTTTGTGGTCAATGTTTTTGGTGTCTTCACCATGAAATACTAGCCAGGGCCTATTTGAGAATGGAATTTCCTAAGTTATCTCCTGGGGTTTTTATAGTTTGCGGTTTTACATTTAATTCTCCAATCCATGTTGAACTGATTTTTGTAGGGTGCAGCACACCAACATGGCACATGTATACATGTGTAACAAAACCTGCACGTTGTGCACGTGTACCCTAAAACTTAAAGTATAATAGTAACAAAATAAAATAAAATAAAACAAATGGAAAAGAAAGAAGGGGTTACATTTCAGTCTTTTGCATGTGGCTTGCCCATTATCCCAGCACCATTTATTGAATAGAAAGTCCTTTCCCTACTGCTTGTTTGTATCCTCTTTGTGAAAGTTCAGATGGTTATAGGTGTGCAGCACTATTTCTGGCCTCTCATTATGTTCCATTGGTTTATGTGTCTGTTTTTGTACCAGTATCATGCTGTTTTGGTTACTGTAGCCTTGTAGTATAGTTTGAGGTTGGGTAATATGATGCCTCCAGCTTTGTTCTTTTTTGCTTAGGATTGCCTTATTTGCCCATTTTTAAGTGGATTTTTTTTGTTTTGTTTTTTTGCTTGTTGCTTTGTTTAAGTTCTTTATACTTTCTGGATATTAGACCTTTGTTTGGAAGCATAGCTTGTGAGTATTTTCTCCCATTCTGTAGGTTTTCTGCTTACTCTATTGATAGTTCCTTTTGCTGTGCAGAAGCTCTTTTGTTTAATGAGGTCCCACTTGTCAACTCTAGTTTTTGTTGCAATTACCTTTGAGGACTCAGCCAAAAATTCTCTGCCAAGGCTGTGGCTGAGAAGAGTATTTCCTAGGTTTTCTTCTAGGATTTCTATAGGCTGAGGTCTTAAATTTAAATCTGTAATCGATTTTGAGTTGATTTTTGTATATGGTGAAAAATAAGGGTCAAGTTTCACTTTTTTTTGTATCTGACTAGCCAGTTATCCCAGCACCATTTATTGAATAGAGAGACCTGAGAGTTAGCTTGGTTGAATGTTCTTAGGCTCCAGACTCAAGCCCACAACTTTCCTCAGTAGGGGCTTCTAAACAGAGAGTCTTTTCTCCATTGCTTATTTTTGTCTGCCTTGTTGAAGAGCTGATGGTTGTAAGTGCATGGATTTATTTCTGGGTTTTCTATTCTGTTCTATGGGTCTATGTGTCTGTTTCTGTACCAGTAGCATACTGTTTTGGTTACAATGGCCTTATAGTTTGAGTAGTGTGATGCCTCTAGTTTCATTCTTTTTACATTTTTTTCAATTTTTCTGGGTACAGAGTAGGTGCATATGTTCATGTGGTACATTTTGCATGGGATTGTTTTGACTATTCAGGCTTTTTTGGCTCTGTATGAATTTTCTATCTTTTTTTCTAATTCTGAGAAGAATGGTGTTGGTGGTGAGATAGGAATACCATTAAACTGTTGATTGCTTTGGGCAGTGTGGCCATTTTAACTATATTGATTCTTGTAATCTATTAGTATGGAATGTTTTTCCATTTATTTCTGTCATCTCTGATTTCTGTCAGCAGTGTTTTTGCCATTAATTTTGTAGAGGGTTTTCTGGTTAACTGTATTCCAAGGTATTTAATTTTCTTTGTGCCTATTGTAAATGGGATTGTGTCCTTGATTTCACTCTCAGCCTGGACATTATTGATGTATGGAAATGCTATTGATTTTTATACAATGATTTCATGTCCTGAAACCTTCCTAAAATTGTATGTCAGTTCTAGTTGCCTTTTTGTGAAAGCTAGTTTTCTAAGTATAGAATTATATCATCAGTGAATAGAAATAGTTTGACTTCTTATTTTCCTATTTGGATATCTTTTATTTCTTTCTTTTGCATAATTGCTGTGGCTAGGACTTCAAGTACTCTGTTGAAGAAGTGTGGTGAGAATGTACATCCTTGTCCTTTACCAGTTCTTAAGGGGAATACTTCCAGCTTTTGCCCATTCAGTATCATGTTGGCTGTGGGTCTGTCATAGATGGCTCTTATTGTTTTGAGGTATATTCCTTCAAAATCTAGTCTGTTAAGGGTTTTTATCATGAAGGGATGTTGGATATTATTGAATGCTTTTTCTGCATCTATTGAGATGATCATGTGGTTTTTGTCTCTTATTATGTTTATGTGATGAATCACATTTATTGATTTGCATACATTGAATCAGCCTTACCTCTCGGGAATAGTACCTACTTGATCACAGTGTGTTAACTTTTTGATGTGCTGATGGATTCAATTAGCTAATATTTTGTCGATGATATTTGCATCTGTATTCATAAGGGATATTGCCCTGATGATTTGTTTTTTGTTCTGTCCCTGCCAGGTTTTGGTATCAGGATGATACTGGCTTCATAGAATGAGTTAGGGAGGAGCTCCTACTCCTCAATTTTTTGGAATAGTTTCAATAAAATTGGTAGAGTTCTTTTTTTAACTCTGGTAGAATTCAGCTGTGAATCTATCTGGCCCAGGACTTACTTTGGTTGGTAGGTTTTTTTATTATTGATTCTGTTTCACAGCTTGATGTTGGTCTAATCAGGGTTTCAATCTCTTCCAGGGATTCAATCTTGGGAGATTGTGTGTTTCCATGAATTTATCCATTTCTTCTAGATTTTCTAATTTGTATGCATAAAGTTGCTTATAGTATTCTTTGAGTATCTTTTGTATTTCTGTGGGATCAGTTGCAACATCATTTTTGTTATTTCTGATTGTACTCATTTGGGTCTTCAGCTTTTTTTCTATGTTAATCTAGCTAGCAATCTACCAATTTTGTTTATTTTTATTTTGAAGGACCAATTATTGGTTTCGCTGACCTTTTGTACATATTTTTGCATCTCACTTTCATTAAGTTTTTCTCTATTTGTAGTTATATCTGTTCTTCTGCTAGCTTTGAGCTTTTTTTTTTCTAGTTCCTTTAGGTACAAAGTTGGATTATTAAATTCAGATTTTTCTAACTTCTTGATGAAGGTATTTAGTGCTATAATCTTTCCTCTTATTATCTTATTTACTTATTTATATAAAAAGTTTTATTTCCTGCTTTAGCTTCATTTCAGAGATTTTGGTTAGTTGTGTCCCTGTTTTAATTTCAAAGAATTTTTTTGATTTTTGCCTAATTTCAGTGTGGACCCATGAGTTATTCAGGAGCAAGTTGTTTACTTTCCATGAATTTGTGTACTTTTGAGAGACCTTCTTGACGTTTATTTCTAATTTTATTGCACTGTGGTTCAAGAATGTGCCTGGGATGATTTCAGTGTTTTTGAATGTATTCAGACTTGCTTTCTGACGAAGCGTGTGGTTGATCTTACAATATGTTCCATGTGTAGATGAGAATGAATATTCTATGGTTGTTGGATGGAGTGTTCTGTAGATGTTTATTAAGTCCAATTAGTCAAGTGTCAAATTTAAGTCCAGAATTTCTTTGTTCGTCTTCTGCCTTAACGATCTAAAACCATCAGTGGAGCAGTGAAGTCTCCCAGTATTATTGTATGATTGTCTAAGTCTTTTTGTAGGCCAAGAAAAACTTGTTTTATGAGTCGGGTGCTCCAATGTTCAGTGTGTATACATTTAGGATAAAGTCTTCTTGTTGAACTGAACCCTTTATCATTATGTAATGCCCTTCTTTGTCCTTGGTAATTGTTGTTGGTTTGTTTTATACGCTATAAGAAATAGTGACCCCTACTATTTTTTGTTTGTTTTTTGTTTACATGACAAATCTTTCTGCATCCCTTTACTTTGACCCTGTGGGTTTCATTACATATGAGATTGGTCTCTTCAAGACAGCAGACAGTGGTGTCTTGCCTTTTTATCCAACTTACCACTCTATGCCTTTTAAGTAGGGCATTTAGATAACTTACATTTAAGATTAATATTGATATGTCAGATTTTGATCCTGTCATCATGTTGTTAGCTGGCTGTTTTATAGACTTGACTGTGTAGTGCTTCATAGTGTCTATGGGCTATGTGCTTAAGCGTGTTTTTGTGGCAGCAGATGCTGTTCTTTTGTTCACGTGTTTAGCACTCCCTTAAGGACCTGTTATAAGGCTAGCTAAGTTGAAATGTATTACATTAGCATTTTATTTTCTGAGAAGGATTTTATTTTTCCTTCACTTATGAAGCTAAGTTTGGTGGGATATGAAATTCTTGGTTGGAGTTTATTTTCTTTAAGAATACTAAAAATAGGCCCCTAATTTTTTCTGGCTGATAAAGTTTCTGCTGAAAGGTCTGCTGCTAGCCTGATGGAGTTCCCTTCATACATAACCCGACCTTTCTTTCTAGATCCCTTTTCTTTTGCATTAACTATGGTGAATCTGAAGATTATGTGCCTTGTAAATCTTGTACAATATCTAGCCAGGATTCTCTGTATTTCTTGGATTTGCATATCATCCTCTCTAGCAAGATTAGGAAGATTTTCATGGACTATATAGTCGAATTTATTTTCCAAGTTGTTTATTCTCTGTCCTTCTCTCTCAGTAATGGCAATGAGTTGTAGATTTGGTCTCTTTATATAATCTTTCTCAGAAGTTTTGTTCACTTTTAAAATTGTTTTTTCTTTATTTTTGTCTCACAGTGTTAATTCAAAGAACCAGTCTTTGAGCTCAGAGATATTTTCCTTAGCTTGGTCTATTTTGCTGTTAATACTTCTAACTGTATTATGAACTTCTTCTAGTGAATTTTTAACTCGAGAGTTTCAGTTTGGTTCTTTCTTAAAGTGGCTATTTTGTCTTTCAGCTCTTCTGTCATTTTACTGGATTCCATGGATTGGATTTCAAATTTGTCCTGAATCTCAATGAGCTTCCATGACATCCAGATCCTGAATTCTATGTCTCTCATTTCAGTAATTTCTTATGGTTTAGGAATCATTGCTGGGAAAGACACAATCTAACCTTGAGTGACCTTGAATGTAAATGGGTTAAATGCTTCAAGGCATTTAAAAGGCATAGAGTGGCAAGTCAGATAAAGAAGCAAGACCCAACTGTATTCTCTCTGCAAGAGACCCATCTCACATGCAGTGATATCCAGGGGCTCAAAATAAAGGGATGGAGAAAAAATAGACCAAGCCAAAGAAAACAGAAAAGAGCAAATGGTCTGATTCTAATTTCAGACAAAATAGACTATAAACCAATAACAATCAAAAAAGACAAGGGTATTTCATGATGGTAAAGGGTTAAACTCAACAAGAAAACCTAACAATCCTAAGAATATATACATCTAACACAGAAGTACCCAGACTTATAAAGGAAGTTCTTAGAGACCTTTGAAGAGACTTTGATAACCACACAATACTACTGGGAGACTTCAACAACCCACTGACAATATTAGAGCATTGAGACAGAAAATGAACAAAGAGATTCGGGACTGAGCTCAACATTTGACAAAATGGTCCTAACAGACATCTACAGTACTCTCCACCCAAAAACATTAGAATATTATACATTCTTCTCATCTGCACATGGCACATACTCTAAAATCAACGACACAATCAATCATAAAACAATTTTCAGGAAATTCAAAAAATCCAAAATCATACAAACCACACTTTCTCAGATTACAATGCAATAAACATTGAAATCAATACAATAAAATACATCAAAAGCATACGTGAAAATTAACCAACCTTCTCCTCAATGACTTTTGGGTAAACAACGAAATTCGGGCAGAAGTCAAGAAATTCTTTGAAACTAATGAGAACAAACATACTACGTATCAAAATCTCTGGGACACAGATAAAGCAGTATTAAGAGGAAAGTTTATATCACTAAAAAAAAAACTACATCAAAATATTGGAAAGATTTCAAATTAACATCCTAACATCACACCAAGAGGAACTAGAGAAACAAAAGCAAATCAGTCCCAAAGCTAGCAAGAGAAGGGAAATAACTGAAATCAGAGCTGAACTGAAAGAAATTGAGATGCAAAAAACCATACAAAAGATAAACAAATCCAGGTTTTGTTGCTTCAGAATAACACATCAGATTGATAGAGCACTAGCTAGACTAATAAAGCAAAAAAGAGAAGAGATAAAAATAAACACAGTCAGAAATGACAAAGGAAACATTACCACCAACCCCAAAGAAATATTTTTTAAAAACCCTCAGAGACTACTATGAACAACTTTATGCACACAAACTAGAAGAAATTAATAAATTATTGGAAACATACAACCTCCTAAGATTGAACTAGGAAGAAACTGAAACTCTGAACAGACTAATAACAAGTTCCAAGACTGTGTTAATAATAAAAAGCCTACCAACCAGAAAAAGCCCAGGATCAGAGGAATTCACAGCTGAGTTCTACCAGATGCATAAAGAAGAGCTGGTACCTTTCCTCTGAAACTATTCTGAAAATTTGAGGAGGAAGGACTCCTCCCTAATTTATTCTATGAAGCCAACATCATTCTGATACCAAAACCTGGCAGAGATACAACAAAAAAAGAAAACTAGCAAAAAAAAAAAAAAAAAAAAAAAAGAAAAGAAAAAAAGAAAATACTAGCAAACTGAATCCAGCAGCACATTAAAACTCTACTCCAACACAATCAAGTAGGGTTTATCCCTGGAACACAAGGTTGGTTCAGCATATGCAAATTAGTAAATGTGATTCACCACATAAACAGAACTAAAAACAAAAACCATCTAATCTTCAACAAGGCTGACAAAAACAAGCAATGGGAAAAGCACTCCCTATTCAATAAATGGTGCTGAGATAACTAGGTAGCCATATGCAAAAAATGGAAACTGAACCCCTCCCTTATACCATATATGAAAATCAATCCAACTGGATTAAAGACTTAAATGTGAAACCCCAAACTATAAAAACCCTGGAAGACAACCTAGGAAATTCCATTCTCAGCATAGCCCCTGACAAAGATTTCATGACAAAGATGACAAAAGCAAAAATTAATAAATGTGACCTAATTAACCTAAAAAGCTTCTGCACAGCAAAATAAATTATCAACAGAGTAAACAGACAACCTATAGAATAGGTTAAAGTATTTGCAAATGCACGCCTGTAGTCCCAGCTACTCGGGACGCTGAGGCAGGAAAATTGCTTGAACCCAGGAGGCAAAGGTTGCAGTGAGCCGAGCCCGCACCACTGCCCTCCAGCCTGGTGACAGAGTGAGACTCCATCAAAAAAAAAAAAAAAAAAAAAAAGAGTAGTCAAGGCTGGGCGCAGTAGCTCACGCCGGTAATCCCAGCACTTTGGGAAGCCAAGGCGGGTGGATCACCTGAGGTCAGGAGTTCGAGACCAGCTTGGCCAACATGGTGAAACCCCATCTCTACTAAAAATAACAAAAATTAGCCAGGCATGGTGGCAGGTGCCTGTAATCCCAGCTATTGGGGAAGCTGAGGCAGGAGAATCTCTTGAACCCAGGAGGTAGAGGTTGCAGTGGGCCGAGATTGCACCATTGCACTCCAGCCTGGGTGACAAGAGTGAAACTGCATCTCAAAAAAAATAAATAAGACATACACTTGGCCAAGAAGCATATGAAAAAAAAATGCTCAACATCACTAATCATTAGAGAAATGCACATCAAAAGCACAATGAGATACCATCTCACACCAGTCAGATGGGCTATTATTAAAAAGTCAAAAAATCATAGATCATGCTGGCAAGTTTGCAGAGAAAACGGAATGTTTATGCATTGCTGGTGGGAATATAAATTAGTTCAGCCATTATGGGTAGCAGTGTGGTGATTTCACAAAGTACTTAAAACCAAAGTAGCATTCAACCCAGCAATCCCATTATTGGGCATATACCCAAAGAAATATAAATCATTCTACCATAAAGACACATGCACAAGTACCTTCATCGTAGCAATATTCACAATAGCAATGTCATGGAATCAACCTAGATGCCCATCAATGGTGAACTTGATAAAGAAAATATGGTACAAATATACTATGGAATACTATGCAGTCATAAAAAGAATGAGATCATATCCTTTGCAGCAACATGCATGGAGCTGGAGGCCATTTTCCTGAGTGAACCAACATAGGAACAAAAAACTAAACACTACATGTTCTTACTTACAAATTTGAGATAAACCTTGAATACACATGAACACAAAGAAGGGAACAATACATACTTGGGCATAGTTGAGATTGGACTGTGGGAAAAGGGTGAGGATCAGAAAACTGCCTATCAGGTACTATGCCTATTACCTGGGTGATAAATCTGTTCACCAAACCCCAATGACAAGCAATTTACCTATATAACAAATCTGCACATGTATAACTGAACCTAAAAATTAAAAAATTAAAATTAAAAAAGTAAAAGGTATCTCCAAACAAGCAAACAAATAAGGAAAGCAAATAAAAAAAATCATTGCTTGGGGTCTGGTGGACTCATCTGGAGGTATGGGGAAACTGGCTTTTTGAATTGTCAGAGTTCTTGCACTGATTCTTTCTCATCTGGAAGCATTGGCGTTCCTTTACCTGTGGTGTAATTTGAGTATAGTCACTTGGCTTTGTTTCTGAATGTTTTCAGATAGCCAAGGCTTTGTGCAGGGTCTTTATTTGTGGCTGGATTCTTGCCTTTGATTTCACTGGGGGATATTAGCAAAATATTTTTGGTGTTGTAGCAGTTTTGGCTGCAATCCAGTAGATGTCGCTTAAGAGTAATGGACGGTAAATACACTCTTGCTCAGGCCTGTGGTTCCTTTGTACTTCCTCACATCTACAGCCTGGTCTCCCGTACAGCGGGGAAAGAAGTGACCCCCTCACCAGGTCAGCTCCTGAGCCTTGGGGGAACCCCCTCCGATCACTAGCACTGCACCATCATTTCTTTTGCTAGGTGTTCCAGGCTGCGGGGCTCCCTCAGGCAGAGGCCACCGCAGGGAGATAGGCCACACCTTTTCCAGGCTCCTCCTGCAGAGGGAGGCGCGCCCCGCTCCCACAGCAGCCCAGGAACTCATGCGGTTACCCCTCTCGGTGCTCTGGGAGTGTGGGTTTCTCTTCCCGCTCTAGTGTTGGACCTGGGGCGAGTTCGGGCTTTTTATTCCCTCCCCTGCTTGGGGGAGCAGGGAAGGGGACCTTGGCGGTGTCGGTGGCAGAGGGCTTGTCAGTTGTCTCTGGGAACTCCACCCCAGAGAAATTCAGAGCCGCTGCCAACCAGAATGATCAGCCCGGGATGGGACGTTTGTGCTGTGGGCGCAAGCCCAGGGCCCTCCCTGGTGGAGAGCAGAGGGATCGGGGGCTTGTTGGGGGGACTGTCTGACCTCCTCTCCGTAGTGCAGCTGTGGCATGCTGGATGTGCAAGCACAGCAAGCAGGCTCTTTGTTCCCTCCCTAGCCCTGGGGGTGGCAGCAGTGGCAGAGGGCCTGTCAGCTGCCTCTGGCAACTCCACCCAGAGCTACTGCTACTGCTAAGGTGAAGGATCCAGGGGTGGGGCGGCTGTGTTGTGGGCCAAAGCCGGGCCGTGTCTGGTGAAGAGTAGCCGGGGTCAGGGGCTCGCAAGGAAGACAATCTGGCCTTCTCTCCCTAGGACAGCTGCAGTCAGGCTCTTTGTTCCCTACCTAGCCTGCGGGGAGCAAGGAAGGACCTTACACTCAGCTAGTGGTGGCACAGAGCCTGCCGGTTGTCTCTGGGAGCTCTACCCCAGAGAAACTTAGGGCCACCGCCAAATGAAAGAACGGGTGGGGGTGGGGCAGCTGTGCTGGGACCCCAGGCTCGGAGGCCCTGCCCAGTGAGGAGTAGCTGGGACAGGGACCCAAGTGGAAAATAATCTGGCCACTTTTCCGTATGACAGCTGTTCGTATGACAGCTGCCTTGCTGAAGGTCTAGGATAGTTCCTGCGCTCTTCGATCCCTCCCCAGCCTGAGGGCGGCATGTGGGAGACCACAGTACCAGAAATCTCAGGCCTATTGGTTACCTCTGGGAGTTCCTTTCCAAAGAAATGGAGAGCCTGACTGGCCTGAGTGCTCAGGTGGGAGTGGGTTGGCTGCGTGGGCGACCCAGGCCAGTGGGCTTTGCCTGGCTTGATGAAGCAAGCGGGGCCTGCGGTCAGTCTGCTCCTCAGCACCGTGGATGCAGCCCCTATTCTAGGGGCATGCGAGAGAGCTGGCCTCCCTTGTTGGTGTGGCTATGGCAGCTGGCACCAAGGTGCTCAGGGCCCCACGGCTCATGGGGCTCCAGGTGACCCTAGCTGCAGCTCTGCCCAGACTCCAGTAATCTCTCTGTGTTGGTCTGGAAGCCCCTCGGGGTCACGGGAGATCTCCTGTGCCAGGATTGCAGAGGCCCATGGCAGAAGTGTGGGTCCCAGGAGGTTCTTATTCACCCTTTCCCTATGGTAGGGAGCCTCACCTGGCTCTATGCCAATCCTGGGTGGACTGCTTTCCTGCCTGGCCCCTTTCTGCTGTCCATCGATTGCAGTTGCTTCCTTGATGAATCCTAACATGGCCTCATGGACGATCCATGTGAAGAGCTAGTGTTTACTCACCACCCTGTCTCCCTCTCCATGAGTGGCACATGATAGCTGCTTCTGGCACCTCACCCTATTCTGTACTTTTTTATTGATAATACATGAGCAACATTATCCTACATGCTAATCAAAATCAGTGGTTTTCATTTCTGTGGTTGATTTTTAAGGGTAAGCTTACTTTCATGCTTATAAGCCTTTTCGTTTTTTTCCTTTGTTCATTGCCCACATTTCCTTCTATGTACCTATTTCATATTCATTTAAGCAAATTATTTATGTATTAGATAAATTTTTATCGTTTATATCGATTTTTAGTAATTTTTATTTTAATTTTTATTCATGGATGCCCTCTCATACAATCTTGGAGTAGGGAAAAAATATTCAATTTACATGCAAACCTTATAATCATGCAGAAAATAATCTCCACATCTATATGCCATAGAAATATTTTCAGCGTTTTTCTGCCTTTTGCCCATATAAACTTTTTTCATTTTTACATATCAAAATATGTAGCAGATATCAAGATTTAATACATCTTTTTATTTTCATTTTCTTTGTCAAACTTCAATGGCCTTTCTCACCTCCAAGATTGCAAACTTTTTATCCTATATTTTACCACCATTTTTGTTTGCTTTCTGAAGAAGCTGTCAACACACAGACAGGTTTGTCAAAGACTTTTGCCACTACCATTACAGATTCTATCAAATATACTCATACAAAATTTAATTTAGAAAAAATAATTAGAGAGACAATAACATGAGAGGTGCTCTCTACAATTCTCTTCATGCCAGACCATGGCTGATTGATGTGTTCCCTGAGCCAAGAGCTGGGAAAGTGGTTTCTTGTCCTCTCAGTCTCCTGGTTATGGCAGGGATAGGTCACTTAGCAGGTTAGTTCTACAGTGTTTTTCTGGTAACAATTTCTATAATAGATGCCCAGCATAAATAATGGTCTTCTATACTTGAAAAATTTTATAAGTACCTAATTTCTCACATTAGACCCCACTATTAATACAGGAGTTATTAAGAAATTATTTTTAGGCAGCTAGAAAGGGTAAAAGAGTCCTCAGAAAGGCTTTTCCTTTTAATAAAAAAGCAGCCCCCAAACCATTTCTTTTCTAACAGAAAGCAGCCTGAAAAGCCATGCTGGAAGCATAGGTATGTAAATTACAGGCTTGCAGAAGTAAATGCAGGTGGCTAACAGCCAGGTCCACTCAATATGACTCTTCCCGCTCACTTTCCTTTGTTGCCACATGTGCAGTTGTCATGGCACCAGCCAAGTAAAGCCACATGTGCAGGCATCATGGCGACAGCCAGGTAGAAGCCGCATTTGCAGAATAAAAGATTAGGGTGGGAGGGCCAGTCTTTTCATGGGTTGTGTGAATGACACACCTGGTCAAAGGAATCCCCTGGGCCCTATGCAAATCAGACACTACCTCCCTGAGCCTCCCAATATAACTGACTGCTTTCCCCACAAGTGGGGTTACTCCATTCAGAGTGCTTCTCCCTCTCTATGGGGAAGCTCTTCTCTTCCTTCTTGCCTAATAAACTTTCTGTTCCTTAACCCACTCCGTGTGTGAGTCTGTGTCATTAATCGGCACAGCACAAGACAACGAACTGCAGGTATTTCCCCAGACAACGAAGCTGCTTCACTATGTTGAAAATAACTGGAGTGATTTATGTAATCTGTAATACAATCTGAAGTACTAAATATCTAATAATGTCTAATAATCATCGTGAAGCTCTGAAGAAAAAATAAGTGAAATAATTTCATGACATTTTACCATGAAACAAATTGGCTTCCTTTCTTATCTCGCCACCAAATTTTGGGGGGGAAATATATATTTATTTATATATTGATTAAATATATAAAAATATATATTTATAAATATATAAAAATATATATTTATAAATATATAAAAATATATATTTATAAATATATAAAAATATATATTTATAAATATATAAAAATATATATTTATAAATATATAAAAATATATATTTATAAATATATAAAAATATATTACTTATTTTATATATATGTAAATATACATATATATAAAATATATATAAAAACATTAAAATATATGTAATTTTAATATATATATATAAAATACTATAGTCTTTTTCATAACATACTTGCAACATACATTTGGTTTTTGATATTTTACAGTTTATTAATCTCTGCCTAAAATCTTGCTGATGTTGCTCTAACCAGTAGAGGAAAGCATTGTAGATGAACTGCTCCTTTGCTTAAAACATTAAAATGGGTTCTTACCACAATTAAAATATGAAAAAATTCTTACCTCAGACCGAAAGACCCTTGCAGTCACATAAAACTTAACCCTTAAATTTCTCACACTTACTCATTATACTTCAACCACTCTGGGGTTTCCTTTATATTCTTTAAATATAATAAGTTTATTCTCTCATTATGCATAACTCTCCTCCATTGCCTACAATGGTACCTGGCAAATGGGAGGTACCAGTGAAAAACAGGACTTGTTAAATGAATGATATGAATTCCAGCCAGAATTCCTCCTTCTCAGTTTCTTATTATAAAATCCACTTGACAGACTACATGTCGACTCAATAACCTCTTCATGGAAGTTTTCACTTCCTGGTTGCGAAGGGTATAAATCATAGGATTCATCAATGGAAAGATCACTGTGTGAAAGAGAGAAACCATCTTGTCAGCTGGTAAGGCCCTGAAAGGGCACATGTAGATGAAGATAGCAGGTCCAAACATAAGAAGTATAATAATGACACGAGTGGTGCATGTGGACATGGCCTTGTTCTTCCCTTCAGAAGCTGCCCTACGAACATGGCAGAGGATGACTGCATAGGAAGCCAGAAGCCCCAGAAAGCACAGGAGTGTCATCAGGCCACTGTTGAAGACCATCAGAAGCTCCACCACAAACATGTCGGTGCAAGCCAGCTTGATGACCTGTCGGACATCACAGAAGAAGTTGTCCAGCTGGTTTGGGCCACAAAAAGGCAAGCGGAGGATGAGGACCACCTGGATAATGGAGTGGACAAAACCCCCAAGCCACAGAGCCAACATCATTGCATAGCAGGCTCTAGGGTTCATGACAGTTGAACAGTGCAGAGGCCGGCAGATGGCGATGTAGCGGTCAAAGGCCATCACAACAAGGAGTAATCCCTCCCCTCCTCCAAGGAAGTGCAAGAAAAAGAGCTGAGTGATGCAGCCTCTGTAGGAGATTACCTTCTTCTCAGAGAGGAAGTCCACCAACATCCTGGGAGCCACAATGAAGGAGTAGGATGCATCCAGGAAGGCCAAGTTGCCCAGAAATAAATAGAGGGGGGCTGTGAGCCCAGGGTCTGACCTTATGGTGAAAATAATGAGAAAATTTCCAGGGAGGATGATAAGGTAGAAAATTAAGATCAGCACAAAGACCAAGAGCTGAATATCTTGAGACTGAGTCAGACCAAGGAGGATAAATTCTGTCACTACTGTGTTGTTTGCTATCTTCATTTCTTCTGCCTGTAGAATATCAATAAAAGAGTTTATTTTCAGGTGTTACATCTAGATTATAGTTCTTGAACTAAACACAAGGTATGCCACATTTATATTATTCTATCTATCTCAACAACCTAAGAAATCACTTCTACTGTTTATGCTTCCTCATTTCATGATAGCCAACACCCTGGTCCTGAAGCCACACTCTTTCTTCTGTTTCAGTCCTGTGCTTCTGTTTAAGTGTTCACTCATGTGAGACTTGGATGTTACTGCTCTGAATTTGTTCCTGATTTGTATGAGGCATATGAAAATTTTTCTGACTGAGAAAAAACTTAACCCCAGTTATTGAGGACTTCATGTTTTGCTTTGAATGGAAGATGAGCTGGGATTGACAGCAAAGAAGAATGACAGAACTTTTCAAGGGGACAGAAATGTTCCGTTTTTAATTATAATGGTTATATGTATCTATTTTTGTCAAAATTTATTGAGTATTGAACTATACAGCAATTAGTACAATTTATTTTATATAAATGCTACCTTAGGAATGTTTATCTAAAAACTTTTATAAAGGCAACTGTACTTACCAGAAATAATTCCCTTTTCTCTATAGAACATCAACCAAATGAACTGGTCTAAATAAAAAGCTCTCAGTCACTCTGGAGAAAACAAGATCTGAGGCTTCTCTGTACAGTGGCTTCCAAATTGAGACTGTGCTCATGCTTGGGGATGTGCATGATAATTTATTGGTATGAAAGCAATAATAGGAGAATTTCTACACTTACATTATTGTATCCTATTGTTTGAAGTTTTATTTTTGAACATTTTACATTTATATAGAATCATGATGTAATTGGATATGAAATGCATAAAGAAGATACGTATGTTTTTGGTGCATGTTCAAAAAATGGTTTGTGGTTGAAATAAAAAAATTTAAAAGCTAAAGATCTTGAGCTAGAACAAAATACTACAATGTGATACAGAAAAATATTTCATATGCTTCTGTTACACAGCACATTTGTTTTAAAATAATGTGGACTATGAAGCGTAGAGGGAAAGAGGTTCATTAACTAACTGAATGAGGAGTCGGTGTGTAAGAAGAGAGGGAAACAAAAACAATAAAGTCCCGAATTAAGAAATCAAAGAAAATATTTATAATGGCACATCTATTTAAAACATCAAAAGATATGCTTTTCAAAATATATCTAATCCTAATATATTAATTAATAGCAGAGGTTTTCAGGTATGGTCAGAATTGGGAATTATGAAAGAAGTACCTAGGCCAGGCACTGTGGCCCACACCTGTAATCCCACCCTTTTTGGAGGCCAAAGCAGGTGGATCACTTGAGGCCAAGAGTTCGAGACCAGCCTGGCAAAACCCTGACTCTACTAAAAATATAAAAATTAGCTGGGCGTGGTGGCAGGAGCCTGTAGTCCCAGCTACTTCAGAGGCTGAAGCATGAGAGTCGCTTGAACCTGGGAGGTGGAGGTTGCAGTGAGTCCATATTGTACCACTGCACTCCAGCCTGGGTGACAGAGCAAGACTCTGTCTCAAACAAAAAAAAGTATCTTACATCACATGTATGTACATCACACAGACACAAATAAATACACGCAAACACACGTATCCTAACCAAAACAGAAGCATAAAATTTTACATATCATACCCTTCTTTTCTTTTTTTTTTTTTTTTGGCACTTGGCCATTTATTGACCTTAATATTTATCAGTCTTTCTGTGCATATAAAACCTGCTAATAGAAAAGTCGGGAATCCCTCTCTGCTTACTCTTAAGTTGTGTACATCTTGCATGTTATTATGCAGTTGGTTATTTCATACTCTTTCAAAAATTGAGGATGTATTTGGGTCATAGGAGAAACTTTCAAGTATCTCTGAGATTGGGAGTTTCAGGTTCTTGCACTGTACCTTGCATTTTATTCCCTGTTATCCACTTCTGTTCTCCTACTGACTCTGTAACATCTGGAACCCTCTACCATCAAATATCTTTGATTCACTGTGTTCCCTTTGTGTGCTTCCCTCTAAGCTCTTTTGTTATATGGATAGTGCTCACATCATGCTCATTATGGATCCAGAAACCAAATATATATATTCATAAGGTGGACATTCCTCTAGGTAAAATGAAGTAAGTCCTAGCAAAATAAAAGCACAGAAATTCCTGCAAAGACAAGCTTGGTCTTGTCTAACTATATTAGAAGAACATAACAATGTTAGAAGGATCACTGTCAGTGGAAGCTGAAATAGAAATCTGAATGACTGCCACTCCCTCTATCCTATATTTCAATTTCAACAGAAACAAAATTTCATCTGTTCCTGACAATGCTGGAGCAGCACAGAAGAGGAAAGAGTGATGGGTGGGGGCACACACACATTCCAGATAAAGGCTGCGCTATGCACTGTTCACGTTTAGAGTCCAGGCTCTTGTTAAAAAGTTCATGGAGCAGGTATTTGGAGATTTGATTCCCATCCACAGGCACTAATTCACTCATTTTTCTTTATATTTCCTCATGCCTCCTTTTAAAATATTTATTTTATTATCTTCCCCTCCCATCTCGCTAAATATTTCTACACTTCATTTTTTAAGTTATACTTTTACTTAAGTTGGTTTCTCTTTCTCTATTTTATCTTCTCTTTCTCTCTCGTATTTGTTCTCTAATGATTCCCCTTGCTTTTCTCTTATCTCTTCTATTTTTTCTCCTTTGTTGTTTTTACTTCTCAATGTTCTTGCAGTTTCCAATATTTTTCCACTCTCTCTTCTTCTCTATTCATTTCTCCTTTATTAGATCTCATGTTTGCCTTCCCATTAATTCTGAGAAGCATCACTATTGTTTTCTTTTGAAACAGTAGTAAGGACAGCACATGAAGTTTCTTCACTCCAATTTTTGTAAGGGTTAAAAATACCTAACCCATATTTCAGTACTAAATTACTTTCCTTGAATAGTATCCTACTTAAAATATACTGTGTAAATACTTTTAAATTATTTCCCATTACCTCAAATATTTTGTCTGTTTATAACTGATCTTAATAAAAGTGGCACTATTCACCTTTCTGCTTGAAAGAAATTTCTCATTAATCCACCCTACCAGCAAAAACACATTTTAGAAATGTTCCCAAAATAAGAATAAGAATGTGATGTCTATTAATATGTGCTATCTAATTTGTAACCCATAACCTATATAATCACTAATTTTTTGTGTGTTCTGAGAAATGTGGATAAAGTTAGAGTATCATCAAATCATTAACTGATACCAATGTTTATAATGCCATGATTTCTAGGCAAAGTAATGGATGTCATTTAAAAAGCCCTCGTTTGGGCATCTATCTGGGTTTAAGTTCTTCATTGTGCAATTTTTTTAACCGTGAGATCTTGGGACGGTCATCTTCCTTAGCCTGAGTTATTTTATCTCACTGTGTTGATTTATGAATATAATATGAGAATGATAGCAATAAGTAGCATATTGAAGTCTGACTAAACCAAAACTAAACAAGGAAAAAATGTAGATATTAAGAGGGGCTTTAGTTTCTAAGAAGTAAATATATAATATAGATCCTCTGTCCCTGCCTTTGAAATGAGTTGCTGGGGTAAAGGTAGCTATGTTAATGTAAGAAATTACTAGAAAAGAATTTATGAAGGCTTCATTTCAGCCAGCTGTCAAAGCCCCAGATTGGTATATGGTAAGACTCTTTGTAAAAGAACCTCTCATCCCAGCAGGTGTGGGAACTAGACAGAGCTAGTCTCCTGCAAAATCGTGAAGTTGGTGAAGATTTCTTCTGCAGCCTAGCATTTCTGCATTGGATATGACTTCTGTTCCCTCACGTCTTTCAGTTAATAGCTATAGGTTTAGGACCAAGTATAAACATTCCCAAGGCAATGTTAATAAAGGCTTTATATATTCCCAATAAATTAATTCTAAATATTAGGAGAAACTGGGGCTATATTATTAAGACCAGGTAAAAGGTGCTACTGTATTACTGAATTCAGATTAAACATATTAATCTATTTCTAGTTTGAAACCCATAACCTATATAATCACTATAATTCTGATCTTTGCATTTCAAGGCAGCAGATGTCCCACCTGAGGTGTTACAATATGTTTCCATTTCTTCCTTATGTTCCTTATAAATATGGAGAATGGAAAAACATTTACCTCTCTAGTAATCTAATGCTCCTGTCAAACAGCAGATATCACCTCCTTCTAATAGAAGGAACAATAACTAATTTTTCCTGACTTCATTGTTAAATATCTCTTCTCACAGAGGAATCTCTTATGCAACCAATTTGTGATGCAATGGAGAATGTACTTTGGGAATTTGAAGGCTAACAAAGCTGCAAACACTTTCAAAGGGAATTGTTAAAATGCCAACAAAATATAGTCAAAGAATGAGACTAGAAACATGTTATATATAAATAGTGAAGTATATATGATTTAAAAGTCACTATGTTACTTCTAAGTTTTAAAATCAACATTCTATCAGTGACACATATTACAGAATAGTCAGCATGTTTACTAGGTCCATGTGGGCAGAAAGCCAAAAGAGGTTATTTTATTTCTTACGTTACTATTTTTTTTAAAAAAGTGTATAATAGGAAATCATTGATAGATCAAGAAAAGAAGTAATGTGGTCAGGTAGGTAGTATGGTAAATTCAACATATTTCTGATGACAAAGAAATAGGCAAAGAAAAATAAATGATGTTCACAAAGACTCTTTGACATAATCCTTCTTGGAGACGAGAACTGCATATTGAAGGACTAATTCCTCACAAAGAGATGTATTCTTAAATACACCCTATTGTGGTCTTGGCCTTTGTTGTTTTCATTTTAGGAATAAGTGTCTCCTATGTTCCACTAAAGCAAAGACAACTATTTTTTTAAGTAAATATTACTAGACAGAAGAAAAGTAATTAAGAATCACATAGTAGAACACAATATAATTAAATTTCAGTAGATTTATTTTTATTTTAAAAAGATTTTTTATTTTAAAAATTAATAAACAGTTTTTCAACAAATATAATGCATAATCAATAATATTTTGTTCTAATTTATGTCCAATTCAGAAAATAATAAGTGGGAAAAATGGAACATGGGGAAAAGAGAAAAAGGGAGAAAGAGATACACAAAATCATAAAGGTAAAAAAACCGGGGGGGAGAAATGCAAGAACAGGAACAAATGCAAAGACAGTAATGGAATAATAGGAAATAAAAAGCCAGGCACAAAAATGCATATTTTGTAAAACTATATACACCAAATAAACTAAAAAGTGCAGTGTTTACTTTCTTAAAAGAAACAGAAAAGAAGTGATATAAGTAAAGAAACACATGGAAAAACATTCCCATTTTTGAGTATATTATAGTCTTTCTTGCTACCAAAGATTTTTTAAAATATGATTTTTTCATAATTGTAGACATAGTTAGGGACTTTGCTTCCTAATGTTTTCCACAATACTTAAAGTGAAGATAGTCTAATGATCTAAATTAATCCTTAGAATGAAGGCTTGTTATTCCTGCTAGGAAAGATTTGTCTCCCTAGACTATCTTAGAAACTAAAACCATGTACCAGGCTGTATTGTAGTGTCTGCAATGCAGCACCGAACAAGACAGAAAATATCCCTGTTCCTGGGGATTTTACATCCTAAAGCATGGAAACAGACAACAAACAAACATACCAGAGAGAAAACAACTGATTGTAATGAGCACTATGATAAAAATATAAGAGAAAGCGGAAGAGGCTACTATTCCAAGTGAGCTGGCCAGGGAGGGCCTTTCTGACAAGGTGGCAACATTTCAACTAAGATCTGAATGACAGAACTACACCGTCTCTGGGAAGATCTGAAGATAGACTTGTTGAAAGCTCATTAAGGGAGAGACTGGTGCATTGAGAAGCAGAAAGGAGGCTAGTGTGGCAAGACAGTAGTGAGCAAATGGAAAAAATTGTAAGGGAAGATAGAGAGGTAGAGCCAATATGGGCCAAATGGCAATCGGTCAACATACTATGTGTGAGATGTAACAGGCAGAGGAGTGTTCCTACCTGATTTACATGTTTAAAATGTTGTGCCAGGTACTAAGTGAAAAACGGGCTATAAAATGCAAGAAGTGGAGGCAAGGGGAACAGTAGGGAGCATTTGAAGAACTATTAATATAAATAAGAGATGTTGGTAGGTTAGGATAAGAGGTAAAAAAGAAGACAGAAGAATTTATACCAAAGATAAACTTTGGAGAGATAATCAATGGGACTTATTGAAGGACTGCATATGAGAGGTATGGAAGCAAGAATAACTCAGAATTTTTAATGGCATTACCATAAGGTTGGAAATTAGGCAGTGTACTTTAAATATACTTGACTTTAAAAATGTATTTAATTTTTGAATAGGTAATATATTTACATTTTTAAATAAAAAATAATTCATACAGTGAGAAATTTCCTTCTTATATCTGTCCCCTATATGTCCATTTCACCCCATACCTCAAAATTGGAAGCTAATATTAATTTTTGTATCCTTCAAGAAATTTATCTGTATTTACAAGCAAGCATGAAAATAAATTCTTGGTTGTATTTCTTAGAATACAATGTATATACATTAAAATACACACATTTAAGTGTTCAACGTAGTAACTTGTGTTAAATATATGCACTTTAGAAACTAGTATTGTAAACAAGATAAAGAATATTTCCGTCACTCCAGAAAGGTTTCTTGTGATCTTTGCCATCCACCCCCACCATCTAACATCATAATGAGCTTTCATCTTTTAATTCCTAATAGCATAGATTAGTTTTACCTTTTCTTGGATTTTATAAAAACAGAAGCATATGACATGTGTTATTTTGTATCTGGCTTTTAAACTCAGCATTACGATTTAGAGATTCATGCGTATTGTTGCATTTTCTGTAGTTGTTTCTTTTTACTGCGGACTAATGTTTCATTATATACTTAACCCTAAGTTTGTTTATTATCATTTTATCCTTTTATGGACATTTGGGTTGTTTCAAATCTTAGGCCACCAATAAGGTTTTCATTAGCATGCGAATTTAAATCATTTCATAGACATGTCTTAGCTAAACACGAATGGGATTATCAGGTCATAAGGTAGCTGTTTGTTTACATCTACCTGAAATTACCTGAAGTTTCTATTAAGTTTTTCAGAGTGGTTAGCCATTGTAAATTCCCAACATCAATGTATGAGAGTTCAAGTTATTCCAACAATTAATTCACCAACATTTGGTGTTGTGTTTTACTTATGCCATTATATTTTCTGCATTTCTAATGCTTTAATGTCTTGTGCCTTCCTAACACTGGAGGAACTATCCCTCTTATGGCTAGCCAATTCCTAGAGATGGTAAAAGCCTCACTTGCAACCAATCTAGAAACCATACTCCAGCCGCTTCTTTTATCAGGCACCTATAGCGCTATTACACTCCAGGCCACTATTTGCCTTCCCTAATCACCCCAGGGCCAAGTGCCAGACACTTAGAGACAGCCCCTATCCTCCAGAGCCCACTGGAATTATTCAATCTAGCCAATCCTAAACCTGTTTATCCTGCCCCATCCATTTATTTCCACAGAAACCATGATAAAGGCTCTTACCCACATTTTTCTCATTTCCCCACTCACCTAACCAACCTCTTATTTCTAGGGATTTGTGAGTCTAAAAACTTCTTCCTTCATGACAGTCATTTCCATGACAGTGTGTCTTACCATTCCTGATTAAAATAAATACCGGGCACCTTTAAAACAGTGCAGCAGACAAGAACTACATCTTGATGGCAGCTACATTGTTTTTGTCAGTAGTTGCCACAGGCTCCCAACATAAAATTGTGGAGCTCGGAAAGCTGAGTCCTCCCAGCGCTGCTGCATAGTCTAGAGTGTCAAGTGCCTGGGACTGAGCACCTGGAGGCACTCAATATATTTCTTCATGTTGGTAGAGCATCCGGAGTCCAGGAGAGAGCACGTGAGGGTGAGGATGTATTGGTAATTGGCTATATCAGTTTCTAGAAAGATTCGTCCGAAGGGGATGAGAACTGACTGCCTTCCTAGTGCCATGGATGAATCTGGCCCACTGACCAGGCAGCACTAACAAGCAATGGGGAAACTGAGTCATTTTTATGGACGTGTCTAGTCTCCAGTATGTTATATGTTCCTGGGGCACTTGATAAACCCCTTCCTCTTTTCCTTCTCTGCCATTTTGTTCTGTTCCTCAGAGTAGTGGGAGAGCGCTCTGCCTGAACACTTGATCGTGTGTTGTGGACCATTCCCTGCTGAGTAATGACGTGCATCTTTTCGTGAACTTGCTGATCACTTCTGTATCTTCTTTTCTGGAGTGTCTGTTCAAATTTTTTGCTGATTTTTCTTTACTTGAAGACAGAGAGAAACAGGGAGATTAAGAGAGACCAAATTTTCCTCCCAGTGTATGATTTCCTTAATAATTTGATGATAGTGTATCTTGACGAGCAGTAATTTTTAATTTTTTGAGGTTCATTGGATCACTTTTTATTATTACACCTGCTTTTGTGCTGCTTAAGATATCATTGCTTATTCCAATTGTGTAAGCAAATATATTATTCTGTGTTTTCTTCTAGATACTTTATATTTCTAGTTACTACATTTAGGAGTATAATCCAGCTCTGAAGATGCTCTTATTTGATTATATTTTCACTGAGATAAAAACTCTTTTCTCTTGTCATAATATAACTCTTCACTGGTTTACTTTTTTGTTGTTAAGGAAAAGAGATCAGCCGGGTCCCGTGGCTCATGCCTGTCCCAGCACTTTGGGAGGCCGAGGCAGGTGGATCATTTGAGGCCAGGAGTTCAAGACCATCCTGGCCAACATAGCAAAACCCCTTCTGTACTAAATATACAAAAATTACTCGAGCATGGTGGCATGGACCTGTAATCCCAGCTACTCAAGAAGCTGAAGCAGGAGAACTGCTTGAACCCGGGAGGCGAAGACTTTAATGAACCGAGATCAAGCCACTGCCCTGGAGCCTGGGATACAGAGTGAGACTCTGCTTAAAAAAAAAAAAGAAAGAAAGAAAAGGAAAAAAAAAGGAAAGAAGGAAGGAAGGAAACCAGTGAGATATTATCCTGACTGCCTTTCCCTTGAAGACGATCTCTGTTTTCAACGTCTGCTTAGTTGTCTTTATAGTTTAATAAGCCTAATACTAGATTAAATACAGTAGCCCCCTCTTACCCACAGTGTTGCTTTCTGTAGTTTCTGTTGTCCATGGTCAACTTCAGTCCAAAAAATGTTAAATGGAACATTCCAGCAGCAAACAATTCATAAGCTTTAAATTATGCCCCATTCTAAGTAGCAGGATGAAATCTCAAGCTGTCCTTCTCCATCCTTCCAGGGACATGAGTCATCCCTTTGTCCAGTGTATCCATGTTATACATGCCACCTGCACGTTATCACTTAGTAGCCACCTTGGTTATCAGTTAGACACAGCATCACAGTGCTTGTGTTCAAGTAATCCTTATTCTATTTAATAATGGCCCCAAAGTGCAAGAGTAGTGTTGGCATATTGTTGTAATTGTTCTATTCTATTATTGGTTGTTATAAATCTGTTACTGTGCCTAATTTATGAATTAAACTTTATCATAGGCATATATGTATAAGAAAAACATGGTATATATAGGATTTGGTACTATCCATGGTTTCAGGCATCCACAGGTGTCTTGGAACATATCTCCTATGGATAAAAGAGGACTACTGTGTATATATATATATACATACATATATATATGTGTGTATATATATATATACATATATATGTGTGTATATATATACATATATATGTGTATATATATATATACATATATGTGTGTATATATACATATATGTGTGTGTATATATATATGTATATATGTGTGTGTGTGTGTCAGAAACCCAGCCTTTTGTCCTAGTCACATGTTTGACTGTAATTTGTTCTCTGATAATTTCATCAAAGAGGTCTTAAAAACAACATTCACAGATTTTTGTTGCATATTTAAAACTTTGTGGCCTGTTTATTTAAATGCCAGTTTTGTGGGATATAAAATCTGAGGGTTATACTTATTTATGTAAGCATGTTGTAGCTTGTCTTCACCTGGACCTCTATTTAATGGTAATTATATTTTGGAACAATGCATGATAGGCCAACTGGTCTGCTTCCAATGGAGTTGGAGGGGTGAGACTTTATAAACTTTGTTGAAGAAAATCCCTGAGAAAAGAGATTGCCAGTGATACTTGTTTTGTTCTTTATATATTCATATGTTTTTAACTTTTAATGAATATATATTATTTTAGTAATTAAAAAAACAGAAGAACTTTAATTTTGTTTGAGCAATAAAGCTCTCTTTTAACCAGATATAATAATAAAATTCTGGTTAATATTGAGATTAGCAAAAAGCCAGAAGATGAATGGGACTTGGGTTCTAAAGTTTCACACAAGTCAGTGTATAATTGAAAGTATAATCACAATACTGAGCTAAAGATAATATACTCAACCGAGATATTGCTGATTTTAAACATAGTAGCTCAGCAGCAGTTTTGAAAGAAAGAGGAGTAGGAGAGACTGAAAGAAAAAAAAAGAGATTAAAAGACATTTAAAAGTAACTGAAAGAAAATGTAGGAGTTATATAGGGAAAAGGAGTCCTGAAGCATATTTTGTATTTGACTGCTGAGGATCCTGAGCTATTTGGAAACAATATTCAATGAGACAAGATTGCATATGAGGTTAACACCTATTTCTTCTACACTAACCTGCCTTATCCCTGCCCATTATTTAAGTCAGAGTTTCTCAGCCTGATGGAGTTCTTTATTCTTGGCACTATTGACATTTTGGGCCAGATAATCCATGTGGGAGTCAGGGGCTGGGGGCTGTCCTGTGCATTGTAAGATGTCTAAACAGTACAAGATGCCAATATATGTCCTCAGTTGTGACCACCAAAAATGTCTCTGGGCACTTCCAAATGTCCTCCAAGGGGTGAAATTGCTCTCAGTCCTTATTCCAATTATGGCCTCCATGTATCAGGCTCAGTTATTACTTACTAGAGTTTGCCAAAAGTTCCCCTTTTCTTCATTGATATTAGTTTCTAATTTCAGATAATATTCTTAAGTAAGCAATTAGTTATCACACTATTTTTATGCCTTTTTCCTTTGTATTACTAGCTTCAGTATTTTCAGTAAATATCTTTCTATATAGTACAGTGTGCTGGTGTTTGAAGAGCATATCAAATCAGTGGTCCCTTTCCCAAGAACATCAGCCCTAGTTTGATGAAAGATAAGTGACAAAATGAATAGAAGTCTGGCTAGACCAAATATAGAGAAATGACAGTAAGATGATAAAAGATTTAGAAACGTAACTCATCATTTTATCATATTATATATATATATCTTTTGTACTCTATATTTTTTCATGCTGTGTTACAAAATGTTAGAGAAGTCTACTGCTTTATTCACTTCCAGGTGATGAGAAGTCAAGTCAAAAATCAGGACTTATAACGTCAATCTGTGCCTTTGGGTTCCTAGAAGAGAAGCAACATAGCATTGAAGATCGAAGAAGGTCACCATAAGGAAAAATTCCCAAAGCAAAAAACAAGCTTTGTGTACCACCATTCCATCCTGTGCATCTGAGATACACTGGGTCTGGCACAAATTACCTCCTCAATTAATAAATAATATATCTGTAAATAAATAGTAACTCTAGGAATAGTTATACCATTTGTTTCTATATATTCATTCCCAATGTTGACAAGGATCTAATTCACTTAAAATTTAGTCCATATTACATTATCAAATTTAAAAAAGAAGACTAAAGATTAATATACCCAATGCATTCTTGCCCTTCAATGAAAAGATTCCCTAGTTTTGAAATTAAAAACTAATAAATTTAAGTAAAAAACATAACCTATAAAATCAAATGTTCTAATCTACCTCTTACATTCTGAAGCTTGGAGAGTGAGTTTTTAGTGCTTGAGAATAGGAAATCAGTCCCTAATAATTCTCTAAGGGATCATGGGAACCAATACGTCTAGGTCTGTCAATGGGAAAGAACTCTGAATTAAGCACTAACAAAAACAGCACTCTACCAATTTAAGTTTAACATGAGAGGCAGAATTAGCAATTATGGAAAACATACAAAAGTGGCAAAGGAGATGATAGTTTAGAAAAAAATTACACGGCTAGATGTCTACCAATCCCAGTCAACCTAGAAGCTTTCTCCCCAAGGCTGCTTTCACTCTGAAGGATGTAAGTAGGGACTGGCTACAAAAATTGCTAGTTGCCTGGAGGCTTCATCTGGAATGACATGAATCTCATGTATCAGCCAAATTATACTCTGCTTTGAATTCATAAAAATTGTTTTCATAATGTGATAAAATTTTGAGTTCTGTCTCCAAACTGTTGAATAGACACCACCTGAAATATAAACTGAAATACCTTTATAAGGTATTTCAGTTTATAAGTTGATGGAAAATCCTCATTTTCCATCAACTCTGGAAATAAGAGGAGATAAAGGACAAATAATCTGTTTTTCCAGACCCAGCAAGATGTTGACCAGATACCATTCCACTGAGCCAACACTGAAACATGACAAAAATATTTATTTGCTAACTTGAAGCTAGCTGCATCCATATGCTTGCCATTTACTTCATATTTGTAATGGACACGTCTCCATGTCTTATTTATTTTTCTCAACATGTTCCCGTCAAAGCCAGAGCCTCTGCAGAGTACTCAATAAACAATTAGTTAAAATGTACTTTAGCAGATTATTATATCTCAAATTCTAATAATGATCTGTTGGGAATTTCAGGGTAGGTGTGAGTAAATTTATTTTCATCTTAATGCCTCTATTTTTTCAATATAAAGAGGAATGAATAGAGAAAAATTATAGTAAAATTTTAATAACACAAATGAAAGGAGGAAGTCAATGCAGCATTATTACTGCAAATACTTCCTGCTTTAGGACAATGATCCTCAGGGGAACTATAAAATGTATAATTTATCTTTCACTTCTCTTTACACAAAATATATTTGGTGACCAACTTCCTCATGGCTGCCTTTACTTCCTTGTTTCTCAATGTGTAAATAATGGGATTATGTAAAGGGAATATTAAAGTATTGAACACAGACACCACTTTATCTAGGGAAAACGAGTCAAATGGGCGAGCATAAATGTAGATGGATGGCCCAAACATTAGCACCACAATGGTAATGTGGGAATAGCAGGTGGACACGGCCCTGTTGGTATTCTCACCTGAGCCTGAAAGTTTCTTGAGCAAGGCCAGAAGGAAGGCATAGGACATTAACAGAGCAATCAAACACACCACAGAGATCAGACCACTACTACAGATCATCACTAACTCCTCTGGGAAGGTGTTGGCACAGGCAATCCGGACAACCTGTGTGATGTCACAGAAGTAACTGTCTAACTCATTGGGCCCACAGAAAGGAAGTCGAACAATGAGAGCCACCTGTATGATAGAATGAATGAAGCCCCCCCTCCAGGAGAGAGCCACCAGGATACAGCAGAGACGTTGATTCATGATGGTAGCATAGTGGAGGGGTCGGCAGATAGCAGTGTAGAGGTCAAAGGCCATCACTGTGAGCAAGAACATCTCTGAAGCCCCAGCAAAGTGTAAGAAGAAGAGCTGTGCAATGCATTCATCAAAAGAAATTATCTTCCTCTCCACAAAGAAGTCTATGAGCATTTCAGGGGCTGTAATGGAAGAGTACCAAATATCAAGGAAGGCCAGATTAGCCAACAGGAAATACATAGGAGAGGTCAGATGAGGGTCTAGACTGATGGTGCAAATGATAAGGATATTTCCTGGTAGGATGAACAAATAGAAGGATAGAAATATAACAAATAGGACTAGTTGGACCTCTGGAGTCTGGGATAGGCCAGTGAGAACAAATTCTGTCACCTTGGTGTAATTTGCAGTTTCCATTTCTTCAATTTACTCTTTTCATAATATAGCTATGAAAATTAAGAAACTATAATTAGTAGACATAGCATTTACCTAGAGTTATATCACTGCTTTCAAAATTGTCATACGTTCCCTGTCACTAACAGATTACACGAGGATACATTTGGTTGCCCATTTTATATCTGATAAACCAAGAGGGAGAGAGTATGTGATGAAGTTATAAATTGGAAACATTAAAACTATATGAAGTGTGGCATATATTTGAAACTCAAATCTCAGCTTGTTAATGTTAAAAACTTACTTTTTCTGAAATTTGGCAATGCACTACTTCTTCCCCCAAACATCTACATTAGTAAGCAATATGTGAAGCTACTTCTGAGTGTAGCCAAATTTTAGACTGGCAATCAGAGATGTGGCCTCTTTTTTCTATATCTTTTTTTTTGTTGGGAAATCTTGCCAACCTGGAAACTTAGGCTTGCATTCTAATAGCACACACACAGATCTAGCAGTACTTTAGTTGTGATACAGAAAAGAGATCCCAAGGCTTCATAAGTAGTGAAGGGACATATTTTTCCATAACTATAACCAAAAACTGTACAGCTTAATCCTTGGTAACAGGTAACCAGCCACAACATACAGCTATGCAAGGCCTTATATAAAAAATTCTTCTAGCTGTGACCAGATTCATCAATACCTGATACTACATTGAGTATAAAATTTGCTCACCACAGCAGGAACGTAAGTAGGTGTACTGATCTGAGAAATGAGTATGCTTGCTACCCAATTTGATTCTGAGCTGATCTGCTCTGCTGTTTCAAGGTGACAATGGGAATAATATTATTTTTAAAATTTTGCTTACTGCCCTGTATTGAATCTGACACCACTAAGTAGCACAAAACTTGTCAAATAAAAATGAAATAACAGTTCACATTACCAAATATGCTTTTCTTTAAGTAAGGTTAAAAACTGCCACACCAAAGTAAGTTTTGTTGTAACCAACAGCAAATACAAGAGAGTTGTTTCTTTTCTGTTGATGTGATATTTTATGATATTGCCTCTCCTATTACTTAAAAAAATTAAATATGAAAAGGAATTTTTAAAAAGTTAAGGTTCTGTAAAACCAAATAGACGTGGCTGTGTCCAAACACTTATGGGCACTATGTATACTACTGAGAAAAGAAATTAAATGCGCCATTTTTGGAACCTACTGACTCAATTTATACATAATTTTAACAAACATAGATAAATGACTTTCAATATCTTATAGAAGCATTGTATTTTGAAAAAGGGATGGCTTACTACAAGCAGACACACACACATAAAACCAGTGTTTTCCAGGAATCTGGTAGCAAGCAGAAGAAAGGTAAAAATACTCAGAAATTGAATAGTGTGGGACTATTTAGAAAAGGGATCAATTTCCCCTTGCCCATAAATTGCCCAGTGTGGACCTCAGTGAGTTAATGAAGCATATTTAATAAGATTGAAAAATTTAAAATTTGGTTTAGGAAGATTTTAATCAAAAGAAAGATAATAAGGTTATCCAGAATGAAATATTTCCTAACATTCCAAGAAACAATGATCTTATTGTACTTACCTGGAGGAGGCAGCTCATAGCCCTCATAACTAATAACACAACATTGTGTTATTAGTTATGAGGGCTATGAGCTAGTTATATACTAACTCATTTACATTCACTGATAAGTCAACTATGAGGTTCCAACAATCAAATAAATTTCTAACAAAAGCATCTGAAATATTATGATTACTCAGCTCATTTACATATTTTGCTATTATGCTATGTAGTTTTTGACCAGATGGAAGCGATTATTTGTTCCTAAGTAAATAATTGTCCCTTTATTATTGAAAGGAGATGAATATTTTAAAGCAGTAAATACCATTACAAGATCATATGCTTTTTTATTATTATGGGGACATGATGCAATGATTCTGAGTGTCGTCACACAAATCACCCCTTCTTCCTCTGCTCTACTCCATACCCATTCCACCAAAACAGAAGTAGAAAATGGCACTAATCTAGAAAGAATTTAGGTGAATGAGTGTTGATGTCTTGAAAAGACAGACATACATCAGGTATTATGGAATAGAAAGGGTGATTTTACCAGAAAAAAGTGTCAAAGAGATTTTCTTTTGTACCTCAGTGTTCAACATATGACATAAAATTAGAAACTAATGATGTATATACTTTGCATTAAGAACCAAAATCAACCACATTTATTCCTTAGGACAAAAATACAAAGGATTCATCCCTCCACACTCCTTGATGAGTGTCTCTGTCCTCCACCCTTCACAAGTGTCAAGTGGAAAAGAAATATTTTGCTGGAGCATCTCAATCCAATAGTCAGGCAGCCAATCAAACCCCCTACTCCCAAAGCTAGTAATGCTCAGCCACTACTCATCACACACACACACACACACACACACACACACACACACCACTACACCATGTCACTTCAAGGAAGAACAAGCACCTAGTTTCCCTACATTAACATAACCATTACCTAAAATACCATAAATGACGCAACAATTCTTATTCTGTCCAGCACTTGTCATTTAACACATGTCAAAACAAAGCTATCTACATGTGATATTAAAAAGTCTATTCCTAAATATATAGCTTCTGTGTCACTTCTGTAAACTATTCATTTGTTTATCCCGCAAACATTTAGAGAGTATCTACTATATGCTACCTGCTGAGACACAACAATGAACAAGGAACACTCAATATCTGCCTCATCAAACTTCCATTCTGAAAATATAGACAGACAATAAATAAGTAAACAAATAAAAATAAAATAAAATATAAATAAGTAAAATAAAATAATTGCTACTAGTGCTAAAAGACAAGCAGGAAATAAAAAGGCAATGGTAGAGTAAATAATGATGGGAGTGGTATGTGTGTGATGGAGTATTTTAGAAAAGGTTCTGAGTTGGTGACGTTTTTCTAACTTTGAAAGTTTGAAGAAAAGCATTTTAGGAATAGAGAATAGTAAATGAAAAGGCCTTGTGTCATGAAAGACTTTCTAAGAACTGTAGAAGACCCACAACTGGTAGAAGCATAAGAACAAAATAAAGAGTTAGTCAAAGACCAAGTAATGTAGCCCACAATAATAAAATTGGATTTCCAATTTTCTTTCAATATGTTTTACAATAAAACTCGGGAGAATAGCTTAATACAATTTGCAATTTAGAAATATCACCCTGGCTGCTATGTGAATAAATCAGAGTAAGACAACATTACAAGAATATATATATATATATATATGGCTTAAACTAACAATACAGCAATAACTATTTGAAGAGAATAATAATTTGTTTAGAAAATATTTAGGAGATGCAACTCCAGGGTTTATCAATGGATCATATGTTGCTATTGTCATACTACCAAAGGCAGCTGGAATTTGAACTCCACAATGGCAATTTAAAAATATTGTTTTCCTATCTTCTGTGTCTAAAATGAGGTTCATCCAGCCCATACCACGTCCTTAATAAAATTGGGCTAAATAAACTATACATACTTGGGTATGCACTGTAACACTCCAAGAAAAGCTGGGAATTGTACCAAAAAAACCCAAAGCAAGCAATTATGTTTATGGGAAATTCTTGGGGGAGATAAGCCACTCATGAAGATTGACTTAGGGCATTTTTTTCTAAGGTTGCCATTGAGGAGGGGATGACTATTCCAAATCAGTCCTTACTCTTAGAGCAGTGGTTGGATAAGTTCCTTAAGAAGATTTACTTCATCTTACATCCACCCACCTACTCCTCCTAAGCTTCTGCTCCTCTTTTAACAACATCTAGAAAATTCCCATTCTTAATCTACAGGGATGTAGTACCTAGAGGATGACTATGGAAATACCTAGGAGTACAGGTGCATTCCCTGTCGGTGAGTGAACTGTGAAATCTTCTCAAGAGAAGCAATGCTTTGGGAGAAAACAAGAATCTGCGTGATGTTGAGGTCGTGAGATCTTCCTCTATGACAGTTTCTTCATAGCAAAAGGAGGGATTTTAACTAGAATTTTAAGAAATGTTCTACCTCTAAAATCCTATGATTCCGTTAAAGTAAAAGTAGGTTGAGAGTAAAATTCTCAGAAAGGTAAATTAAGAATGATTTGGGTAGCAATAGGGAGAAACAGTGATATCATCACCATTGTGGATATATACAACACTTAGAAAGAATGCAAATTAATTTTCCTATTTTTAGGATATGGAGCTCACTTATTCTGTGGGATGGTGAGGAAGGAGTATACAGAAGCATCTTCACCATATAGATGGGTATAGGTAGCCAAGGGACCTCGAGTGTCATAAATAAACCAGTAGCAGAAAATATCAAGATGTAGTTATTACATTGATTTTCTGTATGCATTGTTGCCCACAGTAAACTAGGCAAGAAGAAACCATTAGGATAAGAGAAGGGCTGATCTCAATGAGACTATTTTGAAGATCATTTGCTGCTTATTTCTCTTTTAATATACTTTAATATATTATTATATTTAATAATACACTTTAATGTTATTAAAGTATATTAAAATATATAGTATATACATTAACATTATTAAAGTATATTAAAATACTTATTTTATATACAACTATTAATATATTCTTTTAATTTACTTGAATATATTAAAGTATATTAAAATATATTTTATATATAATATAAATTATATATAAATATGTATATATCATATATTTCCATATATTACATATTTATATATTATATATATTTGCAGCTTATTTCTCTTTTAATATACTTAGATATGGGGTGTCAGTGCTATCAACTGAAGAATGATGGGGTTCATAAATTTGGAAAGGAGGACCTTTATTTCTCATAGAGTTGTAGCCTGAAGGGTGGCTATTATGACAGGCTGGGAAATATAGCCTCTGGCCAGGAGCCAGAAACAAATATTTCGAGACAGTGTCAAAAGGAATATGTACTGAGTGAGGTGGCCAAATACATATGCTCAATAAGCTATAGGAGGAATCTTGAATATTTATGAAAGGACAACCATGCACATGCACAATTGTGCTTCATGCCCCTTCATGAGTAGCATATAGTTGGTCTCTTATCAGGAAGGAATGCTGGTTAATTGCCATGTTAAAACCACAAAAAAAGAGGGACTGCTTCAGTGATTTGTTGATATCAGCAGTGGAGTCTTTCAAAAGAGCTGGTTTCTATTTAGCACTTAGGTAGGAAAGTCTAATGGTAGTTAAGTGAGGGCGGGGATGTAAGAAGGCACCTCTGACCGCCCATCTTGTCATGGATGAAAACTCAGCTTTTAAGGTTACTCTGGGGTGCCCTTGGCCAAGAGAGGGTCCATTCAGTAGCTTGGGGAGCTAAGGGTTTCATTTTTATTTTATTTCTCAGTGCCTTCATTCTAACCACAGCTAAGCACTTACTAGCTGTGTAATCCTGGGCAACTCACTTACCTCTGCCTCAGTGTGCCTCATTAGTGCAATGGAAATAATAACAGTACCTACTTCACAGGTATTGTAGTGATTAATGCATATAATGCTCCCCACATTTTTCCCAGACCCACAGTCCTGTTACATTGTTGATGTATCACTATTTTTAAATCCTTCAGCTATTCTCAGAAGCTTGTTTTCTAAAATGCCTGAAATTTTGTATGAATTTTGTATATATAAGTTCCATAAAAATGTCATATTTTTATGGCTCCCATAATAGTACTGTTTACACCTCCAGTACAAATTTTAACTCATTACATTGTAATTTTTCAGTTTGTATTTTGCAAAATATAACAGGAACTCTGAGCTCCTTGAGGTCATGGAGTATGTCTCATTTATATATCTACTGCCTAAAGTAGTTCCTAGCATGTTATGGTCTTCAATATGTGTTTGTTAAATGGATGGATGGATGGGATGATTACATGGATTTTTTATTGAATAAATAGATCAGTAGACTTTGACAAAAATTAAACACCACAACATCTAATTGTTTTTATTAATTCATTTCTTCTTTCCCTACTCTGCTACATAATTCCTAATTTTGCTTTTTGGAATCCTTTTTGTTAAAATACATATTTCACCCACATTTATTTCAAGTAAGAGTCTCTTTGCTTTTAAGTTTCTTTTTTGCTTTTCTATTTATTTTCAAAGTTTTTGCTACTACTAACACTAATCCCTTTGAAATGAAATATTTCAAGCCTCACCTTTCCCTTCCTCTTCACAGAGATCATCCTGAAGAACTATAAGAAGTAACTACCATGCCTATTCCAAAATTGACCACATAGTTGGAAGTAAAGCTCTCCTCAGCAAATGTAAAAGAACAGAAATTATAACAAACTATCTCTCAGACCACAGTGCAATCAAACTAGAACTCAGGATTAAGAATCTCACTCAAAGCCGCTCAACTACATGGAAACTGAACAACCTGCTCCTGAATGACTACTGGGTACATAACGAAATGAAGGCAGAAATAAAGATGTTCTTTGAAACCAACGAGAACAAAGACACAACATACCAGAATCTCTGGGACGCATTCAAAGCAGTGTGTAGAGGGAAATTTATAGCACTAAATGCCCACAAGGGAAAGCAGGAAAGATCCAAAATTGACACCCTAACATCACAATTAAAAGAACTAGAAAAGCAAGAGCAAACACATTCAAAAGCTAGCAGAAGGCAAGAAATAACTAAAATCAGAGCAGAACTGAAGGAAATAGAGACACAAAAAACCCTTCAAAAAATCAACGAATCCAGGAGCTGGTTTTTTGAAAGGATCAACAAAATTGATAGACCGCTAGCAAGACTAATAAAGAAAAAAAGAGAGAAGAATCAAATAGACACAATAAAAAATGATAAAGGGGATATCACCACCGATCCCACAGACATACAAACTACCATCAGAGAATACTACAAACACCTCTATGCAAATAAACTAGAAAATCTAGAAGAAATGGATAAATTCCTCGACACATACACTCTCCCAAGACTAAACCAGGAAGAAGTTGAATCTCTGAATAGACCAATAACAGGAGCTGAAATTGTGGCAATAATCAATAGCTTACCAACCAAAAAGAGTCCAGGACCAGATGGATTCACAGCCGAATTCTACCAGAGGTACAAGGAAGAACTGGTACCATTCCTTCTGAAACTATTCCAATCAATAGAAAAAGAGGGAATCCTCCCTAGCTCATTTTATGAGGCCAGCATCATTCTGATACCAAAGCCGGGCAGAGACACAACCAAAAAAGAGAATTTTAGACCAACATCCTTGATGAACATTGAGGCAAAAATCCTCAATAAAATACTGGCAAACCGAATCCAGCAGCACATCAAAAAGCTTATCCACCATGATCAAGTGGGCTTCATCCCTGGGATGCAAGGCTGGTTCAGTATACGCAAATCAATAAATGTAATCCAGCATATAAACAGAACCAAAGACAAAAACCACATGATTATCTCAATAGATGCAGAAAAAGCCTTTGACAAAATTCAACAACCCTTCATGCTAAAAACTCTCAATAAATTAGGTATTGATGGGACGTATTTCAAAATAATAAGAGCTATCTATGACAAACCCACAGCCAATATCATACTGAATGGGCAAAAACTGGAAGCATTCCCTTTGAAAACTGGCACAAGACAGGGATGCCCTCTCTCACCACTCCTATTCAACATAGTGTTGGAAGTTCTGGCCAGGGCAATTAGGCAAGAGAAGGAAATAAAGGGTATCCAATTAGGAAAAGAGGAAGTCAAATTGTCCCTGTTTGCAGACGACATGATTGTATATCTAGAAAACCCCATTGTCTCAGCCCAAAATCTCCTTAAGCTGATAAGCAACTTCAGCAAAGTCTCAGGATACAAAATCAATGTACAAAAATCACAAGCATTCTTATACACCAACAACAGACAAACAGAGAGCCAAATCATGAGTGAACTCCCATTCACAATTGCTTCAAAGAGAATAAAATACCTAGGAATCCAACTTACAAGGGATGTGAAGGACCTCTTCAAGGAGAACTACAAACCACTGCTCAAGGAAATAAAAGAGGATACAAACAAATGGAAGAACATTTCATGCTCATGGGTAGGAAGAATCAATATCGTGAAAATGGCCATACTGCCCAAGGTAATTTACAGATTCAATGCCATCCCCATCAAGCTACCAATGACTTTCTTCACAGAATTGGAAAAAACTACTTTAAAGTTCATATGGAACCAAAAAAGAGCCCGCATTGCCAAGTCAATCCTAAGCCAAAAGAACAAAGCTGGAGGCATCACACTACCTGACTTCAAACTATACTACAAGGCTACAGTAACCAAAACAGCATGGTATTGGTACCAAAACAGAGATATAGATCAATGGAACAGAACAGAGCCCTCAGAAATAATGCCGCGTACCTACAACTATCTGATCTTTGACAAACCTGACAAAAACAAGCAATGGGGAAAGGATTCCCTATTTAATAAATGGTGCTGGGAAAACTGGCTAGCCATATGTAGGAAGCTGAAACTGGATCCCTTCCTTACACCTTATACAAAAATCAATTCAAGATGGATTAAAGATTTAAACGTTAGACCTAAAACCATAAAAACCCTAGAAGAAAACCTAGGCATGACCATTCAGGACATAGGCATGGGCAAGGACTTCATGTCTAAAACACCAAAAGCAATGGCAACAAAAGCCAAAATTGACAAATGGGATCTAATTAAACTAAAGAGCTTCTGCACAGCAAAAGAAACTACCATCAGAGTGAACAGGCAACCTACAAAATGGGAGAAAATTTTCGCAACCTACTCATCTGACAAAGGGCTAATATCCAGAATCTACAATGAACTCAAACAAATTTACAAGAAAAAAACAAACAACCCCATCAAAAAGTGGACGAAGGACATGAACAGACACTTCTCAAAAGAAGACATTTATGCAGCCAAAAAACACATGAAAAAATGCTCATCATCACTGGCCATCAGAGAAATGCAAATCAAAACCACAATGAGATACCATCTCACACCAGTTAGAGTGGCAATCATTAAAAAGTCAGGAAACAACAGGTGCTGGAGAGGATGTGGAGAAATAGGAACACTTTTACACTGTTGGTGGGACTGTAAACTAGTTCATCCATTGTGGAAGTCAGTGTGGCGATTCCTCAGGGATCTAGAACTAGAAATACCATTTGACCCAGCCATCCCATTACTGGGTATATACCCAAATGACTATAAATCATGCTGCTATAAAGACACATGCACACGTATGTTTATTGCGGCATTATTCACAATAGCAAAGACTTGGAACCAACCCAAATGTCCAACAATGATAGACTGGATTAAGAAAATGTGGTACATATACACCATGGAATACTATGCAGCCACAAAAAATGATGAGTTCATGTCCTTTGTAGGGACATGGATGAAACTGGAAATCATCATTCTCAGTAAACTATCGCAAGAACAAAAAACCAAACACCGCATATTCTCACTCATAGGTGGGAATTGAACAATGAGATCACATGGACACAGGAAGGGGAATATCACACTCTGGGGACTGTGGTGGGGTGGGCGGAGGGGGGAGGGATAGCACTGGGAGATATACCTAATGCTAGATGACGAGTTAGTGGGTGCAGGGCACCAGCATGGCACATGTATACATATGTAACTAACCTGCACAATGTGCACATGTACCCTAAAACTTAAAGTATAAAAAAATAAAATAAAATAAAAATAAAAATAAAAATAAAAAGAAGTAACTAAAGATCTTGCGGTTTTCCTGACTTTCTTCCAGGAGTAAAAGGATTCAAAATTTTGGAAGTTTATTTTAATAATCTGTCACGCTCTGAAGACCCATAAATCAAAACAGCCTTCTCTGAGCTTGCTTAGAAATGATTCATCCTATGAGTATAAAATGATGAAGCTGTCTCTTCAATGCCCTGTTCAACCCTGACTTTAAAATGCTTTAATTATTGAGACCAAGGCTGAAAAGAAACAATTTGTCCACCCACTCCACAGCTAAAACCTACTCTATACTATCATCACAGTTCCCTAAGACATTTCCTTACATGCTGCTTTCTGTTTCTTACCACTGATCTCTGAGCATTTTACATAGTTATTCCCATCATTATTATCTGTCCTACTGTCTCAAAAATAGGATGGTTTATGTAAATGTTATAACAACATTCCACCTACCAATTACTGTGACAGTCTTGGTGCCTTCAGGAACTATGGGGAGGAGGTAGAAGAAGCCTCTTCCACCACCCGCAGTGGAGGACTTTATCCTGGGTACATGTTGGTATGCATCAGTTTCTGCCCTGATGTAACAGTAAACTAACTAGCAGCATGAGCTGTAACTACAAAAATCAATCCTCTGGAGGCCAGGAGAAGCCAAGTAGGAACATAAGCCCTGAGGGAATAATTTAAAAGTTGATTTGCACTTCATCCAAAGAGCACAGAAACACAACTTTTGAGTTTCACAGAAGAAGTAAGAAAAATGGCGAATTTCCCAGGATTAGGGGTGGAAAATGCTACGATGTACAATATGTGCTCTCTAGAGTATGACGTGCATTTTCAATTCTATTGTCCCAGAGGACAAAATAAGTTGTGCTGGAACAACTGGTTAACCAGATTTTTTAAAAGAATTATATTTTATAACTTATACTTAACATAAATTGCAAAGGAGTAATTTTTTTAATTACTAGAAACATAGAGAGACTATTTAAATTATTTTGGAATAAATAAAAACTTTTAAGTATATCCTGCCCCTATGAAGGAAAAACAATAAGAAAAGAGTTATAGCATATTTGATAATGAAATTTAAAATTTATCAATGGCAAACACAAATATAGGGGAAAATGTTAGAAATTAAAACAATTTAAAATTACTAGAAAATAAAGACAAATTTAACAGGCAAATAATGAACAGAAAAAAATAAATTTAAATAACTCCATTATATAAGAAGCACTTAAAAATCAGTCATACTATGGCAAAAATAATAATGATAATAATGCAATTTCAAAGTGGGTGAAAAACTTGAAGACATTTCTCAGAGGAAATACACAAATGGCCAACAGGTATAAGCAAATATGTTCAGCATCACTAGTTGTTAAGGAAATGCATATCCAAACACCAATGAGATATTGCCTCATGCCTATTAGCATGGCTATTATCAAAAAACAAAAGAAGTGTTGGCTAGAATTTAGGGAATTGAAACTCCTATACACTTTTGGTGGAAATAGAAAATGGTGCAGTCACTATGAAAAATAATGTGTCAGTTCCTCAAAACATTAAAAACAAAATTATTATATGATTCAGCAATCCCACTTTTAGGAATATGTCCAAAAGAATTGAAATCAGAACCTCAAAGAGATACCTTTACACCCATGTTTACTACAGCATTATTCACAAAAGCCAAGATATGGAAACAGCCTAAAAGTCCATAGACAGATGAACAAAGAAAATGTGTTAGACATCAGCTAGAATGGCAGAGTAGGTGATCTCAGTCTTTATTCCTCCTAAAGGAACAACAACTGGGCAAATATCCACAAATGAAAATATCTAGCAGAGATCAGGAATCTACTTCAGAAGTTAAAACAACAGAGCAGACAGAAAAACTTCAAGAAAAAACACAAAAAAATGGTAGAAAAAACAGTTTCATTTTGCCTGCGTCATCTTCCTCAGGCTGGCAGTGCTCAGTATGGAGAGGTCACTGCTCAGCTTGCAAGTTCCCCTTGCAGAGAAAAGAAGAGTGGAGTGAACCATCTTACCCAGCCTACTGGAGCATTGCCCAAACAACCAGCTTAAGTTTCACCCATCCCAGATTGCTAGGGAGACCAACATAGGAGAGAAATCTGTAAACTGCTGGTAAGAAAGAGAAATGATGAGGTCTATCAGTATCAGTCCTGTGGTAGGAATCAATGCAGTCCCCAGTAGCCTGATCTGAGCGGAATTCTGGTAGCCTTCTATACCAAGGACCTCAACAGCCCTCATGGATGTGACACAGGATTCTTTGAGGGCCACTTTGCCAAGTGGAAATCTCGATGGCCAGCAGAGCCTCTGCTGAGGCTTCACTCAGGCCCTCTGAGCTCGTCCTGCTCATTTGGCCTGGCAGGCTGTGCTCCACTCATGCTCACTCACCCAGATGCCATGACACCCACCGTAGCTCAGTGCTCAGCCCACGGTTGGTTTGGGCATGCTATGACTGACTTCTGCCTTGAGCGCTGGCATCTGGATAAGGGGGATGCAGCAGTGCCCAAAAACTCAGAGATGCCAGCAACTGTGGAGCCCGAAGAGGTGTTACAGCTTTTGCTCTGGGAGTCAAGGTCTGAGCCCCCAGGAAGTGTTACAGCTCTTGTTCGTTCTCACTGCTGGCAGTTTCAGCAAATGGGGATGTGTCACAGCTCATTCAGTCCTGCTGCCCACAGCTCAGCAATTGGGGACTTGTGGCACCCAGCATTTTTTTTTCACTTCTGTAGCTTGGTGAACAGGAGGTGTATCTTACAGCTCTTTTCGCACCCACTGTTCAGTGGATCCTGGATTCTTGTCCTGCAACCAACAGGAATGAAGCATGCAGACACCGCAGAGTGAGCAAGGCTGATGAGATTTTTATTGAGCGGCAGAAAAGCTCTTGACAACAAGAGAGTAGCCAAAGTGGGCAGCCCTCTGTGTAAGAGTGGGGCTGAAAGCAGAGAGCCATCTGTGAGGCTGAGTCTGGGGTTTTTATGGGCTCAGAATGGAGGAATCTGTGCTGATTGGTTCATGGGCAGGCCTGGAAAAAGCACCATTTAATTGACTAAAAGGCACTGAGGAAGTTCTCAGTTGGGTCGTGGACTCCACCTGGAACTGGCGGCTTGGTTTTCAGGCCTCAGGTTGTCTTTGGCTTGAAGGTTGGGATTCACCAGGGACTTATCCCTGTCTGCCTAGGAATCTGTCTGTCTCCTGTCATTATCAGCTGCACATACCACACTGCTTTTACTACCAAGGAACCCACAATTATCATTGCACAAACTATAGTACTTAACTCCACAGAGGACTCCAGCAGGTTTAGTCACTGACAAAATCAACACCCAAAGATCACAAAGAAGCAGGAAAACATGACACCACCAAAGGAACAAAATTAATTTCTAGTAACCAACCCCAAAGAATTGGAGATCTATAAATTGCCTGGAAAAAATCAAAATAATTGCCTAAGGAATCTTGGGGAACTACAAGAGAACACAAATAAATAGTTTAATGAAATCAGGAAGACAATCCAAGAACAAAATGAGAAGCTCAATAAAGAGACAGAAAATATTTTAAAAAGAACCAAACAGAAATGTTGGAGCTGAAAAATACAACAGCTAAACTAAAAAAATGTAATAGAGGCTTGAACATCAGACTAAGTGAAGCAGAATAAAAAAATAAGTGAACTCAAAGACCGAGCATTTTAAATCATCCAGTAAGTGGAGATAAAAGAAAAAAAAGAATAAAACCTACAGAAGCCATGGAATACTATCAAGAGAGCTAACATTAGAATTATAGTAGGTTCAGAAGAAAAATAGAGAGAGCATTAGATAGAAAGCTTATTTAAGGAAATAATCATAGGAAACTTAGCAAATGTCAGGAAAGAAATGAGCATCCAGATGCATGAAGCCTAAAGTTCTCCAGTCAATTCAACCAAAAAAAGAATCCACAAACATACATTATCATCAACCTGGCAAAAATCAAAAACAAAGAGAGAAGCTTGTAAGCAGCAAGAGAAAAGAATCATGTCATATAAAAAAGGACCCAAATAAAGCTATCAGTGGATTTCTCAGCAGGAACCTTGAGGATCAGGAGAGAATGAAATAATATATTCAAAGCAATGGAAGAAAAATAAAACTGCCAACCAGCAATATTTTGCCAGCAAAGCTGTCCTTCAGAAATGAAGAAGATAAAGACTTTTTTAGAAAAAAAAAAGAAAAGTTGAGTGAGTCTTCACTATTGCTTGCCTTACAAGAAATGCTAAAGGGGGATTTTTAAGATTAAATAAAAGGCAGCTAATTAGTAACATTAAAACATATAAAAATATAAAACTAACTGGTAAAGTATATATATGGTTAAATTTAGAATATTCAAGCACCATAATGGTGGTGGTGTAAATCACAACATCATTATAAAGTTATAAGATGAATGTATGAAAAATGACTATAGCTATAATAAATTCTTAAGACATATAAAAAATGTAAACTGTAACATCAAAAGCACAATGTAAGAGAAGGGAAGTAAAAGTACAGAGCTTCTTTAGCAATCAAAGTGAAGATGTTATCGTCTTTAAGTGAATTGGTTAAACAATAAGAATATTTATGTAAGCCTCATGGCAACCACAAATTAAAAACCTATAGTAAATACACAAAAGATAAACAGAAAAGAATCAAAGCATACCACCGAGGAAAATGATCAAATCACAAAGGAAAACAACAAAGGAGTAATAAAGGAATAAAGGACCTACAAAGCAACCAGAAAACAATAAATTGACAATAATAAATCTTTACTTACCAACTATAAATAAGCAAATTTTGTCAATCAAAAGACAAAAAGTGGCTGAATTGATTTATAAAAATAAGATCCAACTAAATGCTGCCTACAAGAAACTCACTTCACCTTTAATAACACACATAGACTAAAAGTAAAGGGATAAAAAACAAAAATATTCCATGAAAATGAAAACCAAAAAAGAGCAGTAGCAGTTACATGTGTATCACACAAAACAGACTTTAAATACTGTCACAAGAGACAAAGAAGGTCATTAGATGTTGGTAAAAAAGTCAATTCATCAAGATAATAGAACAGTTATAAATATGAATACACCCAACATCAGAGCACCTAAATATATAAAGCAAATATTAACAAATCTAAAGCAAGAGATAGACTGCAATGCAATATTAATAGAGAACTTTAATATCTGATTTTCAACAATGGATAAATCATCCAGAAAGAATATTATTAAGAAAACATTGTCTTGAACTACTTCAGACTAAATGAATCTAATAGACATACACGGAATATTTGATCCAACAGCAGAACACACATTCTTCTCAAGCTTACACAGAATATTCTCCTGGACAGATTGTATGTTAAGCCACAAACAAGTCTTAACAAATTTCAGAAGACTGAAATCATATCAGATATATTTTCTGACCATAGTGGTATGAAACTAAAATCAATAATAACAGGAAAACTGGAAAATTCATGTACATATGGAAATTAAACAACCACCAATGGGCCAAAAAAAGAAGTCAAAAGGTAAATGTAAAAATATCTTGAGACACATGAAAATGGACATGACATACAAAAAGGTATGAGATGCAGCAAAAGTAGTTTTAAGGGAGAAATGTATAGTAATAAATGTTTACAAAAAAAAGACGAAAGGTCTCAAATTAACAACCTAACATTACAGCTCAATGAACTAAAAAAAGAACAAACTAAGCCCAAAGTTAGAAAAAAAGGACATAACAAAGATTAGAAAAGAAATCAATGAAAGTGAGACTAGAGAAACAGTAGAAAAGATCATGAAACTAAGATTGATTTTTGGAAATATAAATAAAATCAACAATACTTGATCTACACTGAGAAAAAATAGACTTAAATAAATAAAAGCCAAAATGAAAAAGGAAACATTACAACTGATGCTACAAAAAATATAAAGAATCATAAGATAATACTATGAACCATTACAAGTCAAAAGATTGGATAGCCTAGAAGAAATGGATAAATTCCTAGACACATACAGCCTACAAGACTGAATCATGAAAAGCTAGAAAATCTTAACAGTAATGAGTAAGGAGATTGAATCAATAATAAAATCTCCTATCAAAGAAAATCCTAGGACCTGATGGCTTCATAGTTGAATTCTACCAAATATTTTGAAAAGAACTAATACCTATCCTTCTAAAATCCTTCCAAAAAGTTGAAGAGGAGGGGATATTTTAAAACTCATTTTACAATGCCAACGCTGCCTTCATACCAAACCCAGATAAGGACACCAACAAGAAATATAGATTATAGGCCAATGTCCCTTGTGAACAAAGGTCCAACAATCCTCAACAAACTACTGGCAAACCAAATATACCAGGACATTAAAAAGATTTTGCATCACGACAAAGTAGGATTTATTCCTGGGATGTAAGAATTATCCAACATACACAATCAACAAATGTGCTACACCACATTAACAGAATAAGAAATAAAAACCATGAGATCATCTAAACAAATGCAGAAAAATCATTTGACAAAATTCAACATTCTTTCACAATACAAAATTTTCAACAAATTAATTATAGGAATGTACCTCAACACAATAAAGCCTGTATATCACAAGCCTATGATAAACATTATACTCGATGAGAAATTGAAATGTTTCCCTCTAAGATCAAGAACAAGACCACTCTCCCCACTTCCATTCAACATAGTACTGGACGTCATAACCAAAGTAATTAGGAAAAAGAAATAAAGTGCATCCAAATAAAAAAGTTAGTGTCTCTGTTAGAAGATGGCATGATCCTATGTAGAAAGAATCCTGAAGACTCCACTAAAAAACTGTTAGAACTAATAAGCAAATTCAGTAATTTTGCAGACTACAAAATCAACAGAAAAATTCAGTTGCATTTCTTTACACCAATAATGATCTATAGAAAGAAAAAGTCAAGAAAAAGTTATCATTATGAGCACAGCAAAAAGAATAAAATACTTACAAATAAATTTAACTAAAGAGGTAGAATATCTGTACACTGAAAAGTATAAAAGATTAATGAAATAAATTGTGGAAGACAAAAATAAGTGAAACATATCCCATATTCATGAACTGGAAGAATTAATATTGTTAAAAAGTCCATACTACTGAAAATGATCTGTACATTCAACGCAATCCCGATCAAAATGGCAATGAACATTTTTCACAGCAATGGAAAAAATAATTCTGAAATTCATATGCAACCATAAAAGAGCATGAAAAGCTTAAGCAATCTTGAGTATAAGTACAAAGCTAGAGGTATTAAACTTCCTGATTTCAACTCCATTACAAAACTGTAATAATCAAAACAGATGTTGCTGGCATAAAAACATGTATACCAATAAAACAGAATAGAAAGCTCAGAACTAAACTCACATACCTACAGTCAGCTAATTTTTTCAACTAAGGTACCAAGAATATACAATGTAAAGGACAGACTCGTCTATAAATGATGTTGGGAAATTGGATATCCACATGCAAAGAATCCGTGCTTCTCTTATTCCAATCACAAAAGTTAATTCAAAGTGGATTATAGACTTAACATAAGACCTGGCCCCATAAACTCCTAGGAGGAAACATGGGGAAAAGTTCCTGGATATTGGTCTCATCTTTATTTGTTTGATGAAAGAGAAATCTACAGAAAGGGAGAAAATATTTGTATACCATACATCCAATAAGGAGTTAATATCCAAAATATATACAGAACTTATACTACCAAATAGCAAACAAACAAGCTTCTAAATGGGCAAAAGATATTTTTAAAATGATTTCATAAAATGGGCAAAGGATCTGAATAGATATTTTTCCAAAGAAGATACACAAATGGCCAACAGGTATATGGAAAAAATGCTCAAAATCAGAAATCATCAAGGCAAATCAAAACCTCACTGAGATATCACCAACCACCTGTTAGATTGCCTTTTATCAAAAAGTCCAGTGATAGCATGTGTTGGCAAGGATGTAAAGGAAACCTGATATGGTTTGGCTGTGTCCCCACCCAAATCCCATCTTGAATTATAGTTCCCGTAGTCCTCACATGTCATGGGAGAGACCCAGTGAAAGGTAATTGAATCATGGGGGCAGTTTTCTCATGTTATTCTAGTGATAGTGAGTAAGTTCTTACAAGATCTGATGACTTTACCTGGGGCTTTATCCTTTACTCAGTTCTCAGTCTTCTCTCTCTTGCCACCATGTGAAGAAAGACATGTTTGCTTCCTCTTCCACCATGACTGTGACTATAAGTTTCCTGAGGCCTTCCCAGCCATGCTGAAATGTGGGTCAGTTAAACCTCTTTCCTATATAAATTACCTAGTCTCAGATATGTCTTTATTAGCAGTGTGAGAACGGACTAATACAAAACCCTTGTAAACTTTTGGTAGAGATATAAATTAGTGCAACCATTATTGAAGACAGTATGTAGGCTCCTCAAAAAAAAAAAAAAAAAAACTTCTCATATAATAACAGCAATCCCACTTCTAGGTATGTATGCAAAAGAAATAAAACCACTATCTTAAAGAGATATCTGCACTCTCAAATTCACTGCAGCATTGTAACACTAGCCAAGATATAGAAACAAACTAAGTGTTCATCTACAGATGCATAGATTTTTTTAATGTGGTACAAACACACACAATGGATTATTCAGCCTTAAAAAGAAGGAAATCCTGCCATTTGCCACATGGATAAACCTGGAGGACATTATGCTAAGTGCAATAAGCCAGATACATAACGACAAATACTACATGATATCCCATACAGGTGCAATATTTAAAAAAATCAAACTCATAGCAATGGACAGTAGAGTGGTGGTTAGCAGGGGCTGGGAAATGCCAGGAAAAAGATGTTGGTCAAAGGGTACAAACTTTCAGCTACAAGATGAGTAAGTACTGGAGACCAAATGTACAGTAGCTTCAAATTTGCTAAGAAAGTAGATCTCAAGTGTTAACACACACACATACACACATTATACACAAATGGTAATGATGTAACATGATGAATATATTAATTAGCTTGGTTGTGGTAATCATTTCGTAAGTATGCATATACCCTAAATATATGCAAATTTTATTTGTAAATCATACCTCAATAAAGCCTGAGAAAATTGTAGTATATATATGCAATGGAGTATTATTCAGCCTTTAAAAAGCAACTTACAGAAGGACAAATACTGCATGATCTCACTTATGTGTGGAATCTAAAATACTCAAACTGAAGGTAGGATGGCGGTTGCCAAGAGTGGAAAGGAAAGGGAGAAATGAGGAGATAATGGACTAAAGGTTACAAAGTTTCAGTTATGCAAAAATGAGTGAGTTCTGGAGAGTTAATGCACAACATGGTGTCTGTATTACAATGCAATACTGTATTGGACAACTGAAATGTACTAAGGGAGTAGATCTTAAGGGTTCACACCACACACAGAAAAACATAACCCTGTGAGGTAATGGATATGTTAATTATCTTAAGTGTGATGATCATTTCACAGTGTACACATAGTTCAAAACATCAAGTTGCACATTTAAATATGTATGATTCTTATTTGTCAAATATACTTCAATAAAACTGGAAAAGGGGAATGAAGGAGAATAAGCTAGACCATGTGGCCACATGCTGGTTGACCTCCCACTGAAGGTCATTCCTCCTTTCAAATGGCTATCATAAATATCTCTTTTTGGGGTTTCTGTATTTCCTCCCTCTCTCAGTCCCTTCAGGCACAATGGTGTAAACAGCTCCACCCCATCTTACCCCTGGCCTGTGTGGTACTCTATACCTATAAATTCATAGACAGCATCTCGTTAAATAAATGTTTATCAAATTATCCTATATTAAGTGTGTCATTAACTTCCTGTTGGAACTCTAAATGATATAATTTTCTATAAATGTATCCTTCCTTGAGTGTATCAACTTGTTTCATCTTATTGACTGTACCTTTACAACTAAGATGTTTCTATATATTAGATAATATAAATTTTCACACTCTCCTTTCTGTTTTATGAACCTGGAGGGCTTCCATCTTCTGCTTTCATCCATTTCTGTTGTCTCCTATGCCTACTGTACATCTGTCATCTTAAAAGTGCCTTTTGATCCCTTCGTAGTTCATAAGCGTGATGACTGAGTTTTTGCACTCCTGTGTGAAATGTACCTCCCTCAAACCTTATGACATATATACATTACCTGACTCACATGAAGAAAGAAAAAAGAGATTGGGATTTTTTTTAAAGTGGCTTTAGCCACCCTGCATTGCATATATTAGTTTATTGATCTCATTTCTTCCTCTTGTTTTGCTGGGATATATTATCCCACACTTTCAAAAAAAGAGAGTACTTATGAAGTAAACTTTATAAATTTTTGTATGATTAAATATGCTTTATTCTATCTTCCTGATAGATTTGTTCTGTATAGAATTCTAGCCTGAAAATCAGTGTGAGAAACTTTTCCACTGTATTCTAAGGATGAGCTTGCTACAGAGCATACTCATGCCATTTGAATTTCTGTTCATTCGTGAGCTATACGGTTTTTTCTTAATAATTTTACAATATTTTCAATCGTTAAGGTGATAAAATTTCATAATAACGTGCCTTGGGATTTTTTTTAAATCTTGTGGTGGGCATTCAGTAAATCTTTCATATCGAGAAAATTAAGCTTTTCTGTTCTAAGAAATTTATTTTCATTGTTTCTTTTAAATCCATCCTTCTGTTTAATTTGTCCTCCTGGAATATGTGTGAGTTGAATGGTTTGCCCCTAACTTGATTCCTTGTGTTTCTTGTTTTTATCTTTCATGTTTTCTATTTCTTTGACATTTTCATTCTACTTTCATAGAGACTGTACTTTTATGACTTCTTTGACTACTTGTTTTATTTCTTTTAATGCCATATTAATTTTATTGTTCTTTTTGATTTTACCTTCCAAAAATAATTTTTCTATATTTTTTCAGTACATCATATTCTTATTTCAAGATTACAAATATTTTCTTTCATTGATGAGAAGATACAGTTTTTTACAGTTCCCCCCCCCCCCCCGAATTACCTCTAATTCCACCAGTTTCCTTTTGGCTTTTTTAAAGACTTACTTTTTTCTTTTTTTCAAAAGCCTTATGTAAATTTTAGATTGATCTCTTAAGCCAGCTTACTAACTGGCAGGCTTCTGGTCAGGGTTCCAGTAGAAAGGTAGCCATTTCATTTGTAATCTCCAAAGGCAGATGTGACATTAACATTCAGTTTCTTAAACAAAGGTGCCAATGTTCTGTCTGTGACTCATATGCTACCGTTAGCATCTGGGAGCAGAAAGAGAGGATAGAAGATTGAACTGTTCCTTTCTCTTAATCTTCATTAGCAGCCCTGAACCTCACCTCCCGCTGACCTGGCATCCTGCATCCCAATCATCGTAGGGATTCCAGGAAATGAATCTCTCCCCTTTTCCTCACTATTCCTCTTGTTGGGAATTTAGACTTAGCCTTCCCGACCCTCCCAAATCAGTTACTACTTTTTTGTCTTACCTTTTCCAAACTTTTGTTGAAATCTCTTCTCTGCATCTAACTCCTGTCCTGTTTCTTTGTTCCTGTGGGTCTCAGCCATTTTTTTCTTACTGCAAGTGTTGTTATTTTTATTATTAATACTTTGCTCTTAGGAGGGAAAAGGAAACCTAATGTATTCTATCATTTTTAATATAATTTGTGGGTTTGTTGTCTATCTTAAAAAATCAGGAGTTTAAAAAAAGGATAGAATGACCCTTTTGCAAAGGGAAAGTAATATGAAAATAACTATAAGGACATGCAATAACTATAAAGAAATTTTAATAATCAAAATGTTAATGGTGATCATGTATGAGAGGGCTGGAGTAGACAAACCATTTTAAAGACTTTTCAAAAGTCCCACCAACCAACTACTATTAACATCAGATTGTCCACTGGGCTTCAAAAGGAATATCTTTTTCTTATAAGGTCATTCTAAATTATTGAATTGAAGTTTAAAAGAGCCTGAGGCAAGTCAATGCAATATTTTAGTTGGGCCACCATGAATAATGTCAGGTCCCCATTACTAAGGAAAAAAATAGAAATTGGAGTTACAATCAACAGATTTTGACAAGTACCTACTGTGCAAGCCCCTCTAGTCCATACATGAAGAGTAGAAAAGAATATACATCATTTGTATTCTTCATAAGTTGTAGATCTCAGATAAAAATCCACTAAAAAAGAGAAAAAGGTAAGTGATATTTTATAAATTGCATACAGGATTGCTTAAGGCATATAGAAAATAAATGTTGAACAAAAATAATCAGGGCAGAATTCTTGAACAACATCAGTCATGAGACAAGATCTAAGAAAATTTCTTAGAAGAAAAATGCCTTTTCCAGAATACTGAGAATACTTAACTATTTTTCAACTTTACTAAGAATACCACAAGAAGAAAATGTGCTTATTCCATTTTGTTGTTTTAAGGAACTGAAGACAAGTTCAACTAAAAATTTATAATAGAATTACATCTCCTTAGTCATTTCAATGGTACAAATACCAACTCATTTTAGTTGCTTTAATCTAGTCTGTTTTTATTGGCAAAAAAGTAAGATTTCTTTCAGTAAAGATAGTATTATAGTAATGGGTAGAAGAGTATTCAAATTCTCCAAGAGGGTCTTTGAAGAAATTGCTGTCCACCTCAAAATATGTAAAGTTCTATTTTTTTTTTTCCTGCACAGAAACCATCCTTTGGGCAATTTGTTGATTTATACTAACCCTCTTCATTATAGGAAGTATGTATTTCTATGTCTGCATTTGTTGTATTGTATTGTAATTATCTCCTTGCAAATCTGTTTCCCTGACTAGATTTTGCAATATGTATAAGAAAAGACTAGAGAAGGACGAAAAAGAAAACAAAAGAAGGAGGGAAAAGGTGCAGCTTCTGGTAAATTAGACCTCTTTTTTGAAGAGACATGATATGGTGAGAAGATATGATCAGGGATATCTTTCTCTTATAACCCCACTCTAAATTACTGAATGGTAGCTTAAGAGAGTTTGATGTGAATAGAAGGGATTTAACGAGGTTAAATGAGATATTGAGTAGGAGTGTTAACTCTTGTACTCTAGAAGAGAGAATAAACCTTGCCAAGTATGGAAAGGTTTAAGTTTAGCCCGTCTAAAATAGCCTCAAATTATTTCCTGTTAGACAAAATATAAAAGCTGCATTTTAGGAACTGTTTTTTTAATTATTAGTAAATTAGGGATCATTGAAGGTATCCACTAATTCAGTGATTTTGCAATTCTGACAAACTATCCTCTCTGCTTTTCCTTCAAGGAGATCTTGCTACTCCATAGCCACCTCATGGCATTCTTTACTCCTCATTCCTCAGAGTATAGATGAGTGGGTTCAGCATTGGGGTGATGGTGGTATAGAACACAGACACAGCTTTATCCAATGGGAAAGTAGTGGATGGAGATAAATAAAGATACACGGAACAAAGAAGAAAGTTACTATAGTCAGATGAGATCCACAGGTAGAGAGAACTTTGTGTCAGCTCTCTGCAGACTGTTTTTGAAGACTAAACAGAATGACTGTGTAGGAGGCCAAAAGAATGAGGAAACACCCCAGGGAGATGAGACCACTGTTGGCAACCACCAACATATTTACCAGAGTTGTATCAGCACAGGCAAGTTTTAGGACTGGGTGGACATCACAAAAGTAATGGTCTATAACCTGAGCATTACAGAAGGGCAGCTGGAAGGTCAGGACGGTCTGAACAAAGGAATGACCCAGGGCCCCCAACCAGGACAGTGATGCCAGCACAGTATAAGCATTAGCACTCATGATGACAGTGTAACGGAGGGGTTGGCAGATAGCAGCATAGCGATCAAAAGCCATGACAGTCAAAACAAAAATCTCAGCACAACCAAAAAAGTGGAAGGTAAACATCTGAGTTATACAGCCCCAGTAGGAAATAGTCTTTTTCTCAGAAACAAAGTCTTCAATCATCTTGGGTGCTGTGGCTGAGGAACAGGCAATGTCCACAAAAGACAGGTTACTGAGGAAGAAATACATGGGTGTGTGTAGTCGGGAGTCAGAAAAGACCATAAGCAAAATGAGCAAATTTCCCACCATGATCACGACGTAGAAGAGGAGAAATAAGACAAAGAACATCAATTGCATTCCAGAATCTTGGGAAAGTCCCAGGAATATAAACTCAGTGACATTGTTGGCCACTTTCATGGGGCCCCAGGCAGGACTCGTGGAGTGACTCTGGTTCTCTGCAAAAATAAACACGTTATAAACCATGGTAAGCATAGTAAAGCCTATCAGTAAGAGTCTTGTGAAAACACCTATATGATGTTAAATATGGTAGAGAAAGTTCTTCATATTTCTTGAACATAGTTCATGAATATTTTTCTTGTCTTTAGCTTGATTTCCACACTATTGACTCACATTTGAATTTCTTTCATAATTAGTCTTATAGTTCCTCTTTTCCATACAAGAACCTAGAGAATCTGAGTCTTTTTTATTGAATTTAATGTTTTTCCCTAATCAGCGCTCTCTCTCCCCCCACCTCCAACTTCTCTTGTCAGAAATTTACTTTGGAGTGAGAACTTTGTTTAAATAAATTAATTAATTTTTTGAGGCTGTAAATAAAAGCATGAAGTCAGAGTATAAGATCTGATGTATAAAATTTCAGAATCCTTCAAATATAATGTATGCTACTCACCTATAGAAAAGTAACATTTTATTTAATCAAGAGAGGAAGACTCAGTTTCCAATTTCTCAATTAGATTAAAAGTCTCTAAATATCTCCTAGATTTTGGTCTAGGATTTTCATAGTTTGTGGCCTTACATTTAAATCTTTAATCTATCCTGTTAATTTTCTTACATGCTGAAAAGCAAGGGTCTAGCTTCATCCTCCTGCACTTTGCACATCAAGGAATTAGAAAATAAAGGACAAACCAACTCCATAGCTAGCAGAAGAAAAGAAATAACAAAAATTAGAGAACAACTTAATGAAAGTGAGGTGCAAAAATCTATACAAAACGTCAATGAAACCAAGAGTTAGTCTTTTGAAAAAATAAGATTGTTAGACTGCTAGTTAGATTAAAAAAAAGTAAAAAAAAAAGAAGATCCAAATGAGTACAGTCAAAAAGTACAAAAATGACATTACAACTGATCCCACAGAAATACAAAAGATCCTCAGAGAATACTATGAACAACTGTATGCACACAAATTAGAAAATCTGGAAGAAACGGATAAATCCCTGGAACAACACAATCTCCTAAAATTGAATTAGGAAGAGACTGTAATCCTTAATAAGTCAATATCAAGCTCTGAAATTGAATCAGTAATAAAAAAAAAAAACTCTACTAACCAAAAAAAGCCCAGGACCAGAGGAATTCACAGTTGAATTCTACCAGACATATAAAGAAGAAATGGTACCAATCCTACTGAAAGTATTCCCAAAAAAATCAAAAAGGAAGGGCTCCCCCCTAACTCATTCTATGAAGCTAGCATCAGCCTAATACCAAAATCTGGCAGAAACAAAACAAAGAAAGAAAACATCAGGCCAATATCCTGATGAACATAGATGCAAAAATCCTCAACACAATACTAGCAAACCAAATTCAGCGGCACATCAGTAAGTTAATTCACCACGATCAAGTAGGCTTTGTTCCTGGAAACAAAGAGAGACTTGAAAATGCAAAAGGGAATACAAAACGCTCTTGCTTTTCTTAAAATAACGCTACCAATTCCAGCTATCAACAGGACATTTAAAATGATTTGCCAAGACTATACATTTTGCTATGAAAGAGAGCATCAGAAAAAGGGGATGTTGCAGCCGGCTTATACTAAGAGAAAGCCTGGAGCTCTATGTTCTTGAAACATGCCTGGTAATCCCTAGCACCACTCAAATCTTTCTGGTAACTCACACACTACTCTCGGGCAGTTTCCTGCACTTCAGGATATTCAAAATATTACCTTCAGGATATCATACTGCTCTTCAGGATATTCAACGTATGCAAAAAACTCTAAAAGTGTAGAGCAGAGTAAAGCAAAAAAGAAGAACATGATGTTCCAGGTATGCCATTCTCACCCTCACCCATACTATTTAGAAATCTCCCAAATGGCAGCCTAGTTCCTAGTCTGTGAGGAGTCCTTCTGTAGCAATATATACATATACACATACGTACATATGGCTTCTTAAATATGAAGTCATTAACTCCCAACACAAAAATAAAAATACATTTTTTGTCCCTATATCAAGAAAGCTCTTACATGACCAGGGTTATTGGCATTTTCCAGTATATCCTAGTATTAGATGGAGTTTCAGACTTTTTTTCACAAGTATATTTTTCAGCTAAGTAATCATAAATACCTCTCTATGGCAATTCATTAGGAGATAAAGTGACAAAATATAAAAAACATTATAAAAATTTGTCATTATCTTATTATATAGTAAATAGAATAAAGACTTTTCATAGCCATAAAATATTGCAAGGATCCTATGTCAGAGATAGATAATCTTAAATATAAATGTTTAAGTTAACCTTTTTAGGGATCTTCCAGCTCTGAAGCTCCTATACAGGTATTATAGAAATTAAGTAATCTAGCCAGGTGTCGTGGCTCACGCCTGTAATCCCAGCACTTTGGGAGGCTGAGGCAGGCACATCACCTGAGGTCAGGAGTTCAAGACCAGCCTGGCCAACATGGAGAGACCCTGTCTCTACTAAAAATACAAAAACTAGCCAGGCATGGTGGCCGGTGCCTGTAATCCCAGCTACTTAGGAGGCTGAGGCAGGAGGATCACTTGAACCTGGGAGGCAGAGGTTGCAGTGAGCCAAAATCGTGCCACTGCACTCCAGCCTGGGAGACAAGAGTAAGACTCTGTCTCAAAAAAAAAAAAAAAAAAAGAAAGAAAGAGAAAGAAGAAAGGAAGGAAGAAAGAGAGAAAGAGACACAGAAAGAAAGAGAAAGAAAGAAGCAATCTGTATAATTGGGATAAATACACTTTCTGAGGAGAAATAAAATATTAACTTAATTATATAATTATTAGCTTTCTTTTTTTTTTTTTCTTTGAGACCGAGTTTTGCTCTTGTTGCCCAAGCTGCAGTGCAGTGGTGCGATCTCAGCTCACTGCAACCTCTGCCTCCCGGGTTCAAGTGATTCTCCTGACTCAGCCTTCCTGAGTAGCTGGGATTACAGGATTACAGGCATGCGCCACCATGCACGGCTAATTTTGTATTTTTAGTAGAGATGGGGTTTCTCCATGTTGGTCAAGCTGGTCTCAAACTCCTGACTTCAGATGATCTGAACACCTTGGCCTCCCAAAGTGCTGGGATTACAAGCAGCTTTCTTGATTGATTACATTTTTTCTAAGTGGTCATGGGCAAGTCACTTAACTCAGAGTTCATTTTCAAAAATGAAGTTAGGTAAATTTATTCCTCAAACATGTTTGAGACTCAGAGGTAATAACTGTGAGCATCTCAAGAATGAGTGCTTTCAACCACAGTTCATTTCTTCCTCCTTTCGAGGCTAAAACTCTTAAACATTATGGTCAGTTGAAGAGCCAGCTTACCTATTCACCCTCACTGTAATTCCACTCAAAGAAAAACTCAATGTGAAACTGGGTACCTCTTCTTGAGAAGCCTCTACAACAGAATACTAACAGCTTCCATCACCCCTGCACTCCTGGACTTCCTTTCTCTCACACGTAAACTTTGCTAAGAGCATATGTTCATTAGAGTGATGCCTGACTACATTTCTAAAACTTGGGACACTGTGGAACACAGTTCTGAGGTAAATACTACTACATAGGTGGTTGTTACTGTTCTCAGGCTTTGTTATAACAGAACAAAGAAATTCACACTACTTCAGAAGAGGATCTGATGAGACATCAGAAGGAACTTCCTAACACTAGGAATCATTAAATGCTGGAGGAAAGGAACACAAAAAGAGATATATCTTGTTTCATTTGAATAGATTAAAAAGTGGAACAAATTGAATAAATGAAGAGTACTTAGAACATGAAGATAGAAAAGTTGATCTTTCAATTAATGCTTGTTATTTGTGGCCAGTAAATTCTACTGAGTTCCCGAGTTCTCTTGATTATGGTCAAAAGGCATAGGTGGCTTTCCAGAGTGCCACCTGTGCTTTTAAATTGTAATCAAGAGTGATCTATTATAATCTTTAGGCTATCTTTTTTATACCAAAGTCATCAAAATGGTTTTTAGACATGTACAAGATGAGTTAAGAGTCTTCCAAGAAAGAGTATGTTTTTCAAATCACCTCTTCTGCTCATTCTTTAACAAGGAAATGGAATGTCACATGGTTTTATCCTCAGCTTCTTCATAGCTGTCTTCATATCAGCATTTCTGAGTGTGTAGATGAGGGGGCTCAACATAGGTGTCATCACTGTGTAAAACATGGAGAATATCTTATCCACAGAGAAGCTGCAGAAAGGCCTCAGATAGATGAATATACATGGCATGAAGATCAGGCTGACCACTGTCAGGTGAGAAGCACAGGTAGAGAGGAACTTGTTCTGGCCCTGGCCGAAGTGTGTTCTCAGGGTGATCAGGATGACAGCATAAGAGAATAGTAAGACCAAGAAGCAGACAAGAGAGAGCAGACCACTGTTGGCTATCATCAGCACCTCTACCACATAGGTGTCCATGCAGGCCAGCTTGATGACCTGTGGGACATCACAGTAGAAGTTGTCCAGTTCATTGGGGCCACAGAAAGGCAGCTGGATGACTAGTATGACCTGCATGATAGAGTGGATAAAACCCCCACACCAGCAGGCAAGAACCAACCAAAGGCATAGCTGGGGGTTCATGACTTATAAGGTAGCGCAAAGGGTTACAGATGGCAACATACCTGTCATAGGCCATAACTGTCAGCAGAAACATCTCACTGGCTCCTAGAAAGTGGAGGAAGTAGATCTGGGCCAGGCATCCTGAAAAAGAGATGCTCTTGCCCTGCTGTAGGAAATCCCCTAACATCTTTGGCAGAGTAACACAGCTTAGGCATAGGTCAATGAAAGAGAGATGACCTAAAAAATAATACATAGGAGATTGGAGCAGATGAGCATGGGCTTGCACTGTTACCACTATCAAGAGGTTTCCCAGGACAATAGCAATGTAAAAAAACAAAAATAGTAATAAGAGAAATAGCTGCAGCTCCCAAGAAGATGATAGGCCCAGAAGAACAAGTTCTGTCACGTTAGAATCTTGTTTTTTTTCATCAAGCCAAGAATATCAAGTGACCTAGAGAAAGAAGAATTAAATCAGAACAAGGGAGATTTAAGGTATCAATCTATCTACGTATCTATCTATATAGATAGATATAGATATACACTATATATATAGTATGTAATACATAAATTACATAAAAATTATTTTAGCAAATTCTATGAGGTAGTATAGGCAGTAGTCTTATATTGATAGAACATTGAATTTTGTTCACTTCTTCCAACTCTTTATTCCTGTACTACTTTTAAATTGCATTCACAATAAACTAGAAAGAAACACAATGACCTGGACATGAGGTGGTAAGTGCTAATCTTTCCATTTCTTTTAATAGACAGAATAATGTCCTCTAAGGACAAAAGTTCTGGAATGGAGTATCTAGATCGAATGCCTAGCTCCACCATTACCAATGGAGTACTCTCAGGCAAGGAAATAAACCTCTCTGAATTTTGTTCTTTGGTTATTCAATTTAATGCAGAGTTAATAATATCTCCCAAGATTGTTCTGAGAATCAAATGTAATGCCTATGTGCACCATAAAAAAAAACTAGATCTCTCAAGATGAGGAAATATCTTACTCATCTTTGTATCCACAACACAATATTTACTGCATAGCAGAAGCTCAATAATTTATCAAATCGAAGGAAGAATGTTTTGTAAACAACAAATTGCTATGTTGTACAAAGTTTAGTAGTTACTGTGAATAAATATATTAGGAAACAAATCATTTAGGAAGGATTGAAAAAGCTCATATTTTTTGTCTTTACTATCCCAGGTTACAGAAATTGGGAAGTTTGTAAAAATGAGGTAAGAAGAAACAGTCTCAATCTTTAAGATTTAGGGAAGCATCAGACTGGGGATGAGTAGGACAATGATTAAAAGACACCAATCACCAAGACAAGAGACCAAGAGCCATGACCCATATCGTGGAGGCATGCACAAAAGCCCACCATGACCCTTTTACAGGACAAAGTAATAAGAGAAACCAGAGTTGTGTTGCTTCTGGACTTTTCAACAACCATAGATACATAAGAAAATAAAAGATTTGCTAAGATATTGTTAGATATATTTTCCCCTGCTCTACACTCATATTCATCCCCAATGTTTGGTGACAGTACCTTGGATTACAAACAGAAAATCAGAGAATGTTGATACATTTCTTCCATTGCAGTAGTTAAAAATTAGTAGATGTCTCCCTGTCTAGAATTTTTTTTTATCTAGAACCAGCTATAGACAAAATATGAAATAAGACAAGATTTTATTTTGTGTTCCAAGCTTTGTAATCCATGTTGCACTTGGTTCTATCAAGTCATTCAGAGAATGTTATCCAATAAAATCCTTCATAATAGATATCAGGTATTTACATAGACAATGCAGAAAAGTACTTAAATTCTAAAAATGAAAACCTCTAATGACAAGAAAACTTTCTCTAGGGTATTATTCCAAGATAAGCCAGTGAGAGAGAGATTTGGGGCTCAAGTCACATTTGGACGCCTCTGTCACACCATGATTGTGACCATCCTCTTCATCTACCTATATAGCCAAGTGCACAGGTGCATCTAAATCTATAATCTCATAACTGATAGAAGGAATCACCTCACTTTCTAGAGTCAATTGGAAAATAAACCAAAGCAAGAAATACAAGTTAGGGAACGATTTGCTGTTATGTGTACAGCCCTACTTGAGCTCTGCTATATTGGAAATTCTCTAATCTTTTTTGGATGCACCAAGGATTGTAAAGTTCCATAAGAAAACATCATTTTGATGTTCTTTTCAGTTATCTAAAATGTATAATTAACAGGGGTCAAGTCTCATTAAAATTATGCATCTAATTTTTAAAATAATCTTGGGAAAACTGGAAAAGTCTGAGAAAGAGAAACCAAAGTTATTTTTTTAATTAAAAAAGGTTTCTAGAAGCCAGAAAACAATGGGAACACATAATCCTACACACTGTTATAATTTAGTCTCAGAATATGGCTGAGAAACAATGTGATTATTTCCTAATGTGAAGGGCATAGTATACCAAGGGTGTACGGTACACTTGTTATTTCCACTGAACATATGTTGGGAAAGAAAAGATTACATTAAAACAGACAATATTAAAATTAAATAAATCAGAAGGATAGATTAAATAAGAGAAGAATATGTAAAATATGTTATAACCCAAATTACTACAAACCATTTATAAGCCTGATTTTATGGCCTACTTGTTTAAAGTAAGATTTAATATTAGGAAATTTCAGCACTATAAATATTCTGAACAGTTCCTAGGTGATTACTGTGATAAGATTTTGATTAATAATGATATAAAAATCTTTACACTTGCATAAGTTAAAAATAGGCAGCCCTGTATGTTAGTTATTTGAGTTTTAATCAAGGTAAGGGCTGGATTCTGGTTATTCTTGGATTTTTTTTTTAATGACAGTAAATTTGCAATCTTCAGACAATATAAAACATAATACTAAACAATATAGAAAGCTCCCTTTTAGGTTTAATAACATTTCCACATTTGGTTGAGTCATCTCCCAGCTTCTGAAGTCTGATCACAGTAGGAAATTAAGCCTGTCACTGTTCTGCAAAGAATAAAAAGAACAATACACCCAACAACATGAATGAATGTCTACATCCCAAAACTAACCCCAGTCACAATATAATTTCCCTTGCCAAAGCCCTGCAGAGCTTGGAAAGCCACATTCAAAAATACCAGCTCCATTATCCCATTAGCAGTAAGATCAGACCCTACCAAGCATTTCATGTTTCATATCCTAAAAATAACCTAAGAATGTGAAAAAGTCAATAAAAATATTTTTAAGTACACAAAATGAGCCAAAAAAATTGAGAATGCTTAATGCAAAATGAAAGTCTTTATGGAAGGGTCCTGCTTAGAGAGAAGAGGACAAACTAAAGCACCTTAAATAATCAAAGGCTACTTGTGTACAGCTGAGCAGCTGGTCTCTCGTCTTTCTAAACAAGGAACCAGAGATGTTTATGAGGAAAATATGAAGAAAAGGAGTAAAATTTTTCTCCTGGTAACTTGTGCATGTGTGTGTTTTAAGCATAACAGTATACCATATTTTGCTATTATGTTTGTCTTGTATTTATTTTGGTCTGTGTGGAGCTAAATGCATTATTAGAGGAGGAAATTTGACTATCTCAACAATAGAAAATAATTGGCTAGCTGGAGTTTCAATTCCATATGAATTCCTTTTAGACGCATTTGATGCATTTTTAAATTTCTCCTGAAAACCAAGAAGTGGACACCATTAGTTGAAGATGGTACCTATAGTGGTATTCTCTATTGAGAAAGAAACAATCTTTCTGTTCTAAACTTCTTTGGCCTTGTTTGAAACATTGCATTCTATATTGTACCTGTGGAACGTAAAGAAGATTTTAGTAAAAAGAAACTTTAATAATTAAAGAAATGGAAAACAGAATCTAGAAGGGACTATAACAGAATTAGGTAGTCTTAAGACAATATTGCCATGAAACCTGTGCCTTCAGTTATGTAAATTTGGTCCTATCGTATCCAAATATTGCAACTGTCTTCTAAGATGCCACTAGCCCTAGAATTCCTTGATGCTATAGGAATTTCACTGTTCTGTGAATGTTTCTAAGTGTAAATTTAAAACAACAAAACTCAAATGATCTCTTAAATTTAAAAATGATCAATGCCAGAGTATATAGAGAAAAAGAGTGAGGACAACAGTAAACATAAAAATAGCATCAGAGTCAGACAGAGGAGCAGGAAGGGGAGGGGAGCTTTGAGTAAATATATCTGAGAAACCTACATCTTTGCTTGTCAGAAGCTATGTGGTTTCAAGGAAGGAAGATGTTATCCTGCCATTCATCCTACCAACCCTCTCTTCAGCCTCAGGCCAGCAAAATGGACAATCCTCAGGTGACCATCACAGCTGCCCAGCACATGTCTTAATTGCTTCCTTATAAGCCAAGCCCTAGTTGACGGCTGGCTGTATGAACTGGAAATATCTCCTATCCCTAGGACTCTAGCTGTATCTGAGGTTGCTATGGTTCTTACAACACTACTTAGCTTAATGAGCCCTGGGATTCCCTAGGCTGCTGCTGTTTGAGTTCTGTTAAATTTAGTTCTTGCTAGGAAGTTGACCTTGGGACCTGCAGGCTCTGAAGCAATTAGACCTGTTGCATAACAGAACCCACTTATTTTACTTACTTTGGATTGATTTATTTGTAATTTGTCATTGATTTGTTTGTATATGCCATCCATTTTCAATGCCTCAGTCTGTATCTGAAGAAGATTCTCACTGGTTTTTATCTCAATCATGCTCCTTGAAGTAGCAGAAGCTGAAGGATAAATACCAACCTAAGGTATTTATCTCTGAGATAATTCCAGGGATAGCTTGGTATTTATCCTTTAAGGTAATATAGAGTGTCTTGATACAACACCTGATTTCTTGAAACCTCAAGCAGCTTACCTACTGGCATTTATTCATAGATCGTATCCAGAAAACACAGCTGTTGTCATTAGTAATTTAATTTTTTATAGACTGTCAGTCTAATTTTTAAATATCATAAAACATAATTCTCAAACAAATACATAATGAACACATCAAAAACTGTATTTAATTAATGAGGGATAGCAGGATAACAAAGTCCGTTCCAAAAAGAATATGAAAAGTGTGATTTTACATAATCACAGCAAAAAAATGAACACTAAAATAAAATTGTTAAATTTGATGTAATCCAGTTAATGTCTCATGACACAGATTTACCTATATAACAAACCTGCACGTGTACCTCTGAACTTAAAAGTTAAAAATATCAACATAACAAAAATATTCATATTTTTTCATACAGCTCTAAAAAGGGGCAATACGACCTTAATCTTTGGGATTATCTTTTCTACCACACTAAAAAGATACAATGTAGCAGTTTTCTATAACATCTAGCTATATGTAATTATACAATGTCTGAGATTCCATAATTCATATATAGTAAGTTAAACAAAATCACATTTGCTAGAGAGTCAGATGACCCTTAGCTGGGCTTGCTAAACAATGTTTTTTGTTTTGTTATTTTTTATTTCTGTGGGTACAGAGTAGGTGTATACATTTATAGAGTATGAGATATTTGGGTACAGGCATACAATACATAATAATCGCATCATGGTAAATGGGGTATTCGTCCCCTCAAGCATTTATCCTTTGTGTTACAAACAATCCAATTATATTCTTTTGGTTATTTTTAAATGACAATTGAATCATTATTGACTATATTCACCCTGTTGTGCTATCAAATACTAAATATTATTTATTCTTTATATCTTTTTGTACCCATAACTATCCCCATTTTTCCACATCCCACACCTCCACCATCCTTCTCAGTTTTTGGTAACCATCATTCTACTCTTTATCTGCATGATTCGATCGTTTTAATTTTCAGTTCCCACAAGTAAGTGAGAATATGGGAAGTTTGTCTATCTGTGCCTAGCTTATTTCACTTAACACAATAATCCCCATTTCCGTCCATGTTGTTGCAAATGATCTGATTTTTTTTTATGGCTGAATAGTACTCTATTGTATATGTATGTGCCACATTTTCATTATTCATTCATCTATTGATGGAAACTTAGGTTGTTTCCAAATCTTGGCTATTGTGAACAAAGCTAAAACAAACATGAGAATGCAGATAACTCTTTGTTATACTGCTATTTTTTCTTTCGGGTCTACATCTAGCAATGAGGTTGCAAGATCGTAAAGTAGCTCTACATTTAGTTTTTGGGGGAATCTCCAAACTGTTTTCCATAGTGGTTGTACTAATTCACATTCCCACTGACAGAGTATGAGAGTTCCCTTTTCTCCTCTTCCTCACCAGCATTTGCTATTGCCTGTGTTTGGATAAAAGCCATTTTAAATGGGGTGAGATGATACCTCATTGTAGCTTTGAGGAACATTTCTCTGATGATCAATGGTGTTTGAGCACCTTTTTATGTATCTGTTTGCTATTTGTATTGTCTTTTGAGAAATCTCTATTCAGATCCTTTGCCCATTTTTAAATTAGATTATTAGGGTTTTTTCCTATAGAGTTGTTTCCTGGTTATTAATCCCTTGTCAGATGGGCAGTTTGCAAATATTTTCTCCCATTCTGTGGGTTTGATCTTCACATTGATTGTTTTTCCTTGGATGTGCAGCAGCTTTTTAACTGGATGTGATCCCACTTGTCCGTTTTTGCTTTGGTGACCTGTGTTTGTGGAGTGTTGCTCAAGAAATCTTTACCCAGACCAATATCTAAGAGAGTTTCCCCCAATGTTTCCTTTTAGTAGTTTAATTTTTTGAGGTCTTAGATTTAAGCCTTTAATACATTTTAATTTGATTTTTGTATATGCCAAGAGATAGGGGTCTTGTTTCATTCTTCTGCATATGGATATCCAGTTTTCCCAGCACCATTTATTGAAGAGACTGTTCTTTCCCCAATGTATGTTCTTGGCACTTTTGTAGAAAATGAGCTCACTGTTGATGTACGGATTTGCTTCTGGGTTCTCTATTCTGTTCCATTGACCTATGGGTCTGTTTTTTATGCCAGTACCATGTTGTTTTGGTTACCATAGCTTTATAGTGTAGTTTAAAGTCAGGTAATGTGATTTATCCAGTTTTGGTTTATTTGTTCAGGATAGCTCTGGGTATTCTGGGTCATTTGGTTATATCAATTTTAGGATTGTTTTTTCTATTTCTGTGAAGAATGGCATTGGTATTTTGATAGAGATTGAATCTGTAGATTGCTTTTGGTAGTATAACATTTTAACAATGACTGTTTCAGCTAATGAACATGGAATATCTTTCCGTTTCTTTGTGTCTTCTTTAGTTTCTTTCGTCAATGTTTTATAGTTTTCATTGTAGTGATTTTCACTTTTTTGGTTAATTCCTAGGTATTTAATTTTATTTGTAGCTATTGTAAATGGGATTACTTTCTTGATTTGTTTTTCAGACAGTTCACTGTTGACATATGGAGATGCTACTGACTTTTATATGTTGATTTTGTATCCTGCAACTTTACTAAATTTGTTTATCAGTTCTAATAGTGTTTTGGTGGAGTTTTTAGGTCTTTCCTAATACAAGATCACATCATCTGCAAACAAGGATAATTTGACTTCTTCCTTTCCAATTTGGATGCCTTTTATTTCTTTCTCTTGTCTGACTGCTTTAGCTAGGACTTCTAGTACTATAGTCAATGAAGTGGTAAAAGTTGGCATTCTTGTTGTGCTCCAGATATTAAAGGCTTTCAGTTTCTTTCCATTCAGCAAAATTCTATCTGTGGGTCTGTCATATATGGCTTTTATTATGTTGCAGTTTGTTCCTTCTATACCCAGTTTTTTAGAATTTTTATGATGAATGGATGTTGAACTTTATCAAATTTTTCAGCATCAGTTGAAATGATCATATGCTTATTCTCCTTCATACTGTTTATTGTTTATCATATTGATTGATTTGCACATATTGAACCATTCTTGCATCCCTGGGATAAATCCTACTGTGGGAGCTAAAAATTAAAACAATTGAACTCATGGAGATATAGAGTAGAAGGAAAGTTATCAGAAACTGAGAAAGATAGTGGTTAGGGGGATGGGAGGGCAGGTAGGGATGGTTAATGGGCACAAAAAGTAGTTAGAAAGAATGAATAAAATCTAGTATTTAATAGTACAAGAGGATGACTATTGTGTATTATAATTTAATTGTACATTTTAAAGTAACTAAAAGAGTGTAATTGAATTGTTTGTAACCCAAAGGATAAAAATGCTTGAGGGGAATGGATACCCCATTTACCATTATGTGATTATTATGCATTACATGCCTGTATCTAAGTATCTCATGTACTCAATAAATATATGCACCTACCACATACATACCAAAGTTTAAAGTAAACTAAAAAAAAAGAAAAAGCCAGGCACGGTGGCTCACACCTGTAATCCCAGCACTTTGGGAGGCCAAGGCAGGTGGATCAACTGAGGTCAGGAGTTCAAGATCAGCCTGGCCAACATGATAAAACCCCATCTCTACTAAAAATACAAAAAAAAAATAGCTGGGCATGGTGGTGGGCACCTGTAATCCCAGCCACTCGGGAGGCTGAGGCAGAAGAATCACTTGAACCCAGGAGGTGGAGGTTGCAATGAGCTGAGATGGCACCATTGCACTCCAGCTTGAGCAACAAGAGCGAAACTCTGTCAGAAAGAAAGAAGAAAGAAAGAGAGAGAGAGAGAAAGAGAGAAAGAAAGAAAGAAAGAAAGAAAGAAAGACAGAGAAAGAAAGAAAGAAAGAAAGAGAAAGAAAGAAAAGAAGGGAAGGGAAGGGAAGGGAAGGAAAAGAGAGAGAGAAAGAAAGAAAGAAAGAAAGAAAGAGAGAGAGAGAAAGAAAGAAAAGAAGAGAAGGGAAGGGAAGGGAAGGAAAAGAGAGAGAGAAAGAAAGTAAGTAAAAAGAAAGGAAGGAAGGAAGGAAAGAAAAAAAAAGAAAAGAAAGAAAGAAAGAAAAGAAAAAGAAAGAAAGAAAAAAGAAAAGAAAGAAAATAAATTACAAGGCAATAACATGATCTTAGATGCAAAAATTCTCAACAAAATACTAGCAAACTGAATCCAATAACACATTAAAAAGACAGTTCACCACGCCCAAGTGGGTTTTATTCCAGGAATTCAAGGGTTATTCAGTATAAATGAATCAAAAAGTTTGATACATTACACTGATAGAATAAAAGACAAAAAGTGTATGATCATTTCAATAGATACAAAAACAGCATCTGATAAAATTTATCATTGCTTCATGATAAAAATTAAACAAATTTAGGCATAGAAGGAGCATACCTCAACATAATAAAGGCCATATATCAGAAACTCACAGTGAAAATCATACTGACGTAGGACAAACAGAAAATCCTTCTTCTAAGAACTGAAAAACGACAAGGATTCTCACTTTCACAACACCTATTTCATATAGTATTGGAAGTTTTGGCCAGAGTATCAGCAAGAGAAAGAAATAAAACGCATTCAAATTGGAAAAGAAGTCAAATTGTTTCTCATGGCAGATGACATGATCTTATATAGAGAAAAACATAAAAACGTTATCAAGACAACTCTTAGAAGTGATAAGTGAATTCAGTAACGTTGCAGAATACAAAATCAGCATACAAAAATCAGCAGCACTTTTATGTGGTAATAATCAACTGTCTGAAAAGAATTCAAGATAACAATCTTATTTACAATAGCTCCAAAATAAAAAAATATAATTCTTAGGAATTAATTTAACCAAGGATGTGAAAGATACCTATAATGAAGCCATAAAACACTTATGAAAAAAATTTGAAGACAGAAATAAATGGAAAGATAATCCTGCATTTGTGGATTCAAATAATTAATATTGTTAAAATGTTCACACTACCCAAAACAAGCTATGGATTTATCAAAATAACAATGACATCCTTCAGAGAAATAGAAAAAACAATCCTAAAATACGTATGGAATCTACAAAAGACCTGGAATAGCCAAAGCAGTCTTGACCCAAAAGAACAAAGTTGGAGGCATCATACTACCTGACCTCAAAGTATACTGTAAAGCTATAGTAACCAAAACAGCATGATACTGGCATAAAATCAGATGCATAAACCAATGGAATAGAATACAGAGCCCAGAAATAAATCCACAGGTGATACACAGTCACCTAATATTTTGACGAAGCTGCCAAGCACACACAATGGGGAAAGGACAGTCTTTTCAATAAATGGTATTCGGAAAACTGGGTATCTATATGCAGAAGAACGAACTTATACCCTTACTTCATACCATATACAAAAAATCAACAAAAAATAGTTTAAACACTAAAACATGAGACCTAAAGCTGTAAAACTACACAACATTGATGTAGGCAAAAGCTAAGGCAAGAAAAACAAAAATAGACAAATGAGGTTACATCAAAATAAAAAGCTTCTGCTCAAAAGAAACAACAGAACCAAAAAATGACCTACAGAATAAGAGAAAATTTTTGCAAATTATACATCTGATAAGGGGTTAATATTCAAAATATATAAGGAACTCAAGCAACTCAATAGCAAAAAACACTACCACCAAATAATTCAATTTAAAAGTGGGCAAAAAACCTGACTAGATATTTTTTAAAATATGACGTGCAAATGACCAAAAAGCATATGAAAAAATCCTCAGCATCACTGATCATCAGGTAAATGCAGATCAAAACCACAATGAGATAGCACCTCAGCCCAGTCAGAATGTTCATGATCAGACAAAAGATGGTAATAGTCAGTAAGAATGCAGAGAAAAGGGAACGTTTATACACTGTTGGTGGTAATGTAAATTTGTATAGTCATTATGAAAAACAATATGGAGGTTCCTCAAAAAATTAAAAATATATAGAGTATATGTTTGAGTATCCAGTAGGCATTCAGTAAATATCTGTGGAATAACTAAATGTCAATCAAATTTCTTGTGCTCTACATAAAATTCAACTCAAATATCTCTAATAACTCTGCAGGTACAAATATTTGATGACCAGAGAATGATTTTTCTTCAAAATAGATCTAGAGAGTATTATGGTAAAGCTAACCACTGTAGCTAAAATGACAATCCCTTTTACTACTTAATTATTCCTCAGGAAGTTTTGACAATACATGAACACGAAAGAAGAAAGAAAATATAAGATCTGCTTCTACATTTTCACTATTCTTTAGGGGACAGTAAGAACTGGCTTTTGATTGTGAAAATTCAAAATGTTATCCTCTTTTAAACAAACACTATCAAAATATCCCAAGAGAGACAGAGCTCCAAGTCCCAAAAGGCTATAGTGCAAGTAAATAGATATATATAATACACTCACTTGAGCTTGCATTTTGACCATTAATATATGCTTTGAAGGTGGGGAAAATCTTTTAGGGTTTACTTTTTGCAACCCATGAGAGATAACAAACAGGATCATGCAATTTCTTGGAAGTTCTTCACATGTCTTTGGCTCTGGGGAATAATATTTTGTCTCCTGTCCCTGACCTTCTCAGCATTCACTCAAAGAGCGAATGGGAAGTATATAACATGTGAGTCACCCAGTTTTTTTTGCAAAAATCATAGAAAATGTTTTCTTCTTGTCTTTGAGAAAACTAAAAATATATCTCAGAATGAAAAGCTGGCAAAGAATGAAGCTGAAAAATATAAGTTTTTCTTCTTGTTTCCCTGAAATCTGGAAAATATTTTCCAATTATGGTTCATATCCCTTTAAAATATGAATAGCCATATATACAAAAAGAATAGTATTTCAAGTGAAGATGTATATTAACTGATGAATTGCTGGAGAAGGGTATATTTTGGCAATTTTTGTTACTTGGTGAGCAGAAGAAATATGGCATATTTCTCTTTCCAGCAATATTTTCTTTCTTAAGCCCAAATACTGATTTTTCAGTTCCATTACATTAATAAGACTTGGTATTATACAAATTAGTTATTATTTAAGAAACAAAAATCTTCAGCTCATATGACTTTTTCTTGTTTTTGTTGTTATTTGGGCTAGAAGTTAACCGGAGGGTAATCAGGGGAAAAGTTTTATGTTTCGGATTTGCCTAGATAGGAAAGGCCTCAGAAAACAACCACAGTGAGATGCAAAATAACACCAAAGGTCAAAGGAAGAAAAGGAACATGTGGAAGAAAGCAGTGAATAAAAAACATGGAAACTTTTGTAATATAAACTTTATCTGCCTTTCTTATTTTCCTGCAGCTGACTTGACCATGGTTAACAAAAAACAAGCACATTGAACTTGGCCACAGTCACGCAGACCAGCTGTTCTCCCTAAGGTCAATGTCATAATAGGCATATGAAGTTCTTACATTCACCTGGAAGCATATAAAAATATTTAGTCAGAGCAATTTAAGAGCCAAAGTATGGCACACTTCCTCACAGCATATAGCGTATCCAGCTGCCTAAAAATGAAAGAATGTATTTTTTATGCTAAACATTGGTACAGATACATGAAACAGCATAAAAGACCATATATTCTCTAATGACAGAGTTCTTTCTTATTACCACTTTAAAACACTACAAGTAACAGGGAGTAGCTGAAATTGAAAGTAAATATTAATTTGTGCCCTGGCATGGCACTATATTGAGAAAGAGTATTTTTAAATATCTTGGTTTTGTATTTTATTTTTATACCACTAATAATAATGAATCAGGTATTCATAGTACTGTTGAAAGAACTACATACCCAGATAAATACAGTATCAATAATGCAGGTAAACAGAAGAAAGAGTAGACCCATTGTATATAGGTAATTTATTGGAATCACAAAATTTGCATTCCTGGTTTCAAGTCTAGTGTTCTTAGCAAGAAAAAAAACTCTCCACAATTCATATTTTCCCTTCTATTGTTGTGATTTATTAAAATAAACATGTGTAGGAATTGAGTCATGAAAGTCACAGTTTTGTTGTTTAAACAAAAGTCTAATTGTTTACTACTTTATAATATACATGATGAAGAATTTTGGTTGTTTCCAAGAAGAAACAGCACGCTCCCTTTCATGTTTCAGTTACCTCTGCCATCTCCATGTCTTCCAGACTAATGAATGTGTTCAGCATGGAAACTATCAATTTTGTTAGCTGCCTTATCCTCATGGGCTTTCCCTCAAGCCCAGAAATGCAGCTCCTCTACTTCGGTCTCTTCTCAGTAGCCTATACTCTCACCCCGATGGGAAATGCAGCCATTGTCTGTGCTGTGTGGTAGGACCAGCACCTTCACACTCCCATGTACACCCTCTTGGGAAATTTCTCTCTCCTGGAAATATGTTATGTTACTGCAACTAAACTGCTGGCCAACTTCCTCTCCACAAGCAAGTCCATCTCATTCATGAGTTGTTTTGCAGAGTTCTACTTCTTTTCTTTGGGGTATGATGAGGGCTTCTTCCTTTGCATCACGGCCTTTGACAGGTATCTTGCCATCTGCCGCCCTCTACGTTATCCATGCATCATGACTAAACAAGTATGCACTGGCCTCATCATTTTTGCATGGTCATGTGTCTTTGTAATCTTCCTAACTCTGGTGATTCTCATTTCACAGCTATCCTACTGTGGCCCAAATATTATCAACCATTTTATTTGTGATCCCGTCCCATTGAAGATGCTGTCCTGTTCTGAAGACATCATCATCACCCAGCTCATTTACTCCACATTCAATTCTGTCTTCATAATTGGCACCTTTCTCTTTATCCTTTGTTCCTATGCTCTGGTGATTCTGGCTATAATACGGATGCCTTCAGAGGCTGGCAAACGAAAAGCTTTCTCCACTTGTGCCTCTCATTTGGCAGTTGTCACCTTATTTTATGGCTCTATCATGGTGATGTATGTTAGTCCTGGATCAGCACACCCAGTAAAAATGAAAAAATCATTACCTTGTTCTATTCTGTGATAACACCACTCTGTAATCCTCTAATATATAGTCTCAGGAACAAAGAGATGAAAGATTATCTGAGGAAAATCTTCAGGACTGGAAAAGATGTTAATAAAATATAAATAAGAGAATTTTCATTTATCAAATTAACTTTATTATACATGAATATTTGTCTACAAATTTATTGTTTTATTTAAGAACTGCTATAATAATGAGCCATTAACATCTTAAACACCACTCACCACAATCTGCATTACTGTGGTCTTATTTAAGAATGTTTCAACAGTGAATTAGATTTTCTGTTGAAGTGAATAATACGTATGTAAAATTCTATGTCTATGCTAATCAGAACGTGTATATGTAACTCAACTTTTTAAAAAGAATGCAGACGTCCTTTTTGTATTACTGAGCTAAAGCAATTGGTAACACATGTGACAGATATCATAGACTGCTCTCACAATTAACACTATAATCCAATCATTATCCACTAAGAGATACTGGCTGAAAAAGAGCCAAGTTTTAAGTAGTCCAGCTTGTCAAAATGTAGCAAGTGGTCTTTACATTATATAAATAGACTAATAGCCTTAGTTTGATATTCAGTGTTTTTTCAGAGAGTACACAACCAAGAATTAGGAATTTAAAGCAGATTCGTTACCTGGAATATAGTGCAGCAAAGACCTAAACAAAAAGGTGAGCATTACTCAGGATATAGCTTTCTTTGTTGTAAACCCAGTTTAAACACAGGATTTGATACCATAACTAATTTAGTATTAATACTGTGTGACTTATTTGAGTACTGCTGGACAGTACTAAAATAAAACTCTTAAAATCCATTTTATAAAATATTTGACTAATATCTTGCTTTAATTTTGACTTTTGTTTCGTTCTATGCCATTTTTTCAAATACAACTCTCAAAAACTTAATGAAAAGGAATCACAATATGAAATGTAGTTTACAGAATTTTAATTTGTAAGCCATCATAGCTATTTGCTCCACAAAATGAGGTGCAACTGCAATTAGTTTTTGTGTCACAAGGAAGCTGAGTTGAGAATATTTTCTGGGTTTGAAAGGCAGGATTTATGAGAGTTCTGGGGAAAAGAGTGGTTGTTTTATTATACCTCACATGTGAAATGTAAATTAAATAGCTAAATACTTGCCTGAAAACCTCTTTTATATAGGAAGAAAATACAAACAATTTAGAACTTCATTCAAACTGACTTCAACGGTGGGATCTCTTTAAAGTGCTGATAAATTTAACACTGAGTTTCACCTGTCCATGCCAGTTTTGTTTATATTTCTTAATTATATGAGAAAAAATGATAGAAATTCTTAATAAAATATAATCTCAACTGTTATAAATGTGCACAGTGCCCATATTTGTAATTATCTTCAAATTGATCATTAACCAATCTTATCTTACCAATATTAAATTCTATCTCATATTGAGCTTGCTGGCACTTGATAGAATGAATTGAAAACTATTAGATACAGTAAAAAGCATTTCCATAAGATACAAACATGCCTTCATTGTGACAATATCTCTTCCTCAGTTCATACCTATGGCTTCATGGTATTTCACACAACCAGCTAATAAATGAAGAAAGAGCCTCAGGCTTGGATCACAAATGGATTGTCTGAATCTACACTTAGACAAGATAAAAACTGACTAATGCTGCAGCTTAACGCCTCTCCAGGGTAGCCATAGAATGTAGTGGTGGAGGAAATCCTCGTAAGCCAGTGATTCGGTAGCAATATACTTAGTTGTCCACTTTGAATGTTGGGAGAAATAGCTTGCTATGCAAGATAAGGATATGTGTAGTATAATGATTGTTGTAAAAAAGTTTCACTAAGCAAACCCCCTCAAAATACAGAAAAATCAGATTTAATGAAATTTGAGGTGGAGGCCTATGTATGGGCCTATGAGAATAAGCACAAAGTATGCAGATCTTTGTTTCTCAACTCTGTGCCCATTAGAGAGTATCCTCCAGAGTGGAGGCACTCAATAGCTAAGTGAAAAGAATGAGTCATCTAAAAATGTCAGTCAGCTCTGATTTCATTCACCTCAGAGCTTATAAAAGGGAATATAAAGAAAGCTGTATAAATGGAAAATATGCACGTGCCAAAAAATACAGGCATTATCTTACCAAGGTTGGTGACAAATCACTGAGCCACTGAAGATGCAGCCTCGATGAGAAACCAATGTTAAGCCCTCAATATGGCACCAATCTTTGAGAAAACCAGCCAGCAATGGGTGGCAAATTGATTACATCAAATTCCTTTTACTTTGGAGGGTGCCAAGTGACATGAAAGAGTATAGTCAACCTCTACTTCTTCATTTCATATTCACTCCCCAACCCCCTGTGATCTTGCTTTCTATCTCCTCTGCTCAACTAAAACTTCTTTTCATCATGTTTCTGTAGAGGATTAACAATAATCATCATATGGGTATTTTATCTTAGGTACAAGAAAGTATAGTAACTCAAATAGATTTTCCAATCTACCATTATTTTCATTAGTCAACATTATCTTAGCCAGAGAAGATGTGAACTCTACATTTTGTAATTCTACATTGTTTGAGTTTGAAAACCTTTGCTATAGCCTGGGAATAAGTTGTTTTTGGATCAGTTGCAGCCTCTTATGAACAAGATTAAAGATGAAAAAGTTGAAAAATGTGTATTACCCTATAATTGCAACTCAAAATCTAGCTTATTTTTCATGTTTCACATGAAAACAGATGTTTAACCTAGTAGTTCTCAACTTTAATATCCATATCAATCACCATCACGTATGGATCTTTTCAAAATGCAGATTCTCTGTGACATCAGGAAGATTGAAGAATAGGACGTCCCAGTTTTCCCTACCCTTCATAGAATGTTCAATTAACAACTGTACACAGACAAAAACTCCTATGTGAACACTTCAAAACTCAAGATTAAGCCTGAGAAACCTGTGTGAACTAAATAACCAAACAAAATGCCACATGAGAAGTGTAAAAAGAATAGCCTCACTCTGACCACATCACCTCTCCCTTTCTCCCAAGTCAGCACAACACCACTTAGAATTTTTCTAGGCCCACAGTTTCTACAGTAGGAAAAGAGAACTAGAGGTGGACATTCACGTTCCCTGTGTTCCAAGATACCTCCCCCAGGAAGCCAACTCTGGTCTCACCTTGCAAAGAGCATAGGGGTAATAGCATGGCTAGACTACCTGTGGTCAGGTAGAAACAGAGCAGGAAGGCAAAGCTCATAGTGACAAACATGCAGATCTTGGTGGTAGGTCTATGTAACCACCAGCAGTGGTATGTGATTAGGGGCATTAGCGAACAGTATAACAAACCAACAAAGTCAAGCTGGTTGCCCCGGGAAATAGGAAGTTCTACCTGGCTTGAATCCCTAGACAATCAGCCTCCATGCCAGCCCCAGATCCTACCACAAAGCCTTGTCCAGAGGGGGAGATGACCACAGCATATTTTGGTAAAGTACAAGGGCTAGACCTGCCCCACTCAGAAGCCCAAACAGTGGTTTGGCTTAGTCTCAAAACCCACAACAGGGACCCAGCCAGGCAGGGAGATGCATACCACAGCCCATTATTAGCACAGTGTAGGGTCTAGAAATGCCTTACCTGGGGACTCTAACAGTGGTTCAACTCAGCCTCAAAATCATCCCCAAAGCCCACTCAGAGATGGAGATACTTGCCGCAGTGCATTTTGGCAAAGTGAAAGGGCTATATGCACCCCAACAAGGAATCCAAACAGTGGTTTGGCTCAAATCTCAAAGCCCACCCCAAGGTCCTACCCAGTCAGGAAGGCAAACATCAAATGTGCATTCCCACCAAGTGTAGTAGCTGTTCTCTCCATCCTGAGCAGTGTCCCCACTTAACTTTATGAGTAAGCCTGCAACCCCATACAACTCCAGAACTCAAATAGTGGTACCATCCAGCCAGGAAATACATCCTGTGGCCCGGCCCAGTCAGAGACAATCACCATCCGAGCAAGCAATTTTGTCTGATTGCATAGCTCATTTAGTGGTCATACCAAAAATCAGAGCCCAGCCAGTAGTCCCAACTGAACTCAGAGCAAAGACAAAAGCTGAGCCATCCGGAGAACCTGAAAGCAGAAAGCAAGCTCTACCTTCCCAGGGTTGGTACCAGTTGGCCAATCTAGAATGAAAGGCTAGACTAAATAATGAAAGTCTATCCCTGCCAACTAATACCTATAAAAAGAGGTAGCTACCTCCTCAAATGAACAGACAGCAGTGCAAGAACAAAAGGATTGTGAAGAATCGAGGAATGATGACACCTCCAAAATAAACTAATAAAACTCTTAACAATGGACCCTAAAGGAACGGAGATTTGCAAAATGACTGACAAAGAATTCTAAAAAGTCCAGGAGCTGGTTTTTTGAAAGGATCAACAAAATTGATAGACTGCTAGCAAGACCAATAAAGAAAAAAAGAGAGAAGAATCAAATAGACGCAATAAAAAATGATAAAGGGGATATCACCACCGATCCCACAGAAATACAAACTACCATCAGAGATTACTACAAACACCTCTATGCAAATAAACTAGAAAATCTAGAAGAAATGGATAAATTCCTCGACACATACACTCTCCCAAGACTAAAACAGGAAGAAGTTGAATCTTTGAATAGACCAATAACAGGAGCTGAAATTGTGGCAATAAGCAATAGCTTACCAACCAAAAAGAGTCCAGGACCAGATGGATTCACAGCCGAATTCTACCAGAGGTACAAGGAGGAACTGGTACCATTCCTACTGAAACTATTCCAATCAATAGAAAAAGAGGGAATCCTCCCTAACTCATTTTATGAGGCCAGCATCATCCTGATACCAAAGCCAGGCAGAGACACAACCAAAAAAGAGAATTTTAGACCAATATCCTTGATGAACATTGATGCAAAAATCCTCAATAAAATACTGGCAAACCGAATCCAGCAGCACATCAAAAAGCTTATCCACCATGATCAAGTGGGCTTCATCCCTGGGATGCAAGGCTGGTTCAGTATACGTAAATCAATAAATGTAATCCAGCATATAAACAGAACCAAAGACAAAAACCACATGATTATCTCAACAGATGCAGAAAAGGCCTTTGACAAAATTCAACAACCTTCATGCTAAAAACTCTCAATAAATTAGGTATTGATGGGACGTATCTCAAAATAGTAAGAGCTATCTATGACAAGCCCACAGCCAATATCATACTGAATGGGCAAAAACTGGAAGCATTCCCTTTGACAACTGGCACAAGACAGGGATGCCCTGTCTCACCACTCCTATTCAACATAGTGTTGGAAGTTCTGGCCAGGGCAATTAGGCAGGAGAAGGAAATAAAGGGTATTCAATTAGGAAAAGAGGAAGTCAAATTGTCCCTGCTTGCAGACGACATGATTGTATATCTAGAAAACCCCATTGTCTCAGCCCAAAATCTCCTTAAGCTGACAAGCAACTTCAGCAAAGTCTCAGGAAACAAAATGAATGTACAAAAATCACAAGCATTCTTATACACCAATAACAGACAGAGAGCCAAATCATGAGTGAACTCCCATTCACAATTGCTTCAAAGAGAATAAAATACCTAGGAATCCATTTACAAGGGACATGAAGGACCTCTTCAAGGAGAACTACAAATCACTGCTCAATGAAATAAAGAGGATACAAACAAATGGAATAACATTCCATGCTCATGGGTAGGAAGAATCAATATTGTGAAAATGGCCATACTGCCCAAGGTAATTTATAGATTCAATGCTATCCCCATCAAGCTACCAATGACTTTCTTCACAGAATTGGAAAAAACTACTTTAAAGTTCATATGGAACCAAGAAAGAGCCCGCATCGCCAAGTCAATCCTAAGCCAAAAGAACAAAGCTGGAGGCATCACACTACCTGACTTCAAACTATACTACAAGGCTACAGTAACCAAAACAGCATGGTACTGGTACCAAAACAGAGATATAGATCAATGGAACAGAACAGAGCCCTCAGAAATAATGCCGCATATCTACAACTATCTGATCTTTGACAAACCTGACAAAAACAAGCAATGGGGAAAGGATTCCCTATTTAATAAATGGTGCTGGGAAAACTGGCTAGCCATATGTAAAAAGCTGAAACTGGATCCCTTCCTTACACCTTATACAAAAATCAATTCAAGATGGATTAAAGACTTACATGTTAGACCTAAAACCATAAAAACCCTAGAAGAAAACCTAGGCATTACCATTCAGGACATAGGCATGGGCAAGGACTTCATGTCTAAAACACCAAAAGCAATGGCAACAAAAGCCAAAATTGACAAATGGGATCTAATTAAACTAAAGAGCTTCTGCTCAGCAAAAGAAACTACCATCAGAGTCAACAGGCTACCCACAAAATGGGAGAAAATTTTCGCAACCTACTCATCTGACAAAGGGCTAATATCCAGAATCTACAATGAACTCAAACAAATTTACAAGAAAAAAACAAACAACCCCATCGAAATTGGGCAAAGGACATGAACAGACACTTCTCAAAAGAAGACATTTATGCAGCCAAAAAACACATGAAAAAATGCTCACCATCACTGGCCATCAGAGAAATGCAAATCAAAACCACAATGAGATATCATCTCACACCAGTTAGAATGGCGATCATTAAAAAGTCAGGAAACAACAGGTGCTGGAGAGGATGTGGAGAAACGAACACTTTTACACTGTTGGTGGGACTGTAAACTAGTTCAACCATTGTGGAAGTCAGTGTGGCGATTCCTCAGGGATCTAGAACTAGAAATACCATTTGACCCAGCCATCCCATTACTGGGTATATACCCAAAGGACTATAAATCATGTTACTATAAAGACACATGCACAAGTACGTTTATTGCGGCACTATTCACAATAGCAAAGACTTGGAACCAACCCAAATGTCCAACAATGATAGACTGGATTAAGAAAATGTGGCACATATACACCATGGAATACTATGCAGCCATAAAAAATGATGAGTTCATGTCCTTTGTAGGGACATGGATGAAATTGGAAACCATCATTCTCAGTAAACTATCGCAAGAACAAAACACCAAACACCACATATTCTCACTCATAGGTGGGAACTGAACAATGAGAACATATGGACACAGGAAGGGAACATCACACTCTAGGTACTGTCGTGGGGTGGGGGGAGGGGGGAGGGACAGCACTGGGAGATATACCTAATGCTAGATGACGAGTTAGTGGGTGCAGCGCACCAGCATGGCACATGTACACATATGTAACTAACCTGCACATTGTGCACATGTACTCTAAAACTTAAAGTATAATAAAAAAAATTTAGTGAACTACAATAATATAAGGGTAGATAATTAAAAAAATTGAAAAATAATAAACAATATAACATGTTTGACAAATAGGAATAATAAAAATATAGAAATCTTAAAGAATAAAATGACTGAAATGAAAATGCAATAGAAAGCTCTAAGAACAGGCTCAATCAAGCAGAAGGGAAACAATCAATAAGCTAGAGACAAAACATTTAAAATAATTCAGTCAGAAGAGAAAAAATTAAAAAGATTGAAAAAGAATAAAGACAGACTCTGGATATGAAGGGAAACTATTAAGACCTAATATTCATCTAATAGGAGTTTTCAGAAAGAAAAGAAATAGAAAAGAGACCAGAAAGCATATCTGAAGAAGAAATTCTAAAAAACTACCAAATCTGGAGAAAGTTGCTAACATCTAAACACAGCAAATGCAGAGTTATCCAAACAAGTTTAAGCCAAATAGGAGTTATCCAAGATGTACAATAATTCAAATACCAAAAATTAAAGAAAAAGAAAACATTTTGAAAACAGCAAGTAATTAGAAGCATATCACATAGAAGGGAATATCAAAAATAGCTGTCTCTGGATTTCTCAACAAAATCTCAGGAGACCAGGAGAGAGTAGGATAATGTATTCAAAGTGCTGAAGGGAAAAAACAAGGCCAACAAGTCTACTTAACCCAGCAAAGTTGTCCTTGGCAAATGAGAGAAAAGCAAAAACTTTTCCAGACAAACAAAAGCTATGAGAGTTCATCACCACTAAATATGTCTTAAGAGAATTACTAAAGGAAGTTCTTTGAGCTGAATTAAAAGGCTGCTAATTAAAAATATAAAACATATGAGAACACAAATGCAATGGGATAAGAAATACAAAGTCATATCCAGAATATTCTAAGACTGTAATGATGATGTGTAAAGCAATTTTTTCCTATAGTACAATGGTTAAAAGACAAATCTATTAAAACACATGGAGCAAAAATAGTCAATGGATACACATAAGAAAATGATGTATATTTTGACATCAAAATCGTAAAATGTGGGAGAGGAGAAATAAAGTGTACGGCTGTTGTTGGCAAATAAAGCATACAGTTGTGATTGTTGTCAGCTTAGAATAGTATATCATATAAAAATAAAGACTAAAAACATCACCCAACACTACACAACTACATGGAAATTAAGTGACTTGCTCCTGAATGACTTCTGGGTGAACAATGAAATTAAGGCAGAAATCAAAAAAGTCTTTGAAATAACTGAAAACAGAGACACTATATGCCAAGATCTCTGGGATGCAGCAAAAGCAGTGTTAAGAGAAAAGTTTATAGCACCAAACAATTACTGCAGAAAGTTAGATATACCTCAAATTAATGACCTAGCATCCAACAGAATAGCTAGAAAAGCTAAAACAAAGCTAGCAGAAAAAAAAATAACTAAAACCAGAGCAGACCTGATTGAAATACACCAGAAAATTAATACCAAGAATCAATGAAACCAAAAGTTGATTCCTTAAAAGGATAAACAAGATTGATGGGCTGCCAGCTACAGTAACAGAGAGAGAGCGAGAGCAAGAGGAAGAGAGAGAGAAGATTCAAATAATCACATTAAGAAATGACAAAGGTGACATTACAGATGATCCGATAAATACAGAATATCCTCCAAGACTATTAGGAACACCTCTATGAACACAAACTACTAAATCTAGAGGAAATTGATCAATTTCTGGAAACAACCTCCCAAGATTGAATCTGGGAGAAATTAAAACCCTAAAAGACCAATATTAAGGTCCAAAATAGAAGCAGCAATAAAAATCTACCAACCAAAAAAGTCCTAGACCAGATGGTTTCACAGCCAAATTCTACCATGCATACAAAGAAGAGCTAGTATCAACTCTACTTAAACTATTCCCAAAAATGAGGAGAATGGACTCCCCCCTAACTCATTCTATGAAGCCAGCATCTCTTTGATACCAAAACCTGGCAAGTGAAAGTTTATAGCTACAAGTGCCTACACCAAAAAAGTAGAAAAATTTCAAATAACCTAGTGATGTATCTTTAAAAACTAAAAAAGCAAAAGCAAACAAACCCAAATTATTAGAAGAAAATAAATAATAAAGATCAGAGTAGTAATAAATGAAATGGAAACAAAGCATACAATACAGAAGATCAACAAAGTGAAAAGTTTGTTTTTTGAAAAGATGAACAAAATCAACAAAACTTTACCTAAGAGAAAAAGTGAAAAGACCCAAATAAATAAAATTAAGACATAAAACCAATACTGCAGAAATTAAAAGGATCACTTGCAACCATATGCCAATAAACCGGAAAATCCAGATAAAATAGATAAATTCTTAGATACATACAACCTATGAGGTTTGAGCCATGAAGAAATCCAAAACCTGAACAAACCAATAACAAGTAATGAGATCAAAGCCCTAATAAAAAGTCTCCCAGCGAAGAAAATCCCAGGACATGGTGGCTTCTCTGCTGAATTTTACCAAATATTATAGAGGAATTAATACCAACACTATTCAAACTATTCCAAAAAATATAGGAACACAGAATACATCCAAATTCATTCTATTAGGCCAGTATTACTCTGATATAAAACCAGAAAGAGACATATCAACAAAAGAAAACTACAGACCAATATCCCTGATGAACACTGCTGCAAAAATCCTCAACAAAATACTAACAAACTAAATCCAACAGCACATTAAAAATTTAATTCACCATGATCGATTGAGTTTTATTCTAGAAATGCTAGGATGATTCAACATATGCAAATCAATAAATGTGATTCATCACATAAAGTTAAAAACAAAAACCATAGGATCATTTCAATTGATGTTGAAAAGACAATCATAAAATAGGAGAAAATATTTGTAAACTATCCATCTGGCAAGGGATTAATAACCAGAATATATAAGGAACTCAAACAACTCTATAGGAAAATTCTGATCATCCAATTTAAAAATGGGCAAAAGATCTTGCTCAGAAGACACATAAATGGCAAACAGGCATGTGAAAAAGTGCTCAGCATCATTGCTCATCAGGGAAATGCAAACCAAAACTACAAGACGAATCATCTAACCCTAGTTAAAATGGCTTATATCCAAAAGACAGGCAGTAAGAAATAGTGGCTAGGATATGGAGAAAAGGGAACCCACTATTGGTGGGAATGTAAATTAGTACAATCACTATGGAGAACAGTTTGGAGGTTTCTCAAAAAAAACAAAAATAGAGCTACCATATGACCCAGCAATGCCATTGGTAGGTATATACACAAAAGAAAGGAAATCAGGATATCTGAGAGATACCTGCACTCCCATGCATATTGCAGCACTATTCACAATAGTCATGATTTGGAAGCAACCTGTTTGTCCATGAACAGATGAATAAAGAAAATGTGGTTAATGTACACAATCGAGTAATATACAGCCATGAAAAAGAATGAGATCCTGTTATTTGCAACAACATGGATAGAACTGGAGGTTATTACGTTAAATAAAATAAGCCAGGGACAGAAAGACAAATTTTCCATGTTCTCACTTATTTGTGGGAGCTAAAACTTAAAATAACTGGATTTATGGAGATAGAGAATACAGTAATGGTTACCAGAGACTAGGAAGAATAGTAGGGTTAAGGGGAGGAATGGATAATCGGCATAAAAATACAGTTAGATAGAATAAGTAAGATCTAGTATTTGATAGAACAACAAGGTGACTATAGCCAAACAATTTATAGTACATTTAAAAATAACTAAAAGAGCATAATTGCATTGTTTGTAACACAAAGAAAGGGTAAATGTTTGAAGTGATGAATATCCCATTTACCGCGATGTAATTATTATACACCGTATGCCTGTAGAAAAATATCTCATGTACCCCATAAACATATACAGTCACTGTGTACCCATAAACATTTAAAAAGGAAAATATAAAATAAACAACCTGATATTACAACTCTAGTAACTAATAAAAAAAGAACAAACTAAACCCAAAGTCAGCAGAAGGAAAGAAATAACAAGGATCTGAATAGAAATAAACAAAATAGAGACTAAAACTACAATAGAAAAGAACTCAATGTAATAAAGAGTGTTTTTTCAGAAGGATAAACAAATCAACAAACCTTTAGCCAGACCAAGGAAAAAAAAGAAAGGACTCAAATATTAATACAATCAAAAGTGAAAAGGGAGACATTACAACTGATACCATAGAAATATAAAAGCTCATAAGAAAAAAAAGCTCATAAGAGAGTACTATGAAAAATTGTACAGTAACAAATTGAATAAAGTATAAGAAATAAATAAATTCCAAGATACATGCAAGATACCAAGACTGAATCATGAAGAAAAAGTATGAACAGACCAAAAATGAGTAAGAAGATTGAATTGTAATAAAGTCTCCCATCAAAGAGAAGCCCAGAATAGCTTTACTGTTGTATTCTACCAAACACTGAAATAATTAGCAATCCTTAAACTCTTCCAAAAAAAATCTAAGAGGAAGGAATACTTCACTTCCAAACTTTTTTTACGTGGCCAACATTACTCTGACACCAAGGCCAGACAAGAACAAGAAAAAGAAAAGAAAAGAAAAGAAAAATTATAGGCCAATATCCCTGATGAACATAGATGAAAGAATCCTCAATCAAATACTAGCACACTGAATTCAACAGCACGTTAAAAAGGTAACTTACCATGCTCAAGTGGATTTACCCCAAGGATACAAGGTGGATCAACATACATACATCTATAAATGTGATATACATTAACAAAATGAAGCCCAAAATTATATAATCATCTAATTAGATGCAGAAATAGCATTTGAAAAATTCAACATTGTTTCATGAAAAGATTCTCAACAGAGTTGGTTTAGAAGAAATATACTTCAACATAATAAAGACCATGTATTACAAGCCTACAGCTCACACTATCTTCAACGCACCCTCCAAATCTCAGGCTGAATTGTGATCCCCAGTGTCAGAGGGGGTGCCTGGTGGGAGGTGTCTGTGTTATGGAGGTGAATCCCTCATGGGATGGTGATGGTATCCAACCCAACCCTCAGGAATGGGTTTGCATTTTACCCATAGTAGAGTTACCATCAGATCTGATGGTTAAAAAGAGTATGGGACAACCCCCTCCCCACCTAGCTCCCTTTCTTGCCATGTGACACAACTGCTCCCTCTTTGCTTTCTTCAATGAGTAGAAGTTTCCTTAGGCTTCAGAAGCTAAGCAGATGCTGATGCCATGCTTGTACTGACTGCAGGACCATGAGCCAAATAAACCTCTTTTCTTTATAAATTACTCAGTCTCAAGTATTCCTTTATAGCAACGTAAAATGGACTAACACAAATGTTATTGGTGATTTATGCAATGGCCATTTTAAGGGTGTGGTGGGGGGAAGCCATATTTAAATATATTGGAGGTGAGAAAGACATGAGGAAAAGATGAAGATTCCTTACTGTCTCTCAAGTATGGCAGGCATGCTCCTGCCTTGTGGTCCCTATACATGTCATCTCCTTTGCCTGGAATGCTCTTTTCCCAGATATTTATATTTCTTTCCCTAACACTCCCTTCAAATCTTTGACCAAATATCACCTTTTCGGTGAGGCCTTTCCTGACTAGCTATTGAAAATTCCACTCAGGGGAATTGAGAGATATTGGTCAAAAGGTACAATGTTTCAGCTAAACAGAATGAATAAGTTTTGGAGATCTACTGTACAGCATAGTGACTGTAGTTAACAGTCATGTGTTATACCATTGTCCCTAAATATCTGCAATATCAGGGGGGCGATTCGTTCCAGGACTCCCCAAGGACACCAAAATCCTGGGATGTTCAAGTCCCTTATATAAAATGATATCATTTTATATTTGCATGTAACCTACGCATATTTTTCCACACACTTTAAATCATCTATAGATTACTTATAATACTAATAAAATATAAATGTTTTATAAGTAGTTGTTATACTGCATTTTTTTATTTTTATTGCTTTTACTGTATTTTTTGTGGGTTTTTTGTACTAATAGTTTCTATCCAGTTGGTTGAATGCCTGAATGCGGAACTCATGGAAACATAGGGCCAAAAGTATACTTGAAATTTTTAGAAGAGATTTTAAATGTTCTCACACAATAAAATGAAAGTATGTAGAAGTGATAAATGTTAATTAGTTTGAATTAATCATTTCACCATGTATACATATCAAAAAATCATCTTGTATGCCACAAATGCATAGTTTTTTGATAAAAAATATCCAATCACCTATTATAAGGCAAGCGCATATTGAACAAGTGCCAAGTGAGCCTCATATACTGGATAATGATTCCATGGAAAGTAGCCTTGCTTAACTGGGAAAAGACCCAAGTGACAGAGTAGCTCCCTATGGAAAATCGTAACTGGTTTAAATGACAGCTTAAACTCCAGAATGTCTCACCAAACAGTCAAATGCTAGTTCTGTGAATTGTTTTTTCTTCTCATGTGAATCTATATACTGTTTTTGTCAATTACATCTTAGTAAGGCTGGGGGTAAAATGCACCTCTGCCAGCTCCCACACACACTCCCTATTGACCTGACGTTTCTAATTTTTCTCCACGTTTCCTCATCACTCCCTAATATACTATAGTTTACTTATTTATTTAACACCTGTTGTCTCCCTTTGGAATATAAGTTCCACATAGGAATTTTTGTACATTTTGTTCACTGCTATGTGCATGAGCATTTAGAGTAGTCCCTGGAACATTCACAATCAATTATTATTATTGAATTAACTAATCAGTTTTTAATATTAAAATATAAATATAAATAATATAAACATGTATAGTAAATTTTACACTTAATTACAAACATTATGAATATAAGTGTGATGAAAGGAAAAATTTTAAATGTTAAATGGTTATGTTGTATTCTCATGCATATGTATGTTTTCTCAAATTTTTCTATAATAAACTTGTAGTTACTCTTGTAAAATATCAAAAGTGAGCATTTGTTAAAATAAACTCATGTAAATAAATTTCATGCTTTCTGAAATGGCCATTTCAGAGATGTAGCGTAGGTGAAGAAGAGATGAGGACTCCCTGCCGTCTCAATCATGCCAGGTGTGCTCCTGCTTCGTGGCACCTACACATGCCATCTCCTCTGCCTGGAACCCTCTTTCCCCAGATGTTTATATTTGTTGCCTCCACACTTCCTTCAAGTCTTTATCCAAATATCACCTTTATGAGATTTCTGAATTTTTTATTCATCTATAACATACAAAAAGTACAGTGCACAAATCCTAAGTATATTGCTCAATGAATTGTTATCAACTGATACTCCTGTGTAAAGGTACCTAGTTCCAGAAACTGAATGTTATCAGCATCCCAAAATCCCAACCTTTTCATTGAGGCTTTCCCTAACTACCTATTGAAAATTGTGCCCAGGGGATATGGGGAGACATTTGTCAAAGGGTACAATGTTTCAGCTAAAAGGGATGAATAAGTTCTGGATATCTACTGTACACCATTAACCTTAAGAGAGATCTCAAAAAGGAAAAGAACTCACAAAAAAAAATTGCTGTAAAGGATACACATGAAAGGCACAGAAGGGAAGTGGAGGGAGTGCAGAGAACTGTGGGCTGAGTCTGAGCCTCAAGGCTTTTTCAGCATAAAATGCCACAAAGACTGTTGATAAGCAAGCCTGTCCCCCATTTACTAAACTTAGGCAATTAAAATTTTATCACTACCCAATGTATCAAAATTTTATCACTACCCAACACTGATTTAAGGACTCAACACTCTGACTTGAGAAAACCTGAAGTACAAAAAGTTACCACAAAGGTGGGTGAGACTCTCTAAGGAGCTCAAATATATGTCTTCAATGTGTTCTAATTGCAAATTACTTACAATTTGGCACAACATATTGGGAGAGGAGTAGTGGAGTGGTAAAAATCAAACCTAACTTCAAAATATTGTAAATTATGGCTCTAAGATCATTCTTAATGACCCAATATGTGCAGTGAGGCTCTTCTCTTCCTCCTCCATGTTACAGTTGAGAACACGAAAGACTAAGCCATTCACATTACCCCAGGGAAGGCAGAGGGCAAGGGCAGTCCAGGTGTCCTGAACTGTACTGCTCGCAGGGGAGGCCTGGCCCACCACTAAGTCTGGATACTTCCAAACCTATCCTTACATGAAAACAATATCTGCGGACCATTTCATTCCAATTGGTTTTGGGTCCTAGTTTCTGCCCAGTGGTCAAATCCAGAAACCCAATCAGGACCTGGTTTCAATGAGTGGCTCTGAGCTTAGCTAATTAATGGTTTCCTGTCCCAAGAAAGGTTTCTTGTTTTTGTTTGTTTAATTAATTGTTTGCTATTGCACTAAAATACTTTGTCTTACCTGACAATAGTGAGCTCAGGATTATCTTGGCACATTTGGTTATGTGGTTTGAGCCCTCCCAGAGTGTTACTGTCTACTAGTTACCCATTAAAGTTTAATAAGGCAGAAGACAATGAGCTTGCTAGAGATGTCACAGAGCCTTTGTTGCCATGGCAATAATTGTTGGACCAGATCACAGAGAAGTATGTAAGAGACAAGAAAGAGAGAACTGCAGGAAAAGCTGAAGCATAATAGTTTTTTAAAATAGTCTCTAAACTTATAGTGGAGTAATGTGTTTAAACTTGTGGGGAAAACTACTTTATGAGAAAGGCTGATTTTCCAACATCCTCTTAAGGAGATATGGTTTTGGTTTTATGGAAGAATGGTTTCTAAGCTACATTTCTTCTTTTTTTTTTTTTTTTTTTTTTTTTGAGACGGAGTCTTGCACTGTCACCCAGGCTGGAGTGCAGTGGCGCGACTTTGGCTCATTGCAACCTCCACCTCCCAGGTTCAAACGATTCTCCTTGCCTCAGAATCCCAAGTAGCTGGGATTACAGGTGCCTGCCACGATGCCTGGCTGTTTTTTTTTTTTTCTATTTTTAGTAGAGACAGGGTTTCACTATGTTGGCCAGGCTGGTCTTGAACTCCTGACCTCATGATCCACCCGCCTTGGCCTCCCAAAGTGCTGGGATTACAGGTGTGAGCCACTGTGCTCTGCCTACATTTCATCTTAAAGTAAAAGTAAACGAATTGGGATTAATTTGGAAGCACACTGACTATTATAATACCAAGAACTTCATATGAAGGCAGATAGCCATTAAAATGGCAGAAATTCAACAAGATTTTTAATAGATGATTGGGTCAGTGAGAAATAGTTTTGATGTGCAATATGAAACCCCAAATATTCCAGGGGCTCCTGCAAAGTGTAAACTTGGAGTTTCCTTGACTTAGAAGTGAAAGAACAGCAGGATTGGAGGTGGGTGAAAGAAAGAACCTAGTGATCTAGGTAATGTCACTTTGGATAACATTTGCTCTAAATTGCTCCCAGCATCAGAGTAGAGCTTGGGAGGAGTGAGTCTGTATTTCAAAGCCCAGGGTTTCAGTCAGTGTGAATGAGACAGTGAGGATTATCCTGCCCTCTTGTGCTTCTGAGCCAACATGCCAGGGCTTGAAGAGGAGCGGAAGGAAATGAAGAAGTCACAGAATGCCTGACTGAAGAAGCAAAGTGCAGAAACACATCACCTCCCTCCCTCCCTATAGAAGTCAAACTCCCCCGAGACTGCTCATCACTATCAGCATGGGATGGCAGTATATTTACTTAATTAGCTAAAAGTGAATAGAGCTTAAAGTTTAGCCCTTAGGTGGGATTTTGCCGACATAGACTTCCTAGGACTTTTGTCCTATCAGAGTGGCCTGTTGTACTGTGAGCTTCTTGTGTCAAAGGTTAATTAATCTTGTCTATCCAGAGTCTAATGTTCAAATGCATGTTCATTTAATCAGGCTGTTTATAAAGTATAGTGGTTTAGTGACAAGATTATTTAAGAAAAAGTCCCCAAAAATATACTGTTGACCAGAGTAAATTAAAGGTGTAAACATTTAATAATGCCTAGAAGCCCTAATCAGAATAGATATAATTTTTACCATTCTAATCTTTTGAAAGAAACATCACAACTAGAAATGAAAAAGGTCATGTTACCACTGACCCCACAGAAATAAAAAATAACCATCAGAAACTACTACAACCACCTCTATGCACACAAACTAGAAAACCTGTAAGAGATGGGTAAATTCCTGGACACACCAATAACCTACTCCAAAATTGCATCAGTAATAAATAGCCTACCAACCAAAATATATATATATTTTAAAAAGCTCAGGACTAGATGGATTCACAGCCAAATTCTACCAGATATGCAAAGAAGAGCCAGTACCATTTTTGCTGAAATGATTCCAAAAAACTGAGAACTGTCCAACTCATTCTATGAGGCCAGCATCATCCTGATACCAAAACCTGGTAGAGACACAACAACAAGAAAAAACTTCAAGCCAATATCATGGATGAACATTGATATAGGGCAGCTTATGATTAGTATCATGACAAAGACACAAAGATGGTAAAATAAAAATTCAAGGATGGGGCCAGGCATGGTAGCTCACACCTGTAATCCCAGCACTTTGGGAGGCCGAGGCAAGTGGATCACAAGGTCAAGAGATAGAGACCATCCTGGCCAACATTGTGAAACCCTGTCTCCACTAAAAATACAAAAATTAGCTGGGCATGGTGGCACGCACCTGTAGTCCCAGCTACTCAGGAGGCTGAAGCAGGAGAATTGTTTGAACCCAGGAGGCGGAGGTTGCAGTGAGCTGAGATCACACCACTGCATTCCAGCCTGGGGACAGAACGAGACTATGTCTCAAAAAAAAAAAAAAAATGCAAGGATGGAAAAGGTGCTTTGCTTAGGGGAAGAGGGGAAAACATTCTGGGGGGAAAAATGTCTTTTGAACTGGATCTTGAAGGAGGGTTTTTACAGGTGTAGGTGGAGATAAATAGAATTCCAAACACAGAAAATGATCACAAAAAAGAGAACATAGGAAACTGAACCTATTCAGAGAATGAAATGCTGTCTACTGTCTAATTTATCTGTAAAAGAGAGTAGGGAAAGATAACACCAGGAAAGTAATTTGAAGTCAATTTGTGGAGAACTTGGGAACTTGAAATCATTGATGGCTTTTGGAGCAGACAACAAGATCAAAGCTATGTTTTAGGAGTTTCTAAGTATTATGATTAAGTGATAATAAAGGTCTGAATAAACATTTTCCTCCATAGTCTTTCAAAGTGGAAGTGTGCTTTTAGACAGATGTCTGTAGTCCTAGGGCATACATCCCTGATGTCCTCAACTACTTCACAGCACTTGGTATGAGCATTCACTCACACATGAGTGTTTAGCTACACTATATTGGCCCCTAAATGCCATAAAGTAAAAATAGAAGGGACACAAATAAAAGTCAATACTTCTCTCATGTTAATTGGGAAGTCACATGTTCCTCTCAAGTATTTCTGTCAATTAACTTAAACGTTGCTACTTCTTATACTTTTTTCTCATATCTAAAGGAATCTGCCAAAAAAGTGCCATCCTTCTAAAAGTTATTTCTAAATTCTGTAAGTTTTTGCTCAATATGTGACAATGTTGGAACATCAGTATTTTCCTCACTGGGCTGTATATCCTCCAACATATGCACAGTAACACTTGAAATGTTCCTAAACATTATGTCAGAACTTTTGGTAACATTTTGTATCTTATTTCTCCTCAGACTGTGTCTTCTGGAAGATTTTTTGGAATCCGTCTGGTGGGCAAGCTCTTTGTAAATAATGATGTCTTAGAATAGTTGTCATTACTCTTTACTGATTCTTCAGAGAATATCTAATCATTAACTTTTTAAAGATTCATTGGCTTGGAAGATAACTTTCCTAATGCTATAGAAGCTACATCCCAGGAGAAAGTGAGTTTTATAAAGTGCATTTTTAATTTTGGGGCCACAATAAAACTGTCTAGCTGGAGGCAGAATATGGTTTATAAAATAAATCATTTAGAGATTTGGTTCATGTCAAAACGATGATGGCTTCACCTTTTGAGCACTGCTGAGAATCATGACACTCCCATGTCAATCCGTTTCCATAATTTCCTAATGTTGGTTTATTAATGTTTCTGGTTGGAAGCCAATTAAAGAGGCATCTATTACTAAAAGAGGCACAAACATAACTTCTAACTAGTCATACCAAAAGAATTCCTAGAGCACTGGTGTAGAGATCAAATTGGAAGAAAAACTTCTGAAAATTTGTGTTTCTTCTCAAAATGCAAGCCCTCTTGACATCTAGAACTCACATCCCTCCATATTTCTGAGGAAAAAAAAGTTTTTTCAGGTAACTCAAATCCCTAAATATATTTTTAGAAGAATGTAGGAGGAAGTTTACCTATAACAAAAAAAAGTGTTTAATTTCTGTCATTTAGTAAAATTTTTCAATTTTATAAAAAGCATATAAGGAAAATCAATCTCCAAATTTTATGAAATACCTTCAAAAATAAAGTTTAATGTCTAGATCTTTGCAAACTTTTGTACATAATGACTAAATCAATACTGTATTGATTTTATCAATATAATAATCACTGTATCAGTTTATGAAATTAAGGTAAAAGATTAATCAGAAACTTAAAGCCTTCCCTTTCTACAGAAAACAATGCAGTTTTACAATATTAATATTAAAAGTCAATATTGGTAAGCAACATTAGATAATCACTTAAGCTAACAACAGCAGCAATAGAAATTCAGAGATAATGGCTTTAACGTGATAGCTACCAATTTATTTTAAAATATGTGCATTTCTTTTGCATATGTAAATAATGTTAAGTAATATGTTTAGCTGAAATGTAAATGGTCAAAACTTTCCTTGCTGAGTCTATTGCACTATAAGTTGGGTTTGCAGTAAGAAACTAACACATTTGTGCCTTCTCAAAGTACTAATTTTGGGTTGTATGCTATCCAGAAACTATATTAAATCATTTCTGTCCCAAAATAATGACCTTACAAAAGGAATTTAACTTTACCTAGTTCTATCACGATTGCATATTAAGGAGAGATTTAGAAGCTGGCAGAAGTTTTTGTTCAATCAGCTACCTACTAAGCCCAAAACTCATATACTGTATAGCCAAGAAAAACTAAACTATATTATCTTCCTAATTATTCTTTTGAAAAATGACTTCATGTTCATTGTCTTCTCTTCATTCTTAAAAAAGGAACTCATTTTGTAAAAGAGTCCTGACTGATAATGTGTCTCTTGACCTTGCAGGTCACTGGCCCAATGAATGTCTCTGAGCCAAATTCCAGCTTTGCTTTAGTAAATGAATTTATACTCCAAGATTTATCTTTTGAGTGGACAATTCAGATCTTCCTCTTCTCACTCTTCACTACAACAAATGCACTGACCATAACAGGAAATGGAGCCATTGCTTGCGCCCTGTGGTGTGACCGGCGACGTCACACTCCCATGTACATGTTCCTGGGAAATTTCTCCTTTTAAGAGATATGGTATGTCTCTTCTACAGTTCCCAAGATGTTGGTCAACTTCCTTTCAGAGAAAAAAACCATCTCCTTTGCTGGATGTTTTCTCCAATTTTATTTCTTCTTCTCTTTGGGTACATCTGAATGCTTGATTTTGACTGTGATGGCCTTTGATCAGTACCTTGTTATCTGCCATCCCTTGCACTATCCTAATAAATCATGACTGGGCATCTCTGTGCCAAACTGGTCATACTGTGCTGGGTTTGTGGATTTCTGTGTTTCCTGATCCCCACTGTTCTCATCTCTCAGATGCCCTTCTGTGGTCCAAACATTAATGACCATGTTGTGTGTGACCCAGGGCCACTATTTGCATTGGCTTGTGTCTGTGCCCCAAGAATCCAACTGTTTTGCTACACTCTAAGCTCATTAGTTATTTTTGGTAACTTCCTCTTTATTATTGGATCCTATACTCTTGTCCTGAAAGCTGTGTTGGGTATGCCTTCGAGCACTGGGAAACATAAAGCCTTCTCTACCTGTGGGTCTCATTTGGCTGTGGTATCACTGTTCTATGGCTCTCTTATGGTCATGTGTGTGAGTCCAGGACTTGGACACTCTATGGGGATGCAGAAAATCAAAACTTTGTTCTATGCTATGGTGACCCCACTCTTCAATCCCCTTATCTATAGCCTCCAGAATAAGGAGATAAAGGCAGCCCTGAGGAAAGTTCTGGGGAGTTCCAACATAATCTAAGCCATATTAGATTATTCCTCCATGATCAGATGAGTACAGTCTAACAAAGAGAAATCAGAATTATATAGTTATTTAAATCTAAAAAATATGGATCTAGTGATATTGACTATATCAGCCTATGAAATTAAACACCTGTTGGGCCCCTTACAAATTAAAGTTGCCAAATTATATAGATAAATGGAAGCGTGTGGCTTCCCTTTGGCACCTAGACTGAGTATTAACTGAGGAATGTACATATTTGGGTGTTTTCTGGATAGTTTCCATCTGATTCATCTGTGATAAAAATTCTTTAAGTTCTATTTGACTTAAATTTATTGTTCTGACATTGACAAAATTACAGCTATGTTATTTTGTTTGGTTGGTTGTAAATAAAAGAAGAAAAAACATATTTTCTGATTGTGATTCCTATCATATTTGGCTTTATTATTTGGTGACATGGTCATTTCTAATAAATAAGCCCTTATAAGCAATTTATCAACATTTTTGTGGGACAATAAAATATTCTAGCCTAATGACATCCAAACATTACTTCCTTCTGAGCCCCTAAAGGGCAGATTCTAATTCCATCTATAGTAATATCAGTCAAAATATTCACAAATGCATTCTTCTAAATGCCTAATATTTTTACCTAAATAAGGTATCACCAAAAACGTGATGGGTCAATTTATTGAGTTTTAGATAATAGAATATCTCCCCCTAAAAATTGGACAGGGCAATGGTGTACTTGTGGATACACTGCTTAAGTTCAAAAAATAAAATCAATGGCAGTTCATTGTCATTTGTTGCTAAAAGAATGTGAAAATAACATGAAGGAAAATTTTTAAAGGAAAAAAGCATTTATAGTTCAATTGCTCTAATGTATCTATTTTTGTTAATATGTCTGTTTCATGTGATTTAATGTTGAACTTGCTCCCATTTATAGCAAGTTTTCATAATTATCATTCTTAGAAAGCATAATATTTTATTGAACTAACATGCCATGAATTGTGAATTTTTATGTGGGGAGATGAACATTGTCCTAGACGAAGGGCCTTCTTTCCAAGAAGCTAAGAGCTGACTAGTAAAAGGGAATTTTCAGAAGGGATATTAGGAGAAAAATGAATGCCTCTACTACACAAGAATGACTTCTCACAGAATTTGTACTGTGGCATTCTGGGGTAAGGTTACTGAACACTCCAACACCTTCCTTCCTTCTACCACCAATTTTTTTGATGAACATTACAGTTATCCCATTTTTTGTTATAAAATAATATCTCAATAAAATCTCCATAAAGATTTGCCTTGATAATATTTTGCAAACCTGAATTAGGACTCATCATCTAATCTGAAACAGACTGTCCCAGAAAATACAGAATATAAGAATATGATGTATGTGCAACAATTTTCCTTTCAGATTTTTTGTCTTATAACAGTTTATTGGGAAAGAGATCATTATTCAGTTCAAAAGGTAGGAATGCATTTGTGAATTGGGGCCTGGACATTCCAGGTAGAACAATTATTTGCTCCTTGGATGTAAGACAGTATCAAGCTTTTAGTCAATCTTATTAGAACTCTGCCATATCTCTCACTTGTATAGCCGCTGAGGATCTTTCCTGTTTCCATACTCCTTTCCAGGGTATATGACTTTTAAGTTACCTGAGTTCTGATCAGCAAATGGACTCAGGAAGAACAGGTAGTCAAGGCAGGCAATATTTCCACCACAGTTTCAGAACTCCCTACTTTGTGGTACTAAGTTAATACATTTGTGCAGCCACTACCTTTTCAAAGGTTTCTTCTTACAACCTCAAATACTATGACTGGTTCACAACCTTTTCCATAGTGCTAAATTATTTGACCAAACACCGCATATATACCATATTTTTTCAAAGCCAAACTGTATCCCAAAGAGAGAGAAGGAGGGAGAAAGAATAGCAGTAAAAATACAGTGTTATTTCAGGTTGATATTTAAAAACAATTGTGCTGGTTAATGGAATTTCCTCGGGGGAAATGACAATTGAAAGTCGGTATTTTCTACTTTCAAATACAAGTCATGGTGTTTATTCGCTGCCTTTACAACTGAATAGATGGAATTCGCTGAACAAACTTTGATTCTACCCTCAATTACAACTAATTCCCTCACAAAGCAAAATTTATTTCACAACTAAACATTATGTACATTCAAGATTACTAGAAAACTTAGGACATAAGGTGCAAGTGCGACAATATTAGGAGAAAAGAAAGAGTGTGTATCAGTTTAACAGGTTTTCACATGCAAATTCACCACCACAGGGTTCGCTGTCTTGGCAACATTGAAAATAATAATAATTAACGTTTTAAGACACCTATTTTGTGTCAGGCAATGTTCCAAGTCTTTTCTATGTATTATTTTATTTCCTACTTATGAAACCCAAAGAAATTGGGTTGGTATTATTGTATCTCTAATTTTTGAAGAGTGAAACAGGCAGAAAAGGTAACTTGCCTAGTTGGAGATGGCATCTGATCTCAGGCAGGCTAACAATGGAGCCCACAGTTTTTACTACTATTAGGGGAAAAGACCAACACTATCGAACGAAATAGATTGGATCAAATCTAAGTCACTGATTGTGTGAGCTTATGCAAATTATTTGACCTTTCTGCCTAGATTTGTTTAGACTATAAAATAGAACTAATGATAATACTTTTGTCAGACAGTGGATTTGATGATTAAATGCGGTAAATCAAGGTAGGATCTTACACATAGTATTTATGGAATCTATTTCAGTTAATATTATTAATGTCTTTCATTTGTAGGGCTCTTCAGCATTTCCCAAACACTTTTATATAGTTGTTCAGTTCATCCTCACAAATTCTGTCATCACACAGTTAAGGTAGACATTCCCATACTCATTTCACTGATGAGATTCAAAGAAATCAAGTATACTGTCCAAGGTCACCCATAGTAAGTGAAGGAACCAGTTCTTCTGACTTCAAGTTCAGTAAGAATTCTGCTGTACCATACATCCTATTCTGGGAAATGTGGCTAAGTCCTGTGTAGCTAACTTCAGAACTACATGGCCATGCAAGCCAAAGAGCTGGATTTACCCCAGAAATGAATACTGTAGAGAAGAAATGAGTGAAGTAGAAGAACTAAGGGATTTCTTTCCAGTAGTTTTAAGGTAATAACTAGTCAAATTATACAAATATTTATGTAAAACGTATTTCATGTGCAAAATATGTCACTGAGTGAAAATGGCAGATCATGAAACAATAGTATTATATAATCTTACACAAACATGAAGTCATGGGATTATGGGTAATTAAGATTCGTTGTTTCCTCTTTTATGCTAATATCTTTATTTCCTAATTTTTCCATGACAAATATGCATTTTTTGTTCAATTTACAAACAACATGGAGTTAACAAAAAATTAGTGTTTACAAATGGATGCATAATTTAAAGCAATGCTTTTAGACACACCACTTACCCACACTTCCCCTCCACTTTGTGTGTAAGGGAAAGGATAATGCTACTGTCTTTGGTAAGCTTTTACCATGTCTTTACAGAGCTTCTCAAGTACTTTTCCATGTGGGGTCACTTTGTGGAGAGGAGTTAATTTGGCACCCTAGTCCTTCTATTTCACTCAGAACCAGCTTTTTCTGCAAAGGAAAGAGTGGTCCTTGATAGCAAACCCTGGCCTTGTGGTTTTCATTCTAGATGCTTAGAGCAACAACAACAACAAAAACAAAAGACAGAGACAGAGACAGAGAGAATGGAGGAACATGTCATACAATCAAATGAACCTTCCCAATCAAGAACTTTACCTGGGAACCTCCCATCTACACTTGTACACATCTCTCCCCCCAAGCTCCCTGCTTACTACTAATACAAGAACCAACTTTAATTAAAAGAGGGTTTGAATTGTTATGTTTTTGATACCTACCTTTTTTTTATTATACTTTGTTTTAGGGTACATGTGCACAACCTGCAGGTGTGTTCCATATGTATACATGTGCCATGTTGGTGTGCTGCACCCATTAACTTGTCATTTAGCATTAGGTATATCTCCTAATGCTATCCCTCCCCCCTCCCCCCACCCCACAACAGGCCCCGGTGTGTGATGTTCCCCTTCCTGTGTCCATGTGTTCTCATTGTTCAATTCCCACCTATGAGTGAGAACATGCGGTGTTTGGTTTTTTGTCCTTGCGATAGTTTGCTGAGAATGATGGTTTCCAGCTTCATCCATGTCTCTACAAAGGACATGAACTCATCATTTTTTATGGCTGCATAGTATTCCATGGTGTATATGTGCCACATGAACTCAAACAAATTTACAAGAAAAAAACTAACAACCCCATCAAAAAGTGGGCAAAGGATATGAACAGACACTTCTCAAAAGAAGACATTTATGCAGCCAAAAGAAACATGAAAACATGCTCATCATCACTGGCCATCAGAGAAATGCAAATCAAAACCACAATGAGATACCATCTCACACCAGTTAGAATGGTGATCATTAAAAAGTCAGGAAACAACAGGTGCTGGAGAGGATGTGGAGAAATGGGAACACTTTTACACTGTTGGTGGGACTGTAAACTAGTTGAATCATTGTGGAAGTCAGTGTGGCGATTCCTCAGGGATCTAGAACTAGAATTACCATTTGACCCAGCCATCGCATTACTGGGTATATACTCAAAGGATTATAAATCATGCTGCTATAAAGACACATGCACATGTATGTTTACTGCAGCACTATTCACAATAGCAAAGACTTGGAACCAACCCAAATGGCCAATAAAGATAGACTGGATTAAGAAAATGTGGCACATGTACACCATGGATACCTACCTTTTATTTATCTGTGTTTATTATAAGAACATATTTTAAACGTTTATCTCTTCTGAGTTTTTATTATGAGCAAACTGGGCACTCATCTCTTTTAAAGAACATAAGCCATTTATCTATCAAAAGTATATACTACTAGTCATCTTAATAAAAACAGAACCATTTTTAAAAGATAATAATTCAACTATGGCCAACGAAGCAAAGTATCTATGGTTGGAATAAATAATTATTACTTTTTATTAAGTAATTCAATTACTCCACATTTTACTTAAGTGTTGGAAACTCAAGATCTATCCAGGGACTCAAATTTGCTGCACATAGTAGACTTAGATTCAGCTGCATATAATAGAAACTCAAGCTACAGTAATTTATGCAACATAAAGGTTTAGTTTTCTTCTCTCATGCGTGCTTCTAAAGATAATCAGTCCACTGCAGTCCAGAGGTGGGCAGTGCCAAGATATCATCAGGGACCTAGGCTTCCCTGCCTTTTTGACAAATCTTTTGTAGTATGTGTTTCTTTCCTTAAGTTCACCTTATTACCTGAAGATGGCTGCTGAAGTGTCAGACAGTGGCAAAACTATATTCCGTTTATATATCGGAACATAAGCATGTCAAATGATAATCACCATAAACAGAAGAGACTGCAACATCTAATTTTTTAAACTGGGCACATTCTCAAATTGAATAAAATTGAGGTTGTATTAGTTAGGAAGATAATAAAATTGGGTGTTAAATATGTAGCTAACAAACTTTGCCACACATGTATTGGGTATAAAATTAAGAAAATGGACATAAGTGATAGAAGTTTAGAAGTAGCCCCTCTTCTCAAAAGCCTCACTCTAGGAGGTTGATACACCTCTTAAGCAAAACTTTATACCCAAATGAACTGCAAAAGAGACAGGAAAAGAGTTGGTGGATAGAAAAGTTTTTAAAAAACAAAAATGTTGATAAGCCAAAAAAAAAAAAAGACACTACAAAAACTCTTGCAAATGTCTATGGAAAAAAATAAATTTAAATTTATTTCCCCTATTCTCCACAGAACAAAAGGCCCACATACGGTGCTTGAAAAATAAATGCTTGGAATGGTGCTGGGAAAACTGGCTAGCCATATGTAGAAAGCTGAAACTGGATCCCTTCCTTACACCTTATACAAAAATCAATTCAAGATGGATTAAAGACTTAAACGTTAGACCTAAAACCATAAAAACCCTAGAAGAAAACCTAGGCATTACCATTCAGGACATAGGCATGGGCAAGGACTTCATGTCTAAAACACCAAAAGCAATGGCAACAAAAGACAAAATTGACAAATGGGATCTAATTAAACTAAAGAGCTTCTGCACAGCAAAAGAAACTACCATCAGAGTGAACAGGCAACATACAAAATGGGAGAAAATTTTCACAACCTACTCATCTGACAAAGGGCTAATATCCAGAATCTACAATGAACTCAAACAAATTTACAAGAAAAAAACTAACAACCCCATCAAAAAGTGGGCGAAGGACATGAATAGACACTTCTCAAAAGAAGACATTTATGCAGCCAAAAAACACATGAAAAAATGCTCACCATCACTGGCCATCAGAGAAATGCAAATCAAAACCACAATGAGATACCATCTCATACCAGTTAGAATGGCAATCATTAAAAAGTCAGGAAACAACAGGTGCTGGAGAGGATATGGAGAAATAGGAACACTTTTACACTGTTGGTGGGACTGTAAACTAGTTCAACCATTGTGGAAGTCAGTGTGGCGATTCCTCAGGGATCTAGAACTAGAAATACCATTTGACCCGCCATCCCATTACCGGGTATATACCCAAAGGACTATAAATCATGCTGCTATAAAGACACACACACACGTATGTTTATTGCGGCATTATTCACAATAGCAAAGACTTGGAACCAACCCAAATGTCCAACAATGATAGACTGGATTAAGAAAATGTGGCACATATACACCATGGAATACTATGCAGCCATAAAAAATGATGACTTGATGTTCTTTGTAGGGACATGGATGAAATTGGAAATCATCATTCTCAGTAAACTATTGCAAGAACAAAAAACCAAACACCACATATTTTCACTCATAGGTGAGAACAATGAGAACAAATGGACACAGGAAGGGGAACATCACACTCGGGGGACTGTTGTGGGTTGGGGGAGCGGGGAGGGATAGCATTGGGAGATATACCTAATGCTAGATGACGAGTTAGTGGGTGCAGCGCACCAGCATGGCACATGTATAGATATGTAACTAACCTGCACATTGTGCACATGTACCCTAAAACTTAAAAGTACTGTAATAATAAATAAATAAATAAATACGCCAAAAAAATAAAATAAAATAAATGCTTGGAACAAGAGATGAGAAAACTATTTTAATGTCTCCAAAGGCAAACTTATGTCATTGTTATTGCAAGAACAGAACAGAAGCAGAAAAAATATTCAAAAGGGCTTCAGTCAAGTCAAACAAAATATGAATTAGAGTATGGGGACTTTTCTCTCTTTGGGAGATTAAATTACCAAAACCCAGTTCTGGCTTTGATTTTTTGACTTCCTTCCCAAAAGTTTCCCATTGGCCTGTGTCCTCTGGAAAACAAGATCCGACCATTCAGATAAACATCCATCTTTCCTCTTCTCCCTCTATTCCGTAATCCCAACTTCAGTAGGAAGGTCATGTTCCTTCAGCAAGACTGTGGGTCCCTCTTCAATTGTACTGCCATAAAGGGAGCACTGGGATGGGGAGGTAGAAATGGAGAGATGATGGGGTGCTCTTACTGCAAGGAAAAAAACTCTCCTGGAAAATGGAGATGGAACTTGTTCTTTCAGAGATAGGAGGATATTATACAAAGTTAGTGGGAACTGAAATCCCCAAATCAGACTGAAAAAGAGGAAATCAAAAATAGAAAAGGTAGCTGGGAGGGGAAAGGGAGAGAATATGATGCAATTTGGGGAGATGTTAAGAGGTTAACAAAGCACTCTCCTTCTTCCCTAGAAATTCCCACCTGACAGTTAATAACAAGGGAGTCACACCTGTGTGTGACAGAGGGCAGCCAATGGCCATTGTGGAGGAAAGAATCACCGAAAAAAAGGCTTTACTCTTGCTGCACGATAAAGTGGAAAAAAAAATCCTTCCTGAGAAATTTCAACCTTGTCTCTGCTGACTTCCATTTTCTCTGCTCAGAGGTAAACAGCCGCTAGATAAGCCTTGTGGACAAGGTGGAAGAGCAAGTAAGTAGAAACTGACAGGGCAGAAAGCAGAAATGAAGAATCTCTCACACAGAGAGACTCTGCCCCTCTCCAAGGGAAGCCAGAGGCTTGAAGCCAGGCAGGGATTAGGTGGCATTTAAGAGGAATCTGTGTGTTAAGACTTGCCACAATTTAACTGCTCAAGTAAGGAGCTGTCATTTGTGGATAATGTAAGTATGCTTCAGGTGATACTATCAAACTTGATTTCCTGAAAGCAAAGGACCACTGCATAGCTCAGAATTCTATATTCCTAGGATCTCTACCTCAAAACCATTGCGTCTTCTTGGTCTGAGATTTACCCCAGCCTCTGAAATCTCCCTGAATGCTAGAATAGAGAGGGAAGCCCAAGAATAACAGGGCATGCTATTTGACACAGTCAGGGCTCAAGAAACAGACTTTGAAAAATGTGAGGAAATAGCCATGGAAATAGGATGATGGAGCACCAAATGTATTGAATGATATCCACAATGAGGTGGATGGCTTTGCAAGGTTGAGTCATCTAGATGATTCATTCCCAGGACCTTCTCAGGCCTCCTCTGAACTTTTCACTGAAATCTGAGGCATGTACACTACTCATGCTCCAGCTCCCTTTGAAGAGACATTATTACTCAAGGAAAGGCAGCTTCTGTGCTTCCAGAGCCAGCTTTCTGTGGTCACCCAGCAATGTTATCTCAAGAGAAAGACACAGAAATCCATGTCCTTTGATAGAAAATCCTCCTTTGCTCAAGGGCATGAGTTACTGAATAAGTCCAAGGAGGGTGACACTTTTCATTCTTGTTTGATGTCTGTCATTCTCGGAGCACCAGCCTGATCTGCCTCTTTCCATCTTTTCAGGGACCCAGATAGGGGACACATGATTATTGCTGATTTCATAATAGGCAACTGGAGGCTTTACCATGAAAGATGAATAAGTAAACAGTGCAACTTGGAGGTAGGGCTGGCCACCTACCACTTGGTGGCCAACGCAGGGACTGCTCACCTCCTGCTGCTGTTTCTGGAGCCTGTTGATCAGCAGCAGCTGCACAGCTACCACCGCTTTACCCGGTAGCTTCAGAAGGAGGACTATTTTGATTTACCCCAAGGTGAGGTTGAGTGGGATGCCTTCTGTGAGTGACTTTGGAGAAGGCTAAGGAAAGCCAGATGAGAAAGAGAGGATTAGAAGCTGTGAGAGGTTTAACCAGGCAGAAATCTCTCCCAGCAGGGGCCTGGATTGCCATCACATCACTGAAGGGAGGGCTCACAAAAGTGGTCTGCAGGCAGTGCTTACTCCAAGCCCGCTTTTTACACTGAAAATGATAGTTGAAGACAACATATTTGAAAGCACCTGCAAACAAAGTTCTTTCAAAAAACAGTTCTGATACCCTGCTAGTCCTCTCACACAAGGCATTCCCTTAAAAAAGAATATGCAAAAATGGGTTGGAGAATGCTATGTGCATTTTTCAAAATGAATTCCTTCTGCCTCCACTGAAAGCAATGTGTTCACTTGTTTGATAAAAAGCTACTTTATTCCAGAGGAATGAGGCAAGAATCAATGAGCTACTTGTCAGTGTTCTAAAGCTAAATTGCAAATTCAGAGTTTCTCTAATTCATGAGGTTCTCACAATAGTAGTATTGCATGAGTGAGAACAATAGTTGTGATCCTGTATTACATATGAGGAATCCAAGCACATAAAGATTAGGTGACTTACCACTGTGGCACAGCAAACTGGATCTGGTGCTCATCCTCTGAGTCACAGTCCAGGGCTCTGTACTCTCTACTGTCTTCCGCTTACCTCCAACTGATGACAGCTTACCTTGCTACGGAGTTAAATGGGCAAAAACGAGGTAAACATCTTAAAAATACACACACGTTATCTATTTCTGAGAATATTTTCACAAATTTACAGAGATTTTGCATAAAATTATAAGTGCCCCCAAACAGAAGGATAAAGTACATTGATAAAAATGGACTATAATGTTCTCATTAAGAATCATGTTTCAAAGAACACATAGTGCTATGGGGAAAGACACATGATATATTAAACAAAAGTATTAACAAAACTGCATGCACTACGATTCCAATTTTGAAAATAATTACATAGATATCTAATATACGAAATACAGAGAAACAGAGGAGGCTAGAAATGGTCTTAGAAATGGTATTGTGGATGATTTAAACTTCCTATACTTTCCTGTGTTATTATTTTTTTCTAAAATAAGCACATGTTGTTTTCATAATATTAAAATAAATTCTCTTTTGTAAATGGAAACCTTAGTGTAGACTAATTAGTTTAATTCTCTACTTTTTGTTGGCATGACATGAGCTTGAGAGAAAGTATAAATGTCTAAATCTGGAAAAACACAGCAAAAAAAAAAAAAGGTAAAAAGTCACTGCAAACAATTTCAGAGACCATCTGTTAGACAAATGGGCCAAAGAGGGCTTCTTTATATAGCCCCCTAGGGTGTTTACTTCTTTACAGTAAGCTGAATCCTGTTAACTCAAATGCCATAGATAAGATAAATTCTGGGGCTGTAAAGACCCCAAGTTGCTGCTGTACTTTGGAGCTCTCTGACACAGAGTCCACACTGGGCTACTCAGCAACATCACCTAGACAAGCAAATCTCTCTCTTATCGCCCTCTCCCCTGAGCGCTCTCTAGTCCTCCTCCCCTTCTGGATAGAGGCCTGATGCCATAGCCTCTGAAAGGTAATGCATTGAGGGACTATCCCTGCATGAAAAGCTATCTAAGCAGCTCCCCCAGGAAAACTGCCACCTCAGGGTCAGCTCCTCAAGTTTTGGCTCAGAAAGTGAAAGACTTCCACACACATTGCTTCAGGGGAAAAAAAAAAATTAGCAATTTCTTCCTTAATAGAGTTGGAGTACTTGTAGTCCTGTGGCATAACCCTGGGACTTTGCTGACCACAAGTCCAGTATTTCATCCCCCCTCCCTTTGTCTGCTGTCAACTAGTGTTCCTTAGAAAATATTATTATTGTTATCAATGTTAATAAAACTTCACGTTCTAATTAGCCTTAATATTTTCCATTACAGTTTTTTATGTTGTTGAAATCAACCTGAATGGTTTTTTTCTTGAAATATCTTAGATCGTATCATGGAATTTCAAGATTGAAAGAAATTTGCATCTGATGCTTAGATACCCTCTCCCACTTTCCCAACCTATATCTGACAAAAGCAACTGATAGAAAGTATTGTTCTTCAGCTCGTTCCATCATTGCATATATTTCTCTGTTAAAAAGTAAGTCTCCATGATGAATTAAAATGTGTCACCCTATAGAATTATAGTAATTCTGTACTTTAGAGATTAAATGGGACAAATTCATTTGCTTTATTAAATAATTACCTTTCATTTGTTTCAATAAAACTTTTTGTTCTCCAATTTAAATATCCCAATTCCTTCTACTGTTACTCATTTTCCGTACTTCTAAGTCCCCTCTAGTTGTTCTTCGCCAAATTCACTATAGTTTGACAATGTACTTCTTAAGTGAAACTAAAATGACAAATTCATGAAACAAGTGGGCAAATAGTTTAAAGTTAAGTACCACTAAAACAGATATTGATCCAAAAATCTCAACGTAAGTACAGAACCCTTGGGGCTGGCACATGTGCAGAATTGTAGAAAGAAGGGAAGAGATAGATAAGCCTTTGAAGCATTTTGTAAATTCTTTGCCATAACTGACTTCTGTCTTTATATCCTTGGACTTCATAGAACCCCTTGTTCTTACATTTTCAGTCCTAAATCCAGTATCATCTATTTTGTGGGAAAACATAGCTATGTTAGTATAAAAACATATATCAAGGCTTCCAATTATATTTGATATTCTGATTCAGGCTTAAGGTCAACTGATTATTCAGATTAGACCCAGGCCTCATCATCTTTCCCTTTTTCCCTAAAGGCTGAACCAATTAAGATCTCAGTTAAGAAACACTTTTTGAGATCTTCCCAAAACTTTCTCACTGTTATCCCTAGATGAGTCCACTTGGAAATGTTGGATGATCCAGAAGGGTCAAAAATAAACCTTGGCACATTTATTTAAAAATGAAGCAGGTGGAGACTGGAGGTCAGCAGTGAAGACTGAGTGTACACACAGCGTGCTCTTAGTCACCACTCCTCCAAGAGGAGCTGTCCAGGGTATGATAGCCATGGCTCAAAATGTGTCTGCTACATACTCTCCTAAAGAGTCAGGTGTAATCGTTGCTTCCTAAATCAGGAAAGACTGCAGTACCCTTTACATCTGCTTGTAACCACAATATGGTTATTGGGTGGGCTCCAAATAACTGCTATACTTGATAATGTTACCTTCCAACACTGACCCTTTTAAAGGCCTTCTAAGAAATTTTGGATGTGAGCGCCACTGTGTTCCTCTTTGCTGAACACTTTCTCAAATGGGAGACCAAGGAAGATGAGGTTGACTCATGTATTCCAGCAGACAGAAACCTAACTTTAGATGTCTACTCTCTACATGTTTCTATAATTCTCACACAACAGCTTCAGATAAGGCACAGCTCAGATTTTTTTCATGTCTTTTCCACTTTCCTTTAACCCTGTGTTGCATTTGGAATCAATCACAATCTTGAAAGACACAGTTCCAAACACCATAATCGAATGTTGAAAATCAAAAGAACAAAATCCTTAAAGTCTAAAATTCCAAAAATCGCCATCCCAAAAGACTGAAATCCTGAAAATTTAATTCTGGAAAAAATAGTTTTAAAAATTCTTTAAGATATATTTATTTACATTTTTAAAAGGTATTTATTTGAGTAACATATAAAAACACAAAAATAAAAACACAGCAGAACACTTCAAAGATCACCTTACACAATAAAATAAGCGATAACATACATTTTTGCAAGCATAAACATTCAGGCCTTCTATCAACAGTCACACAAGTATAAGAGTTATAAACAGATGAACTATATTCATGACGAAATAGGTCAAAAGGTGAAATATGTAAATGCATATCATTGTGGTTGGTAATTGTATGCACCCAGCTCTATAACTGTAGTCTTCTGAAATACCATGATAGACAACAGAAGTATTTTCATGATACTGATTAATCACCACCACAACAGTCACCTAAAGAACCAAGATCTCAAGAAATAATGTTTTAAATGTTTCTGTAGTACTGTAAGGTGAATATAGTTAACTATAATTTATTGTGTATTTTTACAAAGCTAGAAGAGAGGATTTTGAATGTTCACAAGACAAAGAAGTGCTAAATGCATGAGGCGATGTGCTAATTACCTTGATTTGATCACCCCATATTGTCTATGTGTATTGGACTAGTACTCTATATCTCATAAATATAATTATTACATGTCAACTAAAAATAAAAGGAAAAATATATTTTTAAAATGTTAACTCAAAAATCTTAGCTTAATAGTTGTAAAGAAAGAAGACTCTCCCATCAGAGTGAAGTGGGAGTGATCTTGCTTCAGGAAATGAAGCTGCATCAGCATAACAGGACTTTGACCTGAAGTCCTAGCTGCTGGCTGAAGCAGCCACTGAGGAGCCTTTGACAGCAAAATCTGTAAAAAACATTGCGTGATAGGCATACCTAATCGTTAAAGATAAAAACAATACATAGGTACACGAAGACATTCGTTGTATCTCATATTTTCTATAAATGTTCTAAGGAAATGTACTTGTTGCCTAGAGCTCATTTAAGAAACAAGGTTCTCTTCAGTGCAGCATGTGCTGTTTTAGGGACCCTGCCAGTGTCCTTCCAATAGGACCAATGCTCTAAAATCATCACATAAATAAAGTGTGACAAGAGTTTCAGCTTCTTGGTTTTGTACTCCTCCCTCAGACATACTCTACTTTGTACGTTTACATTTCCTCTTATCTATCTCAATTCTTCAAGCTTCCTCATTGAAAAATAAGCCCTGGAGAATGAATGGAATATGTAAATAAATGAAACATCCACCAGTAGATTATCGTTAAGAACTGTAGTATGTGTACATGATAGAATGCTTCCCCGTATTAAAGTAAATATTTTTAAAGATTATCCCAAAATATGGGTAAAGACTTAAGATAGGCTATTAAAGTGATAAAAATAGAATAAAAAGTAGAATTCAAAATTAGTCATAATATGATTCGAAGTAGAAAAAATAGGAGTAATGCAGCAAAGTATTAGTAACAATTTGATGTAAATGAACTGTGCCATTAATAATTTTTCTATATTTTTCATATTTGTCCATTTTTTGTTTCATTTTCTAAATAGTTACTTAAATTGTGCAAAATTTTCTCTACAGTTTAAATGTCTACCAACAACTCAGAGAGAAAATGTCCTACAGTGGCATGTAACTTCAAATGATCCAGACCTTTACATAAGTGCTAAAAAGTGTTAATGGTGTCATTTCTGGGAAGGAGGTGCCCTAGAAGAGGGAAACAGACTGGATTCTCAGGCCTTTAAGGTTGTCTTCTTGAGACAGTCTCAGTGTCCTAACTATCAGCACCGTGTATGGAGCCGAGACCCAATTTGCATATTTCAACAAGCTTAATTTTCTCAACAGTTATGGCTTTCACTTTCCCCCATCTTCTTCCAGCCATCTCTATTTATACACCCAAGAAACTTTCAGATTTTCCTTAGTTTCCTCTCATAACACAAACGTGCCTGAGATGTTATCAGGCACATTTATCATTCACATGTCTCTTGAAGGCGTTCAGAAGAAATGAATGGTATCCTTTCTCCTGGAACTGCATCCCACCCTGGAAAGCAAATGCTGTTTACATTACTCTTATAGGATTTTTCCAGACATATGATAAAAGAAAAAACTTCAGCTGAATTAAATTTAAAGGAGTTGAATTGAGCAATGAATGATTCACAAATCAGGCAGCCCCCAGAATCACAGCAGATTCACAGAGGCTCCAGCACAGCCATGTGGTGGTAAATTTATAGACAAACAAAAGGGAAATGACATACAGAAATCAGCAGTGAGTTACAGGAACAGCTGCATTGGTTACAGATTGGCATTTGCCTCATCAGTGTATTAATGATTGAAGTATGGCCACTGAGATTGGCTAAGACTTAGCTATTTGTTGCAGGTGCATACTCGTAAGTTAGGTTTTCAATTTTGTCTGCCTATTAAGCTAGGTTACAGTTCATCCACAAGGATTCAAATATGGAAGTACAAGTCCTTCTCAGGCCATATTTAGTTTGCTTTAACACCTATGAGCTTAATACCGACAAAGTGAACACTATTTCCTCATATCATACAAAACCAAAAGTGTTGAAACTAAATTGTCAGGATCTAATACTCAAATATCATAGTATGATATATTTTCACTTTCCCATGGTGTTCTTTCCCTCCTTTCATATATTCCTTCACTCTTATTTTTTAGCATATTCATTCATCACCCAAAACTTCATCTTATGTGCTAGGTGTTGGGCCAAGGCTTGGAGGAACAAAGTGATGCAAAATACTGACAGACTTTTTTAAATGCTTATTGAGTCAGAGGGGCATGAGATTCTGCATTTCTTTTTATAGATATATATACTTTAGGTTCTGGGATACATGTGCAGAACGTGCAGGTTTGTTACATAGGTATACACGTGCCATGGTGATTTGCTGCACCCATCAACCAATCATCTACATTAGGTATTTCTCCCAATGCTATCCCTCCCCTAGCCCCCCACCCCTGAAAAGCCCCCAGTGTGCAATGTTGCCCTCCATGTGTCCATGTGTTCTCATTGTTCAACTCCCACTGATGAGTGAGCCAACATGCGGTGTTTGGTTTTTTGTTCTTGTGTTAGTTTGCTGAGAATGATGGTTTCCAGCCTCATCTATGTCCCTGAAAAGGACATGAACTCATCCTTTTTTATGGCTGCATAGTATTCCATGGTGTATATGTGCCACATTTTCTGTATTCAGTCTATCATTGATGGGCATTTGGTTTAGTTCCAAGTCTTTGCTATTTTGAACAGTGCTGCAATAAACATACTTGTGCATGTGTCTTTATAGTAGAATGATGTATAATCCTTTGGGTGTATACCCAGTAATGGGATCACTGGGTCAAATGGTATTTCTAGTTCTAGATCCTTGAGGAATCACCACACTGTCTTCCACAATGGTGGAACTAATTTACACTCCCACCAACAGTGTAAAAGCATTCCTATTTCTCCACATCCTCTCCAGCATCTGTTGTTTTCTGACTTTTTAGTGATCACATATGCAGAAAGCTGAAACTGGATCCCTTCCTTACATCTTACACAAAAATTAACTCAAGATAGATTAAAAACTTAAGTGTAAGACCTAAGCCCATACAAACCCTAAAAGAAAACCTAGGCGATGCCATTCAGGACATTGGCATGGGCAAAGACTTCATGACTAAAACACCAAAAGCAGTGGCAACAGAAGTCAAAATAGACAAATGGGATCTTATTAAACTAAAGAGCTTCTGCACAGCAAAAGAAACTATCATCAGAGTGAACAGGCAACCTACAGAATGGGAGAAAATTTTTGCAATCTATCCATCTGACAAAGGACTAATATCCAGAATCTACAAAAAACTTAAACAGATTTACAAGAAAAAAACAAACAACCCCATCAAAAAATGGGCAAAGGATGCGAATGGACACTTCTTAAAGAAGACATTTATGCAGCCAACAAACATGAAAAAAAAGCTCATCGTCACTGGTCATTAGAGAAATGCAAATCAAAACCACAATGAGCTATCATCTCACACCAGTCAGAATGGAGATTCTGCATTTCTAAAAGTCTCCAGCTGACACTGATGTTGCTGGTCAATAGACCATACTTCATGTAGCAATGATCTAGTGATGACCTAGTTAAAATGTCCAAGGAGACAAGTTCCTGAACAAAAAAGCCTCAGAAATATCTCTACCTCACCCACATAATGATGAGAAAAAGTCAGAATTGGGAGTGATTCTTAAAAATCAGTGTTTCTCTCTCAAAGTCAGGTTAAGGAGTAGACATTGCCTGATTTCTATTAAATCCTACTAAGATTCTGCCAGATAGTAGAAAACATTGTAATACAAATTGAAAAACATCTTTGTTCCTGTCATTTATTGATTTATATAACATGTTATTTGTTGAGAACCATGGTGCACTGGGATGTGTGGTACTAATCAGGGATACATGGTGACCTAAACTAGACCTGGAACACTCTTGAGGAGCTTACAATCTAGTATAAATCCTAAACACTGAATAAAATAGCCAGGTAAATAAATGCCAAATTAATCATTCAGTAAGTGTTATAAAGGAAAGGTACATTAAGGCCTAACATGATTCAATGGAGGTGGCGCAGGGAACTCTGTCTCACTCTTCATACCATAAAAGGCTTCTTGAGAAAGGAATGCTTGAGTTGAGACCCTAGAAAAATGAATAACATACTTTAAATAAAGGGAGATGAGGGTGAAAAGTGGATTTCAGGCACAGAGAATAGAATATGACATGATTTCATCTCCCTTTTTGAAACAGTAACTGTGGCCACGGTAGTGAAGAGTTTAGAGAAGGACAAGGGTAAATGTGAAACTAATTATGAGGCAAGTATATTTGTTTTTGTATTTTTGTGTATTTTTGCAAGACAGGATGAATTTTATTCTGTTTTTAAAATAAGTAAATTTATCTTTGTTCTTTGGAAGACCTCTAGTAAAGAATAAATGTCATGACATGTTAATCCTGAAAATTGTTATAGTTGCTCAAAAAAGAAACTCAAGAACTAAAATTGGATCCTATCAACCCAGATAAAACACTGAAAATTATGAAACTTTCACTCAAAATACAGTGATAACTGCAGAAAAGCAGCAACTATTTAATCATGCCCACCAACAATGTGCAGTGTCCTCCATGGGCCAAACACACTCCAGGTGGCGGCCATGGATGGAGGGGAAGAGGACTGGGGTTTTCTATGGGGTGATGGCAGTGTTTTGGAGCTCAAAAGAGGTGGTGGTTGCACAATGTGAATGTGCTGAATGAGGCAAGTATATTTGAAAAAGATGGAGGCAGTCAGTAGAGGTGGTGGTAGAAATTGAAGGAAATGCATATTATTACATATTTGGGAAGTAAAATGTATTTAAAGATTGGAAATGGAGGTGAACGGTTAGAAAGATGGTCAGATACCTTGCCATGGCGCCTCACCCTAATACTTCAGTGCATGCCAGCCTGACTTCCAGCATTCACCCCTGCATTTCCTTACCTGAGGGCTTTCTCTGATCACAGAAGCCGCTTTTGCTGTCCCTGCTGCAGGTTGGGCATGCTGAGGAATCAATGCCGCTAGGAGACAGTCCATAACTAATGACTATCAGAAACTGTTGTACGAATACCCTTTATCTCTCAGCATGTTTCTGAGATGAGTTATCTACACTGGATCTCAGAGTTATTCCAAGTTTAATCCACAGTTATCCATTCTGGTAACTGCTTCATAGTTCACTCTTGATAAGGGTCTTTGCCCCACTTCCCAGTTCTCCTACCAGAGATTCTGATACCTACCAAATGAATCACCTGCAGGTGAATCTTAGTCTCTGGATCTGCTTTCAGGGTAGCACTGTAGTCAGATGAATGGGAATCCATTCTCTCAGAAATGCAAGAAGGGAATGTGGTTTGGCAAAGTTCATTAGATCAATTTTGGAGTTGAGTTTGAGGTGCCCCTGAAACATTCAAGTAAAACTATCATCCAGCAGTCAAATATTAATACCATGTAGCAGTTGTCATCTGGAACTCTGAGGATGCAATTTGTATTAACAATTTGATATACTCATTGGCAAATAAGTAATAACCAAAGCTTTGGAGAAGAAAATGACCTAGACAATAGTATAGCATTGAAAGATGTGAAGGCCTGGAACTCAGCCTCACAGAGCTTCAGAATTTAATGGCCAAATAAAGGAAAAGAAGCCCACAAATCAAATAGAGGAGTTGTAGCCAGAAATGTGGGAGTTTTCTGGGCAATCAGGAGGCAAAGTAGAATAGAGTTGACACTGAAGCCAAAGGAAAAAATGTGTTGGAACAGCAGTGCTGAATTCTGCTGAGAAGAGATACATCTTGAAAAAAAAATGTCCATAAGACTTAGACACATGAATGTTATTGGTGATTTCTGCAATGGCCATTGCAGGGTTATGATGGGGAGGGAACCATATTTAAATATATTCAATGTGAGGCAGGCATGAAGAAGAGATGAGGCTTTCTTGCTGTGTGTTAAGCATGCCAGCCATCCCCCTGCCTTGTGGCGCCTACACATACCATCTCCTCTGCCTGTAATGCTCTTTTGCTAGATATTTATATTTCTTGCCCCAACACTTCCTTCAAGTCTTTTCTCAAATATCACCTTCTCAGTGAGGCCTTCCCTGACTAGCTATTGAAAATTACACCCAGTGGGGATGGGGAGATATTGGTTAAAGAGTTCAAAGTCTCAGCTAAACAAGATCAATAAGATCTGGAGATGTACTGTATAGCATGGTGACTGTAATTAATAATAACATATTGTTCAGTTGTCTCTTTATATCTAGGGGAGACTAGTTCCAGCTCACCCTGGAGACAACAAAATCAGCAGATGCTCAACCGCCTCATATAAAATGGTGCAGTATTTGCATATAACTTACACACATCCTTCCATGTAGTTTAAATAATGTCTACATTTCTTATAGTAGCTAAGACAATGTAAATGCTATGTAAATAGTTGTTACACTATATATTTGAATTATTTTTTGTCATATTGTTATTTTTATTTTTTTCTAAATATTTTCCATCTGTGATTGAATCTGCAGATGCAGAACCACAGATACTAAGGGCCAAAAGAATACTTGAAAATTGCTAAGAGAGTTGATCTTAAATGTTCTCACAACAATAAAATGGCAAGCATGTGAGGTGACAGATATGTTAATCAGTTTGATTTAATCATTTTGCAATGTACACATATATCAAAATATCACCTTGTATACCATAAATATATACAATGTTTTCAAATTAAACCTTAATTAAGCTGAGGGAAAAATGTACACCTGCCACCTGTCACCTCCAACACACACTTCCTATTGACCTGAACCTTCTAATTTTTCTCCATCTTTACTCATCGCCCCCCAAGCATGCCACATAGTTTATTTACCCCGTCTTCCCCCATTACAATATAACTTCCACAAGTCAGGAATTTTTATCCATTTTGTTCACTGCTGTATTCATGAGTATTTATAGTAGTGTCTGGAATGTTAACAATTATTATTGTTGAATTAACTAATCAATTATTATTTTAAAAATATAAATAAACATGTATATTACATTTTGCATTTAAACGCCATTAGAGCCCAACTATAAATATAAGTATAGATGGAAGGGGAAACCTTAAATGGTTTTATCCTTATATTCTTTTTGCCAATATGTTTTCCCACATTTCTCTACAATAAACTTCTACACCTTTATAATATTGAGAGTAAATATTTCTTAAGAAAAATTATCCTTAAGAGAGAGCTCAAAAAAATAAATAATTCACAAAAAACTGCTGTGAAGGCTATGCATGGAAAGGGCAGAAGGGAGATGGAGGGAGTGCAGAGACCTGTGGGCTGAGTCTGAGCCTCAAGGCTTTTTCAGCATGAAACTCAGCAAAGACAGGTGTTAAAAAGGCCTGCCTCCCACCGCCCCTGCTGGTCACTAAGCTTAGGCAATCAAAGTGTACCAGTGTTTTTTCACTGCCCAGCATATACTGATTTAAGGACTCAACACTCTGACTTGAGAAAACCTAAAACATGAAGTTATCTCAAAGGTGGGTGAGATTCTAAGGAGGCTCAAATATATAGTCCTCAATTAATTCTCACCTCAACTTAGTTACAATCTGATACAACATATTAGGAGACAGGAACAGCACAGTGGTAAAAATCAAACCTCACCTCAAAAGATCGTAAATTATTGCTCTCAGATTAGTATTAACTGACACAATATGTGCAGTGAGTATCTTCTCTTCCTCCTCCCGAATTACAGAAGAGAACGTGAAAGACTAGGAGCCATACACATTACCCCAGGGAAAGCAGAGTGAAAGGGCAGTCTGGGTGTCCTTAACTGCACCACTCACAGAGGGGGCCTGTCCCACAACCAGCCAGGTTATTTCAACCTATTCTTACCTGACAAAAAGGATCTGGGGGCCTTGGCTCCACTGTAGGTGGGTAATTTTATTCCAACTGGTTTTGGGTGCTAGTTTTCTGCCTAGTGGTCAAATTCAGAAACCCAATCAGGACCTAGGTCTCCACCTGGAGCTCTTAGGTTAGCTAATCAATGTCTTCTTGGTCCTCAAGGAAGGGTTTATTGTTTTTGTTTGCTTGTTTGATTGGTTGTTTGCCATTGCATTAAAATTCTTTCTTACCCAGCAATTGATGAGTTCAAGGCTATCCTGTCACATTTCGTGATGTGGCCTGAGCCCTCCCAGAGCGTTACTGACTGGGACCAACTACTAACTAAAGTTTAGTGAAGAGAAGACAATGAGCTTGCTGGAACGTCACAGAGGCTTGGTTGCCATGGTAGTGATTGTCAGATGAGATCACAGAGAAGGGTGTAAGAGAAAAGAAAGAAAAACATGCAGGAAAAGCTGAAGCATAATATTATACTAAAATATATATATATTATATATATATATTTTATACATATTTATACTGTCTAAACTTACAGTGGAGTAATGTGTTGAAACTTGAGGGGAAAACTACTTTTTGAGAAAGACTGACTTTCCAGCATCTTCTTAGAGAGATGTGGTTTCATGGAAGAATGGTGTCTGAGCTACATTTTGTCTTATTCTAAAAGTAAAAGGAATGGGACTGATCTGGAAGCACATAGATTCCAGATCAATACTAATACCAGACTATTGTAATGCCAATTTATAAAAGGAAGCTAGGTATCCATTAAAGTGACAGAAAACCAACAGGTATTTTTTGTAACAGATCATTGAGTTGGATGTGAAATGGTTTAAAGCTTTAACTATTCCAGGGGCTCCTGCAAAGTGTAAACTTAGTGTTTCCTTGAGTTAGCACTGAAAGGAGAGCAGGATTGAGGGACAAAAGAAGCAATCCAGTCATCTAGTAATATGACTCTGGATGATGTTTGCTCTAAATTGCTCCCAGCATCAGTATGTGGAAGGTGGACAGTGTGTGTGAACTTCAAAGCCCCCGCAGGGCTTCAGTTGGCTTGAATAAAATGTTACTGGTTATCCTGCCACCTTGTGGCTATGGGCCAACATGCCAGGGTGTGGAGGAGGAAGGGAGGAAATTAATGAATCACAGAGTTGCCTGACTGAAGAAGGAAAGCTCAGAAACACATCCTCTTCTCTCTTCCCTGTAGATGTCAACTTGCCCATCACTTGATTAGCTAAAAGTGAATAGGGCTTAAAGTTCAGTCCTTGAGTGAGATTTTGCTTATATAGCCCTCCTAGGACTTTTGTCCTATCAGAGTAGCTTGTTGCACAGTGTGCTCCTTGTGATCAACAGTTAGTTAATCTTGTCTCTCCAAAATCTAAAGTTTAAATCCTTATTCATTAAATCAGACTGTTTATCAAGTATAGTGCTTTACTAACGAGATTATTTCAGAAATAAGCGAACAAAACAATAAGACGTATGCTGTTTGTTTTTTGAGACAGGGTCTTGCTCTGTTTTCCAGGCTAGAGTGCAGTGACACAATCACGGCTCACTGGAGCATTGACCTTGTGGCTCAAGCAATCCTCCTACCTCAGCTTCCCAAGTAGCTGGGACCAAAGGTGTATACCAACACGCCCAGCTAGGTGTTTTTATGTCTGTCTGTTTGTTTGTTTTATTTTGCAGAGATGGAGGTCTCCCCAGGTTGTCCAGGCTGGTCTCAAACTCCTGGGCTCAAGTGAACCTCCCGCCTTGGCTTCTCAAAGTGCTGAGATTATGGGCGTGAGCCACTACACCTGCCCAATATTGTTGATCAGAGTAAAGAAATGACATAAACACCCAGTAACAGTTAGAAGCCGTATTCAGATTAGCTATAATTTTCACTAGAACCATCCCAATCTCTTGAAAGATAAAACATCAAATTAAATGTAGCCAAATCTAATTGCTTCACCTCTGATTTTTTTTTAATCACTTGAAAAGGGTAATGGTTCCCTCACATTTTGTATATAAAATCTACTGGCTAGGGGAAGGCTCAGAAACTTGAATGTTAAATAGGATCCCAGGTGATTCTTACACACACTGAAGTATAAAGGTCACTGGACCATTCTAGTGGCCATGGGTCCCCTCTGGTTGGCCTGTAGTTGAAATCTATGGGAACAACTTTCAAACTACCACATCTGAGGAATCAGTGGAGGTTAGGAGGTTACTTTTAGAAGGTGATTGGGAATGTACTCGAATTTGAGATTTGTTAAAGTTCATTATAGTTATCACATATGAAAGAAGAAGCACACATGAGGAAAGGAGAGCTCTGGGGCTCCATGATAATTCAGCATGCCACAAGAGAACACTGAGACACAATTAAATGAAATCACAACAATGATAGATGAGCAAGATAAAAATATTGAAGTAAAGATATAGAAATTTTACAAGAAGAAACAATTAGAAATTCTGGAGCTAAGAATTCTATGACGGAAATAAAAAAATCACTAGGGGGTGTTCACAAGTAGACTTGATCAAACAGAAGAAGGAATCAGCTAATCCAGACACCAGTCATTTCAAATTACATAGACAAAGGAGCAAAAGAAAAAAGAATAAAAAAGAGCCAATGAACCTACGGACTTAAGGGACATCATAAAGTGAAATAATATACTGATCACAAAAGTTCCAGATGGAGAAGAGAAAAATAAGAAGGAAAGTACGGTGCTGGCTAAAAGCTTGCCAAATCTGTAGAAGAAAAAGGACATACAGATACACGAGGCCAAATGGAACTGAAATAAAACAAATTCAAGGGAAGTCCACACAAAGACATATTATAATTATATGTCAAAAGTCAAAAAGAGTGAATTTTGAAGAAGCAAGACAATGCTGAAAGAGAGAAATTCTCAACCAAGAATGCAATTTCTGGAAAAAAATTTAAAATGAAGAATAGATAAAGACTTTCTCAAGCAAAAGCTGAGAGAGACAACTTCATCACCACTAGATTTGTCATAAAATAAATGACAGGTGAGCTCTTTAACTCAAACAAAATAATACTAAATAGCAAAACTAAGCATAACTAAGCATATTAAAATATAAAACTTACTGGAAAAGCTAATTTTTTAAACAAATACAAAATTGTGCAACATTGTAATGGTGGTGCACCTTTTTCTAATATGAAAGTCAAAAGACAACAAAGTAGAAATTACTATAACTACAGAAGTATAATAGTAGATATACACATATAAAAGATGTAATTGTGACATCAATAACAAAGTGGGAGAAGTGCAGAATTTTTTATGTGATTAAAGATGAGTTGTTATTAGCTTAGAATAAACTTTGCCTCCATATATATGATGTTTTACATAAGCCCCAAGGTAACCAAAAAAATAAAATACTACAGAAAATATACAAAAGAAAAAGAAAAGGAAATAAATACATATCAATACAAAAATATCAATGAACACAAAAGAAAACAGCAAGAGAAAAAAGAAAGAAGAATTATAACACAGACAGAAAAAATAAAATGAAGTGCCATAGCAAGTCCTTACTTATTAATACAACTTTGTAAATACAGTTGTCCCACAGTATCCATGAAAGATGGGTTTCAAGATCGCCTGTGGATACCAAAATTTATGGATGCTAAAGTTCTTTATATTAAGTGATATAGTATTTGCATATAACCCATGCACACCATCCCCTATACTTTAAACCATCTCTAGATTACTTATCATATCTAATAGAATGTAAACAGTATATAAATACTTGTTACACCATCTAGTTTGCATTACTTTTATTATTCCATTTTTTATCATTGTTATTTTTATGGGGGTGTGTGATTTTTTTTATGCATGGTTGGTTGACTCTGTGGATGTGGAACCTACATCCAGCTGACTGTAAATGGATTAAAAATTCCCCAGTCAAAAGACAAAGAACGTCCAAATGCATTAAAAAATAAAATCAAACTATAGGCTGTCAACAAGAGACTATAGATTCAAGGATGCCCAAAGGCTGAAAGTGAAGGGAGGGAAAAAAATATTCCATGCAAATCATAACGAAAAGACAGCAGGAGTGGCTAAATTTATACCAGACCAAATAGACTTTAGGTTAAAAACTGTCACATGAAATAAAAAAGGTCATTATATAATGATAAAAAGGTCAATTATCAGGATGTTAGAACAACTATAAATGTATAGGCACCCAAGATCAGAGTACCTAACTATATATAAGGCAAACATTGACAGATTTGAAGGGAGAAATAGACAGCAATAAAATAACAATGAGACACAACATTACGCCACTTTCAATAATGGGAATGACTCTCTAGCAGAAAACCAGTAGGGAAACAGCAATCTTAAACATCCTATAAAACAAAAGGACCTCATAGACATGTACAGAACTATCCAGTGACAGCAGAATACACATTCTTCTCAAGTGACTATATAACATTTTTAAGGATAGGTCATCTGTTAGGCCACATAACAAGCACAAGTAAATTTAAGAATATAGAAATTATGTAAGTAGGAAAAGTATCTTTTCTATCTATAATGATATAAAACTAAAATCAATAACAAGCAAAACTAGAAAATTCACAAATATGTGGAAATCAATACACTCTTGAAAAACCATTATGTCAAAAAGATATCGAGGGAAATTAGAATGTATCTACATATAAAAAAAGACCAAAAACGCAAAATAACAAAACTTATGGATGCAGCTAAAGTGGTATTGAGGCAGTATAGCAATAAACATCTACTCTAAACATAAGAAAAATGTCCAAAAACAAACCCACCTTACTTTAAACTTCAAGGAAGTAAAAAGGAACAAATTAAGCCCAAATTTACCAAAGGAATTAAATAACAGAGATTAGAACAGAAATTAAATAAATCAAATACAGAATAGGAAAACAATAGAAATAATCGATGAAATGTAAAATAATGTTGGCAAATCTTAGCTAGACTAACCAAGAAAAAATAGAGAAGACTCAAATAAATAAAATCAGAAATGAAAGAAGAAACAATACAACTCATGCCATAAAAATACAAATGATCATAAGGGATTACTATAAACAATTATTTGACAATAAATTGGAAGGCCAAGAAGAAATGATAAATTTCTGGAAATGTACACCCTCCTATGACTGAATCATGAAGAAACCGAAAATTTAAACAGACCAATAATGAATAAGAAGATTGAATCAGCAATAAAAAACTGATTAAAAACCTCTCAGCAAAGAAGCTCAGGAAGAGATGGCTTTGTTAATAAATGCCACCAAACATTTTTTTAAAATACCAGTTCTTTATATACTCTTCCAAATTATTGAAGAAAAACCACATTTCCAAACTCATTAAATGAGGCTAGTATTTCTGTGATATCAAAGCCAAAGACTTTATAAGATAAGAAAATTACAGGTCAATATTCTTGATGAATAAAGATGCAAAAATTCTCAACAAACTTAAATACTCACAAACAGAATTCAACAGCACATTAAAAGTATCACACCTCATGATCAAGAGAGATTTATCCTTGAGATGCAGGGATGATTCAACATATGCAAATCAATAAATGTAGTACACCACATTAACAAAAATACTAAAAACATATAATCTCCATAGATTCAGAAAAAGCATTTGGGGCCGGGTGCAGTGGTTCACGCCTGTCATCTCAGCACTTTGGGAGGCCAAAGTGGGCAGATCACGATGTCAAGAGATCGAGACCATCCTGGCCAACATGGTGAAACGCCATGTCTAATAAAAATACAAAAATTGGCTGGGTGTGGTGGTGTGCACCTGTAACCCCAGCTACTCAGGAGGCTAAGGCAGGAGAATTGCTTGAACCTGGGAGGTGGAGGATGCAGTGAGCGGAGATTGCACCACTGCACTCCAGCCTCGTGACAGAGTGAGACTCCATCTCAAAAATAAATAGATAAGAAAAAGAAAAAGCATTTGGAAGTGGCTGGAGCAAAATGGTGGAATAGAAAGCTCCATCAATTGTCCTCCCACAGGAACACCAAATGTACCAACTGTCTACACAAACACAGCACCTTCATAAGAACCAAAAATAATATGAGCACTCACAATACCTGGTTTTATCTCCGTATCATTGAAAGAGGCACTAAAGAGAGTCAGAAAGAGAGCCGTGAATTGTTGATGCCAACTCTCCCTCATCCCCACTACAGCAGCCACATGGCACAGAGAAATGTGTGTTTGGGAGAGGGAAAGTGCAGCAATCGTGAGACTTTGCATTGAACTCAGTGCTGCCCTATCACAGTGGAAAGCAAAACTGTGCTGAACTCAGCTGACACAGACCCACAGAGGGAGCCTTTAGACAAGGTCCAGCCAGAGGGCAATTTGCCCACTCCAGCAGATGGAGCTTGAGTTCTGGCAAGCCTTGCCGCCATGAGCTGGAGTACTCTAGGGTCCTAAATAAATTTGACAGGCAGTCTAGGCCACAAGGACAGCAAGTCCTGGTGCTGAGCTGGGCTTGGAGCCAATGGACTTGGGAACACATGACTTACTGAAACAACAGCTGGGGCAGCTAAGAGAGTCCTTGCCCACACCTCCCCTAACCCCAGCAGCACAGCTCGTGGCTCCAAAAGAGATCCTTTACTTCTGCTTGAATAAAAGAAAGGGAAGAGTAAAGATGATGTTTGTCTTGCATCTTAGATCCCAGCTCATTACAGTAAGAAAGAATATTGGTCCGTCATGAGGCACCATTCCAGGCCCTAGCTCCCAGATGACATTTCTAGACACACCCTGGGCTAGAAGGGAACCTGCTGCCTTGAAGGAAAGAACCAGTCCTGGCAAGACCCATCACCTATTGACTAAAGAGCCCTTGGGCCCTGAATAATGAGAAGCAACACCCAAATAGTATGCCATATGCCTTGGGTGAGACTCGAGACATACTAGCTTCAGGTGAGACCTAGCACATTCCCAGCTGTGGTGACTACAGTGACAGACTCCTTCTGCTTGAGAGAAGCAAAGAGAAAGGTCAAGGGGACTTTGTCTTGTACCTTAAGTACCAGCACAGTCAAATGGGCATAGTGCATCAAGGGGGCTCTTGAGGTTCCCTATTCTAGCCCATGGCTCTTTTATGGCATTTCTGGAGCTTCTCTGGGCCAGAGGGGAGCCCATGTCCATGAAAGGTGATTCCCAGGCATAGCAGCATTCACCACAAGCTGACTGAAGAGCCTGTGGGCCTTAAGTACACACAGGTGGGAGTGTGGCAGTTACTCACCATAGGCCTGTGATGGTGGTGGCCACAGGGTCATTCTCCTCTGCCTGTGGAAAGAAGAGGGAAGAGTGGGAAGGGCTGTGTCTTGTGGCTTGAGGGCCAGCTCAGTTGCAGTATAATAGAACACCAGGTAGACATCTAAGGTTTTTGACTCCAGTCCCTGGGTACCAGACAACACCTCTAGACCTACCTGGGGCCTGGAGGACTCGCTGCATGGAAGGGAAGGACACAAACCTGGCCTCAGGTGATGTATCTAATGTAAACTACATAATCTATAAGAAATATGTAAATAATATTTTCCTATGATATATAACCTCAGTTCCTAACACAGATGTCCAGAGGCAAATCTTTCAAATTCACAAGCAAAAATTAGATAGAAGCAAGTTACATGTGAACAAATGGAATCAGATGCAATGAGAGAAAACAGCTAGCACATTATATACATAGCTGAAAGCTGGACAGAATAAAAACTTTAATTTTAGATTCAATGTATTTAGAAGCACAATAGAATTTAAATGGTACATTTAAACATGTGAGAGTGTTTTTCTACTCTAAAACTGGAGAGGAGAGGGGAGGAGGATTTAATGAGATAATGAACATTATGTAACTGTCACAATAAACATTTAATACATGACAGTGGTTGTTGTTATGCTTACTATCTTAGAAGTCAAATGTTCTTTAAAGAAAGTGTCCAAAAGTAGATTGATGCCATAAATGGTGCCAAGAATTAGGGCAAAGGGCAGGTCAAAGGTGAATAGGGGATATGATGTAGCAATTGTCAGCTTTGGTTAGTAACCTGGTTAATGTCCTCCTTTATTATAAATAGGGATCTAATTCAAAGGAAGGAACAGTATAATACATACACAATATACTTTTGCAACCATCTGAGCTGACAAAAAAAGCAGGGTCCCACAATAGCAGAGGCTTATGAGAAAAAGTCTGAACTGAATATATGAACACCTAAGTTTTAGGCCTCTTTCTTCTAACAGCCAACATAACTTTGGATCATTCTAACCTCTCTGGTCTCAGTTTCTGTGATACGAGGAAATTGAGCTTAATAAGACTAGAGGTCCTTTCTGACACTAACATTCTACACTGGTGTATTCCTCTCACATTTTTACAGTTAAATTTATGGTTTATTTTTTAATATAAGATAATTCATCACCAGTATAGTAACAAGATGAGAAGGCATCTGAGCTAAGGAAATAGATGTTTTTCCATCTGCCTCTTGCTGTTTTTCTATCATAGAGCAAGATCTTCCTAGTAAAGGGTTGAAGGCAACTTTTCTGTGTCAAATTAGCTGTTGCTCAGCAAATAGAAGTTAAATGCCACTATACGGAACAAACAAACACGTGCTAGCATGAAATCTGTGGCAGCATCCTCAGTACCCTACTTCAGTCAACAGAACTATCCAGGACAGATCTCCTAAAAACATAATTTATTGACAACATAATGAGGTTCTCTTTTTGTACTCACCTAATTCAATTTTAGATTATGTTTAAACTGATTTTTCTTAGAATTTTTCAAAATACAATACAAAATTTTCTAATAGGGAGAAATTATATGTATAAATATTTGAATATGTGTATTACAAAACATTACATCAAAGCAGAATTAATTTAAATGCAAATAGAGAAAGTCGTTTGGACCCTATGTTATGTGATGTCAATGAAACTTACACTCTGAAAAACAGAGATATGATATAGTGGAGGCTGTGGGATCACGTAGTAACATGTTGAGCCACATTCTCCCATAACCCTGATTTCATTGAACTAAGACAAAGATGGGAGGTGAGTTATTGAATTGAGAACTATATGGAACTTTTCACAAAAGTGCATTAAAAGATTGTCTTGGAGTCAAAAGAAATAAATATAACACTTTAAGAGAGAGAAAATGGCTATTGTAGTGGTCCCTATCGTTCATTTCCTTCATAGATTAGAAGAATGAGTGTCGTAGAAGCCAATAACATTTCTGGGCCTGTGAGTGAATTTATCCTCCTGGGCTTCCCCTGCCTGCTGCAGGGAGACCAAGATCCTCCTCTTTGTGGTCTTCTCCCTCATCTACCTTCTGACCCTCATGGGTAACACATCCATCATCTGCGCTGTGTGGTCAAGCCAGAAACTCCACACACCTATGTACATCCTCTTGGCTAATTTCTCTTTCCTGGAGATCTGCTGCATTAGTTCTGATGTCCCAAAATGTTGGCCAATCTCATCTCCCATATCAAGAGCATCTCCTATGCTGGCTGCCTGCTCCAGTTCTTCTACTTCTCCATGTGTGCTGCAGAGGGCTACTTTCTGTCTGTGATGTCCTTTGATCGGTTCCTTACCATCTGTCGACCTTTGCATTATCCCACAGTCATGACTCACCACCTGTGTGTCCGATTAGTGGCCTTCTGCAGGGCAGGTGGTTTTCTATCCATACTGATGCCTGCAGTGCTTATGTCCCGAGTGCCTTTCTGTGGCCCTAACATCACTGACCATTTTTTCTGTAACCTGGGACCATTGCTGGCACTGTCCTGTGCCCCAGTTCCCAAAACTACTCTGACTTGTGCTACAGTAAGCTCTCTCATCATCTTCATCACCTTCCTCTACATTCTTGGGTCCCATATCTTAGTTTTGCGAGCTGTTCTGTGGGTCCCAGCTGGCTCAGGCAGGAACAAAGCTTTCTCTACATGTGCTTCCCATTTCTTGGTTGTTTCTTTCTTCTATGGCTCAGTCATGGTGATGTATGTGAGTCCAGGCTCCAGGAGCCACCCTGGGACACAGAAATTTGTGACATTGTTTTACTGCACAGCAAACCCATTCTTTAATCCCCTGACCTACAGTCTCTGGAACAAAGATATGACAGATGCCCTTAAAAAAGTGCTGGGAGTGCCATCAAAAGAAATATCTTGGAACACACTGAAATGATATACATTCTTCTACAATTATTCCATAAGAAATGCAAAATTTCTCTCATTTAAAAAAAAACTATTTTCTGGTGATGTCTGAGCACTTGGCTTCTTACTCATAAAAGCGTGACTCATTACACACAAAGAGCCCTGATCCTATCTCAAAGCAAAAAGTATACAAAGTCCTAAGTTTCATCGTAGGTAAGATCTGTACAATTTTTATTCATCTATGTATCATTTTTCCATTTTGGAGATTTTTTAAGTCCTAAAACTATATGTAATTCAGTTGGTATGTACAAAGCTAAGACCCATGTTTCTAATTTGTATTTTGGCTTTATCCTAATGCAACTTTATGTATCTTAAATGTGTTTTAAATTTATCAACTGTTTTTTCCTTGCCAACTATAGGTTTTTCTATAATGAAAAACAGCATCTACTCACTGTACTCACAAAAATTAAATTGCTTTATCTATAATATCAAAGAACGAGAATCCGTCACTGAAACAAGAATGTTTTTTAATTTGTATTTTCCTTATTACTAAGTCTTGGTAAGGTGTTCATGGTGCGCAGCAAATAAAAACTAGAAATGGTATAGATTCTTAAGGGAAATTCCTGTTCCAGCTCTGAAGAGAATGCATAGAAGGGCATGCATACATTCAAATATGCCAAATAATTAAATATTTCTTACTCAAACCTGGGCTTCTATACTTTCTGAGCTTATAGTGAAGAAACATCTACCGTTACAGAAAATAAACATAGGATACCAGGGAATCAACTCTATCAACCAAAATATAAGCTACCTTAAAGCAGTCACCACCTGGATTAAGAAAATGTGGTGCATATACACCATGGAATACTATGCAGCCACAAAAAATGTTTGAGTTCATGTCCTTTGTAGGGACATGGATGAAGCTGGAAACCATCATTCTCAGCAAACTATCTCAAGGACAAAAAAACAAACACCGCATGTTCTCACTCATAGGTGGGAATTGAACAATGAGAACACTTGGACACAGGAAGGGGAACATCACACACCGGGGCCTGTTGTGGGGTGGGGAGAGGAGGGAGGGATAACTTTAGGATATATACCTAATGTAAATGACGAGTTAATGGGTGCAGCACACCAACATGGCACATGCATACATATGTAACAAACCTGCACATTGTGCACATGTGCCCTAGAACTTAAAGTATAATAAAAAGTACATATAAATAAAAAATAAATAAAAAATTAAAAAAAGTCACCACTTAACATAAACTTCTTTACTTAACCTGATCACCTGCCAACACTCTGAAATTTTCATATTTTTAACTAAGGCACAAAAATTAGGGGGATAGGAAAGAGAGGTGTTTGTGATGTTGTCTCCAATATGTTGAAGAGAAAGTTAATGATTTGACTAAAAACATCCAGTCTACATTAGACTTCATATTCAAGTTTTTTCTGTGAACATATACCTCTTTTATTATTTGTTAAATTTTATTTCTAATGAACACATGATAATTATATATTTATGGGATACAATGTGATGTTTTGATAATCATTTACATTGTGAAATGATTAAATCAAGCTAATTAATAAATTCATCATCTCCTATACTTATTTTTTGTGGTTAAAACATTTGAAATCCACGCTTTTAGTAGTTTCTAAATATGTGGTGCATTATTATTTATTATAGTCACCATTCTATGAAACAGATCACTAAATCTTATTCCTTCCATCAAACTGAATTGTTGTATCCTTTGATCAACATCTCTCCTCCCCTCAGCCGCCTCTTCCCTCCAGCCTTAGTTAACCACCATTCTACTCTCTACTTTTAAGAGTTCAACTGAATGAAGTATCACCTCATATCTGTTAGAATGGCTATCACCAAAAAGATGAAAGATAAGTATTGCTGAGGGTGCAGAGAAAAGTAAACATTTGTGCACTGTTGGTGGAAATGTAAATTAATATAACCGTGGAAAACAGTATAGAAGTTCCACAAAACACTTAAAATAGAATTACCATATGATTAAGCAATTTCCCTTCTGGGCATATATCCAAAGAAATTGAAATCAATATGTCAAAGAGATATCTGTACTTCCAAATTCATTGCAGCATTATTCACAATAACCAAGACACGGAAGCAACCTAGGTATTTGTCATCAGATGAGTAGATACACAAAATGTGATATATACACACAGTGGAATACTATTTGGCCCTTAAAAAATAGAGAAATTCTTCCATTAGTGACGATGTGGATGAACCTGTAGAACATTATGCTAAGTGAAAAAAATCCAGACACACACAGACATCTTCAAATCCTCTTCCAAGTTATTTTGACTTTTGGAATATTTTCTTCAATAAAATACGTTAAGGGATAAAGCTTCATAGACCACTGTGGAGCTAAGGGAGAATTCAGAGCAACCTGCAATGCCAAAGCGTTAGTTCTTCTTGCCCTCTGCAGATTGTAGAGACTATACCCACCTGAGATAACTCTATTAGAGTATAATTCTGCCAGTGTTCTCACTTACATCCAATAAAAGCTGACTCTAGCTGATTATGTAAATGAAAAAGGACTTATTGATGGAGTAGCAGGAATCTCACAGAACCAATGAAAGCTGAAGAGCCAGAGTTGAGGCTCAAATTCAAAGATACATATGCAAACCACCATGCAGAACTGATGATGAAAAATCATGACTGCAGTCATGGCTGTGCTATAGGCCACCAAGATGCTACATGAGCACCACTGTCATTCTGTTCTAGGAACTTGTCTTTTCTGCAATAAGTGTGCTACCTTCTTGTCTTTTTTTTTTTTTTTTAATTGAGACGGAGTCTTGCTCCGTCTCAGGCTGGAGTGCAGCGGTGCGATCTCGGCTCACTGCAAGCTCCGCCTCCCAGTTCACACCTTTCTCCTGCCTCAGCCTCCTGAGTAGCTGGGACTACGGGTGCCAGCCACCACGCCCGGCTAATTTTTTTGTATTTTTACTAGAGACGGGGTTTCGCCGTGTTAGCCAGGATGGTCTTGGTCTCTTGACTTCGTGATCCGCCCACCTTGGCCTCCCAAAGTGCTGGGATTACAGGCGCAAGCCACTGCGCCCAGCCTGTTCATTGTCATTTCTTATGCCAATATTTCAACATTGTTGCTCTTCCTACTTCTGCTTCTTGATTCAAAGCCTGGTATAGCTGTATCTGGTAAAGGCAAGAGTACATTCCTACAACTTTAAGTGCAAGGGAAGCTAGGAGAGCTAATATCTGGCAATATAAACAACAATTACATAAATAGAAGCTCCAAGCCTGATAATATTGGGATTACCTCAAACATAAAAAGGGATGGAGATACTGGACAGCAAACACACACACACACACACACACACACACACACACACACACAGAGAGAGAGCGAGAGAGAGAGAGAAATAACTCAAACAACCCATTCATTTTGACTATTCCATATCTCTGAGCTATGTTTCCTCTAGAGATTACACAGGGTGGAAATCAAATTATCCACCTATGCAACAGCAGTGAAAGGGGAGCAGGATGAGTAAGGGGTAAAACAGTGTCTCGGGTAGTTGAGGACTTGTCTATCTCATGATGAATGATGTTAGAAGATACTGTGCTGCTTATAAGTTACTACTGCATTATCTGGAGTTCTGAGAGAAAAAGTTAAACTAAAGGTAAATAAATTATCATCTGGAAAATCTCTGTAAGCTGCAGTGAGATTTAGTGTTGTGCACTTGCCTTTCATCCTTCTTAGAACTAGTGAAGAATGGATATAGAGGATTCTTCACTTACTCTTTCTCTTTAAGCCAAAAATTCTTAGACTTGGGGGAGGGGGCCAACGAACCATAATTAACTGAATAACTAAAATCCTCACTTGTATCTAAGCTCTCATTGTGCTTGAAAAAGATGTTCATATATAAAATTGAAATATTTTAAAGTATGTTTTTAGTCTAAATGTGTACATAAAAACATAAAAGTTTTACTAACTGGGGCTTGCTTAGCTACACTGAAATGAATTGTATTCCATTTTGTCTACTTTTTAATTATACAAATAAATCATATATTTTATAGTGAATAGTCGTTGTAAAGAAAAAACTACAAAATAGTGAAAATTTTCACATCTCCACACCTCTACACACACACATGCCTCCTCAGCAGCGTGTTTAGTTTGGTGGATGTATTTCTAAGTCCTCTTTCTGTACATATAGAAGCAAAATCTCTGGGTTTTGAGTGGGTATATAAATTGGATTATACCTAAGTATTGTTCTACAACTGATTGACCCTCCCAACCACTCTGTACTCTCACCTAAACAGCAATGTCTGAAAGGGAAATTTTAGCCAGCTCTGCAGGTACTTCTGTCAGTTTGGGACAAATCAGGACAAACAGACTGAAGATACAATTCTTCAGGAAAGACTTTCCCAGGAGATGGAGCATGGATGTGTAAGGTCACTAGTTCCAACATGTAGCACACTCAGTGGGTTCTTTCCCCTTCCAAAATCAGGATTTCAATTAGGAAAATACGTGAAATAAGAGCATGCTTGTTCTCTCCAGGCAAAGAAACTTCATTCTGAAAAATAAAGTCAATTTAATATTTGTTTAACCTCAATATTATTTGAGGTCTGTATTTAGTCCTTAGACCTCTCTTTAACCTGTACTGTCCAATACAATAGCCACGACCCACATGTGGTTACTGAGCACCTGCAAAGTGACTAGTCCTAATTAAGATGTGCTCCAAGTATAAAATCAAATACCAGTTTTGAACACTTGGTGGGATGAAAGAATGTAAACATCTCATTAATAGTGTTTATACTAATTCCATGTTGAAATACTATTTTGGGTGAGTTGGGTTAAATAAAAATATTATTAAAAATTTCACGGCTGCTCTTCAGCAAGGTGGAGTGGGCGCGCCACATGCCCTTCTTCCCCAAGCTGCCGGTGGCCGACCAGGTGGCTTCGCTCTGAACGCGGGTTAGGTGGCATTGTCCCTGCACACTGCTGCCATTTTTCAATGGTGCATCTTCAGGCACATTTTTAAACCAAACTTCTTGCCTTTCTTAATAGCCACCATTTGGATTTGGATCTCTAAGTGTACTTGTTAGAGCATTTCCACACTCATTTTGATGATTGCCTTGCTTTCTTGCTCACCGTAAACTTGAAATAGGAAGGACAGAACTCCCTCACTTCCTATAGGTCTCCTCAAAATTTAGCTTAAATGAAGCCATCCCACACTATTCTATTTAAAAGAGCATCCCCACTCTCACTAGTATCTATTCCCATCATCTGCTTTGCCCTTCTTCAAAGAATGTATCACCACAGGAAATATTGTATCCTACATATTTATTTCTCTATTTATTGATCCCTGTCTTCCCATACTGTAATATAAACTGCATGGGAATAGGTATCACTGCTATAGCTTCAGTGCTCAGATAATGCCTAATACATAATAGGAGCTCAATAAATGTTTGTCAAATAACCTTGTTAACTCAATAATTGAGCTATTACTATTGCAGAAGCCATTCAGGAGCAGTAAAAAGATCGTATTTCCTGCCCTAAAGAAACTTATATTCTAACTGGTAGGAAAGTAAAAAATAGCACAAACAATGCTGTAATAGATACCCAAAAGGCAGACCAATTTTGAGTAAATATTTGGCAAAATTCAAAAGGCAATGAACTTAGAAAATAACATTATGATATACTGTAGTGGGCAAGGAAAGTTTTGTATGAGGCATCTAAACATGGGCAAGGTATGAATAGAACAATTTTAAGCTCAGGTTGTAAAACTAAGATTATACTCTGTGAATTAGAGAGAGTGAGTCAAATGGGAGTGATGAGACACATATTAAGGTAAAAATAAAGTTTAAGAAGAAATTCAGAAGAACCTAAAAACATTTACAAGCTAAAGAATTTGGGGTTTTTTCCTGTGTTTAGGTAGAGAGAAAATAAGTGATGGAGGTTCAAGAACATAATTCTGGAATTTGACATGGGAGATAACAGAGACAGACCATTTATGAAGTGATTATGCCATCACAGATATGGAGTGCTAGGAACCTGCACAAAAAAGACGAGCATAAAGATGACAAATGATCCCAGGGAAGATGCCTAATCTGTTTAATGACAGATTAGAAGTGGGAATGAGATGGTAAGGAATTCTACTCTCAAGATTTCAAGTTCATGCTATAAATCAATAGATCCATGAGAAAATAAGGATGGCTAGAGCTAATTTAAAAGGAGATTAACAAATTTAGGATTAGACATTTGAATTTGAAATAGATCTTCATGTAAAAATATCCAGCAGAATGCTGCAAATATTTAACTACACTTTGGTAGTAAAGTCAGTGCTGGAGTTACCCCAGAATCAAGATTTAGCACAAGATTTCCTCATGGAGTGCAGTACTGCAAATTATTAATAAATTGCTACTCAAAAAAATAAATTAGAGGGTAGAAATTACCCAAGGAACACTTTTCCAGAGTTTAATGAAGAACTACACACACAAAAAAAGTGCTTAGTAGGCCTAGATTGTCAGCGATCTCACAGATTCTATGGCTCTTTGGTTTGCACTGGGCATCACCTGACCTTCTTGTGTCTACATATGCCAAAGTGTTAGCATTGGCAAAATGTGAGGTGTCAATCAAGTCAACATAATATTATTGAAGGCCCTTGTTAGCCCCAGAAGTTATACTTCAAATTATAAAGAATAAAAAAGCAGAGCTTAAAATTGTCCCTGAATTGTTGAGTTTTGGAGGTGTGTATGTGTGTGTGTGTTTTAATCTGGTAATTTGAAGGATCAGTGGAAAACTATTTTTAGTTGCAATACATTCAACCATTGCTATGCTCTCAAAAAAATGAAACAACTTGCTTCAATGAAGGCAGAATCTGAGGATGTTGAAACATACCAAACAGTATGTACTGAAAACCAAAAGAGTAAGCAGAAGCTCAGTTTTAGAGAAATAGATGAAAATATTAAGTAGAATTGCAAAAATAAAAAAATCTATTTAAGGTACAAACATATCTGGACCATAATAGTAATAACTTCCTAAGACTGAAACCATGGGTCCAATTAATTCTTTCAAATTATCTTCCCAATATATAAAAGTAGAATAAAATGGAAAAAAGCATGATCTCATTGGTCTCATGATCTTTCATCCTTCTAAACATTAATGATGAATTATATTAAATTTGCCTCTTGGATCCTTTAGAAATTTCCTACTATAACACATACATAAATTTTTTTTGCTATCCCTCCCCCCACCAACCCACAACAGGCCCCAGTGTGTGAAGTCCCCCTTCCTGTGTCCAAGTGTTCTCATTATTCAATTCCCACCTATGAGTGAGAACATGCGATGTTTGGTTTTTGTCCTTGCGATAGTTTGCTGAGAATGATGGTTTACAGCTTCATCCATGTCCCTACAAAGGATATGAACTCATCATTTTTTATGGCTGCATACTATTCCATGGTGTATATGTGCCACATTTTCTTAATCCAGTCTATCATTGTTGGACATTTGGGTTGGTTCCAGGTCTTTGCTGTTGTGAATAGTGCCTCAATAAACATGCATGTGCATATGTCTTTATAGCAACATGATTTATAATTTTTTGGTTATATACCCAGTAATGGGATGGCTGGGTCAAATGGTATTTCTAGTTCTAGATCCCTGAGGAATCGCCATACTGGTTCAATCAACAGTGTGGCGATTCCTCAGAAATTTCTTTAGTGCCTCTTTCATACCCTTGTTCCGGAAACTGTAGATCAGAGGATTAAAGAATGGAGTTGACAAAGTATAGAACAAGGTCACAAATTTCTTTATCCCATGATAGTCCCCAGAACCTGGGCTAACATACATCACCACAAGAGAACCATAGAAGAGAGACACTACAGCAAGGTGACAGCCACAAGTTGAGAAAGCCTTATGCCTTCCTAAGCCTGAAGGCACCTGTAGCACTGTGCTTAGAACACAGAAATAAGTCCCAAGGATATACAAGAAGGTAAGAAAGATGATGAGCGCTAATGATACCACAAGTCAGAGTAATTCCAGGTATTGGAGCACAAGACAGTGCCAGCAAAGGTGCCAGATCACAGAAAAAATGGTCGATAGTGTTTGGACCACAAAAGAGCACCTGAGATATTAGTGTCAAAGGGGTCAATAACCAGAGACAGCCACCCACCCAGCAGAAGATCACAAAATGAGCACAAACGTGATGGGTCATTAAGGTGGGATAGTGCAAAGGTCTACAAATGGCAAGAAACCTATCAAAAGACATCACTGACAGAAATAAGCACTCTGCAGCACACATGGAGAAGAAGTAGAATCGGAGCAGGCAGCCAGCACAGGAGATGCTCTGTGTCTGGGAGATGAGATTGGCTGCCATTATGGGCACGTCAGAACTGACACAGCAGATCTCCAGGAAGGAGAAATTGGCCAGTAGGATGTACATAGGTGTGTGGAGTTTCTGGCTTGACCACACAGCACAGATGATGGATGTGTTACCCAGGAGGGTCAGAAGGTAGATGAGAGAGAAGACCACAAAAAGGAGGATCTGGATCTCCCTGCGGCAGGGGAAGCCCAAGAGGATGAACTCATTCACAAATCCAGTGATATTAGTAGTCTCCAAGGTCCTCACTGGTTTGGCCTGTAGAGGTGACAGAGATAGTAAGAACCACAGAAATTCTGCCCTGTCTCCCTTCTATCTCTTCTGGTGAATAGATATATGTTTATTTTCTTCAATTTGGGTTTGGGATACTGCTCTCTTCCCCTTGGAAGGATGAGCTGTTCTTTCCTTTTCACCTCCGTCCTAGTTTATTCAATAAATAGTCATTTTGCAAATTATTGCTCTAGAAGATAAAGAACAATGAATAAAATAAAAAAGAGTCCCTGATCTTATAGAGCTTATGTCAAATACCTTTTGTTTAAAGCAACCTCAAGCAGTACGTTGATGGCTCCAAAAGTTCTACATAGAGCAGGCCTTGGAGCATACATGTACTGGAAGAGATCTGAGGAGATTTACCTTGGAACATCATTTGGATAGCGAAGATACTGTTTTTACTTAAATTGTATGCTTCTGATAACTTCAGGAGAAGCTGACACAAATTATGGGGTTGATGTGAGCGTCCCTCCACCTATATCAAAATGCTGCCATTGACACAGTAGCAGTAGAATGTGACAAAAACAAAACTTTCTGTGGTTGTCTGAGACACACATAATATTAATTTGGAAATAATAACAAAAGGCTTTTGAGAAGAAAATGAACGTTGACAAAATATAGAATTTTCCATAACGATGGCGGGAAAATATTATTTGCATATAATAAAAATGTAGAAAGATTTGGATACAAAAAATTATACCCAGAGAAGAGTCTAAAATAGTACAAGTGTGCTTGCAAAAAGTTGTGAGACATAAGGTATAAATATATGGTAATCACATGGCAGAGGACTTGCTGCCAGTCTAACTAGTTCAAGCTTAATTTGCTAGTCAAGGAAAAACAAGATGTATTAGTAGAAGAATGAAATAATTGAAGCTTTATGAAAACAGCATTTTTCAAGACCATTTGGTGCAGGTTAATAAAATTAGCAAAAAAATTTGGAAATTATTTCAATAGCCCAAGGAAAAAGTGTAAAAAGCTTGACCTGGGGCAATTACATACAAACAAATACCAGGGAAGGGACAGAGGTAATTAAATTCTGCCCAAGAGGCAGAGGACGAGAACAAGGAAAAAAAAAAAAAAAAAAAAAAGCAAGGTTTCACTTCCATTTGCCACAGATAGTCCTCTGCATGGGGTATCTCACAGGCGAGATCCACTTTCAGCACAGTAATTGTGCATTGAGGACCTTTCTGTACCAAAAGATTAGCCTACTGAAGGGTCATGTTGGATATCTCTTAGATTCCCCAGTCCTTTTTTCTTTTGACTCTTTTGAATCAGAATGTTAAATTTCATGAAATAAATTAGCTACCACCTACAAAGTTTTCTCTCCAAGTCACACACAATGAGTGAATATGTGCTAGGCTGTATCTGTGTGAAAGAGAACAATAAACAAGAGAGTTAGTCCAAATTATTGCCCAAACCTGCACCAAATGGTCTTGCAAAATGCTGTTTCCATAAAGCTTTGAACATTTCATTCTTCTAGTACATCTTGTTTTTCATTGACTAGCAAATTAAGCCTGAACTAGTTAGACAGGCAGCAATGACTCCCATTTTCCTGTCTTCTAAGAATATAATCCTTTTGAAGATAATCTGCAAGGACAAAATTACTATTTGACAAAAAAATTCTTAATTCTGTGTCTAATAAGCCTAATAATAAAGCTGTTTGTGAAGGAAAATAGTCATGAAAATTTATGCTCCTTTTTATACCAACATCTGAAACAAAGTGGACTTCGAGATACAGAAAAGTTACTGCTCCACCTGCCCATAATTCCGTATCCTAAATGTTGCCCAGGAGTCAAATAGCCTCTAAGTAAGGCACCTTTTGATTCTTTTCTTTACAAAGGCCCCTTTCAGGCTTTACTCAGATGTAGAACATGCCACAAATCTCCCCATTCCTCATTACTTATCCCTTCCAGAGTCTGAGGCTCTGTCTCTGGTGATCTCAATCCTGGGACCAGTGGGGGCAATTAACGTGCATTATGCAGGCTTGAGTATGTTTCATCTTCAGAGATAATCATATTGGAGACAAAAACTACATAATATGCATACACGCTCATGTGCAGTCACACACACACTTACACACACACAGATCAGGCTGTTAACATAGCAGTATTCCTTCCAGAGTTTCCTCTTCTAATCTTAATAAATTATCTTTGTGCTAACAAACTTTTTCTGCCATGAGAGGCACCATTACCTTCAAATTTTGTTAATCTCAGAAACTGAGAAGAAAAAAAAATTCTGGGTCTAAACAGTTTAATAACAAACAAAGAACGGTACCACACTTGGCAGATAAAAAATGACTTTTTGTCCATGTGTCTGTGCAATTAAAACAGATTTAGATTCCCCATTGGGACAAAAGGAAAAACACACAAAAAAAGGAAGGAGGTTCTTTTGAAAAACATACTCCCTTGCTCCAAATTTTAACAATTTTTTTTCTCTTTTTAAATTCACTACACAAACTCTGTGATGAAGTAAGAAAAGCGACGAGGGCTCTTCTTGCTTTTTTTCTTAAACCATTAAAGTAAAACCCGTAATTTTCTACAGAGTACAACACAAGTTCACACAAAAAAGACATTTTCTTTTGCAAATCAAAACAGGAAAGAAAGGAAAAGCTCAAACAAGGTGAAGGAAAAGCATTTCTACAGCTGAATCACGACTGAGTTGATCGAAGCCCATTGTTGCTGCACAACAGACTGTGCGTTTGGTCACAGCGGCAATTTTTTTTTCTCTTCACATTGTGAAATCACTTTACATTGTTTTCTAGTAGAAAAGGCAAAAAATTGTACAAAACCCCTAGTGTTAAATACGTTTGTACCAATAAAACACTCACACAGGTTTGTCTCCAAAATGTCAAGTTTCTTTTTCTTTGCTTTTTAAATTATTCAGAAGACCCAAAATTTTTCATCCATGTTGCCCAGTTGGCAGTTTGAAGATCTTGCCCACTAAATCCAGAAGGATCTTATGCCCAGAAATCCACAGAGCTACCCATCTTTATTTCTTATAAACTCTTTTTCTCCACATATAGATCAAACAAGGTAGATGTTAGTCAACCCAGAAGTTATCAATTGTGTGAAAAAGACAAATCCATTTCCTCTTTTTCAAGTGTAGATCACATTTCTGGGTCCCCTTTGGAGTTAGGTGTGGTCATGTGACCGAGTTCTAGTTCAGAGAAAACAATGAAAACTGCTGTGCAACACTTCAGGCCCTACCCATACAAGGGCCTTGATGATTTTTGATACCATTGAGCACAATGACATTGAAAGACATTTATGAAGATGATGAAGTCAAAGAGAAGTCCTGAATTCCAGAATCAGCACTTGAAGAACCTGCCAATCAGGAGCACCCATTCAGATTTTAAGTGAGCAATAAACTTCTTTCGGCCCAGCATGTGGCTCATGCCTGTAATCTCAGCACTCTGGGAGGCCGAGGTGTGTGGATCATTTAAGGTCAGGAGTTCGAGACCAGCCTGGCCAACATAGCAAAACCCTGTCTCTACTAAAAAATACAAAAATTAGCTGGGTGTGGTGGCACACACCTGTAATCCCAGCTACTCGGGAGGCTGAGGCAGGAGACTTGCTCGAACCCAGGAGGCAGAGGTTGCAATGAGCCAAGATTGCGCCACTGCACTCCAACCTGGGTGACAGCGAGACTCCGTCTCAAAAAAATAAAGAAAGAAATAAACTTATTTCATGTTTGATCCACTTTAAAAAAATTGTTTGGAGAAGAAAGTGACCAATTGAAACCAACATTTTTACATTTTGAAGAATGTATTAAAGAAGCAATTTGTGAATGGCTGTATCAACATATAATTCAGTGGGCTTATTCCCTTCAAAGATTCAATTCTGAAATAACAGGAATAAATTACGGAAATAATTTCTGGAGACTGAACAATTACTAGGAAGGAATAGAAAGTGAGTGTTAGTGGATACATTTACCACAAGATCACCATTAGGTTGTATTTGAATTTGAATATGATTTCCTTTGAAATATATGATCTTGTGCCTATCTACAATCACGGCAAGCACAATCCTTCCTTTAGCTTGAGCCAAAACCTGTGGGGCAGAAATAAGAAAAATCTTAAGCAGTAGGAAGCAGTGTGGAGTTTTTTAGTTTTTTGAATGCAAAGGTTTACAGAGACCTGAGGACCTTGAATTAAGTGAACATAGTTACAGGGGGAAAAAATAGTAAGAACTATCCCTACCATCAGCATTCAATTAACAGTAGTGAGAAAATACAGCTGTAAACCCAGTTGCAGAAAGTTGAGGATAGGACAAATTCAGAAGCTCTTAAAATCCTGGTAAGTAGAATTAAATTTAATTTAAAGCCAGCCATGGAAATTAAAAGATATAATTAAAGTTTAATTAAAATGTAGAGTGTTTAAGACTTTATGTGAGTGGTATACCACTTTCTTAGATGCTATAAAATTAAATTAGAAATATTGATAGAAAACATGTTCTTGAAAATATTATTTTGCTGCCCTGTTTCAGGTATCTCTATGTCTATAAATTCAATCCCTGTCTTCCATGGGTTTGCTAATGCTGGTCTTTCTGCCCATATGCCCTCACTTTCTATCTCTGCAGTAAAATGTCACCATCCTTCTTAGGCAAATCACACACTAGCTCTTACAACTTCCATCTGAAAATTGCATGCCATTACATCTATTCAGAAATCGATAGGCAAATCAGGGTAGTCTTTTGGTCACATCTAATTTCCAAGTGTCAGGGAGGTACAATTCTATCATGCACTCAGGAGGAAAAACAAAATACTGGTGAACAGAGTAACAACTACAACATTTAAGCTTCCTTTGTTCTTCATGTAAGCATATGATTAAACCTTTATTAAAAGAATGTAAAACAACTATATGTTTAAATTAACTATAATACTTTAAGCTCTTTGATGCAAAGATCTTTTCTTGCCTTTTGTCTTTTTACCTTAGAAAGCCCTCAGGACCATGGGTTCTTACTTTGTATCTAATAAATTTTTTTAAAATTTTCCTTCAGTCAAAAATTCACTGAGTGAAGATGAGTACTATATACAACCTCTTCCAGGATACCCCTTTCTGGATATTGGTCATGCATACACTGCATACACTCAACACCATTGCCAAAATTTTGACAACTTGCCCTCAGAAAGATTAGCTACTTTGTTAAATTTTGATTCTTCCCTTTTTTTAATTTAGTTTCTACCCTTGAATCACAGCATTTCACACATACATTGCTATACATATCAGAGTTCAGTACAAGATAGAAAAACAACTCCAAAATTTTAAGCAGAAAGAAATTTAACAGGGAATTAATGCTTGATTAACTCTTTTTCCTTGTTATTCATAGTCATCCTTAGAGAGGTAGCATAATTTTACCACATTAGGATAATCTGCACTTTCGGTATCTTGTCTTTCAATATTTTAAATGTTTCAAAATGTTCTGTACTATACATTTGATGATATTTATCATACATGGTATCATTAATTGATTCAATCCTTGAGTCAATAAATATTTGTGAAATAACTACTATTCACCAGACACTTTTTTCACTCACTCTTGATATCACAGTAAGGAAATCTGCCTCCAAAAAGTAATTAATTTGTGACATAGCAAACCCCAGAAGGGAAAATTTGAGGTAACACAATGAGTTCACTTGTACACATGGTCAACTATGTGTCACTGAGATATCCAAGTAAAGACAACCAGTTAGCGATTGGACAGAAAAGTCTCAAGCTCAGGAGAGGGTAATAGATATATTAGATATTAGAAGCTGTTAGCACAGAAAGGGCATTTGGACCTGAAGTGGGTATATACTTCCTAAGAAATACTGCCTAAGAAATATGTATGAGAAAAGAGCAGAGAGTCTAACATCAAGCCACCAGCAATGCCATAATAAGCACAAATAAATATATAGTGGATAGGTGGAGAAGCAAAATACCAAAAAAGAAACAGGAAAAGTAAATAGAGAGGGGGAAAAAAAAAACAGAAGAAAATAAGCAAAGAAAATGGGATTTTCTTTGAATTTTCATTTAGAGAGTTGTCAGTCTGGTCAAACACTGCTAAAAAGTCAAACAATTCACGAACTTACAAGTAACCATTTGATTTAGGTACATAGAAATCACTGGTGACTTTGGCAAAATTTCAGAGACATTGTGGAGAAGGAAACCAGATTGCTGTAGGCTGAGGAGTGAAGTGACAATGAGAGATACAGAGAACCGGTATAGACATGGGGCTTGGCTAAAGGAGAGGAGAGAGATGAAAACTGAAGGGGGATGTTAGATCAAGGAAGAATTATGTTTTTGTTTTTGTAAGGTAAGGTTGAGCAGGGAAAGGAGAGAAAGGTGGTAAGCAAAGGTACTCGCTCCCTGTAACTGTGGTAGAGGATGGAATACAGAATGTGAAGGGGGAGATTTCAATTTGAACAAAAGGGTAAGAATCTCTTTTATTGTTTATAGGAAGAAATGAAAAGAATGTGAGGACAGATTTTTTTACTTTAGTATGTTCCAATCATCAATAACAATCTTCCTGTGTCAAACTATTGGTTTGTCTTAAGTGATGTCCTAAGTGAAACACACAGTACACTAGCTTTGCCTTCAAAGCTTTCTTTTACTTAAGTAATCCAGCCACATAGAAAAAAATAAATAAATATTGAATAGTATTTTTAGACAGTAAGATAGCTCTCCCACCCAAGACCCTCAGTTCTTCTAAAAGAAAACTGCTATTCCTAAGTCACATATAGATAATCAGTGCATTTACAAATATGTGTATAAACACATGGCTTTGGGCATTTAATTTTTAATTTACATAATGCATAATATTAACAGGTAATAGTTTTACATATTTACAAGGTACACGTGTTATTTTGATACAGGTATATAGTATGTAGTGACCAAATCAAGGTAATTGGGATATCTGTCACCTCAATCATTTATCATTACTTTGTAAGTACGTTTTTAAATAAATTATAGCGTACTAATCACACGTTTCTGTACTTTATTTCACTTAGAACTACTTCTTGGACATACTGCTTCTTATCAAAATGTATACATCTATCTTAATTCTTAATGGCTGTGTAGTTTTTCATTCTCTAAATGTAACATGATTTATTGATTCAGTCACCTATTAATAGACATATTTGTTTCCAAGATTCAGCTATGACAAATAATGCTGAAAGCTTATTAATTTATGTAGAAATTTGCAAAATACACAATATCTGAAAGAAATATTCTGAAAGTGAAAATGCTGAGTCATAAACTGTGCACTTTTTTTTTTTTTTGAGACAGAGTCTCTCTCTGCCGCCCAGGCTGGAATACAGTGACATGATTTCAGCTCACTGCAACCTCCACCTCCCGGGTTCAAGCGATTCTCCTGCCTCAGCCTCCTGAATAGCTGGGACTACAGGCACCTGCCATCACACCCGGCTCATTTTTGCATTTTTAGTAGAGATGGGATTTCACCACGTTGGCCAGGCGGGCCTCAAACTCCTAACCTGAAGTGATCCACCCACCTCGGCCTCCCAAAGTGCAGGGATTATAGGCGTGAGCCACCACACCTGGCCTAAGTGTGCACACTTTAAATTTTGGTCAATATGGCCACATTTTCCTCCAAAGAGGTGTCAGTGCTTTCCTCATTACTGTTGCTTTTCTCTCTATCCTTGGCACCAAGGCCTAGCTTTTCACAAGTTCTTCAAAATGAGCTTCACAAATTATTTTAGCCACAATGTTTTATGGCTTCATTATGGTGATATGAATACTGTCCATATCAGTGACATTAATTACTGTCAGTTGAGAGAATACGGTACATATTCTTGAAGTAAGACTCTTTCATCAAAGGTGACCCAATGTCTACCCTTTAAATCTATATTGTACACACTTAATAATATAAGGTCAGTGACCACAATAAAGATATGGAGTAGGAGAAGGCTGCAACAGCTACCCACAATTCATTATAGAACAAACCTAGCACTGCCACTATTTCAATATGGGCATAGATGGGATATATGATTCTTCAGAACTCACTAGATCTGTTACCAGGCTAACCAGTTATTCCCCATAAAACTCATGACTTCTTACAAATCATTTGCTGGAAAATTTTTATATCCTAATTTCCTGAGATGGGCTCTACATTGTGGCAGATGGCTTTTTGACCTCTTAACTGTACAGTCAAATTTTATCTGGCTTGTAAAAGCTCTATGACATTTAGCACAGACTGTATTATACATTCTATATGCAATAGAAAAAAGGTTCCCAAGGATATAAGCTATAAACAAAGCGCTTGTAGTAGTGTAATATAAAGGAGTAATAGTTGTTGCTATCATTTTTTAATTTTAATTGATATACTAATTATACATATTTATGGGATAAAATATGATGCTTCAATACATGTATAGATTGTGTAATGATCAAATGAAGGTAATTAGCATATCCATCACCTCAAACATTTATAATTTTTGCTGTGAGAACAGCAAAGAGATACATTCTGGTTGAACTTGCTACAGAATAGTAACAACTGATGTGCTTCTGCTAGTCTTTTTTTTTTTTTTTTTTTTGAGACAGAGTCTCACTCTGTTGCCTAGGCTGGAGTGCAGTGGCACGATCTCAGCTCACTGCAACCTCTGCCTCCTGGGTTCAAGCAATTCTCCTGCCTCAGCCTCCTGAGTAGCTGGGATTACAGGTGCCAGCCACCATGCCTGGTTAATTTATATTTTTGTAGAGACAGGGTTTCATCAAGTTGGACAGGCTGGTCTTGAACTCCTGACCTCATGATCCACCTGCCTTGGCCTCCCAAAGTGCTGGGATTACAGGCGTGAGCCACTATGCCTGGCCAACTTCTGCTAGTCTTTTTGCAGTTTGCCTGCTATTTAGTTATCTATGATCTCCTCTACTTGCATAACTTACCATGAACTAACTTAAGAGCATTCTATGTCAACTAACCTTAGTAACTTTCCATTGTCTGATGCGTTAAATTTCCTTTCCAATCAATGTGATTGACTCAACATCACACGGTTCAGCAGTTACTAAAATGCACCAAAGAGTTACTACAAGACTGTAATTTAAACCCAGGCAGGCAATTTCAAAAAGCTGTACCTGGTAGCTTTTCTGCAAAGTGGTTGTAACCCAGATGTTCTATCTATGTGAAGGCAGCTCAACAATATTTCTATGAAAAAGGCATTAGCGAACAACCTGACACATTATCTCAAGAGATACACTATCATTCTACTGCTATACTGGGTACACTTTTGCATTGTCAATAGATCCCATGATTAAAAGAGAGAATTAATGACAGACATCTTGATTCATACTTTATTTCAATCATCTCACTTGATCCTTCAAACCCTATGGTATTATGCATTTTTTCATTGTAGAAATTAATGCTCAGAAATAAATAGCGCACTACAAAATGCCATAATTGGAACCCAAGCTTGCCAGCGTCTAAAGCCCATTCTTCCACCATGATACCATGGTGCTTTTTTCAAGCGATATGGCTTTTCCCTCTCCTCTAATGACTTTTTCATTCACCTCTCCACCTTGGCTTTATGGCGTGCGTGCACTCACACACATACACACACACACACACACACACACACACACACACACACACACAGAGCTTAGGTTAGCTCATCATTATTTCTTTAGTACCTGTTATTTGATTTTTTGCCAACCAGGCACCAGACTTAATTTTTTATATTGCATCTAGTTTGCTAAATAAGGGACATGTAGTAATAAAATAATATCCCAGAGGACATTTTCACATTTTACTTGCTGTTTCTCTTTCAAAATTTCCATCGTTAAAAGAGGCAAACAGCCATAGGCTCTGGATATAATAGCTTCAGCTGCAAATAAAAAAATTGTCTTTCTGGATGGAAGGTGTGAAAAGGACTATTATTGCATCAGTCTCTCAGCTACTCTCCCACAGAACATTGCGGTCTGTTCAAACGAATGAGGACAGTAGTGGATAAACCAGTCTTTTAAACTTGTGTAAGATTTTCCATACCTGGGTTTCAGATCATTTTAGAGGCAAGTATTAATTTATTCTTTTTTCTCCTAATTTTTCATATGGACAAATTTAGGCACAGAGGAGATAATGAACTTGGCAGAGAATCAGGAGCAAAACACTGATGGAAAATGATGCTGATTTAAATGTTTCCTGCTTGCATTTCTCATAATGAAAGCACAGCCATATTGTGACACTTGTTATTTTATGGTTCACTGAAGAGCCGCAATAACAAATTTTAAATACCTATCAAATGTCATAAAATGTCATTTAATATTGTTCTTGGTTTGTTAAAGGGAAAATGAAAACTGATAAAGTTCATGTATATTTTGTGCTAGTTCAATAAACTAAATACCATACTATGAGACTTTCAGCAAACATACAGTCAATTGTAATATGGTAATATTAAATAAGAGGGTACTACACTTTTTCAAGAGAAAGTGGTCTTATTAAAAAGGTTATTTTAATGATGCTCTAAACAATTTCTTTGGCTGCATCACAGCATAGGTTCAGTTCATAATAAAAGTTGCCTTTGAACGAAGTATTCTAAATTTTTACAAGACTCCAATTCTCCTGTGCAATTACGGAATTTGAAATGTAATTCTCCTGGAACCATAAAAGAATTAAGACCAGAGAACTGCTGTTAAGAATAAAGCAAGATAAAAAGGAATTGCTTCAAAGACCCTTTTTATTCTTCTATTTTTTAGTGCCACGTTATATTCCAAGTCACTATGTTGTTATGGAAAAGGACAATGAGAAAATCCACTCTAGACAATTGAACATTTCTAGAATGTTGACTCAGGGCTATTTTTCTCTTGATAATTATGTATTAATTCAATATGGACATCTGTATGTGAAATCCTCAAATTTCCAGAAGAATGGATGATATATCAATGCACAACTGTTTGGCATTGGTTTATTGTGGACTCAGCACTGTGTTAGGCACAATGGCTCAGGCAAATTGTTTGGGAACATGGCCCCTGCTCTAGATCTGCATGGCATTTGTTTATCATTTGAACTGAGATGTGGTTATTACAACTTAACTTCTATCTCTATTTCACATTCCATTAATCATCAAGTACTATAGATTCTATCACCTTCATAATCTCTCAAATCTGCCCATTTTACTACATGTGCAATACCACTGTTAATGATGATCACAATAAGCTCCTAACCATCCTCTTTGTCTTCAATCCTATCCACTTTAATTCATTCTGAACAACAGTTTGGAAATAAAATTGTGAGTGTATCACCCCTCCATTTTAAACTGTTTCAGAGTATTTTCATTTAACTCCTGCCACAGTTTAAGCCCATCAGCATAACCAGGCAAGGTCCTCCGTAAGCTGACCCTTCTTAAACTTCTAGCTTAGAATTTTTACTCCTTCTGCAAATATTTCATCCAAATTAAATATCATGTAGTTTCCTAAGAGAGATTCTTCTCTCTTCTTCTCCCAAGTCCTTTTTTATTTCCTCCTTTTAGAGCGTACTTCCTCTCACCTTTCACCTGACTCATGTTACCAGTCTGTTGAGACTTAGTTCAGAAATCACATCTTTCATTTTGTCTTTCCCCACCCTCTCCTCTCCTATGAATTAAGTCTTGCTTCTATGTAAACAATTAGCTTAGATATTTATAACTGATGCTGTACTTATATGGTTCTGTTGTCTTCCATGAACATGTGTTAGATCTTTGAAGACAAATATATGTTATTCATCTTATGAAATTTGTCCTACACAGAATTTGGCACATGGATATCCATTCAAATGTTTGTGGAATAAATATGAATAAACTCAAAATAAAGAGAACATATATTAATTTTGTCCTAATTTGCAAAATTCTCCATTTTATTTCCCTCACTGCAAACTATCCCCACTGACAGAATTGGTATCTGATTTCATAGTGTTGATTTCTAACATTTTTAAACAAAAAACTATGTTTCAATTATAAATCATGTATTTAGGTAAGAATCCTTGCTTCATCAACTATAAGAACATAAATTCTAAGACATTTTCTCTACTGAGATGTTAAAATGTAGGGAGAAATGTGTGTTTTATAATTAACGAAATAAAATTCCTTAAGGTCTTACCATATGCTTGGCCCCATGCTGTGTTTTATATTAATTAGTTCTCTTAATCTTCACCACAGTCCTATGAGGAGGGTATTTTTATTATTCTCATTCTAAAAGTTAATAAAATAAGTTCAAAAGAAAGGTAATTTTCCCAAAGTTACCCAGATTATAAGTGGCAATTGTAGGATTTATCTCTATCTTACTCTACTGTCTGAAACATTCTCGATATTCCTTTTTTGGGTTCAGTACTAAGAAAAAACTATAGAAAATAACATTACTGGTCCTCATTTTAGAATATTCTTTCCTTGGGTTCATCATACACACACGTGCACACATAAACACAAACATACACAGTAATTGTAAACGGTGTGGTAATTTCTTTAAATTTTGTTAAAATACCTCCCGAGAAAAATGGAGACAAGTAGGGGAGAGAATCTCAGAGCTTGAAGACTATCTTTCTGAAATAAAACAGGCAGGAAACAATAGAGATAAAAGAATAAAAAAGACTAAACAAAATCTCCAAGAAATATGGGATTATGTAAAGAGACAGAACCTACGACTGATTGGGGTACCTCAAAGAGATGGGGAGAATGGAATCAAGTTGGAAAACATACTTTAGGATATCATCCAGGAGAACTTCCCCAACCTAGCAAGACAGGCCAACATTTAACTTCAAGAAATTCAGAGAACTCCAGTAGGACACTCCATGAGAAAATCAATCCCAGGACACATAATGATCAGATTCTCCAAGGTTGAAATTAAAGAAAGAATGTTAAGGGCAGCCAGAGAGAAAGTCCAGGTCACCTACAAAGGGAAAGCCATAAGAATAACAGTGGACCTCTCAGTGGAAACCCTCCAAGCCAGAAGAGATTGGGGGCCAATATTCAACATTCTTGAAGAAAATAATTTCCAGCCTAGAGCTTCATATCTGGTCAAACTAAGCTTCATAAGTGAAAGAGAAATAAGATCCTTTACAAACAAGCAAATCCTGAGGGAATTTGTCACCCTCAGGCCTGCCTTGTAAGAGCTCCTGAAAGAAGCACTGAAAATTGAAAGAAAAAATTGTTACCAGCCACTACAAAAACACACTGAAATACACAGACCAGGGACACTGTGAAGCAACCACATGCACAATTCTGCAAAATGACCAGCTAGCATCATGATGACAGGATCAAATTCACACATAACAATACTAACTTTAAATGTAAATGGGCTTAATGCCTCAATTAAAAGACACAGAAAGGCAAGCTGGATAAAGGGCCAAGACCCATCACTATGCTGTCTTGAAAAGAGCCATCTGACGTGCAAATACACACATAGGCTCAAAATAAAGGGAAGGAGGAAAATTTACCAAGCAAATAGAAATCAAAGAAGGGGTTGCAATCCTAGTTTCTGACAAAACAGACTTTAAACCAAAAAGATCAGAAAAGACAAGGGCATTACATAATGGTGAAGGGTTCAATTAAGCAAAAAGAGCTAACTCTATTAATCTACATATGCACCCAATATAGAAGCACCCAGATTCATAAAGCAAAGAGTCACAAAGAGACTTAGACTCCCACACAATAATAGTGGAAGACTTTAATACTTCACTGACAGTATTAGACAGATCATTGAGACAGAATACTAACAAAGATATTCAGGACCTGAACTCAGCTCTGGATCAAGCAGACCTGATAGATACCTACAGAGCTCTCCAGCTCAAAACAACAGAGTATACATTCTTTTCATCACCACGTGGCACCTTAAAATTGATCATGTAATCAGAAGTAAAACACTCCTCAGCAAATGCAAAAGAATTAAAATCATAACAAACAGTCTCTTAGACGGCAGCACAACCAAATTAGAACTCAAGATTGAGAAATTCACTCAAAGCCACACCATTAAATGGAAATTGAACAACCTGCTCCTGAATGACTCCTGGAAAAATAACGAAATTAAGGCAGAAGTCAAGAAATTCTTTGAAACCAATGAGAACAAAGAGACAATGTACCAGAATCTCTGGGACACAACTACAGCAGTGTTAAGAGCGAAATTTATAGCACTAAATGCCCACATCAGAAAGTGGGAAAGATCTAAAACTGACATTCTAACATCACAATTAAAAGAGCTGGAAAGGCAAGAACAAACAAATTCAAAAGCTAGCAGAAAAAAAGAACTAAGATCAGAGCAGAACTGAAGGAGATGCAGAAATAAAAACTCTCCAAAAAATCAATGAATCCAGGAGCTCGTGTTTTGAAAAAAATACACAATCAATAGACCACTAGCTAGACTAATAAAGAAGAAATGAGGGAAGAATCAAATAGACACACAAAAAAATGATTAACTCCACCGAAATACAAACTACCATCAGAGAATACTATAAACACCTCTATGCACATAAACTAGAAAATCTAGAAGAAATGAACAAATTCCTGGACACACACACCTTCCCAAGACTAATTCAGGAAGAAGTTGAATTCCAGAATAGACCAATAACAAGTTCTGAAATTGAGGCAGTAATTAATAGCCTACTGATCAAAAAAAGCCCAAGACCAGGTGGATTCTAGGACGCAAGGCTGGTTCAACATTTGCAAATCAATAAACACAATACATCACATAACCAAAACCAAAGACAAAAACCACATGATTATCTCAATAGATGCAGAAAAGGCCTTTGATAAAATTCAACGTCCCTTTATGTTAAAAACTCTCAAACTAGGTATTGGTGAAACACCTCAAAATAATAAGAGCTATTTATGACAAACCCATAGCCAATATATTGAATAGACAGAAATGGTAAGATGGACATAATACTATTGCACCCCTACTAGACTACAGTGTAGTATAAACATAAACTTTAGATGCACTGGGAAACCAAACACTTCCGTCTGACTTGCTTTATTGCAGTGGCCTGGAACTGAATCCACGATATCTGAGGTATACCACTATTTCAACTGAATAAAATTGGTAGCTTTCACTTTGTTTTTACTTCTTCAGCAATCATAACAAATTTTGGTGTATTTAAAGTACAGCAAGGTAATTATTATCTTCAAAGAGCCCCTAAATTAGTAGAGAAGAGAATACCTATAAAAATGTAAAAACAATGCTGGTAAATAATGACAAATGGCATAATAAGGGAATAGATCCAATGGTTAAGAATTGCACAAAAATAAAAATCACTCTATTTAGAATTGGAAAAAGCACCAGGAATGGTATCTTATTTTAACAAAATTTGTAAAATTCAAAAGGCTGACATAAGTGATGGGCTCTGGGTATATGAACAGGCTGAGCAAGAGTGGAGTGTAGAAATTTCCCAGAGAATTGAGAAATACTTTTATGACTTGTATGTCAGAAAGTACACAGCAAACATAGCACAATGTTAAGACTATAGATCTGGAGTGGTTTCTAGCCTCCACTCCTGGTTATTTCCTACTGATTAGCTGTGGGGCATTAATGAAGTCACTTAACATCCCTGAACTGGAGTTTTCTCATAGATGGAATGGGACTAGTGATACAACTGATTTACAACTATTGAGATAGAATTTTTTGTTAGTGGAAGAAAGAGATGGATAGATAAAAAGAATTTTTTGTTAGTGGAAGAAAGAGATGGATAGATAAAAAGATGAGATAAGTCTGGGGAAAGAAATCATGTCTTTTAGAGATGTACATTAGGGATTTAGAACTTCTTGCCATAGGGCATGTAAAATTTAACTTGGATTACATGAACTGGTTAATGCACATGATACAATTATTTAAATTAATTAAATTCAGAAAAATTAACTTTTGCTTACTAGATTACCTATGACAATGAACTTTCTGACATTGAAAACGCAAAGATAAGTAATAGCTACAATGTATTTTCAGGTCCCTATATAGTTGATATTTTATTAGATTCTACATGCTACTAGAACATTCAAATAGATACAGTTAAGATAGAGCAATGAGAATAAAACATTTCAAAATCTAATTTCCCTCAACATATTAATTTAATGTGATGTTAAAATATTTTATATAATCAATATCATATAACAAATTTTATAATAAAATATTCTTCGTTATGACAAAACTATTTTTCCTTGACTGGATTTACAAATGGTTGAGAGCAGTTATTTGCCTTTGACTCTTGTGGAGACCACAATCTGCTGGTTTACATTATTTATTTGTTTAGAGACTCATTTCCCTAATTAACTGAACAGAGGCAAACTTCACAGGTTCCAGAAATTAATGATATTTTATTGGCCTAGTAGTCCAGATAAAAAGGGAATTTCTGACAGGATGATTTAGATAATTGTCTCAATTTGCTTCATAGCTTTCTACTTATTGATACATCATTAGAGTTTACCTCGTGTATTCTCACAGGCACAGGTAATCAGTTGAATATATCTATAGGTGATTCAGCCTGTGTTAAGTGCCTCCTCAGTAAAGTATGTGCACATGATTGCATTGTTGAAGGTACATTACCAATAAAGATACCATGAAATTGCAAATCAATTCATAGATTTGTTAAAAACACTCAAACTTTTTCTTAAGAAAAATAGCTTTTTCTGTGTTTTAATTTTTTTCTCAATGATAATGTCAGCGTTAAAAAGACACACTCAGGTGCCTCGATGCTTCCTCTCTGTAAGTTGTATCTTGGTAAGTATTCAGAACAAAAAATAAGCATACAAATTTCTTAAACTTTGTTTTGGTAAAAGCTAACACACAAATACACACACACTAGCCTAGGCCTACACTGGGTCAGGATCATCAACATCAGTCTTCCATCTCCACATCTCCTCCCACTGGAAGGTCTTCCGAAGCAATACCACACATGGAGCTGTCATCTCCCATGGTAACAATGACTTCTTCTGAAACAGCTCCTGAAGGACCTGCCTCAGGCTATTTTAGTTAACTTTTTTGTTTGTAAGTAGAAGGAATGCATTCTAAAATAATGTCAAAAATCATAGTATACTAAACACATAAACCAGTAACATAGTTGTTCATTATCAACTTTTATGTACTATGTATACTTAAATGTGCTATACTTTTTTTTTTTTTTTTTTGAGACAGAGTCTCGCTCTGTCGCCAAGTCTCGAGTGCAGTGGCGCGATCTCGGCTCACTGCAAGCTCCACCTTCCGGGTTCACCCCATTCTCCTGCCTCAGCCTCCCGAGTAGCTGGGACTACAGGGGCCTGCCACCACCCCTAGCTAATTTTTTCTATTTTTAGTAGAAACGGGGTTTCACCGTGTTAGCCAGGATGGTGTCGATCTCCTGACCTCGTGATCTGCCCGCCTTGGCCCCCCAAAGTGCTGGGATTACAGGTGTGAATCACCACGCCTGGCCTATATGCGCTATACTTTCATAGAACCAGGAGCTCAGTAGGTTTGTTTACGCCATCATCACTACAAACACGTGAGTATTGCGTTGTATTACAAGGTTAAGACGGCTATGCTGTCAGTAGACAATGAGGATTTTTCAGTTTCATTACAATTTTATAGAACTACCCTGATACATGCAGGCCATCACTGGTGAAACCTTGTTATGCAGTGCATGACTGTATTATATTGGAAGAAAGAGTGAGATAATATGCTGACACTCACACCGGGCTCATGCGCCAGTAGGAGGAGGTCGCCCTCCAGAGACTGCAGGAGAAGGGGGAGAACTCCTCCTTGCCCTGGCTGTTCCTCCACCACTTCCACCGAGGCCTGTGGTACAGCACCCGAAGCTTCCTAACCCACCCTAGGCCTGGCCGGGCAGGCCCCGCAGCGCTCCTACTCCCTCTTCCCGGCCCCTGGACTTGCGGCTGCTGCCACAACTAGCACAGATGTCACTATAACCATCGCTGCTGTTGCCCTCAATGCACTGGCCCACCCTACAAAACTCCTACTACCTGGCCACCGCCGCAGCCCTGCCCCTGCCATGGCCGCAGCTGGCCGTCCTCCTACCGCTCTGGTGCGAGGTAGTCTCGGTAGCTGCCACCAACCGCAGCAAGGCGAGCAGCAGCCCCAGGCTATCTGCAAGCTTCCAGCATGTAACTCCTCCTCCTGGCATGGAACAGCTGGACACACAAAGCCAAAAAAGCCTAGAGGAGAATGCAGAGACTGATAGCGTTAGAGCCTCACCTTGTCATCCTGGCCACTGGGTGGCAGGGGCCAGTCTCAGTGAAGGCACTCATATCCACCCTCCAAAGTCCAGCCTCTCCTTTTGGCTCAAGCGGGCCAGGAACTGGGACCTGGAGTGGTGACTGGTAACATCACACTGCCTGGCTCCAATCCACAGGAACCGCTGGGCCCACCAGGACTGCGCTCCTTGGGGAACAAAATCAGCAGGAACTCAGACACAGCCAGCCCTCCCACCCAAATGCCGGTTCCCCATCCTGATGCCTCCACCCACAGAGCCCTGTCTCCCCGTGGTGTCCCCGCCACTCCGTGTCCAGCGTGCCTAGGGGTGCCAGGTGGTCTCCGCAACACAGAGCGAAAAGGGCGTGGCCCCGGGAACCACGGCGGGTAAGGGGTCCTTGCCGTGCTCAGGATTACTGCGGAAACGCCGTGCGCTCGCTGCGCTCTAGCAGGAGCAGGAGGAGATCGCCTTTTAGAGTCTGAAATCCAGAAAGAGGAAGAAGGCTCCTTCCTTGGAGACCCTGTTGCTGCAAGCTCTGCCGCCACCAGCAAGGCAGCCCCTGATGGCGCCCCTAATCCGCTGCCTGATGTTGGCTCTGGGATAGCGCCCCCAACACCGCCCCTCGCCGCTGCAATGTAAAACCCAATAGCGCCCCCAACCCATCCCTGCCTCGGACGTCGCAGCACCAGATAACTCCCCCATCCTACCGTCTGCCGTCGGCCATGCAGCCACGGATAGGACCTCCAACTAACCCCCGGCTGCGGGCAGTGATGCCCCGGAGAGCACGGCCACCTGCTCCATGCCGTCAATAGTGCAGCCATGGATCCTTAAGGTCCCCAACCCCCTCCCCACGACGAGCAGTGCAGCCCTACATAGCAGATAGCACCCCCAACTATCCCCCACTCAGGGGGAATGATGCCCTGGATAGTGCACCCCACCCGCACCCCGCCATGGGCAGTGCAGCCTCCGACAGCACCCCTAACCTGTATACCGCTGCCAAAAATATGGTCCCCGATAGCACACCAAACCCAGCCCCCACCACAAACAGTGCAGCAGCTGATAGAGCACCTAACTCGCCCCACCGCCACTGACCACAGTGCAGCCCCCGAACGGTGCCCACAACCCACCCCACCACCCCGCCTGCCACCGGCCGGGTATCACCCCCAAACCGCCCCTTGCTGTGAGGAGTGTATCCCCTAGTAGCGCACCCAAACCTGCCCTCTATCATGGGCAGTCTGGCCCGATAGTGCCCGAAACCGCACCCTCCAAGCACCTACCCGCACCCACCGCTGCCCCGCCCCACCACCAGCAGTGTAGCACCTGATACTGCCTCTAACCTCTCCCCTGCCATGGACATTGCAGCCCCACATAGCGCCCCCAACAAGCCCCCACCATGGGCAGTGCAGCCCCAGATAGCATCCCCACACCGCTGTCAGCAATGAAGCCCGACCAGTAAGCACCCCCACCAGTCCGCACCCTAACCAGCCCTCCCACCACCATGCCGCCGGCAGTGCAACCACAATAGCAGCCCCAACCCGGCCCCTGTCGCGGGCAGTGCAGCACCCAATAGCGCCCCCAACCAGCCCTACTGCTGCCATCAATACAGCCCAAGATAGTGACCCCAACCCGCCCCCCACCAACCCCCCCCCCACCCGCTGCTGAGGGCAGTGCAGCCCCGGATAGCACACCTAAAAGCAGTGACGCCCAAAATAACACTCTAGTACACCCAAAGTAGTGACACCCGGAATAATACCCCAACCAGCCCCCGCCGCGGGCAGCCCTGGATAGCTTACCTACCCCATTGCCTTTCTACACTCTGGCCAGCTGCAGTATCCGTCGCTGCCACCAACCACAGCGAGGCCAGCCAGGGAGGCGAGCCAGCGAGGCCAGCCGCAGTCCTGCAGGCTCTAGCCTACAGCCTATGGTAGGTGCCTTCTCCTTCTTTCCTTCCTGTAGCCAAGCACGGAGCAGCTGTCACTGCCAGCTGCCTCTCTCCATTGCCACCACACACCATTCAAGGCTCCAGGGCTCCAGGTTCCAGGCTCCAGCCTGCGGCAGCACACTCTGCTGCCGCTTTCTCCAAACTCTGCGGGAGAAGTAGAGGCTAACACACGATAGCCTGCAACAGCGCGACGCCCCCTTAGCATAGCTTATATACTGGGGGTTGTGCAGGCCTGGTTCTCGGACTTCACGTTCTGATTGGATGAAAGAAACATCTACGCCTACTCTGATTGGACGTTATTTTCATGTTCTGATTGGATCAGAACAAGTCTTAGGCTAACCAATCAGAACGTGACAATAAAGTCCAATCAGAGTAGGCCTAGTGTTTTCCTCTCATCCACTCAGAACATGTAGTTTATAATCTCGGTATATAAAGCATGTTAAGAGATAGAGTTGCACTAGTCCAGCCTCGTCGGCGTCTGACTTCATAGCTGCTCCATTGCCAGCTTGGAGTAGGAGGTGCCAGCCACTGCATGCTGGAGGCTGCAGCCTACCGGGCTGTGGCTGGCCTCCCTGGCTCACCACCTCGCCGGCTTGCCTCGCCTTGCCTCGCTGGCTTGCCTTGCCCGCTGCGGTTGGTGGCAGCGATGGACACTGCAACCGGCCAGAGTGTAGAAAAGCATCGGGGTAAGTGGCTATCCAGGGCTGCACTGCCCTTGGCCTGGGACGGGTTTGGGGCCCTATCTCAGGCGTCACTGCCCACCTTGGGTGGCTGGTTAGGTGTGCTATCTGGGGCTGTGCTGCCTGCACCGGGGGGTGGTTTGGGGGCCCTAACCGGGGCTGCACTGCCCTCGGCGGGGAGCCTGTTGGGGAAACTATCCCAGACTGTATTGCTGGCAACAGTGAGGTGGGCTAAGTGTCCTATCCAGGGCTGCACTGCACGGCTGTTGCGGGGGGTTGGTGGTTTCAGGTTGAGGGTGCTATGGGGTGCTGCAATGCCCGTGGTTCGGGGAGGCGGGGCGGTTTGGGTGTGTTGGGTGCGCTATTGCGGGGGGGCTACACTGCTGGTGGCAGGGGGCAGGGTGGGTTGGGGGCCATATCAGGGGCTGCACTGATTGCTTTAGCTAGGGTTTCCAGTACTATGTTAAATAACAGTGGTGACAGTGGGCATCCTTATCATGTTCCAGATCTTAGAGGAAAAGCTTTCCATTTTTCCCCATTCCATATGATTCTAGCTGTGGGGGTCTCTCATGTGGTTTTTATTGTGTTGCAGTATGTTTCTTCTGTACCCGTTTTTTGAGGATTTGTAGCATGTTCCCCAAATTGAATATACCATTTTTTAAAAAGAGACTGAGTCTTGCTGTTATGTTGCCCAGGCTGGTCTCAAACTTCTGGACTTACGCGATCCTCTTCTGCCTCAGCCTTCAGATAGCTGCAGCTATAAGCATGCACCACCGCACCCAGCTTGAAGGTACTGTATTTTTAATTCCATATTGTCAAGCGTTTAAGTTACTTTTCTTTAAAAAATTAATATTAATTCAAAGGAAGAAATTGGCAGAGTGAAAAGACAACCTACAGAATGGGAGAAAATATTTGCAAAGTATGTATCCAGCAGAGGATTAATATCCAGAATATACAAGGAACTCTTGACATCTCAATAGCAAAAAAAAAAAAAAAAAAGAACCCAACTGAAAAATGGGCAAATGACCTGAATAGATATTTCTTAAAAGATGACAGACACATAACCAACAAATATGTTTTCCTAAAAAGCTCAACATCACTAGTCATCAGGGAAATGCAAATCAAAACCACAATGAGGTGTCATCTCACCCCACTTAGAATGGCTACTATCAAAAAGACAAAAAATAGCAAATGCTGGCAAAGATGTGGAGAAAAGTGAACACTTAAATGTGGCTAGTGGAAATGTAAACTAGTACAGCCACTATGGAGAACAGTGTGGAGGTTCCTCAAAAAACTGCAAATAGAACTATTATATGGTCCAACAATATATTATTGGACATTTATCCAAAGAAAAGGAAATCAGTATATTGACGAGACATCGGCACCCCCGTGTTTATTGCAGCACTATTCACAATAGCCAAGATATGGAATCATCCTAAGTATCTAACAACAGATGAATGCATAAAGAAAATATGGTATACATACACAATGGAATACTATTTAGCCATAAGCAAGAATGAAATCCTATAGTTTGAGGCACATGGATTGAACTGGAGGACATCATATTAAGTGAAGTAAGCCAGGGACAGAACATTAAGTACTGTGTGTTCTCATTCATTTGTGGAAGCTAAAAAAATGTTGATCTCATAGAGGTAAAAAGTAGAACAGAATACTACAGGCTGGGAAGCATAGGGTGCAGGGATGGTAGAAAGCAATTTGTTAAAGGTTTCAAAATTACAGCTAGATAGGAAGAGCAAGTTCTAGTGTTGTATAGCACTGTAAGATGACTGTAATTAACAACAATATGTTACACAGTTTCAAAGAGGAGGAGGATGTTGAATGTTCCCAGCACAAAGAAATGATAAATGAGATTATGGATATGCTAATTACCTCGATTTGATCTCTGCAAATCTATGGGAATGTTACTATGTTATTCATAAATACTAATAAATACATCAAAAATTTTAAAATTAATAATGAACAAAAGATAAGGGGCCCTGAACTCTAGCTTTAGGGCTGAATTGTATCCAGTCAGATGGTTTATATGTTATTTAAACTTTCACTTTAAATTTGGAGTGGAAATATGTTTGGAAATCCTTACTTTTAGTATGTTGATTTGTGTGTGTGCGTGAGGTAAATCTGGTTGGCTATTGGCAAATGTACTGGGTAGCTACTTAATAAAACATTTCCTTCCAGTGTTTCAGCTTTCTGATTCTTAGAACATGTGTATATTTAACATAATATGCATTATCACTTTTGAAAGTAGTTATTCTAACACTTATTTGTGCTAAATTAGAATATGAATTTGGGAACTATTACTCTTTTCTATGGTCTGGAATAATTTAAGTAATAGAAATTATCTGATTAGATAGAAATTCATTGTAAAATCATCAAGTTTAGAAGCTCTTAAGATTTCCTTTGACTTTTGCTTATTAGTTTTAAAGAAAAAAATAAATTGACATAATGGAAATTTTCACTATACATCAGGAAGGGAATTCAGTGGAAAAGTAAGCTTCCTACTCCCTCTTGACCTTCAGTTTATACTTTTCTTCCTAAGTCAAGTACTGCTACTGGTTTCTTATGCTGTTTCTAGAACTAGCCTATCTATTGTCTATTTAAAATAACTCTTTAATCACCTTTTATTTGAGCTGCCTTATGGATCTATGTAGTTTTTCTGTCTCTCTTTAAAATTTTTTATGCGGTAGAATACACATAACATAAAATTTACCATCTTAGCCATTTTTAAGTACACAGTTTAGTAGCACTATCTTTCACATTGTTGTGCAACCAATCTCCAAAACCTTTTCATTGTGCAAAACAAATTCTGTGTCTATTCAACTGCTCTCCATTCTTTCCTACCTGCAACTCCTGCAACCATCCTTCTACTTTCTGTCTCTCTGAATTTCACTATGTCACATAAGTGGAATCATACAGTATTTGTCTTTTTGACATGGGCTTATTTTACTTAGCATAATGTCCTCCAGTTCCATTCATGTTGCCTTGAAAGGCAGGATTTCATTCTTTATGGCTGAAATAGTATTCATCTTGTTGTAGCATGTCAGGATTTCCTTCCTCTTGAAAGCTGAATGATATCGTATGTATATACCAACATTTTATTGATCTAAATGTATCTACCAATGGATTTTTCGGTTGTTTCCACCTTTTGACTATTATAAATAATGCTACTGTGAACATGGGTGTACAAATAACTTCAAGGCCCTGCTTTCATTCTTCCGAATATACATCCAGAAGCGGAATTGCTGGATCATATGGTTATTCTATTTTTAATTTTTTGAAGAATTTCTATTATTTTTAAAGTCACTTTTCATGGTTTGTTCTTTCCTACAAAACATGTTTTTCAATTTTATCAGTGCAGAGTTGTATATAATATTTATATATTTTACTTGTACAATTAAAGGCTGTATTTTATTTCTATATTATCATATAATTACCTTCAGTATCTATGTTTGTAACTGTTTCCTCATTTCTTTTTTTCCTCGTTCACGTTTACTATTTTATTGGTCTTTAAAACCTAGGCTTTCTTTTTTTTTTTTTTTTTTTTTTTTTTTTTGAGACAGAGTCTTACTCTGTCGCCCAGGCTGGAGTGCAGTGGCGCAATCTCCGCTCACTGCAAGTTCCGCCTCCCAGGTTCACACCATTCTCCTGACTCAGCCTCTCCTGAGTAACTGGGACTACAGGTGCCCGCCACCACGGCCGGCTAATTGTTTTTTTTATGTTTTTAGTAGAGACGGGGTTTCACCATGTTAGCCCAGGATGGTCTCGATCTCCCAACCTCATGATCCGCCCACCTCGGCCTCCCAAAGTGCTAGGATTACAGGCATGAGCCACCATGCCCGGCCTACTTCTTTTTTTGTCATTTCTAATTGACTGGTAAGTACATTATATCATTACTGCAGCAGATTTATGTTACAGTGTTTTACCTGTTTATGTTAGAATCAGTTTATGTTTCTGGAATCTGGAATAGGATAATACCTATTTGATTTGAAATTGGACAGAGAGTAGCTTTATGTTGGTCCAGATAATCTCATTTCTCATTTGGACAAGATATTTGAGGGTTTGAAAAATTCCTGTGATGATTAAAGGAGAAAACTCTTGTGAGTTATTGTATGCTGAGACACACACACACACACACACACACACACACACACACACAGTTTATTGCATTGTTGGGTTTTATACATAAAATTACCCAAGTTGCAAATATATGTCTTACAACTTTGACTCTCAGGATAGTGCAGCAGGATGAAGTGCAACCGCCCCCGCCCCCCCTTCCCCGATTTGCCAACAAGGGCAGACCAAACTAGAAGTGTGGCGCTGTACATGTTTCTGTGGAACCCTGACAGTGAAGCTGTTCTGGTTGCCATGTCCTGTTTCCGCCACCTCTGTGAGGAAGCAGATACCTGGTGTGGGGTGGATGAAGTGTCAGTGCATCACCTCTTGCCCAACTGTAGCACATTCATGGAGTTTGCCTCTGTCAGCAATGTGATGTCAACAGGTAAATGTGAATAGTGGTTTTTTTACTCAACCTGCCTGAAGCACGTGACATCTAATTGTGAGAATGTATTTAAGGTTACTACTTTGTAAGTTTACAGGGGAAATTCAAGTAGCTTACTTGAAATCCTTTTCTGAACAAAGAAATGAAACAAAGATGAAAAGAAAAAGCATTTGAAATAGTCTCCCACTGAGTTTTTAATATGCTATACGTTTTAAAAATAACTGGCAGTATATGTTATTATCAGTTGTGATCATATAATTTACTCCACCTAAGTTGTAGATAGTGAAGTTTTATGCACATTGGCATATGTTTTGAGTAAATTATAGGTGGGAATAGCTATTTTGTGCTGTGGACATTGTAGAGTCTAAGATAAGTACCTTTCCTGTGAGGTTAGTGAAAGGAAGTTTTTGGCTTTATCATTTGAGGCATTTGCTCTGCTCCTCCTACTCTGCCTTTTGGGTAGGGCTTATGAGGTTCTCCATTGGCAGGCAGGGCTCTAAGTGCAGTGACTTGATTGGCTGTTGTATTTGCTTAGGAACAGCAGCACTTCAGAAAGAGTGATGGCACTGCGGAGGCGCACTTAGCATCCCACTGCAGGAAACACTGAGGTGTGCTCTTAGCAAGAGAAACACCCCTCCTAGGCGCCCACCCTCAATTTTGGAAACCTATTGTCACATATGTGTAATCAGGAATAGCTTTTGAAGTAAATCCAAGATATGTGCGTGTTAGAAGTGTAATATCTGAGTACTTATTATACATCAAGTTTGAAACTTGGCCATTGCTGATTGACGTTTAGCTCTAGACTTAAAGTTGCTTTCAAGTGATAATTGCCTTCATTTTAGGCTTGGGAAGATACACATGCAAAATGGGAACAAGCAACAAAACTAATCTTTAACTATCCAAAAGCCAAAATGGATGACAGCCAGGTAAGTCTGTAAAGTTGACTTTTGTCTATTAACTGATCTGCTAAATATATGTCCTTCTCTTTGGTAATCTCTCACGAGTCACTCAGTAAAGTAAGCATATAGTTGTCTGAAGACTGATATTTAGTTGTGGTTTATCTAGACCTGTACTTCGTAATATGGTAGCCACTAGCTACGTGTGACTATTTAAATTTTAACATAATGAAAATTAAATACAATTTAGTTCCTCAATCATATAGTAGCCACATTGCAAGTACCCAGTAGCCACATATGACAGTCTGGACAGCAGAGAGAGAAAATGTTTCCATCATCACAGAAATACTGGGCAGCACTGCTAGAGACTGTTGCAGAGACCTTTTCTTGCTCTTTATCCCTTCATCAGGGTGTTTCACAGAATTTTCAGAAGAGGAGCAACAGAGGTAGAGAAAAAAAACACGGAAACAATTCATTTTGCTATTTTGTTAAGTATTCTAATTAAGGAATGTCTTGGGCAAAAGATTGAACCCATAGATTAAATGAAATTTTAAAATGTGGACAGTTCATTCAACTATTACTATTGACTATATTATCTGTTACTCTGGAAATTGATGAGTTGGTGTTTGTGTGTAATTGATTTGTAATGTTCATATTCCTCTCATTATTAGGCGATTTATAAAAACTGGTTATTCCCCCATGTTTTTTTTCTGTCATACTTAATTACAATAAGAAAAATGTTATGTTTTTATGAAGCAAAATTGTGTACCTAATAGCTTTATTTGGAGGGGACATGTAGCTTTAGAATGAAAGCTTTTGGGGGGATAACTGTTTAATATACCATACAATTCACCCATTTAAAGTGTCCAATTCAGTGGCTGTTTTTAGTATATTCCCAGAGTTGTGCAACCATTACCACAGTCCGTTTTAGAACAATTTCATCAATTGAGGAAAAAAAACCCCTGTATCCTTTAGCTATTTCTGCCTCTAACACCCTACCCCACCTCCCCGCCACTTTCTTGTCTCTCTTCCCCCGGCTTCTCCAGCCCTAGGCAACCTTGAATCTACTTTCTGTCTCTGCAGATTTGTCTCTGCTGGATCTTTTCTGTAAATGGAATTTTAGAATATGTGGGCTTTTGTGATTAGCTTCTTTCACTTAGCATAACGTTTCCAAGGTTCATCCATGTGAAATCAAAGCTTTTTAAAAGAAATTTGATACTTGGGCGATTATATTAGTGTATGACAAAAATAAATCAGTGGCTCTTTAAAAATGTATATGGTAATTTTTGGGGTTGATTTTAATGTGTTTTTTACATTTTTTGTACTTTTGTCATGGAAGAAATGTTGGATAAAGAGTAATTTGTCAAGTCTCAACTAATTTAGGTTTAATTCATGCTTTGCCCAAAAATTTTGTGTTTAGGCTGCTGAAAGTTTCACATGACCATTGTTAGGAGTCGAATATCCCATCTGAGTGGAGGAGGACGCGCAGATTTGTCTGACACAGACTCCCTACAGGAATGGATCAACATGACTGGCTTCCTTTGTGCCCTTGGGGGAGTGTGCCTCCAGCAGAGAAGTAATTCTGGCCTGGCAACCTATAGCCCACCCATGGGTCCAGTCAGTGAATGTCAGGGTTCCATGATTTCAGTGATGTCCTCAGAGGGAAACGCAGGTACACCTGTCAGCAAATGTATGGATCAGCTGTTGTCCTTAATGGTGTGTAACCATGAGAAAGTGGGACTTCAAATACGGGCCAATGTTAAGGACCTGGTGGGTCTAGAATTGAGTCCTGCTCTTTATCTGATGCTATTTAACAAACTGAAGAATGCCATCAGCAAGTTTTTTGACTCCCAAGGACAGGTAAAGTGTGCTCTTTTTTATTTTTCACCTTGTTTGAAATAAGGAAGGCTTTTTCTTTCCAATTATTTAAATTAGGTGCTCACAGTTTTTAAAAATTGCCAAAAAATTGCAGAAAGAAGAGTCATCTCAATGTAGGGGTCAGCTTGCTTCTTAGGAACTCTGGTGTGTATGTGTGCCTGAGGGTATACCTGCCTTGTGTATGGGTATGAGTGTCTGCATGTATCTGTATGCTTGTTTGGCTGTGTGCCTGTGGGTGCACTTCTGTGTTTGTGTGTTTAGATCAGTCGGTTGCATCTCTCTAGAGGTCTGTCTTCTGGGCATTGATGGCAAATGATTAATACATTTGTTCTTTCTATAGTTTTTATTGATGGATACCAACACTCAATTTGTAGAGCAAACCATAGCTATAATGAAGAACTTGCTAGATAATCATACTGAAGGCAGCTCTGAACATCTAGGGCAAGCTAGCATTGAACCAATGATGTTATATCTGGTCAGGTAAGCGTTCTACTGAAATGTAGCAGAAACATACTTTAAGAGATCAGAAAAACCTCTTACACATTGATATTGGTAGTAATTGATAAAATAATTTGCCATTCTTTACTGCACACAAACTAGGGTGTGACAGTCAGGTAACCAGAAGGTGTGTATGTTCTCATAAAAATAAATATTGTTTTCAGACTTACATTTAGTTCATTTTATTTGATGACTAAAGTACTTTGAATGCTTTCTCTTTTGTCTATATCTGATAATTTTTTTATTGTCTCTGTGTCTGTATAGGTATGTTCGTGTGCTTGGGAATATGGTCCATGCAATTCAAATAAAACGAAACTGTGTCAGTTGGTTGAAGTAACGATGGCAAGGAGAGATGACCTCTTATTTTGCCAAGAGATGAAATTTAGGTGAGTTCTCAAAAGAGCAATGTAGGGTCTTGTAAATCTTAATTTGTTGAATGAAGTACAGAAATAGAGTAGATATCTGGTTATTGGTAGGAAGGAAGACATAAAAAGAGAGCAATTTACATGTTTGTGTTTCTCTACGTCTCTCCTCAAATTTCCGTAAGCTTTGTGCCTGTGGCAAGCCTCCCTTTTTCTAAAACTGTGCTGTACTTGAGCTAAGAATTTGATTCTGTTTCCAATTTGATACCATAAATAAGGGCCATGTTGGAGGTTAAATATCCACGTTGCTTGTTCCCTTCTGGCTTTTACGTCTGTGACATCAGTATCTCTTTTATAAAGTCGTCATGTCACCTGAGTTATCTGCCAAATTATTTGCACTGTAAGAAATCTTACACAATTAAAGGTGTGTGTGTGTGTGGCTTCAAAAAAATTGTTTGCTGTTTCTCTTTTCTCCGCCATTCTTTAGGAATAAGATTGTAGAATACCTGACAGTCTGGGTTATGGGAACATCAAACCAAGCAGCAGATGATGATGTAAAATGTATTACAAGGTAAAAAAGAGAATGACCTTCAAGTATTAGTGGGTTTTCCTGTAAGAATTATAATTACTTCCTTACAGCTTTATACTTGTATTTTATGTGTATTTAAATTTTTTAGATGTCAAACTTTTGTGGTTGAAATATGTAAAGATACTAATCTTTATTACTACTTTTTTTTGACTGATAGACTTTCTGTAAAAATAAATGTGCGAGAGCGGTATGTTTGGGAAGTTAGTGTTGTCAGTTTATGAAGAATAGTCTACCGTTATTGGGAAATAAGGTACATAAAGCCTCAGATTGCATTTATGTTATGATTAGATAGAAAAAGGTATTATTTGAGGAACTCATTGTGTTGGTCTTTCTAAAAAATAATTGATTTCCTGATTCAGGCACCAGAGACAGAAAAAAAAGGAAGTAATTAAGTGTAATTAAGTCTGCTTTAATGATAAATGCTTATTGACACATATCAGAAAGTGATTAAACACTATGGACTGTATAATAAGCCTTTACATATGTTTCTTTGACCAAGCCTAGCTTTATAATATGGTCGTCTCTCAGTATCTGTCAGGAATTGGTTCCAGGAACCACCCCCCAAACTCCTGCCCACATCTCACTTCCATGAACACTAAAATCCACAGACTGAAGTCCCTGATACAAAATGTCATAGTATTTGCATATAAACTATGCACATCCTCCCATATATTTTAAATTATCATTAGATTACTTATAATATCTAATAAATATAAATCTTATATAAACACAAGTTGTTATACCATATTGTTTAGGGAATAACGACAAAGAAAAATCTTTACATGTTGAGTACAGATGAAACCCTACTTTTTTTTCCCCCAAATAGTTTCAATCCATGGTTGGTTGAATCCGTGGATACAGAACTCGCTGAGACAGAGGGCCAATTGTACATGCTTCTGATTGAAGATAGTCATTTTGCCAAGATTACTTTGTAGAAAGTTACTATTGTCTTCTCCTCATTTGAGATGATTTTGTATTCTAGGATCTGCATATTAATTCAAATTATTTGGGTTGTGCTAATAATTTGTTTAATGAAACAGGTAGTTCCTAAAGTTTATATCTGTTAATAAGAGGTTTATTTGAGAGGAAGTGAAATAACCTGAAAGATTTATGGTCTCTAATTTTTTTTTTTCAGAGATTTGGACCAGGCAAGCATGGAAGCAGTAGTTTCACTTCTAGCTGGTCTCCCTGTGCAGCCTGAGGAAGGAGATGGTGTGGAATTGATGGAAGCCAAAGGGGACACAGTTATTTCTTAAGTAAATTTCAGTCACCAAAAAACACAAAGCAAAAGCAAATAAAGCCCCCCGCCGCCACACACACACACACACACACACACACACACTCAAAGACAAAACAAAACAAAAACAAAAAAACAAAAAAGAAAACAAAGAAATGTTCCCCATGCAGGACTAGGATTAGGAAAATAACTGTGTTTTATGATTTTTAAAGAAAATAATATGATCCCTGAAATTTTGCTTGTAATAAAACCCAGATTGCTTCACTAAGTCATTTACAAAAGTGACATTGTGTAAGCTGTTTGGACCACTAATTTTATATACTAAACATTAAAAATGACACATTTACCAGGAAACATTGCATCTATTTGATGCTTATGTTATGAAAGGTATGCTAGGCTATATCAGGTATAATCATGCCCAACACAGCATGCTTCATAATGAGTCACCCTGGCTGATTATCCTGAGAGAGGAGAGAAGCAGTTAATCCAGGGCCAGTCACACCGTGCACATGTGATAGTTTTGGAATGTCTGGTTAGCTTTCTAGTTGATACGGCCTTTGCTATGTAAAGGTCAGTCTTTTTATTTCTCAGATACTTCACACTATTTATGAACCTTTTGAGTGACTGCAGTGAAGCTGAAGATGAAAGTGCACAAACAGGTGGCAGGAAACGTGGCATGTCTCGGAGGTTGGCATCACGGAGGCACTGTGCAGTCCTTGCAATGTCAAACTTACTCAGTGCCAGCATAGACGGTGGTCTCATGCACTCCATAGGTGAGATCAAATGAAAGTTTCATATAGAAATACACAGCCTAGAGAACTGGCTTGTAAGATAAGCAAAAATTACTTCAGTAAGGCCATGTTAGTAAATTTGCATCCATTTGTCCACATCAGGTTTAGGGTACTACAAGGATCTCCAGACAGCTACATTTATGGAAGTTCTGATGAAAATCCCTCAACAAGGCACAGAATTTGACACACTTCAGAAACGGTATTGGCTGATGGGTTTGAGCAATTGGTGGAACTGGTCACAGTGATGGGTGATCAAGGAGAGCTCCCTATAGTGATGGCTCTGAACAGTGTGGTTCCTTGTTCTCAGTGGGTAAGTGCATAGAGTAAGTGGGGAAGAAAAGTGCCTGGCACATAGCAAATCCTTCAGAACATATTTGTTCAATAAATGTTTGTTGAATGAATTGATAAAATTTTAGAGCCAGAAGAAATCTTAGATGTTTAGTTAGGTGACTTTTCAGCTGTAGGGAAGTGGTTGGCACTGCTAGACCTGAATAGTGTCCTATATCATTTCATCCCACTGAAAAATTCCATTTAAACACTGATTAAAAATCACTGATCTACTCCGCTGTCTTCATATATTTGAGAAGGTAATTAAGTTAAACCTAATTTCAGTCAGTTGTCGCAACGCTGGAATTGGAATCCACGATTTGTGCCTGTTTACTACCTCCAGTTTGCTGTTCTTTTCCCCATAATATCTTACACAATTTTTAAAAATGTAAGCACTGTATTTGCATTTGATATTATGATATTGTTTGTTTTAAACACTGAAAACATCATATGGCTATTAGGTCTCTCTCTTAATTTAATGAAAAATTTTCCTCAAATCACATCATTCCTAATACATGTGAAAACGTTGAGAAGGGTGGTGGTTCCTTTCCAGTGTTAAAAGGCTATTTCCTTTTTAGTGTACCAAAAATGGTTTCACTTATAGTAAAGTATAACTAATAAGGTAATCTGTCATTGTAGATTTGTTTCTGCTTAAAGCTGTAGGATATTTGTTACACCTGTACTTAAAGTAAAATTCAAACTCCTTATCCTGTCCTACAAGGCTCCACCTGATTTGGGCCCTGCCTCATCTCTAACATCATCTTATGCCATTTTCCTTCTTGTTCACCAAAGCCACACCAGCTACCTTTCTGTCCCTCCTTGTTAGACTTGTTTCTGCCTTAAGCACCCTTGCTGCTGCTACCACCTGAAATGCTTCTCCTCTGGTATTTTATTTTGGTGAGAACGCCTAGCATGAGATCTACCCTCTAACATATTTTTAAGTGTAGAATACAGTATTGCTATCTGTAGGCAGAATGCTGCACCACAGATCTCTAGAACTTACCTTGTATAACTGAAATTTTATACTGATTGATTAGCAACAGCCCCAAATCATTGAAATCTTCCTAAAGCCTAAAATTACTTCACAAACGTTCAAATGTTTTGAAAATGACTATTGTGAATTATCTTATTAGGATCTACCTATGATTAGCACTGAAAATACTCAGTAATTTTTTAAATAAAGAATCAGTTAAATTCAAGTAGCTTTAATTTGTTGTTGAGTTTTATATTAAATGACTTTGAGAAGGAATTTTCTATTAGGCCAGATCTCACCTATCACATTATTGTAATCCTGGGACCAGGCAAGAATTAGAGAGCTATGGGCCATGATCCTGGCCGTTGTTGTTACTGCTTGAGGATTGAGGCATCTTTTTATGGCTACCCCTATTCTCTATAAATTTCTTCTTGTGATTAAACAGTGATTTACCAGTAGATCATTTTTCTTGAGTGTACCCCAAACTGCTTTACTACAGGGAGTTACAAGGATGTCATTTAGGTAATTGGAATTTCAGCCCTCATCCCTGTCCCCCTTGCTTTGTATGTAAATCTGGCTGATCTCTGGGTTCTGAACGCCCAGTTCCTTTTCTTCCTGATTTCTCAAAAATCCTATAGTCTTTCTGTTTTTGTCATGTCTCTACCTAGTCTATGTTCAGCATTCACTGAGTTCCCCTGACTGTATGAGAAGAGAGTAGAACTCTTCTGATCATCAGTCTTATTTCTGCTCTGTGCAAATGCTTGTACAAATCAAACTAAAGTATTTGCTGTCATCTTCTGTTTCTGTTCTCTTTCATTTTGTGATGTAATTTGAACTGAATCTTGGAGATTTTGTCTCCTGGTAAAGCCTAGGCCTCTCTTAATAGCTTTCACCGGTTAATCCTTGGAATTAACAGCTATCGTAGACATCGTATATAGTCATCTATCATAAACAATATACGCAGATAAATCTCAGGAGAAATATTAATCAGTCACCTTTGCCTTAATTTAGCAAGTAGTTGTCAACTTTGGGTTTATGTTTTTGCCACTCTTCAGCTATCTACCTGAGAACAAAAATGCACTAACCTGATTTTGTTTTGTTCTCAGGATGAACTGGCTTGAGTTCTGGTTACTCTATTTGGTTCTTGGCATTTACTCTACCAACTGCTCTGGAACATGTTTTGTAAAGAAGTAGAATTGGCAGACTGACTCCATTCAGACTCTCCTCTGAGGCAACAGTTTGGCCAGTAAAATAATGACACTCTGTTTCAAGGTTTGTATCATTCATTTTGTGTGTGTGTGTGCTGAGGTATGTCAAGTAATGATTATGTACAGAATGTGCAGAGCTGATTGTCTTCTTTTAAGGTAAAATGTATGGAGCAGGCATAATGAAGTCCTACTCATGCATTTCTATAGGTATATGGTGCTACCTATCTATAAAAACTCCTGGATGCTTTATTACGAATTGAGATCACATCCTCTGATGGGCAACATGTTAGCTTTGAAGTGGATCCTACCAGTTTTATCATCTTTTCACATAAAAGTGCTCTTTTTTTTTTTTTGCTAACACTGCATGAAGCAAGGCCCTCATAACTTCTCCTCTTGATCATTAAAATTTGTTTTTAATTATAAAAGTTATATACAAATATGCTTTTCTTTAATGATATCTGTAATTTTTTTTAAGTTATCCTTCTTTTTATCTGCCTTAGATCCAGGGACAGACAGGAGAAGGATGTCTTTGACTTCTACCTCCACAGACCGTTACTAGTTAAGGCTCTTTCCTTTTTCCATGACTTTACATATCACTTTACACAGTCAGTTGCATGCTCTGTCACCCAGACTGGAGTGCAGTGGCACGATGGCTCACCGCAACCTCCACCTCCTGGGTTCAAGCGATTCTCGTGCCTCAGCCTCCCAAGTAGCTGAGATTACAGGCGTGCACCACCACGTCCAGCTAATTTTTCTATTTTTAGTAGAGATGGAGTTTCACCATGTTTGCCAGGCTGGTCTGGAACTCCTAACCTCAATTGATCCACCAGCCTCAGTCTCCCAGAATGCTGGGATTACAGGCGTGAGCCACCATGCCCAACCAGAGAATTGTCTGTTTTGAGATTAAAATTTGGGAGTTTTAAGAGAACCACTCAGTAGCAGTGATGGTCTATGAATATTCTAAAATTATGTGAAGAAATTTGTGTGAAAGCATACATCCATTTTTCTAACCTTTATCAGATTTCAAAGAGGTTCCTCATCCCCAGAAGGTTGAACACTATACTGGAATAGTCAAAGCACTCAAATTTTTTCTTAATTCTTTATCTTTTTATACTTTTAGCTAAAACTTCTATATCTAATTCTAAATTTATATATTTCAGCTAAAAATAAATGGTATTTAGGTTTTAAAGCCATTCTAATAAAGCAGCTATATTTAGCCACCTTCACCAGTTTCCCCTTATTGAAGGGTTAAGGTTGTTCTTCATGCAATAAACACTGTAACATAAAGAAAGCTTCCTGAACTGTGTGTAGTGTAACTGAAGGTGGGACTATATTGTTACACCTCACCGCTTACAAATACTTTATTCTCTAAGATCTAATTTTTACTAACTTCCTATTAGAGATTACAGAAAGCTATTTTGAGATTATAAGCAGTGATAAGAATGCATTTAAAATGTGGACTTCATGAAGCACTGCGTTGAACAGGATGAAGTGAAATAATCCCGATTCCAGAGTTAATCTGGAGTCAGCCATGTGAATTTAGGACAGGAAATATTAATTTATTGAGGCATTGTGCAAAAAATAGTTACGTGATATTCTGCATGTAAATCTGGGTCCCCCACACCAATATCCTTTGAAAGGAAGGTTTATCCTCGGAATCACAAAACATTGAGTGGAATGCTACAGTTTTGTAATCACTGCTACTTTAAACAGCAGTTAGCCACACTAAGCAAGAATAGCTGTAGAGATTAAAATGTTACATTAAGTGTTCTTTAAAAATGAATATATATGGTATATATAAAAATGTAAATTCCAAAATAATATAATTTTCATCTATAACATGATTTAAAGCAGGGGACACTGGGAAGGGATGGGGGCTGAACCCATTTTATGGCACTCTTCCCAGTCTAAGGTACCTTTTACTTTATCTTAATGTAGAATGTTTTATAAAGAGAAAATCAATCCACTTTAAATATTGGGTTCACATTACTTTTCAGGCTGGACAACCATTTCTTGAATTCTTAAATTATTTTTATTTGACAGAATTATACATTGAGGTAGACATAGGGGTTCGCTGTTCTGCTGAGATCCTTTTTTCTTTTAGGTGCCCAAGAATTCCCATCCCTCCATGGTTCAAATAATAGGTAGGTTGTTATAAAGGAAGCTGGCAACAGGCAATAACATTACTTGTAAGTAAGTTTTTTTTCCTCAATAGGAATCTAAGATTTTGTTTTTTTATAGCAAGCATTTTTTTCTTCAATTCAGTTGTAACTGGTACACAACAAAACATAAATATGTACTATCAGGTATAGGATGTTTTGGGGGTGTGTTGTTGAAAATTTAGTTTCACCTTATAATGTTGACCACACTTTCATGTCTGTTAATCTTAATAAATTATGATCATCTTTGTGTGAAAATTTGGTCTGTTTTCATGACTCCTCAAACTTGCAGTATAGGTGATGATACAGTGAAGATCTGTTTTCAGGTTTCTTCTACCCATCTCATCCATGAGGTTTTTCTTTCCTCTGAGATACCTAAATTGTACTTTAATATGATACAAGACTAGAATTGAGAGGAAACTTTATTTTCTCATGTTTTGGGAGAAGAAAAAATAGAAATGTGTCATTCATGAGGACTGATTGACTCAGAGTTGTTGTGCAAATGTTGACCTTTGAACTCTTTGTTCCCATGCCCCTATTTTAATTCAAACCTTATACTCAAGTCTCAACTTGTTTTTAGGGGGTTAGCCAACGTTTCCCTCAGAACAGTATCAGTGCAGCAGGAAGTGCCATGTTCCTCAGATTTATGAATCCTGATATTGTCTCACTGTATGAAGCAGGGATTTTAGATAAAAAGCCACCACCTAGAATCGGAAGGGGCTTGAAGTTAATGTCAAAGGTGAATTATTTTGATAATCTAGCTATCTTAAATTCCCCTTCCAACTAAATTTTCAGCTTTTCTTACAGTACTTCCTCTTACATTTATATTGGAAATACCCTACGGTTTTCAGTTATGTGTTTTTATTTTGTTTATATTACAAAGGAATTCATTAGTTAGGTACCTGATGGACCTTATTTTCATGAGAATACGTTTTATTATAGCAGATGTCTTGTGTCATGAGGATCATTTTTTGCGTAATCATTCTAGACATTCTGAAACAGACTACAGTGAAGGCTGTAGGATTTTTTATTTTAAGACATTAAACATTTTTAATATGTATTTGTACATGTAAATATAATTATAATTAGGAAGAATAGAAACACTACCTAAAATATAGAATGAGAAATGATTGATTTTAACTACTAGCAGAAATTATATCAAGAAAATTCATATTTTTAAAGAATATATTAATGTATAAACTTCATACAATAAATAATCTGATTATTTATAACCCTGTTTTATTGTGTAAATACTTCAGAGTATTGCCAATCATGTTCTCTTCACAAAAGAAGAGCATATGCGGCCTTTCAATGATTTTGTGAAAAGCAGCTTTGATGCAGCTTGAAGGTAAGCTACTTGCCACTTATTCACTTGCTCTGTTTGAATCAAATATTTTCAGTTTCACATAAATCCATGTACCTGTTTTACATGAAGTTCCGTGTAGGTTTTTTTCTCTTCCTGCTCTAGGTCAAGACATAGCTTGCCTTATTTTATTTTACTATAAAAGACAGTCTTGAAATAAATTAATATTTTTTATAATTTGGTAGTGATTTTCATATTTGAAAACCAAGAGGCATTTTGGACATGTCTAGTTAAATAAAGGATTTGAGGATGGTACAATATGGGGATAAGGAAGAAATAGGATTCCTTTTATTTAAAACTAAAACCAAATTGGTATTGATAATGCATAAGAATGTTTAATAAGGTTTTTATTAGTATCAGAATATTTGTGATACTTAAATTTGGAAGTGTATCTAAACTAAAATGTTATTCTTTAAACCAAGTAATGCAAACACGTAAGATTTTGTTCATGAGTAACTGAACTTTATGATTTTAGAAAACTTTTCTGCTGGATTTCCATAACCAGTTATTTCACTTTATTTCTCTGAGTTATTGGTTTATCTGTAAAGTGGGGATAAACTCTTTGCCTGAGTTGTTTTTAGAGAGAAAAAATGAGATAATTCATAAGAAAGTGCTTTGTAAATTTATGTCTGGAATTCTGCTTTTCATGCAGTGTGAATCTAATTGATCCTTATCATCTAAGCTAGCCTTGTACAACTCTCTCTTCCAGTTTATCATCATTGTAATTGTTACTGACTTTTATTCTTTTAGGAAAATTGGAGTTTAAAAGGTATATTGCTGAATGACAAGCCATGTTGGAAAGAGAGTGAATGTCAGCACAGGATTCATATTCTGGCAGACTGAGGGCCCAAAGAAAGTTAAAAGGAACAAAGTTTTAATACTGGCTTTGACCTAACAGGCTATATATCTTTGGGGAGGTCTTTTGTCTGGACCTTCATTTCCTTATCTGTAAAATACCAGCCTCTTTCCAAAGTTTCATCCATCTCAATTTTGCTGTTCTTTAACTACAGAAGCTGAAGCCAGGTATCAGAAATGGAAAGCCAACTTTCTCCTTGTCCTTTTTACTTTGTCTAATGACAAATCACGTTGTGGGAACAAGCCCTCCATATTTGTAATTGTCATCTCAGTTGCTTCACAAAGTTACTTCGTATAAATTTAATTCAAACATAAGTATGGTGTGTCTCTGGTGTTGAAAATTCTAGTGACTTTGCATTTTCTAATGTTTTTTCTTGATATGGCATCTGATTGTCCTACAAGTGATGCAGTAAATCATAGCCTTTCCTTCAGCAGTGACGGCAATGTGCTCGCTTTACATCATCTACTCCGGAACAATCAGGAGAAAATTGGCCAGTGTCTTTCTAACAACAGGTAAGATTTCCCAGTCATGAGGATAGTGAACATTCTCCATTTTAATTTAGATCAATAAAATTATTGGTCATGAATAGTGCTTTTTAAAAACTTTGCATCTTCTTGGACTAAGAATTATGGTTTAGAAAGAGAAAGTCTTTTTTTTTTTTTTTTTTTTTTTTTTTTCAAAAAAATACAAACGAAAGGTTAAGTCATGTTAAATAATCAACAAACCTATGTAGGTTCCAGTGGTGGTTATTATTATTATTTTCTCAAGTTAAGAAATCACAGATTAGCTCTTTGGGTTTGTATGGCTTGCAAACTGTCATAGACCCAAAGAAGTTCAAATTAGTGTTGGCATTTGAATCTGAAGAACAGCTAATTCATAGGAATTCAGTAATTAAAATATTGTCAGTGTTTCAATTCTATGATAAACTCATTTGTGATACTCTAAGTATATGCAAATAAAGCTTTATATAGAAAATACTGGCCTGGCACTGTGGCTGATGCCTGTAATCTCAGCACTTTGGGTGGCCGAGGTGGGTGGATCACCTGAGGTCAGGAGTTCGAGATCAGCCTAGCCAACATGGTGAAACCCCATCTCTACTAAAAATTCAAAAATTAGCTGTGCATGGTGTCAGGCGCCTGTAATCCCGGCTACTTGGGAGGCTGAGGCAGGAGAATTACTTGAACCTGGGAGGCGGAGGTTGCAGTGAGCCGAGGTTGTGCCATTGCACTCCAGCCTGGGCCATAAGAGCAAAACTCCATCTCAGGGGAAAAAAAAAAAAAGAAAAAATACTTAAAAATTGAAATTATTAATTTGGGCATTGTTTCATTAGCTCTTATTAGTCTCTTGTGTTAACATAAATTACTTGCTGTCCCATCTAGTTATATAAACTTGTAAAGGGACAAAATTCCTAAGTATGAGGAGTTCCTTACAAAGGAAAAATGAGTCCAAATTATTTTTAAATGCCAATAAAAGTGGTTAGCACATTCACAGGAAAAGTAGTGGACTATGAAGCTAAGGGTAAGCAATTGGGAGATGGGAGTTTAAACCACAGAGCATTTTAATCTTTTATGCATTATTAATGGATTGAAGTAGACATGGGCCTGAGGTCTTTTGGGTGCTGTTTACAAATCAACAGGGACCACCAGCTGACAGTTAAAGGAAAAGCAACAGTTACAAGTTAAAGAAATGTGTACTGCTAAATGTGAACTGCTACTTTTTTCTAAGTAGTTTGCTATATCTAGGGATCATAAAGCTGTTGGAAGATGACCTTTTGATAAATGGCAACACTTCTTGTATACCTCGGTCCTCCAGAGCACAAACCTGTGGCAGATACATACCGGTCCAGCCTTAACCTTACCAGTTAAAAGTTTGAGGAATTTATGATGAGGTAAAGTACAACCTTGAAATGTAGACTGCTTTCTTTTTGGTTGAGAAGCAGAGTTTACCACTAGGCCACTTGTTAGATATGATAGAAGACTATGAGGAAAGATGCATCTAATAATCACATTGCCATGTTTGGGGACCCAACTTTTCTCCTATTCTATATATTATTTATATATATATATATATATATATATATATAAAGAATATGTTTTATATGTTGATTGCCATAATAGTAGTAACAAATCATATTTTATCATCTTGCTTTCATAAGTTTTCACATTTAATACCTACCAGGGAATGAAGAAAACATTATTTTCAGATGATAGTTAAGGAAAATGCAACTCAGTGTGAATAACTGGCTTGTGTGAGATCCCACACCTGATTCATAGGTCTTTTGGTTTTAAGTGCAGAACTTTTCTACTACACTATAACACTTTTCAGAACCCTCATAAAGATGAATGGTTTTAACTTCTTTTAGATTAAGGCTCAGAAAATATAGTCTACTTCAGTATTGCTATAAAATTTCTGTGGACATTTGTTTTGAATCCCATTTCATGGCATTTAGCTTGTGAACAAAAAGATCTTCATGGTTAGACACTGACTCTATGATGATACAGTGAGAGTAGTTTGCTGAATCTTTTAAAGTACATTTCACAGTACCTTATGCTTAGTAAGGTCTCCATAGTGTCTGTGAGTTGAATGTTGTGTTCACAGTATCTGCCAAAACAGAAAGAAAAAAACAAAATCTGATGATGAGAAGTTAAAGCTTTGTATATCATATGCCTTGAATTGTAAGTGCCTGTTGTTAGTTGTATTACATATAGGTCATGGTTTTGTACACATAACTCCAAACCATTGATACTGTTAAAAGAATATATGAATATATGAAAGAATGTATAAACATAAGAATGTATGGGTATATAATGTACTTTCCAAATTAATTTTTATTTTTAGCTTTGTTAGATTTTTCTTAGTGTAGCAAACGTTTATTCCTATGTAATTAAGGGCATATTTTCTGTACAGAATATTCATATTACCTAATTGAAAATTATATAATACAAAAATATAATACTATTTTTAGGCCAGGCATGGTGGGTCATACCTGTAATCCCAACATTTTGAGAGGCCAAGGTTGGAGAATCACTTGAGACCAGGAGTTCAAGACCAGCCTGGGCAACATGGTGAGACCTTGTCTTAAATAAATAAATAAATAGGTTGGGCACTGTGGCTCATGTCTGTAATCCCAGCATTTTGGGATGCCAAGGCAGGAGGATTGCTTGAGCCAGGAGTTTGAGACCAGCCTGGGCAACATAGCAAGACTCCATCTCTACAAATAATAAGATATTAACCAGGTGTGGTGGTGCGTACCTGTGGTCCCAGCTACCTGGGAGGCTGAGGTGGGAGGTTTGCTCAAGGCTGAAGTGAACTGTGAATGCACCACTGCATTCCAGCCTAGGCTACAGAATGAGACTTGTCTATAAATAAAGAAATAAGTAAAAATATAAATTAAAAGAAGTAAAAAAAATAAGTAAATAGAAATACATATAAAGATGAGTACATCAAAACAAACAATTTTTAAATTTAACATCACTGAGGACATCCTGGCCATTTTTCTATTTTTCTAGGAAAATGTTTTTATTACTCCTTTTTTTCTAAGATCCTACCTTTCCTTACAAAGCAGTCTTTTGTGCTTTTGAAGATTATGTGATCTAATATATATAGTATACTTAGGACAGTATCTGGTACTTGTAAAGTGTTTAATAAATGTTAGATCTTATTTTTGTTCTAAATTCCCACTGATGCTTTTGGAGACCCATTTTCTGTTTTAAAAAAATGAAGGTAGCTTTATAATAGCCTCAGTTTTTTTTTTTTTTTTTTTTTGAGACAGAATCTCGCTCTGCTGCCCAGACTGGAGTGCAGTGGCATGATCTCGGCTCACTGCAAGCTCTGCCTCCTGGGTTCACGCCATTCTCCTGCCTCAGCCTCCCAAGTAGCTGGGACTACAGGCGCTCGCCAGCATGCCTGGCTAATTTTTTGTATTTTTTGTAGAGACAGGGTTTCACCGTTTTAGCCAGGATGGCCTCGATCTCCTGACCTCAGGTGATCCACCGGTCTCAGCCTCCCAAAGTGCTGGGATTACAGGCATGAGCCACCATGCCCAGCCAATATTCTGTTATTTAAAAAAAATTATTGAATTACTCAATATAGAAATCTAAAGAAAGTAAAAAAAAATTAAAAATTGTTTATCCTCCTGCTCAGAAATAATTCAGTTAACGTATGGTGTATAGTCTCCCAGTCATTTATCTATGCACATGTATATGTTTTTCTCCTATCAAATGATATCTAGGTTGTTTCCATTAATATTTTTAAAATGCTGACCTGGTACCAGCAGCATGATGGGCTGAGTTAATACAGTCTCCTTCCCAAATCACAATACTCATAGATACACTAAGTGTAAAAGAAAACATGTATACTTAAAAAAAATTAGGAAGAGTGCAGTAGCTTACGCCTATAATCCCAGCACTTTGGGAGGCTGAGGCAGGTGGATCACATGAGGTTTGGAGTTTGAGAGAAGCCTGGCCAACATGGCGAAACCCCATCTCTACTAAAAAAAAAATAAAAATAAAAATTAGCCAGGCATGTGACGGGTGCTTGTAATCCCAGCTACTTGGGAGGCTGAGGCAGGAGAATCATTTGAACCTGGGAGGCAGAGGTTGCAGTGAGCTGAGATCGTGCCACTGCACTCCAGCCTGGGCGACAAGAGCAAAACTCCATCTGTTAATTAATTAATTAATTAATTAAGTTTATAGCTGAAGGTAGTTTCTAAGCAAATTACCTAGCATACAGTCATTACAGACAAAGAAATGGAAAATATGAAAGAGATTAAGAGATGCAGAAGATAGAATGAGAAGTTCCAAAATATGTCTAGTAGGTGTTCCCTAGAAATTGAGCTCAGTGAGAATGGGAAGAAGTAATATTTGAAAGGGTAAAGGATGAATGTTTTCTAGAGTTGATGAATGACATTAATCTTGAAGTTAAAGAAGCACACTGAGTCTTGAGCAGACTATATAAAAAGTAAACCAGGCTTTAATACATATGGGAACATAATATATGATAAAAGTGGTATTTGAAATCAAGATTAGGATGGACTTTCAATAAATGGTGTTGATAAAACTGAGTAATGATCTGAAAAAATATTTTCATACCATTTATGAGGATAGACTCCCATAAATCAGAAAGAAAAAAAAACATGGGCAAAGCAAGGCCTTTTTCATCCATTCAAAATCCATAAACTAGAAAGGAAAAGATTAATAAAATGAATTCGTTAAAAAATCATAAACTTCTGTCTGACACAAAGAAGTCATGAGTAAAAACAATCCTATGGTTAATATCCTCATCCAGTAGTTCTCTTAGAATAGTCCTAAAAGTGCTTTTGTGGTTCAAAGAGTAATATCTTGAGATTTTTTGTGCATGTTGTCAAATTACCCTTTAGAATGCCTGTTGCTTTTAAAATAATTTTTCATTTTAGCATTTTATTGTTTATCCAATTATGGGCTGTTTTACATACTCAGTAGACAACACAAAGCCTCACAGTTACCCTGTTCTTTTTCTTTTAGGCATCAGGTATGTGAAAAAGAAGAGATCAAGGCTTTGAAAACATTAAGTATTTTTTACCAAGCTGGGAATTCCAAAGCTGGGAAGCCAATTTTTTATGTTGCAAGGAGGTACGAAATACTATGTTTTGGTGTCTCTTAACAGAATTTTTTAAATGATAGTAAATATAGAGAGATGGCAAGTTTGGTTTTTCCCGTTTGACTTAACAGGAATTGAAGACAAGTTTACCTGGGAGCATATAGTGGGGTAAATAGCCTGCCTTTCCTAAAATGATGGTCAATATCTAATAACTGCTTTTCAGACTACCCATTTCATATTGGTTTCCCTGTCCTACATCATTTTTTTAAGACTGCCTAAAATGGATTAATTACCAAGAGTTAAAAAACCACAAAGAATCTTTTGTTTTCAAGTATATTCTGATTAAGTACTACTCAACAACATGATAACCGGGAACTTTTTTCAATTTTATTTTATTTTATGATTTTATTTTTGAGATGAAGTCTCGCTCTTGTCCCCCAGCCTGGAGTGCAATGGCACGATCTTGGCTCACTGCAACCTCCACCTCCCGGGTTCCAGCAATTCTCCTGCCTCAGCCTCCTGAGCCCTCCCCTGCCAAATCCTTCCCAGCTTCTGGTAATCATCAGTTTATTCTCTGTCTTCATAAGATCCACTTTTTCAGCTCTCACATATGACTAAGAACATGTAATATTTTTCTTTCTGTGCCTGGATTATTTCACTTAACACAATGATCCCCAGTTATGCCTTGTAGCTGCAAATGACAGGATCCCATTCTTTTTTATGGCTGAATAGTATTCCATTGTGTATACATACCACATTTCTTTATGCATTCATCTGTTATGGGCACTTAGGTTGACTCCATATATTGGCTGTTGTGAATAGGGCTGAGATAAACATGGGAGTGCAGATATCTTTTTGATATATTGTTTTTTTTCTTTTGGATGTATACCCATCAGTGGGATTGTGGGCATATAGTAACTCTAGTTTTAGTTTTCTGAGGATCCTCCATGCTGATCCTCATCATGGCTCCTTTATGGAGAGTGTGTGAGGGTTCTCCTTTCTCAGTATGTTCACTGGCCTGCTGCCTTAGACATTAAATCAGGTGCTACTGCGGTATTCCGAGTTGTAATTAGTTTTTTATTTTGACATCTATAAATCTTCAGGCAGCCAGACAGCTTGATAAAGTTAAGCCAAATACAGTTTTTCTAGGAGTGGTGAATTAATGGGAGAAGTGGCCAGATCATCCTTGTGTGTAGGTGTGAGCATGTCTGAGTGTGGCGAGGGAAGGTGGTTGGGTAGAGAGTGCTGTGAGGGAGTGAGGTGGGAATCCCCCTAGCTAGGATTGAGTCATTTTTTTCTTCTTCCATGCAAAATGCATATTCCCCATTGTGGATTTCTGAGTGTGTGAGTGATGAAGAAATAGGGCATGTGCCTTGACCCAGTTGCAGCTATTGCCTCCATGTGCCTGAGGTGCCTTCCTCATACTCTAGCATGTTACTGGGCAGACAGTCAGTATTAGCACATGCTGCTGGTCCTTGTGAGCACAGCACGAAGACGAGAAATGCTGGCAGAATTTTGGCTTGAGGGCCAATAGATGTAATAAATGTAATACAGTTAGTTTTAGAACATAATTCCATAATTTGATTCGGGTCAAATAAATCATTTTAACCAAAATTTCTATTGTGGAAGAAAATCTTTCAAGAATTATGAAATTTGTGTCTCAGAATTGGCTCATTTAAGAAAAATAATACTGTTCAAATGTGCGAAGGCTGTCAAAGGGTTTGTTGTATAGCTTTGCATTGGCTGAGTTTTCAATGTTTAGACATTTGAGTATAAGAAAACTGCTACACTAAAAGTAATAGACATAAAAATAAAAAATAAACAGCTGTGTAATGTTATCAGGCTAGCTAGATGTTATGCATCTGTGATTCTGAGGCTTCTTTGCAGCATTTGGTTCATGGAGGTTCTGGTAAGACCAGCTTGTGAGCGTTGATGTTTCAGAGCAGGTTATTTTCTATGGTGTGAAAGATGCAGTCATTGCCAAGAGTCACAAAAAGTGAGGCTGGGAAGAGGATACACTGAATAAAGTTTTAAGGAAGTTTAAGAAAGCACACACCACATTGCCATTTGCTTTCTTAAAGTTTCAAGGAAAATTTCTAAAAAATACGTTCGTATGGTTTGTAAGGTTCACATGAGATAAGGAAGTAAATAGAGCACTTAGCATAGGAATTGGAAAAAAAATACTTATACTTTCAGACATAGAAGACATACAGTTAACAGATTTCAGAGTCAAGCACTGGTTAGATAAAGTCAAATGCTCTCTTTAGATGTGTACTGCAAGGCATTAGCCAGGTGCAGTGGCTCATGCCTGTAATCTCAGCACTTTGGGAGTCCAAGGTGGGTGGGTCACCTGAGGTCAGGAGTTTGAGACCAGCCTGGCAAACATGGTGAATCCCCGTCTGGACTAAAAATACAGAAAATTAGCTGGGCGTGGTGGCACACACCTGTACTCCCAGCTACTTGAAAGGTTGAGGCAGGAGAATTGCTTGAACCCAGGAAACGGGGATTGAAGTGAGCTGAGATCACGCCAGTGGACTCCAGCCTGGGTGACAGAGAAAGACGCCGTCTCAAAAAAAAAAAAGAAAAAGAAAAAGAAAGACAATATTGGTGTTTTAGATTATAAGAATACAATTTTGATCATAATCATTTACTGTTCTTTGTCATGAAGAACTACTGATCTGTCTTTGTAAACCTGCAAACCTGATCATTGAGAAGTCTGCATCACTATTGATGACAACTTATGGTTCTTCATTAAGTGACCCAGTTCATTTGCTGGAAGATTGGCTGCCTGTTAGCCCATAAAAAGATCCTTTTTCTAGTGAATATCATTGCAAAGTGAAACAGGAAGAGTGGAAAGGTACAGTCTGTAGGCTAGCATGCGATGCACCATGAAACTCATCATGAAAAGGACATGTGTGTCATTAATCATGGCCACATTGATCACGGCCCCACTCTCTAGGGAAGAAGCCAGTTTTTTCCCTTCCCTGAGAGATACCATAACTGAGCCGCCATCAGTATCTTCAGCCTTCCCTTGGAGGAGGATGAACTTGACCTCGATGGTAAGTGATTGATGGTTGACTTAAGGGAATTTGGCTGGCCAGGAATTTGGCTGGCCAGAGAGATGTCCTTCCTCCCTCACTGCTTCCTCATGGAAATGTTAATGAAGATTAAACAAATTAATATATGAAAGTAATACCTGGAACTTAGTAAATCTCAGTGAATTTTAGTCACTATTACTGCTCCTGTGGACCTCAAGTATCAAGCAATGTGACTATGATCAGTAGTGAACTAGCCTTTCTGTAGGCATATTCCTTTGTTTCTCTTGGCTAAATACCTGGTAGTAGAATGCCTAGTGCATATGGTAAGTGCATGCTCAACTTTTTAATACACTGCCAAGTTGTTTCCCAAAGCAGTTGAACCATTTTCCATTTTCAGCAGTAGTGTATGAGAGTTTCAGTGGCTCTATATCTTGACCAGCTTTGGTATGGTCCATCTTTAATTTTAGCCATTCTGATACATATGCAGTGCTATATCATTATATATATCCTTTTTTGAGACTGAGTCTTGCTCTGTCGCCCAGGCTGGAGTGCTGTGGCGCGATCTTCGTTCACTGCAAGCTCCACCTCCCAGGTTCAAGCGATTCTCCTGCCTCAGCCTCCCAAGTAGCTGGGAGTACAGGCACCTGCCACCATGCTCAGATAATTTTTTGTATTTTTAGTAGACACAGGGTTTCACCATGTTGGCCAGGCTGGTCTCGAACTCCTGAGCTCAGGTGATCCACCCGCCTTGGCCTCCCAAAGTGCTGGGATTATAGGCGTGAGCCACGGCGCCCAATCTAGAGCATCTTTTCTTGTGCTTGCTTCTGTCTGTATGTCTTCTTTGGTGAAGCATCTGTTTAAACCATTGCCTATTTTTTATTAGGGTGATTTATCGTCTTACTATTGAACAGTAAGAGCTCTTGTATATTTTGGTTACAGATCTTTTGTTGGATGTATGTTTTGCAAGTGTTTTCTTCCAGGTGAGCACTGCCACTTCATTTCATTAACAATGATGTTGAAATAGGAAAATGTGTATTTTGGGGGAGTCAACTACTCTTCTCAAATCTGCCTGAATAGATTTATCCTTTAGGCCTCTTTTGTGGCAAGACAAATTCATAGCTGAGAAATTTATATGGGAGGAACAAAAAAGTAACTGTACCACTATCTAATATTGAGCACCAGTATTAGTGCAATTATTTAATAATGTAACTTCTTGTTAGTATAACATTAGTGAAAAATAATTATGAAATCTTTAGTATGTTTATCTTCTTCCATAAAATAAATTCATGGCCAGTGGGGTGTCTCACGCCTGTGGTCCCAGCACTTTCGGAGGCTGAGGTGGACAGATCACGAGGTCAGGAGTTCGAGACCAGCCTGGCCAACGTGGTGAAACCCCATCTCTACTAAAAATACAAAAGTTATCTGGGCTTGGTGGTGGGTGCCTGTAATCCCAGCTGCTCGGGAGGCTGAGGCAGAAGAATCGCTTGAGCTTGGGAGGCGGAGGTTTCAGTGAGCTGAGATCACGCCACTGCACTCCATCTTGGGCAACAGAGCAAGACTCTGTCTCAAAAAAATACATTAATTAATTTAAAAAATAAATTCATCAAATAACGACAATCACGAGAGTGACTACAAAAGATGGGCGTGTCCTCAGAGTCTGGCCTCAGTGAGTTTGGAGTGGTGCATACCAGGAGCAGCAGAGGTTCCAGGGAAAATTGTAGACAGAGGAAACAAACCACCATGAAGGAGAGTCAGTGGCAATAATCATTACCAATGAAGAACTGTAGAGTCGTATTTCAAGAATGAAGGTGAGAGCCGGGTGTGGTGGCTCATGCCTGTAATCCTAGCACTTTGAGAGGCCAAGGCAGGCAGATCACCTGAGGTCAGGAGTTTGAGACCAGCCTGGCCAACATGGTGAAACCCTGTGTCTACTAAAAATACAAAAATTAGCCGGGTGTGGTGGCAGGTGCCTCTAATCCCAGCTACTTGAGAGGCAGAGGCAGGAGAATCACTTGAGCCTGGGAGGCAGAGGTTGCAGTGAGCCGAGGTCACGCCACGGCAGTCCAGCCTGGCGACAGAGTGAGACTCTGTCTCAAAAATAAATAAATAAATAAATAAAATTGAGGTAGTCATTTACAGAAAAATATAATCTTTAAGACTTAAGAGCATTTAAGACCAACAAAGTTTCAATAAAGAAATGTTAATAGAGAAGGTTAGCAAGAAAGGAAAAGATTAAGGAGTGCAGTTATGAATAGTTAGAATCTAGTAGCTAGTAAGCAGATGACACATCTGAAACTCTAATCACGTATTTGCAACAATAAGAAAGCTGTATGTAAAACAACTTCTGTTTGTGGTTGGTGGAATTAAAGGAAACAAGACAGAATAAGCGAACAACTGAAAATAAATACAAAAATGAGGTGATCAGAGTGAAGGCATTCTACAGTGTTTGCATTATTTTGTGGAGGGAGTTAAAATTAGCTTAATTTTAGCCTTTGTTAAATTGTAATGCAAAATGCAGTGTAAAATTTCAAGGAAAACAACTAAAAGAATAGTAAAGATTCCAAACCAATAGAGGTTTAATTTCCAAACCAATCAAAGGAAAAAAGATGGAATTGGTGGGTGAGGGTAGAAGGATTTAAATTATTCAAAAGAGACTGGGCAGAGTGGTTCACACCTGTATTCCCAGCAATTTGGGAGGCCAAGGCAGGTGGATCACCTGGGGTCAGGAGTTCAAGACCAGCCTGGCCAACATGGTGAAACTCCTTCTATTCTAAAAATACAAAGAAAAAAATTAGCTGGGCATGGTGGCTTACACCTGTTGTCCCAGCTACTCAGGAGGCAGAGGCACGAGAATCACTTGAATCCGGGAGGCAGAGGTTGCAGTAAGCCGAAATCATGCCGCTGCACTCCAGCCTGGGGAACAGAGTGAGACTGAGTCTCAATAAATAAATAAATAAATTCAAAAGAAAAGCAGGAAGAGAGAGGGAAAAAAACTAGATAAAATGGACAAGTAGAACACATAAAATAAAGTGAAAGGATAAGGATATAGAAGATTCGAATAGATTATTTCCCACTTTGATTTTAATGGACATATATAGTGATTAGAGAATATTATGCAGCCATTTAAATTGCATATGTAATAGTTACCACTTTACTTGGCATAAAGCCAGTTTTAATAAATTTCAAAGAATTAGTAACAAAAATAATTGAGAAAAACTTCCAGAAACTGGAAAAGGATAATGTGCTTTTGTTATAAAAGTTCATGTTATGTTGAAATGGATAAATGGAAAACAACAAAAACAAAAAGCATACCCAGAAACATGAAGGTCACATTTTATATCACCAGAATGATATAAACTGATTTGCTTCAAAGGAATGAGAGAGACTTTGATTTGATCAGGGTGGTGACATCAGAAGCAAAAAGAAGTGCAGAAATCAATAGTGGGTTCTCACAGAAAAGAACATTGGAAATAGAAATTTACAGTCAGCCAAACTATCACTGAAACCAACCTAAGACAGAATTTATTCAGAAGTATATACTACTGACTACCTGTAAACTCTGTGAGGGGAAAAAAAACCAAAAAAACAAAACTGGAGGATGCACTCCATAAAGAAGAGAAAATGAATTCAAAGAAATGCATTAAAAATACTAATCAGGCTGGGTGTGGTGGCTCACACCTGTAATCCCAGCACTTTGGGAGGCCGAGGTGGGTGGATCACCTGAGGTCAGGAGTTTGAGACCAGCGTGGCCAACATGGTGAAACTCTGTCTATACTAAAAATACAAAAATTAGCCAGGTGTGGTGGTGTGCACCTGCAATCCCAGCTACTCGGGAGACTGAGGCAGGAGAATCACTTGAACCGAGGAGGCAGAGGTTATAGTGAGCTGAGATTGTGCCACTGCACTCAAGCCTGGGCCACAGAGTGAGACTGTCTTAAAAAAATAATAATAATAATCAATAGTCGGCAAAAACAAAGAAGTAAAAATAATAGTAAAATTTGATTAAATCTGAATTGGTGCAAATATTTAAATAAATCAGCTACATGAGACATCTCAACTGTTATCAACATAGGGAGTAATATAGGGTGGAGCAGGTGAAGTTTGCTATTGTATTTTATTTTCTAAGTATGGATAGAATTTAGGAATATTAATAGTGTTTTGTACAGTTAAGCTAACAGCTAGTCAGTTACATTTGGATTTTCTACCTACACAGTCACCTCTTATGGAGGTAATGACAGTTGCTTTTTTGTTTTCATTGAATTATTTTGCTTTTATTCATTTTTAAAATTTCTCCTGTGTACTGGTAGGACTTGCAGTGAGCAGAGGGATGACTGAATAGAATGAGAAGCAGATTTGCCCTAAGCAGTTCCCAACTTGACTTTTCCCTTTAGCTTAGTGATTTTGGGGTCCAAAGATTTGTTTTCCTTTCACACAGCATTGTTTACATTAGCCAAGATTTAGAAGCAACATGTCAACAGATGAATGGATAAAGCAAATGTACATACACACCCCCAGGAGTACTTTTCACTTATAAAGAATAAGATCCTGTTATTTGCAACAACATGGATGGAACTGGAGATCATATGGTAAGACAAATAAGCCAGGCACATAAAGGCAAAATTTTTTCTTACAAGAACTTTGGCTATTCTGAGTCTTTCGTGGTTCTGTCTGCATTATAGGATTGTTTTTCCTGTTTCTGTGAAGAGTATCGATGTTTTGATAGGGTTGCATTAAGTCTGTAGATTGCATTGGTTAATATAGACACTAAAAATACTGATTCTTATTCATGAACATAAAATACATATTTTTGTCTTTTTAAATTTCTTGCATCAATGTTTTATAGTATTCATTGTAGAGATCTTTAACGTCTTTGGTTAATTCCTAGGTATTTAATTTTAATTTGAGGCTATCGTAAATGGGACCACTCTCTTGATTTCTTTTTCACATTGTTCACTGTTGGCATATAGAAATGCTGCTAACTTTTTAATCCTATATCTTGACTAAAATTGTGAGTTCTAATAGTGTTTTAGTGAATTAGGATTTTCCAAATATAAGACCACATCATCTGCAAACAAACATAATTTGACTTCTTCCTTTCCAATTTGCTTGCCCTTTATTTTTTCTCTTGCTAATTGCTCTAGCTGCCATGTGTTGAATAACAGTAGTGAAAGTGTGCATCTCTGTCATGTTGTCAATCTTAGAGGAAAAGCTTTTCATTTTTCCCCATTTAGTATCATACTATATGTGATATCTATATATCTATATATAACTTTTATATGCTGAGGTATGTTTCTTTTTTTATTATACTTTAAGTTTTAGGGTACATGTGCACAATGTGCAGGTTAGTTACATATGTATACATGTGGTATGCTGGTGTGCTGCACCCATTAACTCGTCATTTAGCATTAGGTATATCTCCTAAAGCTATCCCTCCCCCCTCCCCCCACCCCACAACAGTCCCCAGAGTGTGATGTTCCCCTTCCTGGGTCCATGTGTTCTCATTGTTCAACTCCCACCTATGAGTGAGAATATGTGGTGTTTGGTTTTTTGTTCTTGCGATAGTTTACTGAGAATGATGATTTCCAATTTCATCCATGTCCCTACAAAGGACATGAACTCATCATTTTTTATGGCTGCATAGTATTCCGTGGTGTATATGTGCCACATTTTCTTAATCCAGTCTATCATTGTTGGACATTTGGGTTGGTTCCAAGTCTTCGCTATTGTGAATAGTGCTGCAATAAACATACATGTGCATGTGTCTTTATAGCAGCATGATTTATAGTCCTTTGGGTATATACCCAGTAATGGGATGGCTGGGTCAAATGGTATTTCTAGTTCTAGATCCCTGAGGAATCGCCACACTGACTTCCACAATGGTTGAACTAGTTTACAGTCCCACCAACAGTATAAAAGTGTTCCTATTTCTCCACATCCTCTCCAGCACCTGTTGTTTCCTGACTTTTTAATGATTGCCATTCTAACTGGTGTGAGATGGTATCTCATTGTGGTTTTGATTTGCATTTCTCTGATGGCCAGTGATGGTGAGCATTTTTTCATGTGTTTTTTGGCTGCATGTATGTTTCTTCTATAGTTTTGAGGGTTTCTTTCATGAGGAGATATTAAATTTTGTCAAATGATTTTCAGGATCAATTAAAATGATCATGTGGTTTTTGTTCTTTCTTTTGTTGATATGGTATATTACATTAATTGATTTGCATATGTTGAAGTATCTTTGCATCCATGAGATAAATCCTACTTGATGATGAGGAATAATAAACTTTTAATCTGTTGCTGAATTTTACTTGCCAGTATTTTTATGAGAAATTTTGCATCTATTGCTGATATTGGCCTATAGATTTTTTTGATATGCATTTGTCTGATTTTAGTATGAGAGTAATGCTTGCCTTACAGAACGAGGTTGAAAGTATTTCCTCCTCCTCTGTTTTGAAATAGTTTAAGTGGGATTGCTATTAGTTTTATACATGTTTTGTCAAATTCAGTGAAACCATCAGATTTCAGGCTTTTCTTTGATGGGAGGCTTTGTATTATGGATCTCATCACGTCTTGTTTGTGTATTCAGGTTGTGGATTTCTTAATAATTCAATCTTCTTAGGTTCTATGTGTCTAGAAATTTATCCATTTGTTCTAGATTTTCCAATTTATGGCATCTATCTGCTCATAGTACTCACTAATGATCTTTTGAATTCCTGCAGTATAAGTTGTAGAGTTGAAATGTCTCCTTTTTCATCTTTGATATTATTTGAGTCTTTTCCTTTTATTCTTTTATTTATTTATTTATTTTTGAGATGGAGACTTGCTCTGTTGCCCAGGCTGGAGTGCAGTGGCTCGATCTCAGCTTACTGCAACCTCCGCCTCCTGACTTCAAGCAATTCTGCCTGCCTCAGCCTCCTGAGTAGGTGAGATTACAGGCGCCCACCACCATGCCTGGCTAATTTTTGTGTTTTTTAATAGAGACGGGGTTTTGCCATGTTGGCCAGGCTGATCTTGAACTCCTGACCTCAGGTGATCCAGCCGCCCGCCTCAGCCTCCTAAAGTCCTGGGATTACAGGCATGAGCCACTGCCTGCTGAGTTTTTTTTTTTTTTTTTCTTAGTCTGAGTAAAGGTCTGTCAGGTTTCTTTTTTTTTTTCCAGAAAACAACTTTGCATTTTATTGACCTTTTGTATTTTATTTCAAATTCATTTATTTCTGCTTTGATCTTTATTATTTCTTTTCTTCTAATTTTGGTTTGGTTTGCTCTTGTTTTTCTAGCTCTCTAAGATACGTCATTAGGTTTTTTTTTTTTTAAAGTGTCAATTGTTTTGGAAATACAGGTGGTTTTTCATGACATGGATAAGTTCTTTAGTGTGTTTTCTGAGATTTCAGTGCACTTGTCACCTGAGCAGTGCACACTGTACTTAATATGTAGTTTTTTATCCCTCACCCGCCTCCCAGCCTTCCCCCTCAAGTCCCCAAAGTCTTTTACATTATTCTTATGCCTTTGCATCCTCATAGATTAGCTCCCACTTATATGTAAGAACATACGATATCTAGTTTTCCATTTCTGAGTTATTTCACTTAGAATAATGACCTTCGGCTCCATCCAAGTTGCTGCAAATGACATTATTTTGTTAAGTGTTCCCATTTCACCACATCCAATGCCAACATCTGTTGTTTTCTTGACTTTTTTTGGCCTACAAAAAATGGCCATTTTTGTAGGAGTTATTTGATATCTAACTGTGGTTTTCATTTGTATTTCCTTGATTATTGATGTTGAGCATTTTTAGGTTGTTATTAGCTGTTTGTATATCTTCTTTTGAAAAAATATATATTCATTTTCTTTGCCTACTTTTTGATGGAATTATTATTTTGCTAATTTCTTTGAGTTCCTTATAGATTCTGGATACTAGCTTTTTGTCAGATCTGTAGTTTGCAAATATATTCTGCTACTCTGTGGGTTGTCTGTGTACTCTGCTGCTTATTTCCTTTGCTGTGCAGAAGCTTTTTAGTTAAATTAGGTCCCATTTATTTATGTTTGTTTTTGTTGCATTTGCTTTTGGGGTCTTAGTCATGAATTCTTTGCCTAAATCAATGTCGAGAAGAGTTTTTTTTCTTATGTTATCATTTAGAATTCGTATGCTTTCAGGCCTTAGATTGAAATATTTGATCCATCTTGAATTGATTTTTGTATAAGGTCAGAGATGGGGATCCAGTTTTATTCCTCTGTGTGTGGCTTGCCAGTATTTCCTAGCACCATTTATTGAATAGGGTGTTCTTTCCCCAATTTGTGTCTTTATATGCCTTGTTGATGATTAGTTTAGTTGCCTGTGTTTGGCTTAATTTCTGGATTCTGTATTTTGCTTCATTGGTCTGTGTGTAAATTTTAATACCAATACCATGTTGTTTTGATAACTATAGCCTTGTAGTATAATTTGAAGTAGGGTAATGTGATGACCCCATATTTTTTATTTATTTGTTTGGTTAGTATTACTTTGGCTATGTAGGCACTTTTTTGATCCATATTAATTTTAGGGTTTTTTTTCTAGTTCTGTGAAGAATACTGGTGGTATTTTCATGGAAATTGCATTAAATCTGTCATGAAGTTGTTCATTTGAATTTTTTTATGTAGACACTTTTAGTTATAAACTTTTAGTACTGCTTTTACTGTAAATCCTAAGTATTTCCATTGTGACATATTACAGAAATATTTCAATTTATTTATTAATATCCCCATTGACCCACTGGCCTTTCAGGAGCATATTGTTTAAATTCTATGTGTTTGTATAGTTTCAAAAATTTGTCTTGTTATTGATTTCTAGGTTTTTTTATTGTAGTCACAAAAGATGCTTGATATTATTTTAATTTTTAAAATGTGTTAAGACTTGTTTTGTGACCTAACATATGGTCTATCCATGAGAATGATTCATGCACTGCAGAGCAAAATGTGTATTCTGAAGCCATTGGATAAAATGTTCTGTAAATATCCATTGTGTCCATTTGGTTTATAGTGCAGATTAGGCCTGAGATTTCTTTGTTGGTTTTCTGTCTGGAAGATTTATCCAATGCTGAAAGTGTGATGTTGCATTCTCCAGGTATTATTATATTGGAGCCTGTCTCTCTCTTTAGCTCTAATAATACTGGCTTAATATATCTGAGTACTTCAGTGTTGGATGCATATGTATGTAACATTCTTACATCCTCATGCTGAATTAAACTCATTATTATTATAGAGTGACCATCTTTGTCTCTTCTTCTAGTTTTGTCTTGAAATCTATTTTGTCTGACATAAGTGTAGCAACTACTGCTATTTTTGTTTGTTTTCTTTGACATGGAATTTTTTTAAATCTTTTTAATCTATGTGTTTATAGGTGAAGTGTGTTTCTTGTAGGCAACAAATCGCTGGGTCTTAATTTTTGTATCCATTTAGCCACTCTGTGTCTTTTGATTGGAGAATTTAGTCCATTTACATTCAGTGTTGTTATTGATTATATAAAGACTTACTCTTGCCATTTTGTTCTTTGTTTTCTGGTCTTGCTATCAGCAGCAAGAGGGAACCTGAAAGTAGGTAGCCATCTGTGAGGCTGAGTCTGGGATTTTTATGGGTTTAAAACAGGAGAATGCATGCTGATTGGTTCATGGGTGGGCTTGGAAAAGACACCATTCAATTGGTTAAAAGGCATCATTCTCAAAGAACCAATAGAGAGCAGGTTAGACAGGGATGGAAGTTCTCACTCTAGTCCATGAATTCTTTCTGGAACTGGTAGCTCAGTTTTCAGGCTTTTTAGACTGTTGTTTCCTTGAAGGTCGAGTTTCACCAGTGCACCCATCCCTGTCTGCCTAGGAGTTTGTCTTCTGTTGCTATCAGTAGGACTGCAGTGGGTCAGACCTGAAACCAGCACAGCACTTGATCACACCCATGGTGAGCTGTAACCCTACCTGGTACCACCAGTAATTGCTCAAGGTCTTGGAGCTTTATAATCTGTAGGTGGTAAGCCAGCCAGGTTTGTATCCTTTCCTTCAGAGTAGTGAGTTCCCTCAGGTTCTGGGCAAGCCCAGTGGTGCCATCCAGGAGCCAGGGGCTGGAGTCAATAACCTTAGGAGTCTACTTTGTGTTCTATTGTACTGTGGTAGAGCTAGCAATTAAACCATGAAATTCGGTTCTTCCCATTTTTCCCTCCTTACTCAACAGGCAGAGGGGCCTCATCCTATTGCTGCCATCACCACAGGCCCATCGGGAATACTGCCAGGCTTCCACCAATGTTCTCTTAAGGTTCAAGGCTCTTTAGTTCACTTATAGTGAATGATGCTTGGCCTGCTACTCATCCTTTTGGTCAGTGGTGTCCCTTCTGTCCCAGTACAGGTCCAGAAGTGCCATCCAAGTGCCAAGACCTGGAATAAGGGACCCCAAGAGCCCACTGGTGCTCTTCCTCTCTTTGGCCATGCTGGGACCTAAGTTGCAAGATGAAGTTCTCTAGTTTTTCCTCTACCTTTTTCAGTGTCTCCCTGTAGCCACCACAGTTGTGAATGTGCCGAGTCTCACCTGATTCTAGCAAGCCTCAGAGTCTCAATGAAAGCTCACAGCAAACTACCTGGTTATCACTGCAGGTTATTCCAGGCCAAGGGCCCTTTACTTAGCAGTTGATGGGTCTTGTTAGTACCGGATTTCTTCATTCAAGGCAGCAGATTTCCTTATAGTCCAGTATGTACCTAGAAATTTTAATTAGGAGCTAGTGGCTGAGAAGGATGTTTTATAACTCTGACTGGTGGCCTTGCTGGTATCCAAAATACAAGACAAAGTCCTGTTTACTCTTTCTGTCTTCTTAAGTAGATGGAAGTGGTCTCTTGAATCTGTGAGCTGTGCAGCCTCAGTTTGGAGGAGGGGTGGTATAAGAACTCTCTTAGCTGCCCCAGCTTGTATCTTAGTAGGTAATGTGGCCCCCAAGTCCACTGGCTCTAAGCCCAGTTCAGCATGACACCTGGGAGTTGCTGTCCTTGTGACCTAGACTGTTTTAAGTTTCTTTAGGGCCCCAGAGCATTTTAGACTATGGTGGTGAAGCTTGCCAGAACTCAAGTTCCAATCACTGGGAGGGTGATTCCCCTCTGTCCAGGGCCAGTTGAAACACACCCTCTGTGGGCAGGCATCAGCTGAGTTCATTCCAGTTTTGCTTTCTGCTATGATAGGGCAGCACTGAGTTCAATGCTCACAATCCCAGTGCTCTCCCTCTCCCAAGTGTACAGATTCTGTCTACATAGCATGTGACTACTGCCAGGGCATGAGTGAGGAGTGGCATTAGTGATTCAAGACTGTCTTTCCTACCCTGTTTTAGTGCCTCTTTGTGTACTGCAGGGTTAAAACCAGGTACTGTGAGTGCTCGCCTTTATTCTTATGAAGGTTTTTGTTTGCTTTTTAATAGATAGTTGTTATATTGGTGTCCTTCCAGGGGAAATGATCACTGGAGCCTTCTATCTAGCCATCTTGCTCTGTCCTCTGTTGGTTTTCTACTATGGCATTGTGCTCATGTTCTCAGCTTGGTAAAATTTCATATTGGATTTGTAAAGTATATTCAGCTAAATTCAGTATGTAGAATAATTAGTTATTTTTACTACTTTGAGCTATATATTCTTATTACAACCAAGGCATTTTACCAGAGCAAGGCATAGAAGAGTCATTCAAAAAAGCAACACTAGGAAAAGCAACACTGGGAAGATATGGGAGCTGTGGCCTTGAAAATTTATGCTTATGGAAAAACTGGGAAAGTATAGGTGAAGGACAAAAAGAATTATAATTTATGTAGCCAATATTTGACAACTTCTCATAACAAAAATTTAACTGTGAAAGGAGATGAAGAACATAGAATATTTCTGAAGAAGCCTCAGTTTCTGCCAGCTACTCCTACAGAACCATGTATTCCTGTGAGTAAATATCAACATCAATTTTTGGAATCTGTCTTTTGTAATAAAAATCAGATAAATTTTAGCCATGACTCAAATATTAGTAAACATCAGAATACTCATTTTCTAGAAAACTATTACAAATGTAATGAATGTGAGAAAGTGTTTTATCAATCCTCAAAGTATCCATATTCAAGAAAAGCCTTACAACCCTAATGAATGTGGTGAAACTTCTAACCCATCCTCAAAACTTACTCAACATCGAAGAACTTATATTGGAGAGAGCTCACAAAGATGTAATAAAAAATGTATAATAGTCTTTAGTCAGTCACATCTGAAGAGACATAAGATAATTAACACTGGAGAGAAATCAGTAAAATGTAAAGAACGTGGCAAAGCTTTTACCAGGGGCTTACAACTTGGACATCAGAAAATTCATACTGGAGAGAAACCTTACAAATGTGAAAAATGTGACAAAGCCTTTAAGAAGAGCTCACACCTTGCTCAACATCAGAGAATCCATACTGGAAAGAAACCTATCAAGTGTAAGGAATGTGGCAAAGCTTTTAACAGAGGCTCATACCTTACTTAACATCAGAGAATCCATACTGGAGAGAAAGCCTTCAAATGTAAAGAATGTGGCAAAGCCTTTAATAGAAGCTCATACATTACTCAGCATCAGAGAATTCACACTGGAGGGAAACCTTTCAAGTGTCAAAAAATGTGGCAAAGCTTTTAACAGAGCTTCACACCTTACTCAACATCAGAGAATACATACTGGAGAGAAACACTTCACACATAAAGAATGTGGCAAAGCCTTTAACAGGGGCTCACACCTTACTCGACATCAGAGAATCCACACTGGAGAGAAGTCTTTCAAATGTAAAGAATGCAGCAAAGCTTTTATCTAGGGCTCACACCTTACTCAACATCAGAGAATCTACACTGGAGAGAAATTCTTCAAATGTAAAGAATGTGGCAAAGCTTTTACCAGGAGCTCACACCTTTCTCAATATCAGAGAATTCATACTGGAAAGAAACCTTTCAAATGTGAAGAATGTGGCAAAGCTTTTAACAGACACTCAACCCATACTCAACATCAAATAATTCATACCAGATAGAAACTCTTCAAGTGTAAAGAATGTGCCAAAACCCTAAACTGGTGCTCACACCTTACTCAACAATTCTATCTTTTATACAATAAATTACGGTTAACTATAGTTGTCCTATTGTGTTACGAAACACTAGATCTTATTTCTTCTATTTTTCTTAATGTTTAATTAAAATATTATTTCAGGCTGGACATGGTGGCTGATGCCTGTAATCCCAGCACTTTGGGTCAGTGAGGGAGGATCACTTGAGCTCAGTACATTGAGGCTGCCTTCAGCTATGATTACGCCACAGCACTTGAGCTGAGGACAGAATGAGACCCTGTCTTTAGAAAAAAATAGGCTGGGTGTGGTGGCTCACACCTGTAATCCCAGCCCTTTGGGAGGCCTAGGCAGGAGAATCTCATGAGCGCAGGAGTTTGAGACAAGCCCATGCAACATAATGAGACCCCATCTATACACAAAATTTAAAAATTAGTTGGGCATGGTGGTGTGCAGCTGTGGTCCCAGATACTTGGTAGCCTGAGGTGGGAAGACTACTTGAGCCTAGGAGGTAGAATCTGCAGTAAGCCATGATCATGTTACTTCACTCCAGCCATGGTGATAGAATAAGATCTGTCTCAAAGAAACCAAAAAAAATAAAATATTTGCTTATTTTTTGAAAAAAATGCACAACATTGAGAAATATGGAAGTTATTTTAAAAGTTTTTTATTCTCTTCTAAATGCATTTTCTAAAATATACAAAAAATTAGTAAAAAAAAAAAAATGACATAACTGACCTCACATGCATTAAGTGAAATAAACCAGACACAAAACATAATACAGTGTATCATTCCATTTATACAAAATAGTAATCATACCACAATAATAAAGAGGTAATAAAAATGGACCAGGCATGGTGGCTCACACGTTTAATTCTAGCACTTTGGGAGGCTGAGGCAGGTGGATTGCCTGAGGTTAGGAGTTCGAGAGCAGCCTGGCCAACATGGTGAAACCATGTCTCTACTAAAAACAAAATTAGCCAGGTGCAGTGGTGGGCGCCTGTAATCCCAGGTACTCAGGAAGCTGAGTCAGGAGAATCTATTGAACCCGCGAGGCAGGCAGAGGTTGCAGTGAGCTGAGATCGCACCACTGCACTCAAGCCTGCATGACAGAGACTCCATCTCAAAAACGAAACCAAACCAAACAATAAAGGTGATAAAATGGAATGTCCATAAAAGGGAAATCAGTAATGATTGTCTAGTCCTGATAGTGGAAATATTTTAAAGTTATACCATGGCTATAGTTGCATAATTATAAATATACCAGAAACTTTGTATTGAGTATGATGTTATGCATATTTCATCATAACTTTTTTTAAAAAAATAAGCATGCCATAAAATAGCAAGGTGGTTAAATTGCTTGCTTGAAAACAATCTGAAAATGCAATCAATTTTTGCTCATTTCAAGGTTTTTGATTAGGTGTTTCTGAATTTGTCCGTTAGGTCTAGTTGGTATATTAAAGTCAGCAGTTCACATTGAGAATTTTCTACTTCTACCATTCTGCCATTTGTGCTTCATATATTGGGGTCTTTGTTAGGTACATGCATATTTAAAACTATTTTATCTTCTTGATAGATTTATAATTTTTTAACATAAAATTTCCTGTGTCAATTAATTATAGCAATGTTGTCTTAATGCCTATCTTGTCTAAGGGTAACCACCCCAGCTTATTTTGCTTACTATTTGTGTGGAATCTTTTTACCCATCCTTTCACTTTCAACCTATTTGTGAGCTTAGGACTAAAGAGATTCTCCTGTAGATAACATAAAGTTAGTTCATGTTTTTGTTTATTTTTAAACCATCTGCCAATCTTTGCATTGTAATTGTAGATGTTAATTTCTATTTAAACTATTTATAAGGAAGGGCACACTTCTGCCATTTTTCTAGTTGTTTTCTAAAGTCTTGTATATTTTTGTTAATTAACTCTTATATTACTGACATCTTTAATGTTCTAGTATTTTTCCAAAACAGTTTTGATTCTCTTCTCATTTCCTCTTTCACTTCTTTCTTTAGTTGTATTTTTAGTGGCTACCTTAAGGATGACAATTAATCTCATCACTGTGTAACTGTACTTTAAATTAATACCGCTCGTAATTCAGTTTTATTTTAAAAGCTGTTTCAATAGAGATCTGCTCCTCCAATGTTATGTTGTTTTGTCACATATTACATCTTTATGCATTGTATGACATTAACAAAAATTTATAATTATTTTATGCATTAGTATTTTAAATTACATGTAAAAAAGAACAATAGATAAAAGTTACAAAATATTCTTTAATAGTGGCATTTATATTTTGCCATGTACTCATTTTTACTGGCATTCTTCATTTTTTCATATGGCCTTGCATTATTACCTAGTTTGTCATTTCATTTCAACCCAAAAGATAACCTTTGTCATTTAATGCATACCAGGTCTACTAGTGACAAGCTGTTAAATTTGTTTTAATCTATATAGCTCTTAGTGTCTTCAAAGGTCTTCAAGGATGTCCTTCATCTTTGAAGAGCAGTTTTGCTGAAAATAGAGTTCTTTGTTGGCTTTTTTTTTTCTTTCTACACTTTAAATATATTGTCCTATCATATTCTGGACTCCGTAGTTTTTAGTGAGAAATTATATTCTGGACTCTAGTTTTTAGTGAGTTGTTAATGTCAGTGTAGATGCATTGCAAATAGTAGTCTTTTCTCCATAACTTTCTTCAAAGTTGTCTCTTTAGCTTTTGAAAGTTTTATTGTAATTTGTCTTGGTGTAGAGTTCTTTGAGTTTATACTATGAATTCAATGAGATTTTGGAATGTGTAGATTCACGTATTTCATCATGCTTGGGAACTTTTTAGCCATTATTTCTTCAGATGTTCTTTCTGCCCCATTTTATCTTTCTCCCTTCTTTCGGGAGTTTTCATAATGCTTGTAATGGCACATTTTATAGTATCCCATTGTTATCTTAGGCTCTGTTCATCTTTATTCATTATTTTTTATTTCTGCTAGTTGGGATAATACGAATTGAAGTGACCTCAAGCTTGCTGGTTGTGTCTTTCGTCTACTTAAATCTTTTGTTGAACCTTTGTGGTGAATTTTTTATTTTAGTTATCTTAATTTTCAACTTTAGAGTTTGGCTTCAGTTTATAATCTCTATCTCTATTAATATTTTCTATTTGATGAGACACTATTCTTCTGAAATGTTTTTCCTTTTGATGTTATTTATCTTTGCAGCACATTTAAGACAGGTAATTTAAAGACTTTTTCTAGATTTTTCAATGCCTACGATTCCTCTAGGACTGTTTCTGTTAATATCTGTTATCTTATTAGTGGGCCATTATTTTTTCATTAATTTATTTGCACGCTTTGTATTTCATTGCTGTTGCTGAAAACTAGACTTTTTCTATTACAACAACCCTGAAATAATATTCTCTCTCATCCCGTTGGGTTTTTTTGTTGCTTATTGTAAATTTTACTTGTTTGTTTGGTGAGTTTTCAAAATTATTTTTAAAATATCATCCTTTTGTCGTGTTTAGCAATAAAAATCTCTGCTTTATTAGCTTCATGTGAGCTAGCTATTTGACAGAGATTTTCTCAAATGCCTGCTCACATCAAATATAAATCTACTAGTTCTTGCAGTTGGGTTTACTTAGCCAGAAAGATTACAACTTTGCTGTTTTCTTTTCTTCCTGCTTGTGCAGGGCTTGGAGGTAAAGCAGACATGAGAGATAACAGCTTCGTAGGTCTTTGTGAGCATTTGCCTGTCCCTTGATTGACCCTGAACATGCTTATGGGCTTCTGGATTCTCAGGAATATGTGGATAATTTTCAAAGCCCGAATCCCCCAGGCACCTCACTCCTCAGTCTTTTCTCTTAGATATTCTACATGACTTTTGCTTGCCGCACTGATATTCTTTCTCCAAGGTGTGATGAGTAGTTAATTAGCCCTTAACTATTTTTGCCAAACATTAGGTTATTAATTTAGAATTGTTTATTTTTAATGTAGGTGGTTACTGCTGTGAATTTCTCTCAGTAGTTTGCTGCATCTCATGTTTTGATGTTTTTTTGAGACAAGTTCACACTCTGACACCCAGGAATGAGTGCAGTGGTTTGATCAGGGGTCTCAGAAGCCTTGACCGTGTAGGCTCAAGTGAACTTGCTGCCTCAGCCTCACAAGTAGCCAGAGCTACAGGCAGGTGGTACAATGCCTGGCTAATTTTTGAAATTTTTTTGTGAAGATGGGTTCTCATTATGTTGCCCAGGCAGGTCTCAAACTCTTGGGCTCAGTCCTCCCACTGCTGCCTCCTAAAATGCTTAAATTACAGGCATAAGTCACAGCACTCAGCCTTTATAAAACCTTTGATATTTTTTCTTTTATTCTGTTTTCCCATGTTTGTAACATGTTGTCCCAAATTATACAATAGTTCTATGGTAGTTGTGGCACATTTGTGACATAAAATAGAGAAAACATAAGTTACATTTAAATTTGGGGTAAACAACAAATAACTTTTTAGTATAGCTATGCAATGTTTTTATATCTGTGTATAATATGTGTAAGCAATTACTGGAGTATATACAAATAACAATTCATCATTTACCTGAAATTCAAATATAACCAAGTGTGTTACATTTGTCAACCCTTGTTCATGGGAGCCACTGTTCTTTTCTCCAGACTCAGCATTAATGACCTGAAAACCTTCATTAGAGAAAAATAAAGTTTGATAATTAGCAGATACATTCTTTTGCGGTATGTAGTAGTCATTAGAGAGGGTGTGGCATGAATTAAAGTGTGTGATCTGGATACCTTATGGGGAGAAAAAAATAGAATTCTTACGTATGTTGTTTTATCTAATTGTATTACCTCTTTCTGTGATATAACTTTTAATACACACAGTATATTTAGTAAAAGTGATTTCTACATAAGTAGTAAGTAGTTATTTGTATATTAATTGTCCATGTTTATTTTCTGGAACTAGACTGCAGTATTTAATATATGGAGATTATTATGGCTTTAATCTGATACTATCCTGGAGCTTCTTTTAGGTTTAACATGACAAAAGAACCATATCATGTTGATGGCATCAGTATATTTTGGTGGCAACTATCCATTGTTTGGTTCTGGACATTGAGATAAATGTGTACTTATACTAGATTATGTGTTAGGAGAAAAAATAAAAACTGATATATAAACTATGCAATTTCCTTTTTGTAAACTCATCCATATCAGGTGGTTTAAAATTGGTTAGCAGTTTTCTAACTCAGATGTTAATTTCTGAGTATGAGGTAAAAAATACTGTCAAATCATCTTCATTGCCTTGCACATTTATATTTGTGGTTTGTGCATTAGTACCATCACAACTCACTGGCTCACTATAGCCTCAAGATCCTATGCTCAAGTGATCCTTCCATGTCAGCTTCCCATGTAACTGGGACCACAGGTACGTGCCACCATGCCTAGCTAATTTCTTTCTTATTTTTGATAGACACAGGGTGTCACTGTGTTGCTCAAGCTAATTTCAAACTGTTTATCTGAAGCAATGTCCCTGCCTCAGCCTCTCAAAGCGGTGGAATTATAGGCATGAGCCAGAGCTCTATTATTCTAAGCTGCGGGCTGAATTAGTTGGATACAATAGTGATGACTGTATTCAGGGCAAAGAAGAAAGTAATTGCAGAATTATTCAATAAAATTTTATGAAGGGTTCTCATACAGAGATATCATGATTAAGAGATGGAGAATTATCTTTACTATTAGTGACCTTGGTGTTTTTCCAAGGCTTGGAAAGGCATCTTTCCATGGAAGGGTATCTCTGTATAAAGTGAAGCATCAAGAAAATTATCACTTAATGCAAATTCATGGATCCCATAAAGTAGAAAAAGGTAGTCCATGTACTTGTAGCATTGAAAACTGGATTTTAGCAATTTCCTCCTGAGATGAAATAAAGCTTTCATGAGATTTCTCTGGGATAAAAACAAAACTTGAACAGAGCCAGAATTATTTTAAGGGATTCGTTTAATAGGACTTGTGGTAAGTGGAATAATGCCATGCAAAGGTCCCCATGTCTAACCACCAGGTTCTAGGCATGTATTATGGTATATGAGAAATGGGAATTCAGGCTGCAGATGAAATCAAGGTTGATAACCAGCTGACTCTAAAACAAAAACATTAACTTGAATTACAGATTTGGGCCTAATGTAATTATAAGCATTCTTAAAAGTGAAAGAAATAATAAGAGAAACTGAGTGCTGTGATGTGAGTCAGTTAAACTTTTTTTTCAACTTTTTCTTTAGGTGATTATTTTCCCTTAACATAAAATTTACTTTAGCTCAACTATACAAACATGTGAGTTATTGTTATGTAACCATCACTCTTCATTAAGAAATGCTTTGTAAAAAGTGAGCCAGTTTTTCATATACATTCTTCAAAATACATTCTCAACATTATACATCAAATTATATATACATACATGCACACATACACTATATATATCAAGGATTTATATGAGAGGATTAATTAAGAAAAAAATTAGTGGAATAAAAATAATGTTTATGATAATTTTGGCCATAGAATATATAATACAGATGATGTGAAGTACAAAATGTTTTTTATACTTCATATTTTGATGTACAAAGTATGTTTGTCTTTGTAATTCAGATGATTACTTTGCACTTGTGTTCCCATGAAAAATGCCTTTCATTTCTAAGCTGGTATTGGCATCTCAGCCAACACTTTTCTCCTTCTTTTCTGCGTCTTCTCCTTTTCTGCTTTTTCTGGATCTCAGGCCAGAGCGCACTTACCTACCAGTCTGTCATGTGGCCCTCATCCACATGGTGGTCCTTCTCACCATGGTGTTCTTGTCTCCACAGCTCTTTGAATCACTGAATTTTCAGAATGACTTCAAATATGAGGCATCTTTCTACCTGAGGAGGGTGATCAGGGTCCTCTCCATTTGTACCACCTGCCTCCTGGGCATGCTGCAGGTCGTCAACATCAGCCCCAGCATTTCCTGGTTGGTGAGGTTTAAATGGAAATCCACAATTTTTACCTTCCATTTGTTCTCATGGTCTCTCAGTTTTCCTGTTAGTAGTAGCCTGATCTTTTACACTGTGGCTTCTTCCAATGTGACCCAGATCAATTTGCATGTCAGTAAATACTGTTCACTTTTCCCAATAAACTCCATAATCAGAGGACTGTTTTTCACTCTGTCATTATTCAGAGATGTTTTTCTTAAACAAATAATGCTGTTCTCAAGTGTCTACATGATGACTCTCATTCAGGAACTACAGGAGATCCTGGTACCTTCACAGCCCCAGCCTCTACCTAAGGATCTTTGCAGAGGCAAGAGCCATCAGCACATCCTGCTGCCGGTGAGTTTCTCGGTGGGCATGTACAAGATGGACTTCATCATCTCAACCTCCTCAACGTTGCCATGGGCATATGACCGTGGTGTCTAGAGGCTAGTGGGCAGTGTCTATACCATTGTCAGGTTTTTGGTGCTACTGAGATCTGATAAAAGGGTAATCAATGTGATGTAAACTATAAGACAAATGTTTAAAAGGTTAATTGTATGAATCCTGTCATGAGTTAAATTATTCAGAGTGTTCATTATAGAGAATAATCCAAAGTTAAAATAATTGGATAATTTATTTGTATGTAGGATAAAAGTAGTAGGAGATTGCTTCTTGAAGATTTAAAATTATATTGAGTGTAATTATTTGCATTAAAATAATTTTAAATGTTTTGAATAGCAAGTATTGATATAATTAAACTTTCGAATAACTTAGTGCTTTGCCTTTATTCCTAATGTTTATATGGAAGCATGTGGTCAATGTTTGATGCATTACAGCTCTGAGCGGTCCTTCTGTATTAGGTGGTCATCATTTATATACTTCTCCATAAAAGATTAAGGACCTGGAAATGTAAGATACATGAAGAAAATCTAAGTGGAGAGGCTGTTTGTGGTTAAGTGATAACAGTGTTGTAAGCGATGCATGAGGTAGGTGTTCAGTGCATATCCTCTGCATTTTATTAATAAACACTGTAAAATTTAGAAGAAAATTGTTTCACCAAATGCACATAAAACTAATAAAATAGAGTGGATTTTGATATGTCTCAGATTATTTGTAAACTTTATTTGTTTTAACAAATAAAAAATATTTTTAATATGTTAAGGGTCTTGTGCATTGATTGAAGTGTCATCCTGCTGTCAACATTAACTTATTCTACCTTACTCAGGCTTGTAGGTAAAACATGGTAAGACTATACCATTAAGTAATATGGTGGAATAACATCTGTAGTGATTCTTTTTCCCAGTGGCCTTATACTTCAAATAATTTAGAGAATATTGTTCCCACGTATTACATTTTTATTTATTTTGTAACTGTGAAGTTATTGTGATGGTTATACTGAAGATTATATAGGAGTATAATCAAAAGCCCTACATTTCTGAATTCTGAATAACTATTTAGAAAATTCAGCCTACATTTTTTTGAACATGTTATCTCTGGTTCTACAAACACAAAATTTTAGTTTTAATTTACATGGTGTAAAATTTCTAAATATATTACTCTAAAGATAAACTTTAGATATAAAAGAATTGGAGAAGTAATTGTTTTTATGTGAGTGTGGACCTATTCTGAGTAGGAAAATATATCAGAACAAAGCAGATGATTTCATGAGTGTTTATGATATACTAGCAAACTAAAACCTCACAGATTCTGAAAGCAAATTTATTTCCTCTGCTTTCCATTCATCTCTAAAATCTTGTGGTTCAGAATCTCCCCATCCAAACCCTTTGTTCTAGCTTGCCTTCTATTCATGCTAGACCTAATATACAATTTTCTTCTTTCAAAGTTCATGAAGTATTCTTTACGTGACCTGCCTAATGATTATAGCTCTTTCGGTAAAATGTAATGGTGCTAACTAAATAATTTGAAGATCTGAGTAATTTTGCAGTGAGTATATTATTAAATTTTATTATTTAATTAGTATATTTAATCTTTTCAATTAGACAATTCTATTTAAGCAAAATGTTTTTATTACTGTTTCTTTCATGTTTTATAGTAGACATATTTGATATAATTATTGAATTTATTGAGCCATGCTTTTAAGGTAAAAACTCGGGAGGCTTCATAAGCCATGGGATTTTCTTGCCATTTGTATGAAGTAAACAAACACAAGACGGTGCTAGGTGTGTAACAAATGCTTTACAATTATCAGGAAATATTTCTGCTCGAGTGAGTTTGTATCTTCATATAAGAGATTAAAAACACCCAGAGTGAAGAAGTGGCATTGGTTTTGCATGGTGAGAGAGGAAATCTGTAGTCAGGCTGCACAACTAACTCTAAATTTAGACAGATAAATTCTGCTTCTTTTATTTTCTAATTATCTTCAGTTTTTCTTTCACTGTCTTTTTATCTTCACCCCCAAATACATATGCATTATAGCCCTTCTCTTTCTTTGCCTGTCTTATGGCAACAGCTTGCTCACTGTTCTCCCCACCCCATGTTATTTCACACAGTACTCTGCAGGTTCTGAGGACAAGTTAGAATTATTTTTAATGTGCCTAAAAATTCTTTGTAGCTGGAGAATTTGAAGTCATTTATAGATTACAAATGCAACATTCTTGTCACTTAATTTAGATAAGATAACGCAGTATCCATGGATTAGATCGTTGGACAGATAGCATTGTTAAACATTATTATATTATAACACAAAGAATGGTAAATATCAAATTAGACTAAGTGAAGTATTAATACCAGTGGGCCATGTATTATTAGTGCTACATAAGAAAACAAATCAAAATTTGGATATCTCATTAGAGACATGTCTTAGAAATAAAATTGTATTAAGGAGAGTTAGTGGTAAGTAAAATATTTTAAATTCAAATTTCTATGAAATATTTATCCCACTGCTTTTGTTTCCATGCAGAATCTTCTGTTGTTGAGTGGGTATAATAAGTTTTGGACAAAAATAAAATAACCTTTGTGGGTTTAAAATTTGGAATAATCTTTTTTGCGGATTCGTATTGCCATCTTGGGAAATTTCTCACTCATATTATTATAACTTCTTTTATTTGAATGGGCACAGTTACAGTCCACAGTTTTTATTCTCAGACACCTAATTACAGCCAAATTCTAGGTCATTCTCTTTAGAGAAATCTCAAAGACAATGGCAGGCTTTTGGATTAAAACATTTTCTCAGTGATTTTGGATGCAAACTTGTTTTCAGTGTTTACAGAAGGGCCAGAGGCGAAACCATTAGCAGCACCTGCCTTTTTAGTGTCTTCTATACCAGGAATTCCAGGTACCTGGAGCTCAAAGTAAAAGCTCTAAAGTACATAGGATTCTCCCAGGCACTGTGCTGGTTCTTGCACATGCTGGTAAATATCTGAGTTTCTATGCTTATGACTGACAAGTGAAATGACAAAAACACCACAAAAACTATATATTTTGATACTACTCTGCTAAGCTTATGAATAAGACACAGACTGCTTATTTGAAACACTACCTTTTCATGTTTCTAAATTTTTTAAATTGACAGATAAAATTATATGTATTGTCATGTAAAATGTGGTTTAAAGCATGCATACATTGTGTAATATTAAATTCTGGCTAATTAACAAGTGCTTTACCTCATATAGTTATCATTTTTGTGATGGAGAACACTTAACATTGACTATATCAGTATTTTTAAAACATAACAGTATGTCATCATTAACTATAGTCACCAGGCTTTACAACAGGTTTTTTTAACTTATTCCTTTAATCTAACTAATTATATATTCTTTGAAAGACATCTACCCAATCCCCTTCCAAAATATCTTAGCCTCTCGTTCCACTATTTTAGTCTCTACTTCAATGCGATCAATTTTTTAAAATTCCACATATGAGCAAAATCATGAGGTATTTGTCTTTCTGTGTCTGGATTATTTCAATTAACATAATCTCCTTCATGTTCATCCATGTAATTGAAAATGACAGTATTTTCTATTTTAAGGCTGAATAATAATCCATTCGTACAGAATGGATGTATGCCACATGTTCTTTATCATTTTATTTGATAATAAACCCTGAGTTTGATTTTATATCTTGGCTATTGTGAATAGTGCTGCAATAAACATAACAGCACAGATGTCTCTTTCACATACTTGATTTTTTTGATATGTGCCCAATAATGATATTGCTGTATCATATGATAGTTCAGCTTTTAATGTTTGAGAAATCTCCATACTGTTTTGTATAATGGCTACGCTGATTTACATTCAGTGCGCAAGCATTCCCTTTGCTCCACATCTTTGCCAATAATTATTTTTTTGGCTTTTTATTAATAGTCATTCTAACAGTAGTGAGTTGTTATCTAATAGAGGTTTAGATTAGTCCTAACCTTAGATTAGCCTTAACCTTAGATTAGCCTTATGATAATTTACCTCGCATTTTTTTCATATATTTTTTACCATTTGTATGTCTTCCTTTAAGAAATGTTTATTTACATCTTTCACCCATTTTAATAGTTACTTGTTTATTGTTCTATAGTTGTTTGAGTTTCCTGTCTATTTTGGATAGTAACCCTTTGTCAGATATATAACTCATAAATATTTTCTCTTATTTATACGTTATTTTTCTTCTGTTGGTTGTACCTAGTGCTGTGTAGAAGCTTTTCAGTTTTCAAGTAATCTCATTTGTCTACTTCCACTTTTGTTTGCTGGGATTTTGAGGTGAAATAAATAAGAAAAAATTATTGTCCCCACCAATGTCATGGAGCTTTCACTCTGTTTTTTGTAGCAGTTCCAGAGTTTTGAGTCTTTGATTTATGTTGGTGGAGGGTCTCATTTCATTGTTCTGCCTGGAGATACTCAGTTTTCATAACACCACTTTTGAAGTAACTGTCCTTTCCCCACTGTGTGTTCTTGTCACCTTTGTGTAAGATCCTGAAATTTTATGAATTTGTTTCTGGGCTCTGCATTCTGCTTTATTCACCTATGTTTCTCTTTTTAAACCAGTTATCATACTATATCAATTCCTAAAGCTTTGTAGTGTATTTCAAAGGTAGTGTAATGCTTCCAGCTGTATTATTTGTGCTTAATTTCTGTTGCTGTTTAGTGTTTTTGTGATGCCATATGAACTTTAGAATTTTTGAAATATTCTAAATAATTTCATTTGTATACAGATAAGAGACTGCTTTGAATCTGTAGATTGTTTTGCTCAGTGTAGACATTTTAACAGTATTAATTCTGCCAATCAATGAACCAGAAATATCTTTCCATTTATTTGTGATTTAGAAAGTTTTTCTACTCAGTGTTTTTTAATTTTAATATAGAAATCTTTCACCATTTTGGTTACATTTATGAGTAAACTTTTTGTAGTTATTATAAATAAAATTGTTTACTTGACTTTTTCAGGTAGTTTATAGTTAATGTATAGAAATTCTGGCATTTTGAATTGGTTTAAATTTTTTATTTTTGTGGGTACTTAGTTGGAGATATATTGATGTGATATATGAGATACTTTAATACAGGCATAGAAAGCAATAATCACATCATGGAAAATGGGGTATCCATCATCCCCTCAGGCATTTATTCTTTGTGTTACAACCAATCTAATTTTACTTTTTTCGTTATTATAAAATGTACAATTAAAATTATTATTGACTATAGTCACCCAGATGTACTATCAAACACTAGGTCTTACTAATTCTTTCTTTTTTTTTGTACTCATTAACCATCCCTACCGTCCCCTACATTCCCCACTGCCCTTCCCAGCCTCTGGCAACTACCTCTACCTACATGAGTTATATTGTTTTGATTTTTAGCTCCGACAAATAAGTGAGAACATGGAAAGTTTGTTTTTCTGTGCCTGGCTTATTTCACTTAATCTATGGTTCCATCAATGTTGTTGCAAATAATAGGATCTTATTTTTTATGGCTAAATAGTATTCCATTGTGTATATGTGCCATGTTTTCTTTATCCAGTCATTTCTTGATGGACATCAGGTTACTTCCAAATATTGGCTGGAGCACACTGCTGTAACAAACATGGGAGGGTAGATATCTCTTCAATGTATGGATTTCCTTTCTAGTAAGTGAATCCTCAGGAGTGGCATTCCTGAATTATATGGTAGCTTTATTTTTAGTTGTTTTGAAGAATTTTCAAAATGTTACATTCCTGTCAACAGCATACAAGGGCTCCCTTTCTCCACTTCTCTCCAGCATTTGTTACTGCCTACCTTTTGGATATAAGCCATTTAACTGAGTCACATAATATCTCATTGTAGTTTTGATTTGCATTTGTCTGATGATCAAAAATGTTGAGCACCTTTTCGTATGCCTGTCTGCCCTTTGTACGTCTTATGAAAAATGCCTATTCAAATATTTTGTTTATTGTTTATCAGATTACTAAATTTTGTACATTGAAAGATTTTACTGTGAATAGTTGACGAAAATTGGTTAAGTCCATTAAGACATGCTTCCTGCCCCTCACAACTCACCCACGCTGTTCTAGTCTCTCCGTAAGTGTCAATTCTGAAGGCCACAACTTCCATAACTTCCATATCTTCTCAGTATTACATTTCAAGATGAATATATTGTGCTTTACTCTGGCAACATGTCTTCCATAAAATGAGAATACACATCTGGGAAAAGGGAAAATAAATTACCTCACTTATTAGATTCAGGTGAGTACGTGTTAGAAACCTAATGTATAAAGTTATGTCAAGCACATTAGCAAAGTGGCACAATAAAAATCATAGGCCCTAATTTCTTCATATACATATACACTTAACAAAAATATCCTGAACAAAATTCCATTGTGATAAGTTTAAAAATCAAGAGTTTGCAGCACCCCAGGCAAGCAGAATGCCAAAAGCCAAATAGTAGAGGAAGGAAAATTTGTTGCATTTACCCACCACAGCCCTTCTTCCTCTCCAATGCAGCATGATGCTTATAGAAGTAAACTTCTGACTTCTTTCTGAAGAAAGAAAATAAACACACAATCCCAGAGTAGACACAGCCTGAGAACAGGCTTTAGAAACCTCCAGAATCTCTAGCCTGGTCAATTGGTGTCAGACTCCAAACCACTTTATAAAGACTGTGACAGCTTTCTGTTAATGCTCAAATCACAATGAAAGATGACAACAGAGTACCAGAGTAACATGGCCAAAAAAACACAATAAATTTCCAGATATGAACCCTAAAAAATTGAGATATACAAATTACTTGAAAATATTCAAAATAACCATCTAAATGATGCTCAGTGTATGAAATGGGAACATAGACAACTAAATGAAAGCAGCAAAATGAGAATATCACAAAAAATTATAAAAACCTTCAAAAATTATGGAGCTGAAGACTACAGTAAGTCATAAAGACAGAAATTCTCAAACAAAATACTTGTAAAATATCAAGAAGCTTAAATTAGTTTGGCTAAGATAAACACAGTTACTCATAACAAGACAGATTATAAGCAAAATTTTAAAAGTCGTAGGCAAAAGGAATCTTGGAAGCAAGCAGTAAGATAAACCTGTTGTGTCATCTATAGCATGCTTCATTGAGATTTGCAGTGGATTTATCAACACAGTCCTTGCAGGCCAGAAAAAAAGTTAAGTGATATAGTCAAAGTGCTGAAACAAAAACTTTCAAAGCAAGAATACTATAGGAAAAGTCTTCAAAAAAAGTTCCAAAGTAACAAAATGCAGTAAAAGTACATCACTAGTATATCTGCCTTACTGAAAATGCTTAGGGGTGTCTCTTCCACTGAAAATAAAATTCTAGAAAAAACCTACATTATATAAAAAACACATAACTCTCTAATAAAGACATGCACATAACAGGAAATTGTATTAAAATTATAATACAGAAAACAATTCTATTTTCAAAATTTGATAGACAAAAACATGAAAGTAGTTATAAACACAATATGACAATATAATTTGTGACTTACAAAGTTGAGAGCAGACATACTGAAAAAAACTATGCATCTGAATATCTTACCAATTCAAAATATATTGTAATTTTAAGAAGATTTTTGTAATCTTCATGATAACCACAAATATTAGAGAAATACAATATAGAAATTGAGAAAGAAATCAGACCATATCACCAGAGAAATCAGTGAGACAGCAAGAAAGATGAAAAAGGAACAAAATGGCTACAATAATAAAACAATGATTAATATAATAATAGTAAGTTCCATTTCAGAATACTTTAAAAATATTAATGGACTAACTTTCCCAATCAAAAGACATATTTCATGAAGAGATTCTAAAAATTGTATTAACAGCATCAACTATATTCTGTGTACAAGAGAATCACTGGATCCAATCACAAAGATAGACTAAAAGCAGGATGGAAAAAGATATTCCATGCAAATGTTAGCCAAATGAGAGCAGAAGTAGTCACTGTGACAAAAGACTTTAAGTCAATCATTATCATATTTTATAAAATTTAATTCAAAACTACAGCATAAAAAAGACATTAAATAATACAAAGGTTCATTCATTGGAAACCTATAAAAATTGTATATGTTGTTTGTGTGTGGATTCCTGTGTGTGTGCTTATACCTGTATCTACATCTACATCACACATCAGGGTTTCCAATTATACATCTATATCATACATCAGGGTTTCCAGTTTATAAAGCAAACATTGATGACATTGAAGCAAGAAATACACAGTGAACAGAAGACTTGAATACACTATAAAAATCAAATTCAACATGTGTAGAGAACACCTCATCCAACAAAATACACAATGTTTTCAATATTTCAGAAAATATTCTTGATAGAAGACGTTAGGCCATGAAACAAGTCTTAACACCTTTTTTTAAAATGAAATATTACTGCTTATTCTTTATAACCAAAATTGAATAAAATAGAAAATGAAACATTCACAAATATATGGGAGTTAAACAATACACCCTCGAACATGCTTTTCTTCAAGGGTGGGAATACTTAATATTATGAAGATGTCCAGACTACATAAAGTGGTCTACAGATTCAATACAGTCCTTTCCAAATTCTCAGTTTATTTTTGCAGAAATAAAAAAGCAACCCCAGAATTATACAGACTACAAAGAGACCAAGAAGACTCAACAATCTTGAAATATCAAGAACAATATCGGGGGTGTCACACCTCCTGATTTTGGAATACATTGTGAAGCTACAGTAGCTAAAGGAATTTGGTGCTGGCATAAATGCACACAACAAGAACAATAAAACAATAGAAAACTTAGAAATACAGCTACACATGTGTGGTCAAATGAGTTGTTTGCACACCCATGCAGCATTATTGACAAAAGCTGATAGGCTAAAGCAGCTTAAACTTTCTTAAATGAATAAATAAAATTTGGAATATAAAAATAGAATATTGCTCAGCTTTGCAAAATCAGCATATGTAACATATAAAATCAAAATCTTAACATGCTAAATAAAGGCAGTCACAACAAGACAGGTTGTCTGAATACACTGATATGGGATATCTAGAAACAAAAAATAATACTATATTTGACGGGCTGGGCGCGGTGGCTCACGCCTGTAATCCCAGCACTTTGGGAGGCTGAGGCAGGCCAATCACCTGAGGTCAGGAGTTCAAGACCCAGGCCTGGCCAACATGGTGAAACCCTGTCTACTAAAAATTTAAAAATTAGCTGGGCATGGTGGTGCACGCCTGAAATCCCAGCTACTTGGGAGGCTATGGCAGGAGAATCGCTTGAACCTGGGAGGCAGAGGTTGCAGTGAGCCGAGATCATACCACTGCACTCCAGCCTGACAACAGAGCCAGACTCCGTCGGAAAAAAAAAAAAAAAATCAGCCAAGAGGAGAAATACACAAGATGAACCATAAACAAAGTTGGTGTTATATTTATAGAGACAACCATGCCCATACATATGTATAATTTAACAGTGATAGACAGCTGGTTAATTCATCTTTGAATTAAACCCCACCTTGATTTAAAGTATATATACAGAGTTGCAAATTGTCATTCAAAATTATAATACATAGGTAAAACAGAAACACAATAAACTGCCTATAAATGTATCCTTACTAAAAACACAGTAATTAGGAATTGCAAGACAAGATAAACATTTACCTATAAAATTCTGTATGCAACATTGATATATCATTATAACACCTTTTTCTAGGTAACTACCGAGTTCACCTGTGATTGTGCACCTATGGAGCACACATACTTGTAATCATTGATGTCTACTGTATGGCAGTAAAATTTTACAGAAAATGCATTACAGACATTAAGAAAATGCTCTAGTAAAATTTTTTTAATGATTATGTAAAGACAGTAAAGATAATGTGTTACTATTAATATATTGATGCTATTTTCACAGAAAATAAAAAGGCTGCAATTCACTCTTTAGAAGCAAAGAAAAGCATTAGACTTTGAAATAAAGTAAAACCATGTATGTTGTAAAATATGAGTTATATACAATGCAAATATTTTGAAATAATTTTTTGTAATTTATCATTTAGATATAGGTTGAGAAAACAAAAATGTTAATGATTCCTATATGATTTCAGTTAACTGTAATGTACAAATGAACATTTTAATAAATAGGGAGTGCCTGTCTGATTTACTTCTTACATGGTGTGGAAATTATAGCATATTGTTCTGAATGAATCTAAAATAACAGACAAATTTGTAATACAGCAAAATACAAAGTGAAACCATATAAGGAGAGTGACATCAGCAAGGATGTTGGAATAAGGGGATCACTCTTGTTTATCTTCCCACAGCTACAATACTTTTGCAGCCATCCATGGACAAAAGTGCCTTTATGGGAGCTTTGGGATTAGAGAGGGCATTATGATACCCTGTGAAAAACAAAGACTGAGGAGGGCTGTTTTGGGAAGGCAGGCCCTCATTCAGGGGGCAAATCTGAGAACCCCTGATCTTGTCTACAGACTAGGAATTGACCCATCCTACTCAGTCACACTGAGAATCCTGAAGTGACTCTGTAACCATCTCCAATGCCTCCCAGTTATGGTCTGGAATTAGTCCTTCCCATACAGAGAACTGGGGAGAGACATTCATGATAATGGAGGCAGACCTACAGAATTTAACCTTTCACCTTTACTGTGGCCTCTGAAGCAGGTCTGTGACTCAGTTTCAGCCCTCTTCACCATAGTTTATAGACAGTTCTGCCCACCTAGAGACCCACAAAGGGAGAGAAAACCCTCTCAGGTACTCAGCAGAAGTCACACTTCATCCACACACCTACTATCAGGGCCGCCATATGCAAACCCAGCTTCAGAACCCTGGCCCTGGCATCTGCCCTACAGATCAAAGTTCTGAAAGCAGTTGAGTCTGCTCGAAATAAGAGGAGTCACAATGAAGCCACCTTGTGCCCAATTTTAATGCTTCTATTTTAACATACTAGTAGTCCTAAGTAGAACAATTTGGGGAAAAATATTTTAAAGCCATCTAAATTGAAAAAATGTCACTTTTTGTAGATGACATGATCTTATATACAAAAACCATAAATAGTACACCAAAAACCTATTTAAACTAATAAATGCACTCAATGAATTTTCAGAATATAAAAACAGCATACAAATCTCAATTGTGTTTTTCTACCCTAACAACAAACTATCCAATTAAAAGGAAGAAAATGATTTCATTTAAAATAAAATAAAAAACAATAAATTTCTTAGGAACAAATTTAACAACTAAGGTGAAAGATCTTTATGCTGAAAAATAAAATATTGATAAAGGAAACTGGAGAAGACAAAAAATGTAAAGCTATCATAGATTGGAGGAGTAAATATTGTTAAAATTCTACATTATCCAAAATGATCTATAGATTTAATAAACTCCCTATAAAAATTCCAATAACTTGTTTCACAGTAATAGAAAATACAAGCTTAAAATTTATGTGAAATTACAACAGACTTTGAATAGCTAAAGCAATCTTGAGGAAGAAGAAAGCTAAGGATATTATAGTTTCTGATCTTTTTTTTTTTTTTGAGATGGAGTCTCACTCTGTCACCCAGGTTGGAGTGCAATGGTACGATCTCAGCTCACTGCAACCTCTGCCTCCCAGGTTCAAGTGATTCTCCTACATCAGTCTCCTGAGTAGCTGGGATTACAGGTGCTCGCCACCATGCCCGGCTAATTTTTATATTTTTAGTAGAGACGAGATTTCACCATGTTGGTCAGGCTGGTCTCGAACTCCTGACCTCATGATCCACCCACCTCGGCCTCCCAAAGTACTGGGATTACAGGTGTGTGAGCCACCGCACCCGCCCCTATAGTTTCTGATTTTAAATTATATTCAATACTATAGTAATAAAAAAAAGACAGCATGTGCATAAAAATGAACACGAAAACCTACAGAACAAAGTAGAGAGCCTAGAAAAAAAAAACCTATGCCTATAAAATCAATTAATCTTGAACAAGGATATTGAAAATGCACAATGCAGTAAGTGAAATCCCTTTATTATTTGGAGCTAAGAAAATTGGGTATCCACAAGCAAAAGAATAAAATTAGATGATTTTTCTTACATCATATCCCAAAATTAACTCAAAGTAAGGACAAATAAAACACATGAATTCTTAAAAATCCTAAAAGAAAACAAAATGTGGTCAACCTCCTTTATATTGGTCTTGACAGTATTTTTTTGGATCTGACACAAAAAGTGCGCCACAAAGGCAAATATAAAAAAGTTGGACTACATCAAACTAAAAAACTTATAAACAGAAAACAATAAGAAAACTTACAGGTTGGGAGAAAATATTTGCAAACCACTGTTAAGTGGTTAATATCCAAAATATGTAAGGAACTCATACAAATAAAAAACCAAAACAACAATAATAATGACAGTAATGATAACATGATTAAAAGACAGGTAAAGAAATATTTTTTTAGTGAAGACGTAAACTAAGAGTATTTGAAAAGCTGCTCAACATCTTCAATCATGAAGCAAATACAAACAATGATGACATATCATTTCACACTTGTTAGGATGGCTAATATCAAAATTCAGAGACATGTATGTTATTCTGATGATGGATACCCTAAAAGCCCTGACTTCACCACCATGCAGTCTATCCATGTCACAGCCCTTGAACTGGGACACATTTACCTGAAAACCAGCCATTTCATCTTCTTTCTCTTTCTTCTCTGAGTTTTTGTCAGGTGAGATTCTCTGGACAAGTCATGGCTGTATGTTGATAATATGCCTTAAAAAGCATCAGTACAACCCCTTTACTTGCTACGACTACAGCTACAGGGAGAAGGAACTAGAAGTGCAAAAAAGTCCACTCTTCCCTGTCCTTTATCCCAGGAGAGAGTCAGGAACAATGAGCTCCTACATAAAGATCAAAATGTGTTTCTCATTTCCTGCTTTCAAGTGTCCTCTCCTATCAAAGACTCAAGCAACTTTTGCTGCAGCAACTGGACTATGGGCTGCACTAACCACCGTATCAAATCCAAGCAGAGCAGATCCTGTGACCTGGAGAAAGGAGCCGGCTGTCCTTCCCTGCTGTAACCTAGAGAAAGGAAGCTGGCTGTCCTTCCCTGGCACAGCTGCACGCAAGGAATTTTCCACCACGCCCACCGGGCAGTAAGTTGAAACATAAAAAGATTAACAAGTTGGCTTATTTTTACTTCTACTCAGAGTGCAGAGTCATCGTAATTTATTGTTTTCTATGTCTCAAATACTCTGCTTTATTTTATTTTATTTTATTTTATTTTATTTTATTTTATTTTATTTTATTTTATTTTTGAGATGGAGTCTCGTTCTGTTGCCAGGCTGGAGTGCAATGGTGCAATCTCAGCTCACTGCAGCCTCCGCCTCCCAGGTTCAAGCAATTCTGCCTCAGCCTCCCGAGTAGCTGGGACTACAGGCGCACGCCAGCACGTCCAGCTAATTTTGGCATTTTTAGTAGAGATGGGGTTTCAACATGTTGGCCAGGATGGTCTCGATCTCTTGATCTCGTAATCCGCCGCCTTGGCCTCCCAAAGTGCTGGGATTACAGGCGTGAGCACTGCGCCCAACCTGTTTTATTTTTTAGTATGTTATCAAATGAAACATTAGTCCAATTATTAAAATAAATGCTTTAGTTGTCTGAGCAACTGTATTTTGTATCTGTCAAATCCACAAGCCTAACAATTTTACCTTTCTGAAATATCTACCACGTGTTCAAAGTCAGCACGCTACTCCTAGTTCTGCAAGGCACTGAAAGTACATAGAAAGAAAGAGGGGGGAAGCACATTTAAGAAACAGGTTTTCTGCAGGATCACAAGGGTATAACAATTGCCTATAACGGTGTGGCTACTTTCTCCGCATTCAGTCCCCGTGACTAAATAACTACTGCATTTGTGGAAGTCTCTAGGCTGGGTGCTGGACCCTAATTAATGCATTTGAAATCCAGGCCTACACTGTCCCTGGGCTCAGCGACTAACCTTAGTAGAAGCACACATTTCTCAATATGCACATAAGGCAAATAGGTGCTCACGGCAGCCAAACAGAATGCTTTGAAAAGCATTTTCCCAATGAGCCCCCCGCCAGCCCAAACCCCCGCAAACTCCGGAATTAGGAGACATAACAGGTACTTCCACCTCAGAAGCCAAAGCCCTCTGCGACTCCTGCCAAGAAGGGCAGGTTGCCATGCGTGGGTCGGCTGGGCGCGTCCTGGGGCTGGTCTGCCTGACCCGGACAAAACCAGGCGGCGAGCACGCGGCGCTGCATGCGGGAAACCGGAGCTGCGCCTCCTGCCGCCCCTCAGTCGCTAGGCAGGAACCCCAGGAGAGGCTACGGTCCCCTGACCTCCACAGAGGCTCGCCAGGGCCGGCGCGCAGGGGCAGGTGGGCGCGGGGGCTGCCCTGCGGCGCCGCAGCCTGGGCCTCCCCTGGCACCCGTGGTCGGCCATCCGCCGCGTCCGCAGCGGCGCGCCGAGCCTCTCCAGTTCGCGGGCCCTCCCCGGCTCGCTCCCGGCTTTTGCAGACCTCCCCGGCTCCTGCCCTGAGTCCGAGCAGAGCGCAACGCCAGCCGGCGCCTTCCTCCTGGGCTGGGAGCGAGTGGTGCAGCGGCAGCTCGAAGTCCCCCGGCCTCAAGCAGCCCCCGCGACTAGCGCGACACCCTCGCGGGATCCGAGTCCACCCTGCCACCAGCGCCGGGACGCCGCGTGCCTCAGAGCCCAAGGGCTGACCCGGGCCTTCCAGGTGGTCCATCTCGCTCCTACGGCTCCCGACGGTGGCGCTGGGTGTCCCCCATCCCGCAGTTCCTACCGGCTGACCCATGTGCGCTGTGCCCAGGTACCCCGCCGGGCAGGGCTGAGCAGCCCGGACCCCGCGCTCTCCTGCGCCCAGATTCAGCGCTGCAGTCGCCAGGGAAAGTTTGCGCTCCGGACTGGCCGCGGCGCCCCGCCTGCTCTGCACCTCTCCTGGCCCACCACGCAGCCCGCGATTCGGGATCCCAGAGGAGAGGGGTGCGGGCTGAGCCGGGGCCACGAGTCCTCTCCCGCGCTCCCGCCCTTTTACCTCACTGTCCCGCCGGGCGCACGCAGAGCTCACCTTGCGTGCCGGCCGGTGGAGGCGAGCCATAGGTGACGGTGCATCCTCCTTCTCCGCCTGCTCTCGCCCGGCTGGCAGGGGCTGGAGGCTGCCAGCGCCAACCTTCCCGGCGCTCCGGGGCGGAGCAGCTCCTGCGCCCTGCGCTACCGCAGCGGCCCTTCAGTCAGCTCCGCGCCGTCCCCAGCAGAGCCCCCGGCGCACCAGCGCCTGCTTTTCCTTCCCCGAGCGCCTCAAGCAGTCTCTGGGCCGCAGGAACAGCCCTCTGAAGAGGCGCTTGGGTAGAGGCCACCAGACACTCAGCAAACGCGCCCTCGGCCCCGCTCGGCTGAGCGGGAGGGCGCAGGGCCCGCGGCTGGACCTGCAAGGGGAGTTCCGGTTCTGCTGAAGTTTCTTTAGGGCCTTCAGCAGCGTCTTCGGCGCCTCCTGTAGTCGCCGCTGTCCTCTTGTAGTGCAGGGATGGGAGGGCAGGGTCAGGAGCCCGGCAACAGAGGCCAGTTTCAAGAGCTTTGCTCCCCTAGGGCCGGCCCCCCCTCCCTGCCCAGGCCTGGGTCCCTCCCGGGTGCTCTGAGGCACCCCCGGACATGCGCATGTCTTAGTCGCTCCTGAAAGAAATTGGCTTGTTGTGGGCACTCTTTTCATCTCATTCATAGACAGGAGTGCATTGCTGCCGGACGGAAAGCCAGGGTCACATGGGACTCCATTAGAATGAAACCCTTACCTAATGCAGTATATATTTGGGGGTTTTCTGAAGTTCCATTTCTTAGCAAGAAGCCTCGGTGACAACGGGAAAGGGCCAGGGGCCAGGGGCCGCAGGTCCGAGAGCAGGTCTGGGGTGGCGCATCTGGGGTGGGGGGGCGGGATTTCCCTAGCAGGGCTTCCACGCCACGTTGGGCACTGCCTCATTAGCCACGCACATGGGGTCTTACTATGGTCATTACATAGGTGTCTTGTCCGTCCGAGTGATGCAGTTCCTGGGAGGTGAGGGTGGCGTTAATGACAGCTGGGTGGCAGCAGGGCCTCTTCAAACAACACAAGCAAGATGGGGCCAAAGCAGCACAGCCCATCGTCTCGGGGTTTCGGGGTCTTGCTTCCTCAGGAGGTGGGGGCCTCTCGACTGTAACACCCAGTGGAAAACGTTCAAGACTTACAGGAAAGCCACCAGAACATGATGGGGAGGTTTATTTACACCACTGTCCCCTTCCTTTTGTGAAACTGCATTGTTTATATTCTCTTTTAACAGAGTCATGGTAAGAAAAGGCAAATTCTTAACTCTCCTCCAGGAAAGATCTTTGACCTTCCAGTGTAGGAAGCCTCTCAGTTTTCCAGTTACACCTAATACAGTGTATTCCAAATCTAAGTTACCCACTAGTACTTCGGCACATTCCAGAAATTCTGAAATTTTCTGAAAAGGAAACTGGTAAGTCTATTCCAGGAGCAGGACATAAGTGTATAAATGTGCAAATATACAGGAAGCATTACTCTGAATACGCGTTTAGCCACATTATTAAATAACTGTTTCCAGTGGTTCTTCACAATATATGAATAAGATGCTCATTTGAAAGACTTTTTAAATTCTAAAATGGATCATTGAACACGTGCATTTCTTCATTTTCTAATCTCTCAAAAGATGTATCATTAAGGTGAAATTCCTTGGTAGTCATTAAATTTTAAAAAGTTAACAACATGGTTTTATGATCAGCCTACTATAATTTTCACCTATTAGGTGGTGGAATTCTAGGCTTAGAATTACCAGCGACAGCTGCTCGCCTCTCAGGATTAAACAGCATAATGCAAATCAAAGAGTTTGAAGAATTGGTAAAACTTCACAGCTTGTCACACAAAGTCATTCAGTGTGTGTTTGCAAAGAAAAAAGATGTAGACAAATGGGATGACTTTTGTCTTAGTGAGGGTTATGGACATTCATTCTTAATAATGAAAGAAACGTCGACTGTGAGTATGTTCTTTTGGTGGATTATGTTTAAAACTTCCATGTTTTTTGGTACACTTTCTATCAGTTTTATGTCAACACAACACATATCGTCTTGGTAAGAATTTCATTTTCAGTGTCAGAGCCTAAAATAGCTGGAGGTGGAGAAGCATGAGTGGAACATGTGCCAGAGAGCGCCCACCCTGTCCCCCAGTCAGGGGCAGGAACTGAGATGGGTGGGTGTGTTTGCATGGGTGGGTGTGGCAGAGGTGGCTGAAACGTGAATGCAGTGTCATCCTATAAGTGAGACAATGTGTTATTCGTCTTTCTGTGCTTGGCTTATTTCACCAAGCATGTTCTCCAAGTCCATCCATGCTGTCAAAAATGGCAGGATTTTTTTTATTCATTAATGCTAAATAATATCCCACTGTGTGTGTGTGTGTGTGTGTGTGTGTGTATTTTTTTTCATTTCTTTATCCATTTATCCATTGACAGACATTTAGGTTGTTTCTATTACTTGGCTATTGTTAAAAATGCCCAAATGGACATAACAGTGCAGGTATCTTTTCCAGATATTGATTTTATTTCCTTTGGCTATATCCCCAAAGAAATGGGATTGCTGGGTATAGAGTGGTTGCCAGGGGCTGGGGGAAGGAGAGATGGGCAGATGTTGGTCAAAGGGTATAAAATTTCAGTTATGCAAGATGAATAAGTTCTGGAGATCTACTGTTCAACATTGTGAATATAGCTAACAACACTGCGATGTATACTTGACATTTGCTGAGGAGGTAGATCTTATTGTTCTCACCACACACATGAAAGAGGGCAGCTCTGCGAGATGATGGGAATGTGAATGAGTTTGATTTTGATGGCAAAATATACATATATTAGTCATCAAACTGAACACCTTAGAAACCAGATTTTACATCAATGAATGGTTGAATGAATAGATCTGCACTTCTGGATTTCTTTAAAAATGGGAAGACACTCCATAGCTTTAGCAACGCTGGGCACCCACCCATTCCCACCCTCCTGCACCGCCTGCATTCCACAGATACCTGACATGGGTCCTTAGAGGAACGTGATCTATCCTTTTTCACACTTTGCCTCCTTTGTGTAATTAGGAAAATCGAGGCAAATGGGGCTTTTTAAAGGATTTTAATTTTTTTCTAATTTCATTGTATCTATTTTGTCTTCACTAGTGGCTTATTTACTGTATCTGTATTTTACCTTATTTTATTTTGTGATGGCTCTAGGGTTACAGCCAGCATCTTTAACTTAGTATAGCCTACCTTTATTTTGTTTATTTATTTATTTATTTATTTTTGAGAAAGAGTCTTGCTCTGTCACCCAGGCTGGAGTGCAGTGGTGCGATCTCGGCTCACTGCAAGCTCCGCCTGCTGAGTTCAAGCCATTCTCCCCCTCAGCCTCCCCAGTAGCTGGGACTACAGGCACTCACCACCATGCCCAGCTAATTTATTTTATTTTATTTTATTTTATTTTTATTTTTATTTTTATTTTTATTTTTAGTAGAGTTGGGTTTCACCGTGTTAGCCAGGATGGTCTCGATCTCCTGACCTCATGATCCACCCGCCTCAGCCTCCCAAATTGCTGGGATTACAGGCACTAGCCACTGCACCTGGCTGAGGACATGTCTTTGAAAAGGTAGCATAACTCCTATTTCTAGCTGCTCTTGCAACTAAAAGTGGCTGTGTACAGAATAACTCTATTCCTCTATATCCAGTTTGGACAAACCAACTTTCCATTGATTTAAGCACACTTTCAGAATAAAGCGTAATTTCTTATCTCAGGAATTCCAAAGTCTAATGGAAGAAGCAAGCTTATACTGAATAATTTAGCAAAGCAGATTGTGCTTGGCAATAATAAAGTAATTCAATATCTGAAACATAAGAAAAGAAGGAAATATCTGTTTCATAGTTGTAATTAATTAGAACTTTACCATGCAGAATAGGTAGAGAGGCATTCCTCAAAAGATTAAGAGAGGTATAAAGTAAATGTAAATGTCAACCATAGGGGTTTTCTTAGGCAGAGAATCATGCTTTAGGGTAAATGAAGGTGATGCTGGTATTCAGGTTCCTTTGGAGAAGGCAACAATAAAAGTAGAGTTATCATTTATGAGATCCAAGAAGCCCAAGAAAAGATAATAAGAGCCCAAGCCACAGCAGGCTCAGCCTTTTTTTCCTAAATAAAAAGGAACGAATAGCTAAATGTGACAAAAGTCAAGGTATCTTTTAAGAAAGTTACACTTCCTCTGAACCACAACAGAAATCAAAGATAGTCACCCTACAGCACTCCTTGCCTCTCTTCCAAGGATACAGCTATGTATTGTTTTTTAAAAAAGGTAAAGGTAAAGAGACATGGTCACTTGACCATGTCTCTATCCAAGGTGAATTTCTCCAAAAGCACAACTTTGGGACACTTGTATGAGATATAGTTTAAACCCCACTGAATTTGATTTCTCACCCTCCCAGACACTTACCTTTATTATTTTCTCATATTTGTTTGCTTTTGTTTCCTTAATATAGTCTAGGAAATGTATCTGTGGGCTGTCCTACAGGAGAAGTTACAATGAATGGAAAAATGTGAAGAACCTTCTATTCTCCCAAGAGTATATGGCAAAGAGGGTGCAATTGCACCCAAAATATCAGTGTGGAAGGGTCACATAACTGATACTATAAAGTAACACATTGTCTTACAGAATTCTCATTCTTAGGCTAAAATATTATCTTCTTCATCAAACTTACTTGACTGCATGTTTGATGTTGTTTGAGTAAAATATAATACTCTTTTATTTCCCAAATGCACACACACACACACACACACACACACACACACACACACACACACACATATTATATTATGTTTTGGGAAATATATGTGCTATAGTATCTATATTTATTCACTTCTTAAATTTGAACTTAATTAAAATGACAAAATGAATTTGCTGAAAGGAGTTGGTAAAATGATCAGCTGTATTCAGTCACATAACTATTGTTTAGTCTTAGTAATGAAAATAGAAAAAAAAAACCAGCCAGGTGCAGTGGCTCACGCCTGTAATCCCAGCACTCTGGGAGGCCAAGGTGGGTGGATCGCCTGAGGTCGGGAGTTCGAGACCAGCCTGGCCAACATGGTGAAACCTCATCTCTACCAACAATACAAAAATTAGCTGGGTGTGGTGGCACGCACCTGTAACCAGCTACTTGAGAAGCTCAGGTAAGAGAATCTCTTGAACCTGGGAGGCGGTGCTTGCAGTAAGCCGAGATTGCGCTACTGCACTCCAGCCTGGGTGACAGAGTGAGACGCCACCTCAGTCAAAAAAAAAAAAGAAAAATGAATATAGAAAAAAACGACAGACGCTAAAAGCTAAGAAAATAGTGTGTTCATTTTGGAATCTAATTCAAAATTCATTATAATGAATTTTAACGGGCCACCAAAGGTATGTGTTGAAGTTCACTGAATATTATTCAATGTTTGAGAATTACTGACAGCACATATATTTCATTTGTAGCAATGTTTGATTTGTTTTGCATCCATATATTTGCATTTATTTAAAACAAAAAACATCAAAGTATATTTCATCTGTTATTTGGAAAAAACATTGAGTAACTAATTGTCCAAATATAGCTATTTTCTAATTTTTAATTAAAAATGCTTCCTGTTTAAAAAAATAACTTATTTCAAAATAACTGACATTTAATGTATTTACATTTTTTAAAGTGTTCACGCACATCTATTTAATTTCTAGATGTCTTGAAGGAATCGTCACTGTATCTGGAAGCCAGATGCCAAAGATGTTCAGTTATTATCAATGCATCTATGCATAAAGGATTGAAAATGATTCTTCATGCCATAATTTATCTAAATGTTCATTCCTTTGGAAAACTGTTTTCCACCAATAGTAACAAGACTTGGAACAAAATAAAATAGCAATATCATATGCATTTTCTATTTCTGCACTTTTCCACTTCTGGAAATAGTCATAGAATCATCTTGTGACAGATTAATATCATCCATGATCCTAAGCCACTAAGAATAAGTGTTAGATTCTTTGGGTTAAATTGTCATAAGGACTAAATTTATTTTTTTAACCAATTCCCTAAAGAATCAACTGATATTTCTGACATAGTTTTACAGCATATGTATCACCTCTCCATCCATTTTGCCTTAATTCTATTTCTTTTTATCCTTCACTGGTGAGGATGAGAAAACCTGGATGCATATGGGTATGGTTGATTTGAAAAGTACTTTTTAAACATTTGGAAGTTTTTCAAAACCAAAAACATATTTGCCAAGTGATCTTTTTCCCCTATATTTTAAATCCATGTGCAACTTAAAAGAAACTTAGACCATATGCTAGTTCAGATTCACTTATATTAAAATCATGAAAATTTTATTTAATAGCTCTTTGACACACAGGGAGTGTTTAAATTAAGCTTCTCTAAATTTTACATTTCTCAAAATACACTCTCTTTCCTATCTACCCTCAACTACTCCTCACTACTCTCCAAGAAAATATCAGGTTTAATTCAGGAGATGTAAGTTGGATGTTGTCAGTCCATCAACAATGATTAAGTAATTTAAAAAGCATTCTTTTCTTCACTTCTTCCCTAGATTTTTTGTTTCTTTGTTCGTTTAAATATCTCTGTGCAAGTTCTGAACAGTTTTATTTATATCAGGATCAATAATCTGAGGAATGAAATAAATTGTTGCATTTGTTGCAATAAATGAGTTTATGCTTCCTTTACAGAACATTAAGGACATGAACTTTTAAGAACATTTTAATGTTTCACTATAAATGATACTTGAGCCTTGCATTAGAATACATAATGTAAACTTATATAAAGAAAAAATAAAAATCTTCTCCTTCTCATCTGCATTTGCAATCCCACATGCACTGAAGTAATCAATGTTAATGGTTTTCTGTCCATTCGGCCACACCTCTAATGGATGGAATTTATGTAGTGTAATTCTTTGTCAGGTACAACTACACATGAGTAAAACTAGGTGTGATTTAGAACTCAAGATTAGGATTTTTATCTAGTAGTGAAATGGGAAGGGAAAAGCAAAAGTAAAATATACATCAACTAATGGCAGAATGGTGTACAGAAGGGAGTCATCTGTATATATGACATCTGATGGCCCCGCCACTCAGCTAACCCATCCACACATGAAATAATAAGTAGACAAGTGCATTGAAAATTGTAAGTGTGACAGAAAGGTCACCACTTGATTGCTACTATTATATCGTTTTATTATTTTGTTCTCCCAACAATGTATAGCTCAAATTTATACTACAGGCTGTTCATATCCCTTAACAAAATATCCATTAATTTATGAATTTGATAAAATTCTAACTTACTGCAGTGCCCTACAAATAATAGTTTGGCCCATCTGTGGTGATGACTGTTCTGGAAGATCTTTCTGATGTTGAATAACTAATATTGTGTTTCAATGTTACTATTAGGTTGGTGCAAAAATAATTGCGATTTTTGCCATTAATCACAACTACATTTGTGCGAACCTAATAGTAATTTAACATTCTGTATCTAACATTTGTGGACACTGATCGAATATGCAATATTCTGGGGAGAAGTTGGTGGAAGAGATGTGTGTTGTTTTGTGAAAGATAGTATTCTGAGGGAAGGCAGAAAAGGGATATACATATAAGAAAATAGTGGATCTTGATCAGATGCACACTTGTTCCTATTTACAAGAAGTCTACTCTGTGTTACTGAACAAATCAACTTACATGAAGTCAACTAATTCCAAAGAATTTACCGTCTAGAGAAATTCACATTTGTAATAATAAATACTTTTCTTAATGACAGAAATTTTATAATATGTCTTTTTTACTTTATAGCTATAACCGTAGAGTTATAAAATCTAAATACAGACAAGCCTACCCAGTGTTTGATTATATTCAATGATGTTTAAAAGTAATGGCCTCTCTTTTGTTCTTACTGGGAAAATTATCATTAGCACAGTGCTTCATGCAGGCTCTTATTACTTCTATCTCCCATTGTTATGATTGGCAAAGCACAAAGCCATACTCAAATTGGAATGCTTGGGCACATTGCAGTATTTATCACAGGGTGGACTGGATACTGAGTTTCTTAATTTATAAATATTTCTTTCCAATGCAAAATTCATGAAGGCTTAATGTTGGGAAATGTCTGAATGGCTATAAATTCCCTTCCTAATTCCCTCCCCTCAATGCATACCCATTTTTTTTTGGCTCATTCTTAGAACTGTAGCTGTTCTTGAATCTTTGATGAGTTGAAGCTAATCCACATTCGGATTTTACAATCTCATATAATTGCCAAAATTCTACCCTTCAAAACACTTGTTTCTTTCTTTTTTTTCTCTTACATTTCCTCAAAGAAAATTAGTGAAAAAACAATTTTTTATTTGGTCTGAAACTTTATGGTGGAAATCTGAGGACAGGAAGAAATTTAGGGACTTGTTCATGCACTTTTGATTTGGCGAATGCCTGGAATATATTTTTTTCTCTCTGCACAATGCAAAGTAGTTGCACTCACAAAGTATCAATTAGAAAAAGAAATTCTTTCCACATTTCATCAGAGTTTTAAGTGGTTACACCACAATAATCCCCAGCTATTTGGGAAATGGTAAAAAAAAAAAAAAACAACTTTGAAGATCAAGCCATCATTATTATTTTCACTAAAACCTAAAAATTCAGCCACAATATGTCAAACCAGTTGGGACAGGACTTCCTTCCACTAATTTAGTTTTTACTGCTGGATACCTGATGGGCTACTTACTATATCAGGTGTCTCATAGGGCAAATTGTACCTGGAGATAAAAAAAAGAAGAAAAAAACAGGCTCCACCCCCTAGCAGCAGAATACAGCAGAACATTTAGGTACCCACAGAACATAAACCAAAATGGACTGTATCCTGGATTTTAACAAACATTAAGAATTTTTTAAAAACTGAAATCCTGTAGAATGTATCCTCCAGCCAAAATGGCATCAAATTAAAAATATAAAAGTAAAATAACAGCAGAATCTTAAATACTTGAAAAATAAACAGCATACTTTTTTAGTTCTTTTTTTTACATTTTTATTTATTTTAAGTTCTGGGGTAGGTGTGAAGGATGTGCAGGTTTGTTACATAGGTAAATTTGTGCCATGGTGGTTTTCCCTACCTATCAACCCATCACCTCGGTTTAAGCCCAGCATGCATTAGAGATTTTTCCCAATGCTCTTCCTCTCCCTCCCCCATCCACAGGCCCCAGTGTGTGTTGCTTACTTCCCTGTGTCCATGTGTTCTCATTGTTCAGCTCCTACTTATAAGTGAGAACATTAGATGTTTGGCTTTCTGTTTCTGCATTAGTTTCCTGAGGATAATGGCTTCCTGTTCCATCCATGTCCCTGCAATGGACATGATCTCCTTCATTTTTATGGGTGCATAGTATTCCATGTTGTATGGGTACTGCATTTTCTTCATCCAGTCTATTACCAATGGGCATTTAGGTTGATTCCATGTCTTTGCTATTGTGAATAGTGCTAAACAGCAAGCACACTTCTAAGGAGAACGTCTCAAGGGAAACAATTAAATATATTAAACTGAATAAAAATAAAAATACAACATATCAAACTTGATTTAACACAGTTGACGTCAGTGCTGAGAGGAAAATGTATTTCACTAAATATATATAATAGAAAAGTAGAAATCTCTCAAATAAAAATTCAAGCTATCACATCAAGAAAGTAGAAAATAGTAGCAAAATAAAATCAAAACAAATATAAGAAAGAATATAATAAGGATAAGAGCAGAAATAAATGAAACAGCCAAAAGAAAACAACAAAGAAAAGCAAAGAAATAAAGCTGGTTCTTTGAAAATATCTATAAAATTGACAAACCTTAACTAATAATGATAAAGAAAAAAGGGATGTCATAAATTACCAGTTTCATGAATGCAATGGGCTAACATTAGCAGTAGAACTCAGCAATGTACACAAAGAATTACACAGCATGTCCCAGTGACGTTTACTCCAGTGACTGCACACCTAGACATTCATCCCACTGAAATAAAAACTTTTTTTTTGCACTTGCAATTGGCTTCCCCTCTGCTTTTGTTGGCAAGAGCAGGTCGGTGTCCCAGGCTTAGAATCCATTTTTCTCTCTCTCCGTCTGTCTCTCTGTCTCCGTCTCTGTCTTTGTCTCTGTCTCTCTCTCTCTCTCTTTCTTTTTTTGACAGAGTCTTGCTTTGTCACCCAGGTTGCAGTGATGCGATCTCGGGCTCACTGCAAGCTCCGCCTCCCAGGTTCACGCCATTCTCCTGCCTCCCGAGTAGCTGGGACTACAGGCGCCCACCACCATGCCCGCTAGTATTTTGTATTTTTAGTAGAGATGAGGTTTCACCGTGTTAGCCAGGATGGTCTTTATCTCCTGACCTTATGATCCGCCCGCCTCAGCCTCCCAAAGTGCTGGGATTACACGCGTGAGCCACAGTGCCCGGCCAGAATGCATTTTTCCTCCCACACCAAAGCACCTGCAGTATGGGTGAAGCAGCCTGGAGCCTGGCTGCATAAGCCTGCACAGCAGGAGGGTCCCAGCAGGAGGGTAGAGGTGCCACTGCCTGGGTCCAGCTCACAGGCTGCCAGGGAGGCTCCGATCTGGCTCCCTGGTGCTGGCAGTGTCCTGTTCCCAGGATCTGCACGTGGGGGTGCCTTCCTGCATCTCCCCATCAGTGGTAGGTGCTCCTCCCAGCCCCCTCTTGCAGGCCTGGAGACAGCGGCCTGCACCTCAACCCTACTGCATGCCAGTGAAGCGAAGCACCCCGGGCCAGAAGCCCCACAGCTGTTGGCCCTGGTTTGGACACCAGGCAGGGGGCACCACAGCAGGAGCTAGCAGCCCAGCCCCGATTCTGTGGCCCCGAGTGCCCCGTTGCTGATGGCCCTGTGTTCTGGGTGCGGACCAAGGAGGAGCAGGTGTGGAAGGCGCCTCAGGCAGGCCCTGGGCTCCGTGGGCGTCTTGTGCTCGGAGATTTTGAGGCCATTTGCATCCAGCTCCGCCAACCAGAGCTCTAAGCTGCAGCGGCGGCCACCCGCAACAGCGCCACCACTAGTGTCTTGGGGGCTTTCTTCAGAGGAGGCTGTCAGCATCCTCGAGTTCCAGGCGCTCTAGCCCCAGTCCTGCTTCAAGAGGCTTTTTCCCACCACAGGCTTCTCTCCTCAGTGGCCAGAAAGCTGGGCCAACTCCCATGAACTTTGCCAGTAACGCAAGGCTGTCACTGACATTTGTGGCGCCAAGACTTGCGCACGCGGATTGCACACATCGGCCACTTCCTGGACCACGTGCAATGACACGCGCACGCCTCACGCACACGCCGCATAACGTCTGAGGCGCGCGCCCCGCACGCGCGCCCCGCACGCGCATAACGGCTTGGCTTACCTGTAACGGGTACACTTCGCTTCGCGTTCCTCGCTTGGCCTTGCGTTCCTAGCTTGGCTTGGCTGTTAGTAGCTTTGCCTGGTGTTTCTTGCTTGGATTGGCGTTTCCTCCCTCGCATTCCTTTGCTGGACTTGACCTTTTCTCTGCTGGGTTTGGCATTCCCTTGACTGGGCTGGGTGTTTCCTTGGGAGGGGGGGCTTGGCCTTTCCTGGGGTGGGCGTGGGGTCCCCCTGGTGGGCGTGGGCTTTCCCCGGGTGGGTGTGGGTTTTCCCTGGGTGGGGTGGGCTGGGCTCCCTTGCTGGGCTTGGCAAGTTTTGGCTGGGATTGACCTTTCTCTTCAAACAGATTGGAAACCCAGGGTTTCCTGCTAGTTGGTGAAACTGGTTGGTAGACGCGATCTGTTCGCTACTACCGGCCTCCCCTGGCTGTTAAAAGCAGATGGTGGCTGAGGTTTGTTCAATGCCCGCTGCCTCTGCTGTGAAGAAGCCATTTGATCTCAGGAGCAAGATGGGCAAGTGGTGCCACCACCGCTTCCCCTGCTGCAGGGGGAGCGGCAAGAGCAACATGGGCACTTCTGGAGACCACGACGACTCCTTTATGAAGACGCTCAGGAGCAAGATGGGCAAGTGTTGCCACCACTGCTTCCCCTGCTGCAGGGGGAGCGGCACGAGCAATGTGGGCACTTCTGGAGACCATGACAACTCCTTTATGAAGACACTCAGGAGCAAGATGGGCAAGTGGTGCTGTCACTGCTTCCCCTGCTGCAGGGGGAGCGGCAAGAGCAACGTGGGCACTTGGGGAGACTACGACGACAGCGCCTTCATGGAGCCGAGGTACCACGTCCGTCGAGAAGATCTGGACAAGCTCCACAGAGCTGCCTGGTGGGGTAAAGTCCCCAGAAAGGATCTCATCGTCATGCTCAGGGACACTGACATGAACAAGAGGGACAAGCAAAAGAGGTAACCGGGCCTGGGATGGGAGGAGGCGGGACATGGGGGGATGATGGGGACATACCCTCCTGGCGCAGGGAGGGAGGAGCCAGGCTTTCTCTTCCTCCGCAGGCCCCACACCACCCTGGGTGTGGAAACCTCAGAGATGTCAGGGCCCAGGTCCCTTTATAAACAGCAACACAAAAACAAAACTTTAGCTGATTTCCAATCCAATTATAATTTCCCTTATAGAACACTAATAGACGGTTTTAAAGTGATTTAACTCGCAAAATTAAGTCGATGCAGCAGATTATTTTTAATGTACACATTTTAAAACAATGTTCTATACACTATAGAAAGGTGTATATTGAGAACTAAGTCCCATAATATATCAACTTCTGGGCTAAATATTTTTCAAATAAAATCCAATATGGATTTTATATCGATGTGTACCCTATGTAAACACGTTCTTTACTGAGTAACCTTAAAAGGAAACTGAAATGGGAAGTATGGTTCATATCTTTGAATAGGAAGGTTCGTTTTTCTTAAGATGTGAGCTTTTTCTGTGTTTATCACTTTTACATAAGCCAAATAAAAATAGCAAAGTCTTAGTGTCTTTAAATTGCACATGATGTATTTTATCATTGTGATAAATTGATTTTTTGTAACAGAATGGAAAAAGACTTGCTTTTCCAGATATCAAAATGTGCGTGTGTTATTTCCACAAATTGTTTACTAACAGCTGAAAAGACATAAGTGAACAGAACAGAATAGGAAATCCAGAAATACCCAAATATATGTAAGAATTTAGCACTTGATAATGGTGATGTTTCATATTGGTAAAACAAGGTGAATTATTCATAAATTAAATGCATGCTGTTTGGAGAAAACTACCTAGATTTTTATGTCACAAAAATAAGTTCCTGGAGTATAGATTAAAAATTTTAAAGATACAAAAGGAGAAAAGTACCAGAAGAAAACACAAATGCCTATTTATATGTGCAAATATTTATTTATTTTTCTGAGACAGACTCTCACTCCATAGCCCAGGCTGGAGTGCAGTGGTGCAATATCAGCTCACTACAACCTCTGGTTCCTGGTTCAAGTAATTCTTTGCCTCAGCCTACCAAGTAGCTGGGATTACAGGCACCCACCACCATGCCTGGCTAATTTTTTGTGTTCTTAATCAAGACGGGATTTCACCATCTTTGCCAGGCTGGTCTTGAACTCCTGTCCTTGTGATCCACCCACCTCAGCCTCCCAAAGTGCTGAGATTACAGTCATGAGCCACTGAAACCGGCATATATATGCAGATATAATAAAATAAGCTCAATTTAAAATTGGGCAAGGTACTTTTTTGCATGTCTACCAGTGACCTGTGTACATAGGAAAACATAGCATTCCTGCTAAGAGAAGGAATTTAAGTTAGAAGAGGAATGAAAGACTATTTTCTGTTTAAGTTAGAAGAGGAATGAAAGGCCAGCCATGGTGGCTCATGCCTGTAATCCCAGCACTTTGGGAGGCCAAGGCAGGTGGATCACGAGGTCAGGAGTTTGATACTAGCCTGGCCAGCATGGTGAAACCCATTTCTACTAAAAATACAAAGAATTAGCTGGGCATGGTGGCATGCACCTGTAATCCTAGCTACTCAGGAGGCTGAGGCAGGAGAATTGCTTGAACCAGGGAGATGGAGGTTGCAGTGAGCTGAGATTGCACCACTACACTCCAGCCTGGGTGATGGAGTGAGACTCCATCTCAAAAAAATAAATAAATAAAAATAAATAAATAAATATAAAGGAATGAAATACTGTTTTGTGTCCACAAAGTTTGTGAGGGTGAAGAACAGTGGTACTTATATACCTGCTGAAAGTTTAAGTTGCTGCGACTTTTCAAATAGACACTTTGATGGTAAGAACCACATTTTTAAAATGTGTATGCCTTTTACCCATCTGTTCCATTATACCGAAATATCTATATGAAACAGACACAGCTGTTTTTCTTAGTATTGCTTAAAATAGCCATGTATTGAGAAGAACTCATATAAAGATTTTATGAACAAATTTCAGTGCATCCATAGGATGGAATAATATGTAACCATTGAGGGTGTCAGTAGATACAGAGATATGTCGGCATGCAGAGATGTACTTTGCTGTATCAAGTGAGAAAAAATCAGTTTGTTATACATATACACAAATAGAATCTGCTCTTGTGTTAGCTGGAAATATGTGGAAAATATAATCAAACTTATTTCTGGGGATTTGTAAGTGAAGTTTTTCCCTTTCTCTTATCTGTGATTTCTGCAATGAACATCTGCAAAGTTTTAGTTAAGTTTCATTAGTAATGAAATAATCCTTGGGAAGAGAAGGAATATGCTACTTGCATAGATACAAATAATTTCTTACATTCTATTATTTATTTTTATACCTGTGGATGGCTATCTTCTGTGAACTTTTACCCTCTTCAGAAGTAGAGGGCTTCTGTTTACCTCTTCTGGTAGATTTTATTGTGTATACATCTTATTATATATAGATTGATGTGTAAATAGTATGGATTAATTATTTTAGTTTAGTTATATATTTATGAAAACTAAAATAGCAAATATAAATGATCGTTACTATCGCAAATGTATTGCTCTACTCAACAGGAGTTTTCTTTTAAAAATATTGAACTTCCAACCTATGTTTATCCATTCTTTCAATCCGTTTAGTCATCAAACATAAGCCAGACACCTATTATATGGCAGGCATATTCTGCTATCTCTCAGGATCCTTCCACCTTTGAAAACTTCATGTTTACCTGCTGCGCCTGAGCAAGCTGAGAGAATCAAAATTGGGGCATTAGGACTTAATCTCAATTGAAGCTTTTCCTCCCTCCTTTCAAACAAAAGCACTTCTGAAGGTGGAAAATAGTAAAAGATAACCCTTAACTGCCCTTTTGAAAATGTATAAGACTTGGGTAAACACTGTTTTAGCTGTTTTAAGAACTTAAATGTGGTACATAAACAGCATGGAATACTATGTAGCCATAAAAGAAAGAACAAGAGCCTGTCCTTTGCAGGGACATGGATGGTGTTGAAGGCCATTATCCTTAGCAAACTAACATAGGAAGAGAAAACCAAATACTGCATGGTCTCACTTATAGGTGAGAGCTAAATGAGGAGAACACACAGACACCTAGAGGGAAGCAACACACACTGGGGCCTATCAGAGGGTGGAGGGTGGGAGGAAGGAAAGAAGCAGGAAATAGAACTAACGGGTACTAGGCTTAACACCTGAGTAATGAAATAATCTGTACAGCCAACCCCCTTGGAACACGTTTACCTATGTTAACCAACCTGCACATCCTGCACCTGTATCCCCGAATGTAAAAGTTGAAAAAAGCTCCACAAATAGTTTCATAAATCCATTTTAAAAAGAGAAAATTTATAACAGTCTTAAATCCTAATATGAATGATTGGAAATATCTGATGTACATACGTTGTATAAATCTAAGTATTGAAAAAAATGAGCCCATGCTATTCATTTGAATTTCAAGATTTCTTTGGCTTAAAGTTTTTGAAAACCAAAGTAAGAAATAGATTATTTTAGAAAATTGTTTTTGTTTTCACCTCAGCCCTCTTATTCCATAGTTCTTTTAAGAACTAAAATTTATCTAAATGCTAGTCATCTGACTGGAACTGCCCCAGACCTGTTATATTATAACATATTCTACTTAATGTAAGGCACCAGGGATTGTATGATGCCCCATTATTTTATGTCTCACTAAGAAAATTATTTAAATGCTGCCAATTATAATTATAGTAAATCATGAATTAATAAGTGGTATTTCAGTGTAAGAAATGTTAAAACATGGAGACAATGATCATCTTAGACTCAATAAAATACAGTACAACGCTACCTGTAATCTTTAAAATGTACCTGAAAGTGTAGGTATAATTGTATCGTTTCACTTAATTCAAATGTTGTCTTTAGTGGTATTAGTAAAAATTATAATATCTTACAAGTTTTGAGCTGTTATTTGTGTTAGGAACTATTCTATATTTTGTGTAGAGTCTTATTTAAGCATTACAGTGGTTTCCTCTGAGAAACTGACTATTTTCATTCCCATTTTATTGATGAGGAAATTGAGACACAAAAAGGCTAAGCAACAGCTAGGAAGCGACAGAGCTTCAAGTAGGATTCCAGCCCAAGTTGAATGTCATCCAAGAGCTATGCTCTTTCTATTCAAATAGGCTGCTCTTTCATTAATACAGTGACTAATGAGAGGTAATAAGTAGTGTGCTTTCTTCAAAGGAAAATTGAGTTTGTTTTGAAGGCAGAGTAATAGGCTATTCAGTGTTTGCAACTACATGAATCATTAATGTGGCATTAGCTAGTGCACTACAATTTCCTGAAGTCTTCTCACTCTCATAGGACTGCTCTACATTTGGCCTCTGCCAATGGAAATTCAGAAGTAGTACAACTCCTGCTGGACAGACGATGTCAACTTAACGTCCTTGACAACAAAAAAAGGACAGCTCTGATAAAGGTATGCAGTAGTCAACTATATCAGCGTGAGATGGGTTTGATTTCAATAGATAGCATAAAAATGAGTTTTCTCATTTAAATATAACTAGTTGGTGAAAGCTGTGGAATGTTATTTTGAATTCCTAGGACTTATAATTTGTTTTTGGTCTAATACTGACAGGCCGTACAATGCCAGGAAGATGAATGTGTGTTAATGTTGCTGGAACATGGCGCTGATGGAAATATTCAAGATGAGTATGGAAATACCGCTCTACACTATGCTATCTACAATGAAGATAAATTAATGGCCAAAGCACTGCTCTTATATGGTGCTGATATTGAATCAAAAAACAAGGTATAGATCTACCAATTTTATCTTCAAAATACTGAAATGCATTCGTGTTAACATTGACCTGTGTAAGGGCCAGTTTTCCGTATTTGGAAGCTCAAGCATAACCTGAATGAAAATATTTTGAAATGACTTAATTATCTAAGACTTTATTTTAAATATTGTTACTTTTAAAGAAGCATTAGAGGGTACAGTTTTTTTCAGTGCACTTGTGGTTAATGCTTTTAAAAAAAAAAAACACGGAATTTGTAAAAGGTAATACTTTTTTTTTTTCAATTTTTCCCTGCCAAGTTTTTTTTTCCCTAACAAATGTAAAATGACAAAATTTGCCCTGGAAATAGGTTTTACATTAAAACTCCAAGAAAACTTAAACATGTTTCAGTGAATAGTAATCCTGCTACTTTGGCAAATTCCTAAAAAAACACTAATAGATATGAGGTGATGTATCTCTCAGTGGCAAGGCTTAAGATATTTCTGATTGCTCATGAGGCAGAATTGGAAAGGGAAAAATGCAGCAATCAGAAATACCAAGGCCAACTTGGAAATTAGGTAATGGGGGAAAAGACCATGAAGAGGTTTTTTTTTTGTTTTTGTTTTTGTTTGTGTGTGTGTGTGTGTGTGTGTGTGTGTGTGTGTGTTGTTATTGTTGTTCATTCATTTGTTTCCTTTATATGGTGAGACAGGGTTCTTTTCCATTTTAGAGAATGACAGTTTTCAGTTTGGGAGAGGGAGTTAGTGGGTTGTAAACTGCCTAGAGATCAATTTTAGGAGGCCTCTGAGGAACCAGATTGGCAGTGAATATGTGGTAATGTAGTGGGAAACCCTTGAGTAGAAGGAATAACAAGTAATTAACCAACTTAGTATCCTATTCTGGTAGAAATGGCCAATTAGAGTCTCAACTCTGCTTTCAATTCTAGAATGTCTTGATGGGAAGGTGGGAGATAAGGGGCTTATAAGTAAAAAGATCAGGTTGGATTTTGAGTTTACTAGACCTTGTTCTACTCTTACCAGGGAAAATTTTGTGGTGTTTTCAGCAAATGAGTCTCTCTCCTACTCTTTCCTCTTTTTGGCCAAATCCTCAAATGATAAAGGGAATTGTTTATGTGATGAGAGATGAGACTGAAATAATTGTCTATTGCACTAGCTTCCAGCTAGAGTTGTGCATTCCAGTTACCTCAGGAAAATTTTTAAATAATCTTCAGGTCTAGGTTTTCCCCTGAAGATTTTGATAGAGTAAGTCTAATAAAGCCTGGATATGTATGTTTAAAAATGTTTCCTTGAAGCCAGGCATGGTGGTGCATGGCTGTAGTCCCAGCTGCTAGGGAGGCTGAGGTGGGAGGATTGCCTGAGCTTAGGAGTTCTACTCTAGCCTGGTCAACATAATGAGACCCTGTCTCTAACAACAACAACAACAAATTTCTCAAAATCCGGATACACTCCTGCTTAACCACTGAATACAGAAGTGTAATATGTAAATTCTTATATCTCAGAAACTTCAGATATTTCTAGAAGAGTTGGAGTTGGATATGTGCTAATTCCTTTAAATCTTTCCTTTCCAATAACATTAATCTAAATTTTTGTTTGTTTGTTTTTGAGATGGGGTCTCACTCTGTTCCCCAGGCTGGAGTGCAGTGGTGCGGTCACAGATCACCACAGCCTTGACGTCCCTAAGCTCTGGTGGTCCTCCAATCTGTTTTTGTATTTTTTTTTTTTTAGTAGAGATGAGGTTTTTGCCATGTTTCTCAGGCTGATCTTGAACTCCTGGGCTCAAGTGAATCACCCACCTCAGGCTCCCAAAATGCTAAGATTACAGGTGTGAGCCACCATTCCTGGCCTAGTCTGACTTATCTCTGTCGTTGGGACATTAAAATAAATATTATTGGCACTATCTATCAGCTTACAGAATAATACCTTTTCCTTTCTACCATCAGTTATTCACTGCCATTCAGAAGGTCTTTAGAAATTTGCAGTGAGTAGTCTTCCAATAAGTAGAGGATGGCTCTCTCAGGACTTTGTGTCCCTTTGTTCAATCATTCAAGTGCTTAGGTCAGTAAGTCGTTTTTAAGAGCAGAGTTTTCTCAGAATTGTAGCAAATTCTAAACCTTTTTTGTCAATTGAAGCTATATTGTGGGCTATCCAGTATGTCTCTTAAGTTTGTAGAGCTTTGGCTTAATCAGGATGGCAGGTTTAAACACTAAAAACCATGGAGTTATTAAGAATACAGATAGGAAATCTCTTAGTTTCAGTAATCCTATGAACTGATTATCTATCTAGTTAACAATCTGGAAAAATTAAATACAAATAGATTTTAAATGAATAAATGTTGGAAAAAATTCTTGAAATGGGCAGTGTGAGTATTAATAGCAATATTTATTGCATGTTGGAGCTTGAACTTTGGTAAAACATGTGAAACTAAAGAAATATTTTACATTCAAATTCTTGCTTTATACACAACAATTTTGTCTTAGGATTGGATAATAATAGAGATAAAAGATACAGCCCCTGCCCTCAAGAAGCTTTTTGTTTAAATGAAAAAAAAAATCATCCAAAAGTGCCATGCCAAATGCTCATTTAGAAACAAAGAGTCTTGGAAACAGTAAATGTTTAAAGTGAGTTTTTGAGATGATCAGATTTAATGTGGTGAGGCAGAGAAGGGATGTTTCCAAGGGAAGGAGTGGCATGTGGGAAAGTACAGAAGAGTGAGAAGGAAGCGACCAAATTTTATTTACTTTCTGTGAGTGTAAGTCCATAAGCTTCCAGTTCAGTTGAGAGATACATAATTTTTTGAATTACATATTGTTTTTGTTTTATATTGTTTTACAGTGTGGCCTCACACCACTTTTGCTTGGCGTACATGAACAAAAACAGCAAGTGGTGAAATTTTTAATCAAGAAAAAAGCTAATTTAAATGCACTTGATAGATATGGAAGGTATGGTTATTTCTTTTAATCTGTGTGTTGTTCTAGATTGATAGCAGTCACTCAAGTCATAAATAATAAATTAATAAGATCAAATTATACTTATTGGGACATAGTGATCAGTATCAACACAAATCAGTTAAGTAGAAAAGCAATTATTTGGACTGGGCAACATAAAGAACTGTTTTAGTAGGATTCATCTTCTCTTATTATATTGACTGATGTTATTTGTTGTATGATGTTTTTGGTTACATGATCTTATGTTAGCTAAAGGGATTTCATATTAATTTTATGAAGTTTGAACTTTAACTTTCAGTTTACTTTATGACTCAGTATTGAACTTTTTAACCCTTTCTAGTAGGTTTTAACCTCTGTATCTTATATGCTTTTCCACTAAATATGCTGTATTAAACATAAATAGGAGTTGAAAATCCTTTTGTCTTTTCAATGACTCTGCTTTAAGTTGCTTTCTTTGAAGAATATTAATGTTAGCTTATCCCTACATGACAATTAATTGCTATTCCCACATACTGTGGGTTCAACAGCTTTTTTCCTTTTTTATTTCCAGTGTATTTTGATGTTTTTATTTTTAGTTGGTATGGAGAGAGGGAGTGAAGATAGTTTTAAGTGGATACACTTTTCCTTTAATGAAGGCAAGCTGTAGGTGGGTGACAAAGAGAAAAGAGCTACGCTTTGGATTCACACAAGACTGGGTTTAATTCCTAACTTTCTTACTTGCTACGTGTGTGACATTGGGAACGTGATTTACCACCCAATATGTTGTCATATGTGAAAAGTAGGAGAATATATCCTTCAAAGTTGGCTGTGCATAAGCAAGAAAGATACATGTGGCATTTAATTCAGTGCGTAGCACATGCTTATTGGCATCATTAACTGAAACTCCTGTGACTACTATTCTTACCATTATTATTAATATTACTGCTTTCAGCATGCAGAGAGCTCTTATTTATCTTAGCCCCTAGCTAATTTTCTATCACAGCATATCAGTCTAGGGAAGCTGTGACAAAATCTTCACTTAAATCTTTGTCCACTTCAGATAAGTGGCCCTAGCATTGTTTCTTGCCCATCAAAGGACTTTAAATTAGTAGCTTCTGCTATGCAATACCCCACTGAGATAAGAGGTTTCCTTTTTGTCCCTTCCTTTTAACCTTGGTGGTATTTTACAAAGATGAACTCTTGAGCACCCAAGATGCTTATGTCTTTTAGCGCATGTAAATGTTTGATTCTGCATGGACAGGCAAGATGTCAAATTGGTAAAGTATATCAAATTAGCTTTTAAAATAACTTTATTACAGTTTCTAAAGGAGAAATTATCTCTGTAATTTTAGAACTGCCCTCATACTTGCTGTATGTTGTGGATCAGCAAGTATAGTCAATCTTCTACTTGAGCAAAATGTTGATGTATCTTCTCAAGATCTATCTGGACAGACGGCCAGAGAGTATGCTGTTTCTAGTCATCATCATGTGTAAGTGTTTACATGAAAAGGCTAGTTAATGCTAAATTGAGGTTTAAAATAATTATAACAATTGCATCTTACATATCAGGTGAGATGTCATAGTTTGGTTCAGGTAGTTTTAGAGTGGCAGTGAGTTAGTCCCCTGCATCAGCCAGAAATCAGACAAAAAGCAAGACAAGTTAGAAGTACCAATGGGTGCAGGATTCTTTACCTCAGGACTTTTAAGACCTTTATCCTTAGAGATCCCAATATTGTTCATTTCATCCAAGTATAACACCTATGCATGGCATAAAAAAGAGTATCACATCTTTGATTTTTCTGATTAGTTATTTGGGTCTTGAAATGTCCAGTTTAGCAGAAAGCCTTGTACTGTCTTCTGGGGACTGTCTCCTACATACTCCTTGAATTTTTCAAGAACCAAAGGGGTTCACTAAATCCAAGGAAGACAGTCCCTTTTATCAAGTCAGAAGGAGGAGAGAAAAAAGGACATTCCAATCATTCTGTTGTTTCCATTGTTTCTGTTGCTGCATTGTTGCCACTCAAACTGCTTCTGCTGCCTGGTAATTGTTGACCTTTGACACCAAGGTGCCCTTACTGATTCAGATCCCTCAAGTCTTCATGGGGATTCACACAGTGACTTTGAAGTTACAACATTTTTTAGTTCCCTTACCTATGCTTATATGCTCAGCCATTGTTCCCAAAGCACCAGCACCCTGCTCTGGCCGCTGGGCATCCTGACTTTATCCGCACACAAAGTGAGCAAATTGACCCTTCCTCCTGTATTCAGAACCTAATGTGGAACCCACATCTTAGCTAAGAATTAGCTGAGACCTTCATGGTAAGAGATCCTTTCAGGCCGTTGTTGGTCTTTTCTCTAGCAGATATGAGGTGGGCTTGTTATAAAGGGTCAGAGGGGTTCAAATAATGTGGCAGAAAGAGATCAGTGTTTGTTTCTTCTTCTTTGCTACCAGATCTACACAGTGAGGCACCTTTATATCCTGTGTAGAACCTTAGGCAGTAGAAAGTCCCATATGAGCCTTCCCCAAGCAGTGGCTCCCAGCTGTGGTTGGCCCCTTGAGTGATCTGATTTACATGATAATGAAAATCGTCCAAGCTACTTCCATCTCTAGCTCAAGATTTTAAAATATTTTCAAATTGTACCTCACAGGAAGCCATTGAAGAGAATTCTCAGAATCTCACGTGGGTTAAGTAAGTAGTGATGAGTCATGGACAAGAGCCAAGCCTTGCCCATGACTCATCACAAATCATGTGTAAAAGTAGGGCTTTGTGCCTGCTTTGGCGGCACATATCCTAAAATTGGAACAATACAGAGAAAGTTAGCACGGCTTCTGCATAAGGAGGCAGCACAACTCTTTGAAGCATTCCATATTTTGTGCAGTCACTGGAAGATCATTTCACTATTTGCTGGCTAGCTCTAAGGAAACAGTGTGAATCAAAGCAAAATGGGTGCCACCAAAATATCGAAATGTGATTTGTGCTGCAAAAATAGTCATGGAAGATGGTCTGTGAGATGATTTAGAGCTGAATAATGTGTTCAGTGCAAAATATATTATAAGTATGTACGTCAAAAATTAGAGAATGTCAATTTGCAGCTTCTTCATGAAAACTGAAAAAAAATAAAAGTAGAGTTTTGGTCTCCCATGTCAGCTGGAATTGAACATCAATATAAAGCATTATCCTAACAAACATCTGCTGGCTCAGAGTTTGAGTCTGTAGAGAAGGATCATTGCTCCAAGCCAGGTCTTAACATCCATTGGTTTTTCTGCCCTTAGCACAACAAATTGGTCAACTCCGTAATAGTGGACAATCACATTATCTACTTTAATGAGAGATTTATGAAAAAATTTAGTTACAAACTATGACACAGTTGAGATGCCCTGAATGATAAGCCATAAGGAGTAGGACAACTAAGAAGCAAAATTAGGACTTAATAACATTTCCTGAAAACTACAGCATTTGCATATTAGAACCTATGAACAAAATACACATGGGGTTTTATTTGGGATTCCAAGATAATTTTAGTCATAAAGTTTAGGAACAGATTATTCCATTGCTTTACTATTTCTCTGAGCATTTAAAAAATGTTACCTTGTTAAATCTTTATAACAACCTAGTGAAATAAGGCAGCAAAGTCCTCACTTTGTAGAAGAAGACATTGAGCCTAAGAGAAGAAAGTTGTCCAAGAACAAATAGCTGTTCATTATGGAGCTAGGACTTATGCAGAGTTGGGACACTTTCTATTATGTCATGCTAATGCCTGCTGATTTACTGGGTCACAGTGCCCTTGATTTATGAGCATTTCACCTAATTTTTTTTCTTCTTTAATTAGAAGCTTAAAGAAAAGTTTGTAGAATGTACTCATAAGTGTATGGGATAATACTGTTAAATTCTGATATTATGATATTGTTTGAAATACTCTAAGAATCTTACATTTGGTAAGTATTTTTTATATCAGTATTAAAATAGTAATTTGGTTTATTACATTTTTATACATAGAATTTGTGAATTACTTTCTGACTATAAAGAAAAACAGATGCTAAAAATCTCTTCTGAAAACAGCAATCCAGGTAAGACTTGTGATAATGAATTACTTTAGGTCAGTTGTCCACAATGTTTTTGGCATCAGGGACCGGTTTTGTGGAAGACAGTCTTTCCATGGGCTGGGGGAAGGTGGGGATGGTTTCAGGATTATTCAGCCATGTTTCATTTATTGTGCTACTTTATATTATTATTACATTGTAATATATAATGAAATAATTATACAACTTACCATAATGTAGAATCCGTGGAAACTCTGAGCTTATTTTTCTGCAACTAGATGGTCTCATCTGGGGGCAAAGTGAGACAGTGACAGATCATCAGGCATTAGTTTCTCATATGAAGCACACAACCTAGATCCCTCAGATGAGCAGTTCACAATAGGGTTCATGCTCCAATGAGTATCTAGTGCTATCACTGATCTGACTGGAGGCAGAGTTCAGGCGGTAATATGAGCCATGGGGTGTGGCTGTAAGTACAGGTGAAGCTTCCCTGGTTTGCCTGCTGCTCACCTCCTCCTGTGTGGTGTGGTTCATAATAGTCCATGGACTGGTACCAGTCTGTGACCTGGGAGTTGTGGACCCCTGCTCTGGGTGGTCCTACCGTAGATAAAAAAATAAAAGTAAGGAATTTTTGATCACAAAAGAACGCCAAAGCACAAGTCATGTTACATATCCTTGTCCCAACAAGGTCTCACTCTTACTGACTTCATTCCTCCTCATTTGAAGTTGGAAAGAGATACATTTACTTTGTTGGAACAAGATGTGTTCTCTACCTGCTGGTCAATTGTCTTGATAACAGTAATTTTGTTAGAACAAGATGCTCTGCTACCATTTACCAAAAGATTGTCATAATAAATATACAAATTGCCCAACTCTAGGCTCAGCAGATTATAATAAAAGTAGAAAAATGCTTCACATTAACAAAAATACTAGTATGCCACCTGGTTGTGGACACCTAATACATTGTATAATCCAAACTGGATGAGGACACCTTTAATTTAGCCATCTATTTATCAAAAAGCTTCTGTAAGTTAGGTTTTATAAGTTGCAGAAGACAAAGATGGAATAGATGTAGTTTTGATCTTTAAGGTGCTCATAATAGAGGTGTCTCTATTTCATTTCTGTGCTTTTTCAACAGAATTTACAAAGAAAACATTTCTATGTTTTCACTTGTCCACTTAACAAATAACTATCAAATGTCTTTTAGATACTAATCATTTTTCTAATGCTACAGAACACACACAATTAAAAATACAGACAGGAGCTTGTTATTATCATTGTCACTTTTATTATTTTACTACTTTATTCAGTGCTTACTGTGTGCTAGATGCCAACTGGAAGCTTATAATTATGATTTATTATGTATTAATTATGTGCCAGACATACGTGATGAGGAATGAAAGTTTTGAAAAAAAGTAGGTATGATTCAAAGTAAGCATGCAGAGTGAGAAGAATTTTTCTAGGTAAAGAAGCAGAAGAATAATTTTTGGCAGAAGGAACATGCAACAAGTTTGTGTGTTTGCCAGAAGAACATCTGATGAGATTGCCTGTTTGGCAGGAAGAGCAACAACTGCAAAAGACAGGATGCCGAGTGAACTTTGCAGGGTTTCTGAGCAGTTCACTTTTGCTAGTACCAAAAGTGTGAGACACCAGAGTTTGGGAATGAGGTGAATACTTAGCTAAGGCAAGTTTATGATAGACTTTTTTAATACTATAGAAATGAGTAGGTCTTACCCTGTGGGCCATGGGAAATTTACCAGGTAGAATGCTTTGGACTGTAAATACTAGATGAGCAGTGGCTAAAACAGTAGGAACCAGAGTTGTTTTGGTTGTTCAGTGATATCCTAGGATCCCATTTGTCCCTCTTTCAGCTGTGCTGTTGGCAGTGTTTTCTTCATGTTTCCTTTCATGGTTGGCTAATCCGCAGCAGCTCCAAACATCTTGTTCTCACAACACAACATTTCAAGGGCTGCTTTTCTTCACATGTGTCTTTTAAACAGGGAGAAAACTTAGAAGCATGCAAGGGGCTTCCTGTAACATTTCATTGGCTGGGTCACACCACATGCTCATTCCCAAACCAGGCAATGGGATGGCAAATACATGATTAGCTTAGAATAAACATTTCTCTTTCTGAGGCTGAGGAGGGGGATTGGGATAATAAATATCCCAATAGACTTGTGTTTCTTCTGCAAGAAAGAATAAGGAATGGCTATTGATAGGAGCCAACAATGTGTGCTGCAGGGGCTCATTGGAGAAATTTGAGCAGGGGAGTTACAAGATTAAATTTGAATATTAAGGCATATTCTGCTTATGGTGTAAAATGGGTTAGCAAGCTTTTTCTGTAAAGGACCAGGTGGGAAATATTTTAGACTATGTGGTCTCTGTCATATCTACTTAACCAGGCTGTTGTCTGTTGTTGTAGTGTGAAAGCCACCATGATTATATGTAAGCAAACAGGCATGACTGAGCTCCTATAAAACTTTATTTACAAAGCCAAAAGGCAGATTGGATTTGTCCTGTGGCCTATAGTTTGCTGGGATTGATGGAAGATAACCATGTAAAGAAACCAGGAGACAAAGGAAGCTTTTGCAGTAGTCATCTATAGTTTCCATGTCACACATCCTTGGACTAGTATCAATGTATTCTAAGGTTTTCACCTGCCCATGGTGAAATAAAGTTTGGAATCCCCATTACTCATTTTAATGTGTTGGCCTTTTTTTGGTGTTATGCTTTTTTCATTTGTTTTGCTTAATTTTTTTCATGTGAGAAATAACATTAATAGTTGGAAGGCTTTTTTGTAATAAAAGCCATTTTGTAAATGTTTATGTTCTCAGTGGAAGTGGTAATATAAAGCAGAGGCAGAAGAGAGGTATAGTCAATATGATTTAGTGATAATTGAATGAGAAAGGTTTGGAGGACAGAGAGAAATGTCAGATAATTTACAGGTTTCCACGTTGTACACTAGTATTTAAGCTGGGCATGAGGAAGGAGTACGAAATTTTCTCCATGACCTGTGTGAGTCACAGCTTCCAGAAAAGAAAGAGAGCAAGGAGCATATTAAGGAAGCACAGCAAAGTCAGTCCTAGAGTGCCCTGCTTGACTTCATGTCATAGTTCTGACTTCTAAAAAATCATTTTCTGCAAAATGTGCTTTGTGTTTTTCCCCTCTTGCAGCCTGCAGCCAAACAGAATCCCTTTAGCAGGGCATTTTTGTGTTCTTCCTTTAAACAAAGCAACATATAAATAACAAAAAAGAAGTAAGAGAAAGAGTATTTTTTGTATAGGCTAGCATTTAACTTAAACTTGAGAGCGAGTACTAGGATTATACTTAGAATTTATGGACTGGGTAGGAAGACTAGATAGAAATCTAAAGATTGCTGACTCAAACACAGTGTGATTTTTTTGCTTTATTCTCACAGCTCTGAATTCACAACTATTAGTTATATTCATATACACTATAACTTTATAAAGCACCTTCCCAAACAAATATTAAGTGATTTATTATAATTTCTATGACTTATTATAGAATTGACTTTCCAAGTGTTCATGAGAATTATTGGGAATTTGCTACATAGTATCATCTCAGCTGTGTCCACATGAGCTAGCTGTCACCTTGTCTTAATGAATAATGGCTCACTAGGAATATTGGTTTTGGCATTAAAATGATCTACATCTTAATACAGATAGGACCAGGGACCACTCTTGAACGTTAATGTCTAAGCATCTTAAAGGTACACATAAGGCTTTCATAATCTGACTTCTGCCCTATTCTACATCTTTAGCCCTTTTCCCTGTGTGCCCTTTCTCTGGCATTACTGAGTGGCTCTTAATGCCCTACTCACTCCTCCTTCTATTGCAGGCAAATACTTTCACTCTTTCAGGCCTCGCTCCTGCTCTTGCTGCTGTGTGGCATGCTGTCACCCTTTCTTGCCCTCTACCACTTTTAATCTAGCTAGCCTCAATATTTAAGTCTCTGCTTGGGCAGGTGTTCTAGAAAAGCCATCCCTGACAGGCTTTATTTTCATTCTTTTTAAACCCTAACACCTAGCATGTATGTAGCAGGACTCAATAAGAAATTTCTGAGTAAAATAAAGACTGTTTTTACAAAGATGATGTGCAAGACTGTCCTCTGCAGTCTTGGAGCAGAGGGGACAGACATGTGGAGGAATAGTGTACAGTTCAGGTGGTAAAGGTGCAGTAGAAAAATCAGTGAGGTCCTAAGGCAACCTCAAGGAAGGAGTTACCTGTTTATCTGGGGAAAGATCTGCAGAATCAAGGAAGACTTCCCATAGCATTGTTTTAAAAGATGAAAACAAGGCTGGGTGTGGTGGCTCACACCTGTAATTGCAGCATTTTGGGAGGCTGGAGCAGGTGGATCACAAGGTCAAAAGATCAAGACCATCCTGGCCAATGGTGAAACCCCATCTCTACTAAAAATACAAAAATTAGCTGGGCATGATGGTGTGTGCCTGTAATCACAGCTTCTCAGGAGACTGAGACAGGAGAATCATTTGAACCAGGGAGTCAGAGGTTGCAGTGAGCTGAGATTGTGCCACTGCACTCCAGCCTGGTGACAGAGCAAGACCCCAGCTAAAACAAAAAAAAAAGAAAAATGAAAATAAATTTGTCATAATAGTGGATGGAAACATTTTAGATGTTAAGAAGACATTGTACACTAATAAAGGTGTCAGTAGTAATTTTGGAAATCGTTTGTAAGGTACTATTTTTGCAGAAAACAGGAGGCAGGAGAGACCCAGTGGGTCAAACAAGAGGATTTTGTTTAGGTGCACACCAGCTCAGCGGATTTGCATCAAAAAGCTGAGCCCTGAACAAAGACAGGGCTTGGCTTATATAGGCAAACTTATAGAAGCAGAACAAAGGCAGTTAATCATATAGTGACAGTTTTGCAACCACTGCATAGCTTGCGACCTTGCAGCTGCATTGAGGGAAAACAAGAATTTGCAAAATATATGCATTTGTAAAAATAGCTATGAATAAATGCTGAGGGGGAGGGGAGATGGTAAAGGAATTTGTTTTCTTAACCTTGCTCTGGGATGTCTGGAGCCCATACCTGTGGGCTCTGGCTTCTCAGACAGGGTCACCATGACCTTTCCTGGGCCTGCTTGTTACTATCCTTAGAGTCAGACTAGCTAAGTGCAGGAAAACTTGTTTCTCTTTAAAACTAAATTTCCTTTTCTTTACATTTACTGCTTCACTATTAGGAAGTGAACAACATACTGAGTTACCTTATATGTTTCTACTGTATTTTAAAGTTGTGTTTCTGGTGGTTTTGTTCATTTATGTTGGGTGGATGAATTTGTGAGTGAATCACATCAGGTGTCTCCCCAAGTGGTTTGTTGAAGTTTTGGAGAATTATTTCCTAAGTAACTATTTCATGAAAGACTAAACACTCAGTTTATGAAATAAAATAAAATGTTGTCTTCAATCTATTTTTATAAAGGCAATAGTTTTTAACTGTTCTAAGTGGTTCATTTTAACTGAATATATGGATTTCTCAACAGAACAAGACTTAAAGCTGACATCAGAGGAAGAGTCACAAAGGCTTAAAGTCAGTGAAAATAGCCAGCCAGAGGCATGGAAAATTTTAAGTTTAAATTTTTGATTTAATGTTGTTTTCTTTGCTTGAATAATATTAGATAGTCCAAATGAAATTACCTTTCAGACTAGGTTTTAAGAATCAATAGATTCTTTTTTTAAGAATTTTTTAATAGATTCTTAAAATTTATTTTAATAAATTCAGCAATCTCATTAACAGAAGAATTAATAAATTCTAACTTGACATTTGATATTTAGCTTAAAAACGTAACCACTATAAAATTTAAAATACTCTTATTTTATGGTATTCTTATTTAAAATATTCTTATCTGCCTTTTTGATTAGCTTATAGCTAATCTTTCCTTTTGGAATAGAGGCAAAAACATATTCCAGACCTTTGTTTGTTCTTTTATTTTTACAACACCCTAACATGATAAAGTACCATCAATTATTGGATTATATTATTAAGCAATAGAACTGTGAACAATGTAACACTGAAGGTCCCTGAGCTGGATTCATGGTTAAAGAATAATCACGGCCAGTGATTGAAAATCTGCAGTTTTATATTGTCAGTCACAGATACCAAGGTTAAAGACATATTCTGCCTTGTGGTCTCTCACTGACCTCAGCATTTCTGTTCAGGGAGGGAACCAGGTCATAAAAGCAACCCAACTGCCTATTACAAGAATCATATCTTGCAGAATGGGACATTTGGTGTTAGTGCACAAACACAATAACCTTCTACCTTATTTCAGTTGCAGAAAATCAGTACAGATTATTAAAAAATTTTTATCCACTGTAATTAGTACACCTTAGAATATATTAGAACTGGACTTAAGCAGATCATCTAGATACATAACACTATCATATTACAGCATATAATTTCAATTAAAATTTAAGAATTTGCATTTCTTCCTCTTTGGTGTTGATTTCAGCTCCTAATAATTTAAAGCGTGCCTACAATCCAATTAGGAATCTTTTTAAAAAGCACTTCAGTGCACTATAGGGGCTCACTAGTTAGGGTTTCATGAGATATACTCTTTTCAAGTGAGGAAGCCCTTGGAACACTACAAATCATCTGCTAATTCATTTTTGGTAGATTTAACACATAACAAATTAAGTTTAGTCCAAACAAATGGTGACAAAGTTAAGTTTGCTGGTTCATGTTTTTATTCTCCCTTTGTCTAAGGTGAATTATTTTCCCATGTTAGTCAGAAGCCAATGATGTGGCAGTAGCTAAACATAGATTAAAAAGTTAATTCTTAATTTTAATTATTTATTTATTTAATTATTTTAAGTTAAATTTTATTTTATTTTCTAATTTTTCATGTCCATACTTGATTACTTAAGAATAAAATTATTTTAACATGCATTCCAAAAGAGGAGACATACACGGAAATACAACAAGCAAATTAACCTTCTATTTTTGCATCTGCAGAAAATGTCTCAAGAACCAGAAATAAATAAGGACTGTGATAGAGAGGTATACCTTTATGTTCAAATGTTTCTGTGGAATTAGATTTTTATGTTATGCTGTTTAACAAAGTGTAGTAAGTGTACGCATACATGATCCTATCATGTAAGTAGCATAAATCACCAGTGAAAAATTTAATATTTAACTCAGAAAGAATTCTGTACATTGAGTTTTCAAGAGATACAAACCCTAGAGAGATTCTTTCATTATTATGGAACAATCCTGAATGGTGCCATAAAATGCTAGGTAATGCCTCTTTAGGAGATTTGGACCAATCCTTTTATCTTTCTTGGTTTTAGTCTGATTATCACTAGATAATGTGGCTAAAGAAGATAATTACTTATTCTTTGTAATTTCCAGCTGGAAAATTGTATAGCTATTGAATGTGAAATTTGGGGAGCATCTAATTTTCTGGAATTCCATGCTTGCACCTCAGCAGTTTCACTCTGCTCCTTGTGTTGTGGCAAACTTTGGTTTTCATGTTTCAGTGAGCACCATCATGTTTTTGATATCCAGGAACCAAATGAAAAAAGAACGATCAAAGGCAGTGGGAGAGGAGAATATCTTAGTGCAGAAAAGGGCCATCTTCCTTTCTATTCCTGAAGCCCCCCAGTGTCTCATCCTCTACATCTGAGTGTTTAATGTAAAATCTAGGTGGTAAAGACAGAAGACACATTTTGTGTCTATGTCGTTTTATTTTTGTGTTCCCACGAGTCAAATGGGGTAAATTCATATATAAGATTCTGAAGAGTTTTTGGGAATAAAAGCACAAAATGAAGGAGGGCCCTTTTTGAATTTTGGAAAATTCTGTTTTATTCAGTCAAACAGCTGGAATCAAGCAAACTACAAAAATTTCAGTGATATACTAATGACATGATAATTACATCTTAAAATTATACGGTTATAGTTCTGTATATATGATCAAATTTAAGTGTGAAATATTTTTAATGACTAAAATAATGGCAAACTGAGTCAATTGATAAAATCAATTAAAAAGGTTATTTTTATTCAATAAAGTGATAACCATCCTTAATATCAAACTTCCACTCAAGGTTGAAGAAGAAATAAAGAAGCATGGAAGTAATCCTGTGGGATTACCAGAAAACCTGACTAATGGTGCCAGTGCTGGCAATGGTGATGATGGATTAATTCCACAAAGGAAGAGCAGAAAACCTGAAAATCAGCAATTTCCTGACACTGAGAATGAAGAGTATCACAGGTAAGCCTATAGGAGATAACTATATGCTGTCAAACTAATCCTAATTTGGGCTTTCATGATGAACAAATTTTATACTTTTACTAGAATATTCAGCCTTGCCTGTTAATCAGAAAAATGAAAATCAGTAAACAATGAGTTACCGTTTTTTCCAGTCATTAATTTATTTGAAAAATAACCGGCATTGGCAAATGTGAGGGAAAAGGCATTTCCTTTTCTTTTTAATGAACTTTTATTTTAGCTTCAGAAGTTCATGTGTAGGTTTATTATATAGGTAAACTGTGTCATGGAGGTTTGGACTACAGATTACTTCATCAGCCACATAATAAGCAAAATACTCGAGAGGTAGTTTTTTGGTCATCTCCCTCCTGCCACACTCCACCCTCAAGTAGACCCTGGTGTCTGTTATTCTCCTCTTTGTGTCCATGAGTTTTCATTGTTTAGTTCCCACAAATGAGTAAGAATATGTGGCATTTGATTTTCTGTTCCTGCATTAGTTTGCTTAGGATAATGGCCTCCAGCTCCATGTGTGTTGCTGCAAAGGAAACGGTCTCATTGAAAAAGACAATTCATACACTGTTGGTAAATATATTTTGAACATTAATTTATTAGCATATTTGCACACACACATATATAACATAGTAAGTATATATATGTATGTTAAGGATATTTGTATAGATTTGTCACATATATACTTATGTATAAGGACATTTCTTACAGCGTTATTATATCAAAAAGATGGATCCTTATCAATAGGAATTTATCATTATCAAAAGTAAATCCTTACCAATAGGAAATGGCTCAATTTTCATACCCAGAAAATAATACGGTATGCAAACATTTTTTACAAATGAGGTTAGATCTAGAGTATACTGATTATTTCACAATTAAAATGTATTTAAAGCATTTAGTTTGGTAACACATCTTAAGATAATTTTGTTAGAATTCTTGTAATATCTGCTGTGTTGCAAATGGAAGCTACACGCTACATTGACACTGTACCTTGTTAGCAACGAGATTGGTAGTTATTAAATTTTTGTTGTCAGTGCCTGAGTGCCAAAATATTGGACCTTCAATCTGAATATTGCCAAGGGATTGTACATGGGGACCTATATTTAATATAAACATTTGAGTATATTGGGTAAAACTTTTATTAAAATATATCAAAGTATCTTTCATCTGCTAAACCAGGAGCTGGCCAGCTTTTTCTGCAAAGAGCCATTTAGTAAATATTTTAGGCTTTGTGGACTATATATATTTATTTTTTTTGAGACAGGGTCTCTGTTGCCCAGGCTGGAGTGCAATTGTGTGATCACAGCTCACTGCAGCCTTGACTTTCTGGGCTCTAGTGATCCTCCTCCCACCTCAGCCTCTCTATTAGCTGGGACCCCAAGTGTGCAACATCACACCCAGCTAATTGACTCTATGGACTGTAAAGTGAATAAGCATGGCTGCGTTCCAAGATTCTTTACTTACAAAAACAGTCAGTGGCCTGGATTTGGCCCACAGGTGCTAATTTGCTGACCCTTGTGCTAAAAGGAAGGTGCTGCTAATGCAGTAACACTTATTTATAAAAGTGCCCAGCATGTGTGACAGTATCTTTCCTTTGAGAAAAGGATATATTTTGGTATTCACCTCACCATATTTTTCCACAGTGACTTCATATAATTTTAAAAATTTCATTTGTAAAATAAGATTATTTTCTGCATTTCTGCCACTTTATTCCTGTTAATAGAATTCAGTATTTTATGGTGATCAATTACTTTGTATATTCGATGAGCATCAACTGTCCTAGAATTGGCTGATTTTTATCAAGCAAGAAATACTCTCCTTGAAACTTTTAGTTTTTCTTGGTCTTTATGTATAAGCATGAACAAAATGATAATTGGCTTATGTAATCTAGAAATGGTCAAGGCAACTTTTAGTTCTATAGTTTTAAGATTTAACACCTTGGTCTGGCATTTTTAATGCCACATGTGTATAATTTTTATAAGCTTTAAAATATATAATTGTTATATAAAATTTGAAAACTACACCTTTTATGTAAAATTTGAAACTATTTGTCTATTACTTTTCCATGACTGTGGAAGAAAATTACAACATTCTCAGCCATGACTCCTAAGTATGATGTCCTTAAAAGAACTGTCTACACTCACGAACTCAAATTTTCTTTTCATTCACTCTTGATCTCATGCCAGTAAGTCTTCAATTTCAGTAGTCCTCCAGCATTGTTTTTCCTCAAGATTATCACTAATTTTTTTCTGTAATAAATCTAGGCACTTTTCTTCCACCTCATTTTATTTAATCTGTCAGCAATATTTGAGCCAATGGAGGGCATCTCCTCCCTAACGGCATCTTCACTGGCTTTCAGGACCTCACTCCCTCAGGCTTTTCCTCCTGCCTTTCTAGTCCATTCATCATGGTCTGTTTTGCTTGCTCCTCCTCATCTTTCTCCTTTTGGACATTGTTGTTTCCCAGGGCTCACTCCTCAGTCTTCTTTCTTGTGACTTTTTCTTTTTCTTTTTTGGAGACAGAGTTTCACTCTGTCTCCCAGGCTGGAGTTCAGTGGTGTGATCTCGGCTCACTACAACCTCTGCCTCCTGGGTTCAAGCAATTCTCCTGCTTCGGCCTCCTGAGTAGCTGGCATTACAGGTGCATGCCACCGTGCCCAGCTGATTTTTGTATTTTTAGTAGACACAGCATTTCCCCATGTTGGCCACCCTGGTCTCAAACTCCTGACCTCAGGGGATCTGTCTGCCTTGGTCTCACAAACTGTTGGGATTACAGGTGTAAGCCACTGCACCTGGCCCCTCGTGACTTTTTCTACTGTGTATATGCTAGTGATTTCTGAATGTATGTCTCCAGCTCAGATCTTTCTCCTTAATTCCAGATTTCTATATCAGCCTGCCTACTTGACGTCTCTATTTGGTTAGTTATTGGGTATCACACACTTGTCAGATCCAAAATTGGGCTACTGATGTCCTTCCTGAAATCTGCACCTCATGTAGTCTTTCCTATTTTTGGTTAAGGGCAACTCTTCCAGTTGCTCTGCCAAATATCTCGGTGTCATTCTTGACTCATCTCTCTCTCTCTCTGACACCTCACATCTAATCTCTCAGTAAATCTTGTCAGGTCTACCTGAAGAATATGTCCAGAAGTCAGTCATATCTTGTACATCTGAGCCACCCTCATCTGCAGTCTAGATGAGTGTCATAGACTGGGAATTGATAGTCCTGGTTTTTAAAAACTTCCCTTTTCATCAATTCTTAACTCAGTGGATGTATTTAAAACATAAGTCAAATTGTGTCATTCCTCTGCCCCAGCCCTTCTGATTATCTCCCATTTCACTCGGAGTATGTGTCAAAGTTCCTCCTAATTATCTCCCTTGCTCTGCTTCAGCCAAACTGAATTCTTGCCGTCCCTTATCTACCCCTAGTGCTTAAAGATGCCAGGCACACCTCTGTGATTCGCAGTTCCCTGTGTCTGGAATGCTTTTTCCCCAGTTATCCTCCTAGCTTTCTCTTTCCATTCCTTCAGTTCTTTATTTAAAACCCCCTTTCTAAGAAGAAGAGGAAAAAGGGTAAAAAGAAAGACATTAAGGAACAACCACTTTCTGAGGAAGAACAGCGTGCTACCTAGACGCGTCATGCTTGAGGTTCAATTGGGTGCCTACCAGGGATGCTCTCTAACGTAATGAAGGGAAGGTTCAGTGAAACAAAGTGATTTAACATCTCTAACTTCAAACCCATTTGTATCTTGACATCAATGCCGTTAACCTTATGTCGTCATTTCTTAGAGTCTTTGATATACAAATAAAAGGTTTTTTGTATTAGAAAAAAAAATCCCCTTTCTCAGCAGGGACTTTTCTGACCACCCCAACTTTCCCACCACCCTCCCCATGAAACACATAAACATTTCATTTTCCTGCTTTAGTTTTTCTCCTCTAACATACTGTATATTTTGCCTTATCTGTCTGTTGTTATTGTGTGTTTTTCTCACTCTCATGAATGGGTTTTTTATTTTTCACTACCATATCCTCACTGCCTAGAAAAAGGCCTAGCATATTGGATGAAGCTACCTAATAAATACTTATTAAATGAGTGAATGGAGTTTATCCTGGATATATTGTTTGATTAATTCTCACTTTAAAAATGTTTGACATGGTTCATTCTAACAGTTTTGCCCGGTAATTACATGCATTTTAAAAATTGTTTTGGCTCTTTATAATAAGCTACATTCTTTATATTATTTTTTTATTTAGAGAGAAAAGCCCAATATTGTGGTTATTCACTATTTATTCTTTTACTAGTAAACATAATTGTAATTATGGTAAACTGAGTCAGAGGAATTGCAAACTTTACTGGTATTTTATTTTATTTTGAGATGGAGTCTTGCTGTATCCCCCAGGCTGGAGTTCAGTGGTATGATCTCAGTTCACTGCAACCTCCGCCTTCTGGTTCATGCATTTCTCCTCCCTCAGCCGCCCAAGGAGCTGGGATTACGGGGGCATGCCACCACGCCTGGCTAATATTTGTATTTTTAATAGAGATGGGGTTTCACCCTGTTGGTCAGGCTGGTCTCAAACTCTGTACCTCAGGTGATCCACCCACTTCGGCCTTTCAAAGTGCTGGGATTACAGGCATGAGCCACTGCGCCTGGCCACTAGTATTTTATTTAAAAAAAAATTAGGGTGGCACATTTAATGGACTTACAAATTCTTTTCAAGGGATTATGAACCTTTGGTATTTGAAATAAAGATACAGAGTTGGAATTTTTTGCTTCCTATAGTAAGAGGAATACTGGTCAGGCACTGTCTATTCTGGTGGAGCAGGTGCTGCTGCGTGGCTGTATTTCAGAAGTAAGCTGCTCACATTGATATTGGTTGGTGAGCAAGAGCAGTGGTCATTGATTGATTGACTAGATTTCAAACTGGCTTTTGGGTGGCTTGTTGTTACCATTGGTACAAGTCATTTCTTTCCTAAGTTAGAGTCAACTTTAACCAAAAATTTTCTGTATAAAAGTTGCCTTCAATTAACTATGTTCAAAATGAAAGTATTTTATATTCCAGAATTGTAGACTTCATTTTAAAATTTTGGTCAAGATGAATTGGTTAATAATAGCTCTCAGGAAGATCTGTTTTCCTTTTTTAAAATACATATTTCTCTGTATAATTTATTCCTTAAAATTAATTATTTTCTTTCTGTTTTTGGTATTTTTAGAAGCTTTTGCTCAAGTCCTAACATAATCTCCAGTAGGAGATTTTAATCTCTTTGTCAGTTCATGTATGTATATGGTAGTGATACTCTCTTTTTAAATTCCTTTTCTCATTCACTTTCTTCTCAGTACAATAACAGTGATATTCTTATACATCTTTACCTCATTTAAAAGTAATTACAGTTTTCTGCTGGCAAATTCAGCTTTTTATATTTTGACTAAATACTAGGCTAAAATTGAAGAAAATTTACCAGGTCATTTTATTTTCAAACAAAATCATTACTAATAAAAATTGCTATTTTTGAAATATAAATAATGACATTTTGATATTTTAAAAGTAAGGATACACCCCCCCCCAATAGTTTCGCTTTGTGTTTCCACCCAAATCTCATGTCAAATTGTAATTCCCAGGTGTTGAGAGAAAGACCAGCTGGGAGGTATTGGATCATGGGGTCGGTTTCCTCCATGCTGTTCTCTTGATAGTGAGTTCTCACAAGAGCAGATAATTCTATAATGGGCTCTTTCCCTTTCACTTCTCTCTCTCCTGCCACCTTTTGAAGAAGTTGCCTGCTTCCCCTTTACCTTCTGCCATGATTGTAAGTTTCCTGAGGCCTTCCCAGCCATGTGTAACTGTGAATCAATTAAGCCTCTTTCCTTTATGAATTACCCAGTCTCAGGTATACATACATACATACATACATATATATATATATATATATATATATATATATATATATATATATAATTTTCTTTATTCCACTCATCAGTTGATGGACACTGGCTGATAACATATCTTTGCATATGTGAATTGTGCTGCAGTAAACATATGTATATAGGTGTCTTTTTGAGAGTATGATTTCTTTTATTTTGGGTAGGTATCCAGAAATGAGAATGCTGGATAGAATGGTAAGATCTACTTTAACAGAACTCTCCATAATGTTTTCCATAGATTTGTACTAATTTGTATCCCCACCAGCAGTGTATAAATCTTCTTTTTTCACCACATCCACACCAACATCTGCTGTTTTTTTTATTTTAGTAGTGACCATTCTGGCTGAAGTGAGGTGATATCTCACTGTTGTTTTATTGTACATTTCCCTGATGATTAGTAATATTTAGCATGTTTTTATATTCTTGTTCACCATTTGTACATCTTCTTTTGAAAAATGTCTATTCATGTCATGTGCCCACTTTTTAATGGAATTGTTTGTATTTTTCCTGCTGATTTGTTTGAGCTTCTGGTAGGTTATGGACATTAATCCTTTGTTAGATTCATAATTTGCCCATATTTTCCCCATTGTATAAGTGGTTGGCTCACTTTGATGATTATTTCTTTTGCTGTGCTGAAGCTTTTTAGTTTAATTAGGTCTTTATTTATTTATTTATTTATTTATTTATTTATTTTTATTTTTGTTGCTTTTGCTTTCAGGGTCCTCATCATAAATTATTTGCCTAGGCTAATGTCTTCTGGTCTTAGGTTTAGGCCATTAATCCATCTTGAATTAATTTTTTACATGGTGAGAGATAGAGATCCAATTTTATTCTTCTATATGTGACTATCTTTTTTTCCCAGCACCATTTGTTGAATAACGTGTACTTTCTCCAGTGTATGTTTTTGTATCCTTTCTCAGAGATCATTTGGTTGTAAGTGGCCTTTTTTCTGAGTTGTCTATTCTGTTCCATTGATCTGTGTATCTACTTTTATACCAGTACCATGATGTTTGTTACTGTGGCCTTAGAGTTGAAGTCAGGTAATTTGATGCCAACATGTTTGTTCCTTTTTCTTGGTATGTCTGTTGCTATTCAGGCTCTTTTGTGGTTCTACATGAATGACAGCTTTTTAAAATAACTCTGTGAAGAATGACATTGGTACTTTGGTAGAAACTGTATTGACTCTGTAGACTACTTTGGGCACTATGGCATTTTCACAATATCAATGCTTTCAGTCCAGGAACATAGAATGTATGTTCATTTATTTGTATGATCTATGATTTTCTTCAGTGGCGTTTTCCAGTTATCCTTTGATAGATCACTCACCTCCTTCATTAAGTATATTCCTAGGTATTTTACTATTTTGCAGCCATTGTAAAAAGGATTGGATTCTTGATATGACTCTCAGCTTGGTTGTAGTTGGTGTATAGTGGTACTATTCATTGGTATTTGTATATTTTGTAACCTCTGAGACTTTACTAAATTCATTTATCAAATCTAGGAGTGTTTTGTAGGAGTCTGTAGGGTTTTCTAGGCATAAGATCGTATCATTGGTGAAGAGAGAGTTTGACTTTCTCTTTTCCAATTTGGATGCCCTTTATTTCTCTTGCCCAATTGCTCTGCCTAGGGCTTCCCAGTTTTCTTCTTAATATGCATGAAATAAAAGTGAAATTGAAAGCGATTAATGATCAGTTTATTTCACATCTCTCTCTCATACACAGATAAAATTAATTCAAAGTTCTATGTTAAAAACACAATATTAGACCCTGTCTTGTTCCAAAGGGAATTTCTAATTTGTCTATAAATTACAGAGGAATAAAGAATATAAGTGGAAACTGTTTCCAAAAAATAAACATAAAAAGTTTGAGTTAACACAGGGGTTTCCAATCCCCAGGCCACAGACCAGTACCAGTCCCTGGCCTGTTAGGACCTGGGCCACACAGCAAGAAGTTAGTGGTAGATGAGCAAGTGAAGCTTCATCTGTTTACAGCCACTCTCTGTCACATTACCACCTGAGCTGCTCCTCCTGTCAGATCAGCGGTGACATTAGATTCTCATAAGAGTGTGACTTGAACCCTATTGCAAGCTGCTCATGCATGGGATCTAGGTTGTTCACTCCTGATGAGAATCTAATGCTTTATGATCTGTCACCATCTCCTGTCACCCCTAGATGAGACCATCTAGTTGCAGGAAAATAAGCTGAGGGCTCCCACTGATTCTACATGATGGTGAGTTATATAATTATTTCATTATATATTAGTAATAATAGAAATGAAGTGCACAATGTATGTAATGTGCTTGAATCATCCTGGAACCATCCCCCACCTCAGGTCCATGGAAAAATTATCTTCCACAAAACTAGTCCCTGGTGCCAACATGACTGGGAGAGCAGGGTTAACAGATGTGAGGCCCCTTTGCCTTGTCTTGGATTAATGTGCAGATATACATTGTGTGAATGACATCTGATGGTGCCATTTTGCCCTGTAGATCATTTTAGGGACACCTCCAGTATTTCATGAAAATTAAAATTTCTTCTAGTGACGAACAAAATGATACCCAGAAACAACTTTCTGAAGAACAGAACACTGGAATATCACAAGATGAGATTCTGACTAATAAACAAAAGCAGATAGAAGTGGCTGAAAAGGAAATGAATTCTGAGGTATTTTCTTTAGTCATTATCAAATGTTTTCATATGTGTGTATATTTTTAAAAAGCTTTATTTTGGAAGGTATAAAGGATTTTTAAATCATATATATACACACACCCTGTATATCCTTGGTCATATATCTATATATGTACACATAGGATAAAGCCATGTTCTTAATTCAACTGCATTTGCCTGCAACAGTCGAGTAGTGACCTTCACAATGGCCTCAATCCAAAGGAAAAGCATTTGATATTTTTCATAAGAATTGATTATCTTTCCAATATCAAAAATAAGTTTTGCTACTAACAACAGATTTGCTAGTTTTGGGACATTAGTTCTTTTTAAAATATTAATAGAGAAGTCAGTTTGTTATTTTCACTAATAGGAAAGTAAGAAATGTACAGCTGGGTCAGAGGCCACATTGTGGATGTCATTATCCTTGCTTTTGAGGAGAGGAACAGTTTGCTCCGAGTAGTTTCTCAATTCAATGCAAAGAGCTTTGAAAACAATGACATGCCATGATACACATTTAGTGATAATTTATTGATAAGTATTTTGTTCCCAGATGAATAGTTCAGTACGTTTCCTGTATTTCACACTTACTACTATAATGTTTCAAACATTATGAAGAGGAAAGAAAAGTTATTGCAATGGCAAATAATCTCATGATTTCTAAGAAAAGCCTTGTAAGTTATATCTTATTTACCATTTGTATTTTGAAATAAAAGGCTTCTTTTGTATTTATATATTTACACCACAGAAGCAACTGATTTTGTGGAGGATCACTAACAGTAGCATCAGAAGACCTGGCAAAAATCTTGCACGTTGCATATATATATGTGTGTGTGTGTGTGTGTGTGTGTGTGTATTCTAGATGGAGTCTTGCACTGTCACCCACGCTGGAGTGCAATGGCACAAACTCAGTTCACTGCAACCTCTGCCTCCCAGGTTCACACGATTCTCCTGCCTCAGCCTCCTGAAGTGCTGGGATTACAGGTGTGAGCCACTGGTCCTGGCTGCATATATTTTTTGACCTCTCCTTTTAAGAATCGTGATCTTAAATGAGTTGAGTGTTGTATGTAGAAGTGCAATGCTTAGATGCCGGTGTGTACATTGTAGAAGGGTACAATGCTTAGATTTAACAGTTATGAATAAATGTAATTCTTATAACTGACTGTAAAAATATTAGAAAAGCAGTATATTGATAAAACATTCCTCAGAAAAAGGAACTTAAAGAACTTTGAGGAATTGCTTCTGTCCTAATATATGCATAGCTGAGGCTCTTATGATGGTGTGGTTTGTAGGTTAGATATCAGAGTGTAAACCCAATTTAAAAAATGTAGCCAAATGTATTAATCTTCTATTTTATGCCTCTGGGTTTTTTGTAATTCAGAGAAAGGCTTTTCCAATTCTGAAATTCTTAAAAATCCTCTAGTGATTTATTTTTCATGGTCTTTAGATAAATATTTCAACTTTTTGGAATTTACACTCTTCTAGATTTGAAGTTTTGTCCAACTTTTTTCCAGTTAAATATCCACTATGGGAATTATTTCATTATACAAATATAAATGTCATTCTTTGATTTTAGAAGAAATCATGATATGTCATTCTATTGAGTGCTAACTAAAAGTTCCCTTTGTTTACTTAGCTTTCTCTTAGTCATAAGAAAGAAGAAGATCTCTTGCGTGAAAACAGCATGTTGCGGGAAGAAATTGCCAAGCTAAGACTGGAACTAGATGAAACAAAACATCAGAACCAGCTAAGGGAAAATAAAATTTTGGAGGAAATTGAAAGTGTAAAAGAAAAACTTCTAAAGACTATACAACTGAATGAAGAAGCATTAACGAAAACCAGTATTTAAGTACAGTGGACAGCTTAGGATTTTGACAACTGAGAATGCTCAGTTCTGAACTGGAGAATGTAAGACACAACTAGGAAACACTGGAAATGGAAATTCAATCATGTCATTGTAGACTGACTACTGCTCTACATGATTGTGATCAAAGTCAGATAGCTGAAAGGGACTTCTTTCCAGAGAACAAACATCAACAGGTTTATTTACAGGAGAAAATGAATTCTTATATATCTCACCTAAAAGATAACAGTGAGATTCTTTCTGAACAACTCTAACGCTGACAGTAAAATTAACAACCTAAAAATTAAGCTCCATCACACAGGATAAATTCTGAGAGAAAAGATGAGGCAGGCCACCATCTTTCCTGTTTGGGCAACTTAGTCATTCCAGCGTGCGGGCTTTGGAGAGTACAAACTCACCAGGGACAGAAGAGATCCTGTGGCATAGCACAGCTGCTTTACCAAATCATGACCAGAATGCTTCTGTAAGCAGGCCCCTGATCCTGTTCCTCGTCACTGGACAGGATCTCCCACCTGAGGCCTCCAGCTACACCCACCAGTGTTCCCTGGCCAATGGAGATTTGAAACCTTCCTGGGACAGAGTTCCCAGAGAGAGGGGTGGGCCATGATGGGCAGGTCTTCCTGGCCTGGGTCTCCAGCCAGCCCCCCACTTGAGCCTTCAAGCCAGTAGCAACTCAGCAACTCCCTGGACAGAGCTTCCAGGAGCAACAGAAATCCTCTCTGCCACTGCCTCTGCAGTGGAACTGCCCTTGCTACCCTCAGAATATCAAGGGAGCAAAGACCCTAAGTGCCATATTGACACCTCCAACAAGCTGCAGTTGACACAAGGAACAAGTCAGTCCATCTTCCACGGGTACAACACACCCCTTACTGCTCATCACCAGACAAGGAACCCTGGCTTGGGCCCACAGCACAGACCCTCCATCCTGGGGTGATTACATTAAGTAACTCCTAACTTACACCTCTCTGGGGTGGAGCCCCCAGAAGACAAGGAAAGTGGTGGAGCAGCAAGTCAGCTGATGTGGAGCCCGGAGGGCAGGGACATCTATGTCTCTAGGCTCCACTTGCTCTTATGAGACACTTTATCCCAGCACTTAAGGAGTGCTGAGGTCAGACCAGCCCCATCTCACGTGCAAGATTGCCCAGCACAGATCAGGTCTAAGAGTTCTCTTCCTAAAAAGGGGGACTTGCTTAAAAAAGAAGTCTGGCCGCGTTTGTGTAGAGCAGTTGTGCTGTGCTGAGGATTCACTTTTGAGAGAGTTCTCCTCTGAGACCTGATCTCTGCTGGGCAGTCTTGCACATGAGATGGGGCTGGTCTGACCTCAGCACCCCTTAGTCTGCTTGCCTCTCCCAGGACCCCAGCCAGGCCACACCTGCTTAGAGGGCACTTCTGGGTGCCCACACCATAGCTTCTGTACAAGCGGACCGTGGCTGATCAGTGGAGAGCTGCAGCAAGGTGACCTCTACAGCCACGTACCAGCCTGCACATTACCTCTCCATACTGCAGCCCTTTATATGGAAACTTTCTACATCACTTAGCTGTGTGTGTTTACACAGGTGGGTTTTGTTGTACTTGCCCTAACAGCATATGGGAATGCAGCACACACCCCAACCCACACCAACTGCCACTGAAGATGAAGCCATGGTGGGCACAGAACCAAAAACCCCACCCCTGCTAGCATCTCACCCTTGAGGTAATGCTGTGCAGAGGAAAAGGGACCTTCTTATACCCTGAGTGACCACTGTTGCTTGGGGGGGATCAGAGAAGGCACCTTCACTGGCCAGCCACCCACCCCAAACCAGAACTACCTCCAGTGCAACAGCACACACAGTCAGCAGGGGCCCCCTGGCCCACACCCCAGCTGTTTTGCCTCCACCACTAGGTGAATGCCCACAGGGAGGCAGGGACTTTTGCATCTGCTAGCATTCTGCCACAGCTGCCGCACTTTGGTCCCCTCAGTGCGGTGGACTCCAAACCTCGAGGAGCCAGAGAACAAAGTTGTGGCCCAATACAAGTTCCCCAGAGTTAAAGCACACAGTCCAAGCATTGGGAGCTGCATGTTGGCCCCTTAAAATCCTCCAAACACAAAACCTGTTGGCTGAATCCACCTTACACCACAATCAAATCCTCAAGGTCATCAGATATAATAAAGGAAAAATACCCTGTCCAAAGGTCAGCAGCCTCAAAGATTGAAGGTGGATAAGCCCATAAAGATGAGAAAAAGACTGTGCAAGAACACTGAAAACTCAAAAATTCAGCATGCTTTCTTTTCTCCAAATGACTGCATCAACTCTCCAGCAAGTGTTCAGAACTGGGCTGAGGCTGAGATGTCTGAAATGATACAAGCAGAGTTCAGGATATGGGTAGGAACAAAGTTCCCTGAGTGAAAGAGGTATGTTGTAATCCAATACAAGGAAGCTAAAAATCATTGTAAAACATTGCAGGAACTAACAGACAAAATAGCAAGTATAAAGAAGAAAATAACTGACCTGACAGAGCTGTAAATCACACTAGAAGAATTTTCATAATGCAGTCACACGGTGATTGTGTGTGATTGCATTATGAAAATTATTGTAGTATGTGTGGGCACCTGAGAGTGCCCTGTAAGCAGATGTGGCCAGGCTGGGGTCCTGGGAGAGGCAAGCAGACTAGGGAGGGCTGAGGTCAGACCAGCTCCATCTCATGTGCAAGACCATCCAACAGAATAGACCAAGAAGAGGAAAGAATCCCAGAACCTGGAAACTGGCTTTCTGAAATAAAACAGGCAAACAAGAATGGGGGAAAAAAGAATGAAAGGGAATGAACAAAACATCCGAGAAATATGGGATTATATAAACGACTAAATCTATGACTGATTAATGTACCTGAAAGAGATGAGGAGAATGGAACCAACTTGGAAAACACATTTCAGAATATCATTCATGAGAATGTCCCCAACCTAGCCAGACAGGCCAACACTCAACTTCAGGAAATCCAGAGAACCTCAGTAAGATATGCCATGAGAAGATCATCCCCAAGACACATAATCATCAGATTCTCTGCGGTCAAAATGAAAGAAAAAGTGTTAAAGGCAGCTAGGGAGAAAGGCAACATCACCTGCAAAGGAAATTCCATCAGACTTAGCAGACCTCTCAACTGAAACTGTACAAGCCAGAAAAGATATTCAACATCTTAAAGAAAAGAAATTTCAACCCAGAATTTCATGTCCAGCAAAATTAAGCATCATAAGTGAAGGAGAAACAAGATCCTTTTCAGACAAGCAAATGCTGAGGGAATTCATTATCACCAGACCTACCTTACAAGAGCTCCTGAAGGAAGCACTAAATATGGAAAGAAAAGACCACCACCAGCCACTACAAAAACACACTGAAGTACACAGACAAGTGATGCTAAAAACCAACCACATACATAAGTCTGCAAAAAAGCCAGCTGACAGCATGACGAGAGGATCAAATCCACACATACCATTACTAACCTTAAATGGAAATGGGCTAAATGCTCCAATTGAAAGACACAGGGGGCAAGCTGGATAAAGAACCAAGACCCATTGGAGTATGCCGTCTTCAAGAAACCCATCTCACATGCAGTGCCCTACATAGGCTCAAAATAAAGGAATGGAGAAAAATATTTCAAGGAAATGGAAAATAGAAAAAAGCAGGTGTTGCACTCCTAGTTTCTGACAAAGCAGACTATACCAATAAAGATTAAAAAGAAAAAAAAAAAGACAGAGGGCTGGGCGCGGTGGTTCACGCCTGTAATCCCAGCACTTTCGGAGGCTGAGACAGATGGATCACAAGGTCAGGAGATCGAGACCATCCTGGCTAACACGGTGAAACCCCGTCTCTACGAAAAATACAAAAAATTAGCTGGGCATGGTGGCGGGTGCCTGTAGTCCCAGCTACTTGGGAGGCTGAGGCAGGAGAATGGTGTGAACCTGGGAAGTGGAGCTTGCAGTGAGCCAAGATCGTGCCACTGCACTGCAGCCCAGGCGAGACAGTGAGACTCCGTCTCAAAAAAAAAAAAAAAAAAAAAAAAAAAAAGAGAGAAGGAGATTACAAAGGTGGTCCTGACCTTTGATAAATCTCATTATTGCTTGATACCAACCTGGGCTATCTTTATTGCCCAAACCAATAGGATAATGTGCTGAGGTTAGGGAGCTTCTCCCCTGCAGAGAATCCCTGATCTCCCAAAATTTGGTTGAGATCTAAGGTTGATTTTGCTATACAACTCCTTTTCTGAAGTTTTACTTATTTCCAACAAGGCAAGTTTTCCTGCTTCCGTGATGATGGAGAGCAGGCACCTCCTTTCTTGAGTTTCAGCTTGCTTCTGACAGGGAAGGTGAGTGTAAGTTTTTTCCAGCTTCTAAGATGGCAGAGAACAATCACCAGCCTGAGACTTATTTCCAGGTAAGTAGCTGAATTAGAGTTTTGTCTTAAAATTTTTCCTTAATGACTAAAATTTAAGATTACTCACCAGCTGCTTTTAATTTCTTGTTACCATTAGAACACTCAGTAATCATATGAATTGTGCATTTGTTTGTTTTGCTTAACTCTTTTTGTTTGTTTATGTTTGGGGTTTTGTTGTTGTTGTTTCACTTTTCTCCCATCTCTTCCTGACTTGGTCAAATCCAAAGAATGCTCCAAATTGTGGGGAACAAGCCTTCTGAATTGGCTAAAACTCATGTGGCTGCAAAAAAAAAAAAAAATTCCAGTTAGCAGAAATGATTTTTTTAACTTTTTTATTTTTATTTTTTACATAAGTGGTTGCATCTTTTGCTAGCCAAGGCCAAACTGAGGGAGTAGTGGTGGCGACCCAAAGTTAAGATTCTGCCCTGTTCACTACAGAAACCTGAGTTTGGTTCCTAAGTCTAGTTCTTTCTGTTTGATATTTGTGTTACTTTTAAAATATCAGCAGTTTGTCCCAGCTATGATGTGGTAGTAAAAGATTCAGAAGTATTTTCTTTACAAGTTCTATGTTGAAAAGCTTAATTAAAAGCAAATTTATTTTTTTTTAATTATACTTTAAGTTCTGGGGTACATGTGCAGAACATGCAGGTTTGTTACATACGTATACACATGCTATGGTGGCTTGCTGCATGCACCAACCCATGATCTAATGCCATCCCTTTTCTAGCCCCCCACCCTGACAGGCCCTTGTGTGTGATGTTTCCCTTCCTGTGTCCATGTGTTCTCATTGTTCAGGTCCTACTTATGAGTGAGATCATGTGGTGTTTGGTTTTCTGTTCTTGTGTTAGTTTGCTGAGAATGACAGTTTCCAGCTTCATCCATGTCCCTGCAAAGGATATGAACTCATCCTTTTTTATGACTGCATAGTATTCCATGGTGTATATATGCCACATTTTCTTTATCCAGTCTATCATTGGTGGGCATTTGGGTTGGTTCCAAGTCTTTCCTGTTGTGAACACTGCCGCAATAAGCATACGTGTGCATGTGTCTTTATATTGGAATGATTTATATTTTTTTGAGTATATACACTGTAATGGGATTGCTGGGTCAAATGGTATTTCTAGTTGTAGATCCTTGAGGAATCATCACACTGTCTTCCACGATGGTTGAACTGATTTATACTCCCACCAACAGTGTAAAAGCATTCCTATTTCTCCACATCCTCTCCAGCTTCTGTTGTTTCCTGATTTTTTAATGATGGCCATTCCAAGTGGCGTAAGATTGTATCTCATTATGGTTTTGAATTCCATTTCTCTAATGACCAGTGCTTTGCTTCACATGTTCATTGGCTGCGTAAATGTCTCCTTTGGGAAGTGTCTGTTCATATCCTTGGCCCACTTTTTGATGGGGTTGTTTGTTTTTTTCTTGTAAATTTGTTTAAGTTTTTATAGATTCTGCATATTAGCCCTTTGTCAGATGGATAGATTGCAACAATTTTCTCCCTTTCTGAGGGTTGCCTGTTCACTCTGATGATAGTTTCTTTTGCTGTGCAGACACTCTTTAGTTTAATTAGATCCCATTTGTCAATTTTGGCTTTTGTTGCCATCGCTTTTGGTGTTCTAGTGATGAAGTCTTCGCCTATGCCTATGTCCTGAATGGTATTGCCTAACACAAGGACATTTCTGTGCCTGAATGCCATATCTCCCAAAGTAATTTATAGAATCAGTGCCATCTCCATGAAGCTACCATTGACTTTCTTCCCACAATTAGAAACACTACTTTAAATTTCATATGGAGCCAAAAAAGAGCTCGCGTAGCCAAGACAATCTAAGCAAAAACAACAAAGCTGGAGGCATCATGGTACCTGACTTCAAACTATTCTACAAGGCTACAGTAACCAAAACAGCATGGTACTGGTACCAAACCAGATATATAGACAAATGGAACAGAACAGAGGCCTCGGAAATGACACAACACATCTAAAACCATCTGATCTTTGACAAACCTGACAAAAACAAGCAATGGGGAAAGGATTCCTTATTCAATAAATGGTGTTAGGAAAACTGGCTAGCCATATGCAGAAAACTGAAACTGGGCCACTTCCTTACACTTTATACAAAAATTAACTTACGATGGATTGAAGAGTTAAACTTAAGACCTAAAACCATAAAAAACCTAGAAGAAAACCTAGGCCACCAAACTCAGGAGAAATGTACTTGTAGTGCAATGCATGGTACAAACACACATTCCCTGCTTCCTTAAGTGGGTGAGGTTGGTGGCTGGTCCACCTGCTCCAGGTGGATCCTTGCAGAGGTGGCTGGTTGCTCTTTGAGCCAGCTTGGCCTTGCCTGGCATTCACAAGCCTCAGTGCAACAACTGTGCTACAAATGGAGCCACACAGAAAATGACCAGCAGGCTCAGGAGCAGGGTGTACACTGCCTTTGGGGCTCCAGTCCATGCCTCAGGGCTCATATGGCACCGTGGGCTTCTTGGTTGCCAAGAGGCAGATCACAGGCCATCTTGTGGAGGACTTTATGTTCAAGTGCAGAAAGCAGCCAGGATTACAACCTAGGGGACTCAGCCTTTTGTGACCCTGGCCAGACTTAGAATTTGGCCCCAGGCATGACACGCTCACTCAGAGTAGCGTGTCAGTACCTGGGGCCTGTGCATGCCAGGCAAAGCCAAGCTGGCTCAAAGAGCAACCAGCCACCTCTGCAAGGGTGTGCCTAGAGCAGTTGGACCAGCCACCAATCTCACCCCCTCAACAAAGCCGGGATGGCCAGGTTCCCACAGCCTGAGTGGCTGCCACCTGATGGCTGATGGAGCAGAGGCCTGAGGAAAAGCAGATGGCACTGGGGCCCTACCTTTAGGGTAGAAGAACTGAGGTACCATGTCTGGCAGCAAGTGATGTTGGTGGCTGGTCCACCTGCTCCTGGCACACCCTTGCAGAGGTGGCTGGTTGCTCTTTGAGCCAGCTTGGCCTTGCCCAGCATGCACAAGTCTCAGTGCAACAACTGTTCTACAAATGGAACCACACAGAGGACATTAGAGGCAGGCTCAGGAGCAGGGTGTACACTGCCTTTGGTGCTCCAGTCCATGGCTCAGGGCTCATATGTCACTGCGGGCTTCTTGGTTGCCAAGAGGCAGACCACAGGCTGTCTTGAGGAGGACTTTATGTTCGAGTATAGAAAGCAGCAGGATTACCACCCAGGGGACTTGGCGTTCTGTGGCCCTGACCAGACTTAGAATTTGGGCCAAGGCAGGACAAGCTCACTCACAGCAGCATGTCAGTAGCTGGAGACTATGCATGCCAGGCAAGGCCAAGCTGACTCAAATAGGAACCAGTCACCTCTGCAAGGGTGCACCTGGGACATGTGGAGCAGCCACCAACCTCAGCTACTCAAGGAAGTAGGGATGGCCAAGTTCCCACAGCCTGAATGGCTGCCTCCTGATGGCTGATGGAGCAAAGGCCTGAGGAAAAGCGGATGGCACTGGGGCCCTACCTCTAGGGTAGAAGAACTGATGTGCCCTGACCTGCAACAAGTGAGTTTGGTGGCTGCTCCACCGGCTCCTGGCACACGCTTGCAGAGGTGGCTGGTTGCTCTTTGAGCCAGCTTGGCCTTGCCTGGCATACACAAGCCTCAGTGCAACATCTGTGCTAGGTATGGAGTCACAGAGAGGAAATGAGCAGCAGGCTCAGGAGCAGGGTGTGCGCTGCCTTTGGGGCTCCAGTCCATGCCTCAGGGCTCGTGTGGCACTGCGGGCTTCTTCGTTGCAAAGAGGCAGACCACAGGCCATCCTGAGGAGGACTTGATATTCAAGTGCAGAAAGTAGGCAGGATTACCACCCAGGGGACTCTGCCCTGGACAGAGATAAAATTTGGGCCAAAGCAGAACAAGCTCACTCAGAGCAGCATGTCGGTAGCTGGGGCCTGTGTATGCCAGGCAAGGCCAAGCTGGCTCAAAGAGCAACCAGCCACCTCTGCAAGGGTGCACCTGGAGCAGGTGGAGCAGCCACCAACCTCACCCACTCAAGGAAGTAGGGATGGCCAGGTTCCCACAGCCTGCATGGCTGCATCCTGATGGCTGATGGAGCAGAGGCCTGAGGAAAAGCAGATGGCATTGGGGCTCTACCTCTTGGGTAGAAGAAGTGATGTACACCGACCAGCTGTGAGTGAGGTTGGTGGCTGGTCCACCTGCTCCTGGCACACCCTTGCAGAGGTGGCTGGTTTCTCTTTGCACCAGCTTGGCCTTGCCCAGCATGCACAAGCCTCAGTGCAACAGCTGTGCTACAAATGGAACCACACAGAGAAAACAGAGCAGCAGGCTCAGGAGCAGGGTGTGTGCTGCATTTGGGGCTCCAGTCAATGCCTCCGGGCTAGTATGGCTCTGTGGGCTTCTTGGTTGCAAAGAGGCAGACCACAGGCCATCTTGAGGAGGACTTTATGTTCAAGTGCAGAAAGCAGCCAGGATTACCACCCAGGGGACTCTGCCTTCTGTGGCCCTGACCGGACTTAGAATTTGGCCTAACTCAGGACAAGCACACTCAGAGCAGCGTGTCAGTAGCTGGAGCCTGTGCATGAAAGGCATGGCCAAGCTGTCTCAAAGAGCAACAAGCCACCTCTGCAAGGGTGCTCCAGGAGCAGGTGGAGCAGCCACCAACATCACCCACTCAAGGAAGCAGGGATGGCCAGATTCCAACAACCTGAGTGGCTGCCTCCTGATGGCTGATGGAGCAGAGGCCTGAGGAAAAGCAGATGACACTGGGACCCTACATCTAGGGTAGAAGAAGTGATGTACCCTGACCGGCAGTGAGTGAGGTTGGTGGCTGGTCCATCTGCTCCTGGCACACCCTTGCAGAGGTGGCTGGTTACTCTTCGAGCCAGCTTGGCCTTGCCTGGCATGCACAAACCTCAGTGCGACAACTGTGCTACATATGGAGCCACATAGAGGAAACGAGCAGCAGGCTCAGGAGCAGGGTGTGCGCTGCCTTTGGGGCTCCAGTCCATGCCTCAGGGCTCGTGTGGCACTGTGGGCTTCTTCGTTGCCAAGATGCAGACCACAGGCCATCTTGAGGAGGACTTTATGTTCAAATGCAGAAAGCAGCCAGTATTACCACCCAGGGGCTCTGCCTTCTGTGGCCCTGGCCAGACTTAGAATTTGGCCCCAGGCAGGGCAAGCTCACTCGGAGCAGTGTATCAGTAGCTGGGTCCTGTGCATGCCAGGCAAGGCCAAGGTGGCTCGAAGAGCAACCAGCCACCTCTGCAAGGGTGCACCTGGAGCAGGTGGAGCAGCCACCAACCTCACCCACTCAAGGAAGTAGGGATGGCCAGGTTCCCACAGCCTGCATGTCTGCGTCCTGATGGCTGATGGAGCAGAGGCCTGAGGAAAAGCAGATGGCACTGGGGCTCTACCTCTTGGGTAGAAGAAGTGATGTACACCGACCGGCTGTGAGCGAGGTTGGTGGCTGGTCCTCCTGCTCCTGGCACACCCTTGCAGAGGTGGCTGGTTTCTCTTTGCGCCAGCTTGGCCTTGCCCAGCATGCACAAGCCTCAGTACAACAACTGTGCTACAAATGGGGCCACACAGAGAAAACAGAGCAGCAGGCTCAGGAGCAGGGTGTGTGCTGCATTTGGGGCTCCAGTCAATGCCTCCGGGCTAGTATGGCTCTGTGGGCTTCTTGGTTGCAAAGAGGCAGACCACAGGCCATCTTGAGGAGGACTTTATGTTCAAGTGCAGAAAGCAGCCAGGATTACCACCCAGGGGACTCTGCCTTCTGTGGCCCTGACCGGACTTAGAATTTTGCCTAATGCAGGACAAGCTCACTCAGAGCAGCGTATCGGTAGCTGGAGCCTGTGCATGCCAGGCAAGGCCAAGCTGTCTCAAAGAGCAACCAGCCACCTCTGCAAGGGTGTGCCTGGAGCAGATGTAGCAGCCATCAAACTGACCCACACAAGGAAGCATGGATGGCCAGGTTCCAACAGTCTGAGTGGCTGCCACCTGGAGACTGATGGAGCAGAGGCCTGAGGAAAAGCAGATGGCACTGGGGCCCGACCTCTATGGGAGAAGAACTGATGTGCCCCAACCGGCAGCGAGTGAGTTTAGTGTCTGCTCCACCGGCTCCTGGCACACCCTTGCAGAGGTGGCTGGTTCCTCTTTGAGCCAGCTTGGCTTCGCTCGGCATGCACAAGCCTCAGTGCAACAGCTGTGCTACAAATGGAGCCACAGAGAGGAAATGAGCAGCAGGATCAGGAGCACGGTGTGCACTGCCTTTGGGGCTCCAGTCCATGCCTCAGGGCTCATATGGCACTGCGGGCTTCTTCATTGCCAAGGGGCAGACCACAGGTCGTCTGGAGGAGGACTTTGTGTTCAAATGCAGAAAGCAGCCAGCATTACCACCCAGGGGACTCTGCCTTCTGTGGACCTGACCAGACTTAGAATTTGGGCCAAGGCAGGACAAGCTCACTCAGAGGAGCATGTCAGTAGCTGGGGCCTCTGCATGCCAGGCAAGGCCAAGCTGGCTCAAAGAGCAACCAGCCACCTTTGCAGGGGTGCACCGGGAGCAGGTAGAGCAGCCACCAACCTCTGCTACTCAAGGAAGCAAGGATAGGCAGGTTCCCACAGCCTGTGTGGCTGCCACCTGATGGCTGATGGAGCAGAGGCCTCAGAAAAAGCAGATGGCACTGGGGCCCTACCTCTAGGGTAGAAGAACTGATGTGCCATGTCTGGCAGGCAGTGAGTGAGGTTGGTGGCTGGTCTACCTGCTCCTGGCACACCCTTGCAGAAGTGGCTGGTTCCTCTTTGAGCCAGCTTGTCCTTGCCCAGCATGCACAAGCCTCAGTACAACAACTGTGCTACAAATGGAGCCACACAGAGGAAATGAGCAGCAGGCTCAGGAGCAGGGTGTTCACTGCCTTTGGGGCTCTAGTCCATGCCTCCGAGCTTATATGGCACTGCAGGCTTCTTGGTTGCCAAGAGGCAGACCACAGGCCGTCTTGAGGAGGACTTTATGTTCAAGTGCAGAAAAAAGTCAGGATTACCACCCAGGGGACTTGCCCTTCTGTGGCCCTGGCCAGACTTAGAATTTGGCCCCAGGCAGGACAAGCTCACTCAGAGCAGCTTGTCAGTAGCTGGGGCCTGTGCATGCCAGGCAAAGCCAAGCTGGCTCAAAGAGCAAGCAGCCACCTCTGCAAGCATGCTCCTGGTGCAGTTGGACCAGCCTTTAATCTCACCCACTCAAAGAAGCATGGATGGCCAGGTTCCAACAGCCTGAATGGCTGCCACCTGATGGCTGATGGAGCAGAGTCCTGAGGAAAAGCAGATGGCACTGCTTTGTAATGCCCTTTGTCTCTTTTGATCTTTTCCATTTAAAGTCTGTTTTATCGGAGACTAGGATTGCAACCCCTGCTTTTTTTTTTTTTTTTTTTTTTTTTTTTTTGCTTTTCATTTGCTTGGTAAATATTCCTCCGTCCCTTTATTTTGAGCCTGTGTGTGTCTTTGCATGTGAGATGGGTCTCCTGAATACAGCACACCAATGGGTCTTGAGTCTTTTTCCAACTTGCCAGTCTGTGTCTTTTTACTGGGGCATTTAGCCCAGTTACATTTAAGGTTAATATTGTTACATGTGAAATTTATCCTGTCATGATGTTGTTAGCTGTTTATTTTTCCCATTAGTTAATGCAGTTTCTTTATAGTGTCGATGGTCGTTACAATTTGGTATGTTTTCCCAGTGGCTCATACTGTTTGTCCCTTTCCATGTTTAGTGCTTCCTTCAGGAGCTCTTGTAAGGCAAGAATGTGGATTTATTTCTTGTAAGGCAAATATGTGGATTTATATCTGGGTGCTGTATTCTATGGCCTCTACCCCAAGAGTCATTACTTTTAAAAATGCAATTCAAATTAGCATAAAACATTTACAGCCTAGGGAAAGGCTTATGGCATTAGAATCCTTATTTATAGGATTATTTTGTGTTTTTTTGAGATATGGTCTCTGTCTGTCATCCAGGCAGAAGTGGAGTGGCTTGGTCATAATTCACTGCAGCCATGAACTCTGAGTCCAAGCCATCCTTGTGCCTTAGTCTCCCAACTAGTTGGATCTACAAGCATAAGTCACCATGCCTGGTTAATTTTAAATAAAATTTTTTGTCGAGATTATGTTATCACTATGTTGCTCTGGCTGGTTTCAAATTCCTGGCCTCAAGTAATCTTTCTGCCACAGCCTCCTATAGTGCTGGGATTACAGGCATGAGCCACCATGCCTAGCATAGAGTATTACATTATTTTCAAAGTCTTATTCTAAGAGCCATTTATTGACTTTGGCCTAAATAACTCAATATTATATCTCTGAAACTTTTTTTGACAAATTTTGGGGCATGATGATGAGAGAAAGGGGTTTGAAACTTTCTAATAAGAGTTAACATAGAGCCATTTAAGGAGGAAAAAACACAAATTATCAGAAAAGTAAAAGAAAGATCAAGTGCAAAAGTTCTGTGGCAAAGATGATAGTAAAGAATATATGTGACTTATGGTGGCTTTTACTTTGTTCTTGAATTTCTGAGTAATTTAAGGGTTAACATTTAAAGAATCTACATTATAGATAACATTTTATTGCAAGTAAATGTATTTCAAAATTTGTTACTGGTTTTGTATGAGATTATTCTCAGCCTACTTCATTTTCAAGTTATATTATTTTATTAATGTAGTTTGATGATCTTACAGCAGAGCTGGAAGCTGTATCTTCAAAATATGTCTGTTTGACTCAAAACAATCAAGGTATTCAACAGGAGTTATTATGTATGAAAAAATACAACAGGAATGTAAAAATCTTGAGGAGGCTAAAAAGATGTTGGAAAAAGTAATATTAAATCTTAAAAAACGTATGGAAAGTACACATTGGTGAAGACACATTGGTGAAGTACAAAAATATAAATTGGATCTAGAAGAAAGGGCAATGCAGGCAATGGAAAAATTAGTACAAATCCCTTTACAGGTTAGTTTGTAAAATCAGGTAAGTTTATTTATAATGTGCTTTCACTTATTTCACTGCAATGGCTCTCTTATAGTAATTTGCCTTGTAGAGTTCTAGCAAAGAGGTGGCATCTGTTTTTACTTTTATATGTTTAAATTTCTATCATTATAACAAAATCGATTTTTCACAGTAATGATTCTCAGTGTGGAGTCATTTGATTATTAAGACCCATTGACATGAGATTACATCCTCTGCCTATAAAAATCCTGGAAGAAAACCTAGGAAATATTCACCTGGACATTGCACTTGGCAATGAATTTATGGGTAAGTCCTCAAAAGCAATTGCCAGAAAAATAAAAATTGACAAGTATGATTTAATTAAACTAAAGAGCTTCTTCTGCACAGCATGAGAAACTCTCAAGGGATTGAACAGACAGCCTACCGAGTGGAAGAAAATATTCACACACTATGCATACAGCAAAGGCCTATTATCCAGAAGCCATAAGAGACTTAGGCAAATCAACGAGCAAAAAATAAATAACCCCATAAAAAAATGGGCAAAGAACGTGAACAGTTTTCAGAAGAACACATATGTGGCCAACAAACATATTAACACATGCATACCATCACTAATCATCAGAGAAATGCAAAACAAAACATCAGTGAAATACCATCTCACACCAGTTAGAATGACTTCTGTTAAAAAGGAAAAGTAATAAAAATATTTAAATATTTAATATTAAAATGTCATTTAGATTGAGATAAATTAACTTGTCATTATCATTAATTCTCAAAACATGGATATTTAAGAATAACCTTACTTCACATGTAATAACACAACAACTACCTTAAAAACTAAAAGCTGGGGCCTGGCACGGTGTCTCAAGTCTGTAATCCCAGCACTTTGGGAAGCTGAGGTGGGCCGATCATGAGGCCAGGAGTTTGAGACAAGCCTGGCCAACATGGTGAAACCCCGTCTCTACTAAAAATACAAAAATTAGCTGGGCATGGTGGTGGGCACCTGTAATCCCAGCTACTCAGGAGGCTGAGGCAGGAGAATCATTGGAACCTGGGAGGCGGAGGTGGTTGCAGTGAGCTGAGATCACACCATTGCACTGCAGCCTGGGCAACAGGGCGAGACTCCATCTCAAAAAAAATAAATAAAATTAAATGAATACAAACAAATAAATAAAAGCTGGAAGTTCTATGAAAACATTAATGCACATACCATTTTTTAAAAATGTTCATGGTTTCTCTAGAGATTTCAATACCTATTCTAGCTTATTACAGTAACCTATAATTTGTACTATACCAACTATGGTATAAAAACCTTAAAATGTATATTTCTGTTTCCTCTCTCCTTTATACTATTTATGTCATGCATTATAGTCTCAAATATTATGAATTCCATAATATAAAGTTACTCTTTTTTTAAAAAATTAGACAATCAATTATCTTTAGAGCAATGTAAAATAATTGGGTTATATATCTTTATATCTTCTCTGGCATTATTTATTTCTTTGTGTAGTTTCAACTTTCACCTGCTTCCATATTCCTTTTGCCTCAAGAAATGATTTTGACATTTATTTTAGTGCATACCTGTTAGCAAGGGACTCTTCCAGTGTTAATCTGCAAATGTCATTTAATTGTTATTTTTGCTGTATTACAGTTAATGGATATAAGATTGGGGGTTGACTTTTCTTCAGTTATTTAAGAATTTTGTATCATTGGTTTCTGACTTGTAGAGTTACTGACAAGCAGTTCATTACAATGTTTGTTTCTGTTTATCTCTCTACACAGTGTTCTTATTTTTTCTGTGACTGAATTCAAGATTTATGCTAATCGTTGGTTTTCAGCAGTTTCACTAGTGTGATTATTCTAGCGTTCTTTAAATTTTGTATTAATCTTTCTTGTATATTTTGAGGTTATTTGGTCTCCTCAGTCATCTTTTTCAAATTTTTCTTCTCTCACATTCTGTTTTTACTCTCCTTCTGTAATTCCAATTAATTGTATTTTGGTTAATTTCATATTACCAGAAAATTCTTTGATTCACTGGAGTATTTTATTTGCTTGGTTCATTGGTTTATTTGGTTTTTCTCTTTCCTCCCTTTGTGCTACCATTCAAATGATTTGTATTGACCTAGTATAAAATTTACTGCTTCTTTCTTTAACTCTGATGACCAGTCTGCTAATCAGCTTGCTGATGTAATACTTCATCTCTGTTCTCATGCTTTCACTTATTTCTAGATTTTGCCTTTTACTGTTCCCATCTTTGCTGAAATTCCTCATTTTTCCATACATGTTGTCTTTTTTTAACTAGATCCTTTAACATTTTGATCATTATTATTTTAAATTACTTTCATTTAGTTCCAACATCTGAATTATCTCTGAATTTGATTCTGTTGACTTTTTATCCTTTGAAAATATTATAACTCATAACTCAAATTTCTAACTTGCTTTTATGTGTCTCCCAATTTCTAAAAAATGCAAATCATCTGATGTAGAAAAACAGTAGATCATGAGATAATTATTTATGTCGAGATTGTTTTATATTTCTGTTTCATTTTTGTTTGTGTCATGCTATTAGTGTGGGCAGGAACAAAGGTTGCTTTTTGCTGCGGTGTCTGAAACATTCAGTGAACAATGTAACTCAGATTTCTCCAGCAGTAGACTGCTATATGATGTGCCTTGTGTGGGGCCTTAGACTCTGGAGAGCATATGCCAATGATCCTGTTCCACAGTTAGCTTTCGGTAGTCCTTACAACCTATGTTATAGAGAGGGTCTCTCTCCACTTTCTTGTTCTTCTCTAACTGTAGAACATCATTTTGTGTGTGTGTGTGTGACTAGGCAAAAAATTCAGGTTGGGGACAGAGGGATGGTTTGTGTTGTTTTTGAGCCAGTTTCATCATTGGACACTCAGAGATGGGGTATTTTTAACACTTCTTGACTCTTTTTCTAGTGGGAGTCAAACTGTCACTTACCTGTGTTGTTTTTTGCAGAAGAAATAATACCTTACCCTCCTCCCACCTCAGTAGTAGAAAACCCCTGATTTATATCATTGCAAGTTTTCAACCCCACAATAAGGGCAAACTCTTTTATTTCTCCTTCCATAGGAACAATGTACCTTTGTCTGTGGTCACTGGATGGAGACTTTCCAAACCTTTACCACAGTAGCACGACTCTGCATTAGTGCAAAATCCTGGGCCCCAAAACAATCCTTGTTCCTCTCCTGATGGAGGAGTATTTTTCTTGCATCCCTCTCCCAGAAGCAGTGATCCTTTGCCTGGTGTCAGGTGGGGTAGGGTAGGGTATGAGAGGTTTCTTAACCTTCTCTGGAAGCTGATGTGTTTTGCTTCTTCTTATCTCCCAGAAACAGTAGACTTTTGCATGGGTTCATGGACCCAGATGCTTTTTTGCCACAGCAAATTAAGGGTTTTGATTCTTAGGAGAGAAGCAAATGTTCACGTAGTCAATTTTTTTCTTATTTATTTTTTGCTTTGTTTTCTTATTTCAGTAATGATGAGTTCAATATGATCATTATTTTCCACTTACACTGCTTGCAACTCTAATATTTTGTTTTTGTTAGTCCCCCTTTGACAGTTCAGCACTAAATCAAATGCAGATAATCATCAGTTGTGTGAATAAAGTGTTTTTAATTGAGAACAAAATTATTGATATAGACACAAATTTGGATATTATCCTACTTAGCACAATATGTCGCTGGTTCAAAATGTAAAAACCTCTTTAGGCTGAGCAAATAATGGTTCTTGGAACTATTGTCCCATTTTGACAAATAAAACCCAATGCTTTTTATCTCATGGATAGATTATTAAAATAACTACATACCTGATCTTCATTTTATGTTCTCTCTCTTCAAGATATTCCTTCAAAACCACTTTGACTGATTAGTCTCTTTTGAATTATGTTAGACTCTGTATTTTCTCCACAAGCTCATCAGTGTAAATCCTGCCTTTACATTTTTTATAAAAATTCTCTTTTTTTTTTCAAATCTTAGTTGAGCTGAAAGATTTCCACCAAATGTCTCCTATGCCACAAAGCCTTATTTTACTTATCTCCCCTGTCCTCCTTGCTCAAGCTCATTTAGGAATATTTTAATTAAAACATTCATGCAATACTGTTTTTTAAAAAATCTGAACATATAGTATTTTCAATCTGAATACAAAATAGTGCTCTAATTTGAAAACAAGTTTTAGAAACAAATGTTTCTAGAAGGAGAATCAACAGTGTCATAAATATCATAATCCAATTTTCCTGTTTGTACTAAAACATTAGCAAATATTTATTGAGGAATTGCCATCTGCCTGAAAGTATAATGCTTTTGATGCACATTATATCATAAAAACTAGGTACTATTATTAGTAGTATCTTAAGAGTATAAATATCGAGTCTTAGAGATGTTAAGCAACGTGCCCAAATAGCATGGGGAAAGTTGGAATTCTGAAATTCTGACTATGCTGTGCGTAGGATAGGAGAATCAAGGCTTGTCAAATGTAACTGTTAAGTCATTGTGGGGATACGGAGGCCTCTGATTGCTAGGGTCAATACACTTAAGCAGATCATGTCACTACTTAGTTAAATCTATTTCATTAAAGCAAAATTCCATAAAGATTATTGCCACCAAAACTATTAATTTTCCTTCCTTCCTTTCTCTCTTTATCTTTCTTTCTTTCTTTCTTTTCTTTCTTTCTTTCTTTCTTTCTTTTCTTTCTTGTCTTTCTTGTCTTTCTTGTCTTTCTTGTCTTTCTTTCTGTCTTTCTTTGAGACAGGGTCTCAGTCTGTTGCCCAAGCTGGAGTGCAGTGGCACAATCATGGCTCACTGCAGCCCCAGCTTCCCCAGGCTCCGGTGATCCTCCCACCTCATCCTCCTGAGTAGCTGGGACTACAGGCAGGCAAGCCACTACGCCTGGCTAAAATTTTTTTTTTTTTTTGGTAAAGATTGGGTTTCACCATGTTGCCGAGCCTGGTCTGCAACTACTCAGCTCAAGCAATCCACCTGCCTTTGCCTCCCAAAGTATTGGGATTCCAGATGTAAGCCACATGCCTGGCCAAAAATATTATTTAACAAGTTCAATTTAACTATTAGATTTTGGACAATGAGGGATAGAATTTTCTACATCATAAATCATCTTGTGTTCTTTATTTAAAGTAATATGTAAGGATTTCAATTCAATTCAAATATATTTATTAGGAAATTAAATGTCTTTTTCAGGATTCCAAACTTTTGTTGAAGACATAAATGTTAAATGATGTCACTAATTTTAATTAGATTAACAGAAAGGTATTCTGGTGTTTAATAACAGTGACAGAATGGGCTATTAATTTTATTTTCTTTCCCTTTCTCCCTTTCCCCTTTTTAAAATATTTTACTTTTTAGGCTGTTTGGAATCCTGTAGATAGAGTTTTGGAGAATTAGACAAAACACTCACAGAAACTGCCAACCCTTGGATGAAATATATTGTTACTGTGCTTTGGGATTAAAATAAGTAACTACAGTTTATAGAACTTTTATACTGATACACAGACACTAAAAAGGGAAAGGGTTTGGATGAGAAGCTCTGCTCTGCAACCAGGAATCTCAGCCACTCATTTCTGTTGGAGCTGCAGGAGCTCCCTGTAAAGAGAGATTATGGAGTCTGTAGCTTCAGGAAAGATACTTAAAACCCTTCAGAGTTTCTCCATTTTTCCCAGAGTTTCCCCAAAAAGGTTATGACATTTTATAAGAATGCTTCACTTGTGAAAAACTAATACCAAGTCTTTTTGTAATTTATATTTAAGGATAAATCTTTATTCCATGTTTAATTTATTTCACTTATCCTGTAACTAATATTTCATGCTGAACACATTTTAAATGCTGTAAATGTAGATAATATAATTTATGGATCATTAATGCCTCTTTAGTAGTTTAATGTCAAAAGAAATGACCCCAGAATAAGCTTCTTGATTTGTAAAATTCTATGTCATTGACTCAAGTTTGTATGGCATCTCAAAATATAAATATAGACATCTCAGATAATATATTTGAAATAGCAAATTCCTGTTAGAAAAGAATAGTACTTAACTAGATAAGAATAACAGGTCACCATTATTTGAATTGTCTCCTATTAATTTTTGTTCTGTTGTGTTACTCATGTTTTACTTATGGGGGATATACATAACTTCTGCTGTTTTCAGAATTATTGTATGCAGTCAGTATGATAATGCAATTTTAGTTTCCTTGATGCTTTCTCACACCTCTATTACTAGAAATAAGAATACAGTAATATTGGCAAAGAAAATTGACCAGTTCAATAAATTTTTTTAGTAAATCTGATTGAAAATAAACATTTCTTACGGCTTTCTTACATCAATATTGTTATGTCTTAGACTACCGTATCTGAAATTAAGGCTTTGAAATTCTAATTATGTGCAAATGTGTAAAATATCATCACCTAACGCTATATAATATATTCTATTTCTATACTGTGATGGCAGGTTTATAATTCTGGAAAGATATACACAACATAAAATTTACCTTTTTAATCACTTTAAGTGCACAGTTTTGTGGCATTAAGTATATTTGCACTATTGTGCAACAGTCACCACCATAGACCTCCAAAACTTGTCTTCTTCTCCAACTAAAATGCTTTACTCATTGAACACCAACTTCCCATTCCTCTCCCTCTCCTTCCCCCTAGCAATCACCATTCTACTTTCTGTCTCTACAAATTTCACTAAGTAACTCATAGAAGTGGCATGATAGAATGTTTGAATTTTTCTGACTGGCTTATTTCACTTAGCATGTCTTCAAGTTTCATCTATTTTGTAGCATGTGTGAGAATATATTTTAAGGCTGAATATTATTATGTTGCCGTATATACCACATTTTGTTTAACCACTCATCCATCAATATTCACATGGGCTGCTCCCTCCCTTTGATTATTGTGAATAATATTGCTAACGGACACGCTGCACAAACATCTTTTTGGTCCCTCCGCTCATTTATTTTGGATATGGATTTGCATTTTAATACAAAGGAGAAATTACACAGCTTTTTAAAAGTGTCCAAATAAAAAGGAGCACAACATCAGTAAAATATTAGAAAGTAGATTGGGGGGAAAACAGGGAAGGAATTGAACCAAAAGTCAATAAGCTGCATAAGAGAGTTGCAAGAGGAGGAAAAAATTGACAATATTAACATAGAATTAAAGAGCGATAGGTCGATATTTAGAAAATTGTCGCATGTACTCATATGTCGCCTGTGAACTGACATTTACATTATTTTATTATTCCAGGTTTCCAAAAGTAAGTGCAATATGAGAGTTTCATGATGCTAAGTAAACTGAAACATGCTATATATTTTGATATATTGTCCTTGAGAGGAGGCTGAGTGGTAATTAGTGCAATTTTAAATTATGATATGATAATGCAGTCAATCTGCCAAACTGAAAAAAAGTATATATACAATATGTATACATTTCTCGCAAAATTCAGTTTTATCATACAATTAAATTATGATTTAAAACTACCTGACAATTAATGGAGGAAAAAATAAAACAACATTTGCATTAATATTACCATAATTTTGATATTATTGTAAATATCAAAATATGTAGTACTTAGAGATAAACCAGCAAAAAAGAGAAACATTTGAAAACTACAAAACTACAAAATATTGCTAAAATAAACGAGACCTAAATAAATGGAATTTATGAGTCATAAATCTCAATATTGTTAAGATGTCTACTCTTTCCACATTGATCTATAACAATTCCAATCAAATCACAGCTGGATTTCTTATTTTAGAAATTGAGAAACTAAAATTCTGAAATGTACATCGATGGGTAGAGGACCTATAATGGCAAATTACTTTGAAAGGAAACAGTTACTTTGAAACCAGGTGCTGCTGGAGAATTAACAGCACCTGGATTCAAGACTTATAACATTACAGTAATACTTAAGACAATGTAGTACAAATATAGATATACACATGTATATCATCTATCAGCTAATTTTTGATAAAGTTCTTAGACCATTCATGGACATAACATTTTCAACAAATGCTTCTGAAACAATTAGATATCCCAGTATATATTTGTGTGTGTGTGTGTGTGAAGCTCAATACTTCACACCTGAGAGGTATGAGTGTGCATTACAAAAGAGAACTGGGAAGCTTTGAGAGTATTGGATATGCTCATTGTCCCCTTCATGGTGATTAATGGGCACATGTACATATCAAATTCATCTCATTTACACTTTAAATATTGGAAGTGTGTTTTATGTTCGTTAGACATGAATAAAGCTGCAAAATGTTATCAAAATATTCACTTACTATGCTTTTATTCATTTTCATCTCTCTATAAACTTTCAGATAGAAAATGCAGTTGAAAGATATTTCATAAAGGAAGAAAAAGTAAGAATACAGGTGAGAGATATTACTGAGATTTTCTTTCAGTGCAATTCTGGTCTTTTCTGACTAGCAATATTTTTATGTGCAGAAGTAGTAGAAAAGATAAATATTTTGTACAGTAGAAAAACGCATCATTTCTGTGCCATGGAAGAGAGAACTCACAAAGATGACAGCTTCTGGCTATGTTGGATACTAACCAGTACTGTAAGTACCCAGCGATCTGACGTTAACATTGGCTGTAAAGCTCCTTTAATGTTCCTTGCAATGATTTGAACCTGTTACTGGAACCCTCATCGCTTATTGAGTTGAAAAACATTGTTGATATGTGTTTATCTTATATTTGCAGTAGAGTCATAATTTTACTTCTTAGAAAATTATACATTAAACAAAAAAGACACATGAAATTGTATATTGTTTAATGTTTCAACTGTGATAATCACTCCATATGCATATTTAAATTCCTATTTGATAAAGGATAGGAAATACAGAAAGAATTCTTGTGATAATAGAGAACACAGAACTGTTGAAAGGTGTTGAAGCTGAGCTGGAGAGAGTCACCAAGGCTGGCGCCAAAGCTGGCAAGGTCGGAGGGTTTCCTGCCTGGGTGGCACAGCTTGAGCTCGCCCTGCATCACGAGTGGTGGAAACTGCAGACCCAGCTGGGCCCGGAGGCCTCTGCCTCAGCCTCCCGCCCACTAGGAGCTGCGCTGAGGTCCCAGATAGGCGACCCTGGCGGGGCGCCCCTGAGCGAAGGGGGGACAGCAGCAGGAGACCAGGGTCCAGGGACCCACCTCCCACCGAGGGAACCTCGAGCCTCCCCTGGCACCCCTAGCTTGGTCCGCCTGGCCTCCGGAGCCCGGTGTGCATCCTGGTCATGGGGACACCCACCAGGTGCCCGGGAGTCCCCCTCCGCCACAGCCTGCGGCTCCGCCGGCCCTCAAGCCTGGTGCGGGGACTCCAGCCCCGTCGCCTCTGCTCCTGCCAGGCCGGGACCTGTCCTCCTCCTGGGCGCCCGGCAGTAGGGGCGATGCACACTGCCCGCTGCCCTGCACAGCCTTTCGCCGCACATCACCTCTGGCCCCTCCGCCCCGGGCCAGGACCTTCCTGGCCACACAGAACCCCCCTTCCTTCCCGCTGCAGAGCTGCTGCGCTTCCCCCACCCACAGGGAAAAACGGCCGATCTCCAACCAAACAGAAATCTGTGTGTGACTCCTCTGGTTGGATACTGCCAGTCCCCACATTTTCTTCCGGGAGTTTTCTTGGCAGAAGGTGCCCAATGTTTGATGTTTCGCCAGCCATGAGGCTGAAAAGTGACAGCAATAGAGAAACACATCAGGCTTTCCGCGACAAAGATGACCTTCCCTTCTTCAAAACTCAGCAATCTCCACGGCACACAAAGGACTTAGGACAAGATGACCGAGCTGGAGTGCTCGCCCCAAAATGCAGGCCCGGAGTGGGTCACCTCCTTAGGGCAGGCCCAGGCTTGTCCTGGCTGCCCGGGCACCTTTCTCCTCACTCCCACCCAATGCAGGGGACCCCAAAACTCGGCTGTTGGGGCTCCCTGCGCCTCCCTCCACAGAAGCCACCTCCTGCCCTCCAAGCTGGGGGTCTCCTGGGGCGTCCTGGGCTGAGAGGGAAAGACGCCAGCTCCGCAAGCCGGGAGGGGAACACCGCCACATTGTTACACGCACACACCACCACACTGTCACATGTACAGACACACGGAGACATTACCACACGGAGACACCGTCACATGGACACACTGGCACATTCACATGGACGGACACACAGACATACGGAGAAATCCACACGGACACACCACCACACTATCACAGGGACACACAGACACACGGAGACGTCACCACATGGACACACCACCACACTATCACAGGGACACACACAAGAGACATCACTACACTGTCACATGGACACACCATCACACTCACACGAACACAAAAACACACTGCCACATGGACACTGCCACACACACACACACCGCCTCACTGTCACATGGACACACCTCCACACTGTCAGACACCACCACACAGACACTGCCATGTGGAAACAAGGACACACAGACACTGTCACACGGATACACAAACACACTGTCACACGGAGACATCACCATGCAGATACATGAACACACCACCACATGGACATAGCACCACACAGACACTCTGCCACACGGACACACCACCACACAGAAATGCGGACACACCACCACACAGACACACCACCACGCTGCCACACAGAGACACCACCACATCGTTGCCACACTTTCATGTGTCAGCTGGCGGTGTGGGCCCCACGACTCTGGGCTCTAATAGAGAAATTACTTAGGCATATAGTGAAGGCAAAATAATTTTTTTTTTCCTGAGGCGTAGTCTCGCTCTGTCCCCCAGGCTGGACTGCAGTGGTGCAATCTCGGCTCACTGTAAGCTCCGCCTCCCGGGTTCACGCCACTCTCCCGCCTCAGCCTCCCGAGTAGCTGGGACTACAGGAGCCCGCCACCAAGCCCGGCCACCTTTTGGGTGTTTTTAATACAGACGGGGTTTCACCTTGCTAGCCAGGATGGTCTCGATCTCCTGACCTCGTGATCTGCCCGCCTTGGCCTCCCAAAGTGCTGGGACTACAGGCGTGAGCCACCGCGCCTGGCCAAGAATTTCTTTCCATCTCCTGTGTCATTGCTTTGGCAGTGGAAATGCGCGTGGCCTCTAGAGTGGGTCCCAAGGTCAGGAAGGCCTGTAAGGTGGAGGGCAAGGTCTCTCTTTCCAGGCTGGAATGGAGGAAGATGTGGTGGCTGAGGGGCTGCATGTCCTCCTCACAGCAGGCCCCTGAGAACATTTATCCTCCTGAGCCGCGAGTGTCCCTCAGGGGTGTCTAAAGCGCTGGGTGGGGCCTTTATAGGCCTTAGGAGCTCTGGCCCATTAGTGGTGCGTAAAACGCAGAGGTGAACACCATAGAACAACAGGTCCAGGAGAATTTTGTAAAAGCTCTGAGGATGCCCTTTTTTGTTCTCCCACTGCAAAATTGTTTTAAAAAGGAAAAAATCCAGCAATGTCCGGGGAAAGTCAATACTGAGTGTCAGCGCGGGATGCTGCCGCTGATACGATCCCGGCGTCCTGGCCGAAAGTGGCCTCCTCGGGGACCGCATCTCCGCGCACCATGGCAGCAAACGCCAGCGGTTTGTGGGCAGATGGTGTCCCTGTGGCCATCCCCGCTCCTGAGTGCGGAAGGACAGACAGGAGCGGGGACTTCTGGGTGTTCCTGGTGTCAGCCAGCTTGACGCCGTTGTTCCTCCTGGACGTCCGGGATTTGGAGAAGCACCTGGTTCCTGATGGAGGCCGTGGGCCTCTTGGTCCCCGCTTACCAGGCAGCGGCGCCGGCCTAGTTCTCAGCCCCGCCCCCGATGGGCGCCGCCTTCCATCAGGCCAAAGACTTTCCTCCAAACTGCCCTTCTTGGGGCGGGGAAGCAGCATCCTGGGCCTCCCCTGGGGCCTGTGGCGCTGGCAGCAGCTCCACGTTGAGGTCGCCTGCAGCCTGCACCGCGGAGCGCTGGAGGTCCCTGAACCCGGCGTGGGGAGGCCAATCCGCAGGTGCCTGGTGCCCGGTGCCGGTCGCAGTCTCAAAAGCGCCTGGAGGTGACATCCAGGAGCACCACCGCGCCGCCCGCAGGGAGACGCATGGCAAGGCGCGCCCCCTAAAGCGGCCAAGGAAGAAGCAGAAGGACAGGAAGGCACCCAGAGCTTGGGGTGATCTCAGGCCGCGCGCCCCAAGTTCCTGGTCTCTGGGAGGTTTTTTTTAAATTTCTTCCATATTATTATTTTTATTATTATTAACTTTTCAAGATGGATTAAAGACTTAAATGTTAGACCTAAAACCATAAAAACCCTAGAAGAAAACCTAGGCAATACCATTCAGGACATAGGCATGGGCAAGGACTTCATGTCTAAATCACCAAAAACAATGGCAACAAAAGCCAAAATTGACAAATGGGATCTAACTAAACTAAAGACCTTCTGCACAGCAAAAGAAACTACCATCAGAGTGAACAGGCAACTTACAGAATGGCAGAAAAATTTTGCAATCTACCCATCTGACAAAGGGCTAATATCCAGAATCTACAAAGAACTTAAACAAATGTACCAGAAAAAATCAAACAATCCCATCAAAAAGTGGGCGAAGGATATGAACAGACACTTCTCAAAAGAAGACATTTATGCAGCCAACAGACACATGAAAAAATGTTCATCATCACTGGCCATCAGAGAAATGCAAATCAAAACCACAATCCGGGAGGTCTTGCCAAAGACGATGTGGGCTTTCTGGGCAATGTCCAGCCTGAGCTGGAGCTTCTGGGACGCGGTCAAGTGGTCCTTTGGAGATTCCATGGCTTCGGATCCCTACTGCAGGATGCTCCGCTGTGTCTGCCAGCCTCTGGAGTTTTGCTGAGGGGTAACCTCGGAATGTATAGAAATAAGAACACTGGGATGGCCCAGTCATGACCCAGGCATTCCTGCACACAGTGGTGGCAAAGGCAGGCGCTCAGACAAAGTGCCCAGTCGGCTTGGTGAGAGTACTTTACAGGTTAGTGACAGACTTGGTCCCGTGCTTGTGTCCTCTCATGTTTTCAGTTAACCTGCGGACGCCCAGGGGCTCCTCCATCTCCACCGTGTTCTCCTCGGGCTGAAGCCCAAAGTCCCCCATTTTCTCCTCAAACGGCTCACAGAGCCACTTCTGCAGGCAGGAGGACAGCGGTGGGCTCAGTGGCTGACCTGGGAAGCCACATCTGAAGGAACTGCTGGGTGACTATGGCCGTAAGTCAGTCAAAGCAGACTTTCCCTGGCTTGCTGCGCTACATTGATTTTGTTTTCATATTTTAAAAGACGCAGAAGGGAGGTCCTAGGAAATTTGCCCAATGCAGATGCTGACAAGAGTGGTGACATGAAAAAGATTACCCAGAAGGAAAACAAGAGCTATTTTCTAAACATCTGAAATCTGTGTAGGCTTTTGGAAAAGTGAAACTAGATGCAAAGCAGCATGATATAATTCTGGCAATTTCCACTGACACAGAACTCAGTCAATCTGAATTAATCTAAGGGTTACAAGGAAAATGGCACTCCAAGAGGTACCTATTAACATCACTCAGCTGCTGTGAAATAGGCTTACAGACAACACGGAGTGTCAATTATCCAATGTTTAAAGTCAGTGATACAGATTGGACTACAATCTCTATGGCTCATAAAGTCTTCTTTAAAGGATTGATAGATGATTTATCTCATATGTAGACAATGATTCTCAGCAGTTAGCTAGCACAACTTGCTAATATCAATTGCTTGAGAAAATCAGATAATTGCTTGAGAAAATTAGGACATTGCTTGAGGATGTTAGGTAATTAAATAAATTACTTTTTTTAAGAATAGTTTAATGTTTTGGCAAGTAGACTTTAAAATAGATTGGTAATATTTTAAAGGCTACTTTTAAAGAAGTAGCAATATAACATGTTTAATTATGAAAAATAATGTTGGAAACAATTCAATTTTCTATCAGATAATTTCACAAATATAGAAATACCATCTCAATAATTAGAAGAAGTAGCAGCAATTTCTGTCATTTTTATGCAAGTTACTCCTAGTCCATTTATCTGGTCTTAAATAGTGTTTTTAAAATTTGTTTTCAAACAAGGCAAATCATAAATAATAGAATATATTTTACAATAATTGAAGTTAACAAAAAATAAGAGCCATTTAAAAAATTGTATTAGATTGTTTAAAAATGTTGTGGGTACATAGTATGTGTATGTATCTGTGGGGTCCCTGAGATGTTTTGATACAGGCATGCAAGGTGAAATAAGCACATCTTGGGGAATGGGGTATCCCTCCCCTCAAGCATTTATCCTTCAAGTTATAAAAAATTCAATTACAGTCTTAGTTATTTCAAAATGTACAACGAAATTATTATTGGATATAGTCACCCTATTGTGCTATAAAATAGTAGGTCTTATTAACTCTCTATTTTTATACCCATTAACCATCCCCACCTTCCCACAAAATCCCCCCCCAACTACCTTTCCCAGCCTCTGATAACCATCCTTATACTCTCTATGTCCATGAGTTTGTTTTGATTTTAGATCCCACAAATAAGTAAGAACATGTAACATTTGTCTTTCTGCGCCTGGCTTATTTCACTTAATATAATGATCCATAATGCTCCATCAGTGTTACTGACAATGACTGGATCTTGTTCTTTGTTACAGCTGAATAGTCCTCCATTGTGTATATGTACCACATTTTCTTTATCCATTCATCTGTTGATGGACACTAAGGTTTCTTCCAAATCTTAGTTTTGTAAACAGTGCTGCAACAAATATGGGAGTGCAGATATGTATTTGACATACTGATTTCCTTTATTTTTGGTATAGACCCAGCAGTAGGATTGCTAGATCATATGCTAGCTCAACTTTTAGTTTATTGAGAAACATCCAAACTGTTCACCTTGGTGGTTTTATTAATTTACATTCCCAGGAGCAATGTACAAGTGTTCCGTTTTCTCTGCTTCCCTGCTAGCATTTGTTACTGCCTGTCTTTTGCATACAAGTCTTATAAACTGTGGTGAGATGATATCTCATTGTAGTTTTGATTTGCATTTCTCTGATGATCAGTGATATTGAGCACCTTTTCTTATACCTGTTTGCCATTTGTAGGTCTTCTTTTGAGAAATATCTATTTGAATCTTTTGCCCCCTTTTTTTTAACCAGGTTATTAGATTGTTTCTTAAAGAGTTGTTTGAGCTTTTTATATATTCTGATTATTAATCCTTTGTTGGATGAGTAGTTTGCAAATATTTTCTCTCATTCTGTGGATTATCTCTTAACTTTGTTGCTTGTATCATTTTCCGTGCAGAAGCTTTTAACTTAATGTGATCCATTTGTCCATTTTTGCTTTGGTTGCCTGTGCTTGTGGGGTATTGCTCAAGATATTTTTGCCCAGACCAATATCCTGGAGATTTCCCCCAAAGTTTTTTTGTACTAGTTTTATAGTTTGAGGTCTTAGCTTTACATCTTTAATCAACTTTGATTTTACTTTTGTATTCAGTGATAGATACTAGTCTGTTTTCATTCTTCTGCATATGGATATCCAGTTTTTTCAACACCATTTCCCACCAGTGTATGTTCTTGGCACCTTTGTCAAAAATGAGTTCACTGTAGGTATGTAGATTTGTTACTGGGTTCTCTATTGTGTTTCATTGATCTATGGGCCTCTTTTTATGTCAGTACCCTACTCTTTTGGTTACTGTAATTCTGTAGTATAATATGAAGTTAGATAATATAATTCCTCCAGTTTTATTTATTTATTTATTTTTGCTTAGGATAGTATTATTTCTTATACTGAAAGCATTCTATGTTATTATTAGTCTAATTTTGCAGTTTTACAATGCTATCCTCTTTTACAAAGCTGTGATCAACTCAAAGTCCAGATCAGGGTCAATTGTAGCTATTTGCAAAAGTAGCAATATTCTGGCCAGGGGTGGTGGCTCATGCCTATAATCCCAGCACTTTGGGAGGCCAAGACAGGCAGGTCACCTGAGGTCAGAGGTTCAAGACCAGCCTGGCCAACATGGTGAAACCCTGTCTCCAATAAAAATACAAAAATTAGCCGGGGATGAAGGCAGATGCCTGTAATCCCAGCTACTCAGGAGGCTGAGGCAGGAAAATCACTTGAACCCGTGAGGTGGAGGTTGCAGTGAGCCCAGAATGCACCATTGCACTTCAGCCTGGGTAACCAAGTGTGACTCCGTCTCAAAAAAAAAAAAAAAAAAAAAGTACTATACTGTGTAATTATTGAGAGCATAATTCACTATTATGTGGATCAGAGAGCAGAGCATTCTGAATGCATGAACATATCTTTAACATTTCAATACATTACTCATAATTACTAATGAACTAAAGAGAAACCAAGAAATTATGGTGATAGTTATATTGACTTGGTGAAATGTAGACACAAAATAACGGTAAGATGAGAAATGTGTTAACACAGGCTATAAGGGCATGCAAGAATAAAAATAGGGGAGAAAACAGGAGAGTTTTTCAAGAGCTTTCTGGTCATGTAAGTCAATTTGTATCGGTTAATTTTTAAAAGGTTTATTTACATGCAATAAACTGCACATACTTCAATTGTACATTTTGATAATTCTTGGCATTTGTAGCTCTACAAAACCAACAACATATGAAAATAGCAAACATATCCATTACCTTTACCACCAAAGTTTCCTTGTGCTTTTTCTACTCACTTTTTCCTGCCTATCCCCATTCCATCCACAGGCAACCACTGATCCACTTCTAGTCACTATCCGTGAGTTTTTATTTCCAAATACATAAAATCATAGGGTATGTATACTTTCTGATCACTCAGCATCACTATTTTTGAGATTTATTCATGTTGCTACATCTATCAATTGTTCTGTTCTTACTAGGGAGTATTATTTCATTATATACAGATACCATAGTAAGTTTATAAGTCACAAATTCACCTGTCCATGGATATTTGGACTATTTTCAGGTTTTGGCTGTTGCAAGTAAAGCTGCTATGAAGATTCACGTAAAATCCTTTGAATGGGCATATGCTCTTAGGTTTTCATCTCTACTGGAATAGATAGCTATATGGCTATCATGTCTGTAATATGCAAACACAAAGCCTGACAAAACTGATTTCTAAAGTGGAAATTCCACTGGAGAACCTTGACTCCAACCTGGCTTTTGAGATTATCTCCTATGTCTGGTGCAATGATTGGTCCTGGGGTAGCCACATGACCCAAGGGGGACCATGTTTAAACTTCTGAGTTTTCACCGAGGTTAACATGCATTTGTTGAAAGAGAAACCCCTTTTCCCCTACTCCCCCAGCTGCAAATGCCTTCAGGGATTATATCATGTTGGAACATTTGGTTACAGTGTTTCCTAAACTTTGGGGGTAAAAATTGTTCAAGTAGGTAAAAATGGAGCACACACAAAGAAAAAAGGAGTCCAGAAATATCAAATAAAGAAAGGGCCTCCATAAAATCATTTGAACTTATGATTAATTCATTAGTCATTAAAATAAGTTTAGTGTACAAAGAATCATCCCTCCAACCACCCTTTATTCCTTCACCAGGTTTAAGTTACATTTTTAAACTTGCAAACAAAAGATTTGTCATTAACTTAGACATCAAAATCCCTTGTCTCCAAGAGCAATCATTCAACTCTGTCCCTCTCATTATTACAATAATATGTTCACTTTATTCTACATACACCTGCTCGTTGCCCTTGTCTCCCTATTCTATTCTGTTAAAGTTATATCCAGACATTTATTTCATTTTATATCAAAGAAACTGTATACACGTTTTTAATCTTAGAAAAATTTCTGAGTAATCTTTTGTCTCATATTCGATTTTAAGCCACCCAAGAAGCATTATTTTTTCATTTAGCATTTTAACTTTTCTAACCCAGGACTTTTATAGTAGATATTATGTCTTTTTCTAAATGTTCTGCTTCAATTTACATTTTAAATCTAATTTTTAAAAAGTGTATGTTTTGAATATTAGCATCATGCATCTCAGGCCTAAATATCCCTTGATAACTAATATTGTCCTTTTTTCTCTACATTTTTCACATATTTCAATAGGGAGCTATATTGCCTGCCACAATAAAAGTTTTTGTCAATATAACATAACACATAGGCAAAATATTGTTTCCAAGTGATTGATGATGTGGTGCCTTCAGTCTAGTCCCAACCCCTCAATGTAATCATCATCCCTAAATCTAATGAAATAGGAAATAAATATTTCATTTTGTTTCTAAAATTCAGCAGAAAAATATACAGCCTGTCACATATAGCCTGTAACACCAACATATAAAAATTAAAGCAGTTCCTTCTCCACTCCCACTGCTTCACTTGACTAGCCTTAAAAAATAATAATAATAATAAATAAAAGCAAAATTGTTCCTTTACTTATCTTTGAAATCTAATGGATATACTATCAGAAAAGCTCTTATGTATATGGAGGGCCTCTATAAAATATAAACTGTTAACTAGAAAAGTAGATTTATATGATAGTTAAATTTAAAACACAATTATATATAGTACCTTCCCAAATGCACCAGTACTTATTTCAGAATGCATGATGTAATTGACTAAACCATTTAGGGCTAGACCTCTGAAATAAAAGGCATTCACACTTTGTGATTCCTGGGGAAATATTCAAAATAGAAACTTGCAGAATCTTTACCTGATCATGATAAAAAAAATGTTCCTACTTGTTAATATGCCACAGCTTTTACAAGGTCAGCAAAAAGAGATTATCCCACAATAAAAGCTGATGGCCAAAATTATCTGCCTTACTTTAGTTACCATAATATCTATTAAGTGTAAATTTCTTCTGAAGGAAAACAGATACACTTTTCTCAGAAATGTCTTTAGATGAAGATCTAGCACATCTGTGTTCCTCACTTTTTAAAATGTTGATTTTATTGATAAATAAATATATATAGGGTACAATGTGGTACGATACATGTAGATATTGTGAAATGGACTAATTAGGCTAAATAACGTATCCTTCACCTCAGATATGTATTACATTATGGTGAAACATTTAAAATGTACTATTTTAGCACTTTTAAGATATGCACTACATTATGAGTAACTGCAGTCACTTTGCTGTGCACCATATCACCAGAATGTCTTTCTCCTAACTGAAGCATTATCCCATTCAATATTTCCCCTTTTTCCACCCCTGCCCCCCACCCTGCTCAGCCTCTGATAAACCACCATTCTATTCTTAACTTCTATGAGTGCACAGTTTTGGATTTCACATATAAGTGATACTATGAGATATTTGTCTTTCTGTGTCTGGCTTATTTTACTTAGCATAATGTCCTCTAAATTCATCCATGTTTTTGCAAATGACAGATTTTCATTCATTTATAAAGATAAGTAGTATTTTTGTATGCATCCTACATATACTTTTAACTTTCCACAGCTTTATTGAGATATAATTTATACATTGTGTAATTCACTCATTTAAAGTACAAACTTCAAATTCTTTTAGTATATTAACTGGATGGACAAATAATCATCATAATATAATTTTAGAACATTTTATTTTCCTTAAAAGAGACTTGCGCCCATTAGCAATCTTTCCCCATTTTCTCCAGTCTTTTTTAAACCCCTCCTAGTCTAGGCAACCACTCGTCTACTTTCTGACTATGAATTTGCCTATTCTGGACATTTCACATAAATGGAATTATAATAACACATAGTCACTTTTTACTCACATCTTTCACCTAACATATTTTTAATGTTCATCCATTTTGGAGCATGCATTAACAGTTTTTTACCTTTTCTTGCTAAATAAGATTCTATTTTATGGACACACCACATTTTATTTATCCACTCCTCAGCTGATGAACATTTCTGTTGTTTTCTACTTTGTGTTGCTATAAACATTTGTGTACTACTGTTTGTGTAGCATTTGTTTTATTTTCTTTTTGGTAAACACATAGGAGTGGAATTGCTGGGTCACGTGATAACTCTATGTTTAACCATTTGAAGAACTGCGAGACTGCTTTACATTTTAAAGTCTCACCAGTGGTGTAGAAGGGTTCCAATTTTTCCACATATTTTTATCTAGTCTTCAGTTGATAAGCACTTAGGTTGTTTCTAATTCATGGGTATTATGAATAATGCTGCAATGAACATGAAATTGCAGATGTCTGTTTTTGACATACTGATTAAAATTCCTTTGGACACGTATCCAGAAGTGGGATTGATGGATCATAGGGTAAATATATTTATAATTTCTTGAGGAAGCTTCATACTGTTTTCCAAGATGGCTGTGCTAATTTCCATTCTTACCAACAGTGCACAGGGTTTCTTTTTCTCCACATCCTCATCAACACTTATCTTCCATCTTTTTTTATAATAGCCCTAGTAAAATGTGTGAGGTGATATCTCATTGTGGCTTTGATTTGCATTTCTCTGATAATTAGAAATGTTCATGATTTTTTCATGTACCTGTTGGCCTTTTGTATGCCTTACGAAATGTCTATTCTGGTTCTTTGCTTATTTTTTTTAATAAGCATAGTTTTATTCTTATGTTTGAGTAGGTTGAGTTACTTATATATTATTATATGAGCCCCTTATCTGATGTATGGTTTAAAAATGTTATCCCATTTGTGGGTTCTCTTCATTCTATTATCACTTCTTTTCCTGTGGAAAAGCTTTTTAGTTTTATGCAATCTCATTCATGTGTTTTTGCTTTTGTTGCCTGTGCTTTTGGAATAATCTACAGAAAATCATAGCTCAGGCCAATGTCATACAGTCTTCTTCTATATTTCCTTGTAGTAGTTTTACATTTAAGTCTTTAATTTTGATTTCATGCTTGTATAAAGAGCAAAAGAAAAGTCAAATTTTATTCTTCTGTATGTGGATAGTCAGTTTTTTCTACACCATTTATTGAAAATAATTTTCTTTCTTCATTGTGTATTTTTAGTTATTTTATCAAAAAGTCAATTGACCACAGACATACGGATTTATTTACGGGTTCTATATCCCTTTGCACTGTTCTACATGTCTGTTTTTATGCCACTGCTATGTTGTTTTAATTACTATAGCTTTGTAATATAGTTTGGAATCGGGTAGTCTGATGCCTCCAGCTTTATTCTTTTTGTTCAAGATTGCTTTGGTTAGTCAGGGTCTTTTGTGGTTTCATACAAATTTTAGCAGTAATTTTTCTATTTCTGGGAATTTGATAGTGGTTGCATTTAATCTGTAGATTGCTTTGGGTAGCATTGACACTTTTACAATACTAATTTTTGAATCAATCAATAAAGGATGTTTCTCCATTTATTTATGCCATTTTAACTTTTTTCATCAATGTGCTATAGTTTTCAGTGTGCAAATCTTTCACATTCTTGATTAAATTTACTCCTAAGTCTTTTACATATTTTTATATCTGTTTTGATTCTATTATAAATTGAATTGCCTTATTAATTTATTTTTCAGGTAATAGTTTGTCATTAATGTATAGAAACAATAATGCTATCTGTATGATTTTGTAACTATTAACTTTATTGAATTTCTTTATCAGCTTTAACCGTTTATTGTGGTGGAGTCTTTAAGATTTTCTCTACCTTGAGTGCGCCAGGCGCGGGGAGCCTAGGACCTGGAGCGAGAGCCGCCTACCTGCAGCCGCCGCCCACGGCACGGCAGCCACCATGGCGCTCCTGCTGCGCTTCGTGCTCCTGTGCAGAGCCGCGGATTTCATCAGAGGTTGGAGTATCACTACTCCTGAGCAGATGATTGAAAAAGCCAAAGGGGAAACTGCCTATCTGCCATGCAAATTTACGCTTAGTCCTGAAGACCAGGGACCACTGGACATCGAGTGGCTGATATCACCAGCTGATAATCAGAAGGTGGATCAAGTGATTATTTTATATTCTGGAGACAAAATTTATGATGACTACTATCCAGATCTGAAAGGCCGAGTACATTTTAAGAGTAATGATCTCAAATCTGGTGATGCATCAATAAATGTAACGAATTTTCAGCTGTCAGATATTGGCACAGATCAGTGCAAAGTGAAAAGAGCTCCTGGTGTTGCAAATAGGAAGATTCAGCTGGTAGTTCTTGGTAAGCCTTCAGGTACAAGATGTTACGTTGATGGATCAGAAGAAATTGAAAGTGACTTTAAATTAAAATGTGAACCAAAAGAAGGTTCACTTCCATTACAGTATGAGTGGCAAAAATTGTCTGACTCACAGAAAATGCCCACTTCATGGTTAGCAGAAATGACTTCATCTGTTATATCTGTAAAAATGTTTCTTCTGAGTACTCTGGGACATACAGCTGTACATCAGAAACAGAGTGGGCTCTGATCAGTGCCTGTTGCGTGTAAACGTTGTCCCTCCTTCAAATAAAGCTGGACTAATTGCAGGAGCCATTATAGGAACTTTGCTTGCTCTAGTGCTCATTGGTCTTATCATCTTTTGCTGTCGTAAAAAGCGCAGAGAAGAAAAATATGAAAAGGAAGTTCATCACGATATCAAGGAAGATGTGCCGCCTCCAAAGAGCCGCACGTCCACTGCCAGAAGCTACATAGGCAGTAATCATTCATCCCTGGGATCCATATCTCCTTCCAACATGGAAGGATATTCCAAGACTCAGTATAAACAAGTACCAAGTGAAGACTTTGAACGCACTCCTCAGAGTCCGACTCTCCCACCTGCTAAGGTAGCTGCCCCTAATCTAAGTCCAATGGGCGCGATTCCTGTGATGATTCCCGCACAGAGCAAGGATGGGTCTATAGTATAGAGCCTCCATACGTCTCATCTGTGCTCTCCGTGTTCCTTTCCTTTTTTTGATATATGAAAACCTATTCTGGTCTAAATTTTGTTACTAGCCTCAGAATGTATCAAAAAATAAGTTAATCAGGAGCTGTAAGGAATATATTTTTAAAAATTTTTGTTTGGTTATATCGAAATAGTTACGGGCATTAAAGTTAGTAAAGACAAGTTTACCATCTGAAAAGGCTGGATTTTCTTTAAGAGGCTGATTATAAAGGTTTCTAAATGTTATCAGTACCTAAGTAAGATGTAGCACTTTGAGTATGAAATCATAGGTGAAGAAATCGGTGAACTTACTTGCATACCAAGTTGATACTTGAGTAACCATCTGAAAGTGGTACTTGATAATTTTTACCATTATTTTTAGGATGTGTATCTCATTTATTTATGGCCCACAAGTCTCCCCCAAATTAGTACAGAAACATCCCTGACAAAATTACTTATGTACGTTTGTACTTGTTTTCACAGCTCCTCGGAAAACTCTGTGTTGGGAATATCTCTAAAAACATAGAAAACACTACAGTGGTTTAGAAATTACTAATTTTACTTCTAAGTCATTCATAAACCTTGCCTATGAAATGACTTCTTAAATATTTAGTTGATAGACTGCTACAGGTGATAGGGACTTAGCAAGCTCTTTTATATGCTAAAGGAGCATCTATCAGATTAAGTTAGAACATTTGCTGTCTGCCACATATTGAGATGGCACTAGGTGCAATAGCAGGGATAGATTTTGTTGGTGAGAGGTCTCATGCCTTGAGATCTGTGGTGGTCTTTAAAATGGTGGCCAGCCAGACCAAGGATGTAGTATCTCATAGTCCCCAACTAAATGCTGGCTTTCCACTTTAGGTGATATTTTTCTAATTAGAAAACTATTATAACTCACTTATTGTTTGACAATTATAGATTGAAATTTCCTAATTCTAAATTTTAAGTGGCTCTTCGGTTTCAGTGCTCTATGTTGTTTGTTGTTGGTTTTGGATGGCATTACATATTATATGTTCTAGAAACATGTAATCCTAAATTTACCCTCTTGAATATGATCCCTGGATGATATTTTTATCATAAATGCAGAATAATCAAATACATTTTAAGCAAGTAAGTGTCCTCCATCAGTTCCGTATTCCAGACTTGGGAGGATGTACAGTTGCTGTTGTGTGATCAAACATGTCTCTGTGTAGTTCCAGCAAATCAAGGTGAGCTTCAAAAAAGTTTGAGTCTCAGTTTTGTGAAAGTGATTTATTCTTAAAAAAAAAAAAAAAAAGAAAGAAAGAAAAAAAGAAAAAGAAAAAAAGATAAGAAAAAGGAATAAAGCAACCACTCCTCCTTGTCAAATGTGCTAAATATCATTTTAGGAGAAGAGAGTGGACTTATTGTATCTCCCTTAAGATTGTGAGGGAGTGTGGATACAGTAGAATGAGCCAATAGTTTCTTTATAATAAATACGGTCTGCAATAAATTATTTCACTAGCTCTAAAACCTTTCCCTAGATTTTAGTGGGGAGTTGGTTTCTGTTAATATCTTTGGGTGCTGTGGTGGTAAATGCTACATTATAAACGGTGGCATGTATTTACAGTTACAGTATTGTGTGTACACTTTTTAATGGTAAACTTAAGCTGAATGTGTAATGGACTTGTGTATAGTTTTACATATTTGGAAGCATTTTAAAAATAGGTTTTAACCTTACATAAAATTACTTTTATACTTGTGTTAACATTTTCTTCTGTGCCTTTTGGGTAATTTAATTTCTGTTATGAATTTCTGGTGCCTATGAGCTAGCTATCACCTACCTGAAAGTTGCTTAGAGGTGAAGGTACTGTTTCTAAAAACACATCACTGTGACATCTTTCTATCCTCATATTTTCAAGCTTGCCTCTTTTCTGTTCTTTGTGGATATAACTTAAGTGATTGTGTTATTCATAAAGATTTAGAAATTTCAATATTCCCAACACTCTGACTATGTTTCTGATTTTATAACAGTAGCCATTTTTGAATGTCAGATGTTTGGCCTGTTTTATATGAAAAAAGTTTATTTATAAAATATTATAAAAATAAGTAAATAGAACATTAATAATAAAAAAAGATTTTCTGTATCTTAAGATTATATTTTCAGAAAACAGAAACAATCTTACCTCTTCCTTCCCTATATGGATTTCTTTTATTTCTTTGTCTTGTGTAATTGATCTGGCTAGGCAATTACACATAATGTTTTCAGCATTTGTAATTTTACATCAAATCCATCCATTGTAGCACATTGACTGCTACTTTTCAACTTGTAAACCTGGACATTTATCACCACTCTTCCTCCAGTACAGGAGTCCATGGCCCGGTGTGGGCCCTACTGTGCCACAGTCCAGGGCACGGCTGGGCGCAGGTTCTCTCGTGCAAGAGTCCGCAGCTCTGCGGAGCAAGAGTTCTCCAGTGCCTTAGACCAGGGTGAGGCAGGGGTGAGGCTCCTTCAGTAGCTCAGTCCAGGACGCAGCCCTGCGAGGGTCCTCCTGTGCAGGAGTACACGATGCTGCGGGGTCCTACTGTGCCTTAGTCCAAGACGCCAGGGGGCTGGGTCCTCTGGTGCCATAGTCCAGGGTGCAGTGGAACAGGAGTCCTGTGGAGCAGCAGTCCAGGGCGCGATGGGGCATGGATTCTCAGGTGCCGCAGTCCAGAACACTGCAGGGCGGGATTCCTGCCTTGCTATATCCAGGGTGCCGCGGGGCGGGGGTTCTCTTGTGCAGGAGTCCAGGACGTGGCGGAGCAGGAGTCCTCCGTGTAGGTGTCCTCCGGTGCTGGAGTCCAGAGCTCAGTGAGGCTGGGTCCTCCCGTGCCATAGTGTAGGGCATGGCGGGACAGGGATCCAGCCCTGCGATAGTCCAGTGCTTGAGTCCGCAGTAAGGCAATGGTCCTCCAGTGCTGGAGTTCACGGTGTGGTGGGGTCGGGGTCCTTCGGTGACTTAGTCCAGGGCGTACCAGGGCAGGGTTCCACAGTTGCCATAGTGAGGATCCTGGAGGAGGGTGGTTCCTGCCTTGCTGTAGTCCGGGGAGCAGGGGGCAGGGGTTCTCTCTTGTCAGAGTCTGTGGCGCGATGGGGGTGGGCTGGGGGTTTTCCTATGCGATAGCCCACTGGGCGGTGAAGCCGGGTCCTCCCGTGCCTTTGTCCAGGGTGCAGGGGGGCGAGGGTCTTCAGTGGTGGAGTCCGTGGAGCAGCAGGGCGGGGGTCCTGCAGTGCCATATTCCAGGCCGCTGCGGAGTGGGGGACCTGTCCTGCAGTGGTCCAGGGCATGCGGGAATGGTGGTCCTCCTGTGCCATAGTCCAACGCGCAGCGGGGCGGGGGGTCACCTCGTCCTGCGGTCCACCAACCACGAGGCCCGGGTGCTGCTGTGCCTCAGTCCAGTGCGCGGTGGGACGGCGGTCCTGCTGTGCTGTAGTGCAGGACGCGGTGGCGCAGGGGTAGTCCAGAGAGCGCCGTGGCAGGGGGTCCTCCAGTGCTGGAATCCAGTGCAAGGCGGGTCAGGGGTCTTACCGTGCCGAAGTCGGTGGCAGGGGTCCTCCCGTGCCATAGTCTAGGGGGCGACGGGGCAGGGTTCTCTAGTGCAGGTGTCCAGGGTGTGGCAGGGCAGGAGTCCTCTGGTGCAGGAGTCCAGAACCTAGCCGAGGAGTCCTCCAATGCCAGAGTCCAGGGCTCTGCGGGGCCGGGTTCCCCCATGCCAGAGTGTAGGGCGTGTTCAGGCGAGGGTCTTGGCGTGCAGTAGTCCAGGGTGCGGTGGGGCAGGGGTAGTCCAGACCTCCATGGCGGGGGTCCCTCTGTGCAGGAGCCCAGTGCCCGGCGGATCGGGGGTCCTTCCGTGCTGTAGTCCGGGGCACGGCAAGGTGTGGGTCCTCTGGTGCCCTAGGTCGGGGGCGGCGAGTCAGAGGTTCTCCCGTGCCTTGGTCTAGGGCGTGGAAGGACTGGGGTCCTGGAGTCCACGCGGTAGCACAAGTTGCCCCAGGACCAGGTCCTCTGGAACCACAGTCCAGGGCGCTGAGGGGCAGGAGTAGTTCAGGGCGAGCCGGGGCCAAGGTCCTCGGGAGCCAGAGTCCAGGGTGTGGAAGGGTGGGGGTTCTGCAGTGCACAGTCCAGGACACCGCGGGGCGGGGCAGGGCGGGGATCCTCCGGTGCCTTAGTCCAGGGCTGAGCCGCGGTAGAGGTCCTTCAGTAGCATAGTCTAGCGCACGGCGTTGCAGGTGTCCTCCAGTGCCTGAGACCACGGCAGGTCGCGGGTCCCACTGTGCTCTAGTTCAGGATGGAGCAGGTCTGAGGTCTTCTGTTGCCTCAGTCTAGGGCGCTGGAGAGCGGGGATCCTCTGGTGCCAGAGTCAATGGATCCACCGGTCGGGGTCCTCCCATGTCTTAGCCCCGGGAGGGGAGAGGCGGGGGTCCTCCTTTGCCCTAGTCCAAGGCATTGTGAGGCCCCGCTCCTGCATTCTTAACTGTCTGTGCCTCTGCCGCCGCGGGGGAAAACTGCACCATCTCAGGCAAGCCTAACAGAGCAGCTGTCCTTAAAAGATTCCCAGTTGAGTGTGGTTCGGAGCAGGCCTGAGAAGTGTGCCCTTAGATGGCTTCAAGGGCTCTGGGCAATGTTTAAGGAATCCAGCTGACCTCAGTTACTCCGAGCCCTTTTCCACTCAGCAGAACTTCTGGCCACCGGGTCCTCTATCTGCGGAGCCCTTCTATCATCCCAGATCCCCACAGGGTGGACTCCGTCTCATCCTCACAATCTCAGCTCAGGCCTTATTCATCACAGCATTCCTGGCACCAGGCCTGGCCCATGAGAAATTGGTCAGATTAAGAGCTAAATGTGTTTCCATGGTCACTTGTTTTCTTCAGGCCTCCTTTCTTTGTGCCAGCATCTTTGGGTTTTGGTTAAAGTTTTCAGCAGCTGCATGAAGTTCCATTTTTCTTACCAGGTAAGAGACATAGCTTCATGAAAACAAAGGCAGAACGCTTGTGACCAGAGAACTCCCAGTCCTCTCCCTGCATAGGAAAACTGGACTTCTCCGGAGGGCTCCAGCTCCTGGGCAAATCTCTAGGGCCACTTAATTGGGCTGTCCCCCACCTTTGTTTCTGGTTTTGAAGGGGCGGAAGTTGGGAATCCTTTCTAAGTCTCTACACATGGAGCCCTTCTTTGGTGGGAAAGTCTTGACATATACCAGGATTGTCATTGACCTTTCAGAGCCTTCAAGAATCCTGAGCTGCTTTGGCTTCTGTTCCTGGAAGAGAGGCCACTGAACTGCTCTGGAGCTGGAGTTCAAGTTCAAATATTCATCACTGTTACTAAGCCTTTACATAGCATGTGATTTCTTTCCGGCAGGCTCATGGTCACTTAGGTTTGCTTGTATGTAGATGGAGTGGTCTGCATCCTCATTCAGGTAACACCCCCAGCCTTTCATGCTGAGATTGGCCATTTTATTTGTAACTCACTGTACAATCCATTTGCTCTTCCAGTGTCCCTTAGAAGGATGCAGAGTGTACTGTAGAATGCCATAGAGACCTGGGTTTAGGGAAAATATTTGACCCAAAGTCCGCCAACTCACATGAGTATCTCCCCACAACTTGTACCGTGCTAGTCTCTGGGTATATAGCAAATGAAACCGTGCCTGAACAGATGTTACAAACACCCTCCCCTGAGAGACTCCAGGGCTGCTTTATTCATGCAAAACGGTGGGCTCTAATAAGCTCAGAGCTGAGAGGAACAAGTTTTCATTCCAGCGTTCTCAAAAACTCCCTTTGTGACTTTAGGCCTAATAATAATAACACTACCTAGGTAGTGAACACCTCTGTGCCAAGAAATATCATGATCATTGCCTGAGTTGTAATTCTCACAGTAGTCCTGCAGGACAGCTGCTATTACTGCTTATTATGCAGATGGGCAACCTGAGGCTCAGATGGAGTTAAGTGGCTTAATTGGTAGCAATAGAGCCAGGATTTGAACCCAGGGCTGCCTGATCACCAAATAAAATTGTACTCAACATGATGCACTTAACTTTTCTGGCCTCATTTCTCTCACCTGTAAAAATGCATATTTCAGATGTTTGTAATATTTTACCTGTGGTTGAAAGAGTTACCAGCCCTTCCTTGATCACCCATGGTAAGACCCATGAGCCTCTGAATATAATTATAGAAAACATTTGGAGAGGGATGGAGAGAAACAAGATCATGCCTCCTTTGATAATGTCAAATTTTCAGTGCACGAAGCCATACATAGTGCAGTTTTCTAGCTTCCCTTTCACACATGGCGTTGAAGAAAGTAAATTAAGCAACTCAGCTAACACTGGGAATGCAGCAGAAGTCATCGAGTTCAGTGCTGGGAGACAGTTGCCATGATATTCCAACATGGACACCAGGATCACAGTCGATGACTATGCCCTCCCTTGAAGATGGTGGCTTGCCTCTCTTTCTGTAAGCACATGTCATGTCATAACAATATTAAACAATTAAAAGTAATGTCCCCATCTTCTTCTACACTGCCTTTGAATTATTATTTTAGATCTGCCAAAATAAATTGCAAACTCATTAACAAGAAATGGGGGTGCCTGCATCCCTGCCTTCCTGAGTAGTCTATTCACCCAAAGACAAAAGGGTGACCAGCCTCCGTCTGGGATATTCAAAGACACAGTCACCCTGCCATGCAGCCTGAGGCTGGCGAAGGTCCAATCCCCTTTTTAAGAAGCTTGTTGGATGAGCTTCATAAACATACAACCACAAAGGAAAGGCACAGCTGATGTGAGCGAGGCTGATAAGATGGGCATTTTGTCTGCTTCAAGGTTAGAATGCAACTTGTCTGTCAAAATGTGGTTATCTGACCTCCACAATGCTGCAGTCCAGCTAAATCCTGCAAATATTCATCCACCATTTACTATGGATAAAACAATAATGTGCTGTGGGGAATCCAATTACACACACACACACACACACACACACACACAAAAGTGCACACACACATGCATGCACACACACTGCTCCTGCTGTCTCAGAGGTTCCATGCTGGCAAGGCAGAAGTGCAAACATTAGCAGGTAAGTCCACTAGCAGGAGGAATGTGATAAGTAGATCCAACAGGGTACAACACAGTATGATAGAAGCAAACAAGGTAGAAATGAGTTCTGACTCCCTTTCACTTATGAAACTGATTATGGAATAGTGTATGAAAGGCTTGCCTGAATGAATCTCATATTTTCCAAGTGTTTTCTATCCCAGTGATTGGAACTTTTATTCATTTATACCATTGTCCAAAAGGAAAATACAGGAGATTTTCCTAAGACCATCCTCTGTCTTATCGCTCATATCATATCCCCAAACATCACCAAGCCCTGCCCACTTTTACCTACTCGGTTTCTCTCCAGTTGCTCTGTTTTCTCCATATGCACTAGTGATACCTTGGCTACATGAAGACCACCAGCAGCAGCCGGGACAACCAGCACCCTGTGGAACTGCATAGAGTGCATAGAATATGTCCTCCCTTCAGTCGGCTTGGGTCAGCTTAGGTCATGGGCCACCTGGACTGACAGCAGTTTCCACAGAAATGCCTCAAGATGATAGAATAATCCAAATCTCTTTGCATGGGGCATGGTGTGGCTATCTGAGAAAATCCTGGCTTTTATAGGAAGGAGAAAGAAGAATGCTTCTTGAGGGGAAGAAACCAACAGGAATGTGCCTCAGGGAAATGTCACCAGAGGAGAGTGAGCTGTAATGAGTATTTTGGCAGATTGCATGTTTCTTGTGGTTCTTGTGTTCCTCGGCCCTGCACAGAGCTACCATTTACTCATTTGACAAATATTTGAGTAGTAGACTCCAGGGTTCAATAGTGAGCAAAAATGCACAGAATTTCTTCTCTAGTGGAGCTGAGAGTCTAACAGAAAGAGGTGATGTTAGTCACAGAATTATGTAACAAGGGAAAGTTCAGCAGACCCAGGGGTGCTGCAAGAGCCTGGGAAGGTGGACTGACCCCAAGAGGGAGGCAGGAAAGGTTGCCCCCAGGAAGCAGCACTTGAGCTAAAATCAGGGAGAAAACTAGGCAAAGACACAGCATTCAGGAGGAGGTAGAAGCTGGCCCATGAGGATGGTGGTGTGGAGAGGTGAACCAATACCCAGGTCTTGGATTTATTGTTGAGCTGCTGAATTAACCAGTGCTGGCTCTCTCCCAACCTCTGCACTTCTTGTTTTGCAAGGTTTTTTTTTTTTTATTTAAAAGCTAGTATGAGTTGGGATCTGTTGCTTTTCTGAGACCCCATCATGTGAGGTAGACAGGGGGCCTCACTGTACTCTGGGGGAGCTAAAGATGGAGAAGAGTTTTAGAGTGCCTGGAGAAGAGGCCCTTTAATAGATCATTTAAGAAGAGGGTGCTACCGCTAGACTGCCCAGATTCACTTTCTGGCTTTGTGACCTTGGGCTCTCTGTGTCTGTTTTCCAATCTGAACAATGGAATAATGATAGTATCTGCCTCTGCCTGCAAGACCCTGTCCTATCAGACCAACTACCTTTTCACTAGAACTCTCTTCCTGCACTGTACCCCAACTGGACCCTCATTAACACTTAAAATGGGCATGTTTCCCTTTTCTAGATTTTGCTCAAGACATTTCCCTCATCAGAATTAACTTTGGTCCATCTCCCTCTATTGGAATTCAACCCATTCTCCAGAAATCAGTTCAAATTTTATCACCAGAATGCCTCTCTCAATTACACCAAGCCTCTTTTATACTTTGTGCCATTTCTGCCATGATTTCTTATGTTTTCCTTTTTCACTACATATTGGTACAGGTACATATGATCTCCACTTCCACTCAAATGTGAGGTTACTGCGGGCAGTCCCTATGGGTATAGTCATATCCCAAGAGTCCTGGGCAGAGGGTCCCCCTCTTGCACCCAGGTTGGAGTGCAGTGGTGCAACCAGAGCTTACTGCAGCCTTGACCTCCTGGGTTCAAATGATCCTCTCACCTTAGCTTTTCCAGTAGGTGGTATAAAAAGGCGAGCACCACCATGCTTGGCTAATTTTCATATTTTTCGTAGAGATAGGGTTCCACCATGTTGCCTTGCTTGGTCTCAAAGTTCTGAGCTCAAGCAATCCACCTGCCTCAGCCTCTCAACATCCTGGAATGACAGCATGAGCTACCACACCTGGCCAAATGCCGAATACTTTAGTCATATATGCCTGACACTTCAGGGCGTGCAGAACTGCCTCGCTTACTTTTCTTTTGACTCAGTTTATAAATTTTCTTAATTTAAATTTTAATTTCAACATGTGTACATCTTTGAAATAAATAAAATAATCTCTTTGAATGTTTGGCATAATGTAGAAGAAATTGACAAATGGATATCTTTACTTCATTTTCCATCTCAAAATGTGGTAGAAATATGCTCCCCTAAAGTGATCCCAATTATTACATAGCCATCTTGCTGTGGTTAATGTAGAATCTTTTTGCAATATCACATGCATGACAGGGCACATCCAAAAAACATTTAAGTGAGGATAATACTAGATTCTTGAAAGTATCTAGACACTTAAGAGCAGGCAGTGATGATGTTAATTAACAGTAACAATGTCGAGGGACTGGCTTTTGCCCTTCCCTAATAAACATAAAGAGCATAGAAACTCAGCAAATTTGCTCTTATTTTCTTCATTATTTGGTTGTTGAATCAGTAAATGCTTTCCACAGGGGTCATCTTGTTAGTCATCTTGTCATTTTGCTGTGTCCCTTCTTCATCCTTGCACTTTTTCCTTTCTCCCATTTTGGAATGTATTGAGAGGAGTGTTATGTTGATGGAATGCCATGTCCTGACTTGCCATTTGATTAGAACTTCCCTCAATTTTTAACATGCTTCTTGATATGGTTTGGATTTGTGCACCCCCGCATCCCCAATCTGATGTGGAATTGTAATTGCCAGTGTTGGAGGAGAGGCTTAGTAGAAGGTGTTTGCATCATGGAGGTGGTTTCTAATGGTTTAGCCTCATCCCCCTAGTGCTGTCTGATGATAAAGTTATCCTAAGATCTGCTTGTTTAAAAAGTTAAAAAGCACCTCCCCTGACTCGTTTCAGCCATGTGAATATGTGCTTGCTTCCTTTTCACCTTCTGCCATGATTGTAAGTTTCCTGAGGCTTCCCTATAAGCATAAGTCTGTACAGCCCACAGAACTGTGAGCCAATTCAATCTCTTTTCTTTTTCAATTACCCATTCTCAGGTATGTCTTTATAGCATGTGAGACAGACTAATACACTCATCCTCAGAAAGCATTCAATTTAGCTGTGTCTAAAGGTATGCCAGCTGTCCTGGGACATTATCTTAGCCAATCATTCTTCCTCTTCAGCAAGATCTATTTGCCTATCACAGCTTGACCACACTTCCTATCATACCTGTCTGTAACAAGTAGCCTATAACATCTGGAGGGATTTCATTGAAATCACAGAGGTTCCTTGGTTCTTTACTTTATTAGCAGGCATTAGGAAAGCACATCAACTTTCTTATTTAATAAAGTGCCTGTTGCTTTGAAAAATTGCCCAAAAGAAGAAAAGAGAGGGTTACTTAAAGGTATCACTATAGGCATGGCATGCTGGTTCACACCTGTAATCCCAGTACTTTGGGAGGCTGAGGAGACAGGATCACCTGAGTCCAGAAGTTCAATACCAGCCTAGGTGACATGGCAAAACCCCATCTCTACAAAACGAAACAAAACAAATAAAACAAAACAAAATAGAAAAAATATTCAGGCATGGTGGCATGTGCTTGTATTCCCAGTTACTCAGGAGACTGAGGTGGGAGAATCACTGAGCCCAGGGAGGTTGAGGCTGCAGTGAGCCATGATCATGCTACTCCACTCCAATCTGAGTGACAGAGCAAGACCCTGTCTCAAAAAAAAAAAAAAAAAAAAGCTATCACTATACTATCTGTAACTGTTCTTAGGAACAGTTTTTTTCCTAAGATTAGGAATTAGGATAACTAGGTTTTTTCCAACAGTGGAAACTCCAAACAGACTAAATTGTTGTACATCAAGGTGAATTGTCATAGTTAATTCCTTTGCTTGCAACTGCCCAATAAATGGATGAGGACTCACTTCACCAATAAATAAGAAAGGTGAACAGCACATGGGGCCTGTAGATGCCTTTTGCAGGGCCCTCTTTTAATCTTCCTAAAGTTGCAATTTGCATATTTCTGTAGATGGGCACATCATAGAAGCTGTCATCCTAGATCAGAGCCTGGAGAGAGAGATACAAGTGTCATGCTTAAATCTGCAGAGTAGGAACAAGCCCAGAGAAATCAAGATGATTAAGCAGAGAGTTTCCATACTGGAGATAAACCAGCTGTGTAAAAAGTCATGCTTATTGAACAAAAAAGCATTGCACCGCCGAAATAACTGCTTTAACTAAGAAGTAAAGAACTGACACCCCAACAGAGCACAGAGAGCCACATAGACAGGAGCTGCATTTCAAACAAGGTCATTGCTGTTTTCCCCACTCTGAGTTAAGTGTCTCTGCTTCACCCTTCCTTACCAAAGTTCTGCTTGATCATCCTTTTGTTTTGTTTTGTTTTGTTTTGTTTTTTGTACTTCCCTTCTTTGAGAAAATATAAACCAAAATTTTACATAAAACAGGAATTCAGCTTTTGACAATGTTAGCCATTGAAACAACAACAAAAAAGGTTTCTATTATTTCTCATCTCTGTGCTATCCAGTGCAGTAGCCAATAGCCACAGGTGACTATTAAAATTAAAATTAATTCAAATAAAACAAAATTTAACATTAGCTGGTCAGTTGTACTAGCCACATCTCAATTACTCAATAGCCACATGTGGCTAGTGGCTACTGAACTAGGCAGCATGAATGTAGAACATTTTCATCATCATAATTTTCTAGGTCATGGAAAAATTACAGAACTCAATTTCCAGTGTGCACATTTATTTGCATACCTAGGAGCTTTCTGACCCTGTGTTGAGCTGCCTAACCAGCTTCCTGATTGACCTCCTGATATTTCTGCAAATGTGGACTAAGAGGCCAGGATTCCTCAGGGCCCAGGTGACTCAGGTTATTCAGAAACTATGTTTGGACTAGCAGGCCTCTACTTGATTTGGGATGCGAAATGGGACTTCTCTTCCTAATTGCTAAAATAGATTTCAAGGTTCACCTCTCATCGCGGTAAGAGTCTCATTTCCTGAGACTCTTATTTCTTTCCATGACTTATGGTATATTCTGGAGAGAGTGGATTCACACAGAAGAGCTGGCTCTGTGCTGGTTTTCCAGGGGTCAGCCCCCTTGTCAGTGACAAGCCTGCCTATCTACATGATGTACATTATGTCCCACTACTGGTAATAGAAGCTCAGCAATTGATTGACTGTTAGGTTATTTTCAAAGCTCAGTATTCACAATAATCTAACAGACACCCACACAACCACAAGGACAGACAAGGCTCTCATAACCTGCAAAAGACAAGGTGCACATTTCTTCTTTCCATCCCAGCAACAAATTGCCAAACCAGCCAGCACTTAAGTTGGGGTAAAAATTAATTAAAAGAAGAACCTACCAATGTAGATAAAAGAACAGAAAAGCTATTGCAGCTGTCTTCTCCATAACAGAGGCCTGTGATTTGAATTTTAATGTTTCAATCTACTTTCTGCTCTTGTGTTTATTTTATTATTTATTTTTTGTCACTATCTCTTATTTGTAGATACAAATTTTTCATATTTAAAAGCTATTTTAAATATAATCTTTAAAAGGAGAAACATTATTTTTTTTAATTGCACAAAATACTGAAGGTGAGATCCACTGATTGGAAAGCAAAATGGGACAATATCTCTGGAAGCAATTTTATCCAGATAAATCAATAGCTTTAAAACAATTCAAAACCTTGGACCTAATACCTCTACTTCTAGGAAGCTAGCCTATGAAGGTTTCTGCTGAAGGATGTTTATCACAGTATTATTAATAATGCGAAAAAGCCAAAGAAGAGACCTGAAATGTTTCAAAGATGAAAATGGTTTGATAAACAACATTTTTTTTAGATGGGGTCTCACTCTGTTGCTCAGACTGGGGTGCAGTGCCACGATCTCAGCTCACTGCAAAATCCTTCTCCCAGGTTCAAGCAATGCTCCTGTTTCAGCCTCCCAAGTAGCTGGGAATACAGGCACACCAACCACGCCTCACTATTTTTTTGTATTTTAGTAGAGATGGGGTTTCACCGTGTTGCCTAGGCTGGACTCAAACTCCTGAGCTCAGGCAATCCATCTGTCTCGAACTCCCAAAATGCTGGGATTACAGGCATGAGCCACCACACCTGGCAATAAGCAACATATTTAAACACTAGAATATTATGCAAACATCCCAGGCATGCTTTGGAAAAACTATTAATCCCACAAAAGATGCTTATGTTATTATACAGACTAACAGACCAAGATTCTCCAGGACACTTACTATGTTACATGTCTGAAGTACAATATAATGCCATATATAAAATGTAACCTCAACTCAGGCCCCAGTCTTTTCATCTGGAAAATTCTATTAATTATACTGCCCTTCCCCTTTTTAGGTTTTCTGTAGGAGTTAAATACAATACACTTTGTCAATTGCTTAACACCATGCTCAACACTGGTCGGGAAGATATAAATGTCAGCTATTGTACTATGTGCCAAAAAAACAAACAAAAAACCACACAGACAGACACACACACACAAAGACACACACGGAGGGAGAGGAAGTAAAGATTAAGAAGCAGCACATAATGTTACGGTAGGCAATGGGACCACTAGTGATTTTCATATCCTTTTTTATTTTCTTCTTTATACTGCTTACATTTTTCAGTGTATACAATGAGCACGTATTACTTCTGTAACCAGAAGAATGTGGTATAAACCTCACCTTAATATAATAAAACAAAATTACTGGCCAGGAACGGTGTCTCGTGCCTGTAATCCTAGCACTTTGGAAGGCTGAGACTAGTAAATCTCTTGAGCTCAAGAATTTGAAACCAGCCTGAGCAATACAGTGAGACCTTGTCTCTGCAAAAAATACAAAAATTAGCCAACCATAGTGGTATACAACTGTAGTCCTAAGTTACTTAGGAGGCTAAGGTGGGAGGGTGGCTTGAGACCAGGAGGTGGCTGCAGTGAGCTGTGATTGCACCACTGCACTCCAGCCTGGGTGAAAAAGCCAGACCCAGTCTTGTACAAAAATAAAAAAAATAAAAAAAATAAAAAGTTATTACTTAGATCCCACATGCTGTCTTGGAGCCATTGTAGTGTTGCGGGATTCAAGAGACTGGAGAGACCAATGGATGAGACAGGAGGATTTTATTAAAGTGGCCACTGGCCTAGTAGATTCGCATCCAAAAGGCTGAGCCTGGAACAAAGATGGGGCCTGGTTTTTAAGCATGCAGCTGCGTGAAACTCACAGGGTGGGCTTAGCAAGCTTACAGAAGCAGAACAAAGGCAGTTAATCAAACAGTGACAGGTGTATGACTCAAACATGCCTGGTGACCTCTGCTGGGCCGTCCAGCAGGCCCTCAGCAGATGGTTACTATTTTAGGCTTGCTCAGACATGTCTTGTGACCTTCTCAGTGTTGCACAGATGGAAAACAGGAACTTACAAAATCCTTACAAACTTACAGAAATAGTTACAAAAATAGTTATGAGAGCAGAGCAAAGACATACTGGCCTAGGAAAGAATCTCAAAGGGGGAAGCTGATAAGAAGAACTTGTTCTTCTCATCCCTGTTCCTGGAGTCCATTCCTTCTGGGCTCTGCTTGGCCTTGTATATAAAGTTAGCTTAGTCCTAGCAGGGCCTTGATGTGAGTCAGCCTGGTACAGGCAGGAATTTAGGTTTTTCTCCTTTTAATTTCGGCTTTAGTAGGCCAGGGTTCTGGTTGCCACTGCTGAGAAAGTAAAGTGTGTTCAGGCTGTCCATGGTTCTGGGCTCCCCCGGGTCTCTGAGGAGGGCTGTCCCCTCTATCACAGAGAATATCAGGACACTAGCCTGTTCCTAGTTATACTTACACACTCCTCTCATGTTGTCTATGGAGTGGAGGCTGCAGGGAGGGTGACATCCTAGTTAGTCCCAAGTGCCAGACTGCCTGAAGCTCACTGTTAACAGGTCCTGCCTTGGAGAAGAAGGAAGGTTGTCTCTGTGAATCTCCCACCTGGGCCAAAGGGAGGCCACTCTCTCCTCTGCCTCTCCCCAACCTTGGTCTTCTGCACTCCTAGTGAACCTCTCTCCCCCTGCCTACAGGCCTGGAATCTCAAGACCATGATGACCTAGTCACCCCTGAATCCAGGGCTTTCCCTTTACAAAGGGGAAACTGAGACCTGGAGCAGGGCCGATGTTCAGCCAGCCGATAAGGGAATAGCCGAATTGGTGGTAAAATACTGAAATAGTTCCAGTGTGGATGGAAAGGGGCCACTGCCCTGAACATCTCTACCCCGCCGCCTCAGCCCATCCTCCAGGACCCTGGGTCAGCACCAGGAGCATCAAAGTGGCCAGGATTGGCTGAAGCCCATGCTAATGGCTCTGCCAGCCCTTCTCCCCACCAGAGAAGGCAGGGGAAATCAGGCTATCTGGGGGTAGCACTGTGACCGTGTATGCAGTAGTCAAACCTTGTGTGCCACCATCCCTGACTTTGTTGATAAGGGCATCAGGCTACATCCCTCTGGTACTCAGTGGTAAGCATCTAAAATCTTAAAGAAAAAATTTAAAAAGCTTTCAAAATATAGGACTTAACATATGAGGCTGCACAAACATCTCTTTAGCAGTTGTCCAACTGGTGCTTCTGGTTCTGCCTCCCCAGAGAGTGGATGACCTGGGCCACCCTCCACCACTGCCCTGTAAGGCCATGGGACACACAGCCCATCAGTTCTCTTCACGTGGTCATCCCCCTTTAGATGGGAGAAAATATACCTGCCTCATTTTTGTACCTTCTGTTTGGACATTCCATGACAGAGCTTCACTAAATGTGTGATGAAGAACTGAATGAATGAATGAATGAATATGAGAGCAAATGAATGAATGGTTTAGATCCTGGGCTGGAAGTCTGTATGAGGATGGTGGGTAGAGGAGAGTGTGTTTTTCTTGCCTTTAAGTCATTACTTGTCATTTTGGGGCAGGAGCACAGGCTTTGAATGCAGACTGACTGGACTTTAATCCTGGCTTTACTAGTTGTGATTGTGTGACCTTGTACATGTTACTTAAACCCTCTGTGCCTGTTTCTTTATCTGTAAAATGGAGATAATAAGATGACAAAGGACTGTGGTAAGAATTAAATGCTTAAAAAAATCACAGTTTGTATTAAGTCCTCAATAGATTGGGTTTAGCATCATGAGTGCATGTGTTTCTGGAACAATGCTCATCTTGGGCTGGATGGTGCCTACACAGAGAAAGACTCTGGCCTCTTCTCACTCACATGTATCTGTCTTATGCCTGGTTCCCATTCCCAGATCCTTGGAAGATCCATATTGCTGAAACGGTGAAGGGTGATGGGCACCTCAGGACAACTAAGTTGCTCCCCAAACATCTTCCCCCGCCCAAACTCTCCTGTGGTCTTTAGCATTTAACAGGAATCTCTGGACACTCCAAGGGGTGATCCTCTCACGGAAGCCCAGTGGGGAGGAGGCTGCGGGAAAGGTCAGGCACTGTGCACTTCCCTGACAGCTGCAAATGGTTCTGTTTCCAAGCCCACGGGTCACTACAAATAAGGCAAGTTATATGACATAATAATGTGATTCTTTGGTGCCTCGGTCCACACTGGCACTTTAATACTCCTAGAGTGGATTGCATGGTGGTCTATCAAAAGATATGTCTACCTGGAACATGTGAATGTACCTTTATTTGGAAAACAATCTGCAGATGTAATTAAATCCAGCACCTCGAGATGAGGGCATCTCATCTTGGATTAGGATGGGCCCTAAATCCAATGACAAGTATCCTTATAAGAAAAGCGGCAGGTAGGGCACAGTGGCTCACACATATAATCCCACCACCACCACTGAGGAAGGTCAAGTTGGGAGGATCGCTTGAACTCCAGGCGTTCAAGACCTGCTGGGCAACATGGTGAGACACTGTCTCTCCAAAATGTATATAAAATATAATAGCCAGACATGATGGCACCCGCCTGCAGTCCCAGCTACCAGCTACTCAGGAGGCTGAGGTGAGACGATAGCTTGAAACTGGGAGGTTGAGGCTTCAGTGAGCTGTGATCATGACACTGCCCTCCAGTCTGGGTGGCCCCTGGCCCCTCCACAACCTGCGCTAGAAGAGCTGGGCCCTGGCTCTGGGCATCATGCAGCCTCTGAGGTGGGGCTGAGTGCCAGTTCCTGCCCTCCTGCAGCTGGGGACCAACACCCTGACTTAGGCGCTGTGGAGGCTTCTGGCCCAAGGGTCCGCACTGCTGGTGGCACTGGCAGGGTCGGAGTTTGCCACAGCTGCTGCTGCGCGCCTTGTGCAGGTTACCACTGCAGCTGAACCTACATCAGAGGCAGGCAGGGCTGGTCCCAGACAGCCTGGGGGTCTCTGAGTGCAGGGCCCTTTCACCCTAGAGTCAGCTCTTTCTTGCCGGAGCCCACAGCGGGGTGTGCAAGCGCTGGGTACAGGGCAGCAGCCAGGAAATGGCTGAGCGGCCGGCTCCCGCCCTCCTGCAGCTGGGGTCTGACCAGCTGAATTAGCCGGTGGGCGGCGTCTGGCCCTGGGATCCGCCTGGCTGGTGTAGGAGCCTGGTCTGGGGTTGCCTCCAAGGCTGCTGCGCACGCCATGTGCAGCTGGCTGCTGCAGCTGGGCCCATCACCTGACAAGGAGTTTCCCAGACAGCCTCAGGGTCATGGAGTGGACCACTGTCCCAGCCTAGTGTACGCTCTTCTTTTGCCTGCGCCCAGAGTTCCGGGTCGCGGGCACCGGGAACTGTGCAGCCAAGGTGCTTCGGCCGAGGGCAAAGGTTGCTGCCCTGCTGCAGCTGCTGGGCTGAGTGCCTGAATTAGGCGCTGAGGCGGCGTTGTCCCCGGTGTCCTGGCTCTTAGTGGTGCAGGCAAAGTGCCCGGTTGCTCTGCTGCTGCGGCGCCCTTGTACAGGTGGCAGCTGTAGCTGAGTTCTCAGTAGACGCCGGCAGGGTTGGTCCTAGAAAGCGTGAGGATCGCCGAGTGCACCGCCCTCCCAGCCTAGGGTCCACTCTTCCTTGGCCCGAGCCCAGAGCCCGGGGTTTCAGGCGCTGGGCCCTGTGCAGCTGCCCAGAATATGCTGAGCGGCAGGTTCCCGCCCTGGCAAGGGATCCAGCCGTGGTATCCTCACTGCTGTTGGCGGCGGGCAAGGTCAGCGGGGTTTCCACCGCTGCTGCCGGGAGCCACCTGGCGGTGGTAGCTGCAGCTGAGCGCGTGGCAGAGACCGGCAGGGCTGGTCCCAGACACCCTGAGGGTCTCTGGGTGCATCGCCCTACCACCCTAGGGTCTGCTCTTCCTTAGCCTGCTCCCAGGACGCGGTGTACGAGCGCTAGACTCTGAGCAGCCTCCAGGATGGGGCTGAGCGGCGGAGTCCTGCCCTGCTGCAGCTACAGTCTGAATTAGGCGCCACCGCAGTATCTGACCCTGGGGTACGTGCTACTGGTGGCATGGACAGAGATGAGGGCTGCCACAGCTGCTATGGGGCTGAGCAGCCGATTTCCGCCCCGCTGCAGCGGGCGACCGCTGCAATCCCCAGCGCTATGGGACCGACCACCTGACTTAGATGCCTTGGAGGCATCCGGCCCTAGGGTCTTTGCTGCTGGTGTCTGAGGGCAGGGTCAGGGCTGCCACTACTACTGCCGTGCGCCATGCGCAGGTGCCAGCTGCAGCTGAGTCCCAGGCAGATGCTGTCAGGGCTGGTCTGAGGTTGCCTAAGGGTGGCTGAGTGCACCGCCCTTCCACCCCAGGGTCCGTTATTCCTAGGCCGGCGCCCAAATTGCAGGGTCGTGGGCGTTGGACACTGTGCAGCCATGAGGATCTGGTTGGGTGCAGATTCCCGCCCTCCTGCAGCTGAGAGGCCAACCTCCTAACAGGCGCCGCAGTGACCTCTGGCTCGGCGGTCCGCGCTGCTGCTGGAGCTGGCAGAGACCAGAGCTGCCACCGCTGCTGCTTCCAGGAGTGTGCAGCTGGCAGCTGCAGCTGAACCCGCAGCGGAGGCTGGAAGGGCTTATTCCAGAAGCCTTGAGGGTCCCCGAATGCACCGCCCTCCCACCCTAAGGTCCAGTCTTCCTTGCCCGCTCCCAGAGAGTGGGATTGCAGGCGCTGAGCACAGTGCAGGCGCTGGGATGGGCTAAGCTGCAAGTTTCCGCCCTCTGGCTGCTGGGGGGCCGACCGCCTGAGTTATGCGCCGCGGCGGCTTTTGGTCATGGGGTCCGCACTGCCGGTGGCTTGCACAGGGTCGGGGGCTGCCACAGCTGCTATAGTTCACCATGTGCACGTGGCAGTCGCCCCTGAGCCCACCGCTGAGGCTGCAGGGCTGGTCCGGTCTCAGACGGCCTGAGGGTCATTTGCCCGCGCCCAGATCCGGGTGGCTGGCGCTGGGCACTGTGCAGCCTCCAGGAATCCGCTGAAGGGCAGGTTCCCGCTCTCCTACAGCTGTGGGCCGACTGCCTGATTTTGGCCACTAGGTGGAGTCTGTCTCTAGGGTTTCGAGGCCGCTGGTGTCGGCGGGCGGAGTCCGGGTTTGCCACCGCTGCGCGCCATGAGCAGGTAGCAGTTGCAGCGTAGCTTTAGACAGAGGCTGGCAGGGCTGGCCCCAGACGGCCTGAGGGTCAGGGAGTGCAGGGTCCTCCCACCCTAGGTCCGCTCTTCCTTTGCCCTTACCAAGAGCGGGTTGTGCGGGCGCTGGGCTCTGTGCAGCCGCCGAGGTGGGGCTGAGCAGCGGATTTCCGCCCTGCTGCAGCTGGAGGACGATTACCTGAATTAGCCGCTGAGGCGGCATCTGGCCCTGGGTTACTGCTGCTGGTGACGCGGGCAGGGTCAGGGTTGGTTGCAGTTGGCAGCTGCTGCTAAACCCATTGCGAGCCTCAGGGTCACCAAGTTCACCGTCCTTTCATCGTAGTGTCTGATCTTTGGCCCGCGCCCAGAGTGAGGACTCGCCTGCGCTGGGGATTGCATAGCTTCTGGGGGGCGGTCAGCGCCCGTTTCACGTCCTCCTGCAGCTGCGTGGCCTAAGGTCTTAGGCGCCGCGGCGCTATCTGGCCCTGCTGTCCGTGCTGCTGGTGGCGGGGACAGGGTCGAGGGTTGCCGCTGCTGCTCCCGTGCACCATCGGCAGGTGGCAGTTGCAGCTGAGCCCACAACTGAGGCTGTTGGGGCTGCTCCCAGGTTGTCAGAGGGTCGCCGAGTTCACCGACATGCCACCCTAGGTTACGCTCTTTCTTGGCCCGCACCCAGAGCGCCGGGTTACGAGTCCTGGGCCCTGTGCAGCCACGGGGATGGTGCTGAGTGCAGGTTCCCGTCTTCCTGAGATGCGGGGCGACCACTGGAATTAGCCTCTGTGGTGGTATCTGACCCTAGGGTCCGAGCTGCTGATGGCGTGGGCGGGGTCGAAGTCGCCTCTGTTGCTGTGGCGTGCCATTTGCACTGTCCTCTGGAACAGGCTGGTCTGTGCTGTGTATGGTCAGTGGAGTCTTCTCTGGGCATGCTTCACTGATATCTGCTGACATGGCTCATCTTCTCTTTGATTTTGCATGTATTGGCACTCAGTGATGAAGTTTCTGGTCACCCACTGCCATTTTCCTCTAGCCTCCAAGACCTCACATTCTGAGGCCAGCATGTCCCACCAGGGGCCTCCACTGGTCCTGTCAAACCAGGTGTGAGTCCCCCTTCCACCAAGCTTGGAGAGACTGGCTTTTCAGACAGCACTCACAGGCTGAGAGTAAGGGAACTGATCTCTCAGGCACTTCCCCCTGTCCTGCCACTCTGTCATTCCTGGGACACCCTATGTGCACTAGAGAAGTAAGACACCAGCCTGCATATTTTCTCATCTTTCTTTAACTGTCTATTTTTTCCTATCCATCTGTTTGAGCGAGTCCCAGGAGGATGTTGGGGCTGAATACCTGATCAGAGACACAGGCAGAGCCATAGTCACATCTCCTGGGAACTTTCTTCTTCCTGTGTAGTTAAAAGCTCTTCTCTTCCTCTTCTTCATAGAAATTCCCCTTACACTAAACCTTTGACTAAAGCCATCCCCTCAGTTTGATAAAATTTTAGACAGGATTATTTCTGATTCTTGGCTCCTCACCTCTTTTTTTCTTTAGCATATTTTAGAAATGTTATCATTGTAAATTCTTTCTCTGCCTCTTTGATAAATCTTTCTAAGAGCCCACGTGCCAGTTTTACACTTCAGAAATGTCCATTTCAAGGACCTCAGAGCCATCCCTTTGAAATGTAATTCTCAAAAAAGATAACACCATTATCTCCCAGACTCCATGAGAGAGTAAGAGCCAAATTTTGGTGGGCATATTCCTCTAATTTGTAAAATCACCTTCTGTCATAAAGATAAAAGATAGTTTAATATTCCTTTGGAAAAAGACAACTATCAAAGACAAGTGGTCTATGATCTCCCCCTCATCCTGGCTCTTAAAATCTCTACTGCTGTTTGTTTCAGCGGAGCTGAGTTCAGACTAAGTTCTGGCCTCTTTGCCCTTTTGCAATAGTCTTCAATAACAGCTTTTTTATGTGTTTAACTTTGTCTGGTGCAACTGTTTTCTTTGACACTTTCCACCCTAACTAGAACTTCCATTAAAGTCATAATAGGATTCAAGGCAGCCAAACTTGACTCACATACGTAAAAAAACTTGTTAGGATTTAGAAACCCATATTCTCTTCAATAAATTGTTTCTTCAGACTGTTGCCTTATTAAAAGTTTCTAGTTCTTATTTTGGCATTGAAAAGGAGAATACCAATTTTTAAATAAGTCTCTGCTCACTTTTAATTTCTGCTATCACAATTTTATTGCTTTCCACGGCTGAACAATGAGAAGACCAGAACACAATTTTAAGTTAAATTTTATTTAATTTTTACCATTACAATTTTATTGCTTTCTCTGACTGAAAAGAGAAAACTCAAACAAAGTAGTCTAGTCTATGAAGTGGACTAGAACAAAGAATCATGTCTCATTAATACATTTCAGAAAGTTACCTCCATTTAACATCAATGGTGTCATTTAATATTCTTAACTTTCCTATCAAGTAGATGCTATTATTACCTCTATTTTATAGGATATTAAGTCTTATATATTATACATAACCAGCTGAAGGTCATGTAGCATGTAGATATGATAGGCATACAAAGAAGCAATGACATTAGAAGCAGAGGAGGGAGAAGGATTAAAAGGCTATACCTAGGTCGGTTAAGAGAAAAAGAAAAACTAGGAGGAGACAAATTCTTGTTAGAAAAAAATAATGATCGAGGCAGAGCAAGACAGTGGTGCAGACCTCTCCAGCTATCATACCCCTATAGAAACATCAATATGAACAACTGTCCACATGTGAAATTACCATTACAAGAGCCAACAGAACCTCAATACATGAACAAGGTTATGAAGCACCTTTGGCCTGTGAAGATGGGTAAAACCATGGCTTACAGAGTGAGAGAACCAATACTCTGTGACTGTGATACTCCTCCCTCAGGCCATTATGGTACCATCTGCAGAAACTCCCATAGGGCTTATAGTTTTTACACTGAAAAAAGTCAGCAGGAGGTTGATATTTGTTTTTTCCACTATACTGAGTGCCTTCACAGTAGACTCACTCCTGTATCAGCCCACAAGTGGCACCATGAGTGCCAAAAGGGATGAACCACCTGAGGCATGTTAAGGACGTAAGAGGAGGTGGGGCCAGCAACAGCCACCATGTGAAACATAATACACAGACTACACGCTTGACGGCCTGACTTGTTCTCCCCCATAGCCAGGGGCTCCCTGTGGATCACCCATGGGCCCATCCAGCAAATGTTGCAGCAGTGGTGGAGCCATTGGAAGACTTATGTCTAACGTGGGATTTGGACTCTCTCTAATGCTAAAATGGAATACGATGGTAAGTCCGCTCAACATTTCCTAATAAGCCCACTTAAAAGTAGTCACAAACAAACCCAGACTGAGAAGACACAAATAAATATCTAATTCATCAATGTGTAGACAGAGATGTATATCTACATATAATAATGATAGCTTAGGAAAAGTTGCCTCTCCAAATGGACAAAACAAGGTGTCAGCAACTGAACTTAAAGACATACAGATGAATGATCTGGCAGGCAAAGAATTCAAAATGGCTGTTTTAAGAAGAGCCTGAACACTGAGAAAGCAGAGACATAATTCAGAAATTTACCAGAGAAATTCAACAAAGAAATCAAAATAATGGGAAAAATCACATGTAAATCCTGAAGCAGGAAAGTTCAATTAACACATTGAAAATCCAACGGAAGGCATCAACCGAAGAACTGATCAAGCAGAAGAAAGAAACAGTGAGCTCAAAGACAGGCTCTTTGAAAATACATGGTCAGAGTAGAATGAAAAAAAGAATGAAAAGAAACAAAGAAAGTTTATGAGATTTGTGGGACACCAACAAAAGAGCAAATCTACATATCATTGGTGTTAAAGGGGAACTAAGAATGAAAAGGAGATAGTTTATTCGAAGAAATAACAGAAAACTTTTTAAACCTGGAGAAAGATTAAAATGTTTAGGATGGTCAAAGTGCCCAATCATATTTAATCTGAATAAGACAACCAAAGACATTTTATAATTAAACTCTCAAATGTCAAACACAAAGAGAAGACCCTGAAAGGACTAAGAAAAGGGAAACAACACATAAGAGAATTCCAATATGCCTGGCAGCAGACTTCTCAGCAGAAGCACTACAGGCCAGGAGAGAGTAGGATAATAGATTCAAGTGCTGAATTAAAAAAACTGTCAACCATGAATAAAGTATCCAGCATAGCTATCATTTAGAAATAAAGGAGAGATTGAAACATTCTCAGACAAACAAAAAGCAAAGGAATTCATTGTAATCAAACCAGCCTTACAAGAAACGCTAAATATTGTTCTCCAAACTGAAAGAAAATGGCAGCAATATGTAACACAAAAAATCTGAAGGTATAAACCCACAGGTAGAAGTGAGGGTTCAGACAAATTTGGAATGCTCTAATATGGTAATAATTGGATGTAAAGCACTTATATATCCTTAGTAGGAAGGTTAAAAAACAATACAAATAAAATAATAATAATTACAATAATTTGTTAAGGACTAGCAATATACAAAGATGTAAATTAAGACATCAAAAATGCAAAATGTGAGGGAGTGATGGAGTTAAAGAGTAGAGTGGTTTCTTTTCCCCTCTTTTTGAATCAAAATTAAGTTGCTATCTCTTTAAAATAACTTATTGTAACCATAAAATGTTCTTTGCATGCCTTGTGGTAACCACAAAGCAAAAACTTTTAAAAGATACTCTAAAAATTAAAAAAAAAAAAACCGAAACACACTGATAGAGTAAAGCACTTAATCACAAAGGAAGATAGAGAAATCAATCAATCAAAGTACAAATTAAAAAAAACATGAAAACAAGTAATAATATGGCAGAACCAAGTCCTTGCCTATCAATAATTATCTTGTATGTAAATGGATTATCCCATTTAAGACATATAATGGCTACACTGATTAAAAACAAGACCTAACTATAAACCTTCTACAGGAAATTCACTTCATCTGTAAATACACACATAAATTGAAAGTGATCAGATGGAAAAATATATTTTATAAATATGGAAACCGAAAGAAAGCCAGTATAGATATATTTATATCAGATAACATATACTTCAAACAAAATCCTATAAAAACAGACAAATACAGCCATTATATAATGATAAAGGGATCAATATCACAAGATAATATAATTGTAAATATATATGCCCTCTATATTGAAGGACCTAAATATATAAAACAAACGTTAATAGATCTAACAGGAGAAACAGCAAGCAATAAAATAATAGTAACATTCTACTTTCAGCAATAAACAGATTATCAAGACATAAAATCAACAAAGAAACATCATATTTAAAGTGAACTCTAGACCAAATAACTTAGCAGTCATTTACAGAACATGTTATCCAACAATTGCATAATTCACAGTCTTCTCTACTGCGCATGGAACATTTTCCATGATAGATCATATACTAGGCACAAAATGAGCCTTAGCAAATTCAAAAAAAAATCAAAATTATATCACATCTTTTCTGACAATATAGAATAAAACTAGAAATAAACAACAAGAACTTCAGAAATTGTGCAAATACATACAAATTAAACAACGTGCCCCTAAACAAACAATGGGTTAAAAAATAAATTTTGTTTCATTTTAAAAATTCTTAAGACAAATGAAAATGAAATCAGAACATATAAAAACTTACGAAATACAGCAGAAAAAGTCCTCAGAGGGAAGTTTGTAGAAATAAATTTCTATATGAAAGAAAGAAAACTCTCATTAATAATTTAAGAATGCATTTCAAGGAATTATAGAAACGTGAACAAACTTAGCCCCAAATTGGTAAAAGAATATAGATAATGAAGACCAGAGCACAAATAAACAAAATGGAGACAAAAATATGAAAGATCAATGAAATAAAAAGTTATTTTTTGAAAAGATAAACGCAATTGATATATCTTTAGTCAGATTAAGAAAAAAGAGAGAAGATTCACATAAATAAAATGAGAGATGAAAAAAGACATTAAAATGGTTACTACAGAAATACAAAGAATCATGAGAAAGTACTAAAATTATATGCCAATAAATTAGAAAACCTAGAAGAAATAAATACGTTTCTGAACACATATAACCTATCAAAGTTGAAGAATTAAGAAATACAAAATGCGAACAGACCAATAACAAATAAAGAGATTGAAGCATTGTCTCTCAATACAAGAAAATCTGGAGGGCTGGCACAGTGTCTCACACATGTTATCTCACACTTTGGAGGCCAAGGCAGGAGGATTACTTGAAGCCAGAATTTCCAGATTAGCCTGGGGAACATAGTGAGACCCAGTCTTTACAAAAATAAAAATAAAAATTATCCAGGTTTAGTGGTGTGCACTTGCAGTCCTAACAACTTGGGAGGCTGAGGCAGGAGGATCACTTAAGACCAGGAATTTGAGGCTGCAGTGAGCTATGATTGCACCACTGTACTCCAGCCTGAGTGACAAAGAAAGACCATGTCTCTAAACCAAAAATATTTAAGAAGAAGAAGAAAAAGAAAGAAAGAAAGAAAGAAAGAGGAAGAAAAGAGAGACAGCGGGAGGGAGGGAGGAAGGAAGGAAGGGAGGGAAGGAGAAGAAAATAAAAATCGAGGATCCAATGCTTATACTGCTGAATTCTTCAAAACATTTAAAGAGGAACATATACTAATTATTTACAAACTGTTCCAAAAAAAGTGAAAAGGAGGAAACTCTTCCAAACTCATTCTATGAAGACAGAATTACCTTATTCCAAAATGCAACAAGAACAGTGAAAAACTAAACTACAGGCCAATATCAGTGATGAACATAAATGCAAAAATTCAAAACCAGCAATGCTAGCAATCATAATTTGAAAGCACATTAAAAAGATGATTCACCATAATCAGGCTGTATTTGTTCCAGGGAGGCAAGGAGGGCTTATGATATATAAATCAATAAATGTGATACACCACATTCGATAAGGTAAGATAAAAATCATATAATCATTTAAATAGATACAGAAAAAGCATTTGACAAAATTCAATGTTTTTTGTAAACATAAGATCTCTTAACAAATCAGTTATAAAAAGAGTATAACTCAATAAAATAAAGACCATATGTGATAACCCACAGCCAACATGATACTGAATAAGGAAAAATTGAAAACTGTGTCTCTAAGATCAAGAACAAGACAAGGATGTTCACTTTAATAACTTCTCTTCAACATAGCACTGGAAGTCCTAGCTAGAGCAATTAGAAAAGAGAAAGAAAAGACATCCAAATTGAAAAACAAAAAGAAAGTCAAATTGTCCCTGTTTGCAGATGACATAGATCATGTCATATGTATAAAAGACCCTATACTGAAAAACAGAAACAGTAAATGAATACAGTAAAGTTTTAGAATACAAAATCAGCATAGAAAAATCAGTTGCATTTCTATACCCAACAGCATACTATCTGAAAAAGGAATCCCCATTGAAAATAGCTATAAAAAAAATGCCTGGCAAAATAAAGACGTCTAAAATGAAAACTATAAAACATTGATAAAAATCAATTGAAAAGATACAAGTAAAGACAAGGTTATCCCATTTTTTGAATTAGAAGTGTTAATACTGTTAAAATGACCATCATACTCAAATCAATCTATAGGTCCAATACAATCTCTAACCAATTTCCAATGTAATTCTTCACGTTCTGCGGATGTTAAAAAGATTTTTAAAACCGTTTTTTTGGTTCTGCAGGCGAAGGCTGTGGCCGCGCTCCCGCCGGCCAGTTCCCAGCAGCAGCTCATCGCCCCTGCTCCGCGCCTTCGCTCCAGGCCCGCACGGTCGCAGCCCCGCGAGAATCAGCACTGAGCCGGTCCCGCCGCCGCCGCCCCAGTGTCGGGCTGCTGCTGCGGGAAGCCAATCGCCCACCGCTTGGAGGAGGGCGACGAGGCCTTCCGCGCGAGCAAGTACCAGAAAGCGCCGGGCTCTTCCGCTCCATGCTGGCCCTGCTGGCGCAGCCCGACCGCGGCCGGTGCCTGAGGCTGGGGGACGCGCTGGCCCGCGCCGGCCGCCTCCCGGTGGCCCTGGGCGCGTTCCATGTAGCCGGGAGGTTGGAGGCGCTGAGTCCGGAAGAGCTGGGGGAGCTGGCGGGCGGCCTGGTGTGTCCCGGCCTGCGCGAACGGCCACTGTTGGCGGGGAAGCCTGGCGGCGAGCTCAGGGCTAGGGAGGGCCGGCCCTGGCGCCCGGCGCGCCCCGCGACCTGCTTGGCTGCCCACGGCTGCTGCACAAGCCTGTGACGCTGCCCTGCGGGCTCACGGTCTGTGAGCGCTAAGTGGAGCTGGGGCCCGCGCGGCCACAGGCGCGGGCGCGTGAACGTGGTGCTGAGCCGCCTGCTGGAGAGGTGCTTCCCGGCCGAGTGCCCGCTGTGCAGGCTGGAGGGTCAGGCGCGGATCCTGCAGCGCCAGCAGCAGCCCGAGGCCGCGCTGCTCAGGTGCGACCAGGCCCTGGAGCTGTGACTTGGCTGTGAGGCTGGCCCGCCTCCCTGGCCCCTGTCAAGCCGAGCGGCTGGAGCTAACCCGCGGGCCTGGGCTTTTGAGCGCTTTGTCCAGGCGTAGGGGGTCACTTTGCTTACTAATGATGGGAAGGTGAAAGGTGGGGGAGGCCACTCCCTGCAGTCAGGGTGGCAGGTGTCAGAGGCCACATGCAACCCACTGGTTTTGTCTTTTCTAGGATGCTGATAAGTTTCCCGCGGCCCCCGGAGCAGCTCTGTAAGGCCCTGTAGTTGCCTTTCATTCCCTTCTGCTCTATTGAGGAGTGGGAGGATGACAAAGTGTTTTTGCTCAACCCGAAGGAAAATGCACATGGGAGGACACACCGGGTTACTATTTGAGTAGCCCAGGCAAGAGACCAGCGGCTGCTTCAGCCATGAGACCACCTCAGGCCAAAATAGCCTTGTGGTTGTTTTACTTCTTTTCACCAAATGGGTCTTTTTGGGGTTTGTGGCATGTCCCATGTAATGATGATCTCTTGGTTCCCCTTTCTCATTCACACCCGGGAGCTGAGGTGGGGTGGGGGAGTGGGGGGGGGAAGGGGAGTGGCCACCTGCGCCAGGTATGAGAGAAGCCACACCTGAGACCAGCCCCTCTGTCCTCCTGCCTCTGCATGCAGCGTCCCTGCAGGAGGCAGAAGGGGTGAAAAGTAGCCTCGATGTGAAAGTCCTTGTGTGTCCCTGAGGGGGGAAGTAAGTCACAGTCGGGACACTGGTTCCTGTCACTGGGTGCAGCACAAAGAAGGACCCCAGGACATGCGGTGCAGACGGGAGCACAGAGAGGGTGAGTGCTACTGGGGTGCACAGGCAGCTTGAGGAGGATGGAGATGGCAAACTTCCCTTTGTCACACCAGGTCCACGTTCAGGGCCGGAGGACCACCAGATCCCCAAAGCCTCCGGTGCTTCCGAGGCAGAGGAGAGGCAAAGCCGGTGGCCCCCGGCGTCCAGGGACCTGGCAGCCACCACTGAGGCCCACCTGCTTGTCCCTCAGCCGGGTGCCCACTGGCAGCCACACTCCAGGTCTCTGGGCTCTGCCCAGGACGTGTGTTTGGGCTTCTCTCCCCAGCAGAAGTCATCAGCGTACCCTCTGCATCCCACGGATTTGCTTTGTTTCTGAGGGAATAATTAAGGAATGTTAGTATGATATCAGAAAATAGCTAATTATGGTGAAGAGCTAACAGGGCAATCTGGGAAGCTGTGGAGCTCTAGTTAGTGATGACAGAAGAGGAACATATTTGACTGTTTTGTGCTACACCCAGGTTCTCAGGAGGTGGCCAGGGAGGAGACTTGGCACTGTGCCATGCTCAGAGCCCCTAGTCCCAGGGACTGTTTCCCTGTGGGAGTTTGGATGAGAGGCAGTTGGCTGGGAAGCTCAGGATGGAGTGAGGAAGGAGAACGACTTGAGGTGCTTGGGTTGGAAAGATCTAGTACCCCAGGAGGGACTGGCTGTGGCCTGCACACACCCCAAACTCACACACTCTGTCATGCTCACACAGACACGCACACACACTCATGGACCCAAGCTCACACACCACACTCACATGGCTTATTCACACACTTACACACATTAACACACATATGCACTCATATTTACACATCCGCACACAGTTATATTCCACATACACACTCATACTGCCAAGTTCAAACACCACTATCACACATTTCTTCACAAACATTCACACAACTCACATACACACTCTCACACACGTACACACTCACCTACCCACTCTCCATTACACACATTTACCTGTCTGTTCTCACACACATGCACAAACACAAAGCCAAATTAGAGCCATTTTCCTGGTCCCACACAAACAAAAATGATACCTCAGTTTCTTGATCTTGACCAGAATTGGGCACATGATTCCATCCAACCACAAGGTGGGGCGGGAATGAAATCCTATCACGTCCTCAGGCCGTGGAGAAAAAAAACTATGTCAGGCCTCTCTAATGCCTCCCACAAATGGGCAGGAGGGATTGAAACAGAAAAGGGGTTCCTCCTGACATGTGGCATTGATGGAGCCCGGTTCTGCCTCATGCCAAGCCCTGCCTTGCCCCTCGATGATGGAAAATGGTTGTGTGTCTTGTTTCCTGGCCTCCATCTCTGTCTTGGTACAGAGTAGAGACTTGAGTCTCAGTTCCAAAGACAGGAGTCCCGCTGAGCTGACCCGCCCACTGACAGATGAAGTCTTGCCATCTGCTGACCAAGTTCCCCAAGGCCCCTTGAGACTCAACTTCTGAAGAGGGTCTGCTCAGAATTCCCCGTCCCCATGATCTGCCCAGCTGTCGGGACACTGGTGAGCCTGCTCAGTGGGGAGTCCCTTTTCAGCTCAGTCAGCAAGTGGCTCTTCTCTATAAAGAGGCAGGGGATGAACCTCCTCTCTAGTTTTAGCAGAAGAGGCCATGAGACCCATGGCAGAGGCCAGAGCTGTGCAGGCTGTAGGAGGTACCACGTCAGGGATTTCAAATGGAGGAAGGTACTTTCCAGAGAGTACTGCAGGGAACCAAGCCATATCCACCGTAGCTGCAATAAAAACTCTGAGGCTCAGCTTAAACTCAATCCTAGAAATGATGTCCCAGCACAAACTTTGCAGGATAAGCAAAATCTAGAGAAGAGAAAATGCAGACCCAGGCAATGATAAACACAAGTCATCGGGACCACCACGGAGCAGATACAGTGCCTTCTCCACGTGCGGTGAATGAGGTTCTCACGTCCGTTAGTGTGTGGAATTGAACATCAATATCAGAATCATTCTGTGTTACCTACAACTGGTTTTATGTTGTTGTGCCTGTCTCCTGATGACTGTGTATCTTTAGCCAACCTTTTCACCCCAAAGCTCCTGCCCCAACCCCTCCTCCTGGAAGTGCCCATCTCTGGTCTCGGCAGGAGGCTGTTCTTCCCAGCCTGTGGGGTGGCCACCTTGCAGGCTGTAACCCTCTACAAGAAATAAAGTCTTCTCTCCTTTTCTAAATTTCGATATTTGCTTAATCCTTAGCTTCTATTTTTTCAAGCCTTTAAACTGCTTTTAGGTCATGGCCTCTTCTCTGTAGGGTCTGGAGGCTGAGAGATGTCCAGCAGGAAAGAACTGCTAACTAATTCCAGTAGCACTGCTCTTCTGCCTAACGGAGGTGTTTAAATGTTGATTTTGGCAAAATCTATGAGCAGGTTGCTCCCCCTCTCCCGAGATCTCTCACAATACTTTGTAAAACCCAATTTAGCGCATTGTCTGGGAGGGCAGCTTTTACTGGTTCTGCAGCGATCTTCCTTACTCATAATCTATTGAAATATTGTAAAGCGATGCAGATTTGTGGCATGTGAGGAGAGCATGTAGACACACACTCCGCTGTGATTCAAAGTGCCCTAACACCTTCCTCTCCCCTACAGGCTGTGATAGGAGGGTGCTCTGGGTCACTGAGGAAGGGGAGTCATAAAGGAGCAGAGGCCCCCCGTCGTGAGTGCCATCTCTCCTTGAGTGTGGCCTCTTGTTCTAGCCCACAGGCCCACCATGCCCTGACTAAATGCTCGCACTGCTCATACATCCACTTTTAAAAATTGAGTTGAACATGAGAACATGATCATTCATATTTTATCCATTTGCATGTATTCAATACCATCCTTTCCTCATCTCTGCTTTACCGCCTTTTCCTTTAAAGAATGAATGTTTCCATGTTTTATATCCACAGAATTTCTGGTCTTTCCCTTTGGAGCCCAAGGAGCAAGGGCAGAATGAGGAACATGATGTTCCTTACAGACAGTTACTCATGAGGCCACAGCACAGAAACTGCAAGAAATGTCAGTCATGAAGTGTCCCAGTGCATTTTAAATTGATGGTTATTAAAATCCTTCTTTATCTATAGGGGATCTAAAAAAATTAAACAACTCATAATTTAAACACAGTTGCCAGGTAACCTGAGTCAAAAATCAGGAGAGGCTCCGTGGTCTGAAGTCTCCTAGTGCTCACCTTGGTGACGTTCTAGTTGCCTAACGGGTTGGTGTAATGACGTCATTCAACACAAGCAAAACACGACTCCCTTGGAGTTGTTCAAAAAATCAGGAAATAGAAAAAAAAATAAGGGAGAATAAAATATTGACAGGAGAGAAAAATGAAGAGTTACTTGGAGATTTGAAGGAGGTGAAATGGGCAAAAAGTAAATTTAGCAATTAGAATTTAAAGTCAGTGGATAATTAAGTCGAATAATTTATTCTTATGTCCATGTATTTTGGTTTTAAAGTTTTGATTAATACTCACTCAACACTAATTTCTAACAAATTAGAATATTCCCATATTGACTATTTTTACCAGTGAGCTTGTAATAAAGATCCACCAGTAATTTTAGTACCCCATAACCTTTCAAAAGAAGCCCATAGAATAAACTAATTTTTAAAGAGCCACATTTTATTCAATGTCTATTTATACATGTTACTAGCAATAAACTCTTTTATCTTTAATTTTGAGAAGCTTTGCAAATACAGAAAAGTAGAATGACTAATAGAGCCGGTAGCCAGGACTCAGATCGGAAAAATAGGTCTAATCGGTTGTTACACTGTGTTTATGTCATACATTTCACTTATTTTTATCAAATAAAAATTAGAATTTATAAAATGTTGATTAAAAGGAAAACATTCTGACTAAAGTTTAGTCCTGTGTTTCTTCCTCCAAATCTCTTTGTTCTACACTAACAAGTCAGGATAAGTATGGATGGGGAGGCTGGAAAAGGGGCATCCTTCCCCATGAGGTCCCCAGAGCCACCTTCTCCAAGCAGAACTTGGGGAACATCCTTCTCCATCCAGGACCTAGGGGGCATCTTTTCTCCATCCAGGACCTGAGGGGTGTCCTTCTCCACCCAGGACTTGGGAGGTGTCTTATCCACCCAGGACTTGAAGGGGATCCTATTCCATTCAGGAGTGGGGGAAATTCTTCTTCATCTGGACTTTGGAGGCATCCTTCTCCATTTAGGACTTGGGGGGCATCCTTCTCTATCCAGGACTGGGGTTTGTCCTTCTCCATATAGGACTTGGGGGGCATCCTTCTCCATCCAGGACTGGGGTTTGTCCTTCTCCATATAGGACTTGGGGGGCATCCTTCTTCATCCAGGACTGGGGGGTTATCCTTCTCCATTCAGGACTGGGTTTGTCCTTCTCCATGTAGAACTAGGGGGCATCCTTCTCCATTCAGGAATTGGGGAGCATCCTTCTCCATCCAGGACTTGGGGGACATCTTTTTCCATCCAGTAACTAGGGGGCATCCTTCTCCATCCAGGACTGAGGGGGGCATCCTTCTCCATCCAGGACTTGGACGACCATCTTTCTCTATCGAGGACTTGGGGGACCATCCTTCTCCATCCAGGACTCAGGGGACATCATTCTCCATCTAGTAACTAGGGGGCATCCTTCTCCATCAAGGACTAGGGGGCATCCTTTTCCATCCAGGACTGGGGGGCATCCTTCTCCATCCCAGAATTGGAGGGCATCTTTCTCTATCCAGTATTGGGGGTCATCCTCCTCCATCCAGGACCTAAGGGGTGTCCTTTTCTGCGCTTCCATGGATGGCAGCCTTGCCTGTGCAGTCATTCAGAAAGTCAGGCTGACACATGTTGTCGTCTTGAACTCTGGCATCTCATCTCTATTCTAGGTGAATGCCTTCATGTTTATAGTGATTTACCATTAAATCACTGTGCTGTTTTTCCCTAAAATATATGGGGCGTGTTTTTTGTTCTGACTTCTTTTAGTCCTTTGGTCCCTATCTCCGGGTTTTTGTAATTTCTTTTGCAACCTAATATGGGTCCCATTTGGTAAGTATTACATATACTAGAAAGTGATGTACATTCAGCATTTGTTGTGATTTAAAACCTTTTATAAACACATAACATCTTTGTCTATTTCCCATTTAAATTCAGAAGTATGAGTTCCAGTGTCCCTCTCTAGACCTGCTCTATCCTGTTAGTTTCTTTGTATGTCCTGGAGGTGAGGCCAGCATTGGACTTGACGTTGGTTCACCTACCCGGTTCTATGGTCCCTCCATGTGCAGTGTCAATCTTGTTGTTTATTATTTCTTCCTTAAATTTTATTTAAACTAAAATTAATTTTGTGATAGCAGCTTGCTTTCTGTGAATATTTACTTAAAATTTTTATAAACTATTTAATTTTTAATTTCTTTAATTTGAAAGTGCTGCTTAGTTATTGATAATTTTGTATTTTAATATATGAGGTTAATCCCTCTATGTTTGGTAGGAAAAAGTGATATATTTGAACTTATTTCTATCATTTGATTTTTGGATTTTGTATTTGCAAAGCTTTATCCTCAATTCTCTTTTCCTTTTTTCAGATTTCTTTTCTTTTCTTCTTTTTTTTGGGGGACAGAGTTTCGCTCCTGTTGCCAAGGCTGGAGTGCAATGGGGAGATCTTGGCTCACGACAACCTCTGCCTCTCGGGTTCAAGCAATTCTTCTACGACAGCCTCCAAGTAGCTGGGGTTACAGGCATGCACCACCATACCCAGCTAATTTTGTATTTTTAGTACAGACAGAGTTTCTCCATGTTGGTCAGGCTGGTCTCGAACTCCCAACCTCAGGTGATCCACCCATCTTGGCCTCCCAAAGTGCTGGGATTACAGGCATGAGCCACTGCGCCCGGACTTCCAGATTTATTTTAAATCAATGTTTCATTTTCCACTTCCTTCCTATGCTGGCTTGTAGGTTTTCCAGGCTATTTACCTTTATTTGGTGTCAAAAATTCTTTTGGGAACTTTTGAGTTGTCAACCAATAGTTGTAAGCATATTGGATATTGCTGTTTTTCTCCCAGTGCTCTGGTTATAATCTCTCCTATTAATACCTTGTAGTCTTATTGTTGTAGTTTTTTTTTCTATTAATTTCTGAGATATAAGAATTAGAATTGTCAAATTGTGGATTTATGCATTTATCATTTTAATTCAATAACTTTTGCTTCATGTATTTTGTTATTTTTCTTAGGTGTATGCATGCTTATGCTTATTAGGTTTTCTAAGCAAATGGACTTATTAGTATAAAACATCCTTCTTTATCCCTGGTGAAGCTTGTCTTTCTTGTAGTCTGTCTTATCTGCCATTAATACACTGGCTGCAGTTTTTGATAACAAAGATTTGCATAGTGTATATTTGTCCATCTTTTCAGTTCAAATCTATTTATATCTTTATCTCATAAGTGTATTTCGTTTTAAAAGTGGTTATTGAGGTTTCCTTTTTACTTATTTTGACAGTCTCTGTTCCGCCTTCCTCATCTTCTTCTGGATTATGGTAGTTTTGGTTTGTTTGTTTGTTTTATGGGGTTTTCTTTTTTTTTTTTTTTAGTATGGATTTTGTACCTTGTTTTTTTTTTAACTATGACTCTTTGTTTCATTTATTTATTTTTGGTGAGTTGTTCAGAAATTAAAATATAAATACTTAATGTATATTAAATATCATAACACTGTATATAAAATATAAAAACCTTACCTTACCATCCTCTCATCTTTTGTGCCATGTTGTCATAGATTTTTCTTTTGTACATGTTGTAATTCCTGGAGGATGTCATTAAAACAGTAATTTCCCCTCCACATATTTACTATTTTTGGCACACTTTCATCTTTTCTGTGAAGTAGAATTTCCAACTGTTATTTTTCTTCATCCTGAACAAGTTTATTTATTGGGGTTTGGGTGTGATGGCAACACGGTCTCTCAGACTTTCTTTAACTGAAAATACTGGGTATATACCCAAAGGACTATAAATCATGCTGCTATAAAGACACATGCACACGTATGTTTATTGCGGCACTATTCACGATAGCAAAGACTTGGAACCAACAATGTCCAACAATGATAGACTGAATTAAGAAAATGTGGCACGTATACACCATGGAATGCTATGCAGCCATAAAAAATGATGAGTTCATGTCCTTTGTAGGGACATGGATGAAATTGGAAATCATCATTCTCAGCAAACTATCGCAAGAACAAAAAATCAAACACCGCATATTCTCACTCATAGGTGGGAATTGAACAATGAGAACACATGGACACAGGAAGGGGAACATCACACTCTGGGGACTGTTGTGGGGTGGGGGGAGGGTGGAGGGTTAGCATTGGGAGATATACCTAATGCTAGATGACGGGTTAGTGGGTGCAGCGCACCAGCATGGCACATGTATACATATGTAACTAACCTGCACATTGTGCACATGTACCCTAAAACTTAAAGTATAATAATAATTAAAAAAAAAAAGAAAATGTACTTTTCTCAACTTCAGTTCTGAAGGCTGCTTCAGCAGGTTCAGAATTCTAGGGACACTTTCGACTTAGAATAGCATGAAGTCTCTGCTTAGCAATGATCTGGGCACCATCGAACATATTACTATATCCAGCTGTGTCAAATCTGTCATCAGCCATAGAACGCTTTGACAGGTGCTTCTTGTTGCTTAAGTTCTAAGTATTTCATAGTCTTCAGAGACATGGAGAAGTAGCAGTGCTAGTAACAGTACCAGTAAAACCAGGTTAAGCCCTAAAATAATTAAGAAGCCATTGCATGCACACACGTGAACGTTTGACTTCAGCTTTCAAATGTACTATTTTAACTTTATACAAGGTCATAACACAAATTAAAATTTTAAAAATACTTTCACTTTACATATGTGAAAACTGCAGCTCAAAGAATTTAAAAGACATGACTGAAATCCTATAACTAGGTAAAGATGGTCTAATCTGGAGCCCGCATGTCTTGGTCCCCCCACGCCCTGTTACAGAGAGTGCAAGGCTTCACCAGGAAGCTCTTTTGGCTCAAGGATTAGTTCTGGGGAGGTGCAGCAGGCAGGCCTGCTTTGCATCCTCTTTACAGCAGAAATCCAATGTTTGTTCATGTTTCTAGTTCTTTTTGTTTTGTTTTGTTTCTTACCAGCATGGCTCTGGGAGTTATTTACACAATTTAATTTTAAAAGAGACAGTCCCCATCATTAGGATTCCTTGGAAACTTATGCAAAAAAAAATAAATAAATACTGATAGATGAGAAACTTCTGCAAAATTGTGATATGTGTAATATATCTAATTGTAATGAAAGAAACATGTGTATCACAGTAATAATTTAATTTATTACTGTCATTTTCTTGCCAGATTTGAGGGCAATTTTTTTAAGCTCTCCACATGTGGTTTACTGTGGACCAAACACTGGCAGCTTCAGGCTTACAATCTGCTGACAAACCCTTCTCAGTTCCTTCATTTGAAAAATGTGAGCATGCACTGCTCATGTGCCTGGCAAGCACATAACTCACTCAGGAGAAGGACAGTGGCCACTCAGGTCATCAGGTGAACTTGTGACGAGGCCATCAAGAGGCTGCACGTGAGCTCCAGAAAATGAAATTCCCACTATCAACCTATTCCCCATTTCCACCCAATGCCCCCGCCCCTGCTCCAAAGCAAAGTCTCCACCTCTTAGGAATGCTTGATTTTCAGTATTGCTGAACAGGGGTCAAAGAAAACAAACTGAACAAAGACACAAATGAAGCCTTTAACACAGGGAGCAAAGACACAGCACCTCCCGACTCTGCAACAGCTCCAGAGCTGCACAGCTGCTGCCAGAGCCTGAGCACAGGCTGAGCTCTGGCCCGTGGATCTCACCAATGCCTTTCTTCCCTCTGTGTCAAAAAAAGTATCCATAAATAGGATTCATTTACTCGGGACATAAAATAATGTATACATACAGTTTCGTCCCAGAACTGTGTAAACCGGCATGCTGTCTGCCACAATACAGTCCTCACCCTGCATCAGGAGCTCAGATGGGGGAAGCTGGCAGGGCTGGAAGCCTGGGAGTCACAGGTGCTTGGAGGAGACAGAAAAGCACCACAGAGAGCCAGGGCCTGCCTACAAGTCACATGTTTAGGGGTCTGGTTGTCTGGGCAGGCTGGGAGATGCTCTCTAAAGGAAATGCAAGAAATATTGCCCCACATCTCCCACCACCAAACAGGAAGTGCAGGTGGTCAGCCCCAGGGCTCACCTGCTCTTTGCCAGGGTCACGAGTCAGGCCCAGGCTGCGCCCTCCACACAATCCTCAAGGGAACTTCCTGCCAGGCTGGGACAACTGCACGGGGCCCTGAGGCCCTGGGAAGGACAGGGTTGCATTTAACAGAAACAGCTAAACCTGAAGGGATGAGCTTGCCTTTCCCCGGGGCCATGGGATGGTTTATAGAAAGTTCTACCCATCAGGACAAAGACCTCACATGACACCATCAGAGGAAATGATTTCACACCACAGAGGGAGGAAGAGGGCACATGCCATAGGTCTGCTGGTCACAGCACACACACACTCCTGGGAGCTTCAGACCCAGCAGTGGTGGCTCAGGTGCCAGGTCAGGATGTGGGAGGACACAGTGTCTGGGTGAATCTGTCACCTTTGCTAGCTGCCTTGTCCCACCAGGTAGAAGATGTGGCAATGGGAGCACAGCAGTAGGAAGCCCAGTGTCCCCCAACCTTCCACCTCACAGCCAGGACCTCTGAGGGGCATCTATATCCTGCATATCTAGGCTCTGAAAAGCAGGAGGCCCTGGTTTCCACAGTTGTGGGGCTTCTAGCCAGGGCTGGGCCAGGTTCTCTGAAAAAACAAGCTCCGGGTGCTGCTTTGTCCTCAGGCTACTCCTCCATGGGACCTGCAGGCAGAAAAATGGGTACCACCTGGACCGTGGTGTTAGCAGAAGCAGGGCTGTGCTGCCTGGGGAAGGAGGGGCTCCACGCAAGTACCTCCCGGTACACAGCATTTGATGGCATGTGGACAAGTGCGGGAGCCCTAGACCAAGGACTCTGTGGTGAGCAAGGCTCAGGACCCCTTAGGGGTGAGGGCCTGGGTTACACCACCAGGGGGTCACCAGGACCCTCAGCAGAAGGTGGAGGGGGTGGCAATCATTACCTGTGCGACCCTGAGATGGGTGGCAGCCACAGAACCTAGGGTTCATTGAACCCACCTTTTGTAACTAGTGCCCAGGAAAAGGCCTAGAATTTAATAAAGATGAGGCCCCTGTCAGTGGAGTGCTGGATGGGGCGCACCCCCTGGGGTACACCTGAACCTCCCCCAGGGCCTTGGCTGTGAGCTTTGATTGTAGACATACTTATGCCACGGCCCCTTCAGACTGCTCCCTTCACCTCTGAAAAATCAGACAGGATGCTTCTGTTCCTGGAAACATGAATGCCCTTCATGTGTTTTTTACTTTGACTAGAAACTCATCTGCAACCGAAATATATGCAGAGAACTCATGTGCTCCCAAGGTTTCCAGGCATCTCTGAGAGTTTGCTTCTCAGTTCCCAGGTGTGACAGCTCCAAAGCAGGTGCTGCTGGTTTCTCATCTCAGTGTATTTTAGTTCCCTGTGGACAGCATGTTTCTAACCCCTTGCACACGCTTGGCTCAGATTTTTGAAAAAGCCAAGGGTGGGAGGCAGAATGATGTGGAATGGGCAGAAACTATGAGTAAAGGCTGGCCTCACCCCAGGAGGAGACAGAAGGCATTAGCCCAGTGACAGTGCCAGGGAACCCATGCGGCAGCCTAGGGAAGGTCAGGGAATGGAGCTGGGGTTTCGGCTGTCGCCATCCCAGGGTTAGACTCAGCCAGGTAAACGGCTGATTCTCCTTCACAGAACCCTTGGGCTGGCACAAAACATGCGATTCACAGCGAGAGAAAGACCACTCATGTCCACCCCCTGTAGCCTCCACACACCTGAGCCCGTACCTGACATATCCCAGAACAAGACTCCACAGCCATGCATCTGTTCTCTCCAGGGCATTTCATGATGAGAGAGGGATTTACTTAACATGATGAAAATAGAAGAGGAAATGACCTTGATGAGAACATAGTTCCACACCCGCCATCCAGGGCCTAGGAATAGTGCTCAGCCAGGGCCCGGCCCTTCTAGGGCTCTTGGAAGCTGCAGTGGAGGTGGTGTTGGGACAAGCAAGAGTGACCATTTGCAGGCAGTGTGGGCACCAGGCCATCTGCAGGGGAAAAGCCCAGTGGGAGGATGAGAGGACAGCAGAAACCTGGCAGGGGCTATGCACCCCCTCCCCGTGGGAAGGGGATACACTCCCAGGTGGAGCCACTGTTTACATTGAAATCACTCAAGTCCATCACCAGGAAACACAAAGAGGATTGTCTCACCAGAGATTAGTGACATGGGACTTAAACAAAATGCCAGTCAGCAAATGAGAGGATTCTTACTTCCACAGACCTCATGTCTACAGTTGCAGTAAGCAAGACTGAACTCAGCCATGCTCACCTGCAGACACTGAGATGCTTGCTAGGAGGCTGTGGGGTGGAATACAAGACACGAGGGCTGACAAGGATGGGAAGAGCATCCCTTTCCTTGCTGTGGGGGGCCTTGGCCAGTTCAAAAATAGATAACATGGGTCTCAGAGCTCCTGAGGCAAGAGCTACGTTGGCATTCAGAGATACTTGGATGATGGCATTGTCTTCAGTAGAACCTCGAAAAAGCACCAAGGACTCCCAGGCAACTTAGCTTAAATCTCTCTCGAGTAGAGCTGGTCTTCGGGATCTCCATCAAGTGAGTGATGCCTTTACCACCATGACAGCACATTATAAAGATGGCCTTGCTACCAGCAGGGACAGGCCTGATGATACTGATCCTGAGGAGGAATCTTATAAACCCATATAATTTAATTTTGGGTAGGCTCAAGCTCATCACTGAGATCATCCTTTGTATGACGATCCATGAGGCCACCGTGAAGAGCATGGATGCACCCAGGCCGCAGAGGGGCCCTCTTCATCCTGGATGAGGAGCCCACAGTGGCCATTGCCCCTCAGTCAGAATAAAATCAAGACAAAAGCAATCAGAAGACCCATACACTATGAGGCTGAGCCATTTTTCAAAGATGTCAAAATAGGAAAATAAAAAAATGGAAGAAAACCCAGAATTTAATCCCCTGACTTGCTCCAGAGGCCTCCCCAACTCCAGGCCACCAGAAGCGGGGACCCTGCAGAGGAACTCTCCCTGGGTAGAAATTCACTGGTTTTTGCCTTCCACCAGATGTTGGCAACTTCAATTTCATCTTTTTTGACATCATAGCTAATGTTAAAAGGACTCAGATCAAAAAAAAGTGATGTGGCTGCAGCCCTGACAATGCTCCCAGTGAGAATTTGTGCAAAACTCTTCCCTCGACTTGCAAAACCGGGTCCAGGCAGGGTCTTAGGGCCGTGACGACTGCATCTCTGCCTCCTCTTCTCTGCAGTGCGGCCTCTTCACAGGCAGAGCATTCATTCCTCTTTAGCTTCTCACCAGCCCAGGATGCAGGGAAGAAGTAGCTTATCAGCACAGTCTTGGAATATTTTTACTTTACCAGCTGGGCTCCTATGAACAATGTGTCCAGCTATAGGTAAACAATGTGTGCAAATAATGTGAGAGTGACAGCACCGTGTCAGGACCATGCGAGAAGCTGGCCAGAGGCACTAGCAGCAGATGGGATGCCGATGGGGGTGACCAAAATACAATATGGGGCAGTTGCATGCCATGATCAATCCGCAGGGGTAGGGAAAACAATAACCCTGGGCCTGGCTAACATTTGCATGTGAGAACATTGACCCAAGTCCCCAGGAGAACGTTGAAGAGAACCGCGGCTTATTGTCAAAGGGAAAAGTAACCGCAGAGTTTTCTTTCTGCTTCTAAGCAGATGGGAGGGGTGTAGCCTGCAGAACCAAGGGTGTGGGGGTCCTAGAATGTTGGTGGTGGTTGTTCAGCAGAGGGCTTCGCTTCTCAGCCTGCAGAACTTTCCGCCCGTGAGTGTGGGTTACATCTATACATACACAGGAAATCATATACTCCCACTCAGCCACCCACATCTAAACATGGTAGTATTAGGAAAAATAGGAAAGCAACATCCTACTAGATTACATTGTTTACAGTGAAACCATTTAAACCCCTGAGCCTCTGTGTGTAACACTGCGTGTAAGGAGAATGCCTGCCCCGTGGGGGTTTGTAAAAACAAAATGTAAAAATAAAATGTAGGCTGGGCGCGGTGGCTCAAGCCTGTAATCCCAGCACTTTAGGAGGCCGAGGAGCGTGGATCACGAGGTCAGGAGATCGAGACCATCCTGGCTAACTCGGTGAAACCCTGTCTCTACTAAAAAAAATAAACAAATAAATAATAAAATAAAATGTAGAGTGCTTGGTAAACTAAAGTTCTAAATAAATATTAGTTGTTCTATTACTATGTCAGAAGTACAAGTCACAAGACCGGAATACTTCACTTGAATAAGAACTCAGTGCAAAGAAGTTGGATAAATCGGTGAGTTTGAAACTGCAACAGGACTAAAACGATGCCAATTAATTTATTAATGTATTCATATTCATTAACTTATTTATATTCAAATGAATTAAATATTTAGTGCATGCTTGGAGCTGGGAACACACAGCCATCAGGGCCGCACGAACTCCGTCCTCACTGCGGTTGTTTTCAGATGACCTCAGAGGAAAATAAGAGGGAAACACTGGCAATTTCCTCCCGTTGATACCTTAGCTGACTGCATAGCTCGTGTTAGGTCGGTCTTAATGAGGAAATCAGAATATTCGGGGCTTCAGTATTAAAACTACAAATCTCTATGGCAAGCATTCAGAGCTCTTTGGATTAGACATCAGTGGCTGCAGTAACGTTACCTGAGAAACCCGCACGCTTTCTGAACACTGGCATGAGTTTCCTTTCCTTTCGGGCCACTATATGTGGAAAAACACTTTCACCCATGACCCTAAGTGTCCCAAACTGCAGAAGAGGCAGATAGTAGCCAGCTAGTCCCTGTCAAAGGCCCATTGCCCTCTTCTGGGTCAGCCTGGTCCACCCAGCCCGAGGTGCTCTCTGAGACAGCCTAGCCACCACGCCACAAGCCCCTCAGCCTAATCAGAGCATCAGGATGCTGTGCACAGCCATTAGCTGGGGTGACTCAGAATTATCTGCTGTAGAACAGGGCTCCAAGTGAAGGATGTGGTCACTCAGACCACGTAGATGGTTCAAGCTCTTACTCCTCTGTCAGCTCAGTGCCTGCACAGTGGAAAGGAAGTGCATCTATTGATTTCTTGGCCAAAAGAACAAGTTAATACATTTTTTAAAACTTTGACACTTTGTCTTAAAGCAACAGTGGGCCTTGTTTAACTAAAATCTCATTTCTTCAGCCTAATATTGCTGGAAAGGCCCCCAACCAAGGCAAGCCCCTGGAGGAGAGAGAGCAGCTAGGATGCTGGCACCAGATGGCTTTGTTCCCCAGCCTTCAATATACTCAGTTACAAAATAACCACATCAGAGGTTTGATAAGATTATCCCCCAGGCCATTTTTCAGGTCTAAATGTTACCATATTTTACGAGAATACAGTATTTGAATCAACTCTCAGGGGACCCAGCCTTCAGGAGACACTGAAGGAATACAGCCATTTTTCTAGCCTCAAAAGCATGGTTTGCAAACTGGCTTGTTCTTTGCAGGAGAAAACCACACACGTGGCCATTGATGCCCTTGGTTGACAGAGTTGACGGGATTTTCTCTGGCTCTCACCTTGAGGGCATCATCAGCATCCTGAAGTCACTAGCGGGCCTCTGTGCAGATGTCCTTTCGAGGGGCTTCAGGCTGTGGAAGTGACCAGTGAACACAGGACCTGCCTGGACTCCCAGCCTCACAGCACAGCACCACAGCCTGGACTGCCCCCTGCCTGATACTTGCTTGGTTTGGAACTTTACTCCATCAAAACATCCAAATAAAAATATGTAGACTCCCCACCCTATCCCATCTGCTATAGGGTTCTAATTCCCCCACAGACATCCCATCACAGTGCTTTCCCCCATGACGGGGGACTCCTGAGCTGGACTCCATCCCTCCCCTACCAGAAAAGCACAGGTGCTGTGGCATGAGTTCAACCACCTGAAATTCCCTGATCTTCAGAGTAATAATTCTAAAATAGGGCAATAATACCCCTGTCAGTGTTCTTGGAAGAACTTCTCATTACTTGAGGCCCCAGAAATGCAAACACTCCTCCGGTTTTCCAGCATGCTGTCAACCCTGGCATCAGAGCTCTTCCTGCCGTGGGCACTGGTAATTGACTTACTGGAGAAAGTCAAGCTTTTAAGTCCCAGGAATAAAGGATTCCTATTTCCTTAAGCTGTGTTTATTTGTACGCTATTGCTGGTAGAGTCAATGTGTACTGAGTGAAGATGAGGCAAGAGTGTCAAAGAGTGATTTCCAATAAGATGAAAAGTGATCTGCAGTTTCTACTTCCTTAACCAGCAGGAAACGTTTCTCCTGTAGCATCGGACAGTGGAGGCAGTGGCGCTCAGTGTGGGGCCTCCTGGCTGAAGGAGGGGACAACACGGTGTCCCATCTCCCTAGATGCTGTATGCACCTCACCTGGCTGGTGATTTACTTGACAGAAACCCATGTGTGGAGTAGGGAGTGCTGCCTTTGGCATCTACCCAGTTTCTGCTCTGGACTCTGCCTCTTAGCAAGGGTGACTTGTGGGCCCAAATCACCTGGTGGCTGTGAGCCACTCCACTCCAGCCTGGGCAAGAGTGAGACCTTGTGTGAAAATAAAATAAAATATAAAAATAAAAATAAGCCGGGAATGGCGGCTCACAACTGTAATCCCAGCACTTTGGGAAACCAAGACGGGCGGATCACATGTGGTCGGGAGTTCGAGACTAGCCTGACCAACATGGAGAAACGCTGTCTCTACTAAAAATACAAAAAATTAACCGGCTGTTGTGGCTCATGCCTGTAATCCCAGCTACTCAGGAGGCTGAGGCAGGAGAGTCACTTGAACCCAGGAGGCAGGCGTTGCAGTGAGCCAAGTTCCTGCCATTGCACTCCAGCCTGGGCAACAAGAGCGAAACTCTGTCTCAAAAATAAAATAAAAGTCTTTAAGTCATTCATCAATTTTATGTGTTTACTATTTCTTCTCCCATTCCATAAAGCCTACAGTCATATAACACAAAGGGAAAATCAGGACAGCCACATATAAATAAAGGTGCAAAGTCGAGGCAAGAGTGGACCTTAGGGGCCAAGCAAGGGTCATTGCTGAGCTTCACATTTAGCCCTGGGCTTTCTGGAAGCCAGAGTGAAAAGAGAGACACAACCAGCTGCATAAGAGTTATCAAAAAGCAGGAAGCGCACTGGTTTTTCTGGTAGTAAAGCAAGGGCTTTCCAAGAATTTACCTCTAAAGTAATTTCTTTCATTCTTTCTTTTTTCTCGCTCTGACACCCAGTTGGAGTGCAGTGGCACAATCAGGGCTCACTACAACGTCTGCCTCCCAGGCTCAAGCCATCCTCCCACCTCAGCCTCTCAAATAGCTGGGACTACAGGCACGCACCACCATGCCTGGCCAGTTTTTTGGTATTTTTTGTAAAGGTGGGATTTCGCCATGTTGCCTAGGCTGGTCTGGAACTCCTGAGCTCAAGCAATCCACCTGCCTTGGCCTCCTAAAGTGCTGGGATTTCCGGCATGAGACACTGTGCCCGGCCTAAAGTAATTTCTTACTTGAGATTTTATTTCAGGCTACTGTGTCATGCACTGGGCAGTACAGCCTGGTGGGTGAGAGTACAGTGGTTTTTTGTGTGTTTGTGTGTTTGTTTGTTTGTTGTCTGCTGGGTTTGGGTTTGAATTTTGTTTTAATACATGCAATTTATTCTGTGCTTCACTTTCTTCATCTGTAACATGGAGATAACGGCGTCTACCTATTAAAGTTGTGAAGATTCAATTAGATGAGTTGTATGAATAAATGTTAGCCATTTTTTTTTTTTTTTTTTTTTGAGATGGAGTCTCGCTCTGTCACCCAGGCTGGAGTGCAGTGACGCAATCTTGGCTCATGGCAACCTCTGCCTCCCAGGTTCAAGCTATTCTCCTGCCTCACCCTCCCAATTAGCTGCGATTACAGGCACCCGCCACCATGCACGGCTAATTTTTGCATTTTTAGTAGATCCGCGTTTTCACCATGCTGGCCAGGCTGGTCTCGAACACCTGACCTCAGGTGTTCCACCCGCCTCAGCCTCTCAAAGTGCTGGGATTACAGCCGTGAGCCACCGCGCCCAGCCAGCTATCAAGAAATTCGACTGCCTACTACTTAGCCTGCACAGTTCTAGGTGCTGGGGAAATAGTGATGAACAAGACAAACAAGATCCTTATCTTCAAGTAGCTTTTACATTCTAAGTGGAGTGAAAAAACAATAAACATTGAAAATAAATTTCAGAAAGTGCTGTGGAAAAACTTTACAACAGATGCAGGAATAGATTTCATTTGACTAGCTCTCCCAGACAGTTTCCAGAAAAGTCAAGGGTAGAATGTTAAAAGGCAACTCAGAGGAGGTGAATCTGTTAGGGCCTGCGGTAATGCAATCCTGGTTTGTGGAATTCTGCAGGCTAATGTGGGTAGGTTACAATTTTGGGGGGAGGGGTTTATTTTGTTTGAAAATTCACTTCTTCCCGCTAAGCTTTTGATTAGGAGCTGAAGTTGAATCAGCTTGAAATTGTATTCTGGACCGGGTGCGGCGGTCCATGCCTTTAATCCCAGCGCTTTGGGAGGCCGAGGTGGGTGGATTGCTTGAGCCCAGGAGTTCGAGACCAGCCTGGACAAAATGGCAGAAACTCCGTGTCTACAAAAAATACAAAAATTGGCGGGGCATGATGTTCTGCGCCTGTAGTCCCAGCTACTCAGGAGGCTGAGGTGGGAGGATCACTTGAGCCCGGGAGGCGGAGTTTGCAGTGAGCTGAGATGTCACTGCATTCCAGCCTGGGCGACAGAAAAAAAAAAAGAAACGAAAAAAAGAAATTGTATCCTGAATACATCTTCTAAAACACTACATTTACTTGCACTATATTAAACTGGTTTTATCCTGACCACAATTGCAGGTGAAAGATAACCACTGTTGTTCTATTTTTCTGGTAAGTAGAGTGAGCCATGTCTTGCCCAGGGAAAGACGCCTCCTAAAAATTTGTAGGACCACCTTTGGTTATCTTCCAGATTTTTTTTTGTCATCGCTTTTCCTGCGCCCAATTCCCATCTGTCTAGCCCTTCTGCCTCCGCTGGGCTTTTTCGCGAGCCTCTCCCCAGCCGCTGGTATTCGTCTGGGCTGCAGCCCCGCCTATCTCCTGGGGCGTGACCACCTGTCCAGGCCCCGCCCCCGTCCAACAGGCGGAGACCCGCCCCCTTTCCCGGACACCGGCTTCAGCGCCCGAGCGTGCGCGCGCGTCTCCGCTCGTCGCCCGGCTCGGCGTCGGGAGTGCACTCTGTGTGGCCGCTGCTGCAGTGTTGTTGTGGTTGTGAGAAGGCGGAGGCGGCGGCGGAGTAGCAGCCGGACCAGACGCCCTAGTAGCTCAGTCGCTGCCCTGCGCCGGGCCTGGCAGGGAGCCTGGTGAGATGGTGGAGGAGGAGGCTGTGCCGTGGCGGGCCTTGCCATGTCCTGCTGCCTGGTAAGAACCCCATCCCCGTCCCCTGTCTCCTCCCGGGGTGAGGAGGAGCTGGAGGAGGGGCCGGCCTCTGTACGGCCCCGGCCAGGCGGCTGTCACCCTCTGAGGAGGCAGCGCCAGGGGAGGGGCGTCCCGGGCGGCCGCCGCCGCCAGGGGGAGGCGCTGGGAGTGGGAGTGGGAACGGGACCTCAGCGGTCGAGCTCGGCCGGGACCCTAGGTGCGGGGGAGGCGGGGTCCCGGGCTCCGGCTGCCTGCCCAGACCTGGCGGGGATGGGCCCGTGCGGCTCCGGGTGTGGGACGTATCCTGGGAGCGCCCGGGGTTATTCCCACTGACTCCCGGGAGGTGGGTGTGCGCCCTTCGCCCCCTGCCTGGTCTGTGGGGATCCATCGTTGCTGGAGACTGGAGGTCGGGGGCCATGGGAGCCCCGGGGCGAACGGTGCGGGCCTGGGTCTTGTGGAAAGGAGGAGCGACCGCCTGAGCGTGCAGCAGGACGTCCTCCTGACCTGGTAATAATTAGGTGGGAAGGATGGTTGGGGGCGGTTGGCGTAACTCAGGGAACACTGGTCAGACTGCTCCCCAAACGATTACAGTGTTATTTCTCCGGTAGAAATTTTCCTTGATGTATGGTATTTCCGGACCCATAAGATGATGTCAGTCGTATTTTGGGCTGGAAAAGTTATGTCAAAATTATGGGGTAGATTTTATGGCCACATTAATAGACTCCCCTGGAGTTTGATAATCTCACTTGTGAGTTTTGGACATGAACTACTATTACATATTGATGTTCAAATGTCGTTTGCAGACCGAGGCCTAAATTCTTACTGTTCTAGTATCTTGATATCCACTTTGTTTTCTGACATCTGTTTTTCCACAACCCAAACAAACAAAACAACATCCCCAAACCATATACTTTTCCAGTTGAGGTTCAACTTTCTCTTATGTGAATGGTAATGCCATGAGAGGCCTGGGTTGAATTACAGGAGATGATTTTTTTTAAATGTTAAATGTTTATGATTTGTCCGTGGAGAGGTGGTGGGGGACCATCCCCTTTCAGATTCAGGGCTGTTCAGTAGGACAGGAGACATTGATGGCATGCAGAAAGTCTTCCCTTTATAGGGCCTATGACTTGGGCAGGCTAGAAGAGCTTACAGAATGACACTTTTTTTTTTTTTTTTTTTGAGACGTTATCTCGCTCTGCCGCCCAGGCCGGAGTGCAGTAGTGTGATGTCTGCTCACTGCAACCTCCGCCTCTCGGATTCTAGCAATACTCCCACCTTAGCCTCCCAAGTAGTTGGGATTACAAGTGTGCGCCACCACGGCTGGCTAATTTTTGTATTTTCAGTAGAGACAGGGATTTCTCCATGTTGGCTAGGCTGGTCTGGAACTCCTGACCTCAAGTGATCCACCTGCCTCAGCCTTCCAAAGTGTTGGGATTACAGGCGTGAGCCACCACCCCCAGCCAGAATGACACTGTTTTGAGTAACCCAGTATAGTATGTGATATTAAACTAAATTTGGAGGATTCTAGAATTCTAGATTGGCTGCCTATGACGACAGACCTCTTTTGGCTCCAATTACTCCCTCATTTTCAGGTGACTCAGAGAACTTCAAGTGACCAGCACAGTGGTACAGCCCCACTTGTCGTTAATGGCCAGCCATAAAAGAACCCAAGTTTCTCAGCTCATAGGCCAGGTTCTTCAGTGGTTGTCTAGTTTAAGGCTGGTCATTAGCAATATTATGGACGACCTAAGTTCCTCGAACTTAAGTAGTTTATAGCTTTTTAAGAATTTAAGAAGTGGAGAAGGGGAAGCATGAGAAACTTAAAGGATGCAAATTGAGCATCTCTTAAAATATAATGGATTTGTGTAGGTGAAACAGATTTGTTGCCAAAAGTTAATTTGTGCACAAGTTATCAGGAACACACTTGATAAAATTAGATGCTGATTAATTGGAGATACATTGTATCCAGAGATACACAAGAATCCAGAGGAAATAAACAGAGAAGGAGAGGAAGTAAGTCAGCTTCTGGCTCATAAAGGGGTCCACTGAAGATGCTCCCTAACATGGTTGCTCCTAAACCATCTGACTCAGATTTCTAGTGGAGGGTAGGATGGGTGTGTTAGCAGTCATTTGAGATCAGGGTTGTGAACCAGGAAGGGTTACTACAGATTGTGAAAAGTTCTTGAAATTTGCCGCAGGCCGTGAGGAGTGGTAAAGTCAGTTTAAAAATCTGCTGTAGTTCTAGTTAACACGTTCACACCTTCTTTAGTGAAGTAGAATGCTGAGTTACCAAAGGACGTATTCACGTTTTAGAGGGGGTGTGGTGAAGGTTATTATAAGTTTGGAAGAGGTGGAAGAAAATGTTGTTATAGTTGTGTAGAGTAGTGAAGGACTTTGGCAAATATCCTGTCAAATCATGAAGTAGTATTTTTAGAGAGTTGCACCCAGCTGTCCATTAGAAGAGCCAGAGGCCTCGTCTGTTTTGTTCCCTGGTGTCGCCAATACCCAGCACAGTTATCAGCATATTCTATACCCTCAGATTTTTTTTTTAGTAAGTGAATAGTATTGATATGGAAAAAAGAACAGTTATGGTGGTTTATAGCCGTGTTAGTTATTAAAAGCTACTTGATAATTTGCAATGGATTAAAGAACCAGTTTTTGATCAAGTAGGGCTCTGGATAGGAAAGAAAATAAAAAAGGGAAAAGTAACCGCAGAGTTTTCTTTCTGCTTCTAAGCAGATGGGAGGGGTGTAGCCTGCAGAACCAAGGGTGTGGGGGTCCTAGAATGTTGGTGGTGGTTGTTCAGCAGAGGGCTTCACTTCTCAGCCTGCAGAACTTTCCGCCTGTGAGTGTGGGTTACATCTATACATACACAGGAAATCATATACTCCCACTCAGCCACCCACATCTAAACATGGTAGTATTAGGAAAAATAGGAAAGCAACATCCTACTAGATTACATTGTTTACAGTGAAACCATTTAAACCCCTGAGCCTCTGTGTGTAACACTGCGTGTAAGGAGAATGCCTGCCCCGTGGGGGTTTGTAAAAACAAAATGTAAAAATAAAATGTAGGCTGGGCGCGGTGGCTCAAGCCTGTAATCCCAGCACTTTAGGAGGCCGAGGAGCGTGGATCACGAGGTCAGGAGATCGAGACCATCCTGGCTAACTCGGTGAAACCCTGTCTCTACTAAAAAAAATAAACAAATAAATAATAAAATAAAATGTAGAGTGCTTGGTAAACTAAAGTTCTAAATAAATATTAGTTGTTCTATTACTATGTCAGAAGTACAAGTCACAAGACCGGAATACTTCACTTGAATAAGAACTCAGTGCAAAGAAGTTGGATAAATCGGTGAGTTTGAAACTGCAACAGGACTAAAACGATGCCAATTAATTTATTAATGTATTCATATTCATTAACTTATTTATATTCAAATGAATTAAATATTTAGTGCATGCTTGGAGCTGGGAACACACAGCCATCAGGGCCGCACGAACTCCGTCCTCACTGCGGTTGTTTTCAGATGACCTCAGAGGAAAATAAGAGGGAAACACTGGCAATTTCCTCCCGTTGATACCTTAGCTGACTGCATAGCTCGTGTTAGGTCGGTCTTAATGAGGAAATCAGAATATTCGGGGCTTCAGTATTAAAACTACAAATCTCTATGGCAAGCATTCAGAGCTCTTTGGATTAGACATCAGTGGCTGCAGTAACGTTACCTGAGAAACCCGCACGCTTTCTGAACACTGGCATGAGTTTCCTTTCCTTTCGGGCCACTATATGTGGAAAAACACTTTCACCCATGACCCTAAGTGTCCCAAACTGCAGAAGAGGCAGATAGTAGCCAGCTAGTCCCTGTCAAAGGCCCATTGCCCTCTTCTGGGTCAGCCTGGTCCACCCAGCCCGAGGTGCTCTCTGAGACAGCCTAGCCACCACGCCACAAGCCCCTCAGCCTAATCAGAGCATCAGGATGCTGTGCACAGCCATTAGCTGGGGTGACTCAGAATTATCTGCTGTAGAACAGGGCTCCAAGTGAAGGATGTGGTCACTCAGACCACGTAGATGGTTCAAGCTCTTACTCCTCTGTCAGCTCAGTGCCTGCACAGTGGAAAGGAAGTGCATCTATTGATTTCTTGGCCAAAAGAACAAGTTAATACATTTTTTAAAACTTTGACACTTTGTCTTAAAGCAACAGTGGGCCTTGTTTAACTAAAATCTCATTTCTTCAGCCTAATATTGCTGGAAAGGCCCCCAACCAAGGCAAGCCCCTGGAGGAGAGAGAGCAGCTAGGATGCTGGCACCAGATGGCTTTGTTCCCCAGCCTTCAATATACTCAGTTACAAAATAACCACATCAGAGGTTTGATAAGATTATCCCCCAGGCCATTTTTCAGGTCTAAATGTTACCATATTTTACGAGAATACAGTATTTGAATCAACTCTCAGGGGACCCAGCCTTCAGGAGACACTGAAGGAATACAGCCATTTTTCTAGCCTCAAAAGCATGGTTTGCAAACTGGCTTGTTCTTTGCAGGAGAAAACCACACACGTGGCCATTGATGCCCTTGGTTGACAGAGTTGACGGGATTTTCTCTGGCTCTCACCTTGAGGGCATCATCAGCATCCTGAAGTCACTAGCGGGCCTCTGTGCAGATGTCCTTTCGAGGGGCTTCAGGCTGTGGAAGTGACCAGTGAACACAGGACCTGCCTGGACTCCCAGCCTCACAGCACAGCACCACAGCCTGGACTGCCCCCTGCCTGATACTTGCTTGGTTTGGAACTTTACTCCATCAAAACATCCAAATAAAAATATGTAGACTCCCCACCCTATCCCATCTGCTATAGGGTTCTAATTCCCCCACAGACATCCCATCACAGTGCTTTCCCCCATGACGGGGGACTCCTGAGCTGGACTCCATCCCTCCCCTACCAGAAAAGCACAGGTGCTGTGGCATGAGTTCAACCACCTGAAATTCCCTGATCTTCAGAGTAATAATTCTAAAATAGGGCAATAATACCCCTGTCAGTGTTCTTGGAAGAACTTCTCATTACTTGAGGCCCCAGAAATGCAAACACTCCTCCGGTTTTCCAGCATGCTGTCAACCCTGGCATCAGAGCTCTTCCTGCCGTGGGCACTGGTAATTGACTTACTGGAGAAAGTCAAGCTTTTAAGTCCCAGGAATAAAGGATTCCTATTTCCTTAAGCTGTGTTTATTTGTACGCTATTGCTGGTAGAGTCAATGTGTACTGAGTGAAGATGAGGCAAGAGTGTCAAAGAGTGATTTCCAATAAGATGAAAAGTGATCTGCAGTTTCTACTTCCTTAACCAGCAGGAAACGTTTCTCCTGTAGCATCGGACAGTGGAGGCAGTGGCGCTCAGTGTGGGGCCTCCTGGCTGAAGGAGGGGACAACACGGTGTCCCATCTCCCTAGATGCTGTATGCACCTCACCTGGCTGGTGATTTACTTGACAGAAACCCATGTGTGGAGTAGGGAGTGCTGCCTTTGGCATCTACCCAGTTTCTGCTCTGGACTCTGCCTCTTAGCAAGGGTGACTTGTGGGCCCAAATCACCTGGTGGCTGTGAGCCACTCCACTCCAGCCTGGGCAAGAGTGAGACCTTGTGTGAAAATAAAATAAAATATAAAAATAAAAATAAGCCGGGAATGGCGGCTCACAGCTGTAATCCCAGCACTTTGGGAAACCAAGACGGGCGGATCACATGTGGTCGGGAGTTCGAGACTAGCCTGACCAACATGGAGAAACGCTGTCTCTACTAAAAATACAAAAAATTAACCGGCTGTTGTGGCTCATGCCTGTAATCCCAGCTACTCAGGAGGCTGAGGCAGGAGAGTCACTTGAACCCAGGAGGCAGGCGTTGCAGTGAGCCAAGTTCCTGCCATTGCACTCCAGCCTGGGCAACAAGAGCGAAACTCTGTCTCAAAAATAAAATAAAAGTCTTTAAGTCATTCATCAATTTTATGTGTTTACTATTTCTTCTCCCATTCCATAAAGCCTACAGTCATATAACACAAAGGGAAAATCAGGACAGCCACATATAAATAAAGGTGCAAAGTCGAGGCAAGAGTGGACCTTAGGGGCCAAGCAAGGGTCATTGCTGAGCTTCACATTTAGCCCTGGGCTTTCTGGAAGCCAGAGTGAAAAGAGAGACACAACCAGCTGCATAAGAGTTATCAAAAAGCAGGAAGCGCACTGGTTTTTCTGGTAGTAAAGCAAGGGCTTTCCAAGAATTTACCTCTAAAGTAATTTCTTTCATTCTTTCTTTTTTCTCGCTCTGACACCCAGTTGGAGTGCAGTGGCACAATCAGGGCTCACTACAACGTCTGCCTCCCAGGCTCAAGCCATCCTCCCACCTCAGCCTCTCAAATAGCTGGGACTACAGGCACGCACCACCATGCCTGGCCAGTTTTTTGGTATTTTTTGTAAAGGTGGGATTTCGCCATGTTGCCTAGGCTGGTCTGGAACTCCTGAGCTCAAGCAATCCACCTGCCTTGGCCTCCTAAAGTGCTGGGATTTCCGGCATGAGACACTGTGCCCGGCCTAAAGTAATTTCTTACTTGAGATTTTATTTCAGGCTACTGTGTCATGCACTGGGCAGTACAGCCTGGTGGGTGAGAGTACAGTGGTTTTTTGTGTGTTTGTGTGTTTGTTTGTTTGTTGTCTGCTGGGTTTGGGTTTGAATTTTGTTTTAATACATGCAATTTACTCTGTGCTTCACTTTCTTCATCTGTAACATGGAGATAACGGCGTCTACCTATTAAAGTTGTGAAGATTCAATTAGATGAGTTGTATGAATAAATGTTAGCCATTTTTTTTTTTTTTTTTTTTGAGATGGAGTCTCGCTCTGTCACCCAGGCTGGAGTGCAGTGACGCAATCTTGGCTCATGGCAACCTCTGCCTCCCAGGTTCAAGCTATTCTCCTGCCTCACCCTCCCAATTAGCTGCGATTACAGGCACCCGCCACCATGCACGGCTAATTTTTGCATTTTTAGTAGATCCGCGTTTTCACCATGCTGGCCAGGCTGGTCTCGAACACCTGACCTCAGGTGTTCCACCCGCCTCAGCCTCTCAAAGTGCTGGGATTACAGCCGTGAGCCACCGCGCCCAGCCAGCTATCAAGAAATTCGACTGCCTACTACTTAGCCTGCACAGTTCTAGGTGCTGGGGAAATAGTGATGAACAAGACAAACAAGATCCTTATCTTCAAGTAGCTTTTACATTCTAAGTGGAGTGAAAAAACAATAAACATTGAAAATAAATTTCAGAAAGTGCTGTGGAAAAACTTTACAACAGATGCAGGAATAGATTTCATTTGACTAGCTCTCCCAGACAGTTTCCAGAAAAGTCAAGGGTAGAATGTTAAAAGGCAACTCAGAGGAGGTGAATCTGTTAGGGCCTGCGGTAATGCAATCCTGGTTTGTGGAATTCTGCAGGCTAATGTGGGTAGGTTACAATTTTGGGGGGAGGGGTTTATTTTGTTTGAAAATTCACTTCTTCCCGCTAAGCTTTTGATTAGGAGCTGAAGTTGAATCAGCTTGAAATTGTATTCTGGACCGGGTGCGGCGGTCCATGCCTTTAATCCCAGCGCTTTGGGAGGCCGAGGTGGGTGGATTGCTTGAGCCCAGGAGTTCGAGACCAGCCTGGACAAAATGGCAGAAACTCCGTGTCTACAAAAAATACAAAAATTGGCGGGGCATGATGTTCTGCGCCTGTAGTCCCAGCTACTCAGGAGGCTGAGGTGGGAGGATCACTTGAGCCCGGGAGGCGGAGTTTGCAGTGAGCTGAGATGTCACTGCATTCCAGCCTGGGCGACAGAAAAAAAAAAAGAAACGAAAAAAAGAAATTGTATCCTGAATACATCTTCTAAAACACTACATTTACTTGCACTATATTAAACTGGTTTTATCCTGACCACAATTGCAGGTGAAAGATAACCACTGTTGTTCTATTTTTCTGGTAAGTAGAGTGAGCCATGTCTTGCCCAGGGAAAGACGCCTCCTAAAAATTTGTAGGACCACCTTTGGTTATCTTCCAGATTTTTTTTTGTCATCGCTTTTCCTGCGCCCAATTCCCATCTGTCTAGCCCTTCTGCCTCCGCTGGGCTTTTTCGCGAGCCTCTCCCCAGCCGCTGGTATTCGTCTGGGCTGCAGCCCCGCCTATCTCCTGGGGCGTGACCACCTGTCCAGGCCCCGCCCCCGTCCAACAGGCGGAGACCCGCCCCCTTTCCCGGACACCGGCTTCAGCGCCCGAGCGTGCGCGCGCGTCTCCGCTCGTCGCCCGGCTCGGCGTCGGGAGTGCACTCTGTGTGGCCGCTGCTGCAGTGTTGTTGTGGTTGTGAGAAGGCGGAGGCGGCGGCGGAGTAGCAGCCGGACCAGACGCCCTAGTAGCTCAGTCGCTGCCCTGCGCCGGGCCTGGCAGGGAGCCTGGTGAGATGGTGGAGGAGGAGGCTGTGCCGTGGCGGGCCTTGCCATGTCCTGCTGCCTGGTAAGAACCCCATCCCCGTCCCCTGTCTCCTCCCGGGGTGAGGAGGAGCTGGAGGAGGGGCCGGCCTCTGTACGGCCCCGGCCAGGCGGCTGTCACCCTCTGAGGAGGCAGCGCCAGGGGAGGGGCGTCCCGGGCGGCCGCCGCCGCCAGGGGGAGGCGCTGGGAGTGGGAGTGGGAACGGGACCTCAGCGGTCGAGCTCGGCCGGGACCCTAGGTGCGGGGGAGGCGGGGTCCCGGGCTCCGGCTGCCTGCCCAGACCTGGCGGGGATGGGCCCGTGCGGCTCCGGGTGTGGGACGTATCCTGGGAGCGCCCGGGGTTATTCCCACTGACTCCCGGGAGGTGGGTGTGCGCCCTTCGCCCCCTGCCTGGTCTGTGGGGATCCATCGTTGCTGGAGACTGGAGGTCGGGGGCCATGGGAGCCCCGGGGCGAACGGTGCGGGCCTGGGTCTTGTGGAAAGGAGGAGCGACCGCCTGAGCGTGCAGCAGGACGTCCTCCTGACCTGGTAATAATTAGGTGGGAAGGATGGTTGGGGGCGGTTGGCGTAACTCAGGGAACACTGGTCAGACTGCTCCCCAAACGATTACAGTGTTATTTCTCCGGTAGAAATTTTCCTTGATGTATGGTATTTCCGGACCCATAAGATGATGTCAGTCGTATTTTGGGCTGGAAAAGTTATGTCAAAATTATGGGGTAGATTTTATGGCCACATTAATAGACTCCCCTGGAGTTTGATAATCTCACTTGTGAGTTTTGGACATGAACTACTATTACATATTGATGTTCAAATGTCGTTTGCAGACCGAGGCCTAAATTCTTACTGTTCTAGTATCTTGATATCCACTTTGTTTTCTGACATCTGTTTTTCCACAACCCAAACAAACAAAACAACATCCCCAAACCATATACTTTTCCAGTTGAGGTTCAACTTTCTCTTATGTGAATGGTAATGCCATGAGAGGCCTGGGTTGAATTACAGGAGATGATTTTTTTTAAATGTTAAATGTTTATGATTTGTCCGTGGAGAGGTGGTGGGGGACCATCCCCTTTCAGATTCAGGGCTGTTCAGTAGGACAGGAGACATTGATGGCATGCAGAAAGTCTTCCCTTTATAGGGCCTATGACTTGGGCAGGCTAGAAGAGCTTACAGAATGACACTTTTTTTTTTTTTTTTTTTGAGACGTTATCTCGCTCTGCCGCCCAGGCCGGAGTGCAGTAGTGTGATGTCTGCTCACTGCAACCTCCGCCTCTCGGATTCTAGCAATACTCCCACCTTAGCCTCCCAAGTAGTTGGGATTACAAGTGTGCGCCACCACGGCTGGCTAATTTTTGTATTTTCAGTAGAGACAGGGATTTCTCCATGTTGGCTAGGCTGGTCTGGAACTCCTGACCTCAAGTGATCCACCTGCCTCAGCCTTCCAAAGTGTTGGGATTACAGGCGTGAGCCACCACCCCCAGCCAGAATGACACTGTTTTGAGTAACCCAGTATAGTATGTGATATTAAACTAAATTTGGAGGATTCTAGAATTCTAGATTGGCTGCCTATGACGACAGACCTCTTTTGGCTCCAATTACTCCCTCATTTTCAGGTGACTCAGAGAACTTCAAGTGACCAGCACAGTGGTACAGCCCCACTTGTCGTTAATGGCCAGCCATAAAAGAACCCAAGTTTCTCAGCTCATAGGCCAGGTTCTTCAGTGGTTGTCTAGTTTAAGGCTGGTCATTAGCAATATTATGGACGACCTAAGTTCCTCGAACTTAAGTAGTTTATAGCTTTTTAAGAATTTAAGAAGTGGAGAAGGGGAAGCATGAGAAACTTAAAGGATGCAAATTGAGCATCTCTTAAAATATAATGGATTTGTGTAGGTGAAACAGATTTGTTGCCAAAAGTTAATTTGTGCACAAGTTATCAGGAACACACTTGATAAAATTAGATGCTGATTAATTGGAGATACATTGTATCCAGAGATACACAAGAATCCAGAGGAAATAAACAGAGAAGGAGAGGAAGTAAGTCAGCTTCTGGCTCATAAAGGGGTCCACTGAAGATGCTCCCTAACATGGTTGCTCCTAAACCATCTGACTCAGATTTCTAGTGGAGGGTAGGATGGGTGTGTTAGCAGTCATTTGAGATCAGGGTTGTGAACCAGGAAGGGTTACTACAGATTGTGAAAAGTTCTTGAAATTTGCCGCAGGCCGTGAGGAGTGGTAAAGTCAGTTTAAAAATCTGCTGTAGTTCTAGTTAACACGTTCACACCTTCTTTAGTGAAGTAGAATGCTGAGTTACCAAAGGACGTATTCACGTTTTAGAGGGGGTGTGGTGAAGGTTATTATAAGTTTGGAAGAGGTGGAAGAAAATGTTGTTATAGTTGTGTAGAGTAGTGAAGGACTTTGGCAAATATCCTGTCAAATCATGAAGTAGTATTTTTAGAGAGTTGCACCCAGCTGTCCATTAGAAGAGCCAGAGGCCTCGTCTGTTTTGTTCCCTGGTGTCGCCAATACCCAGCACAGTTATCAGCATATTCTATACCCTCAGATTTTTTTTTTAGTAAGTGAATAGTATTGATATGGAAAAAAGAACAGTTATGGTGGTTTATAGCCGTGTTAGTTATTAAAAGCTACTTGATAATTTGCAATGGATTAAAGAACCAGTTTTTGATCAAGTAGGGCTCTGGATAGGAAAGAAAATAAAAAAGGGAAAAGTAACCGCAGAGTTTTCTTTCTGCTTCTAAGCAGATGGGAGGGGTGTAGCCTGCAGAACCAAGGGTGTGGGGGTCCTAGAATGTTGGTGGTGGTTGTTCAGCAGAGGGCTTCACTTCTCAGCCTGCAGAACTTTCCGCCTGTGAGTGTGGGTTACATCTATACATACACAGGAAATCATATACTCCCACTCAGCCACCCACATCTAAACATGGTAGTATTAGGAAAAATAGGAAAGCAACATCCTACTAGATTACATTGTTTACAGTGAAACCATTTAAACCCCTGAGCCTCTGTGTGTAACACTGCGTGTAAGGAGAATGCCTGCCCCGTGGGGGTTTGTAAAAACAAAATGTAAAAATAAAATGTAGGCTGGGCGCGGTGGCTCAAGCCTGTAATCCCAGCACTTTAGGAGGCCGAGGAGCGTGGATCACGAGGTCAGGAGATCGAGACCATCCTGGCTAACTCGGTGAAACCCTGTCTCTACTAAAAAAAATAAACAAATAAATAATAAAATAAAATGTAGAGTGCTTGGTAAACTAAAGTTCTAAATAAATATTAGTTGTTCTATTACTATGTCAGAAGTACAAGTCACAAGACCGGAATACTTCACTTGAATAAGAACTCAGTGCAAAGAAGTTGGATAAATCGGTGAGTTTGAAACTGCAACAGGACTAAAACGATGCCAATTAATTTATTAATGTATTCATATTCATTAACTTATTTATATTCAAATGAATTAAATATTTAGTGCATGCTTGGAGCTGGGAACACACAGCCATCAGGGCCGCACGAACTCCGTCCTCACTGCGGTTGTTTTCAGATGACCTCAGAGGAAAATAAGAGGGAAACACTGGCAATTTCCTCCCGTTGATACCTTAGCTGACTGCATAGCTCGTGTTAGGTCGGTCTTAATGAGGAAATCAGAATATTCGGGGCTTCAGTATTAAAACTACAAATCTCTATGGCAAGCATTCAGAGCTCTTTGGATTAGACATCAGTGGCTGCAGTAACGTTACCTGAGAAACCCGCACGCTTTCTGAACACTGGCATGAGTTTCCTTTCCTTTCGGGCCACTATATGTGGAAAAACACTTTCACCCATGACCCTAAGTGTCCCAAACTGCAGAAGAGGCAGATAGTAGCCAGCTAGTCCCTGTCAAAGGCCCATTGCCCTCTTCTGGGTCAGCCTGGTCCACCCAGCCCGAGGTGCTCTCTGAGACAGCCTAGCCACCACGCCACAAGCCCCTCAGCCTAATCAGAGCATCAGGATGCTGTGCACAGCCATTAGCTGGGGTGACTCAGAATTATCTGCTGTAGAACAGGGCTCCAAGTGAAGGATGTGGTCACTCAGACCACGTAGATGGTTCAAGCTCTTACTCCTCTGTCAGCTCAGTGCCTGCACAGTGGAAAGGAAGTGCATCTATTGATTTCTTGGCCAAAAGAACAAGTTAATACATTTTTTAAAACTTTGACACTTTGTCTTAAAGCAACAGTGGGCCTTGTTTAACTAAAATCTCATTTCTTCAGCCTAATATTGCTGGAAAGGCCCCCAACCAAGGCAAGCCCCTGGAGGAGAGAGAGCAGCTAGGATGCTGGCACCAGATGGCTTTGTTCCCCAGCCTTCAATATACTCAGTTACAAAATAACCACATCAGAGGTTTGATAAGATTATCCCCCAGGCCATTTTTCAGGTCTAAATGTTACCATATTTTACGAGAATACAGTATTTGAATCAACTCTCAGGGGACCCAGCCTTCAGGAGACACTGAAGGAATACAGCCATTTTTCTAGCCTCAAAAGCATGGTTTGCAAACTGGCTTGTTCTTTGCAGGAGAAAACCACACACGTGGCCATTGATGCCCTTGGTTGACAGAGTTGACGGGATTTTCTCTGGCTCTCACCTTGAGGGCATCATCAGCATCCTGAAGTCACTAGCGGGCCTCTGTGCAGATGTCCTTTCGAGGGGCTTCAGGCTGTGGAAGTGACCAGTGAACACAGGACCTGCCTGGACTCCCAGCCTCACAGCACAGCACCACAGCCTGGACTGCCCCCTGCCTGATACTTGCTTGGTTTGGAACTTTACTCCATCAAAACATCCAAATAAAAATATGTAGACTCCCCACCCTATCCCATCTGCTATAGGGTTCTAATTCCCCCACAGACATCCCATCACAGTGCTTTCCCCCATGACGGGGGACTCCTGAGCTGGACTCCATCCCTCCCCTACCAGAAAAGCACAGGTGCTGTGGCATGAGTTCAACCACCTGAAATTCCCTGATCTTCAGAGTAATAATTCTAAAATAGGGCAATAATACCCCTGTCAGTGTTCTTGGAAGAACTTCTCATTACTTGAGGCCCCAGAAATGCAAACACTCCTCCGGTTTTCCAGCATGCTGTCAACCCTGGCATCAGAGCTCTTCCTGCCGTGGGCACTGGTAATTGACTTACTGGAGAAAGTCAAGCTTTTAAGTCCCAGGAATAAAGGATTCCTATTTCCTTAAGCTGTGTTTATTTGTACGCTATTGCTGGTAGAGTCAATGTGTACTGAGTGAAGATGAGGCAAGAGTGTCAAAGAGTGATTTCCAATAAGATGAAAAGTGATCTGCAGTTTCTACTTCCTTAACCAGCAGGAAACGTTTCTCCTGTAGCATCGGACAGTGGAGGCAGTGGCGCTCAGTGTGGGGCCTCCTGGCTGAAGGAGGGGACAACACGGTGTCCCATCTCCCTAGATGCTGTATGCACCTCACCTGGCTGGTGATTTACTTGACAGAAACCCATGTGTGGAGTAGGGAGTGCTGCCTTTGGCATCTACCCAGTTTCTGCTCTGGACTCTGCCTCTTAGCAAGGGTGACTTGTGGGCCCAAATCACCTGGTGGCTGTGAGCCACTCCACTCCAGCCTGGGCAAGAGTGAGACCTTGTGTGAAAATAAAATAAAATATAAAAATAAAAATAAGCCGGGAATGGCGGCTCACAGCTGTAATCCCAGCACTTTGGGAAACCAAGACGGGCGGATCACATGTGGTCGGGAGTTCGAGACTAGCCTGACCAACATGGAGAAACGCTGTCTCTACTAAAAATACAAAAAATTAACCGGCTGTTGTGGCTCATGCCTGTAATCCCAGCTACTCAGGAGGCTGAGGCAGGAGAGTCACTTGAACCCAGGAGGCAGGCGTTGCAGTGAGCCAAGTTCCTGCCATTGCACTCCAGCCTGGGCAACAAGAGCGAAACTCTGTCTCAAAAATAAAATAAAAGTCTTTAAGTCATTCATCAATTTTATGTGTTTACTATTTCTTCTCCCATTCCATAAAGCCTACAGTCATATAACACAAAGGGAAAATCAGGACAGCCACATATAAATAAAGGTGCAAAGTCGAGGCAAGAGTGGACCTTAGGGGCCAAGCAAGGGTCATTGCTGAGCTTCACATTTAGCCCTGGGCTTTCTGGAAGCCAGAGTGAAAAGAGAGACACAACCAGCTGCATAAGAGTTATCAAAAAGCAGGAAGCGCACTGGTTTTTCTGGTAGTAAAGCAAGGGCTTTCCAAGAATTTACCTCTAAAGTAATTTCTTTCATTCTTTCTTTTTTCTCGCTCTGACACCCAGTTGGAGTGCAGTGGCACAATCAGGGCTCACTACAACGTCTGCCTCCCAGGCTCAAGCCATCCTCCCACCTCAGCCTCTCAAATAGCTGGGACTACAGGCACGCACCACCATGCCTGGCCAGTTTTTTGGTATTTTTTGTAAAGGTGGGATTTCGCCATGTTGCCTAGGCTGGTCTGGAACTCCTGAGCTCAAGCAATCCACCTGCCTTGGCCTCCTAAAGTGCTGGGATTTCCGGCATGAGACACTGTGCCCGGCCTAAAGTAATTTCTTACTTGAGATTTTATTTCAGGCTACTGTGTCATGCACTGGGCAGTACAGCCTGGTGGGTGAGAGTACAGTGGTTTTTTGTGTGTTTGTGTGTTTGTTTGTTTGTTGTCTGCTGGGTTTGGGTTTGAATTTTGTTTTAATACATGCAATTTACTCTGTGCTTCACTTTCTTCATCTGTAACATGGAGATAACGGCGTCTACCTATTAAAGTTGTGAAGATTCAATTAGATGAGTTGTATGAATAAATGTTAGCCATTTTTTTTTTTTTTTTTTTTGAGATGGAGTCTCGCTCTGTCACCCAGGCTGGAGTGCAGTGACGCAATCTTGGCTCATGGCAACCTCTGCCTCCCAGGTTCAAGCTATTCTCCTGCCTCACCCTCCCAATTAGCTGCGATTACAGGCACCCGCCACCATGCACGGCTAATTTTTGCATTTTTAGTAGATCCGCGTTTTCACCATGCTGGCCAGGCTGGTCTCGAACACCTGACCTCAGGTGTTCCACCCGCCTCAGCCTCTCAAAGTGCTGGGATTACAGCCGTGAGCCACCGCGCCCAGCCAGCTATCAAGAAATTCGACTGCCTACTACTTAGCCTGCACAGTTCTAGGTGCTGGGGAAATAGTGATGAACAAGACAAACAAGATCCTTATCTTCAAGTAGCTTTTACATTCTAAGTGGAGTGAAAAAACAATAAACATTGAAAATAAATTTCAGAAAGTGCTGTGGAAAAACTTTACAACAGATGCAGGAATAGATTTCATTTGACTAGCTCTCCCAGACAGTTTCCAGAAAAGTCAAGGGTAGAATGTTAAAAGGCAACTCAGAGGAGGTGAATCTGTTAGGGCCTGCGGTAATGCAATCCTGGTTTGTGGAATTCTGCAGGCTAATGTGGGTAGGTTACAATTTTGGGGGGAGGGGTTTATTTTGTTTGAAAATTCACTTCTTCCCGCTAAGCTTTTGATTAGGAGCTGAAGTTGAATCAGCTTGAAATTGTATTCTGGACCGGGTGCGGCGGTCCATGCCTTTAATCCCAGCGCTTTGGGAGGCCGAGGTGGGTGGATTGCTTGAGCCCAGGAGTTCGAGACCAGCCTGGACAAAATGGCAGAAACTCCGTGTCTACAAAAAATACAAAAATTGGCGGGGCATGATGTTCTGCGCCTGTAGTCCCAGCTACTCAGGAGGCTGAGGTGGGAGGATCACTTGAGCCCGGGAGGCGGAGTTTGCAGTGAGCTGAGATGTCACTGCATTCCAGCCTGGGCGACAGAAAAAAAAAAAGAAACGAAAAAAAGAAATTGTATCCTGAATACATCTTCTAAAACACTACATTTACTTGCACTATATTAAACTGGTTTTATCCTGACCACAATTGCAGGTGAAAGATAACCACTGTTGTTCTATTTTTCTGGTAAGTAGAGTGAGCCATGTCTTGCCCAGGGAAAGACGCCTCCTAAAAATTTGTAGGACCACCTTTGGTTATCTTCCAGATTTTTTTTTGTCATCGCTTTTCCTGCGCCCAATTCCCATCTGTCTAGCCCTTCTGCCTCCGCTGGGCTTTTTCGCGAGCCTCTCCCCAGCCGCTGGTATTCGTCTGGGCTGCAGCCCCGCCTATCTCCTGGGGCGTGACCACCTGTCCAGGCCCCGCCCCCGTCCAACAGGCGGAGACCCGCCCCCTTTCCCGGACACCGGCTTCAGCGCCCGAGCGTGCGCGCAGGTCTCCGCTCGTCGCCCGGCTCGGCGTCGGGAGTGCACTCTGTGTGGCCGCTGCTGCAGTGTTGTTGTGGTTGTGAGAAGGCGGCGGCGGCGGCGGAGTAGCAGCCGGACCAGACGCCCTAGTAGCTCAGTCGCTGCCCTGCGCCGGGCCTGGCAGGGAGCCTGGTGAGATGGTGGAGGAGGAGGCTGTGCCGTGGCGGGCCTTGCCATGTCCTGCTGCCTAGTAAGAACCCCATCCCCGTCCCCTGTCTCCTCCCGGGGTGAGGAGGAGCTGGAGGAGGGGCCGGCCTCTGTACGGCCCCGGCCAGGCGGCTGTCACCCTCTGAGGAGGCAGCGCCAGGGGAGGGGCGTCCCGGGCGGCCGCCGCCGCCAGGGGGAGGCGCTGGGAGTGGGAGTGGGAACGGGACCTCAGCGGTCGAGCTCGGCCGGGACCCTAGGTGCGGGGGAGGCGGGGTCCCGGGCTCCGGCTGCCTGCCCAGACCTGGCGGGGATGGGCCCGTGCGGCTCCGGGTGTGGGACGTATCCTGGGAGCGCCCGGGGTTATTCCCACTGACTCCCGGGAGGTGGGTGTGCGCCCTTCGCCCCCTGCCTGGTCTGTGGGGATCCATCGTTGCTGGAGACTGGAGGTCGGGGGCCATGGGAGCCCCGGGGCGAACGGTGCGGGCCTGGGTCTTGTGGAAAGGAGGAGCGACCGCCTGAGCGTGCAGCAGGACGTCCTCCTGACCTGGTAATAATTAGGTGGGAAGGATGGTTGGGGGCGGTTGGCGTAACTCAGGGAACACTGGTCAGACTGCTCCCCAAACGATTACAGTGTTATTTCTCCGGTAGAAATTTTCCTTGATGTATGGTATTTCCGGACCCATAAGATGATGTCAGTCGTATTTTGGGCTGGAAAAGTTATGTCAAAATTATGGGGTAGATTTTATGGCCACATTAATAGACTCCCCTGGAGTTTGATAATCTCACTTGTGAGTTTTGGACATGAACTACTATTACATATTGATGTTCAAATGTCGTTTGCAGACCGAGGCCTAAATTCTTACTGTTCTAGTATCTTGATATCCACTTTGTTTTCTGACATCTGTTTTTCCACAACCCAAACAAACAAAACAACATCCCCAAACCATATACTTTTCCAGTTGAGGTTCAACTTTCTCTTATGTGAATGGTAATGCCATGAGAGGCCTGGGTTGAATTACAGGAGATGATTTTTTTTAAATGTTAAATGTTTATGATTTGTCCGTGGAGAGGTGGTGGGGGACTATCCCCTTTCAGATTCAGGGCTGTTCAGTAGGACAGGAGACATTGATGGCATGCAGAAAGTCTTCCCTTTATAGGGCCTATGACTTGGGCAGGCTAGAAGAGCTTACAGAATGACACTTTTTTTTTTTTTTTTTGAGACGTTATCTCGCTCTGCCGCCCAGGCCGGAGTGCAGTAGTGTGATGTCTGCTCACTGCAACCTCCGCCTCTCGGATTCTAGCAATACTCCCACCTTAGCCTCCCAAGTAGTTGGGATTACAAGTGTGCGCCACCACGGCTGGCTAATTTTTGTATTTTCAGTAGAGACAGGGATTTCTCCATGTTGGCTAGGCTGGTCTGGAACTCCTGACCTCAAGTGATCCACCTGCCTCAGCCTTCCAAAGTGTTGGGATTACAGGCGTGAGCCACCACCCCCAGCCAGAATGACACTGTTTTGAGTAACCCAGTATAGTATGTGATATTAAACTAAATTTGGAGGATTCTAGAATTCTAGATTGGCTGCCTATGACGACAGACCTCTTTTGGCTCCAATTACTCCCTCATTTTCAGGTGACTCAGAGAACTTCAAGTGACCAGCACAGTGGTACAGCCCCACTTGTCGTTAATGGCCAGCCATAAAAGAACCCAAGTTTCTCAGCTCATAGGCCAGGTTCTTCAGTGGTTGTCTAGTTTAAGGCTGGTCATTAGCAATATTATGGACGACCTAAGTTCCTCGAACTTATGCAGTTTATAGCTTTTTAAGAATTTAAGAAGTGGAGAAGGGGAAGCATGAGAAACTTAAAGGATGCAAATTGAGCATCTCTTAAAATATAATGGATTTGTGTAGGTGAAACAGATTTGTTGCCAAAAGTTAATTTGTGCACAAGTTATCAGGAACACACTTGATAAAATTAGATGCTGATTAATTGGAGATACATTGTATCCAGAGATACACAAGAATCCAGAGGAAATAAACAGAGAAGGAGAGGAAGTAAGTCAGCTTCTGGCTCATAAAGGGGTCCACTGAAGATGCTCCCTAACATGGTTGCTCCTAAACCATCTGACTCAGATTTCTAGTGGAGGGTAGGATGGGTGTGTTAGCAGTCATTTGAGATCAGGGTTGTGAACCAGGAAGGGTTACTACAGATTGTGAAAAGTTCTTGAAATTTGCCGCAGGCCGTGAGGAGTGGTAAAGTCAGTTTAAAAATCTGCTGTAGTTCTAGTTAACACGTTCACACCTTCTTTAGTGAAGTAGAATGCTGAGTTACCAAAGGACGTATTCACGTTTTAGAGGGGGTGTGGTGAAGGTTATTATAAGTTTGGAAGAGGTGGAAGAAAATGTTGTTATAGTTGTGTAGAGTAGTGAAGGACTTTGGCAAATATCCTGTCAAATCATGAAGTAGTATTTTTAGAGAGTTGCACCCAGCTGTCCATTAGAAGAGCCAGAGGCCTCGTCTGTTTTGTTCCCTGGTGTCGCCAATACCCAGCACAGTTATCAGCATATTCTATACCCTCAGATTTTTTTTTTAGTAAGTGAATAGTATTGATATGGAAAAAAGAACAGTTATGGTGGTTTATAGCCGTGTTAGTTATTAAAAGCTACTTGATAATTTGCAATGGATTAAAGAACCAGTTTTTGATCAAGTAGGGCTCTGGATAGGAAAGAAAATAAAAAAAATAAAGAGCCAGCTTTCAGTGCTTGTTGTTTGGAATTTTTGAGATTCCTTTAAGAAATTGTTTTCTGAAGACTGTCGTGAACATTGTTGTGTCCCCTGGTTTTTGAGTCTTAATGTGTCTTAAGTGTTTTAGATGTTAGTGACTTTTTTAAGAGCACATTAAATGCAGAGGTAATATAGAATAATGGGAAGTTCTGGATTGACAGATAGACATATATTCTGATTCCATCTGTGTCATTAATTGCTGTTGGGAATGTCACTTAACTTCTCTGGGCATCAATTTTCTCATCTATACAATTAAGGGCCTATAGTCTTTGACCTCAAGTAGTTTCTCTAGCCTGATTCTGTAAATTTTTAATAAGTTCTAATTATGTTATTTGGTATTCATCTCATATAGGTAGACTAACCTTTGCCATTTAAAAGAAACAAGATTCTGTGTTGGGTTCTGCTTTTAGCTTATGGATTTTAGACATTGTCCAAAAGTGCTTCGGAAATTGAATGTATGTTGCAAGTATTATGTAGTAAGAACATGCTTATGCTGTTGTAATTCGCTTAGTGTTGAAATCAAATCAGGTTTTACATTGGGAACTTCATAATTTAGTGTGAAGCCACAAGACTTGAGAATGGTTTGGGGGAGTATGTGCAATTTATATAGCTAGTTGTTTCTTACCACCCAATTCTGTAATTTTCTATGGTGAATATATACATAAATTTATAATCATGTAACATTGATTGAAGATATAAGATGATATCAGATTCATATTGGATTGAACTAGGACTGCCAGTAACTTTAGAGGCCTCCAAAATTATTAACATGTCATTGCTATTTTTAATCTTAATTTTTTGGTATCATCAATATTGATATCATGCTTTCACCTTTGCTTTTGTATCTAGAAACAATATACTTTTTAAGTTCATACTTGTATCAGATATTAAAAATGAAAATTGTAGCATAAAAGTGGATAGATGAGTAAATCTTGGGTTCAAGCCTGCGTTGTATTCTTCATTAGCCGTGTTGTTTCTGGCAAGCCACGTAACCCCTCTGAGCTCCAATTCCTTCATTAGTGAAAGGAAGAAGAGCAGCTTCTCTACTTTTCTAACAGACTGCCAGGGGGAGAATGCAACGGAATAATGTGTTTGAAAAGTATTCAAAAAATGTAAGGGTCTGGTATTAGAATCCTATTATATTGGAATCCTGTTTTATTTCTTGGAAGAATTGGCTTGTGGAGCAGTAGTAAACCTGGTCCACATTGTCAAGTGCAGAATTTAGCAATATCACTGATATGGCAACAGAAAAGGTTTCTGCTTCTGTAGTCTGGCTGGAGAAACCTTTCAGCAAATGTATCCTGTCTGCCAGTTGGAATAATCACAATGTTGCAGGGACTTCAGAGGAACCTGGGGTGTCTCACAATTATGCCAAGGTCTGTACTTAGAATAGACTTGCTAGATTTTACCCATTTTCTTATGTTGGAGTCGTGGGAGAAGGTGGTAGGAGCAAGGAGTTTAGCACACTCTGCATAAAGTTTTAAGGCTACATTTTTAAGTAGCAGGTGGCAGTGTCATAGGGTAATGAAATCAATGTACTTATTTTAAAAAGCATTTTAAAAAAGAATATATCAGTACATTGTGTAAAGTAAAAGTAAATATTGATTTGGGAAACTTTTCTTTCTTTTTAAAAGATATGTTTATGTATGTATACTTGGTTGCCGTGTAAAATGTATTTTTTCTTTTTAAAAATTATTATTTTCATTTTTTGTAGAGACAGGGTTTTGCTACATTGCCCAGGCTGGTCTTGAACTCCTGGGCTTGAGTAGTCCTGCCTTGGTCTCCCAAAGTGCTGGGATTATAGACATGAGCCACTGCACCTGGCCTAGAAAGTTATTTTTTCTTTTGGGTCGTGATAAAACTTGGTCGTAGTTGTTTAGGGACATAGTACTTGTGCAATGCCGATAGAATGACTGTCTATAAAATAGTAAGGCATGAAACAAATGAAAACAAAGAGAAAATTGTGAAGATGGGTTACCTTAAAGCTATTCTGTTAGCGGTGAAATACCTCATAGCTTTGTTCTAAATTGTTGAATTAATGAACAAAGCACATAAACTTATGCTATAATAATCTTCTTAAGTACTCTTTTCCCTTAAGATGGAGTGTGGAGTACTTGTTAACCACACAGGTATTGTCTTGATCTGATAACTATAGATATTCAGAATGATTCTGTTGTGACAGATGGTAGCAAGCTTTTCTGATTTCACTTATCTGGGGTCTAAATCTAATTTCTTTAGTAGTTAATACATATATATATATTTTTTGAGACAGAGTCTTGCTCTGTCACCCAGACTGGAGTGCAATGGCATGATCTCGCCTCACTGCAACCTCCGCCTCCCAGGTTCAAGTGATTCTCCCTGCCTCAGCCTCCCGAAGTAGTTAATACTTTTGTAACTTAGTTGCAGAAGAGAGATAGAAATTTCTGAATAATTTTCAGAATTATTCATAGATTTATAATCTGGCAGAATATAAGGAAGTTATAAGTATATTGATAAATCATGACATAACTGGCAAGAATTGGTATAAAGACAAGATGGTTAACTTGAAACAGGGTTGTTGTTTATTATATGCCTATCATTTTTCCATGAGATAAACCAAATATTAGATTAAGTATTTAGACTGATCCACAAATGACATGGGAAGACAGAGTGTTTACAAAGAGTTTTAGAAGTGATACAGGACAATAATTTGGAGTTTTAACTTAATCTCATTTTAAATTTCAAAGTGAAATTATTTCTGATTATGAAAGCTACAGAACTTTTTTTTAGATGGAGTCTCATTGTGTCACCCAGGCTGGAGTGCAGTGGCGTTTTCTCAGCTCACTGCAACCTCTGCCTCCTGGGTTCCAGCAATTCTGCTGCCTCAGCCTCCCGAGTAGCTGGGATTACAGGTACCCGCCACCATACCTGGCTAATTTTTGTATTTTTAGTAGAGACAGGGTTTCACCATGTTGGCCAGGCTGGTTTCTAACTCCTGACCTCAGGTGATTCACCTGCCTTGGCCTCCTAAAGTGCTAGGATTACAGGCGTGAGCCAATGCATCTGGCCCAGAACAGTTTTAATGCTTTTCTTTTTTTAAAAAAGTAGAGATAACCTGTAATCCCATCTGGATGTGATGTTTGGTGTTTTCATTTTTTTTCTTATGCATACCTATTGAAATACCTTAAAAAAGAACAACTTTCCATGTAAAATTGATATTCCCTTAATGAGTAAATGAGTATTTAGTGTTCTATAATATGGATGCATCATAGTTTATAGCAGTTCTGTGTTGTTAATGGATATTGCCAATTTTTCTCTTAAAGTAGTACTGTGATGAACTTGTTTGGGCATTGAATTGTCCTATTATTTCCTTAGGATAATTTTTTTTTTTTTGAGACAGAGTCACTCTGTCACCCAGGCTGGAGTGCAGTGGTATGATCTTGGCTCACTGCAGCCTCTGCCTCCCAGGTTCAAGTGATTCTCCTGCCTCAGCCTCCTGAGTAGCTGGGAGTACAGCCGTGCACCGCCACGCCCAGCTAATTTTTTGCATTTTCAGTAGAGATGGGGTTTTACCATGTTGGCCAGGCTGGTCTCGATCTCCTGACCTCGTGATCCGGCCGTCTTGGCCTCCCAAAGTGCTAGAATTACAGGCCTGAGCCACCGCGCCTGGCCCAGGATAAATTCTTAAAAGCGGATTTATTAGCCAGGCATGGTGGCTCATGCCTGTAATCCCAGCACTTTGGGAGGCCAAGGCGGGTGGGTGGATCACCTGAGGTCAGCAGTTCAAGACCAGCCTGGCCAAAATGGTGAAACCCCATCTCTACTAAAATACAAAAATTAGTCTGGTGTGGTGGCGAGGGTCTATAATTCCAGCTACTTGGAAGGCTGACGCACAGAGAATCACTTGAACCCAGGAGGCGGAGGCTGCAGTGAGCCGAGATTAAGCTACTGCACTCCAGCCTGGGCGACAGAGTGAGACTCATTCTAAAAAAAAAAAAAAAAAAAAAAAAAGGGCTTATTAGGTCAAAGGGTATGTGTGTTTTAAATGTGGATATACTCAAGATGCCCTTTAGATAGGATGTCTATTTGAAATTCCCGTCAATAGCATATTAGTATTCAATTCCATATATTCTTGCTAGTGATTTGTCATCTTTAGCTTGTTGGGAGTTCAAAATAGTTTGAAACAGTTTTTCTTCTGTTTCTTTTTCAGCATCAGGACTTACTTCCATAGATTAACTCTTGGGAGGGAGCTGATAAAAATGAAAGTTCAGTGACAATGAGTCGTGTAGACCAGTGGTCTCCAAACTTTGGTTGCTTACCCCATCACCAAAAACTTTTGAGCATTAAGCAGGTGTGGTACATGGTCCTGTGGTCCCAGCTACGTAGTTGGCTTAGGCAGGAGGATATTTGAGGTCAGGAGTTCAAGGCTAAAGTTCACTGTGATTGTGCTTATGAATACAGCCACTGTACTCCAGCCTGGGCAACATAGTGAGACCCTGTCTCTTTAAAAAAAAAACAAAAAACTGATGGGATGGGAAGAATGAAGTCAGAAAAAAAAATTGATACAACTTCATGTTGTTGCTTTGAAAAAAGAGAAAAAGAAAAATATTGAGCATCAGTTCTTAATCCTTAGATATTTAATTTACAAGTAATAAACATATAGTAACTGATTATTGTGGACTTTAAAATACAAACAAAAAATTAACAAGGATGATAATTAAAAATAAAGTTCAAATATTTTCCTTTTTTACCCTGGGGCTTCTTGGGTACTCCTGGAGGTGTGTGTGTGTGCACGCATGTGTATATGTATGTGTGTGTGTATATGTATAATATATATGTATATATAATAATATATGATCTATATACATATTTTTGAGACAAGAGTCTTGCTCTGTTACCCAGACTGGTGTGCAGTGGTGTAATCTTGGCTCACTACAACCTCCGCCTCCTGGGTTCAAGTGATTCTTGTGCCTCAGCCACTTGAGCAGTTGGGATTACAGGTGTCTGCCACCATGCCTGGTTAATTTTTGTATTCTCTGGTAGAGATGGGTTTTCACCATGTTGGTCAGGCTGGTCTTGAACTCCTGGGCTCAAGTGATCCGCCAGCCTCAGCCTCCCAAAGTGCTGGGATTCCAGGTGTGAGCCACCATGCCCGATCTCCTGGAGGTATGTTATACTTGCTTTGGATACTACTGCTTTAGACCCTTGAGGTTTAATATTGGGCATTTATAGATGTTTGTTTTGGGGCATTTCACTAGTTTTGCAGGTGGTTCTGTTTAGTTGGATTATGAATGCCTTTAAAATGTCCCATGCTAGGCCGGGCATGGTGGCTCACGCCAGTAATCCCAGCACTTTGGGAGACCGAGGCGGGTGGATCATGAAGTCAGGAGATTGAGACCATCCTGGCTAACACGGTGAAACCCCATCTCTACAAAACTACAAAAAGCTAGCTGGGCGTGGTGGCACACGCCTGTAGTTCCAGCTACGCGGGAGGCTGAGGCAGGATAATCTCTTGAACCCAGGAGGTGGAGGTTGCAGTGAGCCGAGATTGCACCACGGCACTCCAACGTCTGTGACAGAGCGAGACTCCATCTCAAAAAAAAAAAAAAAAAAAACTCCCCATGCTCTTTAGAGTCGTATCTGCAATAAGGGCAAAAATAAATTTAAAGCATCAGTTTGATACTTTTTTGCATCGTTGAGGTGGCTGAATTTGAAAAGGATAAATCGTAGGATAAAAAGCAATGTAAATAGTCTATTTCTTTTAGATACAAACAGTTGATACTGTGTAGAGCATATTTTTAAAAATTATGTTTTTTGGAAAGCAATTTGGCTATAATATATATCTCCCTGTTTTTTAAGAGGTTAGGTGTTAGAGACTGAGTGAAGGGAAGAATAATTGCTACTTGCTCTCCTTTGCTTTCAAAGTACCACAATTAACCTGTCACTAACTATTTGGATTAGCCTGAGCCTATAACAAACTTTCCATGGTGATTCTTAGATTAAAAGATAATTTTTTTCTTGAGTTTGAATAAGTTGCTTTTGATCTGTGGCTGCCTGCCCCCTAACCCCTATAAATTATGAAATCAGGAAATAAAGCTTTTTGTATTAGAAAAAAGTGAATCTTTTCTCCCCCATCATGGGAAAATTAATTTCAGTTACTTCATATGGGTCATTGGCAGAGAAAGATAATATCAAAATCTTAGAGACTGTCAAAAGAGATTATATTAAGCAACTTGAGTGATTATTTTTTGCCAGTTAAAAGAAATGAGAGGCCGGGCGCGGTGGCTCACACCTGCCATCCCAGCACTTTGGGAGGCCAAGGTGGGCGGATCACAAGGTCAGGAGATCGAGACCATCCTGGCTAACACAGTTGAAACCCCATCTCTACTAAAAATACAAAAAATTAGCCAGTCGTGGTGGTGGGTGCCTGTAGTCCCAGCTACTTAGGAGGCTGAGGCAGGAGAATGGCCTAAACCCCAGAGGCAGAGGTGGCAGTGAGCCGAGATCACGCCACTGCACTCCAGCCTGGGTGACAGAGCGAGTCTCCATCTCAAAAAATAAATAAATAAATAAAGATAATTTCTATTGAAGATGATTGCTATAAACAGTGCTTTGCACAAATGGCTACATATCTCTTTTTACTTTAGGTAACATGATTTATAAGCTACTTTCACATATATCTTCTTAGATCATCACAAGGATTTGAGATCATCATTTAATCAGGACTGTTGTGACTTGCTTGAGGCCACATGCCTAGTGTTTGACATCATACTTCAAGAGACAGATTGAAAGTTCTGCAGAAATAGGGACTGGTGGCTGTTCTCTCCCTTACTCCCTAGCAGTTAATACATTGCCTGGTACAGAGTAAGCTATCAATATTTGTGGACTAACTGTTTAAACTCCTGCATATTTATTTATACGTGTAAATAAGTTATAGCATTATAAAATCAACAGTTACGTTTTCCGTAGTTAGATTGTTCCTTCATCTTATGTGCACAGAAACTATTTTTGTGGAAGAGGTCATGAATTTTAGATCAACCTTTCACATATCCCTTTACTGTCTCTTAAGATACTTTCATGGTGACAAAAAACATACTCTTGTTCTAGATCCCTGAGGAATTACCACACTGACTTCCACAATGGTTGAACTAGTTTACAGTCCCACCACCAGTGTAAAAGTGTTCCTATTTCTCCACATCCTCTCCAGCACCTGTTGTTTCCTGACTTTTTAATGATCGCCATTCTAACTGGTGTGAGATGGTATCTTATTGCGGTTTTGATTTGCATTTCTCTGATGGCCAGTGATGATGAGCATTTTTTCATGTGTCTTTTGGCTGCATAAATGTCTTCTTCTGAGAAGTGTCTGTCCATATCCTTCGCCCACTTTTTGATGGGGTTGTTTGTCTTTTTCTTGTAAATCTGTTTGAGTTCATTGTAGATTCTGGATATTAGCCCTTTGTCAGATGAGTAGATTGCAAAAATTTTCTCCCATTCTGTATGTTGCCTGTTCACTCTGATGGTAGTTTCTTTTGCTGTGCAGAAGCTCCTTAGTTTAATTAGATCCCATTTATTTGACCCAGCAATCCCATTACTGGGTATATACCCAAAGGATTATAAATCATGCTGCTATAAAGACACATGCACACGTATGTTTATTGCGGCACTATTCACAATAGCAAAGACTTGGAACCAATCCAAATGTCCAACAATGATAGACTGGATTAAGAAAATGTGGCACATATACACCATGGAATACTATGCAGCCATAAAAAATGATGAGTTCATGTCCTTTGTATGGACATGGATGAGGCCGGAAACCATCATTCTCAGCAAACTATGGCAAGGACAAAAACAAACACCGCATGTTCTCACTCATAGGTGGGAATTGAACAAAGAGAACACATGGACACAGGAAGGAGAACATCACACACACCAGGGCCTGTTGTGGGGTGGGGGGAGCGGGGAGGGATAGTATTAGGAGATATACCTAATGTTAAATGACGAGTTAATGGGTGCAGCACACCAACATGGCACATGTATACATATGTAACTAACCTGCACGTTGTGTACATGTACCCTAAAACTTAAAGTATAATAATTTTAAAAATACTCTTAATGTCATTCCTTTCACTGTGTGTGTAACTCCTGTGGCAAGACTGTATATTTGTATATATGTATGTATGTATTTGTTTATTTAGTAGGCTGCTATTTGTAAAGGAAACATACTCATTAGTTGGTCTTTGCATACATAATGGTTCCCAAAACATGGACTCCATGGTTTGCTGTGAGTGAATGAAGAAAAAGCAGGCATGATTTCCCTCACCTTTGTCATTCTCTCCAGTTTCCTGTACATATGGTTGACTTACTCAGCAGTAAGTGTAACTTCTTTACACTGAAGAAAATTAGTCTTCCAAAGAATTAGTATGCTACTTCCCCCTTGTTCTGCAGTACTTAAAATCCTGTTTGGTAAATGAACTAATACACTTTGATATACAGAAGAGACCCTGGATTGCCATGAATGGAAATATTAGTAGTGATTAATTTCTGTCTCGGTGGGATAATGTGGCTTTTTTGCTTCTTATTCTTCTATAGTTTCCCATTTTTCTACAATGAGCATGTATTACTTTTATAAGTAGGAAAAATTGCTATTTTATTTTTATTTTTTAAGACAGAGTCTCACTCTGTCACCCAGGCTGGAGTGAAATGGTGCGATCTCAGCTCACTATAACCTCTGCCTCCCAAGTTCAAGCGATTCTCATGTCTCGACCTCCCAAGCAGATGAGACTACAGGCACAAGCTGGCCACAGCCAGCTAATTTTTGTATTTTTTAGTAGAGATGGGATTTCACCATGTTGGCCAGGCTGGTCTTGAACTCCTGACCTCAGGTGATCTGCCCATGGCCTTCCAAAGTGCTGGGATTACAGGTCTGAGCCACCACGCTCAGCCAAAAACTGCTATTTTAAAGTCTTTATTTTTCACTGGATGTCTTGTGAAGGTTTAGGTCACAGTCACCATTGAGAAAGTGGGTGGTTAACTGGCTCCAGTTCCTAAGACGAGTGGCAGCTGTAGGAAGTAGTATGGGAGGAATGGGGCAGGTAAGCTTATTTGAACTTTATCATTGTGAACTCTACTATGACTGAAGACATTGTGGGATTTGATCACAGTTAAACACAAGAGGACTGAGCCATCTAGTTTTTCTCTTTTTAATAAGCTGATTGAGAATTATGAAAGATACCTTAAGAAAAATTGGTTTCTATGAACTCTGTAAATGCAGAACTCAGCCTGAACTCCCAAGTTCTGTATCCGTGTATGTGTGTTTGTGTGCTTGTGTGTTGTGGTGTGTTTTAAATATCAAGTGGAGTTGTAGCAACTCAGGTAGGATATGGTTTATATTAATACATCTAATATGAATTGGAAGAGATTTAGGCAAATGATTTTTATTATGACAGTATAGGCTTATTGGAGATTTGGTGTTAATATACAGCTGGGAGTTAAGCCGTTCTACGTTTATATACCCATCTGGTGATATTTTAGGAAGAGCTGTGTCATATATTCTCTAGAGTTTAAGTGATTAGAGCTTGTTGGCTTTTGCTGTTTACTGCACACTTGTAGTGTTTTAAATGCTTCTGTGAATGGAGAACATCATTCAAAAAGGTGAGATTTCTGGGTTAAGACATTCGTTATTGTCTGCCCTTACTTTATTCTTTTAAAGAGTAAGATTAGGCTGAACGCCGTGGCTCATGTCTATAATCCCAGCACTTTGGGAGGCCAAGGTGGACAGATGAGATCAGGAGTTTGAGACCAGCGTGGCCAACATGGCAAAACCCCGTCTCTATTAAAAATACAAAAATTAGCCGGGCGTGGTGGTGGACGTCTGTAATCCCAGCTACTCAGGAGGCTGAGGCAGGAGAATCACTTGACCCCTGGAGGTGGAGGTTGCAGTGAGCCGAGATTTGTGCCACTGCCCTCCAGCCTGGGTGACAGAGGGATACTCTGTCTCAAAAAAAGAAAGTTGAAGAGCAGTTGAGGTAATAAATGTAGGTACTGTTAGGTTGGTACAAAATTAATGGTGGTTTTGGATTACGAATTTTAAATTATTATAACTAGGCCCAAACACATCTTTATCAAAATAGGAAACATTACAATCAACACATTTTTTGCCAATGAGAAATAAGTTTGTTTATTCCTGTAGCGTAAAAATCCATGCTTCGGGATTCGATGAACTCTTGGAAAGCATTTTCTGCATCCTGATGGTTGTGGAAGCATTTTCCCTGCAAAAAATTTTCTAGATGCTTGGAAAAGTGGTAGTCGGTTGGTGAGAGGTCAGTTCAATATGGTGGATGAGGCAAAACTTTGTAGCCCAATTCATTCAACTTTTGAAATGTTGGTTGTGCAACATGTTGTCGGATGTTGTCGTGGAGAAGAACTGGACCCTTTCTGTGGACCAGTGCCAGCTGCAGGCCTCGCAGTTTTCGGTGCATCTCATCGATTTGCTGAGCATACTTCTCAGATGTATTGGTTTTACTATGATTCAGAAAGCTGTAGCGGATCAGACCAGGAGCAGACCACCAAACAGTGACCCTGACCTCTTTTTGATGAAAGTTTGGCTTCAGGAAGTGCTTTGGAGCATCTTCTCGGTCCAACCACTGAGCTGGTCATCACTGTTGTTGTATAAAATACACTTTTTGTCAAACGTCACAATCCAACTAAGAAATGGTTCGTCGTCGTTATGTAGAATAAGAGAAGACAACACTTCAAAACGACGATTTTTAAAATTTTTGGTCAGCTCATGAGGCACCCACTTATCAAGCTTTTTCACCTTTTGGCAGGGCGTGGTGGCTCACGCCTGTAATCCCAGTACTTTCGGAGGCTGAGGCGGGCAGATCACTTGAGGCCAGGAGTTCACGACCAGCCTGGCCAACATGGTGAAACCCCAGCTCTACTAAAAATACAAAAAGTAATCGGGTGTGGTGGTGGGTGCCTGTAATCCCAGCAACTAGGGAGGCTGAGGCACGAGAATCACTTTAACCCGGGAAGTAGAGGTTACAGTGAGCCCAGATGGTGCCACTGCATTCCAGCCTAGGTGATAGAGTGAGACTCCATCTCAAAAAAAAAAAAAAAAAAAAAAAAAAGCTTTTGCACCTTTCCAACTTGCTTAAATTGCCAAACAAGCGTAGAATGGTTGACATTGAGTTCTTTGGCAATTTCTCGTGTAGTTGTAAGAGGATCAGCTTCGATGATTGCTCTCAATTGGTCAGTGCCAACTTCTTCTGGCCGGCTACTACACTCCTCATCTTCAAGGCTCTCGTCTCCTTTGCAACACTTCTTGAACCACCATTGCACAGTTCCTGGGCCAAGTGTGTAGTTGATGTTGCGAGTTGTCTCCACTGCTTTGCGACCCATTTTGAACTCAAGAAAATCGCTTGAATTTGCTTTTTTTTATAATATAATTTCCACTGTCTAAAAGAATAAAACAGCAAATAATATGTTATTAGCAAAAAAGGTGAGAAATGTGCATTAAAATGGTATATAAATAACCACATATATTTAAGAATGTATTCCAGTATCAAATAGCAAGTTTCAACAATACGAAAACTGCAACTACATTTGCACCAACCTAATATAATTTTTTTTTAGTTAGAAATTTTATAGTACAGAATAACAGGTTTATCACACACACACACACACACACACACACACACATCCTGTACTGAATCTACAAAGCCTGTCTCTGAATTCCAAAATCTCGACTTTTTTAGAGCAAAGTTTAAATATTTCAAAAATTTAGAAAAATATGGAGAATAATTTAACAAACACCAGGTACTAATTCAGTAGATTTTTTTTCTTTTTTCCTTTCCTTTTTTTTTTTTTTTTTTGAGATGGAGTCTCGCTCTGTCGCTCAGGCTGGAGTGCACTGGTGCAATTTCAGCTCACTGCAACCTCTGCCTCCTGGGTTCAAGTGATTCTCCTGTCTCAGCCTCCTGAGTAGCTGGGATTACAGGCACACGCCACCACACCCAGCTAATTTTTGTATTTTTAGTAGAGACTGGGTTTCACCATGTTGGCCAGGATGGTCTCTTATCTCTTCACTTCGTGATCTGCCCACCTTGGCCTCCCAAAGTGTTGGTATTACAGGCGTGAGCCACCGCACCCAGCCCATTCAGTAGATTTCATAGATGCTGACATCTTATCAGATTTGCTTCAAAAGTGTATTTATATATGTTTTTATTTATTATTTTTGAGATGGGGTCTCACTCTGTTGCCTAGCCTGGTGTATAGTGGTAAAATCCCTGCTCACTGCAACCGCCACCTCCCAAGTTCAAGCAATTCTCGTGCCTTGGCCTTTTGAGTAGCTGGGATTATAGGAGCTTGTCACTACTCCCGGCTAATTTTTGTATTTGTAGTAGAGACGGGGTTTCACTATGTTGTCCAGGCTGGTCTCCAACCGACCTCAAGTGATCTGCCCGTCTTGGCCCCCTAAAATACTGGGATTACAGGGGTGAGCCACTGTGCCTGGCCTATATTTGTTTTTAAAAATAAAATATGCATACGGTTGGAGTCCCTTTTGTCATCCTCTTAGATCCTATTTTCTTATGCAGAAGTTATTTATCTTTTTAGCTCATGCACTTATATTCTTCCTACAAATATCTACATATATTTAACATGTAGTACTATTGTGTTTCAAATTTATGTGATATTTTGGTACATACATTCTGTAATTGGAAAGTTACATTTATTTATGCTGATATATGTGTATTATTAGTAGTATTATTATTATGATTATTTTGAAACAGAGTCTTACTCTGTCACCCAGGTTGTAGAGCAGTGGCACAATCTTGGCTCACGGCAACCTCCATCTCCCAGTTTCAAGTGATTCTCGAGCCTCAGCCTCCCGAGTAGCTGGGATTACAAGTGTGAGCCACTGCACCTGCCTTACTTCATTAATTTTAATAGCTGTGTAGTATTCAGTCATATGAATGAATAGTATGCAATTTTAGTTCTTTATTGATAGTTGTTTTCAACAAATATACAAATGTAAAATTTTTCCTCAAATTGGGTCAAGCTATATATATTGTTCTAAATTAGCTCTGTTTCTCGCAATAATAATAGTGTGCAGGTTTGTTACATGGGTATATTGCATGAGGTTTGGGGTACAATTGATCCCATCACCCAGGTAGTAAGCATAGCACCCAGCACGTAGTTTTGTTTAAGTTTTTTGAGACAAGGTAGGTCTCTGTCCCCCAGGCTGGATTGCAATATTGCAATCACTGGTCACTGCAGTTTTGACCTCTTGGGCTCAGCCGATCCTCCCAGCTCAGCCTCCGGGGTAGCTGGGACTACAGTGGTGGGCCACCATACCCTGCTATTTTTTGTATTTTTTTGTAGAGACTGGGTTTCGCCCTGTTACCCAGGCTGGTCTCGAACTCCTGGACTCAAGCAATCCACCCACCTTGGCCTCCCAAAGTGCTGGGATTATAGGCGTGAGCTACTGTACCCAGCCGCCAGTAGGCAGTTTTGAGCTTTCGCCCCTTCCCATCCTCTCCTCTCTGTTAGTTCCCTGTATCTATTGTTCCCATGTTTATGTCCATGTTTACCCAATGTTTAGCTTAGGATGATGATCTCCAGCTGCATCATGTTGCTGCAAAGGATATGATTTTGTTCTTTTTTATGGCTGCAGTGAACCTTTGGGTAAAGAAAATTTACAAAAATATCTCACATCAGTGTTTTTTTAATCAAAGTAAGTAGTAGTAATCCATAGTTCAGATCTACTTTGTAAGTGAGACACAAATAAAGACAGTAGTTACATTACACATTTTATAACATTACCTTGATGTGGCAAATTTTTCTTGTTTTGTTTTTGTTTTACATGAGTTAATTTGGATGAAACTTTCTTGAATTACTTACTTTTATAGCATTTACCTCCAGTGGGGTTGAGATGAGGAGCCTTCAATCCAACAAAGTTGTATACATGCATTCATGGAGATGACACTTAGGTTATTTAATCAGGAAACACTCCTGCTTGTCCACATGTAGATGCTACACGTGGAGTTAGTCCTATTCTTTGGAAGTTTCACTATGTTGCCCACACTGGTCTTGAACTCCTGAGCTCCAGTGATCCTCCCACCTTGGCCTCCCAGAGTGCTGGGGTTATAGATGTGAGCCACTGTGCCCAGCCAGAAATGTGATTTTAATTCCATAATATATGTTACTGTGAATACAGTATATGTTTATTCCATAAGTAGCAAATTGACTCCTTTAACAGTTTTAGTAGTTTTCCAGTTGTTTTGTCTTTAGTTTCCCAGGCAAATAATGCTATTGTCTTCAATCACAGTATTAATTAGTTCATCCCATTCTTCATATTGATCATTTTTTTGGATATGAAATAATACAGACTACTGTAATAATAAAAAGATGGAAAGCCTCACCAATTTGCATGTCATCCTTGTGCAGGGACCACGCTAATGTTCTCTGTATTGTTCCAATTTTAGTATATTTGCTGCCGAAGCGAGCACTCCATTTCTGTAAAGCTTAAAAAACAGACAAAACTAACAGATGGGAATGGAATCAGAATAATGGTTATCTTTGGTGATGAGGACAAGGGAGATTGTAGGTGTGCTGGTAATGTTCTCTGTCTTGATCTGGGTCATGATTTCATGGTTGTGTTCAGTTTATGAGAATCATTGAATAGTAGACTTAGGAAGTGTGCACTTCTTTGTACATGTATTATATACCTCAGTTAAAAACTTTTGCCTCTCACAAAATTTTAAAGAACATAATCTGCTTAGTTTGTCACCTTTTAGCTTTTAATGTAACTTTTCCACTACTTCTCTTCATATGTGAATACAAGTGTATGTATTCATATGTGAATACAAGTGAATACTAGTGTATTAGGTAATAAGCCACTTAACCTTTCTATTATGATATAAAACATACAGAAGAGTGCACAAATCAAATGTATAGCTTAATGAAATTTTTAAATTATTAAATTGGAGGTTTTTGGGGGTGCATTATACCCGTATCTTTGTTAGGAGGGAAGGAATTCATGGAGGGCTAAAAATTTTGGAGAGGACAAAGTTTTAAGGAGTCTCAATACCAAATCCTCATCTTGGCTCTGCCTTCAAGTTACTGTTTCTTTGGGTAAGTCATTTAACTTATTTATAGTTCACTTTTTTATATATAAGAGGTATAATACTTAACCTTTCTTTTGCAAACTGAATTAGGTAGGTGCAATTCAGGTAAAATAATAGGAATATAGAGTAGTATTACTAGATAGGTCTTTATTTAGGCCATTGAATTTAGGCCACTTACCTTACAGGGCAGAATTGTGGTATGCAAAGACTACACAGCTGGTGATTATTGGTGTCATTCATTTATGTTAGGTTGGTATTGAGACTTAGTTAACTATGCCAGGCATTACCCTGTGATTTATTAGAATACATGTATTAACTCATGTAATAGTCTAGGATTATTCCTAGAGGTAGGTAAAATTATCCCAATTTTACTGATGATACAATCGATGGAAAATTAGGTTAAATAACTTGCCTAGGTGGGTTGAGTTCTTGAGCCTGTGCTTTAAAAAAAAAATTTTTTTTGAGAAAGGGTCCCACTCTATCACCCAGAGTGGAGTGAGTGGCATGATCTTGGCTCACTGCAGCCTCTGTCTCTAAGGCTCAAGCCATCCTCCTGCCTCATCCCCTGAAGTAGCTGGGACTACAGGTATGGGCCACGTTTTAATGTATTTTATAGAGACGGGGTTTTGCCACATTTCCCAGACTGGTCTCAAACTGCTGGACTCAAGCGATCTGCCTTGGCCTCCCAAAATGCTAGGATTACAGGTGTGAGCCACTGCATCCAGCCTAAGCCTGTGCTCTTTTTTTGTTATACTGCCTAGTTATGTGAAAATACTTAAAGACTTTTAGGCAAATGTTAAGATTTTATAATAATCTGTTAGAGAGTTTTTGAAGTAAAAATTTTGGTATTTTGAACCAAAATTAGGAGAAGAGTCTCATTGTTTTGACCATCATGATTCTGGAAAAGATGGATGTTAATATTTATTACTTGGGCTTTATTCCCTTCTTAACAAAGCTAATTTTCTCCTAAAATGATTTGGTTGCAAGCACTAGGTAGTTTTCTTTAAGAATATATGTATATTTTAATCTTAAAGGATTTTGTGACTAATTTACAAATATTGTTTAATCTTTAGGCAAAATGTTAATGGAAGGGAGTTTTCAAACTTGGAGGCAGATCAGACCAAGGTTTAGTGTTCTTGCCTCAGTGGTTTAAGCAGCATCTGTTTGGTCTTAGTATAAGAGTAATAATTATGATTCTATCATATGTATGGTTGAAAATTATCTTTATTAAGGTGTATTTGAATATGGTTCTGTAAGACTGGGAAACACATCTAGTTGTGCAACCACCATGATGATCAAGATATAGAGTTAGTTTCTCAAAAAATTTCCTCATGCCCCTTTCCATAGTCAGCCCATTTCCTTACTTCTAGTCTCTGGCCACCACTGATCTGTTTTTTTCTCTGTCTTGTCTTTTTTTTTTTCTTTTCAGAATTCCATGTAAACAAAATCACGCAGTATTTAGCCTTTTTGTTTTAATTTTTGTTTGTTTAATAGAAATGGGAGGCCTTGTTATATTGCCTATGCTGGCCTCAAGCTCCTGGTCTCAAGGGATCCCCCTGCTTGACTCAGTATGTGGCTTCTTGAGACGGACGTCTTTTATTTAACCTAATGTATTTTGAGATTCATCCATGTTTTTATGTATCAGTAATTACTTTCTGTTGCTTAGTAGCATTGCGTTGTATGGATGTACAACAGGTTCTGTATTCATTCCCCAGTTCATTTGGGTTGTTTCCAGTTTTTGGTAATTACGAATAAAACTGCCATAAAAGCATTCATGCATACATACATACACACATGTGCCCTCGTATTTTCTTATGGTTTAAAAAGATATGGTGCCTAGAACTTTTATAACTTTACTACAGAACCTGAAAAAGCTGATGATTTTCACAGAACATTGTAAATTGCTTAGTAAACTTCATCCCCCAAAAAGCCCACTCTGGAATGAGAATAATCTGTTTGTATAAATAATCTTGTGGTATAAACTGTAAGTCATTAGAATTTTTTAAATTAAAGAAGTACATACACATATTTATTTAATGGGTAAATTTATATATAAAACTCCTTAGTGCATAGTTTTATATTTTATGTTTTTAGTAGCTTTTAAATCGTGAATTATTGATTTTTTGTTCCTCTAAGTAGTAGAATGGTTATATAATTGGTTATGAAAGTTTTTGTTTTTTTTTTGACAGGGTCTGGCTATGTCATCCAGGCTGGAGTGCAGTGGCGTGATCTCGGCTCACTGTAACCTCTGCCTTCTGGGCTTAAGCTATCCTCAACTTCAGCCTCCTGAGTAGGTGGGACTACAGGCATGTGCCACCACACCTGGCTAATTTTTGTAAACATGGGGTTTTATCTTGTTGCCCAGGCTGGTCTCAAACTCCTGAGCTCAAATGATCAGCCCACTTCAGTCTCCCAAAAGGCTGGGATTACAGGTGTGAGCCACCATGCCCACCCAAAAACTCTTATAAATTTGAGATGAAAAATACACGGAACATGATTAATAGCAGATTAAACATTGCCAAATACAAGACATAGCAATAAAAACTATCCAAAAGGAAATAGAGTAAAAGGATTTTAAGAAACTAAACTGTAGAACACCTTCAAGCAGCCAATAATACATGTAATTTGAGTCCTAGAAGGACTGAAAAGAGGAGGGACAGAAAAAATAATACAAAAAAATGGCCAAAATGTTTTCAAATTTGATATAAACTATAAATCTCTTATCCAAGAAACTCAGTAAAGCCCACCTATAAGAAATATGAAGAACTCCACAAAGGTTCATAGTAATCAAAGTATTGAACCCTAGTGATACAGACATAGAGGGATGGGACACACCATACATAAAGATTAACAAAGGATGCTGCCAGAGTTCTCATCACAGATACCAGAATCTGGGAGGATATAGAAAAAATATTTTAAATTCTAAAAGAGGACATACTGTTAACTCTGAATTCTGTAACCAGTGTAAATAACTTTCCACAATGAAGGGGAAATAAAGATATATCCAGGCAGAAAAAAACTGTAAGAACGTATCACCAGCAGACCTGCTGCACAGGAAATAAAATAGGAACTCCTCAGGCAGAAGAAAGATGATATCAGATGGAAATATTGATCTGTAATAAAGGATGAAGAGCTCTGGAAAGTAACTGTATAGGAAGATGTATAAGACCCCTCCATTAAAAAATCTTGAAATAATAATTGAATTTTATACAGAAATAACAACAGTGTTTTGTGTAGTTTGTAATTTATGTGTAAGTGAAATGCAGGACAACAATAGCGAAAGGCCAGGAAAGGAAAAATGAAAGCATGTTACTGGAAGGTTCTTACACCACACATGAAGTAAGATAACATGTGAAAGTAGGCTGCAGTAACTTAGAGTTGTAAAGCAACCACTGAAATAACAAAACAAAAAGTTTTGTTATCATATAAGCCAACAAAGAAGATGAGATGGAATAACAACAACAACAACAAAATCCAAAACAGGGCACTAAACAGGAAAGGGGAGCAAAGAACAGATGGATTGAGTAAAAGATGAATAACAAGATCACAGGTGTAACATAACCATTTCAAAAATCTTGTTAAATGTTCTAAGCATCCCAATTAAAAGGAGAGATTGTCAGCTTTGATGAAAAAAATGAAGACCCAAGTACATGCTGCCTGTAAGAAAGACATTTTAAATGTAAAGATACAAACCTATTAAAAGTAAAAGATTGAAAAAGAGTTACCATGAATCAAATGAAAGCTGGAGTGGCTATATTCATATCAGATAAAGTAGACATCAGATAAGAGAATATTATCAGGGATGAAGAATGTCGTTTTATAAGGAGAACAGGGTCCGCTTCTCAGGAGGACGTGATAATTCTAAGAATAACAAGCACTACGTATGTCATCACAGAGCTTCAACACAAATGAAACAAACACCAATAGAACTCAAAAGAGAAATAGTTGTCTATTTCTCCACAGTTATAGTTGGGGATTACAATACTCACTATCAATAATTAGTAGAACAAGTAGAAAAAAAATCAGTGAAGATACAGCAGACTTAAAAAAATAAAACTATCAAATAACTTGATTTTATTGATATTTATAAATCAGTCCACCTGACAGTCACATAATATAAACTCTTCTCAAGCAAACACAGAATATTTATCAAGATAGAATACATTCTGTGCCAGAAAGCAAGTCTCAGAATATTTGGAGTGATTTAAGTCCTATGAAGTATGTTCTTGGACCACATTGGAAATAAATTAGAAGTTAATAATAATAACTTTTCTGGAAAAACGTCAAGTATTAAGATGATAAATTACACATGTCTACATATTGCAAGGGCTAAAGAAGATTTCAAAAGAGAAACCAATGCATTTTCAGCTAAGTGAGAGTGAAAACAATATTTCAAAATGTGTGGAATGCTGATAAGGCAATATTTATGTGTAAAATTATGGGATTAAACACTATAGTAGAAAAGAGAATAGATTTTAGATTAATTAACTACCCCAGCTTCTGCCTTAATAATTGGAAAAACAAGAGCAAATTAAACACAAAAAACAATTTTGGAAATACTAGAGATCAGAGTGAACATCAATAAAACAAAAAAAAATAGAGAAAAATCTATGAAACCAAATATTTATAAACTTCCAGCAGGCTGATCATCAAAACAAAAAAGAGACAAATTCCTAATATCAGGTATGAAAGAAACTATATCAGCACAGATTTTGTAAAAATTAAAAATGGAGTAAGGGAATACTGTGTACAGCATTACCTAATAAATTTTGTAACTGAGATGAAATGAGAATTTTTTTGAAAGATACAAATTGCTATAGCTCACTCAAGAAGAATCAGATAATTGAATAACTCTATATTTATTGAAGTAATTGAATTTTAATTAAATGCTCATCCTACAAAGGAAACTCTAACCCCAGATTGCTTCTCTGAAGTTTTTTGTTCAAACCTCTAAGGAAGAAATATTACCAATTATACTTAAACTCTTTCAGAAAATTGAAGAGTAGGAACTAGTTACCAACTTATTTTATAAGGCTAGTATCACCTTGATACCAAAGCTAGACTAAGATATTACAAAAAAACTATAAACAAATATTCTTTTTGAATTTAGATATAAAAGTTCTTTACAAAATGTTAGCAAATCAGTTCCAACAATACATAAAAATTATATTGTACCGTGGACAAATATAATGTATCTCAGAAAGGTTGGTTGGTTGAACATCCTCAAATCAATCAATGTATTGCACCATATTAATAAATGATCATGTCAATAGATGCAGTAAATACATTTGATGAAGTCATATATTTACATTTGGAACATTTAGAAGGGAGCTTCCTCATCCTGATAAAAGGCATCTGTGAAAAATCCTACAGCTAACATCATTGTTAGTAACGAAACACTCAATGCTTTCTTGTTTGTCTTATCAGGAACAAGATGGGATGTTTGCTCTCACCACGCTTACATTTAACATTGTTGTGGAAATCCTAGCCAGACAAGAAGCTGAGATAGAATACGTCCAGGATAGAAAGAAAGAAGCAAAACTGCACACAGACAAAATGAACATCTATGTAGAAAATTCAATATAAAATACAAAAAAAGCTATTAGAACTAATAAATGAGTTTAGCAAGGTTGCAGGATACATGAACAATATACAAAAACCAATTGCATTTTATACTAGCAACAAATAACCAGAAATTGGAATTTTAAAAGCAATGCCATTTAAAGTAGCATCAAAATATATTAAACTCTTAGGAATAAATCTGACAAAAGATGTGCATGACCTGTACACTGAAAACTGTGGAATACTGAGAAACATTAAAGATAACCCAAATACATGGAGAGATACACTGTCTTCATGCCCTGGAAACCAATATTTAGAACATAAATGTTCCCCAAATTGATAGATAGTTTCAACACAATCCTAGTCAAAATTCTAGCAGGATTTTAATATTTTTTGGTAGATATTGACAAGCTGATTCTGAAATTCATAAGAAAATGCAAACGATCTAGAAGAGCCAAAATAACTGAAAAAAGAACAAATTTGATAAATTAACTTTACCTGATTTCAACAATAAAACTATAATATATATGATATGAAATTCAGAACTGTATATACAGATACAAAAATATTTTGTGTATATCCATCTCTATATCTATGTGTCTGTTTATACATTTGCTGATATATATTGCAGGATCCTCTATTCTGTTGCTTTAATATATACAGTATTTCCAACAAGCTGCAAAAGCTGTCAACAAATTGTGCTAGAACCTCAGATAACCATATGCAAAAAAATCAACTTTTATCTATATTTCTTAGCATATATGAGAGTTAATTCAAAATAGGTCATGTAACTAAATGTAAACCTAAAACTAGGAAGTGCCTAAAAGTAAACAATGAAGAAAATCTTTCTGATTTTGGATAAGGCAAACAATTCTTTGATACAACATCAAAGCACAATGTATAAAACTTTTAAAAATGTGATAAAAGTTTGGGGCCAGCCACGTTGATTCATGCCTGTAATCCCCACACTTTGGAAGGCAGAAGCAGGTGGATCACAAGGTCAAGAGATTGAGACCATCCTGACCAACATGGTGAAACCCCTTCTCTACTAAAAATACTAAAATTAGCTGGGCATGCTGGCTATACGAGCTGGGACCTGTAGTCCCAGCTACTCGGGAGGCTGAGGCAGGAGAATCCCTCGAACCTGGGAGGCGGAGGTTGCAGTGAGCCGAGATCGCACCACTGCACTCCAGCCTGGCGACAGAGTGAGACTCTGTCTCAAAATAAAAATAAAAATAAAAAATTGATAAAATTAAAAATTTCTGTTCTTTGAAATTTACTGCTAAGAGAAGTAAACAAGCCACAGATTTGGAGAAAATATTTGCAAATCAGATATGACAAAAAAACCTTGTATCCAGAATGTATGAAGAATTTTAAAAACTCAATAATAAGAAAATAAATAACCCAAATTTTATTTTTTTCAGATGGAGTCTTGCTCTGCTGCCTAGGCTGGTGTGGAATGGCACAATCTCGGCTCACTGTGACCTCAGCTTCCCAGATTCAAGCGATTCTCCCCCCTCAGCCTCCCAATCCCCCACCCCCACCCCTGCGAGTAGCTGGGATTACAGGCACCCGCCATCATGCCTGGCTAATTTTTGTATTTTTGTAGAGACGAGGTTTCACCATGTTGGCCAGGCTGGTCTTGAACTGACCTCAGGTGATCCACCCACCTTGGCCTCCCAAGTGGTGAAATAACAGGTGTGAGCCACCGCTCCCCAACTCAACCCAAATTTTTAAAATGGGCGGAGTATTTGAACAGGTTCCTCAACAAAGAAGATACATGTGGCAAATAAGCGCACAAATGAATGCTCCACACCACTAGTAATTAAGGGAATTCAATTACTACTTACTGGAGGCTAAGAGACCAGTTAGGGGGTTACGGGAGAAATTGTGAATTAAAATTATGTATGATAGTAGCGGTGGGGATGGAGAGGAGAGGATATGAGGAATATTGAGGAGATAAAATTGCAAAAGCTTCACACTTGGTTGGAAGTGGAAGCTGACGTGTAAGAGAATCAGCAATGATTCTCAGGTTTCCAACTTGAGCAAAGGGGCGGAGGCCACTGATAGACTCTGAGGTCATAAAACACAAGGTGGAGCAGATCTAGGCGGGTATGGAGGAAGAGATGTGACCATTGAAGTATTTTCTTTGTTGTTGTGTTGTTGGAATATTTCAAGTCAAATCCCTGACATCATGTTGTTCCATCTCTACACATTTGAACATGTATCACTAAAAGTAGGGACACTTTCTCCCATAATCACATTGCTGTGATCGCTCCTGAAGATGTACTCAATGATTCTGATTATCATCCCATACATAGTCCACAGTCATACATACTTGATTATCACAAGTATTTCTCTTTTTGCAGTCTGTCTATTGGAATCAGAATCCTGACAAGGTCCACCCTGCACACCACTTTCTCACAAAGGTCCTCTCATCCTGAGCAGTCCTCCCTGCCACTGATTTGTTGTCCTTCATAATGTCCCACAATCTGCACCTGTCTTTGTTCTCCCTCATGATACTGCTTCACTTCTATGCCCTGAATTTCCTATAATGGGGAAGGAGCTCTAAAGCCTGGTTGTAGGAACACTTCATGAACAGTACTGTGCATGGCACACAATCTCTAGCCATCCCACTTGTCACGCTAAAATCGATGACTCGCTTCTGGTAGTGTCAGCCTGACTCTTTGGACATGCTGAGTAAGCAAAGCGAGAAAGGAAGAGGGCTTCGACCAGAGGAAGAGGAGCAGAGAAAACAGGGAAGGAGAATTCAGGGAAGTGGGGAAAATCGAGGGAGCAGCAGCGTGGGGACTGAAGAAAGAAGGGTCAGGTGTCGCTGGGCAGCCAAGAAGAGACAAACAGGTCAGATGGTTTTCACAACTGATGGCTGATAACTTGTATGAGAGCAGCTTTAATGGAGTGATTAAGGTGTAAGTCAGATTGCCCTGGATGGAGGTGTGAATAGGGGTGGGAAGTGGAGGGCAAGGAATATCAATAACAATTTCAGGAATTTGGCTGTAAGACAAGGGAAAAAGATGGGAGACGTGAGCATAGGAAGAGGGATGTTGAAAAAAGAGGTTGTGTTTATTCTGTGGCTCTTTTGATGGGAGACACATTCATGCTGGGAGGTTGAATATTTAGGAACCATAAGGAACTATTACTAACAAAGAAAGTTCCAAAAACATTCCTGGTTGGAAGGTTTCACTGTTTTGTTCACTAATTTCATATATTTTTCTAACTCTCTACAATTGCTTTTTGTTGTGAGCTCAACTGGTCTAGGAGACACAGATTTTGAAACGTGATGAAATTATTCAATAAAGCTGGTGTTAGATGCAGGTGTTAGAATGCATTTTTGTCAGACTTGGACCATATGAATTGAAGTTACTCTATCATCTGACTGATGGGCATCACTTGTTTTTGTCTATTTATTTGAACTGTATATATTCCAAAAATTTTTTGATGTAGCTGCTATATGATAAGAATATTGTAATGGGATTCTCCTGGGTTTCTAATCCAAAGTTTGTTTTTTTTAGAAAAATAAATTTGGACTTAGCAGATAAAAATCATGAATACTATATAACGCCATTTGTTAGACATTTTTGAAATGATAAAATTTTAGAAATGGAGGTTACTGATTGCCAGGGGTTAGGAAAGCGGAAGGAGGTGGGAGGGAGGGGGAGTGATTATAAAAGGGCTCTTGAGGGACCCACTGTGGTGCTGGAGCCATTCAGTATATTGACTAGTGGTGGATACATGAACTCACGCAGGTGGTAGAATTATACAGACATTAATACACACACAGTGAAAGTAAAACTAGGAAAATCTGCCTAAGGTAAGTAGATGGAGTTACTGTCAATGTCCTTGTTTTGCAAAACATCACCATTGTGAAATCCTATTGAGAATCTGAAACACAGCCTTGGTTATATGCTTTTTTCTTTTTTTACCCTGTAAAAATGTTCCTTTTACCCTGTAAAGTGTTCCTTTTTATACTGGTAAGTATAAAAGGAACAAATTATACTGGTAAGTAAAAATTACTGATAAAGTAATTACTGATAAACAAAGTAACTTTAAATTGAATATGGGAAATAACTGCTGTGCTGTATGGTATAAATAAATAATATATTTATCTATAACAATACTACTTTATATAATGGAACTAGATGTCACAAATGGCTCTAGTACTAGTAATGCAATTAATCAATATAATGTTTTGTAGGGTTTTGTTTTTTTATACTCTTTGTTAAGCCTCCAAACTAGCAAGTACCCATTGCAGTAAATGAACAATGGATTATTTCTGTTTCCGCGTTTCAGCCATTAACTCATTAGTTGCATAATCTTAAGGTCAAATTACCTTGTTGAAGGGGACAGTCTGGATCCATTCCGTGGAGCTCACATCAAAAACGTCTGCTGCATTTTCACTGTGCACTGAGAGGCACGGGGCATTGTAACCTGGGAGGAGCAAAGACGGTAACAGCAAACATGGGCTCCGTGATACCTTTTTCAGTGAATTTTTGATGAGATAATTATACATTCACATGTAGTTGTAAAAATAATACAGAGAGATCCCTTGTACACTCTGCCCAGATTCAATTCACAACAAAATAAAACTTCAGTGTCTGGATTACAAATAATTTAAAACATAGCTAAAAATGTAAAAGTAAAAACCTGCCGTTTTGCTAAGACCAGACCATCAAATATTTAAGAGCATTTAACTTCCAGGACTTGTGGAGTATGCATGACATGAGCCACCAAAAAGAAGTTTTTAAAGGAAGAGTTAAAATAAGTGAAATTTTTTTCTACCTTCATCAGTATAAGCAGTGGAAAACACTTTTGAAAGGGCTGTCCCACCACATAAAACGTTACATTTGTGCTTTTCCAGCATTCTTTTTTTTGTTTGGTTGTATGTTTTTATTTTTTATTATACTTTAAGTTTTAGGGTACATGTGCACAACGTGCAGGTTTGTTACATGTGTATACATGTGCCATGTTGGTGTGCTCCACCCATTAACTCATCATTTAACATTAGGCATATCTCCTAATGCTATCCCTCCCCCCTCCCCCCACCCCACAACAGGCCCCAGTGTGTGATGTTCCCCTTCCTGTGTCCATGTGTTCTCATTGTTCAGTTCCCACCTATGAGTGAGAACATGCGGTGTTTGGTTTTTTGTCCTTTCGATAGTTTGCTGAGAATGATGGTTTCCAGCTTCATCCATGTCCCTGCAAGGGACATGAACTCATCATTTTTTATGGCTGCATAGTATTCCATGGTGTATATGTGCCACATTTTCTTAATCCAGTTTATCATTGTTGGACATTTGGGTTAGTTCCAAGTCTTTGCTACTGTGAATAGTGCCGCAATAAACATATGTGTGCATGTGTCTTTATAGCAGCATGATTTATAATCCTTTGGGTACATACCCAGCAATGGGATGGCTGGGTCAAATGGTATTTCTAGTTCTAGATCCCTGAGGAATCGCCACACTGACTTCCACAATGGTTGAACTAGTTTACAGTCCCACCAACAGTGTAAAAGTGTTCCTATTTCTCCACATCCTCTCTAGCACTTGTTGTTTCCTGACTTTTTAATGATCACCATTCTAACTGGTGTGAGATGGTATCTCATTGCGGTTTTGATTTGCATTTCTCTGATGGCCAGTGATGATGAGCATTTTTTCATGTGTCTTTTGGCTGCATAAATGTCTTCTTTTGAGAAGTGTCTGTTCATGTCCTTCACCCACTTTTTGATGGGGTTGTTTTTTTCTTGTAAATTTGTTTGAGTTCATTATAGATTCTGGGTATTAGCCCTTTGTCAGATGAGTAGATTGCAAAAATTTTTCTCATTCTGTATGTTGCCTGTTCACTCTGATGGTAGTTTCTTTTGCTGTGCAGAAGCTCTTTAGTTTAATTAGATCCCATTTGTCAATTTTGGCTTTTGTTGCCATTGCTTTTGGTGTTTTAGACATGCAGCCCTTGCCCATGCCTATGTCCTGAATGGTATTGCCTAGGTTTTCTTCTAGGGTTTTTATGGTTTTAGGTCTAACATGTAAGTCTTTAATCCATCTTGAATTAATTTTTGTATAGGGTGTAAGGAAGGGGTCCAGTTTCAGCTTTCTACATATGGCTAGCCAGTTTTCCCAGCACCATTTATTAAATCGGGAATCCTTTCCTCATTTCTTGTTTGTGTCAGGTTTGTCAAAGATCAGATGGTTGTAGATGTGTGGTATTATTTCTGAGGGCTCTGTTCTGTTCCATTGGTCTATATCTCTGTTTTGGTACCAGGCGCCTCCGCAACCTCCCAGGAGCTCTGACCAAGGCGCCTCACTGGGGTGGGGACCTTGCCTCACCTGGGGCCATTTCATAATTCTGAATCATGTGTGATAACGGAGAACTGGAAGACAAGCCTCCAGCACCTCCCGTGCGAATGAGCAGGACCATCTTTAGCACTGGAGGCAAAGACCCTTTGTCAGCCAATCACAGTTTGAAACCTTTGCCTTCTGTTCCAGAGGAGAAAAAGCCCAGGCATAAAATCATCTCCATATTCTCAGGCACAGAGAAAGGAAGTAAAAAGAAAGAAAAGGAACGGCCAGAAATTTCTCCTCCATCTGATTTTGAACACACCATCCATGTTGGCTTTGATGCTGTTACTGGAGAATTCACTGGCATGCCAGAACACTGGGCTCGATTACTGCAGACCTCAAATATCACCAAACTAGAGCAAAAGAAGAATCCTCAGGCTGTGCTGGATGTCTTAAAGTTCTACGACTCCAACACAGTGAAGCAGAAGTATCTGAGTTTTACTCCTCCTGAGAAAGATGGCTTCCCTTCTGGAACACCAGCACTGAATGCCGAGGGAACAGAAGCACCTGCAGTAGTGACAGAGGAGGAGGACGATGATGAAGAGACTGCCCCTCCCGTTATTGCCCCACCACCGGATCATATGAAATCAATTTACACACGGTCTGTAATTGACCCTGTTCCTGCACCAGTTGGTGATTCAAATGTTGATGGTGGTGCCAAGTCTTTAGACAAACAGAAAAAGAAGACTAAGATGACAGATGAAGAGATTATGGAGAAACTAAGAACTATTGTGAGCATAGGTGACCCTAAGAAAAAAATATACAAGATATGAAAAAATTGGACAAGGGGCTTCTGGTACAGTTTTCACTGCTACTGACGTTGCACTGGGACAGAAGGTTGCTATCAAACAAATTAATTTACAGAAACAGCCAAAGAAGGAATTGATCATTAATGAGATTCTGGTAATGAAAGAATTAAAAAATCCCAACATAGTTAACTTCTTGGACAGTTACCTGGTAGGAGATGAATTGTTTGTGGTCATGGAATACCTTGCTAGGGGGTCACTCACTGATGTGGTAACAGAAACCTGCATGGATGAAGCACAGATTGCCGCTGTATGCAGAGAGAGTTTACAGGCATTGGAGTTTTTACATGCTAATCAAGTGATCCACAGAGACATCAAAAGTGACAGTGTACTTTTGGGAATGGAAGGATCAGTTAAGCTCACTGACTTTGGTTTCTGTGCCCAGATCACCCCTGAGCAGAGCAAACGCAGTACCGTGGTCAGAACGCCATACTGGATGGCACCAGAAGTGGTTACACGGAAGGCTTATGGCCCTAAAGTCAATGTATGGTCTCTGGGTATCATGGCTACTGAGATGGTAGAAGGAGAGCCTCCATACCTCAATGAAAATCCCTTGAGGGCCTTGTGCCTAATAGCAACTAATGGAATCCCAGAACTTCAGAATCCAGAGACACTTTCCCCAATATTTCAGGATTTCTTAAATCGATGTTTGGAAACAGATGTGGAAAAAAGGGGTTCAGCCAAAGAATTATTACAGCATCTTTTCCTGAAACTAGCCAAACTGTTATCTAGCTTGACACCACTGATCATGGCAGCTAAAGAAGCAATGAAGAGTAACCGTTAACATCACTGCTGTGGCCTCATATTCTTTTTTCCATTTTCTACAAGAAGCCTTTTAGTATATGAAAATTATTACTCTTTTGGGGGTTTAAAGAAATGGTCTGCATAACCTGAATGAAAGAAGCAAATGACTATTCTCTGAAGACAATGAAGAGAAAATTGCAAAAAGAAAAGTATGACTTTTATATGAACCCCTTCTTTAGGGTCCAAAAGGAATTGTGGACTGAATCACTAGCCTTAGGTCTTTCAGCAAACCGCCTATCAGGGCCATTTATCATATGTGAGATTTGCATTTTACTTTACTGACTTTGTTGTAATAGATCCCATTCATTGTCCCCTTTGGGGTATTTCCAATACTTGAATGGCAGATTGGAGTTTTTCAGAGTATTTGTTTCATCTGCTAGTCTTTCTCTCCTTCATAGCTTTCCTTTTCCTGGACTTGCTCCTTTTGAGTTGCTTTTGAGTTTCTCATGCCTAGGTAGTGTAATAGAAATTATGTAGCTCCTTATGTTGGCAAAGGAGCTCTATATAGTTTCACTTTTTATAAAAGTTAGGACCAGCTGTTGTTACATGTAATATTTTAGTTCAGAACTTGACCTGAAGGAAGGGAAGAAAAGTATTTGATTTTTACCTTTTTTAACAAATGTGAAAAAGTCAGTTTTAGAAATTTTGTGGTAGTAAGTTTGGCATTTGTTACATGTATAGAGAGAAGACTAATAATCTCTATTTATAACTAAATCATTGAGATAGAAAAAGATTCCCATTGACCGTATATTTCTTCCCATTTCGTCTTCCCTTCTGCCTGTTTCCCCTTCAGGCTTGGCTCTAGGAACCAAAGTGATTTGTTCTTGTTCCAACCTGGGCTTTGTGACTTTGGTTAGTGCCACTACCTTCTTCCCTCCTTTCCCCCTTCAATTTGGAAATAAATTTCTGTATATGTTGCAATTTTAGGTTTATTTTTGTTCTTTTTGTTTTTCATTAATCCTCTCTCACCTCACAGATACCCCCCTCCCATGGCAAATAATATAATAACCAGTGAATTTTTGGGAATTTAAAATTAGCTTTTTTCCACTTAAAGGAGAAAAATATTTGGGACTAGCAGGCGCAGAGTGAGAGACGTGAACCTTGGTGATCTCTGATATAGTGAGAAGAGATTATACTCATGAAAGAGAATGTTAGTGTTACAGAGAAGCAGCCGATAGGAAATCAACTGTAGAGACTTGGAGGCGGCGGCATCGCTCCAGGTCATCATCAGTGTGGTGTTATCTATGAGAACTTGAACGACAGAGTATTTCTTGATGAATTTATAGATCATTTGAGATGTTGAGTTACTTTTGTTTTGTTTTCAAATAGGTAGAGACTATTAATTTAAAAAAACAAGAAAGGAAAATGAAATGTGCGTGTTGAGAGCAATAATTTGTTTCTTTTAAAGATTCTGAAAGATCTGAGACCTGTAGCATTAATTATTTGAGTGCCCTCCCTTCTCCCCTCCCCTCCCTTTCTCTTCTCTTCTTTCATCTCCTCTCCTTCTCCTTTATTCATTGTTTTGCTTTGGAGTAGGTTGTTCAAGTATTTGGTTTGGTTCTGGCATTTTGTTCCCACCATCCCCTTCCCCCATTAACTTCCCCCCTGCTTGCCATCCTGCAGTAGTATAAATTATGAATAAAAAATAATTTTGCTGTTGTAGTATACATTGGGGAAACTAGCAGGGTTTTATTTCCATTATTTTATTCCCACTATATCTATGATAAGATACAATTATAAGGAGAGAAGTGACTGTTTTTTATTGATAAGGCAAGATTTTCAGAAAAATGAGTAAAATAATTAATGAAACATATTTAGGGCACTTAATGGTCTCTGTTTTCAATATAATTCTTGATTTCATTTTTCTCTGGAATATATTGGCCTTCTACAGCTATTACTGAATTACAGAAACTGGTTTATTTCTATCAGAAAGCTGCAGTGCCACCTGAGTTCCAAATTTTAACATTCTTTGTAAACGGATGGATTATGATAAAGAAGATGCTACCAATGAAATAGAAACTATGAACTTTTTTCTTCTGCTGCTTTTAGGGACAGTTAAAACTGGGAAACTATGAAACATGGAACATTTTATCCTACCTAGAATAGTAAATGAGTAATTGTGAAGCGTAAGACACCGAGGCTAATACAACTCTGTCTTCATGTGTCGAGTGCCTGGCACATAGTACTAATTCTCTTCCCTTTAACATATAAATGTTAAGCTGCTTAGAGTCTAGTAACCACCAACTGTAAACGAGCCTGTGCCTTTAACAAGAAATTTTAAACTACCTATGAGTATTTCTTTATAGGGCTCACTTAAATACGTTTGTATATACTGTATTCTAGCCAGAATAATTTTAGATCTGATCAGGTAGTAGCTAAAATTAGAAAAAAACAAAATAGGTGCTTAAAGAATTTGCATCCATTTTTGAGTCTAAATCTTTTTAAATATACTGAGATCCACATCTAGTGAAATGTCAGTGTCAAAATATTATAGATTATAGCTAAAATCCAGATTAATACTCATTTGGGGTTTTTTTATAGTGGAACTTCATAGTAATACAAGAAGCAGATTGTCTTCCTGTCTCCGCTGCTCCCAGCTGGTGAAATCAGTTTTTTGATAGTGTGTTTATATAAGAAAAAATATATACACACATTCTTTTTTCTCAGTCAACACACTGATTGAACACTCTGGCAAAGATGCTGTGGTAGACGAGGTTGGAGTTAGAAAGAAGAAGCAAGCACTGGCCTGGCCTTGAAAGAACGGAAGTCTTTCCCATTCACCTCTCTAGAATGCTGCCAAGACAGAGGCAGAAAGAAATGGATGATAATTCTGTCAAGCACACTTCTATTCTTTATTAAGAGAAACAATTATGTTTGGAATTCAGCATCTTTGGTTGGAACACATTGGCTTTTTTTTCTTGTTGTGATAGAAATGGAATTAAGTAAAATTATAGTTTGTCTTTTCTGTTGTCTTCAAATTTTATAATGTCTTTTATTTTTAATTTAATCCCATTCAATTATTTAATTGTTATACATTGACATTAACTGCTGTATTTTATGACTTTGTTCAATAATTTTGTTCTTTCAGGGCTAGAAATAAACTTTTTTAAGAAATGTGCATTTTTCCCTTTCCTAAACTTTTATTCTTTCTTTTGATCAGAATAGCATAAAAGAATAGTTAAATGTCTTAATAGGTTTTCAAAGAACATTCTAGTATCTTTAGTGATAAATGTTTTAAACCTTTAAAAAAAATAGAATAGTATAGCACTGGCACATGAATAAGCAAATCTAGAGAATAGAGCACGGAATCTAGAATTACATCCAAGTACACATAAGAGCTTTATATATGACAAAATGAGCTTTTAATTCAGTACATCTCCATTAAAAACCCCATGTAAAAATACAAATTTAGACTATTTATATATTTTTTAAAGTTCAGGTGAATTAAATATTTTTGTTTTGTTTTGTTTTTTGAGACAGAGTCTCACTCTGTTGCCCAGGCTGGAGTGCAGTGGCACGATCTCGGCTCACTGCAACCTCCATCTCTGGGGTTCACGCCATTCTCCTGCCTCAGCCTCTCGAGAAGCTAGGACTACAGGCGCCCGCCACCACGCCTGGCTAATTTTTTGTATTTTTAGTAGAGATGGGTTTTCACCGTGTTAGCCAGGATGGTCTCGATCTCCTGACCTCGTGATCCGCCCGCCTCGGCCTCCCAAAGTGTTGGGATTACAGGTGTGAGCTACTGCGCCCGGCCAATATTTTTAAATAAACCTATAAAAATTCCAGAAGGAAGCCCTTGGTGAAGATCTTCTCACTTAAGAACGACAGAAAACAAACCACCTATTTTATAAAAAACAAGTATATCTCGCTATGTAAACCATAGCAGAAAGACAAACTAAAGACTGGAAAAAATATTTACAGTATATATAATATCTAAAAGTTGATCATATTAAAATGGACATATGCAAAGGCTACGAATTGCCAATTCATAGTAGACGGTATGCAGACCCATCATTTGAAGAGATGCAAGTAGAATTCTTTTTTCTTGTTCCAACAAAATCTAGATAATTCAAATTAAACTAAAATGGCATCATTTTTAGCCTTCAGGTGAGCAGCAATAGAAAACAAAATATTAACTCAGTGCTGGCAATTGGCACTGTTACCATTCTAAATCACCACAAATATTTTAGAAATAAATTAGCAATTATCTATTAAAATGAAAACTGCATATACCTTTGACCCAAAAATCCTATTTTCAAAAATGTATCTGACAGAAAAAAAACAAAAGCATCAGCATATAGTGATACTTCTACAATGATGTTTACTGAAATATTATTTATAGTGACAAAAATAAAAACTGAAGACATTCAGATGTCTATTAGCAAGGAAACACATCTGAATAATGTATATTTTATTTTACTTTTTTCAGGCAAGAAAACTTACATACATTTACTTTTGTTTATATATGTTTGTGTGTACCAAAAAGGATGATAGAAGGATGTTCTGTGCATATTAAATTGGTTACTCAGGAGGGTGAGGGGGTAAGGGGATACTACTAGTTTTTCCTATATTTATCCTGGTAATGTCTCACTTCTTAAAAGGAACATATACTGCAGAATCATGAAAATTCATGCCTAGAATAGACTTTAAAGATATCTTGTCCACTCATCTCTTTTGCAAACCAGTAAACTAAGCCCAATATTAAAATACCCAAGGTTATGCCTCCATGGCTCAAAATTAAGAGTTTTTGACTCCCAGATCGGCATTCTTCCAATTCAAAATATAAAATCAAATTCTGAAAATAAGTAGCAGCTAACTCTATAGTAACCTCCTACTTGAGCCTAATAATTTATGTACTGAATGCTTCTCTTTCAGTCTGTGTGGTTTACATGCACATATATACATATTCTTTCCCTAAGAGTTTTGTCTAGCATATGCTGTGTTTAAATTCAAATGAATTAATTTTTAAAATCAGTACCCCTTTAGGTAAATGAAGCTATCTCTGTTGTCAAAAGATCAAAGACAAGCTACATATTTAAACATTATATATTCAAATTATTTAACAACTGTTATGATACAGGCACCACACAGCCGTCAGACACTGGCGCAATCAAACCGGGCAACAGCCATTCTGGTGTAAACATCTGTGGGAAACAAAAATAGCCCAGGCCGGGCGCAGTGGCTCACGCCTGTCATCCCAGTACTTTGGAAGTCCAAGGCGGGCAGATCACCTGAGATTGGGAGTCTGAGACCAGCCTGACCAACATGGAGAAACCCCATCTCTACTAAAAATACAAAATTAGCCGGGCGTGGTGCCGCATGCCTGTAATCCCAGCTACTCGGGAGGCTGAGTCAGAAGAATTGCTTGATCCCGGGAGGCGGAGGTTGCGGAAAGCCGAGATCGTACCGTTGCCCTCCAGCCTGGGCAACGAGTGAAAATCTGTCTCAAAAAAAAAAAAAAAGTCTGCCTTGCCCAAAGCTTAAATATGCTGTCATATCTTCAAAAAGATAAGAATATCTTACCTGAAAATTTCATCTATACTAAACTCAATTTCCTACTAATGAACAGTTTGTCAAATACATTTTTGTTTTTACTATGGGTCTCGTTGTTAATGAATATGACATTATAATAATCTGACATAATACTGACATCATAGTTTAACTGTATGAATAAATGGTGTTTTCACATATAGAGCAAGAATATATACATTCACTCCACAAGTATTTACTGAATGCCTTCTACTTCAGGTATTTCCCTAAATGCTGGGAGTGCTTCAAAACAGATTTGATTCTTGCTTTCATGGAGTTCACGATCTATGAGTGAGACAGACATTAATCAAGTAAACAAGTGATAATACAATTATAAATTGTGAACAGAACAAGGTGCTGTAAAGTAGAATGACAGGGTGAGGGGTGTTCAGTCTATAAATTAGATGATCAGAAATGGCCTTTCTGGTGAACATGACATTTTCATTTGATCGGATTAAGAAGTCAACCTTGTGAAAGTAGGGAACAAGTTCTCCAGCCAGAGTGAGCTGTTTCTTACTAATGTGACTGGCTTGTTTTATCAAAATGAATCATAATGTTTAGTTGGTACTTCATCAGTACTCAATACATATTTACTTATTGAATCTAATGATTAGATTCTGCATGCTCTTCCATCTCTCTTATAAAAGGGCTTCGTGTTGGACTATGGTACAATTAGGCACTTTAAGAAACAACAAAATATTTTGAAGTAAGTTCTACGTATTTATTTGCCACTAACACACTGACTGTAAAAGATATGAAGCATATATACAGAAATTACCATAACCAAATATATATGCAATTAACCTTTTATATAGCTGTGTCTTTATGGTTTCCATCTTTTCTCCTCCCACCTCTGAAAATGTTTACAATTTGTAATCTCCCTCTCAGTACTGCCTGTAATGATATGGAATGATACCCATCCAGAGGAAGGGGTTGTAAGGGGTCACAGAGGTTTGCATTAGAAGGAGTAAAGTTTGAAAACCTTCCCCACACATTCAGTTATGCCCTCTTCTAGGGCATATCCTTCCGCTTTTCACTTAGGAACTATTCTGGTCTTTTTAGATGTCATACTTCCATAAATCTGCACAGTATATTCATTCATCTCCACTAGCGAAAAGTTCCACATTTTATATTAATTTTTTTTTTTTTGGAGACAGGGTCTTGTTTTGTCACCCAGTCTGGAGTGCAGTGGTACAATCACAGCTCACTGTAACCTCAAACTCCTGGGGCCAAAAATGATCCTCCTATCTCAGCCTCCCAAGGAGTTGGGACTACAGGTGCACACTACCATGCCCGGCTAATTTTCTAACTTTTTATAGAGACAGGGTCTTCCTATGTTGCCCAGGCTGGTCTCAAACTTCTCGCCTCGAGGGGTCCTCCCATCTTGGCCTCCCAAAGCACTGGGATTACAGGTGTGAGCCACCACACACAGCTTACGTTAATTTCTTCAAATAAAATATTTTTTCATAGGAAAAAAATTATCGTGGGGTTTTGTTGATATAGGAGTTAAGAAGAAATTAGTTAGGCAGATAGTGAGGGTACAGGAGTCCTTGGTAAGTTTTACCTTTTAATTAAAAGCAGCCCTCAAATCATTTATTTTCCTAACAAAGAGCAGACTGTAAAATGAAGTTGCAGACATAGGCAAGCGAAGTGGAAGCCTGCACAGGCAAATGCGTGAAGTTGTGCCAATAGGAAAATACTACCTGGAATTACATGTTCAAAACGAGAGCTCTATCTTCCCTTCTCTTTGCCAGCCACGTGTACAGTAAAGAGTAGACGAGATGGCGCTGAGCAAGTGGAAAGCCCATTTGCATAAGATTAGGGTGGGGCAACCAGCCTTCCCAGCGCCCTGTAAACTTCACACCTGATCAAACCAATCTGTGGCCCCCACGTAAATCAGACACCAACTCCTCAAGCCTGCCTCCCTGCTGCTGCCAGCTGTTCCCTTTTGGTCTCTCTCTGTCTCTGACTCTGTCTCTGTGTCTCTCTCCCCTCCCCCCTCACCTTTCTCTTCTGTCTCTCTCTCCTCTCACTTCTCTCTCTCTCTTTCTCCTCTCTCTTACAAGAGAGAGATTGCATTATCATCCAATGTCGTTCAAGAAATAGAACGTTTATTGTGTACGTTTTACAAGTTCAGCACTGTGCTAGCCTCTGTGGGGATTCCCAAAGCAGAAAGTAGACGGGTGCCATAGGATGCGCAGAAGGAAGCGCTGGTGTAGGTGTGGTCCACCGATGATGGGAAAGGAAACGGAGCTTGCCTTGGTGTCATTACCAACAGGTTTGTGATATGTATACATTTCTGGATGCAGTATGGTTAAACAGGGGCATTTAAAAGAGCCCCCACCGCAGAGGGTGAAAATGTAGACCAAAAAAAAATTTTTCATTAAAAAGCAAATTTTCACTAGTGGCTCTGTAACTATGAATTTAAATTTTAAATTTCCTGATAACTTTTCAACCATGAAGACTGAGAGCCTGGCCGAATTATTTGGTTCTCTGCCCAAAGATTGGTAATAGAGTCACATAGAATAATTTTTTCTCCTCTTTAAAGATGAATCAGAGGATGCTGGGTTTCACTGAACATTTCTGAAGATTTTCCACACCACAAAGCCCTCCAGGCACAGCTCAGCATTTTGTAGACCAGCATTAAATCTTAAAAGAAGTAAAATGCTGCCTTCTCGTGGCCCATGTACAAAACTGATGAAAACAGTATTGTTCCTTCCTGTTATTGAAAAGCAGCCAAGTCCAAAGCAGAGAGCAGCAGTATTTAGATTTTAAATGAGTTTGCAAATAAAAAGACAAGAGTACCTTAATATGACATGAGTAAACCTTTCAGGAAATAAAATTTTGAATCACATCAGATCAAAGTGTTCCAAAATGGGGCTTAATACTGTAATTACCACCATGACTCTGCATATATGCAGATTTTCCCCCAAGGAGCTCAAACTTTGACTCAAAATCCAGTAATCTTGAATCCTGGTCTAATCCTTACCATCTAAAGAAAGCACACTTATTTAGAGTAATTGTTCAATAGAAAATTTATCAGGTCCTTCCTCATCCTGCCCCCAGCCAGATGTGTTCTCTTCCTGCTCTGAATTCCAATAAGACATAATGCTACATGTATATGGGTCTCTTTTTCTGTCCACAAGTAATAGTTTTAGAACCTTTGTGGCCTCTAAGATGGGCATGACACATGGTGCATGCTTAAGAAGTGTTTGAATAAATTAATGAATAAATAAATGGGAATTAAATGATGAATAAATGTATAGCTGTGATAAATATTCCCTATTTCCCTTATTTAAGCAAAAAAAAAAAAAAAATACTATTTGTTGTGCAAATACCAATGCCTGCAAGGCTTGTTGCACTGGCTCAGAGGCCATGCAACATATCTTTGAAAACAGTCAGGAAGGCAAGAGTGGCTCCAAATCAAGCCTGGGTGCATTACTGTACTTTGTGGACATCAGGAATGGGCACTCTGGCTCTGCCTACTCCTGGATAGGCCCTACAATGATTATACAGGTTCTGACACATAAAAGCAGGGGAGAAGAATACCTGAGAAACAGATTAAGGCAGGGTTCCTCACCCCACTGCCCACAGGAAATTCTCTTCAGTGGGCCACAGAGCTAAATGTACAAGCCAAATGCTTCCTGAAAGGTGGGTGCAGATGTAGTAAACAATAGCCTATGTAAGCACCACTGAACCACATCAGTCTAGAAGTTTCTGTTTCTGATTCAGGCACTGATCCCAGGTCAGGTGCTCTGTGAGTGCTAGCTGGGAGTGGTGGTGATGGTGGTGGTTGAGATATGACAACACATAACAATATTAGATGCCTATTAGGTTCAGGCTGTAAATGACTCCTGCTTGCCCTTGGACAAGCAAGCTGGGAATGTGTGAATGTCAGCAGTGGGTATTTATACTTGGCGCCAGACTTCTCCAGACAAGTTCTTACTTGTTCCCCTCCACCAGTGGTTGCTTGAGCCTTTCTGCTGTTTAGCCTCATTCCTTTAAGCTGTGAACCCAGACTCCTATTTTGAGTCCTTTTATAGATAACTTGATTCAGTCACAATGCAACAGACTCCAGGACAGCTTTTTTTGTCTCTGTCTCTGGCTCCCAGCACCACAGCGTAAATTTAAAAAAAAAAAAAAAGACTCCCTGCTGTGTGCTTCTTGGGCACTGTGACAGCTGAAGGACAAGCCTGCCTTTCAGCCAGGATTCCATTTCCCTAGAGAATATTAGGTATTGGACGAGATAGGAGATGAGAGGTAAAAATGAACACTGGCGTGCGCGCGCACGCACGCGCGCACACACACACACACACACACACACACACACTTCTAATTGCCAAACTTCTCTAAAGGATGCTTGAGACCTGTCCCACTTTCTTTAGCATTTACTAATTCCTTGACTTCCTCTGACCACAATACCCAGGTCTCTCTCTTATGGAGTTCTAGTGGCCCCCTTGCTGAACATCATGGTCTTCTCTCAGTTCTTATTCTCTTTGACATCTTGCCAACATCTCACTCTTCTGACAACCTCAATTGCCTGTTCCTGGAACAGTCTTCTAATTTTCCTCCCAAGACTAATCACAAGTTAGTAAGAATCCAAGCAACTTTCATTTCTTTCATTCATTTATTTATTTTTTGAGGCAGAGTCTTGCTCTGTTGCTCAGGCTGCAGTGCAGTGGTGTGATCATGACTCACTGCAGCCTCAAATCCCTGAGCTCCAGCAATCCTCCCATCTCAGCCTCCCAAGTAGCTGGGACTATGGGTATGCGCCACCATACCCAACTTTTTTTTTTTTTTGTAAAGGCAGGGTCTTAATATGTTGCCTAGGCTGGTCTCAAACTCCTGGGCTCAATCAGTCCTCCCACCTCAGCCTCCCAAAGCACTGGGATTACAGGTGTGACCACTACACACAGCCCATTTCTTTTACAGTGTCCCAACATTTCAGTATGTTTTAAATATTTATTGCTTCTAAATTAAACGTTTAATACATATTCACAAAATATAGAGACATGATCTCATTTAGAGATCCAAATGTGAAGCCTGTGTGACTGTGAAGGCCCCCTGTGATGGGGCCGTTGTAATAGGTTTCTCTTACCTCTCTACCTGGCTTTCACATCTCCTTCAGTAACTCTCTTCCTCTTCTTGCTGCAAGACTGGGTCCTCAATCCCCATCTCTCTCCACTTACTTCCCCTTTGCCTACCAATCCTGCCTTCTAGCTCCAGTTGTCTTTTTTTCTTTTTTTTTGAGATGGTGTTTCACTCTTTTGCCCAGGCTGAAGTGAAGTGGTGCGATCTCAGCTCACTGCAACCTCCACCCCCCGGGTTCAAGCAATTCTCCTGCCTCATTCCCCTGATTAGCTGGGATTACAGGCACCCACCACCAAGCCCAGCTAATTTTTTGTATTTTTAGTAGAGATGGGGTTTCATCATGTTGGCCAGGCTGGTCTCGAACTCCTGACCTCAGGTGATCCACCTGCCTTGGCCTCCCAAAGTGCTAGGATTACAAGCATGAGCCACCGCGCCCGGCCCAGTTGTAATTTTTATACTAATGACTACTCAATTGATGTACCAAACCAAACCTCTCATCCAAGCCTGGATTCCAATACTTCTAGTTGTCTAAAGAACATCTAAATCTTACCATTTGCAAACTGAACACATCATCCTCCCTCTGGTTGGCAAACTAGCTTTTCTCTTTCTCCTATCTCAAATCTTATCTCAGCAGAAGCCAAGGGTTCCATATAGGGCTATCTGTAGAGAAGAGGGTGCTCATCCTATTTCAGCTTTCAGAATTGTGATGGGTTATGGTGGTCTGAGACAGAGAAATCAATTTGAAGGAATTTGACAGAATATTATAGCTAGTTATAATGGGTTGGATAGTAAGCTGTTAGACCTTCCCAGAAAAGAAGTTCTCGAAGTAAAAGGCAGAGTTCTGACCTTTTATATAGAAACCGGTGCAATGGTTATGGGTGGAGGGGCAGCTGTTAAGGATGTCCAGTTTAGACATCTCTTAGCAAACTGGAAAGCTATCTCCTTCATGCCTATACCCAAGACCCATTTGTTAATTACATGCATGTTGTCTTAGTCCATTCGTGCTCCTATAACAAAATACCACAGACTATTTTATAAAGAAAAAAAAATTACTTTCTCACAGTTTCAGTGGCTGGAAAATACAAGGTCAAGGCTCTAGGCATTTGATCTAGTGAGGGCCTTCTTGCTGCATCCTCACATGGCATAAGGTGGAAGGGCAACTAGCCAAGCATTGCGGGACACCTCTTTTGTAAGGGCTTTTTAACTCCATTAGCCAGGAAGAGACTGTAAGGCCTAATCACCTCTTAAAGACCATCTTAATACCTATCTTAATCACTTCTTAATACCATCATATTGGCAATGATTGAACTTTGGAGGGGACACATTCAAATCATAACATATGTTGTAATAAGCTGCAAAATGTAAGTTTTAATAGAATAAACTTTTGTTTACCTCTATCATTCATTCACTCTATGAGATTTTTGCAGTAAAGTTTTATCCCAATATTATAACGATCTCTCAGGAAATCTCTTTATGTTCTGAGATCATCTGACAGCACCATGTACAATCTGTCCTTCTCATAGGAGCAGATGAAATCAACCAGTGGTATTGATGGTTATCTTTTCTTAAGCCGGTTATTGCAGGCATCTGTCTGTCTCTTTGTGGAAGACTCCATGCACACTACCACAGGAAGGAGATCTTGTGATGTAGGCAACTTCCTGGTTAAAGCTCTTGTCAGTTTAAACATGATTACTTACTTTCTGACGTTTGCACTAAGTAGAAAAATATGCTCCTTAGAGTCCTAATGAGTATCTACTTTAACCTACCCCAAATGAGGTAAGATCATTGGATATCAGAATTGGAACACAATTTATGTCCTGAAAAAAATAATGAGAAAGATCAAATAAGAGTTACGTAATCTTACTGCAAAAACCTAGCTGTAGGAAATAGATACCTTCTATCATCTGTCCCAAAAGATGGAGTTGTCTGAGCCACTAATCCAATTCTAGGGATCCAGATGATTCAGGTAATTCATGAATCCCATCTTCAGACAGAAGGCAAGAGCAGTGCATGAGATATCTCAGTAGCATGACATTCCATTTTATAGGAGCTAAGGGGAAACTGAAACTCTGTGTAGAGTCTCTGTCTCTTAGTTTACTGAAATTTATCTTTCATTGTAATAAAAAAGATCTGACCCAAAGGAAAAAAAACATTGTCAAAAATTTTGGTATTTCTCAAGGCACCTGAACAAATATACCATAGCCATCTAGGGTTATATTGTCACCACCAGTTGTGTAATTAAAACAAAAAAAAACTTTAAAATTAAGTATCAGCAAGATATAATTAAGAAGAAGAATGTCCTTTTATGTGTGACAAATCATAAATAAATGTATGTAAATACTTAAAGACTAAAGCTAAGTTATTTGTAAACTATTCATTTTTAAATGATTTGTACAAACATTCCTCTAGGATATGACATTTAAAAATAAAATGTGATTCTATTTATAAAGTCTGTATTAAGCGGAATACTGTATTAAATAAATATATCTAATATGAATGGAATTAGAACTAAATTTTAGTTTGCACAATAGATATCTGTCCAAAAAACTTAAGATTACAGAAAAGGCTACAATGGCTGACTTCCTTTGGCAAATGGTGGCATACTGCAAGAAAATTTTATCAGAAAATTTTTGTTTTGTCCTTATTTTAACCTGAGAAAGCTTATAATTCAATTCCCCTTACAAATATATCATAATAAAGATTAGGTGAATTTACCTTGTAAGAGGAAAATTGGAAAAGAGGAAATATCATATAATTTGTAACAACATTTGCAAGGAAAATTCTATAATATGTGTCAAATATATTTAGTAAAACCAGAGTTTATTGTTTACCATGTAGCTAGAAGTCCTAATATATTTCTTTGCTCTTTTTTCCTATTTTTAATATTAATATAATCTGTTCCTAAAAACTGCCCAAGTCTTCACCAGCCAACTTAAGGTGATTTTGTGACACCCCATTAAGTTATCATTTATTCTCATTGATCTCATCACCTGCAAACTTTTCAAAGATACTGATACTCTACCTGTCCTTCCTAAATTACTACAGTTCCCTTCATCCCAGTTTCTACTACTACAAGTCGTTTGAAACCTGCTTATGAAGATTGTCACTAATAACCTAATCCCCAAATCAAACCACCTTTCTCTCTCCCTTTATCTCAGTCAAGTTTAATCAAATTTAGCCCTATTAATGTTCCTCTTTTTCCTTGAAATTTATTCTTTAGGTGTTTTATTCTAGCTTATCCCCCGCATTTCTTTTTGACAGCTCATTTTCAATCTCTACCTCTTCTGCACACTAAGGGCTTTTCTTTGGTTCTGACTTTTCCTCTTATTCACAATTGACGGTTCACATGACCTCGTTCTGTATTTCCTCTCTCTCATTTTCCCAGGCTTAAACACTTGGAGAGATTTTCTCTTAACACTCCTATAAAAATGTGAGTTTATCTAATGGAGATTTAATAAAGCAAATGCTCTCTCCACAAAGAGATATCGCTGGACCACTAAAAATTCAACAATGTTCTCAACTAAATTTTCTCCATTTGTATTATTAAGGGAGACTAACTAAACCCACAGTTCTCCACAATGACAACTGCCCTTACAGATTTGCTTAAAAAAAGTAGTCCATATATTCGCTAAAATCTAGAGGATATTTAATTATATGAGTGCAACTCTTTTCTCCTTTAGGGTATGGACAGGAACGTTCATTCGAAGTCAAGGCAGATGCCTAAAATATTGCAGTAAGACAATCTTCTCATTGTCTGTAGCAGATACAGACACTGGTTACTTCTCCCCCAAATTCACTCATACGATACTGAACTAACTAATGCTATGTTAAAGCAGAAATATGCAAGAATGTACCCTTAATAAATAAGGTCCCTGCTTAGTTGTGGTGGTAAAATGTGAAGGGAAACTCAGGCAGTAAACAAGATCAGAGAAAAAAAGGAGGCAAGACAATCATAGTTGACAATAGATCTGTTCTTAGTTTCAGTTTTGTCACCAATATCTCAGAAACCCAGAAGCAAAGGATGTATGGCTAATTCTACTTGAGAACTTCAGTGTGACTCCATTTTGATGCAATCAAAACTTGAACTCATCTTCCAAGATTGAAAGCAATGGCCCCCCTACATACTACATACCACTGTCATTGTCATTGTCATTTCTCCTTAAAATCATTTCATCCCCCATTGTATGTTCTATTTGTGAATATCTTCCTTGGTCCATGAATCTGCCTTCACTCTCCGTATTCTTCTTCAGACCTAGACAGTATGCTCTTAAGAACTGAGTAACTTCATTCAGGATATGGCCACTACTATGAAGATGACTTTTGGACAAAGGACTGGTTTTAGGAATCCTGAAAGTTTCTGGGAGACTTTACCAGTCTTATTTCTGCAAGTCATGATTACCACACATTTTGTAGCTAAACAATTGCTGTTCCTACACTGTAAGATCATCATCTTGGTAAGTGACATTTTCATCAGTATGGGTTATTCTTTCATTCCATAATATCCTATGACCCAGACTAGGCCTTTGGGTTCTAGTTCACCCTTAGATATTTATGTTTTATGTTCTCCTATGATGGTTAATTTATCTTAAGCATATCTCAGTCCCCAAAAAAATGCTTAATTTTTTTTATATTTTTAAATGACTGTCACAGCAGCATTATTCAGAATAGTTAAAAAGTAGAAGCAACCCAGGTATCCATCAGCGAATTCAGATTAAAAAATTCTGCAGGCAACCAAACTTTTAGTCAAGTGAGAGGAAATCAGAAAATGCAAGTATCCATTTACCATTCATGGGGGAAATAATTCTTTGATACTTGAGAAAATACCACAGCTGACTAAAAGAATAAATAAAACTGTTACATCTCAAGAGGTAATATGATATTAAAAATTGATTATGTGTACTGCATCCATTAAAATTCACATTAATAAATAATTACTAGTTTTTAACATCAATATGTTACATAATTCTTGTATCAAATATATTTCTTGGGAAAGAAAATAAACAAAAAATAATATTTTTAATACCAGGAATTTGACCTAAAAAACTAATTAATTAATACATGTTGAGCAGGAGTAGAGAAGAGGAAAGTAAAAGTGTGATAAGTCTCTTATATAGGAGAACCAGTAATAGTCTTCCATTCTTATAATTGGTTGAAAATTACATATATATGCTAATCTCTGTGTATATGTATATTTTTATATACATATAATGTGCATATGTGAATATATATATAACTGTAGAACAAAAATGTGCATTCTACAAATGGGAATAGAGAATAAAATTTGTAGAAAAAATAACTAATAGGAAGAAAGAGGAGCTACAATGACATATAATGTATAGGGAAGAAGAAAACAATAAGTATAAACCACAAAGAATAAAATAAAATGGCAAAATAAGACTATACCTGACTTGGCATAGTGAATATAAATGGCTTAAAAGATAACAATAAAAGGCAAATAAAATCAGATTATATCAAAAGGTAAAAATCTAAATTTACTAATTATAAGAAGCACATGTATAAACAAATTGACAAAGAAATGTTGAAAATAAAGGGATTCAAAAGTTTCCCTGGTCAAAAGGAACATAGAAAAGTTAGAGGAATAGACAGGTAGAAATATTAGAATCAGACACAGCATCATGTATCATGGCAAAAAATATGAAATGGATAAAATGATTATTATACACCTGTAAAAGTTACAATGCACAGTGCAAACATAAGCATCACAAACAATCCATACACTGAGGAAATACATAAAATAAAAACTGTTAGGAAGGAAAGGAAACTTTACATAAAACTTTAACATAACTGTAACATACATCTAGGAGATAAAACAGAATTTCCGGAATGACAAAATATCTTTAATAGGCATGACTAAGCTTTACACTATACAGAGAATATGCCTTTTTCTGTAACATCCACAGAACAAACAGTAAAATTCACTAAAATGGTTTTAATAAAGTGTGAGTATTTTGACTCATCCACCCCAAAAGGGCGTATTATTTCTACACTAATTGTATAGCCCAGGATGTTAGGAATTAACCAATATTCTTTAGTCCTTGAAAGATCTTAACCTTGAAAACACTCAGAGACAACATACAAATAAAACCCACACCAGCTTTTCTGTGTGCTTTATCTGACTGTAGTAGGCTGAATAAAGGCCTCCAAAGATGTCCCCATTCTAAGCCCTGGAACCTGTGAATGTTACTTTACATAGCAAAAGGGACTATGCAGATGTGACTAAGAATCTTGAGACAGGGAGATTTTCCTGGGGATTATCCAGGTGGGCCCTAAATGCAATTTCAAGTCTCTTTATAAGAGGGATTGAGAAGGAAACTTCATCAAAGAACAGGAAAAAATCAGTGTGACCATAGAAGCAGAGATTGAAGCGATGTGGTCACAAGGCAAGGAATGCTGTCAGCCACCAGACACCGGAAGTCAGGAACAGATTCTCCCCCGGAACCTCCAGAGGGGAGACAGCCCTGCTGTCACCTTGATTTTAAGCCAGTGATGTTGATTTCAGACTCTGGCCTCTGGAACTGTGAGTAAATAAATGTGTGTTGTTTTATCCACTAAATGTCTGTTTTAAGCCACCTACCACAGGAAAGTAATACTCTAACCTCCAGCTAGTTTCTCTCTCTGGGACTCTCCCTGTATCAGCAATGGTACTATCACTTTCCTTGTCACCCAATCACCATGAACTTCTCCTCTCTCGCACCCATACCCAAAGTAAGGGGTAGTGGGAATGGGTGGATTTTCATCCCACCTCTTTTTTTAATGAATAAATTAAATAAAAGAGTATCTCCACAAGTTTGCCTACCTATCATTTTAAAGTAAAACCACCGTAAGTTTGATTGTTGACCTCTCTGGTGAAATTGCTAGAAATAAAGAAAGTATCTTACCAACCTAAAGGAAATGGAGATAAAAGAGTTGGAGAAGAAGCAGGATGCCTAAGCCTCGTCTTTAAAAAAGAGGTTTTTTACATATCTTTCTCTTACCAAACTTTAGGTTGCTAATACATTTATCACTATAATTTTATTTTTAATTAACATTCCTGGTGAAAAATGGACACATTTGATAGATTCAGAGGCTGTAATAAAGTCATCTGTCCTAAGAACCAGGAAGCACACAGAGTGATGTAGTTCACTAAAGGTTTCCCCCACCTCGATTTACATGGGCCTTAACTTTCAAGAGATTCAACGTGGCAGCTTTAATAATAATAATAATAATAATAATAATAATAATAATAATAAAAAAAGAGAATCTTGTGTGTCCTTCAATAGTTGACTGAAAGTGTGGCAGGCCAGGTCTCACTAACAGCTGAATAGGCAGGCCTCCATGACAACTGTTTCAGCACTGACTGAGTGGTTAAGATAAATATTAAAAACTGATGGGGCCAATGTCCTCATACAAAGGCTGGAATGTAACAAAACCCACCAAGAGTTTTGCCTAGGTCTTCCCTGGGCCTTGAAGTATGACAAGATAACAAAGGAATTCCTAACAGGACCCATTTAGGATTAAACAAGTTTTATTGGGGGTCTAAAGGAACTCCCTAGACCTCCACAAACAAGCTTTACTGGGGACTAAAGGAACCTCCATGATTTAGCAGGAGACAAGATAAGGGTAATCACCCTGGCACCTGGACCCATTTAGATTAAGAAAATTTACTAAGGCTCCAGAGGAAGGTCTTCAGTACTCAGATTTTAGTTATAGGTTAGAAGTTGATTACTTGGCCGGATGGGGTGGCTCACGCCTATAATCCCAACACTTTGGAAGGCCGAGGCAGGTGGATCACCTGAGGTCGGGAGTTTGAGACCAGCCTGACCAACATGGAGAAACCCCATCTCTACTAAAAATACAAAATTAGCCTGGCATGGTGGTGCACACCTGTAATCCCAGCTACTTGGAAGGCTGAGGCAAGAGAATCACTTGAACCCAGGAGGCAGAGGTTGCAGTGAGCCGAGATCGCGCCATTGCACTCCAGCCTGGGCAACAAGAGCAAAACTCCGTCTCAAGAAAAAAAAAAAAAAAAGTTTATTACTTATGTCTTTAGATGAATGCACACTTACATACTTACACATAGACATATAGCTTAGAAGGTGTATAAGCTCTGGAAAACTTTATAATTTTGAGTTGGTCTGGCAATATTTCCCAGCCTTCTCTCTGTACCTAGTTATATAAATAAACTCCCTTCTATCCAGTTCATCTGCATCTCATTATTGGGCCATGAGAATAAGCATAAAACAAACCTTCCTTTGATGCTGGTATCTAAGCACCAAAAAATAGATACCAGCATCAAAAGAAGGTTTGGATACAACCTTCTTTCATTTTGTTTGGATACAAGGAGCTAGTTTGGGTCTGCTCCTTTAATGTATCTATGCTCATATTTTCCTTCCTCAATTATAAAATAAAGTAGAGGTGAACACTGTGGTTAGCCATAGATTAACCAAGAAAGCAGAAATCATCTCAAATGTTCACAGCAGAAGGAATGGAAAGCAGTGGTGGGTCCATGAAGAGTGGAGAGGCTGAGAATTAAACAGAGGGCTCTAAAATAATCCTGGGAGATTGACGATAGCAGGAAGTCTTTATCATTCTTGGGCTGGAGAGACAAAAGGAAAACATGGAATTACTGGCACCAAGAGGACCACTCTGGGAGACTGGATCTCTGGTGGCCTCGATACAATGGGGGCTGGAGTCACAGAGAAGATAAAGCCACTGGAGAGGCCACCTTAGGCTGAAAACAGGAGGGAGTGTCTTGATAGCTCCCTCCCCCAAAAACCGCTCCTCACCCTGCTCTCTAATTTTCCATGGTTGATATATTCCTGCTGCCCGTTGACTCAGTCCTTTCAGAAATTCTCTAGAGCCTGAAAAAGTCACCCTGCCGAGGATCAACTTCTTCACCCCAGAACAAGGCAGAGCAGAAGGATGGATCTGAGTGCAAACAGGTCCAGGACCAGCACACCATATGGTAAAGTGTTTTTATGGTGTTATATAATAGAATATATCATTGAATTCAACTCCTTCATTTTACAGAGAGGAGCTAGGGTCCAGAGAGATGAAACTGTTTACCTAAATGCACACACACAGCAAGCTTTTAGGTCTGAACACACAGCATGCTTTTATTAGGATTGTATTAGTTATGACACTGCTTAAGCCCTATTATAAAGTTCTTGGGAGCTGAGTCATTTCATAGTCATCCCTAGTACCTGATACAGCATCTGGTGCTTAGAAAACTCTCATTAAAACATTTATTGAATTCATACAGATTGAAAGAGAAAACATAGCCTATCAACTGATCTAAGGTAGCTTTAGAAAATTTCCAGTCATATAAGAGTTACTGAGCAAAGACTGTCAAAACAAAGCAAAGTCTTTGTTAAACAAAGACTGTCAAAATTATGCCTCTTAAATGTTTCAAAAGGGAATCATACATTCTCACTGGCCTGTGACGGTTTAAATTTTCTATGATTCAGAACAAGAACAAAGATATGTTTCTTTTAACTCTCATACTAAACTATTATTTGAAATAATAAAAAGGATGTCAGCAATGAAAAGCTGTACAGGTTGTACAGAACAGATTGATACAAATAAAAAGCTAATAAATATTTATGTGGCCGTGTGTGGGAGGTGTTGCCTGGAGTGTTTCCCCCACATCCCTGACTACGGAGTGAAAAAGGAAACTTAGGAAAAAATATACCCAAAGAGGGAGATTTAAATAGCACAGTGGGCAGTGGGGGAAGTGATGACTAATATTGCTGTTAGTAGTGGTTTAGGAACAAAAGAGACAAGTCAGCTGGAAACCTTCTGGTGTCTTCTGCTAGGGCTCCTTGCTAAAGCTGATGCTGGAAAGGAGGAAGGAAGGAAAGAAGGAAGGAAAAGAGGGAGAGAGGGAGCGAGGAAGGAAGGAAGGGAAGTCATTAGAATGTAAGCTGAACACCCATTTGGTGCTTTTGGCCAAACAATAATACACATGTTTAAAAGTTCATTATGGTGGGAACCCAACTTAAGTAGAATTAATGAAATTGATACAGAACTTGAAATTCACTACCTAAAATTATTCATTAAAAATGCAACATGCATTGAATTAATGTAGCAGCACCTGAAGGAAGTCAAAGAAACTCCAGTTTGAATTTTGGGAGAAAAGAAAGTATCATTTAATTTGAAATAAATGAAGAGAACCTAAAAGAGCAAATGGCTAAATAAGTAGAAGAGGTTTTTTGCAACCTATAATTACTGGGGGATTTTTTTCAGGAAGCTTCAGGAAAGAAGCTCTGACCCTCAGATTAGTCATTCGTCACCCAATCACTGGCTGCTAAATTAGAGGCCAGGAAAAAGAGATCAGACATGTGCAAGAAGGAAGAAGAAGAAGGAAGAGAGGAGAAGGAGGAGGAGGGTGGGGGGAGGGAAGAGGAAGGGAAGGAAGGGGAAGCAGCTGTCACTTTTTTGTTTCAGTGAAACTATACAGGGCAAAATCCCATTAGAGCTTTCTGAGAAGTTATGTCTGGGACAGATCTGATGGTAGGCTTGAAACTTCGAACAGAGTCCAAGAAAAATCCCCCCTTTTTTTTTTTTTTTTTTTGGTTTTGTAGAATTTAGAACTATTTTTCTAGGTGTCTGAAATAAAATAAAATTTTAAGTAGTTGAAATGTTAAGTAAATTGTTTTCAACAATTTGCAGATTTATGTCAGAATATATGTTATGGGATTAAGCAGATAAAATAATAATATTAAACATCAAAGTAAGAATAGTGTGAGAGATGAATAATTTAAGGCAATTTCAGTTGCATGAGGTTTTTTTTCTTTTTCTTATGAATAAAAATATAATATAATTTTATTACTCTGTAGAGAGGTTAGTAAACTAGGAGAAACTCAAGAGGGGAAATGCAAAACATAATAAAATAGAATACATTCGATTTTAAAAGAATGTCTGTATTTCATTTGAGTGCTGGCCAAAAGATAATGGCATTTCTTGGAAGAAAAGCAGTTATCAGAATTTAAAATTTCAAAAACCTGTATTAGGAAGACACATCACTTATGTAGTATGTAGTATTCTTGTCAACAATATTTTGTCTAAATCTAATCATGATGAAACAATCAGAAAAATCCAAATTGAGAATAATCTGTAAAAGGAATGGTCTTTGTTTTGTTACATGTATACATATATGTAAATATATATCCCCAAAGCCGACCTTGAGAAGGAAATTCACTGAGCCATTCCTTACGAGTGTTCCCAGGAGAAACAGGAAAGTGAGAAGTCAAGTCAGTCCAAGAAGAATAAAGAGGCCAAGCCCAGTTGCATATCAGCAATCTCACAGAGAGAGCTGCCTCAGTCCCTTGAGGGTAAGTAGATGACCTCAGAGTTGTCCCATCAGTTGCTGCTTCAGAGCCACACTTTCAGCTCATCCTTGCACTTCATGCAATCTGTGAGCCCCACAGGCAGAGCAGGTCCTGGCTGCCTGAGGTTATTCCCTATGAAAGAAGCAGATCTAGGTTCCCACAGCAGTCTCTGCTGTAACTAAACAGAAGGCTTCATTCATGATTGGATTAAGGATGGGGGAAGGGCAGGTGGCTATGAAGGTTATTACTTGGACCACAAGGACAATTTTTAAATGAGCTGTACATTACATATTTAATTTTATTGTTGTTAAATTTTGAGTGTGATAATTATGTCACGCTTATGTGGAAGAATATCCATGTACTTATAAGATACATACTGAAGTATTTAGGACAAAAATGCTGTGTCTAAATTTATTCTCTAATAGCCTCACAAAAGAAAAGTAATATTGATGTGTATGTGTGAGTATATGAATGTATATACACACATACGTGTATACATATACATTTAGTATGTTTATGTATACGTTTGTAGACAGATTAAAATAGAGGAAAATATGGAAAAATGTAAACAAATGGTGACTCTAAGTAAAAAGATATATAGATATTTATTGTACTATTATTTTAACCTGTAAGTTTAAAATTTTTCAAAACAAATAGTAGGAGAAAAAAATTAGCACTTGTCATGGTAACTTTTTTTCAAGAAAAGTTGTGTTTAAGATCAAACCAGGTGCGGTGGTTCATGCCTGTAATCCCAGTACTTTGGGAGGCCAAGACAGGAGGATCACTTGACCCCAGGGATTTGAGACCAGCCCTGATAACATAGTGAAACCTGTCGCTACAGAAAATTTAAAAATTAGCTTGGCATGTTAAGCTGTAGTCCCAGCTACACAGGAGGCTGAGGTGGGAGGGTCGCTTGAGCCTGAGAGGTCGAGGCTGCAGTGAGCCATGGTCATGCCACTGCACTCCAGCCTCAATGCTTTTATAAGTGTTCTTATATAAGCAATAAGTAAATTGCTTATATAAACTCTTATATAGCTATTTATTTATTTTTTTGAGATAGGGTAGGCAATACTCTGGTAACAAACCATCCACAAATCTCAGTGGATAAAAACATAAAATCATTGCATATTGCATTAAGCTGCATTGAAAACCCAGTAAGAAATTTGGTGTAAATAAAATGAAATAAAAATGGGAAAAATAAAGTCCTTAAGATCATTGTGTTAGGAAAAATTGTCTACTGACTTCTTGACAACAGGACTTATTTATTTATTTTATTTATTTATTTATTTATTTTGAGACAGCGTCTCTTTCTGCAGCCCATGCTGGAGTGCACTGGCGCCATCTTGGCTCACTGCAGCCTTGACCTCTGGAGCTCAAGTGATCCTCTCATTTCGGCCTCCAAGTAGCTGGGACCACAGGTGCGCCACCCAACCTGGTTAATTTTTGTATTTTGTGTAGAGACAGGGTTTTGCCAGGTTGCCGAATCTAGTCTCGAACTCCTGGGCTCAAGCCATCCATCCACCTGGGCCTTACAAAGTGCTGGGATTATAGGTGTGAGCCGCTGCATCCAGCCAGGACTTCTGATTTCTTTACTGTTTATTAGAGGATGGACCCTATTCCCTCCAATCATAACTCACTTTTTAAAGCAGTGATTCTCAGCCCTTTTGGTTTCAAATTTTTGGTAGCCTATTTAAGGAGGAGGTTAAGATACCCAAAATATCGCCAGTCAAGTCCTGAATCATTACAGTGCATACTTCCACCGTAAAATTCTGTCCCAGAGTGTCTGAAAAGTATCCATAACAACTCGTCAGCTCCATGTAACTAACTGCTTCAGTGAAAATGATTATTGTCTTGACCTCATTCCTTTATACTTAAAAGGACAAATTTCTCATATGTTCCAGAAAGTATGCCATCTTTATTTAGCACTATGCAGCTCATCTCTTACTTGCAGCAAGTTGTACCCAGTCTACATAATTTCTGTAACCTACTACTCCATCCAGCAGTTATTTTTGACCAGCACTGCTGCAATAATACATATACTTGTTTAAGCAGAAGTTAATCTTACACATTGGTTTTGACAATACCACTGTTTCACAGATATTTCCTGTTCTGTCTCCTTACATCCATATGGTAAGATTGTACATGCTGGTCCCCTTGTGGTGGGGTTAGGTGACCAGTTCTAGCACTTGTCACCCGTAAGTGATGAGTAGAAGTGACAATCCACTTCTGGGTCAGAGTACTTAAATGTTGATGGTAAACCCACCACATTTCTCTCTTTTGCTTCCAGCACAGTGACCCATGATATTCAAGGTGGTGGCTCCTTTGTCAGATGAATTCCTGAGTGACCATAAGCAGAGATCTCCTAACGACCCATGATGGGTAGTGTGAGCAAGTATGAACCATCTAGTGGAGCAAGAAATAGTGCCTATATAAGCACTGAGATTTGAGGATGGTTTGTTACCAGAGAATTGCCTACCTTATCCTGACTGATAATCAGATGTAATAATATACCTCTGACTGGTGTTGGCTCCATCATACACCAGGGAAACAGCTGTTGTCTAGTACTTATAACATGTAACTCAAAACCCCTGGTTTAAATGAATTCCTGAGTGCATTATGCATAACATTTGTATAATTGGCTTTTGTAAACAAGACATTGCTATAGTTCTTCACAGAATTATGCTAATATCGATAGATTATTCTTCATTTATCTTTATCTGTTCTGAGCGACTGAAAGAGGAAAGATTTGTTATGAGAACACATAAATACAGTATCATGAAAGGGAAAGAAAAAGTTCTGTTTTGCGGAAGGCATTAGTCCCCTTTGTTAGTCAAATGAAGAGAGACTATTCATTATACTTTAATCTTAAGGAATCCAAGATTGCTAAACTAATGGATGACATGTGACTAAGGAATGAATTAGTTGAACTTTATTCTATGAGTTGCCACCATGAACTGTGCAATTATAGCCAGGTCCTTTAAATGCTTTGAATGTTTTTCATGTGCGGATAAGATTATTTCAGACCTACCAGGCCTTGAAGAAGGATCAAAGTCTTGTCAGAGCTTTTGCCTAAAATTGAAAATATCATGTTACTTGGACTATTTATTTATCCCTGCACCTTGTTGCAAAAAGGATTTTAAGTAGATGGCATATTATTATTTTATTAACACATTAAAAAAAACCCATAAGAGGATTATAGAGTTTTTCCCTATCCTACTTCTCAGAGTGTTTTAAGCACACTGTAGAATTTATTCACTCATGAATTTGATACAAACTAAAGTGAAAATCTCTTCTCTGGAACCTCATAATGCTTAGAAAGCATAGTAACACGTTCAGAGAAAGAGGAAGATCAAATTTAGAGGAAGCTCTTGTTTGAGTTTCTGCCACAATGAGTTTCCCATTCTAGATATTAAAATAATAGTATATACCCCAAATAAAATACTCAAGTTTCTGTAAATTAAGGATTATGACTTGATTATACATATTTTAGATTTAGAGCATGCATAAAAAAATATCTTTTTCACCAACTAGTAGAAAAAAATTCAAAATAATGTGATGATTTTAATCTTCCATGATATGTAATCTAAAATATCAAAACATCACTGACTTTGCATTATAATTAAATATAAAAGGTGACTGACTTAAGCCAAATTTAAAAAAAAAAATTGAGACAAGGTCTGTGTCATCAGAGGTGGTAAGCAGTAGTGCAAACACAGCTCACTGCAGCATTGACCTCCTGGGCTCAAACTCTCCTCCCATCTCAGCCTCCCAGGCAGCTGAGATCACAGATACACACCACCACACCCAGATAATTTTTTTTTTTAAGTAAGGACAAAATCTCACTATGTTGTCCAGGTTCCAAATAAATTTTAAGAGCCTAATTTTAACTATTCAAAAACTAAGCAAATACCTGAAAATTATTTCTTCTGAAAAGCACATACTAAATAAAAATCTATTATACTTATGGATTTTCAGAGGTCTTCATAAGTATTAACTCATAAATTCTTGTGGCTTTCCCAATTGTCACATGTCTCCTTTCATGAAATATTTTGTAAATTTTTACTATGGTATTGGACAGAGCATGAACCTCAGAATTGCCCAAATCTGAGTTCACCGACTTAATCAAGCACATATTAATATATAATCTTGGATAATTTATCAATTTAAACTGAAGAGCTTTATCTTCAACATTTCTAAATTATGCGTGTTATAAACAATAAATCAGGTTATTCCATTACATTTAATAACTAGCAACCCACACTGTGATAAGTGTCAGTAATGCAACAGCACGGTAATATATAGGCAAAGCACCAACCAGAAATTAAGTATCTGTTGAATTTCTCTCTACTCTCCTTTTCCCTCAACCAATTCCTGAATAAATGTAGGGAGAAACAGGAATGTTTTAAGAAATCTTCTTCAACTAATATGAAATAGGATATCTGAAGACTCATCCTTCTGTCTTCCTAGTCTATAGTTTGTTCCACAGCTATTTTTGTGACTAAAGATACTAAAATTAGACATTACTTTTATCTCTAAATTTCAAGGCAGTTGTTAAGAACTATGACTAAACTACCAAAATAAAGAAACATAGAGGAATAATGAACATTGACTACAAACTAAACTGATTGTCACATATTCTATGTGGTGATTTGAGAGACTGCTTCTCATACACTGTAATTCAATGAAAAAATAGCATATACAAAATGATTACTTAGTAAGAAAAATTCAAACTTAAAACGAGTTGTCAATGTGACATGCCATGTTAGAAATGAATAATAAAATGTGTGCCAAGGGCTAAGTAAGGCATTTTTCCCTTTTTTTCTCTTTTAAAAAGTACTACAAAAGAGCAGTTTTTTTGGTTAAAAGAATTAATGAAAATTGCTAAATCAATGACGCTTTCAGAAGTTCCCTGTTTTTGACATCAGAGTCATATTATAATGCTCTATTTCCTGTTTCCTCACCTAAACAGAATTTTGCTTCAGGCAATTTTTTATCTGAACTTCTGTTTGTAGAAACCAGGGACATTTATTGAATTGTTTCTGGCTGGCTATTTGATCGTAACAAAGCATTTAAATGATACTGATGCCCTGGCTTGAGCAACGGAGCATCCCAGACTTTCAGTTAGTTGCACACAGCACACATACAACTCATTTGAGTTACAGCTAAATGCAATTACAGGCCTCAGAGCTAATATATAGATCACTTCTTATTTAAGGCAATTCACCTTTGAATTGGTTAACCTTTAATTGTTCATAAAATAATAAGATGGGAAACAAAGTTGCTACCCAATATGTTAGTTTCCCCAAATAAACACTTATTTAAAGGTTCATTTGTTAATCAAGTATCTGGAAGTTGAAATACATTTTTATGAAAGGAAATAAATTTTAGGTGATGATTAGGTTTTTATCAAGAGCTGAAGTTTTTAATAACGAACAGGGAGAGATACTATGGCAAAACAGTAATTGAATAAAACATAAATTCAATAAAATGATATGAAAAATCAATGTTTGACATTTATTGTGCAGTGCTGGCTGGGTGCAGTGGTATGAGCCATACCACTGTGTACATCCTCATCTGTCTACCAAATATGGCCCCCAGGCAGTTTGCTCAAGGTCACATACTGGTGGAACAATAATTAGAAACATTTTATCATCCTCAATTTAATTCTCTTTATATTTGACTCAGGATAAATGTCAACCATTGATTTTTCATATCATTTTATTGAATTTATGTTTTATTCAATTACTGTTTTGCCATAGTATCTCTCCCTGTTCATTATTGGTATGAGCCATATCACTGCACCCAGCCAGCACTGCACATTTTAAGTGTATGTTCTATGAGTTTTGAGAAAGGTATACATGCATGTAACCACCTTGCTAATCAGGATATAGACTATTTCCATCACCCTCAAGGAGTTCCCTTTTGCATTTTGCAGTCCATCAATCTTCCTCTACCCCTTAGCTCAGACAACCATGAATCTACTTTTTGCCATTATAGATTAGATTTTCCTGTTATAAATTTTTATGCAAATAAAATAATATACAAAATACTTATTTGTGTCTGGCTTCATTAACATAGGATAATGATTTTGAGATTATTGATGTCAATCAGTGTTATCGTTCATTATTTATTTCATTGTTGGATGGTATCCCATTAAATTGATATACCACAATTTGCTCATCAATTTACTTTTCTGTTTTTGAGTTGTTTCCAGTTTTTAGCTATGATGAATAAAGCTACGGTGAACATTCATGTACAAGTCTTTGTGTAGACAATTGTTTTCTCTTGGTAAATACTTAGTGGTATTATTGGGTAGTATAGTAAATATATGTTTAGCTTTACAAAGTGCTGCACCATTTTAATCTCCCACTGGCAATGTATGAGTGTTCCAGCTGCTCCACATTTTTCCCAATATTTAATACTGACAACTTTAAAATATTAGACAATCCAGTGGATATATAGTGATATCTCATTTAGATTTTAATTTGCAATTCACTGATGATATACTATTGAGCATCACATCTTACATAATGTACTTTATTTTGCGAAGACACATACCCAGCATATGGAAGACCCTCAATAAATATTTGTTGAACTTACACAAATTGAATACAGAAAATGCAGCTCATCAAAGGATTTGAGTTAATTTCCTGGCATTTATGAAATACCGAGCAAGTTATCAAATGATAGCACTTAAGCTAATTCTCAAGTATTTAAAAGAAAGTGTACATCCTCATCTGTCTACCAAATATGGCCCCCAGGCAGTTTGCTCAAGGTCAAATACTGGTGGAACAATGATTAGAAACATTTTATCATCCTCAATTTAATTCTCTTTATATTTGACTCAGGATAAATGTCATTGATTTTTCATATCATTTTATTGAATTTATGTTTTATTCAATTACTGTTTTGCCATAGTATCTCTCCCTGTTCGTTATTAAAAACTTCAGCTCTTGATAAAAACCTAATCATCACCTAAAATTTATTTCCTTTCATAAAAATGTATTTCAACTTCCAGATACTTGATTAACAAATGAACCTTTAAATAAGTGTTTATTTGGGGAAACTAACATATTGGGTAGCAACTTTGTTTCCCATCTTATTATTTTATAAACAATTAAAGGTTAGCCAATTCAAAGGTGAATTGCCTTAAATAAGAAGTGATCTATATATTAGCTCTGAGGCCTGTAATTGCATTTAGCTGTAACTCAAATGAGTTGTATGTGTGCTATGTGCAACTAACTGAAAGTCTGGGATGCTCCGTTGCTCAAGCCAGGGCATCAGTATCATTTAAATGCTTTGTTAAGATCAAATAGCCAGCCAGAAACAATTCAATAAATGTCCCTGGTTTCTACAAACAGAAGTTCAGATAAAAAATTACCTCAAGCAAAATTCTATTTAGGTGAGGAAACAGAAAATATAGCATTATAATATGACTCTGATGTCAAAAACAGGGAACTTCTGAAAGCGTCATTGATTTAGCAATTTTCATTAATTTTTTTTAGTCCTCTACGACGGGCAGCTAGCAACTCGACAGGAAAATACAGGAACCTGAATAAACCTGACCTGTCTTCAGCATCATTTATATACTGTGGTTATGCCCACGGAGGTTCCTGGACTGCATGTTTTGATTCGATGAGAAGAAACCTCCAGGCTTACTCTGATTGGACTTTATTATCATGTTCTGATTGGTTGAGAGCAAGTCTTAACACAACCAATCACAGCATGAAAACAAAGTCCAATCAGAGTAGGCCTAGAGGTTTTTTCTCTCATCCAATCAGAACATGTAGTCCAGGAAACGCATTTGCATAACCTCGGTATATAAAGCATGCTGAGGTCGTATCAGGTCATTTCAAGCTCTTCTGTGTCTAGAGGAAGAGCTACCCCGTGACCGGCTTAGAGAACTGGAAGAGGCCGCAACCTTTCTCCTGCTTGAAGCTGGAGGATGGATGGAGTCTGGAGCCCTGGAGCGTGGGACACTGTTTCGCTGTGGTTGGTGGTGGCGACAGAGCAGTAGGAGAGCGCCCGGCAGCGGGAGCTTCTCCTGCTGGGCTGGAGGACTAGGAGAAGGAAGAGGCACTGCCACATGCTGGAGGCTGGAGCCTGTGCCACCGTGGCTGGCCTGGCTCTGGTTGGTTCGCCTCGCTGTGGTTGGTGGTGACGTCGGAGACTGCAGCTCGGCCACAGTGGTAGAAATGTGATGGGGTAGGTGAGTTTCCCGGGGCTGCCATGCACGCCTCTGGGGGCAAGGGTTGGGTGTCCTACTGGGGCTCACTGCTAGAGGCTACCCTGCCTGTGGCAGTGGTCTGGTTGGGGGCACTCTCCGGGGTGGCATTGCTGGTGGTGGGGCAGGTTGGCTGGCTATCTGGGGCTATACTGCCTGCGGTGGCAGGGGTGGTCGGGGAAAGCAGATTGTGTACACTAGCGTATACTGCCGGTGGCTGGGGAAGGATTAGGGGCGCTATCTTCTGCTGCACTGCCAGCGGCAGGGGGTGGGTTGGGTGGAGTTATCCAGGGCTACAATGCTGGCAGTGGGGGGTGGTTTAGGGACGTTGTTGGATGCTGCACTGCCTGGGGCGTTGTTGGGTGCTGACTCAGGGTGGTGCGCCATCAAGAGCTGAACTGTCCGTGGCGGGGTGGGAGGAGGTGGGTTTGGGATGGTATCTCGTGCAGCAACTCCCGTGGCTGGGTCAGATTTGGGGCACTGTTGGGTGGTACACTCCCTGCAGTGTGGGGGGAGTGCTTTGGGGGAGGTATTGGGGTTACATTGCCTGAAACTAGGGTGTGTTGGATGTGCTATCCGGGGGCTACACTGCTAGTGGCAGGGGTCAGATTAGGGGTGCTGTGGGGGCTACACTGCCAGCGGTGTTGGCGAGCTGAGGTGGCGGCAGCGGCAGCGACAGTAGTGGCCGCCTCTTTCCTTCTGGTGGTCTCCAGGTAAGGGATCGTTCTTCTATTCCCGGACTCCAGACTCTAGAAGGCGATCTTCTCCTGCTCGTGCTAGATTGCACGGCAGGGCTCCCACACCCACTGTGGTTTCCCGGCACGCCCTCATGCTCTGTGTTGCGGAGACCACCTGGGACTACCGGGCAGGGAGTAATAGGCACCCACGGGGGAAGCAGGGGACAGGGCACTGTGGGTGGAGGCGTCAGGAATGGGAACCAGCCCTTGGGTGGGGAGGGCTGGCTGGTTCTGAGTTTCTCCTACTCGGGCTCCCTGAGGAGGGCAGCCCTGGTGGGCCCAGCAATTCCTGGTCAGCTGGAGTTGGCCAGGGGCCAGTTTCAGTGAAGGCATTCACTCCCACCCCAGACCCCAGTTCCTGGCCAGCTTTTGCCAGAAGGAGAGGCTGGACTTTGGAAGGTGGATGTGAGTGCCTTCAATGAAACTGATGCCTGCCACCCAGTCACCAGCGTGACAAGGTGAGGCTCTAACGGTTCCACTGTCTGAATCCTGATTTGGGCTTTTCTGGCTTTGCCTGCCCAGCTACTCCAAGCCAGGCTGAAGGAGGAGAAGGCGAGGAGTCGCCTGTGGTAGGGTCGAGCCTGCAGATGACGTGGTTCTGCAGCTTGCCTCATGCGGTTGGTGGTGGCGATGGAGACCACAGATCGACCGGAGCGGGAGGAGGGCACCCACGGGGGCCAGGTGGTAGGAGCTGGTAGGGTGGGCTGGTACATTGAGGGCGACAGTGGTTGTATTGGCATTGGCGCTAGTGGTGGTAGCAGTAGGAAGTCTGGGGGCCGGGAAGGGGGAATAGGAGCACTGCAGGGCCCATCCCACTCTGGGGTGGGGAGGAACCTGTGGGTGCTGTAACACAGGCTTCGGTGGCAGTGGTGGTGATATACCTAGGGCAAAGAAGAGTTCTCCCCCTTCTCCTGCAATCTCTGGAGGGTGCCCTCCTGCTGGTGCCTGAGCTAGGCGTGAGTGGCAGCATTGTCTCATTCTTAACAAAATTTAGGGGATGACTATTTGTGTATCCTTTTGCTTGTTTTTTGTTGTGATAGTCTTTGAGTTACTCAAATTTTATGAATCGAGAAGGGGATAAAAGGTATTATAGGCCTTCTAATTCCCATACCTGTTCTTTTTCCTTTCTTCCGCTGTGTGTTTTCTTCTCATTTTCTTGTTCCTCTTCATTTTCTTTTGCTACTGCTTCTATTTCATGTTTGTATTCTTGTTTCTTCTCCTGTTTTTGTTTTCTTTCTCCTCACTGTAATCACCATGATTTATAATTCTACACTTGTTTAATTGTGTCATATGTATTTCTTTTATAGCTCATAATTTCTAGGAGAACTAGTCAGCCTTGGGTATCTGCAGTGCCTGACACAATGTAAATTTTAAATGAATGAACATAAATAAATTGTATTTCCACAATTTTGAATCTTGGTATAGTGGAAAGAATATCACTCTGGAGGTCAAGGGGCTGTAGTTCTTGTCTTCTCCATGAATATTCTTTATGTGCCGCTTCTACCATCTGTGAAATGAGGGATGGGAGGGGGAGCTTGAGGAAGTGGTATTAGATGATCATTAATAGTTCTGTCAGCATATTCTTCTAGGGTTTTATGAATGTTATAATTGCATTTTAGACCATAATAACCAAACATTACATATTGATATATTTAATTTTTTTATGTAAGTGGTACATGATCAGCATTGTCCACATTTACAATCGATGGAGGAACAATGAAATTCAGTGTTACGTTAATGGACAACTGGTATCTTATGGTGATATGGCTTGGCATGTTAACACAAATGATGTAAGTCTATTTTTCTGTCTGTGGTTTAATTTGAGAGTATGATCTATCATTACAATATGAATTGAATAATAAAATAGTTTGGTAGAAACTTAAAACTTTGAAAGTTTTTTTTTTATTAAACGAATCTTTCATTGTTAAATTTAGTATAAGAAAATTGTTAAAAGACATGATTAGTGATACAAAAACAGGAACATTTGGCCAAAGTTTTAAGTTTTTTAGATTAAAAAAACCGTGAATCCTGTATTCTATTTATTCCAGCATCAAGCACTAAAAAATGTGGTTTACCCCTTATTTAGATACAGAAAGAAGACCCTAAACAGAAGGATAACATATAGTCACTATTATTAATTACATCGTGATAAATGCTATGGAGAAAATAAATTGGGGATACAGAAAGTGTAGTTGTAGGGAAGGGAGGAGCCGGATGGTCCAGAGATGATTTTAGTAGGAAGAGTTGAGCAAGCGAGGTATGTGGGGAACTTCTTCTATTCAGTGGGAACAGTGAGTGCAAAGGCTTTGAGGCGGAATAGGAAAGTTCAAGGAAAAGGCAGTTTGTCTGGAGCAGAGGGAGGTAGAGGCAGAATAATATTAAGAGATGAGGTTAGGCAGAAATCATTTTGGCCTTCATAAGCAAACGTAAGGCCTGGGCTTTCGCATCTTACTCAGTTTAAAAATCCTTGGAAAGTTTTCAGCAGACAAGTGATGTGTGCTTATATTTTAAAAACATCAGTCTGCCTGCAGTATTGAGAATATTTTGAAGGGAAATTACAGAAGCAGGAAGATCACTTAAATGGCTTATTGCAATAAAATAAAGAGATTATATGAGTTTCTACCAGTATGTTAGCAGTGGAAGAAGTGACACAGTTGGATTCTAGGTAGAGAACAACTTGAATTAAAACCTCAAGGGTCCTTACGGTTTCTCTACTTGGGGCTTTCCATTGTCTACATTCTGGCCTGTCAGAGTCAAAGTAAAAGGTTTGTTTTAATGCTGAAAGTACTTCCAAGCTCAATAATATACAACCCTTCAAGCATACCTGGTTTTATAAGAACTTACCTCTTAAACACAATTCATTTCTCAGTTTTGTTTGCATCTCTCTCTAGGCTTTAATTTCCCAAAGGGCAGGGATTTGCTTATCGTGTCTTGTATTCGTTTAACTAGCACTGTGTGTATGGTCCACAGTTTGTCCCCTAGATCGGGGCTTGGCAGACTACACCCTATGAGCCAAATCTGACCTTCCCCTGTTTCTGGTTTTGTGTAAGCTGGGGCCTAAGAATCTTGGCTTTTAATTTTTAAAGGTTTTTTGTTTGTTTGTTTCTTGAGACACAAACAAAATCAAAGAAGAATGGGACAGAAACCAGGTGTGGCAAGCAAAGTTTAAAATATTTTCTGTCTGTCCCTTTATAGAAAAAGTTGCTTTTCCCTGCCGTAGAAACTCATGGTTGTGCCACAACCAATTAATATTTAATAGAATGTTGTTTTCAGAATTAGAATAGACAGATGAAATTCTGCTTTTTATCTTCTCTCCAGAGGAGATCTCTGCAGAGTCTTTTTATTATAGAGTGGAAGAAATCCCAGTGGTCGTCTTGACTCATTCAATGAGAAGACAGTATCTTGGAAAGAAAAGACTTCGTTTTTGGTTATTTGTAATAGTGCCCTAAGAAGTGGAGAATTCTAGATAATGACACATACTTTATGCCGTTAAAGTTTAAGTTCCTATACTTCTAATTAAAGATTGGGTATTTAATGATGACAGTTCTTTTTGCCTTTGTATGCATTCACAATTCTTTTTGTTACTTTATTGAAGGACCAAAAGTACTTCTTACATATATGATTCTTGCTTATTCATTCTAAGGTGTGAAATAGCCTTTGAGGATAGGGGAAGGGAACTGAGCCATGACTGCTTTCCCTGGTTTGGGTGGGTGGGGTGTAAGATGTAGAGGCTGGAAAGATCTTAAGCTTTTGGCTTCTTCAGTGCTGAATTCCTCAATGTGGAGAGCACTGTACCATCTGCTTTAAGCAGCAGATTATAGTCTTATTGTGTGTTTCGTTCTGTGTAGTTCCTACTCACACACGAGCGGGGATTTATTTTCTTTGTGTGTTTTACTAAATATGGAGGAGTAGAGGAATAGATTCATAATTTCAAAAATAAAGTTGAATTTAAAAAATTAGACCCTATGTTTTCATGATTACATTTTGGAATAGTCATTCCCTTGATTCAGATCAATCTCTATATATGGATCATTATACATCATGACAGTTTTAAATTATTTTAACGTTTGTAAATAAATAAATATAAGCTATTTTGCCTTTAACTATAATATTTGAAAAGTAAGTCGGAAGACTGAGTAGGTGGCTATTGTTTTGTTTGCTTAAATGTAAGTGTAAAACATGTAATTGGTCATTTTTCCCAAAAAACTTGACTGGCATTTATTATTTAAATAATAAAGTCTTAATTGATGCTTTCTTCTATTATTATTGTTATATTTTAAAATATTCCTAAAGGCCGATTTAAGGATTTAAACCTTTTCATCATTAAAAATAATGCATTTTTAATGACTTTTAAAAATAGAGCTATGACAAGTGCTTTCGTGGTTCATCAGAAACTGCTGATGCAAATAGCGTATTCTGTGCTCAACTTGTTGCCGTTCAGTGAAGCACTCAACCCAGCACAGATATTTGCAATTCATCAGTTAGGACCTAGATATAAGGTAGTAATAACTGTAATTTTATAAATTCTAGAGAGCGTTTTAGATGTAAAATGTGATGTAATATAACTTTTAGTGAAAATCTTTCTTTAATACAGTTTAAGAGTCATTTCTATTTTTTGGAATGTAGTCAGTTTTTATTATATGTTTCTTTTCGGTTCAAAGGTGCTTTTTTCTCAACTCTTTTCTCTTTATAAACTTTTTTATTCTTCAGAATATTTTCTAATATTGATAGCATGCCTTTTAACAATTCTGAAATAATCTTATAAAACTGTTTTGCTTAATGTAGTATTTAAAATACAAAAATTTGAAATATATATTACATAATGAACATAATAAAGAACTTGTTAATATTACTGGTAACTTGGAAAGAAGAGTTAAAGATTTAGAAGGAATCTAAGATAATATATTTCATGGGCCTGAAATTATTTAATTTTAGTTTATATTTTTGCTTTAATTGCAGTGAGGAAGTAGGTACAGTAGTGAGTAAACTAATTTAGCAAAACTAATTAATGTAATTTATCATTCTTTCTGTTTTTTAAACTTTAAGAACAAAGACTAGGTAAGATACAGCATGCACGTATATGAGTTAGTTTTAAATGTGCGGTACACCTGGCTAGGGGAACATATAAGGGTTCTGTTTAAATCACACTGGGAATTGTGAAGTCTCAAACTACTTAGAGCTGAAAGAGAATTACACATTATAGTCAAAGTGTTTATAATTCTGAAGGAGTACTTGTCTTGTACGGAAGTGTGGTTTTTTTATTGAACTCAATTTAATTAATGTGAAGATTGTGTAATGGAAAGGAAAAACATAAAAAAATTCCCTCTTTGGCCTCTGTATTTTTGCATTGGTATTTCTGTTTTTATTTTTGTCATATATATATATACATATATATACACACACACACACACACACACACACGGATATATATATATATAGAGCGAGGGAGGAAAGTTTGAATTTACCCATATTAAAAGATCTTTTTTTCTCAGTGACTTTAATAACCATGATAATATTGAAGGATAATAATGCTATTATTTTTATGTCAAGGTAACAATACTTGCTATCATATATTTTCCATATCATTTTTGTTTTTGTCCTACTAGCTCTAGAAATGAATTTGTGCTTGTCCAGCTACTTTTTCTTTCATGGGTCTTTTTGTCGAATTTGCATCCTGGTTCTGCCATTGCTGATCTTGCATAGGAACATTTTTGTAATTCACATTTTTTATTAATATGCTGCCTGCTTTTCTTTTCTACTTCTTTGAGTTGTTTCATAAAATGCTTGCAGTATCTTTTTAAGCTCTAATAGAATGATATTAAATAGAGTGACAAGCAAACAAATGAAATATAAAAAGGTAGAGTATCAAGAAAATACAAATCCAATATGATTGCTAATGTGAAATTTCAGAATTGATGGGAGCTTCCTGGCAACATCAAGGAAAAGGGCTGAATATAAGCAATTTTGTAATTCTTCTATTCACAGAGAAGCAAACTTTGTCCTGAACAGCTTTGCAATCTCTGTAGTTTGTAGTATTCTTTTCACACGTCTTTCTCGTCATTCTTTTTAACAACAGTGATAATGAGCAGTAACCCGGTCATCATACGTGCACAGCTCATGTGACGTAGTGTATCCTTAATATCCTAACACACAGTGTAGAGTACCTAAAGTCAGAACTTTTAAGAGATATACCTGTAAATTTGGGCATTACATAAGAGAGTATTTTTTTAAGTTTTGAAAGTTCTCAGCTTACTGCACCCCTTGTTGTTAGTGGGGGTTGATAAAGCCACAGGTACATGCATTTCCTCAATTTGTAAATAGTATAAGTACAATTGCACCATGACAGGCATCAGCAAAAATTTTTTATATTAAAAACCTTTTTTTTTTTTTAGAAATTCAGAGAACATAGAGAAGGAGGAATGCAAATGATCAGATTGTGTTTTGACAGAAGAAAAGCTGAGTAGTTCACACATAGTCAAAATTATCTTGCTAAAGTCACTCTCTGTGAGTGAAGCGGGGTAGAGGGCTACAGCGGAACTTTTAAGGTGTAGAGAATATAATTAACTAATGGACATTTGGATAAATCACAAAATGGAGTTTAAGTTACTTAGTGTTGTATAATAACTTAGTATTTATATTTATTGCCTTCAGTTATATGGAACTTTCAGTGTAATGGTCAGACAATATTTATGATTCTGAGCTTAGTGTAGATAGCATGTCAACATATGGGCTTCAAAATTAATAAAATAAGTTAATTCTACCTTCAAATAATGCCATCAAACTATATATTCAATGGAGCCTGTCAAATGATTTTGACTTGTTGGTCACTGTAGTGCTAGGTAAATTTTTTTCTGTTGATATTTGGTTTTGAGCATTGCAGCTTATCAGTATATATTCTGTACTTGGTTATTTTCTGGAAACAGTAAATAAGTTAGGGTATCACTTATTAACTAAATAAACCGTTCATTTTGGAAAATACAGAAATACAGAAAATATTTAAAATAACAGAAAATCTCACTGTAGATTTGTCTAGTATAGTAAAATTTACTGCCAGATAAGTTTACAGTGGCTATTTGGGGTTATTTAATGTCTTCAAGATTGTGTATGAGGTGGCCCTTTGACATAAGCTTGCAAATCAGATTTTAACAAAGTTTTTATATTTTATAATTATTACTAGACATTTTCTCATTGTTCTGTTAATCCCGTGTGGCAAGCAGTTAGTCTTCATGGCCAGATATTTGAAAATTTAGCTTTGAGTTCTCTCCTTCATTTATGAATATGATAGTATAATAGTTTTTATAATTTGCTATATCATAAAGAAGTTCTAACTGATAAGAGAAAAAGTATAACACAACCTCAAATTAAAAATCACTTCAGAGGATTTCTGATACTTGTATAGAGGGGTGAGCTCCTAACAAACTGATCTTCTCAAAAATAACCATTTGTAAACTCTGCACATAATATAGATAACATCTATCTGAGGATTGTGAAGATTGAATAAAAGCAGGCGAGGGTAGTCAAAATATGGAACAGTCAGTCTGCATGGACTGATATCCCCATTTTTTGCTTTTATAGGAAACTTTCTGGCCAGAAAGTTTCTCTACAGTATTGTACAGAGTAATAGTCACACTATTTAGCATATAATCCAAAAGTACTTATTCTAAAAATGGTCAGGAAAATGTGACTTATTCTCAAGGGAAGAGAAAATCATCATAGACCAACTCTAAGATAACCCACATGTTGGAAATATCACATGAGGTCTATTGTAGCATATGGTTTAGCCCTTTCTAATGTTGAACTGTGAAGGAAATTAACTCTTAGAACTTACTGTGAGTTTTTTTGTGTCACTGAAAATTATCTTGGATGCAAAATTGTTTTGGGTGTGGAATTGAATTGATTAATGTACAGTGAAGTCAATTTCTGCTATGATCACTCTTATTTAGGAAGAGTTTTGTAGTGAGAGAAATACTATAGAAACTGTGATATTAAATATTTTACGTAATTTTAATCATCTTTTAAAATATTTCACTGTAATTCAGTCCTAAATTAGGCTTAAGAGATGAAACGTTTTGAAAATGTCAAAAGATTTTTCCCCCTTACTGATAACCGTAAATCCGATTTGAAACTTAATCTACTTGATTACTTTGCAACATTCTTTTAAAAGTGGAGGAGGTATTGGATTTTAGGGGGGGAATCTTTACTTTTTACGTAAGTTATTTCCAGTCTTCTTAATAAAAAGATCTTTATTTAAAAAGCCAATCTAGCTGTGGTACTTTGCTTTTTCAGTAAAAACCAAATTGAATAGCCAGTTTATGTCTTCAGAGAGCTACCTTTGAACAGAACTTAGGTTTATATATTCACTCTTAATCATTTTAGTTATGAATTAGGTGCATCTTTATGATATATTGAATTCTAAATAATAAAAGTACCTCAAAAATAATAAAACTTCATGGATCACATTACATGAGTTATATCTACATTAGTTATTTTAAAAAATTAAATACAAATTGAAATGGATAAAGTTATAGTAAAATAAGTCAAAATCTATATTTAAATTTTAATGGCATATAAATATATGTATATTATAAACAGGTTAGTTATGTTTTTATACATAGTTAATAAATATTCTCAGGTATTTGTGGGCCAAGACTGTTGTGGCATTCTTTATCAATAAAGGCCAAAAAGCTCTGGAGAAATAATAAATATGCTAATTTACAAGAGGTATTATTATGCTATTTCTTTCATTTTTTTCCCATGGTCTAACCCTTTACGATCTGATACTTGAAATAAACATTATTTTCTAACTTAAATTAAGCTTATTAAGAATTACAAGATGGTAATTATTTTTAAGAAAAAACACCCACTAGATTATTAGCATCATTTTCCTTAAAAAGATACAGGATTACAAACTCTCATCCATTCCTGAAGTAGAATTGCTACTTATAGAACATGTGTTATAGTACTGTCTGTTGAAAAGTTGAGCAATTACATATCATGACATAATAATCAGCATACTTTTGGTCTATAAAATAAAATACTCCTCTGAAAATCTTTTCCTAGGTATTGATATAGTTTTCAAGAGAGTGTTCTATGTTGTATTAGTTTTGGCTGACACCGGTACTTGCTTTTTGGTTTATCCTAGAGTATATATTTAGATCCTCTGCAGATGAACTGATGCGTTCTAGACAGGAAGTTGTATGTAGGAGATATAGGAATGGGCTGAAGTATCTTTTATATTTGCCTTTGTATCTAGGGAAGTTGGAAATAGGCAAGAATGGAGAGAAATTTTGTATGGCAGTACACAGAATTTTGCAAGTTTATTGTGAGCCCTGCAACAATCCGATGCATTTTAGTTCCTGGTAAGTTTGTTGAATTATGTTTGAAAATGTACCTCTTCGAAGATGGCCATCTATTTACTATTACGTCCACCATGTCAATTATACCTTATTGTAAAGATTTTTTTTTTTTTTTTTTGCAAAGATGTGGTATTGCTATTGCATTGGGTTTTAGGTATAAATTGAAACTACCTTTGTTAGTGAATGCATTTGACATTTCGATTGGTGTCCTAGTTAATGTTGAAGTGAAATTAATACTTCATGGATAGCAGAATCTTGTTAAGATTTTGGAATAATAATATTAATATTTCAGTTTTTATAATAGAGCTCCACTGTGTTTAGAGGTCTGAGTTAACTCATTAGATATTTGAGAATGAGTAGTTATTCTGACATAAAAGAATGAGAAAATCTGTGTCATCCTTGCAATTGTATATGGTTCTATATAGTAGGGTGATTTACTGTAAAATACTTTTTTGCCTTTTTTCATGGATCATAAGGACCACTGTGAGGCATTTCTAGTCTTTCTTTTTGGCAGTGCTCATGTTTAGGAATCCATTTTCCCTCAATCACTAACTTTGGTGTATGTAAGAATTCTATGAACAGATCAGGAAATTGTGTAACCTCTATGCATGGTTTTCTTTATTCTTTTTACACATCTAGGCAGATGTGTTATGTGTAATATAGTACTTAGCAATTATTTGTGAAGTGGCCTTGACTATTCAATTCATTTAAAATGGACTAGATTGCTTAATAGCTGTGCTTCTTTACAGAAACTTTTTTTAAAATCCCAAGAGACTCATTGGTAGTTGTAGTTTTCTTGTAAGTGTCTATCTTTGGCTTAAGGACAAAGTAAAAAAAAAATCATTGATATGTGATAGTTTACATTTTTTGTGGTTTAAGGATATAGGGTCAGTTAATATAATTGAATTTTAATTTCCTATAATGAAGTACTTTATTTCTGGATACTATATTTTGTCTAGCTGATATGTAATTCATTAAACTATCAATTTTTATAATAATGACAATGATAATTTTGCTGTTGGTTCTTGTTATGAGAACATTTCTGATTTGAACAAAAGTAGCCACATTATGAGAAAAATACATTATCCCTATTGAAACTGGAAGAGCTAGAATAATTCAAAAATTAGAATAACTTCAGATTCCTTTCGGGCTTTAATAATTTTCAAGTTTTCCTTATTACCAAATTGTCTGAATTACTTGTAAGAATGAGTACTTCTGCATTTAAAATATGTTTAGAAATTTGTGGTTTTACCCTTTCTTATGAATATAAATAGGTAATTTAGGGTATATTATAAAACATTGTAAATTGATATTCTTTTAATTGTTGATAAAATCTGGTATATAACAATTTATTATGAGCTACATTAAGCATATACAGTGAAGGAATATGTATTTCCATTATTCAGAATACTATATTCATATATCAGTGTTGCTGGTTAAAATCATTATATGTAACTATGAAGTAATATATTATCAAAGCTTAATTCAATGCAGTCTTTCTATTTTGTTTCTTCATTCATTCCAAAGACATACCAAGTGCTAAATCTTTGACGCCTCTTTGTGTGCCTTTATGTATTTGTTTATATGCTGTGTAATTGTCACTTTTCATTTCAATATTACATAAATCATTTCTTTGCTCTCATGAGCTTTTCTTAGGGCATACCTGGACATAAGTGACATGTTACATATTCCTCTGGATTTTTTTTAACAAAGTGTTTTTGAAGAATAGTTCTAAATGAAAAGTTTATTTAAAAATAGGGCTTGTTCTTACAAAGCAATATTGCATCTATATTTAAAATTCTCTACAATAGCTTGTTATTCAAAAGAATAGTATGATACAGTCTTTATTATGGAAAATGATATGTGTATGTTTCTTAGGTTTACTTGAAGCCAGACCTATAAATATATGTAGAGATAAACTTTGATGTTTTACTTTGGAATGTAAAAAAACTACACAGTTATGATTCAGTTTATTATATTTAATTTGTAAAGGACAACACTAGTTTTCTCATGCTTATCAGGAAATATATTCTTTCATAATATAAGGCATAATAGTCATTGTCAATAAAATAGAGATTAGATTTGAATATGGTTATCTCTTGGCATAATAAAATACTGAAATGGAACACTGTGTTTAGAATAAACGTGATGATTACATAATGATATCTGTACTTTACATGCAGTGCTACTCTTTCGGCATTCCTGGTTGAACTACTTAAAAGTTCAGTAGCCATGCAAGAACAGGTGCTGGGTGGAAAAGGCTTTTTAGTTATTGGCTAATTACTTGAAACGGTAGGTGATGTGTTGATGGTTTTATTGTGTAGCCTCACAGTTGGACAGCTGACAATCACTAATTATATTTTTTCTATAATTTCACTTTCCATTGACTGTGTAGAGATTATACTATTTGCTAATTCACAAACATCTTAGATTTAAGTGTAGACATGGAATTAACTGGGTATTGGAAGCATAATTAAATTTTGAATTAAAAAACTAAAGAAAAAAATTTCATCTATATCTATTCAAGCAATAAGTATCATTTAAGTTTTTCTATAGTAGTACCCCTTTATTTCTACTCTCTCTTTCTAAGGTGTCACTTACCCATGGACAACTGCAGTTCAAAAATATTAAATGGAATAAACAATTTATAACTTTTAAATTGTGTGCTGTTCTGAGTAGAGTGATGAAATCTCGTACTGTCCCTCTTCATCAAGTCCGGACATGAATCCTCCTTTTGCTCAGCTTTTTCATGCAGTATACACTGTCTTCCTATTAGTCATTTAGTAGCTATCTCAGTTCTCAGACTGAAAATCGTATATATCATCCACTAGGGGTCTTGGAAGCATCGCCTCCGGATAAGAAGTGAGTACTGTAGTTGTTTCTTTGCTATCTTTTCACTTAGACTTTTTTTTTTATTTTTTATTTTTTTTGAGACAGTGTCTCACTCTGTCTCCCACACTAGAGTGCAGTGGTGCGATCTTGGCTCACTGCAACCCCCACCTCCCGAGTTCAATCAAGCAATTCTCCTGCCTAAGCCTCCCTAGTATCTGGGATCACAGGTGCGTACCACCATGCCTAGCTAAAGTTTTGTATTTTTAGTAGAAACAGGGTTTTCCCCACGTTGGCCAGGCTGGTCTTGAACTCCTGATCTCAAGTGATCTGCCCACCTCGGCCTCCCAAAGTGCTGGGATTACAAGCATGAACCACTGCACCTGGCCTTAGACTGTTTCTTGAAAGTCTTTTTTATTAAGATAAAAATCTTTATATTTAGTATACATGGATTTACCTGTTAGGTTTTGTGTAATTTTTTAATTATGCGGTCAAAATTTTTATTTTGTAGTAATAGAAACATTATTTTGTGCTCTTTTTCCCTACTCTTAATATATATGACTATTTAAAGTAGTTTTTCTCATCTATACATAGTATAAACAATAAAAATTAGATGGGTTTACATTTTCCTATTTTGTGTCATTTATGTTGTTTTATGACCTCTTTTGCTTTAGTCACAGCTGTGCTTTTATGAGTGCTGAATTTCTGATTATGATCTCACAAGAGTTTAGTTGTATCATGTGATTTCCTTTAAAAATTAGTGAGATTTCATGAATAAGCGTTTTTTTATTTTTTATTTTTTTAGTATTTATTTATTTTTTTGAGACAGAGTCTCGCTATCGCCTGGGCTGGAGTGCAGTGGCGCGATCTCGGCTCACTGCAACCTCCGCCTTCCGGGTTCACGCCATTCTCCTGCCTCAGCCTCCCGAGTAGCTGGGACTACAGGCGCCTGCCACCACGCCCAGCTAATTTTTTTGTGTTTTTAGTAGAAACAGGGTTTCACCCTGTTAGCCAGGATAGTCTCGATCTCCGGACCTCGTGATCCGCCCGCCTCAGCCTCCCAAAGTGCTGGGATTACAGGCGTGAGCCACTGCGTCCAGCCAGCATGTTGTTGTTTTTTTTAATGACAAATACCTGTGCCCTTTATTAGCACTCTCAAACCTCTTATCAGTTAGTTAACTCTATAATATTCAGCTGCTCTGAAAATGAGACTATTTGAAAAGTAATAGAAGTGAGATCTCAACTAAGGGATAAACATACATTTCCTCTGGAAAAAAATTGAGAACATACTTTGAAGCAGTTTTAATTTTACCTCCAATTGTTTTACATTTGAAATGTTATCAGTTGATTAATGGACAAACAAAATGTAGTGTATACATGCAATTGAATATTATTTAGTCACAAAAAGAGTCAAGTTCTAAAATATGCTATATTTTATATATTACATGTCTTTATACATATATATGTTATATATATAAAAAATATGTCTTTGAAACTAGTGCTGACCTTTCCTTAAGGATTAAGCATTGAAGAGTGGTAGATTGTTAAGATTGATCATTGGTAGCATTTCTTTATTGAGATGATTTTTTCCATAACATTATTAAGAACTTAAGGCTCTTTGGTTTATTTTTTAAAATAAGAGAATACTCTTTTTCTGTATCTAGAGTATTAAGAATTGTTTAGAAGATGTATGATAAGCTACATTTAACATGAATTCGATAACATATGAAATGCCTTTGTAAGATTACTGTGTGTGACAGGATTTCTGTGAGGACTTACCCCTTTAAATGTGCTTTCATTTGTTTACTTGAGAATGTATCAGAAAATCCTAAATTAAACATTCTTTTACTTAAAACTTAGCTTATAATTAGAAATATTTGTAAAAGCCTTCAAATAAAAATGTATGTTAATATTTCATATTATAATGTCAATTTAGTGGATGCAAAATATTATTTCATTGTGGTTTTAATTTGCACTTTTCCTAGATTTTGAATAAGATTAGACATTTTCATATATAATTATGGAAAATGAATATTTTATCTTCTTTGTTATTCATTTCCTTTACCAATTTTCCCTATATCTCTTCATGATTCCCACCCCTAGTCAATCCATAATTCACTTTTTGGCTTTATGAATTGCTTATTCTAAATATTTCATGTAAGTGGGATCATACAATATTTGTCTTTTTGTATTTGGTCCATTTTGCTTAGCATAATGTTTTCAGTGTGCATCCATGTTATAGCATATTTTTTTCATTCCTTTTTATTGCTAAGTAATATTCCAACAGTATTTTAATTTGTATAGCTTTTTAGTGCGGCCTGATATTTAAGAGTATGTCATCTAGCTTTACTGTTGTTCTTGACGATTGCCTTGGCCATTTCTGAGTCTTTGCATTTCCATATATGTCAGCTTATCAACTTCCACCAAAAAACATGAGGATTTTTATTGTATTATATTGACATCTTTCCTATATTGAATCTTTCAAGTCATATACTTGGTATATTCTTTTATTAATTTAGATTTTCTTTTGTAGTTTTCTGTATAGAACAGTTTCTGTCTTTTTGATGGATTTATTTCCAGATATTTGATATTATTTGATGCCCTTAAAATTTTAATTCTTTGCACTTGATCTTACCCAAAAGGCCAAGAAGCAATTAAAAGTTTTGATTTTTAATTTGTTACTGGTACATAGTATTATAATTGATATTTATGTTGAACTTTTATATACCAATCTTTCTATTCCTCTATTAAATCTAGTCATTTGTAGATTTTTTTCAAAAAAAATTTTGTAGACAATAATAACATCGGAGAATGATAGTTTTGTTTTTTCCTTTCTAATATTTATTTTTTTATTTTTTTCCTTGCCTTGTTATGCCACCTAAAGACTGCCAGTACAGTGTTGAATAAAAGTTGTGATAGTGGCCATCCCTGTCTTATTCCTGATCTCATGGGCAATGCTGTTAATAATTAGCCACTAAGTATGATCTTTTTAATAATTAGTTTTTGTAGATTTTTTAGTTAAATTAAGGAATTATCTATTTCTATTTTTCTAAGAGTTTTCTTTATTATAAACAGGATTTTATCAAACATCTTTTCTGCAGTATTTGAGATGAGTATGATGTTTCTCATTTTTCTTAGTGAATTACATTGATTATTTTTCAGATTTTAAACCTTCCTTATATTCCTGGACACTCACTTACTCCTAAATCTATTCCTATTCCAACCTGTCTTTCGTTCTTCCATGTCCTTTCAGATGGCTCATGTCTTTGTCACCAGTGGCCTTCACAGTCTGTCCTGTGATTATTTCTCAGTCCTTATCTTATTCGACCTGTGAATATTTCGGTTGAACAGTCTTTCCTTCTTGAAATGCTTTCTTGCATTGTGTTTTGCCATGGTTTGCTTTGTTTTTCTCTTACTTATTCTCTCTCATTAGTTCTCCTTCATCTTTATAAACTCTGATGACTCTTCTTTCCCAGTGATTAATCCTGGAAAGCATTTCACTTTTCCATCTACACAGTACCTTACTCTAATTGAGATTATCCACTTCTACAGCTCCCGTGATCCTGTAAATACTAATTACCCTCAATTGTTTCTCCTATTTTTAGTTCCACTTGGATTTCTAGTAATCTTCTTGACTAAATTATCCAAACTGATTTTTCTCTCAAATTTTTCATCCTTCAGAGTTGTTTGTCTTATTTAGTGGCATTACCATTCAACAAGTAGTTGAAACCAAAAAGTTAATTGTTTTTGACTCTACTTTTGTTGCACTCTAGATCCAAACTCTCAGGAAATTATGTTGTTTTACTCTCAAAACATATCCAGAATCAATTACTACTTCCTCTTTATTTCTCAACTCCTTACTATGTCCGTTGATACCATTTTAGTTCAAATCATGATCGTCCTTCACCATTGGTTACCTACAGTCCGTTTTTCACTTGCAGTTAGACTAGTTGTCCTAAAATGTGCCAAATCTTATTCAAGTCTTCATCCTTCTCATAATGAAGTCATAAGCCTTACACCTCACATCATCTCTCCCCACTCTCTTGCTTTCTCTGTTTTAGGCAAAGGTCTTTTTGCCTTTCCCTTAAGAACTAAAATGATAAGAATTTACCCAAGGACTTTTGCATTTACTTCCCCCATTGTTTCCATCACTTTTTCTTCAGATACTCACAGAATTTGATTCTATGCTTCATTCAGGATTTTGCTTGTATGATGCCTTATCACAGAAATATTCTCCGATCATTCTAAATAAATTAGTATCCCTTCCATAACCATCAGTGTTTACCTACTCTGCTAATTTTACAGCACCATTCTGGCGTGTTTTATATTTTTTACCAATTTTCTGCCTCCTCCTGCTAGAATGTAGGCTTCATGAAAGCAGGGGCAATATATATATATGTATGTGTATATATATATATGTATGTATATATATTTTTTTGTCTCCTCTTATTGTTATATCTTCAGCACCTAGCACAGTGCTGGGCTCAGTAAATAGTTGTTGAATTGAGTATATGAAATGTCCTTGCATGCTTGTCTGATTACCTAAGAAACAGTAACTTTTTTACCTTTCTCAGAGGAATGCTCATATTGTGTTATTTTTAAATAATCAGTGGCCAGGTTAGTATTAATAGTATAGGTAATAGAAGTTTGATTTTTTAATTTCTTAACTTAATAACAGGTTACTGGTTAATGCCACTTAGCTTTTATATCTCCTTGTCATAGAAGATATCTTAGGAAGATAGTATATGCGAGGCCTTTTATTAATAACAATTTTACTGTTCCATGAAAAAATTTTAAGGTGTTTTTGTTTTGTTTTGCCAAAATATGATCTTGTGGAAAACTTAGAGGTTATCCAGTATATTCAATAGGATATTTTTGATTGTGGTTAGTAGAAAATTTGATTCAAAGTATCTTAAACATTAAGAAAATATACTAACTAATGTAACAAAGTCTAGTGTTAGATAGCATATCAGTTATATTCTTGGCAGGAAACAGATGGCGTACTCAACCTAGGTTTTTGAGAAGAGTTTAATGCAAGGGTATTTAAAAAGTTGAAAGCAGGGAGCTTGGGAAGATTTGAAGAGATGAGGGGAATAAGTGTTTAGCATAACCCAAAGAGAAAGTTATTGTAGCTGTAGAAGGGTACCTGATGGGACTGTGGTCTTCAAGAAAGGAGTATAGTGTAAGTGTACTGAAGGGGTAAAATCTGGAAAATGTATACCCAACTTCATTTTCTTTCTGTCCCTTAATTTCTTGCTAATGTCTTCAATTAGTCAAACTCAGCTGGAAACCAGTAGGCAAGGGAGCGTCCCAAGCATTAAAACAGGACAGGGAGGTTGGAAAGGCAGCAAAAGGTTGGAAAAGCAGCAAACATAAGTTGTGTTTCAGGGCTGGGTTATCTGAGTCTCAATAATGTCATCAGAGACCCAGGTTTTATCTATATCTCTGCTGTACCAGCTACAGTGTTGATTTTATGCTAAAGCTGATACTGTTTGAGGTCACAAGGCTGCCAGAGAGAATTAGTGCTATAGACCTTCACATCCAGGTGAAGAAAGCAAGCTCCTTTCTGTCAATTACTGAGCAAGATTCTTCTCTCCAATTTGATTGGTTAGCTTAGAGCTTGGCTGGCCTTCTTTTGAATCAATTGTTGCTATGCTACACTTTGATACTGAGTCTCTGAACTAATCATTGCCTGCCACCCTCCCCATCACTCCACCAAAACAACAACAAATGATTAATCTGGTTGGATTAGGCTATTTGGAGCACAACCTTGGAGTCCTGGGAGGAGCAGAATGGATAATAGACTATGGTGTACCTCTACAATTAAAATAGTTTTACACAATTTATTGAATATATAATCATACATGTTATGGGTATATGTGTGTGTATGTATAATGCTTTCTACAATAAAAATGAACATTTCTGATAACCTGTTCCATTATAGGCTAATCTAAATGTTGGAACAATCTCTCTTTATTGAACAGAAGTTTCTCTTTGTAACTGCCAGTGCTCCTATTTGGTTTAGTTAATTCTGGATTGGATGCTACAATGCAACTATTTTTATAACTTCTCAGGTATTATTTCCAAATATGGTTAGCCATGTCACATTATAGTACTTCTTAAAAATTATGTATTCTGTCACCACATAAAATTAATATATAGATCAAATTCCAGGGCTTGCATTTTCTATGAGATTTAAATTGTTCCATCTAAAGGTTACAGATTTATAACTATAAATTATCCAAGTATAGATCTGTTTTTAAAGTAGTTTTACTTCAGAAAATGAAAACAAATACCAAAATATAAAAATATTTTGAAACTGTTAATCAAATGAAATACATTTAAAAGCAGAGTTAGAATCTTCTTTCTTCTCTTCCCAGGCTTTGTTTTTTCCTACCTATTCTATTCTTACTCCATTTTTGAATTTGACATTAATTCAGTTAAATGTTCCCTGAGAAATTAGGGTAGGGATCAGGAAGACAAAAGATGAATAAGATAATATTCTTTCTTATATTACGAAAGAGAGATTTTTTTTTTTACTAACAATAATACAAGGAAGGAGGAATAAGTACTTCTAAGAGGTAAAGGTAACATGCTGTTGAAGAGAATATTCATTTATACATTTATACACTATTTATAATCCAGAATAGTAGGATTTTGAGGAGATCAATAAAAAGACAATAAAATATTTTCTAAACAATAATTTTAGAATGAAAATCTGCCACCCAACAGCATTAATTGTTATGTGAAAACAGCAGGCCCCCCCATTTTTTTTTAAGTAATGTGGAAGGCCTTGTGATGCTTTTAGTATACCTTTTAATATCATGGTCCAAGTTCCAAACTTGTTTCTATATTATGAATTCATCAAGTGGCTATGTTTATAATGGTCAGCCTGATTTTATAATACAGGTTAATGTTCTTTATAAGGACATGATGAATAATTTTTATGAGCTACAGTCTGGTCACATAGTATGTTTATTAACAGGATCTGACTGTATTTTATTTTAGAGTTTTAAGTGTGAGAGTAGAATGTTATCAGATCATGTTCTTGAAATCATTACTACTGAATAAAAATAGAATGTATAAGATAAGCTATGTGAAATTATATTTAGTGAAGGAGCTGGCTGAAGTTTTAAATAACTATTGATCTCTTATTTTAATTTTATTCCTTTACAAATAAAATATTTTTAATTTAAAGTACTATATTATTTTCACTGATACTCCTTTAAATATGAATACTCAATCTTTACTTTTTAAACTCAAATGTTTGTTTTGGTTCCCCTCCTTTATTAACTCAGCTATTTATTTAGATTAATTTCCACCATCTTTCATAAAATTTTCAGTGAAAATTATGTACTAAGGTTTGCTTTGAATTTTGTAGGCTATTGCTTATGTAAGCACCATTGGTAATTTTGTCAGACAAAGAATTCTATTATATTAATACTAAATTGTTTGAACCAATTAAATGCCCCCTTCTTAGTAAAACCTGTTCACCATTCTTCTACAAATGTTTTATCTGCTCCATAGTTTCTTTCATTGAACTTAGTAACCTCTAACATGTTACATATTGTACCTTTTTATTTTATTTACTCTGTGTTCCTGCCTTATCATCTCTTAGAATATGTTCTGTGAGACAGAGTTTTTACTTCAATTTTGTTAGCTGCTTTTTTGACAGTGCCAGGGAGTGTATTTGACTGACAGTGAGCAATCAGCATGTATATTTTCTAAATGACTAAAATAAAAGTCTTGAGCTCTACCTTTAAGGTAAAGGAAATGTATGCAAGGGTGTTACAAACTGGGGGAGCAAGACAGAGAAAGCAGGGGAAGAAAATGTGTCCTGTGGGTGAAACTGGCCCACGGTAATATTCTGTGGGACTCAACAAAAAGGTTTAGTTTTGTTCCTCACCACTCTTTTTTGTCTCCTACACTGGTTTACACATTGTTGTTATTTGCAATCATTTTAGTTTGTGACCTTTTATGTAGAAGTGTGAAAATTCATGATGTGCTTAAGTCAAATTTATTGAGTTGTCCTTATGATCATGAGAAATGTAGCTAAATCATATGGGAGGTAAAATTGGTAAGACAGTTTCATCCCTTTTAAATTTTGATAATCTTAAACTGACATTCAGACTTCAGTCAGTGAAGAATAGGAAGGAAAGATGTGTTGTGTGATGTGTGCTTTAGGGTTGAGTGGTACATGATTCTTTACCCTATGACTGAAAGGATAGTGATACTACAAAACTGTATCACTAGATGAGGAAGAAAAGATTTGTGTCGGAAGATATATTTTTTGAAGTTTGAGTTTGAATTATCAGCTTTTGTGAAGAGCATTTTTTAATATAGCATTTTTATCTGAAATTGTATTCTAGGATAGCATTGTCCAATTAAAATACAATTCAAACCTCAGGTGCAATTTAATATTTTCCAGTAAAAAATTACAGGTTATATTAATCTTAATAATGTCTTTAGTCTAGTATTTTATTTTGATAATATGCAAAATATTATTTCAACATCTATTCAATAAGAAAATACGATTTTTAAAAATATTCTGAGCTGGAAAAACCCAGTGTTTTCATACTCACAACACATCTCACTTTCAATTGCAACATTCCAGCAGCTCAGTTGCCACATAGGGCTTCTGGCTACTGTATGAGATGGTGCAGCTTTAAGGTTCGGTTTCAATTTTGGAGAGTCTGTTGTTTAAATACCATTGGTAATAGGTATATGGTGATAGCAGTTGAAAATTCTTGAAGTGAGTACTCAGCATAGACATAGTGTTATATGAAGCTGTGAAAGCATAATATATCCAGGGATACGGTATTTATGAAGAGCAGACCAAGGAAATAATATTTTAAGCAATATTTTACATATTTTTAAGCAATATTTTTACATGTTTTAAACAATCTCTATTTTTATGTCTAAGATTTCTTCTTATATGTCAATTTCTACAAAAAATGAAATGAAGCCATTCTTATAACATTTCATTTCTTTAGCTTTAGCTAATAGTAGCATTATTTAACTTGAATTATGTATCTGTAATTGTCTTAGATTAGGCTTCAAATAACAAGCTATCACTCAAAGAAATAGCTAAAATTTTAGATCTCTTAATAAAATTATATTTTAATAGCAAATAATATAAATGTATTTCATATTTATTAGTGATAGCATATGAAAAATTCATGTGTGCTTATGCTAAGTCAGAAATTATACAATTTAATATTCTGGATATTTCAAGCTAGAATTTCTGTTTTCTTTCTTAGTCATCAAGAGTTCATATAACTAGACCTGTCTTGGAGCAATTTTTATCTTTTGCAAAATACCTTGATGGTTTATCTCATGGAGCACCTTTGCTGAAGCAGCTTTGTGATCATATTTTGTTTATTAACCCAGCCATCTGGATACATACACCTGCAAAGGTATGAGTTTTATACTTATTCAGTTTGTTTTAGTGTAATGTTATACATTATAGTTGCTGGATCTAAAGTATCCAGTGGAAAACATTTGAACATTTTAGCTTATTTTATAGTTAATCTGCAGCAATTGTGTTAGGCAGTATCAGGAGATCAAAATATTTATAAGTAGTAAAATAAATGAAACTATAGGTAAAAAAGAATCTTTGTGTAACACTGCATTCTAACATCTTTAGATGTGATACATACTTCTCCAATGAAGAGAATTTGCTATACCAATTTTTGAAAGACTAGGAAAGAGAACAGATAACTAATTGTATTATGACTGTAATCATTTTGCTGGAAAATTGCTTTCATTTTGAAGGCAGAATTTATATCATTACATGTAAATAATACTCACTTAAAAATAAATATATACATGAAATAAATATTTTTCCAGATAATAACAGAAAATTCTTATTATTTTGTATACCAGAATTTAGTCTTAGTGGAAATCAATAATGAGGGATATTTTGATTTTGAGCTATCTTTTACAGTTTAATAATATCTCCCTGAGTTATTAATTATTGCCTAAGCCCAAATCTTAATTTTGAGAACTCTTTTAAGCAAGATGTCCGACATGCCATCTCTGTGCTCACATGGTCAGATTGTGAAAGCAAACTATATATATTATGGCCACAGGGGAGGAGAATTTGAAATTGCATGAACTTTTAGGATATATGACAAAAATATATAGGTTTTTAGATAGGCTTTAGCTGACTGATGTTCTGTTGCTATGAAGAAATTTATACACTGAAAGCTACTGAAATATACTTTAAGAGCTTTAGTTGACTTTTAAAAAATTTTAATCTTTTTATCAGATTAATTTCAATAAATTAATCATTTTAAAATTATTTAATTGCCACAGCTGTTAGACTACCTTATTATAATAAGTTTATTAGAAAACGTTAATTGCAGATTTTATATATATATATATATATATATATATATATATATATTTTTTTTTTTTTTTTTTTTTTTTTTTTTTTTTTTTGAGACGGAGTCTCGCTGTCGCCCAGGCTGGAGTGCAGTGGCGCGATCTCGGCTCACTGCAGGCTCCGCCCCCTGGGGTTCACGCCATTCTCCTGCCTCAGCCTCCCGAGTAGCTGGGACTACAGGCGCCCGCCACCTCGCCCGGCTAATTTTTTGTATTTTTAGTAGAGACGGGGTTTCACCGTGTTAGCCAGGATGGTCTCGATCTCCTGACCTCGTGATCCGCCCGCCTCGGCCTCCCAAAGTGCTGGGATTACAGGCGTGAGCCACCGCGCCCGGCCTTTTTTTTTTTTTTTTTTTTTTTTTTTTTTGTTTGTTTGTTTGAGACGGAGTTTCACTCTCATTGCCCAGGCTGGAGTGCAATGGCGCGATCTTGGCTCACCGCAATCTCCGCCTCCCTGGTTCAGCCCATTCTCCTCCGTCAGCCTCCCGAGTAGCTGGGATTACAGGCATGTGCCACCGTGCCTGGCTAATTTTTTTGTATTTTTAGTAGAGATGGAGTTTCTCCATGTTGGTCAGGCTGCTTTCAAACTCCCGACCTCAGGTGATGCACCCGCCTCAGCCTCCCAAAGTGCTGGGATTACAGGCCTGAGCCACCGCGCCTGGCTATATATTTTTAAAATACAAATAATATTGAAGAAGAAAGTTATCTTTAACCTCTTAATAAATGATCATTTCTTGGCCTTTACTAATTTCCGTTTAAATTAAAACAATGCATATTTATAATATAAGCACTTGAGGCATTTTAAGTTCATTTTAATGATCTGTTAATATTCTGTATTAGGTTCAACTTTCCCTATATACATATTTGTCTGCTGAATTTATTGGAACTGCTACCATCTACACCACCATACGCAGAATAGGAACAGTTATTAAAGATAATGCACACCTTAAAATATTACTACTGGGTTATTAATCCTGCTGACAGTAGTGGCATTACACCTAAAGGATTAGGTATGTATAACACTTCCACTGTATTTACATTTGCCTATGAATATTCTGTATTCTGAGTACTGTTAAAGTGTGAGCCGTGTACATGACTATGAAATCACTGAAATGTTTTCTTTCTTATGTAGCAAACTGGCATATTGAGAATTGTTTGTGGTAAAGAAGTTTAGGGCTTTTCAATATTAAATTATTTTGGAATAAAATCAGGTAAAAAGCAACAATAGTCTTTATTTTAGCCTGTATGCCTTTTTCCATTCAGGAAGACACATTTATAATATTAAAAACAGTTAAATGATATTGGTTAGTGTGTTCTAGTACATCAGTTGCTTTCAACATTTTCAGATTGTTACATGTTTTCATATTTTTATTCCAGATTTATCCTTTGTTCTGACTGTAGTGGAAACTAATTTAATTCTTCACTGTGATATCTTTTTTGTTTTGAAAATATAGCCAGTTTTTCTAATTATACAAAAAAAAGAAAATAATACAGAAGAAAATATATATTTATGGCCCAAACCCCAAGAATAATTACTGATACGATTTTGGCATGTTTTCTTCCAGTGTTTCTCATTGCATACATATATAAAAATATTTAAACTTCTTAATTATAAATTGAGATTTTCTCAATTTTTCTATCTTGTCCTTTTCTCAGCTCAATGTAGTAATGTAAGGGGATGTACCATTTACATTGTTTCTAAAGTTTTGATTTTATACATATTAGAGGATTCTCTCATATATATATGTGTTTACCTCCATCTTTGATTTGTTTAAAATTACTGAAAAAGGGGCTAATGACAAATATTTTAAATTTTTTTCAGGAATGTCATATTATTTTAGTTTTACCAGTAGTATGTTAGAGTACTTCCTTTAGCGTGCTCACAATAACATTGAATATTATAGTTTTATAATAATCCCTTTGATAAGGAAAAATAGCATTTTCCAATTTTTTTTTTTTTTTTGAAATGGAGTCTCCCTCTGTCACCCAGGCTGGAGTGCAGTGGTGCTATCTGGGCTCATTGCAAGCTCTGCCTCCCGGGTTCATGCCATTCTGCTACCTCAGCCTCCCGAGTAGCTGGGGCTACAGGCCCCCGCCACCACGCCTGGCTAATTTTTTGTATTTTTAGTAGAGGGGTTTCACCGTATTAGCCAGGATGGTCTCGATCTCCTGACCTCGTGATCTGCCCAACTCGGCCTCCCATTTTACTATTTTAATATTTATACAAGCTTACTTTTATCTCTTTTTATTTTATTAATGGGGCTTTAGAAGTTATTTATATTCAGATCTGTTATTTTGTCCTTCTATGGCTTCTTCCATTGCTTTTAAGTTGGTAATGCCTAAAATGTATTGGATTTTTCTGCCAAGCACTCTACCTGTTAATTTGTTTAGTAATATATATATATATATATATAAAACATAATATAATTATAGATAAATAGACATATTCATATCCATACATAAGACTGCATCTATATGTAACTTTGTTTTTGATATCATCCTCATTTTAAAGATTAGGAAACTGAAAGTTGGTGCAAACCAACCAGCACCAAAATTTGGATCATATCTATCTGACTCAGAGATCTCATTCTTAAATGCTACTCTATGATAGAGTTTTCTCTAGTCTAAACAAATCATATATTCACACATAATAATTTCTGCCTTAAAATATTAATTTCTAATTTACAGAAGAGTTACAAAGTTGCAAACATTGCACAAAGAATTCTCATATGTCCCTCAGTAGATTCTCAGTATTTTACATCTTACCACTTTAGGCTTTACTATTCTCTCATGCTCTTTTTATATATATATAAACACACCTACAGACACATGCCCATATTTTTTTCTGAATCAATTGATAATAAATTGTAGACATGATACCCTCTCACCTCTAAATACTTTATTGTGTATTTCCTGAAAGGTAAAGGCACTTTGTTAAATAACCAGAGGATACCCATTAATATCAGGAAGTTAGCATTAATACAATACTATCATCTAATTCAAAGACCCCCACTCAGATTTCACTAATTACAGTAATAAAGTCCTTTCTAGGAAAAAACTTCTTTTGTCCTAAGTCTGTTGAGGACCATATGTTGTGCTTAGTTGCCTTGTTACTTTTAATGTTCTTCAATGTAGAATAGTTTTTTACTATTTCCTTGTCTTTCAGGACCTTGACATTTTTGAAGAATACAGACCAGTTATTTTTTCGAATACCCTTAAATTTGAATTTTCTATTTGTTCATGATGATGCAGGTTTTTCATTTTTACAAGAAATAACACAGAAGTCATATTGTCTGTCTCCTTGTATCATGTCAAGGAGACACATGATGTTGAGTTGTGCTTTTACAAGTGATGTCAACTTTAAACATTTGATTAAGGTATTATCTTCCAGGTTTCTTCATTATAAAAATCACTTCTTTCTCTTTGGTAGTTAAGAAGTATTTGATGGAGAAATACATTGAAACTATATAAATATCCTGTTCCTCAACAAAGTTTCACCTGCCTGTTTTAGTGTGCTGATGATTCTTACTAAAAATTATCTTTATTATGATGACTGACAAATGATGTTTTCTAAGACATTGATTAAGTTGGCATATCTACTGTAAGGAAGAACTTGTTTTACTACTCCACTCTATCTATCTATCTATATCTATCTATCGATCTGTCTGTTTATTGATCTGTCTGTCTATCTATCATCTTTTATATCAGTATGGACTCATGTATTCAATGTGTTATATCAACAGTTGGCATACTTTCTTTGCAAAGGGCCAGATAGTGTTTTAGGCTTACGGAGCCATAAGGTCTCTGTTGCACATAGTCAGCTCTGACATTGTATTGCAGAAATAACCACAGACTGTATGTAAATGAATAGGTGTGGCTTGTTCTAGTGAAACGTACAAAAACAAGTGGCCTGATTGGTTTAGTCCTAGGGCTGTGGTTTATCTGTCTCCTGGGTTGTATCATTATTTTGATGCTCGAGATTTGGCCAGTAGGACCCTTCACATGGATTATGGGACAAATGCCCATAAGTTTATAATACTTTCTTACTTTCTGAAACAAGATGTTTTTGACTTTTCTTACACTTTCCTTATCCCAGCCCTGAAATTAGCCATTTTTCCAAGAAGCCCTGGTTTGCTTGGTGGATATGGTTTTTAGAAACCAAGATCTGGATGTGAGGTGTGCTTCTTGGTTTTTGAATGTCATTGCTTCTACATTCTCTTAGTGGACAGATCTAGGAAATGATGTTTGAATCTATGTATATAGGTACATCTCAACTGATTTATCTATATTAAAACCATGAGTTCACAGCAGTACCTTCAATTCCAGTCACATGGCTCGACCTAGCCTCAAACTTCTTAAATGTGTAGCTTTCTTCTTCAATAGTGAGAAGTCTTGCTCCTATTGTCTTTAATATATTTATATGTTTTCTTATTCTATTTTACAAAACCAATATTTTGATACACATGCCATAACCTTCTCAGCTTTAACATTGCTAGTCATCTCTAATCATACCCTCAGATTTGACTCTGAATGGTCCTTGTTGTCTCTTCAGCCCCAGTTGTTTCTTTGGCACTGGCCGTCCTCCTGACCTCTACTGTCTCCTTGGCCCTCACCCTGAAAGTCCTTCCAGACTCACTTGCCTCTGGCTCTATAAGATCCTGGGTATCACCAGGGCCTCTGCTCCCTCCATAGAACCCGTGTCCCTGAGGCCTCACTGGTTCTAGCTACATCAAAGAGAGGGAAAGGAAGAGAACCAGTAGTACATATATTTTAAGTGAAAGTGACAGGAAAGTGGAATGAGCACTTATTTTTCTTTATCATTTAAATTATTACTTTAACATTTTAATACTTTGAAATTAATTTTGTTATATAGTAGAATGTAAGGTTCTGACTTGAAGTGTATCATTTTCTAAATGACAGCATTTTTCAATACCATTTTAAACAAATGCTTTCTTTTAAGGACACTCTAAAGATAATGTGCACTACACTAGTTTTCGTAGAACTATTCATGTGTAGGCACTCACCTTGAGAAGTAGGATTTTTTTTTTACTTAAAGCTTTTGTCTCTTAAATTATTATTATATATAGTTAACTGTAAAAACATTGAGATATATTAAAAATATTATAGGACAGGTAATACATATTCATGGGAGCAAGTGAAATAATACAAAGGTTTATGAATAAAAAGTTACTACTCTCCTAGGTAGCCAATGTTACCAGTCTTGCATATCCTTCTACTGCTTTTTCTCTGCTCATACAAACATGAACTTACTCATGCATACACCTAGGTGTTTCAAAGTTTTATTCTGAATACATCACGAACACAAAGTGGTATAATTACATATATCAATGTAATATATAAACATGTTATAAATATGAATATAAATATAAAATGAACCCTATTTAAACATCACTAAGCCTAAGACACAGAACATTACCAATGAGCCTGAATATTCTCATGCGTGGCCACATCTCTTTTCTATTCCCCGTCATAGAAATCACTCCATCCCAAATTTTACGTTATTTCTTTTCTTTACTTGGGTGCTTATTATTTTTTACTATGCTTTACTCTTTTGCTATTTATGTATATATTATTAATTTATTGTTTAGCTTCTATATTTTACATAAATAGTATTATTTTGGGATTTGTTTTTTCATTGAGTTTCATATTTGTTAGATAAATCGGTTTATATTTTATTTTGCAGAAATGGATTTATATCATACACAAAGCACACAAATATATATATTTCTTTGCAACATGCTGTTTGTATTGTGCAGTATACAATAAAAGTAATTATTGCTAACATTTGAGTGATTATGATTAAAATGGGCCTGGTACTAGTCTAATTTCTTTACATATGTTGATCCATTTAATCCTCACAAGACGTCCTATGACAAGCAGTATTATTATTCTTACCCTAACAATAAAGAAGAAAACAAATCTTAGGTACAGAGATGTTATAAAACTTGTCCAATTTTATTAAGTGGTGGCAGAAATAGTAAGATTAAGGAAATTATTGCTAAGACAGAATCTGTCTTTTCTTGGATGGAGTGGGGATGTGATCAGGAACAGGAATGTGGCACAGAGCTGAGGTCTGGAGCATGGTGAGGGCTTTGGCATGCAGGGCAGGATGGGGACACAATCAGTTGTTAGATATTCAGGAATTTTATGAGCTGGTTGTTAAACCATTGGTAGCTTGAACTTGAAATCAGGTTATTATTAATATGATAGAAATCAGAAATCCGTAAATGCTCAAAATCAGGACCTCATCCCTCCACTCTGCAGATAATTCCTTTACCAGCATACCAATAGTTGACAGGTTTCCCTGTCAGGCTACTGTCAGTGTTCAATTTCTTGGTCAAAGAACTGTTTATACAGGTGTTCATTTTATGATAATTCATTAAGTTGATCATGTATGTTTTCTGTACATAGGCAATATTTTACAATGAAAAGTTTTTTTTAAGTAATACCCAGTGTCAGTAGGAAGGGAAGAGTACTCTGTGCATCTTAGTGGGAGTGGGGCAATAAAAGGTGGAGAGCAGTCTGGGAAATAGGGAAAATATTTCTTTTATTATAATAGGCAGGATGGATTTTTTGGATAATAACTTGCTTGCAGATGTAATAATCTTCATGTAAATGTTAAGTGAATAAGCAGATGGTATAGATTATACATGAAGGGATTATGCTTTTAAAACTTGTAAAGCAGTAGATAAATACTGGTTGCTACAAGAAAGGCTTAATGTTAAAGGATTTTTATGAATCTAGCTACATTTCTTAAAAGTATACTTTATTGTATATTACGCATATTATATATTATTTTATATTTTCATTTTATTAGTAATTAGATATTTTGAAATTACTTTAAAATTTGTACATTATGATAGAACTGATATGTACATTTGAATATTTTATGCTCATTTTCAGTTATTGACACAGCATTTATTAAATGCCCACCATAATATGTATTTTCTTTATACAAGTGCCATAGAAGAAATAGGCTGCAAAACAAATAATTAAAATAAAACAGTGTCACTTTTTCTGAGCTTTATTAAATAATGTGTGGGGTGAAAATGGAGACAGTCCTTAAATGAAGACAAGTTTAATTGAGAATGGAAGACATGTTGGGAAACCTATTAATGTAATAAAAACAGAAAAAAGTATTCAAGTATTAATGTAAATACTTGGGGATTATACATTTATAAATGGATACTAATATATTACAACTTTTTTAAAAGTTCTTTTTTCCACAAAATCAGACATTGAGTAAATAATTTGAAATTGCCAAAAATTTGAAAGTTAACTTTTGGATACCCATATATTATTAAAATTTTATAGCATTAATATAAATATTGTAATTTTAATAAATATAATTATTCAAGAATGCCATAGTATCCCAACATAACTGCATTAAGCTTATTTAATATCTTGTATTTTTTATTTTTACTTTTTTTTCTGTTTTGTTCTTGATGGTCCCCAGCCATCACAAAAAGAAATTATATCACTGAGGGCATTTATGCTACTTTTTCTGAAACAGCTCATACTAAAAGTAAAATAATTTTATATAATTTAGAATTACAGTGTATAGGTAGAAAGGAAATTCTGGCATGTTTTAAAATTATTATTGTTAAATTAGTAATAGCTACCTTTAATTAATGAATTGCTTCCAAAATTCTGCACATCTTAATATTAACTTTATTGAACTTAACTAACTTCTGGTTAAATGCTCTCTGAAATCTTCCCTATTAAGGGATGTGACAGAAATGGACAAGGAACATATGAATAAGAATTGAGCCCTTATTCTTATAGTAATTGACCATTATTCTAGAAAATGGTCTGTGTGCCAGTTTAAGAAGGCTTACATAATGTATTTTATTGTAGTAGGATTTTTTAAATGTTAAGATGAAAACAAAGTGAAAATAAATTGTGAGGTAATACACAAAAATTGATACTGTATAGTCTTGCACTTGTATTCAAGAAAGAATGATTAGAAAATAGTCATAAGAATACTTCGATGGTCAAAATATGCTAACTTTTTATAGTGAATGTCAATCAAATATTAATGACTTAAAAATTGATATAATTTTCTAAATATTTACTTACCTTGAAATAATATAGTCTATAAATTGTGAAATGTGTGGGGATTTTAATTCAAATATCACTACATTAAACTTTTATTTTCTTTTAAAATGATTATTTTGGTGTCTTTTAAATTAAAATTTTAATTTTAGATGTAAAATAATAAAATATTTTTTAAAAATTAAGATCAAAGGGTCAAAGAAGATGAACTTCAGAGTATATTAAATTACCTTCTTACAATACATGAGGTAGGACATGTTATGGACCTTTTATTTTAATTATTTAAGCCAATCTTTAGAATAAAATTTAAATCAATATTGGTGATTTATGCAGGATGAAAATATTCATGATGTGCTACAGTTACTGATGGCTTTAATGTCAGAACACCCAGCCTCAATGATACCAGTATTTAATCAAAGAAATGGAATAAGGTATGATTATAATAGTATTACTATTAGACGTCAATGGAGCACAGTTGTTCCTCCTAGAATAATTCCTATTCTATGAATATTTGAATAAATATAGCATCTTACACATAAGAGAGTATAAATGGAGAATGCTGCTGTTGATCCTCCAATACTCAGGAAACTGATGAAGTGTATAAACAGTAGTCTCAGGAATCAAGAAGAGTAAATTGTTTTTGCTATAGTAGGGACATTACAAATTGTGAATAGAGCAATTTTTTTTTCAAGAAGACACGAAAAAGCAAGGTATGTTCTACCAAAAGAGGATACAATGAAATTTTATGATATTAGGCCTGAGACAGAGATTACAGCCAGTTTTGGAAGGTTCATAGGATGGTAGTAACTTTAGTGTTTCGTTTTTTTTTCAGTTGGTGATGAAAATTAAAGAATTTTAAATAGGGGAAATGTGCTCAGATTGCTATTTTGTTAGATTTACAATCACCAGTGTGAAACATGAGTTGAAGGACAAACTGATGTAGCAATATCTTTAGGGAGATTATTTTATTCATCAGTATTAAAAATGATGACCTGAGACAGTAGCAGTGCAATGGAAATAATAGAGATGAAAGATGTTCTGGAGTTAAGAGGCCAAAGCCTAAAGAAATTGAAAACCAACTTTTGTTGTGGCAATTGAAAAGTAACTTGGTAGACAGGTGAAATATAATTTCTTAGTTAGTATTTTTCTGAACTTAACCCTATAATTTAGCTTCTTAAGGAATTCTTCCTTTTTATTTTTCTGGAGTTTTAATTAGTGGGATGAGCAGGATATCAAGGTTATGCCATGTATAACTCAGTGAATTTCTACAGATTTATTGTGAAAAAGAGTTTGGAAAGAATATATCAGTGACTGTCAAGGGCTTTTTTAAGTGCTTTTTTTACTTGGCCATTTATATCAATGGATAACAACTTTCTAGACTTGAAGAACTCCTTTTCAAATTAGAGAAGCGATCACTATCTCTATATGCATATCTCCCTTGTGACATCGCTATTACCTTTGAGTTTATAATTCAAAGGCCTGCCAATCTATTTGAAAAAGATTATACATTTAGTGATTAAAAACTGTTATAATTTTTTACTCTTGAGTTTGAACTATATGAAACTGTTGATACTTAACTGATTTTACCAAATAATGGCAATTTCATATGGTTCGATCTAATAAGGTAGTACAATTACACTCACTCTTCTGAACTTATATTTAGATTCAATAATTAGTGTCCTTGTCCTGAGATTTTGCTTTGTTTATTATATTATCTGATAAATTTAGTGAACCAGTTGAAGATATCCACGTTACCCTTGTGGAAGATACTAAACTTAGATTGTCTAATATGATGAAATGCAGAAATATAATTCTATTGTTTTGACACATTGGAAATACGATCCTACATATGAGAGTGCTATTTGGTAAGATCTTTAGGATTGACATAGTGTTTTAAATGTATGATATGAAAGAATTGATTAAGCACAACAGATTAAAAGGCTTTGTGCTCATGGCTGACCATGAGCAGAACATTTCAGATTGTTGCCAGTATGTTAAAAACAATCACAAAGATTAAAAAACGGCCTTTCCTTGACACTTCAGCTTTTCTACTTCAAAAATGGGGAGAAAGCTGGTTCAGAATAGTATAAAAGGTGAAAAAAAATAGGCTTATTAGATAGAAAATATTGAAAGTGTCTAAAGCATTTATATGTCTTTATTCTAGAAAATAGCCATTAAAGGCTAACAGTTGTATATGAAGTATTTTGGGAGGAAAATTCTGGTCTGTTCTAATTCATACAATGGAATTCAGTATAACATCTGAACAAAAAGAATGAACTGAGTTTAGTTCTGATGGTATGCTAATTCAGCTTAAGGAAGCCCTTGTGATAACACTGAACTAAGCAGCTAAAAATGTGATATTTTTATATCTTGAAATGTTTAAAGAAAAGAATAGACAACTACCTGTCTTATATAGCTTAGATCATTTGCTGGCTGAATATAGTGAGCTTAAGCAGATGAATTAGGATTATTATTAATTAGTAACAATGTATATTACAAGTAAACATTTATTAACAAATTTCTTATTCATACTGTATCACATCTTTACATATATACATGTATGATGGCCTTAGACATTTTCATGTTTCAACATTAATCGTAATTTCTCTTGACCCAGGGTGGAGTCTAATAACTTTTTTCCTCCTACTCAAAGTTATTCCTAGGCAGTAGAAACTCTGTGAGAACTTCCAATTCTATATTTGAGTGTAACCACATTTTTAGGCTGTGAGTGTTGTGTTTTGTTTTGTTTTGCTTTGCTTTGTTTTTTTTGAGACAGAGTCTTGCTCTGTTGTCTAGGCTGGAGTGCAGTGGCACCATCTCGGCTCACGGCAGCCTCCACCTCCTGGGCTCAAGCAATTTTCATGCCTTAGCGTCCCCAGTAGCTGGCACTACAGCCATGTGCCACCACACCTGACTAATTTTTTTTGTGTCTAGCAGCGACGGGGTTTCACCCTGTTGCCCAGGCTGCTCTTGAACTTCTGCACTCAGACAATCTGCCACCTTGGCCTCCTAAAGTGTTAGGATTACGGGCGTGAGCCACCATGCCTGGCCCAGACTGTGAGTTTTACTTTGGTTCTCAAGACTATTTTTGCTGTTTAATGTTGCTTCTTATGATTTCTTGAATGTATGTTTTTGACATGTCTGACTTTGCTATTCTCAAACTTGTCTTTTTTCATTACTGATCTTGGTTCCTAAAAGTTTTGAAAATGGATTTCAGTGTAAACCCATACATATTTATGAATGTGGGATTTGAAAAAAAAATCTTCCAAAGGAAGTAATCACTTTTCTTGTAGTTTATTCTTTAATAGATGAAATGCAAAGCATAAAAGAAAAAAAGAGAAAAAGAAACAGTACCAATAACATCTTTTCTTTTTTAATAGTATAAACTGTTGGTAAAACTAAAAATAATGACATTATGTTTAAGCTATTTGTGCCCCTTTGTAAGTATCACTGAAATTATGAAAATTATATTGCATCTTTTACTAGATTCTCTTCTTCAGCTGAGTACTTTACCTCAAAATATACCATGGCATTTTATTTTTTAAGGAACAATATTTAATAAAATAAAGCAAACTATAATTTTATAGCCCCTAAAGAACCTTCTTATATTCTAGAATTAGTTGCCAGTGTATATAGTTGTCATTGTCCCTTCTACTTTATGGAAACAAATAATTTTTTTAAATAGAAAAAATATGGAATAAAATTTCTAAACACTTACGAATATTATAATGAATATCGCCCTACTTTTATATAGTACTTGAAGTGATTGTATAGGTTAGGTTGTATATTAGTGGAGGCTATTTTGCTCCAAGTAACAGAAAACCTCTCAAGCTTTTAAAGTAAAAACTGAATAATATGTTTGTTTAAAAAATCTTAGAGTAGGAACCAGGAATTGTAGGGCTATTAGGAAACAAGTTTGCTTTCTCTGCTGCTTTCTGTAAGCTGTTTAATCCTTCCTTCTGTATGTTGACTAGCCTTTCTGAGCAGAAACAAAACATTGCTGTTCTAGTTTCTGTTTTAAACAATTTTCGAATCCAAGAGCCCAGCAAAGAGGAGATATTGTTTCTTAGACCTCATTCCAAATTCTCAAAAAAGAGCAATAACTAGGCAGGTGCCTACCTATCATCTAATCAGTCATACCAAGACAAGAGGGTTAGGGTGCAGTGGTGCACGCCTGTAATTCCAGCACTTTGGGAGTCCGAGGTGGTTGGATTGTTTGAACTCAGGAATTCCAGACTAGCCTGGGCAATATGGCAAAACCTCACCTCTATATTAAAATTAAGAACAAAAAATTTTAAAAAAGAAAGAAAATAGGGTTATCAAGTTTAAATGTTGGGGCCAATTCTTAGAAGAGATGTGGCCTAAACAAGCATGTGTCTTAAAACTGAAAATCGTGTTTAGTATGTTGGGAGGCAGTACTTATGAATACCAGTCACATTGCCCTTTTGAGTATATGGTTGAAGGACATGTTTAAAGAAAAATTACTAAAGCATGCCAGTTTTTAATTTTTCCAAGGAATTATAATCCTGAGAATAAAATCTTCAGAGAAGTTTTATATTTCACATATGTATAATTTATTTGTAAAGTATGTAGTGTATTTTTGTTTTTAATATTAGTAAGTTTTTAAACATTATTTATATATTTTTTAGGGTGATCTACAATTTATTGGCTTCTAAAAGTGAAAGTATTTGGGTTCAAGCTTTGAAGGTTCTGGGATACTTTCTGAAGCATTTAGGTCAGAAGTAAATTGATATTTGTTGTAATGCATTCTAGAAATAACTATTGAGATTATGTTTTTATGAGTTTTATATGTAATGTAACATGAAATTTGACTTGAATAATCTAACACTGGAAAATAATAGCTTTATGTGGTAGAAGTAGTAAGAGTGTTTTATAAAATTTATTAATAGTAGATTATGGAACAAGATTACAATTTAAGTAACAAGGTTTTATTTCTATATGCTTCCTGAAAAGAAAGCATTATCTATAGATGTAATACAATATTTTGTCAAGATATAATGATGCACATATGACTATGATTTCAAGGAAAGCTTCCTTGACAAGGAAATATCATGTATATGTTGAGGTCTTTCTGAGAGTTGATCTTATGCTTACATGCTGAGTCAGTATTTTGTTATTAGTTTCTAACAGTAGGGCTTATTAATTAATTTTGTGACTTCAAGATGCTAGAATACTTCATTTCTTTCCCAAAATACAGAATCTGAATACTTTCTAAGAACAGTTTTTGTGTAAGAAACTACTGCTGGCTTAGTGATTGCAGTTCATACTACACTATCCAGTGTATGAATATAGTTTTAAGAGTAGATTTCCTTACAAATGAAGCCAAGGAAGTAGTGCAACTGTAATTTAAATGTTACTAGATGGGGTTCCTTTGAAAACCTCAGTGTTGCCCTTTTTTTTGGTGCTTGCTTAAATTTGCAACGCGCTTATTTGTAATAATCATGAAAACTGCACAAAATTCAGACAAGACATGTCTAACAAGCTGTATAGCCTAGAAGTTTAAATATTTTTAAAATTTTGGTACCAAACAATGATTAAGGGAGACTAGATATACTATGGATATAAGGAATAGTTCAAACAAAGCCAGGATTGTAGAGAAGGATACATTTATATATATATATATATATATATATATATATATATATGGATATATATAAGTTCACTTGGTGATAGAGTACTGGGAGTGAAGAAGCATATGCCCTTTTTATTTTAAGAGATAAAGATCACTTACTTAACTTCAGTTAATTAAAATAAATTGATTGGAGAAAGTTAAAGGATTGTAGCCCAAGATGCAACCTCCTCAAATATCAAGAAAGCACATTAAAAAATGTACAAAAAAAACGAAAACTCAGTTAATACAAAATTAAAAATACAAGCAGGCAATTTCCTGTGTAAACATGGTGTTTAAGATGTCCTATTTTCCCCTTTTCCTGTAGAATGTATAAATGATACAACAAGAAGTAAAAAACTGTACTCTCTTATCAAGATAGATGCAAATGTATGAACTCCAGAATATGGGTATCAGCTGCTTAAAGTTGCTAAGGTTGGGTAAAAGCTGTTAAGGCTAAAGAGAAGAGAAAATACAAAGAGCATGGTGAGAGAGTTCAATTGTAGCAAATAGGAACTGTCAGTGAAAGTACAGTTTCTGAAGATGAGAGGCCCACCTTAAATTTCAAAAATAGATCATTTCTAAAACAAATAACCCCATCAAAAAGTGGGCGAAGGACATGAACAGACACTTCTCAAAAGAAGACATTTATGCAGCCAAAAAACACATGAAAAAATGCTCACCATCACTGGCCATCAGAGAAATGCAAATCAAAACCACAATGAGATACCATCTCACACCAGTTAGAATGGCGATCATTAAAAAGTCAGGAAACAACAGGTGCTGGAGAGGATGTGGAGAAATAGGAACACTTTTACACAGTTGGTGGGACTGTAAACTAGTTCAACCATTGTGGAAGTCAGTGTGGCGATTCCTCAGGGATCTAGAACTAGAAATACCATTTGACCCAGCCATCCCATTACTGGGTATATACCCAAAGGACTATAAATCATGCTGCTATAAAGACACATGCACACATGTTTATTGCAGCACTATTCACAATAGCAAAGACTTGGAACCAACCCAAATGTCCAACAATGATAGACTGGATTAAGAAAATGCGGCACATATACACCATGGAATACTATGCAGCCATAAAAAATGATGAGTTCATGTCCTTTGTAGGGACATGGATGAAATTGGAAATCATCATTCTCAGTAAACTATCGCAAGGACAAAAAACCAAACACCGCATATTCTCACTCATAGGTGGGAATTGAACAATGAGAACACATGGACACAGGAAGGGGAACATCACTCTGGGGACTGTTGTGGGGTGGGGGGAGGGGGGAGGGATAGCATTGGGAGATATACCTAATGCTAGATGACGAGTTAGTGGGGGCAGCGCACCAGCATGGCACATGTATACCTATGTAACTAACTTGCACATTGTGCACATGTACCCTAAAACTTAAAGTATAATAACAATAAATAAAAAAATAGATCATTTCTTTGAAATAATAGATACACATATATCATGCCTGATAGCAGAGTTTTTTTGAATCAGATTGGTTTCAGAAAAGGAGAAGATATCACAAAGAATTACACAGATGAGCTGTATTTGTGGCAAGCAGTCTATCTCTGTGGCTATAGAGAAAGAGAAAGTTTTTGGATTATGAAAGCAAAAAGGTTACCCTTGTCCCTTCTTTTACACATATGCATGGAAGCATCCTGTAGACTGATGGGCCAGGCAAATTAGACTGTATCAAAGAATTGGCACATCATCAGTGCATGTATCAGATAAAAAACACGGAAAAAAAAAGTTAAGGTAACCAGTACATGAATAGCACTTAGCATAAAAATATTGCTATGGAATATATAGCATTTTGATTTAAAAATTTACTGTCATAAGTTAAAAATAAATAAGTAGCTTCTGAGAAAGAACCACTAAACATAATTTGGAGAAGTAATCCTACTACTCAGGAGGCTTATGCAGGAAGGTTGCTTGAGCCCAGGAGTTTGAATCCAGCCTGGACAATGTAGCAACATCCCCATCTGAAAAAAAAAAGTTGTTAGAAATGTTAACATAGTGAAATGGTTTGGTTGTGTTCCCCCACCTAAAATCTCATCTTGAATTGTAATCCCCACGTGTGAAGGGAGGGACCAGGGGAACATAATTGGATCATGGGGGCAGTTTCTTTTCTGCTGTTCTTGTAACAGTGAGTCGCATGAGATCTGATGGTTTTATAAGCATTTGGCATTTCCCCTCCTTTCCCTTATTCCGTCTTGCCACCCTGTGAAGAAGGTGGCTGCTTCTCCTTGCCTTCCACCATGATTGTAAGTTTCCTGAGGCCTCCCCAGCAATGCAGGACTGTGAGTCAATTAAACCTCTTTCCTTTATAAATTAGCCAATCTTGGGTATTTCTTCATACCAGCGTGAGAACAGACTAAAACAGATAGCATGGAAGTATTTAATTATGAGCTAATAAAACATTGGACAAGTATTGGAGGAAAAGAACTATACACAAAAAAATAAAAGTGGAGATTGCTCAAAGGCAAAACCCTGGCTAGTATCATAGTGAAATACACAGAAGATAAAACTGAAAAAAGCAAATAATATGAGTAGGTGAAAATGTGAGTTTAGGATTAGAAAGAAAATGAGTGACATGAGAGAAAAACAAATTACAATAATGGCATAAATCGGCTGGGCGAGGTGGCTCACACCTGTAATCCCAGCACTTTGGGAGGCTGAGGCGGGCACATCACGAGGTCAGCAGTTTGAGACCAGCCTGGCCAACATGGTGAAACCCCATCTCTTAAAAATACAAAAATTAGCCAGGCATGGTGGCGAGCACCTGTCATCCCAGGTACTCAGGAGGCTGAGGCAAAAGAATTGCTTGAACCCAGGAGGCGGAGGTTGCAGTGAGCTGAGACTGCACCACTGCATTCCAGAGCCTGGGCAGCAGAGGGAGACTGTTTCAAAATTAAATAAATAAATAAATAAATAATGGCATAAATGGAGTTCCCAAATAAAAGCAGAACAATGGAACTAGACAAATATTTAAATCTATAATTTAATGAAGTCTTGATGTTAGATTTTGCCATTCTTATTTAGAGGACATATTGTGTGCTAGGGAAAATTGACCTAGAGTGGCTAGCATCAAGGTGTATTACTGGACTTAAATATAAGAATACTTTGTATAACAGTGCACAAAATAAGGAGAAAAATGAGTCTGGCTTTAGACTCTAAAATAACCTTCAGTACAAAAAACTACCACAATCATCAGATACTTAAATGAAGAAAGTGGGAGCCAAACTATCCTTTAAGTAAAAAAGATGCCATCAAATATTTTTTAGCCATACAGCAAATTATTTCTGTGACTAAATCTTGAGGAAATTGCTGGGGATGAAGTCCAACCAACTACAAATGACTGGAGAAACTATTGCTAAGGACAGCTGGTGAGCACTGAATAAATTTAACCATAAGACGAAGAATAAAATACACGTTCATATTACTGTGACAGACCAGAATTTACTTTTTATATATGCTAATAATGTAGAAATGACTCAACTGTAATGAATTGGGAGAGGATTGAGAAAAGAAGGAAAGTAGAGCAAGTGCAAAGAGTCAGAATTTCCATGTAAGCGGAAAGATGAAATATTACAAATGTAGGCCTGTTGACTAAAATTTGATGATGTAGATGAAAGGAAAAAATTAAGAGTAAATATGCTGACATTTACATTTCTCATAGTAAGGAAATACCCTTTTTAAGCCGATGGAAGATTACTTATTCTTTCATAGTTAAAAAGATAAGCAGTTCTATAAAATTATAGAGCTTCCAAAATATTAAAGATCTGTATGGATAAAACTAAGAACAATATATGTAATGGAACCTTAAAAAATCTGTAAAGATCAGTAAGCATAACATAAAATATGACATATCTTAAGACCAGTCATGCTGTCATAAAAAATAAATGTAGAAGCTTTTATAAATCACCTGTTAAGAAAAATATCACAATTGATCACAGTAATAAAACCCAGTTCTATATGCAAGAAACATACAAAAAAACGAAAGTGGTTTTGAAAGGTTGAAAGTAAAAGGATGAGTAAAGATTTATTATGTAAGTACAAAGAAAGCAAAAAGTAGGAATCATGATCTTAATATTGGACAAATTAGAATACAAGCCAAAAAGCAATAACCGTTAGATAAAGAAGAATTCTTCATAATGATAAAATAGAAACATTCATAAAATAGAAATTACAGGAGAAACAGACAGTCACTTAAAGTTTAAAACTTTAAGACAAACTTTAATTGACCTATTTCAGTCCACAAAAAGCCAAGAAGTATCTGAAATGGTGGGATAAATCTTCTTGTCCTTAAACTTTTGTGGGTCGGTGTGTAGGAAGATTGGAGTGCTACGATGCTGGCTTCAGGGGCTCATGGTGCAGGACTTACAGCTTGCTAAGTTTTATACTACAAGTCAGTAAGTTTAGAGGGTGCTTTGCCTGACACCACCTGTGGGGATCTCATCATTTAAAATTCACAGCCATGAGATTTGACCTTGACTCTGTGGATAGTGAAAAATAGCAACTCATCTAAAGGGGCCTACTAGCCAGAAGCAGGATGAGAGAATCATCAAACTATGTACCCAATGAAGTAGAACTATGGTAGAGGCTATTGTGGAACATTTAAATTTCATTTATACAAAGAGCTTTTGAGATTCAAATAGAGCACGAAAGATAATAATCTACTCTTTTAGCTGATGATTTTTTAACCAGTTAACCCTGATGAGTGGACTGGAAGATCTCAAAGCATGGGTGAAAAATAGAGAGTGAGAGAAAAGATAAAGCCTTACAAAATAAGAGACTTCACATGTGACTATTAAGAGTTCTTAGAAGAGAAAACTGATGGGTGTAAAAACTAGATATCCTGAAACACTTTGAACTACTAAAAACTTACAAATGTTGGATAAAAATATGTCAAAAATCCTATTAAACATATAGGTGTGCACACAAAAGTAAAGGAAATTTTCATATGCCAGAAATGAAAATCAAGCATATTAAAAGAAACAAGATTTTAAAAACAAGGTAATTTTAAAATAAACCATGTAATTTAAAAATCGTAAGTAACTTGTGGAAATGAAAAGGTAATAATTACAATGAACACCTATATGGAAACAGTAAACAGATTCAACAAAGCTTCAGAAAGAATTGGTGAACTGAGAAATAGAACTGAAGAAATTACCTAGAATTCAATGCCAATAAACAAGATTACAAACATGAAATTCAGAGAGATGGAGAAAGAAGGAAAGGAAATATGAATAATAGGAGTTACAGAAAAGAGGAAGAGAGAATGAAGAAGAGGCAATATTCAAAGTAAATTACTGAAGTTTTACAAAATTGATGAAAGAGCTGATTTCTCAGATTTTGGAAGTAAAATCAATCAGGGAAAATTAACATGGAATCTTATCACAAAGTGAAACTCCAGAACACAAGGTCAAGGGGAACAACAAAGGGAAGTTAGCTGTATAATATTAAAAGAAATATAATATTTAATAAAAACAATATAGTACATATTTGTGAATAAACAGAGCAAAGTGCAGTCCACAGAGTGACCCAAATACTTAGCAGATTTTAGTGCTAATAAAGGTGCCATGTCTGATGAATAGAGTGATGATACACTTAAAAAAATATGCTGTCTGTTAAAGAAATGGAACAAATGATGTATTTTTATTTGCATTTAAAAAGTCAATAGGCAGTTATAACAAATATACTACTCTGGTGAGGGATGTTGACAGTGGGGAAACCTGTGTGTATGTAGGGGTAGGGACATATGGGACTCCCTGCTTTCTGCTCAGTTTTACTGTGAGCCTAAAACTGCTCTAAAAATGAAGTGCGTTTAAAAGAGAAGGGGAAAGTGGTATGGAAATGAGAAATCATAAAGTGTTCACTTGTATGGGGGAGCTGTGAGTGATGTGTAAATGTAACGGATGAGTTGTAAAATCTCTCTGTGTATCTTTTTATGTCATCATATATTTTTAACTAAGTAAATGTACTACTTATTCTAAAAATTAAATGATAAAAGCTGGTATTGCATTATTTAAATATATAAAAATAAACTTTAAGGCAAAAAAATTACTGAGGATGAAGGGGGCACCATATTATGAAAAAGGTATAATTCACTAGGAATGTAAAACAGTTTCAAATGCATATACACTTAGTGTAGGTGAGTTATAGAAATCTATTATTGACTAAATTTGGAAGAGTATTTTACACATTTTAACATATTTTTCTCCTTAAAAGATCAGTTACAAAAAATCTCAAAAGTATAATTTGAAAAAAAAAAAATCCATTGGCTTGAGTATCATACACATTCTTTTTAAGCACACAGAACTATAGAAATTATTTAAATGAGGCCATAAAGGAGGCTTAATAAATTTAAATAAATTGTCATGCAGATGACTTTCTCTGCAAACAGTGCAATTAAACAAGAAATCAATGACAAAAATTAAAGTTAGAAAATAGAAATATGTGTCTTCTAAATAACTATAACAAGAAGTTATTCATTATGCAAATTATAAAACGCAGTAAAAATGTTAAAAAATATGTATATTTACACTTGTGAGATTAGGTCTAAATGATATTAGAGAAAATTCATAGTTGTAAACATTTATATTGAAAGCAGAAAGGTACTTAGATTTTCATTTTTCTAGGTTCTCAGTTATGCTTACCTCATTAATTGTCAGCCTAAGAAGGCAAAAGAAATAATGAAGGGCAGAAGGGAATGAAACACAAAGCGAGACTATTAAACAGAGTAACGGCAAGGCCAAAAATCTGTATTTTCACTTATAATTTCCCATGCCTAGCTAGATAAAGAAGGAATCAGCCACTGTTTCACCTAATAAAATTAGATGAAATTTTATTCACCAAAATTGGATATGGATTATCCAATTACAAGGGAATTATAAGGGAAATTTATGGTCAATCTCCCCTATGAACATGAGTCTATCGGTTACTTTTTAAAAGTATACAGCTTAACCAAGTTGAGGGTAGTGATAGAATGTAAAGGTGGTTTAACATCAGGACAACATTTCATCTATTTATTAACAGGAGAATGGCTATATAATTATGATGTGTGCAAAAAATTTTATAAAATTCAGTATCATTCATCATAAAAATTTTTAGCAAACCACAAATAGAAAATAATTTCTTAAATCTGGTAACATACATCTACTGAAAGCTTTCCACAGTCCAGTTTAGTAATGAAATGTTAGAAGCATCCCCTTTGAATAACTAACAAATAATGAAAGCCTGCTTTCACCACCCCTGTTCGACATCCTATTGGGCAATATTTTGGCATTTATAAAACACTCCACCTAAAGCTAGCAAAATTGTTTTCAAGTGCACATGCAGCTTTCTCCAAAATGTATTATGAGTTGGGCTATAAAACATAAAACAAGTCTCAGTAAATTTAAAAACTAATAAATCAAAGTATATTACCTGACCACACAATTAAATTTGAATGAAAGAGGTTTGAGAAATTGCAAGGTATTTGGAGGTAAAGAACATAACTAATTCTTGAGTCAAAAAAGAAATAAAGAACATTAGACGTTAGTTAGAACTGAATGGAAACAAAACCACAGCACAGACTACTTATTGAATGCTTATGTATTGCTGATGGAATGCAAAATCCTGCAGCCATGTTCCAAAAGGATTTCCTAATTTCTTAAAAAGTATTACAATACTTAGGAATGTATCCAAAAGAAGTGATAACATGTTCATAGCCAGACTTTGCATGAATATTCTTAGTACTATTATTATTATTATTATTATTATTATTATTATTTTGAGATGGAGTCTCACTCTGTTACCCAGGCTGGAGTATGGTGGTACAATCTCCGCTCACTGAAACCTCCGCCTCCAATGTTCAAGTGATTCTCCTGCCTCAGTCTCCCATGTAGCTGGGACTACAGGTGTGCGCCACCACACTCAGCTAATTTTTTTGTGTATTTAGTAGAGACGGGGTTTCACTATGTTGGTCAGGCTGGTCTCGAACTCCTGACCTCAGATGATCCGCCCACCTCAGCCTCCCACAGTGCTGGGATTACAGGCATGAGCCAGTGTGCCCAGCCAGTACTATTATTAATAATAGCTCCAAACTAGAAACAATCCAAAAGTCAATCAGCTGATGAATGGATAAACCAAATGTTTTATGGCCATACATGGAATACTATTGTGCAATTAAAAGGAAACAAACTGCCGATGCATACTATGGCATAATGAGTCCTAAAACTATTAATGCTAAGTGAAAGAAGCCAGATGCAAAAAAACTGTATACTGTATGCTTCTGTTTATATTAAATGTCCAGAATGCAAATAAGTGGTTAAATGGGGCTAGCAATGGGAGTGGGAATTAACTGCCAGTGGGCACAGGGAACTTTTTAGGATGATAAAAATGATCTACAACTCTATTGTAATGATAGTGGCATGACTCTATGTAATTCTTTAAAGTCAATTGTTCATTTACAAAGTGTGTGAATTTTGCGGTATGTGTAGTATACCTCAGTAAAGCTAGTAAAAATGTGAAAGCAAAATTTAAAACTCTTCGAAAGTGCAGGATAATAGTATTATCATCTTGGATTAAGGAAGGATTTCTAAAACAATAAGTACACATAAATCATACAGGAAAAAGATAAATTTGACCATTAGAATAAAAAGTACTTTAAAAGATACCATAAAAAGTGAAAAGACAAGGCACAAAGTGAAAGAAGATATTTGCAGTTTATCTAGGATACAATGGATTTGTATCCTAAACATATGCAAAATCGTGCAAATAAATTAGAAAAAGAATATCTGTTAGGATCATGAAGAATATAAACAGATGATTCACTGAAGAGGAAACTTGAGTTAGCAGTAAACATATGGGTAATATACTCAACTTCAGTAGTAATCAAGAAAGTGCAAATAAAACATGCATTTAATGCTCATCAGGATGGTAAATTTTAAAACTTGACAGTATCAGGTGTTTGACAAAGAATGTACATCAGTGGAAATTCTCTCCAACCACTGGTGGAATTATATACTGGTACAATCAGATTGAAGAATAATTTACAATTTTTAAAAAGGATAAAGATACTTACACTCTATGACTAAGGAACTCTCTCCTTGACATAGAGAAACTCTCATGTGTATGAACAATGTTCAATATAACATTGTTAATATTAATTAAAAGTTGGAAACAACACAGAACAGGAGAACAGATAAATAAGATACATTCATACAGTTGGATATATTCGGAACTGAAAATGAATGATGTAAACTCCCCTTCCACAAACCAAACATAAAGCAAGTTGCAGAAGGATACATAATATTGATGCAATTTATTTAAATTTCAAAAATATGTAAAGACAAAATTGTAGATTGTGTATGAATATTCATCTAATTAATTTTCATCTTCTGTGAAAATTAACCTCTTTTTGCACTAAAATCCAAGTTTATATTAGTTATGTATCTAGAATGTAGAAATGTGTCTTAAAGTTCCTTTATTTTTTAAAAGTTTATGGGGTTTCCAGAAGATGTGAGAGCCTTCCTTCCTTATAAAATACCTCATTCCACATTGTTCAATAGTTTCCTCTTTGATTTATCTATCTCCTCTCATTATATTAAGCAAGGAGAAATCAAAACACACCATCCACACTTTGCTTAGAAATCCCCTCAGCTAAGTTTTAAGTGTCACCTACTAATTCTAATTTTATCCAATATAACCTAATTAAGATACATTCTATAACCAGGTACACATGTTTTCCAGTATCCAATACAATGTTAGTGACAGAAACAAAGCAGGTGTGCTCTCTGCAATGTGGTCATCTGAGGCCTGAGATGACAGGTCACTCAGGTATTTTTCCGGTTTCTAAGGGTGGAGGCAGCAACGGTGGTTAACGATTCTGAACAGCACTGGCTCCTACCTAAAACGTTACAGGTAAAGTTACTGCTGCTATTTTATATTAACACCTTATTAGAATAAAGCTCTGAGGAAGAGACCACATCCTAGGTCACACAGTGTGGAGGAGTGGAGCTGTGCTCAGCTCTCCACACTAGCTACAAGATCCCAGGCACAAGCCCATGTCCCACAGATGCATGGCATCCAGAGGGCAGGACTCGGGATGATCTCAGGGCATCTGCTTCCTGGGGTAGAGTACTTGCGACCGTCAATTGTGCACTTGCTGCTCCTGCAGGCTCTGAAGTGAGCACTTGTATTGCCATGAATTATACATGTTCTCTCCCCTAACATGGAAAGAAAACATATTTATTTAATTTTCCATTTTACTGTCTCTGAAGCACGTTGGGTGAGAGAAAGAAAGAAATCACATCCTTTATCCTCCCACACAGCCAAAGATTCCTGAAGACAGAGCTGATGCCATGTACTCAAGTGGGTCTCTGCCTCTCAGAGGTGGCCTTGGTCTTCAAGTTTCAGCAATTCTGGGAAGCCAAGGACACCTCCATCTCCTCCTGCCTGATCTGCAACTCATCTGAGAGCAGCTTTCTCATTGGAATGTCTTGTGTTTAAGGAACAAGAATCCCTGTTTCCGGTTTGGGTGCCCAAGTGCACCTACTGGATCCAACCCAGGATTGGAGATACTTTGCAGAACACAACATCATCTGGCACATGACCAGCCATGGTGTTTCACTTTCACAATTTCAGCTTCCTTCACTGATGGCAGCATAATCGTGGTTCAGCAGCCTCCAAGACCAGGGCTGGTGTGGGCGGCTACAGGGAGAAATTCAAGAGGAAGTTCTTGGTGGTGCCCTCCATGAGTACAAAGAAGCCTCAGTCCCCAGGACACCCTTCCGTGCATGGTGTCACTGACATCTTTATTTCTTTTGTCACGTTCTGTAAATCACAATGAATGGGGTATTCTTCTTCTATTATATATTTGTTAAGTCTTTTTTGGCATCTTTAAAAAAAAGTGGTAACTTTATCCTATGTAATATCCCTGTTAAGTCCTAAAAGTCTTTTCTGATGTCTATTTTGTCTGAAATTTGCACAGCTACTATAGCTTTATTTCGGTTCATATTTTCATAATCCATGTTTTCTCATCCTTTTATATTTGTGAATGTGTAAAGTAACTTTCTTGTGCATAGCTAAGAGTTTGGTCTTGCTTTTTTAAATCGACTATAAGTTCTATTTTTAAACTAATATTTTCTCTTATTTTTTGTTTAAGATAGCATTTCATAATGATGTTTATTTCTCCATTAACATATTACCTAATTCACTTTTTATAAATATTATATTTGTTACCATAAGGTTTGCAAAAGGAGCGATTCTTCATTTTGGAACCCTTTCTTATTTTCTGGGTACCATGAGAAATTGTAGACTTTACTCCTATATTCTCTTTCCAAGCCCTAGGATTAGCCATTTTTCCAAGAAATGTTGCATACCATTCTGCTATGAAAGGAACCAAAACTCAAATCTTGATTCTGGGTGTATTTTTTGTTAATTTGCTGTCTTTTCTTGTAGAACCTCTCAGGTAATGACTCTAGGAGGTATGTGTTGTGTATTAACCCATATATACACACACATCTAAACTATTTTTATTTAATTTTTATACCTATATTATGCTAAACTTGCAAATATATTGACACATCTGCCCTGTTAATACCACATGAATGTTTATTACCTGCCTTCTATTCCTGTCCCTAACCTCGCACTCCAACCGTGAGGAACCCCCTCCTGCCACACCCTGTCTATTCCCTTTGTAGTCCAGTTCCAGGATTTCTGTAGAGTGGAACCAGATTGTGTATGTTTTGCTCTTTTGTGGAACATCATCAGCTGGGGTACAGTTCTGACGTGCACTTTCTTTATTCTTTTATTGACTACACTATTTCTGAGGTCACTTGGCACCTCTTCTGATTTCATACATTTGTAATGACATTAGATATTTTCTATATTGTCTGCATTCTATCCTGGAATTCCTAATCTCCTATTTATTTATATTTTTGTGAATTGGAATTAACCCTTTATGCTGTATATTCTGTTGATTTCAACAAATTCATATCACATATTTACCATTATAATATTATACATAATTCATCACCCTTTTAAATCTATTTTTTACCCATTTTCATCATCTCCTTAAATTTCTCACAAATACAGAATCACTTTGTGTGTTTGGACTTCTCCAGAATATCAAATAAATAACATATTATGTAGCTTTTTCAGACTTGTTTCTTTCACTTAACAATATGCATTTAAAATTCATTTATGTATTTTTATGGTTTGATAGCTCTTGTTTATAATTGCTGAATATTATTCTATGAATTTACTGCCGACTGTTTATCTACTCACCTACAGAACTTCTTGAGTGTTCCTAGTTTTGACAAATATGAATGAACTTACTGTGATTATTCATGTGTAGTTTTCTTTGTGGTCATACATTGAAAGTCAGATAGATAAATACCTAGGAGCATGGGTGCTGGATTGCATGCCAAAACTATGTTGAGATTTGACTGAATTTGCCTCCTAGAATTTCTGTGAAGTGGAGGCGCTCAGCTGACCCTGTCTCCTTGCTGGGAGGAAGCTCAGTGCTCAGGGTGGGGCCACCTGGGTGGATCCAGGCCAAGCTCCCTCTCAACAATTAGGGACAGCAGCCTGCCCTGTGGATGCACATCTAGGAAACAGATGCCCCAGACATGCATTGTCCAGGACCACAGAGATGCTTAGGAGTCAGACAGGAAGGGGCACACTGAGGAGCAGGTGCTGGGATAGACCAGGAGGGGAGCTTCTAGCAAAATCCTTGGTTCTCCTTCAGCGAAACTATATCTAACTCCCAGGAAAACTTCCACTCCATCATTTGTAACCCATGCCCTGAAATTTCCATGCTCAAACTCAGTAAACTCAGTGGATTTAGCTGGAAGTGTGAAAAAAAACTAAAATGAAAATGACTCGTTAATTCTGTGATAATTGGTCATTTTCTAGGGAACACCCCAATAATATTGATGATCATAATGTTAATGTCAAAAGCAACATACACCGTCAGCATGATGGCAGTGTGTCTCCTGGTAGAATATATTTATTACTTGAAAATTATGCTCAAAACAGTCTTTTCCCACAGAAAATCCCACTTTCTCTTCTCACACAGTCAATTTCAGTATCCTGATCCTCAGAGTTGGAAGCACCGTGTCCTCAGGAGATAGGAGGGAAAGTCACTAGCATGGCCCTGGAGTCTTGGTGCCAGATTCTTCATCTTTGTGGCAATCAAAAGGCAAATATTCTGTACCTACTTGAAGGACTTCATAAGCAAATTACGATTTAATTTACAACAACACTATGTCACACGTATACACACAGGTTTTTTATATTTGTTATCTTTTCCGTGATTATCTCTTACAGTGTTGTATATTTAATATATTCATTTAATTTTATGTAGGTTCCTCATTCCTTCATATGTGTATTACATTTCCCTGGAACTATCACGTATTTTATATACTTAGCAATGGAAAGCTCCTGGTTTCAGTTGTCTGTGCAGCAGGCAGGGGGAGGAGAAGAAAATGGGTCACACTCCTGACCCTGCCTGCATAGCCACAGGTTCCCAAAAGCAGAGGTCCCTGCTGTGCACCTTCCCTGGGACAACTTTCTTATTGATGGGTCTTGTGTTTAATTAATGAGAGTTTGTTTTAGGGGTATGGGCCCAGGTGCAGCTACTGAATCCAGTGCAAGAGTGGAAATAAGCTTCCAAAACAGTATCACCTGAGAGAGAACTGAGTCCATCCCTGTAGTACCATCTGAGTTACAGCTTCCTGGGCAAAGGCTCAGAATCATAAAAACTTTACATATGTGTCATGTGCTGTGATTCTTCTGTGTCACTGTATGTTGAGCTATATCTGTGTGGTGCCACTTACACTTAATGAGATGAGATTCCTTCTACTTGTTTCATGTCACTCGTGATCTCTGAAGCTACTTCAGATTTCTGCTTTAATATGTAAAGAGCATGTCAATCATCACCCACATTCTTACCATAATAAAAGTCTGGAAAATTGATTATCAATGATTTCTTGGATCTATTGAAGAAATGAAATTGCAGGGAAAACCAGGACCCAAAAACTAGAAAGACATTAAAATAGAGATCATAACACTGACGGGACAAACTTTCTGTGGCAATAAGATACCCAATTATAAACAAGACCTAAGGCCATGCCAGGCAGGGATTAAGTCACTCACCCCTACACTTAAAAAATAGACTATGTTGTAACTGCCACAGGGCTTTTTGTTTTTCTCTAACAGCTAAACAAGCACTGGTCCTGAGATAAGCAATATTAAAACATTTGCAGTTCATGGAACTTCAGACATGGAGTAATTGTGACCTTGTTTCACAAGCCATAAATAGAGCTTTGATTGGACAAGAGATGGATTTCAGTAACTTTCTCCTGAAAAGAGACCACTGACCATAGACTTGGCCTCACCAATTTCCAGAGGCTGTGCACTGTGTTTTTTTCCGCCCCTGCACAAAGCCCTTTTGATGTGCAGGGCCCAACTGTAATTCAGTTAGTTCTTAAGTCCTCACCCCAAAGCAAACATGAAGTGCATGTAGCGTGTCTGTCTGATTATTAGACCTGAGAGCATGCCTGCCGTGTGAATATCCACAGCTCCTATAGACTGCTGAGTGTGTATACTTGGCCAACGCATTCACATGAATTCATTTCTCGTCTTTCCCTGTCTTGAAGTACCTGCTCAATGTCTCTGTGGGAGGCTTTGCTTCCCAGCCTGTTAAGATGGCCGTCCTGCAGCTTCAATCCTTTCTCAGAAATAAAGTCCCCTTTCTAAATCAATAAATTGGGTGATTCTTCAGTTGACAGCACAAGCTGGCGGAAACATGGTAATTCCATAAATGTCTGGAGGACAGGTGTGGACAGGGATGGGGTAAGAACTCCTGGGGGGCCACACACCCCACACTATCATGGAATTTCCCTCCAGAAAATTCTGGGTTCTCAAGATGAGAGTCCAAACAGAATCACTCGTAGCTCTGTCGTCAGGAGAACTATTCTGTGATAAATATGCCCAGAACTTTCTCCTAACAGATGCTACAGAGACAAAATACTTTTCAAGATCTTTATTCTATGTGAGAGGAAGGGATTCTTTTCCATCCCAGACAGCTTCATCTTAGCCTTCCCGTGTCATGAAAAGGGGTATAATTAATAAACAACTGGGGTCAGATTCAAGAAAATAATCTGTGGATGCTGCAGCCAGGAGGGGGAGTGGAGGATGGAGGAAAATCCGCTGTACCACTGGAGACTCCTTGTAAAGGGTGCAGCCTAGAGAAAACACAGCAAGAAAACATTGGAAGTCAATTTCCAGAACATATACTGCTCCCCTGTCCACTGCATCACCTCCCCTCCTCACCAATAGGATTAATCTGGATTAAAGAGAAAAGTGTGATAATGCACAGACTCTGTCCAAACACTACAACTTAGGGAAACCAAAGGCAGTGGGAGAGAACAACTCAAGGACAGTGAAGTGATTCAAAGCCTCTGAGAACAACAGCTTCAGGACCAAGGTCACAGCCTCTCCCTCAATGGCCTTAGATTTACTTCTCATGGGGCATCTGCAGGGTTCCCAGGTGAGAACTGGCAAAGAGAACATGAAGGCACTTTCCAAATCTCCAGTAATACTGAGCTTGCTTTAGCTCTGTCTGGAAAAAATAACAACAACAAACACAAGCAGGACTATGGCCAGTGTTGGAAGCACTTTTCATTGACAAGACACTTGGAAGGAGGGCAAATCTGAGTCTCGTTACTGTGCAAATGTGCCACTGTGAGTGTATGTGTGTGTGTGTGGGGGGGGTGCTTTGAGACATAGGGTCTTTGTGTAAAGTTACAATCTGATGTGATCGTCAACCACAGAATCCTAAAAAAAAATAGAGGCTGCCCCAAAGTTCCCATCGGTTCCTAGACTTGCCATGTGTCCAGACCCTATCAGTGCACCTAGAACTCCAGGGAAGGGGCTCCCTGGTGGCTTTAGTGATTCCTTGTTGCTGTGCTGAGGTCTCCCGGTAGATTATGTCGGGTGTTCTAAGGCCTATTTGCTACTGTAAGAGATGGTGGGAGAAGCAATTGCTGCCATTGAAAGAGCATTCTGAGTCAGGGCAAGGCCACTTCATACTGTGCTTGAGACGCTGGGAGGAGAATTCTCTATGAGCCCAGACAGGAACTTTCCTGCAGGGCAGGAGCTGAGCTGCAGGGGGCGCTCAGGGCGCACCCAGCACAGGATCCAGCCCTGGAGCAGGTGCACAGGAGGCTGGGGAGGGGTTTTCTCTCAGGAATTGAATGTTCTTTATTTCAAAGCAATAATAACCTAAAATCTAAATAAGAATGTAGTAAGTACTGATGTGTCTTTAAGTATTCTATTATATATGTAGCCTATACCTAACCAAATAATTGAATGCAAACAGCATTTAAAAGGAGAAATGTCTAGTCTTTTCAAATGTATTTATAGTTAGGAATTGAAGAGTGGTTTTATTAATTCAATGGGTGTTACTGTCGGAAGATACACTCATCCCAGAATTTAGATGTGCAGAGGTCAAGGCCCAGGAAAAGTTCAGGTTGTCAGGGTGCCATATGAACAAGAAATGACATTGAGGACAATGTCCTGGGAGATTCTGGTTTTCTGTAAAACGAGTTCTGTCTTCATGGACTTCTGAGCATAACAGAGGGCAAATATCATTAAACAAAGTTCAGGGCAGGGAGCTCTGCATCCCACTGTGGCGTGGTCCGTGTGTCACCTATCTTCTTCCTCAGGTTGAGGTGGCTTGAGCTATGAAATACCTGCCTCGTGAATATGCAAATGCACTGCTGTCTACCGAGGTTCATACAGATCTGTCCTTGCCCAGAGAGCATCACACAACAACCACATCCCTCCCCTACAGAAGCCCCCAGAGCACAGCACCTCACCATGGACTGGACCGGGAGGATCCTCCTCTTGGTGGCAGCAGCCACAGGGAAGAGAATCCTAAGTTCCAGGGCTGATGAGGGGACTGGGTCCAGTTAAGTGGAGTCTCAACCACTTCTCTGTCCTCTCCACAGGTGCCCATTCCCAGGTCCAATCGGTGCAGTCTGGGGCTGAGGTGAGGAAACCTGGGTCCTCAGTGAAGGTGATCCCAGATACACCTTCACCTTCCACTACATACACTGGGGGCGACAGGCCCCTGGAAAAGGGCTTGAGTGGATGGAACGTGTTGATCCTGAAGATGGTGAAACAATATATGCACAGAATTCCAGGGCAGAGTCACCACGACCTGGGACACGTCTACAGACACAGCCTACATGGAGCTGAGCAGCCTGAGATCTGAGGACACAGCCGTATATTAATGTGCAAGACACGCAGTGTGAAAACCCACATCCTGAGAGTGTCAGAAACCTTGAGGAAGGAGGCAGCTGTGCTGGGGGTGAGAAGATGACAGGATTTATGAGGTTTAAACGTGTTTAGAAAATGGGTTAAGTAATTGAGGAAAAGAAGCAATAGAAAGATGTATACACTCTAATTATATAGGAAATAGTCTTTTCAACTTTCACCCTGTAAGTAAAATTCACAGAGTGGGAAAGGCAGCAATCAATCAGGCTGATGCAAACACTCCCATGGAAGCCTTGTGGGGACATAACATTTTAAAATCGAATGGATAAATCATTTGGAGCAGGATTGCTTTATCACGTGGTAAGACTAAACATAATTTCTAAGAAGTGGCCAACATTTCTTCCAAAATGTCTTTGCCACTTTTTTTACATTACATTTATTTTAAAACACTTTTAGGATCACAGCAAATTTGAGTAGAAGAAACAGAGTTCCCATGTATTCCTGCCCAAGATACGCACAGACTTCTCCATGATCAATACCCTGCACTGAAGTAATAACTTGCAGCTGACAAACCCGCATGGACACATTAATTGTTTCCTTTTCTGGCGTCCCCTAGTATAACAAGCCTAAACTATCTTGAAACACCCCGGGTTCCTCAAGCGGATTACTGGGAATGATGCCAGGTAGAGGGAAAGTGGGTGGGGACGTTCCTCTTTGCACTCTTTCCTCAAGAATCCATAAAATGTACATTGATTTGGAGCTCATCTGACTTGTTTTTCTATGCCCCTTCCCAGAGGGTAAGGTCTCCAAGCATTTACAGCAGAGGTCCCCAACCCCTAGGCAGTGAACCAGAACTGGTCAGCAGCCTGTTAGAAACCAGGCAGCACAGCAGGTGAGCGGCGGGTGAGCATCACTGCCTGAGCTCCGCCTCTTGTCAGATCAGCTGTGCACTAGATTCTCCTAGGATCCAAATTCTATTGTGAACTGGGCATGCAAAGGACCTAGTTTGAGTGCTCCCTATGAGAATCTAATGCTTGATGAATGCAGGTGGAGTAAGTTCATCCCATAATCACTCACCGCCATCATCCATGGAAAAATTGTCTGCCACGAAACCGTTCCCTGGTGCCAAAAATGTTGGGGACCACTGGTGTAGAGGAAGGTCTGTGCCTGTGAAAGGCCAGCAGCTTCTGGTGAATCCCATAATCAATGTCCTTTAATGAGAAGTGAAGACTTTGGCCATGAGGGCTTTCATGAATAATGCCCTTCAGTTCAATTCAAAACACTATAAGCTCTTGGGGGGTGTTTCTGGATAAAGGCCTTTGTGAAGAAAATACAAACACATGCATGGGATCCAGGCAGGAAAAAAGCTTCCCTTAGAAAGTGGTTTGGTACCTGGAAGGAGCTCTCAGGGTTGGGCACTGGACCCCTTGCTGGCTGCACTTTAGCCAGAGGCCTGAGCCTGATTGATCTTGCAGCGAGAGAGCCTCACTGGGGTCACAGGTTACCAAAATGCCTGTCATCTTCCAGCTGAGCAAGCCCATCTGCATGCTTGTCACTGTCAACCCCATGAGGGGTGCACTCTGGAAGATGACAAGATGCACACAAACCTCCTCCCCCCACTTATCCACTACCACACAATCGAAACCAATTTATATTCCAGAAAGGGACAGGTGCCTGCAGGGATAAACAGAATGGAAGTATTATCTTACCTGGGAAAGACACTGCCAAATACCACATGTTTCAGGAAGATCAACTCATAAGTGTTCAGGAAGTGACTGAAGGGCAACGGTGGGTGAAGTGACGTGGCAGCCTCAGGGCTGCATGTGAGGAGGGCTCCCTCCCCCATGCAGGCTTTGCCTCCAGGAGCTGCACCAGGAACTCACAGAGGATCAGGAATTATTCTGAGAACATACTTCTGAGTGCTGCCTACAGGGAGAAAATAAATTATAAAAAATAAATCAATTCTAAACAAAATATGACATTTGTTATTAGAAACTATTTCTGGAACCTGTGGGAAACAAACCAACCCTGTGGCTGACAGCAACCACCGGCAGCCACCATCCCCTCCACAGCCCTGTGTTTGGAACATCACCTGAGTGATTGTATTAGGAACTTTCTTTCAGAATCATCTTAAAAACTTATGTGTCCCATTTCACATGGAGAGGTCATCTATCCATTTTGTCTTCATAGAGAAATAGAAGGAGGTGAATACCAAGTACACTTCATATCTCCGGATTATTCAAATCTAATTGCCCCTTTATCACCTTCTGATTTCTGGTCTACACAGAACAATCTGCAAATTTTTCTCACTGGTGTTATACTAAAACTTGTGAAGGGCCAGATACTGGAATAATTTCAACTTACATTATTATTCTAATAATTCTAAGAATTTAGAATTAAGATTATCCTCTTTTCATAGATGGACAAACTAACCTAGATATTTGAAAATAAACCCTTAACTGAGACTGAAAAGATCAGCCATAGATTTGGAGAATTTGCTTGCAAATCCAATATTTGGAAAAGGGCTTTTATCACAAATATATAAATTGACTTATAATTGAACAACAACAAAACCACAAAATTTATTTTTAAAATGGGCAAAGACCTGAAGAGAAACCACATCTAAAAGTAAAGATAAAAAGTGATCAGTTTGATTTTTATTAGGTAAATGTACATTTAATATTCAAAAAATACTGCTAACCTGCTAAAATGGGTAAAATAAACAATATAGACAATACCAAATGGTGAAGAGAAAGCTGAAAATCAGGAACTTTCACTTACTGCTGTTGGGAATGCTAAAATGGTACATAGACAACTACAGTTAATAATTTATTGTATATTTGAAAATAGCTAGAAGAGAAAATTTAGAATGTCCTTAACACAAAGAAATAATCAATGATTGAGATGAAGGATATCCCGGTTATCCAGGTTTGATCACTGCACATATTATTTTATCAAAATATCACATGTACCACATAAAGGTTTTGAACTGTTATGTATCTGTATAAATTCAACATTTAAAAATCAAATGCAGGGGAATCCAGCTAATTGCAGATTCCCATTAGATGGGATGCTCTATGTAATCTGTAAACTAATCAGAATCTGTGGGTTTGTAAAAGGACTTTAGAAATCAACTAGATTACTTGTTTCTAAAGATAAGTCTTGCAAGTTTAATTATTTTCCTAATGGGGGGCAATTTTGAACACAGAAGAAATGTTAACATTTGTTTCTTGTAACTTTTCTTCTAGTATCAGGAGAGAAGGTTTGCAGGGAGGAATCTGGGACCATCTTTCATGTCTCAACTTTAAAGTGATTACCTCAATGAATATTTTCTGATACCCCTGATTAGGATAAGTCTCATATATGTCCTATAAACTAAAAACAGAATTCTAAGCAACCCAACTGGCTGAATGGACCCTTCCTCTTCAAAAAGGAGTTCCAGAGATACTTGAAAAGCTAGTTTAGGCCATGTTAGCAAGAAAGGATCAGAAATGCCTCATTATGCACTCCTGCCTTTGGAATTCAAGCACAACTAACCAGCATTTTCATTCAAACAGATCTTAAGGCTCAGAAAATAGATTCTTTGTAGCAGTAAGATACCAAATTCTAACCTGACTCAAGAATAGCATCACATGACAGCAGGCCTTGAGAGGAATCAAAGTCTTTTGCCCTAAAGTATATTTTTGACATATTTTAAATTGCCCTGCACAGTTATATTTTGTGAGAGAAATTTACATTCTGTAGAGAATCGCTTTACCTTTCCAGGTGTTTTTGTTATATGGAGGAGATTAACTGAGAGTCTAGCATCTTTTAAAGGTCTTAATAGAAAACACTTGCCATCTATTGCCTCTAAGGGTGGCCACATAAGAGACTTCATCTGCATAATAAGAATATTGTTCTCCAAAGCCCGCTCTCTAAATCTAGAAACTTTTTCAACTGATTTCAGGTCTTTAGATAAAACCTTAAGTCTTTTAATCAATTGCCAATAAGAAAAACTTTGAATCCACCTGTAAGCTGTAATCCCCTCCCCACACTGCCTCACTTCTTGCTGTTTTGTCTTTATAGACCAAATCAACACATATCTCACATGTATTGATTGATGTCAAATGTCTCTCTAAGACATTAGATATAAGAGCAATCAAACCACTTTGGGCACATGTTCTCAAGGTCTTCTAAGGTGTGTCACAGGGCATGGTCCTCACATTTGGCTCAGAATAAATCTCTCTAAATATTTTGCAAAGTTACCTTTTTTTAATTATACTTTAAGTGATGGGATACATGTGCAGAACGTGCAGGTTTGTTACATAGCTATACATATGCCATGGTGGTTTGCTGCACCCATCAACCCGTCATCTATATTAGGTGTTTCTCCTAATGTTATTCCTCCCCTAGCCCCTCACCCCCCAACAGGCCCTGTTGTGTGATGTTCCCCTCCCTGTGTCCATGTGTTCTCATTGTTCAACTCTCCCTCATGAGGGAGAACATGCAGTGTTTGGTTTTCTGTTCCTGTGTTAGTTTGCTGAGGATGATGGTTTCCAGATTCATCCATGTCCTTGCAAAGAACATGAACTCATTCTTTTTTATGGCTGCATAGTATTCCGTAATGTATATGTGACATATTTTCTTTATCCGGTCTATCACTGATGGGCATTCGGGTTGGTTCCAAGTCTTTGCTATTGTCAACGGTGCTGCAATAAACATACACGTGCATGTGTCTTTATAGTGGATTAATTGTTCATCCTTTGGGTATATACCCAGTAATGGGATTGCTGGGACAAATGGTATCTCTAGGCCTAGATCCTTGAGGAATTGCCACAGTGTCTTCCACAATGGTTGAACTAATTTACCCTCCCACCAATAGTGTAAAAGCATTCCTATTTCTCTACATCCTCTCCAGCATCTGTTGTTTCCTGACTTTTTAATGATTGCCATTCTAACTGGCATGAGATGCTATCTCACTGTGGTTTTGATTTGCATTTCTCTAATGACCAGCGATGATGACCTTTTTTTCATATGTTTGTTGGTCTCATAAATGTTTTCTTTTGAGAAGTGTCTGCTCATATCCTTCACCCACTTTTTGATGGCGTTGTTTGTTTTTTTTCTTTTAAATTTGTCTAAGTTCCTTAGAGATTCTGGATATTAGCTCTTTGTCAGATGGATAGATTGCAAAAATTTTCTCCCATTCTGTAGGTTGCCTGTTCACTCCAATGACAGTTTCTTTTGCTGTGCAGAAGCTCTTTAGTTTAATTAGATCCCATTTGTCAATTTTGGCTTTTGTTGCCATTGCTTTTGGTGTTTTAGTCATGAAGTCCTTGCCCATGCCTATGTCCTGAATGGTATTGCCTAGGTTTTCTTCTAGGGTTTTTATGGTTTTAGGTCTTACATTTAAGTCTTTAATCCATCTTGAGTTAATTTTTGTGTAAAGTGTAAGGAAGGGGTCCAGTTTTAGTTTTCTGCATATGTCTAGCCAGTTTTCCATACACCATTTATTAAATAGGAAATCCTTTCCCCATTGCTTGTTTTTGTCAGGTTTGTCAGAGATCAGATGTTCTAGATGTGTGGGATTATTTCTGAGGCCCCTGTTCTGTTCCATTAGTCTATATATCTGTTTTGGTGTCAGCATCATGCTGTTTTGGTTACTGTAGCCTTATAGTATAGTTTGAAATCAGGTAACATGATGCCTCCAGCTTTGTTTGTTTGTTTGTTTTTGCTTAGGATTGTCTTCGCTTTACAGTCTCTTTTTTGGTTCCATATGAAATGTAAAGTAGTTTTTTTTCTAATTCTGAGAAGAAAGTCAATGGTAGCTTGATGGGGATAGCATTAAATCCATAAATTACTTTGGGCAGTATGGCCGTTTTTACAATATTGATTCTTCCTTTCCATGTCCATGAAATATTTTTCCATTTGTTTGTGTCCTCTCTTATTTCCTTGGGCAGTGGTTTGTAGTTCTCCTTGAAGAGATCCTTCACATCCCTTGTAAGTTGTATTCCTAGGTATTTTATTCTCTTTGTAGCAATTGTGAATGGGAGTTCACTCATTATTTGGTTCTCTGGTTGTCTATTATTGGTGTATAGGAATTGTTGTGATTTTTGCACATTGATTTTGTATCCTGAGACTTTGCTGAAGTCGCTTATCAGCTTAAGGAGATTTTGGGCTGAGAGGAGGAGGTTTTCTAAATATACAATCATGTCATCTGCAAACAGAGATAATTTGACTTCCTCTCTTTCTATTTGAATACCTTTATTTCTTTCTCTGGCCTGATTGCTCTGGCCAGAGCTTCCAATACTATGTTGAATAGGAGGAGTGGTGAGGGAGGGCATCTTTGTCTTTTGCTGGTTTTCAAAGAGAATGCTTCCAGTTTATGCCCATTCAGTATGATATTGGCCGTGGATTTGTCATGAATAGCTCTTATTATTTTGAAATATGTTCCATCAATACCTAGTTTATTGAAAGTTTTTAGCATGAAGTGGTGTTGAATTTTATTGACGGCCTTTTCTGCTTCTATTGAGATAATTGTGTGTTTTTTTCCATTGGTTCTGTTTATGTGATGGATTATGTTTATTGATTTGTGTATGTTGAACCAGCCTTGCATCCCAGGGATGAAGCCGACTTGATCATGGTGGATCAGCTTCTTTATGTGCTGCTGGATTTGGTTGGCCAGTATTTTATTGAGGATTTTTGCATCAATGTTTATCAGGGATATAGGCTTGAAATTTTTTTGGTGTTGTGTCTCTGACAGGTTTTGGTATCAGGATGATGCTGGCTTCATAAAATGAGTTAGGGTGGAGTCCCTCTTTTTCTGTTGTTTGGAATAGTTTCAGAAGGAATGGTACCAGCACCTCTTTGTACCTCTGGAAGAATTCATCTGTGAATCTGTCTTGACCTGGGCTTTTTTTGGTTGGTAGGCAATTAATTACTGCCTCAATTTCAGAACTTGTTATTGGTCTCTTCAGAGATTCGACCTCTTCCTGGTTTAGTTTTGGGAGGGTGTATGTGTCCAGGAAGTTATCCATTTCCTCTGATTTTCTAGTTTATTTGTATAGAGGTGCTTATAGTATTCTCTAATGGTAGTTTGTATTTCTGTGGGATGAGTGACGATATGCCTTTCCTCATTTTTTATTGTGTCTATTTGATTCTTCTCTCTTTTCTTCTTTATTAGTCTGGCTAGCAGTCTATCTATTTTGTTAATCTTTTCAAAAAATCACCTACTGGATTCACTGATTTTTTGAAGGGATTTTTGTGTCTCTATCTCTTTCAGTTCTGCTCTGATCTTAGTTATTTCTTGTCTTCTGCTAGCTTTTGAATTAGTTTGCTCTCGCTTCTCTAGTTCTTTAATTGTGATGTTAGTGTGTTGATTTTAGATCTTTCATGCTTCCTCTTGTGGGCATTTAGTGCTATAAATTTCCCTCTAAACACTGCTTTAGCTGGGTCCCAGAGATTCTGGTACATTGTATCTTTGTTCTCATTGGTTTCAAAGAACTTATTTATTTCTGCCTTAATTTCATTATTTACCCAGTAGTCATTCAGGAGCAGCTTGTTCAGTTTTCATGTACTTGAGCAGTTTTGAAGAGTTTCTTAATCCTGAGTTCTAATTTGATTGCACTGTGGTCTGGGAGACTGTTTGTTCTGATTTCCATTCTTTTGTATTTGCTGAAGAGTGTTTTACTTCCAATAATATGGTCAGTTTTAGAATAAGTGTGATGTGGTGCTGAGAAGAATGTATATTCTGTTGATTTGGGGTGGAGATTTATGTAGATGTCCATTAGATCCACTTGGTCCAGAGCTGATTTCAAGTTCTGAATATCCTTGTTAATTTTCTGTCTCATTGATCTGTCAAATATTGACAGTGAGGTGTTAAAGTCTCCAGCTATTATTGTGCGGGAGTCTAAGTCTCTTTGTAGGTCTCTAAGAACTTGCTTTATGAATCTGGGTGCTCCTGTATTGGGTGAATATATATTTAGGATAGTTAGCTCTTCTCGTTGCATTGATACCTTTACCATTAGGTAATCCTCTTCTTTGTCTTTTTTGATGTTTGTTGGTTTAAAGTCTGTTTTATAACACACTAGGGGTGCAACCACTATTTTTTTTTCTTTCCATTTGATTGGTAAATATTCCTGCATCCCTTTATTTTGAGACCTTGGTGAGTCTTTGCACATGAGATGCGTCTCCTGACTACAGCACACCAATGGGTCTTGAGTCTTGATCTAATTTGTCAGTCTCTGTGTTTTAATTGGGGCATTTAGCCTGTTTACATTTAAGGTTAACATTGTTATGTATAAATTTGATCCTGTCATTATGATGTTAGCTGATTGTTGTGCCCATTAGTTGATGTAGTTTCTTCATACTGTTGATGATCTTTACAATTTGGTATGTTTTTGCAGTGGCTGGTACTGGTTTTTCCTTTCCATATTTAGTGCTTCCCTCAGAAGCTCTTGTAAGGCAGGCCTGGTGGTGCAAAAAATCTCAGTATTTGCTTGTCTGTAAAGGTTTTTATTTATCCTTTGCTTATGAAGTTTAGTTTGGCTGGATATGAAATTCTGGGTTGAAAATTCTTTTCTTTAAGAATATTGAATATTGGCCCCTACTCTCTTCTGGCTTGTAGGGTTTCTGCAGAGAGATCTGCTGATAGTCTGATGGGCTTCCCTTTACGGGTAAACCGACCTTTCTCTCTGGCTGCCCTTAACATTTTTTCATTCATTTCAACCTTGGTGAATCTGAAGATTATGTGTCTTGCAGTTGCTCTTCCCGAGGAGTATCTCTGTATTTCCTGAATTTGAATGTTGGCCTGTCTTGCTAGGTTGGGAAAGTTCTCCTGGATAATATCCTGAAGAGTGTTTTCCAACTTGGTTCCATTCTCCCCATCACTTTCAGGTACACCAGTCAAACGAAGGTTTGGTCTTATCACATACTCCAATATTTCTTGGAGGCTTTGTTCATTCCTTTCATTCTTTTTTCTCTAATCTTGTGTTCACACTTTATTTCATTAAATTGGTCTTGAATCTCTGATATCCTTTCTTCCACTTGTTCAATTCAACTATTGATATTTGTGTATGCGTCACGAAGTTGTTGTGCTGTGTTTTACAGCTCCATCAGGTAATTTATGTTCTTCTTTAAACTGGTTATTCTAGTTAGCAATTCGTCTAACCTTTTTTCAAGGTTCTTAGCTTCCCTGCATTGGGTTAGAACACGCTCCTTTGCCTCAGAGGAGTTTGTTATTACCCACCTTCTGATGCCTCCTTCTGTCAGTTCGTCAAACTCATTTTCCGTCCAGTTTTGTTCCCCTTGCTGATGAGGAGTTGTGATCCTTTAGAGGAGAAGAGGTGTTCTGGTTTTGGGAATTTTAAGCCCTTTTGAACTGGTTTATCCTCATCTTTGTGGATTTATCTACCTTTGGTCTTTGATGTTGGTGACCTTCAGATGGGGTTTCTGTGTGGACGTCCTTTTTGTTGATGTTGATACTATTCCTTTCTGTTTGTTAGTTTTCCTTCTAAAAGTCAGGCCTCTCAGCTGCAGGTCTGCTGAGTTTGCTGGAGATCCACTCTAGATCCTATTTGCCTGGGTATCACCAGCAGAGACTGCAGAACAGCAAAGATTGCTGCCTGCTTCTTCTTCTGATTCGTCCTAGAGGGGCACCTGCCAGATGCCTGCTGGAGCACTCCTGTATGAGGAGTCTGTCAACCCCTGTTGGGAGGTGTCTCCCAGTCAGGAGGCATGGGGGCCAGGGACCCACTGGAAGAGGCGGTCTGTCCCTTAGCAGCGTGGAGCGCTGTGTTGGGAGATCTGCTCATCTCTTCAGAGCCAGCAGGCAGGAATGTTTAAGTCTGCTGAAGCTGTGTCCACAGCCACCCCTTCCCCCAAGTGCTCTGTCCCAGGGAGATGGGGGTTTTATCTATAAGCCCCTGACTGGGACAGTTGCCTTTTTTTCCGAGATGCCCTGCATAGCGAGGAGGAATCTAGAAAGGCAGTCTAGCTACAGCAGCTTTGCTGAGCTGTGGTGGGCTCCGGCCAGTTTGAACTTCCAGGTGACTCTGTTTACACTGTGAGGGGAAAACTGCCTTCTCAAGCCTCAGTAATGGCAAACGCCCATCCGCCCACCAAGCTCGAGCATCCCAGGTCAACTTCAGACTGCTGTCCGGGCAGCAAGAATCTCAAGCCAGTGGATTTTAGCTTGCTGGGCTCCGTAGGGGGGGATCCATTGAGCTAGACCACTTGGCTCCCTGCCTTCAGCCCCCTTTCCAGGGGAGTGAAAGGTGCTCTCTCGCTGGCGTTCCAGGTGCCACAGGAGTATAAAAAAAAAAAAACAACTCTTGCAGCTAGCTTGGTGTCTGCCCAAATGGCCCGGTTTTGTGGTTGAAACCCAGGGTCCTGGTGGTGTAGGAACCCGAGGGAATCTCCTGGTCTGCGGGTTTTGAAGACCGTGGGAAAAGTGTAGTATCTGGGCCAGAGTGCACCTTTCCTCAGGGCACAGTCTCTCACCGGGCACAGTCCCTCACGGCCTCCCTTGGCTAGGGGAGGGAGTTCCCTGACCCACTGGACTTCCTGGGGGAGGTGACACCCCACCCTGCTTCAACTCGCCCTCCGTGGGCTGCACCCACTGTCTAACCAGTCCCAATGAGATGACCCTCAGTTCGAAATGCTGACATCGGCGAACGCAGGAGGCCATGGCCGCCACCGCCACTGCCTCCGAGGCCGGGCGCAGAAGAGCCGCCGCTGTGAGCGGCGCAGTCCCGGCCCCCGCCGCCGCCCGAGGAGAACGGGAGGGCGGGCGAGAGAGCCGGGGAGTTGCGGAGCCCGCCCGCCGCCGGCAGCACCGCTCCCCAGGGAGGGAGTCCACAGCCTGAGGTTATATCTTAAGTGTGGTGCTGCTAACATTGCCCAGGCAACATCTGGTTCAGCTTTATCTATATTTTTTGACTGCTCTGCTTTTCTATACTGGACATCAAATTTCCAGGGACTACGTTCGGAGTGAACTGCAGTTTGCCTGTGAGGGACCAATGTATTTAGAACCTCTCTCTATGAATCGGTTTACCACAGCCTTAATAGGTCAGTTGGTGGTGTGTACTTTATGCTCCTGTGTCATGAAAACAAAGCAGATTTGGCTGTTTTCAGCTCACGTGCTTCCTCTGCTAGCACGACTCTGCCTGGTTCCTTTGGAGACAATTGTTATCATCAATAAATTTGCTATGATTTTTACTGGATTGGAAGTTCTCTATTTTCTTGGGTCTAATCTTTTGCTACCTTATAACCTTGCTAAATCTGCACACAGAGAATTGGTTCAGGTAGTGGAGGTATATGGCCTTCTCACCTTGGGAATGTCCTTGTGGAATCAACTGGTAGTCCCTGTTCTTTTCATGGTTTTCTGGCTCATCTTATTTGCTCTTCAGATTTACTCCTATTTCAGTACTCGAGATCAGCCGGCATCACGTGAGAGGCTTCTTTTCCTTTTTCTGACAAGTATTGCAGAATGCTGCAGCACTCCTTACTCTCTTTTGGGTTTGGTCTTCACGGTTTCTTTTGTTGCCTTGGGTGTTCTCACACTCTGCGAGTTTCACTTGCAGGGTTATCGAGCTTTCAGGAATGATCCTGCCATGAATTGGGGCATGACAGGAGGAGTAACGCTGTTAATCCTGGCAGTGCAGACTGGGCTGATAGAACTGCAGGTTGTTCATCGGGCATTCCTGCTCAGTATTATCCTTTTCATTGTTGCAGCTTCTATCCTACAGTCTATGTTAGAAATTGCAGATCCTATTTTTTTGGCACTGGGAGCATCCAGAGACAAGAGCTTGTGGAAACACTTCCGTGCTGTGCGACTTTGTTTATTTTTATTGGTATTCCCTGCTCATATGGCTTATATGATTTGCCAGTTTTTCCACCTGGATTTTTGGCTTCTTATCATTATTTCCAGCAGCATTCTTACCTCTCTTCAGGTTCTGGGAACACTTTTTATTTATGTCTGATTTACGGTTGAGGAATTCAGAAAAGAGCCGGTGGAAAACATGGATGATGTCATCTACTATGTGAATGGCACTTACCACCTGCTGGAGTTTCTTGCGGCCGTCTGTATGGTGGCCTATTGCGTCTCAGAGACCATCTTTGGAGAATGGACAGTGATGGGCTCAATGATCATCCATTCATTCCTACTATAACGTGTGGCTTCAGGCCCAGCTGGGGTGGAAGAGCTTTCTTCCTGGGGTTTTACTATGTTGACCAGGATTGTCTCAGTCTCCTCAGCTGAGGTCAGGAGTTCGAGACCAGCCTGGCCAATATGGTGAAACCCTGTCTCTACCAAAAATACAAAAATTAGCTGGGTGTGGTGGCGCATGCCTGTAATCCCAGCTACTGAGGAGACTGAGGCAGGAGAATTGATTGAACCCAAGCGGCAGAGGTTGCAGTGAGCCGAGATTGCACCACTGCACTCCAACCTGAGCAACAGAGCAAGATTCTGTCTTAAAAAAATAGGTCAGGTGCAGTGGCTCATGCCTGTAATCCCAGCACTTTGGGAGGCTGAGGTGGGCAGATCACGATGTCAGGAGTTCAAGACCAGCCTGGCCAACTTGGTGAAACCCCGTCTCTACTAAAATACAAAAACTAGCCAGGTGTGGTGGCGGGTGCCTGTAGTCTCAGCTACTCAGGAGGCTGAGGCAGGAGAATTGCTTGAACCTGGGAGACGGAGGTTGCAGTGAGCTGAGATCATGCCATTGCCTCCAGCCTGGGCAATAGAGTGAGACTCCATCTCCAAATAAATAAATAAATAAATGAATAAATAAATGAATGAATGAATAAGTAAATGGAAAAAGAGTGGCCAGTAGGGGAAGGCAAAAGGAAAAACAAGCGGGAAGGGAGAGCATATTGAAAAGCCAAGCGATTGTGTTCCTTTTAGTCTTTGATCAGCATTCATGGAACCCACATTTTACATGCGGAAAGAAAAGGGTGGAGGAATAGTCAATTATGTATTCATCTTGCACTCAGTGAATCTGCATTTTTACAGAAGAAAAATACACATAGACTACAGGAAACAGTCAGATATGCTTTTGTCTCCAGTGTGCAGATGGATGACTTTTAAATCTGTCCTTTGTCCCTTACCTGTGAAGACAAGTTTTTCATTTATGTTGTCAGGGTGAGATTCAACCTAACTGTTTTGGCTGGGTATGGTGGCTCATGCCTGTAATCCCAGTTCTTTAGGAGGCTGAGGTAGGTGAATTGCATGAGGCCAGGAGTTGGAGACCAGCCTGGCCAATATGGTGAAACCCTGTCTCTACTACAAATACAAAAATTACCCGAGTATGGTGGTGCATGCCTGTAATACTAGCTACTGAGGAGGCTGAGGCAGGAGAATTGCTTGAACCAGGAGCCAGAGGTTGCAGTGAGCCAAGATCACACCATTGCACTCTAGCCTGGGCAATAGAGCAAGACTCTGTCTCAAAAACTAAACAAAACAAAACCCAGAACTGTTTTAGATGAAATTCAAGAAATTCAACAGAGCTGTTTGTTTTCCTTTCACACATTCAATGTCAGTAACTCATCTTTCTGGGTTTGAGATACTGAATGAGCAATGTATGGTCTCATCCAAACCCTGGTAGATTTCTCGCCTAAGAAATTTTGAGTATCAAGACCATACCCTCTTCCCTGAATAATGACTGCTAAAGGCAAAGAAATCTCAGGACCACCAACTCACTAAGCCAAAAGCAAAAGTCAAGCTGGAAACTGGATCATGCAAACCTGCCTCCCCCATTTTGTTCCTAAATAGATACCTACAAAGATTTTTTTAAAAAGCTACATACTTCCCTCACAATTTGCCCATGAAGAAATTCCTCGTGGGCCTCAAGATTTTGACCTTAGAACAGTTCTGTTGAATTTCCCTGACAATGTAAATTGATAGCTTATCCTTGCAGGACAAAGGACAGAACTCAAGGTCATCCCTCTGCTCACCTGGGACAAATGCATATCTGACTGCTTCCTCTGCCCAATGTTTACTTTATCTTTTTTTTTAATTAAAAAAAATAGAGACAGAATCTCACTATGTTGCCTAAGCTGGTCTCAAACTCCTGACCTCAAGTGATCTGCCTGCCTTGGCCTCCCAAAGTGCAGGGATTACAGGCATGAGCCACTATGCCCGGCCGCTGTCCTGACTTTCATGACTTCATGACATAGGCATGATTTGGTTTCTAGTTTGTTTTTTGTTTCGTTTCATTTTGTTTTGTTTTTGAGACGGGGTCTAGCTCTGTCACCCAAGCTGGCATGCAGTGCTGCAATCATAGCTGGCTGCAGCCTTGATCTCCTGGACTCAATTGATCATCCCACCTCTGCCTCCTGAGTAGCTGGACCACAGGCATGCACTACCATGCCTGGCTATTTTTTTTTTATTTGTAGAGATGAATTCTCAGTATGTTGCCCAGGCTGGTCTCAAACTCCTGGCCTCAAGTGATCTTCCCGCCTTGGCCTCCCAAAATGCTGGGATTTCAGACATGAGCCACCCACGATGGCCACATAAGCACGACTGATTAAATCATTGACCACTGGTGATCAACTCAACCTTCAGCTCCTCCCCATCCCTGGAAATCAGGGGATAGGGGGCTGAAAAGTTTAACCCCGTATTCACGAGGTTGGTTCCCCTGGCCACCAGTCCTTTGGGAGTCCCCAGAAATCAGTCGTCTCATTAGCATCCATAAAGACACATCACTTGGGAGATTCCAAGGGTTTCAGGAGCTGTGCACCAGGAGACAGGGACAGAGACCATATATGTGTGTTTGTGTGTATGTGTGTGTGTGCGAGTGTGTGTATTCTTTTTCTGTGTTATTTTCTTTTACACTGTAGCTCTCAGATCTTACAAATATACATTTCTTATTATTTCATGTTTATATTATAAAAGAAAAATAAAATCTTGGGATCTCAGACTCACTACGCTACAGGGAAAAGGCTAGCTGGGAACTGTGTCACACAAACCTGTCTCTCATTTTTTTTTTTTTCCTAAATACATAACTATAAAGATAAAAGGCTACATACCTCCCACAGAATTTGCTCAAAGGAAATTCCTTGTGGGTCTCAAGATATTGACCCTAAAAGAGTTGTGTTGAGGCTGGTGCAGTGGCTAGCACCTACAATCCCAGCACTTTGGGAGGCTGAGACAGGTGGATCACCTGAGGTCAGGAGTTCGAGACCAGCCTGACCACCATGGTGAATGGTGAAACCCCATCTCTACTAAAAATACAAAAAAATTAGCCAGGCGTGGTGGCAGGTGCCTGTAATTCCAGGTACTCAGGAGGCTGAGGCAGGAGAATGGCTTGAACCTGGGAAGCAGGTGCTTACACCCACCTGCTAACACAGGGAGAGTCATCATCATAGTCAAGTCTTTCAGTGGTCAGCGTGAGCATTCCGTGAGCATAGCTCATTTCTCAGAGCTGAGAGGGTGGTCCTGACTGGCTTGCTCCCTCCCAGTGCGCCTCTGTCTCCTCTCCACGCTGCCTGCCTCCCGGGGGCCTGGGCAGCCCCTCCTTCCTGCTGATTTACCTCAGCCCAGCTCCTGCTCGGGGGGAGCCCTGCAGAGCCCTCACTGGGCACCTCTCTCAGAGGCACTGGGCCCCACAGGTAACTGAGCAGGTGCAGCCATCGCTCAGTACAGCTCCTGGGGACAGGTCAGGTGGGTTAGGCTGGGGCTCTGGTGAGGTCAGGCCACACCAACCAGGGGAGACAAGAGCTGAGACACCTCACTTCCCATGTCTCTCTTTTCACGTCTCTTAGGGCAGTCTTCCCCCAGCTGTGTAGCTCAGGAAGAACTCTCAGGATTCATGTGGAGAAAGAGGCTGTGACCACCCCAGAGGCCTCTTCTCCAGTGAGAAGCAGGGGGACACCCCGGAGTAGCAGGCATTCTAAAGCTGCCCATGAGCCCTGCGACTGGCTCTGTTCCCAGCAGGGAGGTGGAGAGGATGCCACTCAGAAATCACCTCGGAGCCCCGAGAAGAGGGAGGTCTAGAAGTTGATTTCTTGGGAAAGGGCTGTGAGCTCAAAGATGGGCTTAGGAATATGGAACACAGAAAAAAGTTTGATGTGCAAAAATGAAAAAAATATGACTTTTATTAAATCATAAAACTATGATGAAACAGGTGACATCAGTGGAGCAGCCTGCACATTTTCCATCCAGGCATCGTTGAGTCTAGACACGTGTCCCAATTATAGACCATTCAGGCATCTTTGAGTCTAGACACGGTTCCCAATTATAGGCCATCCAGGCATCTTTGAGTCTAGACACATGTCCCAAATTATAGACCATCCAGGCATCTTTGAGTCTAGACACGTGTCCCAATTATAGACCATCCAGCCATCTTTGAGTCTAGACACATGTCCCAAATTATAGACCATCCAGGCATCTTTGAGTCTAGACACATCCCAATCATAGACAATCCAGGCATCATTGAGTCTAGACACATGTCCCAATTATAGACCATCCAGGCATCTTTGAGTCTAGACACGTGTCCCAATTATAGACCATTCCCACACAGGTGCAAATAATCCATAATGTCTGTGTGCCAACTGGGGCATATCAGACAATGCTTGGCCAGTGTAAGGACAAGACATCAGATCCTTCTAGCAGATGAAGGTCTAAGGAACTCCATCTTTGTGGAAAGCAGAGAGTGGGGTTTCAGTGCAGGGCACGTGTCTCTGACAAGTGATGCAGTCATGAGAATGCTCAGGCAAAATAACAATAGTAACAGCAAGAAATGAATCCTGTGGATATGAAAGCTGTTTGGAAACTGGGATGCTAACAGCCTGCAGGAGCTCCCCTGTGCAGCTGTGTGAGCAGGAGGGAAGGGAGCAGGTCTTGTCCAGCCCCTCAGGCAGCTCTGGGAAAGGCTGGGGACACACACATGGTGGCTGGCTCAGGCTATGGACTGGAAACTCCAGTTCTCCTCCTTGATTTTGGGAAAAGGGAAAGAATTTGGGGATAGAGGGACCACGGGACATGGAATCGTTTGCTGTAATTTCCTATGTGCTGGAGGCAGATGTTTGCATTCTCATTTCTTGGACATCAACTGGGTCTTTCACAGCTGTGCTGGGCACAGCCGGTGGAGTCCAGGGTTCCTCACAGGATTTCTCCCTGGTGTGACTCTTCCCAGCACAGTGCAGCCACGAATGCATCCCTCATGATGGTTACCATATTTTAGAAATTTCCTGCACAGCACACAGTGCCAGTAGGATGACAGTTCTCTTCACAGTTTCAGTGAAATCCGAGAGATGAGGAAAAAGAACTGTGATGTCACATATGCTCATACAGAATCTTAAACATCTCCATTGTGCTTGCATCTCAGGTGCCTCAGGCCACTCCGTAGCCCAGATATAAAGCAGAGGTTCCATGGCTCAGATGCTGTTCATTCAGGAAAGGAAACCCTGGGTGATGATTCCCTCCCCATATGCCCTCCTTGGTTGCATATGCCCTGAGGCTGGGCCCTGGGGGCCCCTGCCATCCAGGTCCCAGGCACCCCTGCAGTGAGGTTTGTGTCTGGGCCCACACTGGGATCTCCTCTCTGTGTCTCTTACACAGTCATACAGGGCTGTGTCCTCAGTAGTCACAAAACTCAGCTGCAAGGAGAACCGGATGTATCCTGAATGCATCTCTGGAGATGGATACTCAACTTTGATGGTAGGGATAAACTATATGCTCCCTCCATAACAGAGGTGAGCAATCCATTGCATTCCAACCTTTCCCTGCAGGTCGGGGGATCCATCCCCCCTGAGTAACCCCTGGTAACGGAGCAGCGGGAAGCAGCATGGGACACGGAGATTGCCTGCGAGGGCTTTGCCCCTCCTACGGCTGCACCTGGGACAGGACACCTGGGAACAGAGAGGATTGCAGGGAGCTGTGTGCTCAGATGCAGCACCCCCATATCGTCACGTCTGACTCTTTGAGGCTTTCCCATCTGGAAGCTGCCACAGATCCAACGTGCAACATGAGGAAGTTAATAAGGGTGCATTGCATCCAGGACTTTGCTAACTGAGGTTATAGCTGTTCTTGCCAAATGGGGGAGGTGGGTAACTCTGTAAGTTGAGGGCTGCATTAATTTATTTCACTATAGTCATCATTTTACTGTATATATTTATTCCATATCATGTTGTATGTCTTAGATATACATAATACAATTTATTTTTTGAAAAAGAAAATGTAATTGTCAATCTCTACAATGAAATAACAGAATGTCACAAAAATAATATGTCATCTTAAAAAGTATTCTTGTTTTCAGCCATTGCTTACAAATCCCAAAATAATAAAAATAACCATTCCCCATATATTTGGATTCATCTCAGGCAAAACATTAGAAAACAGCCAGATTCATCCATGTAATCTTATCCTTCCTACCACGGATGTGTGTCTCTCTGAAGATGTGACACAGCTCTAGTCATGAGGACAGGAGAGTTGGTCGATTGAGGCATTTCTGATCCTTCCGAAGAGCATTTCAGAGGGAATGCCCTCTCTTCATCCAGCCCATCACTATGTCGGAATGTGACTTTTAAAACTGCTGTCATCATGCCCATAAATAAAGCCTCATAAATAAAGGCAATAAAAGTTGCCTTTCCTTCAATTTGTACTGAAATAGCCACATATAATAATGGAAATGATCTTGAAGTAAAAATTAAATTAAACCAAACAGATTGAAACATTAACCTGAACTTCATGTGAGTTCAAATTTAGTGTGTAGTGAGTAGTGAGACAGGCAGGAGGCGTGGCAGAATATCAAGCTGTGCTCACCCCGTCTCATCTTAGTGAGGAAACTGCCTGCATATTGCTTAGGTGTATTACAGACTCCCATTGGTAATGTGAGCCTCACAATATGTGCTGATGGATCACATCTCAAAACTGAAACTGCATGTTATGGAGAAGGAGGTACCATCACCATCAGCTGAAGTAAACCCACGCTGAATAGTAGAATTTAAGCCAGTGACTAGAATGTGTAAGCTAGCCAAGTCTCAAAAATAGACAAAGAGACTGATATCTAGAAGGTAAGTGTTGAAATAGTGCATGATTTGGGGATGTTTTCAGGGAAAAAGAAGACTTGATGAAACATACCCCAATACTGGACAAGAAGGAAGGAGATCGACTGTCATTTACAACAACATGGATAGATCCAGAGGACGTAGTGCTAAGTGAAATGAGCCAGACACAAGATAAAAATACAGCAAGTTCTCACTTACATGTAAAATCTTTAAAAATATCAAATCCATAGAAACAGAGAGTGAAATGATGGCTACCAGGGGTGTGGAGAGGTAGGAAATGGGGAGAAATAGGTGAAAGTTAACACATTTGCAGTCACGCAGAAGCTACAGAAGTTAGAGTTTGCAGTTATGCAGACGCTACACAAGAAAGAGCTTGCAGTTATAAAATCAAGAGCTCTTGTGTGCAGCAGGTAGGCTGTAGTTATATTTTATTGTATACTGAACATTTGCTAAAAGAGTAGAATTTAGTTTCTCCTGCTACAAAACGGTAACCATAAAAGGAAATTGATTGGTTAATTTGCTGCTAGGTTGTGGTAACCTTTTTACTATGCATGTGTATATCTAAACACCATGTTGTACACTCTTAATGTACACAGCAGAAAACATTGAAAACAAGTAGAACATAATCATCACCAAAAAAGATGGACAATGTTAAGGAACCTTTAAATACACACCTCCTTTCCCTGTGCTGGCTGATGTGAAGATTGGCACCCACACAAATTAGGTAGTAAGGAAGTGAAAGAGCATACTCCAGCAGATTATTATTCAAAACTAGTCGCTGTAACCTAGGTTATAATCCTATTTAAACATTCAAGTGATCAAGCTCTGGAGGCATTCAGAAAGCCATTACAGAATATGAATGTTTAACTCCTGATTTTAAATTTAAAATAATAGAAAAATCTGGTTGTGTAACTAACTCTGATAATTTCTTTGTTTTTCTTTTTTCTTTTATTTTTATTATACTTTAAGTTCTAGGGTATACGTGCACAATGTGCAGGTTTGTTACATATGTATACATGTGCCACATTGGTGTGCTGCACCCATTAACTCGTCATTTACATTAGGTATATCTCCTAGTGCTATCCCTCCCCCTCCCCCCACACCACTACAGGCCCCAGTGTGTGACGTTCCCCTTCCTGTGTCCAAGTGGTCTCTTTGTTCAATTCCCACCTCTGAGCGAGAACACGTGGTGTTTGATTTTTTGTCCTTGCGATAGTTTGCTGAGAATGTTGGTTTCCAGTCTCATCCATGTCCCTACAAAGGACATGAACTCATCCTTTTTTATGGCTGCATAGTATTCCATGGTGTATATGTGCCACATTTTCTTAATCCAGTCTATCATTGCTGGACATTTAGGTTGGTTCCAAGTCTTTGCTATTGTGAACAGTGCCACAATAAACATACGTGTGCATGTGTCTTTATAGCAGCGTGATTTATAGTCCTTTGGGTATATACCCAGTAATGGGATGGCTGGGCCAAATGGTATTTCTAGTCCTAGATCCCTAAGGAATCGCCACACTGACTTCCACAATGGTTGAACTAGTTTACAGTCCCACCAGCAGTGTAAAAGTGTTCCTATTTCTCCACATCCTCTCCAACACCTGTTGTTTCCTGACTTTTTAATGATCGCCATTCTAACTGGTGTGAGATGGTATCTCATTGTGGTTTTGATCTGCATTTCTCTGATGGCTAGTGATGAGGAGCATTTTTTCATGTGTCTTTTGGCTGCATAAATGTCTTCTTTTGAGAAGTGTCTATTCATATCCTTCGCCCACTTTTTGATGGCGTTGTTTTTCTCTTGTAAATTTGTTTGCTAACTCTGGTAATTTATGAAGCTCTCAAGATACATGCTTGGTGGGACCAGATGAGCTCAAGTAGATGTTATCTTGATTTCTCCATGAAACCATGATTTCTCCACGAATCTTGAGGTGTATGGTAATTGGTTATTGTCTCCAATCAACATCTGATGGTAAAATCTAAAGTCACAGCTGTGGTTGTCGTTGCATCAGTTGTGACCAGTCAACAACATCGTGCTGGTAAAAGAGTGATGGTAACCCTGGGGAGAAACCAAAGCTCAAAAATACTTTGAACACAGTTAAAATGATTTAACCCAAGAATTATCCACTTGGAGTTTGGGTATGTGTTATTTATGGTGTGACTACATTCAGAATGGCTTGAAGCATCTCCTTGCCAAAAGGCTACAGGTGTTTGTTTGTTTGTTTGTTTGTTTGTTTGTTTGTTTGTTTTTGAGATGGAGTTGCCCAGGCTGGAGTGCAATGGCAAGATCTCTGCTCACTGCAACCTCAGCCTCCCTGGTTCAAGCTGTTCTCCTGCCTTAGCCCTCCAAGTAGCTGTGATTACAGGCATGCGCCACCACACTCTGCCAATGTTGTATTTTTAGTAGAGACAGGGTTTCTCCATGTTGGTCAGGCTGGTCTCGAACTCCCGACTTCAGGTGATCCGCCCACGCTGGCCTCCCAAAGTGCTGGGATTACAGGTTTGAGCCACCGTGCCAGGCCAGGCTACAGCTCTTAGAGTTACTACAAAGATGTTTGATTTTGTGTTTCAAACAGGAACATCTCAGAGATGTATCCCACTTTATCATGCATTTCTGGTGGTGGGATAGGTTCCTTTTATTGTGCTGTTGAATTTGATTTGCTGGGTTTTGTTGAATTTTGTACCTATACAAATTAGGGATATGAACTGTAGTTCTCTTTTCTTAAATGGCCTTTGCCTGTCTTTGGTATCAGACTGAGAGTGCTCACATAAAAATATTTTGAAAGTGTTCCTTTAACTTTCTAGGAGAGTTTAGAGTTATTAGTTTTAGTTCTTCTTTAAACATTTGGTAGAATTCACTGGAGAAACCACTTGAACTTGATTTTCAAATCTTCTTGATTGGGAGATTTTTGATTGCTGTTTCAATCTCCTTGTTCATTTTTGGTCTCTTCAGGTTTTCTATTTCTTTATGATTCAGTCTTGGTAGAATGTATGTTTTGAGGAATTTACCCATTTCTTCTAGGTTATCCAGTGTGTTGGTGTTTATTCAATAATGATTTATAGTCGTCTCCATGTATGAGTCTGTTTTTGCCCTACTATTAATACCTGAGTCAGGGTAATTTATGAAAAAAAAAAAAGAAGTTCTGCAGGCTGTACAGAAAGCATGGCAAGATCTGCATCTGGGGAGGCCTCAGGAAACTCAGTCACGGTGGAAGGTAAAGGAGAACCTCTTCCATGGCTGAAGCAGGAGCAAGAGAGAGAACCGGAGGTGCTGCATGCTTTATTTATTTATTTATTTTTTCTATTATTTAATTAATTATTTATTTTTTCTATTATTTATTTATTTATTTTTTAGACACAGTCTCACTCTGTGGCCCAGGCTGGAGTGCAGTGGCACGATTTCAGCTCACTGCAAACTCCGCCTACCGGCTTCACGCCATTCTCCTGCCTCAGCCTCCTGACTAGCTGGGACTACAGGCACTCCCCACCACGCCTGGCTAATTTTTTGTATTTCTTCGTGGAGACAGGGTTTCACCGTGTTAGCCAGGATGGTCTCCTCCTGACCTCGCGATCCGCCCACCACGGCCTCCCAGAGTGCTGGGATTACAGGCATGAACCACCGCATCCGGCCACGCTACATGCTTTTAAACAACCAGATCTCAGGAGAACTCACTATCGGACGACAGCACCAAGGGGCATGGTGTTAAACCATGAGAAACCAACCTTCTCCCATGATCCAATCACCTCCGGCTGAGCCCCAACCTCCAACACTGAGGATTACAACTGAACATGACATTTGGTTGGGGACACAGATCCAGATCATATCACATCATGATCATTTTTATTTCTGTAGCATCAGTTGTAATGTCTCCTTGATCAGTTCTGATGCTATTTATTTGAGTATTCTTTTTTTGTAGTCTAGCTAAAGTTTTGTCAATTTTGTCTTTTTTTTCAAAAGCCCTTAGTTTGTTGATTTTTCCTATTATTTTTCTGTTTTGTATTTCATTAATTTCTACTCTAATCTTTATTATTTCATTCTAACTTAGGACTTACTTATTCTTTCTCTAAATCCGGAGGTGTAAGATTAATAAGATTAATTTAGGTTCTTTCTCTTCTTTTTTTTTATTTTTCTATTTAATGCTAGATGACACATTAGTGGGTGCAGCGCACCAGCATGGCACATGTATACATATGTAACTAACCTGCACAATGTGCACATGTACCCTAAAACTTAGAGTATAAAAAAAAAAAAAAAAAAAAACTTTGGATCTTTACCAGTCTAGTAATGAATAATAGTTATCTTGGTATCCTTGTCTTTGTATTATTATGAGTGAACGTGGACATTGTTTCATTCATTTAAGAGACATATTTATTTCTCTAATGTAAATTAAGTGCTTATATATTTTTGTCAATTGCATAATGTGTTATTAGACTTTTGAAACTGATTTGTAGATACTCTTTATGTTTGAAATGGGAGATAAACTCTTAATGACAAAAAAAAAAGATTAATAAGATTAATTTAGGTTCTTTTTCTTCTTTTTTTTATTTTTCTATTATTTTTTTCAAACTCTTTTTTTTATACTTTAAGTTCTAGGGTACATGTGCACAACGTGCAGGTTTGTTACAAATGTATACATGCACCATGTTGGTGTGCTGCACCCATTAACTCATCATTTACATTAGGTATATCTCCTAAGGCTATCCCTCCCCCCTCCCCCCACCCCATGACAGGCCCTGGTGTGTGATGTTCCCCACCCTATGTCCAAGTGTTCTCATTGTTCAATTCCCACCCATGAGTGAGAACATGCGGTTTTTGGTTTTTTATCCTTGTGATAGTTTGCTGAGAATGATGGTTTCCAGCTTCATCCATGTCCCTACAAAGGACATGAACTCATCCTTTTCTATGGCTGCATAGTATTCCATGGTGTATATGTGCCACATTTTCTTAAGCCAGTCTATCATTGCTGGACATTTGGGTTGGTTCCAAGTCTTTGCTGTTGTGAATAGTGCCGCAATAAACATCGAGTGCAGTGGTGCAATGTCGGCTCACCACAACCTCCACCTCCTGAGTAGTTTGGATTATAGGCATGAGTCACCACACCCAGGTAATTTTTGTATTTTTGTATTTTTAGTAGAGACAGGGCTTCACCATGTTGGCCAGGCTGGTCTTGAGCTCCTGACCTCAAATTATCCACCAACCTCAGCCTCTCAAAGTGCTAGGATTACAGGTGAGAGCCACCATGTCCAGCCCCTTTCTTCTCTTTTAATGTAGGTGGGCATCATTATGAATTTCCCTCTTAGTACTGCTTTTGCAGTATCCCATGTTTCAATGTAGTGCGTTTTCACTGTCATTTATTTCAAAATATTTTCTACCTTATCTTTTAAGTTTGCTTAGCTTATACTTCTTTGTAAATTTTCAACTTTTTCCCTATTAGTGATTTCTAGTTTCAATCCATTGTCAGAAATGATACTTGATGCGATTCAGTCTTCTTAATTTTGTTGAGTCTTCTTTGTGACCTAACATGTGAGGTAATCATCCCTCAGCCTTTTGGCTAAGGTCATGTGTAGTACCTAGCACGTGATCTATCCTGAAGAATGTTCCCTGTGCATTTGGGGAGAATGCATGCTCTGCTGGACTTGAATTGAATGTTCTGTATCTATCTGTTAGGTCAATTTGGTCTCTAGTGCTATTCAGGTCTGCTGTTTCCCTACTGATTTTCTGTCTGTATGTTCTATCTATTGATGAACGTGGGGTGTTGAAATCTCCTAATTGTATTGTATTGCTTTCTGTGTCTCCTCTCTGATCTGTAAATGATAGTTTTATATGTCTAGGTACTTCGATGTTGGATGCATGTGTGTGTGTGCATAACTGTATCTTTCTGATAAGTGAAACTTTGTATCACATATAATAATTATATAAGACAAAGATCTTTGTCTTTTGTGAGAGCTTTTTACTTAAAATCTATTTTTTTCTGATATATATGTAGATACTCCCACCTCACTCTCTTTTGGTTAACATTTACATGAAATGTCTTCTTTCATTCCTTCTTTTCAGTTTCAGTGTATGTGTGTCCTTTAGTCTGACAGTCTTGAGTGATCATCCAGGAGCAAGATGGCGGAATAGGACTCTCCAGTGATGGTTCCCTGCCGGAATATTAATCTGAACAACTATCCACGTCCAAAAATCCTTCACAAGAGCTAAGGAAGCCAAGTGAGAGATCCCCATACCTGGTTACAGCCTAAAAGTAAGAAACGACACACTGAAGAGAATAAGAACAACAGTTCAGCATGACCTGTGTCACTCCTGTCCCAACGCCAGGTAGCATAGTGTGAGGAGCGATGCCGTCTAGTTGGGGGAAAAGAGAAGGAAGGAGCAACCACTGCCATTTTGTTGCCCATTTTCTGGCAGTTTTGAGACTCCTGTCTCCCTTCCTTCCTTTCTTCCTTCCTTCCTTCCTTCCTTCCTTCCTTCTTTCCTTCCTTCTTCCCTCCCTCCCTCCCTTTCTTTCTTTCTTTCTTTCTCTTTCTTTCTTTCTTCCTTCCTTCCTTCCTTCCTTCCTTCCTTCTTTCTTTCTTTTTCTTGTTTTTGTGGTTCAGTGATTTTCTTCAGTAGAATTTGTTGCTTCTGATTTTTAGTGAATCAGTTATAGGTTTTTGTGCTGTGGTCATCATGAGTCTTAAAAGAAACACCTTATAGATATGAGAAGTTATTTAAAGGAGACGACAACTCAAATGAAAGAACAGAAACAAGCAAAGGCAAAAAAGACACAGAAAAATTCTACATTTTGACTCCATCCGCTGGGTTTCTCCATGTACCTAATTTTACCAGTGGGTTTTATATTTATAAAAGTTTTGTTTTATTCTTTAGCATTTTTTTCTTTGAGATTTAAGAACTCCCTTTAGCATTTCTTGTAAGATGGGCCCGAGGGTGGTGAATCCTCTCATCTTTTTTCTGTTTAGGAAAGTCTTTATCTCTCCTTTCAATTGGAGGGGTAATTTGCTGAAGAATATATTCTTGGATGGCAGGTTTTTTTTCTTTTGAGCACTTAAAAAATGTCAATCCATTCCCTCCTGGCCTGTGTAATCTGCATTGAGAAGCCTGTTGCCAGAGGAATTGGAATGCCTTCATATGTTATTTGTTTCTTTCCTCTTGCTGGTTTTAGGATCCATTTTTTGTCCTTGTCTTTGAAAGTGTGATTAGTATATGTCTTGTAGTAGTCTTATTTTTGTTGATTCTGTTTGGTGTTGTCATGCCTTCCTGTACCTGGATATTTATATCTTTCTCAAGTTTTGGAAATTTATCTGTTATTATTTCTTTAAGTAAGCTTTCTACACCTTACTCTTGCTCAGCTCCCTGTTAAACAGCAAGAATTCTTTTGAGTTCTTCCTTGTCTGATGGAGAATAGTACTGATTTTTTCCAGCTGGATTACACACTTGTGCCACCCACTCCAGTCTGCTGGACACAGCTCAAGCTATTGTTAGCGAAGGTGAAACCAGAGTCTTTGCAGAAGGCTCAGAGAATGCCCAGGGCAGCCTCATGTGTCCTCGACCTCCCCCAGCTGAAGTTCACAAGGGAGTCCTGGAAGCACAGAGAAAACACACTGAGAGCAGCCCTGTGTGGGGCAGCCACAAGTGAGCCTGCTGCAGGAGGGATGCTCCCTCAACAGTGATGAGCAGGCACAGGCTCCATGGTGGGGATGCTGAGGAGGGACCCAAACATGGGCTGGCTCCTCACCAGGGCCTGCAGGACAGCGGATGAGCTGCTTCTCATGAGCGGGAGCAGAGCTGCATTTCTGTGACATTCTCTCTGCGGACATGTGTGCACTGCTCAGCGGGGCTCCTCCCTTCCCTGCCTCTGGATGTTAGGAAGGGCAGCTGGCAAAGGTACCCTGGGACTGGATGCTCAGGGCATCTCTGCCCATCAGCCTTTGTTTTCCTTTCATGTGGACACTGTCTTGGAATCTGTCTGGATGAACGCTTACTACCAATGAAATCCAGTAAAGTCACAGAAAGGAAACTTGCACAAAGAAAGTGGCTATTCGACTCTAGTCAGCTCTAGCACACTGTGGAGGGCTGTAGAACACTGTCCTCAACCAGAAGGCAAAGTGCCTGAGTAAAAGGAAAAGAATTGTAGGTCTGTATATAGCCAAGACTGGAGCATGTAATTCCAGGAGTCATGAGCTCAGGCTGTCTCCTTTTCCATAACATCCCAGGGTCAGGTCACTGCAAGATGCCTCTTTGTACACCCCCTGTGGAGTGTGGGAAGAGGGTGACAAGGTTCACTGCGTCTGGGAGAAGAATATGGGGACTCCTGGTGACAATGCTGTGACCTACCCTTGGTGCTGCTACTGTGGTCTCTCCTTCTGTGGGGACAAGTGGTCCTAGGGATAGAGTCCCCATGTGCCCTGGACAGATCACTTGGAATGACCACCACAGATGAAAGAATCACTGCTCAATCTTATTTGAGTGTATGGTGAAAATAACACTCAGACACTACCAGGAGGGCTCAGGATGCAGAAGGGGGGGCTCAAAACCAGGGGGCTCAGACACCACCAAAGGGGCTCAGGACCCACCAGTAGGGCTCAGACACTAATAGAGGGGCTCAGGACATCACAAGCGGGGTTCAGACACCACCAGGGTGGCTCAGACCACGAGGGGGAGCTGAGGGCAGGCAGAGGGGCTCAGACACCAGTAGAGCGGCTCAGACACCACCAGGGAAGCTGAGGGAACCAGAGGGGATCAGACACCAGGGGACGATCAGCGCCAGCAGGGGGTGCTCAGGACCTGGCTCGGGAGCAGATGCAAGGTGAAGCTGACATTTCCTTTTTCTCCTTGGTAATTCCTTGGCCTGCCCTGCAAAAATCTTGCTCAGCAGATATTATTGTTTCTTCCCTGTAACTTCTTAGTTCCTCTCATCTGAAAAGGACTAACTTGGAACAGAAATCCCATTTAACTTTTCATACTTCATTTTCAGTCTCCTTCTAGCAATATTTCACTAAAATGTTAATAAGAAACAATGAAGCCACAGTCCAAATGTTAGCACCATGCAAAGATTTGTATGTTTTCTCCACTTTGTCGATTACGACTTAGGAAACTCTTCCCTCAATCCACTGTCTGGTATACACTATGGCGTTGTGTTTCACTTTCTTTCATTGGTTTTGCAAGGAGATGAAGCACCATTTAATGGGATGTGTCCTCTTTTTCTGGTTGGCTCCCCGTGGTGTCCACCTCAGATGGTTTTGCCACCACGATTAATCCGTTAATGCCTTCAGTCACCCTCACTATCCATGTAATGAAGCAATGAGTCCCTTTACTTCATCTACTTGTGTCTCCATGAGTCAGTTCACTCCTCTCCATTCTCACAAAGGACAGCCACCCTCAGGCCACTGCTTCAGAGCCTCATGTAGCCTTGGGTGGTAAACCTATAAAAAGCTCTGGCTATTTAGAAAGAATGTATATTGGAAACTTAATCCCAAATTCCATAGTGTCCAGAGGTAAGAACTTTCAGGAATGATTAGGTCGTGAGGGCTCTGCCCTCATGAAGCAATTAATGCCATTATTGGCAGAGTGGGTTACTCATAGAGGGAGTAGATTAGTTACTACAGGCCTGGGGTCCTCATTAAAAGATGAATTTAGCCCCATTTCTCTCCTTCGCACATGCTTTCCTGCCTCCCACATAGGTGTCACAGCAAGAAGGCCCCTGCAAGATGCTAGCACCTTGATATTGGACTTCCCAGGCTCTAGAACTGTGAGAACACAAATTCTTTTACTTATACTTAGTCAGTCTGTGGTATTGCCTCATTGCACCACAAAGTGGACTAAGACAAAAAAATCAGTATCAAGAGGTGGGGCTTTTGTGATTACAAATACTCCAAAATGTAGAAGTGGATGTAGTAATGCACAAAGTCTGGAATAATTTGGAGGATCAGACTATAAAAAGTCTAGATTGCCCTGAATAGAACACTAGAGGTGATTCTTTTGAGGACTCAGAAGAAGAGAGTTGCGAGGAAATTCTGAAACTTCTTAGAGATTATTCAAGTGATGAACATTAGAATGTTGGTAGAACCATGGACAATAAAGGCCGTTCTGATGACGTCTCAGGAGAAAAAGAAGAATAGCTCATCAGAAAATGGAGCAAAGGCCATCCTTGCCATAAAGTGGCAAAGAATGTGGCTGAATTGTGCTCATCCCTAGGTCTTTCTGTAAAGTGGAAGTTCAGAGCCATAAACGAGGATATATGATGGAAGAAATTTGAAGCAAATCTATGGCCTCACTTCTAGCAGGCACTTTAGGACTCTGTTCCCTGTGTCCAGGCACAGCACTCCTTGGCTGCCCATGCTGTGGCTCAGGAGGACCTAGGTGTGGCTCAAGCCATCACTTCAATGGTACAAGTCATCAACTTCCATGGCATCCATGTGTTGTTAATTCTGCAGGTGTGCAGAATAGAAGAACCACGAGGGCATGGCTTTCTCCACGTAGATTTCAAAGAATGCTGTGGACAGCCTAAGGTCTCGGGCAGTGAGTTGTTGCAGAGACAGAGTCACCACACTGAGCCCTCAGCACAATGCCAAGCAGAAATATGGGTTTGGAGGCACCACAAAGGGTATCCAGTCCACCTAGGAGAGCTAGAGGCTTGACAGTCCCACCTGTGAGAGAGGCTGAGTGGACTGAACCCAGAAAATCCATAGAGGCAAGACTGCCGGAGGCCTTGGGGGCCCATCCCCCTCCCCAGTGTGCACAGGATGCAGTCAAGGAGGATTTTTTCCAGCTTTAAGGCTTAATGTTGTTTCCCATGTTGGGTTTTGGACTATGCACCCCTTCTCCTTGCCTCTCTCTGAGCTTTGAAATGGGAATTTCTATCCCATACCTGCCTCATCATTCACTGTATTTGAAAGTAGATAACTTATTTTGATTTTATAGGCTCACAGATGGAAACAATTTATATCAGACTAAATTGTGCCTTCAGTGTCACTCATATCTGATTTAGATGAGACTTTGGACTTCATACTTTTGCATTGATGCTGGATGAGTTAAGACTTTGAAGACAGTTGGGATGGAATGTATGTAGTTTACATTGTAATTGGGACATACATTTTAGTATTAGGAATGGAATGCTATGGTTTAAATGTGTCACCCAAAGTTTATGATTTGGAAAAAATCTTTAATGCAACAGTGTTGAGAGGTGGGACTTTATTATGTGATCAGGTCATGAAGTCTCTGTCCTCATGAATGGATTACTGTCACTATCATGGGAGTGGGCTAGTTATTACAGGAGCGAGTTTCTAATAAAAGATGGCCTCTTTTTTTCTCACAGACAAGTGGTCTCTTGCTCATCCTCCTCTGCTGTTAGATGATGCAGTGAGAAGGCCTTTTTCAGATGCCAGCCCCTTAATATTGGGCTTCTCTGACTCAAGTACCGTTAAGTATAAATTCCTTTTCTTTAAAAATTGCCCAGTCTCCATGTTGTGGGTGCCTGTAGTCCCAGCTACTCGGGAGGCTGAGGCAGGAGAATGGGGTGAACCCGGGAGACGGAGCTGGCAGTGAACGGAGATCATGCCACTGCCCTTCAGCCTGGGAAACAGAGCGAGGCTCTGTCTCAAAAAAAAGAAATGCCCAGTCTCTGGTATTCTGTTATAGCAACACAAAAACAGACTCAGACTAAGCCATTGTAAGATGTGTGAGGTGATATTTCATCCCAGTTTTAATTTGCATTTCCCTGATGATTAGTGAGTGATGTTGAGCGTTTAAATGTCTTTATGTTGAGTGAAATAAGCCTGGTATAAAAATTACTCCATGATCTCACTTACACATGCAATCTAAAAATGTTGAACTCAGAGAAGTAGAGAGTAGAATGTTGCCTACCAGGAGCTGGCGTTAGGAGGATGTAAAAGCTGAGGCCCTGGTGAAAGGGTACAGAGTTTTGGTTAGACAGAAGGAATTCCTTTGAAGATCTATTGCACACCATGGTCAGACCTCAGTGATACTAATGTACTATATATACTTGAAAACTGATAAGAGAGTAGATTTTACACATTTACACCATAAAAAAAGCAGTATGTGAGGTGACAGACATGTTTATTTACTTGATTTAATAATTTCACAATGCACGCATATATCAAAACATCACGTTGTATGCCCATAATATATGAAATACAATATATTTTTCTAGTAAGTGTGATGCCTCTGTTTCTTCAACAACAGTTGCTGGAGATTGTTTTTTCCTTGGTGTGGACAATGTTTCCTCTCTGCTGTCTTTATACAGTTTTCCTTTCCCATGGGTTGATTTAAGACAGTGACAATTTATTTATTCTATATCTGGTAATTTCACTGAGAAACCTAATGAATAGCCACTTGAAACCATCTGGTGCCACCGAGAAACCATCTGAAGGACACAGATTTTCTGAGTGTAGGCCACAACCATATTTTAACACTTTTTAAATTCAAAATCAGGGTTTAAATTTTGATATTTTACAATGGCTTCTTTGATTCCCTCCCAAGATCCAACCGTTGAGCGTGTGAAAAGGGCTGGAACCCAGGTTACGGCTGTGCTTGGCATGATGATGTCCTGCAGAAATTCCTTTGGCTTTCTACATGTAGCTCAGCCTCCATATCAGCCAGCTCACTTGGAGGTCAGAGTACTTCTCAAAGATCCTCAGTGTGTTGTTTCATTTTGAGAGGTTTCCAGCCCTTGTGAGACACCCCTTGGTTTTACAATCACCACGAAGTTGTTTATGATTCCAAAAACATACCTGCCATCTGTCCATATGTTTGTTCTGCAGCTTTTGATTTCCTAAAATGCTGTAGTAACTGCAATAAGTTCTACCATCTGGATTAATTTTCACCTCAGTTGGAAGAGTGTATTTTAAGATAAAGATAAAATAGTAATAGTATATCCTCCTTGGTAATATCCAGTTCTATACTTTGGGCTATGGTCTGTCAATAAATAATGTTATGTCAGGGTCCTCAATGGAGTGCCTGAACATCTAAGGAAGGTACAGAAGTTTCCCTAACTAAGATAGAAGCCATGGTGAGCACAAGTTTGCTATGCACCCATGTCTCCGGTCTGTCTCACTATGCACCTGACACTCATTTTAACCTCACCAGGAAGTCAGTTAACTTCCAAATCAGTTTATTGTAATGCTTCTAGGTAATTATATGTGGCAATTTCTGGCAGAGATGAATAAAAATCTTCACCAGAGAATCTAATACAGAAGAAAGCAAGAGGCCCTGGGCTTGTTTTCATAAAAGCATCATACACCAGGCAGTTGATTCTTTCGGCTGTCGGCACTGGCACACCCAGCATTCCGGCTTCATCCCTTAAGTAAGCTTCATCGTGCATGGATAGGCTGGAACCTTTCCCGAGGCCATATGCCGATGGATATGCAGCACTGTACCACATGTCCACAGAGATACAAAATCCCCTATGGGAAGAACGAGGCTGGATCAACGGGACTGGCAGTTTCTCACTGAGGAAATGTGAGGTCATCTTCTATGGCGGGCAATTCAGGAAATTACGCAGCAGTTTTGTAATTGATGGTTATGGAAAAATGAACCATTGAGATGACTAATGACTTACATTCCATTATTCCGAGTAAGAAATGGACATCACAGTTCGCCGCAACTAAATTTTCATAACCTAAATGGATTACTTTAAACTTCTTCCTACATCTTCTCTTAATAATTTTTAATAACGAATGTGTCTTACCTATATTCCCAATATTTAAAACTGGGCTGCCAAGAGAGTCTAGAGAATTTGAGAACTAAGAACAGTGAAACTTCTGTATGTTCAGCAGCTGCCAAAGCAACACAATATTCCCCAGGAACACTGTTCTGTGCTTCAGCACAAATCATGCTTGTGTATTTCCTAATGGCTCCAATAGTGACCCTCCATTCCCATCAAACATTTGGCCTCCCCTTTCTCCACGTCCCCTCCATTCACACATTATACTCTCAGCTCTGTCTAGGTATCGTAAAAGCCAGCAAATGGACCCTCCTGATCTCCTGAACATGAAACCCAACACTATCATGTGATCAGCTCCTCTTGGCATGGTGACTTTCAAAGGCATCTCATTTAAATAATCACCATTTTTTTCCTTCTGTAACAAACTGTTTCTTTCCATTGTGCCTTCCCATAAGCATTTTAACATAATTTACTGTCCAACCGCAGTTATTAATACACACAAATGCCACAACCTCTTTCTAGCCCAAGAGACCTGATTAATTTTTCTTTGGGGATGAGCACACCCTAGAAACACATCCCATTCACATAAACACGGGCACACCGATGACTTGTTTTTTTGTGTAAGCAAGAGTTTACACCATTCTCTGTCCAACTCCATGAGCCCCTGAAGACCAAGACACACTCTTTCACACCAGTGCAAGCTCCGGCCCAGGGACAGCCTGCTGAGGAATGGGCTCAGCTGGGTCTGGGTGCTGGGTTCATCTCTTCCCCTCTCCTGTCCCATAGCAGGTCCATCACCCTGCTCAGGTCTGAACAGGAGTGTCTAGGTTTGTCTGGCCATCCGACTTTTTCAATTTTTAGAAGATCTCCTATTACCTACTGTATTCATTTTATAGGGCTTTTATAATGAAATACCACAGATTGGATGGCTTACAATACAAAACCAATTTCCTCACACTTATGGAGGATGAAAGCCTAAGATCAAGCTGCCAGCTGGGTGGGTTTCCTCTGAAGTCTCACTCCCTGGTGTGCAGATGGCGCCTTCTCGCTGTTCTGTGGTAACATGGCCGTCCCTCAGGGCGTGTGCACCCTCCCTCCTGCTTCCCCTTCTTATAACAACAGTCAGATTGCATTAGGGCCCCACTCCAGGAATCTCACTTTAACTTATTCACCTCTTTAAAAGACACTGATCCAAGTATGATTTCATTCTGAAGGACCAAGGGTTGGGACTTCAGCACAAAAATTTAGGAGGGACACAGTCTACCCTAGCAGCCTCCTTCAGGGATGTCAAATATTTTCCTTCTGCTCCCTGTGAAAACCCTAAAGGGGTAGGGAAAGGGCGTCCAACCTGCACGCTCGTAGAGGGGAAACCAGCTTCATTAGTAATCGTACATTTGTGGTAAAAAGGCAGGATTTGAAGCGGTGGAAGATGGGAGTACGGGGCATTGGAAGACAAAGTGCCACACAACGCAGCCTTCGAAACACACTATGGTCATGTTAAGTTTAAATGGAGTGACCACATTCGCCAGGAAAGGGAAATATTTACACTTTTGAGGAAACAGTAATTTGTGTTTCTGATTATGATCTGGCATTGGATTTTCCCTCCCCTCATAAGCAATGACAGAATCAGCAGAAATATGTGAAACATTAGTTCTCAGACATGAGACACCCGGAGAGGGCCCCCTCTGTCCTTCCCTGAGAGCTGATCAGCTCCTGCATCTGAAGAAATGACCAAAGACCAGGAGAGAACCACACAGAAGCATCGGAGGGACAGCACCTGGGGCTCTCATGGGGTCAGGAATAGTGTCTGCTCCCAATAGATGGACTAAGTAAAAAGTATCATAATTCACAAGGGTTTTACATAGCACAGAAGAAAAAGTTACCCTATATCAACTGTTGATCTTGTGAATCCAGGAACTCTGGATTCAAGGTGGTCAGGCACATCTTGATTTAGGCATTTCAGGGACACATGAGACATCAATCAATATAAGTAAGAAGGACACTAGTTCCATCCAGAAAGGCTGAGACAACTCAAAGCAAGTCCTCCCCACTTAGGGCTTCCAGGTCACAGGTAGGTGAGAGACAGATGGTTGCATTCTTTTGAGTTTCTGATAAGTGTTCGCAAAGGAGGTCATGAGAATATTCATCTGTCTCTGTGAGCAGAGGGACAACTTTAAATAGACTGGGAGGCAGATTTGCCCTGAGTGGTTCTCAGCTTGATGGGGCCCAAGATATTTTCCTTTCACAATCTGGTAACTTCAAACAAAACTTCAAAGCCACAACAAAACAATACAACAACAAAAAGAATAAGACATGGGTACTTATTAAGAGTAGAAAAACATTCAGTCCCCAAGGAAAATATTGGCAGTGCCCACCTCCACATGACAAAGGAGTAAGCAGTGTAAGCCACAGAAAGGAGCATATTAACCCACAGAGTGACCGAGAATAACACGGGTGATGCGAGGGCATTGAACACACATCATTGCATTTTGTAGATTCAGAAAGCAACAGAAAAGATTGACGGTGGTAAAAGAGACAGCCCTGCTTCCCTCTCCCTTTTCCCTTCCCAATGAGCCCTCACAGCCGTGACCCTCAGCCTCATCCCGCAGTGCAGCAGCTGCCGTCCTGTCCAGACCCACCTCCTGCCCCTCCCTGGGACTGTTACCTCATTCCCTCCCAGAGTCCAGGTGCCCCGCGGTGTGGTGCGGGAGCCTGGGGAGGCCCTTTGTTCTCTGTCAGGGTCTCCCTGGGAGGGACGCAGCCACCGCAGCTGGTTGGGGCCTGGCTTCACCGAGGACAGTCCTTTCCTTTCCCATTGTCGTTGGGTAATTATTGCTGGGCTGGGACATGAGGCAGGCAGAGGTGCGGGTCACCCTTAGGGCCCCCCTCTTGCTGCTGGGGCTCTGGGCGCTCCTGGCTCCAGTCCGGTGTTCTCAAGGCCGTCCCTTGTGGCACTACGCCTCCTCCGAGGTGGTGATTCCCAGGAAGGAGACGCACCACGGCAAAGGCCTTCAGTTTCCCGGCTGGCTGTCCCACAGCCTGCGTTTTGGGGGTCAAAGACACGTCATTCACATGCGGAGGAAACACCTTCTTTGGCCCAGACATCTGCTGGTGACAACTCAGGATGACCAAGGAGCCTTGCCGATGGATGGCCCCTACATTCCACCAGACTGCTACTACCTCGGCTACCTGGAGGAGGTGCCTCAGTCCATGGTCACCATCGACACGTGCTATGGGGGCCTCAGAGGCATCATGAAGCTGGACGACCTTGCCTACGAAATCAAACCCCTCCAGGATTCCCGCAGGTTTGAACATGTTGTTTCTCAGATAGTGGCTGAGCCCAATGCAACGGTGCCCACATTTAGAGATGGTGACAATGAGGAGACAGACCCCCTGTTCTCTGAAGCAAATAACAGCATGAATCCCAGGATATCTAATTCGCTGTATAGTTCTCATAGAGGCAATATAAAAGGCCACGTTCAATGTTCCAATTCATATTATCATATATATGGCAATATTACCACCTGTTCCAAAGAGGTGGTCCAGATGTTCAGTCTCATTGACAGCATTGTTCAAAATATTGATCTGTGGTACTATATTTATCTTTTGACCATATATAATAATCGTGACCCAGCCCCTGTGAATCAATATCGAATTCAGAGTGCAATGTTTACCTATTTTAAAACAACCTTTTTTGATACTTTTCATGTTCATTCATCCACACTACTTATTAAAGACGCACCACATGAATCCAACTATGAACCTGAAAGGTATAGCTTCTGTACACATTTAGGCCTATTACACATTGGTACTCTAGGCAGACATTATTTATTGGTAGCCATCATAATAACCCAGACACAGATGAGAAGTATTGGTCTGGAGTATGATGATAACTACTGCACATGTTAGAGAAGGGCCTCCTGCATTATGCAGAGATTTCCTGGGATGACAGATGCATTCAGTAACTGTTCTTATGGACATGCACGAAATTGTTTTATACGTCCAGGCCGGTGTGTTTTCAAAACACTTTCTCCTGTGTATAACGAAACCATGACAACGGTTCGCTGTGGAAACCTCATAGTGGAGGGGAGGGAGGAATGTGACTGTGGCTCCTTCAAGCAGTGTTATGCCAGTTATTGCTGCCAAAGTGACTGTCACTTAACACCGGGGAGCACCTGTCATATAGGAGAGTGCTGTACAAACTTCAGCTTCTCCCCACCAGGGACTCTCTGCAGACCTATCCAAAATATATGTGACCTTCCAGAGTACTGTCACAGGACCACCGTGACATGCCCAGCAAACTTTTATATGCAAGATGGAACCCTGTGCATGGAAGAAGGCTACTGTTATCATGGGAACTGCACTGACCGCAATGTGCTCTGCAAGGCGATGTTTGGTGTCAGTGCTGAGGATGCTCCTGAGGTCTGCTATGACATAAATCTTGAAAGCTACCGATTTGGACATTGTATTAGACAACAAACATATCTCAGCTACCAGGCTTGTACAGGAATAGATAAGTTTTGTGGAGGACTGCAGTGTACCAATGTGACCCATCTTCCCCAGCTGCAGGAACATGTTTCATTCCATCACTCAGTGAGAGGAGGGTTTCAGTGTTTTAGACTGGATGAACACCATGCAACAGACATGACTGATGTTGGGCGTGTGATAGATGGCACTCCTTGTGTTCATGGAAACTTCTGTAATAACACCCGGTGCAATGCAACTATCACTTCACTGGGCTACGACTGTCGCCTTGAGAAGTGCAGTCATAGAGGGGTCTGCAACAACAGAAGGAACTGCCATTGCCATATAGGCTGGGATCCTCCACTGTGCCTAAGAAGAGGTGCTGGTGGGAGTGTCGACAGCGGGCCACCTCCAAAAAGAACACGTTCTCTCAGACAAAGCCAACAATCAGAGATGTATCTGAGAGTGGTCTTTGGTCGTATTTACGCCTTCATAATTGCACTGCTCTTTGGGACAGCCACAAATGTGCAAACTTATCAGGACCACCACCGTTTAGGAAGAGACAGTTACTAACCCTGAATAAGACTAATTCAGCCTCCCGATCCCTGTAAAGATACAGAGAATATAACAGCAAAATCTATGAAATAGGATCAGGCGAAGGGATGGCAAAGCTCAAGTCCACATTTCTTGAAGTCCACAGGAGGCACATGGTCCTGTCTCACGTCACAGGGAAAGGGGAGGCATTGGCTTCTATCCCAGGTTCTTGTAGGTCGCTGATGTTCACTCTGAAATAAATCTTCAAAAACACACATTGGTGCCTTCCACATTTTCTTAGACTCCTCTGGGAGCCCAAACTTGGCCAGAACCTCTGGCCTGGAGAGACATGAATGAGCATCTGGCTCTTGACCTGAGGTCGCTGGTCCCGGAATTAACGGAAGTTGCCACCAGCTCCTTACAGGGCACGTTCATGACATTTCTCCAGAAGAGAGCTCCAGAGCAATAAGCTTCCTCATTCCCCAGGTAATCAGTCCTTCTCTAAACCCGAAGTCAGTTTAGGGTGATCCAGGGCTACTCCCTGTTCCCTGTCTGTTCCTTACAGGGGTGCTGTGGGCTTTGCAGTGAGAGGGACTTGGGTTCAAATCCCCCACCAAGCAAATCCCCCTACCTGGGGCCGAGCTTCCCATATGTGGGAAAATGAATCCCTCAGGTTGATTGCTGCAAGCAATGAAATTCAACTAGAAAAATAGGTAGACGTGAGGGCAAGCTGTCTGTCATTTAGTGTGAGCTCTGTGAGTGGCAGCTGCCCCCTTTCTTCTTGCCCCCACATTTTCTTGAACTGAAACAGGAAGGGAAGCTGAGTAAGTCATGATGAGGAAGAGAAACCAGGCTTGTAGCAGCACAGGCTGGTCTGGGTGGAAAACAGGGCTAGGTGTGTCGCTAAGTTGTTGTAAAGGAAAATGGAAGTTAAATGTATAAATAACTGAATGAGATAACATTTTATTTTAACTTACAATTCACAATAATATTGACGTTTAAAATGCAGTGTAGATATGTCACAGAGAATGTCAAAGGCAAAGCCCACCAACGGAAGACATCACCCTTCCCATACCATCAACAGAAAACTGCTGGTATTCTAGAGTAGTACTGAGATCTAGCATTTTTCTGAATACATCTGTGGTTCTAGATGTCCTGCTTCCACAGATATTGTTTAGAATTCCCACCCCTTTCTCCAAACACAGCTTGATATCCTTTCTCTGAACCTGCTTAGAAATTTCCTCCATTCAGCTGTCATAAAAATGCGAGTAATGCATTCCTGTGCCTCTCTCAGGGTGTTCTATTATTTTGTGGGTGAACGCTAATGGACAGTGAAGTGTGAGGTCAGTGAATACAATGCCCTCGCCCTGTGTGTCCTTCGGGTGTGAGGGGTTTTGCTGATAGAACAGCAGGCCCCGTCCCACCCTTTATGCATCTCCACCCTCCACCTCATGCACCCAGCTGACCTCTTCCCTGTGGCCTGGGGGGTTCCCTGGGGGAATGACCTCCCCTCTCTCCAGGGCCCACCCACTCAGTGCCCGTGCAAGACCACCAAGCTTGGCACAGCCCCACATTGTGTCAGGGCCTGTGTCCCCTTCCTCACCCCCTAAACAGATGGACCCACTGGGACACTGCTCAGCGCAGGGGGCGGTGGTATGTGCAGAAGGAAGGCAAATGTGCACTCTGTTGGAGAAATATTATAGGTAGTTTGAGCAAAAAATCTAATGCCATGTGAACTTTTAGAATGATACATATTTTAACAAAGAACATGACCAATAGAGTTTGTATTGAAGCCAGGTAAACACTATTTAGAGCAACAACAATATCAAAAACAAGCCAACAGTTCACCAAGAAAAACCACAATTAACCCCATGGAAATGGTCTTCCAAGAGCATCAGCACTTAAATCCTCGAAATCTGCCTGCCTCAGCACCTGTTGTCCTGACCTGCCCTCCTGTGTGTCCTAATCACTCCTATACACGTGGCCTGCACTGTGGGAGATTCGAGCTGTGCCAGGTGGAGGGAGCAGGACAACTGCTACCGGGTTGTTGGTGTGGATGCCGAGGCTACCCAAGCAGGTGTAAACTCCCACCTGTGGGCCAGGGAAGAGTACACAGGAGACATGTCCTGGGAATAGGGTGAGGGAGAGCTGTGGGGGCTCTGGGTTCTGAAGAGGGTTCTGGCCTGGCAGGGATAAGACCAACCAGCATGTGAGGCCAGGCTGGAGTCTGGACTTCTGAAGCTGCAAGGGTCGTGGGTTGCTTGGCCCAAGGGGCTGTCCTGGTTCTCTATGGAGCACTTTCAAACATTCCTTCTTCCTCCCACCCCCTCCTTCTCTCTTTCTGGGGTGGGTCCTCTGCCAGAGCCTGCAACTCCCAAATCCTCTTTGCCGGGTCCTCGGCTTCACTCTGCATCCGTCCTGAGCATCGATCTTCCAATTCCATCCTCTTCTCTTCTGCTGTGTCTAAGCTGCTGTGAAGCCACCTGTTGTAATTTACTGTTTTATATTTAATATTGTACCGTACATCTGTTCTGTTTCCTTCGTCATAAACGCTTCATTTCACACTCAGCATCTGGGAACACAAGGCCTTGTCAGCTGTCACCTCCTTCCATTCTCTGTTTCCTTCCTCCTCTCCCCATGTTTGCTCATCATGTCCAGTCTCCTGCCATCCTGAATGCTTCTGATGGAAGGTCCAAGATGTCTCATGAGCATTGTGAAGATTCTTTGTAATGCGACCTTGTTCCAGGCAGGAATTCTCCCTCACCCACCCCTGGAAGCCAAGTATAGGGAGATTGCCATGTTTAATCAAAGACTGAGCTAACTTAACACTGGCTTTGGTTTTAAGGTTTCTCCAATCCCCAGGGCACAGGATTTCAGGGAGTTCAGGTGACAGTCTGGGTGTTACCCTTCAGGAGGTTGTAAAGTCCATTTCACATAGTTTACACCACAGACTATGGAAACTATATATATATATATATCTAGTGCTGTCCCTCTAGAGAACCCTAGTATGTATATATATAATATATAATATGTATTATATATTATATATATGTAGGAGTTTATTGAGGAGTATTAAACTCACACAACTGCAAGGTCCCACAGTAGGCCACCTGCAAGCTGAGGAGCAAGGAAGCCAGTCCGAATCCCAAAGCTGAAGAATTTGAAGTCTGATGTTCGAGGGCAGGAAGCATCCAGCACAGGAGAAAGATGTAGGCTGGGAGGCTAAGCCAGTCTAGTCTTTTCATGTTTTCTGCCTGCTTTATACCCTGGCCACACTGGCAGCTGATTAGATGGTGCCCACCAAGATTAAGGGTAGGTCTGCCTTTCCCAGCTCACTGGCTCAAATGTTAATCTCCTTTGGCAACACCCTCACAGACACACCCAGGATCAATACTTTGCATGCTTCAATCCAATCAAGTTGACACTCAGTATTAACCATCACAAGTCCAACCCTTGTCAACTTGAACCCATACGAATCTCCTGAGATCATACATAATCTTCAAATAAAGACAATAATAAGGTCATAATTACACCTAATGTAATACAACTATCTTTTGTACAACCAGAAATGCACCAATCCCCAACCCAAGTGCTATTATGTAAAGTTAAGAACACTTAAATGCTGATATGAAGTCAATAAATTTTATGTCACATGATAAAGGAAAAAAGAAATAAAATGAAGGAATTTTCTTAGTACAAGTGTGTACATGCACAAACATGTTTTTAACAAAAGAAGAAGGAAATACTGATGACAATTACAGTCCTCATTTCTGCAACAGATCACGTGGTTGTAGCTGGTATTGATGACTACTTCTTCTACTACCCATTCTGTATTCCCTTTGCCTTCAGCAAGCATCACAGCAGGTAGAGTTTTTTCTCCTAGTGGAGTGATGCAAACCTTCATTCCTGAAGGGTCTGGGCCATTTGTAGTCCTGCCTGGATTGGGCTGTTGTAGTTTCCCGTTGACCTTAATGACAGGGCAGGGTAATGTTAAGAGATGCCCTAATGGATCTCCTGTATTCCATACATATTCTTCCTTACCTCCATTGTGGAGTAATAGACTGATTGCATCTTGATAGTTCAGGTCAATCAGCCCAGTCAACACTGTAACTCCCTTCTTAGCCTGTGGACTTGAAGGTAGGAGCGGCCCAAAGTGGCCAGGTGGAAATCTTAACTTCCAGTTTAATGGAATTGCTGTTGTTTCTCCTGATGGCAGCATTATTCCCACTGGAATTAAGACCTCTAGGCCAACAGAATGTAATGTCATGGGACCAGGAAGCAAAAATTTTGCTAGGGGATCACTAGGGGTGATGGTGAACGGTGCCATTTCCACTCCCACCCCTTGATTCCTGGATCCATGAATTATGGCTATGGGAGAAACAGTACCATATGTTGGATGCTAATTTGGAGCATACATGGCCTTTTGGATAGCTTTGCCCCAGCTCTGCAAAGTATTGGAGCCTAGTTGGCATTGTAATTGTGATTTTGAAAGGCCATTCCATTCTTCTATCAATCCAGCTGCTTCAGGATGATGGGGAACATGGTAAGACAAGTGAATCCCATGAGCATGAGCCCACTGCCACACTTCTTTAGCCGTAAAGGGAGTGCCTTGGTCAGAGGCAATGCTATATGGAATACTGTGACAGTGGATAAGGCATTCCATGACTCCACAGATGGTAGTCTTGGCAGAAGCATTGCATGCATATCTGCAGTAAGTGTCTATTTCAGTGAGGACAAACCTCTGCCCTTTCCAGGATGGAAGAGGTCCAATATAATCCAACCTGCCATCAGGTAGCTCGCTGATCACCCTGAGGAATGGTGTCATTTGGGTAGAGACCCACAGCCAAACCAGATCACGCCACCCCAACCCCTCCCAAATCTCATGTCCTCTTTGCATTTCAAAACCAATCGTGCCTTCCCAACAGTCCCCCAACATCTTAACTCATTTCAGCATTAACTCAAAAGTCCAAATCCAAAGTCACATTGGAGACAAGGCAAGTCCCTTTCATCTATGAACCTGTAAAATGAAAAACAAGTCAGTTACTTCCAAGACAAAATGGGGGTACAGGCATTAGATACATGCTCCCATTTCAGTTGGGAGAAATGGGCCAGAATAAAGGGGCTACAGGTCACATGCAAGCCCAAACTCCAGTGGGGCAGTCATGAAATCTTAAAGCTTCAAAATAATCTCCTTTGACTCCATTCCTCACATTCAGGGCATGCTTATGCAAAGTGGGGGCTCCCACAACCTTGGGAAGCTCTCACCCTGTGGCTTTGCAGCTCTGATCCCATGGCTGCTCTCATGGGCTTTGCAGAGTTCAGCCCTCCTGGCTGCTCTCATTGAGTGCCTGCAGCTTTTCCAGGTGCACAGTGCAAGCTGTTAATAGATCTACCATTCTGGGGTCTGAAGGATGGTGGCCCTCTTCTCACAGCCCCATTAGTCACTGTCTCCGGTGGGGACTCTGTGTGGGGGTTCCAACCCCACATTTCCCTTCTGCACTGCCCTAGCAGAGGCTCTCCATGAGGGCTTTGCCCCTGGCACAGACTTCTGGCTGGACATCCAGTCATTTCTATAAATCCTCTGAGATCTAGGCAGAGGATCACAAAGCTGAACTCTTCTCTTCTGCACACCCATAGGCCCAACATCATGTAGAAGCCACCAATGATTGGGGCTTTCTGAAGCAATGGCCTGAGCTGTACATTGGACTTTTTTAGCCACAGCTAGACCTGGAGCAGCTGGGACACAGGGCACCAAGTCCCAAGGCTCCAAAGAGCAGCTGGGCCCTGGACCCAGCCCATGAAACCATTTTTCCCTGATAGGCCTCCAGGCCTGTGATTGGAAGGGCTGCTGCAAAGATCTCTGACATGGCCTGGAAACATTTTCCCCATTGTCTTGGTTATTAATATTCATCTCTTCATTATTTATGCAAATTTCTGCAGCCAACTTGAATTTCTCCCTAGCAAATGTGTTTTTCTTTACTACCACATGGCCAGGCTGCAAACTTTCCAAACTTTTATGCTCTGTTTCCCTTTTAAACATAAGTTCCTATTTCAGATCATCTCTCTCAAGGGCAAAGTTCCACAGATTTCTAGGGCAGGGAAAAATTCCATCAAGCTTGGTTTTATACAGGCATGAGACATCAATCAAATACATTTAAGAGATACATTGGTTTGGTCCAGAAAGGTGGAACAACTCAAAGCGAGGGCTTCCAGGCTATTGGTGAATTTAAACATTTTCTGGTTGACAATTGGTTGAGTTTGTCTAAAGACCTGGGATAGATAGAAAGGTAATGTTCAGGTTAAGATAAAGATTCTAGAGTCCAAAGTTCTTTTGAAGTCTTATAGTGGCTGCCCTTAGAGATAATAGGTGACAAATGTTTCCTATTCAGATCTTAGTTCAACTCTTTAGGATTGGGAGGTTCTAGAAGAAAAAGATCTAGCCATGTTAATAGAGATTCTTTACAGATGCAAATTTTCCCCCACAAAGAACAGCTTTGCAGGGCCCTTTCTTTCTTTCTTTCTTTCTTTCTTTCCTTTCTTTCTTTCTTTCTTTCTTTCTCTTTCTTTCCTTCCTTCCTTCCTTCCTTCCTTCCTTCCTTCCTTCCTTCCTTCCTTCTCTCTCTCTCTCTCTCTCTCTTTCTTTCTTTCTTTTTAGAGGGAGTTTTGCTCTTGTTGCCCAGGCTGGAGTACAATGGTACGATCTTGTCTCACCACAACCTCCACTGCCTGGGTTCAAGCAATTCTCCTGCCTCAGTCTCCTGAGTAGCTACGATTACAGGCATGCACCACCACACCCGGCTAATTCTGTATTTTCAGTAGACACAGGGTTTCTCCATGTTGGTGAGGCTGGTCTCGAACTCCCAACCTCAGGTGATCCGCCCACCTCAGCCTCTCAAAGTGCTGGGATTACAGGCATGAGCCACCATGCCCGGCCTGCAGGGCCATCTCAGAGTATGGCAAAGAAACATGTTTTGGGGTAAAATATTTTGATTTTCTTATTTGTCTCATAATGTTATGCCAGAGTCAGTTTGGAAAGTAAATCATGATATATAGGTTTAAATAAAACCTATCTGATGAGAATTTATGATTTGTAGAGCATGCCTCCCCAGACTCTTTAGATAGGAATTTGGGCAAGATAAAAAAAAAATCAGAGTTTAGTCCTCACCATCTAAGACCAGCTCAGCTTGGACTTCGCTGTTCATGTCACTATCAGCATTTTAGTCAAAACCACTCAATAAGTCTCTAGGAAGTTCCAAACTTTCCCACATCTTCCCCTCTTCTTTCAAGTTCTCCAAACTGTTCCAACCTCTGTCAGGAGGTACCCGGTTCCAAAGTTGCTTCCAGATTTTCAGTTATCTTTATAACAGTTCCCCACTCCTGGTACCAATTTACTATATTAGTCTGTTTTCACAGTGCTATAAAGAACTGCCCAAAAGTGGATAATTTGTAAAGAAAAGAGGTTTAATTGACTCACAGTTCTGTGTGGTTAGGGTCGGGGGCTCAGGAAACTTGCAATCATGGTGGAAGTGGAAGCAGGCATGTGACACATGGCAGCAGGTGAGAGACAGAGAGAGAGAGAGAAAGAGAGACAGAGGGAATGAAGGAGGAACCACCATACATTGATAAAACCATCAGATCACATGAGCACTCACTCACTATCAGGAGACCATGAGGACAGCATGGGGGAAATCACCCCCATGACCAAGTCACCTCCCACCAGGTCCATCCCTTGACACATGAGGATTACTATTTTTTTTTTTTGAGACGGAGTCTCGCTCTGTCACCCAGGCTGGAGTGCAGTGGCGGGATCTCGGCTCACTGCAAGCTCCGCCTCCCGGGTTCATGCCATTCTCCTGCCTCAGCCTCCCAAGTAGCTGGGACTACAGGCGCCCGCCAGTACGCCCGGCTAATTTTTTGTATTTTTAGTAGAGACGGGGTTTCACCGTTTTAGCCGGGATGGTCTCGATCTCCTGACCTCGTGATCCGCCCGCCTCGGCCTCCCAAAGTGCCGGGATTACAGGCGTGAGCCACCGCGCCCGGCCGAGGATTACTATTTGAGATGAGATTTGTTTAATGACACAGAGCAAAACCACATCAGCATGTGACAAAGGTCTAATATCAAGAATCTATGAGGGGGCAGTTCCAAGATGGCTGAATAGGAACAGCTCCAGTCTGCAGCTCCCAGCATGAGCTATGCAGAAGACAGGTGATTTCTGCATTTCCAACTGAGGTTCTGGGTTCATCTCATGGGGGCTTGTTGGACAGTGGGGGCAGGACAGTGTGTGCAGACCACCAAGAGTGAGCTGAAGCAGGGTGAGGCATTGCCTAACCCAGGAAGTGCAAGGGGTCAGGGAATTCCCGTTCCTAGCCAAGGGAAGTGGTGATGGACGGCACCTGGAAAATCCAGTCACTCCCACCCTAATACTGCACTTTTCCAATGGTCTTAGCAAACGGCACACCAGGAGATTATATCCCATGCCTGTCTTGGAGGGTCCCACACCCACAGAGCCTCGCTCATTGCTAGCACAGCAGTCTGAGATCAAACTGCAAGGTGGCAGCGAGGCTGGGGGAGGGGTGCCCATCATTGCTGAGGCTTGAGTAGGTAAACAAAGTGGCCCAGAAGCTCAAACTGGTTGGAGTCCACTGCAGCTCAAGGAGGCCTGTCTGCCTCTGTAGACTCCACCTCTGGGGGCAGGGCATAGCTGAACAAAAGGCAGCAGAAACCTCTGCAGACTTAAAGGTCCCTGTCTGACAGCTTTGAAGAGAGTAGTGGTTCTCCCACATGGACTTTGAGATCTGAGAATGGACAGACTGTCTCCTCAAGTGGGTCCCTGACACCCAAGTAGCCTAACTGGGAGGCACCCTCCAGTAGGGGCAGACTGACACCTCACACGGCCGGGTGCCTCTCTGAGATGAAGCTTCCAGAGGAATTATCAGGCAGCAACATTTGCTGTTCAGCAATACTCGCTGTTCTGCAGCCTCTGCTGCTGATACCCAGCAAAATAGGGTCTGCAGTAGAGCTCCAGCAAACTCCAACAGACCTGCAGCTGAGGGTCCTGACTGTTAGAAGGAAAACTAACAAACAGAAAGGACATCCACATGAAAACCCCATCTGTACGTCACCATCATCAAAGACCAAAGGTAGATAAAACCACAAAGATGGGGGAAAAACAGAGCAGAAAAGCTGAAAATTCTAAAAATCAAAGTGCCTTTCCCCCTCCAAAGGAACACAGCTCCTCGCCAGCAATGGAACAAAGCTGGATGGAGAAAGACTTTGACGAGTTGAGAGAAGAAGGCTTCAGATGATCAAACTACTCCGAGCTAAAGGAGGAAGTTGGAACCCATTGCAAAGAAGCTAAAAACCTTGAAAAAAGATCAGATGAATAGCTAACTAGAATAACCAGTGTAGAGAAGTCCTTAAATGACCTGATGGAGCTGAAAACCATGGCACGAGAACTACGTGATGAATGCAGAAGCTTCAGTAGCTGATTCGATCAACTGGAAGAAAGGGTATCAGTGATTGAAGATCAAATGAAAGAAATGAAGGGAGAAGAGAAGTTTAGAGAAAAAAGAGTAAAAAGAAAGAAACAAACCCTCCAAGAAATATCAGACTATGTGAAAAGACCAAATCTATGTCTGATTGGTGTACCTGAAAGTGACAGGGAGAATGGAACCAATTTGGAAAACACTCTGCAGGATATTATCCAGGAGAACTTCCCCAACCTAGCAAGACAGGCCAACATTCAAATTCAGGAAATACAGAGAATGTCACAAAGATACTCCTCGAGAAGAGCAACTCCAAGACACATAATTGTCAGATTCACCAAAGTTGAAATGAAAGAAAAATATTAAGGGCAGCCAGAGAGAAAGGTTGGGTTACCCACAAAGGGAGGCCCATCAGACTAATAGCTGATCTCTCAGCAGAAACTCTACAAGCCAGAAGAGAATGGGGGCCAATATCCAACATTCTTAAAGAAAAGAAATTTCAACCCAGAATTTCATATCCAGCCAAACTAAGCTTCATAAGTGAAGGAGAAATAAAATCCTTTACAGACAAACAAATGCTGATACACTTTGTCATCACCAGGCCTGCCCTACAGGAGCTCCTGAAGGAAGCACTAAAAGTGGAAAGGAACAACTTGTACCAGCCACTGCAAAAACATGCCAAATTGTAAAGACCACCAAGGCTAGTAAGAAACTGCATCAACTAATGAGCCAAATGACCAACTAACATCATAATGACAGGATCAAATTCACACATAACAATATTAACGTTAAATGTAAATGGGCTAAATGCTCCAATTAAAAGACACAGACTGGCAAATTGGATAAAGAGTCAAGACCCATCAGCGTGCTGTTTTCAGGAGACCGATCTCACATGCAGAGACACACATAGGCTCAAAATAAAGGGATGGAGGAAGATCTACCAAGCAAATGGAAAACAGAAATAGGCAGGAGATGCAATCCTAGTCTCTGATAAAACAGACTTCAAACCAACAAAGATCAAAAGAGACAAGGAAGACCATTACATAATGGTAAAGGGATAAATTCAACAAGAAGAGCTAACTATCCTAAATATATATGCACCCAATACAGGAGCGCCCAGATTCATAAAGCAAGTCCTTAGAGATCTACAAAGAGACTTAGACTCCCACACAATAATCATAGGAGACTTTAACACCCCACTGTCAACATTAGACAGATCAACGAGACAGAAAGTTAACAAGGATATCCAGGAACTGAACTCGGCTCTGCACCAAGCAGACCTAATAGACATCTACAGAACTCTCCACGCCAAATCAACAGAATATACATTCTTTTCAGCACCACACCACACCTATTCCAAAATTGACCACATAGTTGGAAGTAAAGCACTCCTCAGCAAATGTAAAAGAATAGAAATTATAACAAACTGTCTCTCAGACCACAGTGCAATCAAACTAGAACTCAGGATTAAGAAACTCACTCAAAACGGCTCAACTACATGGAAACTGAACAACCTGCTCCTGAATGACTACTGGGTACACAACGAAATGAAGGCAGAAATAAAGATGTTCTTTGAAACCAATGAGAACAAAGACACAACATACTAGAATATCTGGGACACATTCAAAGCAGTGTGTAGAGGGAAATTTATAGCACTAAATGCCCACAAGAGAAAGCAGGAAAGATCTAAAATTGACACCCTAACATCACAATTAAAAGAGCTACAGAAGCAAGAGCAAACACATTCAAAAGCCCGCAGAAGGCAAGAAATAACTAAGATCAGAGCAGAACTGAAAGAAACAGAGACACAAAACACCCTTCAAAAAATCAATGAATCCAGGAGTTGGTTTTTTTTAAAAGATCAACAAAATTGATAGACCACTAGCAAGACTAATAAAGAAGAAAAGAGAGAAGAATCAAATAGATGCAATAAAAAATGATAAAGGGGATATCACCACTGATCCCACAGAAATACAAACTACCATCAGAGAATACTATAAACACCTCTATGCAAATAAACTAGAAAATATGGAAGAAATGGATAAATTCCTCGACACATTCACCATCCCAAGACTAAACCAGGAAGAAGTTGAATCTCTGAATAGACCAATAACAGGCTCTGAAATTGAGGCAGTAATTAATAGCTTACCAACCAAAAAAAGTCCAGGACCAGATGGATTCACAGCCGAATTCTACCAGAGGTACAAGGAGGAGCTGGTACCACTCCTTCTGAAACTATTCCAATCAATAGAAAAAGAGGGAATCCTCCCTAACTCATTTTATGAGGCCAGCATCATCCTGATACCAAAGCCTGGCAGAGACACAACAAAAAAAAGAGAATTTTAGACGAATAACCCTGATGAACATAGATGCAAAAATCCTCAATAAAATACTGGCAAACTGAATCCAGCAGCACATCAAAAAGCTTATCCACCATGATCAAGTGGGCTTCATCCCTGGGATGCAAGGCTGGTTCAACATACACAAATCAATAAACGTAATCCAGCGTATAAACAGAACCAACAACAAAAAACACATGATATCTCAATAGATGCAGAAAAGGCCTTTGACAAAATTCAACAACGCTTCATGCTAAAAACTCTCAATAAATTAGGTATTGATGGGATGTATCTCAAAATAATAACAGCTATCTATGACAAACCCACAGCCAATATCATACTGAATGGGCAAAAACTACAAGCATTCCCTTTGAAAGCTGGCACAACACAGCGACACCCTCTCTCACCACTCCTATTCAACATAGTGTTGGAAGTTCTGGCCAGGGCAATCAAACAGGAGAAGGAAATAAAGGGTATTCAATTAGGAAAAGAGGAAGTCAAATTGTCGCTGTTTGCAGATAACATGATTGTATATCTAGAAAACCCCATCGTCTCAGCCCAAAATCTCCTTAAGCTGATAAGCAACTTCAGCAAAGTCTCAGGATACAAAATCAATGTGCAAAAATCACAAGCATTTCTATAACCCAATAACAGAAAAACAGAAAGCCAAATCAGGAGTGAACTCCCATTCACAATTGCTTCAAAGAGAATAAAATACCTTGGAATCCAACTTACAAGGGACGTGAAGGACCTCTTCAAGGAGAACTACAAACCACTGCTCAATGAAATAAGAGGATACAAACAAATGGAAAAACATTCCATGATTATGGGTAGGAAGGATCAATATCCTGAAAATGGCCATACTGCCCAATGTAATTTATAGATTCATTGCCATCCCCATCAAGCTACCAATGACTTTCTTCACAGAATTGGAAAAAATTATTTTAAAGTTCATATGGAACCCAAAAAGAGCCCGCATTGCCAAGTCAATCCTAAGCCAAAAGAACAAAGCTGGAGGCATCAAGCTACCTGACTTCAAACTATACTACAAAGCTACAGTAACCAAAACAGCATGGTACTGGTACCAAAACAGAGATATAGACCAATGGAACAGAACAGAGCCCTCAGAAATAATGCCGCATATCAACAACTATCTGATTTTTGACAAACCTGACAAAAATAAGAAATGGGGAAATGATTAGCTATTTAATAAATGGTGCTGGGAAAACAGGCTAGCCATATGTAGAAAGCTGAAACTGGATCCCTTCCTTACACCTTATACAAAAATTAATTCAAGATGGATTAAAGACTTAAATGTTAGGCCTAAAACCATGAAAACCCTAGAAGAAAACCTAGGCATTATCATTCAGGACATAGGCATGGGCAAGGACTTCATGTCTAAAACACCAAAAGCAATGACAACCAAAGCCAAAATTGACAAATGGGATCTAATTAAACTAAAGAGCTTCTGCACAGCAAAAGAAACTACCATCAGAGTAAACAGGCAACCTACAGAATGGGAGAAAATTTTTGCAATCTACTCATCTGACAAAGGGCTAATATCCAGAATCTACAATGAACTCAAACAAATTTACAAGAAAAACAAACAACCCCATTAAAAGTGGGCAAAGGATATGAATAGACACTTCTCAAAAGAAGACATTTATGCAGCCAAAAGACACATGAAAAAATGCTCATCATCACTAGCCATCAGAGAAATGCAAATCAAAACCGCAATGAGATACCATCTCACACCAGTTAGAATGGCAATCATTAAAAAGTCAGGAAACAACAGGTGCTGGAGAAGATGTGTAGAAATAGGAACACTTTTACACTGTTGGTGGGACTGTAAACTAGTTCAACCATTGTGGAAGTCAGTGTGGTGATTCCTCAGGGATCTAGAACTAGAAATACCATTTGACCCAGCCATCCCATTACTGGGTATATACCCAAAGGATTATAAAACATGCTGCTATAAAGACACATGCACACATATGTTTATTGCGGCACTATTCACAATAACAAAGACTTGGAACCAACCCATATGTCCAACAATGATAGACTGGATTAAGAAACTGTGGCACATATACACCATGGAATACTACACAGCCATAAAAAAGGATGAGTTCATGTCCTTTGTAGGGACATGGATGAAGCTGGAAACCATCATTCTCACCAAACTATCGCAAGGACAAAAAGCAAACACCACATGTTCTCACTCATAGGTGGGAATTGAACAATGAGAACACATGGACACAGGAAGGGGAACATCACACACCGGGGCCTGTTGTGGGGTGGGGGGAGGGGGGAGGGATAGCATTAGGAGATATACCTAATGTTAAATGATGAGTTAATGGGTGTAGCACACAAACATGGCACATATATACATATGTAACAAACCTGCACGTTGTGCACATGTACCCTAAAACTTAAAGTATAATAAAAAAATTAAAAAAAAAGAAACACCTGCTTTTTCCTGTTTTCCATTTGCTTTGTTGATTTTTCTCCATCCTTTTACTTTGAGCCTGTGGATGTCACTGCATGTGAGATGGGTCTCTTGAAGACAGCATACATTTGGGTCTTGCTTCTTTATCCAACTTGGCAATTCTGTGCCCTTTAATTGGGGCATTTAGTCCATTTACATTCAAGATTAATATTGATATGTGCATATTTCATCCTGTTATCATGTTGTTAGCTGCTCAATATGCAGATTTGATTGTATAGTTGATTTATAGTGGCAATCGTTATGTACTTAAGTGTGTTTTTGTGGTGGTCAGTAACATTCTTCCATTATCATATTTAGCAATCCCTTAAGGACCTCTTGTAAGGGAAATATAGTGATGATGAATACCCTTAGCATTTGCTTGTCTGAAAAGGATCTTATTTCTCCTTCACTTGTGAAGCTTAGTTTGGCTAGATATGAAATTCTTGCTTGGAATTTCTTTTCTTTAAGAATGCTGAATATAGGCCCCTAATCTCTTCTGGATTGTACAGTTTCTGGTGAAACATCCACTGTTAGCCTCATTGGGTTCCCTTTGTATGCGACCTGAACCTTCTTTCTAGCTGCCTCTAACATTTTTTTTCCTTTCAACCTTTAAGAGTCTGATGGCTATATGTCTTAGGGATGGTTGTCATGTATAATATCTTGCAGAGGTTCTTTGCATTTCTTGAATTTGAATGTTGGCCTCTCTGGTGAGGTTGGAGAAATTTTCATGGAGGATAGCCTGAAATGTTTTTCAAGTTGCTTTGTTTCTCTTTCTCTTTTTAAGGGATACCAATGTGTCATAGATCTGATCTTTTTACATAATCACCCATTTCTCTGAGGTTTTATGCCTTCTTTTTTGTTCTCTTTTCCTTTATTTTTGTCTGACTGAGTTAATTCAGAGAATCAGTTTTTAAGCTCTGTGATTCTTTCCTCAGCTTGGTCTATTCTGCGGTTAATACTTGTAGTTGTATTCTGAAATTCTTGAAGTGAGTTTTTTAGCTCTATCAAATCATTTTGATTCTTTCTTAAAATGGCCACTTCATCTTTCAGCTTCTGTATCATTTTACTTTATTTCTTAGCTCCCTTGGATTGGGTTTCAACATTCTCCTGAATCTCAGTTATCTTCTTTCCTATCCATATTCTGAATTCTATGTCTGTCATTTCAGCCATTTCAGTCAGGTTAAGAACCATTGCTGGGAAACCAGTGTGGTCGTTTGGAGGTAAGAAGACACTCTGGATTTTAGAGTTGCAGAGTTTCCTGTAATCCCAGCACTTTGGGAGGCCAAGGTGAGAGGATGGCTTGAGCCCAGGAGTTCAAGATCAGTCTTGGCAACACAGCGAGAACCTGTCTCTACAAAAAATAAAGAATGGGCTGGGCATGGTGGCTCACACCTGTAATCCCAGCACTCTGGGAGGCCGAGGCAGGTGGATCACGAGGTCAGGAGATCGAGACCATCCTGGCTAACATGGTGAGACCCCATCTCTACTAAAAATACAAAAAATTAGCCAGGCACATTGGCAGGCGCCTGTAGTCCCAGCTACTTGGGAGGCTGAGGCAGGAGAATGGCGTGAACCTGGGAGGCAGAGCTTGCAGTGAGCCGAGATTGCACAACTGCACTCCAGCCTGGGTGACAGAGCGAGACTCCATCTCAAAAAAAATAATAAAAAAAAAATGAATAAATAAATAAATAATGAGCCAGGGGTGGTAGTGGGTGCCTATAACTCCAGGTGCTCATGTGGCTGAGGTGGGAGGATCACTTAAACCCAGGAGATAGAGGCTGCAGTAAGCCATGATCATACCACTGCAAACCAGCCTGTCTTTAAAAAGAAAAAGTTTGCCAATTTTCTCTTTGACCCAAGGTGAGCACATTACAGTGATTACAAGCCTGGGAGTCCAGTCATTTGTACCATGTTACACAGGCAGGAGACAGAGGGTCTGATAAACACCTCTGGGGCTGAACTCATGCAGATTTCACTCCACACCACTACTGACTGCCCAGGGAGGTGTCAGTGCTCACCATGGATGATGTGGAGTCCAGGAGGCTCACAACTTTCATCTCGATCTCGTCCTCACCAAAGCTCTTCAGCAGCTTCATAACCTCACTCACCGTCAGCCACTTACAATCCACAAGCTGAATGGAGACAATATAATCTCCTCCCCGGGCTCCTGCCACCTGAAAAAGTATTGTTGAAAATAAGTCAACGTTTTGTTCACTCAAATCCTTGAATCAGTCCCCATTAACAAAATAGGTATTTGCGTAAGTTCGCATCAAGAAAGCAAAAATTCACTTTGGGTGGCTGAGACGGGTAGATCACTTGAGGTCAGTAGTTCAAGACCAGCCTGAACAACACGGTGAAACCCATCTCTACTAAAAATACAAAAATCTGCCAGGTGTGGTGGTGGGCACCTGTAGTCCTAGCTACCTGGGACGCTGAGGCAGGAGAATTGCTTGAACCCGGGAGGCAGACATTGCAGTAAGCCGAAATCGTGCCACTGCCCTCCAGCCTGGGTGCAATTAAAAAAAAAAAAGTCAAAATTGGCCAGGCACAGTGGCTCACGCCTATAATCCTAGCACTCTGGGAGGCCAAGGCAGACAGAATACTTGAGGCCAGGAGTTTGAGACTAGCCTGGCCAACATGGCAAAACCCCGTTTCTACTAAAAATACAAAAATTAGGCCGGGCCAGGTGGCTCACACTTGTAATCCCAGCACTTTGGGAGGCTGAGGTGGGCAGATCACAAGATCAGGAGATCAAGACCATCCTGGCTAACACGGTGAAACCCCGTCTCTACTAAAAAGACACAAAAAATTAGCCGGGCATGGTGGCACGCACCTGTAATCCCAGCTACTCAGCAGGTGGAGGCAGGAGAATTACTTGAACCCAGGAGGTGGAGGTTGCAGTGAACCAAGATCGCGCCACTGCACTCTAGCCTGGGCGACAGAGCGAGACTGTGTCTCAAAAAACAAAAACAAAAACTAAAATTAGCTGAGTCTGGTGGCACGTGCCTGTAATCCCAGCTACTCAGGAAGCTGAGACAGGAGAATCACTTGAACCCAGGAAGCAGAAGCTGCAGTGAGCCCTGAGATCGCGCCACTGCATGATGACGACTCACTGCAGCCTCCACCTCCCAACGTCTAAAAAAATACTAAAAACAAAATAAAGACAGTAAAAATTAATCCTTTTCTTTTAGGGAATGTAGCACCCATGAGGCCTTTCACATCAAGTCAGGCCTTTGACGTGGGTGAACCCGCCCTAAATTCAATCACCCAGATATCTGTATTTGCTGCCAACCAAGAAAAGCATGTGCTTACCAAGGCAGAGCAGTAAGGATCCAGGAAGTGAACCTCAACGGGGGCGTTCCCTCTTAAGGTGAACCCCAAGTCCCCTTCTTCTGCGGTGAAGCGGTTGCTTCGAGGAGGCATCCACTGCTTGTTAGCCAAAAACACAGATAAGGGGCCCTTTGGAAGAGAGCATCGTTAGGTGTAGGATTTGAAGGCTAGATCAGACGCTTGAAAGCTAAAGGGAATTTTGCCTGCTGTCCTTGAAGATCTCACTTGGCCTTGTTCAGGGACAAATGACACATCTGGGGGCATACATGCTACAGCAGTCATGCAAGAAGCTGGAAAGCCATCTTCTCAAACATACCCAATATATTTTCAATAAAATTATCTTTTAGACATTGTATTAATTATCTTTTTCTTTTCTTTTTTTTTGAGACATTGTCTCACTCTATCACCCAGGCTAGAGTGTGGTGGTGTGATCTCGGTTCACTGCAGCCTCTGCCTCCCGGGTTCAAGTAATTCTCCTGAGTAGCTGGAATTACAGGTGCGAACCACCATGCCTGGCTAATTTTTGTATTTTTAGCAGAGATGGGGTTTCACCATGTTGGCCAGGCTGGTCTCAAACTCCTGACCTCAGGTGATCCGCCCGCCTCAGCCTCCCAAAGTGCTGGGATTAAAGACGTGAGCCACTGCACCCAGCCAAAATTATCTTAAATAAAATCTCTAATATAAACAATTTAAGACCAGGCATGTCATGCCTGTAATCCTAAGCACTTTGTGTGACCAAGGCAGAAGGATTGCTTGAGGCCAGAGGTTTGAGACCAGCTTGGGCAACATAGCGGGAACCATTCTCTACTAAAAACATAAAAGAATTAGCCAGGCATGGTGGTGCACGCCTATGGTTCCATCTACTCAGGCTGCTGAGGCAGGAGGACTTCTTGAGCCCAGCAGTTCGAGGCTTCAGTGAACTGATTGTGCCACTGCACTCCAGCCTGGGTGAAAACAGAGTTAGACCCTGTCTAAAAAAAAAAAAAAAAAAAGGAAAAAAATCTCAGGTCAGGCATAGTGGCTCATACCTGTAATCCCAGCACTCTGGGATGCCTAGGCAGGAGGATGGTTGGAGCCCAGGAGTTTGAGACCAGCCTAGGCAACATAGCAAGACCCCATCTCTACAAGAAATAAAAATTAGTTGGACGTGGTGGTGTTTGCCTGTAGTCCCATCTACTAGGGTAGCTAAGGTAGGAGGATCGCTTGAGCCCAGAAGGTTCAGGCTGCAGTGAGCTATGACCATGCCACTGTAATCCAGCCTAGGTGACACAGTGAGACCACATCTCTAAAAAAAATTTAAAAATATTTTTAAAAATTTCAAATAGATAATACCTAAAAACTACTTTTAAAATATGCTATGGGGCCGGGCACAGTGGCTCAGGCCTATAATCCCAGCACTTTGAGAGGCCGAGGTGAGTGGATCACTGGAGCCCAGGAGTTCAAGATCAGCCTGGCCAACATGGTGAAACCCTGTCTCTACTAAAAATACAAAATTAGCTGAGCATAGTGGCACAGGCCTGTAATCTCGACTACTCGGGAGGCTGAAGCTGGAGAATCACTTGAACCTGGGAGGTGGAGGCTGCACTGAGCCGAGATCGCACCACTGCACTCCAGCCTGGGCAACAGAGTGAGACTCTGTCTCAAAAAACAAATAAATAAAAATAAATGAATAAAATAAAATATGCTATGGTCTGAATGTTTGTACCCTCCCAAAGTTTGTATATTAAAACATTAAAATTTTATTAATATTTATTAAAATTTAAAATGTATATTAAAATCATCAATGTAATTATTAGGAAGTGGGGCCTCTTGAGAGGTGATTCAGTCTTGGGGTGGAGCCCTCAAGAATGGGATACATGCTTTTAAAACAGGCCCAAGGGAGCTCATCACCTTTTCTGCCATGAGGACACAGGTAGAAGGCCCCACCTATAAACCAGAACATGGGCCTTCAGCAGATACCAAATCTGCCAATACCTTGGTCTTGGACTTCCCAGCCTCCAGAACTGAGAAATATATTTCTGCTGTTCATAAGCCACCCAGTTTGAGGCATTTTGTTATAGCAGCCCACATGGACTAAGACACCATACTCGCCAAAGTGAAGAGCTGTCCCCTTAGGTCATTTATGTAGAGAGCTTTCAACATACCAGCTTCTAGAAGAAGTCCGTGACTGTCAGCTTGGAGAACTGGGGTAATATAATGTCAACCTCTTGCTCAGTTTTAGCTAGAATAGAGGATTAGAAATGGGAGGATAAATGTTTCTGTAATTGAAAGTGATCCTTATAGCCCGGTGTTGTGGCTCACGCCTGTAATCCCAGCACTTTGGGAGGCCGAGGCAGGTGGATCAATGAGGCCAGAAGTTCAAGACCAGTCTGGCCAGCATGGTGAAACCCCGTCTCTATTAAAAATACAAAAATTAGCCAGGTATGGTGGCAGGCGACTGTAATCCGAGTTACTTGGGAGGCTGAGGCAGAAGAATCACTTGAACCCAGGAGGCAGAGGTTGCAGTGAGTTGAAGTCTTGCCACTGCACTCCAGCCTGGTGACAGAGTAAGACTCCAGGGGGGGAAAAAAAGAAAGTGATCCTTGGGAAGGAGACAGTACAGAACTTTCTCTTAGTCACACATCCTTCCCCTCGGTTTAGACAAGTAGTACAAGAAGATGGAACACAGCTCAACCCCCGACCTAGGTTGAACTCTACCTTCCATTTGGGTACCTCCTGTGAGCCATAAGAGGTATAACTCATTCCTGAGCTGGGACCAAGGAGTGATAACCAGACACATTCCCATGGGGTTTCCTGATATTTAAGGGGCTTAGTGGGCTTCTCTGGCACTCATAAAACCCTAATGAGGAGGCTGGGCACGGGGGCTAATGCTTGTAATCCCAGCACTTTGGGAGGCCGCGGTGGGAGGATCATCTGAGGTCAAGAGTTCAAGACCAGCCTGGCCAACATGATGAAACCCCATCTCTACTAAAAATACAAAAAATTAGCCAGGCGTGGTGGCACGCACCTGTAGTACCAGCTACTTGGGAGGCTGAGGCTTGAACCAGGGAGGCAGAGGTTGCAGTGAGCTGAGATCACACCACTGCACTCCAGCCTGGGTGACAAGAGCAAAACGACCTCACAAAAACAAACAAACAAACAAACAAACAAACAAACAAAAAACCTATTGAGAAGTCATCTATGTTTCAAGTATTATTGTTATGGAAGTTCCATGCCTCACTGGACACAGTCCTGGGATATTGAGCTTTCTGTTTTCAACATTATTACTATTTTGAGACAGGGTGTCGCTCTGTCGCGCAAGCTGGAGTGCAGTGGTGTGATCACAGCTCTCTTGCAGCTTGACCTCCTGGACTCAAATGATTCTCCTGCCTCAGCCTCCCGAGTAGCTGGAACTATAGGTATGCACCACCACACCTGATGAATTTTTTTAAAATTTTTTGTAGAGATGGGGTCTCACTATGTTGCCCAGGCTGGTCTCAAACTCCTGAGCTCAAGTAATCCTCCTGCCTCGGCCTCCCAAAGTGCTGAGATTAGAGGTTTGAGCCACCGTGCTTGACCTTTTCATTATTAATGTGGTATGAGGATTTCCCAGTGAAAAGGAGGTTTGGCAAATCATAACCATTGACAGCTACATACCCCCACCAGCATCTTCACAGCAGGCTCGGACTACCCTTAACATAAGGCTGGTCAATTTCTAACAAAGGATCCCAGGGCAGGCTGATTCTACACGAGAACAAATAGCATAAAAAGTGTATCTAGGCCAGGTGTGGTGGCTTACTCTGGTAATCCCAGCACTTTGGGAGGCCAAGGCAGGCGGATCACTTGAGGTCAGGAGTTCGAGACCAGCCTGGCCAACATGGTGAAACCCCATCTTTACTAAAAATCCAAAAATTAGTTGGGCGTGGTGGTGGGCGCTTGTAATCCCAGCTCCTCGGGAGGCTGAGGCAGAAGAATCACTTGAACCCGGGAAGCAGAGGTTGCAGTGAGCCGAGATCATGCCACTGCACTCCAGCCTGGGCAACAGAGCGAGACTCCATCTCAAAAAGAAAAGAGAACTCCAGGGCAAAATAAGCACCTCGGTCCCTGCCCTGTGCAGCCCTCCCTGTGCCAAGCACACAGCGAGGGCTCGCTCAACCCCCACAGGCCAGGCGTACTCTTTCCGCGGCACAGGCACCCCCACAGAGGGAACACAGTCTAGGTTACTCACCAACAACACTGGGGGCGTGGATCAGGTTCAGCAGGTCATCATCCTCCTGGTGCTGGGCGTACGTGAGCCGGGAGCGTTCCTGTGATGCACACAGCACCTTCTGTAGCACCTCAATGCTCCGCAGCTTCTTGCAGAGGCTGGCCTCCCGCACTGACTCCTCGTGATGAGCCATGGCTCTGTGCAGGTGGGACTTCCCCGCAGATGGAAGCCAGCACCCACGTGACCTGCAGATCCACCAAGCAGTGCATAAGGGCCCAAGGGGCAGCCCAAGAGGTTGGACGTTCTCTTTTCTAAAGAATCTGCCTGGATAGCTAGAGCCCGTGATACCCTACCTTGTTTTAACCTGAGTGACTCTCTCCTAGCAGAGAGAGCCGGACAGACTCCATTTTAGTTTCTTCACTTGCAGCCCCCTTTATCCCCCTTAAGGGAATAACTAGTGTAAGCTGACTCCAAGCACATCCAGGAACGCAAACTGCTGATAAGATACTGAGGCAGGCTGTACCAGCAGCTCCTGGGGATGTGCTCAGTGGCAGGTACCTAAAGCCCCTGCATTTATCTCTCAGTGATAGTTTAAGCCCCTGCACCTGGAACTGTTTATTTTTTGTAACTGCTTCTATAACCAATTACTTTTTTTAACTTTTTGCCTATTCTGCTTCTGAAAATTGCTTCAGTTAAACCCCCCTCCCCTATTTAGACCATAGTATAAAAGAAAATCTAGCCCCTTCTTCAGGCCCGAGAGAATTTCGAGCATTAGCCATCTCTCAGTTGCCGGCTAATAAATGACTCCTGAATTAGTCTCAAAGTGTGGCGTTTCTCTACAACTCGCTTGGTTACAACAAGCCTTTTATTAAAATATTATTTTATTTCATTTTATATTTTATATTTAGAGACAGGGTCTCACTTTGTTTCGCATGCTGGAGTACAGTGGTGCAATCATGGCTTACCACAGCCTCAAACTCCTGGGCTCAACTGAAATTCCCACTTCTGACTCTTGAGTAGCTGGGACCACAGGCATGCACCACCACACTTGGATAATGTTTTCATTATCATTATCATTTCATTATCATTGCTATGTTGCCCAGGCTGGTCTCAAACTCCTGGCCTCAAGCAATCCACCTGCCTTAGCCTCCCAGAGTGCTGGGATGACAGACGTGAGTCACCACGCCCAGCCCAAGCCTCCCTTAAATGCATATGTAATAAGCTCACTTGTGTCCATAAGATGTTCACTCAACAAATATTTACCAAATGTGCTAGGCACTAGAGATAAAGCAACGAGTAAACAAACTGCCCCCACATTCATGGAGTTTACATGTAGTGATTGAAGACAGATAACTAACAAGACAAGAAATATGTAATGGATGGGGTGGTGATGAGGTTATAGAGAAAAATAAAGCAGGGTAAGCGGAGATGGTAGGAGAAGACTGGGAATGGGGTTGTCTTATGATGGGTGACCAAGAAAGGCTTTTTTTTTTTTTTTTTTTTTCTTGAGACGGAGTCTCACTCTGTCACCCAGGCTGGAATGCAGTGGCACGATCTCGGCTCACTGCAACCTCCGCCTCCCAGGTTCAAGCGATTCTCCCACCTCAGCCTCCCAAGTAGCTGGGATTACAGGCACACACCACCACATCTGGCTAAGTGTATTTTTGGTAGAGACGGGGTTTCTCCATGTCGCCCAGGCTGGTCTCAAACTCCTGACTTCAAGCTATCCTCCCACCTCAGCCTCCCAAAGTGCTGGGATTGCAGGCATGAGCCACCACACCCAGCCAAGGAAGGCTTTGTGATATGGTCCTTTTTGAGCAGAGCCCTGATGGATGTGAAAGAGCAGCAGGTGCGAGGGCCCTGGAGCAGGGGCACGCACAGGTGTTCAAGGGCAAGGAGAAGCTAAGGCGTGCCTGGAGGCAGGGAGGGTGGGACAGAATGACTGCAGGGAAGGAGCAAGGCCAGATCATGGCAGATCTCACGCGTGCAAGATGAGGGCTCTCACTCCTGTTCTGCTTGAGATGGGAGCCCACTGGGGTGTGAGCAGGGGACTGATGTGATCTGGCCTGCATGACCAGACTCTGAAGGGGCAGCAAGAAAACCAGCTATGAGCAGGGCAAGCCATGTGACTGCTCTGGGTCTCAGTTTCCTCAGCTGTAAAATGGGGATGCCATGAGACCCACCTCATAGTGTTGCCTGGGGTTTAAGTGAGTAAATGTTTCTTACATAAGCACTGTACACATGTGGCTTCCACCAGGGCAGCAGGGTTAAAGTGGCCAGATTTGAGTGTGTCTTCTAGGTACAGCCAAAGGGATTTGCTAATCAAATGTAGGGTGAGAAAGTAAGACAAGAGGTTAGGTGTGGCGGCTCGTGCCTGTAAACCCAGCTCTTTGGGAGACAGAGGCAGGAGGATCGCTGGAGGCCAGGAGTTCAAAACCAGCCTGGGCAACACAGTGAGATGGCATCTCTACAAAAACCTTTTTACAATATTAGCCGGGCATGGTGGTGCATGCCTATAGTCCCATCTACTCAGCAGGCTGAGGCAGGAGGATCACTTGAAGCCAGGAGTTCGAGGCTGCACTGAGCTGTGATGGCACTACTGCACTGCAGCCTGGGGGACAGCAAGACGCTGTCAAAGAAAGCAAATGAAAGAAAAGGAAAGAGGAAAGGAGGGAGGAAGGGTAGATGGGGAGGAGAGAAAGAAAGAGAGAAAGAAAGAAAGAATAAAGGAGAGGAAAGGAAAGGGAAAGAAAAGGAAAGCAACAAGGAACAAGAAAAGGGGAGGAGAGGGGAGGGGATGAGGGGAGAGGGGAGGGGATGAGGGGAGAGGGGAAGGGTGAGGGGAGAGGAGGAAGGATGAGAGGAGAGGGGAGGGGAGAGGAGGAGAAAGGGGAGTGAAGGGGAGGTGGGAGAGGGGAGGAGAGGAGAGGAGGGGAAGGATGGGAAGGGAGGGGAGGGGAGAAAGGGAAGGGAGGGGAGGAGAGGGAGAAGGGGAGGGGAGGAGAGGGAGGAGGGGAGGGGAGGAGAGGGAGGAGGGGAAGGGAGGAGAGGGAGGAGGGGAGGGGAGGGAGGAGGGGAGGGAGGAGAGGGGGAGGAGAGGGAGGAGGAGGAGAGGGAGGACGGCGGAGAGAGGAGAGCAGGGGAGGGGAGAAGAGAGGGGAGAGAAGGGGAGAGGAGGGGAGGGGAGGGTAACAGAGGGGAGGGAAGAGGAGGGGAGAGAATGGGACAGGAGGGGAGGGGAGCAGAGGGGAAGAGAGGAGAGGGGAGCAGAGGGGAGAGGAGGGGAAAGAGGAGGAAAGAAAAGAAGAGTGGAGAGTGAGTCCAAGGTTTCTGGCCTGAGCACCTAGAGGGGTGGGAGTTGCCATCACTGAGACGGGGAAGCTGCGTATGTGTGCGTGGGGGCAGATTAGGATGGTGGAGGTGAGGTCTGCACATGGGAAGAGATATTCACACTGAGACATGGCAGAGACCAAACCAGGACACTTCATTACCAGTCATTAGGTGTTCTTGGTAATTCAGCCATGCATAAAGAAATCAACAAACGTTTCCTTCCCTGTTAGCATGATACAGGCCACCCTATGGACCCCAAGGGAGATGGTTAAAGTCCTGGCTCCACAGGGGGAGGCCTGGGTGCTATGGAACCCATGAGAACACAGCCTGGGAAGCCCTCTGAGGCTCAGGACTGCACCTCATGACTTCTGAACCCAAAGTGGCCACGATGACTTGGAACACCCCCCTCTCCCGGGCCCTCTTCAGGGACCTCTCTGTGGCTGTCTGTGAGCAGGATCAGCTGGGCACCAAGTGGGACCCACATCTGGGTGCAGAGGGACACGCACCCAGCTGTCGGCGCTGCTGATCATTCTTCAGTGTGGCCAAGGGTGTCAGCCCCTCTGGCATGTGGTCGTAGAGCCGGGACAGGCACTTCTCCTGGTGGTCCAGATCCGTGCCTGGCTTCACTGCTAAGAGAACCACAGGTTAAATCCCCTCTCATGGATCTGGCCACAGACCCACATAGAGATTTCTCTTTCTACCATGTCTCTAGTTTCCTTTCTTCTGCAGTTTCACAAGGCATTTGGGATCATCGCTCTCCTTTCTGCCCCTGGACACACCCCAGGCAGTCTGACCCTCAAGCTTTTTTTTTCTTTGAGATGGTCTCACTCTGTCACTCAGGTTGGAGTGTGGTCTCACTCTGTCACCAGGCTGGAGTGCAATGGCACAATCATAGTTCACTGCGGCCTTGAACTCCTGGGCTCAAGTGATCCTCCCACCTCAGCCTCCTGAGTAGTTAGGACTACAGACATGCACCACCACATGCCAGGCTAATTTTTAAATTTTTTTGTAAAGATGAGGTCTTGTTACATTGCCCAGGCTGGTCTCAAACCTCTGGGTTCAAACGATCCTCCTGCCTTAGCCTCCCAAATTGCTGGGATCAAATGTGTGAGCCACCATGCCTGGCTACCCCAAAGCTCTTGCTCATTGGAACCAGTCATGCTCCAGAGGTTCAGAATTTTTTTTTTTTTTTGAGATGGAGTTTTGCTCTGTCACCCAGGCTTGGGTGCAGTGGTGTGATCTTGGCTCACTGCAACCTCCACCTCCCGGGTTCAAGTGATTCTCCTGCCTCAGCCTCCCGAGTAGCTGGGATTACAGGCACGTGCCACTATGCCCAGCTAATTTTTCTATTTTTAGTAGAGACGGGGTTTCAGCATCTTGGCCAGGCTGGTCTCGAACTCCTGACCTCATGATCCACCCAGCTCGGCCTCCCAAAGTGCTGGGATTGTAGGTGTGAACCACCACACCCGGTGAGGTTCATAATTTGACCCTGAGCCCCCACACGCTACCTCCTCTGACTCACCCACCACACAGAACCTCCTAGCATAGCCCAGACCCTGTCATGCCTGGCCTGCACCCCTCTGCAGGCCTGCACACCTGCAGCACAGCCCCTTCCTGCTTCAACCACACCCTCCCTGGTGCGTATCCTGCTCTCAAACCTCACAAAACCACTCTCCACTTACCCAGCACCCTCGGCCTCTATTCCTGTGCTCAGACACTTTACTCCCTCTAGGCTGACCCTGCCCTCCTGTGCAGATGGAAAAGTTGAACTCAAATGTCACCGCCTCTGAGAAGCCATCAATGACTGCACCATGGAGTCCACCTGCTGCTGCATTTGTGTCTCTGCAGCAATCACCAAGGCACTATATGGTATTTCTATTTGTTTCCACATCTTGTCTCACCTAATAGACTATATAGTACTAGGAGTGGTGGCTCACACTTTCAGAGAACCTACAGCATATAAAGCATTATTGAGCTTTGCATACAGGCCCTTCATTTTCATGACAGCCTGTGAGGTAGATTCTCTCCATATACCCATTTTACAGATGAGAAAATCGAGGCAGAGGACAGCTAAGTAACTTGCCCAAGGTAATACAGCTCATTCATGGCAGAGCTGAGATATGAACCCAGGAAGTCTGGCTCCAGAGGCTGTCTTTTTAATTCCTCAGGAGGCTGCCTGGATTAGTACTCATTAGATCAAAAATCCCTGGCCAGGCACCGTGGCTCATGCCTGTAATGCCAACACTTTGGGGAGGCCAAGGCAGGACAATTGCTTGAGGCCAGGAGTTTGAAACCAACCTAGGCAACATAGTGAGACTCCATCTCTACAAAAAAAATTTTTTTCAATTAACTGGTGTAGTGGCATGTGCCTGTAGTCCCAGGTATTCAGGAGGCTGAAGTAGGAGGATCGCTTGAGCCCAGGAGTTCAAGAAGGCAGTGAGCCATGATCATACCACTGTACTCCAGCCCCATCTCTAAAAATAAATTAAATTAAATTAAATTCTGATCATCACAGATTTTTTTTGCATTAATTTTTATTTTATTATTATTAGTTTTTTTGAGATGGAGTCTTGCTCTGCTGTCCAGGCTGGAGTGCGGTGGCACAATCTCAGCTCACTGCAACCTCCACCTCCCCGGCCCAAGCCATTCTCCTGCCTCAGTCACCAGAGTAGCTGGGATTAGAGGCACGCGCCATGCTCGGCTAATTTTTGTATTTTCAGTAGAGACAGAGTTTCACCTTGTTGGCCAGGCTGGTCTCGAACTCCTGACCTCAAATGATCTGCCTGCCTTGGCCTTCCAAAGTGCTGGGATTACAGGCGTGAGACACTGTACCCGGCCTGCATTAATTTGGATTCTTTTAAAATACTACCTTAAAATGTTACCTATCTTGATGCCAGCATTTTTGGCATTCCCTTAGATTCTAGATTCCAGGTGAAAATTCATCCTCTTGCACACAGGCAGAATTAAAGGTGCCTCCTCTTCCTCCCTCTAAAGAAGCTTATAACCCCTAACCCCACCATGGCCTGTGCAGCAGCTGCCTCAGTCATGGGTCATTCTCATCCTCTGCCCTCAGCCTGTGAGCATCTCCAGGGAAGGCAGTTAGCTCTCGCTCAGCTCAGAATCACCCCTGGGGCAGCTGGACCACAGCCCTGGCCAAACCCCTGAACCCCACAGGCCTTACCCTGGTGGTCGATGAGGAGGATGGCAGTGAAGTAGAGGGCCAGGGCCATGTACTGGTGGGCCTTCACGCAGGCCAAGCTGGCCCAGGAGTAGGGGATGTTCTCTTTCACCGGCGCCTGGCTCATGGCTGCGTGCAGCTGTTGGTAGACCTCTCCCACTTGAAATAGAAGGGGCATTGGGAAGGGGCAGCCCGGCACAAGGGCCCTCATGAACCCATTTGCAGAGAAAGAGCCCTTTCTTCTTCTCATGCAACAGCCCCTGCCAGGGGCTGCTCCAGAATCTGGGAGCAACTCCAAGCAACCCCTCGTTCTGTCACTGTCACAGTTAACAGGGGGATCAGGCTGCTGTCATTATGCTGGTTTTTAGGTTAAGCTACACATGGAATCAGTGATCCGTATCTGAAACACCAACACTTGCCAAGAAAACTCAAGCCAGCAGTACTGGCCGGAGCTGGCACAATGCCCAGGTCACAGGCAAGCTCCCGTGGGAAGGCCCCGCTACTTCCAGTGCTCTTGTGCCAGAATTTCCTGCCCACTCCCCAAAGTCACAGGAACCAGGGAGTCTTACCTTGGCAGCCTCCTGAGCCACCTTCACCAGCATGAAGAATTCATTCCGGATCCCAGGAAGGCTGATTTTCTCAAACACGCTTTCTTGGGCTTGTGCAAGCATCATTTTGACAAGCACGCTGAGAATGGCAGGGCTCATGTCGTAACTTGGAGTATGGGTAAATGTCTCTTTCAGGTAGTTTAAAACCCCTAAAAGTGGAAAATGTTTTGCCCATTAGTTCGGGTTTACATTTACTTCATCATGTTGCTGTAGAGAAAGATAGGAGGCCAGGTGCGGTGGCTCATGCCCATAATCCCAACACTTTGGGAGGCCAAAGCGAGCAGATCACTTGCATCAGGAATTTAAGACCAGTGTGGGCAACATGGTGAAACCCTGTCTCTACAAAAAATACAAAAATTAGCTGGGTGTGATGGCGTGCACCTATAGTCTCAGCTCCTCTGGAGGCTGAGGCAGGAGGATTGCTTGAGCCCAGGAGACAGAGGTTGCAGTGAGCTGAGATCTCACCACTGCACTCCAGCCTGGGTGACAGAGCAAGACTCCGTCTCAAAAAAAAAAAAAAAAAAAAAAAAGGAAAGATAGGAGAAAAAAAAAAGAACCAGTGTCCTACAACATATTAAAAAGTTTGATTCTCAATTATATGGTCCAGCAATTCCACTCTTATGATATATATCCCCAAACAGTTGAAAGTGGGGGCTTAAATGATACTTGAACACCCGTGTTAATAGCAACATTATTCACAAGAGCTGAAAAGTGGAAACCACCCAGACATCCATGAGCAGATGAATGATTAAACACAATGTGGCCTATCCGTACAATGGAATATTTTTCAGCCTTAAAAAGGAATGAAATTCTGACATATGGTACAGTGTAAATAAGGGCATTATGCTAAGTGAAACAAGCCAGTCACAAAAGGACCAATATTGTAGGATTCCATTTAGATAAGGTACCCGGAATAGTCAAATTCACAGAAACAGAAAGGAGAATAGAGGTTAGCTGGGGCTGGGAAAGGGGGCAATGGGAAGTTATTGCTTAACTGAGTAAGTACAGAGCTTTGCTTATCCATCATCCAGATGGAAAAGTTCCGGAGATAGCTGGTCACAGGGGCTGCTGCCTATAATCCCAGCTACAAGGGAGGCTGAGGTGGGAGGGTTGCTTGACATTAAGAGTTCAAGACCAGCCTGGGCAACATACTGAGACCCCTGTCTCTTAAGAAAATATATACTTTTTAAAAATGTATTTATTTTATTTATTTTTGAGACAAGATCACACTCTGTTGCCCAGACTGGAGTGCAGTGGCACGATCATGACTCACTGCAGCCTCAAACTCCTGGGCTCAAGCGGTCCTCCCACCTCAGTCTCCTGAAGAGCTGGGACTACAGCCATGCACCACCCCACACCCAGCTAATTTTAAAATTTTTTGTACAGATGGGGTGTGCCTATGTTGCCCAGACTGGTCTCCAACTCTTGGATTCAAGTGATCCTCCTGACTCAGCATCCTAAAGTACTGAGATTACAGGTGTGAGCCACCTTGCCTAACCAACAAAAAAAAATTTTAGCTTCTGGAGATGTTTAGTGGTAATGGCTGCACAACACTATGAATGTACAAATGCACTTAATGCCATTGAACTGCACACTTCAAAATGGTTAAAATGTGCTTCTGGTTGGCAGATAATTTTAAAATTTTAAAAATTTAAGATAATCATTAAAATGGTAATTTTATGTTCTGTGTTATTTTACTATAATAAAAAAACTGGTTAAAATAGTCCATTTTAAGTTATATATGTATATTTTAACACTATTTATTTATTTATTTATAAATAAACGCCCAGGCTGGAGTGCAGTGGCATGATTTCAGCTCACCGAAACCTCTGCCTCCCAGGTTCAAGCGATCCCCCTGCCTCAGCCCCCCAAGTAGCAGGGATTACAGGTGCCCACCACCACACCTAGCTAATTTTTGTATTTTTAGTACAGACGGGGTTTCACCATGTTGGCCAGACTGGTCTTGAACTCCTGACCTCAGGTGATCTGCCTGCCTCAGCCACCCAAAGTGCTGGGATAACAGGTGTGAGCCACCCCACCCAGCCTTTTAACCCAATTTTTTAAAATTGGATTATCTTCCAAAACACTTACATCTCTATTGAGTAGAGAAACCAGCCTGCTCCCCACAACTCCTGTGTCACCTGGGACAAAATTCCACCATGACAGGTATGGAGATGCAAGCAGACAGCAGGCAGAAGGACTGAGGGGCTCACAGGCGGCCAGGCTCACACATAAGATCTGAGTCATTCAGCAGTCCAGGGCTTTTCCCCTGGACCTCAAGAAAGATCTATTCTGGCCAGGTGCGGTGGCTCATGCCTCTAATCCCAGCACTTTGGGAGGCCGAGGCGGGTGGATCACCTGAGGTCAGGTTCAAGACCAGCCTGGCCAACATGGCAAAACCCTGCCTCTACTAAAATTATAAAAATTAGCCAGGCATGATGGTACACACCTATAATCCCAACTACTCAGGAGGCTGAGGTAGGAGAATCACTTGAACCCGGGAAGCAGAGGCTGCAATGAGCCAAGATCTCACCACTGCACTCCAACCTGGGTGACAGAGTGAGATTCCGTCTCAAAAAAAAAAAAAAACAACTCAATCCGTCTGCTCCAATGGAAATTTTCATGCTGCAGCCTTCCACTGACTTCTTTATAGTTTAGAAAATTAACTGTCCAAAGCGCTAACTGACAATCAATCTGGAACTGAAATAGAGTCTCTCATATGAATCCCATCCAACTGGGTCCTCTGGTTTTGTTGCTGAGCAAAAAAAAAAAAAAAAAAAAAAAAAAAAAAAATCCCCGCCCTGTGGAGGGATGGCACCTGCTGTTTTGAGCTGTGAGCTCCGTGGGGGTTCCCTCACCCTCCCCACTGTTCTCCCACTTGCTTCATTTCATCTATAATTTGTCTCCACTGCTATAATCTCAGAGACAGGACACAGAGTGCCTGCCTAAGATTCCCCAGAAAGATGAGTCCAGAAAAAAGATTTACAACAAAAGAAATCAACTCATACTTGGAATCTTAGCATATCGCTTCATCCCAAGAGACCAATCTTTCATTTTTTTAATTAATTAATTATTTTTTGAGACAGGTTCTTGCTCTGTCACCCAGGCTGGAGTGCAATGGCACGATCTTGGCTTACCACAACCTTGGCTGATCCTTCCATCTCAGCCTCCCAAGTAGCTGAGACTACAGGCATGCACCACCAGGCCCAGCTAATTTTTGTACTTTTTGTAGAGATGGAGTTTTGCCTTGTTGCCCAGGCTGATCTCAAATTCCTGAGCTCCAGCAATCCACCCACCTCAGCCTCCTAAAGTGCTGGGATTACAGGCATGAGCCACCATGCCTGGCCTATTTCTTGAATTAAAAAAAAAAAATTCTTTTTGACAATCATAGCTCACTGCAGCCTCAAACTCCTGGGCTTAAGTGATCCTCCTGTCTTAGCCTCTGGAGTAGCTAGAACTATGGGCGTACACCACCACGCCTGGCTAATTTTAAATATGTTGTAGAGACAGGGTCTTCCTGTGTGGCCCAGGCTGGTAGGACCAATCATTGTAACATCAGAAATTTCACAATGAGTTGAAGTGGCAAAGCTCTGGTTCTTCACAAGCTTGCAGGGCAAAGTGATATCAAACAATGATCCACATGGGTGGAAGGGGATCACACCCCAAAGCAGAATGTCGATGATCAACCTAGAAGGCAACACACTATAGAGCTAGTGTGGAGAACACACTGTGGTCTACACTGTGCCCTGCTCTTGCATCCATCCCCATGGGGAGTCTGACCCAGACACAGGCCCTGCTATGGGGGAGCAAGGCAGAACCCATAGGCAAGGGTGAGCCGTGCCAGGCTCACCCACAGCACTGGGTCTGGTGACCCCGGTCCTCTACAGGTGTAAGCACTAGGTTGCTTTTCTCCTCGACCCCGCACCTCGTTCTCATACTAGGATTACCTAAGGTCAGGAGTTTGAGACCAGCCTGGCCAACAGGGCAAAACCTCATCTCTACTAAAAATACAAAAATTAGCCGGGCATGGTGGCAGACGCCTGTAATCCCAGCTACTTGGGAGGCTGAGGCAGAAGAGTTGCTTGAACCCAGCAGGCAGAGGTCGTAGTGAGCAGAGATTGTGCCACTGCACTCCAGTCTGGGTGACAAGAGCAAGACTCTATCTCAAAATAAACAAATAAATAAAATAAAATAACAAAAGACAGTTCCCAGAAGAAGGGAACTGAGCTATGAGATATCCTTTGAATGCATCACTTGACCAAGGGTTGAGAACACCCACCTCATGCTGGAGAAGTTGGCAGAATGCAGGTGACATAAAGGCATGGAGGGGCAGGGTGCGGTGGCTCACCCTGTAATCCCAGCATTTTGGGAGGCTGAGGCAGGCGGAACACCTGAGGTCAGGAATTCGAGACCAGCCTGGCCAGGATGGTGAGACCCCATCTCTACTAAAAATACAAAAATTAGCCGGGCGTGGTGGCGAGTGCCTGTAATCCCAGCTACTCAGGAGGCTGAGGCAGGAGAATCGCTTGAAACTGGGAGGTTTCAAGCAGTGAGCCAACATTGCGCCACTGCACTCCAGCCTGGGCGACAAGGGCAAAACTCCATCTCATAAATAAATAAATAAATAAATAAATAAATAAATAAAGGCACGGAGAGTAATATGCACAGATAGGGTACACCTAATACAAGAAAAAGAAGCCTACAGTTTCACTATTTGGGAAAAGTTATTCTGCTCTTCATGACAGTGTTGAAAGAAACAGTTATGCACTGCCATCCCAGGGCCACTTGTCTGGAAAAGATCAATCATCAGCCACAGGATTCACCATGTACATCAGCCATCCCAGACTGAGGTCTGAACCACCAAGCAAGTTTCTTTTTTTTTTTTTTGAGATCGAGTCTGGCTCTGTCGCCCAGGCTGGAGTGCAGTGGCGCGATCTCGGCTCACTGCAAGCTCCGCCTCCCGGGTTCATGCCATTCTCCTGCCTCAGCCTCCCGAGTAGCTGGGAATACAGGTGCCCGCCACCAGGCCCAGCTAATTTTGTGAATTTTTAGTAGAGATGGGGTTTCACCATGTTAGCCAGGATGGTCTCGATCTCCTGACCTTCGTGATCCACCTGCCTCAGCCTCCCAAAGTGCTGGGATTACAGGCATGAGCCACCGCGCCCGGCCAGAGCAAGTTTCTTAATGGGAAGTTACACCAGAGCTGAAGACTGGTCTGGCCCTTGCAGGGGACGACCTGTAGACCCTCTTCAGTGGGGGGTCCCCTGGTGCCACCAGGCGGGGCCAAGGCTCTGTCCAGTCAGCCCTGGAGGAGACATACCTGCAGCTCTCTGAAAGGCATCTATGGCACTCTGCAGCCCAGCCTGCGTCTGCCAATAGCGCCACGTCCCAATCTGGGTGTAGAGGGCCCCAGTGTTGAACAGGACACTGGCCTTCTCCAGCAGCAGGTTCTGCTGGCTGACCAGAACCCCAGTGAGGGAGTCATACCTATGTGAAAGAAATGCATTCAGGGAGTACAGATTACTTGGCTAGTTAATGCTACTTTTGGATGCAAGTGGAAAAAATTATTATTATGATATTTATTTATTTTTTTTGAGACAGAGTCTCGCTCTGTCGCCCAGGCTGGAGTGCAGTGGCGTGATCTTGGCTCACTGCAAGCTCTGCCTCCCAGGTTCACGCCATTTTCCTGCCTCAGCCTCCCAAGTAGCTGGGACTATAGGCACCCGCCACCACGCCCAGCTAATTTTTTGTATTTTTAGTAGAGACAGGGTTTCACCGTTTTAGCCAGGATGGTCTCGATCTCCTGACCTCATGATCCGCCCACCTCAGCCTCCCAAAGTGCTGGGATTACAGGCGTGAGCCACTGTGCCTGGCTCTATTATTATTTTTTTAAGAGTCAGGATCTCACTCTGTTGCCCAGGCTGGAGTGCAGTGGTGTGATCATAGCTTACTGCAGCCTCCAACTTTAGGGCTCAATTGATCCTCCCGCCTCAGCCTCATGAGAATAGCTGGGATTACAGGTGCATGCCACCATACGTGCCTAATTTTTTTTTTTTAATTTTTGTAGAGATGGGGTCTCACTATGTTACCCAAACTGCTGTTAAACTCCTGGGTTGGCTGGGTGTGGTGGCTCACACCTGTAATCCCAGCACTTTGGGAGGCCAAGGCGGGTGGATCACCTGAGGTCAGGAGTTCGAGACCATCCTGGCCAAGATGGTGAAACCCAGTCTCCACTAAAAATACAAAAATTAGCCAAGCATGGTGGCAGGCACCTGTAATCCCAGCTACTCAGGAGGCTGAGGTGGGAGAATTGCTTGAACCCGAGAGGCAGAGGTTACAGTGAGACGAGATTGCACCGCTGTGCTCCAGCCTGGGTGACAATAACAACAACAACAAACTCATTTCTTCAATAAAATTCAAGAATGCACATGCACTGAGGCTTTTGTTTCCAAGCAAGATGACAGGACTAATCACACTGACCGCCACAGCCACACACACAAATATCTGATGGGGTAACTTTATAAACACAGCATGGGACATCCAGACAATGGACTATTACTCAGTACTAAAAATGGAGCCTTTTCAAGCAAGCCTTGAAAAGATGCAGAGGAAACATTACTAAGAGCCAACCTGAACGTTGCTACCTACTGTATAGCACGCTGTGTGAGTCCAACATTCTGAAAAGCCAAAAACCCGGGAGACAGAAGAAAGATCAGTGGTTGCCAGGACTTAGGGGGAGGGAGGGAGGAACTGCAGAGCACACGGAGGATTTTTCCAGCAGTGAAACTCTTCTGTACGACACTGCAAAGATGGATCACTGTCACTCTATGTTGGCCAAAAGCCGCAGAATACACAAGTGCAAGAATGAACCCTAATGGGAACTATGGACTCTGGGTGATAATGATGTGTCAGGTAAGTTCCTCAATTATAAAAAAAAAAAAAAATGCGCCAGGTGCGATGGCTCATGCCTGTAATCCCAGCACTTTGGGAGCCCGAGGCAGGCAGATCACAAGGCCAGGGATTGAGACCAGCCTGGCCAACGTGGTGAAACCCCATCTCTACTAAAAATACAAAAATTAGCCAGGCATGGTGGGGCACACCTGTAGTCCCAGCTACTCAGGAGGCTGAGGTAGAAGAATCACTTGAACCCAGGAGGCGGAGGTTGCAGTGAGCCGAGATCACGCCACTGCCCTCCAGCCTAGGCAACAGAGCAAGACTCCGTCTCAAAAAAAAAAAAAAAAAAGGCCGGGTGCAGTGGCTTACACTTGTAATCCCAGCACTTTAGAGGCCAAGGCAGGTGGATGGCTTGAGCTCAGGAGTTTGAGACCAGCCTGGGCAACATAGTGAAACCCCTCTCTACCAAAAATACATGGTGGTGGCATGTGCCTTTAAGCCCAGCTACTTGGGAGGCTGAGGTGGGAAGATGGCTTGATACTGGGAGGCAGAAGTTGAAGTGAGCTGAGATCACACCACCACACTCCAGCCTGGGCGACAGAGTGAGACTCCGTCTCAAAAAAAAAAAAAAAAAGAAAAGTGTGTGTGTATATATATATAGCTTCTCCTAAATGAAATATGGCAATTACTAATCCCTCATAATTCTTTCTGAAATCTAAAACCTCAGGATTTGTTTTACTTGTTTATTTTTTCAGACCAAGTCTCACTCTGTTGCCTAGGCTGGAGTGCAGTGGCATGATCATGACTCACTGCAGCCTCAACCTCCTGGGCTTAAGCGATCCTCTCATCTGAGCCTCCCAAGGAGATGGGACTACAGGCATGTGCCACCCATGCCTGGCACATTTTCTCTAATTGTTTTGTAGAGATGGGGTCTCACTGTGTTGCCTAGACTGGTCTCAAACTCCTGGGCTCAAGTGATCCACCCACCTCGGCCTCCCAACATGCTGGGATTCCAGATGTGAACCACCACACCCAGCCTAGGACTTGTTTTATTTATTTATTTATTTTTTAATTTTTATTTTTTGAGACAAAGTTTTGCTCTTTCACCCAGGCTGGAGTGCAGTGGCACCATCTCAGCTCACTGCAGCTTCTGCTTCCCGGGTTCAAGCAATGGTCCTGCCTCAGCCTCCTGAGTAGCTGGGATTACAGGCGCCCGCCACCACACCCAGCTAATTTTTGTATTTTTAGTAGAGACATGTTTGTCAGGCTGGTCTCGAACTCCCGACCTCAGGTGATCCACCCACCTCGGCCTCCCAAAGTGCTAGGATTACAGGTGTGAGCCACCGCACCTGGCCCTAGGACTTGTTTTAAAGTTTACTCATGAACCAAGGGGTGTGCAGACAGCTTCTCCCTAATTCATGACTAAGGAGAAACCACCTTTCACCATGCAGACAGCCTGGTGCATTGTTAGGAAAAGTCATCCCCCTTTCCTTTGCTTTCAATGAGGAAGGCATCAGTAGCCAACCATCGGCTATAGAAACATTCAATTCTGATACGCCCCGACCTTCTAGGATGTATTCTCCTTTCACTGACACTCCTAACGACACTCAGAGAAGGGGTGCAGCATCTCCAAACTACTTTTTTTTTAGGTTTTTGGTGTTTTTTTTTTTTTTTTAATACAGACTCTCACTCTGTTGCCCAGGCTGGAGTTCAGTGGTGCAATCTTGGCTCACTGCAACCTCTGCCTCCCAGGTTCAAGCGATTCTCCTGCCTCAGCCTCCCAAGTAGCTGGGACTACAGACACGCACAACCATGCCCAGCTAATTTTTGTATTTTTTAGTAGAAGCAGGGTTTCACCATATTGGACAGGCTGGCCTCAAACTCCTGACCTCGTGATCCACCTGCCTCGGCCTCTCAAAGTGCTGGGATTACAGGTGTGAACCACCGCACTCAGCCTTTTTTTTTCTTTTTTGAAACAGGGTTTCACTCCTATCACCCAGGCTGCAGTGCGGTGGTGTGATCTAGGCTCACTGCAACCTCTGCCTCCCAGGCTCAAGTGATTCTCTTGCCTCAGCCTCACGAGTACCTGGGACTACCGGTGCATACCATCGTACCCAGCAAATTTTTGTATTGTTTGTAGATATGGGGTTTTGCCACATTGCCCAGGCTGGTCTCAAACTCCTGGGGTCAAGTGATCTGCTTGCCTCAGCCTCCCAAAGTGTTGGCATTATAGGCGTGAAAACCACTGTACCCGGGCTCCCAAGTATTTAAAGTATACTAATCTTTGAAAACACCAATTGGGTCTACGGCCATACCACCCTGACGTGCCTGATCTTGTCTGAAAATACCAATTGTGGAGAAGAATCAAATCCTCTACTTCCATTTTTTAAATCTGATCTAAGCTGAGTGTGTAGCTCATGCCTATAGTACCAGCTACTCAGGAGGCTGAGGCAGAAATATCACCTGAGCCCAGGAATTCAAGACTAGCCTGGGCAACACAGTGAGACCCCATTTCAAAAGAAACCTGATCTATTTCTGTTTGGTGCTTTTGTCTCACTGGACAAGACCTGATTTTCTCTCTCTCTCTCTCTCTCTCTCTCTCTCTCTCTCTCACTCACTCACACATACACATGCATGCCCCAGTCCAATCTGAGACAAGAATCTTGCTTCTGACTAATTCCATTTCAGAGCCCTGTGCTTCCCCAGTGATACAACAAGCAAGAAAAATGTCTCCTCTCCTTGGCTCACTTGTTCTGAGAAGCAAGAGGCCACAGTCTGTTGGGGCCATCTCCCTCGGATCACCTTTATAAATAAATACCAATGTATTGACATCTTTCTAGACTTCCCTGGATAAATGCAAGATAGGAAAGGGGGCTGAGGTGCACAGGGGTGCACCCCAGATAAATGCAAGATAGGAAAAGGGGCTGAGGTGCCCGCAGAGGGGCGTCTGTGATGCTGAGGCTCCGAAACTGTGGCTGCCATAACACGTGAAGCGCCAGCGCAGACCTCAAGCACCTACCAGGTGAACAGGAGTCCCATCTGCCGCGTGGGTGGGAAGAATCAATTCTCAACAAAGCCCAGCTGGATGAAGTATGTCATCAGCAGTTCCACCCTGGCCTCATCCCGGCTGGGCGTCTGACAAGCCTGCGAGGAAAAGAACCCCAGAGGGCATGAGCAGAGGAGGACACAGCTGACAGCCCTTCCCGGAAGGTGCCCTGCACATACCAGCAGGTGCCTGTAACTATTTCTGCAGTATGACGACCTCACTGCTGGCATCATAAACTCTAGGAGGGGTGGAAAGAACCTGGCAGGAAGTCAGAAATCCTGGAATCCAGTCCCAGCCCTGCCAGGAGGCAGGTCTCTCCCCTTCTATGGTTTTCCTTTTTTTTTTTTTTGAGACGGACTCTTGCTCTGTCACCCAAGCTGGAGTGCAGTGGTGCGATCTTGGCTCACTGTAACTTCCACCTACCAGGTTCAAGTGATTCTCCTGCCTCAGCCTCCCGAGTAGCTGGGATTACAGGCGTGTAGCACCATGCCCGGCTTGTTTTTGTATTTTTAGTAGAAACGGGGTTTTGCGATGTTAGCCAGTCTGGTCTCAAACTTCTGACCTCAGGTGTTCCACCCGCTTCAGCCTCCCAAAGTGCTGGAATTACCAGCATGCACCACCACGCCCAGCTAATTTTTGAATTTTTAGTAGAGACGGGGTTTCACCATGTTGGCCAGGATGGTCTGGAACTCCTGATCTCAGGTGATTCTCCTGCCTCCGCCTCCCAAAGTGCTGGGATTACATAGGCGTGAACCACCGTGCCCGGCCTCCTTCTACAGTTTTCTTATGCAGCAAATGGAATGGATGATTCCAGCACCCCCCAACCATCACCTCAATCTACCCACGATTCTGTTAAGACCACAAGCATGCAATAATGGGGTTCCCCGAAGACTTGGAAAAGCTACCCTCCCCTCTCTGCTGCACACAAAAACTTACTTGTCTCGGATCCATAAGATCTGTGATTTCATCTTCATATAAATAGCCATCTTCACTGTAATGTTCCAGGATAAAATCCTTAAAGAAAAATAAGGTTAGATACTATAAAATGTGATTGAAAACCATGTATGTGCATAACAGTAATATGTCATTTGTGACCTGTTTCTAAAAAGGCAGAATAAAGAAAAACTTACAGTGATTTTCAAAGTGGGGGAATTTATTTTCTTAATTTATGTAGTTTTTTTTATATGGAGTCTTGCTCTGTAGCCCAGGCTGGAGTGCAGTGGCACAATCTCGGCTCACTGCAACCTCTGCCTCCCAGGTTCATGCAATTCTCCTTCCTCAGCCTCTCAAGGAGCTGGGGTTACAGGTGCCCACCACAACGTCTGGCTAATTGTTGTACTTCTGACCTCAGGTGATCCACCCACCTCACCCTCCCAAAGTGCTGGGATTACAGATGTCAGCCACAGTGTCCGGCCATAGAATTTTTTTTTTTTTTTTAAAACAGGGTTTCACTCCCATTGCCCAGTCTAGAATGCAATGTTGCAATCTCGGGTCACTGCAACCTCCACCTCCCAGGCTCAAGTGATTCTCATGCCTCAGCCTCCCAAGTAGCTGGGATTACAGGCATGTGCCACCATGCCCAGCTAATTTTTGTATTTTTAGTAGAGATGGAGTTTCACCGCATTGCCCAGGCTGGTCTCAAACTCCTGGGCTCAAGCAATCCATCTGCCTCAGCCTCCCAAAGTGCTGGGATTACAGGTGTGAGCCACTGCACCCCATGCCTATGTTTTTAAATGCTGTGTTGCTTCAGTAAAAGTGAGAGTTGAAGTTAATTTTTTGCTTAAAAATGTCTTTGTGTCTGCGCATCATGGCTCACATCTGTAATCCCAGCACTTTGTGAAGACAGGGCAGGTAAATCACTTGAGCCCAGGAGTTTGAGACTAGTCTATGGCCTATACATTCAACTATACTGCAAACACTGCAGATATTCAGGGGCTCAGACTTGCAATTCTGGGCCTCCCTCAGGACCCAGACAAGTTTCCCAGCACAGACCCTGAGGGTAGGACTGTCATAACAGTCCCCAGATACAGGTTTCCTTTGCCAAGAAGACCCTTAACCATGTTATAAAGGCATTTTATTTTATTTTATCTTTGAGGCAGGGTCTCACTTGGTTGCCTAGGCTGGAGTGCAGTGGTGCGATCGCAGCTCACCGCAGCCTCGACTTCTCTGGGCTCAAGTAATCCTCCTACTTCAGCCTCCCAAGTAGCTGGGACAACAGGCACGTGCCACAGGCTAATTTCATTTTTGTATTTTTTAATAGAGATGGGGTTTTGCCCTGTTGCCCCACCCCCGCCCCTACAAGTGCTGGCTCCCCCAAGCTGCAAGAAAGGTGATCACATAGATGGCTCAATTATGTCTTCCCAAGTGACTGTGTAACCTCTTTACACAACTTCTACATTAAAGCTCCTCCTGTTTTTGTGTGTTCAACGTACACACACACAAACACTTGTCTTACAAAAATGGATTTGTACTAAATATACAACTTTGCTGTGCCTTCTTTTTCTAAGAGATGAGGGTCTCGCTCTGTCATCCAGGATGGAGTGCAATGGTGCAATCATAGCTCACTGCAGCCTTGAACTCCCGGGCTCAAGTCATCCTCCCACTTCAGCTTCTCCAGTAGAGGGGACTATAGGTGTGCACCATCACACTCAGCTAATATTGTTATTTTTCGTAAAGACAGAGTCTTCCTATGTTGCCTAGGCTGGTCTCGGACTCCTGGCCTCAGGTGATCCTCCCACCTCAGCTTCCCAAAGTGTTGGAATTACAGGTATGAGCCACAGCGCTCAGCTGACTATGCCTCTTTTCTTTAAACTTGGCCATGGGCTGGGTATGGTGGCTCACACCTGTAATCCCAGCGCTTTGGGAGGCTGAGGTAGGTAGATCACTTGAGGTCAGGTGTTCCAGACCAGCCTGGCCAACATGGTGAAACCCTGTCTCCATTAAAAATTTAAAAAATAAAAAATAAAATAGCTGGGCATGGTGGTTAAAAGGGGTCAGGTGTAGTGACTCATGCCTGTGATCCCAGCACTTTGGGAGGCCAAGGTGGGAGAATCACTTGAGACCAGGAGTTTGAGACCAGCATGGACAACATAGTGAAACCCCATCTCTACAAATAATAAAAAATTAGCCAGGCGTGCTGAGGCAGGAGGAGGATCACTTGAGCCCAGGAGGTTGAGGCTGCAGTGAGCCATGATCACGTCACTGCACTCCAATCTTATGTTCACCTCATAAAAGTCAAAGAGGATTTTGATTAAATTATATATGTGATCCTGAATTTGAAACTTAGTAAACTAGGGTAGATTAACGTACTTAGTGGGATAAAAAAAATTATCTAACTGGCCAGGCACAGTGGCTCACCCCTGTAATCTCAGCACTTTGGGAGGCCGAGGCAGGTGGATCATTTGAGGCCAGGAGTTTGAGACCAGCCTGGCCAACGTGGTGAAACCCCATCTCTACTAAAAATACAAAAATTAGCCAGGCATGCTGGCAGGTGCCTGTAATCCCAGCTACTCAGGAGGCTGAGGCAGGAGAATAGCTTGAGTCCAGGAGGCGGAGGTTGCAGTGAGCTGAGATTGAGCCATTGCACTCCAGCTTGGATGACAGAGCAAGACTTCGTCTAAAAAAAAAAAAATCCTAACTGAAACCCACTGTAAACATTAGGGACAAAACGAGAATTTCTACCATCACTGTTATTACTTAGCCTAATTCCAAACATTCTCTAGCCCACACATTAAGAAAAATAAGAGACATAAAATACTGGAAAGAAACAATCAAAATAATTTTTTGCAACACAACAGCATGTTTATAAAACCCAATAGCATCAACTGAAACATTACTAAATTAATAAGAATTCAATAAAGTGGCAAAGAAGTTAGCACATGAAAGTCAATAGTAAAAAAGAAAAGTCAATATTCTTCCTTTCTTATACAAGCAATAACCAATTAGACAAACTTAACAGACAGCCAGGTGTGGTGGCTCATCACATCTGTAATCCCAGCAGTTTTCAAGGCTGAGGTAGGCAGATCATTTGAGGTCAGGAGTTTGCGACCAGCCTGACCAGCAAGGTGAAACCCTGTCTCTACTAAAAATACAAAAAATTAGGTGGGTATGGTGGCAGGTGCCTCTAATCCCAGCTACCCAGGAGGCTGAGGCAGGAGAATCACTTGGACCTGGGGGGCAGAGGTTGCAGTGAGCCAAGACTGCACCACTGTACTCCAGCCTGGGCGACACAGTGAGACTCTGTCTCAAAAACAAACAAACAAACAAAAAAAACCTAACAGAGAAACAATACCTTTCAAAATAGCAACAAAAATACATTTCTAGGGATAAAATTAATATAATTAAGCAGAAAACTATTAAACTTTACTGAAGAACAGATGTGATTTCATTTTCTTTCATTGATTCGATTTTTTTTTTTTTTTTTTTAATGAGACAAGGTATCATTCTGTTTTCCAGGATGGACTGCAGGAGCTCAATCACAGCTGACTGCAGCCTCGACCTCTTGGGCTCAAGCAAGCCACTTCAGCCTCCTAAGTAGCTGGGACTAAAGGTGTGAGCCACTGTGCCTGGCCCTATTTCCTCAAAATAAAACAAAATCAGCCAGCTGCAGTGGCTCACGCCTGTAATCCCAACACTTTGGGAAGCTGAGGCGGGTGGATCACTTGAGGTCAGGAGTTCGAGAACAGCCTGGTCAACATGGTGAAACCCTGTCTCTACTAAAAATATAAAAATTAGCTGGGTGTGGTGGCGGATGCCTGTAATCCCAGGTACTCAGGAGGCTGAAGCAAGAGAATCGCTTGAACCTGGGAGACGGAGGTTGCAGTGAGCCAAGACTGTGCCACTGCACTCCGGCCTGGGCTTCAGAGCGAGACTCCCTCTCTAAATAAATAAATACATAAAATAAAATAAAACAAAATCACACTGTGAAGCTTCACTGATTATTAAAAATATCACACGGACACACAAGTCAGATTTGAAATGGAATTGCCCTAATTCAGTCTGCTGAACCACTTCTGCAGTACCTGTGTTTCTCTCAAATATGGAAGGGAAAAAATACAACAGAAAGCCCCTCAAACGTTCTCATTTTCATATGACTGACATTTGTAGCATCTCTTTTAGGCTAAAATGACATGGTTGGAAGCCTGTGCCGAATGGCAGTTGGCCATGTCCACAACATGTGAATATTTTCATTTGCTTTAATGTGGAATTCAGAACATGACCCAGTTGAATCCTTAAAAATGCCTATAAAATTCCTAAGTTTCTCCAAGAGACTCTTCCTTTAAAATGCTTGCATTCTTGGCCGGACGCAGTGGCTCACACCTGTAATCCCAGCACTTTGGGAGGTTGAGGCAGGCGGATCATCTGAGGTCAGGACTTCAAGACCAGCCTGGCCAACATGGTGAAACCCTGTCTCTGCTAATAAAAATTAGCTGGGTGTGGTGACACATGCCTGTAATCCCAGCTACTTGTGAAACTGAAGCAGGAGAATCACTTGAACCCAGGAGGCAGAGGTTGCAGTGAGCTGAGATCATGCCATTGGACTCCAGCCTGGGCAACAAGAGTGAAACTCCATCTCAAAAAAAAAAAATGCTTACATTCTTGTAGCCCAGCACCATGCAACAGACAAATTAAATCGTAAAGAAACTTCTACAATAGCAACAGACATTTCCAGACACGTGGATTGTTTTGAGTCCCACAGACCAGTGGCAAGTCACATCTATTTTTGCATTTATATATACACACATATATTTTAAATAAAAATAGAGATGGGGCTGGGTGTGGTGGCTCACATCTATAATCTCAGCACTTTTGCTGGAGGTGGAAGCAGGAAGATCGCTTATGGCCAGGAGTTCAAGACCAGCCTGGGCATCATAGTGAGGAGACCCCATCTCTTAAAAAAGAAAAAAAAAAGAGAGAGAGAGAAAGAGATGACTGCGTGGTGGCTGACACCTGTAATCCCAGTACTTTGGAAGGCCAAGGTGGGCAGATCACCTGAGGTCAGGAGTTCAAGACCAGCCTGGCCAGGATGGTGAAAATCTGTCTCTACTAAAAATACAAAAATTAGCCTGGCGCAGTGGCTCACACCTCTAATCCCAGCACTCTGAGAGGCCGAGGCAGGTGGATCATGAGGTCAGGAGTTCAAGACCAGCCTGGCCAGGATGGTGAAACCCTGTCTCTACTAAAAATACCAAAATTAGCCAGCATGGTGGTGGGTGCCTGAAACCCCAGCTACTCAGGAGGCTGAGGCAGAGAATTGCTTGAACCTGGGAGGTGGAGTTTGCAGTGAGCCGAGATCACGCCACTGTACTCCAGCCTGGGCGACAGAGCGAGGCTTCATCTCAAAAAATATACATATATACACACAAAAATTAGTTGGCCATAGTGGTGCATGCCTGTAGTCCCAGCTGCTCAGGAGGCTGAGGAAGGAGAATCACTTGAACCCAGAAGGTGGAGGTTACAGTGAGCTGAGATCGCACCATTGCACTCCAGCCTGGGCAACACAGTGAGACTGTGTCTCAAAAAAAAAAAAAAAAGAGAGAGAGAGAGAGAGGGAAGGCCTCATTCTGTTGCCCAGGCTGGTCTCCAACTCCTGGCCTCAAGCTGTCCTCTTGCCTCAGCCTCCCAAAGTGCTAAGATTATAGGCGTGAGCCATTGCATCTGGGCATAAGTCTCACGTAAAAGTTCAGGCAGGCTGTGGCAGTGTGGCATAAAGCTGCAATTCCTGGATTGTTTTCATTGCTTTCTACCCAGAACATAAACTTTCTGGTAAACTTGAGTCCTGAAACACTCAGAATACCAACTTCCCTTCTCCAGTTCCAAAATAAACCCCAAACTCACAGGATTTAAACAAGGCAGCAGTAAAAAAGGCCTCTATTTATGTCAAACAACTCACCGTCTCTGAGAATGAAGGTCAAGTGCTTCCAAAGTATTAACCAATTGCTTTTAAAAGTAGTAGTTGGCTGGGAGCGGTGGCTCACACCTGTAATCCCAGCACTTTGGGAGGCCAAGGCGGGTGGATTGAGTTCGAGACCAGCCTGGCCAACATAGTGAAACCCCATCTCTACTAAAAACACAAATTAGCCAGGCATGATGGCAGGTGCCTGTAATCCCACCTACTCAGGAGGCTGAGGCAGGAGAATCACTTGAACCTGGGAGGTGGAGGTTGCAGTGAGCTGAGATGGCCATCACTGCCCTCCAGCCTGGGCAACAAGAGCGAAACTCCAGCTCAAAAAAAAAAAAAAAAGAAAGAAAGAAAGAAAAAAAAAAGTAACAGTCAAAATGTCATAAGATGTTTTCTTTTCTAAACTAAAAGTAGTCCAAGATGAGCCAACTAAGAGGATTATCATGGAAAGTAAAATAAGCCAGGCACAGTGGCTCATGCCTATAATCCCAGCATTTTGGAAGGCTGAGGCAGGAGGACTGCTTGAACCCAGGAGTTTGAGACCAGCCTGGGCAACAGTGGGAAACTCTGTCTCTATGAAAAATACAAAAATTGGCCGGGCATGGTGGCTCACGCCTATAATCCCAGCACTTTGGAAGGCCAAGGCAGGTGGATCACCTGTGGTCAGGAGTTCGAGACCCACCTGACCAACATGGAGAAACCCCGTCTCTATTAAAAATACATAATTAGCCAGGCATGGTGGCACATGCCTGTAATCCCAGCTACTCGGAAGGCTGAGGCAGGAGAATCACTTGAACCCGGGAGGTGGAGGTTGCGGTGAGCCGAGATCATGCCATTGCACTCCAGCCTGGGCAACAAGAGCTAAACTCCATCTCAATAAAAAAGAAAGAAAAATGCAACAATTAGCCAGGCACGGTGGCACACACCTGTAGTACCAGCTACTCAGGAGGCTGAAGTGGGAGGATCAACTGAGCCCAGGAGGCAGGGGTTGCAGTGAGCCAAGATCATGCCACTGCATGCCAGCCTGGGTGAAACAGTGAGACTCGGTCTCAAAATAATAAAGAAAAAGGAAAAAAAAGAACATAAAATATTTCTTCGAAGCAATTTTCGCAATGCTAGGATTAATTCCTATAACCAATGCCTGGGCTGCATGATGCAATCTTGGGCCACCCTGCACCTCATCCCCTTTCCCTTCCTTGATGGAATTTGGAGGTGACTGGTTAAAAACTCAAATTGATGGAGTTGAAGAGGGAAGGAAGAGGAGGGTATTCCAGGCACAGGACGGTCTCCCGGCCCCAGCCTCTGGGCACGGTATCTCCTGTGTTCTCCATTGAAGCACCCCTTCCACTTCCCACTTGAATCCCCCACTGACCCAAGGGCCCCGCAGACAGTGCTTGTGGCACCTCTGGCACCCAGCACAGTGCCAGGCACAGGTGGGCTTATGAGGATCTGCCAAATGGGAGAGGAGTCCAGATACCCAGGAATGTGGCAGGGGGACACACAAGCAAAGACTCTGGTTATTCAAATATTTAAGGGGAGTGAATTGACATCTTTGATTTCCTTTGAAATTGCATCACAAATAAGACAGATTGATATTAGCCATTACTTTCGTTCTCTTTTTTTTTTTTTTTTTTGAGACAGTTTCACTGTTGCCCAGGCTGGAGTGCAGTGGCACAATCTCAGCTCACTGCATCCTCTGCCTCCTGGGTTCAAGCGCCTCTCTCGTGCCTCAGCCTCTCGAGTAACTGGGATTACAGTCATATGCCACTATGCCCAGCTAATTTTTTTTTTTTTCAGATGGGATCTCACTCTGTCGCCCAGGCTGGAGGGCAGTGGTGTGATCTCGGCTCCCTGCAACCTCCACCTCTACCTCCCGGGTTTGAACGATTCACCTGCCTCAGCCTCTGAAGTAACTGGGATTACAGGTGTGCACCACCATGTCCAGCTAATTTCTGTACGTTTGGTAGAGACAGGGGTTTTACCATTTTAGCCAGGCTGGTCTTCAACTCCTGAGCTCAAGTGAGCCGCCTGCTTCAGCCTCCCAAAGTGCTGGGATTACAGGCGTGAGCCACTGTGCCCAGCCTTTAGCCATTACTTTCAATGGCAAAAACTGCAATTACCTTCAAACCAACCTAACAGACACAAGAATGCACAGATGGACAAATATGTCAGGAAGCAATGCTGGCAGTATGTTCTCGGAAGAAGTGAGTACACAGGGGTTTGCTATAAAATTCTTAAAATTTTTTGAAAAGTTTGGAAATTTTCATAATCAAATGTTAGAGAAAAAACTTTAGCTATTCTTCCAAAGACATAACCTAAACTGGATACATGACTTAAGAAACAAATACACTATTAATAAAAGAGGATGTAAGTTTTAAATTTGAAAGCATATCCACTACAGACCCTTTGACTTGGCCTCTCAGGGAAGGCCCTCCTGGGTTTCCAACCTGCCTTGTCCAAGACCCAGGAGGAGCTTCAGAAGCCATCAAAGGCAACAACAAAAATATGGCAGGAATAAACATATCAATTATGCATGTAGCTGGCTGAGAAGGGCCTCAGGGTCACTCTGTAGATATCAACTGACTCTGCCTGTTGAGCCTAAGGCCATTGCAAGGGATACATATTTTCTCTATATCCATTTTTTTGCTTTTTTTTTTGGAGACAGGGTCTCATTCTGTTGCCCAGGCTGGAGTGCAGTTGTATGATCACAACTCACTGCAGCCTCCAATTCCTGGGCTCAAGCGATCCTCTTGCCTCAGCCTCCCAAGTAACTGGGACTACAGGCATGCGCCACTGCAAATGGCCTATTTCCATTTTAAACACTGAGTCCAGTGCCCATGGCTTTGAGATTTACCTTGAGGATGACTGAAAAGTTGATGTCTTTCGTTTCCTTCAGGCCAAGAGGAATCAGGGGAACCGTAAATGCCTCCCTATGAGCAACACAACAAGGTATGTATGAACACCCCCAACCGGACCCTTGTGCATGCCACAGCCTTGCCCTCAGCAGCCCAGCTCAGGTGTGCGCCCCCTCCTTGCCCCATCCAGTACTCACCTGGCTGACAGGCTCATTTTCCATAAGGATGACTCTAGTCATGCCCCACCCTCTGCTCTAAAACTGACCCTGCTCCCTAAGACTGCTGGACCACCCTGCCTAACACATCAGGCCCCTGGCATCTTGACACTGATTTATCTCCCGGTTTCAATGCCTAAATGGTTCCTTTTTTATTTTTTTTTTTTTGAGAGACTCTTGTTCTGTCGCCCAGGCTGGAGTGCAATGGCGCAATCTCAGCTCACTGTAGCCTCCGCCTCTCAGGTTCAAGCAATTCTCCTGCCTCAGCCCCCTGAGTAACTGGGATTACAGGCACAGGACACCACACCCGGCTAATTTTTGTATATTTTTTTAGTAGCAATGGGGTTTCACCATGTTGACCACGTTGGCCAGGCTGGTCTTCTGACCTCAAGTGATTCGTCCACCTTGGCTTCCCAATGTGCTGGGATGATGGATACAAGCCTCTGTGCCCAGCTCAATCTCAATGCTTCTTTTGGCAGCTGTGCTGAGAGTCTATTGTGTGCCAGGGCCTGTGCATGGTGCACTTGCTGCTCCCACCTGGGTGCACCACCCTGCTGCCCTGCGCCTCCTTTGTCAGCTCCTCACCCCCTCCTCCTCTGCTCCCCTCAGCGGGCCCCACAGCTGTGGCAGCTCTCCAACACCCTCACATTCACAACTCTGGGTTCGTAGGGGCCTCTTCTTTGGGAAGTGTCTAGGCGTCCCACCACCAGCACAGAAGGTGCCATCAGGGCAGGAGACCCATCCGACACCGAAGTGCACCTGCCTCCCAGCCCAGGGTCAGACACCCTCCACCTCCTCTCCCCCAGCTGACCACTCTGTAACCACAGGTCGCCTGGGGAGTGCTCCCTGAGCCTACATTCCTAGGGGCAGGGACAGCAGGAAGTGAACGGAGCTCAGGCTGTGTTTTGCAAACAGGGATTCAGCTCCCTGACCTGTAACAGGAGACCTCCTTGGGCTGCTCAGCCCAGCCCCACAAGAAGGCCAGGAAGGCTGGGCAGGGCGAGGGGACAATGCAGCTGTAAGCTGAACCTGGCTCTGCAGCACAGCCATGCTACGGCCAGGTGAGACCCATCCTGGGGGCATGGAAAGCCGAATTCTGCTGAAGGCTCCTCCAGGCTACGCAGGGCGGGAAGCCAGGTTTGTGGCTGTCCAGGCAACAACAAGAGGAGGAGCGACTGTCCTGAGTCCCAACTCCAGGGCACCCCAGCCCCAGTGTGGCACTGACAGCACCCTCTAGGTGCCCTCCGGCTTCCCTGAGTTTTCCCATGAGGGAGGGAAATAACCTCATGCACCATGAGGTTATTTCTTTCCCGCCTACCTCCTAGAAGACTGTAAAGATCAACCATGCTAAGAAAGAAACAGTCTACCTTGAAAAAAGAATAGTGCAGGCCAGGCGCAGTGGCTCACGCCTATAATCCCATCACTTTAGGTGGCTGAAACAGGCAGATCACGTGAGGTCAGGAGTTCAAGACCAACCTGGCCAACATGGTAAAACCCCGTCTCTACTAAAAATACAAAAACTACCTGGGCATGGTGGTGTGCGCCTGTAATCCCAGCTACTCAGGAGGCTGAGGCAAGAGAATCACTTCAACCAGGAGGTGGAGGTAGCAGTGAGCCAAGATTACACCACTGCACTCCATGCCTGGGTGACAGAGCAAGACTCCGTCTCAGAAAAAAAAAAAAAAAAAAAAAAAAAAAAAGATCAACCATACTAAGAAAGAAACAATCTACTTTGAAAACAGGGCCGGGCATGGTGGCTCACGCCCATAATCCCAGCACTTTGGGAGGCCGAGGCAGGCGGATCACGAGGTCAGGAGATTGAGACCATCCTGGCTAATGGTGAAACCCCGTCTCTACTAAAAATACAAAAAATTAGCCGGGCAAGGTGGCGGGCGCCTTTAGTCCCAGCTACTCGGGAGGCTGAGGCAGGAGGATGGTGTGAACCCGGTAGGCGGAGCTTGCAGTGAGCCGAGATCACGCCACTGCACTCCAGCCTGGGCGACAGAGCAAGACTCCGTCTCAAAAAAAAAGAAAAAGAAAAAAAAAGAAAACAGAAAAGCACAGGACCCAAATGCATGGTGCCGTGTTGAATCTGCACAGCTCTCCCTCTTCCCAGTGACACAGGGCAGTGACTGGCCACTCTAGAGCCCAGGGACCACTCCAGAGATCTTCGGTTCACTCTGTGGGAAGCCCTGTGTTGCACATCCCCACTCTTCGGCACAGCAAATGAGAGTGTGGGACAGCCGACATTTATTACCAAACCTTGGCCCCATCTCGCCTCCTCCAGAACTTGAACCTTTTGGACAAACACTGTAATTGAACACCAGAGCATAGGCTGGGAGAACCTTCCATTAGCTGTCACACTGACTGGGTGTTCAAAACTGCACAGTAGGCCGGGTGTGGTGGCTCACGCCTGTAAACCTAGCACTTTGGGAGGCTGAGGCCGGCAGATCACAAGGTCAGGAGCTCGAGACCAGCCTGGCCAACATGGCGAAACCCCATCTCTACTAAAAATACAAAAAATTAGCTGGGCATGGTGGCATGCGCCTGTAGTCCCAGCTACTCAGGAGGCTGAGGCAGGAGGATTGCTTGAACCTGGGAGGCGGAGGTTGCGGTGAGCCGAGATCATGCCACTGTACTCCAGCCTGGGTAACAGAGAGAGACTCCATCTCAAAAAACAAACAAACAAACAAACAATAAAAACCGTACAGGAGCCCACAGGTAAGCCAGGCACGGGGTATCACAAAGGGAAGAGCCAGCGAGCTTTCACACACTGACACTTCCCCTCCAGCTCTGAAACCACCCTGGTGCCCTGTGGAGGACCAGCACCAGGAAACACACATTCCATAGGTGACTTAAGGTTCCCAAATCCAGGGAGCTATTTTCCGACTGAGTTTCCCCTGGGGCCCACCTACTTTTTGAGAAGTCTCATGCCCCTACTAAAAAAGCACGTAAACCCTTCTTTGAACTGTCTCAAAGTTATTTCTCCTTAAAAAGAAGCATTTCACTTAGGGTTTTGTTTTGTTTTTGTGTTTTTTGAGACAGGACTTCTTTCTGTTGCCATTACTGCAGTCTCGACCTCCCTGGCTCAAGTGATCTTCCCACCTCAGCCTTCTGAGTAGCTGGGACTACAGGTGTACACCACCATGCCCGGCTAATTTTCCTATTTTTGTAGAGATGGGGTTTCACTATGTTGCCCAGGCTGGCCTTGAACTCCTGGGCTCAAGCGATCCCCCATCTCAGCCTCCTGAAGAGCTGGATTACAGACATGAGGCAAGAGGGGCATTTCTTTCATAGTTAGATCTCCATTTTTGGAGATGTATTGCAATTCTGAGGGATAGTGTTGTTGGCTTTCATCTTGCAGAAATCAATTCCAAAATTGAGTTATGGAGAATGATACGATAGAGTGCCTTCAAAATTGACCTAGGAGCCAGGCACAGTGGCTCACATCTGTAATCCCAGCACTTTGGGAGGCCAAGGCGGGCAGATTACTTGAGACCAGGAGTTCAAGACCAGCCTGGCCAACATGATGAAACCCTGTCTCTACTAAAAAAAAAAAAAAAAAAAAATTAGCCAGGTGTGATGGTGCACGCCTGTAATCCCAGCTACTCAGGTGGCTGAGGCACAAGAATCGCTTGAACCCAGAAGGTGGAGATTGCAGTGAGCTGAGATCTCGCCACTGCACTCCCACCTGGGTGAGAGAGGGAGACTCTGTGTCAAAAAAAAAAACAGGAAATACAACCTTAAAAGGAGACTGGTGTGTTACTTTGTTTTAATTTGGATTTTTCTGTTTCAGTTTGTCACCTCCAGCTAGGAAACAGACTGCAGTCCAGCATCTAAGTACAGTGCACAGAATCTCTGTGTGTGCATAGTGGCCTCCCCTTACAGGGTCAATTTTGGCCTTTGGCCTTAATCCCGAAGTATTTGTGTATGCTTTCTGTTCCTTGGCAAATAAATGAGAAAATAATTAGCCAACATTGGAAAGGTATTGTCCTAACAATGTCCCTTTAATGTTTCTTAGGAAAATTATGATGACCCACTAAAATATCCTTGCTCAATGTCTGTTCAGTTGAATTTAATAACATATCTTGCTAATGTTTGCGTGTCTATGAAATGTGACTACGCGGAATTACTGAAACTTAACTATAAAATCCAAGGCATCTAACTTTTAAACTTATCTTGGTTCATCACGTATATTTACACTAGATTTTATACTGTCTTCATTTGTTTTTTTTTGTCTGTTTGTTTTGAGACAGAGTCTTGCTCTGTCAGCCGGGCTGGAGTACAGTAGTGTGATCTCGGCTCACTGAAACGTCCAACTCCCGGGTTCAAGCAATTCTGCCTCAGCCTCTGAGAAGCCAGGATTACAAGTGTGCACCACCACGTCTGGCTATTTTTATTTTTAGTAGAGACGGGGTTTCATCATGTTGGCCAGACTGGTCTCGAACTCCTGACCTCAGGTGATCCACCCGCCTCAGCCTCCCAAAGTGTTGGGATTACAGGAGTGAGCCACTGTGCCTGGCCTCACAAATGCCTTTTTGTCACTGCAGATATTTCCCAACACTACAGATATTTCCCAACACTGCAGATATTTCCCAACAAATGGGCTCATCCCTTCCAGTCTAGCACCTCACTCAACCCCAACCTGATGGTTCTCTCACTTCCCAAAGCTGGGGCTGCCACACCCCAGTCTAGAACCCTATCTGCCCTGTTTGTGCAGATAGGGTTCGTACCCAGGTACCTCTTCATACCCTGGATATATGAAGGATCTCTGGCTCAGAGGCTTCTGGAAGGTGTGCTGCTCCCACTTACTCTGTGTTCTGATAGATGCCCACTGAGATGTTGAGCCCCTCCAGCTCTTCCTTGAGCATCTGCAGGTCTGAGTTGACCAAGCTCAGCTCCAGCCACACTTGTTCCCGCACCTTTGGGTTCGCGGCCGCTCTGTTCAAAGAGAAGAGGGAGAGACGTGCCCTCAGCCAGGTATCCCGGCTTCTGGGTGAGCAGAACCAATCCCCAGTCCCTGCAGGGAGGATCAGGGCACGGCTTGCAGAGGAGGGCCAGGAGTGTTGGGTAAGGTATCCCAGGGACACGGAGCACCTGCCCAGCTTGCAGTACACCTGCCAGTACGTGGAGCTGCGGACACAGGCAATGACACTGTGAGCTGCAGACATGAACTCTATGACATCCTGCAAAAACTCCACCTTGAGAACAGAAAACAAAACTGCTCCCAGCCATGCCCTAAAATACCATAAGATATCCACTTGAAAAGAAATGAATGATTCTGGTTGGGCGTGGTGGCCCACGTCTGTAATCCCAGCACTTTGGGAGGCCGAGGCAGGTGGATCAGCTGAAGTCAGGAGTTCGAGACCAGCCTGGCCAACATATAGTGAAACTCTGTCTCTACTGAAAAATACAAAAACTAGCTGGGTGTGGTGGTGCACACCTGTAGTCCCAGCTATGCAGAAGGCTGAGGCTTGAACCTGGGAGATAGGGGTTGCAGTGAGCTGAGATTGTGCCACTGCACTCCAGCCTGGGCAACAGAGCAAGGCTCCCTCTCAAAAAAAAAAAAAAAAAAAAAAAAGAAATGAACGATTCCTTTCGGTAGGAGAAATCCAAATAAATAAATAAATAAACATAAAATTTGTTTTAAAAAAAGAAAGAAATGGATGGTTAGCTGGGCATGGTGATGCATGGCTATAGTCCCAGGCAGGAGGATCGCTTGAGTCCAGGAGGTTGATACTGCAGTGAGCTATGATCACACCACTGCAATCCAGCCTGGGTGACAGGGCAAGACACTGTCTCTAAAAACTAAAATAAGATAAAATGAAATAAAATATAAATATATATATATATATATGATAAAAAGTAAAATAAAATAAATGAATGAGAAAATGAAGGCAGAGGTAATGCTTCCCAATTCATTCTGTAAGACTAGTATTAGCAACCCAAGCCTAGCAACATATAAATAGGATTATACACCATAACAAAGTGGGATTTATCCCAGAAATGCAAGGTTGGTTTAACATCTGAAAATCAATATAATATAATATATTATATTAACAGAATAAAGGACAAAAAACACATGGTGACTTCAACAGATATTGAAAAAACTATGTGACAAAATCCATCACAGATTCATAATAAAAATTCTCAACAAAGTAGGAATAAAAGAGAATTTATGAAATCTGATAAAAGACACCTACAAAAACCCACAGTTAACATCACACTTAGTGGTGAATGACTGCTTTCCTCTTCTCACCACGAACAAGGCAAAGATGCCCACTTTTGCTATTTCTAATCAATGAGGCAAATAAAGAAATTAAAGGCACCCAGATTAGAAAGGAAGAAATAAAACTGTCTTTATTTACAGATGGCATTATCTTATATATAGAAAATCCTAAGGCATCCATAAAACAAATATTAGTACTAATAAATTTAGCAAGGTCACAGGGTATAATCAATATACAAAAATCAATTCTTTTTTTTTTTTTTCTCTAGACAGGGTATCACTCTGTCAGCCAGGCTGGAGTGCAATGTCACCATTATGGCTTACTACAGCCTCAACCTCCCAGGCTGAAGCCATCCTGCAGCCTCAGCCTCCCAAGGAGCTGGGACTACAGGTGCACACCACCACACTGGCTGATTTTTGTAGTTTTTTGTAGAGATGGACTCTCACTATGTTGCCCAGGCTGGCCCAGAAATCCTGGGCTCAAGCAATCTTCCTGCCTCAGCCTCCCAAAGTGCTGAGATTACAGGCATGAGCCACTGTGCCTGGCCAATTCGATTTCTATATACTAGCAATGAACAATCTTGAAATTGAGAAAACCATTCCATTCACAATAGCATCAAAAAGAATAAAATACTCAGGAATAAACAAAAGAATCACAAGACATGTAAACTGAAAACTACAAAACAATGCTGAGATATATTAAAAGAAGAGCTATTCCATGTTTACGGATGGGAAGGCTCATTATTGTCAAGATGTCAAGCCTCCTTAGTTGGTACATTCATTCAATGCAACCTCAATCAAAATCCCACTAACCTTTTTAATAAAAATCAGCAAGCTGATCTTAAAATTCATATGGAAATGCAAAAAAAAAAAAACCTACAGTAGGCAAAATAATTTTGAAAAATAAGAACAGAGTTGGAAGACATATTGATTTTAAAATTTACTAAGAAGCTGGGCTGGGCATGGTGGCTCACGTCTGTAATCCTAGCACTTTGGGAGGCTGAGGTGGGTAGATCACCTGAGGTCAGTAGTTTGAGACCAGCCTGGTCAACACAGTGAAACCCCATCTCTACTAAAAATACAAAAAATGAGCCAGGCATGGTGGTAGATGCCCATAATCCCAGCTACTCGCGAGCCTGATGCAGGAGAATCACTGGAACCCGGAAGGCAGAGGCTGCAATGAGCCAAGATTGTACCATTGCACACCAGCATGGGCAACAAGAGCAAAACTCCATCCCAAAAAAATAATAAAAAATAAACAATAAACTTACTAAGAAGCCATAGTCATCAAGATAGCATGGTACTGACATAAAGATAGGCAATGAAACAGAGTAAGAGTCCAGGAATAGGTTGGGTGTGGTAGCTCACACCTGTAATCCCAGCACTTTGGGAGGCCAAGACAGACGGGTCATGAAGTCAGGAGATCGAGACCATCCTGGCTGACACGGTGAAACCCCGTCTCTACTAAAAATACAAAAAAAATTTGTATTTTTAGTAGAGCGTGGTGGCGGGCATGGTGGTGAGCACCTGTAGTCTCAGCTACTCAAGAGGCTGAGGCACAAGAATGGCGTGAACCTAGGAGGCGGAGCTTGCAGTGAGCTGAGATCGCACCACTGCACTCCAGCCTGGGTGACAGAGCGAGACTCCGTCTCAGGAAAAAAAAAAAAAAAAAAAAGAGTCCAGGAATAAATGTTTACATTTATGTAGCAAATCTTTACAACTGATTTGAACAAAAGTGCCAAATCAATTCAATGTGGAAAAGATTATTGTTTCAACAAATAGCGCTAAAGCAGGCAGACATCCATAGGTATGTCAGGGTCCCTAAAACCACCCCCAAGTTCAGTGTTAATCTAGGAGGACTTGCAAAAGTCATGGCTGTGGTTTACTACAGCAAAAGACACAAAGCATAATGAGCAAAGGGAAAGGCATATGGGGTGAAATTGGGAGGAGGCCCGGCCCAGGCTTCTAGGGGTCCTCTCCCAGTGGAATCCCACAGACCATGCTTAACTCCCCCATCAAGGAGTTGTGACAACACACGTAAAATGCCAAGAAAGCCCCCAGAAAGTTCCAATCAGGACTCAGGTCCCACCGGGAGGTCCCTCCCTAGCTGACTTCTTGGGCTCCCTCCCAAAGTGGGCAGAAGGGTCTGGGTGAGGGACCCGAGCCTGGTTTTCACTTCCCTAAGCCCGAGGGTCCTCTTCCTGGCACAAGGCCTTGAGGAGGCTTGGGAAGCCAGCCTTCAGGTCCCGCTGTTTTGTTATTTTGCTAAAGCATGTCCCGTCTGTAAGTTTGCCCCCTCGGGTCACTTTCTTCACCTTATCAGCAGGGCCCATGATTCCTTCTGCTTTCCAACAAGACGCCAGAGCATATTTTTAGACCAATGAAGTCGGTGGGACAGTGGGTGGGACCCAGAGAGTGACGGACAGTGAGTCGGCCTGGAGGGTGGGAAGGCGAAGTGAGTTCCCCTCCTGGGACGGGGCTGGGAGGGGACATGGAATGGTCTGTCAGCTATGAGTTTGTGGAAGGCAGAGTCAGTGACTTTCAGCTGACCTGCCTCGGTCTGGAAGATTCCAGTAGAGAAAGGGAGGGCCAGGGGCCTGGAGGCTGGTTCCAGGTCTGGGTGCTGGGCCTGAGAGCATTTCCAAAGCACTGAGCCTGGGACTGAAGGTAATTCACCATGAGGGTTCAGCTGGGGAGGACTGTCTGTGTGCTTCCCCCACCTCCCAGTCCCTCAACTCACCCCCAGTCCCCCTACCTGCCTTAACTCAGGAAAAAGGCCTCCCTCGTGAGCACTGGCAGCTGCCTTTGGAGGCATGTCACGGTCACACCCCAGGACACAACGCAGAATCTCAGGCTGGCAGGGGACATTTGAGATCAGCCAGCCCAGCCTCTCATTTTACAGCTGGGAATGGGTGCACAACGGCCATGGCTGCCCAAGGTCACAGAGCCCGGGAGGGAGCAGCAGGCACAGTGGAAAAAGTAAGGTCACGTGAGCCAGGTCTGGGCACCGGGTCCAGGCCTGCCACTTCCCCGCATGTGGCTCAGGTCGATGGCTCAGACTCTCAGCCTCAGGTCCACAGCTGAAGCAGTAGAGGAACAGCTGTTCGAGGGGCTGCCTGGGGAGGAGCGGGGCTGGGTGCCCTGTGTGCACAGCAGACACTTCATCAGCCACTCAAGTAGGCAGCCGAGCCAGGAGGGCCCTCTGGGCACCTGGGCCTCTCCGTAGGAAGAGGAGCAGGGACCCACTATCCTTTGGGTCAACAACGGCCTTAAGCAATGGGCTCGAAAATCCCTGGTTAGTGACCACCTTCTGTTGCTAGGCAAGATGGGGACAAAGATGGGGTCCAGTTCTCCAGTTGTTAAACATCTGTCTCATCAAGAAGATGGGACAGCACATGGAAAATAAATTTCTATGGTTATAATAACTGTCCCAGATTCTCTGTGCAGTAATGGCAGACCCGCTTTCCCTCTGAAAACAAGCAAGAATTTTGGATAAGACAATAACAAAATTACGTTAAAAGCATCAAAGGGCTGCTAAGCTAGTGGGAAACCTCCAGGCCAAGTTTCAGGGGAAAACCAAGAACCTAGAGAGGAGCGCTGGGGCCACTGTTGCTTGTGAGCATTTGCCAACCTGACAAGTTGGGCTTCGACCTTGGAGGGAGTAGGGGGGTAGACAGAGGTCAAGGTATGAGGAGGCTGATAGGGGATTCACCCCCATATCAAGCTGGGAGCCTGAAAGGCCTCACCTGGGTGAAGACAGAAGCAAAGATAACCCTGGTCCCTGCCCCAAAACAAGGAATTCATTAGCATTAAAAGGAGTGGGAGGAAAAAAGGAAAGGAAACTCACAGATTCAACCACAAAGAGCCTTGGATCTCCGGCGGACTTGGACCCCTCACCCATCACACCTGGAAGGCCCAGGGATGGTGGGGCTTCTGTGCACTTGGTTCCAGGTGGTCTGGGCTGTCCATGTGAAAGCAAACACCATCCTTGTGAGAAGGAACCTCTGTCTTTGGCCTCACGGAAACCCCACAGACACCCTTCCAAGGGCCCCAAGAAGCACACAAAGATATCCAAGTCTGAAAGGGAAGAAGGCACCATGAGTAAGAACCAGCAGACAAGCTAGCAGACACCCGCACAGTCTCCCCATATTTTTATACAATTACCAAACAAGACACTATGGTACATTTCAAACCATAATAGGAGAGATGGCCCATGTTCGGTGGCCAAGCATAGCACAGAGCTCCTCACTCCTCCAGGAATTCCACTGAAGGGTGGCAAGTTCTGGAGTTCAAGCCACTGGGGAGGCAACAGGAGTGCAAGTGGCCACGGTTCAGGCGCTGATGGGCAGAGGTGGGGAGGGGGCGCTCCCAAGGAGTCCACTGGGAGATGCAGGCAGGGGGCTTCCCAGGCAGCCTCACCAGCTTCCCTTCACACTGATCCCCTGTAAACGTGTGTCCGGCCTCGACGTAGGAGGAACAGGGAGAAACTGATTTTCTATTCATAAAATGTGCGCCTCTCTGCGCCTGCGCCGGCGCTGTGCGCCTTTGCGAGGGCGGAGCTGCGTTCTCCTCAACACAGACCCGGATTGCATCGTGAGGGCGAGCTGAGTTCTCCTCTGCACAGACTTCAGAGATACAGCGAAGGCGGAGCAGTGTTCTCCTCAGCACAGACCCGGGCGGACGGGTGGGCCGGGGGCACCGCAAGGGCGGAGCTGCGTTCTGCTCAGCACAGACCCGGGGGACACAGCGAAGGCAGAGCAGCGTTCTCCTCAGCACAGACCTTGGGAACACTGCATCGCTTTGGGCAGAATAGGTGAATGAATGAATGAATGAATGAGTGTAATCACATGCCCTCCCTTTCCCTGTTTATCAAGCCTGGCATCACTTTAGAATCTCTTGTTAGAATTTATGACACCTAGGCTTTACCTCAGAACCTGAGAGTGGCACTCAGGTATAAGCACGTGTTTCCAAGCTCCCCAGGTATTCCATAGCACAGCCAAGTTTGAGACAGTGGGGTCTAAGAACCATGTAGAACTAATGAGAATCCTGAAGTGTCTGTGATAAAGGTAATAAGCTTTTTGTAAGATTACAGAGGACATAGATTAAGTTGGAAAGCCTGAGTGTTGAGATTCCTAGGCTCAGGAATTTTAATTTAACCAAAGTTAAATGTCTTAACTTGCAAAGACATGAATCTGTAGATTCCAGATTAATGGCAGGTGTGAATTGTACAATAGAAACTGATCTAGCCTACATGTCTTCTTGGACTGGCAGACTATGTTAATCTTTTTATTTTATGACAAGTTCAACATTATTCCCTTTTGTACTGAATTTTAGATTACTGATTTTGGGCACTCCAAGATTTTGGGAGAGACCTCTCTCATGAGAACTTTATGTGGAACCCCCACCTGCTTGGCTCCTGAAGTTCTTGTTTCTGTTGGGACTGCTGGGTATAACCGTGCTGTGGACTGCTGGAGTTTAGGAGTTATTCTTTTTATCTGGTAAGAAATATTTTCATTGCTTCACAGACTGGTAGGAGGTGATTAGATGAAGTCACAAATGTGTCTTGCTCTGTTGTCCAGGCTGGCATGCAGTGGCTTGATCTTGGCTAACTGTAGCCTCTGCCTTCTGGGTCAAGTGATCCTCCCATCTCAGCCTCCTGAGTAGCTGGGACTACATGCGCACACCACCATGCCCAGCTAATTTTTCTATTTTTTGTAGTGATGGGGTTTTGCCATGTTGCCCACGCTGGTCTTGAACTCCTGGGCTCAAGTGATCCTCCTGCCTCGGCCTCCCAAAGTGCTGGGATTACAAGCATGAGCCATTGTGCCCAGCCTAGCTCACTTTTTGACCATTGATTTAAAGAAAAATCTGACTTTTCATTATGCTGAAAAAGAAGTCTTTATATCTGAATGCCACTGAGAATGCCACTTGATTTCTTTTCCTTTCTCTCTCTACCAATATTAAGCCTTAGTGGGTATCCACCTTTCTCTGAGCACAGGACTCAAGTGTCACTGAAGGACCAGATCACCAGTGGAAAACACAACTTCATTCCTAAAGTCTGGGCAGAAGTCTCAGAGAAAGGTATGAATATGAAAGGGTTAAGAATTTGTGGTATGCTAAAATGTGTGTGTCCTGTGGTGGGAGTTTCTTTCCAAATTCCATGGTGTTTTCTCCTGTCAATTCTGTTCTTATTTTCTATCGTTAGTTTCACACCATTTGAGAGGCACTGGAAATTATTAAGAGCATGCACTCAGGTCCTGGGTCTGCTACTACTTAGCTGTGTGGCCTTAGGCAAGTTATTTAACCTCCGTCTCCAATTTCTTTCTGTGTAAAGGGACCCTCAATAATCCCTACCTTAAAAGGTTTTTTGAGGGTTAGGTATAATGTAAACAAGTGCCTTGTACCTATTTTACTGAGCAAAATAAATGCATTTGTAACTTTTTAGTTACAAGGTTTCCTTTGAGTAAGCAAGCGTGTAAAAACTATATGTCTTTAGTTACCTTGTATTTTATAATTTGTCCTGGCAACTTTAGTTCCCTGAAGAGAAAATAGAAAATTAAATGTCAAATAACGTAACATAGGTAATTGTGTTAAATGTCAGAATATTTCAGGAATAATAATGTTGTGATATACAGGCCAGCATGCATTTGTTGCTTGCTGGAGTAGTCAAGTTTTATTTCTGACAAGTCTGCAGTTCCAGGGAGCCTCTCCCTGGCTGAGTAACTGTCACCCATCCATCTGTAGATGTCAGGGAGAGTTTGCTGTGCATCCCAATTATCTTAGAATTGGGTAGAAGTTTAGCTTTAATTAGTTTGACCTTGAGTCTAACAACAAGAGAGGGAACAGGCAGCGAAGAGGTCGTGACTGATGTCCCAGCAACAGGAGACAGGGAGTGTCATTATCATTCCTGGTCTTCTCACAGTACTCTGAATACAGAGAGTGAGGAAGATTAGGGGGCCCTGTCTGCTGACTCCCTGACGATCTCAGACCCTCTCTGCTCTTTCTGGATGGTGGCCTGTTAATTCTGGCATACTGTTACTGATAATATATTTATCCTTTTCACTGTGATTTGCCCAATTGTTGCTTTAGCTCTGGACCTTGTCAAGAAGTTGTTGGTAGTGGATCCAAAGGCATGTTTTACAACAGAAGAAGCCTTAAGACACTGTGGCTTCAGGTGGGTGTGGGACAGTGCCTGCTAGCATAAAATACATGGGAAGCCCTGCTGCCTGAGAGACATGAGACAGAGGACAGAAACATGTTTACTTTGTTGAATGTGTTTAATTGTTTTAGATGTATGGGGGGTATCTTGGACAGGTTACAACCTGTTTTTTTTTTTTTTTTTTTTGAGACAGGTTATCATTCTGTCACCCTGGCTGGAGTGCAGTGGCACAATCTCAGCTCACTGCAACCTCTGCACCCTGGGTTCAAGTGATTCTCCTGCCTCAGCCTCCCAAGTAGCTGGGATTAAAGGTGCATGCTACCACGCCCAGCTACTTTTTGTATTTTTTGTAGAGATGGGGTTTCGCTGTGTTGGCCAGGCTACAACCTTTTTGATATTACTCATGGCTGTTGGATGTACAAGCTCACTTTATGTCCTGTTCTGGTTCCACTTGGCTGCCCCGAGTCTCCAGTTTGGCCTGTGTTCTTTTGAGGGCTTGTTCTGGCTCTACTCCCAGCCATGTCCACTGCTCTTCATAGGTGGGGTGCATTCTAGCCATCTTCAACCTTAAATCAGGGAAGTGGGGGAGGGGGAGGAGGGCAGCCTCCCTGGGGAGAATCCAGCTATTTCTCAAGCCCAAGTGACTCGGTATAAAGGGTCCCACTGCTTGTTCATTCAGGTGAGTAAATGTGTCCTTAGTGAAGGCTGTCACCTGCACCTTTCATCTGTGTTACTGCTGTACTCCTGCTAGGGGTTGGGGCTGCCATTATTAAATGCTGACCTCATTTGGAACTGCCAAGAGTTGGAAGTACGTTGTGGCTTTGCTGGGTTAATCTTTAGTTTTGGAATTAGCTACGGCATTGGGCAGGTTTTTCTGATAGATGTCTGGTCTTCTGTAACGAGCAGTTCCATTCAGTACAGCCATGCCCCTTTCTATTAATTTTCTTTTGGTCTGTGTATTAGTCTGTTCTCACACTGCTATAAAGAACTGCCCAAGACTTGGTAATTTATAAAGAAAAGAGGTTTACTTGACTCACAGCTCCACATGGCTGGGGAGGCCTCAGGAAACTTACAATCATGGTGGAAGGGGTAGAAGGCATGTCTTAGTGGCAGCAGGTGAGAGAGCTTGTGAAGGAAGTGAAGGGCGAAGAGCCTCTTATGAAACTGTCAGATCTCATGAGAACTCACTATCATGAGAATAGCCTGGGGGAAACTGCCCCCATGAGCCAATCCCCTCTCAACAGGTCCCTTTCTCAACACCTGGAGATTACAATTTGAGATGAGATTTGGGTAGGGACACAAAGCCAAACTGTATCAATCCGCTTTCTGTGGAGATGGGGGACAGAACTGGTAGCTTGAGCTAGAGGCTGTTACTTGAGCTAAATGCTGTTTCTCTGGGGATTACTGGTCCAGGAACTCCTTGGGCAATCCAGCCTCAGCCCCGTACTTCTGGAACTCTGGGAAGACTGTCCCCGTTCTCTGTTCTAATCCTCTACACCTAACAGTTTTGCTCAGGCCAGCTCAGGTTGAGAACAACAAAAACTTAAAAAAAAAGACAGATATATATATATATGTGTTTTGGATGTTGCCCTGGAAACTATAGTCTCCCCAGAAGAAATCTGTCAGATGATTTAGCATTTAATAGACCACAGAGATTTGAAACAGCGGGACCCTGGAGGAAAGGGGTTTGGAAACAAAGGGTGCCTTTGCATGTGGGGATTTTAATTTTGATGAGAAAGAGAAACATGTCTTTTGGCTCTTTTCATGTGTCCTAATAGGGAAACTCTTGGGTCTAAATGTAGAGGTACAGGAGCTGTGTTCATCTCTAGCAAAAAAATAGAGCTGGCCTGTTGAGCCTGGGAACAGGGTTTGCATCTGCCTGAAATTTATGAGCAAGCGTAGCCTATTTTTCTTGTACTTCTTTGTCTCAAAGAAAACTTATTAACAACCAAGGAGAAGGTGAAGTTCAACTCCGTTGCAGGATCTCCCTGGAACACTCTTTTAGCCACCTTTTGTTTTTGCAGTAAAAGGAGGAATGAGCATTGAATGAAGACAAGGATGAAGACTGACCATCTAAAACATCTGTTAGTGATAGTTTGGGTTTTATTTTGGGAAAATTCAGTGTTTTTGCAAAAACCAAATGGTTTTGTGGGTCTGGCGCTGGACTGAGTGTTGGGAATGTGGATTCTGGTCTCTGTTTTGTCATTAACAGAATGGCCAGTTTTGGGAGCATCCCTTACATCTACTCTCTGCTTCATATTTACTGCCTGAAATAGAGGATTTCTTCTGTTTGCTTTCAAGGGATATTATAATTTAATTTTTATTTTATTTATTGTTGGAGACAAGGTCTTCTTCTGTTCCCTAAACTGGAGTGCACTGGTGCAATTATAGCTCACTGCAGCCTCGACCTCCTGGCCTTAAGGGATCCTCCCGCCTCAGCCTCATAAAGTGCTTGGATAATAGGCATGAGCCACTGTTCCTAGCTAATTTAATATTTTGGAATAATTGTAGACATCATGAAGAAAATCAATGTTTATTTATTTATTTCCTTTTTTGAGATGGAGTCTTGCTTTTGTCTACCAGGCTGGAGTGCAATGGTGTGATCTCAGCTCACTGCGACCTCCATCTCTGGGTTCAAGTGATTCTCCTGCATCAGCCTCCCAAGTAGCTGGGATTACAGGTGCCTGCCACCATGCCCAGCTCATTTTTGTATTTTTAGTAGAGATGGGGTTTCACCATGTTGGTCAGACTAGTCTCGAACTCCTGACCTCAGGTGATCCACCCACCTTGGCCTCCCACAGTGCTGGGATTCCAGGCATGAGCACTGTGCCTGACCTGATGACTTGTTTTAAATATAGGCCTGATTAGGCTTGTGACCACTCTGTTTGGCTTCACTGAAGGGCTGCCAAGAGATGGACTTTTGAGAGTGACACTGCAAGATAATTGAGATCCTAAGTAAAGCCGTGAGAGGGTGGGGAGAGGAATCCAGATGAGCTTGCTGCTGTCAAATGGCAATGGGGAGCTACACTGAGAAACTCAAAACATGGTGAACTCAAGTGTTCTGCCCTGCCTTGGCCTCCCAAAGTGCTGGGATTACAGGTGTGAGCCACTGTGCCTGGTCCTTCTTTCTTTCTCTTTCTTCCTCCTTCCTTCCCCCTCCCCTCTCCTCCATTCCTTTTTCCTCCCCTCTTTCATCCCCCCTCCCTTTTTCCTTCCTTGCTTCTTTCCTTCCTTCCTTCCTCAGGGTCTTGCTGTCTCACCTAGGCTGGAGTGCAGTGGCATGATCACTGCACCATGACTTTCAGGCTCAAGTGATCCTCCTGCCCCAGCCTCCCAAGTAGCTGAGACTACAGGTGCATGCCACCATGTCTGGCTAATTTAATTTTTTTTTTTTTTTTTGGAGACAGAGTCGTACTCTTTTGCCCAGGCTGGAGTGCAGTGGTGTGATCCTGTCTTACTGCAACCTCCGCCTCTCGAGTTCAAGTGATTCTCCTGCCTCAGCCTCCTGAGTAGCTGGGATTACAGGCATGCACTACCACGCCTGGCTAATTTTGTATTTTTAGTAGAGATGGGGTTTAACCATGTTAGCCAGGCTGATCTTAAACTTCCGACCTCAGGTGATTCACCCACCTTGGCCTCCCAAAGTGCTGGGATTACAGGCGTGAGCCTCCATGCCTGGCCTAATTTTTAAATTTTTTTGTAGTGACAAAGTCCCAGTATGTGGCCCAGGCTGGTCTCAAATTCCTGGCCTCAAGCAATTATCCCACCTTGGCCTCCCAAAGTGCTGGGATTATAGGCATGAGCCACCATGCCCAACCTAGTGTTGTAAAATTTCCATATCCATCAAGTTGCCAAATGGTGGAGGACTTTGCTGTATCCTCTCCCTTTCCCCACTGTGGTATGCTTGGCTCAGTGGGAGGAGGGGCTGGAGTTGGGTGGGAAAGTACATGAGGCACTGGAATCAGATAACTCTGGGTCTGTATTCCGCACATGCCACCTGTGAGTGGCTGAGCTGGGCTTCTGGCCAGCACTCAAAGGCCACATTACTAGATATAGATGTTCCTTTCACCTTGCTGAAGATGGGGAGAGCTGCACCGGACCACCTCTCAGGGTTTCCTAATGCAAATCCTTGAACCCTGCAGAAGTGAGCATCCAGAGAGGTGGGAGCTACCCGTATACACACTGTCTGTGCCCTGCTCATCTCCCGCTCCTGCAGCATGAAACACCTGTAATGCTTTGTTCTGTTTATTGTCTCCCTTTCTCATTAGACCTGAACTCTGGGATACTGTGGGCTTAAGTACTTCTGAAAATTTCTATGGCATCTGCTGGGTGAATTTTCCTAGGGTGCTGGGCTGGTTGTTAAGACAGCCTGGGTGACTGGCCTCATTCATGGCAGGGGCAGCAGGTGGAGAGCGGTCCTGGAAGGATTTGAGGAGCTGCACGGAGTGAGACCCAGCCCCTGGCCCCCTGATTGTCACCTTTCTCAGGATCTGGGATGCTAATTCAGAAACTCTTGACTGCTGGAGGCTGTGATTGACCCACTGAGAGCTTTTAGGCATGTGGATGTGACTCAGCCAGGATCGATGGAGCATTGACTGCTGATTGGACTCCTGTGGGAAGGTAGAGGGGGGCAACACATAATGCCTTCACTGTGGGAGCTTCATCAAGGGGATGATTCTTGGACGGACATCTTTTCCTCCCTCTTTCCACAGAGGCATGCTAGCCCTGTCATTCTAGGAGTTTATTATCCTTCAGACACAGCTACTTATGTTTTTAATTCCCTCACAGGATGAAGACATGAAGAGAAAGTTTCAAGATCTTCTGTGTGAGGAAAATGAATCCACAGCTCTACTCCAGGTTCTAGCCCAGGTATTCGTATTCCTGATGATCACTAAATGTAGTCTGGGCTTAAGGAGATGATAAGCAAAGATGATGAAATTCAAGATTTTCCTGAGTAGCAATTGCTTAACATTGTTTCAGTTATAATGTAGTAGAAACTCTGTTTGAACTTGATTCACTCCAGCACCCTTAGATTTAAAAACGCAGGATATGTTTAATATCTAACACATAATAGACAGATAAGCACAGCTAGGGATTGTCATCCAAAAGGTCACCTGCAAGGCAATTTCGAAAGACTCTATTAGGGGCTCAAATATAAATTTGTTGGAAAAATTAAAATTTGGGTCAGTAGTTGATTCCTTGATTACAAGTTTATTCTTTAAAGTTCTTTGTGAGTATAAGTTAATTCCAGTCCTACTTTGTTGTTGTTGTTGTTGTTGAATGGTAGCTGTCCTTTTTCCCACTGTTTCCTCCCCGCTGCCCCGATTTTTATTTTCTTGAGACAGAGTCTTAGTCTGTCACTCGGGCCAGAGTGCAGTGGTGCAATCTCAGCTCACTGCAACCTCTGCCTCCTGGGTTCAAGCAGTTCTCCTGCCTCAGTCTCCCGAGTGTCTGGGACTACAGGTGTCCACCACTGCGCCCAGCTAATTTTTGTATTTTTAGGTGAGATGGGGTTTTGCCATGTTGGTCAGGCTTGTCTCGAACTTTTGACCTGAAGCGACCTGCCCACCTCGGCTTCCCAAAGTGCTGGGATTACAGGCGTGAGTCACCGCACCCAGCCTTCCTCCCAATTTTATATATGGGAAAACAACTAAGGCACAAAGGTTGTCTTCCCGCAAAAGACCAAGACTTGGGGCTTCAACTGAGAGGTATTATAGTCCTTTTAAACTTGATATTTAGAAGAGGACGATCAAGAGGAAGTTGGTTATGCTACTTGCTTTCAGTATACATCGTTCAGAGGTCAGAAGCCATAGGGAGAGAAATACCTATTAGATAAGCATGTCTGAGTTGCGGGCTGTGGTGAGGACTCAGTTGTCAATGATGACGACCAGTAATTTTTGGTACTAGAATTTCACATCAAATGCCCCCACTTTACTGGAAGTATATTGAGGAACTTTGATAATCTTAAAGAAGCCAGTGATTTTCTTTTGAACATTTCTCCATTTTCCTTTATTTTCAGCCTTCTACTAGTCGAAAGTGGCCTCATGAAGGGGAAGCCGAGGGTGCCGAGACCACAAAGTGCCCGGCTGTGTGTGCTGCTGTGTTGTGAACTCCGTGGTTTGAACATGAAAGAAATGTACCTTCTTTCACTCTGTCATCTTTCTTTTCTTTGAGTCTGTTTTTTATAGTGTGTATTTTAATTATGGAAATAATTGCTTTTTCACAGTCACTGATGTACAATTAAAAACCTGATGGAACCTGGGCTTTGTGCTTCTGCTTGATAATCGGTTCTTTAGTTGAATGGCTTTGTTATTTATTTATTTGAGACGGAGTCTCACTCTGTTGCCCACCCTGAAGTGTAGTGGTGCAAGCTTGGCTCACTGCAACCTCTGCTTCCCAGGTTCAAGCGATTCTCGTGCCTCAGCCTCCCGAGTAGCTGGGATTACAGGTATGCACCACCATGCCCAGCTAATTTTTATATTTTTTTGTAGAGACAGGGTTTTGCCATGTTGGCCAGCCTGGTCTTGAACTTCTGATCTCAGGTGATCCACCTGCCTCGGTCTCTCAAAGTGCTGGGATTACACACGTGAGCCACTGCGCCTAGCCTGAATGGCTTTTTTATATTTAAAGTTGTTGTGTGCCTTTCATCTGGAGCTACACCTTGGCTATCACTAGGCAGGTTTCCCAGGATGTCACCCTGGTCTCAGCCTGTGAGAGCTGAATACAAATTCTAAGGGCCCCTTGGAAAGTTCCGGGGAAAGGAGCATAGCAAGGTTGGGGGTGGAGTTTGTAGAGACTGGCTGGCTGGCTGCTGACATCTTCATGAGAACAGCAGGTACCTTGGTGCATAATAACAGGCCAGGTTATATTCTCATCCTTGCCCTCATAAAGATACAGGTCTACAGTCTCTGAAACCTTTGGGCTAGATAAGTTGTGAAATTTAATTACCCAAATTTAGGAAGGTGGTAAGGCATATCTACTATGTGTATGTGTAGCACCTCAGCGGAGTCCTACACATGTGGAGTCCTACCCCAGTGGAGACCAAACATGTTAATATTTCCACAGCAAATATTCACAGCAAGAGGGATAGAGAAAGATTATAGGTAGTTGCATATTGATTCATATCAGTCTTTTCTTCCAAATGAGCTACAATGACTCGTTTTTGAGAGCTGTTTGGGTTTTGGAAGTGGAGATAAGGCATGGTTCTGTCTTGTTGACCCAATAATGACCAGGGAAGCCCTGTGCAAAGACTTACCCTTGGCTGCTCTTGTCCTCACAGTGATTTTATGAGTGAGGTCCTCTAGCCACTGTCATGTCACAGGTGAGGAAACCAAAGTTAGAGGACGAAGGTAACTTTTCTGATGTCGCACAGCTGGTAAATGGCAGAGCTGGGACCCAACCCAGGTCTTTTTGACTCTAATGTTCCTTATTGTCCACTGAATCTGCTTTTATAACTTTGCTTGGTTGATGCTAGGACACTTTGTAGCTCGCTGGCCATGCCATGAATTGAGTGCCGTGGTTCAATGGCCACTGGCGATTCAGTCAGGGCAGAATCAAGGGCACACAGCCATTTCCTTAGGAAATGGGGATGTGGTTGGAAATTTCTATTAAAGGGTATATAAGCATTCTGAGACTTGGCTGGCCTGGTGTAGGGGGTTTGTTGGGAATTTAGTTGGTTTGCATGTTTAAAGGAATAAGGCTGAGATTGCCCTAGATGGGTTTTAGCTCATTTGAATATTTAATGTGGAGGCTGTGGTTTCCTGGGACATTTTTCCCGCTGTGGAGAGTTAGCCACCTTTTCTCTGTTTCTTTTTTCTTTTTTTTTAATCGAGATGAAGTCGTATGCTTGTTGCCCAGGCTGGAGTGCAATGGTGCGATCTCGGCTCACTGCAACCTCCGCCTCCTGGGTTCAAGCGATTCTCCTGACTCAGCCTCCCGAGTAGCTGGGATTACAGGCACCTGCCACCATGCCCAGCTAATTTTTGTATTTTTAGTAGAGATGGGGTTTCACCATGTTGGTCAGGCTGGTCTTGAACCCCTGACCTCAGGCAATCCACCCGCCTCCCTCCCAAAGTACTGGGATTAGAGGCATGAGCTACCATGCCCGGCCGCCCTTCTCTGTTTCTAGAGCATTTTGTATTAACTCCCTCTCATGATATCTTCCATGGTAGGCTGAATAATGGCCCCTCCAAAGTGTCCTCAACTTAATCCCCAGAATCTGTGACTATGTTCCTTTCCATGACAAAAGGGACTTTGCAGATGTGATTAAGCATCTTGAGATGGGAGCTTATCCTATGTTGCCTATGGGCCCAGAGTCCCATCACAGTGCTTTTTTTTTTTTTTTTTTTGAGACAGAGTTTTTTGCTCTTGGTGCCCAGGCTGGAGTGCAATGGCACAATTTCGGCTCACTGCAACTCCATCTCCCAAGGTTCAAGCGATTCTCTTACCTCAGCCTCCCAAGTAGCTGGATTACAGGCGCTCGCCAACATGCCCAGCTAATTTTTGTTTTTCCAGTAGAGATGGGGTTTCACCATGTTGGCCAGGCTAGTCTCGAACTGCTGACCTCGTGTTCTGCCCACCTTGGCCTCCCAAAGTGCTGGGATTACAGGTGTGAGCCACCACATCCAGCCTACAGTGCTCTTTTAAGAGGGACTCAGCAGTCAGGGGAGATGGCAATGAGATGATGACTGAGTGTCTTAGTCTTTTTTGTATTGCTATGCAATATCTGAGACTGGGTAATTTATAAATAACAGGTTTATTTCTTACAGTTCTGGAGGCTGGGAATGTCAAGATCAAGGGGCCTGCTTCTGGTGAGGGTCTTCTTGCTGTGTCATCCCATGATGGAAGGTGTCACATCAAGAGAGAAAGGGGGCTGAACTCAATCCTTTTATTAGGAACCCATCCCCATGATAATTAACACTCTGCTGAGATAACATCATTACTCTATTAATGAGGGCAGATCTTTCATGACCTAATCTCCTCTTAAAGGTCCCACCTCTCAACACTGTTGCATTAGAGATTAAATTTCCAGCACATGAACTTTGGGGGACACATTCAAACCATAGACTGTGCAGAGATTGGAGTGGTGTGCTTTAAAAATGGAGGAAAGGGCCACAATCCAGGGAATATAGGTAACCACTAAAAGCAGAAAAAGGCAAGAAAATGGGTTTTCCCTTCAGAACCTCCTGAAGGAATCAGTCCTTTACAACTTGACTTTAGCCAAGTGAAACTGATTTGAGGCTTCTGACCTATAGAACAATAAGATATTAAGCCTGTGTTGTAAGCCAATCAGTTCGTTGTAATTTGTTACAGCAGCCATAGAAAACTAATTGACTCACCAATGGGAGAAATCAGCTGCTGATTTAAGGCTACCAAGCACCTATTTCCTCTCCTAACCTCACTCCAATTTTATCTTGGAGGAATTCTTTTCCCTATCCCATTAAGTTATGGGAGATGGGGCCAGGCATGGTGGCTTAGCAATCCCAGCACTTTGGGAGGCTGAGGTGGGTGGATCACTTGAGGTCCGGAGTTTGAGACTAGCCTGGTCAACATAGTGAAACCCCATCTCTACTAAAAATACAAAAATTAGCCAGGTGTGGTGGTGGGCACCTGTAATCCCAGCTACTCCAGAGGCTGTGGCATGAGAATTGCTTGAACCCAGGAGGCAGAGGTTGCAGTGAGCTGAGATCGCACCACTGCACTCCAGCCTGGGTGACAGAGTGAGAATCCATCTCAAAAAAAAAAAGTTATGGGAGAGGATGGTAAAGCTAAGTATCTTTTGCACCTACTCCCCAGCCCCACCACTGCAGAAGCTGAAGGGGCTCCTAGAGGCTTCTTCTGCCGTGGAGCTGTTCCCACCAGCCCCTAGCTAGAGGTGGGTGTAGGACTTTGAAACATGAACAAATGGAGCTGGGATGGCAATGGCGGGAACAATATTGTGCTAATCTGAACTCTGCACTTCCTAACTTTGGCTCTGGGTAAATTACCTCAAATTGCTGAGCCTTTGTTTCCATATTTATAAAATGGGTGCGGTAAGAGTACCAAGCTCTTCTATGCTGTTTGGAGGAGGCAGGTCCATAAGGTACCTGGCGTGTGGTAAGGGATTCATGAATGTTGGCTTCTATCATTAAGGGTGGGGGAGCCACATAAGTAGCCAGAGGGAGTCATAGAAATTTCTTGAGCCAGAGAAGTAAGATAATCTTTTCAGCTTTTTGTACAGCATAAAAGGCGGGTAATTTGCTTGCCTTTGACCAAGCAAATTTGGGACGTGCCAGGCCTGGGGTGAATGGTGGGAACCCAGGTAGAGGGATATTTCTCATTGGCTGAACTAACTGTGACTCCGTTTTGCGGAGCAGCCAGGTTGCCTCATGGTGGACCTGCTGCATGCCTACATGATGGTGCTGTGGATAGCTCTTGTTTGTGCCAGCCCTGTACCTGATACCTCTTGTGGTAATTGCATCCCTGTTTTTCAGAAGGAAGCATCCCTCTTCCCACTTTCTGGTTTTCCCCATGTCCTTCTGGAGGGGATGACCCCAACTGCTTCCTGAAGAGGCTTCATGAAAGCCAGGTCTGGCCAGGCTGGATGTGGTGATTGGCTCAGGCAGGGGCATGTGGCCCAAACGGGTCCAGTGAAAGTCAGTCCTGGGACTTTGGCTGGAACTATTGGGGAACAGCCTCTGCTTTCTTGGGCAGATGTGAGTTAGGAGCTGCTCAGGCCACTGTGTGGAAAGAACTGTATGAGAATGAAGTAATCAAAGGGAAGCAAGCACTGAGAGATTAGAGAGACTTATCTTGTATAAGTGCCTGTATCCAGCTATGCCTGAAGTGAGGTACCACCCCAGGCCTTTTCAGTCATGCTATCAGTTTTGTTCCTTTTTTCTGTTTTACTCTTGGTGGAGTTATTTTTTTTTCCTTGTTACTTGAATAAGAAAAATACCAAACTAGAAGGCTGGGTGCGGTGGCTCATGCCTGTAATCCCAGTACTTTGGGAGGCCAAGGCAGGTGGATCACGAGGTCAGGAGTTTGAGATCAGCCTGATCAACATGGTGAAATCCCGTCTCTACTAAAAATACAAAAAAAATTAGCCGGGTGTGGTGGTGCCTGCCTTTAATCCCAGCTACTCAGGAGGCTGAGGCAGGAGAATCGCTTGCATCTGGGAGGCGGAGGTTGCAGTGAGCCGAAATCGTGCCACTGCACTCCAGCCTAGGTGACAGAGCAAGACTCCATCTCAAAAAAAACAAAAACAAGAACAACAACAACAACAAAAAACCAGACTAGTAAATGCAACCATTTACAAATTCCAAGAGACTCTTGAAGATTCTTTTTGTTAGTAGGGAAAACATTCTCCATTTTTCTGCCAACTTTAGGGTTTTCAGAGAAGTTTGGTGGAGAGAAAGGAAAGCAAAGATGTGGGAAGACAGAGTCCTTGCAGCCCCACATTGGGCGAACTCCTCCCAGCTACTTATACCACAGGGTTTTGGGAGCAGAGACCCTTTCATTAAACTTTTAGGAGTCTTGGATGGATAGGGTTGGAATTACACCAGTGAAACTCAGCTTTGTGTGTGCCAGGCATTGGGCCCTGGGATATGCAGTCATGTGTTATGTAATGACATTTTAGTCAATGACAAACCACATGTAAGTCAATGGTACCATAAGACGATTATGGAGCTGAAAAATTCCTATTGCTTAGTGACATAGCCATTGTAATGTTAGGGTAATGCATTTCTGTGTTTCTGGTGATGCTAATGTAAACAAATCTGTGCTGCCAGTTCTATAAAAGCATAGCATGTACAATTACATACAATATATAATACTTGATAATGAACAACTATGTTACTGGTTTATTTTATTTTTTTGAGACAGAGTCTTGCTCTGTCGCACAGGCTGGAGTGCAGTGGCGCGATCTTGGCTCACTGCAACTTCTGCCTCACAGGTTGAAGTGATTCTTCTGCCTCAGCCTCCTGAGTAGCAGGGAATACAGGCACCCACCACCACGGCCAGCTAATCTTTGTATTTTTAGCAGAGATGGGGTTTCACCACACTGCCCAGGCTGGTCTCAAACTCCTGACCTCAAATGATCTGCCTGCCTCAGCCTCCCGAAGTGCTGGGATTACCCGCATGAGACACTGTGCCCAGCCCTGGTGTATTTAGTGTTTTTCATAATTTTAGAATGTATGTCTTCTACTTATATTAAAAAATAGTTAACTATAAAACAGCCTCAGGCAGGTCCTTCAGGAAGTATTCTGGAAGAAGAAGGCATTGTTATCACAGGAGATGACAGCTCCATGCGTGTAATTGCCCAGGCTGGAGTGCAGTGGCACAATCTCGGCTCATTGCAACCTCCGCCTCCTGGGTTCAAGCGATTCTCCTGCCTCAGTCTCCTGAGTAGCTGGGACTACAGGTGCACACCACCATGCCTGGCTAACTTTTGTATTTTTATTAGAGATGAGGGTTTCACCACGTTGGCCAGGATGGTCTCGAACTCCTGACCTCAAATGATCTGCCTGCCTCGGCCTCCCAAAGTGCTGGGATTACAGGTGTGAGACACCACGACCGGCAAAATTTTTTAAGATACATTTCAGTAAGCTAAGATTAATTTATTGAAGAAAAGCTTTAAAAAATTTTGGTGTAGCCTAAGCATATGGTGTTTATAAAGTCTACAGTAGTGTACAGTAAGGTCCTATGCCTTCACACTCACTGACTCACCACAGCATCTTCCAGTCCTGCAAGCTCCTTTCATGGTAAGTGCCCTATACAGGAGTACCATTTTAAAATCTCTTATACTCTATTCTTACTGTACCTTCTCTATGTTCAGGTACACAAGTACTTACATTGTGTTACAACTGCTTATAGTATATTCAGTAAAGTATCAGGCTGTACAGGTGTGTAGCCTAGGAGCAATAGGCTACACCATACAGCCTAGGTGTGTAGTAGACTGTACAAGGCTATACAAGGTTTGTGTAAATGCACTTTGCTGTTTGCACAATGATGCAATCACCTAAGGAGGCATTTCTCAGAACCATCCCGTGATTAAGAGAGGCATGATCGTACAGTCATCATCTCCCTGAAAGCTCAGTCAGCCCTGTGCAGTGCTACTGCCACACTCCCCTTTTGCACATGTAGAAATCAAGGATCTTTGGCTCCTCTGAGTGACTTGTTCCAGGTTTCTCAGTTTTCAAGAGATGGAGGTGGGACTCGAATTGAGATTTCCCTTTCTTGAGAACCTGTGGTCCTTAACCATTAAAACCACTTAAGAGGTCTTCTCTCTCGATCACTACCTACTAAGTGCTAGGCGCGGTGCTGAGGCGTTCTCTTGATTATTATATTGAGTCTTTAGATTTAGGAGAAACAGGCCGAGCGCGCTGACTCACGCCTGTAATCTCAGCACTTTGGGAGGCCGAGGCAGGAGGATCATGAGGTCAGGAGATGGAGACCATCCTGGCTAACACTGTGAAACCCCATCTCTACTAAAAATACAAAAATTAGCAGGCGTGGTGGTGGGCGCCTGTAGTCTCAGCTGCTCGGGAGACTGAGGCAGGAGAATGGCGTGAACCCGGGAGGCGGAGCTTGCAGTGAGCCGAGATCACGCCACAGCACTCCAGCCTGGGTGACAGAGCGAGACTGTCTCAAAAAAAAAAAAAAAAAGATTTAGGAGAAACAAGTCCCGAAGCCCTGACCCTAACACGCAAGGGTTAGTGGAGATGTGGGACTTGAACTCAGCTTCTCCGTTGAGTCTGGCTGTCACCGGGACGCAGGCACGTGCTTGCACACCTCCACGGTGGCGATCCCACCCCCTTAGTAGCGTCCTTAGCTCGGCACTTCTTGCGGGGAAGTTCTTCTTGGCCCAGACCCTCGTCCTAGGCCCCGCGCCGTGGGGGAAGTGAAAGGGGCAGTGTGGGGAAATGGCCGAGAGGTCGGGTCAGGGGTGGTCTGCAGAGAGGCAGGCGGCGGTGCTGAGTCGGGAACCGCGCGCTCACCCGCCCAGTCGGACGGTTCCGGCGGGGGTGGGTGAGACACTGGGAACAGCGGCCAGCTGCAGAGGGCCCGAGGCCGGGCGCGCGGGGAGCGGGGCGCGTCGAACGCGCGCGTGCGCGGTTCGTGTGTGGGCCTGCGGGGGCGTGCGCGGTTGGGGGGCAGTGAGGGTCGCCGCGGCGGCGCGCAGCACGGCGGGAACATGGCGCGCGGAACCGGCGCACGCGCCTAGCTGGTGGGACCGTTAGCTCGAGGCGGACGCGGCCCGGACCCCGTGGATATGGAGCAGTGGCCGCCGCCGGCGCCCGAGCCGGCCCAAGGGCCGACCCCCGCAAGGAGCTGAAGGCGGCGGGAGACCGAGTCGCCGCCAGCGTTGGCGCCGGTGAGTGCGTGAGGGGCTCGGGCCGGGAGACTTTCTTTGTCAAACTCCGGCGGTGGGAGCCGGGCCGGGCCTCAGCGACTGAGGAGCGCCTGCGAGGCGGAGGGTGTCTCGCAGTCCGGGTTCGATCCCAGCCGCGAGCCGTCAGGCGACAGGACCTGGTCGGCCGCCTGCCTGCCTCAGTTTCCGCGAGAGTGTGTGTGGGTGTGTGTGGGTGTGTATGGGTGTTGGCCTGCACACACCGGGGGTGGGGGGGTCGGTATACAGTCGGCGCCTAATGCGCGCGGTGCCTCCCCCCTCCCCCCAGTCCCCGTGGGGCGGAAGCTGGGGACTGGAGTCCACCAGAGCAGTAGGCGGCACCCGCGGGGAGACAGGTGTCGGCGCAGCCCGGGAGGATCAGGTGCTACCTCTCCCGGGTGGGGTTTGTGAGGAGTGAGCTCTTCGTCCCCAGTGGCGAGCAAGTCTGTCGGTGGCTCATCACAGAGCACTGTTTTGGAAAGCGTTCCACCCACCTCAGCTTCGTGCTGTGTTTGGGCCACTAGTCAGGGGGAAGGATGCTGAGCGACATGGACTTTAGAGGTGGGGCTCCCGCTGGACGGGATGGCTCTGGGCTCTCGAGCTTACCCCCACCCTTGTCTCCTAAACCCGTTAGAGTGTAGGAATCATTGGGAGCACCTGATAAAAATGCCACGGATTGTGGCTCACCAAAGCAGGGAAGCCGATTTGGAACTTAAACAAGCTCCCAAGTTGTGATCAGTCGAGCTTGGCAAGCACTGTTTTAGAGAGTAGGCTTCCTGCAAGCAGGAGCTGTTTTTGTGTATACCTCACCATGGCATCTTGGTACCTGGCATGGTGCCTGGCACACGGTAGATGATCAGAAAATATCTGTAGAAAGTCTAAATTATTAGGGAGAGTGCAACATAGGAGTTCTTGAGACATTTTCAGGAGCTTCTTGAGATTAATATCTGTCAGATTTGTTTTACAGTATATGATTTTTCTCAGCTCCCAACTTTTGTGATTGTTTTTAATGCCATGTTTTCAGTATGTTCTAGGCAAAAGCAGGGTATATGTTGCTTAGTATACACTATCCACTAGGCCGGGTGCGGTGGCTCACTCCTGTAATCTCAGCACTTTGGGAGGCAGATTGCTTGAGCCCAGAGGCTTGAGGCTGTAGTGAGCCAAGGAGTTAGAGACCGGTGTGGGAAACATAGCGAGACTCGTCTCCGCAAAAATTAGCTGGGTGTGGTAGCGTGCACTTGCAGTCCCAGCTACCCTGGAGGCTGAGGTGGGAGGATCGCTTGAGCTCAGGAAGTACAAGTTGCAGTGAGCCAAGGTTGTGCCACTGCATTCCAGTCTGGATAATACAGCGAAACCCAGTCTCTTAAATAAGTAAATAAATACATAAATGATTATGTATACTCCAGCTAGGTTAAAATTAATTCTAAATCAAAATTCTAAATTAAAATATGCATATTTCTTTCTCTTCATCATTTGAGAACACTAGGCTTTTAGGATTTCATTCCGTTGGGGCAGGTAAATATCTACAGTTTTGACAAAGCAAATATGAATTACTGTTAATTCAAGAAAGGTGGGAATTTGCTTAAACCTGAGTATTTGTAGTCTGTGATTTTTTTAAATTTTAAATGTAAATTTTCTTTTTTTTTTTCTTTTTTTTTTGAGATGGAGTCTCACTCTGTCGTCCAGGCTGGAGTGCAGTAGCACAATCTCAGGTCACTACAACCTCCACCTCCCGAATTCAAGCGATTCCCCTGCCTCAGCCTCTGGTGTAGCTGGCATTACAAGTGTGTGCCACCATGCCCAGCGAATTTATGTATTTTTAGTAGAGAGGAGGTTTCACTATGTTGCCCAGGCTGGTCCCAAACTACTTGACCTCAAGTGATCTGCCCACCTTGGCCTCCCAAAGTGCTGGGATTACAGGCATGAGCCATGGCACCTGGCCTTATTTTTATTTTTTTGAGACAGAATCTCAGGCTGCCACCCAGGTTGGAGTGCTGTGGCATGATCTGCACTCACTGCACCCTCCACCTCCCAGATTCCAGTGATTCTAATGCCTCAGCTTCCTGAGTAGCTGGGGTTACTAGACCCGGCTAATTTTTGTTGTATTTTTTTAGTAGAGACTGGGTTTCCCTATGTTGGCCAGGCTGCTCTGGAACTCCTGGCCTCTAGTGATCCACCTGCCTCGTCCTCCCAAAGTGCTGGAATTACAGGCATGAGCTACTGCTCCCAGCCAGTCTTTGTGACATTTTGAAATTGAGGTTTATATTTTGTTCAGAGTCAAAGCTAAAATAGAATTGTTTGAAAATTAATATTTCAGGAACTGTTTTTTAATTAAGTTGAATTTTATTTTATTAGTTTCATTTCAGTAGGGTTTTAACTTAAAAAATATATAAATATATGTGTGTGTGTGTATAAATATATATATATATATATTTTTTTTTCCCTGAGACGGAGTCTTGCTCTGTCACCCAGGCTGGAGTGCAATGGCATGATCTTGGCCTCACTGCAGCCTCCACCCTCCCAGCTCAAGCAATTCTTCTGCCTTAGCCTCCCGAGTAGCTGGGACTACAGGTGCCTGCCACCACACCCAGCTAATTTTTATATTTTTAGTAGAGATGGGGTTTCACCATGTTGTCCAGGCTGGTTTTGAACTCCTGATCTCAAATGATCTGCCCTCCTTGGCCTCCCAAAGTGCTGGGATTACAGGCGTGAACCACTGTGCCTGGCCTAAAAAATATTTTTAAAGACAGGATCTAGCTGTGTTGCCTCAGCTGGTCTTGAACTCCCAGTCTTGGCCTCAAGTGATCCTTCTGCCTCAGCCTTCTGAGTAGCTGGAAGCACAGCTGTGAGCCACCACACCTGGCTTTTTTTTATTTCTAATAAAAAATTAATAGAGTGTCTTGTTTCACTGGACAAAATACGCATATATAGGAAGGAAAGACTTTTGGACTTGAGATTGCGCTGAAGAAGAAAAATGGAAAAATTAGGCATTTTAGTCTCTCAGTATGTTATTTTTGTAGCTTATACAGATATGTCTTTTTAAAGTGTCTTTAAAAAGCTTTATTGAGATAAAGATAAATGAGATAAATTCACCTACCATGAAATCAACCCCTTGAGTGCAGAATTTTGTGGTTTATAATATATTCACAGAATCGCACAAACAAGACAGGTATCTAGATACTTTCAGACCATTTTCATCAGTCCACAAGAAATCCCATACCCATTAGCAGTCATCCTTATTCCCTTTTCCCCTAGTCCCTGGCAATAACTAGCCTACTTTCTGTCTCTGAGTTTAGCTCTTCTGGAGGTTTCACAGAATGAAATCTTACTACATATGGTCTTTTGTGATTGACTTATTTCACTTGGCACAGTGTTTTCAAGGTTTATCCATGCTGTAGCGTATATCAGCACTTCATTCTTTTTTAATGCTGAGTAATCTTTTGAATGGATATACCATATTTTATTAGTTCCTCTGTTGATAGGCACTTGAGTTTTTTTTCCAATTTTTGGCTATTATGAACAATGCTGCTATGAACATTTGTGTACAAATTTTAGTGTGGATGTATATTTTCATTTCCCTTGGGTATATCCCTAAGGAATAGACTATCTGGGTCATATGATAATTGTTTAAGACTACAGGCACGTGCCACCACACCTGGCAAATGTTTAAAAATTTTTTGTAGATAAAGGGTCTCGCTGTGTTGCCCAGGCTGATCTTGAACTCCTGGCCTCAAGAGATCCTCTCACCTCAGCCTCCCAGAAAGTGTTGGGATTACAGATGTGAGTCACTGCACCTATAAAAGAGGCTCATACCTCTTTTTACATATTTTTTTTGAGACAGGGTTTCACTCTGTTGCCCAGGCTGGAGTGCAGTGGTGGGATCACAGCTCACTGCAGCCTGGACCTCCCTCCATATGATTCTAGCTGTGGGTGTCTTTCCTGTAGTTTTTATTATGTTGTGGTATGTTTCTTCTGTACCCGTTTCTTTGAGGATTAATGGCATGAAGGATGTTGAATTTCACCAAATGCTTTTTCAGTTTCAGTTGACATGATCATACTGTTTTTGTCATTTATTTGATTGATATGATGTATCACATTGTATGTTGAGTGACCCTTGCATCCCAGGGATACATCGCACTTGATCATGATGAATTATCTTTTTAATGTATTACTGAATTTGATTCACTGGTATTTTGTTGAGGATTTTTGCATCAATATTTGAAATACTGGCCTGTAGTTTCCTTCTTTGATGCCTTTGTCTGATTTTGGTATCACAGTAATAATGGTCTCATAGAATAAGTTTGGAAGTATTCCCTCCTGTTTTTCAAAATAGTTTGAGTAGGATTCGTACTAGGTCTTTAAATTGTTTGTTGTGAAGCCATCAGCAGTGAAGACATCAGTTCCTGGGCTTTTCTTTACTGGGAGACTTTTTCTGATGGCTTCAATCTCATTTCTTGTTACCAATCTGTTTTGGTCTTGGATGTTTTCATTATTCAACGTAAGTAGGTGTATACAACCTAAGTAGGTGTATTCCTAGATGTATGCATCTAGGAATTTGCCAATTTCTACTAGGCTTTCCAATTTATTGGCATATAATAGCCAGTTATGATCCTTTGAATTTCTGAAGTATTAGTTGTAATGTCTCCTTTTTTTTAATCTGTTGATTTTATTTATTTGAATCTTTTCTCTTTTTTCTTAGTTAGCCTGGTTAAAAGTTTGTCAATTTTGTTTAGCTTTCCAGAAAACCAACTTTTCATTTAATCATGTGTGTTTTTTATTTCAATTTTATTTCTGCTATGATCTTATTTATTTTCTTATTTTCAGTTTAGTTTGTTTTTACTTTAATAGTTCTTTAAGATGTACTGTTTATTTAAAGTTTTTCTTTTGTTTGGATGGTAGGCACTTATAGCTGTAAATCTCTGCCTTTGTACTGCTTTCTGCATAACAAGTTTTGGTATACTGTGTTTTCATTACCCTTTGTTTCATGAAATTTTTGAATTTCTGTCTTAGTATCTTCATTGACCCGCTAGTCATTTATTCAGGAGGGTAGTGTTTAACTTCCATGTGATTGTATTGTTTCCAAAATTACTCTTCTTATTGATACCTAGTTTTATTCCTTTGTAGTCAAAGAAGATGGCCACGGAGACAGCAGCGTGGTCAGAGTGGTAGGAGCCGGCCATCAGCGAGAGCTGCTCCATGCCTGGCTGCTGGGTGCTACAGCCTGTGGCCCATTGGCTTGCCTCACTGTGGTTGGTGGTGGCGGTGACAGAGACTGCAGCATGACCAAAGTGGTAGGACAGGGGCTATCCAGGGCTGCACCTTTCGCAGTGTGGGGTGGGTTGGGGGCGCTATCCAGGGTGTCATTGCCTGCATTAGGGGTACTGGTTGGTAGCACTGTACAGGGCTGCACTGCACATGGCAGGGAGGGTGGGTTATGGGCGCTTTCTGGGACTGCAATGCCCATGGAGAAGGACAGGTTAGGGCACTATCAGGTATACGCTACTGGTGGCATTGGGGGATGGAGGTGGGGGGAGCTATTGAGGGCAGGACTAGCCATGGAGAGGGGTGAGTTCAGTGCTATCAGGGGCTGCACTGCTGGCGGCGGTCAGCAGAGTTGGCATCCAAGGAAGGAGTGGTTCTCCTCTCCCTGACTCCACACTCCAGAGAGCGACCCACTCTTGGTCATACTGGGGTGCGGCAGGCGCACAGCGTTTGCGTGGGAATCCTGAGCATGGCAGAGCCCCCACACCCACCGTGGTTCCTGGGCCTGTGCACTCTGGGTCTGTGCCTCAGAGGCTGCCAGGCACCCCTGGGGACACCACGGGGGACAGGGCCCTGTGTGTGGAGGCGTCCGGAACAGGAATTGGCACCTGGGTGCTGAGGGCTGTCTGGGTCTGAATTTTTCTGCTTCTCCTACTCCCTGAGGAGTGCAGCCCTGGTGGGCCCAATGGTTCCTGTGGAGTGGGGAGCTGGGTGCTGTGGTGTCTCCAGCACCCACCCCAGACCCCAGTTCCTGGCCAGCTTGGGCCAAAGGGAGAGGCTGGACTTTGGAGGGTGGGTGTGAGTGCCTTTGCTGAAACTGGCCCCTGCCACCCAGTGGCCAGCATGACAAGGTGAGGCTCTAACCCTTCCACCCCTCACATCTTCCTCTAGGCTTTTCTGGCTTTGCCCGCCCAGCTGCTCCATGCCAGGAGGAGGAGGAGACACCTAGAGCCTGCGACACCACGGCTCGCCTCGCTGCGGGAGGGTGGCATCAACGGAGACTGCAGTGCACCAGAGTGGTAGGAGAGCGGCCGCACTAGGAGGGCAGGTGGCTGCAGCCAGGGTTGGGGGTCAGGCTTACAGCAATGGATGGGCTGCAGCAGTGGCCAGGTGGTAGGAGCCTTGTAGGGAGGGCTGGCGCATTGGCAATGGCTTTGCCCTGCCCATGCCGTGGATCTGACCCTGTACTGCCCTGCCTTGCCCTGTACCTGCCCTACTGTTACCTGGACTGTCTCGGCCCTGTCCTGCTCTGGTCCCATCCTGACCCTGTCTTGGCCCTGTGCTACCCTGTCCTTGCCCTGGTCTTGCCCTGGCACTGGCCCTGCCCTGAACCTGCCCTGGCCTGACCTTGGCTCCGGCCCTGGCTCTGGCCCTGCCCCTTGTCCTGACCCTGGTGCTGTCATGGCACTGGCCCTGCCAATGGTCATGGTCCTGCTCCTGTTCTGGCCCTGACCTGGCCTTGGACATGTCCTGGCCCTGCTTTGGCCCATCCCTGCCCTGGCCCCACCATAGGCCTGCCTGTTCTACCCTCTCCTGGCACTGACCTTGCCCTGTCATGGCCTAGTGGTGCCATTGCCCTGCCTTACCCTGCGCTGGTTGTGCCTTGGCCCCGCTTGGTGCTGGCCGCTCCCTGGACCTGCCCTGACCCTGCCTTGGCTTTTGCCCTGCCCTCACTATGGCCTGGCCCTGACCCTAGCCCTGGTCCTGCCATATCCCTGGCCCTGCCCTTATCCAGGCCCTGCCCCTGCTGCTGCCCTGGCCCTGGCCTGGAACCTGGTCCTGTCAAGGACCTGCCCTGACTCTGCCATGGCCCTGGCCCTGCTCTGCCTTGTTCCTGGCCCTGACCCAGACCCAGACCCTTTCCTGGCTCTGCACTGGCCTTTCCGTGGTCCTGAGCTGGCAGTGGTCTGCCCCTGGTCTTGCCATCACCCTGCCCTGCTGTGCTCTGGATGTGTCATCACCCTGACCTGGCCCTACTCTGCCTTTGACCCTGCCCTGGCCTTACCTTGGCCCTCACCCTAGTCTTCGCTAGGCCCTGCTCTGGAGCTGGCCCTAGCACAGACCTGGCCCTGACCCTGGCCCTGGTCTTTGTCCTGCCATAGCCCTGGCCCTGAAGTGAACTTCGAGGTGTCCTGGCCCCGGCGTAACATAGCTCTGCATTGGCATGTCCCTGCCCTGCCGCTACCATCGCCTTGCCCTGCTCTGCCCTGTCCCAGTACTGACCTGGCCATGCTATTTCCCTGCCCTACCCTGCCTTGGCTGTGCCCTGGCTCGGTTCTGGCCCTGGCCCCGGCCCTGCCCTGCCCTGGACATGCTCTGACACTGCCTCAGCCTCGGCACTAGCCTGGCTCTTCTTTGGCATCAGCTCTGCTCTCTGTGTGGACCGGCTCTTGTCCTGTCCTGCACTGGCCATACCATGCCCTGCCCTGCCCTGCCCGACTCAGCCCTGGCTCAGCCCTGGCCCAGCCTTGGCCTTGGCATTGCCCCTGGTCCTGCCATATTTCTTGCCCTGTCCCTACCCTGGCCTTGGCCCTGACCCTTACCTTGCCCTGGCCCTGCCCTTGCCCTAACGCAGCCCCTGGCCCTGTCATGGCCCTGCCCTGGACCTGTCCTGGCCCTGGCCCTTCCCTGCTTGAGACCTTGCCCTGGTTCTCCCCTGGCCCTGACCCTGAAATGCCTGGCCCTACCCTGGCCTTGCACTGCTCTGGCCCTTGCCCTGACTCTGGTCCTGTCACTGGCCTAGCCCCAGCCCTGTTGCTGGTCTTACCGTGGCCCAGACCCTGCCTTGGCCCTTCCCTGACACTGTCCTGGACCCTGGCTGTGCCAAGATCCTGCACTGACCGTGTCCTTGTTTTGCTCCTGCCCCAAACCTGGTCCTGCCCAGGCCATGGCCATGGCCCTGGCCCTGGCCCTGCCCTGGCTGTTCCCTGGCCCTGCCCTGCCTTGGCCCTATGCTTTCCTGGCCCTGTCTTGCCTGTCCTGGCCCTGCCTTGGCCCTAGCCTGGCTTTGACCCTGCCCTGGCCCTACCTTGGCCTTCACCCTAGCCTTACCTGGCCACTCTGTTGGACCTGGCCATAGCACAGACCTGGTTGTGGCCCTGGCCCTGCCATGGCCCTGTCCCAGACCCTAGCCCTGCCAGGTACCTGTCCTGGCCCAGCTCTGGGCCTGGCTTTGTCCCTGGTTCTTAGATGAACCTGGCCCTGCACCTGCCCTTGCCCTTGCCCTGGCACTGGCCTTGGACACGTCCGTGGTCCTAACCCTGGCCCTGCCCTGGAGCTGCCACTGTCTTGGCCCTGCCCTGGCTCTGGCCCTGCCCCGGCCCTGGCCCTGCCCCGGCCCCAGCCATAGACCTGCCCTGGTTGGTCATGCCCTACCTTAACCCTGTGCAACCCTGGGCCTGCTCCACCCTGCCCTGGCCCTGCCCTCCCTTTGGCCCTGCCATGACCCTGCCTTGGCCCTCACACTGGCCCTAGCACAGACCTGGTCCTATCTGTGGCCTTAGCCTGGCATTGACCCCTGCTCCTGACCCTGGCCCTGCCATGGCCCTTGCCCTGCCAATGACCCTGACAGCCCTGGCCCTGGCCCTGTCTTGGCCTTGGCCCTGAACTGGCCCTGCCCTGACCCTGGCCCTGAAGTGGATTTGCAGGTGTCTTGTCCATGATTTAACCTGGTCTTATCATGGCCCTGTCCCTCCCCTGGCTCTGTCCTGGTCTTGTGCTGACCCTGACCCAGACCTTGGCCCTGCCCCAGCCTTGTCCTTGACCTGGCCATGGCCCTGCCTCTGCCCTGGACCAGCGCTGGCACTGGCATGGACCCTGGCCCTGGCCGTTCACTACTTAAGGCCATACCCTGGCCCAGCCCTGGTCCTGACCCTGTCCTGGCCCTAATTTGGCCTGGCTCTATCCTGGCATGCTATTCTGGCCCTGGCCCTGACCCGGCCCCTGTCCCTGTCCTGGCCCCAGCCCCATTGCTGGTCCTGCCATGGCCCTTGTTCTGACATTGCCCTTTCCTGGTTCTGGCCCTGGTCTGAACCCTGGCCCTGCAATAGACCTGCCTTGGTCCTGCCCAGACCCTGGCTCGGGCCCTACCTCTGCCCTGGCCATACCCTTGCCCTGGCCTGGACCTCGGTCCTGGTCCTTGTCCTGCCCCAGCCATGGTCCTGGCCCTGCCCTGCCTGTGCCCTGTTCTATCCTGGGCTGGCCCTGCCATGGCCTGGTCTTGCCATTGCCCTGCCTTAGCCTGCCCTGCTTGTGCCCTAGATCTGCCCCGGCCTTTGTCCCGTCTTGGTTCTAGCCTTGACGCAGCCCTGGACCTTCCCTGACCTTGCCTTAGCCCTGGCACTACCCTGGCCTTGGCTTGGCATTTGCCCTACTCTATGGCCTGGCTCTCGTCCTGCCCTTATGCAGGCCTGACCCTGCCTGTGCCTTGGCTTTGGCCTGGACCTTGGCCATACAGTGACCCTGCCATGACCCTTTCCTGGCCCTGGCCTGGAACCTGGCCCTGCCAAGGACTTGCCCTGGCTCTGTCATGGCCCTGGCCCTTTTCTGGATTTGGATGTGTCCTGTCCCTTATTTCCCCAGCGCTTCCCTGGCTCTGCCATACCCCTTCTCTGGGGTAGGGCCAGGGTCAGGACCAGGGTAGGGCCATGGTAAGGCCTGAAGATGGGAAGGGCCAAGGCAGCGGCAGGACCAGGGAAGGGTCAGGGCCAGGAATGTGGTAGGACTAGGGGCAGAGCCGGTACTAGGGCTGAGCCGGGGCAGAGCAGGAGAGATTACGTTAGGCTGTTATGTAAAATTTTTATTTTAGATTTTTAAGATAACTACAGTAGTAGTAATAATGTCTATACTATGTTGTTTGTAATAGTAATAATATTTGCAGTAAATAATCACTAAATTTTAACTAATACTATCTTTGCTTCCAGTAGTATTCTATGAGTATAATTTTATCAATATGTAAATATGTGAGGCATTGATTCTCACAATAATTCTACATGCTAGGTACTTAAAGCATCCCCATTTTCCAAATGTAGGAAACAGCCATAAAGAAGTTAAATACTTGGCCAGATTACTCCTGTAATCCCAGCACTTTGGGAGGCCAAGGCAGGCAGATGGCTTGAGCTCAGGAGTTTGGAACCAGCCTGGGCAACATTGTGAAACCCCATCTCTACTAAAAATGCACAAAAAGAGCTGATTTAAGTTTCTTGTAGGATTCTGGTTATAAAACACTGGTCAAACACACAGGGCATGGATAGGGCAGGGCCAGGGACAAGGTCAGGCCAGGAAGGGGCCAGGGCCAAGGCAGGGCCAGAGCTGGACTTGGAGGTGTCCTGGTCTGATTTGCCCTGCCCCAACGTTGGCCCAGCCCTGCTCTGGCACTTCCTGTCATGCCCTGTCCCTGGCCTGAGCATTGGCCCTGTCCCTGTCCTGCTTCTGGCCCTGCCCCGGAGTTGACCAGGCACTACCATGGCCCAGTCCTGCGTTGCCCTGCCCTCCTCTGCCCTGGCGCTGCCATGGCCCTGCTTGGGCCCTAGCTCTGCCTCGACTCTGGACCTGCCCTGACTCTGCTCAGCCCTGGATCTACCCTGACTCTGCCTTGGTGTTGCCCTCCCATCTCTATGGCCTGGCTCTGGCCGTGCCTTGCACAGGCCATGCTCTGCCCTGCATGTCCCAGCCTGGGCCCAGCCCTTGTCCTACCATATTCCTGACCCCAGCCGTACCCTTGTTCTGGCCTTGACCCTGCCGTGGCCCTCTCCTGGCCCTTCCTTGGTCCTGCCCTGCCCTTCCATGCCCTGGCCTTGCCCTCACCCTGCATTGGCCCTGCACTGGTCCTGCCTTGCCCTGGCACTGCTTTGGCCCCGGCCCTGCCTTCTCCCTGGCCTTGCTCTTGCCCTGCCCTGGCCTGACCCCAGGCCTACCGAGTCCATGAAATGGCCCTGGCCCTGCCTTGCCATCGTCTGTCCTGGCCCTGTATTGTCCCCACCATGCTCTGGTCCAGCACTTACCCTGGCCCTGTTGCTAGTCCTGCCACTGCTATGGCCCTGCCCTGTGCTACCCTAGCCCTGCCCTGCCTTGGCCCTACCGTGGCCTTCTCCTACCCTGGCCTGGCCCTACACTAGCCTTTTCTACCCTGGCCTTGCCCTTCCCTGGTCTTGCCCTGCCCTGGCCTTGCCCTGCCCTGGCCTTGGCTTTGCCTTATCCTGGTCCTGGTTCTGCCCTGGCCCTGCTCTTGCTCTGGATCCTCTCTGGTTTTGCCTTCTCCCTGGCCCTGCCCCTGGCCCAGTCTTGACCCTGGCCCTGGCCCTGGCCCTGGCCCTGACAATCCCCAGGCCCCACACTGGCCATGCTTGGCCCTGGCCCCTCCTTTGGCCCTGCACTGGCCCTGTGCTCTCTTAGTCCTACCCTGGCCCTGAACTCGCCCTGGCCCTACCCTCACCCTACACTGGCCCTGCCCTACCCTGACCTTGCCCTGGCCTGGCCCTGCCTTTGGCCTGCCCTGGCTCTGGTTCTGCCCTGGCGTTGCCCTTGCCCTGGACCCTCCCTGGCCATGTTTTTTCCATGGTCCTTCTCTGGCCTTGCCCTTGCCCTGTCCCCTTTCTGGTCCTGCCATGTTTCTGGCCCTGCCCTGTCCATGTCCTGGACCTGACTCTGGCCCTGGACCTCCCTGTCCCTGCCCTGCCATACTCTGGCCCATTCTTGCTCTACACTGACCCTGCCCTGCCTTGGCCCTGTGCTACCCTAGCCCTGCCCTGGCCTTCTGCTGACCCTGATCCTGCCATGGCCCTGGCCCTGCCATGTCCCTGCCCTGGCCCTGGTTCTGCCCTACTTCTGGCCCTGGCCTTGGTCCTCTCATGTCCCTGGCTATGACCCTGCCCCTGGTTTTTCTCTGTCCATGACCTTGCCCTGGCTCTGTCCTATCCCTGGCCCTGTCTCAGTTCTGTCCTAGCCCTGGCCTTTCACAGTACTTTATGCTTAGTAAGGGCTCCATGGTGTCTGTGAGTTGAATGTTGTGTTCATAGTATCTGCCAAAACAGAAAGAAAAAAAAATCTGATGATGAGAAGTTAAAGCTTTGTATATAATATGCCTTGAATTGTAAGTGCTTGTTATTAGTTGTATTACATATAGGTCATGGTTTTGTACACATAACTCCAAACCATTGATACTGTTAAAAGAGTATATGAATATATGAAAGAATGTATAAACATAAGAATGTATGAGTATCTAATGACATTTCCAAATTAATTTATATTTTTAGCTCTATTAGATTTTTCTCAGTGTAACAAATGTTTATTCCTATGTAATTAAGGGCGTATTTCCTGTACAGAGTATTCATATTACCTAATTGAAAATTATATAATACAAAAATATAATATTATTTTTAGGCCAGGCATGGTGGCTCATACCTGTAATCCCAACATTTTGAGAGGCCAAGTTGGGAGAATCATTTGAGTCCAGGAGTTGACCAGCCTGGGCCACATATTGAGACCTTTTCTTTATTAAATAAATAAATAAATAAATAGGTTGGGCACTGTGGCTCATATCTGTAATCCCAGCATTTTGGGTTGCAAAGGCAGGAGGATTGCTTGAGCCCAGGAGTTTGAGACCAGCCTGGGCAGAATAGCAAGACTCCATCTCTACAAATAATAAAATATTAACCAGGTGTGGTGGTGCGCACCTGGGGTCCCGGCCACCCGGGAGGCTAAGGTGGGAGGTTTGCTCAAGGCTGCAGTGAACTGTGAATGCACCACTGCATTGCAGCCTAGGCCACAGAACAGGACCTTGTCTATAAATAAAGAAATAAGTAAAAACATAAATAAAAATAAGTAAAAAGAAATATAAGTAAATATAAATATAAATACATGTAAATATACAAATGAATACATGAAAACAATTTTTAAATTTAACATCACTGAGGGCATCCTATCCATTTCATGATTCCATTACGTCATTTCACTTAGATGAAATGATAATATGACTTGAGATGAGATGAAATGACTAAATGATGAGATGAGATGAAATGATGAGATGAAATTTTGAGATGAAATGGTGAGTAGAAATGATGAGATTAAATGATGAGACAAAATGACAAAATTGAAAAGAAATTGAAAGGAGATGAGATGAGATGAAATGAGATGAAATGATGAGATGATGGATGAAATGATGAGATGAAACGAGATGAAATGATGAGAAGAAATGATGAGATGAAATGAAATGAAAAAATGAAATGATATGAAATAATGAAATTGAAATGAGATGAGATGATATAATGAGATAAAATGATGAGATGAAATGAGATGAATGATGAGATGAAATGATGAGATGATAAAATGAAATGAGATGAAATGAGATGAAAAATGATGAGATGAAAAATGAGATGAAATGAGATGAAATAATGAAATGAGATGCAATGAAATAATGAAATTATGAAATGTAATGATGAAATTGAAATGAGATGAGATGAAATGATGAAGTGAGATGAGATGAAATGAGATGAAATGATGAGATGAAATGAGATGATGAGATGAGATGAGATGAAATGAGATGAAATGAGATGTAATGAAATGAGATGAAATGAAATGACATAATGAAATGCAATAATGAAATGAGATGAAATGAAATAATGAAATGATGAAATAAAATGATGAAATAAATGGAAATGAAATGGAAATGATGAGATGAGCAGAAATGATGAGATGAAATGATGAAATGATGAGATGAGATGAAATGATGAGATGAAATGAGATTAAATGATGAGATTAAATGATGAGATGAGATGTGATGAAGTGAGATGAAATGATGACATGATATGATAACATGAAATCAGATGAAATAATGAGATGAAATGATGAGATGAGATGAAATGTGACGAGATGAAATGACAATGAAATGAAATAAATGAAATGATGAAATGGAATAATGAAATGGAAATGATGAGATGAGATGCAATGAGTTGAAATGATGAGATGAAATGATGAAATGATGAGATGAAAAGATGAGATGAGATGAGATGTGATGAAATGATGACACGAAATGATGACATAAAATGAGATGAGACGAAATGATGAGATGAGATGAAATGGTGAGATAAAATGATATGAAATGAGATGAAATGATGAGATGAGATGAGATGATGAGATGAACTGATGAAATGAAATGAAATAATGAGATGAAATAATGAAATGAAATTGAAATAAATTTGAGATGAGATGAGATGATGAGATGAAATGATGAGATGAACTGATGAAATGAAATGAAATAATGAGATGAAATAATGAAATGAAATTGAAATAAAATTGAGATATGAAATGAGATGAAATGATAAGATGAAATTATGAAATAAAATGATGAAATGATGAGATGTGATGAGATGAAATGATGAGATGAGATGACATGAAATAATGAAATGAAATTGAAATGAGATGAGAAGATACGAGATGAGATGAAATGATGAGATGAAATGATGAAATGATGAGATAAGATGAAATGAGTTGATGAGATGATGAGATGAAATGATGAAATGATGAGATGAAATGAGTTGATGAAATGATGAGATAAGATGAAATGAGTTGATGAGATGATGAGATGAAATGAGATGAAAAGATGAGATGAAATGATATGAAATGAAATTAGATGAAATGTAATGAGATGAAATGAAATGACATAATGAAATGAAAAAATGAAATGAAATAATGAAATGAGGTGAAATTAAATGAGATGATGAAATTAAATGATGAAATAATGAAATGGAAATGAAATGGAAATGATGAGATGAGATGAATAATGTGATGAAATGAGATGAAATGATGAGATGAAATGAGACGAGATGTAATGATGAGAGGAAATGATGAGATGTAATGAAATGAGATGAAATGAATGAGATGAAATGAAATAATTAAAGGAAATTGAATTGAGATGAGATGAGATGAAATGATGAGATAAAATGAGATGAAATAAATGATGAGATGAAATGACGAAATGCTGAGGTGAGATGAGATGAAATGAGATGAAATGATGAGCTGAAAGGATGAGGTGAAATGATGAGATGAAATGATGAGATGAGGTGAGATGAGATGAAATGAGATGAAATGATGAAATGATGAGATGAGATGAGAAGAAATGAGATGAAATGAGATAAGATGAGATGAAATGATGAGATGAGATGAGATGAAATGAAGTGAAATGAAATGAAATAATGAAATTGAAATGAGATGAGATGAAATGAGATAAAATGATGAAATGAAATGATGAAATGAGATGAAATGATGAGATGAGATGATGAGATTAAATGATGAGATGAAAAATGATGAGATAAAATGATGAGATGAATTGAAATGAGATGAAATGAAATAATGAAATGAGATGAAATGAAATGATGAAATGATGGTATTGAAATGAAATTGAAAGATGAGATGAGATGAAATATGAAATGTTGAAATGAAATGATGAAATGAAGAGATGTGGTGAGATGAAATGATGAGCTGAAATGATGAGATGAAATGAAATGAGATTAAATGAGATGAAAAATGATGAGATGAAAAATGATGAGATAGGGAGGAGCCAAGATGGCCAAATAGGAACAGCTCCGGTCTACAACTCCCAGCGTGAGCGACGCAGAAGACGGGTGATTTCTGCATTTCCATCTGAGGTACCAGGTTCATCTCACTAGGGAGTGCCAGACAGTGGGTGCAGGTCAGTGGGTGCGCGCACCGTGCACGTGCCAAAGCAGGGCGAGGCATTCCCTCACTTGGGAAGCGCAAGGGGTCAGGGAGTTCCCTTTCTGAGTCAAAGAAAGGGGTGATGGATGGCACCTGGAAAATTGGGTCACTCCCACCCGAATACTGCACTTTTCCAACGGGCTTAAAAAACGGCGCACCACGAGATTATATCCCGCACCTGGCTCGGAGGGTCCTACGCCCACGGAGTCTCGCTGATTGCTAGCACAGCAGTCTGAGATCAAACTGCAAGGCGGCAGTGAGGCTGGGGTAGGGGCGCCTGCCGTTGCCCAGGCTTGCTTAGGTAAACAAAGCAGCCGGAAAGCCCGAACTGGGTGGAGCCCACCACAGCTCAAGGAGGCATGCCTGCCTCTGTAGGATCGACCTCTTGGGGCAGGGCACAGACAAACAAAAAGACAGCAGTAACCTTTGCAGACTTAAATGTCCCTGTCTGACAGCTTTGAAGAGAGCAGTGGTTCTCCCAGCACACAGCTGGAGGTCTGAGAACGGGCAGACTGCCTCCTCAAGTGGGTCCCTGACCCCTGACCCCCAAGCAGCCTAACTGGGAGGCTCCCCCCAGCAGGGGCACACTGACACCTCACACAGCAGGGTACTCCAACAGACCTGCAGCTGAGGGTCCTCTCTGTTAGAAGGAAAACGAACAGAAAGGACATCCACACCAAAAACCCATCTGTACATCACCATCATCAAAGACCAAAAGTAGATAAAACCACAAAGATGGGGAAAAAACAGAACAGAAAAACTGGAAACTCTAAAAAGCAGAGCACATCTCCTCCTCCAAAGGGACGCAGTTCCTCACCAGCAACGGAACAAAGCTGGATGGAGAATGACTTTGACGAGCTGAGAGAAGAAGGCTTCAGACGATCAAATTACTCTGAGCTACGGGAGGACATTCAAACCAAAGGCAAAGAAGTTGAAAGCTTTGAAAAAAATTTAGAAGAATGTATAACTAGAATAACCAATACAGAGAAGTGCTTAAAGGGGCTGATGGAGCTGAAAACCAAGGCTCGAGAACTACGAGAAGAATGCAGAAGCCTCAGGAGCCGATGCGATCAACTGGAAGAAAGGGTATCAGCGATGGAAGATGAAATGAATGAAATGAAGCGAGAAGGGAAGTTTAGAGAAAAAAGAATAAAAAGAAATGAGCAAAGCCTCCAGGAAATATGGGACTATGTGAAAAGACCAAATCTACGTCTGATTGGTGTACCTGAAAGTGATGGGGAGAATGGAACCAAGTTGGAAAACACTCCGCAGGATATTATCCAGGAGAACTTCCCCAATCTAGCAAGGCAGGCCAACATTCAGATTCAGGAAATACAGAGAACGCCACAAAGATACTCCTCGAGAAGAGCAACGTCCAGACACATAATTGTCAGATTCACCAAAGTTGAAATGAAGAAAAAAATGTTAAGGGCAGCCAGAGAGAAAGGTCGGGTTACCCTCAAAGGGAAGCCCATCAGACTAACAGCGGATCTCTCAGCAGAAACTCTACAAGCCAGAAGAGAGTGGGGGCCAATATTCAACATTCTTAAAGAAAAGAATTTTCAACCCAGAATTTCATATCCAGCCAAACTAAGCTTCATAAGTGAAGGAGAAATAAAATACTTTACAGACAAGCAAATGCTGAGAGATTTTGTCACCACCAGGCCTGCCTTACAAGAGCTCCTGAAGGAAGCACTAAACATGGAAAGGAACAACCGGTACCAGTCACTGCAAAATCATGCCAAAATGTAAAGACCATCGAGACTAGGAAGAAACTGCATCAACTAATGAGCAAAATAACCAGCTAACATCATAATGACATGATCAAATTCACACATAACAATATTAACTTTAAATGTAAATGGACTAAATGCTCCAATTAAAAGACACAGACTGGCAAATTGGATAAAGAGTCAAGACCCATCAGTGTGCTGTATTCAGGAAACCCATCTCACATGCAGAGACACACATAGGCTCAAAATAAAAGGATGGAGGAAGATCTAACAAGCCAATGGAAAAGAAAAAAAAAGGCAGGGGTTGCAATCCTAGTCTCTGATAAAACAGACTTTAAACCAACAAAGATCAAAAGAGACAAAGAAGGCCATTACATAATGGTAAAGGGATCAATTCAACAAGAAGAGCTAACTATCCTAAATATATATGCACCCAATACAGGAGCACCAAGATTCATAAAGCAAGTCCTGAGTGACCTACAAAGAGACTTAGACTCCCACACATTAATAATGGGAGACTTTAACACCCCACTGTCAATATTAGAGAGATCAACGAGACAGAAAGTCAACAAGGATACCCAGGAATTGAACTCAGCTCTGCACCAAGCAGACCTAATAGACATCTACAGAACTCTCCACCCCAAATCAACAGAATATACATTTTTTTCAGCACCACACCACACCTATTCCAAAATTGACCACATACTGGGAAGTAAAGCTCTCCTCAGCAAATGTAAAAGAACAGAAATTATAACAAACTATCTCTCAGACCACAGTACAATCAAACTAGAACTCAGGATTAAGAATCTCACTCAAAACCGCTCAACTACATGGAAACTGAACAACTTGCTCCTGAATGACTACTGGGTACATAACGAAATGAAGGCAGAAATAAAGATGTTCTTTGAAACCAACGAGAACAAAGACACAACATACCAGAATCTCTGGGACGCATTCAAAGCAGTGTGTAGAGGGAAATTTATAGCACTAAATGCCCACAAGAGAAAGCAGGAAAGATCCAAAATTGACACCCTAACATCACAATTAAAAGAACTAGAAAAGCAAGAGCAACCACATTCAAAAGCTAGCACAAGGCAAGAAATAACTAAAATCAGAGCAGAACTGAAGGAAATAGAGACACAAAAAACCCTTCAAAAAATTAATGAATCCAGGAGGTGTTTTTTTGAAAGGATCAACAAAATTGATAGACCGCTAGCAAGACTAATAAAGAAAAAAAGAAGAGTCAAATAGACGCAATAAAAAATGATAAAGGGGATGTCACCACCGATCCCACAGAAATACAAACTACCATCACAGAATACTACAAACACCTCTACGCAAATAAACTAGAAAATCTAGAAGAAATGGATAAATTCCTCAACACATACACTCTCCCAAGACTAAACCAGGAAGAAGTTGAATCTCTGAATAGACCAATAACAGGAGCTGAAATTGTGGCAATAATCAATAGCTTACCAACCAAAAAGAGTCCAGGACCAGATGGATTCACAGCCGAATTCTACCAGAGGTACAAGGAGGAACTGGTACCATTCCTTCTGAAACTATTCCAATCAATAGAAAAAGAGGGAATCCTCCCTAACTCATTTTATGAGGCCAGCATCATTCTGATACCAAAGCCAGGCAGAGACACAACCAAAAAAGAGAATTTTAGACCAATATCCTTGATGAACATTGATGCAAAAATCCTAAATAAAATACTGGCAAAACGAATCCAGCAGCACATCAAAAAGCTTATCCACCATGATCAAGTGGGCTTCATCCCTGGGATGCAAGGCTGGTTCAATATACGCAAATCAATAAATGTAATCCAGCATATAAACAGAGCCAAAGACAAAAACCACATGATTATCTCAATAGATGCAGAAAAAGCCTTTGACAAAATTCAACAACCCTTCATGCTAAAAACTCTCAATAAATTAGGTATTGATGGGATGTATTTCAAAATAATAAGAGCTATCTATGACAAACCCACAGCCAATATCATACTGAATGGGCAAAAACTGGAAGCATTCCCTTTGAAAACTGGCACAAGACAGGGATGCCTTCTCTCACCACTCCTATTCAACATAGTGTTGGAAGTTCTGGCCAGGGCAATCAGGCAGGAGAAGGAAATAAAGGGTATTCAATTAGGAAAAGAGGAAGTCAAATTGTCCCTGTTTGCAGACGACATGATTGTATATCTAGAAAAGCCCATTGTCTCAGCCCAAAATCTCCTTAAGCTGATAAGCAACTTCAGCAAAGTCTCAGGATACAAAATCAATGTACAAAAATCACAAGCATTCTTATACACCAGTAACAGACAAACAGAGAGCCAAATCATGGGTGAACTCCCATTCACAATTGCTTCAAAGAGAATAAAATACCTAGGAATCCAACTTACAAGGGATGTGAAGGACCTCTTCAAGGAGAACTACAATCCACTGCTCAAGGAAATAAAAGAGGATACAAACAAAGGGAAGAACATTCCATGCTCATGGGTAGGAAGAATCAATATCGTGAAAATGGCCATACTGCCCAAGGTAATTTACAGATTCAATGCCATCCCCATCAAGCTACCAATGACTTTCTTCACAGAATTGGAAAAAACGACTTTAAAGTTCATATGGAACCAAAAAAGAGCCCGCATCACCAAATCAATCCTAAGCCAAAAGAACAAAGCTGGAGGCATCACACTACCTGACTTCAAACTATACTACAAGGCTACAGTAACCAAAACAGCATGGTACTGGTACCAAAACAGAGATACAGATCAATGGAACAGAACAGAGCCCTCAGAAATAACGCCGCATATCTACAACTATCTGATCTTTGACAAACCTGAGAAAAACAAGCAATGGGGAAAGGATTCCCTATTTAATAAATGGTGCTGGGAAAACTGGCTAGCCATATGTAGAAAGCTGAAACTGGATCCCTTCCTTACACCTTATACAAAAATCAATTCAAGATGGATTAAAGACTTAAACGTTAGACCTAAAACCATAAAAACCCTAGAAGAAAACCTAGGCATTACCATTCAGGACATAGGCATGGGCAAGGACTTCATGTCTAAAACACCAAAAGCAATGGCAACAAAAGCCAAAATTGACAAATGGGATCTAATTAAACTAAAGAGCTTCTGCACAGCAAAAGAGATTACCATCAGAGTGAACAGGCAACCTACAAAATGGGAGAAAATTTTTGCAACCTACTCATCTGACAAAGGGCTTGATATCCAGAATCTACAATGAAGTCAAACAAATTTACAAGAAAAAAACAAACAACCCCATCAAAAAGTGGGCGAAGGACATGAACAGACACTTCTAAAAAGAAGACATTTATGCAGCCAAAAAACACATGAAAAAATGCTCATCATCACTGGCCATCAGAGAAATGCAAATGAAAACCACAATGCGATACCATCTCACACCAGTTAGAATGGCAATCATTAAAAAGTCAGGAAACAACAGGTGCTGGAGAGGATGTGGAGAAATAGGAACACTTTTACACTGTTGGTGGGACTGTAAACTAGTTCAACCATTGTGGAAGTCAGTGTGGCGATTCCTCAAGGATCTAGAACTGGAAATACCAATTGACCCAGCCATCCCATTACTGGGTATATACCCAAAGGACTATAAATCATGCTGCTATAAAGACACATGCACACGTATGTTTATTGCGGCATTATTCACAATAGCAAAGACTTGGAACCAACCCAAATGTCCAACAATGATAGACTGGATGAAGAAAATGTGGCACATATACACCATGGAATACTATGCAGCCATAAAAAATGATGAGTTCATGTCCTTTGTAGGGACATGGATGAAATTGGAAATCATCATTCTCAGTAAACTATCGCAAGAACAAAAAACCAAACACCACATATTCTCACTCATAGGTGGGAATTGAACAATGAGATCACATGGACACAGGAAGGGGAATATCACACTCTGGGGACTGTGGTGGGGTGGGGGGAGGGGGGAGGGATAGCATCGGGAGATATACCTAATGCTAGATGACGAGTTAGTGGGCGCAGCGCACCAGCATGGCACATGTATACATATGTAACTAACCTGCACAATGTGCACATGTACCCTAAAATTTAAGTATAATAAAAAAAAAGAAAAAAGAAAAATGTTGAGATTAAATGCGATGAGACGAATTGAGATGATATGAAATAATGAAACTAGGTGAAATAATGAAATGAGATGAAACGAAATAATGAAATGAAATTGAAATGAGATGAGAAGAAATGAGATGAAATGTTGAAATGAAAGGAAGAAATGATGAGATGAGATGAAATGATGAGATGAAAAATTATGAGATGAAAATATGAGATGAAATGAAATGAGATGATATGAAATGACATAATGAAATAAATGAGATTAGATGAAATGAAATGAAATAGTGAAATGAAATGATGAAAATGAAATGGAGATGAGATTTGATGAAATGATGAGATGATATGATGAGATGGGATGGGATGAGATAAAATGATGAGATGAAATGATGAGATGATGAGATGAAATGATGAGGTGAAGTGATGCACTGTCACGTGTGTGTCTATTCTTTTTCCCAACCAACAAAAATTATAATTCATTAATTTTAATTTTATTTAACAATACTCTTAAGAGTTGAAGGAAAAATATTATCTACATTATGGGTTACAATCTAAGTATAAATAATACATAAATATATTAAAACTTACAAAGAATATGTTTTGGAATCGAATATACCATGCTTCTGTGATGACAGTTATTTCATGCTGGTTGTCACAATTTTACGTGAAAAACTAATGAAAAAATGTTTTTAACTGTTTCTAAAAATAAGTTTCCAAAACAGTTTTACATTCGAAATATGAAAAAGATGTCTTTGTGTTCCTTAATCTGATGAGATTTTCACACTCTGCACATGATAATTGTTAGATTTTTATTGTGTTGATAAATTGTATATCAAATAAAAAATGTTATTACCTCTTAAATTAGGATTTTTAGGTGATATAGGCAGAAAGGAAGGCAAGTTTTTATAACTTTGTCTAAATGAACTTTCTAAATGCCTGAGTATGAAAAGATAGCATGTCTATAAATCACAATGTATATATTACTGTATGACCTAGGACCAATCAAAACTGTTATCTCTGATAACATTATATTGTGCCCAATATAAAATAGATATGATAATACCTCAAACTTCAATCTAGGCATTGTCATTGAATATCTTAAGAATATGCAGCAAAGGTGCTTTTAAAAATACAAGCTAGTGATTGTACTAAATTTGTAAATCACATAGGATAGTGGGTCATTTTAAGAATATTAGTTATTTCAATCTATAAACTTGGATGTCTTTCCTTTTTTGTGTTTTCTTTAATTTCTTTCATTAATATTTGTCATTTTTGTTGTCAAAATCTTTTACTTCCTTGGTTAAATTTATAAGTACATTTTTGTAGCTATTGTAAAAGGATTTGCTTTCTTAATTTCTTGTTTCAGCTAGTTTACTATCAATATATAGAAATGCTACTGATTTAAACAGGGACAATTTGACTGTCTCCTTTCCAATTCAGATGTCCTTTATTTCTTTCTCTCACCTAATTGTCCTGGCTAAGACTTTCACTATGTGAAATATGATTGGTGAGAATAGGCATCCTTTTCTTGTTCTAGTAAAATCTTTTTCTTGTTCACAGTAAAATCTTTCACCTTTTCCACACTCAGTATGATCTTAGTTGTAGATTTGTCCTTTATGTCCTTCTGTGTTAAGGCATATATTTTCTATACTAAATTGTTGAGAGGTTTTTTGTCATTCAAGAATATTTAATTTTGCCAAATGCTTTTATTGTGTTTATTAATTTAATCATATGGTTTTCAGTATATATCCAAAGAAAAGAAAATCAGTATATCAAAGAGTTAGCTGCACCCCCATGTTTATTACAGCACTATTCACAATAGCCAAGATATGGAATCGACAAAAGTGTCCATCAACAGATGAATGGATAAAGAAATGTGACATACATATATAATGGAATATTATTTAGTCATAATAAAGAAGAAAATCTTGTTATTTGTGGCAACAAGAATGCAAGTGGAGGGCATTATGTTAGGTGAAATAAGCCTGGCATAGAAACATAAACACCACATAACTACGTGTACTCACTTATGTATGGAAGCTAAAATTTTTAATCTCATAGAAGTAGATAGTAGAGTTTTGGTTACCATATCCTGGAAAGAGTAGGAGAAAGAAGAGTATAAGAAAACTGTGGTTAATACATACAAAATTACAGCTGGAGAGAAGGAAGAAGTTCTAATTCTCTACAGCACTGTTGGGTGACTGTAGTTAATGGGAATTTATTGTGTGTTTTCAAATAACTAAAATAAAAGATTTTGAATATTCTCACTGCAAAGAAATAATACATGATTTAGGTAATGGATATGATAATGACTCTGACTTGATCTTTACGCATTGCATAAATATATCAAAATATCACTCTGTACCCCATAACATGTACATTTATTATATGTCAATTAAAATAAATTTAAAAGACAAAAAATGAGGTAAAGGTAAATGTACAGAATTTAATTACTTCTTCTTCTATAAAACCCGAGTCAGTACCAAGAAGAGTCAATTTATTAGTTTTCTAAAATAAAAAAAAATCAAAATGACCAAAAAAGAGCAATATCCAAGAAAACATTGAAAATGAAACACAACATTTAGTAAGAATGGAAAACTTGGGCACTGTATCACCCTGTTCCTAGATACCGATTTACTGATGGCCATTTAAATAGAATTTTATTCTATCTAATTCATTTATACTCCCAGAGTTCGAAATTACGTTTTACCTACAATAAATGAGATAACACCTGTAAATTATATGGTACTCTGCCTAACACACGTTAATAACTCAATACATGTTAGCAATAAACTTTTAGTATAGCAGTCAAAGTATTAATTTCTCACATTGCAATTTCCTTCAAAGACATGAATACAACCTTTCTAATGACTCCTTGTTCATCAAGATACCTCTTCAAATTATTCTATTTATTTCATTCAGTATATTATCTGTGTATACCGATATGATATTACACTTTTTTTTTTTGAGATGGAATCTCATTCTGTTACTGATGCTGGAGTGAGGTGGCATGATCTCGGTTCACTGCAACCTCCACCTCCCAGGTTCAAGCGATTCTCCTGTCTCAGCCCCACGGGTAGCTAGGACTACAGGTGCACACCACCATGCCTGGCTAATTTTTGTATTTTTAGTACAGTCAGAGTTTCACCCTGTTGTCCAGGCTGGTCTCGAACTCCTGACCTCAGGTGATCCACCCACCATGGCCTCCCAAAGTGCTGGGATTACAGGCATAAGCCACCGCACCCAGCCTGATATTGCACTCTTGGATTTTGAACACTGAATATCTTTTTGAAAGATTACACCTCTTTACCTCTTTGTGCTTCAGAAATTATTTTCCTTCAAGTGTTCTAAGAGTCTAATGAAGAATGAAGTCATGTTTTATCACTTTTGTCCTTAAAGATTTCAGACATGCTGAAACTGATTGAAGTATAATTTGCTACCAGATAGATTAATTATCTCTAGTTGTAGGAGTGGATACATCTTTAATGGTATATCTTGGGTTATTGTCTTATTTTTGATGCAGTATTCTATAAATAATTTATTAAACCTGGCATCCTTAGGTGAGCATAGATTTTTCAACTTTGGTGTTATATTGTGTTTGCTTTTAAAAACTGCTTTTGAGGCCAGGTATGGTGGCTCTTGCCCATACCTAGCACTTTGGGAGGCCAAGGTGGGCGGATTACCTCAGGTCAGGAGTTCAAGACCAGCCTGGTCAACATGGCAAAACCATGTCTCTACTAAAAACACAAAATTAGCCAGGCATGGTGGTGCATGCTTGTAGTCCTAACCTCTCGAGAGGCTGAGGCAAGAGAATCACCTGAACCTGGGAGGCAAAAGTTGCTAGGTTGCTGTGAGCCAAGTTCGCACCATTGCACTCCAGCCTGGGTGAAAAGAGCAAAACTCTTTCTCAAAAAAAAAAAAAAAAACCCACCAAAAACTGCTTTTGAATGGAGTTGTACATACAATTTTGATGAAAAAAATTATCAAGTGCATAAGTGCATAATAGAAAAACCAATAATACTCCAAGCACAAGTTAGTACTAAAAAAAATATGTTGAGTATTCTCTACTACAACTTGCTTTTTCCCTTCATGAACAATTTGTGTTTTACTGAGAAGACTCATTGTTTATGGTAGACATTAGACTACAGATGAATATGTACTTTAAACACTCTTAGTTGCTTTCTTAATTTTATATCTGCTGCTTTATGCTTCTGTTTATTTTCATTCTTTCCAATGTCTACCTTCTAGTAAATTTGAATATTTTAATACGAGTTTATATACTATTTAATATTGCTTGTATAGTTTAGTATTTTTAAGACTCAAAAAGTTTTACAGAAAGAAGAAAAAGATCAACATGTTATTAATCATTTAAAGATCATTTTAAAATCTTTGACCTTTCTATTTTAATGAATAAAATGTTAGTAGTTATTAGTATAAAATAATTTATGTCTTTTGGACTTAGCATCCAGTATTTCTTTTTTAATAAAGAAAATAATATTCTCTTGCAATATACTATGTTTATCTGGGTTTTGAAAAATGATGTTTCCTAATATGAGAAAGCCATTTACATTTTTAAATCTACAAAGGCAAATGGAATGGTACTAAATTATTTACATAATAATGTTTAGATGGTGGCCCTTATTAACATTCTTTCTATACTTCCTACAGAGTTGGGGATATGCAATCCTAGAATATTTCTGGGAGCTAATCCTTTATCTTGATGAATGAAACAAGACTTTTAAATAAAATTAAACTTTCAAATTTTCCAGGTAATGGGCCTGTATTTTAATTCAATGGATATGGAGCATAATGAATTATCCCCTGTTCATTGGGTAATAAGTTCTCATTCTTATAATACTCAAAATGTCCTTTAATTTTTAATTTTTGATAGTCATATCATTATCCCTAGGTATTTTAGCTTCTATCTTAAATTCTAAAATGATTTTGAAACAGGAGAAAGTATTCTTTATTACTATATGTATTAAACATCATGGTTTTCAAATTTAACTGCAAATGTATCTTTTCATTGCTTCTTGATGACGCCCTTCACCCTATCCATATTATCACTACCAAGTGGTGATTACTTTTCAGGTTCACATACTTATTCTTTAGAAAAATCTTGTCTGTGCCTTATAAAGAATATGATTGTTGGCATTCAAAAGCCAGTGAAGTATACATTATTAGCCTGTTGCCTAACTCATTTCTTTAAGAAACTACACTAATTACCCACATACTTATGTTTTTATTTCCTCATTATTTCTGGAGGAAACAAATACTGCTAACATGATATTTGTAAGACAGAAAAAAGTCTTTTCTTGAAAAGTGCTGTCATTGTAGTACTAACTTATAGTATCAACTTCTTTATCAACTCCTTATGCGCTTTTTATTCTGAGAGAAATAAAAAAGCTAAAAGTGAAATGACTTTTTTTACTCTCCATATTATAAGCACCCATCTTGGTAATTTAGGGTCTTTATAGTTAGGGTAAGTTGTGTCATACCGAGGTTACAAAATGAAAAGTATTTCATCTCTTCGGGCCTTTCTTTATTCAGTAATACTGTCAGTTTGGCTTTTTTTGTAGGTCAACTTATTGAACTCAGTATTCTGAAATAATATGTTTACTATCTTTTGATAAGCATTTAAAATATTAGATTTATTGTTATTCTTCTGACTTTATTGGGCTGGAAGAATAATTGTTTCACTCCATAAAAGCCAAGTTGTGGAGAAAAACACATAGACATTCAACTGCAAAGCAGGGAAACTTGACTATTTTCTGCAATTTTAAAGTGTATATTGAATAAAACCATCTTTTTATTTTCTTTTTTGCTCACTGGCAAATATTAACAACATCAAGTGTATTATTATAATGTTATCTAGTTAAAAATCTCAAAAAGTTTTCATAATTACCATTTTAAAATATATAAATAGGGGACCTAATGTTAATTTTTATTGTCTGAGACCATGTCTGTTATTTCACTCTTTAAATTCAGTTAGTAATGCAGAACCTAGCACTTAGTAGATACTCAAAAATTATTTGCTGAATAAAAAAAGGTTAAACATTTAATATATACAAAATGTACTGGAAAAAATGCACCAAACAATTTTGTTATATCAGTTTAATGTAAATATTGCCTTTAAAAGATAATATAGTTTTCAGGTGTCTACAGTGATTTTGTAATATTTGTGCACATATAAAATAATATTTCCAAAAATGTAATCCAGTGGGGAAATATACTTTCTAAATTCTAGATTTACAATTTAGGGTTTAAATTATAAAATCATTAAGTAGACACAAGTGAAATACAGTCAAATATCCCCTTGGAAAAAAATTAAGTGGCCTCTAAAGTGAGGTATTAATATATGTAATTTTACAATCCACTAGTGATAGAATTAATTAAATATGCCACCAAATTGATTAACTCCTACAGTGTTAAAAGAGAAGCACTAACAATGCCAGTGAACATGTAACATGGATTTAAGCTACAAGTCATAGAAATGTGATGAGAAGCCTCAGCGCTGTAAAACAGAGGGTGGAGGAAAGATTTTCCTCTCTCAAATGAGCTTTGCGAGGTATACTTCTTGAAGGATAGGAAGTTGAAGTGTTCAGGACTTTTATGACTATTCTACTTTGGCTTAGTTTACATGATTCTTAGTTTATTAGCCTAGAAATGGCCAAGAAAACTTAAGGTTCAATAATTAGTTATAAATATGAAATAGCCCCAATTTTAAGATAAAAACAACTTATAAATGTATTTGTCTGTAAAAATTGTGTATATTTTTACAGAACATCCATTTCTTTCTTTTTTTATTTTCTTGTATTTTTTTATTATACTTTAAATTCTAGGGTACACATGCACAATGTGCAGGTTTGTTACATATGTATATATGTGCCATGTTGGTGTGCTGCACCCATTAACTCATTTATATTAGGCATATCTCCTAATGCTATCCCTCCCCCCTCCCCCCTCCCCCCTCCCCCCACCCCACAACAGGCCCTGGTGTGTGATGTTCCCCTTCCTGTGTCCAAGTGTTCTCATTGTTCAATTCCCACCTATGAGTGAGAACATGCGGTGTTTGGTTTTTTGTTCTTGCGATAGTTTACTGAGAAGGATGATTTCCAATTTCATCCATGTCCCTACAAAGGACATGAACTCATCATTTTTTATGGCTGCATAGTATTCCATGGTGTATATGTGCCACATTTTCTTCATCCAGTCTATCATTGTTGGACATTTGGGTTGGTTCCAAGTCTTTGCTATTGTGAATAATGCCGCAATAAACATACGTGTGCATGTGTCTTTATAGCAGCACGATTTATAATCCTTTGGGTATATACCCAGTAGTGGGATGGCTGGGTCAAATGGTATTTCTAGTTCTAGATACCTGAGGAATGGCCACACTGTCTTCCACAGTGGTTGAACTAGTTTACAGTCCCACCAACAGTGTGAAAGTGTTCCTATTTCTCCACATCCTCTCCAGCACCTGTTGTTTCCTGACTTTTTAATGATCGCCATTCTAACTGGTGTGAGATGGTATCTCATTGTGGTTTTGATTTACATTTCTCTGATGGGTCTATTTCTTTAAAACAAAGGGAGGGGATTCTCTCATTTACATTAGTTTTTTTCATAGCCTTTTGAATTTGCAATTTCTATGTTTCAGAACCTATTTCTTACAGTTTTTCTATGCTAAACTCTGTCCTAGTCAGTTCTAGAGTGTATGAAGAACCAAATGATGTAATTGTATGCAATCTGGCTGTAGTGGAACAAATTTGACTCTAAAGTATGCAGGCTCTAATTTTCCTGTCTGGTTTTGGTAAGTATTCCTTACATAGGTTTTTTTCTTTGAAAATCTGGGATTGAGAGGTTGATAAATGAAAATTAATCCTTTCACTTTGTTGTATGTAGGTTTGCAATAATTAGCTCAGAGTGGAGTTTTAAGGTCATGGAGGGGTCTGATGACTTACAAATAATGGGCTCTGATTGGGCACCTACTCATCTGAGTTCCTTCCATTTGACCTAATTAAGCTTGTGAAATTTACACCAAGCCATGAGCTCATCTTTAAAAAGTTTTATTAAAAAATTTTCAGCTGTTCCAAATGGGACTTATTAGTGGAATGTGTTTTAAAGGATCATATCAGATGAATGAAAGGTATTTGATCTGTTTCCTTAATAACAAAATGATGGTTTGGAAAAATAGGCTACAGTCTAACCACAGTGCTATTATTAGGCTTTCTTGTTAAACATAGGTCTAAGCCTAAGTATGTCAATAGAACAAATACTTACTGTTTCATTTCTAGTAATAAAAAAAAAAAAAACAAGTCTTTCTGGCATAAGGATGATTTTCATCTGGTTATTTTGAAACATTTTTGTAAAATAAATTTACATCTATAAAGAACATTTTTATTTGTAAGGAGGGGTATGTCTCTGTGCACTGGAAGAGAGGGAGGACTAAATCACTGGGAAGTCTTATAATAAAGAAGCCATTGGCTTAAATCAGCAAAGCAAGCCGTCCCTTGGTTTAAGGTGTTTTTCCTGGCCATCCTGTCTTGACTAGAACTTTACCTACACCTTCCTTTTTGGTTTAGGCAAATTATAGTATCTAAAACTGAAGTCTCAGCTCTGTGTCTTTGAGATATAAATGTTCTACCATGTCTTCTCTGGAACCTGATAACTATCTATCTCTTTAAAATGCAAGTCTAGGGAGATGACTCATCAGAAAAAGAAGAAAAAAGAGGTATTTGGAAATTGTGCAAATTAAAGCAGCCCCTGATGCCAAACTCTACACATTCCTGAGTGAGTCAGTTCTGGCCAGTTCTAGCTGGATCAAGAGAGCTCTGCTGGGCAGGCCTGAAGAACACCTGGATGGCAGACACCTGAGGAGTCAGGTGCCTGAAACTTCCTCCACCTGCTTGAGGAGCGCCAAAGCCCAGGTGCTGGCTGGACAACCCCTTCTGGCTGCCTAAGCAGGTAGCAGAAGAAGGAAACAAGGGCAGAGGCAGAGTGTTGAACCCTGCCTCCCAGGTGGGTGGAAGATGCCTGTCGCCAAACTAGGGCCCAGCTTGCCAGGTGAGATGGGTAAACTGGTGATCCCCCGAGAGAGCGGACGTCAGAACTACATGTTCCCGGACATCACCTCAGCCAGTGAAGGAGAGAGAGGGTTAATGTTAACTGCACGAGGCCCACTCTAGCCTTAAATTCTGTAATTCAGACCTTTCCCTTGGAGACAAAACAAACATGACAAGGAATTCTGAGGTCAGGGGACAAGAATCACAAGTTCCCTAGTGGGAGACTGAGGAGGCAGTGTCCTTCCTGCCATTGGTCTACTGGCTAAGAACCTTCCTCAGCCTGACCTTTGCACATTGCACTTTCAGCTCTGTTTGCAATTTTCCTCCTTTAGTGCTGAGGGAATCCCAGTGTTCGATCCTGAAATCTATAGGTTCCTAATGGGTGGTTAAAAAAAACCTCAGCGAGAGAAGCAGAAAATGTTTCCTCTTCCTGAAAAACTGTAGAAAGGCAGGCACCATTCTGGGTGAGGACATGGTCCTTGCAAATGTCTTTGTGCTTTTCTGTTTGTTTGGTTTTTTTTGAGATGAAGTTTTGCTCTTGTTGCCCCGACTGGAGTGCAGTGGTGTCATCTCTGCTCATTGCAACCTCCACCTCCTGGGTTCAAGCAGTTCTCCTACCTCAGCCTTCCGAGTAGCTGGAATTACAGGCACCTGCCACCACACCTGGCTAATTTTTTGTATTTTTAGTAGAGATGGGGTTTTGCCATGTTGGCCATGTTGGTCTCGAACTCCTGACCTCAAGTGAGCCACCCGCTTCTGCCTCCCAAAGGGCTGGGATTACAAGAGTGAGCCACCGCATCCAGCCTGCAAACGTCTTTAAAGACAGCGTGTTTCAGAGGCTGTGACAGTGCCCTGTGAACATGCCAATTCTCGCAGTCCCGGGAGCTCTGAGGAGCAGGCTCGGCTCCTTGCCAGGCAGATGGTACTGAAACTCTGCTCTCCAAGACATAACCTGATGGCCGTGCAAGATTTCGTAATCGACTGTGGACCGTGAGAGTCTGCATCTCATTTTAATTAAGATGGGAAAAGAAAGAACAAAAGAGCAACTCCCAGGTTATAGAGAAACTGGATTTTAGTATAATATTCAAGTGTGGCATTGCTAATAATAACAAACCTTTCCCCTCCCAAATGGTAAACACTTGCACTGCCTATTATACAAAAATTCAACCACCCTCTCTGTTCCCCCGATATCTCCTCCCCAGTGACCCCCCCTCTCATGCGGCCTCATGAGCCTGGCCAGTGGTGAATGGCACTTTCATGGGCATGAGACTCTACGTGAGTGGGACTCAGCTGGGACCCCTCTCCACGTGGGAGCTGGAGAAGCCACCCTAGTAGCAGCTGAAAGTGTCCATGATATCCCTGCTGCTGAGGTAGGGGCTGCCTCTGAGCTGGTCTCGGGGTGTGAGCTGCTGCTGGTAGTGGGCTCTGCCCTGAGGGCCTGGTGGCTGGTCAGAGTGGCAGGCACACATGGGTGACTCCCCAGGAACTCAGGCCACCTCCCCACCACAGCCCTGCACCGTGTGCTCCAGGCATGTGCTGAGTGCCTGGTCAATCACCAGTGCCCTATTGATCCCTGTCTCCAGAGAGATCATTTAGTGTCACCCCACAGAGGGGGAATCTGAGGCCCAGAGAAGTAAGGTGACTCTCCCCAGTCACAGGGCTGGTCAGCAGTAGGATGGGAGGCTGGTCCCTTGCTGTCTGACTCCCTGAGCCCACCCATATCCCAAGGCAGCCAACCTCTGCCCACCCTGGTTCAGGACCCGACTGGCCCCTGTGGTGGGTGATGTCTATCTTCCTGGCCTTTGTGCTCCCAGCCAACTGGGATGGAGCCTCCAGCTGGCATGACATGTTGTAGCTATGGACAGAAGAGTGGCTGTGAGGCTGCCAGGAATCTCACCAGGGCCCCCTCCCAGGGCCTGTCCAGAGTGAGGTCTGGGTACCCCAGGCATTGCCAGACCACAGGATCTGATGTTGACCAAGAGGCCATGGCCACAGGCTTTCTGAGGCTGGCCCCCAGGGAGAGTTCAATCCTACTATCCCAATTCCTGTCCTGGCCTTACCTCTCAGTCTCACCGAGCCGCTTCATGGTCCCAAACCAGGACCCAAAGTGCTGCTTGGGCTCAAGGTTGTAATTATTTGCAGCCAACTGGAGCAGCAGACCTCCTTGCTTACTTTGAATTCCTGGGTCCAGAGGGAAAAACTGGGTGGTGACAGGGACTGGACAGGGATGCCACAGGGGCCCTGTGGGGGTGTTAGGTCGGGTGATGGCCAGTCTTTGCTCATAGGGGGCCACCTCCTCCTCTCCAGTCCTGTCCCCACCTGTTCTCAGAGCTGGCTCAAACAGCAGCTCCTCCAGGAAGGTGTCCTTGGTTTCAACCTGGTACTCCCACCTGCAGGTCTTCCTGGAGTGTCTCCTCTTTCTCTCTGTCTCCCCATAAATCTAAGACGAAGGGGATGGATTTGCCCACCGCTACTCACCGTATGACTCTTGTGAGGTTGATCAGTCTCCCCTGGAAGGCCAACAGCTGAAGTCCATCAGAAAGGGTCCTCTGGCCCAGAGCCAGACCCTGCCCACCCCTGTCATGCTGCACCCAGGGTGCAAGCCCCAGATCAGGTCTGGGTGACAGGAGGGGTATAGAGGGGCTGAGGCTCAGGGGCCTTCTAGCCTAACTTGTCTGGAGACAGTTGGGGAAACTGAGACCCCAAGCAGGGAGGTATGGCTCCGAGAGATTATTCTCATTAACCTGGAACATTTTTGCAAGCTGTTAGGTATAGGAAGTCTGTCACAGGTAAGAGAAATGCTTTTTGAGAGCATGAGAGACAGCAGGGTTGTGACAATATTGAAACACCACCGTGCAGATTCACCAATTGCCACCACCGGGAGCCCCCTGAGAGTCATTGCAGATGCACAGCCCTCCCCTGCAACCCCTGGACCTCCCCATGGTCTGGCACCTAAAGGGTTATGCCTCATGGCAGGAATCATGGCCCTCAGGATGCCCTGCCGACTCCAAGGTCTGCCTCTGCTCTGATTGGTCACTGACATTCAGATTGTCACCCAAATATAAGGACGTTAGCAGAAAGACTCATTCAATACAAGTGGACTCAGACATAGATAGGAATTGGGTTGCAAAAAGCCCCTTTTGTTTCTTTTATTTTATTTTGGAAAAAACTTTTATTGTGAAAATTCACATATATGTATAGAAAAAAATTCAATCAATGCAAAAGGATAGACGAACAAATGAATTCCCCTTCCACTCCAGATCCCCAACTCAGATCCAGACCTCCTGAGCCCACTTCCCCCATCTCATCACAGATCCAGACCTCCTGAGCCCACTTACCCCATCTCGTCACAGATCCAGACCTCCCCCACTTTCCCCATCTCATCATAGATCCAGACCTCCTGAGCCCACTTCCCCATCTCATCATCAGTGATTTCTTGGGCTCTGCATTAGTTTTCTATTGCTGCTGCAACAAACAGCTACAGACTCAGTGGCTTCCATTTCTGTCTTATAGTTCTGGTTGCCAAAAGTCCTAAGAGGATCTCACTGGGCTAAAGTCAAGGTGCTGGCGGGGCTATGTCCCTTCTGGAGGCTCAACGGATGAATTGGGTCCCTGCCTTTTCTAGCTTCTAGGGGCTCCAGCTTCTAGGTTTGTGGCCTCCTTCCTCCATCCTCAAAGCCAGCAACAGCAGGTGAAGTCCTCGCCCATCGTGCATCACTCTCCCTTCTGCCTCCTTCAACTTTTTTTTTATATTTAGGGGGAACGAGTATAGGATTCTTACATAGTCAAAAAGCTCCTTATAGAGAAGCTCAGAACTTTCAATACAGCTTTGCCTTTTTTGCCATTTTAATTTTCCATTTAATTTAAATGTATTCTCTCATTTGACCTTCATACTCTGTGGAGAAATATTCCTATTTCGGCTTGTATTGACAAGTTGTTTTCACACAGCCCCCACATCACCCAACCAACCAGCAGAGATCCTCCTTCCCAAGAAACAGATAAAGAAACTGAGGCCCAGGAAGGCTAAGAGTCCTGCCAGGATTATTCACCTTTCAAGGTAAGGAGCCAGTTCCAGACCTGGGTTTGTGCAGCTCCAAGCTCCCCCGTCTTTCTACAATGCTAGATTTAGACTAAAGCAATCTAGCAAGTGTGGCCACACAATGGTCAAGTTGGATTTAGATGATGTTCTCTATAAATCCATTCTCCTCTCCCGTGTAAGCAAGGCAAAGTACTCCAGGCCATGGGGAGTCCCTGAAGACTCGATGAACTGCAGTGGCCACATCAGGAGGTTGCAGGTTAACCAGAACTCACCGACACAGCAGGAAAGCAGCTTGGAACCTGCAACCTAGCCAAAACCTAGTGCCTTGGAATGGGGGAGAAAACATGCAGCCATTCCTCTCTCTCTGCTGGCTAGAGGGGATTCTGGCTTTTCCTGCCAGAGCCACCCCTTTCCCTCCTCCTAAAGTTGATGGTGGTTCTTTAAGGAAAGGGAGAAGTGCACGGTGTGATAGGGCAGGAAGAGAAGAAAACAGAGGAGAGGAGGGGACTTTCCCATAAGCAGGCAGAAGAAAAGGCAGCTGTGGTGTGTGATGGACATGGATGCAGTGGTGTCCAATGTGGGGTCAGCCCTAGAGGAGAGACAGAGAGAGAGACAGAAAAGTGAGAGAGTCCTGACCCTTATGATTAACATGGGATCTGCCTGCAAATGCTGTTTAGGGCCATCGCCTCTTCCTGTACTGCTATTTTTGAGAGTGATGCTCCTGAGCCCCACGACCCAGTCAAATTTGATGTCCCCTTGAGCCAGATTCAGTGCTGGGAGTCCAGTGTGATCTGCCTGGATCTTGCTGCATTGAGAACAGGCCAGATCTTGACCCCAATACAGGGGCTGGATATGAACAGGCAACAGCTGGGTTTCTGAGTCAGAAAGACTTGGTTAATTGCTAATTGCTTAGGCAAGTAATTTAATTTTGTTGAGTCAGATTCCTCAGCTACAAAATGCACATGACAGTACTTATTCCTCCAGGTTGTGGGGAAAATGTTGATTCTAAGCACGATGTCCATTTCACAGAAAGATACCAATTTGGTGGCTTATTTTCCTTTCTACCTTCAGAAGTGGCTATCCCTGCCACCCAAACAGACCCTTGACTCTCAAGTGGACGGGGTCCCATTTGCACAGGGGGAGACCTTATAGCCTACGTTGAGTCTATACTTACCACTTAGTGAGCATTGTATCTGCTCAGGGGCCTCTGTGGGCATCCGTCTCCTCTGCAGCATCTTTCCTCCCCACTGCTGGGTCTGCACATGACCCCCTCCTTGGGTTAGGCCTCTGATCAGTGATGACCTTGGTATGGTGGTAATGGTCAGTCTTGGCATCAAATGAGCCAGTTTATATCATCAGCTATTCAATAAAATACTAATCTAGGTGTCACCGTGAAAGTATTTTGTGACATTGTTATGTACATATTGTTACAAATGTGCATGATGCATTTACTACAGCACAGAATTTTGCCTGGGTGCCAGCCTGAAGTCTGTCCGATAGATCATAGCCATATTAGTCCCACAGTCGCAGGGGCCAATTGATTAAATTATTTTATCTCCCTTGAGAACTAAAACTAAAATCCTAAGCCCCCCACCCAACTTAACAGACCCCCTGTTGGCCAACGGAACCTCAAATAAATCTTAAAATTCAGTTCTTGGCCATGACAGGACAGGAAGTCAGACATACCTCCCTGTACCTCCCTCCCTCTTATGGTTTAGACCCAACAACTGAACAGCATTAATGTTAAAATAGAGATCATGAGACTGACAGAACAGACTCTTTGTGGCAATAAGACCTCAAATTATAAACAGGACCTAGGGCCATGCCAGGCAAGGGTTAAGTCTTGTACCCTACTCTTAAAGAATTAACTAGATTCTAGCTACCACATGGGTTTTATTTTTCTCTAGCAGCCAAGCAAGCACTGGCTGTGAGAGATGGCTGTGAGAGAAGATTAAAACAATTACAACTCACCCAGTTCACAGACGCTGAGTAACTGATCTCCTGCCCCACTAACCTTAACGACAGCTTTCTCTGGACAAGGGACTGATTTCAATAACTTTCTCCTGATAAGAGACCATCCTCCATGGACTGGTTCTGGCCAGTTTTAGAGGCTGTGGCTTTACAGAGGCTGAGTACTTTCATGTCCCTGCTTCACTTTTTGATGTGTAGGGCCTAATTATAATACATTTAAATGTCAAGTCTCCACCCCAGGATGAACATGCATGTTTATTGAATATGCATGTGTTAGGACCTCTTTTATGAGTATTCTCATAAAATGATATAGCTCCTCTGATATCCTATTGAGTATGTATATGTAGCCAACTCATTTGGCTCAAATTCCTGTCCTCTCCTTCCCTCCCTGGAAATGCCTGCCTCTGGCCTTGGCTGTAGGCCACACTTCCCAGCCTGTCATAATGGCCACCTTGCAGACTGCAAACCTTTATAAGAAATAAAGCTCTCTTTTCTAAATTTATAAAATTGTGTGATTTTTCAGTTGATGCTCTCTTTCTACACACACACACACACGCAATTTATACAGAAGGAAATCTGGAGAATATATGTGGGAATGGATATTAAGTGTGTGGCACCATGGTGAAAGTAACATAAAGTTGGATTAGGCTAAATTTATTAATGTTGGCCCACTAAACAGAGATTCTGGACTCAGAGTTGTAGGTCAAAGCTTTAGAAAGGGCTCCAAGGGTTGGTTTGATCGGTTACTTGGTTGGTTGCTTGCTTGGTTGGTGGTGCTTGCTTCCTTGCTTGGTTGTTTGGTTGGTTTGTTGCTTGCTTGCTTGTTGGTTGATTGGTTGGCTGTTTGTTTGGTGACTTGGTTGGTTGGCTGAAACAGAATCAGAGTTTACCTAAGGTACATAAAGTTGAGATGCCACAACTTCCTTGGTTTATGTGTACAGAAAGGTATGCAAAAACTCAGGGAGACTGGATTTATTATGTCAGACCTGCTCACTCACACTGAAGGGTCTACAGAACATACTCCTCACAACGATCATGAGAAAGAATATTGTGAGAGGAGCCCAGTATCCTGGAAGAGCTTTAAGCCTGTGCTCTCAGTAGGCAAAATGTTACAGCAGGAACTGCAGCCACTGGACTGGGATCTTTAAGTAAAATGAGGATAATTGAATCCTGGGGTGGCAGGGAACATGGGCTGTCCTTAATCACCAAAGATGAGGTGGGTGTGGTCACCACAGTGGAAAGCAGTGTCAAAGCAGCAGTCAGAATGGTTTGACTCACAGACACCCATGGCATTGTGTAGTCCATGGTATCCACAGGGAGAGCTAATGGGCTGTACCAAAGTCTTAGTTGTTGTTTAAAAAATGAAGAATTCTAGGTCAACTGAATAAAAGATTAACTCAAATTAATGAAACACAGATCTAAAACCCTCAATCAATTCCCAGACTTGAGCCAGTTCACAGGCCCACAACCCCTTAAGTGAAGGGGAGGCTGGGTGATCTTGGGGAAGTACGCTGCTACATTGCCAAAAATTTACATTGTTAATCTTTTTCCCAGTCTTCCCCAAAGGGACCTACAGCCTTCTGCCAGGATGACTGTGACTTAAAGAAAAGAAAATTCTCAGATATTTGGGGAATTACTGGACACTGGCTCTCATTTGACATTATTATCACTATGTTGCCTAGGATGGATTCATGCTTCTGGGTTCAAGCAGTCCTCCTACCTCAGCCTCCCAAAGTGCTGGGATGACAGACATGAGCCACTGTGGCCAGCAGAGCTTTGAAACTAGAACATGGAGGTCCAGTGGTAAATATTTGACAAGTCTGGGAAGAGATTGGGCCAAGGCAATGTTGATGATTCTTTTTTTTTTTTTTTTTTTTTTTTGCAACAGAGTCTCACTCTGTTGTCTAGGCTGGAGTGCAATGGTGCAATCTCGGCTCACTGCAACCTCTGCCTCTGGGGTGCAAGCAATTCTCCTGCCTCAGCCTCCTGAGTAGCTGGGATTACAGGTGCCCACCGCCACACCAGGCTAATTTTTTATTTTTTTAATTTTTTTGAGACAGAGTCTCACTCTATATCGCCCAGGCTGGAGTGCAGTGGCGCAATCTGGGCTCACTGCAAACTCCGCCTCTCAGGTTCACGCCATTCTCCTGCCTCAGCCTCACGAGTAGCTGGGACTACAGGTGCCTGCCACCGTGCCTGGCTAATTTTTTGTATTTTTAGTAGAGACAGGGTTTCAGCGTGTTAGCCAGGATGGTCTTGATCTCCTGACCTCATGATCCGCCTGCCTCAGCCTCCCACAGTGCTGGGATTACAGGGATGAGCTCATGCCCAGCCACACCAAGCTAATTTTTGTATTTTTTTTTTAGTTGAGACAGGGTTTCACCATGTTGGCCAGGCTGGTCCCTGACCTTGTGATCCGCCCGCCTCGGCTTCCCAAAGTGCTGAGATGACAGGCGTGAGCCACCGTGCCTGGCCAATGTTGATGATTCTAAACAGCAGCCGCTAATGTGAAAACCATCCAACTGGAAGACCTGGCCTTTCCCAGAGGACACAGTCTGGGTGGTGGGCAGAGACTTCAGCTGACTTCCAAGGCAAGCAGCTCCTTGCTGCCCGCTTGCTGGGGATTTTACTTACAGGGCAGAAGCTGGCAAGTGATTTGGGGGCAGGAATTGCTTCCTGGATGGTATATGATGAACCACACTCCCCAGGAAGACACTCATCCTGGTGGCCTAACAGAAGTAGCCCTCACCCCAAAAGGCAATGCTGCTCCACTAGTTTTATGGGGTGACTCCTTCCTGTAGGTTCCTTCCAGCTTTACCAGAAACACAGAACATCTTTCCTGACAGGGCATTGGTTTTGTTTTTGAACAGAGAGATCCTTCTTTTAAAAAGTTAGTTTTTTCTTTTTTTTTTGTAATGGAATCAACCTAGGTCCTAAGCCTAGCAGGTTATTATTATTATTTTTATGATTATTTTTTGAGATGGAGTCCCACTCTGTGGCCCAGGCTGGAGGGCAGTGGCACGATCTCAGCTCACTGCAATGTCTGCCTCCTGGGTTCAAGAGATTCTCCTGCCTCAACCTACAGAAGAGCCGGGATTACAGGCGTGCACCACCATGCCCGGCTAATTTTTGTACTTTTAGTAGAGATAGGGTTTTGCCATGTTGGCCAGGCTGATCTCAAACTCCTGACCTCAGGTGACCACCCACCTCAGCCTCCCAAAGTGCTGAGAATACAGGTGTGAGCTGCCACACCCAGCCACAGGTTATTTTTGCTGATCTTCTCCCTCCTCCCACCCTCCATCCTCAAAGAAAATTCGGTATATCTACACCATGGAATACTACGCAACCCTGAAAAGGAACAAAATCATTTTTTTATTTTTATTTTTTGTTTGTTTTTGCAGCAACACAGATGTAGCTGGAGGCCATTATCTTTTTTAATTATTTTTATTATTTTTTATTTTTTCTATTCTACTTTAAGTTCTGGGGTATATGTGCAGAATGTGCAGGATTGTTACATAGATATATATGTGCCATAGCGGTTTGCTGCACCCATCAACCCACCATCTACATTAGATATTTCTCATAATGCTGTCCCTCCCCCAGTCCCCCACCCCTGCAACAGGTCCCAGTGTGTGATGTTCCCCTCTCTGGGTCGATGTGTTCTCATTGTTCACTTCCCACTTATGAGTGAGAACATGCACTGTTTGGTTTTCTGTTCCTGTTTCACTTTGCTGAACATGAGAGTTTCCAGCTTCATCCATGTCCCTGCAAAGAACATGAACTCATCCTTTTTCATGGCTGCATAGTATTCCACAGTGTCTATGTGCTACATTTTGTTTATCCAGTCTATCACTGATGAGCATTTGGGTTGGTTCCACATCTTTGCTATTGTGAACAGTGTGGAGGCCATTATCTTAAGTAAATTAACAGAATGCTGCGTGTTCTCACTTATAAGTGGGAGCTAAATGTTGTGTATAGGTAGACACAGAGAAGGGAACAGATACTGGGTTCTAGTTAGGGGGAGAGAGGAAGGTAGAAGGACAAGAGTTGAAAAAACCAACTGTGGGGTATTATGCTCACTACCTGGGTGATGGGATCACTCATACCCCAGACCTCAGCATCACACATCGTCCCCATGTAAGAAACCTGTACATGTACCTCCTGAATCCAAACTGCTCCACCATTTGCACCAGCAATTCCAAGACTGGGCATCTACCCAAAGGAAAAGAAGTCATTCTACCAAAAAGACACATGCATGGTAGAGTTCCTTGTTTTTTTTGTTTTGTTGTTTTTTGAGACGGAGTCTCACTCTATTGCCCATGCTGGAGTGCAGTAGCAATCTCGGCTCACTGAAACCTCCGCCTCCTGGGTTCAAGTGATTCTCCTGCCTCAGCCTCCTGAGCAGCTGGGATTACAGGCATGCGCCACCATGCCTGGCTAGTTTTTGTATTTTTAGTAGAGATAGGGTTTCACCATGTTGACCAGGCTGGTCTCGAACTCCTGACCTCAGGTGATCTGCCCACCTCGGCCCTCCAGAGTGCTGGGATTACAGTGCCCGGCCCTGTAAGGTTCGTCACAGCACGACTTACAATAGGAAAGTCATGGAATCAACCTAGTTGCCCATCAGTGGGGTACCAGATAAAGCAAAAGTGGTTCTTCTACAGCATCAAATACTACACAGCCATGAAAAAGAATAAAATCACGTCCTTTGCAGCCACATGGATGTAGCTGGAGGGCATTATGCTTAATGAATTAACACAAGAACAGAAAATCAAATACCACATGTTCTTGACTGGATAAAGCAATTGTGGCCCTTCTACGCCATGGAATACTGCACAACCATGAAAAAGAATAAAATCATGTCTTTGCAGCCACATGGATGCAGCTGAAGGGAATTATGCTTAGTGAATTAACACCAGGAAAAGAAAATCGAATACCACATGTTCTCCACTAGATAAAGCAAATGTGGTCTTTCTGCATCATGGAATACTATGCAGCCATGAAAAAGAATAATATCATGTCCTTTGCAGCCACATGGATGCAGCTGAAGGACATTATGCTTAGTGAATTAATGCCAGGAACAGAAAATGAAATACTACATGTCCTCAACTGGATAAAGCAAATGTGGCCCTTCTACACCACGGAATACTACACAGTGATGAAAAAAATAAAATCATGTCTTTGCAGCCACATGGATGCAGCCGGAGGGCATTATGCTTAGTGAATCAATACGAGGAACAGAAAATCAAATACCACATGTTGTGCACTAGATAAAGCAAATGTGGTCCTTCCGCATCATGGAATACTACACAGCCATAAACAAGAATAAAATCATGCCCTTTGCAGCAACATGGATGAAGCTGAAGGGCATTATGCTTAGTGAATTAATGCCAGACACAGAAAATCAAATACCACATGTTCTCAATTAGATAAAGCAAATGTGGTCCTTCCGCATCATGGAATACTACACAGCCATGAACAAGAATAAAATCATGCCCTTTGAAGTCACATGGATGAAGCTGAAGGGCACTATGCTTAGTGAATTAACGCCAGGAACAGAAAATCAAATACCACATGTTCTCGCTTATAGGTGGGAGCTAAACATTGCCTGCACCTGGACACAATGAAGGGGCACCACAGACCCTCAGTACTAATAGAGCAGGAAGCAGGGGCGGGGGTACAAGGGTTGAAAAACTACCCTGAGATTCTTTGAATTTCCGGCAGAAAGCAGCAACTGGAGAGAGCTTTGGGTCACGGATTTTTCTGTTGCATTTTCTTGCTTGTTTGTTTTCTCTCTCGCTCTCTTTTTTTTTTTTTTTTTTTTGAGATGGAGTCTCGCTCTGTGACCCAGGCTGGAGTGCAGTGGTGCAATCTCGGCTCCCTGCAACTTCTGCCTCCTGGATTCAAGCAATTCTTCTACCTCAGCCTCCCAAGTAGCTGGGACTACAGGCACCCACCACCACACCTGGCTAATTTTTGTATTTTTAGCAGAGACGGGCTTTCACCATGTTGGCCAGGCTGGTCTCGAACTCCTGACCTTAGGAGATCCACCTGCCTCGGCCTCCCAAAGTGCTGGGATTACAGGCATGAGCCACTGCGCCTGGCCTCTCTTCTTACATATTTCTAGAACTCCTCTAGAATTTGGGGTTTGTTTTTCTTAATTACAAGGAATCAAGTTGAATCATTAGTGCATATATAAATATACATTTTATTTTTAGTACACATTATATACCTCAGGAATGTACAATGCTCAGTGCCTGGGTGACGGGATGATTCATACCCCAAACCTCAGCAACGTACAATATCCTCAGGTCACAAAGCTGCCCGTGGATCCCCTGAATCTATAATAATAATAATAATAATAATAATAAAAATAAATAAAAAGTGACTTTGTCATTCGCAGGGAAATGCGAATGACATTCACTCTGCCTCTCAGGCCCTTGGATTCCCAAAGTTTGTTTTCATCACGCCCAGGGGACACTCAGAATCTCGTTTTCAGAACACGGGTTGTTTTTCTTAGAAATGCTTTGCAAAACAAAATAGGAAGCAAAATCTTTCTCACTCCTTCCGCTCCGTAATAGACTAAATAAAATGAGGGGGCAGGAATCCAGAGACTTTGACAGCAGTTGGCAGATTTATTGTGGTACAGACATGAAGGCAAGCAGTGTTCTCTCTGATTCTACGAACCGTACAGCCCAGGCCGGCTGCCTTCTGCTTTCTGGATGGTGCAGGCGTGAGCTCCAAGCCCAAATTTCACCGGAGCTCCAGGAATCGAGCCTGGCCCAGGCACTCACTGCACGGGGGCCAAGCGTGAAACCAGTGATCGCTCCAGCAAGGTAACAGGACAGCTTGGTGATCCTTCTTGCCGGCCACAAAATGTTATAGCCAGAATTCCACCGAATGTGGTCTTTCTGTGTATCTCCCCAGACAGCGAAGGTGGACAAACATGGGGGTGGGGGGGTGGGGGGTGCTGACCTCAGTGGGGTGTCCTGGAGACGCAGGAACCAGGGTTTACAGGGTGCAGATCCTACTGAAGCAAATGGAAGTGGCATCCATGGGCAGAGCTGGCTGTAGCATCCCCCATCTGCCTGTGGTGTCACCAAATGTATCCAGAGACCGCTTGTAAACCTGGAGGGTGTGCTAACGTCAGTGGGGTGTCCTGGAGAGGCAGGAACCTGGGTTTCCAAGGTGCAGATCCTACTGAAGCAAATGGACGTCGCATCCGCGGGCAGAGCTGGCTGTGGTGTCCCCCCTTCTGCCTGGGGTGTCACCAGATTTCACCGAGAGACCCCTTCTAAACCTGGGGAGTGTGCTGACCTCAGTGGGGTGTCCTGGAGAGGCAGGAACCAGGGTTTACAGGATGCAGATCCTACTGAAGCAAATGGACGTGGCATCCTTGGGCAGAGCTGGCTGTGGCTGGCCTTCCGGCCTGGACGTCTCCCCCACTGCCTGGGGTGTCACCAGATGCACCCAGAGACCTCTCATCTGAAAGCTCATGCATGGGAAGCCTCCAGGTCTCCTCGGCAGGCAGCATCACGTCTCATTCAACTGCGTTATCAGGTAATGCAGGCCTGTTCTGCCTGTGTGCGTGAGTGCGTGGGTGCCATGTGGGAGTGTGTGTGTTGATGTGGGTGTGGGTGTGTGCTTGTGTGGCTGTGTGTGCCTGTTTATGTGATGATGAGTGTGTCTGTGAGTCTGTAAGACGTGTGTTTCCATGTGTGTTTCTGTGTGAGCGTGCATTCCTGTGTTTTATGGAAGTGTGTTTTTGTGATGGTGTTTGTGTGTGCCCCTGCATTTATTGTATTTGTGTGTTTGTGAATATGAGTGTATGTGTGTGAATCTGTATGCCAATGTGTAAATTCTTTTTTGTTTTCTTGAGACAGAGTCTTGCTCTGTCACCCATACTGGAGTACGAAACATGATGAAACCCCATCTCTACTAAAAGTACAAAAATCAGCCGGGTGTTGTGGCTCAGGCCTGTAATCCCAGCTACTCGGGAGGCTGAGGCAGGAGAATTGCTTGAACCTGGGAGGCAGAGGTTGCAGTGAGCCAAGATCATACCACTGCATTGCAGCCTGGGAGAGCCAGCCAGCCGGCCAAGCCAGCCAGCCAGCCAAGCCAGCCAAGCCAGCCAAGACGGCCAAGCCAGCCAGCAAGCCAAGCCACCCAGCCAGCCAGACAGCCAACCCAGCCAAGCCATCCAAGCCAGGCAAGGAAGCCAGCGAGCCAAGCCAGCCAAGCCAGCGAGGCAGTCACCAAGCCGGCCACGCCAGCCTGTCACCCAAGCCGGCCAAGCCAGCCAGCCATCTAAGCCAGACAAGCCACCCAGCCAGCCAACCAGCCAAGCCAGCCAGCCAGCCAAGCCACCCAGCCAGCCAAGCCAGCCAAGCCAGCCAGCCAGCCAAGTCAGCCAGGCCACCCAGCCAGTCAGGCCAGCCAAGCCACCCAGCCAGCCAGAAAGCCAACCCAGTCAAGCCAGCCAAGCCAGCCAAGCCAGCCAAGGAAGCCAGCGAGCCAAGCCAGCCAAGCCACCCGGCCAGCCAAGCCAACCAAGCAACCCCGCCAGCGAAGCCAGCCAAGCCACCCAGCAAGCCAAGCCAGCCAAGCCATCCAGCAAGCCAAGCCAGCCAAGCCAGCCAAGCCAGCCAGCCAGCCAAGCCAGCCAAGCCAGCCAGCCAGCAAAGCCAGCCAAGCCAGGCATCCAGCCAAGCCAGCCGGCCACCCCGCCGGCCAGGCCAGCCAGCCAAGCCGGCCAAGCCAGCCAGGCCACCCAGCCAGCCAGCCAGCCAAGCCAGCCAAGCCAGCCAGCTAGGCCAGCCAGCCAGCCGGCCAAGCCAGCCAAGCCAGCCAGCCAGCCAAGCCAGGCAAGCCAGCCAAGCCAGCCAGCCAGCCAAGCCAGCCGGCCTACCAGCCAGCCAAGTGGCCAGACAGCCAAGGCAGCCAAGTCAGCCAGCCACCCAAGCTAGGCAAGACACCCAGCCAGCCAAGCCAGCCAAGCCACCCAGCCAGCCAAGCCAGCCAAGCCACCCAGCCAGCCAACAGCCAAGCCACCCAGCCAGCCAAGCCACCCAAGACAGCCAGCCAGCCAAGCCAGCCAAGCCACCCAGCCGTCCAAGCCAGCCAAGCCACCCAGCCAGCCAACGAGCTAAGCCAGCCAGCCAAGCCAGCCAGCCAGCCAAGCCAGCCAAGCCACCGAGCCAGCCAGCCAGCCAAGCCCGCCAAGCCACCCAGCCAGCCAAGCCAGCCAAGCCAGCCAAGCCAGCCAGCCAGCGAAGCCAGTCAAGCCAGCCGGCCTCCCAATCCAGCCAAGCCAGCAAGCCACCCAAGCCAGCCAAGCCAGCCAAGCCAGCCAGCCACCTAAGCCAGCCAAGCCAGCCAGCCAGACAAGCAAGCCAGCCAGCCATCCAGCCAAGCCTGTCAAGCCAGGCAGCCAGGCAAGGCAGCCAAGCCAGCCAGCCAGCCAAGCCAGCCAAGCCACCCAGCCACCCAAGGCAGCCAAGCTGCCCAAACAGCCAAGCCAGCAAAGCCACCCAGCCAACCAAGCCAGCCAGCCACCCAGCCAGCCAGGCCAGCCAGCCAGCCAGCCAGCCAGCCAAGCCAGCCAAGCCAGCCAGGCCACCCAGCCAGCCAGACAGCCAAGCCAGCCAAGCCAGCCAGCCAGCGAAGCCAGCCAAGCCAGCCAAGCCAGCCAGCCAGCCAAGACAGCCAAGCCAGCCAAGCCAGCCAAGACAGCCAAGCCAGCCAAGCCAGCCAAGACAGCCAGCCAGCCAAGCCAGCCAAGCCAACCAAGACAGTCAGCCAGCCAAGACAGCCAGCCAGCCAAGCCAGCCAAGCCAGCCAAGACAGCCAGCCGGCCAAGCCAGCCAGCCGGCCAAGCCAGCCAGCCAGCCAGCCAGCCAACCCAGCCAGCCAAGCCAGCCAGCCAAGCCAGCCAAGCCAGCCAGACAGCCAAGCCAGCCAAGCCAGCCAGCCAGCCAAGCCAGGCAAGCCAGCCAAGCCAGCCAGCCAGCCAAGCCAGCCGGCCTACCAGCCAGCCAAGTGGCCAGACAGCCAAGGCAGCCAAGTCAGCCAGCCACCCAAGCTAGGCAAGACACCCAGCCAGCCAAGCCAGCCAAGCCACCCAGTCAGCCAAGCCAGCCAAGCCACCCAGCCAGCCAACAGCCAAGCCAGCCAGCCAGCCAAGCCACCCAAGACAGCCAGCCAGCCAAGCCAGCCAAGCCACCCAGCCGTCCAAGCCAGCCAAGCCACCCAGCCAGCCAACGAGCTAAGCCAGCCAGCCAAGCCAGCCAGCCAGCCAAGCCAGCCAAGCCACCGAGCCAGCCAGCCAGCCAAGCCCGCCAAGCCACCCAGCCAGCCAAGCCAGCCAAGCCAGCCAAGCCAGCCAGCCAGCGAAGCCAGTCAAGCCAGCCGGCCTCCCAATCCAGCCAAGCCAGCAAGCCACCCAAGCCAGCCAAGCCAGCCAAGCCAGCCAGCCACCTAAGCCAGCCAAGCCAGCCAGCCAGACAAGCAAGCCAGCCAGCCATCCAGCCAAGCCTGTCAAGCCAGGCAGCCAGGCAAGGCAGCCAAGCCAGCCAGCCAGCCAAGCCAGCCAAGCCACCCAGCCACCCAAGGCAGCCAAGCTGCCCAAACAGCCAAGCCAGCAAAGCCACCCAGCCAACCAAGCCAGCCAGCCACCCAGCCAGCCAGGCCAGCCAGCCAGCCAGCCAGCCAGCCAAGCCAGCCAAGCCAGCCAGGCCACCCAGCCAGCCAGACAGCCAAGCCAGCCAAGCCAGCCAGCCAGCGAAGCCAGCCAAGCCAGCCAAGCCAGCCAGCCAGCCAAGACAGCCAAGCCAGCCAAGCCAGCCAAGACAGCCAAGCCAGCCAAGCCAGCCAAGACAGCCAGCCAGCCAAGCCAGCCAAGCCAACCAAGACAGTCAGCCAGCCAAGACAGCCAGCCAGCCAAGCCAGCCAAGCCAGCCAAGACAGCCAGCCGGCCAAGCCAGCCAGCCGGCCAAGCCAGCCAGCCAGCCAGCCAGCCAACCCAGCCAGCCAAGCCAGCCAGCCAAGCCAGCCAAGCCAGCCAGACAGCCAAGCCAGCCAAGCCAGGCAGCCAGCCACGTGAGCCAGCCAGCCAAGCCAGCCAGCTGGCCAAGACAGCCAAGCCATTCAGCCAGCCAAGCCAGCCCAGCCAGCCCAGCCACCCAGCCAGCCAAGCCACTCAGCCAGCCAAGCCAGCCCAGCCACCCAGCCAGCCAAGCCACCCTTCCAGCCAAGCCAGCCGAGAAAGCCTGCCAGCCAAGCCAGCCAAGCCAGCCAGCCAGCCAAGCCAGCCAAGCCAGCCAAGACGGCCAAGCCAGCCAGCAAGCCAAGTCACCCAGCCAGCCAGACAGCCAACCCAGCCAAGCCATCCAAGCCAGGCAAGGAAGCCAGCGAGCCAAGCCAGCCAAGCCAGCGAGGCAGTCACCAAGCCGGCCACGCCAGCCTGTCACCCAAGCCGGCCAAGCCAGCCAGCCATCTAAACCAGACAAGCCACCCAGCCAGCCAACCAGCCAAGCCAGCCAGCCAGCCAAGCCACCCAGCCAGCCAAGCCAGCCAAGCCAGCCAGCCAGCCAAGTCAGCCAGGCCACCCAGACAGTCAGGCCGGCCAAGCCACCCAGCCAGCCAGAAAGCCAACCCAGTCAAGCCAGCCAAGCCAGCCAAGCCAGCCAAGGAAGCCAGCGAGCCAAGCCAGCCAAGACAGCTAGCCAGTCACCCAGCCAGCCAAGCCAGCCAAGCCAGGCAAGCCAGCCAAGCCAGCCAGCCAGCCAAGCCAGCCGGCCTACCAGCCAGCCAAGTGGCCAGACAGCCAAGGCAGCCAAGTCAGCCAGCCACCCAAGCTAGGCAAGACACCCAGCCAGCCAAGCCAGCCAAGCCACCCAGTCAGCCAAGCCAGCCAAGCCACCCAGCCAGCCAACAGCCAAGCCAGCCAGCCAGCCAAGCCACCCAAGACAGCCAGCCAGCCAAGCCAGCCAAGCCACCCAGCCGTCCAAGCCAGCCAAGCCACCCAGCCAGCCAACGAGCTAAGCCAGCCAGCCAAGCCAGCCAGCCAGCCAAGCCAGCCAAGCCACCGAGCCAGCCAGCCAGCCAAGCCCGCCAAGCCACCCAGCCAGCCAAGCCAGCCAAGCCAGCCAAGCCAGCCAGCCAGCGAAGCCAGTCAAGCCAGCCGGCCTCCCAATCCAGCCAAGCCAGCAAGCCACCCAAGCCAGCCAAGCCAGCCAAGCCAGCCAGCCACCTAAGCCAGCCAAGCCAGCCAGCCAGACAAGCAAGCCAGCCAGCCATCCAGCCAAGCCTGTCAAGCCAGGCAGCCAGGCAAGGCAGCCAAGCCAGCCAGCCAGCCAAGCCAGCCAGCCAGAAAAGCCACCCAAGCCAGCCAGCCAGCCAAGCCACAAAAGCCAGCCAGCCAGCCAAGCCAGCCAAGCAACCCAGCCAGCCAAGACAGCCAAGCCACCCAGCCAGCCAGCCAAGCCAGCCATGCCAGCCAGGCCACCCAGCCAGCCAGCCAGCCAAGACAGCCAAGCCGGCCAAGCCAGCCAGCCAGCCAAGACAGCCAAGCCAGCCAGCCAGCCAGCCAGCCAGCCAAGCCAGCCAGCCAGCCAAGCCAGCCAGCCAGCCAAGCCACCCGGCCAGCCAAGCCAACCAAGCAACCCCACCAGCGAAGCCAGCCAAGCCACCCAGCAAGCCAAGCCAGCCAAGCCAGCCAAGCCAGCCAGCCAGCCAAGCCAGCCAAGCCAGCCAGCCAGCAAAGCCAGCCAAGCCAGGCATCCAGCCAAGCCAGCCGGCCACCCCGCCGGCCAGGCCAGCCAGCCAAGCCGGCCAAGCCAGCCAGCCACCTAAGCCAGCCAAGCCAGCCAGCCAGACAAGCAAGCCAGCCAGCCATCCAGCCAAGCCTGTCAAGCCAGGCAGCCAGGCAAGGCAGCCAAGCCAGCCAGCCAGCCAAGCCAGCCAAGCCACCCAGCCACCCAAGGCAGCCAAGCTGCCCAAACAGCCAAGCCAGCAAAGCCACCCAGCCAACCAAGCCAGCCAGCCACCCAGCCAGCCAGGCCAGCCAGCCAGCCAGCCAGCCAGCCAAGCCAGCCAAGCCAGCCAGGCCACCCAGCCAACCAGACAGCCAAGCCAGCCAAGCCAGCCAGCCAGCGAAGCCAGCCAAGCCAGCCAAGCCAGCCAGCCAGCCAAGACAGCCAAGCCAGCCAAGCCAGCCAAGACAGCCAGCCAGCCCAGCCAGCCAAGCCAGCCAAGACAGCCAGCCAGCCAAGACAGCCAGCCAGCCAAGCCAGCCAAGCCAGCCAAGACAGCCAGCCGGCCAAGCCAGCCAGCCGGCCAAGCCAGCCAGCCAGCCAGCCAGCCAACCCAGCCAGCCAAGCCAGCCAGCCAAGCCAGCCAAGCCAGCCAGACAGCCAAGCCAGCCAAGCCAGGCAGCCAGCCACGTGAGCCAGCCAGCCAAGCCAGCCAGCTGGCCAAGACAGCCAAGCCACTCAGCCAGCCAAGCCAGCCCAGCCAGCCCAGCCACCCAGCCAGCCAAGCCACTCAGCCAGCCAAGCCAGCCCAGCCACCCAGCCAGCCAAGCCACCCTTCCAGCCAAGCCAGCCGAGAAAGCCTGCCAGCCAAGCCAGCCAAGCCAGCCAGCAAGCCAAGCCAGCCAAGCCAGCCAGCCAACCAAGCCAGCCAAGCAAGCCAGCCAGCCAAGCCGGCCAAGCCAGACAGCCAGCCAATCCAGCCAAGACAGCCAAGCAAGAAAAGCCAGCCAAGCCAGCCAGCAAGCCAAGCCAGCCAAGCCACCCAGCCAGGCAAGCCAGCCAAGCCACCTAGCCAGACAGCCACCCAAGCCAGCCAAGCCACCCAGCCAGCCAGCCAGACAAGCCAGACAAGCCACCCAGCCAGCCAGCCAGCCAGCAAGCAAAGCCAGCCAAGCCACCCAGCCAGCCAAGCCAGACAAGCCACCCAGCCAGCCAGCCAGCCAAGCCACCCAGCCAGCCAAGCCAGACAAGCCACCCATCCAGCCAGCCAGCCGGCCAGCCAAGCCAACCAAGCCACCCAGCCAGGCAAGCCAACCAAGCCACCCAGCCAGCCAGACAGCCAACCCAGCCAAGCCAGACAAAGAAGCCAGCGAGCCACGCCAGCCAAGCCAGCAAGCCAGTCACCCAAGCCAGCCAAACCAGCCAGTCACCCAAGTCAGCCAAGCCCACCAGCCACCTAAGCCAGCCAAGCCAGCCAACAAGCCAAGCCAGCCAAGCCAGCAAGCCAGCCAAGCCACCCGGCCGGCCAAGCCAGCCAAGCCAACCGGCCGGCCAGCCAGCCAAGCCAGACAAGCCAGCCAGACAGCCAAGCCAGCCAAGCCAGGCAGCCAGCCAAGTGAGCCAGCCAGCCAAGCCAGCCAAGCCAGCCAAGCCACCCAGCCGGCCAAGCCAGCCAAGCCACACAGCCAGCCAAGCCAACCACACCAGCCAGCAAGCCAAGCCAGCCAAGCCAGCCAGCCAACCAAGCCAGCCAAGCAAGCCACCCAGCCAAGCCAGCCAACCCAGAGAGCCAGCCAATCCAGCCTAGACAGCCAAGCAAGCCAGCCAGTCATGCCAGCCAAGCCAGCCAAGTCAGCCAGCCAGCCAAGCCAGCCAAGCCAGCCAGCCAGCCAGCCAGCCAATCCAGCCAGCCACCCAAGCCAGCCAAGCCACCCAGCCAGCCAAGCCAGCAAGCCAGCCAAGCCAGCCAAGCCAGCCAGCCAGCCAAGCCAGCCAAGCCAGCCAGGCCACCCAGCCAGCCAGCCAGCGAAGCCAGCCAAACCAGCCAGCAAGCCAAGCCAGCCAAGTCACCCAGCCAGCCAGACAAGCCAGCCAAGCCAGCCAAGCCACCCAGCCAGCCAGCAAGCCAAGCCAGCCAAGCCACCCAGCCAGCCAAGCCAGCCAAGCCAGCCAGCCAGCCAAGCTAGCCAAGCCACGCAGCCAGCCAAGGCAGCCAGCCACCCAGCTAGCCAAGCCAGCCAAGCCAGCCAGCCGGCCAAGCCAGCCATTTGGCTAAACCACAGAAGCCAGCCAGCCAGCCAAGCCAGCCAAGCCAGCCAAGCCACCCAGGGAGCCAACCAGCCAAGCCAGCCAGCCAGCCAAGCCAGCCAAGCCACCCAGCCAGCCAGCCAGCCAAGCCCACCAAGCCACCCAGCCAGCCAAGCCAGCCAAGCCACCCAGTCAGCCAGCCAGCCAAGCCAGCCAAGCCAGCCAGCCAGATCCAGAGGCGTCCTTGGCCTGGGGACCGGGTGGATTGGCCTGGGGACCGGGTGGATTTGACGCTTGCACAGGTAGAGATTGCCCCATGCAGATGAGCCATGTAGGGGGCTCGGGCCCTAGGGACCCAGCCTCTGGGCCAGGGGTTGGCCTGCCCAGGCCTGCTGGTGTCTCAGCTGGTGGCCGAGAGCCATAAGGCAGGCATTGTCCTCCACAAGGTCAGCTTTGCCGCTAACTTCCTGTTCTCGTTAATAACCTGATGCAAGGAATTCTATTGCAATTGTTTATGTGTCTCTCCGAGAAGGCTGTGAGCAACACAGTATCCCGAGCTCCTGGTCTGATGCCTGACACACAGTAGGTGTTTAATAAATGATTCTTCAGTGCATAAGTGAAAGAAAACATGGGTGAAGTTAGCATGGTCAGGACCATTGCAACTGCCTTCTGACTGGTCTCCTTGCTTCTCCTTAGTCTCCAGGCAGCAGTTGGAGTGATACAGTAATGGGAATCACCACACTCTTCCTTCTCTGGCCAGGTGCAGCCCCAGACTGGTGCTTCCAGGGAGCCCTTGATGCCTTGGTGAGGGGTGTGGGCTTGGAAGCTGGGCACTTACAGCTGTGGGTTGTTGCCACTGTTGGAGTAGCGGAGGCATCGAGCCCCCTCCCGATTTTCCAGCATGACTAGTGGTGACAATATTGGGTCTCAATGGGTCTCTCCTGCCTCCAGTCCAGTGCCCTTTTTTGGGGACCATTATTGGCTTTTGGGGACCCTGAAGGAGGAATGGCCTGATTATGCAATTTGGCTGGAGTGGAACGTCCCCATGACGACATGGCAATGAGTCTTCCCCAGCAGGCAGATGCCAGATGCAGTGGTGACCACACCTGCCATCTGGGAGGATTCCAGGTGAGTCCCTGGTGTGGGGACTGGGGTGGGCTCTCCATCCTCCTATCCCTGGGACAAGTGTGTGGGGGACAGCGGGGGCCACCAGGAGCCACGCTAGATGGGCCCAGCCTCACCAGGTCTACTCTGGGACCGGCTGGGCCCCAGGGGGGCTGTGATCTTTCACGGCCATGATGTTAGGAGAGAGACAAGGACCAAGGATGGTGATTCCTTCCCAAAGGGCCACAGCCATCCAGTAAGGCCGAGCAGGGAGGAGCTGAGAAAGGCAGCCTCCCTCCTTTCTGCCTCTCTCCACCATCAGCATCAGCTCTGTTGCCCAAGGTGGTCGCCCTCTGCAGGGGCTGGGGCTTGTAAGGCAACGCCCCCCACCCCCACCTGGCGGTGCTTGCTCTCCGATTCCTGGGACCTGCCTGACCTTGACTGCAGCAGGGTTTTATGAGTGGCCTCACCACTTTATCAATTGCTGTTGCCTTTTATTACTTGTCAGGGGCTTTATCTCAGCGGCCGCCTTACCTCCTGGCTAAATGAGGATTAATTTTTTAACAGGATTATGTGCTGTGGGTTAGCTGTACTCTCTGGGGACGGCCAGGCGCTCCCCTCCCTCTTAGCCCCTCCCTCTCCCCAGGCCCCCCTTGCTGGTTTGCTGGGAGCAGGGGCTACATGTGGGGGCCCCAGGAGCTGGGGGCTGCATCATTCCAGACTCTGGGATGGGGGTGGGGTGGCGAGGGCCAGACCTGGACTCTGGGTGGTGATGTCCTTGGGCAGGGCCTGCCCTGCAGGGTGAAGTTCCTTTAGAGGTTTCAGCCACTTCTTGAAGGACACCAGACTTGGCCACTGAGCAGCTGGGAGTGGGGAGAGATGGAGCAGGAGCAGGAGCAGGATCAGGGGGACATGGGGAGAGAGAGGATGGGGGCCACCTTGCCAAGCCCACCTGCCCCGGTATCTCAGAGCAGCACAGCCTGAACATGGCCAGCATCAGACTTTCTTGGTCCTTCTGGAACACAATTTCAATTTTCCACCAAAGTTTGATAAAGGTGAGCCTGTTCTCACCCCTCCTGTGTCTATCGCCTGGAGGACAAAACCCAGGATCCCACCTCCAGCTCTCCATGCCACCATCTCCTTCACAAACCAGAGGGAGGCCTCCTTCTTTGCCCATCAGGAAAGCCTCTGTGTCAGTCCAGGGTGGGCCTCCAGACACCAGTCTAGGGGGCTTCTCCCTGTTGCCCCAGGCAGAGCTGAGGCCCTTGTGGCTTCTCTTGTGATTCTTCTGTTGGGCCTCCTGTCCCCTCTGGAGTTATGAATTTGTGGGTGTGCTTACCTGCCTGCTGTGGGCCCCTGAAAGGGACACATTGATACTGCATTCATATCTAGGCGTGTGGGAGGTGCCAAGCCTGTTTATGGAAGGAGTGATGAATGGATGGCTGAATGAACAAATGAAGGGATGAATGCATGAGGGAGGAAGGGAGGAGGTCATTGGCTCCCTGAAGGGGCCCAGGGCTGACTTGTTCACAGCTTCCTCTTCCCTTGGCTGAGCCCAGGGCAGGCTGGCAGCTGTAGGCCTGGGATGTTGGCCCAGCAGCCTCGTGGGCAGCTGGGTTGATGGGGTGAGGTCCTGGCCAGAGGGGAAACTGTCCCTTTTCGGGTCTGGCTTCTCCTCCAGAGTTCCTGCTCTGCAGGTATGTGCAGACCTGGCTTAGCTGATGTAATGAATGACCACAAACTGAGTGGCTTCAAGCAGCAGTCATGCATTCTGGTGGCCTGGGCATCCTTGGCTTGTGGCTGCATCCCTCCTGCTCAGCCACCATTCTCAAGAGGCCTTCTCTGTGTCTGTCCCTATGACTCCTATAAGGGCACCAGCCCTTGGATGTAGGGCCTGCCTGAATAACCCAGAATGACCTCATCTCCTCATCCTTCACTTAATTCCATCTGCAAAGGCCCTCCATCCAAAAAAGGCCGTATTCACACATTCTGGGAATTAGGACAGGGTCATATCTTTTGGGGGGACCACGCTTCAACCCATAAAATACCCATATGCTTGACGACCCACCTTCCTCCTCTCTAGGAGCCTCTGTGCTCACACCTAGAAATTCCGGGTGTGAGTCTATGCCCCTCTGTGACCATCCTGTGTCCTGGTTGTTTGTTTTTGTTTCTTGAGATGGAGTCTCACTCAGTCGCCCAGGCTAGAGTGCAGTGGCATGATCTTGGCTCACTGCCAGCTCCACCTCCCGGGTTCACACCATTCTCCTGCCTCAGCCTCCTGAGCAGCTGGCACTACAGATGCCTGCCACCACACTCGGCTAATTTTTTGTATTTTTAGTAGAGATGGGGCTTCACCGTGTTAGCCGATGGTCACAATCTCCTGATCTCATGATCCACCCACCTCGGCCTCCCAAATTGCTGGGATTACAGGCATGAGCCACCGTGCCCGGCCTGTCCTGTGTTTTTTTTACATTTATTTTTTGAGACAGGATCTCACTCTGTCACCCAGGCTGGAGTACAGTGGTGAGATCGTGGCTCACTGTGTAGCCTCGACCTCCTGGGCTCAAGCCATCCTCCCATCTCAGCCTCCTGAGTAGCTGAGACCACAGGTGTGTACCACCACGCCCAGCTAATTTTTAAAATGTATTCGTAGAGACAGGGTCTCCCTATGTTGCTCAGGCTGGTCTTGTACTCCTAGGTTCAAGGGATCCTCCTGCCTCAGCCTCTCAAAATGTTGGGATTACAGGCATGCCTGGCGTGTCCCTTGTTTATTTGTTCATGTATACCACTCCTGGGTATACGCCCAAGAGAACTGGAAGCAGGGTCTCAAAGAGATACTTGCACACAGGTGTTCATAGCAGCTTATTCACAAAAGCAAAAATGTGGCAACAGGCCAGGCGTGGTGGCTCATGCCTGTAATCCCAGCATTTTGGGAGGCTGAGGAGGGTGGATCACCTGAGGCCAGGAGTTCGAGACCAGCCTGACCAATATGGTGAAACCCTGTCTCTACTAAAAATACAAAAATTAGCTGGGCATGATGGCAGGCGCCTGTAGTCCCAGCTACTCATGAGGCTGAGGCAGAAGAATCACTTGAACCCAGGAGGCGGAGGTTGCAGTGAGCCGAGATGGCACCACTGCACTCCAGCCTGGGCAACATAGTGAGACTGTATCACAAAAAAAAAAAAAAAAAAAAAAAAGGCATTTAGTACGCCTAACCGCCCTGCCAGCTCAGCCCAGCTGACCTCAGATGTGCTCAAGACACTCCCATTAGCCTCTAGGTAGGCAAAATCAGCTCACACAAAGCTTTTTTTTTTTTTTTTTTTTTTTTTTTCAGGCAGACTCTCACTCTGCTGCCCAGGCTAGAGTGCAGTGGTGTGATTATAGCTCACTGCAGCTTCAAACCCCTGGGCTTAAATGATCCTCCTACCTCAGCAACCCAAGAAGCTGGGACAACAGGTATGTGCCACCACGCCTGGCTAATTTAAAAAAAGGTTTGTTATGTTTTGTAGAAATGGGGTCTCGCCATGTTGCCAAGGCTGGTCTTGAACTCCTGGGCTCAAGCCATCCTCCTGCTTTGGTCTCCTAAAATGCTGGGATTACAGGCGTGAACCACTGTCCCCAGCTCATGAAGCTAGTTTTCTAATCAGGTGTTGATTTTCTTGTGCAATTTGTCGAATACTGTACTGAAAGTGAACATGGTTGTGTGGGACTTAAGTGCCGTTGCTACTGAGTTCTGGCCACACTCTTACCATCGTGGAGTCGGGGCCCGTCGGTGGAGCCATCCTAATAAGGCAGGGCCATCTGTGTAGGAATCTGCTGTTTGCAGAGATTTTTGTTGGTGATCACCAGGCTTGGACTCTGAGAACCTTGGAGGAACCCAGTGGGTAGCACACAATGCGGAGTGGGACGTTCACTGGACCAGGGAGGTCGGGCCGTGGTTAGGAACCTGGGGGAGGAAGAGCTGAGGGGGTTGGGGATCTGAGCTTTTCTCAGTGGCTCAGCCACGACCCTGGGCTACCCCTGCCCCAGGCCTCCCTCCTGTGCCTGTGAGCTGGGGATGATCATTAGTGTCCCCTCCCCCAGCATGTAGGGCTGTGCCAGGCACAAGGAGGAGGCTTGCGGCATTCCCACTGAGGACAGACTACCCGGGAAAGCACTCGGACAGCCTCAGGGAAGATGAGGGTGGGTCCAGGAGATGCCAAGGGCAGGCCCTTGGGCAGGTTTTTCAACAGTGCCTCTGCCCCACCACCCCTGTGCCCTTGCCTGTCACCACAGGGTCTCGGAGAGGAGAGCCATGTGGCTCAGCATGGCCAGGGGCAGGCTAGACTGTCCTGCTGCAGAGGACCCACTGGGGCCCAGTGGGACAGCCCTCCCCCTCCCCCTGGGACTCCATGGCCTGTGCTGTCCTCCTGCCCAAGAAGCTTCCCTCTGAGGCATCTCGGGTCCGGGTCCGTCCTGCTCACCCAGGGCCAGGAGCCCCCAGGAGGCCCACGGTAAGAAGGAGCGCAAGACATAAACAATTTCCCCCTCCTCTGCCGAAGGCTCTGGTGTCAGCGTGCTTTGCCTGCAGTGGCCTTTCCCCGGGGCAGCGAGGGCCTGAGTGGGCGCCTCCCCCAACGCCTCCTGGGTGTCAGCCCCAGACTGCCCCACGGCTCCACCCCTGTTCAGAGCCACTCAGCCCCTGGGAAAGGTGGCTGGGTCATGAGTTGGGGATATGAGGGGGATCAGTGCCTGCTAGTTGGTGCCAGAAAACCACCTTTGCTGGACTTGGCATTGAGGGTTGGCAAGGGGGCCTCGGAGACACTCTCCTCCCTCCTACCTGTACCCCCAGGGTACCCGTGGTCACTCAGTTCCTGACTGCCTGCTTTGGGTTGGGATCCCAGGACCCACCCTCTCCTGGCTTCTGCTGAGCCATGCCCTCCGCGGTGGGGGGGTCCCCTGCCTGATGCCACGGCCTTGCGAGTGTCACTCAGAGCCCCTGCTGCACGGAGCCGTGCTGTGGGTTTCTTTTCCTGTGTGGACCTGCAGAGAAGCTGCCTTGTCACTGTCCCCTCATTGCTGGGGTATAAATCCTCATTGTCACTATCTTCTTGGCCCTCTGCCACCAGCTGTGGACTCTGGGGACACTCAGGACTCAGGCCTGGAATTTTCCCCAAGGTTTTTCCTAGGTGCATTGGTGTAAACAGGGTCCCCTCTTGCCCCAGAGGCTGAGCTCCCATGGGCAGGGGGAGAGTGGGAGCAGTTGTCTGAGGGCCAGGCTGCGGGAACAGGGTCTGGGGTTTCCTGTGGAAATGCTGAAGAGCTCCCCCACCGCCCTGGCTCCGGCCAGCATCTGGTCACCCTGGCGGGCAGGGAGTGGCAGCTGCAGAACGCATGAAAGTGGTGGGTGGGGTGGGAGTGGCTGGTGCTGACTTTGTCCAAAGGCCAGAGGTGCGGTGGGGCCCCTGACACCATGTGGCTAAGGGCTTCTCCATTCACCAGGACTGTTCTCACAGAGTCTTTCCAGACAGGCTGCAAAGGGCCTCTTATCTCCGAAAACGTCTATTTTATAGGCACCTGGATGTCTACTGTGTCCTGATACAGAGGAGAGGACATGCAATGGGAGATAACGTGGCTACCTTTGGCCATGTCGGGTGGATAAGAGATGGCCAACAGGTCACTGCAGGGCCTGCTCCCCCTTACTTACCCCATCAGGGGACAGGATCTCGTGTGTGTGTGTGTGTGTGTGTGTGTGTGTGTGTGTGTGTGTCAAGGAGGGGTATCCCTCTGGTGCAGTCCTTGATGGTTTCCTCACCTTGATGTTGGTCCCATGGCCATCGGTGTTGGCCTCACCATCACCACTTTCAGTCTCTGAACAGCAACAGGCTCCACTGAGCAGGTGCCCAGTGACACCTGGTGCGTTGGAGGGTGGGGCTGAGCCCTGGTGAGCCAGGACCTGCTGAAAGATCAGGGGGAAGAGAATAGACCCCCCTCCACCAGCCCTGGGGACCCACAAAGGAACATTCAGGCCGCCCCAGTTTGAGCCATGAGTTGTGTCCACGGCAGCCTCGCTTCCTTTGCTGGGCCTTGGCAGCGATAACGCCTGAATCTGTGCAGGTCTCAGGTGAGCCTTCTCCAGCTCAGCCTCTGTCGCCTCACAGGACGCCTCGGTTCCCGGGCATTGATTCAGCACCTGCTGTGTGAAGGGAAACCAGAGAGGCCAGTCCTTGCTCCTGAGGACTCAAGGGTCTGGATGTGGGGGGAAACCCACACCCCACAACGCTCCCAGACGATGGACGCAGCACAAGGTCTAGGCTCACTCCAGGAATGTGGGGCACAGGGCCCAGAGCCCATTTGGATGAGGAGGCGCCGTGCCCTCCGTGGGCTGGAGGGACAGGGGGCCTTTGGTGGCCGGTGAAAGCGTTTTGCCAGCTGAGAATATTCTTTTTGCTGGCCGCGTCTAATCTGGTTTCTGGGGAAGATAAGAGGAGGCTACATCAGCAGATGCCTGTCACCATGGACTAAGAGCTGGCTCAGGGAATCCAATTCCAGCTCAGAACCCGGGGCCCAAGGAGCCGCTTGAGGCTGTGGCTCTGTCTCTTTTTGGACTCGAGGGACTCTGACCATGGTTGTGGACTCTCCCTAGAAAACATGCACACATAGCAATTTGCTGACCTGTCCTGGGAGCTCAAGGGAGGCCCAAGGCAGTGGGGCTGGGGGGCAGGGAGCAGAGGGGCAGGGTCGGGGCCAGGGGAAAGAGAGAGCATGGGGGGGGCGGTCCTGTCCCCTTGAGGCTGCCATGCAGGGGCTGGCTGCATTCCAAAGCTGGAGGAACAGCTCTGCCTTGCAGGGAATTAGCACAGTCTGCCTGTCCGGCTGCTTCACCATGGGTTGCCCCCGTGCCATTGAGGATGGTGATGGGGGAGGAAGGGTGGTGATGAGGGAGGGAGGGTCTTGATGTACCACCTGCCCCCAGATGGCCAAGGTGACCCTCCCCAGCGTCCCCAAGCTTCGCAGGCATGTAGGGGAGCCTCGGAGGGCACATCTGTTTGCTGTTCCTGCTGTTACACGTGACCACAAACTTAGTGGTCTAAAACAATGCAAATGTATTTATTTTTTCCTCTTTTTTCCCCCATGTAGGACAGGTGCCACTGTTCTAAAGACGTTGCACGTCCCACGCAAGAGTGTGAAAACCCCCTCATCACACATATCAGCCACAGAAGGATCAAAACAATGCCAATTTATTATTTTAGAGTTCTGGGGGTCAGAAGTCCCACGGGGCCGCACTGGGCTAAAGCCACGGTGTCAGCAGGGCTGGCTCCTTCTGGAGGCTGGGGGCAGATGCATCTCCTGGCCTTTCCCGGCTTCTGAAGGCCACCACGTTCTGGGCCTCAGTCCCAGGCTGGGGCATCACCACACCCACTGCTTTTGCACCAGGTCTGCTCTGACCCCTGCCTCTCTCTCACAGGGGCCCTTGTCATGCCACTGGGTTCACCTGCATGATGCCGGGGAGTCTCCCATCGCAGGACCCTCGGTCACACTGGCAATGTCCCTTTTGCCATGAAAAGTAGCCCATTCACAGTCCCGGGATTAGGATGTGGGCCTTTTGGGGGGCACCATTCTGCCCACCGTGGAGGGTGTGCAGGAGTGACCAGACCTCAGGGAGGCTCTCAAATTGACCTCATCCCCAGCACAAAGTCCAGGAGGGATGGCATGAGGTGTCCAGGATGCTGGAGCTTGGTGGGGGCTGGACAGGGACTCTGCTCAGGCACCCAGCCCCAGTGTGAGGGGCCCATGGCTGCGGGCGCAGGAGCCACAAGGGAGAAATGATGGCCCCATAGACTTTCCTTCCCCAAACTCGGATCCCCTGAAACAGAGAGGTGAGGCTTAGGGGTGAAGGGCGAGCAACTTCTGCAATAAGATTTCCATGATGCCTGACCATGTCTGTAAGAGAAAGGCTATGTCTTTCTTTATTTTTGTTTATTTATTTTTTGAGACAGAGTCTTGCTCTGTCACCCGGGCTGGAGTGCAGTGGGTTGATCATAGCCCACTGCAGCCTCAACGTTCCAGCCTCAAGCAATCCTCTCTCCTAGGCCTCCCAAGTAGCTGGGACTACAGGCATGTGTCTTGGGAGGCAATTTTTTTTTTTTTTTTAAGAGACGAGGGTCTCACCATGTTGCCCAGGCTGGTCTCGAACTCCTGGCCTCAGGCAATCCTCCTGCCTTGATATCCCAAAGTTCTGGGATTACAGGCATGAGCCAGCATGCCTAGTCTCTTTTCAAAAAAAAAAAATTTTTTTTTTTGAGTCACGGTTTCACTCTTTTTGCCCAGGCTGGAGTGCAATGGTGCCGTCTTGACTCACTGAAACCTCCGCCTTCCAGGTTCAAGCAATTCTCCTGCTTCAGCCTCCTGAGTAGCTGGGATTATAGCGCCTGCCACCACATCCGGCTTATTTTGCACTTATTTTTATTTTTAGTAGAGATGTGGTTTTACGACGTTGGCCAGGCAGATCTTGAACTCCTGACCTCAGGTGATCTGCTCGCCTCGGCCTCCCAAAGTGCTGGGATTACAGGCGTGAGTCACCGTGCCTAGCCTCAAAATTTTTTAATGTAACTTTTCAAATAAACTCACACATGTGATCAGTGATCACCACACATGCTTTATCGATAATTGCCACACTTGTTTCATGCATTGCTGTTGTCTTTCTCTTTCCTTTTCCCCTTTGGCTGAAGCATCTTCCATCCTGTAGCAAATGTTCTGAAATTTTGTTCCTATGAACTTCAGGTTGCAAGGCGCCAAGTACGGGAAACTCTGGAACACACTTGCGGCTCCCTTAGGGCAATGTTCAAATTAACAGTCATTCCTTGGCACCTGCTCAGGCCCCATCCGGAATCACATTCCCCTGATTGTTTGCTTACATCCATCAGATGGAACACATAGGTTCCTAACAAGGCCCACAGTTTAAGTTTTGTGGTGGCGCCTCTTGAACCTCTCTTACTCTAGATCAGGCGCCACCCCCGACCCCCACTGCTCCTCCCACCACTTGTGATTTGTTGCAGAAACCAGATCAGCTGTCCTGCAAATGTGTCGCCTATCACGCAGCTGTTTGCCTCTCTGTGGTGTCGCCTCGCCCCATGTCTCCTGCAAATGGAAGCTGTGCTGCAGAAATGCCCTTAGATTCAGGCTCATCTTTCTTTGCCAGAAGCCTTCGTGGGCAGAGCTGTGAGAGCCACATGGAAGCACCTGTGATGCTAAGTGTGCCCCGTGGGTCCAGGTGGCCAGAGCCCGAACCCACCCTGTGATGCAAAGTGTGCCCAGTGGGTCCAGGTGGCCATAGCCCTGACCTACCCTGTAATGCTAAGTGTGCCCCGTGGGTCCAAGTGGCCACAGCCCGAACCCACCCTGTGATGCTAAGTGTGGCCAGTAGGTCCAGGTGGTCATAGCCTGAACCCACCCTGTGATGCCCTTGTTTTGTCATTACTGATCTCATCCATGACCCTTGCGAGAAATAATTATGCCATGAGAGGTGGCAAAATCGTGGTTTCTCTCATGATCTCATCTCTTCACAATGAGTAGCTGAAATTCTTCTATCAAAAACAACAACAACAAAAATGGCTGGGCACGGTGGCTCACACTTGTAATCCCAGAGCTTTTGTGGGCCAAGGTGAGAGAGGCCAGGAGCTTGAATCCAGCCTGGGCAACAAGACCCCATCTCTACAAAAACATAAAACATTAGCCAGGTATGGTGGTGCGTGCCTGTAGTCTTAGCTACTCAGGGGCTAAGGCAGAAGGATCCTTTGAGCCCAAGAAGTTAAGGCTGCAGTGGGCTGTGATTACACCACTGCACTTCAGCCTGGGTGATGCAGCGAGACCCTGTCTCTTAAATAAAACAAACAGGCTGGGTGTGGTGGCTTACACCTGTAATCCCACCACTTTGAGAGGCCGAGGTGGGTGGATCACCTGAGGTCAGGAGTTTGAGACCAGCCTGGCCAACATGGTGAAACCCCATCTCTACTAAAAATACAAAAAATTAGCAGGGCCTGGTTGTGGGCGCCTGTAATCTCAGCTACTCAGGAGTCTGAGGCAGGAGAATCACTTGAACCCACGAGGCAGAGGCTGCAGTGAGCCGAGGTTGTGCCATTGCACTCCAGCCTGGGCAACAGAGCAAGACTCCGTCTCAAAAAAAAGAAACCAACCAAACAAAACCCAAAAAAACTTGCTGTTGTCCACTAGAGTTATTGAGTTACCCTGAAATATAGTTTAAAAGGGAAATTCTTAATTCTTTTCTTTTAATTGACAATGTTCCGAATAGAGAGTTGGAGCCTTGTTTTTCCAGTGGACTACCGATGGGTTTTGGTTTGGTTTCTCTCTTTAAATCTATTTATAGCTTTTGTGTATTCATTGTGTATTCAGCAATTACACACAATGAATACACAAAAAATTACACAACCAATACACAAAAGGTATAGGCAGATTTAAAAAGCGAGATACCAAGGCTTGATTTTAGGCTCGATTTGTCCCCTCTTTAGCCAGGGATTTCTAATTTTTTTCACCTCAAAAGTGGTAGGCCAGGGTGCTGTCCCATCAGTGGTGGGAGGAAAGGTTGGTTGCCCCGGACAGTGGGTGAATGCCGGGGTGCCAGTGTCAGGGAGGGGAGGGGCTGGTGGGTGAATGCCAGAATGCCAGTGTCAGGGATGGAGGGGCTGGTGGGTGAATGCCAGGGTGCCAGTGTCAGGGACAGAGGGGCTGGTGGGTGAATGCCTTGGTGCCAGTGTCAGGGACGGAGGGGCTTGTTGAAGAGAAACTCTTTCTTCAGGGCCATTGATTTCCCTGCCTTGTTTGAAGTGCCTGGATTGGGCTCTCTGAAAACCAACACCATCTTATTAGAAGACAAGGGCTTCTTCTCTTTTCTTTCTTTCTTTCTTTCTTTTTTTTTTGAGACAGAGTTTCACTCTTGTTGCCCAGGCTGGAGTGCAATGGCGTGATCTCGGCTCACTGCAACTTCTGCCTCCCCGGTTCAAGCGGTTCTCCTGCCTCAGCCTCCTAAATACCTGGGATTACAGGCGCCCGCCACCACACCTGGCTAACTTTTGTATTTTTTAGTAGAGACGGGGTTTCTCCATGTTGGTCAGGCTGGTCTGGAACTCCCGACCTCAGGTAATCCGCCTGCCTCAGCCTACCAAAGTGTCAGGATTACAGGCGTGAGCTACTGTGCCCGGCCTTTTCTTTTCTTTCTTTAGAGACAGCGTCTCTCTCTGTCACCCTAACTGGAGTGCGGTGGCATGATCACGACTCACTGCAGCCTCGACCTCCTGGGTTCAAGCGATCCTCCCATCTCAGCGTCCTGAATATCTGGGACGACCGCACCTCACTAATATGTGTGTGTGTGTGTGTGTGTGTGTGTGTGTGTGTGTGTGTGTGTGTGTGTGTGTGTTTTGCAGAGATGAGGTCTCCCCATGTTGCACAGGCCTGGCAGGTGTTTCTGATAGTCACAAAGCCCCTGCTACTGGGGAAAGGGAAAGGAAGCCCCAGCTAAGACCCAATTAAGAAAATCCCAGAACCAAGAACGAATCGACTGTTCGGCTTTGGTAATCTCCAATGTGTCCACCAGGTGGTGCTGTCCAGCCACAAATCTCCCAGGTTTGATCTCGGGCTTCTGCCGAGGGCACCTCCAGGGCTGGGGTCTCATCGTGTTGTCCCCACTTTATTCCAACGTCCACCCCAGGCCTGGGGGAGCCCAGGGAGGACCGAGTTTCCTGGGCCCCGCAGGGTGCACAGAGGTGAGTTTGGTAGTGCGGTCCCAACCTCGACAAGCATCCCAGCGAAGCAGGCTGAGCGCCCGGCTGGCTCCCTCAGGTCCCCTCCTCCGGGCCTTCGCCCTGTTGATTTGGGTGTTTTAATGCAAGAAAGTAGGACACTGATTGTCACCTGCCTGCTCCTACAAGGAAAATGCATGTTTGTGTGGTTATCCGTGGCCACCCCCACCAGGGCCTGCGGGGGGTCCAGTGCAGTGGAGGTGGGGAGGCGACTCATGGGCTCCAGGATCCGTGGAGAGTGAGTGTCAGCGGGAGGGTGTCCCCTGACCTCGGTCAATGGAAGCTGCTCTTCCTGGGGGTCCCACGGGAGGCCCGTGATGGGGGTGGGGGAGGAGGGGTAAACGCCGGGCCCTGATTGGCCGCCTGTCCTTGGGTCTTGGCTGGTCCTAAGAGGGAACGGGGAGCACAGCTGGGGTCACAGCCTCAGCCGGGACTCCTGCCCTCCAGCCCCTCAGCATCCTCCCTGCGTGTGCTCTCCTGGGGGCTGCTCAGGGCAGGTGGCGAGTAGGGGAGCTGTGGGACCAGAGAGAGGGGGTGGACGTGCCCAGGGCCTGCCCTCTTGGCCTGCCGTGGAGACCCACCCAGGCATACCTGGGGGCTGACCCTCCCCTGCAGAGAGCAGGGTGAACCCCAGCCCTGCCCTCGCCTAAGAGCCAGGTTCGAGGGGAGTGTAATTTATAATGAACCCCACTCCTCCCCCCAACACCCACCACAGGGAGGAGCCAGCCTCTCTCCTGACACCAAAGTCACGCTCCTGACCCTGCAGGCCACAGGATGAGGAGGACCCAGAGAGGCAGCGGGGTGGGGGCATTTCATAAGCCGGTGAGAGCTGCCCGTGTGCATCCTCAGGCCTCACAGTGGAGTGAGGGGCGGGGGCCGCCTGCGTCCTCCACAGGAGCTCCTGTCATTCCACCTCTGGGGGTGCACTTGCCGACTTGCCCCAGACCTGGACTCAGGCTGCGCTGCTGTCTGCCCAGGGCCTGGCGATTGCTGCGCCCATGGTGGGTCCCACAGGCAGGCCCTGCCCTCCCATCGCTGGCTTCTGAGCAGGGGCTTTGGGGCTGCTGGACCTTGGAGGCAGATCGGGGGCTTCTGGTGTCCCTATGTCTTGGGGGCCTGGTGTCCTGAGGGCCAGCGCCCCCCGGCCTGCACTGGGACCCTCCATGGAAGCAACTCCTCTTTCATCTCAGGCACTGGGTGTCCCAGGGCCAGGGAAGGGGCTGCGCAGCACCTCAGGAGCCCAGAAGAGCTGCCAGCCAAGGAGGAGGAGCTGGGGGGAGCAGAGGCCTGGACCAGCTGGGATGTTCCCATCCGCGTGTCCCTCCCGCCCAGGCCACATGGGCAGGGGAGGAAGAGGGGAGGAGGAGGGGAGGGGCCCTTGTCCTCCCAGAGCCTCTCCCTTCCTCTCCTCCCTCTCCCTCTGCTCATCTCATCATGAGACAGCTGGCGAGGCCCTTCGGCTGCCCTGGAGTGCCCCTGCCCTGGCCAAGCTCTTGCTGCCCCCTTCTCCTGGAGGTGCCAGATGGGGCGGGCCCAAAGCAGCAGAGGTCTGGGCCCTGGCTCCAGCTCTGTCCCCTCCCGAGGGCCCTGGAGGAGCTAGGAGGAGGGCTTAGCAGGGCCGGGCAGATGGTGGGCCGGGAGGAGGGGTTGCCTGGGGAGACGGACCGACTAGCAGGACAGATGGTGGGCCAGGCAGGGGTCCGGAGCCCGCCCCATCTGCTCCAGTCCCTGGTGGGACTTTTCTTGTCCACCTCGGGCTGAACTGGGATGGGCTGCGTGGGTGGCTGTGGCCCAGGCCGGATTCTGTCACACTGGGTCCTCTGTCCCTGGGGCACGGCCAGCCGGGTGCTCATCTGGGGTCTTGAAGCCCCCTCCTGGCAGCTGGCACGTGGCTGGAGGTCATCATGTTTCGGGGGCTCCTGAGGGTCTGCGGGCCATGCCTGAGCAGAGCCTGGGGCGCGTCCCGGGAACGAAGCCGCCGCTGCAGATGAGGGGCTTTGTAGGTGGGTGGGCGACTGAAGCCCCCTGGAGGGGCTTCCTGGGGTCCAACGCCGAGAGGGTCCGGGACAAGAAGATGCTCAGTCACGTGTTTGTGCTGCAGGTGCACCCCCAGCCCAGGCGACATCAACGGCCAGCCCCATACGCGTGAGGAGGGATTGCGGCACCAGGGGCGCTCAGGATTGGGCCGGGCTGCTTCTCAGAAGAGGGGACATTGAGCCCAAGCAGGCTGCACTCCTGCTTGGACGGAAGGTGCATGGGTGGGGAGGGTAATCACACCAATAGAGACATGGATGGACTCGTGCAGAACATAAATACTCTCTTTGCTTATGTCTATGTTACTCAAAGGAACCATGGAAATAACAAATTCCCAATTACAATGCAGTAAACTTTAAGAGGAGCAGAGTGAGCTTCGCTCTTTTATGGTTGGTGTATTTCCAAAAAACACTTTCTTCTTCTTTCCCAATTCTTTTTCTAGTTTCTCCTAAATTGGTGTTTCTTTAGATGGAAGCAGTGTCTCAGACCATAAAACACTAAACCTATTTGAAGCACTTAAGTTAATTATTCTATTCATAAAATCTAGGTTGATCCATCTCATAGCAAAATCCGTTAGTATAATTTTACCTTCTTCTTTTTAAAAAGCCAACAAACTATAAGTGGTGCTTCTATGTAGAAATATATAAGTAGAACTGAGTTTTTACTTATAGAACTTATATCAAATGATGATAAGCAAAGTATTTTTATTCTATAACCTGGATTTAAAAATATATAATCTCTGCAATATATATTAAAGAAACTATAATTAATTTTAAGAAGTCAAATGGGGAAAAAAACAAAACAAAATGTTCCATCCTTAGACAGATGACCTATAATTTATTTTATTTGATTCAAGCTATATCTTTAAATAGTAGTATCAGGATCACAAGTCATTTTGAAATGTCATAAAAATGTTCCAAGTTTGTGTTTTAAAGGACCTTAGAGGGACTATTTGTGGTTTTGTACTTTCTTTGTTCAGTGATGCACTTGCAGGTTATTCTGAACCTCCTTGGGAAAAGATGAAAGTAGGATGGCATTTTGGAAATGATTCTTCATTCTGAAACCTCCTTGAGTGATAGACTAGATGAAGTATAGTTATATATTTGGCAGTAGAAAGCAATCTCTCCTGTCAAATTTCCCATTCATTTTTATTTCTGGATTTATTCTTTCTACTTTTGCTCAAATACCAACACATAAAGAGTGTCCACAGATATAGGCTCTAATAATGCACTGTGGGAATTTAACACATTTTAAAAGACTGAAGGATAGTAAGAAGAGAGTTTTTAACAGATTCCTTATGGAGGGAAAAGAATATTGCTAGATGAAACAAAAATGGAAAAAAATCTTTTATTGATAGATATAGCTTATATTTTCTTCCTTTACTCCTAATTGAATTGTGAATGTTTTATTATCAAAATTCACAAAATTTTGATAGAATGTGCCAAATATTTCCTGAGTTACAATTTCTCATTTAGAAACATTTGCTTTAAATTCTCATACATATCCAAAACTGTTCTGTTCATTTTCCTGTTGACTACTTTTTCTACCTTGACTTGAGATACTCCAGAAGAGATATCCTTGTTGTTAACAAGAAAATAAGCTAATATAAAAGGGATAAATTAAAGTTAGATTATAGGCCATATACTAAGAACTAAAAAATTGAGTTTGGTGGAAACATAAAGATTATGTAGTTAAATGCTCACAATTTTCCCTTATATCACTAAATAAACAAAATAAAAATATTACAAAGGGTTAAAAAAACAGAAAAGATGCCTGCAACATTTTTAGTCAGATACATATTCGCACAGATATTTCCATATATTCATAGAAATATTTAGCACCATTTCTTTGAAAATAAGAAAGTATAAAGGAAGAAATTGATTTTGACATTATCCTAGAGAGTTTAAATGGATCCTAACCAAATACAGACACAAGTCAAACAACACTGACCATCCAAGCATTTTACACTGATCAAGATAATGCAAAAAGGTTGAACTTATGACAAATACAGAAATAAGAAATTTGTGTTATTTTTTAAAGAAATAAACTGTCTGTGATTAATCTTTTTCCCATTTATGAAACTTAAATGACATATCATTTGTTTGTAAATTGCAGGCAGGGTGTTTAATTATATAAAAATGAAACACATTCTGTCTTTATGGAGTTTATGGAAAAAAGGTAATACAGATTAATTTAGGGTAAAGTTTTAAAAATTAATCATTAATATTGGAGAAACAAGGATCAAAAACATCTAAGTAAGCTGTAGCTCAAATAAGAAGGCATAGACCCATTTCTTCTTGCTCCCTCTCACTAGGCACAACCTTAAGCACTGCAAATGGTACAAAAAGCAAATAAAGGAGAACTCTGCAGGTGGTAAAAATAGAAGAGCTGGTGTGGGGACCCAGGATTTGAGCAACAACACAACATCAAGATGCCTTGTGTCCTCCCACCTGAGAGGAAGGCCATCCATATCCAGTACTTCTTTCCCCCATGACATAGTAGCAGAAGGCAGCCCAGATAGGCCCATTGTTTCTCCAGATCAAACAGTAGCCCCCAGCATAGCACCAGCTGAACTTAAGACATGAGAGTGCATCTCCTCACCCACCTGTCCTGAGACTTCTTTTTTCTACCAAGAGATACTTAGGCTACAAGACAAAGAGCCTGCAGGAGAGACTGAACAATACCAGGCAACTTAGTAGGTCATGGAAGCCTCTTTGTCCTCATAGGACTGAGATTCTCCATTCTTGATCAGATGTATTAGACCATTTCATGCTGCTATAATAGAATACCACTGACTGTAATGTATAATGAACAGAAATTTATTTGCAGCAGGAGCCAATCCTTCTCATCAAATTTCACATTCATTTTTATTTCTAGATTTATTCTTTCGACTTTTGCTTAAATGTCCACATTTAAAGAGTGTCCACAGATACAATATAGGCTCTAGTGATGCATTGTGGAAATTTAATACGTAGTGAAACACTCAAGGATAGTACAAAGAAAGCTCTCTTATTTTTACTACCTTCAGGGTTCTCCTCTATATTTGTCTTTTCACTACTTCTAATGCTTAAGGTTGTGTCTCGTGAGAGACAGCAAGAAGAAATGGGTCTATGCCTTCTTGTCCGAACCACGTTTCATTTAGATGTTTTTGATCCTTGTGTCTTTTATACTAATGATGATAAAAGAATCAATCAACTAGACATAAAAATTCTAAATATGTACCGACCACGAGAGCGTATTTGCAAAATAACATGAAACAAAAACTGATAAAGAGTTGAAAGCAGAGATTCACTACTGTAATTGCAGACTCCAACACTGATAATAATGATAGAATTATTAGAAAATCAGCAATGACCTGCAATATCTAGAATATATGCACATTCAGCTAAGAAGATCTAACTGCCACATAAAAACACTCCGCTCAATTACAGCAGAACACACAATTTTTTTCAGACCTTCATGGAATACTCATCAAGATAGATCATAGACATAAGTAGACATTAATCAAGCCTCAACAAACTTAAAAAAATAGTTTAAATTGTGTTATGTATTTTTTGTGATACCAAACTAGAAATAAATAACAAAACAAGAGGAATCTGAGAACATGTGGGAAATAACGTATTTTTAAATGATCCATGGGTCAAAAAGGAAGTCTCAAATAATTTAAAAACAAATACATAGATGTGAATGATTTAAAAGATACAAAATATTATGTCAGATAGAACTAAAGAAGCGATTAGAGAAAAACTGATAGCAGTGCAGGCTTACATTAAAAATGAGAGGTCTCAAGTTGATAATCTACATTTCTATTAACAAAAGTAGAAACAGAAGAGCAAAATAAGCTCAAAACAAAAAGAAAAAATAATAAAAAATCAAAGCAGAAATCAATAAAATTGAAAACAGAAAAGCAATAAAGAAAATTAATATAACCAAATATCTTTCAAATATGTTTATCAATAAAATTAATAAAACTCCAAAAATACTAAACAAAAGTAACAAAAAGACAGCTATTGCTCATGTCAAAATTAAAGTAAGAAATAACGCTCTTGATTCTGTAGCTTTTAAAAAGATAAAGAGAATAATACGAACAACTTCATGCTTATAGTTTCATCAACTTAAACGGACTAATTTTTTGAAAACACAAACTATCAAAAATTACCAAGATAAAATTAACAATCTAAAATAGCTCTATTTCAATCAAATCAATTATTAATTAAAAGGTCCTGAAAAATAAAATTCCTGGCTGAAATAGTTTCACCGGAGAATAGTAATAAACATTTAAGAAGTAATTATTACTAAATTTATACAAGCTTTACCAGAAAATAGAAATGAATTGAAAATTTCCTAACTATTCTTATGAAGTATTACACCAATACCCAAGCCAGTGTACAAAAAAGAAAATAATTGATTAGTATTCCTCGCAAATATAGATATAAAAATCATTAACAAAATATTATGAAATAAAACTCAATAATATATAAAAATAACTACACACATGACCAAGTGTGTTTATTCCAGCAATACAAGGATGGTTCAACATTACAAAATCAGTCATTGCAATGAACAATATCAACAGGCTAAAGAAGAAAAATCAGATGATCATATCAATTGATGCATAAAATTAATTCAGCAAAAAATAAATATATATAATAAAAAACTCTTAGAAAATTAGGAATAGAGGAAGACCTTCTCCAAATTTTAAAGAACAGGTAAAAACCCTACAGCTAAGATTATACTTGATGATGAAAAACATCCTAAAATCCTTCCTAAAATCAGGAATAAGGTGCTATAGTTTGGATATATGTCCCTGCCAAATCTCATGTTGAAATGTAATCCCCAGTGTTGGAGGTGGGGCCTGGTGAGAGGTATCGGGGTCATGGGAGCAGATCCCTGATGTCTTGGTGCTGTCCTCAGGTTAGTAGGTGAGTTCTCATGAGATCTGGTTGTTTTAAAGTTTGTGGCACCTCCTTCCACTCTCTCTTTGGCCACATGACCATGGCCATGTGATTCTGCTTTGGCCATGTGACATACCTCCTCCCGCTTCTCAGGGAGTAAAATCTCCCTGAGAGACCCCCAAAGCTGAGCAGTTGCCAGTGCCGTGTTTCCTGTACAGCCTGAAGAACCGTGAGCCAATTAAACCTCTTTTCTTTATAAATTACTCATTCTCGAGTATTTCTTTGTAGCAACATAAGAACAGCTTAGCACACAAGGTAAAGATGACTACTCTTACTTCTCTTCTCAACATAGTTCTGGAAGTCCTCAACTAGCACAATAATGAAAAGAAAGGAAACAAAAGGTATACAGACAAGAAAGGAAAAAGTAAAATTTTTTTCTATTTGCTGATAACATGATTGTCTGTGTTGAAAATCCTAAAGGATCTATCAAAAAACAGAGCTAATATAAATGATGCCAACAAGGTCACAAGATACAAGATAAGCATAACACAATCAATTTTTCATTCTAGATACCAGAATGTGCCCATGAACACTGAAATTAAAAACACAATGCCATTCACAACACTCAAAAATGAATTATTTAACTATAAATCTAACAAAACTGTGCAAGACTTTTATGCTGAAAAATATACAACAATGATGAAATAAATTAAAAATCCTAAATAAGTGGAAAGACATTGTGTTCATGGATTGGAAGAAACAGTATAGTAATGATGCTAATTTTTTCTAAATCAATGCACAGGTTCAATGTAATTCTTATCCAAAATAGCCCACTTTTGTATAAATATAGAATTATCACTGTAAAATTTACATGCAATGCCCAGGGAACTAAACTAGCTAAAACAATTTCAAAAAGGAAAAATAAAAAGGAATGAATTATTGTATCTGATTTCAAGACTTATTATCTACATACATTAATTAATATTATGTGGTACTGACACATAAGCCAATGGAACAAGGTAGAGGGCCTGGAAACAGACCCATAAAATATACCTAACACACTTTTGAGCAAGATGCAAGAACTAAACTGAAAAATGTTCTTTTCAGGAAATGGTCCTGCGGCAATTGTATATGCATAGACCAAAAGGAAAAAAAAAACAAAAGAAAAATAATCTCAGCCTACATTTCATATAACATACAAAAATTAAGTCAAAATAAATTATATCCTTAAATGTAAATATATAGCTAAAAAACATGTTTAAACTAAAAGAAAACAAATCTTCAGGATCTACAGGAAAGCTACAATTTCTCAGACTTGACATCAAAAGCACAATACATAAAATAAAAAAATTATAAACTATAAACTTTCTCTTAGTGAAAACCGGTGTGCAAAGGATAAACAGACCAAGGTACGTATTTGGAGAAAACATTTAAAATTATATATCTGAGGAAGGACTAGTATTTAGAACATAAAAAAGACCTCTCTAACCTCAACAAAACAAAACTATACAGATTGCAAAAGGTCTTGTAAAAATGAACTCGAAAAACCAATTAGAATATGGGCAAAAGACATAAAGAGACATTTCAGTGAATAGGATATGCAGATGGAAAACAAGCATCATATCAACATCATTCATCACCAGAAAATTGCAAATTAAAACCACAGTGATATATTATTACCTAATACTACAAATCTATTACAATGGCAAAAATTAACAAAAAAGTGACAGCAGCAAATATTGCCATTTCTGTAGAAAAACTAAATCACTCATATATTTCCTGTGAAAATGTAAAATGATACAGCCGCTATAGAAAACAGCTTGGAGCTTGGTAATAAAAAAGGTATACAACTATTATTCAACCTAGCAAATTGTACTCTTGTGAATTTCTCCAAGAGTGGGGAGAAAGCTCTGTTCACAAAAGCCTATTCAACAAATATTTATAGCAGATGTATTCATAATAGCCAAAACCTTTGCTCAATCAAGATGTACTTCAGTAGGTGAATGGTCAAACAAATGGCAGTACATATGCACCATGGAATACTACTTAACAATTAAAAGGAATAGATCATTTATGTACATATCAACTTAGGCAAGTCTCCAGAGAATCACACAAAGTAAAAAAATACTAACCCCAAAGTTTATATTCTGTATTGTTCTATTCATGATGAAATTTTAGAAATAGAGGATAAGTTTAGTGGCAACATTTAAAATGAGTGGGAGAAATGGTGGGAGGTGTGTATGGTTATCAAAGAATAGAAAGAATCCTGACGTTGTTAGTGTTTAGCATTTTTACTCCTATTTCTGGATAAACACACCTACTCATCTTAAAATTGTATCAGATTTAATACACACATATATGTGTGTAAGTAAAACTGGGTAAGTCTGAATTAGATCAATGGATTTTATTGATATTAATATCCTGGTTATGCTATTATGCTATGGTTACGCAAAATGTCACCATTAGGGGAAACTGGATGAAGTATACAAGGGATCTCTCTGTATCGTTCCTTCTACCACGTGTGAATCTACAATAATCTCAATTAACAAATATGCTGCTCATAAGTGAGAGAGGTTCATATGCCAAATATTTCCAGAAAAAAAAGTACTAAATTCATGATACTATAAGGTTTAAACAACGAAATAATTTATAATTACATAGGAAAGAGGATTTTTTAAATTTAAAACTCATCAGGATCTGGCATTTTCACAAGGAAAAAGGAGTAAAATTAGCTGTACTAAGTATGAAGTCAGATGTGAACTATGATTATGACACAAACATCATGTTTTATTTTCAAGGTCAATCCTGGGTGAGTATTTGTCTGTGGCCTAGTATCAGAGACCCACGCATCAGGTACAGGTAGATGGATTAAGTAGAGGATTGAACAGAATAAACTAAAATAAAAAGATATGAAATAAATACATGCCTCAGGCAGTGAGAAATCTCAAATATTCTGGAGTAACACAATGTTTCTTATGGTGATGATATAAAAATATATCACTAAGATTATAATATACTGAGACGCTGCATCACCATTATCCCAGAGCTACAGTATGAGTGGCTGATGAAGAGTAATGAAATTTTAATTAGCATTTTGGTAGCAGAAGATCAGTTCAATAGTCATTTTCATTTAATTGATAGCCTTTTGGAAGCTGGGATGCTTGTTTCATGCATGGACCGTCGCTTACCACCTGCAGGGTTTATTTGTATGGCTAGCTATTAAATCTCACCTAAAACCATCATGAAGCTAAATGCATATCACTTCTGTTTTAAAGTGCATTTCAAGGAAAAAGTTCAAACATTTAAAGGGTCATGCTCTGTAATGGAAAAGAAGAAAACAATAGCTTTTTCTATTCAATATGAACCTTCATGGAGAAAATTTAGAAACTATTCTAATTTTATGCTGGTTTAATGTTTAAATAAGCACATAAGTACATTTCTTAGAGTCCAATACTAGTACTTGAGGTAGAAATGATATTTTTAAAAAAATATTCTACGGATATGCTTTCAGGCATACAGTGGATATTGTTAACTGCCAATCCAGTATCATTCTTGTTTTTCTCCTTCCAAACAGAATCCCTTTCTCTTTTCAAACAGAAAGGTCTTTGAATATTCACCATTTTCACAAGTCTGTGCATCTTATTCAGCAGCTACTGAGTCTAATCTCGGCTCCAGAGAATAGTTGGAGAAAATTAGAATGATTATATCTTCCCTTTCTGTATTTGAATCAAGAATGGCATGTCATCTAACCCAGAACAATAAAACAATATAAATAGTTGATTACAGCTTCTGTGGAAATCCTCTCTGGTATTTTCAAGGGGGAGGGTCTCAGTTTCTACACAGAATCTGCAAAAGGGCCATCCTACCTTCTAAATCTCTTCAGCAGTTTCTGGTAATCTAGTGAAGACATTTCATGTAGGTACATGTACTCAGTCCTGTAAAATGCCATTTATATATCAAACAATACTTGGATTGATAATCAACCATTCAATTTAAATATATGAAGATCACTGAGGACCTTGATAACATTAATTTCCTTGAGGTATTGGAAACAAAAGCTTTATGTAAAGCATTCAAAAAGATTCAGAGTGTTGGTGGCAGGGAGTGGGGGTAGAGAGATCATTAGAAAAAATAGGTAATGCATGCTGGGCTTAATACATAGGCCATGGGTTGATAGGTCCAGCAAACCACTATGGCACATGTTTACCTATGTAACAAATCTGCACATCCTGCACACGTACCCCAGAACTTAAAATAAAAATAAAACAGAAATAATTGGAGACAACCAATATCCATCAACAGATGAATGGATACACTAAATGTGTTAAATAGACATAAAGTAATATGATTCAATCCCAAAAAAGTTCTGATATATGCTACAATATGGCTCAACCTTGGATAAATTATACTAACTAAAAGAAATGAGACACATAAGAATAAATGATGTAACATTCCATTTACTTGAAATATTTACAATAAGAAAATTCAGAGAGAAGTTCCCAGGGGCTGGGGGAGAGGGAAACAGAAGTTATTACTTAATGGGTGCAGAGTTTCTGTTGGAAGTGATAAAAAAGTTTTAGAATAGATAGTGATGATGGTTGCACAGCAATATGAATATAAAATGCCACTGAGCTGAATATTTTAAAATGATTAAAATGACAAATTTTATGTTTTATATATATATATTTCACCATGATAAAACCATTTAGACTATTAATGTAGATAATTCTCTGAAATAATTTTCTTTAAAATGAATAAAAATATTTAGTGCTAGTTGAATAAGTTCAACAAAAGACTTGAAACTATAAAAGTAAAAAGATATTTAATTCCTATAAAGACACTTAAAGACAGCGATAAATCATGAATAATGGCATTTTGAAAATGTGACAGAAGAGAAAATTCAAAGAAAAACTGAAAGAAAAGTGGAAAAAAAAGTCCCAAGAATAGGTTTTCCCTTGAAAAAAAATATCAGAAAGAGCTATTATTTTTTAGACCGGACAAAGTTGGCTCTTTGGAAGTAATGAAGAGGTGGGTCTGACTGTATTACATACATATCAATGTGAAGAACAAGAGGTGTGTGTGGCATGTTAAATCATCCTGTGGACTCTATTGATAAGTGTTTTTATGTGGAGTGAATATATTATGAGGCTTGAAGTTACTAGACTAAAAATGCTATGAAAGGTTATTCTAATTAAAACCCTTCTAGAAGTGTGAAAGAAGTCACTGGTGAAGCACTTGCTCAAATGATCAATTTAATTCAGATTAATGAAATCTACAAAGCCACAAATAAAACAGAAGATATAAAATATTAGAAGATACCACACTTACATGCTAGATAACCAAAAACAAACTTCTTAGACATAAAATGCCAATAAATATATTCATTTACTCTTAACAAATTAAAACATTTTTTAAAAATATTTTTAAAAATTAATCAATTTTAATTTATTTTATTTTTAATAAGAGAAACATTTATGCTTTTTTGGGTAGAATCAACAATTGTTTAACAGATTCTTTTTTTCCTGCCATCTCATGTTGCTCTGACTCAAATTAGGGCTGAAGATATTTGAATATTTGATTGCACCACAATATAAAAAGGGCTAATATAGATATAAACCCAGAAGAGAAAAACAAATCAGAAAATGAGGCTCTCTGGGGTGGGTTATATTTGTTTCACGTCTCAAAGTATGAATACACAACAACTTAAATTTAGCAAACATTAAAGAAGAATCTATGTAGTTAGTCTTAATCCCTAGGAGTAACAAAAATTACAAATACATCATTTATGAGTGGTAAGTGCCATTTGATACTTGTGGAATAATTAACATTACAGTACAAAAAACAGATCAAATCTACATAATATTATTCCTCACACCTTCTCCTTTTAAATTATAAAATCACACTTGCTTATGTGACAAGATTTTGAGAGACTTAAATGAGATAATGTATGTAAGTGAAACTGTTATTCACTCTTAATGGCCGCACTGGATCTTGCATTGGTTATTCATTAAAGAACCACTCAGTAAGCACCTACGTACAAGGCCCTGTTTTAAGAACTGATGACACAGTGCATAAAAGCACTTTATGCATAAAAGTACTTCTCTGCATAGTACCTTTTTATGCCCAAAAGCACTTCTCTGCATAGTTTATATCTTTCCTTCTGTCTTCGTTTAGTCCCAATGTTTCATCATGAGATTGCAATAAAAATTCTCAATTTCCCCCTTTATTATTTGTGAAAATTATGGACATATTTGTAGCCATGATCACCTATCACTTTTCTACTAACAACAGAGCTAGACTATGAAATGGCTTCAACTGTATATGTATTAGCAATTATATGTAACTATAAATTACATATAAAATAATTGTATATGTACATTTTATGCTATGCATTAATCACTTTTTCCTTTCTCAAAAATTTTATACATAGCTTATGACTGTAATTTATAATAAAATATATACACAGTACCCTAAACTCACATTATCTTTGCAGCAGGGGAAATCAAAGAGAACAAAATCAAGATTCTTCTCTTTCCCAGAATTTTATATATATATACACACATATATATTCCTGTATAAAACAAACAATATCTGATAAACCATGATAGATAAAATCCCAGGTTATTTTTTGATTGACTCTTTCTAAATGTTGAATTGAGTTCTCATAAGAAGGCATTAATATAAATTTTTATTATTACTACAACTTATACATTACCACTACAACATTGAACAAATATTACTAGCATCAATATCACTTAATATTTTTAATGTTTATTTGACCAGTTAACTTTGTTTACATGAATTGAAGTACTCATCATTCAACATTTAGCAGATTTTTTAATGAAAAATAAAGACAATAAATAACATATTCAATACAACTTTCATTTATCACCATTATCGAAGACCTACTGTGGACTTCACACTGGGTTTAACATATTTTATTTATTCCTTGATAAATTAATTACATTTTAGCTAATATTGTTAATGAAAATGTTGAACAGTTTCGCAGTGCTTTAAAATAATCTACGTAGCATATTACATTTACAATGACATGAAAACTTCTAGAAACTTTTAACCAATAGTTCTATTTGTCATCTCAACTTTTTGAGTAGGACAGTAAAATTCAAAGGGATACAATGATTTGCGTAATTCCACACAGCTAGTGTATGGTGATGAAGATTTGAATCTAGCTGCTCTCAATTGTAACACTGCTCTCCTCTCATTATACCTTACTGACATTTACTAAGAGCACTGAATCTTTCTGTACAAAGCCTTCCACTATTCTTATGCCTCCCCTATTTACCTAATTAATGTTTACAAAATATAGACAGTTTTAAGTGTATTTTTAGTTATTTTTATTTTTTTAAGTATAAGAAACTAGCCAAGTTAAAAAAAAAAGCATTACGATTGAAGTGTTTACAACCTTTGGTAATCTGAATATTTTCCACATCCATTCCAAAGATTATGTAGGTGAAAGGTATTTTAATGTTAATTTTCAACTGGTAATATGGGGTAGTCATGTAGCTATCATCACTGAAAGAGGCATATTTTTTTTTAAATAGAGACTTTCTAAAAGAATTCTATTTTCATCAATATAAATTGAAGTGATTGCCATTTTCAACTATAAATCATTTACACTGTGTTTTAGGAAGCAGTACTTGTTCCTGTCATGATTCCAGTCCTTGACATTGCCGCTGATCATTAAACCCTGTATCTCCTTGTATTCATATAATTCAGACAGCTACCTTGGCAATGCAGGATGTCACATTTTCACAGTATTCATGAACATGGAATGGGAGCCTCCAATTTCTGTAATCAAGATATTTGAGAGTTGATGTGCCCAAGGTCCTCTCTTTAATCAGCTGTGGTACTTCCCGCCCTGAACTCAAATTATCCCTGCAACAGGAGTAATCAAGGCAGAATAAAATCCAGGTTATTCTCTTTGGCCCAGTTTATCTCTCTACAGCCACGGGGAAGGCTGATGCATCAATCAAGTCTCCAAATAAAAAGGTAATTATTTCTTGATTTCTCTGGAGCAGATGCAATGAGAGCAAGGTTGCTTCTACTGGGAGTCCCTACTGTGTTGCCAAACAGCAGCAGTTATCTTAGAAGACAGAAGCAATTACTTGCAAGATGTTCTTGTCTTTTTAGGTAAGGCTGAGTGCTAGTCATTAAAATTCATCTGGCATTTGAGTAACCACTACAGGCCAGGCATAATGCTAGATATTTTTATATATATGTACATATTTTATATACATATATAAGTTAAATTTCTTTTAAATTTCAGACATTTATGAATGCACTCACATATGCACAAAAATATTAACACTGTAAGGTTTGAATCATCTTCAAGTAAGAGTGAGGAAAAGCTCAGTGAGTGAGTGAAATGACCAAGGTCACTGAGCTAGTCAGCAGCTCAGTAGTACTTCAAACTTGTGTTTCTATCATCTTTCCACTACGTTTTTATTATGAGCATGTGGTAGTTTGCAAAGCCTTTTTCTAATGCATAACACACGCACTGATATATACACTACAACAGCTTGCCGTTGTCATCTTAAACGCTTAGGACAGCAGTTCTAATCTTCTCTTTGTCCTAAAGGGTCCTTGGTGACAGGGGGATCACCCTGGATGTTAGCCTAAATTATTCTTTCAAACTTTATTTAACTCCCAATCTCCCATGTCCAAATGGTATAAAATATGTGAAATTTACCAATTAGCTAAATTTAGCATTCCATTTCTTCTTGATATCACTTGAGGGAAAATATACATTATATACTTAGTCTAATCATTGAATTAATATAATTGGATTACTGACTACCCAGATGGAAAGAAGGATGCCATCACTGCTGAGGTATAGTACAGGCAGCCCCTGACACAAGTAACAGTGTAATTCTTGAACTAGGGGAGGGTGCTACTGACATCCAGTGAGTAGAGGCCAGGGATGCTTGTAAACATCTGCAATGCATTAGACAGCACAACAGAGAACTGTGCTGCACAATTTTGCCCTGAGAGGGCAAAGTGATGTTGGATGAGGTAATTGTCTTCATCTCATGAATTCCTAAGAGACAGCATGTACATGAATAACTGATTCATGCAGGTTTATGAAGACTCAGGTCCTTTCTGTGGCCCCTTATAGATCTGAGGGGCCCTCCAGATACAGACACCATCAGCTGAGAAAAGAATTCATTAAGAATGAAAACTGCTCCCTTGGCCCAATCTTGTTTTCTTTTCTTCCCTTTCCTTGTCTTTTACAGGAAGGACAGGAAGCAAGATTGGGCAGAGGAAGCAGTTTTCATTATATTAGGGGATTATTCTCAAAAATAGTCTCCCAATAAATCTTTTGCATGCTAATTCCCATATCAGGCCCTTCTTCTTCTGGAACCTGACCAAAAAGGGCTGGTATCTGAACTGGTCTCAGAAAGCAGATGCTAAAATGAGATTTTGCAGTTGGATTATCCACTGCCCTGTTGAAAATGAGGACACTGGCTGGGCGCAGTGGCTCACGCCTGTAATCCCAGGACTTTGGGAGGCCGAGCAGGGCGGATCACAAGGTCAGGAGATCAAGACCATCCTGGCTAACACGGTGAAACCCCGTCTCTACTAAATACAAATACAAATACTAAATACAAAAAATCAGCCTGGCGTGGTGGTGGGCGCCTGTAGTCCCAGCTAATCGGGAGGCTGAGGCAGGAGAATGGCGTGAACCCAGGAGGTGGAGCTTGCAGTGAGCCGACATCACACCACTGCACTCCAGCCTGGATGACAGAGCGAAAAAAAAAAAAAAAAAGGAAACAAGGACACCATCAATGGTGATAAATAAGTAAAGGCAGCCCCTGGCACAAGGGAACAGTGCCATTTTTAAAATCTTCATTGGCGGAGGGATGGTATGCACTCAGTAGAAGAGAATGGTATGCACTCAGTAGAAGAGAATGGTATACACTCAGTAGAAGAGAATGCACTAGATGATGTGGTGTGATGTGTTAAATATTTGAGAAATATTGGAGACGTAGTAGTTATAAGGAGAGTGGAATTGAGTAGCTTTGCTAAACTTGAAGTATGCCTTGAAGAAAAAGATAAAAATATGATTCATTAATCTGAAATTAAAAGCTAAGCGTGAATGCCAGTGCATGAAAGCAAGTAGCATGTAAAGAGGATCTCATTTACTGCAGCTAGAGGCAAAGAATGTTGAGGACCAAACCAAAGTCTCAATCATAAGAGTAGAAGAGAGCTGTAAAAAAACTTAAACTCTCAAACTAAGCAGGTCTGCTATAACCACATTAAAAACTCAGGCCAGGAAAGAATGAAACTCTCATGGAGTAAGAGCATCTGGATTATTACATCTAAAAATATTGTAAACTCATATCCCTTATATTTCAACATCGTCCGCAGATATGACCAACACATTCCTGTTAAGGGGTGCCTCCTTTGCATCAAGATGACTTAGAGACCTCCCCTTCATACTACAAAGTATTCCACCCTCACAATGTGTTTCCACATTGCTAGGTATTCCATTCTCTTGGAAGCAATTGTGAATGGGAGGTTCACTCATGATTTGGCTCTCTGTTTGTCTGTTATTGGTGTATAGGAATGCTTGTGATTTTTGCACATTGATTTTGTATCCTGAGAGTTTGCTGAAGTTGCTTATCAGCTTAAGGAGATTTTGGGCTGGGACCATGGGGTTTTCTAAATATACAATCACGTCGTCTGCAAACAGGGACAATTTGACTTCCTCTTTTCCTAATTGAATACCCTTTATTTCTTTCTCCTGCCTAATTGCCCTGGCCATAACTTCCAACACTATGTTGCATAGGAGTGGTGACAGAGGGCATCCCTGTCTTGTGCCAGTTTTCAAAGGGAATGCTTCCAGTTTTGCCCATTCAGTATGATACTGGCTGTGGGTTTGTCATAAATAGCTCTTATGATTTTGAGATATGTCCCATCAATACCTAGTTTATTGAGAGTTTTTAGCATGAAGGGCTGTTGAATTTTGTCAAAGGCCTTTTCTGCATCTATTGAGATAATCAGGTGGTTTTTGTCTTTGGTTCTATTTATATGATGGATTATGTTTACTGATTTGCGTATGTTGAACCAGCCTTGCATCCCAGGGATGAAGCCCACTTGATCGTGGTGGATAAGGTTTTGGACGTTCTGCTGGATTCGGTTTACCAGTATTTTATCGAGAATTTTTGCATCAATGTTCATCAGGGATATTGGCCTGAAATTGTCTTTTTTTTTGTTGTGTCTCTGCCAGGCTTTGGTATCAGGTTGAATGGCCATACTGCCCAAGGTGATTTACAGATTCAATGTCATCCCCATCAAACTACCAATGACTTTCTTCACAGATTTGGAAAAAACTACTTTAAAGTTCATATGGAACCAAAAAAGAGCCCGCATTGCCAAGACAATCTGAAGGCAAAAGAACAAAGCTGGAGGCATCACACTACCTGACTTCAAACTGTACTACAAGGCTACAGTAACCAAAACAGCGTGGTACTAGTACCAAAACAGAGATATAGACCAATGGAACAAAACCGAGCCTTCAGAAATAATACCACATATCTACAACCATCTGATCTTTGACAAACCTGACAAAAACAAGAAATGGGAAAAGGATTCCCTATTTAATAAATGGTGCTGGGAAAACTGGCTAGCCATATGTAGAAAGCTGAAACTGGATCCCTTCCTTTCACCTTATACAAACATTAATTCAAGATGGACTAAAGACTTAAATGTTAGACCTAAAACCATAAAAACCCTAGAAGAAAACTTAGGTGATACCATTCAGGACAGAGGCATGGGCAGGGACTTCATGTCTAAAACACCAAAAGCAATGGCAACAAAAGGCAAACTTGACAAATGGGATCTCATTAAACTAAAGAGCTTCTGCACAGCAAAAGAAACTACCATCAGAGTGAACAGGCAACCTAAAAAATGGGAGACAATTTTTACAATCTACCCATCTGACAAAGGGCTAATATACAGAACCTACAAAGAACTTAAAGAAATTTACAAAAAAATAATCAAACAACCCCCATCAACCAGTAGGCGAAGGACATGAATAGACACTTCTCAAAAGAAGACATTTATGCAGCCAACAGACACATGAAAAAATGCTCACCATCACTGGCCATCAGATAAATGCAAATGAAAACCACAATGAGATACCATCTCACACCAGTTAGAATGGCGATCATTAAAAAGTCAGGAAACAACAGGTGCTGGAGAGGATGTGGAGAAATAGGAATGTTTTTACACTGTTGGTGGGAGTGTAAATTAGTTCAACCATTGTGGAAGACAGTGTGGCGATTCCTCAGGGATCTAGAACTAGAAATGCCATTTGACCCAGCCATCCCATTACTGGGTATATACCCCAAGGATTACAAATTATTCTACTATAAAGACACATCCACATGTATATTTATTGCAGCACTATTTACAATAGCAAAGACTTGGAATCAATCCAAATGCCCATCAATGATAGACTGGATAAAGAAAAGGTGGCACATACACACCATGAAATACTATGCAGCCATAAAAAGGATGAGTTCATGTCCTTTGCAGGGACGTGGATGAAGCTGGAAACTATCATTCTCAGCAAACTAACACAGGAACAGAAAAACAAGCACTGCATGTTCTCACTCATAAGTGGGAGTTGAATAATGCGAACACATGGACACAGGGAAGGGAACATCACACACCATGGCCTGTTGGGGGTTGAGGGGTAAGGAGAGGGAGAGCATTAGGACAAATACCTAATGCATGTGGGGCTTAAAACCTAGAAGACAGATTGATAGGTGCAGCAAACCACCATGGCACATGTATACCTATGTAACAAACCTGCACGTTCCTCATATATATCCAAGAACTTAAAGTAAAATTTAAAAAAAGAAAAAAGTTACTCATTTGCAGACTACTGCAGGAAACAATGATGAAAGTAGCTTCTGCTACCAGGAAGATTATAGACTCTCTCTCTTATCATCTCCTCCCTTTTCTAGAGCCTACCATGGCACATAATAAAATATGTTATAAGGTTTTGGTGGACAATATAAATTTACAATATTTTGCATTTTTATTCATAAGTTTACAGAGTATAATATGGCTTTAATATGTAAAAAAAATTTACTGTAAATAAAAAATAATAAAATGCTTAGGAATGACATTAACTGTGAAGTGTTTGGATAGAATATTTTAATACTCCAGGTCATCAATAAATAATGCTTATTCTTTCTTTTTGTAGCTGTTATTCGTGTCCCTGAACTGTGGTCTCAACCACAACCTTGTTCTCCATCAATTCTATCCCTGGGCAGAGCTCTGTTGATGACTGCAGTGCCGTGGCCTTGTGTGTGTGTCTAGCCATCACTCTGGCTCCCCGACTCCCTGCCAGCAAGTTGGCCCCACTGAGCAGCCCAGCATGGTGCATTTGGTGGCTCTGAGAAATCTGATCTCATGAAAAAAAAATCACAGGCCTCTGAGTTTTCTAATTTTGCCTCTGTCATTTACTCCGAGTCATCATTAAGCAAATCTTGTTACTTATTTGAGCCATATTGAACCCGTGAGTTTGGAAAACAGGCATTAAAGTCTTACTCACAGGCATAAATTAAACGGCATTTCATAGGAAATAAACATTTTGTAAGCCACGATTTGCTCAATTGTGAGACGTTTTTGTTTGTTTGTTTGTAACTATTGTTTCAACTGCAAAGTCACCAAAAACACTGAGTCATTGAAAACAGAGCAATGGTCCTTAGGAAAAATACAGGATTAGGTTCCTGTGAATCTCTGATCACAACATTTTTATCATCTGATCAATACATAACTTTCTTTTATGTTATTTCTGTTTAGAAATACCTGATTATAATATATTTTTGATTTAACATTGAACTGACAGCCAACAACATTATCTGCCTGAACGAAGCTCATCTAGCACACACAGTGTCTGTTCTCTGTAAGGCACGTTACAGCTTTCTTGTGTACAGGGACACTAGACAACATTCCAGCACTCTGCTTTGAGGCCATGTTGAACAATGAAATCACCAATACAAAGCAGAAAACGTGGTACTAAATAGACCACAAACAGACATGTGTTTATAGTACGAGAGCTGAAAAAATAAGGAAGATTATCACCTTTTTTACTTCAGCTGTGCATGCCGGCGACTCAAATTTTTCACTGCTGTGAACGTTTTTACAAACTATGAAGGTGCCATGAGTATGGGGGTTATAAAGAAAATGTATTATTAGACAAACTTGCAAGTATGAAATCCACAAATAATCAGGATTGACTTTAATTATATGTGAAGGGCACGTGAATCTCCCTCACAGGTACCAAGCACAGGACACCTTATTCTTGTCTTGATTTCAGATCCCTGTTTGGAACCCCAGTATGCAGTCTTTGTCCTTCCTTCTATCGATGTATTGGTCAAGGTTTCCAGAGAAACAGAACAAACATTACCCTACAGGATTGGCTCATCCAGTTATGGAGGCTGAGAAGTCCTAAGATCTGTAAGCTGGAGACCCAGGAAAAAAAATGTGTAAGTTCCTGTCCAAGAGAGCAAGCTTGAAACCCAAAAAGAGCCTATGTTTCAGTTCAAGTCTGAAGGCAATAAAACACCAATGTCCCAGCTCATACAGTCAGGTAGGAGTTCCCTCCAACTCACGGGAGGGTGTGTTTTTTTATTCTAGTCAGACCTTTAACTGATTGGATAATCCCCACATACTTCAGAGATGACAATCTGCTTCTCTTCTGATTCTAATGATAACCTCATCCCAAAACAGCCTCACAGGCACATCCAGAATAATGTTTGAGCAGGTATCTGCACATCCTCCTGTGGCCCAGTCAAGTTAACACGTAAAATTAATCATCATAATTAGCATTACATATTTTATTATCTAATTTTTACATAAATTTTGAACAATATATATCACATATATGCACATTATAAAACTTAAACCACTTCATGAAAATCCCATCAAAGCCAGAACTCCATTTTGGTAATGCTTCTCTGCCGTGGCTCTTTCCCTTTCTGACACACAAGATACAAATGGGTGGTATTCATTCATGATTTCATAATTCTAACATAATTCTAAGAGGCCCTGACATCTCCATCATATGGCCTAAGGGTCAAAAAGCCTTCAAACAGCTAACCTTATATGGAATGCTCACTATAGGTCAGGAGATTTTAAAAATTATTTTGTGGTATAAGTTCACCAATTTTTTAGCCAGGCTTTGAGCTAGCCACAATTAGTAGCACTATATGAAAGATGAGGAGGCTTGAAATGTAGAGAAATTTGTAAGGAACACATAGTTCCTATTATGGGAAGTTCTTCTTCCTGATGGAAAGACAGGAATCTGACTTCAAAGCCCGTGTTCCTATCTGCTATGCCTTACTGCCTCTAACTTCTAACTGGCCAGTGCTACTTCCTACTGTTTTTTTTCCCATTAGGAGATACATTAAATAAATTGGAAATATTTGGAATATAGCAAACAATTAGCTCATGTATTTATGGAACCTGCAGAGGTCTTTAGTTTTCTAGGGCACAGCACAAATGGCTTTCTCTTATCCAGCTTGTTTGGAAAATTCCAAGTCTAGCTGTGGAAATGAAAAACAGTTCTCAGTCCACCAAAATGATTTTGTTCCCAATCTGATGTAGCCTGTTGTGATTTATGCCTTTGAAAAGGTTGACCAACATGGTACATAACTGCCATGCCAATTTCAGCTAAATTACCTCTGCCCTTTTTCAGTTTCCCTGTGAAACTCTAATTTGGCTTGTGAAATCAAGTTGTTTTAACAGTAATGCTTTTTCTCTTTTTAGAAGGTTTTTATACAATGGTAAAAATACGTTTATTTTTAGTTTTAAATATAGCTTATGGAGTGAGATATCATTCTTTTTAAAATCAGAAATGACTAAAATCTGAATCTTGAAATAACAGGGGGAAATATATCACCCCAGCAAAGCACTATGCAGAAAATAATGCACCAAAAGATTTAAAATGTAAGCTATCTATTTAACCTATCTGCCATTCAAAGGAAGGGGTGGCAAGATGGTGGAAAGAGGTCAAGTGAGCAGAAAATGAAGAACCAATCACAATATTGGAGGATCAGAAGAATTGGAAGGGGAGTAACATGATTTTAAGTGGGTTCCAATTGCCTTTGTGTGAATATTAAGAATGCCTTTATAATGATTGTAAAGATGCTTAATGATGTGGTCTCCTGCTTAGATCTCTAGCTTCACCCCTGGTTAGACTCCTACACAAACCTTATGCCAGTCATACTGAATATTGTCTGAATCCTTAAAAATTACCTTATGCTTTGCACCTCTGGAAATCCTCATGTTCTGTTTCCTCTTTCTGTGAAGATCTGGACAAACTGACTCACGACCTTATTTATTTTTATGACATATTTTAGCCTTTGGTCCAGATTGCTGGTCTGTAAGGACCTCACTGATTGGACCAGATGCTAAAGAGTTACTTATTTCATTTTCTGAAAGTTCATAGAATCATATGCTTTCTTCTTTTTATTTTAGAGTCTCTCTCTTTCTCTCTCTCTCCATATATATATATATATATATATATATATACACACACACACATAGTCTTCCAAAACTCCTCGGAAGAAAGGGAAGCATTCTGTAAGACTTTGGGCAGATTTTTTTTTTTTTTTTTTTTGGACAGAGTCTCTCTTTGTTGCCCAGGCTGGAGGGCGGTGGCAGGATGTCGGCTCACTGCAACCTCCACCTCCCAGGTTCAAGCAATTCTCCAGGATCAGCCTCCCGAGTAGCTAGGATTACAGGCCTGTGCCACCACACTCAGCTAATTTTTGTATTTTTAGTAGAGATGAGGTTTCGCCATGTTGGCCAGGCTGGTCTCAGACTACTCTTGACCTCAACTGATCCACCTGTCTTGGCCCCCCAAAGTGCTGGAATTACAGGTGTGAGCCACTGTGCCCTGTGATTTTGGGTACATTTTTGTTGTTATTTTGTCTTACCCCATTTCTCTGTACAAAATGTGAAACACATGAGTCCTCTTAACTGGTGCATGTGTGTGGAGGGGAGCATTTTGTTGTTTAGTGCCAAAATGAGATAGATAGAAGTTTAAAGAATGTGACATTTGTAAAATGTTCTCTGTAAAAAAAGAGCAGGTACTTACCAGCCCCGGAATAGAGGAAGACATCGTGCACTGCTGGCTGCTGTGGGGGAGACAAAACTAGCAGGGCACTGAGCAGAGAGCCTCAAAAACAAAAATGTGCATTATCTTGTGTGTGTGTGTGTGTGTGTGTGTGTGTGTGTGTGTGTGTGGTATGATTTTATATATGAGATGTGTGCTTGGGGCGGTGTGGTTTGTCTGGTATGTGTGCATATGTGTGTAGTGTAATGTGTGGTAGGTGATGTGTGGTGTGGGTGTGATGAGTGTGAGTGGTGTGACTGTGGTGAATTATCTGTGGTGTATGTGTATATATGCATAGGTGGAGTATGTTATATGGTGTGTGTGTGTGTGTGTGTGTGTGTGAGAGAGAGAGAGAGAGAGTACATGAGAGAGAGAAAGGAAGAAACCTCTCAACTATGTTGTAAGCATTTAGTAAAATTACACATATAACAATATTCTTGGGGCAGTTGTCTCCTATGAAGGTCAGTGAAGGAGATGAGTTTTGCATAACGAAGATGTATAAGCCAGACCATGTGCAGCAGAGAGAAAGCCAGCATGTGAAATACTATTTTACCTTCATGACTACTACAGGCTCTGAAACATATTGGTGCTTAGAGACATTCTTAAAAACATTAATGAATGATGAAAACATTTAAAATTGTGTCACAAACAAGAAGTCTTTTATTAAATACTTGTTCATTATATTTATAGAAAGGAGAGATAAAGAAAATAGTTTCAAGATTATACGTTTGACAAATGTTTATCTGAAAATTACTAAAGTCATTTTTGCTGATATAAAATTAGTCCTTTCAGTAAATCAAACTATTTAATTTACGGATGTTCTCTAGGTGTTACTGTATAGTAATGATATTCTGCAGGCAATTATGTAGTAAAAGATTCCAAGCATGTTTGTGATATGTTTAATTCCTGACCCTTGGCTTTATTTAGTTAATATTCTTTTGTTCTTTCATTCATTTAATTTAATTCATTCATTCATGCAAAAGCTACTTATTGAGAGATTTCTACATGCTAAGCATTATTTTAGGTGTTAAGGGACATGATAGTGAACAAAACCAGCAAAACTCTCTGCCCTTATGGATTTCACATTCATGTGGCTGCAAATGCAAGAGATCAATACAGGCAAGTGTTAACACAAATTGGAAAAATCAAAAAAGAAGAGGGTGGTGACTAAAGGAACCAAAAGATTGAAGTACAACTTGGTCTGAGAAAATTTCTGGAACGAACTAAGAGAAAATTAATCAATATTCTCTCTCTCTTTTTTTTCTCCTTCTATCCTCTAAGAGTTTTATCTATTTTTTCTATACTTTCTTTCTGAAGGCTGGACTTTGTGCCCTGTAGATAACCACTAACATGATCCAGTCACATCCAAAAACATTTTAATCTAATTTTTGCTTCAAACTCCAAGAATAAGTTTTCTGATTATACTAGGTTGGTCAACTTTTGTCTCAACTGTGACAGATTGGGGGCATAATTAAATGGACTAAATGGTTGCCACCAATATAATCTTATGAATGAGTGAAAATCTAAAAACAGTAATAAAACTGTAGAGAACTCTGAGATCTCTTTTTGACACTCAGGGTGTCCTTATGGCTTTATGTCTATTCTGGTTCCCTCTATGTCTGGTAAAAAGTATTTCCCTTTGGGATTCTAACTCCTGTATGTCTATGTGTGGATACTTACATATTTTTACAATTTAAAGCAATATAGTTGGTTCTTTAGTTTTGGTTGGTAAACGGGTTTGTAAGATTTAAAGCAATAAAGAAGATAACAGAGAAAAAGATGAGCTGGTTTAATTACTCATATATAAACTATTTCAAATATCTTTACATATTCAATATAATATCAAGAAAAAAGGTAAGAGATCTATGTTCATATGAATTGAGGAATATCACCTAGCCATTTTGAGCTTTCATTTTTAATACCTATAAAACTTTCATTATGAATACATATTTATGTGACACATTCTATCTGATGTTGTCCAGGTCCTGAGGGGGAAACATATTTTCTTGCTTTCTTGGCAGGGTTTTTGCAAGGATCAGAAAAAAAGAAGCAATATAAAATGACAAAAGTAATGCATAAAGGGCCTAAAAATGGAAGTGATCACTATTAAAGAAGGTCATGCTGTTAAGAGAGCGTTGCAAATGTGGTGTAGCCACTCTACATATGGCTAAGTTTGCAACATATTTGTCAGGCTTTCTGGGAGTTTACTCAGAGGTGTCTGGGTCATTACCAGCTAGCCATCTGGTGGAACCTAAAGGAATCAGAAGATGAAATCCATTTTTCCTGCTGCATTTATTTGAGCAAGGTGATTTTATCATGCATATCCTGTACCATGCTTTGTATTTACAAGGCTTGCTGGCCATCACTGCAGTGCAGTGTCCCCAGGACACCATCAACACTTCCCTAGGGAAAACCTGAGCAACAGCTCAAGCTTTGAGAGTTTGCTCACCCGTGGAAAGCGGTTGCAGGAGCCCAGTAGGCATCCACTGCTAATTTGAGGCTGTTGCATTTGTATTCTCCTTCTCACACACTGAGTTCATTCTTCTTATAAATAAGAGTATTTGCTCTAACTTTGTAGTTCTTCTTCTCCAAAAACAACATCTGGACATTCTTTCCTGAAAAATACACAGCATACCTCTCCTGAGAATATTTTTCATCTAAAAATGTAATGTTTTAAATCAGGTAAAATTAAAGAGTAGGATTGAATATTAATTCAAGATGGATTAAAGACTTAAACGTTAGACATAAAACCACAAAAACCATAGAAGAAAACCTAGGCATTACCAGTCAGGATATAGGCATGGGCAAGGACTTCATGTCTAAAACACCAAAAGCAATGGCAACAAAAGCCAAAATTGACAAATGGGATCTAATTAAACTAAAGAGCTTCTGCACAGCAAAAGAAACTACCATCAGAGTGAACAGGCAACCTACAAAATGGGAGAAAATTTTCGCAACCTACTCATCTGACAAATGGCTAATATCCAGAATCTACAATGAACTCAAACAAATTTACAAGAAAAAAACAAACAATCCCATCAAAAAGTGGGCAAAGGATATGAACAGACACTTCTCAAAAGAAGACATTTATGCAGCCAACAGACATGAAAAAATGCTCATCATCACTGGCCATCAGATAAATGCAAATGAAAACCACAATGAGATACCATCTCACACCAGTTAGAATGGCGATCATTAAAAAGTCAGGTAACAACAGGTACTGGAGAGGATGTGGAGAAATAGGAATGCTTTTACACTGTTGGTGGGAGTGTAAATTAGTTCAACCATTGTGGAAGACAGTGTGGCAATTCCTCAAGGATCTAGAACTAGAAATACCATTTGACCCAGCCATCCCATTACTGGGTATATATCCAAAGGACTATAAATCATGCTGCTATAAAGACACATGCACACGTATGTTTATTGCGGCACTATTCACAATAGCAAAGACTTGGAACCAACCCAAATGTCCAACAATGATAGACTGGATTAAGAAAATGTGGTACATATACACCATGGAATACTATGCAGCCATAAGAAAGGATGAGTTCATGTCCTTTGTAGGGACATGGATGAAATCGGAAATCACCATTCTCAGTAAACTATCGCAAGGACAAAAAACCAAACACCGCATGTTCTCACTCATAGATGGGAATTGAACAATGAGAACACATGGACACAGGAAGGGGAACATCACACTCTGGGTACTGTTGTGGGGTGCGGGGAGGGAGGAGGGATAGCACTAGGAGATACACCTAATGCTAAATGACGAGTTAATGGGTGCAGCACACCAGCATGGCACATGTATACATATGTAACTAACCTGCACATTGTGCACATGTACCCTAAAAGTTAAAGTGTAATAAAAAAAAAGAGTAGGATTGAATATCATAGTTTGATCTCCCAGACTGGGAAGCACATGGTGTTGCTTTAAACTCGGACGCCAGAGCTGAATTTTTCCAACAAATAACAAATAGCAACTAGAATGTAAGCAAATGAAGCATACAAATTAAATGGAAATGCTCTTCTTTTTAGTCAACTCTGTCTCTGTTTTGCCTTAGAACCCAACTGCCATATATCATACTGACTGATCACTGCTTATTTCTTTAAACTGAAGCCAAAGGTCACATCTTATAGGAATCTTTCCATGATTCCCTCCCTTTATATTTCCGTTCTTCATCTGATGATTTTTCATACCTAGCATAGTTCTTGGCATATGGTAGGCAATTTTGATATGTTAAATGAATGAATTGGGCTTACAACACTGTGGTAGACAGAATAATGCCTCCTCAGTATGTCTATATCCTAATCTCCAGAATCTGTAAACATGCTAGTTTGCATGGCAAGGGGGAAATAATAATGCAGGTGGAATTAAGGTTTCTCTTCAGATGACCCTGAAATGGCGATATTGTCTCTGATTATGTATGAACCCAATGTAATCTCAAGGGTTTTATAAGTAAAAGAAAGACATAAGAGAGTGTGATGATGCAGCATGCAAAAGGCCCTACTGGCTGTTACTGGCTTAGAAAATGGAAGAGGGGCAGGAGCCAAGGAATGAGGGCACCTTCTAGGAGCTGCAAAAGACAAGGAAACATTTTGTTTGTTTTGCAAAAGCAATGCTGCCCTTCTAACATCTTGATTTTAGCCCAGTGAGATCTGTTTCAGGCTTCTGCTCTCTAGAATTGTTGAGATAATTAATTATTTTTTTGAGACAGTCTCACTGTGTCACCAGGCTGGAGTACAGTGGCCCGTGATCTCATCTCACTGCAACCTCTACCTCCCAGGTTCAACTGATTCTCCTGCCTCAGTCTCCCAAATAGCTGGGCCTACAGGCTAATTTTTGTATTTTTACTAGAGACAGGGTTTCACCATGTTGGCCAGGATGGTCTTGATCTCCTGACCTCATAATCCGCCCGCCTCAGTCTCCCAAACTGCTGGAATTACAGGTGTGAGCCACCGCTCCTGGCCCAATTTGTGTTGTTATACCCAAATTTGTGGTAATTTGCTACAGCAGCAATAGAAAACCAGTATAGATACCGTAATATAGGCTTTTTTGTTTGTTTCCTCCTTTTCTGCTGGTGCCAATGGTGAAGTCATGGGCAGGATCTCTCAATGTCAGAAGAAGTATAACCATAATATTTCCTGATTGAATGTACTTCTTGGAAGTTTAGTAATGAAAATTCATTGAGTTTAGAGATTGCATGGCTCTGATTCCTAGCCCAACACATTTGTGACCTTGGGCAAATCACAAAACTGTACTGAATGTTTTTATCTGTTTAATGGAGACCATAACATACACTTTGCAGGGGCACCATGAACACTAAATGATCTGCTAAAGGCCATCATACACAGTCAAAGTGAAATAAATGCACTATGGCAGAGATAATCATTTTGCATGCTGATGAAGAATGTAATAAGGCATAAGCACCAAATGTGTGTTGAGAACTGTGATGGTATTTCTTGGGGGTGTTAGAGCTGACATTGGCCTTGTATGAAGGGAAAGGTTCACACATGTGGACACAGCACAGAAAGGGCACTCCAGGCTGTTCAAGTTGTGTTCAGGATAAGACATTAGGAGCAGCCCAGAGCAGCTGCTGGTGACACCACTTAGTGGCCACAAGGGTGATGCTGGAGCCAGAAGGCTTTGGATTGCCTGGTTCCACAACTTCCAGAGGTTGGCAGTTTAGGGTCATTATTCAAACCCTTTGTGCCTCTGATTACTGAAATGTAAAAAAAACAGGAAGCTCTGGCAATTTAATGTGTCAGTACATCTAAAGCACAAGAGCAGAGCACTTACACAAGTCCAGTAAAAATTAGCTAATGTTGGTGTTATTTACTGCACGTGGAGAAGTGAGTATGGGGAAGATGTTCTGGAATATTTTCAGCCTGGATCGCTTGAGCAGCAGCCTCTTCAAACCCACGGAAAATGTCTTGTATGGAGCAATTTCATGCACTCTTACAGGAGTGGGCAAGAGAGTTCAACTAGAGTTGAAGTTCAATGAGGATAGAAATTAGATTTTGCTGTTGTAATTCACCTATTTATCCTCAGCACTCAATGTCTTGCCAATAGAGGTACTCTAAATATTTCCTGATTGAATGTACTTGTCTAAAGTTTAGACTATAGCCTAAAGTAGCTTATCAGTCCTATTTTTTGCATAAACTAGGGTGTAATCTGTATGAATGAAACACTTGAAGCCCATTACATCAAGCCAGCTAGACCATAATTTAAATCATCCAGGGATAGGAGTCTATATTTCTCCTCTGCTTGCTTGTATGACATCGGGTAAGTCATTCAAACTCACTTGGTCTCAGGTTCTACCTTTATGAAATGATAAATCTGTGGGTTTTGTTCTATTCTAGTCTGTTACTTTACATGGTTTTTGTAAAATAACAATAATACCATAATTATGTAAATCCCAGTCCAGATTCTATCTTTCTATTTTACAATCTATATAACTTACATACCATATTTTCTAGGAGTGTAACTAAATGTTACTGAAACATCAAGAGTTCAGTCTAGGTCCTGTTGCTTGCTTCACAGAAAGCCAGTCACTGAAACAATGAGTATTGCCAGGGAAAGGGGCTTTATTTGGATGCTGCAGCCAAGGAGAATGGGACATCACTCAAAAATCCATCTTCTCAATGGACTAAAATTAGAGGTAGAAAAATAAGGGAAGAAATGTAACTAAGTATGGAAAAATAGGAATTAGGAGAGGATTAAGAAGAGAAGGTGGTCAACAGGCAGCAGCAGGTTACTTAGGCAACCATAATTGGCAAGGGGTCTGGGTCTGGCATCTCATTGTCCAGGTGCAGTTATCTGGTGAGTTGCAGTTCCTTGAAACTATCTTGGAGGGCTGATAGTTGGTTTCCTGAGAAAGGAACTCAGATAAGAAAAGTGTAAGTTTCTTCAGTTTTAATACTGGGAGGGTCAACTTTTTATTTTTATTTTTTCAAAAGAAACCATAAACATCAGTTCTATAGGACAATTGGGCCAGTTTCATAAACATTATAACATATAAGCAAAGTGTATGAGATAGGTACTGGTCCATGATCAATGTTCAATGAGCCCCTTCCTTATTTCTCAGCCTTAGTAATATTTAAGTGCTTTTCTTCCATAAGTTACCAGGCATAAGGTGTTATCTACAGTCCTCGCAGAAGAGTAAGATGTCTCGTCGAATCTATCCCCTGGTTTATGTCTCCCACACTATTCTTATTTAAATGGAATTATCCTGTTTATCACATAGGCATTTTACAGATAGACTCTGTAATATTAGTGCCATGCAGAGCATTATAGCCATGCTAAAATATCATTTTTCCTGGGAAATAATATCAGTATCAAGGTGTATGGCAAGAAAATATAAATCTTTCAACGGGCTAAGAATTAAAAAAAGAGTAATGATTCTGTACAATTATAGTATAAGAAAAATGAGGGTGGATATTTAGGTAGTGTTGATTAGAAAGTAGAAAACAATCATTTGCTGCAGTGACTGATTTATGGTTTCCTCTCAGTGCACATGTTGAGGTTATTTCCTCCAGAAGGAAGCTGTAGACAAATTCATAATTTATAATATTTAGAAATACACTTGTGATAATGTGGCTAGTGTTAACAGGAGAACAGGAGAACAGCTATTCCAAGGCTTACGCTACTGTTTTTAGGATGTTGATGGTACTATTTCTATGACCATTAATAATTTTAATGCTTGTCAATAAATCTTCTTTTCATACTAATAGCTGCATGAAGCACCATAGGCATAGTAAAAAGAATTAGGGAAGCTGGATTTGAGACAAGCTTCTTTACGCTCTGGCAATGGAATTCTTTCCCCTAATTCCACGAACTTCACTTACCATATCGATAAAATGTGTAAAACATAGTGCGATATGTTAAAGCACTGTAAAAATGATAAAGTAACATAGCATAACCATTGATTTGTGAATGTTAGTTGAGGAATACTACAGTATAGTCCTTGTCAAATCTATGAAAATTATATGTGTATGTGTTATGATATCCAAAGGGTAAGATCTTTTTAAATATTAACCACAGATATGAATTTCAGTGGTTGGTTGGCTATTTTTTTTTATGTAATTTTCCCAGTTACTTCACCCAACATTCTCTGCTCTCTAGTATAATGACTCCCAGATATTCATTTGGGCCCAACACAAAATTAGCTTTTTTGTATTTCCTGTGCAAAATTTTCTAAACCGTTTTATTTTTAAAAGATTAAAAATAAGTCTATTAAGAAAATTGAAGTTATCAAATTAGATTAATAAACAGATATAAACTTGAAACATCCTCTACCACATAATCTGCACATGGCTGTAGAAAGCATAATTTTTGTGGAGCCTCACAACATCGCAAGTAAGTAATTTTTTCATCCCAATTGGTTATTTAGATTTGTTTTCCTATCTAGAAAGTCTGGGTTCTAGGCCTTTGTCCTAAAAACTTTACACAACTTTAAAACTGAATATCTTTAGTCTTAATGAAACCTGAATGACTGTGTAAATGAATTCCTATGTATTTCTACAATTTCATTAAGAGTATGATATATGAAAGTATCACTGAAGCATGAATTTCCTGATCATGACAATTACTGCCACAATCTTATATTCACACACTCTGTGGTGACCCATTTCTGGGTTGGAAATCCAGAACAGAGTATGAATCATATAAATACACATGATTTCAAGATTAAGGAGGTTTTATCCCGACTTCCTTGGGGTGGGAAGCATCAAGGAGGAGTTAATCTTACTGTGCATCAGCCTCTAACCATATTCATGAAAGTGAAAATTTGATTGTCCTAATTACAAATGAGGTTGTCATGGTTGTTATTTTTCTGATTTATTGCCTCTCAATGACAGACACCAACAATAGACCTTGAATTCTTGAAATATAACACAGATAGCCCCTCTTACCTTTTAAATGGAAAATACTTTATTTTTCTTCCCTAGAAAAGGGTATGCTGTTTAGGATTGTGCCTGTGTGCATGTGTGAGTGTGCATATCCAAACATGCTTATTCACATGTTGATTGTGGGAAGTGGTTGACATGTATCAACTAATTTAAAATTCACAACAATGGGAAGGATTGTATTTCCTATCAGTTCATTGTAAATTACAGCTAATAAATGAGATAAATTGAATCAATACACATAGCTATCTGATTCAAAATACTGCATGTATGTCTTTGTGTGCTTGTGCATGAGGGATACATGTATTTGCATGTATACTTACAAAAATTGTTGCAGCATATTGCTAATCCGGATCTTGTCAGGAGTCCAGCTACAGTACTATGCATAATTTTCCTCTGTCAGTTTGTATCACTGGCCAAAATCTAACAGATGTTTCTAAGAGTAAAGGCACTGGGAATTAACACTGTTGTCATTGATGAAGTACAAGTGCTCACACAGCCATCTTTATTTCAGGCCTGTGAGGTTGATTAGCCACATTTCTAGTTTGGGAGTCAGGTATGCCTATTCTTATACCTTTTATATTAATAAAACACCATTTTGAAGTTTTGGGTTGACAATAAAAAATGTACCTCAACTTAAAACTGATATCCAATGTCCTTGCACAATTTTTTGCAAACATTATCCTTTCCACAGCAAATATCTTAACTTTGTTTTGAAAATTAATTTATCATAAATGGAAAAGTTTATTTCTGGATTGATATTCAATTTTTTCTATTGATCCAGATACTTATAGTTATACCAATACCATACCCTACTGATTACTGTAACTTTATAGTGAGTTTTAAAATCAAGTAATGTAAGTCCTCTAGCATTACTTTTTTTCCCGAGTTTTTCTGGCTACTTAAAGGCCTTTACATCTTCAGGTAAATTTTAGGTGAGTTTATGAAATTTAACAACAAAAAAATTCTGCTTGGATTTTGACATTGAATTGAATCTATAGATCAATTTTGGGGTGAATTGCCGTCTTTATAATATTGAGTCTTCCAATCAATGAAAATGGAATGGCCTTCATTTATTTGGAACAATTATCTCACCAATACTTTGTAGTTTTAGTTGAATATGTCTTGAAGTTATTTTATTAAATGTATTCCTAAGTATTCTATATTATGTTATTATAAAATAAATTATTTTCATAATTTCATATTTAATTATTTGTTGTTAGTACATAAAAATACAATTTATTGATCTTACATCTTACAACCTTGCTAAACTTCTTTATTAGTTCTAGTAGTTTTTAATGCAGATTTGTTAGGATATTCTACAAAATGATGTCCTCAGGGAATAAAAACAGTTTTACATCTTCCTTTCTTGGTAGAATGACATTAATGTTTGCTCTGATGGATGTATTGATTGTTTCATTAATAGATTTGCCTTATAATAATGGCAAGAACACCTGTACAATATTGAGTATCTTTCTATGTATTTGTGTTTTATTGTGGATTTATTAGATTATTTAGAAATGTGCTATTTAATACCTAAGAATTTGGATATTTCCCGTCTCTCTTGATTTCTAGTTTAATTACACTATGTACATAAATAATATATTACATTAACTTGAATCACTCAAATTTGTTAAAGTTTCCTTTACAATATGTCTGTTTTGGTGAATGTTCCCCATATACTTGAAAAAAATATGCCATTCATGTGTTTGAGTAGAATGTTCTATAAACATCCATTAGATCCAGTTGCTTGATAATGTTGTTCTAAATTCTTGCGGTTTTCTATCCATTTATCATTTACAGATAAATGTTGAAGTTCTCTATTGTGAATCTGTATGTTTCTTCTTTCTCTTCTGTCAGATTTTTCCATTTATAAAACACTTCGTTAGACATATCCCCATTTGAGATTGTTGTGTCTTTTAGGTGAATTGATCATTTTATCTTTATATACTATCTCTTTTTGTTTTGTTAGTTTTCTTTGTTCTAACCTCTGTTTTGTCTCCAGCTTACTACTGATTTGTTTTTGCATGGTATAACTTTTTTCCATGTTTCTAATTGTAGCCTATCTATATCATTGTTCTTAAAGTGGGTTTACTTTAGATGGCGTTGGTTTATTACCTTTTAATACATTATCCAAATCTAGTCTCTTTCATTAGTGCTTTAAGACCACTTACATTTAATGTAATGAATGATATATTTGGATTTCAGTCTATTTTTTCTTATTTACCTTCTGTTAGTTCCCTCTGCTTTTTATCTCTCTTTTTTCCCTTCCTTTTTCTGCCTTCTGTTTGGGTTATTTAAACATGTGTACAAAGCATTTCACTATAATTTATCTAGTTTCAAGATTATTTATTCATTTATTTACACTAGTCTTTTCACACTAATTTGTTGTCCTGGGGATTAAAATTTACAAACTAAACTTTTATAGTCTTCTTAGAATTAACACACTCCAATTTCAATTGAATATAGAAAGCACTTATTTGTACTTCCAAATGTATTCTGTAATCAATTTGTCTATACATTGTTTTACTTTTTTCCATAAAAATGCATGGTATTTTAATTGAAATTCTAACAATTTTAAATTAATTTAGGAAAAATTACATTTAATATGTTGAGTTTTTCTTGATATGTGTTGACATTTGTTCAAGACCACCTTTTTTTCAGGAATATTTTTAAGATTTTTGGTTGTTAAAGCTGTTTCTTGTTAAATTTATATGTGGTTCTTTTATTTATCTCTATTCTATCTTAAGTGGGTCATTTTCTTTCCTTATGTATTTATTTTTTGAATGTGCATAAAAAGATACTGATCTTTTGAATATTATTTACATCTCTAGTGAATTTACTAGATTCCCTTATTTTTTCCCATAAATCTGCCAATTTTGTTGAGTTTTATTGGCACATTTATGTGCATGTTTATACCATTTACATCAAAGGTGACATTACTTCTTCCTTTCCAATTTTTATACTCCATTTCTGGTGCCTAATCACATTGGCTAACTTCTCTACAATGGCGTTGAATTGTCATAGAGATGGTGGCCTTCCTTGTCTAGTTCCAGACAAAGGAAAATAACAGAAAAAGTAATAAAGAAGCTGCTGGTGTGTTACAATTAAATCAGAACTCTTGTTTGCTGGAGGGTTACATCTCTATCTAATCTACATCTACGTCTACATCTACTGTGTCAAGGAAATATTTAAGTGCTTTTTACAGGAATTGTCTGTTTAAGGCTTTTTCAGATTTTCTTAAGATGGTTATATGATTTATTTCATTTTTTAGAATTTTATATTTAATTGACAATAAGTAAAAATGATTGTGTACATCACATACACTGTGATGTCTATATACATGTGTACATTGTGGAATGATCAAATCAAGCTAATTAACGTCTATCACCTCACATACTCATTTGTGGTGAGAAAACTTAAAATCTATTCCCTTCACATTTTCAAATATACATTATTATTAACTACAGTCACCATGCTGTGCAATCGATCAGCAGTACTTATTCCTCCAGTCTAACTAAAACTTTGCACCCATTTACCAATGTCTCCCCTTTGCTTTTCACCCCACTCCCCCCACCCCTGGTAACCATCATTCTACTCTCAACTTCTATGAGTTCAACTTTTTTATATTCCAGATACAAGTGAGACCATGTGGTATTTGTCTTTCTGTGCCTGTCTTATTTTACTTAGTGTAATGTCCTCTAGATTCATTTATGTTGATGCAAATGACAGAATTTCCTGTCCTTTTTGGGCTGAATAATGTTCCATTGTGTGTGTGTGTGTGTGTGTGTGTGTATTTACCCCTTCATCCATATTGAACACTTAGGTTGTTTCTGTATCTTGGCTATTGTGAATAATGCTGCAATGGACATGGGAGTGCACATAACTCTTCAGCATACTGATTTCATTTTGTTGGGATATATACCCAGAAGTGGGATTGCTGGATTATATGGTAATTCATTTCTATTTGTTTGAGAAATCTTCATAATGTTTTCCAAAATGGCTGTAATGACTTATATTCTCATCAACAGAGTGCAAGGGTTCCCTTTGCTTCACATCCTTGCCAACACTTGCCATCTTTCATCTTTTTGGTAATAGGCATTCTAACAGGTGTCATTATTGTTTTTATAAATTGCATTTCCCTGATAATTTTTGTACTTAAGCATTTTTTATATATCTATTTGCCATTTGTATGTCTTTTCTTGAGAACTGTCTATTCATGTACTTTGTTTATTTTTAAATAGGGTTATTTGCTTTCTTGTTATTGAGTAATTTGAGTCTCTTATATATTTTAGATATTAACTCCTCATGAGATGGGTTATATGTAATTTTTTTTTCCCAATCTATGGGTTGTCTCTTCATTCTACTGATTTTTTTCCTTTGCTGTGCTGATGCTGTTTAGTTTGATGTAATCCCATTTGTCTATTTTTGTTTTTGTTGCCTGTGCCTTTGTGGTCATATCGAATAAATCACTGCCTAAACCAATGCCATGGGTATTTGGGCTCTTTTTTGGTTCCATATAAATTTTAAAATATTTTTTCTAGTTCTGTGAAGAATATCATTGGCGGTTTGATAGGAATAGCATTGAATCTGTAAATCACTTTGGGCAGTATAGCCATTTTAATGACATTGATTTTTCCTATTAATGAGCATGGGATGTTTTTCCATTTGTTTGTGTCTTCTCTGATTTCTTTGAGCAGTGTTTTGTAATTCTCATTGTAGAGATCTTTCACCTTCCTGGTTAGCTGTATTCCTGGGTAGTGTGTGTGTGTGTGTGTGTGTGTGTGTGTGTGTGTGTGTGGCAATTGTGAATGGGATTTCCTTTTTGATTTAGCTCTCAGTTTAGTTGTTGTTGGTGTATACAAATGCTAGTGCTTTTTGTACATTGATTTTATAGCCTGCAACATTGCTGAAGTTGTTTATCAGCTGAAGTTGATACTGATTTTAATGATAAAAAATTCCTCCAATATATGATAAATCTAGACAATAGGTTTTATTGTATTTTTTGAGATTGTATATGTTTCTTTTATATTTCCTGTTTGATCACAGTATTTAAAATATTTTAATACTATTAAATGCAAAGTATTTTTTAAATTTTGTCATTAATTTCTACTTATATGTGATTTCTGATTAATACATTTGTATTATTCATTTTCTTGTAATGTGTCAAGTTTTTCCTTGTAGTCAACTACAACAAATTTTGTGAATATTCTATTTTTATTTGAAAAGACTGTGTGTGTGTTTATTACCTTCTTAATCATGGTCTTTTCATTTTCTATATCTTTACTAATTTTTGTTGATTTTATTTGTCCTGGATTGAGAATCTGTGTTTTAGATTCTTCATTTTAGTGTATTTTTCTCTAAAGCATTTTTTAGTTTTATTTTCTCTTACAAACTTATTTTTATTTTTTCTTGAAGCTCTGTATTTTCTTCCTCATGAAGATTTTTGCTGCATTATTGAGGCTATAGACATTAATATCTGGTGTTTTCTTTGAGTATTAAAGCTTTTAATATTATAAAGTGAACTAGAATCTATTATGATTTTATTCTGAAAGTAATCATGCTAGACACTAATATTTTATTCTTCACTCTCTTCCTACTTCTCCATAGTTCATCATTGTCACGTTTTTATGTTTAGGCTTTCTGGATTTCATTGTTTTAGGTTTGTCTCGAGTGTTCTGGATAGGGTGAGTAAGCCTCTCTAACTTTTTAAATATTATCAATACGTTTGGCTTCAGTTCTCTTGTGGTCATTTCTATTTTATTTTTTTCTATCACTTTTTATTATTTAAGTTTTATACTTTCGTTCAAATGCTCAAATTTTTATACTTACTTTTGTATGTAATGTTCTCATCTCTGTCCCCCAAATTTGGATACGGTATATCGGTTCCCTACTATTAGCTATAATGAACTTTACCAGTCAACTCTTCTTCCTCCTTTTCTCCTTTTCCTCCAAGATTTAATGTGAAGTAAAAATCTTTTATACCCATAGTTTTGTAGTTCAACTCTATCTTCTTTATGAGACATATACAATACCTTTTTCATTATGATGTTCATTTTATTTCAGTTTACCAGAAAAAAACAATATTAATTTACTACTCATGGCTAAATTTTTAAGTTGGTGTCCTCCTTTTTTTAAATTATATGAAGCTTGCTTTCTAATAGATATTTCTCTTTTTAAGTTATCTCTTTAGTATTTGCTTGGCTAAATGTCATCTTACTGAAAACCAAAAACTAAATTCAAATTTTCACAAAAATAGCTAACCCCAGTAATGATTTCTGTATCTGATGTTATATAGATTTTTATTGAGGGGAATTTCACTAGAATGGAAAGTTTTTTCTCTACACCCCAGAGTGTGATATCATTACTCATTTGTATCCACTCTTAATTTTCTTTCTAAGTTGGAGCTTGTCTTTTACTTGTGAACACTTTTATCACTTCCACTTGCCCTCACTCACTCTTTTCTCCCTTTGCCTCTTTTTAGCACTTCTCTTCAGGGTTTAGCTAAGTGCCACATGTGTTTGCAAAAATCTAAATCTTGGGAACACCTGGATATTTCTGCCTATGTAGGTGATTGCCTTTTTTGTTGATTGCTTCTGGTGTGCTTTTTTGGTTCTCACTCTCCATCAAAGATTAGTTTTTCAAGTTATGAGTTCTTGGAGGAAGATGCTATGTGAAACATAACTTTACCATCTTTAGCTGCAATCTTAATTCCACTTGATCACACAAATCTTGCTTTCCTATTTGTATTGACTATATCTCCTCTATGGTTTAACTTATCCATGTAAGGAATAGCAGTTCTGCCATTGCCTGTACAGAGATGAAAGTGTTCTTGATCTAAATGAGTGTTTTCAAGTCAGATGACTTTTTATATTTATTTTCTAAAGAAATAATACAATATTTATCATTTAATAGTTTAAAAGTATATTAATATATCCCTACCATTACTTGAGAAAATGACATATGGAGATAATTGTATCCCAATATGAAAATAAAGAGGTATGGATATTTTTTAGACATAAAATATGGGTAGGACATAAGTGGCCACAAATACTAAAGTGTTTCTTTTTCTACTTACATTACAGTGTGAAAAAGTTAGTCTAGCACTAGATGAGTAAGAGTCAAATAAGACAATGATTAGGAAGACAGTGTCTGGGAAGCCAACATTCAAAGAGCTACTAAACTATAAATTAACTCAAATTTCCCAATGCTTTAATAGTAAATTGATACTCTATCAAATAATCATATCTTATTAATAAAGCAGCATCATTACAACTGAAAAAATTATGCAAGAGTAAAATGAATCATTTGTGACTTTCTGAGAAAAATATATTTTGGTTATCTTTAGAAGAAAACAATTGATCTGCAGTCGAATTACCTTAGCAAAATAAATTTAAAATTAGATTTGGAGTCAGCTAACAATTGCGATTTGCATTTCAAAATAATTTGTTAGGAATTCAAAGTATATTATTTCATATAAGTTGAAATACAAATTGAGACATCTGCCAAATTTTACCTCAAAGATGGAGTAATTCATTGAATCATTTATGATTTGAAATACTGTTTTTTACCTTTTCTCAGGTTAACAAAAATCATGAGAACTGCTTTATCGAACACCAATTTTTGCCAGGCTAAGCATTACATATGCATATACACAAATACACACACATACTGTGTATATTACATGTATGTACTCTCTACTTCACAAAAAATACTTGCAAGAAAATATTTATAAACCCATTTTACATGTGAAAAAATAGGCTCAAAAAGGTTGGTTACATTTCCCTCAGTTAAAGAGCTCATATACTGCAGAGGTGATAACCAAACCTGTTCCATCTATTCTACATCTTTCTGATGCTGCTCTACGTTTTCAAACTTCAATATAAAAAATGGTTAGCAATTATATTTATATAGATATTTGCAGTGTGTGAAGGAGATGAGAAAACATTTAAATTAACTTAGAGTGATCTCACTGACTTTTACTTTCAAGCACCTAGGATGTTCTCATGCAAATAGCTCTTGTCAATACATTTTTTTCATATAGCACTGAAGATAATGATGGATCATTTTCAATTAAAAATCTAATGTCTCAGACAGACGGAATCATGAATCTACATTCTTTTAAGTTACAAGAAATAATATAATGAGATATGCATACAACACTACCAGTAATAAGCCTGAGATATGGTAAATTTAGTGCAATAAGTTGTTCATAAATGTGTCTCTATGGAATAATAAAAGGTACAGAGAGAGACAATAGTAGGTGTACAAAAGATGCTCTTAACAGTCTTGTTTCAAAGTCCAGACCCTTTTGAGTAGTAAATAACTATAAATGACCTCCTATTTGAAAATAACAATTAGTTAGCTGAGTCTTATTATTTACAATTGTTTAGACTATTCCATCAATTTATCCTTTTACAGTGCTTTCCAATGTGTCTGCTAGAATATTTAGTGTTTTCCTTACTTCCTTTATTGTCTCTCAATATAAATACCCCTTAATATGCTAAATACCTTCTCTTCTATTTTCATCAGAAGCTGATTCTCGAAGGAATGATACATACATTATCGTCATCTTATTCAATTCCCATTCACTTTTCAACAGACTAAAATAAGAAATCCATATTCACTACTATTTTCAGGGATTGATATCGCTCTACTTTCCCTGACAATTGTTTCCACAACCCTGGAATTTCCTTCCTCCTTTTTATATTTCCACAAATTCTTTCACCACTCAGCTAGAACACTCACTTTCGTAGACCAAGAAACTTAGTTCAGTCATCAACTTGTCATTTTTTTTATGTGTCTTCTAGGGTAAACAAATTTTGTTAAGTATTAAGGAATTACTTGCTCAAGGGACATTTATTCTCTATTGTCCAAAAACTCTGAGTCCTAATTTGTTTGCTCTTCTAGTCACCTCTAATGACAGCCCTGTTGATATTTAGCTTAGAGGGTACTTTCTTAATTGAGCTGAAATATATTAGAGAGAAAAACACACAAATCAAGGGCAAGTCAGAATGTAAAGTTGTTCCTAAAATGGCAGGACAATTATAGTAAAATAGGCCAGGTGCAATGGCTCACGCCTGTATTCTCAGCACTTTGGGAGGCCAAAGCGGGTGGACCACTTGAGGTCTGGAGTTTGAGACTAACCTGGCCAACATGGTGAAACCCCATCTCTATTTAAAAAAATACAAAAATTAGCCAGGTGTTGTGGTATGCAGCTGTAATTCCAGCTACTTGGGAGGCTGAGGCAGGAAAATCACTTGAACCCAGGAAGCAGACGTTGCAGTGAGCCGAGATCTCACCACTGCACTCCAGCCTGGGCAGCAAAGCGAGACTCCAACTCAAAAAATATGTATATATGATAAAATAAGAGCAAACATATTTTATATCACAAGGCAAGTTAGTTACAGTAAATTGCAGGTGCAGATGAAGTAGTTATCAAGGAGCTTAAGTACTGAATCTGAAAGAAACTCCAGCTTTATTTACAGTGAATACTGTAAATAAGACATTTTCTATATTATTATAACAAATTTTTGTAAGTATATTTTTCTTATTTATAATTCAGTATTTTTGTATTAAGGTGCATTGATTAATGATAATTTACTTTCTATCTCAATTATGAAGATGTATAATTTCTCTTTTTTTTCTCTTTTTTCTTTCCAATGTTTATTTTAAGTTCAGGGATACATGTGCAGGATGTGCATGTTTATTACATAGATAAACATGTGCCATGGTGGTTTGCTGCACAGATCATCCCATCAACCAGGTATTAAGCCCAGCATGCATTAGCTATTCCTCCTGATGCTCCTCCTCCTCCCAGCCCCATCCTCTGACAAGCCCTAGTTTGTGTTTTTTCTTATCATGTGTCCATGTGTTCTCATCATTCAGCTCCCACTTATAAGTGAGAACACTTATTTTGTTTTCTGTTCCTGAATTAGTTTGCTAAGGATAATGGCCTCCAGCTCCATCCATGTTTCTGCAAAGGACACAATCCCATTCCTTTTCATTGCTGCATAGTATTCTGTGGTGTATATGTACCATATTTTCTTTATCCAGTCTATTACTGATGGGCATTTGAATAAGAATGTAAGAATAACTTATATTCTTTTGGGTATATAACCAGTAATGAGACTGCTTGATTGAACGGCATTTCTGCTTCTAGGTCTTTGAGGAATCACTATATTGTCTTCCACAATGGTTGAACTAATTTACACTCCCATAAACAGTGTAAAAGCATTCCTTTTTCTTCAGACCACGGCAGCATATGTTGTTTATTGACTTTTCAATAATCGCCATTGTGACTGGTATGAGATGGTATTTTATTATGGTTTTGATATGCATTTCTCTAATGATTAGCAATGTTGACCTTTAAAGCCAGAGTGGCTCCTTTCCTCCAAATGACCACAACACCTTTCCAGCAAGGGCTCAGAACTGGACTGAGGCTGAGATGGCTGAAATGACAGAAGCAGGCTTCAGAATGTGGATAAAAACAAACTTTGCTGAGCTAAAGGTATCTGTTGTAACCCAGTGCAAAAAAGCTAAGAATCATGATAAAACAATGGAGGAACTGAAAGCCAAAATAGGTGCAATACAGAGGAACATGACCAACCTGATAGAGCTGAAAGACACACTACAAGAACTTCATAGTGCAATCACAGTATTAATAGCAGACTAGACCAAGAATATTAGAGGTTGAAGACTCTCTGTCTGAAATAAGACAGGCAGACAAGAATAGAGAGATAAGAATAAAACGGAATGAACAAAACGTTTGGAAAATATGGGATTATGTAAAGAGATGGAATCTACAACTAATTGCGGTACTTGAACGAGACAGGGAGAATGGAAGCGATTTGGAAAATATACTTCAGGATACCATCAAGGACATCTTCCCCACCTAGCAAGACAAGCCAACATTCAACTTCAGAAAATGCAACAAACCCCAGTAAGATGCTCCATGAGAAGATCATCCCCAAGATACATAATCATCAGATTCTCCAAGGTCGACATGAAAGAAAAAATGGCAGCCAGAGAGAAAGGCCAGGTCACCTACAAATGAAAACCCATCAGACTACAGAGGACCTCTCGGGGGAAACCCTATAAACTAGAAGAGATAGGGGGGCCAATATTCAACATTCTTAAAGAAAGAATTTTCAACCTAGAATTTCACATATGGCCAAACTAAGCTTCATAAGCAAAGGAGAAATAAGATCCTTTTCAGACAAGCAAATGCTGAAGGAATTTATTACCACCAGACCTGCCTTATCAGAGCTCCTGAAGGAAGCACTAAATATGGACAGGAAAAACTGTTACCAGTCACTACAAAAACACACTGAAGTACACAGACCAGTGACACTATGAAGCAACTACATAAACAAATCTGCAAAATAACCAACTAGCATCATGATAACAAGATTTTTTTTTTTTTCTTAAGACAGGATCTCACTCTGTCACCCAGGCTGAGTGCAGTGGCACAATCACGGCTCACAGCAGCCTCGACCTGTCAGGCTCAAGCGATCCTCAGCCTGCCAAGTAGCTGGAGCTACAGGCACATGTAATATGCCCAGCAAATTTTTGTACTTTCAGTAGAGATGGGGTCTTGCTATGTTGTACAGGCTGGTCTTGAACTCTTCAATTCAAGTGATCTGCTCACCTGGGCCCCACAAAGTGCTGGGATTACAGGCATAAGCCACTGTGCTCAGAAAGATGTACAATTTCTACTTGGCATTCTTACTGCCCTAATATTAATGAGTTTTTTTATTATGGGAAGAATTAAAATTTTGACATTGTGACGGGGCCTTCCTAAAGACCCAGAGCACTTCTGGATATTATTAGATAGAAAAATCTTTTGTAAATGATTATACAGTGAATAGGATACTACACTGTCCATGACTTGGGGATTAAACTCCAAGAGAGGGTTTTGTGAAATGTGCATTATTTTGTGCTGAGGAGGTAGCAGCTTCATCATGGACCTGGTGCCCATCAGTCGGTTATTAGCCAAAGACATTCATGCCTTTCAGCCTCCCCATAAGCTCAGCTATTTACTAGTTACTCCATAATCCCATTTCTCTCTTGTCAGCATTTAAAAAAAAAAAAACTTTATACTAGGTTTGCAATTAGTTGACTATAATATTACCAAGGAATCTGTCAGTAATTTATATAGTTGCTACTTACCAATGTAATCACATTTGCCTCTCTAGTGTAACATTTAAAAGAATGAGACAAATAGTTTTGGTCACTTACAATGTACTTTTAGTTTTTAGTTCTTTATCTTTGTAACTTTTTTTATTGAAGCATAAAAAGAATTTGGAAAAATTCTCAAACACCAGGACATAGAATCACAGTAAATCACAATCTGCCCGACCCCATGATCCTTTTAGGCAATTAACTCCGATGACAACCACATTCTTACCTGAAACGATAGATAGATTTTGCTTGTCCTTGATATTATATTACTGGAATTATAAGATATGCATGTTTTTTGCCTCTGGCTTATTTCATCAAAATCTTTGTGAATTTTATACAAATTTATGTGCATAGTTGTATTTTGTTTGTTTTCAGTTCCACAGAATACAAATATACCACAATTCATAAACTCATTTTATTGCATACAGAGCGTAAGTGATAATTCTAGAAAATGTCCTTTGTTGAAGGTATGTACACATTTATGTTTGGTATGATTGCAAATATGAGACATATGGTATAAATATGTTCAATAGATACTATCAAAAAGTGTTCCAATGTGGTTTTTTTTTAATGAAACTCTCGGCAGATTTAATTTTTTTAATTGTGGTAAAATATACTTAATATAAAATTTGTTATATTCAACTATTTTTATGTGTACAATTTATTGGCATCAATTACAACATAATGTTGTGCAACCATTACTACTATCTTTTTCCAAAAATTTCCTCACCTAAACAGAAACACTGTACCCATTAAGCAATATCTTTCCATTTCTGCCTTTCCCCTGGTAATCTCTTGTACATTCTTTTTCAATGAATTTGCCTTGTCTGGATAATTCATGTAAGTGGTATCATGTAATATTTTCCCAGGCAACTTACATCACTTAGCACAGTATTTTCAAGGTTCATTCATGCGGTAGCATGTATCAGAACATCATTTCTTTCTCGGACTGAATAATATTCCATTGCATTCATATACCACATTTTCTTTATACATTCTTCTGTTGACGGACATTTGGGTTATTTCAATCTTTTGGCTATTGTAAATAATGCTGCAATGAACATTGGTATAAAAGTATCTGTTTGAGTCCCTGGGTATATATCTGAAAGTGGAATTACCAAGTTCTATGGTAATTGTGTAGAGGTATTTAGCTTTTTGAGACACCATCAAGCTATTTTTCACAGCAACTGCACTATTTACACTTCCATCTGAAATTTATGAGTGTTCTAATTTCGGCACATCCTGGAAATTTGTTAGTTTCTTAATTAATTAAATATTTTTTATTATAACCATATTAGTAGGCATGAAGTAATATCTCATTGATTATGATTTCCATTTCCCAAATGATTAATGATGTTGAGCATCTTTTCATATGCTTATTGCGCATTTATAAATATTATTTGAAGAAATGTAAACTTAAGCCAATTACAAAAATTTTATTGGATTGTCCCTTTGTTGTTGAATTGTAATTCTTTATATATTCTGGATATTGAATATTTATCAGATATATGATTTTCAAATATTTTCTCCCATCTTGTAGGTAGTCTTTTCACTTTCTTGATAATGTCCTTTGTTGCACAAAAGATTCTAATTTTGTTAAATAATTTGTTAATTCTTTTGTTTCTTGTACTTTTGGTGTCATATCTAAGATTTCCTTGACAAATCTAAGGTTAAGAATATTTATCTGCATGATTTCCTTTAAGAATTTTATGATTTTGTCTCTTATATTTAAGTCCTTGACCCATTTTGAGTTCATTTTTTAATACAGCTTAACTTTTTTTTTCTGCATGTGGAAATTCAGTTACTGTAGCACCATTTGTTGAAGCCAGCGGTAATTATGAGTGTTTCAATTATTCCACATTCTCATAAAGATGTAGTGTTCTCTGTGCTTCTATTTTTCTGTTATGTAAGGGTTTTATACTTTGGTTATAATTTGTATTTAAATGTACAATTATATTTACTGTGAAGGTCAGTACCCTTTCATATGTTTATTGGACATTTGGATGTCCTATTTTATAAAGTGCATGTTCTAGCATTTGTCTCACTTTTCAAATGTGAAATGCTAATTTGTTTATATATGTTGGATAAGAGGCTTTTGTGGCTTAATTTCTTATTCTCTTAATGGTGACTTTTGAAATTCTTAGTTGTATTATAATAAAATTTTTCATCTCTTTTCATTGTGATTAATCCTTTTCGGTGTTAAATTTTTTTGCTAGCCCAAATTCATAAAGATATTTTTCTGTACTGTCTTCTAGCAGTGTTAATTTGTACATTTATATTTCCACTCAATTTGTATTTATTTTGTATATAGTATAATATAGGAATCTATTAATAGATTCTTTTTTGAAAATATCAATAAACATATAAGTGGCCCAGCAGCAATTATTGAAAAGGCCATTTTTCTCTTATTGTACTCTAGTGTTTCACTTTCATGTATCAGGCAACTGTATGTATGTGCAACTGCTTTTAAATACACTTTTACATTTTTTTGATCAGCTTGTCTATACTTTTACCAATTTTACACTGTGCTAATTACTAGAGCGTTGCAATAAATCTTGATATAAATTGGAATGAGTCATTTAGCTTTCTTTTTCCTCTTAACATTGTTTGGCTATGTAAGACCCTTCATATTTCTAAACTGACATTGGAAAGAATTTGCCAACCTCAACAAAACAACAGAAAATTGTACCTAGTTTTGATCGATATCACATTGGATCTAAATATTTAGAAAGAATTGTGATTTGTATAATGTTATGTATTTTCATAAAATCACATTGTATACCTGTACTTGTACAGGTTTGTTGTACATATGTATGTCGTGTATGTATATACACAAAAATATATTCTGCTATTTCTTACAGCACAGTTTTGCAGCATTTGGTGTCAATTTAAATATATTTTATTATAATTATTCTCAGTTATTTGATATTCTTAATTTTATTATGAATATTTTAAACTTTTATTTTCTAATTTTTATTGCATATAAGAAAAATTAATCTATATATTGACTTTTATACAACCAACATGCTAAATTTATTTATTGATTCCTATAGTTTGCCAATGGATGCTTTTGGATTTTCTATATATGTAATTGTATGATCTCTGAATAATGAGAGTTATTTCTTCCTTTGTAATCTTGTGGTCTTTATTTCTTTTTCTTTTATTACTACACTAAGTAGAACTTGTAATATCATTAATAGAATTTGTAAGATCAGGGACACATGGCATTTCTGATGCCAAAGGAAATACATTCAACAATTCACTGTAACTATAAAATTTACAGTATGTTTTTGGTTAATATTCTTCGTCATATTGTATAAATTTCCATCTACTTACATATTATCATGAAACATATTGATGGTTGCTTAATTTTATCAAATATTCTTCCTAAATATATCAATAATATGTTTTCTTTTTATTAATATGTAATAAATTCTATTCATTGATTGAAAAATATTAAGCTGCTCTCACATTCCTGTAATAAACCTTAATTGGCTTTGTGATATATTATCAGTTTTCATAAATATATGAATACAGTTGACCCTTTAACAACATAGGTTTGAGCTGCATGGGTCCACTTATATACAGATTTTCTTTTTGCCACTGCCACACCTGAGACAGCAAAACCAAACCCTCCTCTGCCTTTTCCTCCTCAGCCTAGTCAATATGAAGACAATGAGGATAAAGACCTTTCAAACGATTCCACTTCCACTTGATGAATAATAAATATATTTTATGTTCCTTATTTTTTTAATAAAATTTTCTTTTCTCTAGCTTGATTTATTGTAAGAACACAGTATATAATACATACAACATACAAAATATGTGTTAATCAACTGTTTATATTATCAGTAAGGCTTCTAGTCAACAGTATGCTATGAGTAGTTACATTTTGGGGGAGTCAAAAGTTACGCACAAATTTTCAATTGCATGGATAGGTCAGCATCCCTAACCTTCACATTGTTCAAGGGTCAGTTGTAAAATGATTTCATCAGTGTTGGTAATACATTATTCTGTGATTTTTTTTCTACTGATGTTCTTGCCAAAGTTTACTATAAAGAATATGATAGCTTTAAAACAGGACATGTGAAGTGTTCTCATGCTTTTTATGTTCCCTAAAATACTTTTTGTAATATCAGTGCTATTTATTTTCTAAAAATTAGAAATAATTCATAGGGCACATCCTGTGTACCTCAAATTGTGTTGAGGGTATTAATGAATTCATTGTTTTACATATATATAGGACTATTTAGGCTTTCTATTTCTTCTTGAGTCTGTTTCAACAAGTTTTTCTTTTGTGATATATGCATATGTCATATAAAGTATCAAATATATTGGCCTGAAATATTTTTAATCTTCTTCTCTTTAATTTGTAAGAAAGACCTATAGTAATTATCCAGTTTTCATTAGTGATATTAGAATGTATTTCTTTATTTGATTTTACTTTTTCTTTTTTTTTTTTTATTATACTTTAAGTTTTAGGGTACATGTGCACATTGTGCAGGTTAGTTACATATGTATACATGTGCCATGCTGGTGCCCTGCACCCACTAACTCGTCATCTAGCATTAGGTATCTCTCCCAGTGCTATCCCTCCCCCCTCCCCCCACCCCACCACAGTCCCCAGAGTGTGATATTCCCCTTCCTGTGTCCATGTGATCTCATTGTTCAGTTCCCACCTATGAGTGAGAATATGCGGTGTTTGGTTTTTTGTTCTTGTGATAGTTTACTGAGAATGATGTTTTCCAATTTCATCCATGTCCCCACAAAGGACATGAACTCATCATTTTTTATGGCTGCACAGTATTCCATGGTGTATATGTGCCACATTTTCTTAATCCAGTCTATCATTGTTGGACATTTGGGTTGGTTCCAAGTCTTTGCTATTGTGAATAATGCCGCAATAAACATACGTGTGCATGTGTCTTTATAGCAGCATGATTTATAGTCCTTTCAAACATAAAAAAATGGTAATTTTGTATATATCCAGGAATCTACTATAATAATTATCAAGTCATGATCAATCTTGTTAATTTATCTATACTCCCACCCATTTTGAAACTGCATTGTCCATATTATTTTGAATTAAATCCCATGAATCTTATGATTTCATTTATACATATGTTTGTGTGTGTGTTTTTTTTTTTTTTGGCAGAGTCTCACTCACTCTGTTGCCCAAGCTGTAGCTAGAGTACAGTGGCATGATCTCAGCTCACTGGAACCTCTGCCTCCCAGGTTCAAGCAATTCTCCTGCCTCAGCCTCCCAAGAAGCTGGGATTCTGGGAGTGGTGGCACATGCCTGTAATCCCAGCTACTCATGAGAATCACTTGAATCTGGAGGCAGAGGTTGCAGTGAGCCAAGATCGTGCCACTGCACCCCAGGCTAGGTGAAAAAGTGAGACTCCATCTTGAAAAAATAAATAAAAATAAATACATTAAAAAGTACGCAAATTCAACTTCCGGGGTGTTTGTCCATTTTCCTAACTTTTTAAAAAGTAATTCTTTTCTTGTGTTACTTTTTCCTCTGTCATCGTGGTAGTTAGTTAACACTAGTAGGACCCCATGGGTTATGCTTCAGTGTTTATGCCTTTTTGTAGTTAATTCCTCCTGAATCCAAGCTTAGCTTATAACTCAAAGACTTTAGAATAGAATATAGCAAAAATATTGCTGTGCAATCCTAGCCTAGGCTTTAACAAAGTATAAAACTTCTACTTACGAACTCTTAGAAGTCCTAAAGTTTCACATGAGAATTCTAGATGAAACTGTGTAAAGAGAAAATATGAAGAGGTCATGTGGAGAGAGAACCTTGAGAACTGAAGAATCCAGACATTCCTCGAATCTAGCTCTTCTAGCCAGCCCTCCACCGCCCAATCTCCCTTGCTGAGGCACCAAAAAGCTAACGAAGCTGTTGCAGCCTTTCCAGTGACAGCAGGCACTGAAGCGAGCGTAGATAAGCCCACTGCCTCTGTAAAATCCTGACCCTCAGAATCATGAGAAATAACAAGTGATTGCTGTTTTAAGCCACAATATTTTAAAGGTAGTTTGTTCCATGGAAGAAGATTAACAAAAGATAGAATGACACCAGAAGAGGGGTGCTTCAGCAACAAAATATCAAAATATGCAGCACTGGCTTTATGATCAGGTGGAAGTTATGGACTAAAAACCTTGAGGAAACTGTTAGAAAGAGCAAAAAACAAATGGACCTTAATGATATTGGCACAAAAATCAGTGAAGCTGCCACCTTCTTATGTGGAAGATAGCAAATGTGGCTAATAAACTTGCAAATCTGGCTAATAAAATTTCCGGGCAGAGTGGTGAATGCACCAAGTGGTTCCTTTAATTGCCTACAATAAAGAATGTGAGAAGTGAGATGAGCTAAAAGAGGAATTGCTGGAATTTTTTTTTCTCGATATGCCCTCAATCCATTCTAGTACTGTAAAGGCAACATTCTATGGGTTGTTGGTTTCTCTGAAGGAAATGAAAGTAAGCAACAAGAAGGCATCCAGGGAGAAATCATTCCACAGAAGTAATAGGTAGCATTTCGGATGTTACGCTTTTATTAGCATCATCATATCTTAATAATGAGAGGACCTCTGGAGGTCTTTTAGCTCTTTGGAAACAGGTCCACGCATATTTGAAATATTGAAAACTGATCCAGAGCAGAAGAATAAATTTCCCAATATCACACAAGCTGGTGAGAAGCAGAGCTGAAAATAAAATCTAATTTTCCTGGCATCCTTCCTGCTGCACAGCATTGAAGTTCTCTTCCTTTTGCAAAGTGAGACAGGGTAGTGATAGAGATATCTCAATGCTTAACTATCAAACTGAACCCAGGCTGCTTGATAGCGTCACAGGGAGAAATAATCTAAAGGGCTGAAATGAAGACAGGAAAATAGTTCTCAGCAAGTGGCATCAACTTATTTGGTATTTTTTTCTCAGCTTATTGTTACAGACATGTTAGTGGCAAATCTGAGAAGGTTCTTTTGTGAATCAGGTTATGGCTATGATTGTTCAAAAAGCTCATTACCAATTTATGAAAAGCAGCAAAACTCATTTTCTCTTAATGTGAAATCACTTCAGCCTGTCAGTAGAGAAAGAACTGTTGAAAAGTGAATTGACCACATACGGATCCATTCTTTCTTTTAAAAAGAAATGAAAAAGTCATCTAAAAGGGAAATATCTCTCAATAATGAGATATATCTAACACTCAGCCGGAGTTAAGCCCCAGTTAAGATGGTTTTCTGAATTGGGCTACTTTTCTCATTTGCCTACTGTGGGTACCACACAGGTAGACTTCATAAACCTGAGTTATCTGTCTACTAAAGAGCAGCAGGGGCTCTTTGACTCAGGATTTCATTAAAACAACAAAAGGATTTTGGGGAATAACTGAATTCACTCTCTGGAACTAGAGATACATAGTTTAATACATACATATTCTTTCCATAAATTGAATGACTTAAGTGATCAAAATGAGTTCTGATCACAATTCCTGGTTCCTCCACATTAAGAAATAAACAATGATTGTTACCCATAGTGGCCGTAGAGATAGGTCTATGCTGAGTGACACTGTTTTTCTGTGTTCTGTCTATGGTTCCTATGACCTCTCTCATGCTCTGTCACTTGGGATAGCTAGCTCTTATTCTAGAGTCTTTCAAAGTCTTATTTTTCACACCAGAGCATTTGGCCAAGGTTCAGCATTTAACCACTGTGTCTTTGTCTTTTTTTTCCTATAGCTTTATCTTCCACTCTCCATTGAAAATCCCTGGATATCTACTTAATTCATTAAAGTCAGGAGAGGTTGTGGGCACTGCAGCTTTCTGATTATTTTAAGATTGGCTATCTGCATTATCTCTGCCATGATCATCATTGGTCTAATCCCTCACTTATTTGTTTGTTTATTTTTAAGGACTTAATTACTTTAGAGCAGTTTTCGGTTCATAGCAAAACTGAAAGGATGTAACAGGGATTTCCCATAAGTCCTCTGCCCCCTCACATGCAGAGCCTTTCATTATCAATATCCCCTACCAGCATGGGACAGTTGTTACAAATGATGAACCTACATTGACATATCATAATCACCAAACTCCATAGTTTACATTAGGGTTTACCCTCACTGCTGTACATTACATAAGTTGGAAAAATTTATAATGATATGTGCCACCATTAAGGTACCATGCAGAGTATTTTCCCTGCTCTAAAAATAGTCTCTGCTCTATGTATTCAACCTCTTCACCCCCAACTCCTGGCAACCACTGATCTTTTTACTGTTTTCATAATTTTGCCTTTTCCGGAATGTTGTATCATTGGAAATTTACAGATCGGCTTCTGCGACTAAGGAACATGCACTTAAGATTCTGACATGTTTTTTCATAGCTTGATAGCTCATTTCTTTTTAGTGCTGAATAACATTCTATTGTTTGGATGTAATGCAGGCTATTTATCCTTTCACCTTCTGAAGGACGGATATCTTGGTTGCTTTCCAAGTTTGGGCAATTAGCAATAAAGGTGCTTTAAGCATTCACACGCAGGCTTTTGTGTGAACAAATATTTTCCATTTCTTTGGGTAAATACCAAGGAATGTGATTACTGGTTAGTATGGTAAGAGTATGTTTAGTTTTGTAAGAAACTGCCAAACTCTCTTCTAAAGAAGCTGTACCATTTTGCATTTCCGCCAGCAACAAATGAAAGCTCCACTCCAGCATTTGGTCACGACGGTATTCTGGATTTTCCTGGATGCTAACAGATGTACTGCTCCTTTGTTTTTTGATAAATGAGTACATGTATCTTCAGAGGAGAAGTGTGCTAGTTGCTTATAGCAAGAGTATAAATCAACAACATCTTCATGAAGCAACAGTTGTATAATTTTAAGACATTAAGATAGATTTATAGTAAATTGATCACGAATATTTTATAGAATATAATGAAAAAATTGATAGGTTTTAGATATAATTACAGATTCCAAAAGTATTGTTTGAAATGAGCCACTAACTCCATTATCCACTGAGGACAATTTTATAAAAAAATATGAGACCAATAACAATAATAACAAAAACAAAAACTTGATACCTATAGGTGTATTTACATTTTGAAAAGCTATTAAATTCTATACTTTTAAATCTAAACTGCATTGCTCACTGATGTATCTATTTGTGTGTGATCAGCAAACAGGTTTAACACTTTTCGGTTTATATTTTTCTTCATATATATGATAATTCACTCAGTTGAGTGTTTCTAAGTGAACATCCATCATTTGTTAATATCTTATAAGGCCATGTAATCAGACAAGGCCTAATTCTTGAATCTGAATGCCTAAGATACGTGTTCTGGTGTGACCACAACTACACTTTCTAGGTATTTATTGAAAATGAGACTACCACATATCTGCATAAGAACCTTCAGGAGCATGCCATCAGGAAAAAAACAAAAAACAAAAACAAAACAAAACAAAAAAAAAACAGTGTGAGAACAGTGACCAGCAAACTAGACTCCAGGAATCCCCTGAAACAAGTTTTCATCTCAGCACTTAAGTCATTCTTTAAAATAATGTTATAAATTGCGCACTTGATTCTCTAGATTCTAATTATTCTAATTTTAAGCCATTAAACGCATAGTTAACCATGACACTTCCATAATCCTTTCGTTTTTTTTTTATTGTACTTTAAGTTTTATGGTACATGTGCACAATGTGCAGGTTTGTTACATATGTATCCATGTGCCATGTTGGTGTGCTGCACCCATTAACTCATCATTTAGCATTAGGTGTATCTCCTAATGCTGTCCCTCCCCCCTCCCCCCACCCCACAACAGTCCCCGGAGTGTGATGTTCCCCTTCCTGTGTCCATGCGTTCTCATTGTTCAATTCCCACCTATGAGTGAGAACATGTGGTGTTTGGTTTTTTGTCCTTGCGATAGTTTACTGAGAATGATGATTTCCAATTTCATCCATGTCCCTACAAAGGACATGAACTCACCATTTTTTATGGCTGCATAGTATTCCGTGGTGTATATGTGCCACATTTTCTTAATCCAGTCTATCGTTGTTGGACATTTGGGTTGGTTCCAAGTCTTTGCTATTGTGAATAGTACCACAATAAACATACGTGTGCATGTGTCTTTATAGCAGCATGATTTATAGTCCTTTGGGTATATACTCAGTAATGGGATGGCTGGGTCAAATGGTATTTCTAGTTCTAGATCCCTGAGGAATTGCCACACTGACTTCCACAATGGTTGAACTAGTTTACAGTCCCACCAGCAGTGTAAAAGTGTTCCTATTTCTCCACATCCTCTCCAGCACCTGTTGTTTCCTGACTTTTTAATGATGGCCATTCTAACTGGTGTGAGATGGTATCGCATTGTGGTTTTCATTTGCATTTCTCTGATGGCCAGTGATGACGAGCATTTTTTCATGTGTTTTTTGGCTGCACAAATGTCTTCTTTTGAGAAGTGTCTGTTCATGTCCTTCGCCCACTTTTTGATGGGGTTGTTTGTTTGTTTCTTGTAAATTTGTTTGAGTTCATTGTAGATTCTGGATATTAGCCCTTTGTCAGATGAGTAGGTTGCGAAAATTTTCTCCCATTTTGTAGGTTGCCTGTTCATTCTGATGGTAGTTTCTTTTGCTGTGCAGAAGCTCTTTAGTTTAATTAGATCCCGTTCGTCAATTTTGGCTTTTGTTGCCACTGCTTTTGGTGTTTTAGACATGAAGTCCTTGCCCATGCCTATGTCCTGAATGGTAATGCCTACGTGGTCTTCTAGGGTTTTTATGGTTTTAGGTCTAACATGTAAGTCTTTCATCCATCTTGAATTAATTTTTGTATAAGGTGTAAGGAAGGGATCCAGTTTCAGCTTTCTACATATGGCTAGCCAGTTTTCCCAGCGCCATTTATTAAATAGGGAATCGTTTCCCCATTTCTTGTTTTTGTCAGGTTTGTCAAAGATCAGATAGTTGTAGATATGCGGCATTATTTCTGAGAGCTCTGTTCTGTTCCATTGACCTATATCTCTGTTTTGGTACCAGTACCATGCTGTTTTGGTTACTGTAGCGTTGTAGTATAGTTTGAAGTCAGGTAGCGTGATGCCTCCAGATTTGTTCTTTTGGCTTAAGATTGACTTGGCGATGCAGGCTCTTTTTTGGTTCCATATGAACTTTAAAGTCGTTTTTTCCAATTCTGTGAAGAAAGTCATTGGTAGCTTGATGGGGATGGCATTGAATCTATAAATTACCTTGGGCAGTATGGCCATTTTCATGATATTGATTCTTCCAACCCAAGAGCATGGAATGTTCTTCCATTTGTTTGTATCCTCTTTTATTTCATTGAGCAGTGGTTTGTAGTTCTCCTTGAAGAAGTCCTTCATGTCCTTTGTAAGTTGGATTCCTAAGTATTTTATTCTCTTTGAAGCAATTGTGAATGGGAGTTCACTCCTGATTTGGCTCTCTGTTATTGGTGTATAACAATGCTTGTGATTTTTGTACATTGATTTTGTATCCTGAGACTTTGCTGAAGTTGCTTATCAGCTTAAGGAGATTTTGGGCTGAGACAATGGGGTTTTCTAGATATACAATCATGTCATCTGCAAACAGGGAAAATTTGACTTCCTCTTTTCCTAGTTGAATAACATTTATTTCCTTCTCCTGCCTAATTGCCCTGGCCAGAACTTCCAACACTATGTTGAATAGGAGTGGTGAGAGAGGGCATCCCTGTCTTGTGCCAGTTTTCACAGGGAATGCTTCCAGTTTTTGCCCATTCAGTATGATATTGGCTGTGGGTTTGTCATAGATAGCTCTTACTATTTTGAGATACGTCCCATCAATACCTAATTTATTGAGAGTTTTTAACATGAAGGGTTGTTGAATTTTGTCAAAGGCCTTTTCTGCATCTATTTAGATGATCATGTGGTTTTTGTCTTTGGTTCTGTTTATATGCTGGATTACATTTATTGATTTGTGTATGTTGAACCAGCCTTGCATCCCAGGGATGAAGCCCACTTGATCATGGTGGATAAGCTTTTTGATGTGCTGCTGGATTCGGTTTGCCAGTATTTTATTGAGGATTGTTGCATCGATGTTCATCAAGGATATTGGTCTAAAATTCTCTTTTTTGGTTGTGTCTCTGCCCGGCTTTGGTATCAGGATGATGCTGGCCTCATAAAATGAGTTAGGGAGGATTCCCTCTTTTTCTATAGATTGGAATAGTTTCAGAAGGAATAGTACCAGTTCTTCCTTGTACCTCTGGTAGAATTTGGCTGTGAATCCATCTGGTCCTGGACTCTTTTTGGTTGGTAAGCTATTGATTATTGCCACAATTTCAGCTCCTGTTATTGGTCTATTCAGAGATTCAACTTCTTCCTGGTTTAGTCTTGGAAGGGTGTATGTGTCGAGGAATTTATCCATTTCTTCTAGATTTTCTAGTTTATTTGCGTAGAGGTATTTGTAGTATTCTCCGATGGTAGTTTGTATTTCTGTGGGATCGGTGGTGATATCCCCTTTATCATTTTTTATTGCATCTATTTGATTCTTCTTATTAGTCCTGCTAGCGGTCTATCAATTTGGTTGATCTTTTCAAAAAAAACCAGCTCCTGGATTCATTAATTTTTGGAAGGGTTTTTTGTGTCTCTATTTCCTTCAGTTCTGCTCTGATTTTAGTTATTTCTTGCCTTCTGCTAGGTTTTAAATGTGTTTGCTCTTGCTTTTCTAGTTCTTTTAATTGTGATGTTAGGGTGTCAATTTTGGATCTTTCCTGCTTTCTCTTGTGAGCATTTAGTGCTATAAATTTCCCTCTACACACTGCTTTGAATGTGTCCCAGAGATTCTGGTATGTTGTGTCTTTGTTCTCGTTGGTTTCAAAGAACATCTTTATTTCCACCTTCATTTCGTTATGTACCCAGTAGTCGTTCAGGAGCAGGTTGTTCTGTTTCCATGTAGTTGAGTGGTTTTGAGTGAGTTTCTTAATCCTGAGTTCTAGTTTGATTGCACTGTGGTCTGAGAGACAGTTTGTTGTAATTTCTGTTCTTTTACATTTGCTGAGGAGAGCTTTACTTCCAACTATGTGGTCAATCTTGGAATAGGTGTGGTGTGGTGCTGAAAAAAATGTATATTCTGTTGATTTGGGGTGGAGAGTTCTGTAGATGTCTATTAGGTCCACTTGGTGCAGAGCTGAGTTCAGTTCCTGGGTATCCTTGTTAACTTTCTATCTCGTTGATCTGTCTAATGTTGACAGTGGGGTGTTAAAGTCTCCCATTATTATTGTGTGGGAGTCTAAGTCTCTTTGTAGGTCACTCAGGACTTGCTTTATGAATCTGGATGCTCCTGTATTGGGTGCATACATATTTAGGATACTTAGCTCTTCTTTTTGAATTGATCCCTTTACCATTATGTAATGGCCTTCTTTGTCTCTTTTGATCTTTGTTGGTTTAAAGTCTGTTTTATCAGAGACTAGGATTGCAACTCCTGCCTTTTTTTGTTTTCTATTTGCTTGGTAGATCTTCCCGCATCCCTTTATTTTGAGTCTATGTGTGTCTCTGCATGTGAGATGGGTTTCCTGAATACAGCACACTGATGGGTCTTGACTCTTTATCCAATTTGCCAGTCTGTGTCTTTTAATTGGAGCATTTAGTCCATTTACATTTAAAGTTAATATTGTTATGTGTGAATTTGATCATGTCATTATGATGTTAGCTGGTTATTTTGCTCGTTAGTTGATGCAGTTTCTTCCTAGCCTCGATGGTCTTTACAATTTGGCATGATTTTACAGTGGCTGGTACCAGTTTTTCCTTTCCACGTTTAGTGCTTCCTTCAAGAGCTCTTTTAGGGCAGGCCTGGTAGTGACAAAATCTCTCAGCATTTGCTTGTCTGTAAAGGATTTTATTTCTCCTTCACTTATGAAGCTTAGTTTGGCTGGATATGAAATTCTGGGTTGAAAATTCTTGTCTTTAAGAATGTTGAATATTGGCCCCCACTCTCTTCTGGCTTGTAGAGTTTCTGCCTAGAGATCCGCTGTTAGTCTGATGGGCTTCACTTTGTGGGTAACCCGACCTTTCTCTCTGGCTGCCCTTAACATTTTTTTCTTCATTTCAACTTTGGTGAATCTGATAATTATGTGTCTTGGAGTTGCTCTTCTCGAGGAGTATCTTTGTGGCATTCTCTGTATTTCCTGAATCTGAATGTTGGCCTGCCTTGCTAGATTGGGGAAGTTCTCCTGGATAATATCCTGCAGAGTGTTTTCCAACTTGGTTCCATTCTCCCCATCACTTTCAGGTACACCAATCAGACGTAGATTTGGTCTTTTCACGTAGTCCCATATTTCTTGGAGGCTTTGCTCATTTCTTTTTATTCTTTTTTCTCTAAACTTCCCTTCTCGCTTCATTTCATTCATTTCATCTTCCATTGCTGATACCCTTTCTTCCAGTTGATTGCGTCGGCTCCTGAGGCTTCTGCATTCTTCACGAAGTTCTCGAGCCTTGGCTTTCAGCTCCATCAGCTCCTTTAAGCACTTCTCCGTATTGGTTATTTTAGTTATACATTCATCTAATTCTTTTTCAAAGTTTTTAACTTCTTTGCCTTTGGCTTGAATTTCCTCCTGTAGCTCGGAGTAGTTTGATCATCTGAAGCCTTCTTCTCTCAACTCATCAAAGTCATTCTCCATCCAGCTTTGTTCCACTGCTGGTGAGGAACTGCGTTCCTTTGGAGGAGGAGAGGCGCTCTGTTTTTTAGAGTTTCCAGTTTTTCTGCTCTGTTTTTTCCCCATCTTTGTGGTTTTATCTACTTTTGGTCTTTGATGATGGTGATGTACAGATGGGTTTTTGGTGTGGATGTCCTTTCTGTTTGTTAGTTTTCCTTCTAACAGACAGGACCCTCAGCTGCAGGTCTGTTGGAGTTTGCTAGAGGTCCACTCCAGACACTGTTTGCCTGGGTATCAGCAGTGGTGGCTGCAGAACAGCGGTTTTACTTGAACCGCGAATGCTGCTGCCTGATCGTTCCTCTAGAAGTTTTGTCTCAGAGGAGTACCTGGCCGTGTGAGGTGTCAGTCTGCCCCTACTGGGGGGTGCCTCCCAGTTAGGCTGCTCGGGGGTCAGGGACCCACTTGAGGAGGCAGTCTGCCTGTTCTCAGATCTCCAGCTGCGTGCTGGGAGAACCACTACTCTCACACTTCCATAATCTTTTCAAAAATTACTGAAGGTGAAAGTTAAATCTGCCATTTTGTCTACTTTTTATATAATAACTATTCCAGAATATGACTGAAGAAATAAACTTTGTATCAAAAGATCTAAATTCAGATAGTAGCGTCCCAATCTATGAATGGGAGGATACTTAGAAGTTATCTAAACTCTCTATCAGTTTTCTTATCCATAAAATAAGAATAATGTGGTTTAATAAACCTTTTGCAAAAATTAACATACATGTTGATATATAAAAAGACTTTTTTTTTTTTTTTGAGACAAGGTCTTGCTTTGTCTCCTAGGCTGGAGTGCAGTGGTGTAATCTGGCTCACTGCAGCCTCAAACTTCTGGACCCAACAATCCTGCCACCTCAGCCTAGTTGTCTTCTTCAGTAGCAGAGAAAGTTTAGTGGGCATTGCCTCTTCACTCATCTCTGACTAAAATGGAAACAACCAATTAAGAATAAAGTAATCCTTTTATGGAACATTTTCATTTTACTACGCAAACATCTGAATTTGAACACATGAAAATCAGCGATAGCCAAAAGAGCTATAAAGGATGAAATTTAATGGGGGGAAGAAGCAACATGGTCCTTTTATTTGCAGCTCATTAAACTCACTGGTTGTGTAGTAGAATTCCACGTCTATTATTAGGTTAGTTTGGATTGTGTGTTGGGCACACAATGAAGCAGTCAGATGTATAGACTAGGGCAATAAACACAGGCGAAAGTTGAGAATATGACTTATTTTTCTCTGGGATTTCAAAATCTAATTGAGCAGAAAGACATGAAAAAGGCAGCTGATGTATATTTTCATATAAGAAGTAGTCAACTTAAACACAGGGTGTAATGAGAGAAGGCACTATCTAACACAAACTGGGAGTGAGGGGGGCAGTTGACTGAGTAAGTGGGGAGCATTCAGCAGAAAGTGGCTGCTTGCATAGTATGAGGAGACTTTATACCAAAACAAAGATGAAGGTCATCTAAAGAAAAGAATACAGTGGTAGAAGTGGAAAAGCTTATTGATACATACAATCCTAGATAAGAGTCCAATATGGCCCAAGAGGAGGTAAAATAATTAGTCTCCTCTACTCAGCTCTGCAGTGCTGTAGACTCTTCCAACTTCAGGTTTATTACTGTCGAAAAGAGAAGCAGAGGCTACCTAAGTGGGCCAGAACACCTACCACATAATGAGTTAGGCTGTAAAAATGGTATTATCACTAAAAATTTGACATCTACGAAGTTTTTATGTGTTCTCTATTCATAACATTTTTAGGGCATAAGGATAGACAAATGTCTTTCTAGAGATTACCTGGGATAAACACTAGTGTGGCAGGATTAGCAAATGCTCATATTCCAGGGCATCATGCTTCCACCCCATTTAAATAATCTGATTGTTTCATTACTCTTGAATCAGCTAGCTCTTGCAATTGCTAAGACTGATTGTAAAGGAGTTCAATCAACATGTCTTTTTCAAAAATAAAAGTAAAAATTTCATGTTTGGCCTGGCATGGTGGTTCATGCCTGTAATCCCGGCATTTGGGAGGCTGAGGTGGGCGGATCACCTGAGGTCAGGAGTTCGTGACCAGCCTGGCCAACATGGAGAAACCCCATCTCCACTAAAAATACAAAAATTAGCTGGGCATGGTGGCACGTGCCTGTAATCCCAGGCTGAGGCAGGAAAATCGCTTGAACCTGGGAGGCGCAGGGTGCAGTGAGCCAAGATAGCACCATCGCACTCCAGCCTGGGGGACAAGAGCAAGACTTGCCTCAAAAAAGAAAAAAAAAAAAAAACCCGTCACGTGTTGTTGTTACAACATTAGGGCAAGCTTTCTATAGAAGAGTAATAAAAGGCCACTAAACAATTACCAAAATCCTGCTACTCAGAAATGAAACCAAAATACACACATTGTTATTATTTAGTGAACAGCATTCTTCATATTTCTCTGTGGAGACAGACATATGAATAGACATGTAAATAAACAGAGTAATAGATCAATTCATACAATCCCACAAATGAGATTCTGTACCACACTACGTTATTTTTACTTTTATAATATTTAATTTAATGAATATAATAAAGCAGAAGTAAAATTATAGCAAAAATTATTCTGGCACAAAAAAATTTAATTCTAAAATGTAGTTCTAAATTAAAAACAGCAAAAGCAACAAAAACAGAAGATAAAAATAAGAGTATTGTGTCATTTTTTCTACAATTCAACTTGAAATAGTGACTTCATATTCATATTTAATAGAAGAGGATATAATATTTGTACCTCTATTCTCCATATGGATCGATTTATTTTGTTATATTGTTAAGTTTACATTGCCAATGCTTTAAACAGTTATTCTCCTTTAACCATGATTGACAAAGATTTTGTTTCATTCTAATTTAATTTCAATATTTAAATAGAGGGTAATTTTCAGCATCATTCATTTCACTGAATCTTCACATTCTTGAGTCTGTTATTTTAATTTCTGTCTGGCTTGACGTGTTTTCAAGTCAAGAGTGAGAAGTAAAGCTCCTCGGTGTTTTCTTCCATTACACTTGCAAGAACACATGACTGGCTTCAGAATTCTAGGGTCACATTCCTTTCTGTCAGAATTTAGCCGTCACTGCCTCACTGCCTTCCATCCAGCATGGAGCATTTCTGTGGAAAGTCTTCCACCCTAGAGGCCTCCATTTTGATCAGTTTTGGCTATTTATTCCAAAAATATACTGGACTTCAATTCTTCTTACTGATTTGTTTTCCTTTAGCAATTGTATTTCTTAATTTTCAAAAGCTTTTATGTATTTTATTTTTTGATTTTTTTTACTTGTTACAGCTTCCTCTACCTTTGAGATGTATAGGTGTTATAGATTTTCTCTCTCTGAACATAACTGCATATCATTTTTAAAAGTTTTTTCCCAGGCCTGTATTGTATCTTTTATTATAGATTTACTTGTAATTATTATTATTATTATTTTTACCTTGATCCCTGCCTTTCATGTTTGAGGTTACTGTCAAATCTCGGTTGTCTATTCATTTTTAAGATAGAGGAACTGTAAAACTTATTGGAGATGGTATTTGGGTGATGTTACATGTCTGCTTGTGAATTTCTCTATACTTATTACTACCAGTGTATGGATCTGAACAGAAGAAGTTATGAGAGTGATTTACAATTAATGTAAGTACAGTGAGATTTTACCCTTCTGTTTGGTAGACCTTATTCTCTTGTTTTGTGAATTGTGTCCCTACACCTGGCCCTTCTCTTGACATATTTCTCCAGAGAATAAATATCTAGCCTTATGCCTCATTCTAGAAAGAACAGGTACTGGACTCTGTGGGATGTAATTGGGAAATGGAAGCTCTTTGTTTCTTCTGTGAACTTTCACACCAGCCACCACCAACTACAGTAGTACTAGTGCTCATTCCTAAATTCATTTGTTCTGCAAAGTTGAATTGCTTGTTTCTTACTAGTTTCTGCAATTGTTTGAGGCTTTTTCACTCACAAGTTAGAGAATGAGACTTCAGCTAATTCTTTACTGTGTCTCCTTCTTGTTCTGTGTGTTTTTTGAAGGAGAAAGAAGTCAAAAGTTCTCTATCATCATAAAGTCAAAAATTCATATTTTATTTGTTTTGCTCTTTTCTTCGGAAACATCAAATTTATAGTACATATTGCTTTTCTTGTCATTTCTCTCCATTTTGTAATTTGTGTATGCAGAATTCTAAGATGACCTCTAAGAGTTTCACCCCCTGGTGTGTATGTCCCATGTAATTCCAACATCAAGGATGAGCAGACCTGTGACTATGAGGGATAGTTACTCTCATGAGTATATAAAGCTACATAAGACTTCTTCCTAGCCCACTGGAGAGAGATGCTTCTGCTGGTTTTGAGTAAGCAGCCATGTTGTCACAGGGCGTGGCCAACAGCCTGCAACAACACAGAGACCTCAGTCTTACACCTGTAATGAACTGAACTTTGCCAGCAACTGGATGAGAACTACAGGAAGCCAGTGCCTTAATGGCAGAATGATGGGCTCCTTAGCAGAAGACCTACATAACTCAGGGCTGGGCTCTGGACCCACAGAAATAGTAATTTCCGTGTTGTTTTGTGTTGTCTTGTTTTAAGCAACTATGTATGTGGTGATGGGTTATGTAGCAATGGAAAACTACTACCACACTTGATCATATAATTTTATTCTCCTGCTTTAACTTGATGCTATATGTTATGGCAGGACCATCTTTCCAATGGAATGTACTATATGCTCTGAGGCAGCCTACTCATGTGACTTTAATTTCCGTAATGGTTATAATATTTTACTTTTGTTGTAAGCTTCTCAAATTTACTTTTTATTTTTTCAAATTGCATGGCTTTTTAAACCCTATGTCTTTTTTTCCAACTTAAATTGTTGTAATAATATCATTCGTTTTCAATCATAAGGGAGTATTTGTATGAAATCTTCCTTCGTTTCTTGAGTGATTTCCTTTAGAATGTGTGCTCTTCATTAACCTATTGATTATCATCCTCTCCTCATCACCACCATCAATCACGCTTCTCTCTCCACCCCTTTCCCCAACTTTCACTCTCAGGATTTCAGAATATGTCTTCTCACTTCCTTCAGTCATTTGCCTATTTTTTTAAATTACTCTTTTATTTTAGATACAGGAGACACATGTGTAGGATTGTTACATGGGTATATTGGTCCCAAGTAGTGAGCATAGTACTCAGTAGGTAGTTTTTTAACCTGTGCCACTTTCCTCCCTTTTCTGTCTAGTTGTGTGCAGTATCTATTGTTCCCATGTTAATTTTCATGTGTGCTTAATGTTTAGCTCCAACATATACATGGGAATATGTGGAGTTTTGCTTTTTGTTCCTGTATTAATTTGCTTAGGACTATGGCCTCCAGGTCCATCTATGTTGCTGCATGGGACATGATTTCATTATACTTTATGCTGCATGGTATTCCATGATGTATATGTATCACATTTTCTTTATGCAATTCATTGTTGATGGGCACCTAGGTTAATCCATGTCTTTGCTATTGTGAATAGAGCTGTGATGCACATCTATATGCATGTGTCTTTTGGTAGAATGATCTATGTTCCTTTGAGTACATACCAAGAAATAGGATGACTGGGTTCAATGGTAGCCTTGTTTTAAGTTCTTTGAGAAATCTCCAGACTGCCTTTTACAGTGGCTGAACTAATTTACATTCCTACAAACTACAAATGAGGATTCCCTTTACCATCTGTTGTTTTTTGACTCTTTAATAATAGTCATTCTGACTGGTGTAAGATGGTACCTCATTGTGGTTTTGATTTGCATTTCTCTGATGATTAGCGATGATGAGCGTTTTTTTCATGCTTGTTGACCATTTATATGTCTTCTATTGAGGAGTGCCTGTCCATGTCCTTTGTCCATTTTTTAATGGAGTTATTTGCTTTTAATCTGTTGATTTAAGTAGATTATGAATATTAGACCTTTGTTGGATGCTGATATGGTTTTGCTCTGTGACACTCGCAAATCTCATCTCAAAATGTAATCCCCACATGTCCCAGGAGGGACCTGGTGGAAGGTGATTGGATTATGGGGGCAGTTTCCCCCATGATGTTCTCATGACAGTGGGTGAATTCTCACAACAGCTGATGGTTTTAAAGTGTGGCACTTCCTTGTTTTCTTGCTCTCTGTCTCCTACCACCAGGTAAGAAGTGCCTTCTTCCCCTTGACCTTTTGCCATAACTGTAAGTTTCCTGAGTCCTATCCAGCCATGGGGAACTGGGAGTCAATTAAACCTCATCTTTTTTTTTTTTAAATAAATTACTCAGTCTCAAGTAATGCTTTATAAGCAGTGTAAAAACAGACTAATACAGATACATAGTTAATGAATATTTTCTCCCATTCCATAGGTTGTCTGCTTATTCTGTTGCTGTGCAGAAGCTGTTTAGTTTAATTAGGTATCACTTGTCAATTTTTGTTTTTGTTGCAATTGCTTGGGGACTTAGCCAAAAATTATTTGCCAAGGCCAGTGTTGACATGAGTATTTCCTAGGTTTTACTCTAGTGCTTTTATAGTTTGAGATCTTACATTTAAATATTTAATCCATCTTGAGTAAATATTTGTATTAGTGAAAGATAAGAATTTGGTTTCATTTTTCTGCTTATGGCAAGCCAGTTAACCTGAAACATTTATCAAATGGCAAATCCTTTCCCTATTGCTTGTTTTCATTGACCTTGTCGAAAATCAGATGGTTGTAAGTGAGCAGCTTTATATTTTAGCTTTCTATTCTGTTCCATTAGTCTATGTGTCTGTTTTTGTATCAGTACTATGCTGTTTTTTCACTGTAGCCTTATTGTTTGAAGTTGATAGTGTAAGGCCTCCAGCTTTGTTCTTTTTGCTTAGGTTTGCATTGGCTATTTGGGCTCTTTTTTGGTTCCACATAAATTTTAGAATAGTTTTTCTAATTCTATGATAGGTTGATAGGAATAGCATTGCATCTGTAAATTGCTTTGGGCAGTATGGCCATTTCAGTGATATTGATTTTTCATTTCTATGAAACATTAAAACATCCCATGAGTATGGAATGTTTTCCCACTTATTTATGTCACCTGATTTCTTTCAGCATTGTTTTCTAGTTCTCCTTGTAGAGATTTTTCACCTTCTTGGTTACCTGTACTCTCAGCTGTTTCATTTTCTTTGTGGTTATTGTAAATGTGATTGTGTTCTTAATATGACTCTCAGCCTGGATGTTATTGGCACATATAAATGGTACTGATGTTTTCTACATTGATTTTGTATCATGGAACTTTGCTAAAATCATTTATTAGTTCCAGTAGCCTTTCTCCTGCTTGATTGCTCTGGCTCTGACTTCCACTACTACGTTGAATATGAAATGGTCAGAGTGCTTGCCTTTTTTTCAGTTCTCCAGGGGAATGTTTCCAGCTTTTGCCCATTCAGTATAATGTTGGCTCTGGGTTTGCTATAGACGACTCTTATTATTTTGAGTCATATTATTTTGATGTCTAGTTTGTTGAGGGTTTTTATCATGAAGTGATGTTGAATTTTATTGAAGTTTTTCTGCATTTTTTGAGATGATCAGATAGTTTTTGTGTTTAAATCTGCTTATGTGGCGAATCATATTTATTGATTTGCATATGTTGATCCAACCTTGCATCCCAGGAATAAAGCCTACTTTATCGTGGTGAATTAACTGTTTTATATGCTGCTGGATTCAGTTTATCAATATTTTGTTGAGAATTTTTTGTCTGTGTTCATCATGGACATTGGCCTCAAGTTTTCTTTCTTCATTGTGTTTCTGCCAGAGATTGAGTTTGAAAGGATTCCCTCCTTTTTTTGTAATAGCTTCAGTAGAATTGGTACCAGTTTTTCTTTGTATATCTGGTAGAATTTGACTGTGAATCCATCTGGTCTAGGACTTTTTTGGTTGGTGGTAGTTTTTTTTTATTACATATGATTCAATTTCAGAGTGAGATATTTCACTATTCAATGCTTCAATCTTTTCCTGATTCAATTAGAGACTGTGTGTTTCTAAGAATTTATCAATTTCATCTACAGATTTTCTAATTTGTATGCATAGAGTTGTTCATGGTATTCTATGGGAAACTTTTGTAATTCTGTGGGATCAGTTATATTATCTTTGTTATTTCTGACTATACTTATCTTCTCTTTTTTTCATTGTAAATCTAGCTGTTAAATAGCAGTCTATCCATCTTGTTCATCTTTTCAAAGAACAAACTCTTGCTTTTTTATTATTTTTTCTATGGATTTTTCTATCTCAATTTCAGTAAGTTCTCTAATTTTAGTTATTTTTTTCTTCTGCTAGCTTTTTCTTTTCTAGTTCCTTTAGGTGCAAAGTTAGATTGCTAAATTGAGATCTTTCTAACTTCTCGATTACTGCATTTAGGGAAATAAACTTTCCTCTTAACACTGCTTTGGCTGCATCTCAAAGATTTTGGTAAGTCATATTCCTGTTTTCAATATTTCAAAGAATTTTTCTTAAATCTACCTGTATTTTGATGTTCACCTAAGAGTTATTCACGAGTAAGTTGTTTAATTTCCCTATATTTGTGTAGTTTTGAGAGGTCTTCTTGATTTTGATTTCTATTTTTATTTCACTGTGGTCCAAGAGTTTGCTTGGTATAATTTCAATTTTTTGAATTTATTGAGACTTGCTTTATGATTAAGCACGTGGTTGATCTTAGAATATGTTCCATGTGCAGATGGGAAGAATATATATTCTGTGGATATTACCTGGGGTATTTTGTAGATGTCTATTAGGTCCAATTGTTAAAGTGTTGAGTTTATGTCCAGAGTTTGTTAGTTTTCTTCCTTAGTGATCTGTTTAGTGCTGTGAGTGGGGTGGTGAAGTCTCCTGCTGTTATTGTTTGGTTGTCTAAGTGTTTTCATGGGCAATGAAGAACTTGTTTTATGAATCTGGGTGCTCCAATATTGAGTGTATATATATTTAGTACAGTTAAGGTTTCTTGTTTCATTGTACCCTTTATCATTATGTAATGCCCTTCATTGTTCTTAATTTTTATTGGTTTAAAGTCTATTTTATATAAGAATAGCAACTTCTGCTCTTTTTTGCTTTCTGTTCACATGGTAGCTCTTTCTCCATTCTTTTGCTGTGAGCCTGTGGTTGTTCTTAATGTGAAATAGGTCTCTTGAAGATAACAGATGGTTGGGTCATTTATCCAGCCTGCCACTCTGTGTCTCTTAAGTGGAGCATTTAGCCCATTTACATTCAAGGTTAGTATTGGTATCTGTGATTTTAATTCTGTCATCATGTTGCTAGCTGATTGTTATGTAGACTTGATTATGTGGTTGCTTTATGGCGCCTGTGTGCTATGTGGTTAAATGAGCTTTTGTGGTATGACTGTCATTCTTTCTTTTCCATGTTTAGCACTCCCTTAAGGACCTCTTGTATGGCTAGTCTAGTTGAAACATATTCCCTTAGCATTTGCTTCACTTCACTTTTAAGCTTAGTTTGGTGGGATATGAAATTATTGGTTAAAATTTATTTTCTTTAAGGATGCTGAAAATAAGCTACCAATCTCTTCTGACTTGTAAGCTACCTGCTGAGAGGTCTGCTGCTAGCCTGATGAAGTTCCTTGTATGTGACTTTACCCTGCCTTTAAGACTTTTTTCTTTAGTGTTGACCTTGATGAATATTGTACTATGTGCCTTGGAGGTAGTCATTTCATGTCATATCTATCTGGGGTTCTGAGTGTTTCTTGGATTTGTATGTAAATCTCCCTAAAGAGATAAGAGGAATTTTCATGAACTGTATCTTCAAATATATTTTCCAAGTTGCGTATTCTCTCTCCTCTCTCAGGAATGACAATGAGTCATAGATTTTTTCGCTTTACAAAATCCCATATTCTTGGAGGTTTCACTTTTTTTTCCCATTTTTTTCCTTATTTTTGTCTGAGTTGACTTAAAGAACAAGTCTTCAAGTTTTGAGATTATTTCCTCAGCTTGGTCTATTCTGCTGCTAATACTACTGATTATTTGATAAAATTCTGATAGTGAGTTTTTCAGCTCTAGAATTTAAGTTTGGTTATTTCTGAAAATGGCTATTTTATCATTCAGCTCTTGGACTGCTTTACTAAATTATTTGAATTCCTTGCACTGAATTTCACTTTCTCCTGAATCTCAATGGGTTTCCTGGCCACAGATTCTGCATTCTGTGTCTGTTATGTCAGTCATTTCAGACTGGTTAGAAACCATTGCTGGGGAGCTAGTGGATCATTTGGAAGTGAGGGTACACTCTGACTTTTTGGATTGCCAGAGTTCTTGTGCTAATTCTTTCTCATCTGGGAGGGTTGGCATTTCTTTAACTGTGGTGTAAGTTGAGAATAGTCAGTTGGCTTAATTTCTGAATGCTTTTAGAGGCCCAGGGCTCTTACAGAATCTTTATGTGTGGGTAAATTTTTGACTTGGTTTCACAGCTGTATATATTAGCAGAATAAAATTTAGGTGTTGTAGTTTGGGTGGCAATCCAGTGAATGAGGTTTAACAGTAATGACTGGTAGCTAGGTTAATACCTGGTCACAGGGCTTTTTTGTACTTCTTGAGTTCACAGATACGCTCTGCAGTGATATGGAGTGATACGGTTCCCTCAACAGATCTGCTTGTAAAACTTGAGAGAGCTCCCTCTGATAGCTGGTGCTGTGCCCACATTTCTTTTGTTAGTTTTTCTGAGCCACATGGTCTTCTTGGGCAGAAGCTGTGGCAGGGAGATATGCCACATGCTTTTTGGACTGGACCTGAGAAGGGAGGCATGTTCCACTCTTACCCCAGCTCAGGAATCCGTGCATCTCACCCCTCTCACGGCTCTGAGATTGGGGGCTCTTTCTCTGTTTGAGTGCCAGCCACAAATCTTGGTTCCATACTCCCAAGCTGCACACTACAGCCCTGGGGACACTGGGATATCCCATGGCTTGGGTTTGGGTTCTTGCTCCACTGGGGGATACAGTGTGCTCCAGGGTCATGAAGAAAATATGTGGGTGCAACTACACACTCAGGCGGACCTTCCAGGGCTGCACTATGCACCTGCTCCTACAGGGCAGCTAGGCATGGACCCTGGGAAGGGCTGGTAGGCAGAAGGGCTTGCAGAGTAGATGCACCCCAGTCGTGCAGGAAAGCTGGCCCAACTCTCTCCTGGCTTGGAGGTCAGTAGGGGTCCATGCCTCCCAGAGGAGAATGGAAATCCCTGGGGAATGGGCATCTATGGCTGCTCTTGCCTGCAGCAGTCCAGCACACAAAAGCTCCTGGGCTCTGTGCTGTCCAAAGTCTGTCTCTGCCTGCTCCCCAGGGAGATCCCCCTGCCAGCTCACACATCCATGGTCGCGTAAGGTCCCTTGTAGCTAGAAAATCAAATGCTCATGGCAAGAGTGAACCATCCCTCAGTTCCTTCATTCAGTCCTTTACTGGAATTGTTTGGGGCCAGGAATTAGCCCTGGCATTTGGGTAGCTAACTCAGGGTTTCCAGCTTCCTGCCTCTTCAGTCTTGGCTTCGACCTTGCCTCTCCATCCACTTTCAGCATTTTCTCCTTGAATACCTGTTCAAATTATGGTGGTTTACCTAATAATTTGGCCTCTCTTGAGAGGAGTGGCACTTCCTGGCTGTGTCTAGTCGGCCATCTTGTTCGTCTCCTCTATCTTAAAATGGAGTCAACCAATCCACTACAAATAATGTGATTTGAGGAAGTCCAAAGCTCTAATTCAGGTTTTTATTTGTTTGTTTTGTATGCTTTCTGGGTTTTTTTTTGTTGTTAAAAACTATCTCAACAATTTTATTCTCTCCAATAAATGTACATCTCATCTAAATTTTGGTATTGAGCTTTTTTATACATCCTATTTCCAACCAAAAAGACTTGTTTTTAAATAAATGCAACTTAATCATCCTATTTCTATTATTTAGATACTATCATTCCTTCTATCTGGAGGTCTCTGTAATGGCTGTATTAACAGTACTCAAAAGTAATGTGGATAATAATTGTGGATTTTGTTCTTGTTTTTAAATCTGTCTTTAATCATTTCATGTAAAGTTGTAAGCCTTTGAAGCATTTGAGAATTTCATACAAAACATTTCTGAAAGATAAATTTTCTCATATTTTCTTGGACACGCTGATTGATCATTTTAGTTAGTCTCTGAAGAAATCCATGAAAAAGTACTTGTTACTATTTTTACCCACAGCAGCGTAATTTAAATTTGAGTTAAATAGGCTTATAAACAAATTTGTATAACCATGATGAAAAATCATCTTCCCAATAGTATAGCTAAACTAATAAAGTAACTGTGGTAGGGATGAGCAATTATAGTCCAAGCAATGTAAACTCAATTCATACGTGGAAAACCACAGGGGCAAGGGGAATACAGTATATAGACAGTGTCAGAACAAGAGACTGCTAGGAGTTCTGGGTTTTATCCTCCTCTACAGATACACATTGTCTACCCAGCTTCCCAAGAGACCACCATGTAAATGTCTTCTTTCAACTCGTCATGATTAAAGGTTAATAATATTTTATACAAAAATAATGTGTTCTTTTAAAAGGTAGTAAAATTTTCTGGGACAGAGATTGAGGATGTTCTTCAGCAATCTTACAAATGATTTATTGGTTTATTTACATAAAATCAAATCAGTGTATATTCTATCTTACATTAGCTGAACTACAGTAGCTTCCACAATAAGTCAAGCACAAATTTTAATCCATTTAACAATCTTTAGCAAACATTTATTTAAGGACTCTAATGTTTCAGGGATAGTAATGGTTACTAGGTATACAAAGCAAATCAATCTCAGTTCGTGCCTAAAAAGTACATAATCTTTAATAAGTTTCAAGATCATAGAGCCATATAATCTAATAAAATAAATAAATTCATCTGTTTTATTGAGCAATTATTTGGTACCGACTATGTGCAAGCTATTGTGTATATTTTGGTATGTGCTAAAAGTCTATGATTCTGTATATGTTTTTCATGTACCTATTTTTAATAAATTTGTATTTTTTCTTAATACTATGACACAATTTGCATTTTTAATCTTTAAAGCCTTTCACTATTATTCAGTTTTTGTCACTATTCTCTCACAAAGTTCTTGTGGTATGTCTTAGCTTTTTTCTGAATGCACTTTTATCATATTCATATGTATTATGAATCTTTCAAGACACAGTTCAGTAGTCACCTCCTCCACCCCACCATGATACTTATAGACATATACACCACCCAAATGAGAATAATATTTTCCTCTTGTAAATGCTCATTTTTCTCTGTGTCCCGAGGAATTTGCCTTTTGTTACAGTGCATTGTGTATATGCCTCCTCACTTCAGTACATTGTGTTTCTGTAGAATAGAGTTCATATCTGTTCATTTTTATTTTCTTGGAATTTAGGGACATTTTCTGGTGTATAATGGATCCTATTACGTGCTTTTTATGTAAATTTTATGTATATTTAATTTGAAATTTATAATACCTTTCAAAATTCTTGACCATTCTATATTTAATAACAAAATTAAAATAAATGAATTAAAAATGTATCATTCTGATTATCCTTCCAGAAAATTGTATCTCAGTTTCTTTCAGAGAGAAAATATTTGACAATCAACAAGGAGACTTCTCTAATATGACATATCTGAACCAAAACAACAAGCATTAAATGGGTGACTAGTCATTACATAATACTATAAAAATTTATAGAAATCTCTTAGTCAGAACATTTATGAGAAATGTCATAAATTTAAAGTTAATGTGAATTGCTTTTATATTAGTGTATCGTTTGTAAGCCGTCTACCCATAATATTAATTAGCATGGATATAGTACATTGAAACAGAGCTACAATCTGTACTAATATTTATTCTTTGTATAATTCTACTTAAATTATTGGTTGGAAAAAGTTATTTCCAATACAAACATTGAAACATAACCTAGAAGGCCGTCTATGTAGTACATTCTTGCTCTGGTTTTGAAAAAAAGCGTTATCAGGTTGTTTACTAATGGAATAAAATGACAGATGAAGTAATGAACATCCTAGACGAACCCAGGCATCTCTACATGCATAGTTAAATGTTATTTTAATATCCGGCCAGATGGCAAGTAAAACTGTAGAATTTAATGTCTATCTAACCATACCAAACTTTCCAAATATTGTTGCAATGTTTCTTCTTAAAAATAAAAATATAAATTTTACTTAGAAGTCAAATTGAAAAATAAATATTGGCAAGAAATACATGTAATGAAATTTTACAAAGAACATGTTCATATATATATATTTATGATTGACCACATTTTATTAATTGGAGAGTTAAACATACTTTTATCATGTTTTCTACCCTAGAAAATATGGAAGATAAAGCTCTGTTGTCCTCTTCATTTTCCTAACTAAGCAAGTATTTTATAAAGCACTGAGGTGTAATTCTCTTTACAAAGTGATAAATCCTTTACACAAAATTGTTCCTACTGAAGATAATAATTCTCCAATTACAAAAGCATCATCCTTTTTTTTTTTTTTTTTTTTTTTTTTTTTGAGACGGAGTCTCGCTCTGTCGCCCAGGCTGGAGTGCAGTGGCGCGATCTCGGCTCACTGCAAGCTCCGCCTCCCGGGTTCACGCCATTCTCCTGCCTCAGCCTCCCGAGTAGCTGGGACTACAGGCGCCCGCTACCACGCCCGGCTAATTTTTTGTATTTTTAGTAGAGACGGGGTTTCACCGTGTTAGCCAGAATGGTCTCGATCTCCTGACCTCGTGATCCGCCCGCCTCGGCCTCCCAAAGTGCTGGGATTACAGGCGTGAGCCACCGCGCCCGGCCAAGCATCATCCTTTTATAGTCAGTTTTGACCTTCTAATTCCAGCCATTTACTTGAAAACAATTGGGACACAATTTCCAAGTTGGCTTGCAGTAGCCACCCGATTATGATAAAATAATATCTTTAATATAGTGTATTTTATGTAAATAAACAATTTCTTTTAGGTATAGTTTTATTACAAACATATTTTTAAAGTTTTTCAAACATGCAACTTAATATATTCATTTAGATCATAAACTTTATAATTTACACTGAAATTGGGAAAATTAATTTTACTGAAAGTCTCATTTTCTTTTCTAGGGAATTTTGGTAACACAAAAAATACAAAATTTACCAGTTTCCTAATTGATGTAAGGTTATTTATTATTTAGGACTCTATCACAGCCTTTGAAATAATTTGATTTATGTAATCTCCTTTGCTATAGAAATTTTACCTAGCATAAAATCTCCACTTTTATTTTTAATAACATTTGCTTGATACTTAACACAAATGTCCTTCAAGCTGAGAAGGTCACATGCTATCACTGCTTGACATATGTAGAGATTCATCACTCTAAATAATTCGTGTGTGTAATATTGACTAATTATTTCATGATAAAATATAGGTGATTGATCGTAAAATCAGCTTTTACTTTGCATGGTCATACTGAACTTCTCAAAAAAATAAAAATAAACTAGCTGCAAGAACAAAACTAACAAAGAAATATTCAGAAATTCCACTTTTTGAAAGATATTTTAGTAGCAATAAAGTTCATATATTTCAGTGTGTAAGTAATATCTAGCTTGTGACATACAATTATAAGAAGATCTATAATTCGTTTTTTAGCTATTTTCTCTGTATGGACAACAAAATATATATAACATGACTGTAGTAAACATGCCATCTTTATAAATTTTTCTCTCAGTTCTATCTGTTTTCTAAATGTATTTGTTTAGTCCCTACCTCCTACTACGTATTATTTAGTTTTATTTTCTGTAGTTTACATTTTAACGAAGGTAAGATTTTGCTTATCAAATTATTTAAGAAAATCTATTTTGAGACACCCTAAACAAATATTTATGATGCATATTTTTAGCTTGCAAGAAATAAATGGATTCTCCAGACAGCTGAAGATAATTATAAGCAGAAACTAGAGTGAGAAGTAAGGATATACGAAATTAGGGAATTAGACTGAAAACAACTGCCTATATCAGCATAATGATCTGGGAATTCAGCCTTTAGATGTCCATAAGCTAGGGTAGCTAATTTACTGAAAATCCAGGTTCAATTAATCTAGGTACACTAAAAAAGAGTAAAATTTGGGACTACTTCTTATGAGTTATAGCCAATTTAGGCTTCAAGGATTTTGACACATCAAGAAAGGGAGACCTTATATTTAAATTTATATTAAATATTATTTAAAGTAGGCAAACTATTTTCAAAAAATAAGATAAAAGCAAACAAAATAAATTAAAATGACCAATAGTTTTAGATAACCAAAAGCCACCAGTTTTGAATTAGAAACTGATTAAAATCATTATTAAAATATTTAAAGAAATAAAATATAAATATATGAGAAAGCAAAAAGGTTATTGAAAATTTAAAAATTGATTCAAAAAATGCCACATATAAATTTAAAACTGAGAAAATAAATAAATCATGTGCCCATATATTTTGTAATATAAATGAAATAGGTCAATTCTTTCAAAGATCCAAGCTACCAAAACTCACACACAAAAAATAGATAATTTGGATATATTATCTATTTGGATATACATATATATAATTGAATAATTAAGAATATTCCAAAAAGAAAGCCTGAGACCCACATAATTTCACTGGTGAATTCTACCTAATATTTAAGAAAGAAATAATATCAATTTTCCACAATTTATTCCAGCATATGGAAACAGGGAAGATTTTTCCTAATTCTCTGAGTCAATCATTATCCAATACTAAAACTCATATAAAGCCCTTGCAATACATAAAATGTACAAACCTTTTTTGCCTGTGCTTTGGGGATTGTATCCAAATACCTTTTTCAAGAATAATGTCAAGAAGCTTTTCGTATGTTCTCTTCTAGTAATTTTATCTTTTTATTAATGTTTATTTTACCCATTTTAAGTTGATTTTTGTATATGGGGTGAAATTAAGGATTCATGTGGATAGCCAGTTTTTCTAACATCATTTATTGAAGAGACTGCCGTTTCCCCATTGCAGGTTATTGGCACCTTTGTCAAAGATCAATTGGCTGAAGACACGTTACCTTATTTCTTGGATCTCTGTTTTGTGCCATTGATCCATATGCCTGTTTTGTGCCAATTCCATACTCTTCTGAATTGGAAATATTCGTAGCAAATTTTGAGATCAGGTTGTGTGATGTCTCCAACTTTGCTCCTTTTGCTTGGAATTGCTTTGGATATTTGAGTCTTTTGTGGCTCCATGCAAATCCTAGAATTACTTTTTTTTCTTTCCATTTTTGTGAGAAATGTCTTGAGAATTTTAATAGAGATTGCACTGAATCTGCAGATATCTTTAGGTATTATGGGCATTTTAATAATACTAATTCTTCCAACCCATAAACACATGATATCTTTCCATTTATTTGTATCTTCTTTAATTTGTGTCATTAATATTTTCAATAGTTTTTCAATGTACAGATCTTGCCACTCCTTGTTTTTCATATTTTTGATGCAATCATGTTTTTTTCTTCTTTCTTTTTCAGATATTTCACTGTTAGTAAATAGAAACACTACTGATTATTGAATGCTTATTTTGTATCCTGCAACCTTATTAAATTCATTTATTAATTTTAACAGTTTTTTTGGTGGAGTCTTTAGAGTTTTTATATATAAGATCATATCATATGCAGAGACAATTTAACTTCTTCCTTTCTGATTTGGATGCATGTAATTTCTTGCTTATGCCTAATGCCTGTCACTAGGACCTCCTGTAGACACTTCTCAAAACAGAAGGCATACAAATAGGCAATAGGAATGTTTAAAAATGCCCAATCATCAGGGAAATGCAAATTATAACCACAATGAGATATCACCTCGCAGCTGCTCAAGCAGCTTTTATCAAAAAGGCAAAAGCTAACAAGTGTTGGTGAGGGTGTGGATAAAAGGGAACCATTGTACATTGTTGGTAGGAAGGTAAATTAGTACAGGCATTTTGGAAAATATTATGGAGTTTTCTCTAAAATCTAAAAATATAGAACTCCCATATAATTCAGTAATTCAATTTCTGGGTATATATCAAATAAAATGAAATCAGCATGTTGAAGAGGTACCTGCATTCCCATGTTCACTGCAGTGTTGTTCACAATGGCCAAGATATGGAATCAACCTAAGTGTCCATCAACAGAAGAATGAGTAAAAATAATGTGGTATATATACACAATGAAATACTATTCAGCCTTGAAAAATAAGTAAATCTATAGATGAATCTGGAGGACATTATGACAAATAAAATAAGCCAGGCACAGAAGGATAAATACAGCATGTTCCCACATATATGTGGAATCTAAAATAGTCAAACTTACAGAAATAAAAGCAGAATGGTAGTTAAAAGGGATTGGGGGAGATGGGAAGATATTGGTTAAAGGGTATAAAGTTTCAGATAGGAAGAATAAATTCTGGAGACATATTGTACAGCATAGTGACTGTAGTTAACAATAACGTATGGTATGTTTGAAAACTGCTAAGAGAGCAGATTTTAAATGTTCTCACCACAAAAAAATAAGTATGCGAGGTGACAGATATTGATTTAATAATTTCACAATGTATACATATCGGAAAACATCACTTTGTACCCACATATGTATACAATTATTATTTGTCGATTAAAAATAAACTAAAAAGGAAAAACTAATATATCTGAAGAACACAAATGCAAAATTCCTCAACAAAATGTTAGCAAACAGAATTCAATAGTATATAAAGAGAATTATAACCATAACAAAACAGAATTTATTCAAATATTCAAAAATGACTGAACACACAAACCAATCAATGTAATTTACCATTTCAACAGGCTAAAAAAAAAAAGAAAAAATATGTGATTATATCAACAGATGCAGCAAAACCTTTTGGCAAAAATTCATCAATTCATTGACCAAACAAACAAAAATATCTCATAAACTAGGAATAAATGGGAGCTTTCTCAACTTGATAAAGTACACTCATAAAACCTAAAGCTAACATCATACATAATGGTCAGAGGCTGAATGCTATATCTTTAAAATAGGGAAAGGCAATTATAACTTCTGTTGCCACACTTTTGAACATCTCACTGGAAATTCTACCTAATTCAATAAGACAAAAAAGGTACTCTTATTGGAAAGAAAAATACCTGTCTTTATTTGCCAATTATATGATAGTCTATATGTAAAATCCTCAAAAACCTACAAGGAAAAATCTTCTGGAGTGTATAAGCAAGCACAGCAAATCTTCAGGGCACAAAGTTCATGTACAAAACTCAATTCTTTTTCTACATACCAACAATGAAATTTTGGTATTTGAAATTTAGAAAGCAATATTATTTTCAATAGTAGCAGAAAATAAAACATATATGTATAAATTTAACAAAATATGTGCAGATCTGTATGCAAAGTTAAGACACAGATGGAACATGTTAAAGATCTAATTATATGGAAAACATTCTATGCCATTGACTGAAAATCCCAACATTATTGACACCCTTTTCTCCCAAATTGATCTACAGATTTCATTCAATCTCAATTAAAATTCCATCAAACTACTTTGTAGATATAGACAAACTTATTCTAAAGTTTAAATAGAAAGGCAAAAGATAGCCAAAAAAAAAGTACAATGTGGAGACACAAACTACCCAACTTCAGAACTTACAGTATAGCTATAATAATCAAGATTATATGATACAGTTAAAAGATACACATAAATCAAGGAAAGAGAACACAGACATAGAACAAAACAAATATGATTAACTGATTTTTAACAAGGACTAGCCTGGCCAACATGGTGAAACCCTGTCTCTACTAAAAATACAAAAATTAGCCAGGCATGGTGGTGGACGCCTGTAATCCCAGCTACTCCAGAGGCTGAGGCAGGAGAATCGCTTGAACCCAGGAGGCAGAGGTGCAATGAGCCGAGACTGTGCCACTTCACTCCAGTCTGGGCGACAGAGCAAGACTCCATCTCAAATAAATAAATAAATAAATAAATAAATAAATAAAGAAAGAATGACCAGAATTTGTATAATTCAAGTCTTACAGGATAATAGACAATGCTTAATGTATGCTTGCTATATGCTAAGTATGGTGCTAAGAAATTTAATGAATTATTTTATTTAATTTTTGCAACAAGTCTTTGTCATAGATAGTAGTATTATTATACCCATACTACAAGTGAGAAAACTAAGAGTTAGAAAGGTTAATTAACATATCCTATGTTACCAAGAAACATGTCAAAAGAAAAAAAGTTCCCTAAAGGAAAATGCACAACAAAAATAATGATTAAAAAAAAATACACCGGGTGTGGTGGCTCACACCTGTAATCCCAAAAGTTTGAGAGGCCTAGGTGGGTGGATCATGAGGTCAGGAGGTCAAGATCATACTGGCTAACACAGTGAAACCCCATCTCTACTAAAAATACAAAAAAAATTAGCCGGGTGTGGTGGAATGCACCTGTAGTCCCAGCTACTTGGGAAGCTGAGGCAGGAGAATTGCTTGAACCCGGGAGGCAGAGGTTGCAGTGAGCTGAGATCATGCCACTGCACTCCAGCCTGGGTGACAGAGCAAGACTCTGTCTCAAAAAACAACAACAACAAAACATACACAGCCAGGTACAGTGGCTCACGCCTGTAATCCCAACACTTTGGGAAGCCAAGTTGAGAGGATCACTTGAGGTCAGGAGTTCAAGACCAGCCTGGCCAATAAGGCAAAACACTCTCTCTACTAAAAATACAAAAACTAGCCAGGTGTGGTAGCCCACACCTGTAATCCCAGCTACTCAGGAGGCTGAGGCAGGAGAATCGCTTAAACCCAAGAGATGGAGGTTGCAGTGAGCCAAGATCATGCCACTGCACTCCAGCCTGCACAACACAGTGAGACTCTGTCTCAAAACAAAAACAACAACAAAAAAAAACACTACTCAAAACAGTTCAAACCACCCCTATAATACTGTCCTATTATGTGTGTTAACCACTCAAAAGAAGTCAAACACACAAAAAGATATGGCTAAAAGAATTAAAATGCTAACTAACTAATATCCTCTTTAGTCCTTGATCTTCTAGTGAAGAAGAGGATAGGTGCCAACGTGAGTCCTCTCCTGCAGAGCCACACCCTTGACAATGGAGATAAATGTGCACGTATGTCCCCTTGAAAGGTTGCACCTTTCCTGCTTTGGCTAGAGCCTCTGCCATGGTGCCACCTGGTTTCTATGTAAATCAGCTGACGGGTAGAATCATTTCTGACCAGTTTAGGGAGGTTCTGGGCAATGTTATCTTTGCCTTCCTACCTCCCTCACTACTCCCTCCCCACCACTGAACACAGTAATTTTTACTAGAAAACATCCAAGCTAACAGATTCTCAGTACAAGTAAAAATGTTGCCTCTCCAGCAGATAGAAAAATGAACAGATAAGTTAAAACTTACAAAATTAAATCTGATGAGTTTATTCCATCATTAGTGTAGAAACACAGATCACATATACCTGAATATGCAAAGAAAGTTAAATTATGATGCAATCAATGCTATCCTATAAAAACCAAATTAACAAAAATAGTCTATTAGGGAAGACATCTGGTGTATCATGGTAAGAAATGTTAATGATATTGTCTGCAACCCTGTAATCAATTTTTTCTCCCAGCAGCTATCTCATTACTCTGTATTAGATCTGTGTGCCTGCAGGATTTATAAGAGCTCCACATATGGGGAAGCTTCGCCAACTGGATCTGATTCAGATCCAGCTCAAATGACTTTGGCAGCACAAAGCATCATTAAAGAACAATCAATACAGTTAGCTTTATGTACCATCATCTTGACTGAAAGAAGATTTATCCTCTCACTACAGAATCTCTCACATCTACATATAATGTACCCAAGTGCTCCACCAGTCATGAACTTATTTAAATCATCAGTAGACACAAATATTTTTATTGCTAAAAAATAAATACTAGTCATCATTAATTGTAATATAAAAAGTTTACAAAAAAAATTAATGTTATTATGGGGAAGACTTAAAATCCATTCAGCAAATCCTGTTGAGTATTACAGTAAATAAAAGTATTAATAATAGCATCCACATTGATTAAGAAAATATCAGCCTGAAAGTAAAACCCACTTTTTAGATATATGTGGAAATAAGACATATCGGTAAATAAGACATATTGGTCATTGGTAAAGGCTGAAGCTTTAAAAGTAGGTAGTCACATTGGGAATCTACTAATTTGTCCCATAAGACATCAGTCTTTCTCTGGGAATTAAAATTAGACTTTTATCTACACTACACTGGGTTCTGTCTTCCACCGTAAGACAGAGAATTCCAAGGTTTCCATAATGTGAAATCCCCACCCCTTTTTATGGTATGACCCTTGAGTAATTACATCAGCAAATATGTAAACGTGTTATGCTGTTCCAACAATTACTCCTGATTTGGTTACAATTATCAATATATCATCTCTACTGTCTTGGTCCTCTTCATCTTACCCATGAATGGCGGCCCTAGCCTCCTACTTGGAACTTTCACCATCTTTCCCGTTCCACACTGCAAACTGCTACAGTCAATCTTCTTAAGCAGTGGTCTGCAAGGTGGCTCGTCTCGAATAAAAAAGCTTACAAAAGCTCTCTACTGCCTATTACACAAAATCTTAACTTTGCTAACTTTGAAGATTCTCTATAATCTAGCCCCATTTTATATCTCCACATCTGCCTCCCAAAATCCACTAACCTGTGCTCTTCAGTGACGTCCTGCGGGTCATCTTCTCACGACTCCCAGACTCGTCAGCCTCACTGCCTGTGTTGCTTATAAGGACAGGCTGCCATGTACACCTGCAAGGCTCCTATACTCTGCCTATCCACTTCTTATTGATGTGTGAAAAACATACCCAGCTCCTCAAAACCTACCCACCTTCACAGAACTTCCCCAAGTGCCACATGGCATCTGGAGCACTTTCTTTTCTTCACCCCAAGATATTAATATTCTACACTGCAACTGAACAACTCACCGTATATTGACAGTATCCCGCATTGTGTGTGTCTAAGTGTGAGAGAGCTTGCTATCCTCTTGTATTATTTGCTAATTCAGTATGAACTGGGGTGCCACAGTCACTTCTTCACACTGACGTCAATGCTTAACTGAAACCACACTTCTTTCATATTAACCCAGTAGTCACTCAGAATAATAAATACTCGACTTTCAGAAACCATTACCATTAAATCCTCCATTAAGTCCTACCATTACAGGAAAAAAAAGGAAGACAAGTGTGAACTTTCCTAAAAAGGGAGATGCACTACACGATAATAACCCCTATGATCACCCACACGGGTCCCTGTGCTTTAAGGGATAAAGCACTACAGATACTTCATCCTGCTGCCTCTTACACATCCCTCAGGACCACCACTAGTAACAGAGGAGTAACCAAGGGATAGCCGTTAAGAAGTATAGCTACAGCCCGACCCAAGCCTCGTGAAGGGCTTATTCTGCATCTAGCACTGGAGAAAAGCCTCGCTATTTCTGAGCAATACCCTACAAAATGTCACCCAAGAGGACAACACCCAAAATAGTTTAGATTGGTGGGTCATGAGTCCCAATGAGCCTGGGGAAACTCACATTCCACACTTGAACTCAAACTTACCCCCTTTTTTCCCCATTTCAGTTGCCAACAGCCATATAAATTGGCCTTTATATTTGGCCATTATATTGGCCACAAGATGAGTTTTCTGCATTGAAAACAATTTCACATATAGTTAACAATTTTAGTAAATAACATTTTCAGAAATATAGTTTATGGAAATACATATAATTAAACAAAACTTTTTCAATAGTTTCTTAGAGTCCCTTGACCCAAGTAAATTAGAAGAAAATGAATTACCCAACCTCACAATAGTAGTTAAACACTAAAACTTAAAATCCCAAGTGCCCTACCCTGACTGGCAGCCACGAGTGAAGACAAATTGCTGGGAAGCTCAGAAAATGGGGCCAATAAAATGCTGGGATTATTTATTCCCAAGGCCTCATTTTGATTTCCACTTATGTTAATACCACCCTGTCCATTTAGAGGTTGACATCAATATCATGCAAAAAGGATGTGGTCGTTCAAAAAACTTTCAACACCATTACTCTATAATTGTGGTGGGAGGGGAGTATAGATATACAACCTCCTCTGACTGAGTCCACCAAACTCAGGGCTAAAGAATTCCATCTTGCTTGATGCAGTGGCTCATGCCTGTAATCCTGACACTTTGGGAGGTCAAGGCAGGTGGATCACGAGGTCAGGAGTTCAAGACCAGCCTGGCCAACATAGTGAAACCCCGTCTCTACTAAGAATACAAAAACATAGCTGGGGGTGGTGGCAGGTGCCCGTAATTCCAGCTACTTGGGAGGCTGAGGCAGGAGAATCGCTTGAACCCGGAGGCGGAGGTTGGAAAGAGCTGAGATCACGCCATTGAACTCCAGCCTGGGTGACAAGAGGGAAACTCTGTCTCCAAAAAAGAATTCCATCCTGCCTCTTGCCTCGTTAAAGAATTAAACAAAATTAGAAATCACAAATTTATATATGAAAAGGCCACTTGGTCCTTGGATATAATAGCTGAAAATACTTGATAATGAACTTTAATGTAAAGTTTTTACTTCATTATCCAACACTACACAACAAGTCACAAAGGCGTAACTGGGTGATACTGACCTTTTTGTATGGTACAAGCCAAGAAAGTAAAGAGAAGAAGGAGCTATAGAAAGAAATACTCAATTTTGCAGGCCTACCTTGAAGGACTGTCAAAAACAAAAACAGAAACAACTGATGTGTCACACAGAAACAAATCATCATAGCGTAAGGCATTTTTCATAACAGTTGGCCTTTTCTGGGAGGTTCACACGTATACTAGGCCCTCATTTATCTTTGCTGAAAGTCAGTCATATGGAAAACCCAAAACAATATAATGATGCCTAAAAAATGTTATGACTTAGGCTACATTCATTCAAATTCGTGAAGAAAAGAAGAAACTGAATTTTCTTCAAGTATTTTAAAATAAATAAAGTTTTATTATTTCTATACATTACGCACTGCAGGCTAACCAAAAGTAAGTGAGTAGACTTCTTTGGCTTGTTTATGTTAATTTGTGTTGATGTATGCACTGTATCAAACAACTACTACTAAAGTTTTTTAAAAATACTTATCCAGTGAATTGATTCCACTTAAATGTTACTTCATTCAGTATTCAATAAATACTTACTGTGGACAATACAGCCAGCCAATGTGATAAGCACACAATATATACATCAGTGAATAAAAAGCATAAACCTAAGGTACCAACTAAACATCAACATCACAATCAGTGTCACTCTATGGGGCACTGGACACTTTGTAAGTTTGACCTTTTAATCTAAAAACAATCTACTTGGCAAGGTTGGTACTTTATATCCCAACTTCACAGGTAACTAAAGAAAGTTAAGAGGGTTAAGTGTATTTCCCAAGGTCAGGAAAGATGGCAACTGATGGACGGAGTACGTGAACTCAGACAACCTGACGTCGAAGTCCGAGCTCTGAACCTGGGCAATCTACCATCCCTCATCTCAATCCCAGAATAACAGATCCTAAATTCTGAATTAGCCATGTTCAAATTATGTGGACCTTCCTGCCCACCCCCCGCAACCAAAAAAGGGCTCTAATGCAAGATTTACCTCCTTTTAAACGAATGCCCATTCCATGAATGTCCATACACTACACCTTCTGTGCTAAGTGGTAACAGCCAAGCTGGGATTAAAGAAATGCGGTAGATAATGCGTAAGTCTGATAATTAAGTCACTGTGTGTACACTTGAATGTGTGCACAAAAGGTATGGGTAATTAAGTCGCTATCTGATATCTCCCAGCATCATCTATGGTTCTAATAAGAAAAGAAGACATAATTACTCATCCTCAGTAAGTTTTTATTACAAAGGAGGAGAAATAGCTTCTTGTTACTTTTAATCCATTTTTAAGAAAATAAATTTGGTGGAGGGCGGGCAATCTCAATGGCAAGTGGAACCTAAGATGAAGTTAATTTCTCTGCAGCCCTTCTGCTGCTGTACTGTCGGGGAAGGCATGAGTAAAGGGTAGTGAGTGGCAAACAACTTATGAGTACAGACCAGGGATCAGAGAGAAATTCCAAGTGTTTTTCCTCCAGCTGCTCACATTTGACAATAAAACAACAAGAGGGATATGGTATTAAACGATAAATAACTTGGCCCCCACATTCACAGCAATAATGGAAATGTGCATTCTCCAAGGTAACTAGTAGTATGCATCCTTAGCTATTCCACATTCAGAACTAGTACTTAGAAAGTAGGCTGTTGGGGACACAAATGATACAGCAGCATTATCATCTATGCAGAGCCGTAACAATATGTCGAGCCCAGCTAACCATCACCTGAAACACTTTAACATCCCTAACTATCACCCCCAACTCTAAGGAATCTCTGTATCTGGCTTAACTTTAAGGACAATTTTCCAAGTTTTAATAAACAGTTAAGGAACCAAAATGAATCAATGTTATTAACCCAAAATAGTACTTATAGCTACATATACTACCTAGAAACTCATTTGGTATAAGTAACAGCTGAAACACCTATGTAACTTTAGGAAACCAAAAGCATGTTTTCCTCTACTGTATGAATGACGGCAATGCAAGAATCCACACTGAATTTCCATGGAGAATATTACAGGAGTGAGTTTGCTTACTTATCTGTGAATAAAGAAAGGTAGTAACTGCTACAAGGAACTACTTACTATACAAGGAACTCCTCAGTGTTAGACTGAATGAAAATTACTGTCTCCATGACCTTGTTAGCATTCTCAGACTCCATGATTATTTCCAGATGGCAAATTATTTGTATTATACTTCTTAATGCCTGGGTTTCCATAAAAATATGATTTGTTTTTCATAAACGCACAAAAGAAATCATTTCTTTTAGATCTAAAAGCGAATGCCCTTCTTGTCAATCCTATTCAGAATGTTCTCCAAAGAAGACTGACATCCAATAATGCCACAAGTTGTCTGTCACTTAGAATCTAACTAAGATCACTGAGGGAATGAACAATATTTTATACTTCTTCAGTCTCTCTTTAAGTGCTGAGTTCCATAAAGAACACAAAGAAGGTATTCAGTAAATGCCTGTGGAAGGCCCTGATTATAGCCCAAAACATTCCTATTTGCACTCTGTGATATAATGCTCCTCAATGATATTGACTCATTCAGAACAAAACCCTCAAAGTAACTAAGTCACATGGTGACCTCTAAAAGCTATGGGAGGGCAGCAGAAGGGTTGGAGATGTTAACCTAGGCTCTTTCCATTGCAATTCATGAAGATCCACTCAAGCTAGCCCAGATGAGAGCTCTCTACTCAGAGTGAACAGGATAATCTAAGAATCCTGTGGGAAGAACATCAGTGCAGTGGGACCCAGGAGAGTCAAGGAAGAGACGGCTGTGCACGCACTTCCCTTGGCAGTCTGCTGCCCTTCCCACAGCTTCCCTGTCCTCTGCTTTTCCGAGTTTCCTTCCCTAGCAAGTGAGCTTGCCTATGTCAGCCCTAACCTTGCTCTTGTCATTCAGGTAATTCTTTTTTTATTTTTAATTTCTACAGACATATTAGGGGTAATTCTTGAATTATCCATTCACCTTTCCCCTCTACTAACTGCCTCAGTCTCTCAGTTTCTCAACTCTAAATTCTAAAAATGAAATTTGGCTCAATTAATCTTTTCATGCCAGGCCACAAGGATCACAGACTGTCATTCCGAATTACTAGACCTTCAAAAAGCTAAATAAAGACTTTGCCAGCTATTTTACTAATTAGTTCAGAAATCTACGGTGCGAAGCGACCTTTTTAATCAACAATACTTCTTTCTCCTGCTTCTAAGTATGCACTGTCCATAATTCTACCCTGCCTCTTCTGCTCGCCTGAGCTCCTGCTTTTGACTACTTGTTCCATAAATACTTTGGTCAGCGCATTCAAACAAAATCAGACATCTCCGTTTGTAAATAAGCCCAATCAAATGAATACTTCCTAAGAGAATGAAAGCTTCCTAACAGAATACATAATTCCTACCTTTAAAACCTCAGCTCAGTTAGGAACTTAACTGCTTGATACTATCATAGCCTCCACCTACCCTGTGGAAGCATGGGCTCGAAATACACCTACTAGTGTAGGATGGTGGTGTCCTTATGTGTTTTGATGGTTGAATATTAATAAAGCAGAAGCCATGGATCCTATCCCCATAGGCAAGATAACCACACAACCTATCATCCACACTCAGACATTTTTGAGAGTGAAAGGGGAGGCTGTTTAATAGTCTGGCAGGACAACAGACAGGGATCAGGACATAGAGGCAGCTGTGTTCTATACCACAGACTCGATTCTAAGGGAATGCAGCAGCAGAATTGAGAAGACGACCCAGGTCCCCACATAAAATACAAAGACCCTTCTCCTTATCTCACATAGAGCTATTTCATGAAATGTGACCTAAGGCCCTCGGTCCAATAAACTGCCATTATTCTAGTCTCAGTGACTGGCGGTACATGTCTCCTCCTCCCCACGCCTCACCTCATTAGCTTTTGTTGTCTTTAACATCGTAATCATACCTACTAATGTGTATCATAAAGGGCATTCACCCAGTTATTTTTACAGTGCCCAAACATACTTTATACACAAAATTTCACCGTGGCAAAGGGATTCTCATTTATAGTATAAACAATGAAACACGTCTCTCAGTTATAACCCCAAACCAACTTTTTATTTTGTGATTATTAAAAAGATAAAATACCTAATTACTCAACATTTCAAAGCTATTGGGTTTTTGTTTCTTTCATTGCTCCACTAGTCATGTTATTTGCTGTGAGCAAAATCAAATTCAATTTCTTCTTCTTTTTAAAATCTCACAGAGAAACAAAGCTTATTTCCTCCTGCTCATGTTTTTCCCTTATAGCTTCAGTAAACTGAAGGAGAAAAAAATCTTGATCATTCTCATCTATTTGATTATCTTTTACTAAGTACAGAGAAGTAAGAAAATAAGACAGTGGAAATAACTATATTTATTCCCAGAGCAAATATTTCATCATCTGTTGTTCTTACACAACTATGAGGATGTGCCGAATACAGAACCTCAAACAAAAACATGAGAAACAGCAGTGTGTGATTTAGAAAAAGGCATCTAAACATACTGCACCCTACTTCCCACATATTTTTGTAGATAGCTTTAATGTGTTGTATTAGACCAATACTGACAACAGAAGCTTCAGCTTTTATTGCTGTTAACACCCTGAGCAATTACCGTAACTCAGCAGGAACTTCTGCCCAGAACAGCAACTATCACATTGTAATCAGCATTTCATAAGAGATGCCTGTTCAAACATGAAGGCACCTGCTAATGTGCAAAAACTGTACAAACGGGGGCTCAAGATCTAATAGGTAAAATAAAAATATTTACAATTTTATTTCACAGCTATATATTTTTCATGGTGCACTGATGTTTGGTTTAGTAAAAATCACACACAAAGACAATGGGCAGGAAAAGGGCAGTAGCAGCAGCCACTACCAAAACAAAACTCTTCAGGAATAAGGCTGTACCCGTATTTCAGGTGTCAGTGCTGTATCTGTTAAAAAAAAAAAAACACACTTTGGAAGGAAAGATACAATAAGTAGCAAAGACCTCTAAAAATGGTTTTTAAAAATTCATATAGACATAAAAATTGGATAGAAAGCATTTGATTTACAAGATTAAACTGCGAGGCCACCTTGCAATGCAACCAGAAAAGGTAAAAGCCGCCTATCAAGAATAGACCCATCTTAGAAGTAAATAGCACATTTGACTTCATCTTAAAACAGTAAGCATGCAATAACTTAAGCAATAACTTTTTAACAAAGAAAAATAATGTGACTTTTTTTTTTTTACTGAATATACTAATTTGGTACTTGGGCCATTAAAAATGATAAAAAACAAAGGAGATGCAGAGAAAGATCTTTTCAAACTACATTTCTTTAGACTGAAATATCACATACAACATATGTCAGAAAACAAACATTGTCGAATTACAAAGCGTGTTGGAAATAACAGCATTCACAGATAGTGATACACATCTCTACAAAGCTAAGGAATTAGGAATTCTCTACCCTTAAGAGTACAGACAGTGGTTCACAATCTTCAAAGTACTAGGGTCCCTTGTAAGATCAAAATGTTTCAAAAGATTCCCAAATGATACTACTTCAGTAGTATTTCAAATACCAATTGTTTGAGGAAAATAACAAACAAACGGTGGTTCCTGCCAGGCATGGCAGCTCACATTTGTAATCCCAGCGCTTTGGGAGGCCAAAGCAGGCAAATCACTTGAGGTCAGAAGTTGGAGACGAGCCTGGCCAACATGGTGAAACCCTGTTCTCTGCTAGAAATACAAACCCTGTTCTCTGCTAAAAAATACAAATATAAAAATAACAGCCGGTTGTACTGGCACGCACCTGTAATCCCAGCTACTCGGGAGGCTGAGGCAGGAGAATCATTTGTTTCCGGGAGGCAGAGGCTGCGGTGAGCCAAGACTGCACCACTGCACTCCAGCCTGGGTGACAGAGCAAGACTCTGTCTCAAACAACAACAACAACAAATAGTGGTTCTTAACTGTGTATTGCTTTTAAATAAGTGAAATTTTTAAAAATCATAAAAGCATACTGAAAACAGGCTGAAAAATCGTTGTCCAGACGTGTGAGATCAATTCATTTATATAAAGCTTAGCATGTTTATTTGCAGACCTCTGCCAAATCTCTGCAGACATCCAGCGATCCAAAGCCTAAAGTGTGAGAACCACTGGCCCTAAAAAAGCGATTTCATAATGAGGAACATCAACACTTATATATTCAGGAAGAATTTTTAATGAGAAAGTACAGCAGCTATGTCCTCGCTTCTGCAACACATGCACTAAAACTGGAAAGAAAGTATAACAGCTTTACCACGCCCAAGCCAGACTTCTTTCAACCGTTACCCCGGGAAACCCCCACAACAATTTCAACATATGCTCTACACCTGCCGAAATATTGAAGGAAGTGACAGATTTCCACTGGAAACTATTCTCTGACCCGTTTATATTATTTCCCCTACTCATCAATTTACTGAATTTACTTTACTTTAGGCTCTTAACAATGGCTGAGAAGAAACAACCTACTTCAGAAATTCAAGGGACTACCCGAAATTGTCAAAACAGTTACTAAAGGGATAAAAACTTCAGAAATATTGTTTACAATATAAGCATTATGAGAGTAAGTGTTACAAAGCTGAAAAGATGGAACTGGTAACCCTCATTTCAGTGCTACTGCCACGAGGCAGTTAGCACTCAAAAGGTGAACTGGTAACCACGTCAACAGCGATGGAGTAACAATAAGAGATAGCCAATGGAACTGGAAAAAGAGAGAATACAGAGCAGAGTGAACGGCACATTAAAAATGCTTACCAGTTTGAAGTCTTGAATGCTACAGATGAAATACAGTGTGTTTGGCCTCCAACTCTCGATATACACACAGTCTTTAAAAGAAAAAGAAATTTTAACACAATGGAATTTACCTTTAAGGAACAAAGACAGGGCCCATAAAGCCACTGCATAAATGACAAAGCATATATCTTTTATTGTAAATTTTTTTCCAAAAGATGATATTAAATTGCAAACATCTTTAGGCTAAAGGAAAACAGCCCTTTGGTTCTTTCTGATTATTTTTCTAATAATTTAAAGAATCTGATGAAGCCTAAATTATTTTCTTCAGAGTCCCTGAAGAAGGGGAGGATTCCAAGGGATTATCTATATTCAGATGAAGACATTTAGATAAAAGAAACCGCTTGCTCAAGATCACACATCAAGATGAAATCTTGAGTATCTTATTCAGATAGATGCTCACATGTCTTCAAAAAAGAGAAACGTGCTACTATATTTGTAATAAATATTTTGTGAGGAAATAAATTAAATACGCAAAGATGACTAGCTTGAACATGCTACTACAATGACCTTTTCAGCTAATCAAAAAGAGAAAGAAAACTAATCTCTTACAGACAATTTGCCATTAAATTGTACTCTAAACACATTTTATTTTCTAATTGTAAACAAAACCAATGCCACTAATCAGAGATGGAATAAAGTAAACCAAACTGCATTTTCTTCAGGGAAGAAGGGTGCTTTCTTAAATTACATTTGACATGGCAGTGGTTGGAAAATAATTTTTGATTCTCTCAATGACTGGAGTGTAAAGCATTGCTTTTTTTTTTTTTTTTTGGCTGGTCTCCAACTCCTGGGCTCAAGCAATCCTCCCACCTCAGCCACCCAAAGTGTCAGGATTACAGGCATGAGCCACCATGCTTGGCCAAGGTTGCTTTTTAAAATGCCATGTTAAGACACTTAAATAAAAAGCAATGATTTTAAGGAAAGCAGTGGCTATAGAGAGAGTTAACCTCCTCCTACCCCCATATCACAACCTGAGATCATCATAAAGCTTAGGTCAGGAAAGTCTATGTATTATTTATTGAAAAGTAAAGGCACAGTCAATCAAATCTAGTAAGAGTGACCATAATGCCTCATTCATTCATTCATTTTGCATAGACAGGGCCTCACTATGTTGCCCAGGCTAGTCTCAAACTCTTGGGCTCAAACTATCCCCCTGCCTCGGCCTCCCAAAGTGCTGATCTACCTAATGCTAAATGACGAGTTAATGGGTGCAGCATACCAACATGGCACATGGATACATATGTAACAAACCTGCACATTGTGCACATGTACCCTAAAACTTAAAGTATAATAATAAAAAAAAAGAGTTAACATATTTTGTTCCTTTCCCATGATTTAGATGTGCATACGCCCTAAACAAGCAATCTGTGGTAACTCTGATTCTTCAGTCACTAAGAAATTCTTACTGCCCAATAGCTGAGTCTAAATCAAAGATAAATACAGACAGTACTGTAACCTACACACATCATTTAATCCTCACAGCAGATTTTTAACTGCTCTAAAACCTCCACTCTGATCAATTTATATCACACGAATACCTTCTCAGTTAATCTTCAACCAAGAAATTGTAGTTGTGAATGCAAATTTGTCTGTATTAAGTTCTAGCACTGACTTTTTTGTGTGTGGGGGGGAGAGGGGTGGAGATAGGGTTTTGCTCTGCTGCACAGGCTGGAGTGCTATAATGTGAATGGGGCTTACTGCAGCCTTGCCCTCCTGAGCTCAAGAGATTCTTCTACCTCAGCCTCCTGAGTAGCCGGGACTACAGTCTCATCACACTCCCAGCTAATTTTTTACTGTTTTGTAGAGATACGGTCTCACTATGTTGCCCAGGCAGGTCTCCACATTGCTCAAGCAATCCTCCCGCCACCTCAGCCTCTCAAAGTGCTGGGATTACAGTCATGAGCCACTGCGCTCAGCCCCACTGACATCTTTTGAAATTTAAAAAACTCCTGTGTGGGAGAATGAAAATCTGGAACTTGATGTGAAGTTCAGAACAGTAACAGCATTCCTCAGTAAAATGATTGTTCCAGATTATGGACATAACACAGTAAAGCATTTTAATCTCTTTCTCAGAAAAACATAAAAATGGGCAGCTTTAATCTGCTAATTACATCTCATATGAAATTCATGTCACTCTTCAACAGTAAAAGTAACTCAAACAAAATGATTTCACCTAGGTTTTACTGGCTTCTGTAAGAAAATATCTTGTTTTTTTTTTTTTTTTTTCTTTTGAGACAGGGTCTTGCTCTGTCGCCCAGGCTAGAATGCAGTGGTGCAATCATGGCTCACTACAGCCTCGACCTCCCAGACTCAAGTGATGCTCCTGCCTCAGCCTCCTGAGTAGCTAGGACTACAGGTGTATGGCACCAGGCCCAGCTAATTTGTAAAAATTTTTTGTAGAGATGAGGTCTCACCATGTTACCCAGGCTGGTCTTGAACTCCTGGGCTCAAGCAATCCTTCTGTCTCCGCCTCCCAAAGTGCTGGGATTACACTGTGCCCAGCCTAAAAAAGGTGTCTTAATACACACAATACATCAAATGAAAAGGAAAGGCTTTGCTAGTGTTCAACAGGTTTTGACTCACTTGTTTCCCTGATCTCATCTAAAAGTTGAGTCTGTCTTTTTTTGAGCAATGCTGTAAGCCACAATATACTGGCATGACCATAATACATTTTCCGGAAAACCAAGCAGGTTAGATGACTTCTTCTATTATCGTTGATTAGAGAGCCTGAAGCTCAAATTTTTGGAAAAGGAAGTTAGCAGGAGCAATAAATCTCTGATCTTCAGGCCTTTTTTTTTTTCTTTTTTGAGACAGAGACTCGCTCTGTCGCCCAGGCTGGATCTCGGCTCACTGCAACCTCCAACTCCTGGGTTCAAGCAATTCTCCTGTCTCAGCCTCCCAAGTAGCTGGGATTAGAGGTGCACACCACCGAGCCCAGCTAATTTTTGTATTTTTAGTAGAGACAGGGTTTCATCATGTTGGTCAGGCTGGTCTCGAACTCCTGACCTCAGGTCATCCACCCACCTCAGCCTCCCAAAGTGCTAGAATTGCAGGTGTGAGCTACCATGCCTGGCCTAAAGGCCATTTTTAAAAAGTACCTCTCTAGAGTCTGGTCGATCCTGTCCCAAGGTAAAATTTCCTGTTTCCAAGAATCTTAAGGTTTACTTGTCTCCACCAAGCAGTCAATTCTGCAGGGTCACCACAGTCTCATTTATGATTGAAGATTAAAAACCAAGCATGAATTCAAAAGACAAAAAAATACTAAGCAGATGGTCAAGTTAGAGAACAAGCAGCATAGGAAAATAAGAAAAGAACTCATGAATGCATAAACCAGGACACAAGACCAAATTAAGGCAGACACAAGCAAGAAGTGGGTAAACCTAACTGACCAAAAGTGGGTCACATGTTTACCAAATTAAGTTTCCTACTCTTCTAGATTCCAAGCCTTCCTTAAAGTGTACAAAGTGTATTTATTTCACCTTAATGCTAAGATCATTCCCCCATTGTAAACACTGGCAAGACCCAAATGTAAGGCTCCTTACCTCCTGGTCTGTAGACAACATCATCTTCAGTGATGTAGGATGTTATCTCGCCGGTATCTGTCCTTTCATAACGAGACGTTTTCTTCGGTGGTTTCTTCTTGTTCTTCTTCGTGGACTCCTCTGTGGTGGCACTATTGTTGTCATTGTCCTCGTCTTCACTGTGATCACTCTCAGCATAATTTTTGGCTCCTCCTTCCAAGGTACAGCTCCGGCGTGGCCTTGAATTCTCACTCTCTCTTGCTTTGTCTCTTTTCTCTCTCTCTCAGTCCCAGTCTCAGTCCCGGTCCTTCTCTTTGTCTTTGTCTGCTGTCATGATTCGCCACATGCCTTCTTCTGTCCTCTCACGGCTAGGCCTCCGTGAAAGGTAGACAGTAAGCCTGGGCTTCAGTCTTCTGAATTTCTCACTCAATTCCAGGGAAAATCCAACCACTCCAACAACCCCAATGTTTCAAAAATGCTAGGAGAGAAAAAAGAATGGTTTTAATGCTTTTTCATATTTGTTTCCTAAAATAATGTTTTGTTAAATGAATCTCTTACTTGTTCACGCTTTACACCTAAAAACTTCACACAAGCCACAGGAGAAAAATTAAGTGTTAAAATTTTAAATATACAGTTTTTGGTCTCAGCAAATGGTCTGGGGTTTTCTACGACACCAATAATAAAAACTGTCTGAATGCCTAAGAGTAAACTACACTTCCTCTACCTTACATGTTTTCTCCTTTTTAAAGAAAAAGCAAAGCAATACCCTGGTTGACAACATATATTGGATATTATTATACAAAAGGAGCTTCATAACCCATAATATTAATTTAAAGAGGAAAGAATCTATAGTAAAAATTATTTCCAGGCCAGGCACTGTGGTTCATGCCTTGTAATCCCAGCATTTTGAGAGGCCAAGCCAGAAGGACCACTTGAAGCCAGGAGTTCAAGACCAACCTTGGCAACAAAGCGAGATCCCATCTCCAACATAAAATAAAATATTTCTACCTGAAAAAATAGTAATAGTTTGCAGCACTGTCAAAAATGTCTCAGGATAGGCCAGGCACGGTGGCTCACGCCTGTAATCCCAGCGCTTTGGGAGGCCGAGGCAGGTGGATCATGAGGTCAGGAGATCGAGATCATCCTGGCTAACATGGAGAAATCCTGTCTCTACTAAAAAATACAACAAAAATTAGCTGGGTGTGGTGGTGTGCGCCTGTAGTCCCAGCTACTCAGGAGGCTGAGGCAGGAGAATGGCGTGAACCCAGGAGATGGAGCTTGTAGTGAGCTGAGATCGCACCATTGCACTTCAGCCTGGGCGACAGAGCGAGAGACTCTTGTCTCAAAAAAAAAAAAAGAAAAAAAGAAAAAAAAGGCTCAGGATATTGCATAGAGCACTATATTCTAAAGATATTTTCTGGCTACTTCTACAAACTCCCAGAACTTCCTTCAAGAATAAAAATAATATTTAACTCAAACGAAAGTGAGAGATTCAGAGCAAGATTTTTCCACCTTCAGTTACATTTTACACATCTTTTCATCCTACCATTTTCAGTTATGTTCCAAGGAAAATGATCTCTCTAAAGATGTATTACTGGCCAGGCATGGTGGCTCACACCTGTAATCACAGCACTTTGGGAGGCCAAGGCGGGGGGATCACGTGAGGTCAGAAGTTCGAGACCAGCCTGGCCAACGTGGTGAAACCCTGTCTCCACTAAACACAAAAAGTAGCTGGGCACGGTGGCACACGCCTATAGTCCTGGCTACTTGGGGAGGCTGAGGCAGGAGAATCGCTTGAACCTAGGAGGCAGAGGTTGCAGTGAGCCGAGATCACACCACTGCACTCCAGTCTGGGCGAAAGACTCCGTCTCAAAAAAGAAAAGAAAATGTATTATCTCTGCCTTAACAAAACCTAACAGCTTCCAGAAACAACCTTCCATCTTTCGGGAATATTAAGTGGTTTTTACAGTCTTCCAAATTTCTACTATAAATGGTATCCCTAATAAAGTCCTCCCCAAAAAGAAACCCAACAAGAAAAGTCTGAGGTTTTTAAGCATCTGCAATGGGAAAAGTGAATCCCAAACTCCAACCCAACACAGTTCTTACAAATATTTTATAGCAGGAAAGAATTTTGTCTTTCTAAGTCAGTTTTGGAATAGACCTAACAATAAATTTATAAATAAATAATTCATCTTTTGTTTTTCTTATGATCTTCCCCAATACCCTATGTCACTTATTCCACAAATCTTTACTAAATACTATGTGCCAGATGTTAGAACTAAAACCACAATGGAGGAGAAAACTCATGGTCCTTGTTCTCAACGCTCAAATGCAACAAAAGGAGGCAACTGATCAATCTAAGAAGCTTCTGTTTCTCATGCAACTAGGGCGAGAAAGGAAACAGTGCATATAAACAAACAAAAGATTGGTCCTCTTTATTTAACAACCACAAACAAATCGGTTTGCAGTTATATGCTTCAGATGCAGAGAAAATTCTCTTTGGTCAGCCAGGCATGGTGGCTCATACCTGTAATCCCAGCACTTTGGGAGGCCGAGGTGGGCGGATCAAGAGGTCAGGAGATCGAGACCATCCTGGCTAACACGGTGAAACCCCATCTTTACCAAAAATACAAAATATTATCTGGGCGTGGTGGTGGGCGCCTGTAGTCCCAGCTACTCGGGAGGCTGAGTTAGGAGAACCACTTGAACCCAGGCGGCAGAGGTTGCAGTGAGCTGAGATCACGCCACTGCACTCCAGCCTGGGCAACGAGACTCCATCTCAAAAAAAAAAAGAAAGAAAAAAGAAAATTCTCTTTGGTCATGCTAAAACCGTAACAATTACCATATATTCTCTGCAGCGCTGTTAGGTCAAACCTCATGCCAGAAAAGACCTCCTCATAAGCATCTCAAATATCCTTAGACATTCAGCAAAATAGAAAGTATTTAGTCTTTGGGAGATAGGTGATGAAGGAGCAATCATGCATCATAAGCTACATTAGAAAAAGGAACGCATGTAGCACAAAACTAGATTACTTCCTTCTATGTAAGAAACATGCTTTCAAATAGGATTTCCATTTTCTAAACATATTTCAAGAAAAGGAAAAATTATCACTGCCTACAAAAGTTTTGCCCAGATCAACCGTCTGCTAAACAGATATTCATAAACTCCAAAGTCCTGGTAGGCTACTAGTGCTAGCAACTGAAAATACAGAGACGTACTACTTCCTCGACCAGTCTTAAGTTTAGAGCATGAACGAGCCAATCATGAAAGAAAGAAAATTATCAGGCCAGGGGCGGTGGCTCATGCCTGTCATCCCAGCACTTTGGGAGGCTGAAGCGGGCGGATCACCTAAGGTCAGGAGTTCGAAGCCATCCTGGCCACCATGGTGAAATCCTGTCTCTACTAAAAATACAAAAATTAGCTGGGTGCGGTGGTGGGCGCCTGTAATCCCAGCTACTCGGGAGGCTGAGGCAGGAGAATCGTCTGAACCCAGGAAGCGGAGGTTGCAATGAGCCGAGATTGTGCCATTGCACTCCAGCCTGGGAGACAGAGCGAGACTCTGTCTCAAAATAAAAAACAAACAAAAAATGATCAGCTAACACCATTGTTAAAATGTTCCTCTTTGACCCTGAAAACTCATCAGTGTCTACTGGGAGTCCAAAAAGAATAAAAAGCTTGGGCTGAAAACCTCTCCACTGCAACTGCAGTTTCGGACAGAAACACTTCTGATAACTTTAAGATGGAGCACCCAACACAAGAATGGATGGATGGATGGATGGATGGATGTGTGGATGAAACGATGGAAGCAGGGATGGATGACGGATGAGTGGGTGCATGAATGGAAGGATGGATAAATGGATGGACGGGTGGAGTGGGTGGATAGGTAGAATGGATGGGTAGATGGATAGAATTGGTGGGTGGGTGGATAGTGTGGGTGGGGGGATGAATAGTGTGGGTGGGGGGTGGGTGAATAGGGTGGGTGGGTGGGTGGGTGGATGGATAGTGTGGGTGGGTGTGTGGATGGGTGGATAGATAGGGTGGGTGGGTGGATAGATAGGGTGGGTGGGTGGGTGGATGGACAGTGTGGGTGGGTGGGTGGATAGACAGGGTGGGTGAGTGGATGGATGAATAGGATAGGTGGGTGGGTGGATGGATGATAGGATAGGTGGGTGGGTGGATGGGTGGGTGGGTGGATGGGTGGGTGGGTGGATGGGTGGTTGGGTGGATGGACAGTGTGGGTGGGTGGGTGGATAGACAGGGTGGGTGGGTGGATGAATAGGATAGGTGGGTGGGTGGATGGGTAGGTGGGTGGATAGGATGGGTGTGGGAGTGGTGGATGGTGGATAGACAGGTGGGTGGATAGGATAGTGGATGATGGGTGGGTGGATAGGATGGGGGATGGTGGGTGGGTGGATAGGATGGGTATGGGGGTGTGTGGATAGGATGGGTGTGGGGGTGGTGCATGGATGGATACATGGATGATTCAGAGATCAAATTAAATTGTCCTCAGCAACAACATTAAAAAACAAAAAATAGAAGAACAAGAAACTGTTCCCTTCTCTGAGGAGGCAGCCGTAGCAGAACTAACTGATTAAAAACCACCTCCTGAATTTTATGAGCATCAGAAAAGTCCAACTCCAAATTGGGCCATTCTGAGACAATTAAGTCAAAATATGTGAATTCATTTACACAAATATGGGAAGAAAAGGAGCTCCTGGTGAAATGAGAGGAGAGGTTTGCAGGGCCCTGAGGAAGAGGCAGGGGATGCCACCCAAGGGTCAGGGACCTGGAGACGCTGCAGGCCCTGTGGAGGGAGGGGCAGCTGGAGTCAACCAGAGAGGACACCAAGGGGGCAGTGGGCACAAGGAGTGAGAGAAGAGGGAGGTGAGGCAAGAGTCCCCCCACTCTTAGGGGTTGGGGGAAAAAAGGTAAATATGTGAGTATATATAAAAGACAATATTTTCCTCGTAATTTTTTTAAAGGTACATTCATACTGAAGCAAACAACAATACTATATATATTGTGATGTCTATAGCATAGATGTAATATGTACACTTGCCACAGCAAGGACCGGGAAGGCACCTGGTTGCAAGACAGTGACCAGCTTCTTACACTGCACAAGGCGGGGTACAGTATTAACTCTAAGCAGACTGTGGAAAGTTCAGTATCTACAGTGTCATCTCCAGACCAGCCACTAAAATCATGCAACAAAGGAAGCCAACAGATAAAAAATGGAATTCCATGAATCTGCTTAAATGAAGTTTTAGAAATGGCAAAACTAATCAATGGTGGAAAAGAAACAGAACAGAGGGAGAAAGAGTTTTTAAGGCCTGGGGGTTGGGGGTGGGAGAAGGTGGGAACTGACTGGAAAATGGTGGGAGGGAATTCTCTGAGCAATGGTCATACCGCACAAAACCCCATCAAGGCTTATTGCTTCTGTCAAAACTGAAGTGGTGGCCGGGCATAGTGGCTCACGCCTGTAATCCCAGCACTTTGCGAGGCTGAGGAGGGCAGATCACAAGGTCAGGAGTTTGAGACCAGCCTGACCAACACGGTGAAACCTTGTCTCTAATAAAAATACAAAAATTAGCAGGGCATGGTGGTGCGTGCCTCTAATCCCAGCTACTCAGGAGGCTGACGCAGGAGAATTGCTTGAACCTGGGAGGCAGAGGTTGCAGTGAGCCAAGATCGCTGCATTGCACTCTAGCCTGACAGAGCGAGACTCCATCTCAAAAAAAAAAAAAAACTAAACCAAAAAAAACTGAACTGGTGAAAACACTCAGATGACACACTTAAAATATGTGCATTTCACTAAATGTAGGTTTTACCCTTAAATGAAAAGAAAAAAAGGAACCCCAACAAAATATTAGACTGCGGTACTGAGGACTATCAGTTACACACTCTGTGCTGAATGAATAAAAACGAGCCGCTGGGGCGAAGGCAGGGAGAGGAGCTTTGTCACCAAGAACATGGATCCCGCCCAGGGCCGGCCGCGCACTTGGGGCAGCCCCGGGCATCAGCAGAGCTGGAAGAAGCCGGGGATGAGGTCACACTCCCTACTTCTACCAGCCGCAGAGTCTGGGGCTCTCTTCCTCGTCTCATTTCATATTCCTCAGGTTCTTCCTCTCACTTTAAATGATGAAGTCAACACATAAACAATTTTAACTTCACATAATAAAAATAGCCACTCACTGATGTCATCTTTGTCAAATTATTTATACTTAACCTCTCTGTGTCTGTTTTCTTATTGCTAAAATGGGGACAAAAATAGAACCTAACTCATGGAGCTGTTATGAGGATTAAATGAAATACATGCGACACCCTCAGAGCAGCCTCCTGCACCTGGGGAACACCGACACACCCCCACCGCATCCCCCTGCAGCCTGCTGCCCCTCACCACACACACCTGGGGAACACTCACATGCCTCCACCACATGGCTCCCCTGAGTCTGCTGCCCCTCACCGCACACACCTGAAGAACACTGACACACCCCCACCGCATCCCCCTGAGCCTGCTGCCCCTCACCGCATCACACCTGGGTAACACCGACATGCCCCCACCGCATCCCCCTGAGCCTGCTGCCCCTCACCGCATCACACCTGGGGAACAATGACACGCCTCCATCGCATCCCCCTGAGCCTGCTGCCCCTCACCGCATCACACCTAGGTAACACCGACACGCCCCCACCGCATCCCCCTGAGACTGCTGCCCCTCACCACATCACACCTGGGTAACACCGACATGCCTCCACCGCATCCCCGAGCCTGCTGCCCCTCATCGCATCACAACTGGGGAACAATGACACGCCTCCACCGCATTGCTCCCAAGTCTGCTGCCGATCACTGCACGTGCCTAAAACACTGACACGCCCCCAGGCATCACTCCTCTCTGTAGCCTGCTGCTCCTCACCTCATATCTTTATTAGCAATTGTAAAAGGAAAAATAACATTGATAAATTAACTTCCTCAATACAATATTAATGGTATGCTGGTTTAAAAGCCTTCCACCTACTTAAAAAACAACCCACACATATAAGTGCTTTGAGAAATGACACACTGCACGACGTGTGGCACAATGCAATGTGGAAAGTTCAGAATCTACACTGTCATCCCTAGACCAGCCACTAAAATCACGCAGCCAACAGGAATTCCATGATTCTGCTTAAATGAAGTTTTAGAATAGGCGAAACTGATCAGTGGTGGAAAAGAAACAGAATCGAGGAAAAGAATAGAAAAAAGGCCCGGGAGTCGGGGTGCAGTGAAGGCAGGAACCGACTGGAAAATAGCCTGAGTTCTCACATATGAAAGATACTCTACCAGGAACCTGGAGTCAGGAGAATCTCCCAGAGGTGGCGTGCAAGTTCTGTGAGTATCTATTTGTGTCCGGGTGGAGTTTACACACCACACAGTCCTTCCCATACAACCTAAATACTCCGTGCTTTCAAAGTATCTCATTAATTTTACTAATTTTTTTTTTTTTTTTGAGACGGAGTCTTGCTGTTGCCCAGGTTGGAGTGCAGTGGCGCCATCTTGGCTCACTGCAACCTCTGCCTCCCGGGTTCAAACGATTCTCCTGCCTCAGCCTCCTGAGTAGCTGGGATTACAGGCGCCCGCCACCACGCGCGGCTAATTTTTGTATTTTTAGTAGAGATGGGGTTTCACCATATTGGTCAGGCTGGACTCAAATTCCTGACTTTGTGATCTGCCTGCCTCGGCCTCCCAAAGTGCTGGGATTACAGGTGTGAGCCATAGCGCCTGGCCAATTTTACTAATTTTACTAATAACTAGGTTGTTAGTATTATTCTCAGGCTTCTAAATTTTATTAAAATGCCCAAAACAGAGTAGGGGTGAGGGTTGTTCCTCTTCCCCATACACTAAATCTCTTCCTATTTCAAACAGTTTAATCTTTTTTCAAGTCTAGACTATAATCCTTCTAGCACTAGTTCCTATATATACATGTTTTAATCAGAGTCAGTAAGAAACCTAAGGATAGGCTGGGCGTGGTGCCTCACACCTGGAATCCCAGCACTGTGGGAGGCCGAGGCGAGCAGATCACCTGAGGTCAGGAGTTCAAGACCACCCTGACCAACATGGTGAAACCCTGTCTCTACTAAAAATACAAAAATTAGCCGGGTGTGGTGGCAGGTGCCTGTAATCCCAGCTACTCAGGAGGCTGAGGCAGGAGAGTCGCTTGAACCCGGGAGACAGAGGTTGCAGTGAGCTGAGATTGCACCATTGCACTCTAGCCTGGGTGACAATGCGAGACTCCGTCTCAAAAAAAAAAAAAAACCTAAGGATATAATTTCTTTCTGGTAATTCTATTGATGCTTTTATGCAAATGTCCCAAATAATTAAACAAATGATTCCATAATGCTCCCTTCTTAAGAGTTAATCTAATGTCACTGTTGAAAGTATAAAAGAAATACAAATGAAACCTTAATTAGAATGAGTAACACTTTTTCAATTTATTGACACTATGTAGCAAACTAAAACAGACATTACGTAGCAAACTAAAACATCGAGGCTTACCATGATTTAAAGTTTTAAAAGCATTAAATAAATATAATCCAGACAAACTTACATGCAGAACTAAAAATGTTACTCCATGGAAATCAACTCATCCACACACATGCCTCCACAGGAGACGAGGCCACCAAAGCATCATGATGCCACGCAGCTTCTTCCTAGCTCTCAGCTAACGCATTCACAACCTTGTATGCATGCAACCCAGGTAACCTAAAGCCCAACTCTCATGTCAGAGAGTTTTTCCCAATGAAAGCTTTTGTAGGCCAGTTTTTTCTTCTTCTTTTTCTTTTTTTTAAAAATAGAGATGGGGTTTTGCCCTGTTGCCAGGCTGGTCTTGAACTCCTGGCCTCAAGTGATCCACCTGCCTTGGCCTCCCAAAGTGCTGGGGTTACAGGTGTGAGCCAGTGCACACCTTGCCTTGCATGCCAGCTTTTGAAAAATATAAAGTTAAAAATAAGAAAGTAGGGCCAGGCACGGTGGCTCACGCCTGTAATCCCAGCGCTTTGGGAGGCTGAGGCAGGCGGATCACAAGGTCAGGAGATCGAGACCATCCTGGCTAATACAGTGAAACCTTGTCTCTACTAAAAATACAAAAAATTAGCCTGCCGTGGTGGCAGGCACATGTAGTCCCAGCTACTCGGGAGGCTGAGGCAGGAGAATGGCGTGAACCTGGGAGGCGGAGCTTGCAGTGAGCCGAGATCGCGCCACTGCACTCCAGCCTGGGCGACAGAGCGAGACAGTGTCTCAAAAAAATAAATAAATAAAAATAAGAAAGTAGAATACAAATGTTAAAATTCAAGTTAAACTTCACCAGAATCTACAGCTACATAATATATGAGAGGTAGTCATTGGATAAAAGCAAAAATTAAAAAGATAAAAAGTATGAGTTGGTAACAGGAGTTACTACTGTGGCCATTGAAAAGAAAAACCAAAAGGGAAAAAAGCACTTGTATTATGGCGGCTTTTCATCCACCCAACACCTCCTGCCCCTAGGTTTAACAGATGCTCTACAGGTGAGCCCCTAGTAGGTGGTAGGAACTGCTAGGCTCTAGTGATTTAAAAAGTCAGTCTCTGCCAAAGTCAAAGTCTTGGGCAGAAATAGAACACAGCACATAAGGTCTAGGATAAGGATGCAACAACAAAATGACTGGTATCTACGAACCAATAATGGGGATGGGGGTATCACAGGTAACCAGTGTCCAGTCTGAGAAAACAGCCTCTCCAAGGACACAGGAGAGAGAAAACACAGTGAGTAGGAGGAACTGCGCCCACAGACAGAGGTGTGTACGGACAGGCAGGGGGCAGATCACAAAGGCCATGGCACATCATGCTAAGACCCGTAAGCCAGAAATGAGGCTCCTGCATGCATTTGACCAGGACCATTCCAGTGACACAAGGGAACTGATGTTAGAGACTAAGAGGGGGCCAGTGAGACCAGAGGGGGTTATGGAAGCAGACCCAGGCCAGGGAGACCAAAAAGGGTTACAGTGGGCAGACCCAGGCCAGGAGACTAGAATGTTAATGAGGCTAGACCTAGGTCATGATCAGAGTTGGGCACATTAGTGTTATTTCTAAAAAGAGTTAAGGTACCAATGCTTCTAAACTATTTAATCAGAAAATAAAATGGAGCAGCTACGAAGTTGTTTCTTGTAGACTTTACACAATGACATCAACTGACTTGCATTCTAACACGGATTTCTGATCAGAAGCAAAGTGGAGTTAGGCTAGGCTGGGGCCATGCTGGTTTCCTGAAGACTATTCTAATCTATGTCCTGCTTCCCTGGCATACTGCCTCAAATCTAAGCCTACGTCCAGAGAAGTGTGCCATGTATGTGACCACCATGGCAAGTGTGGTAGGGAGAGAAACGGGGGAGAAAGGGGAAGTGGGAGGGGAAAGGAAGGAGAGGAAGAAAGGAAAGTACAGGGGGAAAGAAAGGGAAACCCTGAGGGAACACTGAACCGGGGCTGTAACGGTGTCACTGGAGACAAATCTAAAGATATTTAGGACTTGGTCATAAACCAGCTGGAGGGGATAAAAAAGGGCATCTCTATGACAGGCCTCGGCCTCTGGCTGGAGGGGATTAGAAGGGAAGGACAGAGCAGGTCAGGGTTAGTGTCTTGGTCTGTTTTGTGTTCCTGTAACAGAATACCACAGAGCAGGTAATTTATAAAGAAAAGAAATGTATTTCTTACAGTTCTGGAGGCTGCAAAGTCCAACAGTAAGAGCCTGCATCTGCTGAGGGCCTTCCTGCTGGGACATCCCATGGTGGAAGGCAGAAGGGGAAAGGGCGAGAGAGCCAGAGAGCAAGCCAGCAAGAGGAGCCCCACACCGGCCTTCACAAAAACCACTCTCAGGTGACAAGGATATTACCTCATTGTAATGGCAGTGGCAGAGCCCTCGTGACCTACCCACATCCCAACACTGCTGCACTGGGGATTAAGTTTCTAAGATGCAAACTTTGGGGGAAACATGGGAACCATGGCACGTTGGAAGACAGAAACCCGCCTTTGCCACACTGAGCTACTGGGAACCTTCAGGGGCAGCTGGAGGTCTGGTTGAGCCTTTAGGTTTTTTGGACTCATCAGTGAGACTGGCAAAACCACAGCTAAAAAGGTCACGAATTATAAAGCAAAAAGAAAGAAGAAAAAGGAGAGAAGTCTGAGGAATAATATCATCAAAAGTGCAGGAAAGCAGAGGAGAAACTGAAAACAAATGTCCAGAGAAGAGGAAAACCAGCAGTGCCAGAACTGGCGGAGGCAGCGAGATCCCAGCCGGCCCGGCACACCCAGGCTGCAGAAGCCACCATCCGGAGCAGGCGCCTCGCAGCCATATTTATTCCAAACAAACCCCCCCCAAAAAAACCCTTCCTGGGGATTCCTCTGTGTAGGAAACCCACAAGAACAAATGAGAGGTAAGAAACAAAACCAAGAGTATCCAACGAACCTGGCCAACATGAGGTCATCTGGATGGAGACATCCATGAAGCAGAACGCAGGGTCCAGAAGTGAACCCAAATAGATGTGGGAGTAAACGAGAGACAGCTCAGATCTGGGAGGGAGAGCAGAGGCTATTTAACAGATGGCACTGGGACAAATGGGCTGTCATCTGGAAAATATAAAACTAACTTTGTACCTTATACCAAATCAATTCCAGATGGATCCGTCTGATATAAAAAGAGAATGACACAAGTTCCATACCAGGCGACACTGCAGGGGGCTGTCTTTAGAATGTACGGGGCATCATGTGTATTATGTATGCACAATACATGCATATGTACAATACGTATGATGAGAAACGCATTATACATTATGAATTATGACACGAAACCCAGAAGCCACACCAAAAAGGACTGATAAATATAGCATTAAAAAAAAAAAGAAAAGAAAATAATTGCATGGCAAAGTCAAAAGACAAGATTAAAAACCCAGAAAACAAATACATGCAATTCCTACTAAAGATGATTCCTTGAAACTTATGGAGTTTCTAAAAACTAAGAACCCAGCCAGGCGCAGTGGCTCACGCCTGGAATCCCAGCACTTTGGGAGGCCGAGGTGGGTGGATCCCTTGAAGTCAGGAGCTTGAGACCAGCCTGGTCAACATGGCAAAACCCCATCTCTACTAAAAATACAAAAAAAAAAAAAAAAAAATTAGCCAGGCTTGGTGGCACGTGCCTGTAATCCCAGCTACTTGGGTGGCTGAGGCAGGAGAATTGCTTGAACCCGGGAGGCAAAGGTTGCAGTGAACCGAGATCACACCAGTGCACTCCAGCCTGGGTGACAGAGTGAGACTCCGTCTCAAATAAAGTAAAAATTAAAAAAAGAAAAGACCAACAACTCAACAGAGATGAGCAAAGGAGACAAACAGCTCACCAAATATCAATGAAATAGTTTACTTGAAACAATATTCAACCTCATTCCTAAGATAAAACTACACCACACCAGGGTAAGTCTCCACCTAACTGAATGGCTGCAACCAGCAAGTGGCTAACTCACTGGGCTCGTTAAAGGTTAGGGAAACAGGCCTTGTACATGGCTGTGGGAATTCTAAAAGCAGATCTCGGCAACAGGTAAAATAATTACAAAAGCACAGACCGTTTGACCCAACTCCACTTCCAGATTTCTACTTCACAGGTAGACTTACCTGAATGTGAAAGGTCCCATCTGTTGTCTGTAACATGTAGGTGATATGTATATAATATGTAAATTACACTGCACTGGTTTGTAATAATACGATGGAACAAAATGTTATCAACAGGGCCTGATTAAATAACACATTTGTGCCACTGAACAAGCTCTTTATGGACTGACAGAGAAGCCTCATCTGGAAAGACTGCCAAGAGAAGACCAGGAGGCACCTGTGTGTGCAGTGGGACATCAGGTACCTACTTGTAAATACATATGGTTTATCTGGAAGGTTCTAAGAGGAAGTGTGCTGTCTGCAAAGAGGGGAACTGGATGGCTGGGAAGAGGGTAAGAAACATGTTTTTTACATGTGAAATAAAAGTTATCAATACCCAGGGAAAGGAGAACCTTGCCTGACCCTTAAAACGTCCTGGGTGCCCTTCCCTGCCATCTGTGGGAGAAGGGACTTTCCATGCAGCAGCCTCTGGCACTTTTCCATTTCCTACCTCTGGTTACATTACCGATTTAAAATCTTTCTTCACTGAAGAGACCTGCTGAATACTTTTCTGTAAAAATTGTTTTTGTCAAAGAGGTTCAAGGCAAAAGGCAGGTCACAGGAGGCTGAGGAATAACTGAAAGTGAGGAACTAGAGACAGCAGGAGTGACTTCACGAAGCGTGGCCACGTTACAGCATGAAGAACAGCGTGTATGTAAGATCTTACGTGTATCTAAGCATGTGTATGGTTTCTTGAAAGAACGTATGAACATATATGTGCACAAACACGTCTGGAAAGACACACAGCAACCTATTCGCAGGGACCAGCACCACCCAGCGGGATGGAAGGCCTTTTCTGCTAGCTGCTCAGGGAGGCCTCGGTGGTGAAGCGACCAAGAGAAGAGGGGCTGGTAGAGATGAGTGGTGTTAAAGCCGGGGTTTTGTTGGCTGGTAGAGGTGAGTGGTGTTAAAGGCGGGGTTTTGTTGAAAATACAAATCAGAGAACCATTATGGTTTATGGGTCAGGTGAGGCTAGAGGTCAAAGACTGGACTGAAGGAGGGAGACAGAAATCACAAAGTTCAAACGCTGACCTACCAGTGACCCTGAGGAAACAGAGGGCTGTGATCAAACCAGCGGTGAGGGACCAGCCTTACACAGAAAGGAAACACAAGAGAAACTAAGGAGGTGTCCAGGCCCAGATAAGACATTTCAAGGGCGAGTGATTTTTCTGTGAGCCTGCAAAGCACCCACCCCACTGGCAAGCTGGGTAGTGAATGGCGGGTGGGGTCCACAGTGCCCCTCTCAGGGTGAGCGGCCAGGTCCAGGGCTTTGTGGCCGACATGTGAAATCCTGTCCTGCTTAATCATGCTCTGATCAGACATGACACACGGCTGCTAGAAGAGCAATTCTGTCTTGCTTCTGTCTTCTCACTTTAAGTAGCTTCAGGTCTTTTAACCCAGAACAAAACAGAAACTGCTAAGAATTAACGTATTTTGTTCATTCTGGATGATCTCTTTTTACCTTTGACAGGAAATGTTTCTACAATGTGTCAGGTCTCTCTACAATAAAAACATCTACAGAGACTGGAGAAAAAAATTACCTTGCTAAAACTAATTTCTAAACTGAGTATGTTAAGACTGAAGTCCAAAACCAAAAGCCCTTCAATAATGTACCCTAATTAAGTAACTTGCAGCTACACTTCTTACTTAAACTAACAAGATAACTACTGTTCCAACTGGCAGTTTTTCAAAAAAAAAAAAAAAAAAAAAAAAGAAGGATCTTTTTCTAAAATCTAATCCCTCTAAGGTGGGGGGCGGGGGAGAACACTAAAGTAGAAATTTTTCCTAGCATAACAAAAATTTCTTCGTCATCAATTCAACAAAAAAAGATGCCCCAGTGCAAGTACCTCTTACTATTCTATTCTACTAGTTGGACTCTGAAGTTTTAAGACTCATGTAGATTTGTTGGAAAAGCATGTTAAACCAAAAGGTAGATGAAGTTTACAGGACTAAAGAGAAAATGGGTAAACTAAAGCCTAAGTAAACGGTAAGCTTCACCTGCAGTGACAAGACTAACGCAGATGCTTATCTCCAATTATCTTCGCACTTGAACAAATGATACCATCATATTACTCATCATACCCAAATATGACACAGAATTTCCAGTTTCTACAACTGTGCTCCAGAACACAGTAGAAAACAGCAAAACTCAAATGTGTGTTCAACTAAATGAGGCAAGTGTGAACTAGCTCATATCAAAGTAAATGGCCTTCATTTAATGTGAGGGCAAAGGACAGTAATTAAAGTACCACATAATCCAAGCCATTACACAGTAGATGGCAGTGCTACTGCAGCTCCATCATGGCATCAACAAAAATACTACCACCAAGAAAGCAATCAGAACTGCATCCCAGCACGGTCACGCACTGCATAAGGATGCTTCCACCACTGACAGACCACACGGACCAGGGATCCTCTAAGATTCTAATAATGCATTTTTACTGTACCTATTCTGTGTTCAGATACACAAATACCACTGGGTTACAACTGCCTACAGTATTCAGTACAGTAACACACTGCACAGGTTTATAGCCGAGGAGCAACAGGCTCTACAATGTGGCCCAGGGGTGTAGCGGGTTCTGCCACCCATGTTTGTGCAAGTACACTCTGTGGTGCTGACACAACAAGATCAGCTGAGGACGCTTTTCTCAGAACGTATCTGTGTCCTTAAGCAGCACATGACTCAATTCCCGTATCATGTACTGTACTGTACTATGAAACAGCACAGTGTTTTAGACCTGTAACAGCTGGCCAAAAAATAAAAATAAAAATAAAGATCCACTATGAGTTAGAATATTATTTCCTGTATCTCCTGTAATGCAATAAAAAAAAAGCAACGTATACAAAGACAGCCAGAAGACTTAGTTCACAGACAAGTTCATAGACCAGGCGGTTCCCAGCTGCCCAGGAGAACGAGTGTTAAAGATGGAGACAAAACAGTGCTTTTAGGTCACAGCTATTCCTTTAACCATCAGTGACAACAGCTGCTCCAGAGAGAGTCCGTTCTTATGGAATGCTAGATGACTCTTGGCTGCAATAGGCCCAGAGTTTAGGGCTAAGGGAGAAACCACTTTGCCTGATAACCAGACGATGAACTATCCCATGTTTCACCTCTGAACTGCAATGATTTTCAACAGCTTACAAAAAGCAACAAAGCAAAAGCTGTTGCTGATCTTTAGACAGACATTTTCAGCAGGTTTATTCACAGCATTTGTGTCTATCTGAAGTTTCTACAGTGCTTACCCTCAGGTACTCACAATGCAAGCCACAGAGAGTTCCAGAACTGTTCCACAGAACATATCCCTAAAGGAAGACCACCACCCCCACCACACCCCTGCACCAAAAACTTTAAAAACATCATTTTTTTAGTACCCCCTTAAAAAAATCAGCCCCATGAAGCAGTTCATTATCCATACCCTGAGGATGCTGAAACACAAACAGCAGGGCCCTCACAGCTGAAGCTCAGGCCCCTGCCCACCAGGCCCTGCTCCCCCATACCTGTCGCTGACCAAATGCACCAGCCCAGAGGCTCTGTACTGACAGCACAGAGTTCCCTGCCACCTCCACCTGCAGCTCCCCAGGCTGGCTGAGGCCACACCTACACAGCTCTGCACACCGCACCTAGCAATCTACCAGGTGGAACAGGAGCCCTCAGGACAGCCCTGCACCGACACGTACGCCAGCGGTCCACAGAGGATGCTCTAAGTGTTAGGCACAGTGCACGGGGATGAAGATAAAGAGCCTATTAACCATGAAGACAAAAGTCTACAAGCAAGCATGTGAAGCAACCCCAAGGTCCACCCGCTGAAGAACGCGTGAGCACAGCTTGGCCTCTTCACACGGGAACGCCACTCGGTTGCGAAAGAGGAGGAAGTGCTGACACACCCACAGCATGGAGGGGCCCTGACATCACCAGAGTGAAGGAAGCCAGTCACAAAGGGCCACACGGTGTGTGGTCCCCTTACATGCTACGTCCAAAAAAGACACCCATAGAGACAAAAAGGGGTGGTCAAGGGTTGGGGGGAGGGGGAATGGGGAGCGACTGCTAATAGGCACTGGGTTTCTTTTTCGGGTGATGGAAACATTCAGTGGCAGTGGTCGTGCTTGCACAGCTATGTGACTATACTAAAAACCACTGACTTCACTTTAAAAGGGTGAAGTATATATAGTATATGAATTCTCTTTCAATAAAGCTGTTATTTTTAAAATAAGAATAAGCATGTGCACATACCATAGCATATTTATTATCACTGACAAAAAGAAAAAACTGCAAAGGATTTAACTATTTCCAAAACTATGGTCTTTTATTTACGTAAAATAGGCATTGGAAAGTCTAAGCCAACTATCCCCCACAGTTGGCACCCTGGAACAGGCGACTGCAGGAGCAGCAAGCAGCAGCATTACCGGCCACTAGGCAGAGTACAACTAATTCAGCCTATCATCAGTGTGGCTACTGGAAGTATTTTTCTTTCTGAAAGTAAAACACAGGTATGTCTACTTTATACTCCCCCTACTTTTACACCTCTAGAAGTCCTCAGAATAATAAGAATTTTTAAATAAAAACACAGGGTTTGGATAAGGAATTGCAAATAATGACTATTTCGGAAAATACAGTTAAAATAAATTTAAAAAAAATTTTTTGAGACAGGGTCTCATTCTGTTACCCAGGCTGGAGTGCAGTGGCATGATCATACCTCACCTACAGCTTCTACCTCCTGGGATCAGGTAATCATCCCACCTCAGCCTCCCCAGTAGCAGGGACTACAAGTGTGTGCCACCACTCCTGGCTAATTTTTGTATTTTTTGTAGAGACAGGGTTTTGCTGTGTTGCCCAGGCTGGTGTTGAACTCCTGGGCTCAAGCGATCTGCCCATCTTGGCCTCCCAAACTTCTGGGACTACAGGCGTAAGCCACCTTGCCAGGCCAAGAAATAAAAATTCAAATTGGATAAAGAATTTAAAAAGCAATTAACATTTGTATCTCTAAAAGAAAAACACAAAATCTCTAAGCTCAAAGAGTTCAAAACAAAATACAACAGGCTTACAAAAGAATGCAGACAGCTTTAATGGGGCTGCTTTTTCAGGAATATTTAGAAACTAAGAAAGCAAAATACTTAAATGCTAGATTTCATCTGAGTTGCCTGCTCCAAGCAATAAAGGGTTCATCAACGTCAGCCTTAGCTTTGAAGCAGCACAGAAACGAAAGTTAAATGAATGGGGCTGAAATTAGCTTAGCAGTGACACTAGGGATGTAGGGAAAACTAGAATCCACGGTTGTTTTGAAATACGGAAATGACAGCCCAAGGTTACTCCTTATAATAATCCTCTCATTAAGGGTCACAGAATCTTCCAGTTTTCCAAAGAGGAAACAAAAAAATTGTCAGCTCCAAGTAACTATTCAAAAACCAATTTAGAACACATAAAAGCTCATAGCCAAGATGTAAATAATTCAATCTATAAAACATGTCTTGCTTTAAGTTAGCATACCTCTATAAAAATAAATGTTAAAAGCCGGAGAGGCCATAAGGGAGAAAGCAGCATTTACTGCACCTCTGCTGGAAGCTCACGTATGTTACCTATGTAATCCTCAACACAAGCCTGTGAGGTAGGTTACATCCCCTCCACTGCAATAGGGACAACACTGAGAGGTAGAAGGATCCTGGCCAAGGTTGCACGGCTGGTAAATTCAGTGCCCATGGCCTTGGGGCTGGGGGGGAGGGGGGGCGGTGCAGGGGTGAGCTGAGAGGAATAGATTAGCTCCTTCATCTCGTCAAAGGGATTTCTGCTTGACAGAAAGGCTCTCCTATAAAAGACATTTTTGTTCCAGGTTTAGCTCACTGCCCAACCAAAATAATAATCACCACTGTCTGCATAAAGTGATGCACCCGTGCTCACACATTAAGAATCCCCTTAAAGAGATGACTTTACTGTAGCAACAGCCATAGAAATTATTAGTGGGTGGAATCTACACAAAGGAGTAACAAACAGCACATGAAACTGACCATAAATGACTGAGATTCCATGAATAGGCGACAATTTGCTGGCATGTCAAGGCTTACATGGATTACTAGAAACAACTACATTTCCTAGGACCCTCTGCGCAGCACACAGCCTGAAATGTAGGGTGGGAGCTGAACTTAAAAAGAAAACTATAGTCTTGGAGATAAATGTCACACACAAAAAAACCAATGTATGTACCACAACCACTTCTTAGAGGAAGACATTAAAAAAGAAAAGCCACAACCTAGGATTGAAAGACAGCTTTAAAAACACACACAAAAAACCTAGCAAACCAGACGGTGTTCTCAGCCACTCATAAAAGCAAAGTCTTATCAAAGTTTTAACTTCAAAGAGCTTAAAGACACTGCAAAGAGGCACTCAGCAAGACTGGTCCCGACTGCAACCTATTCCCTTCCAAAAAAATAATCAGTTTGTAATCTAAATACACATCACACCAGGTCAAAGTAATCTCTTCCGGTAGCAAAATTTTGGCACTGGATTGCAGGGGCCTGTTCAAAATAGCTGGAGCCCCAAACACTTTGCGTTTTCAGTTCTGAAACACTTAGACAAAAGTTCACATCGCTAAGTGGATGGCCAGGATGCCCTTCCGGTTCAATTTGGAGACGGGAGATCTTTAACCTAACCTAACATTCTTTAAGGCACCAGTGCCCTCCTACTCAAACGTCAGCCTGGGTTTTGTTTCTAAGGGTCGCCAATAAATAGGTTTCATGGGCATTTAAGGCTCTAGGAGTCTTTTTCTGTCTGTTACAGGTAGCCCGGCTCTTAAAAACGATCACACACAACGCTCACAGGCATGTGCACATTCATAAATACACACGTGTGCACACATACATGCCCACATGCGACACACGCGTACATCATACAGCATGCACGTGTCCATAAATGAGCTCACACGGACAGCCACGTCCCGCGCGCAGGCCCCCAGCAACACAGGCCCCAAGCAGGGCCTCCACCTGTATGGAGTGAGCGGCTCAGAAGGCGAAGCCCGGTGCCTTGCAATGTTCACCTCACCCGCGGCTTCTGGCATGGCCACGGCTCCTTCCTTTTCTAGTAATAAATACCAGATTTGGGGAAACCAAGGCGCCGCAATGTGTGTTATCTGTCACCCAAGGGTCCCATTAAGGGGACAAAGGCCTTATCGCGTTTGCAGCCGGCTAAGTGAAAGGAGGGCACTTGGGACTGTGAGCTCTGACCGCGGACGTCTCCCGCACCGCTCCCGCGGATCCTCGGACCCAGGGCCCCTGCAGCCGCTCCTGCCCAAGGGGCGCGAGGCGGAGATCTGGAGGCTTTGGGGCACGCAGAGGAGACTGAGGGTGTGGGCTCAGGGCCGCGGTGCGGTCTTGGGGCTTGAAGTGCAGACTTAGGGTGAGGAGTGCGGGCTTAGGATGGGGGCTTGGGACACGGGGTGGGGACTTCGGATGTACGGTGGAGGCTTGGAGAGGTGGGGCACACATTTGGGGTGCGACACAGAGGCTTAGGATGGGGCTTGGGACACGGGCTGGGGGCTCGTGGTGCAGGCTGGAGGCGTGGGTGGGGGGGTCGCGGCACAGGCTTGGAGGCCTGGGTGGGGGCTCGCGGTGCAGGCTGGAGGCTTCGCATACAGAGTTGGGGATGCAGGGTTGGGGTACAGAGCAGAACTCGGGGCGGGCACGCACCTTGTGGCAGGCCAGGCAGGTGGCCCCCGCCGCCGTTCAGGCTGCTCTGGATCTGCGTGAGCTCCTGGCACAGCACCTGCTTCTGGTGGAAGCTGAAGGCGCGGTGGTTGGAGGACATGGTGAACGGCAGCAGGAACTCATCGCCCGTGCGGCCCTCGTTGAGCTGCAGCCCGTAGTTGTGGATGATGGAGTCACGTGCGTGAGCTTGCGGTAGAGCACGCCCGCCGCCTCGCTCTGCTCCGAGCCCAGCAGCGCCAGCGACACCAGCAGCTTGCTGCGCACCACCTCGTCCGTCAGGTTGGTGAGGCTGCCCAGGTCGGCCGGGTTGTTGGCCTTGATCTCCGAGTCGCGCAGCGAGTGGTAGTCCTTGCGGGCCAGGTCCTCCAGGCACGAGCCGAAGAAGCGGACCTCGAGCGGCATGCACAGGTCCAGCAGGCCGCATAGGAACTCCACGCGCTGAGGCGACGGCAGCTCCGAGAACCAGCGGTACACGCCGTCCCTCTGCAGCGGGCAGCGCTTCTCCACCACGCTGCCGCCCGCGCCGCGCCGCGCCCCGGGGCCCGCGCGGGGGAGGCCGGGGGGCGCCGGGGGCCGCGGCCGGGGCGCGCCGGGACCGGGGGCGCGCGGGCCGGGGTCGGGTCCGGGCGAAGGCGCGCGGGCGCCGCGGGCCTGGCGGGCGCCGGGGCGGGGACCGGAGCCGGGCAAGGCTCCCGTCAGGGGCCGGCGGGCGGGCGCGCGCGGGGCGCCGTAGGGGGACCCGCGGCGGCCGGGGGCGACGAGCTGCCTTGGGCCCGCCGCTCACGGGGAGGCGCCTTCCCGAGCCCATGCCCGTGCCCAGCAGCGGCCGGTGAGCGGCAGCGGCGGCGGCTGCTCCTCGTCGTTGTCGTCGTCGTCGCCCGGAAGGCGGCCGCCCCCATCTCCCCCCGCGCCGCAGGGTCTGTCACTGCGGGCCCCAGGCCGGCCGTTACCCAGGGCCGCGGGCGCGGCGTCGCAGCCTAGGGAGCGATGGGGGCCGCGGCCGCGGAACGGGCGCTGGAGGGGGAGGGACGCAAGGCGGCAGTCGCGGAGGGATCCTGCCGGGACTTGCCGGCCTTGCTGCTCCCGCGCGGCGGACGGGCGGCGGACGGGCGGCGGCGGCGACGGCGACGACGGCAGAGCAGGCACCGGCCGAGGAGCAGAGGGATCGTCGCGCTCGCGGCTGACGGGCGGCCGGGACCAGCAGAAGTGGGCGGGGTGGCCGCCTCTCCGGACAGCCCGGGCCGGCCGGGCCCACCCTCCCCCCTCCCTAGCTGATTGGCTCAGGCGGCCCGTTCTCCGCCCGTGATTGTGCCGGGTCCCCAATCCCATTCGCCCATGCCGCGGCCACGCCGCCCTGGGGGGCTATGGATCATATTGGAGCCACCGCCTCTAGTCTCTCGGCGGCCGTCAGGACGCGATTGGTCCGCGGAGAGCAGAGAGGCGGAAAACCCGGGCTGGATTTCTGGTGGCTTTTGTTCCCGCAAATTTACGTGGAGCATTGTTTTTGGGCGAAAACGGGGCCTTCGGCCTTCCTGCTTTATTCCTGAGCGGTGTAAGAGGGAGGTAGTGGGTATCTTCGAGAAACGGCCGCCGCGGGGTCCGGAGCCCCGGGTTCCAATCCTGGGTCGGCCACTGCTAAGCTGTGTGACCTTGGGTGAGTCACTTGGCCTCTCTGAGCCCCAGGCGCCTCCCCGGGAAAATGAGGGTAATAGTAACCGCTCCCGGGGGTTTGTGCGAAGGTGTTCAGCTCACAGAGGGCCGGCACCGGCACTTTTGAGGCGGCTGACTTGCCCTGGGGGTGTGATGGGAGGTGCAAGCTTTCTCCAAAAGCCTCCTCCAAATGGAGCCTTTAAATCCGCCTTCTTTCCGCGGCTACTCCACCAGCTCGCCAAACCGAGAAAATGCAAACACGGGGGCGGGGGCAAGGGAGCTGACCTGGCTGGAAGTAAACAGAAACGCCACCCCTCCCCTGGCACTTGCATTGGCACCGGAGGATTGCAGGTGGGGGAAGGGCCTCTGCACCCAACCACCTTTAAATCCCACCACTTACACACAGGCAAAGAAGCAGAGCCGTGGCGGCTGGACGCTCATTCCTCCCCTGCCCTTCCCCTAGAGCGCTGCTTTGAATGTCTGTTGATCTAGAACGGGGTCTGTTCATTCCTGGGTTCCAGGTCCCAAGCGCCCGGGAGCAGCTGAGAGCAAAGCTGGCGCCCTCCCTACCCCGTGGAGCTCACACTCTGGTTCTGGGCAGTGCACAGTAGAGATTGGTTGAATCAGTGAATGAACTTTTTCAGGATATGATCCAAGGTGCTGAAAACTTCCTAACAAAACTCTTCAGCCGAATCTGGCACACCTATGGTTCCAGCTACTGGGTAGACTGAGGCAGGAGGATCGCTTGAGGCCAAGAGTTCAAGGCCAACCTGGGCAACATGGTGAGACCCCCCCCCTCCCCCCCAGTCTCTCCAAAACAAACAAACCCCACATTCTCCAGTCTTAGGTCTTCAAGGATGAACAGACATTGCAGAAAGGCACGGTTGGGAACAGAAAAAAATGATCTCCACTCCCCCAGCCCCCTCCACACCTTGGGCACATTTCCCTGGAGCCGCCCGAGTGTTCTTTGTCAGTGTAGGAAGAAGCAAAAATCTAAATGGAGTCAGGATGGCCTCCCACATGGGCACAAGGACAAGGCTGGGGACAGTTGGGTCTCCTCATCTTATTTCCCAGGTCTAGGCTGATTTCTATTAATAATTAAATTAATCGTTGTTCTCCTGGACCTCACTTCTTAATGTGATTCCAGGAAACTGGCCACATTCCAAAATTCATAATCTAAGGTAGTGAAATAACGTGAGCATCAAGACAGTTTGGCTGGGCTCAGAGGCTCACATCTGTAATCCCAGTACTTTGGGAGGCCGAGGGTAGATCCCTTGAGCCCAGGAGTTCGAGACCAGCCTGGGCAACATGGCGAAATCCCATCTCTACAAAAAATACAAAAATTAGCCAGATGTGGTGGCATGTGCCTGTAGTCCCAGTTACTTGGGAGACTGCGGTGGAAGGATTGCCTGAGCCCAGGAAAGGGAGGTTGCGGTGAATGGGGATCCCACCACTGCACTCCAGCCTGGGTGACAGCGTAAGACTCTGTCTCAAAAACAAAAGATTCATTTCTTATTGATAAAGCAAGCTCCTTGGAGAAAGATCTTGGAACCTCATTGGGAGTGGAGGTGGGGCTTCTTCAATCCAGCCGAGCTGGCTGTGAAACCCCCAGGGTTTGGTACCAAGTGAGCTCCAGTCCCAGCTGTGGCTGACTGTGTGAACTTGGCTATGCATTCAAGGGCCTCTGAGCCTCAGTTTCCTCATCTGTAGAAGAGAGCCAGGAACCCGTCATCCTGGCTAGCAGTGGAAGTCAAAGGTGCTCATGGAAAGAAAGTCCTTGCTGGCTGGAACAAGGGAGGCCTGAGCTGTGGAAGTCCTTGGATCAAGGTCCTCCCCACTTCCCGCTGCCTTTTTGGTCCTTCTTGCATGCTCTTTGTGATTTAATGGCTTAGTAGGTTGAATCATGTCCCCCCAAAGTTTATCTCTACCCCAAATCTCAGAATGTGACCTTATTTGGAAAAAGAGTCTTTGCAGATAATTAAGGTAAGAGTCAAAATAAAATCACACTGAATTATGGTGAGCCCTACATGCAATGAGACAGTCCTTACAAGATACAGAAAAGAACACATAGAGACTTCGGGGGAAAGGAGACTATGTGCAAGGATGGCAGAGATTGGAGCCGAGGGGTGCCTGGGCCTACCAGAGGCTGCAAGAGACAGGGAGGACCCTCCCCTAGAGCCTCCAGGGGGAACAGCCCTGCCCACACCTTGACTTTGGACTCCTGGCCTCCAGAACTGTGAGAGGGTAAGTTGCTATTGTTTTCACCCCCCCACACCTCACCCTCCCCTCCCCCTCCCCTCCCCCACCCCACCTACCCCTCCGCCATCCCATCCCCACCCCATCCCCCACCCCTCCCCCACCCCCCATTCCCCCACCCCTCCCGCACTCACACGTGTTGTGGTTATTTGTAGGGCAGCCAGGGAAACCGAAACAATGTCATTTCCCCCCAGAAGTCGGCGTGGCTCAGCTCAGTCCAGTTCACAACAAATATGAAATCCCTGCCCTACAGGACCAGGCCTCAGGAAGGGCTTGGGGGCCTCAGAGGCAAATGAGACCAGGTCCATCAACCATACAGAACTGACAACCTGGACTCCCCACTCTGAAGTAGGCAGACTGCCTGAGGGAGGGGGCCTCCCTCATGGGGAGAGGGCAGGCGCTGACCTCCCGGGCCCTCCAGCATTCTCTGGGTCCTGGTCCCGAGATTCTGGTTTTCCACACAGGGCACCTACTGTCTCACCCTTCCCTGACTCTGCCCGTGCACAAGGTGACCCCGGCTGCAAGCGTGCCAGGAGCTTTTCTCCACCTCTGCCTCAACATCTGCCGCCTCTCCTCCTCTGGAGAGGGAGGCAGCTGAAGGACACCAGCCCCACGCCTTGCTGGAGCAGCTGAGATCGCTGGGAGGAGGTTGGGAGAGGACTCAGGGGCTCAGGCTAGATCAGGAGGGTGTGCCCTGCCTCCTTGTGAGGGGGCCCAGCACCACGGGGAGCCCACAGTGTAGGGTGCTGTTCAGCCAAATTGGTTACCACTGGGTGTGAGGTCTGTGGTTGTGCAGGGTTGAAGGGCTGGGTGTCATTTGCCTCTGAGGCCCCCGAGCCCTTCCTGAGGCCTGGTCCTATAGGTCAAGGATGGGCTATTTGTTGTGAACTGGATTGCGCTGAGAGCCACACTCATGTTTAGGGGGAAATGCCATTGTACTGGTTTCCTGTGACTGCCCTACAAATAACCACAAAGAGGCAAGGGGAGAAGTGGGGCTGTCCCTTCCATAGGGCTGCAGTCAAGCACAAATGACTCTAATGGTATTAATTTTGAGAGAGAGAGAGAGATTTGGAGTTCACCACAAATTCTCCAAACAAACAATTTTACAAGGAGGACATGACCCGCCTGGCATTACTGCTTAGGTCTGAATGAGTGATACTGACTGCAGCAGGTGACCAGGCCAAGCCCAGAAATGGGCCACAGGGACCCCAAGCACATGCTCTTCCCCCAGACTGCCGCCATCTTGCTTTTCCTTCAGACCTAGGACCCTATGAGAGGAGGGATCTGGAGGCCAGGACAGGAGCAGGACAACACAAACAGAGGCCTCAGAAGAAGACTCAGAGTGGGACAGGGGTTCCTTAAGTGATGGGGGCTGGAAGTGCACAGAGAAGCCTGGTGCAGCAGGGAATTTTCTCTCCCTGGGGTGCTGCCAAGGTATGTGTGGTCTCCAGCTGCGACATGTGCTTCCTTCCCTTGGCCTGAGTCCTGCTTTCCTGTGATTGAGAAGGTTTGGGACCTGACACCCTGAGCATGGAGGCCATAAATCCAGTGGATCCCTAAACTTCCTGATGGGGTCCTGGCTCCAGGCCTCGGTTCCTGACAGCCTCGTGTAATTGACAAAACCCCATGGGGCTGTTTCTGATACTGCTATCAAAATTCCCATCATGCAGATACTGAATGGTCAAGGGCTTCGGCCCGTGCCACACAGTTAGTTCATGTTGGAATTGGATTCTGCCCTAAGTCAATTGCCCATATAGACTCTGCCCCTCCCAGGAGGAAACACAAATGTGACATATTGTTTATTTGCTATTTTTGCAAAGGTGTCTGTTGCTTGCCAGCTTTTCCAGCCATGACTGCAGACAAAGTCCACCTAGAGTCATAAATGGGCAATCGGCCCCGAACAACGTCCAGCCCCGGTTTCTGCACGGCGAGGCGTTTTTGTCTGTGGCAGACCTGCTTACCCGGGTGTCTTTGGTGTGGGGCTAGATGCAGCATTTCCCCAGTGGGAATGGCCTGGGGTCTTATTTAAAGTGGAGGGTCCTAGGCCTGGCCCCACGTATGGAGTCAGGATCCCTAGGGGTAGGACCTTGGAATCCGCATTTTTTTTGAGACAGGGTCTCACTCTGTCACCCAGGCAGTGGCACGATCTCAGCTCTCTGAAACCTCCACCTCCTGGTTCAAGCGATTCTCCTGCCTCGGCCTCCTGAGTAGCTGGTATTACAGGCACGCACCACCATGCCTGGCTAATTTTCTATGTTTTTAGTAGAGATGGGGTTTCATCATGTTGGCCAGGCTGGTCTCCAACTCCTGACCTCAAGCCATACACTGGCCTCGGCCTCCCTAAGTGCTGGGATTACAGGTACGAGCCACCGTGCCTGGCCAGGAATCTGCATTTTTGCTAGTAACCCTGGTCATCTCAGTGCACACCAAAGTTTGAAACCACTGTTGGGGTGTGGAGTTCTTGCTTCCAGACTTCCAGGGCCTATGGATTGAACAACAGCAGCCACAGTAGTAATTAGAATTTTCAGTCTGAACCACAAGCCTGCCATGCAACAAGGGTTTCCTCCCGTTTTACAGATGAGGGACCTGAGGCTTCATAAGGCTGTTATTGACCTGAGGTCGCACAGCTGATGGCTCCTGGGTTCTTAGCGTTAAGTTTTGCAGCCTTATTTCTGTTGTATATTTGTTTCTCATCTTTCTGTGTTTATTGCACTGCAATTGTGATATCCTCTAAAAGCCAAGGATGAACTCACTGCTGACCTTGGTTTTATTCGTTTGTTTATTTTCACCTTTTCTTGTGAAATGTGCAAACATACTCAAAAGTCAAGAGAATCATATGGTGATTTCTCATAGTCCCCTTTGGCCAGCTTCAGCAAAGATGACATTTTGCCACTCTTATTCCATCCATTTCTGTCACGCCACCCCTGACATACACACATGTTCTTTCTGGAGTATTTTCAAGCCAATACAGGATTTTTAAAAACATGTAAATGACTGTGTTGTTTTGTCTGATTATGATGCATTACATGTTCCTTATGAACAGCTTATACCTCAGTAAAAAACAATATAAAAAGCCACAAATCATCTCAATTCCCAGTATGTGCCACACACATATACACACCACATAGCACATACAACACACACACATTTCACACACACCACGTGCCACATACACACCACACACACATATACACACCACATAGCACACACAACACACACACATTTCTCACATGCCACATGCCACACACATGTGCTATGTGGGGTGTATATGTGTGTGGCATGTGCTGTGTATGTGTGGTGTATGTGTTTATGTGTGGTATGTGTGTGGCATGTGCTTTGTATGTGTGTGATGTATGTGTTTATGTATCTGTGGTATGTGTGTTATGTGTGGTGTGTATATGTATATGTGTGATATGTGTGTGGCATGTGCTGTGTGTGTGATGTGTGTTTATGTATGTTTGTGGTATGTGTGGTGTGTGGTGTGCATACATGTGGCATGTGCTGTGTATACGTGCAGGGTGTGGTGTATGTGTGTGGTGTGTGGCATGTGGTGTGTGTGGAGTGTGTGTGTGTTCTATGTGCTATGTGGTGTGTATATGTATGCCTGTGGTATGTGTGGTGTGTGAGGTGTGTGCATGTGTGTGGCATGTGCTGTGTATGTGTGTGTAGTGCGTGTGCTTGTGTTTGCAACACAGACACCCCCACCTGAGTTTGGTGCAAGCAGCACCTTGTAAGAGAGCAATTCTGACAGTCACTGCCACAGTGGCCGCCTTGCCTGGAGCTGGCCAAGTGGAGGCGGAGGCAGGGGCTTAACACCGGGGCTTCCATCATGAGCGAAGCTGGTGCTGGCTGTTATCATTTGCAGGTGAAACAACTGGGGCAGAGCGGTCACTTGCAAAGGACAGCCCGCCAGCCAGGGACAGAGCTAGGGCTCAGGCTAGCAGCCTCACGGTGCCTCTCACCAAGCCTGGACAGGCTAAGGGTTTTGGCACCAAAAACAGGAAGGGCAGAAGTGCCAGGGGACAAAGCACTTTCATGCCTCATTTAGCCCTGGTGACATGCTTTAAAAACAATAGATCATTATCCTTACCTGGCCGACGGGGAAATCAGGCCCTGGGGGAGGCCAGCAGATACCAGCAGGGCTAGGACTTGAACCAAGTTCTCCCGATCCCAAATCCCACTGCCCCGTCCCCTCCAGAGCGGCTGTGGGTCAAGGCTGGGTCTGGATGGTGACTCTGGCGAGGAGGGTCAAGTGGACCAGGTTCCTGAAGCCTCACAGCTGTGGCTGGTGTCCCGGATGCTGACGCCTGTTGAGACCTGCTGGTGGCTGGGGTTTCATGTCCTCATTTCCCTTGGCCCGCACAACAATCTTGCCAGTAGAACATTCTTCCCCTTTTACAGATGAAGAAACTGAGGTTTAGAGAAGCCACTTGCCCAGTGTAGACAGCGAGAAGGACAGGTCCAGGTCTGCTTGATGATGAAGCCTGTGTCTTCTTTGCTGTGTGATCCTCATCACGTTAGGGGATTCCTGAGGAAGCAGAGGATTTTGCCCTTGCATTTGAGCCACAGCAGCTCTAGTAAGTACATGTGTGTGCATATGTAGGTCCTGTGTTCCTATTGATGCTAATATGTACAAATTGCATATTAATATATATTAACATGTATTACTATATAATAATACATATCTGAAAGCTGGCTTCAGCTTAAGACTTTGTTTGAGAGTGGTTTGGGGGTTAACACTTTTTTAACCTGCTGGTCCACATGTCGTACGTATGATTCCTTGCACATATTTGAGTCTTGGCATGCCTGCTTCTTTTCTCTTACCCAGGGATGGCTCTTCACTAGGAGGCTGGCACAGAACCATCAGAACGACCACTGGTGTAAGACACAGTAAAGCCCCCCCGTGTGTTCCTGTGGAAGCTGGCCATGCCAATACACATAGACCAGAGGCTTAATTAAATTCTCAGCTCCTTGAGAGCAGGAGTCAGGGCTGAGGCTGATTAAGTTTGTCACTTTGGATTTCCAGCTCCAGATGGGTACCATGTATGCAGTTGGTGCTTATTAACTGTTTGCTGGTGGTCTTTCTGCCTTTTTTTTTTTTTGAGATGGAGTCTCACTTTGTCACCCAGGCTGGAGTGCAGTGGTGCGATCTCAGCTCACTGCAACCTCTGCCTCCCGGGTTGAAGTGATTCTTCTGCCTCAGCCTCCCCAGTAGCTGGGATTACAGGTGCCCACCACCAGCTAATATTTGTATTTTTGGTATAGAAGGGGTTTCACCATGTTGATCAGGCTGGCCTTAGACTCCTGACCTCAAGTGATCCACCCGCCTTGGCCTCCCAAAGTGCTGGGATTATAGGTGTGAGCCGCTGCGCCCGGCCGAAACCATTGAGTTTTACAAACTTCAGTGCCAATTTCTTACAGCCCTTGGGGTGTGGCCTGGGTTGGACTCTAATGAAGAGAATTGAATCTCCCAGTAGTCAGCTGGCATCTTAGCATACACTGAAGTAGGGATTGACATTTTTCTATGAGGACAGGCTTCAAAGTCTTGCGAGCTTCCTTGCTTTGTCCAGGGAACTGGGAAAGAAAAATTTACGGGATTTATGCTGTCTTCTGGGTAGGAGTGTAAGTTCCTGTTGCTGCTGTAACAATAATTACCACACAATTAGTTGCTTAAAACAACACAAATTTATTCTCTTACAGTTCTGGAGGCCAGAAGTTCAAAATGAGTTCCATGAGTTTAAAACCAAGGTGTCATCAGGGCTGGTTCTTTTTTTTTTTTTTCTTAAGACCGAGTCTCACTCTGTCGCCCAGGCTGCAGTGCAGTGGCATGACCTCCGCTCACTGCAAGCTCAGCCTCCCGGGTTCAAGTGATTCTCCTGCCTCAGCCTCCAGAGTAGCTGGGACTACAGGCACCCAACACCACACCCGGCTAATTTTTTGTATTTTTAGTAGAGACTGGGTTTCACCATGTTAGCCAGGATGGTCTCGATCTCCTGACCTTGCGATCCTCCCGCCTTGGCCTCCCAAAGTGCTGGGATTACAGGTGTGAGCCACTGCGCCTGGCTAGGGCTGTTTCTTTCTGGAGGCTCAGAGGGGAATCTATTTCCTTGTCTTTTCCAGTTTCTAGAAGCTGCCTACAGTCCTTGGCTCATGGCTCCTTCTCTATCTCCAAAGCGCATCACTCTGTCCTCTGCTTCCACAGTCACATCCCCTTCTTTTACCTTTGAACTTCTTGTCTCCCTCTTTTCTTTTCTTTTTTTTTTTTTTTTTTTTTTTTTTTGAGACAGGGTTTCACTCTGTCACCCAGGCTGGAGTGCAGTGGTGTGTTCACAGCTCACTACAGCCTTGACCTCTTGGGGCTCAAGCAATCCTCCTGCCTCAGCCTCCAAGTAGCTGGGACCACAGATGTGTACCACCATGCCTAGCTAACTTTTTAATTTTTTGTAGAGACGAGGTCTCCCTATGTTGCCCAGGCTGGTCTTGAACTTACTCAGTATCATGAGAACAGCATGGGGGAAACTGCCCCCATGATTCAATTACTTCCCACCAGGTCCCTCCCACAACATGTGGGCATTATGAGCTTACAATTCAAGATGAGATTTGAGTGGGGACACATAGCCAAACCGTATCATTTCACCCCTGGCCTCTCCCAAATCTCATGTCCTCACACTTCAAAACAGAATCATGCACTTCCAACAGTCTGCCAAAGTCTTAACTATTCCAGCATGAACCCAAAAGTCCAAGTCCAAAGTCTCATCTGAGACAAGGCAAGTCCCTTTCACTTATGAGCCTGTGAAATCAAAAGCAAGTTAGTTACTTCCTAGATACAATGGGAGTACAGGCATTGGGTAAATGCACCCATTCCAAATGAGAGAAATTGGCCAAAACAAACGGGCTACAGGCCTCATGCAAGTCTGAAATGCAATAGGGCAGTCATTAAACCTTAAAGTTCCAAAATGATCTCCTTTTACTCCACGTCTCACATGCAGGTCACGCTGATGCAAGAGGTGGGCTCCCACACCCCTCCCAGCTGCTTTCGTGGGCTGGCATTGAGTGTCTGTGGCTTTTCCAGGCGCACAATGCAAGCTGTTGGTAGATCTACCATTCTGGGGCCTGGAGGATGGTGGCTGTCTTCTCACAGCTCCACTAGGCACTGCCCCAATGGGGACTCTGTGTGGGGGCTCCAATCCCACATTTCCCTTCTGCACTGCCCTAGCAGAGGTTCTCCATAGCAGAGAGCTCCACCCCTGCAGCAAATTTCTGCCTGAACATCCAGGTGTTTTCATACATCCTCTGAAATCTAGTTGGAGGTTCCCAAACCTCAATTCTTTCTTTTTTTTTTTTGGAGACAGAGTCTTGCTCTGTTGGCCAGGCTGAAGTGCAGTGGCATGTTCTCAGCTCACTGCAACCTCTGCCTCCCGGGTTCAAGCAATTCTCCTGCCTCAGCCTCCCGAGTAGCTGGGATTATAGGGGTGTGCCACCACACCTGGCTAATTTTTGTATGTTTAGTAGAGATGGGGTTTCACCATGTTGGCCAGGCTGGTCTTGAACTCCTGACCTCAGGTAATCCACCCACCTCGGCCTCCCAAAGTGCTGGGATTACAGGCGTGAGCCACCGTGCCCGGCCCAGACCTTAATTCTTGACTTCTGTGCACCTGCAGGCCCAACACCACATGTAAGCCGCCAAGGTTTGCGGCTTGCACCTTCTGAAGCAATGGCCTGAGCTGTATGTTGGCCCCTTTTAGCCACAGCTGAGATGCAGGGCACCAAGCCCCAAGACTGCACAGAGCAGCAAGACCCAGGGCCTGCCCCTCGAAATCACTTTTTCCTCCTAGGCCTCCGGGCTTGTGATGGGAGGGGCTGCTGTGAAGTTCTCTGACATGCCCTGGAGACACTTTCCCCGTTGTCTTGTCAATTAACATTTGGCTTCTTGTTACTTATGCAAATTTCTGCAGCTGGCTTGAATTTCTTCTCAGAAAATAGGCTTTTCTGGCCAGGCACAGTGGCTCATGCCTGTAATCCCAGCACTTTGGGAGGCCGAGGCGAGTGGATCGCCTGAGGTCAGGAGTTCGAGACCAGCCTGACCAATCTGGTGAAACCCTGTCTCTACTAAAAATACAAAAATTGGCCAGGCGTGGTGGCAGGTACCTGTAATCCTGGCTACTCAGGGGGCTGAGGCAGGAGAATCGCTTGAACCTGGGAAATGGAGGTTGCAGTGAACCGAGATCATGCCACTGCATTCCAGCCTGGGCAACAGAGCAAGACTCTGTCTCAAACAAACAAACAAACAAAAAAACCCCAGAAAATAGGTTTTTCTTTTCTATCACACTGTCAGGCTGCAAATTTTCCAAACTTTTGTGCTCTACTTCCCTTTTAAACACACATTCCAATTCCAAACCATGCCTTTGTGAATACATAAAACTGAATGCTTTTAAGGGTATCCAAGTCACCTCTTGAATGCTCTGCTGCTTATAAATTTTTTCCACTAGATACCCTAAACCATCTCTCTCAAGTTCAAAGTTCCACAGATCTCTAGGACAGAGGCAAGATGCTGCCAGCCTCTTTGCTAAAGCATAGCAAGAGTCACCTTTGCTCCAGTTCCCAACAAGTTCCTCATCTCAATCTGAGACCACTTCAGCCTGGACTTCATATCACTGTCAGCATTTTGGTCAAAGCCATTCACCAAGTCTTTAGGAAGTTCCAAACTTTCCCACATCCTCCTGTTTTCTGAGCTCTCCAAGTCTCTAGGAAGTTCCAAGCTTTCCCACATTTTCCTGTCTTCTTCTGAGCCCTCTGTTCCAACCTCTGCCAGTTATTCAGTTCCAAAGTCGCTTCTGAACTTTCAACTATCCTTATAGCAGCACCCTACTACCAATACCAATTTACTGTATTAGTCTGTTCTCAGGCCATTGTGAAGAAATACCTGAGAGTGGGTTATTTATTTATTTATTTATTTATTTATTTTATTTATTTTTTGAGATGGAGTCTCACTCTGTCACCCAGGCTGGAGTGCAGTGGCACAATCTCGGCTCACTACAAGCTCCACCTCCCAGGGTCACGCCATTCTCCGGCCTCAGCCTCCAGAGTAGCTGGGACTAGAGGCGCCCACCACCACACCCAGCTAATTTTTTATATTTTTAGTAGAGATAGGGTTTCACCATGTTAGCCAGGATGGTCTTGATCTCCTGACCTCGTGATCCACCCACCTCAGCCTCCCAAAGTGCTGGGATTACAGGTGTGAGCCACCACACCTGGCCATTTATTTTTATTTATTTTTGAGATGGAGTCTTGCTCTGTTGCCAGGCTGAAGTGCAATGGCACGATCTCGGCTCACTGCAACCTCTGCCTCCTGGGTTCACACCATTCTCCTGCCTCAGCCTCCTGAGTAGCTGGGACTAGAGGTGCCCACCACCACGCCCGGCTAATTTTTTTGTATTTTTAGTAGAGACAGGGTTTCACCATGTTAGCCAGGATGATCTTGATCTCCTGACCTCGTGATCCACCCGCCTTGGCCTCCCAAAGTGCTGGGATTACAGGCATAAACCACCATACCCGGCCTGGGAGTGGGTAATTTATAAAAAGAGGTTTAATTGACTCACAGTTCCACAGAGCTGGGGAGGCCTCAGGAAACTTAAAATCATGGCAGAAAGCACCTCTTTACAGGGTGGCAGAAGAGAGAAAGAGTGCCAGCAGGGGAAACACCAGACGCTTATCAAGCCATCAGATTTTGAGATAATTCACTCACTATCACAAGAACAGCATGGGGGAAACTGCCCCCATGATTCAATTCCCTCCCATGGCGGGTGGGGATTATGGGATTACAATTCAAGAGGAGATTTGGGTGGGGATACAAAGCCAAACCATATCAGCCACCATGCCCAGCTAATTTTTTTTTTTTTTTTTGAGAGAGAGTCTCACTCTGTCTCCCAGGCTGGAGTGCAGTGGCGCAGTCTGGGCTTACTGCAAGCTCCACCTCCCGGGTTCACTCCATTCTTCTGCCTCAGCCTTCCAAGTAGCTGGGACTACAGGTGCCCGCCACCACACCTGGCTAATTTTTTTGTATTTTTAGAAGAGACGGGGTTTCACCATGTTAGCCAGGATGGTCTCGATCTCCTGACCTTGTGATCCACCTGCCTCTGCCTCCCAAAGTGCTGGGATTACAGGCGTAAGCCACCGCGCCTGGCTTTTTTTTTTTTTTTTTGAGACAGAGTCTTGCTTTATCACCTGGATTGGAATGCAGTGGCATGATCTCTGCTCACTGCAACCTCTGTCTCCTGTGTTGAAGCAATTGTCCTGCCTCAGCCTCCCCAGTAGATGGTATTGCAGGTGTGGGCCACCATACCTGGCTAATTTTTATATTTTTAGTAGAGACGAGATTTCCCCCATGTTGGCCAGGCTGGTCTTGAACTTCTGACCTCAGGTGATCTGCCCACCTCACCCTCCCAAAGTGCTGGGATTACAGGCATGAGCCACTGTGCCCTGCCCTAATTTTTTTTTTTTTTTTTTTTTTTGTAGAGATAAGGTCTCACTATGTTGCCCAGATTGATCTTGAATTCCTGGCCTTAAGTAATCCTCCCACCTTAGCCTCCCAAAGTGTTGGCATTAAAGGCATAAGCCACCATACCCTGCCAACATACGTAACTTAATCATATCTGCAAAGTCCCTTTTACCATGTGAGGTCACATCCACACGTTCTGGGGATTAGGACGTGGGCATCTTTTTGGGTGCCATGATTCAGTGCCACAGTGGGTACACAGCAAGCCAATGATGGGGGTAATTAAGTTAACATTAAATGTCCCATGAGTTCTATGTTATAGAGCAGTGATCATGTCCCTGGGGTGTGAGGTGATCCACTGAGGACCAGGAAGAAGAGATGAGATTATTGCTTAAGATTAAGCAAGAAATCAGGTTTTATGAATATTCACTCTGAGCTGACGCTGGCTCTCTGTACCCATGATGGTCTGGTCAGAAAAACAGAAAATGCACTGGTTAGTTTAGCAGAGAGAATTTAATATTGGTCATTGGTGGAACAAGGAATGGAGGACTAAAGAGGCAGAAGGGGGACCTGAGGTCACAGGCGGGGACACCCCTCAGGCTTGGTGGCACTGCGGTGGTGGCTCCTCAGCTGTCACCCAAGGGAAACTTGCAGGATGAATGGGAGTTTCACAGTGAAGTCCCATCGCCAGTCTGTTAGCTCTTTTTTTTTTTTTTTTTTTTAATGAGACAGGGTCTGGGTCTGTCAATCCAGGCTGGAGTGCGGTGGTGCAATCTCAGCTCACCACGACCTCTGCATCCTGGGCTCAAACAATCCTCCTGCCTCAGCCTCCCAGGTAGCTGTGACAAAAGGCATGCGCCACCACACCTGGCTAATTTTTATATTTGTTGTAAACATGGGGCCTCACTATGTGGCCCAGGCTGGTCTTGAACTCTTGGGCTCAAGCAATCCGCCCACCTTGGCCTCTTAAGTTGCTGGGATTACAGGTCTGAGCCACCACACCTGTGTGTTAGATCTTAAAATATGGCAACATATGTTGGTGAAGTATTGGCTTAGTAGAGTGGATCTGTAGCTTCTGGTACCTATCTTGTCTGGTTCTAACTAAATTCGATGTATGCCTTAAAAAGATTCATACAAAGGAACTGTGGAATGAAGGAAACACTAATAAGCCAAGCAGAGTAAAGAGTGAGAACGTATCAGAGCAGCTATCTTATTCCTGGCCTGAGCTCTTTATCAGACATATCCCAAGGTAAAAACAAAGGCAGCTAGCCAGTCAGTCCCACAGAGGACAGTCACACAAACCCTAGTTATCCAGAAGTCTATTCGAAGTACAGATTAGAAAATCCATCCCTGTTGACAATAATCCTCACCCCAAATGCATATTTTGCCTTGAGATGTAATGGAAACCATCATAATTAGCAAGACATTAAAAAGAATGTTGTTTGTTTAATCTTTTACTCGGCATTTAGAAATTTCCATTTTGGCTGGGCGCAGTGGCTCACGCCTGTAATCCCAGCACTTTGGGATGCCGAGGAGGGTGGATCACCTGAGGTCAGGAGTTCAAGACCAGCCTGGCCAACATGGTTAAACCCCATCTCTACTAAAAATACAAAAATTGGCCAGGCATGGTGATGTGTGCCTATAATCCCAGCTACTTGGGAGGCTAAGGCAGGAGAATCCTGAATCTGGGAGGTGCAGGTTGCAGTGAGCTGAGATCACACCGCTGTACTCCAGCCTGGGCAACACAGAAAGACTCCATCTCAAAAAAAAATCCATTTTGACAGGAGTTTTATGATTATACATAAAATATGAGAGCAGCAATGCATATATATAATTCATAAGTTTTAAGATACACATATATGGTGGCCACCTGCGGGAAAGGTTTTGCCCATTAGGATCTATGATCTAAACACTTTGGAGACTCCTGCCCTGAAGAATTCATGTCTATGAGCTATCCAAAAACCCAGACCAGGCCGGGCGTGGTGATTTATGCCTGTAATCCCAGCACTTTGGGAGGCCAAGGCAGGCAGATCACTTGAGGTCAGGAGTTCAGGACCAGCCTGGCCAACATGGCAAAACCGCATCTCTACTAAAAATACAAAAATTAGCCAGGTTTGCGGTATGCGCCTGTAATCCCAGCTACTCGGGAGACTGAGGCAGGAGAATCACTTGAACCCGGGAGGCAGTGGTTGCAGTGAGCCGAGATTGTGCCATTGCACTCCAACCTGCACAAGAAGAGCAAAACTCCATCTCAAAAAATAAAAAAAAACTCAGATTAAACAATGATTATAGATGTTTTATGAAATCAATCAAGAAAGTTCATAAAGAGGATGACCACAATTTTTTTTCTGTCTGCAAGATCCGTATTTGTTGTGCTGTGCCACATTAATAATTACATAACAATTATATAATGTATATATCCAGGCCTTGATAATTGCCATTGTCTACAAGATGCTCTAGAAGTCCAAAGGGAAAACGAGCCTGAGAAAGTCCAATAGGGCTTCACAGAAAAGGTGGCATTTAAACTAGGCCTTGCTTGGAGCTGGAGAGTTCCACGTGGCTAGGGAGGCCTCACAGTCGTGGTGGAAGGTGACAGGCAGGTCTTAATTAATGAAGCTTTAAATGTTTTTTCACTGGGGCCAGGCATGGCAGCTCACACCTACAATCTCAGCACTTCAGGATTACTTTTTTTTTTTTTTTTTAAAGCAGAGGGTCTGTAACTTTCACCAGATTCTTAAGGAGTCTGTGACCTGGGAGACTTTTAAGAGTGGGAGAGCTGTGAGGCCATGCTCAGGCTGGATGCCAGTTGTGGGACCCCTCGCTTCACCTCTCTGAGCCTCAGCTTCCTCATCTGTGCAATGGGGCAGCCTCGCGGACGTGCAGGATTGCTGTTCTGGACAGGCAGAGCCTGGGATCCAGAGGAGCCCAGCGCCCGCCAACTGCAGCGCCCAGCACCAGCAACCCCAGCACTGGGGGCTGACTCCATTCTTCTCCCCAGGGCTACACCAGCTCTAGCTTCCTGGCCGCCAGTTTCCCCAGCAACTTCATTTTGTTTATTTGCAATGGCTTCTTGGGGTCTCCTGGAGAAAAGATTCTCAGCGGAGTTCCAGAAAATGAATGCACTCTGCCTGTGCTCGGAGAGCTCCCAGCTGTTCTCTTGGCTGGCCGGCTCAGAAGAAATGATGTTAGGAATGTTTATCTCAGAGGAAGCGGAAGAGCTCCTTTCAGCAAAATAAGAATGAACCACAAAACGAGGTGCAGGGGGCCTTGTCAAGACATCGTAGCATGGTGCCATGGGAACATCCACTTCCTTTGTCCTGCCTCAGCTGACAGTGCCTCAGAGATGCCCTGAGTTACGTCAGCCAGGCTGGCATCCAAGGGGCTCCTTACTGGCTCACAAGACACGTTGCTTTTTCAGGACCAGAGAGACTTGGAGGTCCTCCCCTGCAGCCCCAAGCCTTTGTTTAGGCTGTGCTGTGAGGCTGGCTCTCTGTGGTCAGCATCTCAGTGTCCCTGCCTGGCCAGCAAAGGGGTGACATTTTCCTTGGGTGCCCTCTTGCAACATTGCGTTAAATTCTCAAAAAGGTGCAAACCCTTAGGGTGAAGTTTGTGTCTAGAATATAATGGTTAAGGGCCTCGGTTCTGGAGTCAGAATGACCAGGGTTTGGGTCCCGGCTCCATTGCTTTATAGCTGCCTGAGCCTCCATTTCCCAGTGTGTGGAATAGCTGGTAACCAGCATTCTTACTCCCATGGGTGTTGGAGACTTGAATGAGATCGTCATTACAAAGCATTCAGCACAGGTTAAGTGCTGATAGGCGGAAAGGAGATAATCAGTGGTAGAGATTATTATTTTAGTTGTCTGCTTATAAAATCAGAAAATGGGAAATAGAAAAATACAAAGAAGAAAGTGCATGTAGCCCCACGGCGCGGCGATCCGCGCCACTGGCCTTTTGTTAGCTGTCCTTCCTGTTTCTTTTTCCTGTGGGTGTGTATGCATGTGTATATTTCATAGGATCTGGTCATAGTTGAATGAGGATAGTTTATGTATGTATAGACATGTTAGTTTTTTCTTAATACCAGGCATAATATATCTTAACCCACTTTTTTAAAACTTAAAAATATATGGAGAACACATTCTCCAAATCATTACATTTTACCATATTGCATATTTTTTTACTTTGTAATGTTTCAAAGTAAGGATGTGTTTTAGAATCAATGTCAAAAGAAATGTGCCAGCTATTTCTTTTTTTTCCCCCCTAAAATGGGGGTTATGATGACACTGGTAATACAAATAACAAATGATGGCTTCTCAGATTCAAAGAAACACAGCAGACTAAAAGATCCTTCTTAAATTCCACAAAGGATTCCTCAGTGCCACTGTTGTCACTAACTCAATTGACCTCTATTTTTGGACATTTTGGCTCCTTCGGTTTTTTTTCACTATTACCCACCATGCCACACAATAGAGTCTGCAGGAAACGCAATTCAATGGGCCAACGGGCCCTGAGGGATGGAGGTGAGGTGGAAGGTGGAGGGACCTGAGAATTTCTGTTAAGGTCATGGCCAGCCTGTGCTGACCTTGTAGGGAGAAAGATGGGGGATAAGTATCCCAGCCTCCCTCCCCACCCTCCCTCACATCTCATGCCAGGGCTCCCCCAGTGGGAAGCAGAGAGTGTGAGGAAGGGGGAGGGTATGGTTCTCAGGCCAGCCCCTGGGCAGAGAAAGAGTGACCCTGGTTGGGCAGCCCTATGGCCCTGTGGAGCTGAGATGCCAGCTTTAGATGGGGGGACTTACAACACGGGCTTTCCCTTCCCCAGTGGAACAGAAGGCGCCGGCGAGAGGCCCTCCTTGTCAGCACCAGGGACAGATTGCTCAAGAATCTGTGTGCTCCAAGGCACAAGAGGGGTGCTGTCTCCTTTCCTGGAGTTCCGTCTCATGCCTACGTTTCAGGTAGGATGCTATTTTTAAGTGACTGGCACCATGGATCAGTACACTTGGAGGGAGGAGAGGGGATGCCACACATAGCAGGGGTGGGTGCTGTGAGCAGGGGTGGGGAGAGGAAAGGGGGCTGCGTTCGAGCCACTCTGACAATGAGGCTGAGGGCTGGCTGGCTGTCACACCCACGGCCGACATTAATCACATCCTGCCTGGCACTCCCCAGCAGCTCTGACACATGTGGCCGCACCCCACTTCTGGAAAGCTCCCTGCTCAGGCTCTGCAGAGCACTTCTCGCAACACTTCCCTTGCTGGATCCATGCCCCCAGCATGGATTCCTTCAGCCTGGCTCTGGCCAGGGGTGGGCTCTGAGCCACCATGGGACTGAGGCAGAACACACTGTACAATGCAAGGCTGAACACGCTGGGCCCCTTCGGGATGCTGGCGGTTATGTGGGCGGTGGGACGGGTGGGGTGACATGGAACACACCTCAGTCGCTCCTCCAGCTAGGGTTTTGGGGTTGCAAGCAACGGAACCTGGCTCTTGCTAACCATGTTGGGGCTGGACGCAAGGGTTTACGGGCAGGACCTGAGCTAGCTACAGAGTGGAGAGGTAAGATGAGAGCCAGCCCACAGGAAGGCCGGAGTGGAACAGTGTTGGGAGCCTGAAAGATGGGGACTAACAAGCAGCCTCTGGCTGGGAGGTTCTGCCGGGATCAGTTTCCTCCATGCTACAGAGGGGACTTGCTCAGGGCCACGTGGCTAATTGGAGGCATGGACAATCTCCGAACTCAGACCTCTGACGGATGCGGTCCTCTGACCAGTCTAAAGCTGGGTCCTCCCAGCTCAGTGACGCTGTCCTCACAGGAATGCCTAATGGGGCTTCCTCCCTGCCCATCCCAACCCCTGGGGCCACACATTGCTTATTTTGGATTACACCGGGCAGCCTGTGCCCCGGGCAGAGGGAGGGAGAGCTTGGGCAGGACTGGGGAGTGTGACTCATTTCTGTCTACCCAGCCAAGCACCAAAGGCGATGCTGGCAAGCGGGAGACAGTCCACAGCCACTCACCGGCAGCCAGAAGCCAGGCTCAGGACAGCGAGGCCTCAGCTTACACAGAGGCCACCAAAGAATGGCCCGGCAGGACAGGACGCCAAACCTCATTTATCTGAGCAGTGCAAGGCTGCCTGGTCAGTGTCCACTCCACACCCAGGCCCTCCTCTCTTTGCTGTGGCCACAGCAGATGTGCCAGCTGCCCCATTGCTGCACAACGCCAAGCCTCCATCCAACTCGTCCTGAACACCCTTCCCCCGTGTCCTTCCTATCTCCGTGAACATGGCAGTCAGAAATCCAATGCCTGGTGTCACGACTTCCCAGCTGTAGATCTTGGGCGAGTTGCATCCCTTCTCTCTGCCTCAGTTTCCTCCTTTGTAGCATGGGGATAAGACCTTCTTTACAGGGTTTAACAGCCAGGAATCAGGTGTGCAAAAGCGGAGGCATGGTTCATCACAGGGGCCTGCTGTGGCGGCTGTCCTCCTCCTAATAGCCACATTCCCCAGACCCAGCCTGGAGGAGTGTGCCATCCCCCGGTTTGCTCTCCCTCTTCCCGTCTCGGTGATCCAGGCCATAAAAAATGGCTCCTCCCAGATGCCATAAGATAGAAGCTGCATTGCCCTCGTGGCAGGAAGGGGACATTTGGGCTACTTCAAACCAAACCAAACAAAAAACTCACTGTCATCAATTCTTGCCTTCTAAAGGGAGGGGCACATTTCATCTTGGGGATGCTGGCCTGGGGATTCCACTTAGCCAAGAGCAGAGGAAACATCATTTCCAAGCACCAGCTAGTGCTCTGTGCTGCTAAAAGTCCCAGAGTATCCTGTCCTGGCTCAGTTGAGCCCCTTACTGAGCTCAGGACTCTTTTGGCTGCCAATGACAGAAATTCAACCTGAATCACTTACAACAAAAATAATGTATATTATATATTATAAAATATATATCAATATATAGATATATTTTTGAGATGGAGTTTCACTCTTGTTGCCCAGGCTGGCGTGCAATGGCGCAATCTCAGCTCACTGCAACCTATGCCTCCCAGGTTCAAGTGATTCTCCTGCCTCAGCCTCCCAAGCAGCTGGGATTACAGGCGCCCACCACCACACCTGGCTAATTTTTTGTATTTGTAGTAGAGACAGGGTTTCACCATGTTAGCCAGGCTGGTCTTGAACTCCTGACCTCAGGTGATCCACCTGCCTTGGCCTCCCAAAGTGCTGGGATTACAGGTGTGACCCACCGTGCCCGGCCGAGCAAAAATAATATCAATAGCTCACTTAACTGGAAAAAAGCCCCTGCAGGTGAGTCTAGCTTCAGGCACAACTGGATCCAGGGACTCAAATGATATCTCCCCTTCCCTCGGCTCTGCTTTCCTCCGTGTGGTGATGTCACTTTTTAGATATCTTCATCCACTTGAGCAAGGATGATAGTAGCTCCAGGCTCTGTGGCAGGTTGTGTATTCTAAATTTGGCCACACCAACATACGTCCCATCCACGTGTCGTTTGTAACCCTCTCAACCAATGGAAAATGTTGGAAGTGACATTCTATGACTTTTGAGGCTGGGTCCTGAAAGGCAATCCAGTTCTGCCGGCATCCCTCTCTTTGGGGACACTTAGCCCTTGGAGGCCAGCACCATACTGTGCCTATTCCTGACCTCCAGAGTCCATAAGCTTAATCAATACTTGTTTTACGCCACTAAGTTTTGGGGTAATTTGCGATGTGCCCTGCTATAGCTTTCGTGATCCCCATAGGTCAGAATTGAGGAAATAGACCTTCATCCTTCCAACACCATTGGCCAGTTCTTAGTAAAGATTCAGAGCAATCCAGCCTGCATGCTGGTCACATCCCTAAATCAGTGACTGTAGCCAGAGGGATGGGGAACTCTGGCTGGCTAGGCTGGACCATGAGCATCCTCTGGCTTGATGAAGGGTGGGGACAAGGAGCTCTGACCTTGTCAGGACCACAGGGAGTTGGCTGGAGTTGAGGAGAGGTGGAAGCCACTATCAGATGGACAGGGAGAGATGGCAGCCAAAGTCCATTGTCGTATAAAGGCAGGAGCTGACTGTTACTGCCCTGACTCTCGAGAAAACATTTGATTTGTTAAGGGGAAGGTGATGGAGGTTTTGGAAGGGGAACTTAGGAAAATAAGAATACAAAAATTAGCTGAGTGTGGTGGCATGTGCCTGTTGTCCCAGCTACTCAGGAGGCTGAGACAGGAGGATCACTTGAGGCCAGGAGATCAAGGCTGCAATGAGCCTTGATTGCACCACTAAAACTCAAGCCTGGTCAACAAAGCAAGACCCTCTCTAAAAATAAACATGGCCAAGTGCAGTGGCTCATGCCCATAATCCCAGGACTCTGGGAGGCCAAAGTGGGCAGATCACTTGAGGCCAGAAGTTGGAGACCAGACTGGCCAACATGGTGAAACCCCGTTTCTACTGAAAATACAAAAACTTAGCTGGGTGTGGTGATGCATACCTGTAAAACCAGCTGCTTGGGAGGCTGAGACAGGAGAATTGCTTGAACCCAAGAGGCAGAGGTTGCAGTGAGCCAAGATCATGCCACTGCACTCCAGCTTGGGCAACAGAGTGAGACTCTGTTTCAAAAAATAAGATAAATAAAAGAAAACAGAAAAAGAAAAACAAGAGTAATACTGCTTTTCCTACCATACATGGATAGGATTTGAAGAAAGCAGGAGAATGACAAGCTAGCTGAGCAACTCATGCCAGAGTCAGCCATGTTTTGTGAGGAACTAACATTTACCCAGGGCCCGTGCTGTGCCCAGCCCCGCATTAGGTGTTTTCTGTTCATTCTCATTTAATGAGTCTGCAGCTCTTGGAGGGCCAGGACCGTGCCTGTAGGGCAGCATTGACTGTGTTCATCAGAACACGTTCTGGCTGCTAGAAAAAAAGGCCAAAATGACAGTGGCTTAAACAAGATAGAAGCTTGTTTCTTTCTCATGAAACAGCCCCAGATTGAGCCTAGCAAATTTGGGTGCCCTTTGGTGTCTATCTGGCTGGTCTGCCAAGCCTAATATGTGGTTTCCATCTTAACATCTGAGATGGGGCTGCCTCAGCTCCGGCCAGCAGGTCCACATTCCAGCCAGGCAAGGAGGCAAGAGGAAATGAGAGCAAGGCCCAGAGCTTTATTCGTGTCTTCCACTTACATCTCACTGGCCAGAACTGTGTCACGTGGCTGTGTTGATCCAGAACCCAAGAGAGGGTTCTTGGATCTTTCACAGGAAAGAATTCAAAATGAGTCTTAGAGTGCAGTGAGAAGAAATGGCTTATTGAACACTACTCAGTGACAGCCCAGAAAGCCCAGAAAGTTACAGCCCAGAAAGAAAGTTATACCCTCAGAAAGCAAGAGGAGGAGTGCCTCATCATCATTTTAAATTCCTCTTACTAAGACGCCTTATCTATGGAAAAGCTAAGCTGTGTCTACTCCATGCGGATGGGCTCACAGCATGACGTTTCTTACTTTGCTGATTTAAAGAAAACTATGCTTGGCACTTAGTGCATAAATACATCCCAGCACGACTATCATGATCCTGAAAGCATACACTGTTATGGGTGTTGGGACATCTGGACATTCCGTTGTCAGAGGAGTGTGTTCTTGCAGGTATCATCAGGCCATTTCCTCAACTGTAAACATCTTACGACCATGGAGTGTGACCAACCAGGAATGTGTCTTGCTAATTTTAAGATAGTGCTGAGGTTTTTGTTTGTTTGTTTGTTTTTGTTTTTGAGACAGAGTTTCGCTCTTGTTGCCCAGGCTGGAGTGCAATGGCGTGATCTCAGCTCACTGCAACCTCTGCCTCCCAGGTTCAAGTGATTCTCCTGCCTCAGCCTCCAGAGTAGCTGGCATTACAGACGCCTGCCACCACGGCCAGCTAAATTTTTTTTTTTTTGTATTTTTAGTAGAGACAGGGTTTCACTGTGTTGGTCAGGCTGATCTTGAACTCCTGACCTCAGGTGATCCACCTGCTGTGGCCTCCCAAAGTGCTGGGATTACACGTGTGAGCCACTGCACTCTGCCAGAGCTGAGTTTTTAGGTGGTGTCACCCTGGCTCTCCTATATTCTTCTTTCTCTAACAGCCACATCTAGCTGCAAGAGAGGCTGGTAATGCAGCTTTTAGCGCTTGATCCTGTGCCCCATGGAAACTCAAGGGCTCTAATGCTAAAGGAAGAATGAGAAGATGGATATTGGATGATAACTGGTAGACTCAGCCTAAGACACTCGAAACTGAAGAGCTGGCAGTGCCCTAATGATAGCCCCTATGGGACAGTGGTTTACAGCCTGGGCCCTACAGGCCGGGCGCGGTGGCTCAAGCCTGTAATCCCAGCACTTTGGGAGGCCCAGGCAGGTGGATCACAAGGTCAGCTGGTTAACACGGTGAAACCCCGTCTCTACTAAAAGTACAAAAAATTAGCCAGGTGTGGTGGCGGGCATCTGTAGTCCCAGCTACTCGGAAGGCTGAGGCAGGGGAATGATGTGAACCTGGGAGGCGGAGCTTGCAGTGAGCCGAGATCGAACCACTGGACTCCAGCCTGGGTGACAGAATGAGACGCCATCTCAAAAAAAAAAAAAGAGCCTGGGTCCTAGAGTCACATGGCCAGGGAGTTTCATCTTGGCCCTACCCTTGAAATCTGTGTGACCTAAGCCTCAATTTCCTTATCCATAAAATAGGAGTGATGATAATACCACATTTCATTGATTCTTTATTTTTATTTTATTTTTTAGAGAGAGGTTCTGTGCCTAGGCTGGAGTGTAGTGGTGTGATCGGAGCTCATTGCAGCCTCAAACTTCTGGGTTCAAGTGATCCTTCTGCCTCAGCCTCTTGAGTAACTGGGGCTACAGGCATGCTACCATGTCTGGCTAATTTTTAATCTTTTTGTTGAGAAGGGGTCTTGTTCTGGTGCCCAGGCTGGCCTTGAACTCCTGGGCTTAAGCTATCCTCCCACCCCAGCCTCCCATAGCATTGGATTACAGGTATGAGCCACTGTACCTGGCTTCATATTTTATTGATTCTAAGATTTGAATTTTAACATCTCTAAAATTAGGATGTATTTACAAGTAATGATGTGTTTAGTTGACAGATTTTTTTTTTAATTCTTAAAACCATAGTAACATAGTGTTGTGTCTTACAACTAATGGTGACTAGGATTTCATAAAATACAAGTGCTATTTTGATGATAACATCATTAATAGCATATGCATACTCTTAATACAATTCTTAATATAATAGAATATAGAGTGTTGAAATTCATATATATTCATTTGAATAGTTCCAGAACTATGGTAAGAACTCAGTAAATGTCAGCCATTATTCCCATCACCAAGTGCCCCCAGCATGTAGGAAGTGGCTCATTTACCTGGAGCTAAAGGAATACCCAGGGCGGGGTCAGTCTCTAAACCACCCACCTGTAGGTGAGGCAAAGAGCCCAGCAGGTTCTTCCTCCACCCTACACACCACTCAGATTCTAAAAATCAACTCTGCAGTTGCTGGCTAGATGGAGGGAGAGTGGGGCAGGTGGAGATTGCTCTCCCACCTGTAGGTTAGGGTTAGGTTAGGGTTAGGGCTTAGGGTTAGGGTTAGGGTTTAGAGTTAGGGTTAGGGTTAGGCTTTAGGGTTAGTGTTAGGGTTTAGGTTTATTGTTAAGATTAGGTTTTAGGGTTCCGGTTAGGGTTTAGGTTTAGGAGTTAGATTTAGGGTTAGTGTTAGGGTTAGGGTTTAGGTTTTGGCTTACATTTATGGTTTAGTGGCAGGGGTAGGGTTTTGGGTTGGGTTAGTGTTTAGGGTTAGGGTTAGGGTTAGAGTTAGGTTTTAGGGGTAGGTTTAGTGTTTCGGGCTAGGGTTAGGGTTCGTGTTAGGGTCTGAGTTGGGGTTAGGGTTATGATTAGATTTATGGGTTATGGCTTTGGGTTATGGTTAGGTTTCTGGGTTAGGGTGGGATTAGTGTTTAGGTTAAGGGTTAGGTTATGTTTTGGGTTGGCTTTAGCTTTTTGGGTTAGCATTTGAGTTTAGTGTTAGGGTTAAGGTTAGGGTGTTAAGGTCATGAATTAGGGTTAGAGTTAAGGTTAGTCTTTAGCGTTACAATTAGGGTTAGTGTTAGGGTTAGGATTAGGGTTACTGTTAAGATTACTTTTCCTGTGATCCCGGGATTTGTTTTTTGTGGCTGCATAGCAAATGCTCATCTGCTAAGTCACTTAAAAGAATAAGCATTTATTCTCCCACAGTGCTGCGGGACACAAGTGTGGCATTAAAAGGACCATGCTCACTCCTAAGGCTCTGTGCCAGGACCTTTGTAGCCTCTCCCAGCTTCTGTGGGCTTTGGGCATTCCTGGGCTTTCCTTGTTTCATAGACGCATCTCTTCCTCCATCTTCATGCGCCTTCCCCTCTGTGTGTCTCTGTGTCCTCTTCTTTTCAAGACACTGTCATTGTATTTAAGCCCCATCCTATTCCAGTGGAACATAATTTTTAACTAGCTACACCTGCAAAGACCCTATTTCCAAATGAGGCAACATTCTGAGGTTTTGGGTGGACATGCATTTTTGGGGGTTATCTTTCAGCCCCGAACAACTTGGTACTGCAGTGCTCCCTGCCTGATTTTGGTTGACTCTGTTCTCCACTTTCTCTTTTTTGCTTTTTTTTACTCCCTGGCTCATCTGTCGGTTCTGCAAGGCATCTCCAACACCAGCCATTGTGAACAGTCTGTTCAGTGCAGACAGAAAAGGTGGCACCCATCCAGAATGTCCTGTGGGCTGCTGTTAGAATATTATCAGTTAGAGAAGAGATGAGGGAAAGATAAACCCAGGAGAAATAATTAGTAGAAAGGAATGTCACATGGCATGAACTCACTCCAGCACATAAAAATATGTTACCAAATTTCCTTGGAGTTCTATTTATTCTTTTTTTTTTCTTTTCAGTGAAAACAAAAACAAAAATATTCTAGTTAAGCACTGAACTTGTCAAAGCACAAAGACAGCATAAGAAAGTTTGAGTTTAGGGCATCAGCTCTTCTCTTTGTTAAGGTGAAAAGGAAATAAACAAGGCAAAGATGTTGTCATTGAATGTCACAGAAGAGATTGTTCTACCAAGGGCCAGAACCAGAAGGAAGCCTCTTAAGAGTCTTCAGGGTTTGTTAATTGTGATTGGCCTGTGGGCACACTTGGGTCACAGTAGTGCAACGATGCTCTGGGGATTGTTTAAAAGGCACCATGCACTTGGTTTTACTAGAATTATGGAAAAAGTTTTATGAGGTCAGGTTTAATTATTTAAAAACTGGAAGGGATCTTAAGAAATCATATATCTCAGTGTTTCCCAGAACCGTATCAGCCTTAACACATTTTTTTTTGAGATAGGGTCTCACACTGTTATCCAGGCTGGAGTGCAATAGTGGGACCACAGCTCACTATAGCCTTGAACTCCTGGGCTCAAGCAATCCTCCTGCCTTAGCCTCTCGAGTGGCTGGAACTATAGGTGTGCACCACTATGCCAGGCTAATTTTTAAAAATTTTTTCTTAGAGATGGGGTCTTGCTATTGTTGCCCAGGCTGGTCTCAAACTTCTGGACTCAAGGGATCCACCTGCCTTGGCCTCCCAAAGTGTTGGGATTACAGATGTGAGCCATCAAACATGACCAACACTGTTTTTTTAGCAATGAATATTTTGTAATGCTTTATTATTCTGAAATGAAATTCATAGAAAATCTAACCCACCTACAAACCAATTGCAAAAAGAAAAAGAAATCAATATAATGCCCTGACTGTAACATAGAGAAAAATTGCAAAAGGATAGTCAATTATAATAAAATAATGTAGATTTTACAAGGTGAATGTTCGGGTCTGGCCATATCAGGTGACATGATGAAGTGGCCTGATGCTTGTACCTAGCCAGACAGTCACATAAACATGACAGCCACAGGTGCACGTGGACACAGCTGTGTCATGTGGAGGCTCAAAGACCATGAAGGTACTGCTGCTGGTGATGGGATTTTCCCAAATCCTGGACAACTCCGGAGGGAGTTCTCCCCTGATCACACAGTGGTTGCATTCCCAGAATATCTAATGTATATGACAATGATGCAAAAAACAGACACACCCAGAGTTTGGTTCTGGACCCATGTTTTACAAGAGGGTTTTTCATTTACCAGGGCCTGGTGGGACAGTGAAAAGCAGAGGGATTGGGGGAGTTCTTCATCTGGGGGACTGTCCCACTTGTTGTACCCCTGAAAACTTCCAGAAGGCCCCCGGGGGTAGCACAGCCTCTGTAGAGGACGACTGATCTCTGCTGTTGGTCACTTTTTAAGGTCAGCAAAATGAGGCCTAACGAATGCCACACAGCCGAGTCATAACAGAGCTGAGTGTCCTGGAGGGATGTGGCGGACGGGCCTGGGACGCCCTCAGCACAGGGCTCTTCCCTTCCAGCTCCAGTCCTTCGTTCCTGCTGAGGGAGGGCAGAGGCTAGGAGACATGGAAGCTTCCAGCCTATGTGGCCTTCTGAGCTGCCATGCCACTGAACTAGCATCCTGGAAAGAGAAAATCCCATGCAACCTGGATGTTGCTTTACTACAGTGAAGAGTTTAGAGCAATACTTTGGAATCAGACAGGCCTGGGCCCAAGTCCTGGCTCTCCCATAGACTGGCTGTGGGCTCATGGGCAAGTTCCTTAATTTCTCTTTGAGCCTCAGTTTTCTTCACTGTAAAATGGGGTTAATAGCATTCCCCAATTCCAGGGGAGTTGAGAGTACTTAGTGCAAAAGATGCATGTAAAATGCCTCCTTTACTTTTTTTTTTTTTTTTTTTGAGACTGAGTTTCACCCTTGTCGCCCAGGCAGGAGTGCAATGGTGTAATCTTGGCTCACTGTAACCTCCACCTCCCAGGTCCAAGCAATTCTCCTGCCTCAGCCTCCTGAGTAGCTGGGACTACAGGCGTGCACCACCACACCCGGCTAATTTTGTATTTTTAGTAGACATGGGGTTTCTCCATGTTGGCCAGGCTGGTCTCAAACTCCTGACCTCAGGTGATCCTCCGCCTCAGCCTCCCAAAGTGCTGGGATTACAGGTGTGAGCCGTTATGCCTGGCCTCGCCTCCTTTACTTTTTACCTGGTAGCATGGGAAGCTGCCTGCAGTGAACTTGAGAAAGTGACACAAGAGCCTCAGCCTGGGAGGCTGGAGCAAGGAAAATCCCTTTTCGAGGAATCCTCCACCGCCTGGTTTGTTTTATAATTTCAGGGGCACTATGCACACTGACACATTGTGCACACCTCCATCTAGTTCTAGAACATTTCCATCACCCCACAAAGATACCCCATATCTGTTGTCAGTCACTCCTCATTCCCTCATCCCTCTGGCCCCTGACAGCCACCCATCCACTTTCTGTCCCTGTAGACTGGCCACACTGGGCCTCTCATGTAAATGGAATGAATCGTGTAATACGTGGTCCCTTGTGTCCGACTTCTGTCACTCAGCATCATGTTCAAGGTTCATCGCGTTGTAGGGTGTGTCAGAGCCTCGTTCCTCTCTATGGCTGATGGTATGAGTTGTATGGATGGACCGCGTTTCGTTTATCCACTCCTCAGCGATGGACATTTGCTTTTTCCTACTTTTCGGTGACTGTGAGTCATGCTCCACTTTGAACATCCTGGCCCCTGGCATGTCATCAGGGTGGAATGAGAGTGAGCTGGGTCTCTTCTGAATCTAGGCCTTTGTTTTGGGTGAAAGGACACAGCCTTTGGAAGAAGACAGACCTGGGTTTGGATTCTGATTCCATACAAGTCACCAGGTGCCTCAACCTCTCTGAATCCCAGTTTCTTCATCAGACAAAGGGATAGTTATGAGGCATCGACATGACATTTGTGTGTGATCAGCACATCGTAGGGATCCAACAAATGGTCTCATTTGTGTCCAGCCAGCTCCTTCAATGCCTTAATTATTGCACTGCAGCCTGGGTAGGGCATCCCTTCTCCCAGCTCTAAGGTATGGATTCCCATGGGTTCTAGTCAGGGGTACACTGTGGCCAGTTCGTAGGGCTCACGAGAGCCGATGGTGAGCGTCTCTTCCCTACTCCACACTCAGGGACTTTGCATTGGTACCTTGAAATCAACCAAAGTGGGAGTGTTTATACCCTGGAAATCAGCAAACCTTCAAAGTGGGGCTTACCCCAACCCCTGACCTCTGGAGAGCCAGTTGTTAAACATTTACCAACAACCACAGGTTCTAGTATTTTCTGTTAAGCTGGCCTGGTGGCAACAGGCCAGAGAGTTCAGGAGAGAGTAAGGCAGGACAGCTCAGGGGTTAAGCCCGAGGATGCTGGAGCAGACATGTGATCTTGGTCCTGGCCGGCAGGCCTGCCAGTGCTGCAGAATCTGTGAGCTCCACGTCCTCACTGTCTCCATCTCCTTTGGCACTCAGCTGCAACAGCAGGACCTGGAGGCAGGTCTGCTGCATGGGACATGGGGTGTGGGGACTTCTGGGGAAAGCATTCCTTTCCAGTAAAAGTGATGCAAAGGAGGAGATGCCTCCTCTTCTTGGATGTTTTCATGTCCATACAGTGACTCCTGGAGCTGCAGCAGCCATCATGTGACCTTTCCAGAAGGGTGTGGACTGGAGACAGTGGGAGAAGCAGGGCCCCAGGTCCTTCCTCAATGCCACCATCCTCCACCCTGGACTCAGGCTTATGCTTTCTTTTTCCTCTTTCCTGTTGAATTTGACCACTGGCATTTCACTAAAACAAAGGCAAATCTCCAACCCACATGTCACAGCCAGGAAGGAGGCCTGACACCCCCAGGCCCTCAGGACTCAGCACTGGATGCACAACTTTCAGGGAGCGCAGGAAGCTCGGGGAGCAGAAGCCACTCTCAGGGGCTCCTGAGCCAGGGGACAGAGCAACAAGGACAGCACTTCCCACCCCAGCATGCCGCTCCAGCCTCTACACTGTGACCACAGGGCTTTCAGGTGGGGCAAAGGGCTCTGCCCGGCAGGCAGCGTGACGCCCATGCTGCCAGACTGAGGCCCTGAGTCCGGTCCTGATGCCAACAGTTGAGGATCCTGGGGCCAGCCCCTGTCTTTGCCATCCTCTGGCCCTGCACTCTCATACCTGTAAGCTCAGCACTTTGGGAGTCCAAGGTGGGCAGATCATGAGGTCAAGAGATCGAGACTAGCCTGGCTAACATGGCAAGACCCCGTCTCTACTAAAAATACAAAAATTAGCTGGGTGTGGTGGTGGGCACCTGTAGTCCCAGCTACTCGGGAGGCTGAGGCAGGAGAATCGCTTGAACCTGGGAGGCAGAGGTTGCAGTAAGCCGAGATCGTGCCACTACACTCCAGCCTGGTGACAGAGTGAGACTCTGTCTATAAATCAGTCAATCAATTAATCAATCACTGGTCCACGTGCCTTCACCCACACCCTCTCCCAGTCTGAGGTCCAAGAGTCTGGGGTTCAGGCTCCTTCCTGCATGGACAGATCCATCCCTGATGGCACCCTCTAGAGACAAAGGCAAGAAGGCCATGGGCAGAGATGTGGCATGTCGTGGCTGCACTCAGAAGAGGAAGAAAAGACCACCAGATATTTTAGCTGCTGTATTTTAAACATCAGGACACGGAGGCTGAAAATAGATAATGATTGTGGAAAGCCAAACAGCTGACATGTTTATCCATCTCATTCATCACTCCTTCTTCCCTCAGCAATTGGTCTTGGGCAGCCCCTGCTTCTGACAACCCCTGACATTCACTCTGCCCTGGGTCTCTGAGGTCTTCTAGAACCCAGGACTCCACCAACCTCCCAGAGCCTAGGTGAAAATCTGTGCAGGGGAGGGGGGCCTATGGGGAACCCAGGGTGTCAGGAGGTGAGGGGAGACAAGAATGGGGTGAAGCAGCCTCATGAAGCAAGGAGAGCCTCAGACGCACCCCCCAGCACAGACATCTGTGAGATGTCTGCCTTGGGGGCCTTGATGGGATCCAGCGGTTCTGAGTCCAGCCTCAGGAGCCCCTGCGGTGGAGCTCTGAGTGGGGCAGGGGCCTGGGAGATGCCAGAAGGATGAGAGCAGGGCCCCCCTGGTCCAGGGGACAGTAAGAGGTAGCCAGTCCCAGAGAAGCGCCCCCACAAACTGTTACCCGTGGTGTGCAAAGCGTCCTGCAACCCCAGCCCTCACCAGGACTTCTTGCATTTTTCAGGAAAGCAGTTGTGATTGGCATGGTTCTTAAGCGTCTGCAGGAAGCTGTGGCCTTTTTGGTATTTCAGGAGGGGTTGCTAACCCCCCTCATTGTAGGATTGGGGTATCCCAGCTGCTAATTCCCCTCCTAACAGCCCTGCAGTGCCTGGATTGGAGGTGTGACAGGTGGCATTTTCGGCCCGAAGTCCCTAGGAAGGAGAGGTGGCTGTAGCCTGCGCATTTGTGTAAATTAACCACCCCTTTTAGTTCTGTGAAAGGAGAACTCGATTAGTTTAAAATCACCTGCGTGAAAGAGGGTCTTGATTAGTTTAAAATCACCTGTGTGAAAGGGTCACTTGATTAGTTTAAAATCACCTGTGTGAAAGAGGCTCTTGATTAATTTAAAATCACCTGTGTGAAAGGGTCACTCGGGTAGTTTAAAATCACCCACGTGAAAGGGGCCCTTGATTAGCTTAAAATCACCTGGGTGTTTCATTTTATCTCAGTTGACCTCTGAATCTTTATCCTACAGCTTCTTGCAAGCTCCAGTCTACCTTCTAAAGGAATAATGGGGCTCACCTTTCTATGTTACTTTATGTGGGAGTAGTTGTAAAACAGAATAAGGGAGACTGCGGGGATTGTGCAGAAATGTAGCACCCGTTTACGTGTTGGGAGGCTGAGGTGGGAGGATCGCTTGAGCCCAGGAGTTTGACACCAGCATGGGCAACTTGGTAAGATCCCTTCTCTACCCCCCAAAAAAAAAAATTTAGCTGGGCATGGTGGTGGGTGCCTGTGGTCCCAGCTACTCAGGACGCTGAGGTGGGAGGATTGCTTGAGCCCAGGAGTTTGACACTAGCATGGGCAACATGGTAAGACCCCATATCTACAAAAAAAGAAAAGAAAAAGATAAAAAAAGAAAAATTAGTCCAGCGTGGTGGTGGGTGCCTGTGGTCCCAGCTACTTGGGAGGCTGAGGTGGGAGGATTGCTGGAGCCCAGGAGTTTGACACCAGCATGGGCAACATGGTGTAAGAACCTGTATCTACAAAAAAAAAAAAAAAAAAAGAAGAAAGAAAAGTTAGCCGGGCGTGGTGGTGGGGGCCTGTGGTCCCAGCTACTTTGGAGGCTGAGGTGGAAGGATCACCTGAGCCCAGGAGGTGGAGGCTGCAGTAAGCTTAGATTGCAGCACTGCGGTCCAGCCTGGGTGACAGAGTGAGACCCCATCTCAAACCAGAAGCACCAAAAGGTGTCTGAGGTCAGGCACGGTGGCTCACGCCTGTAATTCCAGCACTTTGGGAGGCTGAGGTGGGTGGATCACCTGAGGTCAGGAGTTCGAAACCAGCCTGGCCAACATGGAGAAACACCGACTCTACTAAATATGCAAAAATTAGCTGGGTGTGGTGGCACACACCTGTAGTCCTAGCTACTGCAGAGGCTGAGGTAGGAGAATCGCTTGAACCTGGGAGGTGGAGGTTGCAGTGAGCTGAGATTGCACCACTGCACTCCAGCATGGGTGACAGAGTGAGACCTTGACGGGGGCGGGGTGGGGGTGGGATGGACCTTCTGGGGATGGACCTAAGATGGTGGTAGGAGCCTCTACAAGTGGAATTGTGATGTGCACAGCCTGGGTAAATGGGGTTGGCTATATTTAGACTTTAGTGGGGACATAGCCTATTATTTTTTAACACCATTGAACTCAGAATCGGGACCCAGATTTGCCAGGACAGCGCGGGACAGAGACCTCTCCTGGGCTCTGTGTCCCCTGTTAATAGACTGAGAGACAGAATGAGAGCTTCGAAGATGCTGTGGGAGGAGTGCTGGACGTCTCCAGGTGGTGAGCTCAGGAACGTGTGTGTGTGAGTGTAGCCATCAATCCTGGGCTCTGTCTGCCCTGTTAACAGACTGAGAGATGGAATGAGAGCATCCCCAGGTGGTGAGCTCAGGAAGGTGTGTGTGTGTGTGTGTGTGTGTGTGTGTGTGTGTGTGTGTGTAGCCATCAATCCTGGGCTCCGTCTGCCCTGTTAATAGACTGAGAGATGGAATGAGAGCGTCCCCAGGTGGTGAACTCAGAGACGTGTGTGTGTGTGTCTGTGTGTGCATGTGTGTAGCCGTCAGTCTCCCGGGCTCCGTCTTCCCTGTTAATAGACTGAGAGACACAATGAAGGCATCCCCAGGTGGTGAGCTCAGGGACGTGTGTGTGTGTGTGTGTGTGTGTGTGTGTGTGGCCACCAATCTCCTGGGCTCTGTCTGCCCTGTTAATAGAGATGGAATGAGTGCATCCCCAGGTGGTGAGCTCAGGGACACGTGTGTGTGTGTGTGTAGCCGTCAATCTCCTGGGCTCTGTCTGCCGTTAATATACTGAGAGACGGAATGAGAGCATCCCCAGGTGGTGAACTCAGGAACGTGTGTGTGTGTGCTTGTGTGTGTGTGTGTGTAGCTGTCTCCTGGGCTCCTGGGCTCCATCTCCCCTGTTAATAGACTGAGAGACAGAATGAGGGCGTCCCCAGGTAGTGAGCTTAGGGACGTGTGTGTAGCCATCATTATCCTTTAGTACCTGGTCCCCGTGCCCTCCGAGCCATCCAAGGGCTTCAGGAGGCCGAGCAGAAGGAGGGTTGGTAAGTGAGTCCACGGACCACCACGCAGGCCCTGGGGTCCTTTGGAGGGTGAGCCCTGCGGGTGGGGGGATGATGGCCCCGGAGGGTGTGCTCTGGGATGAGAGGGGACGTGCAGGTCGGGGGATGAAGGCTGCATTGCAGACAGAGCAGGCTCGGGACCTGGGCGCCACCTGGTGTCGACTCAGCTCACTCCTGAGCTATGCCTCTTCCTTGTCTTATAGTGGGGATAAAAAGCCATAGATGGCCGAGCGCAGTGGCTCAGGCCTGTAATCCCAGCACTGTGGGATGCCAACCCAGGAGGATTGCCTCAGCCCAGGGGTTCGAGACCAGCCTGGCCAACATCGCGAGACCCTCTTCTCTGTAAGAATTTTTTCTTTTTTTTTTTGAGACAGAGCCTTGCTCTGTTGCCCAGGCTGGACTGCAGTGGCACGATCTTGGCTCACGGCAACCTCCGCCTGCCAGGTTCAAGCGATTCTCCTGCCTCAGCCTCCTGAGTAGCTGGGATTACAGGTGTGCACCACTGTGCCTGGCTAATTTTGTATTTTTAGTAGAGACAGGGTTTCTCCGTGTTGGTCAGGCTGGTCTCAAACTCTCGACCTCAGGTGATCCACCCGCTTCGTCCTCCCAAAGTGCTGGGCTTACAGGCGTGAGCCCCTGCGCCCAGCCCTGCCTTCCTTTCTTCCAGTTTCCTGACGTGGCCACGTGTACCCCAGCAGTGCCCTCCCAGTGGTTTTGGGAGGTGAGGGAGGGGAGCGGTGGGGATTAACGTTCTTGCTAATGAGGTGGTGAGTGTCTTACTGTCTTCTCTGTTATTGATACTATGTCCTGACAGAGGAAAAGAGGGAAAAAGAACTGATTATGGTAGGATAATGTCACTTCTCTTGTTCCCAGACCAAACCGAATCTCAGCCTGCTTATTCTCACGGCCCAATAATGAGATGTGGATGAACTGGGAGAGAAGATAGGTTTTATTTCTGTAACCAGGTGCAGGGAGAAGGTCTGGAAATTATCACCAGACCGACTCAAAATTACAAAGTTTTCCAGAGCTTATATACCTTTTATATGTCTATGTGTAAGTGTGCATTCATCTAAAGACATAAGCGGGGCCGGGCGTGGTGGCACACACCCATAATCCCAGCACTTTGGGAGGCCGAGGCAGGTGGATCACCTGAGGTCAGGAGTTCCAGACCATCCTGGCTAACACGGTGAAACCCTGTCACTACTAAAAATACAAAAAATTAGCCAGGTGTGGTCGTGGGCACCTGTAGTCCCAGCTACTCAGGAGGCTGAGGCAGGAGAATTGCTTGAACCCAGGAGATGGAGGTTGCAGTGAGCTGAGATGGTGCCACTGTACTCCAGCCTGGGCGACAGAGTGAGACTCGGCCTCAGAAAAAAGAAAAAAGGCATTAACTTCTTCTAATCTATAACAAAGGTCTGAGTCCTGAAGACCTTTCTCTGGAGCCTCAGTAAATTGACTTAATGTAGGTGGGTCCAGGTGCTGTGGTGATTACCCGAGATAAGGGGAGTTTTTCAGATCCCCAGTAAAACTACGTAAACCCAAACAGGTCCTGTTAGGAATTCCTTCGTTGTCATATTTTCAAGGCCCAGGAAAGGCCTGGGCAAAACTCTTGGTGGGTCTTTGTTACATTCCAGCCTTCGTATAAGGACACTGGCTCTTTCAGGTTTGTTTTTTAATTTTTTTTGAGACAGAGTCTCACTCTGTCACCCAGGCTGGAGTGCAGTGGCGCAATCTCGGCTCAGTGCAACCTCCGCCTCCCGGGTTCACGCCATTCTCCTGCCTCAGCCTCGCGAGTAGCTGGGACTACAGGTGCCCACCACCACGCCTGGCTAATTTTTTGTATTTTTAGTAGTAGAGACAGGGTTTCACCATGTTAGCCAGGATGGTCTCGATCTCCTGACCTCGTGATCCGCCCGCCTCGCCTCCCAGAGTGCTGGGATGACAGGCATGAGCCACCGTGCCCGGCCTCTTTCAGGTTTTTATATGTAACTTCGCCACTCAGTTGGTACTGAAGCTGTTATGGAGGCCTGCCTGGGTGAGATGTGGCCGCCACACTGTGGCTGGTATTCGAAATACACAGGAGGCCGCAGCCAGCTTAGCAGAAACACCCTGTGGCTTTCAGAACTTGGTTTTGAGAGTTTCCTGTTTTCTTGACTTTCAAATACCAGTGACTTTTAAGATGCATCAGTGATGTAATAACTGTTGGGGAAAAAAAGAAAAACTATTAAAGATTCCTGTGGATGGTGAGATGACCTTGGTTTCAGAAACACCGAAACATAGAGAATTGTGCATTTTAGAATCCAATAAATCTACGCTGGGCACGGTGGCTCATGCCTGTCATCCCAGCACTTTGGGAGGCCAAGGCAGGCGGATCACCTGAGGTCAGGAATTCGAGACCAGCCTGGCCAACATAGTGAGAACCTATATCTACTAAAAATACAAAAAATTAGCCAGGCGTGGTGGCCCATGGCTGTAATCCCAGCTGTTCTGGAGGCTGAGGTGGGAGAATTGCTTGAACCCAGGAGGCAGAGGTTGCAGTGAGCTGAGACGATGCCGTTGTATTCCAGCCTGGGTGACAGAGCGAGACTCCGTCTCAAAAAAAAAAAAAAAAAATCTGATTATTTACCTGTGTACCTTCACAAGTGTTTAAAAAAAAAAAAAAAAGGCCGGGCATAGTGGCTCAAGTCTGTAATCCCAGCACTTTGGGAGGCCGAGGCAGGCGGACCACAAGGTCAGGAGATCGAGACCATCCTGGCTAATACGGTGAAACCCCGTCTCTACTAAAAATACAAAAAAATTAGCCTGGCGTAGTGGCGGGCGTCTGTAGTCCCAGCTACTCGGGAGGCTGAGGCAGGAGAGTGTTGTGAACCCAGGAGGTGGAGCTTGCAGTGAGCTGAGATTGCGCCACTGCACTCCAGCCTGGGAGACAGTGAGACTCCATCTCAAAAAAAAAAAAAAAAAAAAAAGATTACGTTGATATTTTGCCTACTATAATCTTAGAAATTTGCAATTTCCTGTCATTGAGTTTTGTAACTTTCTACCCTCTGCTGACAAAAAAAATTTAAAATGTCTCATGGCAGCCTGTGTTCTTAAAATTCGAACTGTTTATCCATAGCCCTTGAGAGAACGGTTTAATGTGAGTTGGTTGGGAGTGACCGTTGTTTGTTTTTTTGAGACAGAGTCTCACTCGCTCACCCAGGCTGGAGTGTAGTGGCGTGATCTCAGCTCACTGCAAACTCTGCATCCCAGGTTCAAGTCATCCTTCCACCCCAGCCTTCCAGCTAGCTCGGATTACAAACATGCACCACCACACCTGGCTAACTTTTGTATTTTTGGTAGAGACAGGGTTTTACCACGTTGGCCAGGCTGGTCTCAAAATCCTGAGCTCAAGGCCTGCATCAGCCTCCCAAAGTGCTGGGATGACAGGCGTGAGGCATGACGTCAGGCCAAGGGGGTGGCTGTTTTATAACAGGTTTGAAAATTTGTTTTTCTTTTTTTCTTTTTTTTTTTTTTTTGAGACAGACTTTTGCTCTTGTTGCCCAGGCCGGAGTGCGATGGCAAGATCTCGGCTCACTGCAGCCTCTGCCTTCTGGGTTCAAGTGATTCTCCTGCCTCAGCCTCCCAAGTAGCTGGGATTACAGACACCTGCCACCACGCCTGGCTAATTTTGTATTCTTAGTAGAGATGGGGGTTTCTCCATGCTGGCCAGGCTGGTCTCAAACTCCCGAACTCAGGTGATCCACCCGCCTTGGCCTCCCAAAGTGCTGTGATGACAGGCGTGAGCCCCTGTGCCCAGCCAGGGGGTGGCTGTTTTATAATAGGTTTGCAAGTTTGTTTTTCTTTTTGTTTTGTTTTGTTTTTTTGAGACAGAGTTTTGCTCTTATTGCCCAGGCCAGAGTGCAATGGCACAACCTTGGCTCACTGCAACCTCTGCCTCCTGGGTTCAAGCGATTCTCCTGCCTCAGCCTCCCGAGTAGCTGGGATTACAGGCACCAACCACCACGCCCAGCTAATATTTCATATTTTTAGTAGAGACGAGGTTTCCCCATGTTGGCCAGGCTGGTCTCGAACTCCTGACCTAGGTGATACGCCTGCCTCGGTCTCCCAAAGTGCTGAGATGACAGGTGTGAGCCACTGCACCCGGCCCTGAGATAAGCATTGTTAAGATTTGGTTGTCCGGGTGCAGTGGCTCAAGCCTGTAATCCCAGCACTTTGGGAGGCCGAGGCGGGCAGATCACGAGGTCAGGAGATGGAGACCATCCTGGCTAACGCAGTGAAACTCTGTCTCTACTAAAAATACAAAAATTTAGCCGGGCGTGGTGGCAGGCACCTGTAGTCCCAGCTACTCAGGAAGCTGAGGCAGGAGAATGGCGTGAACCTGGGATGTGGAGGTTGCAGTGAGCCAAGATTGTGCCACTGCACTCCAGCCTGGGTGACAGGGCAAGACTCCATCTCAAAAAAAAAAAAAAAAAAGATTTGGTTATGTTCCTGCAGTCCTATATGGGGCTAGAAGAATATCACCAAATATCACCAAAATGTATAAGTATACACACATGCACACACACATTTGTGAGTGTGTGTAGGCACGCATGCATGGATAATAGATATACCTGTGTATGTCTGTATATAGACATTTGTGTTTCTCAAAATTGTATCAAAACTGGATTCATGGCCAGGCACAATGGCTCACGCCTGTCATCCCAGCACTTTGAGAGGCCCAGGCAGGGGGATCACCTGAGGTCAGGAGTTCGAGACCAACCTGGCCAATGTGGTAAAACCCCGTCTCTACTAAAATACAGAAATTAGCCAGGCATGGTGGTGCATGCCTGTAATCCCAGCTACTCGGGAGGCTGAGGCAGGAGAAACGCTTGAATCTGGGCGGCGGAGATTGCGGTGAGCCAAGATTGCACCACTGCACTCCAGCCTGGGCAACAAGCGAAATTCTGTCTTAGGAAAAAAAATTCATATTGTGTATATTGTTTTCTAAACTTTTTTTTTTTTTTTTTAGACGGAGTCTTGCTCTGTCACCCAGGCTGGAATGCAGTGGCGCAATCTCAGCTCACTGCAACCTCTGCCTCCCGAGTTGAAGCGATTCTCCTGCCTCAGCCTCCTGAGTAGCTGGGATTACGGGCATGTACCACCATGCCCGGCTAATTTTTTTGTATCTTTAGTAGAGATGGGGTTTCTCCATGTTGGTCATGCTGGTCTCAAACTTCTGACTGCAGGTGATTCACCCACCTTGGCCTCCCAAAGTGCTGGGATTACGGGTGTGAGCCACCGTGCCTGGCCTGTAAACGTTTAATTTTTCGAGGCACGTTTCTGCTGTGTTGCCCAGGCTAGATAGTGCAGTGGTGTGATCACAGCTCACTTTAGCCTCTACCACCTGGGCTCAAGCAATCCTCCCACCTCTGCCTCCTAAATAGCTGGGACTACAGGCGTCCACCACCACACCTGTGCGTGTGTGTGCATGTGTGTGTGTGTGTGTGTGCCTTTTTTTCATGGAGACAGAGTCTCTGAGCCTATGCTCTGCAGGCTGGTCTCAAACTCCTGGACTCAAGCAGCCCTCCCCACTTGGCCTCCCAAAGTGCTGGATTCCAGTGGCGAAAACCCATCTCTACTAAAAAAAACACCCCAATCGGGCTTGCAAAGTGCTGGATTCCAGGCATAAGACTGCACCCGGCCTGTTTTGTGAGATTTTTAACTTAAAATCTACCCTGTGCCAAGCACTTTGGGAGGCCAAATGGGGAGGGCTGCTTGAGCCCAGGAGTTCAAGACCAGCCTGGGCAACATAGTGAGACCCTATCTCTTAAAAAAAAAATTAGCTGGGCGTGGGACCTGTGGTCCTGGCTACACAGGAAGCTGAGGTGAGAAGATCACTCGAGCCCAGAAGGTGGAGGCTGCAGTGAGCTGAGATTGCACCACCACGCTCCAGCCTGGGAGGCAGAGTGAGACCCGGTCTCAGAAAAAAACAAAAAGCAAACCAAACCGTATGCTGAATGTGCACTGTGTTGGCTGCACAGAATGGGGTGAGATGTGTGTCTCTCGTATTGTATTTGATCCATATGTCCGTGGGGCTCCTACGTGTGGGTAAGGCTGTGAGTGTCACCTGGTGGGGACTAATTCCTGGTCATCCCTGGTGCTTTTTGTAAAGAAAGTGAGTTGCAGCCTGGCTGTGGTCCTGCTGGTTGTAGCAGACAGATCCATACAGTGCAGACGCGATGGTAATTTTGGTTTCATCATTCACGAGAAGCTTTATTTATTTATTTATTTTTTGAGATGGATCCTCGCCGTGTCACCCAGGCTGGAGTGCAGTGGTATGATCTCGGCTAACTACAACCTCCACCTGTCGGGTTCAAGCCATTCTCCTGCCTCAGTCTCTGGAGTAGCTGGGATTACAGGTGCCTGCCATCATGCCTGGCTAATTTTTGTATTTTTAGTAGAGACAGAGTTTCACCATGTTGGCCAGGCTGGTCTCGAACTCCCGAGCTCAGGTGATCCACCTGCCTCGGCGTCACCAAGTGCTGGGATTACAGGCGTGAGCCACCACACCCAGCCCGTGAGAAGCTTTAAGTCAGTGCAGTGGCACGCGGATGGTGCAGGGCCGCAGGCTTCACCTTCCTTTTGGGTCTGAAGTGACTGCCTCGCTGTTTGGGGTCAGAAATAGCTGTGTGTAGGGGCAGGTGTGAGCTGTGTCTTGTGTGTCCCACAGAAGTGACCCTCATCATGATGGTGTGGTACTGGCATTCTTGTCCGTAGACTGACAAGGATTCTTTTTTTCTTTTTTCTTTTTTGGAGACAGAGTCTTGCTCTGCCACCCAGGCTGGAGTGCAGTGTCGCGATCTCGACTCACTGCAAGCTCCACCTCCTGGGTTCAAGTGATTCTCCTGCATCAGCCTCCCGAGTAGCTGGGACTACAGGTATGTGCCACTACACCCGGCTACTACTTTTTGTACTTTTAGTAGAGATGGGGTTTCAGCATGTTGGCCAGGCTGGTCTCGAACTCCTGACCTCAGGTGATCCACCCGCCTCAGCCTCCCAAAGTGCCGGGATGACAGGCGTGAGCCACCTCGCCTGGCCCTGGATTCTGTTTCTTAAACTGCAGGGAATACTAAATACTTTACATGTGTATGTTTCTCATTTCATTTTCCTAAAGGAATTGGAGAGTGAGTTGTTGAGATTCTTTTCATTTTATTTTTTATTCTCTATGGTCCTCATCATGCAAATGGCTAAATGGTTTTTTTTTTTTTTTTTTTGAAACAGGGTCTTGCTCTGTCACCCAGGCTGGAGTGCAGTGGTGCGGTCTCGGCTCACTGCAACCTCTGCCTCCCGGGTTCAAGCGATTCTCCTGCCTCAGCCTTCCTAGTAGCTGGGATTACAGGTGTGCACCACCGTGTCCGTCTGATGGTTAAATTTTTCCTAGAGATGAGGTTTTGCCATGTTGCCCAGGCTGGTCTCAAACTCCTGAGCTCAGGTGATCCCCCCACCTGGGCCTCCCAAGGCGCTGGGGTTCCAGGTGTGCAGAGGGCTCTTTGTCTACACGCATCACTGGATTTTCTACCCACGGGGACAGGAGTGTGACCACAGCGAGGTGGTCAGGGAGTTGTCACCGGCGGGCACTGCAGCCCAGAGATGATGACGGCTCTAGGAGTTTGGTTGTGGAGCACAGATGCCGGCGGTGTGGGCACGTGGCCCTGCACCTGTGTTTCTCCTGCACAGGCCCCAGAACCCCAGGATGGGATCTCTGTGCAGTGACGAAGTCAGTGGCCTCTTGGTGAGGCTGAGGGATGGGAGTCGGCAGAATCCAGGCTGGGCCCCCGAGGCCTGGCTCCCTCACTGCATCCCTGAGGTCCCACAGCCTGGTGACAGCATGACTGAAGACCATACTCCAGTCAGGTGGCCAGCCCCACATGTGACCCCGGGTCTTGGCTCCCACTCCTGACCCAGGGTCCTGGCCTTCCACGTGTGACCCCGGTTCCGGCTCCTGTCCCCGCCCCCTCTGTCCCCTTTCCCCTCTTTCCCCAACACCCCTTCCTCTCTCCCAGACACCCCTTCCTCTCTCCCCGGCACCCCTTCCTCTCTCCCCGGCACCCCTTCCTCTCTCCCCGCCCCCCGTCCCCCCCTCCTCTCTCCCCATCCCCCCCTCCTCTCTCCCCGTCCCCCACTCCTCTCTCCCCGACCGCATCTCTCCCTTGAGTCCTTGAGGGGTCCTGGCTGCACACCTACCTGGCTGGCCCCATCCTCTCCAGGGCAGGGACAGCCGATGCCCCGCACCTCCCCCATTGCTTTTCTACCTCTGCCCCCTCCCCACATAGGCCTGGTATCCCTTGGACTCCTGTAGGCACCAGCCGTAGTCTTAAGAAGTCAGTGTGTCCCACAGCCCTAAAAGGTCAGGGTACCCCCTGGCCGTCATTTCAGGGCAGCCTATAGTCCTAAATGGTTGGGGTACCCCACATCCCTGATGTTCAGGGCACCTCACAGTCCTAAAGGATTGGGGTACCCCACAGTCCTAATGTTCAGGGCACCCTGCAGTCCGAAAGGGTTAGTGTACCCCCGGATGAGGGGCGGTCAGGAGGGTCAGGGCCCAGGTGGACTTCCTGTCATCCCACCCTGTGGGGCATGCCCTGTGTCCCTGACTCTGACATTTGGTGAGGTGAGTATGGAGCAGGCTTCCGTGGCACATTTTTTTATTTATTTAGAGGTAGAGTCTCGCTCTTGTCACCCAGGCTGGAGTGCAGTGGTGTGATCTCGGCTCACTGCAACCTCCACCTCCTGGGTTCAAGCCATTCTCCTGCCTCAGCCTCCCAAGTAGCTGGGATTACGGGCGCCCGCCACTACACCCGGCTAATTTTTATAGTTTTAGTAGAGACAGGGTTTCACCCTGTTGGCCACGCTGATCTTGTACTCCTGGCCTCAGGTGATCCGCCTGCCCTGGCCTCCTTAAGTGCCGGGATGACAGGTGTGAGCTGCTGTGCCCAGTCCCTGAAATGCTGAAATGCTCAGCCCATACCCTGAAATGCTGATGGCAGGAACCTCTGCACTGTTATGGCTCCCAGAGCTCATCTCATCCTACTCTAGACACCAGCCCTGTCATCAGCCTCCTCCAACTCACTAGTGAGTGCTGAGTTCAGAGGAATTTGTTTTGACCCTCAAGAGGGGTTAAGATACACTGATAGGCTGGTCGGGTCAGGCCTCTCAGATGTCACTGGTGCAGTGGCCCTACCTGCCTAGACAATTGAGAAGAATCATTTTACAATGATTTTATAAGCATTCATGGTGTTGCAGGGACTGGGCTATGACCTTTGTGGTCCAGGATGCTTAGTGTTCTAACAGAGATAGATGGGCTATGAAACAGTTACAGTGCAGTGGAGTAGTTGTGATATAGCCACTGCCAGGATATTATGGAAGCATGGTGGAAGAGCTTCTAACTTTTCTGTCTTTGGAAAAGGTTCAGGAAAATTCATGCATGAGTGCTTGCATATATACTTATGCACATATGTGCACACACAAGCATGTGCATACACACAAACTCATGCTTGATGGTCTGGGTATGTGCTAGAACAATGACCCTATCTAGCTAAGGTAGTGGGCCAAGATTAATCATTCCATCCGTCTATCTACCCATCCTTCCATCCATCCACCCACCCATCTACCTATCCATCCAGGCGTCCATCATTCTATCCATCTATCTACCCATCCTTCCATCTATCTACCCATCCTTCCATCTATCTAACCATCCATCTAACCATCCATCCAGGCATCCATCCATCCATGCATCCATCCATTTCTTATATGCTTACTATGTTACAGGCTCTTTTAAGGATTCTTTACTTACCTGATTTCATTTATTCCTCTCAATAACTTTGAGATATGAATTATTAGTCTCATCTTATACATAAGAAAATTAAGACCCAAGAAGTTTGGTTGCTTGACCAGGGTTACACTAGTACACTAGTCAAACAGCTGGCCCAGGCTTCTCATCCAGATCTGAATAATTCCAATCATATGTTCTTTTAATCTCTTCTGAATTCCCCATACTGTGTTCAGAGGAATTTGTTTCAACCCTCAAGCGGGGTTCTGTTCTCCCCCATACTGAAAAACAGAAAACTGGATTTTCCAGGTACTAACAGATATTCAATACGCATAGCTTCTCCTTCTCTTTTAGGGAATTTAATGGGCAAATTCATAGTAAAGGCTCAGAGAAGTCCTGTACTATTTTCAGTTTAATCCAGCATTCACTGATTATGATCATCATTATTGGATCATGAAATTTTTGGTGGCAAAATACCCAATTCCATGACAGTTGGAAGAGTTGCTTTACCCCCTCATCTGACCTAAGACCAGAACAAGTACTTCTGTCCCTAAGCAAGGTCTTTTTTTTTCTTCAGGCAGCAAATAATGATTTGACCTTAAGCCAACCAATAATCCAACCCCTTGCATCTCTGTGACATTCTTCTTCCACATGCCCTTCAGCTCCGTTTCTTCCCTGAACTGCAGGATGTCTCTGCAAAGCGCAGAGGGTGCAGGGGCTACTGGACCTCCAAGAAGTGATGGATTTGGTCTCCAAGTTGATCCCTTAAGAGATGGCTGCTGCCCTTTGTGGGTCTCATCACTGCAATCTTCTCATCCTATCTCCTGGCTCTGAGTCTCAAATGTTTACTGGCCCAGGGCAAGGACCCATTCCCATGGTATTCTAGATTCATGCCATCCATCTCCGACTGCACTGCTGGGTGGCAGGACAATGGCTTTGCATCTGTGCTTCATCCCACAGAACCCAGCTTCTGCCTCAGGGAGGAACCAACTGTACTTATTTCTCTAGATTCTTTTCCTCCTTCTTGTGGTTCTTTCTAAAAATAGAGACAGACTGGCATAACCAACCAGCAATGAGCACTCCTGTGCCCGGAGGGATTTTATTTGTTGCCCCAGAAAGAGAAACTGCTTCTCCCCACCTGGAGCCAGGACCCAGGAGCCAATGGTGACACAGTAGTGCCTTCACCTGAGCGAGCCTCTCCACTCTGCATCCTGCCCCACATTCCGGTCCCTGGTCCCACCCTGGTCCCGCCACCCCCCACCCCCCACCCCGCTCAACTAAAGAGCGCCTTTGCAGCAGCTGGCCCCCACCCTCAGCTTCTGGGAAGTGATCTCCATAGAATGCCCTGCCTGATGGGAGTGTCTTTGTTTGCCTTGGGGCTTTGGCCACTGGACAATCTAACGAGATCTATGAAGGGGGTTTTGAGCCACATTGTATCAGGTCTACCTCCAGAAGGGCTGGTGACTGAAGGTCAACCATGCAGGTGGTATGTGATCAAGCCTCAGTAAAAACTCTGGACACAAGGCTTGCATGAGTGTCCCTGGCTGGCAATACTCTGAACTTACTGTCACATGCCGATGCTGAGAAAGAAACACTGTCCTGACTTGATGGAAGGAGGACACCCGGAAGCTCTGCGTTTGCTGCTTTCTGGGACCCCACCCTATGCATTTCTTCCCTTGGTTGAAGAAGGGACCTGCATCCCTTCCCTGTAATAAACCATAACCTTAAGTACAACAGACTTCAGTGAGTTCTATGAGTCCTTCTAACAAATTATCGGGACCCTTGAATTTGCAATTGCTGTCAGAAGTGTAGATCAAGTTCCCACACTTCACAGTTGGTTAGCTCTTTACAGTTGGCCTAAAATTTCAGTGTTAATATTGATTAATAGATAAATAGATGGCACCTCTCCTGGTGTGGTCATTGTTAATCTGGTACATTGACCTAATGAAGACTCCTAGTTCATGAAAAGATTAAACCTAGTAGTCAGCTTCTAGGATTGTATAAGCGTGAGTACAAATTGCCATGGTTCCAGGGTCACAACTTTTGGAAGTATTGATAGCTCTTTTTAAAAAATGTTTATTTTTATTTCAAGTTCCAGGGTACGTGTGGAGGACGTGCAGGTTTGTTACATAGGTAAACGTGTGCCATGGTATTTTGCTGCACCTATCAACCCATCACCTAGGTATTAAGCCCAGCATCCATTAGATATTTTGCCTAATGCTCTCCCTACCCCCTTCCATCTCCTGACAGGCCCCAGTGTGTGTTGCTCCCCTCCCTGTGTCCATGTGTTCTCATTTGTTCAGCTCCCACTTATAAGTGAGAACACACGGTGTTTGGGTTTTCCATCCCTGGATTAGTTTGCTGAGGACAATGAATTCCAGCTCCATCCATGTCCCTGCAAAGAACATGATCCCATTCCTTTCTATGGCTGCATAGTATTCCATGGTATATATGTATCACATTTTCTTTATCCAGTCTATCATTGATGGACATTTGGGTTGATTCCATGTCTTTGCTATTGTGAATAGTGCTACAATGAACATACATGTGAATGTATCTTTGTAATAGAATGATTTATATTCTTTTGGGTATATACTCAGTAATGTGATTGCTGGGTCAAATGGTATTTCTGGTTCTAGATCTTTAAGGAATTTCCACACTATCTTCCACAATAGTTTAACTAATTGACATTCCCACCAACAGTGTAAAGCATTCCTGTTTCTCTGCAACCTCACCAGCATCTGTTGTTTTTTGACTTTTTAATAGTAGCTATTCTGACTGGTGTAAGATAGTGTCTCATTGTGGTTTTTGATTTGCATTTCTCTAATGATCAGTGATGTTGAGCTTTTATTCATATGTTTGTTGGCTGCACGAATGTCTTCTTTTGAGAAGTGTCCATTCCTGTCCTTTCCCTACTTTTTAGTATTTTTTTTTCTTATAAACTTGTTTAAGCTCCTTGCAGATTCTGGATATTAAACCTTTATCAGATGGATAAATTGCAAAAATTTTCTCCCACTCTGTAGGTTGCCTGCTCACTCTGCAATAGTTTCTTATCATGTGCAGAAGCTCTTTGGTTTAATTAGATCTTGTTTGTCAATTTTCACTTTTGTTGAAATTGCTTTTAGCAATTTTGTCATGAAATCTTTGCCTGTGCCTATGTCCTGAATGGTATTGCCTAGATTTTCTTCTACGGTTTTATAGTTTTGGCTTTTACATTTAACTATTTGATCCATCTTGAATTACTTTTGGTATAAGGTGTAAGAAAGGGGTCCAGTTTCAATTTTCTGCATACGGCTAGCCAGATCTCCCAGCACCATTTATTAAATAGGGAATCCTTTCCCCATTGCTTGCTTTTGTCAGATTTCTCGAAGATCAGATGGTCGTAGATGTATGGTCTTATTTCTGAGTTCTCTATCCTGTTCCATTGGTCTGTGTGCCTTTTTTTGTACCAGCACCATGGTGTTTTGGTTACTGTAGCCTTGTAGTACAGTTTGAAGTTGGGTAGCGTGATGCCTCCAGCTTTGCTCTTTTTGCTTAGGATTGTCTTGGTTATACAAGCTCTTTTTTTAGTACCATATGAATTTTAAAATAGTTTCTTCTAATTCTGTGAAGAATTTCAATGGTAGCTTAATGAGAATAGCATTGAGTCTACAACTTACTGTGGGCCATTTTCACAATACTGATTCTTCCTATCCATGAGAATGGAATGTTTTTCCATTTGTTTGTGTCCTCTCTTATTTCCTTGAGCAATGGTTTGTGGTTCTCCTTGAAGAGGTCCTTCACTTCCCTTTGTTAGCTGTATTCCTAGGTATTTTATTCTCTTTGTAGCAATCGTGAATGGGAGTTCATTCATGATTTGGCTTTCTGCTTGTCTGTTGTTGGTGTATAGGAATGTTTGTGACTTTTGCACATTGATTGTGTATCCTGAGACTTTGCTGAAGTTGCTTATCAGCTTAAGAAGCTTTGGGGCTGAGATGATGGGGTTTTCTAGATACAGGAGCATGTCATCTGCAAAGACAATTCAATTTCCTCTCTTCCTATTTGAATATCTTTATTTCTTTCTCTTACCTGATTGTCCTAGCCAGAACTTCCAATACTATGTTGAATAGGAGTGGTGAGAGAGGGCATCCTTGCCTTGTGTTGGTTTTCAAGGGGAATGCTTCCAGCTTTTGCCCATTCAGGATGATATTGGCTGTGGGTTTGTCATAAATGGCTGGAAGTATTGATAATTCTTAATGAAGACAGAAGCTAGGAGTTAAACAACCTTCCTCCATGCACCCTCAGTACTTGGTTCATGCTGTTGCCATTACGCTCATCACGCTCCACTCTATGTCATGTGACTCAGTGCATATGACTGTGAGCTCCCTGAGAGAAGTGATCTTACTCACCTTTCACTCTGACAATCAGAGAAGAAAATAACTCACAAAGTGTCTGATGAATTGCTGATCTTTTGCAGACATAAGCAGTTGTGTCCGTGAATACATGGTTATTACAACCCCATAAACAGGTTCTCTTTAAACTGTGAGCCCACATAAAACTTTACAAGTCTCCTATTCCTCTCTAAGAAGATATTCAAAAGGAAAAATCAACACAGAGGCAGCAGAGCATACTGCCAAGAGTACACGTGTGGGATTTGGAAACCATGGTTCTAGGATAGCACCATATTCCTATGTGGCTGCATGATCTTAGGCAAGTCACTTGACCTGAGACTAGGTCATCTCATCCATAAGGCAGTGAGAAATACTGTACCCTCTCGCCATGCTACAGTAGGTAATAATTATAAAGCATGTACTATTAAATAGTTCAGATTCCACAAACATTTTCTAAGCATCTGCTATGTGTTAGATACTCTGGAGGGCACTTCCATGCCACTGTTCCATGCCATGAAGTCCTCATATTCTGGCATTGAGGGGTAATGGGAAGGGGCTGGGAGTGGGAATAGAGATGACACAAAACTGGGAGCTGGCAATTACTGAAGTTGGATGAGAGAAAATGAAGTTTCACTACATTGTTTTCCCTATTATTTCATGTTTTTGAAATGTTCCACATGTATTAATTTTTTAAATTTATTTATTTTAGAGATGGGGTCTCACTCTATTGCCCAGGCTGGAGTACAGTGGCACAATCATAGCTCACTGCAGCCTTGAACTTTTGGACCCAGTTAATCCTTCCACCAGAGCCTCCCAAGTAGCTGGGACTAGAGGCTTGTACCACCATTCCTGGCTAATTTTTTAAAAAAAATTTATAGAGATGAGGTCTCTTTATGTTGCCCACGTTGATCTCGAACTCCTGGTCTCAAGTGATCCTCCTGCTTCAGCCTCCCAGAGCGCTGGGATTACAGGTGTGAGCCACCACACCTGGCCAAAACATGTATTTTAAACAATCCTCTCAACAATTATGTGAGGTGGGTCTCCATGGTCTCACTTTACCCATGGAAAACCAAGGCTCAAAGTGACAGAAGCCTGAGGTTTCCACAGAATGTTAGAGGCAGAGTCGTGTCTAGAGCCCAGGTTCCCTGCCTCCATGCAACTTCACACTTCCCACCTCCCTAGATTGTGATGCATGGCTGGCACCTGCCCTCTCAGAAGCACACTTGACCTCAGAAAGGTGCTCCTCAAGGTAGAGGTTTGTGTTTACAAGAGGTAGACCACTGTAAGCAATGAGGGGAACAGCTCCCCACCTTCCTTTCCAGTGCTGGGACCTCTTTCTACACTCATTATGAAAAATTCAAGAAATATGGGGGTTCCTCAAAGTCACTATCATCATCTGTGGACATCTGCTGAGTCCCCAAAGCACTGGGCAGGCATTGCTGAAGCATGCAAAGGTATACATAACACACAGGGCTTCCCACAGCAACCTCCTCCAACCCATTCACAATAAATATTTTTAAATGTATTAGCAAACTCTGCCGAGACAAAAAGCTCATTGCAACAGTCTTTGTCCTCCAAAGGAATTGCTCTACAGTAGAAAGAAAGAGAGGTTTTCTCATCTCTTCTGCAAGGGAAGGAACTGTGGGGGTGGGGGGGCGGGGGGAGTGGTGTGTGTGTGTGTGTGTGTGTGTGTGTGTGTGTGTGTGTGTGTGCGTCTCAGGGCAGAGGGGGCAGGTTGAGCTGAGCACAGAGAGAACTACGCTTTTCTAAAGCCACCCTAGGGACATGCCCATATGTAGCTCTGGGGCTGGTTGCAGCTTGCATTTGTTTGGAAGTTCAACCCTGGGATGTATACAATTTTCCCCAAATAACCCCTTGGAGGGAAAAATAACACAGTGCAAATGACAATACTCGAAAGCCTAGAGATATACTCAGCCATTTTCTTTATGATGACCATATTTTGCCAAAGTCTGTGTCCTAGAAGTCTCTCCCCATCCATTAATGTAGTCACCCAATGGATTGCTTTTCCTTCCCATGTGTTGACTTTTCCTTCAGCTCTTGCAGCAACACATTGCTTGGCCAAACCAGAATACACCAGGGAGCTTGGAAGATATTGCCCAGTCACCTCTGCAACCTCAGAAACTCCCTCTGGTGCCTGTGGTGTGACACGCCACATCCACATAGCATTGCACATGGTGATCCCTAGGTTCTCGCTGAGGACTGGAAGGGACAGCCTAAAGGTTTCATCCAAGTTTCCACCTTCAGCTCTATCTTGGTCTGCAGGTCAACTGACTCTTCAAGCCTCCATTCCCCACCGCACCAATTCCCCACAGCACTGCCAAGGTTTTTCACAGATAATCAGCAGAGCAAATGCTAAACCCAAAGCCATGCCCCCTACCCTCCAATCCAGGGAAATGTAAAAATATATCAACTTTAAGGCCCTGGAAAAAAAGTCAAAACCAAGCTCTATAATTGTGGCCTGTTTACAAGGCGTGCTGAGTTGTTGGTGCATTCTCAGAGAGGCTGTTCATGCCTCATGGAGCCAGGGAACTATGTTAATGGTAACAGAAGTCTTCATGTTCTGCAGTCTGTGCCCTTCTGAACACCCTTGGTTTGAAAAGCAAAGTCCTTAGGTTGGAGAATCAAATTCACAAATGCCTCCTTCAGTTCACTTTCCTTCAGTTGAGTTTGGACCTAGAGTGTGGACCCATGGAGGTCAGCTACCTGGTTTAAGGGAGTCAGCTCGTGTGTGTGTGTGTGTGCACGTGCATGTGTGTGTGCACATGTGTGTATGTCTGTATGCACACATATTTTCACAAATAAGAAAGAGAAAGCAGAAGAGATCCAATACAGTGAAAAATCTCTGCCCAGTGACCTGGCACTGAGGAATATCATCCACCCCAGGCAAGAATCTAGAAATGAACAATTTAAGGATAGTGGGAGCACTTAGAAAAAAAACGAATGATTAGGAAGAGCCAACATCAGTATAATAGAACAGGTAATGCCAACGTGACTTTCTTTTTGTTTGGAAGTTCTACATAGTATTATGTCTGGATTTTAGGAGGCCCTTCCCACGAATTAAATTTTTAAATGGGTAATGTATTCCTACGGTTCAACAAAACCCAATATATCCTTGGGGAGGAATCTTCCTCCCATCTATGTCTCCATCTGCCCAGGTCTCACTCCTACCTCTCCACTCCCCATAGGTAACCATGATTATTAATTTCTTGAATAAGCTTATGGATGTCATTGTGAACATGGAAGCAAATACAAATGTGTGTGCATGTTTATTCTTATTTTCTCCCTTTTTTATGCAAAAGGGGCACACTGAACCCCTTGCTCAGCAAGGCTTTTGTGGGGGGCTCATGCTAGTTTTGTGGACAAGAAATGGGGACTAGATGACACCATGCAATAGCAGGCATGTGACTACTTCAGTGCAGAACTAGAAGTGGAATCTAGCCTGCTGACTTTTTGTCCTAGGTCCTTCCCGTTTGTCTCCTGGATCTGTGTTTGCCCACACAAGGGAGTACTTAAGAAGCATTGGCAGGCTTCTGGGAAGCAGTTTGTCCTTGTAAGTGGTTTAAAACCTCACCTTGACAATCTTGCATATAGCACTCATTTGCTTGGTAAACCTTTTTTCTCATAGATCATGGAAAGGTAAACTTTGAGCCCTTTGCTCTTCAAGTGAATAAAATGGCCTAACTGTACTAAAGCTTTATCCCAGTGCTTGGTTCATAGTAGCCACTTCATAAAATAAACATTAGTTGAATCTGAATGATCACTACATTCCAATTTAATGTACTTGGATTAAAGAGATTCATCCTAAAGAGACAGGGAATTGGATCATTTCAGAACCAGTCCCGTGATGGTTTACTTTGGTAGCATAGCCCTTCTCAAGCCAGTGGTCACTTCCTATTCTCCTGCCAGAGAAGCAGAAACAACAGCTTTCTTTGTATTCAGTATTGATTTGGGGGATTGCATGGGTCCTTATGACTACCTGCTGGCAATATTCAGTCCAGCGCATGGACAAAGCTGACCTGGAAGAGCAGGGAGTCAAGGGAGGTCAAGAGACAGGGCAAGGCTTGGGGAAGGAGTGAGAAGTCCTCTTCCAGGGCCAACTTTCCCAATCCTCTTCTGGTTCTCTGAGACCACCCTCCTCCCCTTTTCATCTCTGAGGCATCCTTACCAAACAGCAGTTCCTCTGCTCTGACATCGGCTTGATCTTTAAGGCTTGCCTCAGTCAGATGCAAAAGAGGGTGATCCCATAGAGAAAAAAATATTTAGCTAAGATTCCAAAAGTGAGGGCAAATCCCTGGGAATTTGCTGTTTTTGAAGTAGACTACTACCACTCTCCACTATAGGTAATTTTAAGTTTGCAGTAGCTAATGGGCAAAGGAAAGAAGAGTAAAATAAAATTGTCATGGGATGGTAACTTCCTACATTAACCTGCAAGGTATCCACCTTTTCCAGGCCACCAGAGAATCTAAGTTCAAGTCCCCAAACAGGGAACTGGGCTCTCATCCTAATTCTTCCTTAAGGAGCCAACACAGTCATTACCTCCACATAAACATGTCAACTCTCCCCACGCGCAACCATGAGAAATCTCTCCCAGCCAGCCAGAATGGAAGGAACTAACAGCTTTTGGCAAGCAGCACGGTCTCACATACAGAAGGTGGCTGGCATGAGGCTTGCACTCAGGTCACAGCCTTCTATCGGCTGTCGTGGCCACCTCTTCCTAGAAGAAGCTCTCCCCAGGAAAAGCACAGAATTCTGCTGGGTCACAGAGCCCCTCAGGTGTCAGTTCCAGCCACTCCCAACACACTTCAGGTGGGCCACCTTGACTGCAGTGGTTATGATTGCTGGGTTTGAATCCTGTCTCTGTCACTTGATTCTGGATCATTATTTCAATTCTGTAAGCCTCAGTTTCCACACCTGTAAAACCCTGTCCCCTGGGGAAGTTGTGAAGAGTAGAGGAAATTATCCTTGCAAAATGCTTAGCAGAGTATTGGTAGGTTGTTAGTGCTGAATAAATAGTACTTATTTTATCATCATCATTACGGCTCTTTGGAATCCACAGCCTGTAAGGTGGGGGGCAGTACTGCAGCTTGAAAGCTAAGGGATGGGCGGTTGAGTTGCCCAAGGTCACTCTGCAGCCTTACTGCAATGAAAGTTCCATAGAATAGGGGTGTTGTCTGTTGTGTTCCCCAAACCTACAACAGTTCCTGAGCCTCCATCACTATAAGCTGAATGAATGAATAGATGGATGGATGAATGAATGTAACTGAGAAGCTGGAGTTTGAGCCCAGGTCAGTGTGACTCCATGGTCAGATGCTACACACTTCCTGCTCCATTTCCACAGACACACACACATATCCTATTTGTCCTTGTAAAACCAGCATATTCCAAGAGTTTTCTGCCAGCTGCAGCTCATCATACCCATCTTTTCCCATCGTCCTTCCATAACACACACAGTCTCTGCCACACAATATAACAATTTATTAGACCTCAAACTCTCTGGGGGCAAAGACCACTTCTTAGCCACTGGACTTCTTAGTCTCAGTCTCAAATCAGGCTCTTAAGAAGCAATTTCTGGTTGGCTGGCTTCTTTTGGGGGAAAGGGAACCAATTGTCACCTCCTCCAGACCCTCGTATTTCCAAACCCTAGCCTTTCTTATAGGAAAGAGGAAGGGAACTCAACTTTACATTTGACATTTTTCACTGAGGAGCCACACTTGCCCTTGGCCTCCTAACCCAATCCCTTGCCTCGCTGTTGTCAGTTCTCCTATAAGCAAAGAAGCAAAACCTGGGGAGCAACAGGGAGGGATGAGCAGGGGTGACTCAACCGGGGAGGGATAAAACCACATACCACAGAGAGTGAAAACTCTGTGCTCAGCAAAGAGGAGAACTTACTCAGCATTTCCCCTAATCCTCCCTCCAGAAGCACGACTGCCAGGAAAGTTCACAGTGTACTATCTCCAGCTGGGAACCCGAAAGAAGCAGGAGGACTGTAGGCCACAGGTCCTGGGCACCATGTGTTTCCCCCGTTCCTACTCCTATTCTTCCCTCTCTGTCCAGCAAACCTGCTTGTTTCTGTCACCTGCCCTCCTGCCCTTGGGGTGACAATGGATGCCTTGAACACTCAGCAGAGGGATGCTCTTTCAGAGGAGGAAGAGTCTGTGTGATTGATCTGATGCCTGAGCAGGAAAATCACCCCTGAGAAGAGGCTCTGAGACAGAGGGTCGCCGTGGTTCCTACCCCTTATATATGTGGGGCTCCTGGCACATGCACACTTCTCCTCAAACTCTGTTTAGGAGAACAATGCTGGGTGTTGTCAGCCTCTCTCCTCCCTAGATACTGCTCTGTCATCAGCCTGAGCACAATTTCCCCATGAAAGGCGTTAATCTGTCTCTCAATTAGATCAACTTTTTACATGTCTTTGATGGATGACAGTTTTTCAGTGTCAGAATCTAGAAATAAGAAATGGGGTGATGGGGACAAGTGAGCTCGTTGTGTGACTCACCAGGATGTTCCCTCTTATTCCAGGTGTCCTGTCCCAGGTGCAGCTGCAGGAGTCAGGTCCAGGACCCATGAGGCCCTCAGACACTGCCCTCCACCTGTGCTGTGTCTGGGTTCTTTTTTTTACCAGTGAATATTATTTGAGCTGAATCCACCATCCCCTAGGCAACAGATTAGAATGGCTGGGGCACAGTTACCAGGAATACACATCATGATCACCAAGATCATCATCAAGATCACCAAGGAATACACATCATGCACCCTTTACCCAGGTCTGCATCTCCATCAACAATGACTCAACCAAGAGCCAGTTCTTTCTGAAGCTCAGCTCCATGGCTGGCTAGGACATGGCTGAGTATTACTGTGAAAGACTCAGTGAGGAGGTGTCCTTGTGAGCCCTGACACAAAACTTGCTGTCAGGGCACTGAGGACCGCCAGCAAGACTCAGGACCACAAGGGGGACTCAAGACCACCAGGGGAAGAGCAGGTTGCAGGAAGCACAGGGCCAGCCCCAGAGCAGGTGTGGGTGGAGATGAGAGGCTGGTTTACTGCCAGGGTGTGGGGCTGCCTCTACATCTACATGTTTCCTCCAGGGACCCTCCCTTATTTCATGATGCTGTGCCTAGCTCTACGTCTCTGAAATACCACAGTTTTGTTGTACCAGGAGGAAACCTTCTTACAGGCACTAAATGCAGAACAATCCCTCTGCCAGTGGTCACCAGGGCCACAGCCCTGTGGAAGCTGAGTGGAACCCGGTGAGTCTTCTCCAGTCACACTCAGGACAGGGACCTCAGTGGGGTTCCCTGAAGAAAACAGTATTTAGGAATTCTAACCTCAGCCAAGAGAGAGGCTGGGCCAGGGTCAGGGTCACGTAGAACCTCACAGGTTTTATTTCTGACCCTTCTTCTGACACTAAAGTATGCAAATCAGTATCAGCGCTGATCAGGGGCTGCTTTTGCTCCTAGCACATTCTATTTCTTGTTAGTTGTTTTAGTTGTTGATTTTCCTTTTGCTGTTCCTGATCCCTGTAAAGTGGAGATGTGGTTCTTGCTGTAAAAAGTCCACTGCTCAAGCCCTTTCCCTGCAGCTCAGGTGGGGCTCAGACTGTGGCTCCTGCAGCCACGTGGGAGAGGCTGATGGGACTTCCTTCTCTCCCGTTGCTCAGAACCCTCCACTGTGTTGTGTAGAGACTCACTTGGGAATGCAAGTGGCCAATAGTTGTGAAGAGGATGAGCTTGTGTGGTCAAAATGGGATGTGGATATGGAATTTATCCTGTGCTGTTCAAGCTAACACAGGGTCACCTTCCCCCCAGTAGTGTTAGAAAGAGAGTGGGAAAGTTGTCAAAATCAAAATGGAGCCACTTGTATTAAAACTCTGACAAATGAAACTAGGAGTGACCATGAAGGAGGGTTCTTAAGCCCATATTCCTGATAACAAGAACTATCATAAATATACTCTGCTTAACCACAATCTTGGGAAGAAGACACCACCATCTTATAAAAAAATTACTTTTGCAAGGACATCATCCCAGAAACTGCCACTTCAACCTTACACTGATGCCACCCTTGGTATTGATTCTACAACTACAGGATCGTTCTCTCAAAACAACTTTTGTAACCCATCCATTTTCACTTCATAAACCTGTGAATTGACATCCTGGAGTTACTGCTGCATTTGTTGATAACGTTAAATAATAAGGCCTTTTGACAATGTTTGAAGCTGCTTTTTTCTGATGTCTCTTCTAAAATAAAGAATTTCCAAGTTGATGACAATAAAAAGATAATTAGGAAGATTTGGTGGGAAGGCATCTTTAACATCCTGTTGAATGCTTCTGCATAGCACGTCAATCCCCTAGAATGCTTTGCTACATCTGCATTTAATGAATCGGAGTCTAATATTGAAGATGTAATTGAAAATAGGTGGGCTTTTGATGAATCAAGTCATACGGTGATAACGTTTGTGTCCTTGAGAAAGCAAACCCTGTGTTGTAAGTTTTAGCAGATGTACCTTCAGCAAAAAAGTTCATGTGTTTCTGAATGTTATGCAACTTTTAACTTAAGGATGCAACATATGATTCAGTTTTACTTAAAATTTTCCAGAAGATTTTTGGCAGTAAGGACAGTGCAGCATTTGAGTAACACTAAGGAGCTAAAAAGAGTTATTTTGTAATTGCTCCTGTGAGGTATGCACATCGCTCACTTAATATTGAAATTCAAATGCCACAGATGGGAAAATCAGAATAAGGAAAATTTTATGAACTGGCATGGCTGTAGTTTTTGTCAAGCAAGTAATTCATGTCTGCAAGAAAATAAATACAACAATAAAACACATTCAAATCCAGGGGGATGCTGACCTCTGCCCTCTATATTACAAGTACAAGGTGGTATCACATCCAACTTATTTTTCAGGCTCCAGGGTATAAAATGCTTTTGGACGGTGAAGTTAACACCTCTCCCCTAAGGTGTGGCTGAGGTATGTGGGGAATGCAGAGTTGTGTTCATGAAGAAGATTACATTATTGTTATCTGGAGACAGCTCCCCAGGGTGTGTCTCAGATGTCAGACATGGGTCTGTAAGTCAAGCAAAGAGAACATGTTGAGTCCAAAAATCAGCATATTCTTAGAGGCACCCATTGCTCCATCACATGGGTGAGAAATTTTTGAGACTAGTGAAGTGTGAGTTCACAGTAAGTGATGCAGTTATCATATTTCCATGAACTTTCATTAACAAGACAAGGACTTCTCTAGATCACTCATGCACAAATATACAAAATGTATTTTTGCATTTGCGAGTGTCTAGAGAAAAAGAATCTGTTGAGAAAACTTCTTCAGGTTACAGAGATCTGTTTAAGTTGGAGATCTCACAGGAGTGTGTCTTTGAGTGAATACTGGCCTATTAATTAAATAGGTCAAAATTCCCTCTGTTGGAGTAGCCTTCCGATTATGTAGATTTCTTTATTGCTTCCTGAGTTGTGAAACATAAACCCAAGCATTGACTTACTGGAATTTGACTGCTGTGTTGATAAAATTTCTGATATGGTTTCTTCCAATGATTTAAGAATAGCTTTCCCCTTTCTTTACTCCAGGAAATGAATTTTCACAAGGTCTCAGGACACCATTTTTCAAGTGCTTTAGTTAAAGAGACTGACTTCTTGGTGGGCAGGCCTCTTCTAACAATGAGCTCACTTCTGCAAAGCATTCAGTCTGTGGCTTTATTGCCATGAATCATGAAGCTTTCACACTCCGATGCACTAAAAATAATGCCTCTTCAATTAAATATCTATTGGCATTGCCATGAATTGGCCACTCTTGGATATGTGTCCTATGTTATGAGCCCAACATGTCAGTGGACTGAGAATCCTCTATTAGCTACCTCTGTGTGTAGCACTGAGCAGACTAACAATCCTCAGAGTCATCTAACAAGGAGAGTCCTGAGGTTCATGGGATTCTTGGAGACATTCAGGTGAGTTGAGAGGAGAAACAGGATTGTGGGCTGCCAGCCATTTCAACAACAATGGGAGTCATTACCATCTAAGTGTAAAGTCTACATCATTCAAAATATCCTCCATGACAGGCTGATAAGAAGAAATCCAACCACACAATGGCTCCATGGCAACTCTTTAGTATACTTGGGAGTGAGGCTTTTTTCGGGAAGAAATATCCACTCCAGTGTGTCCCTGATGCTGCTCTCAACTAACGTAAACAGTGGACTGGAACCAAGATTCTCTGAGATTAATGTGAGGATTAATGCTGCTCCAATGTGTTTAAACAAGCATGTGGCAATTTAGATGAGCCTGGCTGTGTGGTTTGTTATATGTAAATCTGAACTAAATAAACAGAAAGGGCATGTCTGAACTAGTGTGAGGGTGAGAGATCTCATAGACCCCAAACTCATTTATATTTCCTCCTGGAACCTCCAGGTTCTTTGGGTGAAAATTGACATAGATCCTTTCCTGGATAAGTCATCAAAATTCCTACTCTCTGAGAAATACACAATAAATATATCCAGATAGAACATACAGGAGAAATACATATCTAGAACATTATCTATGTTGGTTAAGGTAGTCCATCTCCATTACAGACCCCTTCAAGCAGCCTTCCTTTATCACAAAAGTGGATAAAATTAGCCAATAGAGAAATAATCCTATAATGTTGTAGCCAGAAAAAGGAAAGTGTCAGTTCCATTTCTGGAGACTCTGTGTATAGGCCACAGCCCAGAGAAAAAAAGATGACTGAATTATTAAGATTCAATTGTAAGAACATATAATACTTCCAGGATGCACGTTTTGTTTTCTCAGCAGGATAGTTAATCTGGGTTAAAGATGAAAGTGTGACAATGCGCAGACTCTATCTGAGGAGAACATAGGAAAACTGAAACACAATGGCAGAGAATATGACAAGGACAGTAGGGAAATCTGAAGCCTCTGACATATATTTTTTGAAGAAAAGATATTGGCAAATCCATTGACCTCAGATTCTTTTATCATAGGGCATTTGCAGGGTTCCTAGCTGAGAAAAAAAATGCATGCACTTGGCCGGGCACTGCGGCTTACGCCTGTAATCCCAGCACTTTGGGAGGCCAAGGCAGGTGGATCACGAGGTCAGGAGATCGACACCTTCCTGGCTAACACGGTGAAACCCCATCTCTACTAAAAAATACAAAAAATTAGCCAGGCAGGGTGGCGGGCGCCTATAGTCCCAGCTACTTGGGAGGCTGAGGCAGGAGAATGGCGTGAACCCGGGAGGCAGAGCTTGCAGTGAGCCGAGATCGTGCCACTGCATTCCAGCCTGGGCGACAGAGCAAGATTCCATCTCAAAAAAAAAAAAAAATATTCATGCACTTCCCAAGTCTCCACTTGTATTCTATTTGCCTTAGATCTCTAAGACAAAAAAGTGGGTGAAGGATATGAACAGACACTTCTCAAAAGAAGACATTTATGCAGCCAACAGACATGAAAAAATGCTCGTCATCACTGGCCATCAGAGAAATGCAAATCAAAACCACAATGAGATACCGTCTCACACCAGTTAGAATGGCGATCATTTAAAAGTCAGGAAACAACAGGTGCTGGAGGGGATGTGGAGAAATAGGAACACTTTTACACTGTTGGTGGGGCTGTAAACTAGGTCAACCATTGTGGAAGACTATGGCGATTCCTCAAGGATCTAGAACTAGAAATACCATTTGACCCAGCCATCCCATTACTGGGTATATACCCAAAGTGTTATAAATCATGCTGCTATAAAGACACATGCACACGTATGTTTATTGTGGCACTATTCACAATAGCAAAGACTTGGAACCAACCCAAATGTCCATCAATGATAGACTGGATTAAGAAAATGTGGCACATATACACCATGGAATACTATGCAGCCATACAAAAAGATGAGTTCATGTCCTTTGTAGGGACATGGATGAAGCTGAAAACCATCATTATCAGCAAACTATCGCAGGGACAAAAACCAAACACCGCATGTTCTCACTCATAGATGGGAATTGAACAATGAGAACACTTGGACACAGGAAGGGGAACATCACACACCGGGACCTGTCGTGGGGTGGGGGTAGTGGGGAGGGATAACATTAGAATATATACCTAATGTAAATGACGAGTTAATTGGTGCAGCACACCAACATGGCACATGTATACATATGTAACAAACCTGCACGTTGTGCACACGTACCCTAGAACTTAAGGTATAATAATAAAAAAAAATAAGCCTAGGCCTAGTGTCAGTGTAGGAGGCAATTTTTATAGGCTAGAAACTAAGAAGAAAGAAAAATATGTGTTATTGGAATAGTAGATACAAAGTTGGTTTTATTCTGAGTGTATTTGAACCTGCAGGTATTCTTAGATGTAACATTCAACTGCAAGAGCTCAAGGACGAAACAAGGCACTCCCAAAATCCTACAAGTTTTTGTATTCATTTCGTGTCCACTGACTCAGGAAATGTGAAGTTTCAGAGAAGGTGTTCCACTCTGTGTCACAGAATATTTGCTTTGGGTCTCCCTGTAGAGTTAAATAGGTTTAATAAGGCTCTTCAATTCTTAAAAGACATGGTGTCAGCAGTACATTGTGTCACTGAAGGAGTATTCAGTACATTGTGTTACTGAAGGAGTATTCTAAACCAGGACACACCCACTTCATGCTGAGCTAGAGACTGTGGGGTAAAATGCCTGTGAGCTACAACAGAAACCTCATGGCAAGGCAAGGGCTCGGCTGGAGGGGGCACTTGGGAGCCACCAAGCACAAGTTCCAGCCCCAGAGCAGGTGCACAGGAGGCCGGGGAGGAGGTTTTCTCTCAGGGCCTTGGTCTTCCTTTGTCAGGAAAAAAACAATCTAAAATAACTGTTCAAGAAGTAGCTGACGTGCTTTAAATATTCTAGTACATCCAAACCATTCATATAACTTAAGATAATGAGAGCTATTTTTTAAAGTGAGTTTCTAGGACTGTAATATCTTAATAGTGAGAATATGAAGGATGGGCATGTTTTTACTAATTCAATGGGTACCGATTAGTTGAAGAAACTATATTCCTATGAATAAGAAATTCAGATTTCAGTGTTAAGTAATGTTGCCTACATTGTGTGAATGACAGGGCAGTGATGGATCTGAGGGTGTGGCAGGTGCACAGACCAAGTGAGTCAAAAATCAATATGTAAAGATACAGATCTATGGATATGAACTGGAAGTATGTAAATACTTTACAAAAATCTAATAAATGGAGTTGAAAAGTAACCCAAAATTATTCAAAACACAAATTCATTGACAATTATTTTGAGAGTAGAGAGTTCATAAAGAACTTCAAACTCCTGTTACCTCTTCTGATTCCCATTGTTCCTGAGATGAGAAAATCAGCTGTAATTATGCATCACAGGGCAAATACGTAAAACAAGAGCGTTTCTATTGAAGATCCTGGGGGATCAGGACATGAGGCACGTGCTGGAGACACTGTCTCAGGAGGGCCCAGTAGATCTCAGAGGGACATCAGCAGTCACCTTTCCAGAGTCACCAGTGAGCTGTGCTGGTGCCTGACAGGTCCAGGATAGGGCCAAGGCACGTGCTCAGTGTCATAGACAGTGATGGTCCCAAAAATAATCCAGGCGGCCTCTATACTAATCACATGTAGGTTCACAGTGAGGAGCCTGTTCTGAGAGGGCTTATTCTTCAGTGAAAGGACCTCTGTACACAAATGTTGGTAAATAGAGCAGGGCATGCATTTTCTCAAGTAAGATTAGGGCTTAGACCATTTGCATCTCACTCTTGTAAGGCTGATGTGTCATTTATCTTCCCTTTCTTATCATGTATCAGGCTTTGAGCTATGAAATCGTCTGTCTCATGAATATGCAAATAACCTGAGATGCACTGAGGTAAATATGGATGTGTCTGTGCCCTAAGCACATCATCCAACAACCACATGCCTCTTCTGCAGAATCTCCTTAGAGCTCAGTGCCTCACCGTGGACTGGACCTGGAGGAACATCTTGGTGGCAGCAGCTACAGGTAAGGGACTCCCAAGTCCCAGTGATGAGAAGGGGATTGTGTCCATTTCTGAAAGATCTCATCCACTACTGTATCCTCCCCACAGGTGCGCACTCTCAGGACCAGTTGGTGCAGTCTGGGGCTGAGGTGAAGAAGCCTCTGTCCTCAGTGAAGGTCTCCTTCAAGGCTTCTGGATACACCTTCACCAACAACTTTATGCACTGGGTGTGACAGGCCCCTGGACAAGGACTTGAGTGGATGGGATGGATCAATGCTGGCAATGGTAACACAACATATGCACAGAAGTTCCAGGGCAGAGTCACCATAACCAGGGACACGTCCATGAGCACAGCCTACACGGAGCTGAGCAGCCTGAGATCTGAGGACATGGCCGTGTATTACTGTGCGAGAGACACAGAGTGAAAACCCACATCCTGAGAGTGTCAGAAACCCCAGGGAGGAGGCAGCTGTGCTGGCATGGAGGAGATGACAAAGATTATTAGATTGAAGACTTTCTCAGAAAATAACATTAAGTCACTAAAGAAAAGGAACAATATAAATGTGTATTTGAGAAATTTTAATTATTTGAAAGATTTTTCATACAACATTTATTCTGTAAGCAAATTTCAGGGATTGAATTAATAAAACTGATACAGAACTTCCTTTGTAGGTATCTTTGTAAACATCAATTTCTGAATCACTGTTGTAAATATTTTGGAACACACAAATGAATCAAATTTTAACTCTACTTTTATCTCTATTTTAAAAATGCCCCCCAAAACCTCATTTTGTGCATGTAGCATTTTGAATTCCCACCATCAATGCATGATGGTTCTTGATTTTCCACATTCATATTGCCATTTTTCATTATGAGAATTGTGTGTTTTAAACATCCTAATAGGTGAGTAATGGTATCTAATTTTTATTTACACGTACATGTCCCTAATAAAAAGTTCCTACTTAAAAATGTTCAAATAATCTTTGGTGAGGTACCTTGCCTGAGATCTAGTTCATTTTTAAATGCATTGTTTTCTTTTGATTAGTTGTAAGTTAACTTGCATATTAATTATAAAAGTGATTTAACAAACTAAAATAACTCATTTAACAAATACGTGACTTGGAAGTATTTTCTCCAAGTCTGTGGCTGTCTTTTACACCCTTAGCGTGTATTGCAGAAAAATATGTGTGCATGTTTATACCAATTTAGATTTTAAAAATGTAAAATTTTATTCATCCACAGATCATGTCTTTGGCATTATATCTGAAATCCCATTATAAAATACAATAATAGTGATTTTTTTTCCATGTCTCTAATCTCAGGCCACAATCAACTCATGAGTGTTTAAGCTTCACTCACTTGATTACAGGACTATCAAGCTAACATATTTGGAATACTTCTGCAAAGAGATGTGTTCTTCTTCCCATTATTTATTTATTTAATAATCTATTAATATCCGTATTAGTTTACGGATGTCTATTTCATGCTCTGAAGATGATCCTTGCTACATCATTCATTTTATTGTTCATGTCACCACCGCTTTATTAGGTGCTAGGAGCTCATTTAGTTTGGATCCTGCATCCTTACAGCACACCTCATCCTTTTGTTTTTGAACACTTCCCTGTTTCCTGATATTACAATTAATTCTAAGTTCATTTTCTACATTATCTTTCTCATACATAGGATTAGCCGTTTTTCCTAAAGATTGATTATTTCCGATGTTAAAGAATAGTGTTAAAATTAAAAATTGTGATACTGGATATGTGTGTTGTTAAGGTGTTATAAGTACTTCTAGGACCTCTCAACCTATATGTCTAGTAAATGTACATGTTTATATGAACCCATGTTTATGGACTCATTGAAACTACTTATGTATCTAATTGTATGTAACTTTATTACATTAAAAATGAGAACGCACTGGTCTCTCCACCCAATTATGCTATTTTAGATAGTATTATAAACAATTTTAGAGCTGCTTGCTTTGCATAATGATCCACTACTATGGATAAACAGATAGAAGATAGATGCCTACATACATACATACATACGTACCTTGATAGAGATATAGTTGGACACATAAATACATAGATGGATAGATAGAGTTACAGATATATTTTAGTTTTTATGCTACTTTTTTCTTTGCCTTTACTTCCTATGTTATATTAGTCAGGTCTCTAGGACTTAGGACTGCATTTACAATTCCTTCCCTTGTCCATTTTGATGTGTTCTAGAAGATGTGAGAATCCTTTTGTGTCACTTCAAAGTCAGATCACTTCAAAGTCATGCACTACCCTTGCAATAAATGTGTTTGTGTATGTCTTTGCCTTATTGACAAGCTCTGCTGAGTGCAGTTATTTCTGCCATCTGAGCTAACTTTACACTTGGTAGAGAAATATATTCTAAATGGAGGTTTCCACTATTCATTTAAATTACTAATTCATAACCTCCAGCTTAATTATTGAGGTATAATCTATCAGAGATGATATTAGATCAAAGGTTTCCAATGAAATCTAATATAAGGGAAGTGAACAAATTTTCCTAATTTAGGTAAAATAACTCTGAGCCCATTCTTAGTATCCAGCCATGTCTCCTATCTATCACACTGAATCCCATACTAACTTTGACCTAACTTGGGACTTGGAAGCTTCAAATACGACGTTTTGATTGCAATGCCTCTAATTCAGGATGTGTGGTTATTTTAGCCAAGAGTAAAGAAAAGCAAATTTAACTCACTAAAAATGAGGAAGATTAAAACCTAATGAAATGGAAACTGGGATATGAGTGGCTCCAGACTTGGCTATTTTAAGAGTCTATGTGCCCAGGTGATTTCTTTTCTCAATTTTACACACAGGCACACCCAAAACATCAGCTTCATCTCCCATTGACTCTCATCATCTCTTTCTTAGAATGTTGACTTCCCGCTGCATCCATGTTGCCACAAAAGACATGATTTTATTCTTTTTCTATGAATGCATAGTGTTCCATGGTGTAAATGTACCATATTTTCTTGATCAAATTCACCATTAATGGACACATAGGTTGGATTTATGTCTTAAGTATTAAGAGTAACATAGCAATGAACATGTAAGTGGGTGTATTTTTTGGTAGACTGATTTATTTTCTTTTGTGTATATACCCACATATGAGATGGCTGGACCAAGTGGCAGCTCTGCTTCAAATACTTTTCAAATCTCCAGACTGCTTTCCACAGTGCTTGGACTAATTCACATTCCACCCAACACTGTACAAGTGTTTCCTGTTCTCCGCAGCCTCACTCCAGACTGCTTGCCACCGTGCTTGGACTAATACACATTCCACCCAACACTGTACAAGTGTCTCCTGTTCTCTGCAGCCTCACTCCAGACTGCTTTCCACAGTGCTTGGACTAATTCACATTCCACCCAACACTGTACAAGTGTTTCCTGTTCTCCGCAGCCTCTCTCCAGACTGCTTTCCACAGTGCTTGGACTAATTCACATTCCACCCAGCACTGTACAAGCGTTTCCTGTTCTCCGTAGCCTCACCAGCATCTGTTTTTTTTTTTTTTTAATTTTTAGTAATACTGATTTTGACTGGTGTGAGACAGCATCTCATTGTGGTTTTGATTGATTGGCATTTCTCTGATGATTAGTGACGTTAAACGTTTTTTCATATGTCCTGGCCACTTTATGTATTTTTGAGAAGTTTATGCTCATGTCATTTGCCTATTTTTAAAATGTGATTATTATTATTATTTTTGCTTGTTGATTTACATTTCTTATAGAATCTGGATATTGGACCTTCATCAGATGCATAGTTTGTGAATAGCCTCCCCCATTCTGTAGGATCTCTGCTTACTCTCTTGATAGTTTCTTGGCTCTGTAGAAGCTCCTTAGTTTTATAAGGTGCCACAGACAGAATTTTGATTTGTTGCAACTGCTCTTGGGGACTTTGCCAAAATTTTCTTGCCCAAAACAATTTTTAGATGAGTATTTCTTAGGTTGTATTCCAAGATTTTTATAGTTTGAGGTCTTATACTTAAATCTTTACTCCATTTTTTGTTGATTTTTGTTAATGGTGAAAGGTAGACATCTAGCTTCCATCTTCTGCATATGGCTAGCCAGTTATCCCAGCACGATTTATTGAATAGTGATACATTTCCTCATTGCATGTTTTTAGTGTCTTGGTTTAAGATCTGATGGTTGTAGGTGTGCAGCTTTATTTCAGAATTCTCTATTCCCTTTCACTCGTCTATGTGTCTCTTTTTGTATAAGTACCAAGCTATTTTGGTTCCTGTGGCTTTGTAGCATAATTTGATGTCTTCTAGTGGGATACCTTTGAATGTATTCTTGTTACTTAAGATTGCTTTTGTTTTTAAAACTCTTTTTTTGATTCCATATAAATTTTAAAAGTTTTTTTTCTAATGCTTTAAAAATAATGTTGGTAGTTTTATAGTAATAGCATTGAATCTGGTAATTTATTTGGGCACCATAAAAGTTGATAGTCATAAATGACTTCATCAAGGAGTTAGAAAGTTCTCAAATTAGTAATCTTAACCTTGCACCTAAAGGAACTAAAATAATCTCAAAGCTAGCACAGAAAAGGAAAATTAGAGAAGAACTGAATGAAATTCAGATACAAAAATGCATACAAAATATCAATAAGCCCAAGAGTTTCTTCTTTGTAAAATAAAGATTGACTGATAGTCACCTGTCTGGATTTAGAAAGATAAAGAAAAAGAAGATCCAAATAAGTACAATCAAAAGTGACAAAGGGGATATTACAACTGATCCCAGAAGAATGCACAAATTCTCAGACTACTATAAACTTTATGCACACGTGTTAGAGAATCTGGAGGAAATGAGTAAATTTTGGGAAGCACAAAATCTCCCAATATTGAATCAGGGAGAGATTGAAACCCTAAATACAGTGAAACCAACTTCTAAAATTGAGTCAATAATAAAGACCCAACCAAGAAAAAGAAACCTGGACAAGAAGAATTCACAGCTGAATTCTACCCGACATACAAAAAAGAACTGATGCCAATTCTACTGAAGCTACACAAAGAAAATCAAGGCATAGAGGCTCCTTCTCAACTAAATCTGTGAAGCCAGCATCAGCCTTATACCAAAATATGGCAGAGACACAATAAGAGATGAAAGCTCAAGACAAATACTTCTCATGATCATAGGCTTAAAAATTCTCAATGTAGGAAATCAAATCCAGTAGTTTATCAAAAAGTTAACACACTGCAATCAAGTAGGCTTCATTCTGCAGATGCAAGGCTGCTTTAACCTATGCAAAGCAATAAATGTGATGCTCTACTAAACAGAATCAAAAGCAAAAACCATGTGAGTATCCCAGCAGATGCAGGAAAAAAAGCTTTCAATAAAATCTAACAATGCTTCATGATAAAAACCCTCAAAATTATAGACATTGAAGGAGCACACCTCAATCTGATGAGCCGTCTATGACAAACCCACAGCCAACATCATACTGAATGGGCAAACACTGGAAGCATTTTCCTTAAGAACAGAAACAAGACAAGGATGCCCGCTCTCACCACTTCTATTCAGCCTAGTACTGGAAGTATTCACCAGATCAGGCAAGAGAAAGAAATAAAAGGCATCCAAATAAAAGAAAAAGAAGAATGCAAACCCTCTGTTTTCACTGATAATATGATTCTATATGTAGAAAATATTGAAGGCTCTGCCAAAAGTCTCCTAGTATTGATACATTAGTTTAGGAATGTTTCAGGATATAAAATCAATGTACAAAAATCACAGTAACATTTCTAGTCACCAACAACGTTCTGGCTGAGAGTGGAATCAAGAACTTGCTCTCCCAATAGCCACCAAGACAGTGGAATACCTAGGAATAGAGCTAAGCCAATGAGATGAAATATTTCTACTAGAAAAACAGCAAAACACAGGTGAAAAAAATCAGAGATAAAACAAATAGATGGAAAAATAAACATTCCATGCTTATGAATTTAAACAATAAATATAAGAAAATGTTTTAAAATTTGTGATTAATTCTATGTAGCAATGCCATTTTTTTCAACATTTGCAGAATATTGTTGCTGGTAATAGCGGTTCAGCATTTGATAATGGAAATACCTTACAGAATCACTTTATAACAATTGCTTCCTGTAGTGGCTGTGCTTCAGTTACCTGATGAAAACATCGGCATGTCACAGGTTGAAAACATAAAACATGTTTATCAACTGAGAAGGCTGTAGGCTTTTGTCAAGTAATTACTTCAAGTCATTCAGAGAAACAGTAGACAGTAAATGAAACTTGTTCAAATTCCATGGAGAGTCAAAGCTGAAGAAAATCCTACTAAAAGTGTCCAAAGGCCCCCAAGGCTCAGTTCCTCGGCAAGTCCCACCTTCACAGGTTTTCCAGAATTTTGTTTTTAACTGATTTACACTAAGTGAAGTAGATTACCAGGAGTTTTCCATTATTTTAACTTAAAATCGGGGGCTAAGTGTTGTTATTTTGTAAAGACATCTTTGAATCTCTCAGGAAATTTACCTCCTGAGGGTTCAGCTAAGATCCCACTCTAGGTTAAGATTACATGTTTGGCACAACGAACTGGTACAAATCTTACTTTAGCTTTCATGTTATCTATTTTTCTGCACTGACTTCCACCTTTTTATTAGTCAAGTATATGGGGTGGAAGAGTGCTTCTAAGAGGTCCTTAACTTCCCCATTTCAATGGATTTTCAAGAAGACATGAGAAACCACTTTGTTTGCAAAGCATCCCAAAGCCATGTCCTGCTCCAGAAACGTGATCTCATTTCCTGGTCGTTTCTTAACTGACACACTGTAATCAGTGCATCTGGGCGAATTTCAAATGAGGTGAAGAAATGTGTCCTAAAGTAAAGCTAACATTGTAATAGGAATTCCTGTTTTAAAACATTTAGTTTTATTATTGGGAGGATCTATCAACATATAACAGTTGAAGTTTCTCAACAGGAGTTTAATAAATATAAGGAATGTACAGAAGTGTTTCCTAATTAAAATAAAACATAGTGATTACCTAGGCTGTGAATGCAATCTTGGTAATCTGCTATGTCCATGCCCATCACTCTGTGCCTCGCAAACTGATTTTGACCTTAGCAGAAATGAGGTTAATTTTCAAATTAGTAATTTTTTTCCAGTTTATTTAGATGATTATGAATGACTATTTTAGCAGAAAGAGAATCAAGGAAACTTGAACTAAATAACCAGAATTTAAAATGACAAACAATTCAACAAGACACCAGGATGTGAGTGGCTCCAGGCCCAATTAATTCAAAACTTTATCTGCCCAGGTTCTGTATTTTCCCAAAATTACACTTCTCCATTCCACCTTCATACCACAGTCGACTCCCACCCTGTAAGACATGGTGACAGCATTCCCAAAGGTCATGTGCAATTCTGAAAATGGAATAAGCAAGGTGAGGAGATGACAGTTTATATTCTCCTCTGAGGAGGAAGAATTGCCTCAACAGACCACTTCTCCTGCATCTGTGACTAGAACTATGTCACAGGCACACATGGAGCAAAATCCCTCAAGGGCATAATATGGTAACATTAATCAGGGTGATCATTTTTAATACTATAAAATTCATAGATGACACTGCATTCCAGCCTGAGAGACAGAGCAAGACCCTGTCTCTAAGAAAAAAAGAACAAATTAATAGATACTGATACCAACATTTTAGATAATGAAATTTTCATAACCTAATTTTAAATACACTCACATCATTACATAAATCTTCCCAGAAATATTCCTAGTCATGTTGAGTTTCATCAGCTTTTCCAGTGTTCAAATCTAGAAATCCAATAGAGTCTTGAGGATAAATCAAAATGAGGGCAGTGAAACTGGTATCTATTCAGCATCTGTTAACTCAGGAGGACTCAATACACCCTTGCACACTGCTGCTTCTCCGAATGGCTCACAAGGATTCCAGCTCACTCTCTAGCCTCCTCAAACATCTGGCCCCCACTTGCCCTAAGTTCACTGTCTGCTCTTAGTCTGTGCTCTGAAGTTTTCGCAGAGGTGAAAGTGAGCTGTCAGATGGAACTTCCCTCTCACCTCAGCGTGGAATTTACTACTACATTTAACTATCACTCTTTCCATAATGGTTGATTTCTCTTGGTCTGTTCATTACAGATCAAAGGCATCTGATTTGAATCTTTATTTCTTTGCATTTGTCTCCATGACAATTTTGGGAGGTTTTACCGCCAGCTCTATAACATGATGTAGTAACATGACACATTTGTGCTTAACAACACCTACAAATTCAGAAGCCCTTCGGTTCTCTTCCCGGCAAATATAGTTGCTTCCTTTCTGTGTATGAGCACATCCTGGAAACCCGTACACACCCACATAGATATATACATGCCTATGACATTTTCTTCTCTGTAAGTGAAAATTAATCTCAATTTCATACGAAGTTCATCATTTCCCTGAAGGTGAAGGTAGGTCGTTTTGGTCTGTTCAAACAAAAGGCCCAGACACCAGCTGGTAAGTGAGGAGCTACCCTGCTTCTAGATGTTGGATCTGTCTCTTCCCCTTTGCTTTACCACAGAAGATTGGCCACTTGTCCAGGTCCCAAGAAGAGAGTCCAGGTTTGTCCTGATAATATGACTCACCCAACTTCTGATAACTCTACTGCTACACACATTCATGGAGGTAGCCTATTAATTACATAATTGACTAAACAAACACCAAATACCCACATTGCAATACCCCATACCCAAGGGTATGTTCATGCAATTCAATGAAGGAAAAGGCTTTTCAGAGACAGATAGATCAGGCTAGATTGGTCAATATATGGGTGAAAACACTGGATTTGAATGTATTTGTTTTCCCCCATGTCGCATGTGAGACCTGTCAGTCAGGACCAGGGTTCCTTGTGCACTCAGAGGTGAGGGCTCACAGAGTTCCTCTCTGGTTTCCAGGAAAGGTAACTGCAGTAATCTTGGTGATGAGAATATCCTCCAGTGCTGGCCTATTATAGAGTTTACATATGAAATTGTCACTGCAATTCACAATCTACTCTTTCACACAGAAGTGTACAGAGGTCAGGCCACATCCTCAGGGTCACACATTGAGAATGATGAAGATATGTCCCACGAGTCTCTCCTAAGGTCTCAGAAAGAATTCCAGGACTCAAAAGGTCTCAGAGGGCAGCTCCCAGTGCCTTAGTTAAAATGGTGGCTCAGGCCTGTAATCCCAGCACTTTGGGAGGCCAAGGTGGGTGGATCACCTGATGTCGGGACGTTGAGACTAGCTTGGCCAACATGGTGAAACCTTATCTCTACTAAAAATATAAAAATTAGATGGGAGTGGTTGTGCGTGTCTGTACTCCCAGCTACTTGGGAGGCTGAGGCAGGAGAATCACTTGAACCCAGGAGGTGGAGGTTGCGGTAAGCTGAGATCGGGCCACTGCACTCTAGCCTGCGCAAAGGAGCAAAAGTTCATCTAAAAAATTTATTTTAATTTAAACACTTTTAAAAAGTGGCCCACTCCCTAGAACAGAGAGATTCCCTCTAAACATGATGGATGTCCTGAACTATAAATTACATTAAGTGAATCCTGGTGTGTCTGAACTCACATGATTATTACGTTAAGCTGCTGTTCCAATCTACTTCCTCACCTGGGAAAAGAGGAGCCAGGACATGGCTAGTTGAGGCCCCAGGAAGAGAACTGAGTTCTCAAAGGGCAAAGCAAGCATCCTCATCCCAGGGTGAGCCTAAAAGACTGGGGCCTCCCTCATCCCTTTTCACCTCTTTATACAAAGGCACTACCTACATGCAAATCCTCGCTTAGGCACCCACAGGAAACCACCACACATTTCCTTAAATTCAGGGTCCAGCTCACATGGGAAATACTTTCTGAGACTCATGGACCTCCTGCACAAGAACATGAAACACCTGTGGTTCTTTCTCCTCCTGGTGGCAGCTCCCAGATGTGAGTATCTCAGGGATCCAGACATGAAGATAGGGGAGGCTGCCTCTGATCCCAGGGCTCACTGTGGGTCTCTCTGTTCACAGGGGTCCTGTCCCAGGTGCAGCTGCAGGAGTCGGGCCCAGGACTGGTGAAGCCTTCGGAGACCCTGTCCCTCACCTGCGTTGTCTCTGGTGGCTCCATCAGCAGTAGTAACTGGTGGAGCTGGGTCCGCCAGCCCCCAGGGAAGGGGCTGGAGTGGATTGGGGAAATCTATCATAGTGGGAGCCCCAACTACAACCCATCCCTCAAGAGTCGAGTCACCATATCAGTAGACAAGTCCAAGAACCAGTTCTCCCTGAAGCTGAGCTCTGTGACCGCCGCTGGGAGGTGAGTGTGAGCCCAGACACAAACCTCCCTGCCAGGAGGCGGAGGGCGCGGACGCAGGTGCTGCTCAGGACCAGCAGGGGGCGCGGGGCCCACAGAGCATGAGGCCGGGTCAGGAGCAGGGGCAGGGAGGGCGGGGCTTCCTCATCTGCTCAGTGGTCTCCCTCCTCGCCAGCACCTCAGCTGTCCCCAGGGCTCCTCTTTCTTTATTGTTTGTGGTTCTGCTTCCTCACATCCTCACTGCAGGCAAGAAAGAAGGGAGAAATTTCTCTGTTTACCATTAAGGTTTTAACAGTCACTGGCACCTTTTTTTCAACAAATTCCCACAAGGCCCATTTTACCTTCTTGACAAATAAAATATTTCAAGGCTTCTCACTATCCCTTGATTGACGTCATTGGCTGCATCGTGTCCTTCTCTTAAATTCATATGCTGAAACCCCAATCCCAGTGGCTCTGTATTTGGAGTGAGGGATTTTAAGAGGGCGAATAAGTTAACTGTGGTCATAAATGTGGGACCCTAATCCAGTAGGACTCTTGTCCTTATGGGAAGTGGAAGACATCAGAGACCTCTCTCTCCACATGCACACAGAGGAGAGGCCATGTGGGGATGCACTGCATGAGAAGGTGGCCCTTTGCAAGCCTGGAAGAGGCCTCTCAAAAAACAAAATACTATCCCTTTCTGCACCCAGATCTTGGACATCAAGACTCCAGAACAATAAGAAAATTAATATTTGTTATTTGAAACAACCTAGTCTGTGGTATCTTCTGATGGAAAGCCAAGCGGATTCACAGATACAATTGTGTTAGCTCTGTCTCCTGGAGGGAGAAACAGCCCACTGAGGCTGGACACATCTCTCAGATTATTTTTATAAAGAAAAATAGATCCAAGATGAAAACCCCACCACATTTCTGCTGAGTCATTCACTTAGCAGGCGTCTCTGAGATCAGCCCTGGGGGCTGTGTTCTAGGTCATGTCTCTCACTTTCCACTATGAGAATCCATGTAGATAATGAGAACCAGCCAGATGGAGTCCTGATCCCGGCCCACCTTCTGCTGCCCCAAGTATCCCAAAGAAAACCACTCCAGCATCACCCCTGTGTCTTCTACTCTCTAAAATCCCACTAAAGCTGACCCTAAACCAGGAGCTATTTGGGGCTGGACTCTTGTTCTCTTCTTCTTAGTCTTCCATAAGGTCCAGGTGCCGAGTAAAGCCTCAGTAAAGATTGAGCTTCAGTTCCCCTAATCCGCAGCATTCCCTTACATCCTTGTCATGCATCTGTCCTCTGTGGGCGCCCAGGGCAGGTTACACAGGAATTGCCTGAAGCTGGCCTCAGCTGATGTGCTGAGACCACGGGTCATGCACACGTATGATTCCAGGTCATGCGGGCTCTACTGCAGGACAGACCTGTGTCCTGTGGGGCACAGCCACCTGCTGACCCCGGGCCTCCTCTAATAACTCACACACCTGGTGTTTGTGTATGTCCAGATGGCCCCATGAGCACAGCACACTAGGGTGGCCAACCTCACAGGTGGTGCCGTCAGATGGTGGACAGAAAATGGAATGGACAGGCTGGTCACTCCCATCATCAGTGATTTCCCAGTGAATTTTAAATAAATTAAACAAAATTAACAACAAAGGGGAAGGATATGTACCTGTATCTGGGAGGTATACAGGGTCCTAGAACCGTGCTGGGAGTGGGTGTGAAAGGCCCTTTTGGGTGGAAAGCCCTCCGGCCTGAGTGAAAGCTGAAGGAATGATCACTGTGCAGGTGGAGGCTGATAGGCAGCTGGCAGGGTACATTTCCTGAAGCTGTTCCTGGGTGCATGATGGTTGGATGGCCCGTGGTGATGAGGGCTGGACTCACATAGGAACAAGGAAATTATCCCATGGGAATGGCAGAAAAGAAAACGGAGATGGACACCCCTGGAGACAGCTTATTAGAATTGGTGGAGGAAAAATAGAAATTTATTCCAATGACCCCAGCATTGTCAGCTAAATATGAGTTGCATTAATAGACAGAATTATGAAAGGAAGGGAGAAGGAGTTTATGGAGGGAAAAAACAGAAGAGAAATTAAAATTAAAAACTATGCAAATCTATCAATTGGCAGATAACAGAGTGGAGCTGATGCAGCTACTTCCTTGTTCAGGAAACCTGCCAGAGACACTTGGCATTCCTGTAAGGCCGGCCTAGTGGTGATGAACTTGTCGACTTTTTACTTTTTTGGGAAACTTCTCAAACATCCTGCATTACTGAAGAAAAGCTTTAATCCCTGTAAGATATTTATTTGGAAGTTTTTGGCTTTTTTTTTTCAGCAACTTGAATAGAATCATGCACATTTTGATATTTGGGTGAACAACAGGCCACATACATGACAAAGGTCTCATTAGATTATAATACTGTATTTTCACTGCATTTTTTCCATGCTTAGATATGTTCATCTGTATAAACATCTACTATGGTGATTCAGCTGCCCACAGTATTTAGTACACTTACATGACATACAGATTTGTTACCTAGGAGCACTATGCTATCCCACACAGCCTGGGTGTAGCAGGGTATTTCATGTAGGTTTGTGTAAACACACTCTATGACCCTTGCACAATGACAAATTGCCTGAGGACACATTGCTCAGACGTATCCCTACTGTTTTTCATTTTTTTTTAGATGGAGTCTCACTCTGTCACCCAGGCTGGAGTGCAGTGGCACAATCTTGGCTCACTGCAACCTCCACCTCCGAGGCTCAAGCGATTCTCCTGCCTCAGCCTTCTGAGGAGATGGGATTACAGGCATGTACCACCACGCCCAGCTAATTCTTTTTTTTCTATTTTTAGGAGAGATGGGGTTTCACCATGTTGCCCTGGCTGGTCTTGAACTCGTGACCTAGGTGATCCACACTCTTTGGCCTCCCAAAGTGCTGGGATTACAAGCATGAGCCACTGCGCCTGGCCAATGTATCCCTACTGTTAAGCCACAAATCATTGTATCTCATCTCTCTCCCTTTTTTGTCCCTGTTAATACTTTCATGTTGTTCGTGCATTCTTCCCCTAGCTCAGTGAACATATTTATAAGGTTTACTTTGAATTTTCTGCTAGGTAATCAATATATCTCCTTTTAATTTGTGTCAGTTTCTAGTGCTTTTTTTTTTGTTAAACAATTTGGGCCACTTTTTTCTGTTTCGTGATTATTATTATTATTTTTTTTTACTTTCTCTGTTGCTTTCTCCTCATTAGAAGGAAAAGCTACCATAATCACTCTTCACAGAATATGCTCAGGGAAAATGCCATCACCTATCAACCCAGGTTGTCATTGTGGCATCTCTTAAAACTTCATAATGGTCGAAATTTTTTTTGGTTGTTAGTGGCACTCAGACCTATAGAGGATTTTAAGTTTTGCTCCTACTCTAAATTAGATGGCATTGAAATTCATCCTGCAGGCAGTCTCTGATAAAGTGGAGGAATTGGACAAAGTTTTGTTATGCATGTGGTTCATAAAAATAATATGAGTTTAAGGTTTTCTCAACCAAGTGCTACATACTGATACTTTATAATCACTTCTTTGAATCTGTCTTGAGTTTATCCTTCGAAAATTTAGATCAGAATATAAACCATGTTTGAGGCTTCTTGTTTGGTGTAAACATCTCCTACAGGTCATTGTGTGAAAAGGCACAGAGTCTATCTGAGGAGGAGAACTCAGGGAAGCCTCACAACAACAGGGGAGACAAAACCGAGGTCACTAAAAAAATATGAAGCTTCTGGCTCCTGCAGCCTCCAGACATGCCCTGCACCCTCTCATTGCATACAAACGAATTCCTTTCTCTTTCCTGTGTGATATTTGCCAAGATTCCTCTCCTCCACTTTGACACTTTGGTATATCCATGTGTGTCCATTCTGGTTCAGCCAGGCACACAGAACCAGGAAGGCATCATGGCTTTTCTAGAGGGAGCTGACCTGGGTAATCAACGGTTGGAGTAGAAAGTGTCTTTGTCCATGTTTCACAGCCCTGAGGGCCATGGGAAGAAGGTCAGGAAGAGAGGATGACCAGACGGCCGGGGAAACCAGTATGAACAAAGCCACTTTCTTTCCTGGTGAAGAGGGGCATTTGGAAGCCTGGTGTCCCTGTAGGGGATGAACCACACTCACCTACCCACTGTTACTTGCCAACGAGGTGACCCGCAGAGCAGCAGCTCCTGAGTCACCGACAGTGGCGCCTTCCTCCTCCAAACCCTCCAAGATCTGTCCTTCCAGGAGTGTGAACCCCAGCAGATCTGCATGTTTTCAATGGGTCCACTTAGCTAGTGTCTGTCCTCAGCCCCATCCCTGGGATCCTTCCCTGGTTCTGTGTACAGTGTCACAATAGTGGTGACATTGACAGCTGGTGCCTGCACTTTCCAGGCCAAGAAATTTGAAAGAAGCAAGTTACAGGACCAGCTTGGATTTGGGGCAAACAGACACATTTCACTCTGTGGGGAAGTGCTGGGAAGCAGCCTTGGGTCCTCCTCAGCTCACGTGTGGCTGCTGCTTCTCATCCCAGGTGGGACACATGAGCCCTCCCCATGCCCAGGATGGAGCTGTTTCAATCACAGCAGGATGGGAATGTGTCTTCTCTATGGGGGCTTTTGAAGCACAGCTCTCCTGTTCCTGAGATTTGAGATTTATAAAGACAAGTCCCACAGAGTGGACCTGCACAAATAAGACAGTACAGGATCCCCAGGAGAGACATCCCATATGAGAAGGGACAGGCTGGTCCCATCACTGACACTCGTCCTCAGAAACCCTGACCAGCTACTGACCTTCCCAGGTCCCCTGTTCCTGGAACAGTTCCTGTGTCTGCTCCTGAAAAGATGCCCATCAAGAGTCCCAAGGGTTCTGCCCCCTTCCTTGATGTGCCTCTGGGAGTGGGGCTGGCTGGGCTGTGGGTCTGCTGTGACCCTCTCCACAGGTCAGCAGTTCAGTGCAGGCTGCACCAACTCGGTGGGGCTGGGCTGTGGCTGACCCTCCTGGGGGAGCCTGGACTCTTCTTAGGGGTATCTGCAGGATCCCAGGTTCTGGGAGAACAGGGAAGCCACAGTGTGTGCAGGGCCCCATCTCCAGTAAAGTGTTTGCTGTTGTTCTGCTTGACAAGGGCATATCCCCAGGCCTAGAGGCACTATGGGCACACAGCCAATGCGCTAGACACAGGGAGTAAGACACAGTTCCCTCTCATTACTGTGAGGACTCTAGACACAGTGTGTGTGTGTGTGTGTGTGTGTGTGTGTGTGTGTGTGTGTGTGTGTCCATTACTGTGGGGACTCTAACCACCCGTGTGTGTGTGTGTGTGTGTGTGTGTGTGTGTATTAGGAGTTTCGCAGTGGGCTCTGAGACCCATGATTTTGTAGGTTTAGAAATTATCTGATGAGATGTTCATCCAAAGGAACCGACAAGAGATTAGGTGTTCTCCCAAAGCCCCTGGGAGCTCCTGGACTCATTGTGAGTGTGGACTGATCCAGTGCTTCCGGAGCTCCAGAGAAGGGGCTCCCTGGTGGTTTCATAGAATCCTTGTTTGGGGTGTTTCTGCAGAGTTCACTGGCTTTCCTACAACCAATTTACTATTGCAAGCGATGGTGTCAGCAGGACATGGTGTCACGTGTCACTAAAGAAGCATTCTGAGCCAGGACACAGCCACTTCATACAGGGAGGAAAATGCTCTGGGAGCCCAGACAGGAGCCTCTCTGCAGTGCAAGGGCTGGGCTGCAGGGGGCGCTCAAGGCCCACCCAGCAAAGGCCCCAGCCCCAGAGCAGGTGCACAGGAGGCTGGGGAGGGATTCCTCTCAAGATCTGTGTCATTCTTCTAAAAAAATCTAAAATAAGTATTTGACAAAGACTGCTGAAGATTCCATAAATATCCTATTCAATTGCAAGAATTTATCAATTTACACTGGAGATTTCTAACCCTGCTACATACCTTAATAGTAAGCATCTGGAGATCAATTAAGCTTTTATTTTATATAAATAAGTGCAACTTTTGGAGAAACACACTCATCCCCCAAATAACACATTCATGTATTAAAGCCTAGAAATGCTTTAAATTACCTCTGAGCTATTCAAGTGTGGGTTCCCAGTGAAGTCCTGTTCTAGGGAAAATTGTTCTCCAGTGTTCTCCACTGTTCTGGAGAAAATTGTTCTCCAGAAGCTCTGTCAACATACAGCTTAGGGATGTGGCAGGGCACACATGGCCTCTAAGGGGATTATAGCTTGAACCCTTAGCATCCTCCTGTTGGGTAATCCATGTGTCATCTCTCCATTCTTTCTCATGCTGTGTTAGGTATGAAATAGCATCGCTCATGAATATGCAAATAACTGATATGACTATAGATATCTTTGTGCCCTGAGAGCATCACCCAACAACCACATCCCTCCTCAGAAGAAGCCCCCAGAGCACAGCTCCTCACCATGGACTGGACCTGGAGGATCCTCTTTTTGGTGGCAGCAGCCACAGGTAAGGGGCTGCCAAATCCCAGTGAGGAGGAAGGGATTGAGGCCAGTCAAGGGGGCTTCCATCCACTCCTGTGTCTTCTCTACAGGTGCCCACTCCCAGGTCCAACTGGTGTAGTCTGGAGCTGAGGTGAAGAAGCCTGGGGCCTCAGTGAAGGTCTCCTGCAAGGCTTCTGGATACACCTTCACCGACTACTTTATGAACTGGATGCGCCAGGCCCCTGGACAAAGGCTTGAGTGGATGGGATGGATCAACGCTGGCAATGGTAACACAAAATATTCACAGAAGCTCCAGGGCAGAGTCACCATTACCAGGGACACATCTGCGAGCACAGCCTACATGCAGCTGAGCAGCCTGAGATCTGAGGACACGGCCGTGTATTACTGTGCGAGAGACACAGAGTGAAAACCCACATCCTGAGAGTGTCAGAAACCCCAGGGAGGAAGCAGCTGTACTGGCATGGAGGAAATGACAAAGATTATTAGATTGAAGACTTTCTCAGAAAATGACATTAAGTCATTAAGGAAAAGAAACAATATAAATGTGTACTTGAGAAATTTTAATTACTTGAGAGATTTTTCATACAATATTTATTCTGCAAGCAAATTTCAGGGATTGAATTAATAAAACTGATACAGAACTTCCTCTGTAGGTATCTGTGTAAACATCAATTTCTGAATCAGTGTTGTAAATATTTTGGAACACATACACAAATCACATTTTATCTCTATTTTTAAAAATGCCAAAAAAACTCATTTTGTGCATGTAGCATTTTGAATTCGCACCATCAATGCATGATAGTTCTTGGTTTTCCACATTCATATTGCCATTTACAATTATGAGAATTATGTGTTTTAACCATTCTAATAGGTGAGTAATGGTATCTAATTTTTAGTTAAATGCACATTTCCTTAATAAAAATTTACATTTAACAATTTTCATATAGTTTTTGCTGAGATGCCTCTTCTCATATTTGGTTCATTTTTAACTGTATTGTTTTCTTTTGATTAGTTGTAAGTTTACTTGCATATTGATTATAAAAGTCATTTAACAAATTAAAAGAATTCATTTAACAAATATGTGACTTGGAAGTATTTTCTCCAAGTCTGTGGCTGTCTTTTACTCCCTTATCAGTGTGTATTGCAGAAAAGTGTGTGTGTGTGTGTTTATACAAATTTAGATTTAAAAAATAAAATTTTATTCATCTACAGATCATGTCTTTGGTATTATATCTGAAATCTCATTATAAAATATACTAATATGATTACTTTTTCCATGTCTCTAGTCTCAGGCTACAATCAACTCATGAGTGTTTAAGCTTCACCTACTTGATTGGAGGACTATCAACCTAACATAGTTGGAATACTTCTGTAAAAAGATGTGTTCTTCTTCCTATTATTTCTTTATTTGATCACTTATTAATATGTGTATTGGTTTATGGATGTCTATTTCATACTCTGAAGAAGATCCATGCTACATTATTCATTTTATTTTTCAAACCACCACAGCTTTATTATGTGCGGGGAGCTCATTTAGTTTGGATCCTGCATCCTTACAGCTCACCTCATGCTTTTGTTTTTGAACACTTCCCTGTTTCCTGCTATTATAATAAATTCTAAACTCATTTTCTATATTATCTTTTTCGTACATAGAATCAGCCATTTTTCTAAAGACTGCTTGTTTCTGATGTTAAAGAATAGTATTTAAAAAATTGTAATACTGGGTATGTGCATTGTTAACGTGGTATAAGTACTTGTAGGACCTCTCAACTGACTGGCCTAGTAAACTATGTATCTAACCTTCTGTAATTTGATTACATTAATAGTGAGAACACACTGGTCTCTCTACCCAATTATGCTACCACATGGACCTTTCTAGCCTTCCTTCCTTGACTGTCTATAACCACTCACTGCAAAGTGAGGAACCCCATCCAACCATTTGCCATTTGATTACTTAGCTGCACAATTTCAGGACACATGCATAGCAGTATCAGAAATGTAAAGCTGTACCCTTGTTGGAAACATGTTTATCTACTAGAATAGAGTGCTTATATTCAGTTTCTTTACACTTATTATAGAGTTTCCTCATTTTCAAAGTTCCTTAGGTCAGCAACTTCATTTTCCAGTTTCTTCAGTGAAGTCATTTCAATGACACTGTATAATTTGATTTATTTGAAATTCTATAAAAGCCAAAACTGTAGTCAAGTAAACATATAGAGGATATTCCAGGAGCTTAGAGACTGGGTATAAAATAAGTTAAAAAGACACTGTTTAAGAAGATTAAAATTATTTATAGTGATATGCAATGGTTCAGATATGACACAATTAATTTGTCTAAGCACATAATTTTATGATGGAAAATATAAACCTAAATATACACAATTAAAAAAAAGTACTTAGCAGTTCATTAACCCAAGGATCAAATGCAGATTGTATAAAATTATCTCATTACTTATTTTGTGAGGGTGGAGATTTCATGAGATGTATGCAACAAAGAATGAGGTAATTTTCCTGATTTGCATATAAGATGTTGCCATTCACTAAAGACCTTTAATTTTTTAATTTTTTTTAAAATCAATTTTCTACGTGACCCAGGTTTTTTCCTCTTGACAAGCAAATAACCCACAGGATTATTTTCTTTCCTTGGTTGAGAAATATTTCCCCAAACTTCAGCTCAGTTCAGGCATACACTGTCCCTGAATGGGCATTTACCCTCAGATGGGGACACACACCTGTCAACATGTGGACTCTTCTGTCAGATAAATGCACCGTTACTCATGTGGATTCTTTCCTCAGACAAACACACATGTCCCCACGTGGACTCTTTCCTCAGACTACCACATATGTTCTGACATTTACTCTTTCCTCAGAAAACAGACATTTCCTCATGTGGACTCTTGTCTCAGACAAGCAAACATGTCTCCATGTGAACTCAATTCAGATAAGTACACATATGTCCACATTGACTGTTTCCTTACACAAACACATATATCCAATGTCGAATTGTTCTGTGGCAAAATGATCTCAAGATAATGATAATTATAAACCCCCTCCCTGACAAGGCGTAGATATGTATTTTTTTCATTGTAACCTAACTTTGCCTTATTGTCAAGAACAGTAGTTTGCAGCTCTAAATGTACCAATTAGAGACAGGTGTCCATTTTCTCTGGAAACATATTTTTATGTTCTTACTGGACATATTTGTTGATAATGTTTGCTATTATGAAAATACCTGAACAGCGTCCACACTAGAGAATAAAAAAGAGTAATGGGCAGATTAACTCTGTGCATCCAGACCCAGAAATCCTTTGACCTTGACTTCCCTGAAATGTAGACACAGAGGATGGATGAGCAATGCTGAGCGGTGCACCCATGACCACAAAAAGAAAGACATGGAAATGTGTCCCCTCCCCTTCTCAAGAAAGGCAGCTCATCCCCTGTTCCCTCAGGCCCTGGCGAGGAGCCACCCCATGTCTGTGCCCTTCCTCAGTGTCCACACCATGGGGTCTGCACTGATCTGGATTCCCTTCTCATCCCCGTCAACATTAGTGGCCTTTGTAAATCAGGTCCAGCTGTGGCTGCTCCTCATGGGGCTTTTCTCAGTCTGTTTTCTGTGTTCATGGAAGTCCTGTGTGAAGTTTACTGATGGAGTCAGAGGGGGAAAAATTTTACAGCCCAGCGGTTGAGATTCTCCTGCAAAGCCTCTGGTTTCACCTTTACTGGCTACAGCATGAGCTTGGTCCAGCACGCTTCACAACAGGGATAGGTGTGGATGCCAACAGTGAGCGATCAAGTATGAATTCTCAGGGTTACTCTCCATGAATACAAATAAATTAACAATCTCAAGCAACACCCTTTCAAGTGCAGTCTGCCTTACAATGACCAATCTGAAAGCCAAGGACAAGGCCATGTATTACTGTGAGTGACACAGTGAGGGAAACCCTGTGTGAGCCCAGACACAAAGCTCACTGCAGGGAGACAGGAGGGGACTATGCGGTAGATGCTGCTCAGAACCACCAGGGGGCACTCAGAACCATCAGGGAGGGTGCACAGAACCACCAGGAGGGGCTCAGGACACCAGGGGGTGCTCAGAACCACCAGGGGGCACTCAGGACCATCAGGTAGGGTGCACAGAACTGCCAGGAGGAGCTCAGGACACCAGGGGGTGCTCAGAACCACCAGGGGGCACTCAGGACAATTGGGGGTGCTATGAACCACCAGGGGGCGCTCAGAACCACTAGCTGGTGCTGAGGACACCAGGGGGCGCTCAGGACCACAAAGGGGCCCTCAGGACACCAGAGGGTGCTCAGAACCACCAGGAGGCGCTCAGGACACCAGGGGGCGCTCAGAACACTAGGAGGTGCTATGAATCACTAGGGGGCGCTCAGGACACAAGGGAGCACTCAGAACCACCAGGGATAGCTCAGGACACCAGGGGGCACTCGGAACCGCCAGGGGGTGCTCAGGACAGCAGGGGGCGCTCAGAACCACCAGGGGGTGCTCAGGACACCAGGAGGCACTCAGAACCACCAGGGGGCCCTAAGTAACCTAGGAGCTGCTCAGAACCACTAAGGGGTGTTGACACCAGGGGGCAGGCAGAATCACCAGGGGGAGCCCAGGACACCAGCAGGCGCTCAGGAAACACCAGGAGGTGCTCAGGACACCAGGGGGCGCTCAGAACTGCCAGGGAGCGCTCAGAAGAAGCAGGGGGTGCTCAGAACACCAGAGGGTGCTCAGAAGCACCAGGGGGCGCTCAGGACACCAGGGGGCGCTCATGAGACTGTGGTGGGGGGGTGCTGAGAACCACAGGATGTGACCAAGACACCAAGGGGTACTCAGAACTGCCAGGGGGTGCTCAGGACACCAGAGGATTCTCAGAACCACCAGGGAGTGCTCAGGACACCAGGGGATGCTAAGGAAACCAGCGGATGCTCAGAACGACCAGAGGACACTCAGAAAACCAGGGGAAGCTCAGGAACCACCAGGGGGCGCTCATGACACCAGCGGGCGGTCAGAACCACCAGGGCATGCTCAGAACCACCAGGGGGCGCTCAGGACACCAGGGGATGCTCAGGACACTAGGGGGCGCTCAGGAACCACCAGGGGTCACCCAGGAAACCAGAGGGTGCCCAGGAAACCAGGGGAGGTTCAGGAACCACTAGGGGGCACTGAGGACACCAAGGGGTGCTCAGAACCACCAGGGGGCGCTCAGGAACCACAAGGGGACACTCAGGACACTAGTAGGCACTGAGGAACCACCAGGGGGCGCTCAGGACACCAGGGGACGCTCAGAACCTCCAGGGGTCGCTCAGATCCACCAGAGGGCGCTCAGAACCACCAGCAGGTGTTCAGGACAGCAAGGATGGCTCAGGACACGAGGGGACACTCAGGACCTCCAAGGGGCTCTTTGGAGGCAGCTCCATATCAGGTACCTGGGGAGGGTGAGGTTTCCTTTTCCACCTTGGTGATTCCTGACCTGGTCAAGCAAAAGTCTTCCCCAGGATCTCTTACCATGTCTTCCTTGTAACTCATGGTTTCTTTCACCTATAAAACATTAACTTAGAACAGGGGTTCAATTCAACTTTAAACTCTGCCTATTTTCAGAGTTATACTAGCAATGATATATCTCAGTATAATTTTTTTTAATTGTGTATATTCAATCCAAAGTCTGGCTCTATGCACAATTTTTTTGTTTTCTGTGCTGTCAGACACACTATTGTAAATGCTTTTCTAACAACTCAGCATATGCGTGGGGTCCAGTTTCTTTTCCTTTCATCGGCTGTTTGTGCAGATGAAACACCGCTTTAAGGGCTCATGTCCTCCACTTTGGCCCCTGGTGTTTTGCTTCTCAAACTTTCTCCATCTTCTCTTTTTCTGTCAAAATATTTTATCTTCCTCACTCTCCATGCAGGAAACAGGAAGTCCTTTTACTTTCTGTCCCCCATGTCTGGTAAATCAGTTCACTTCTTTTCATGATCACTGAAGCCAACCAAGTTTAGGAGAGTAACAGTTCTCCTTAGAATATGCTCTACCTGCAGACTCTCTGCCCTCATCACACTTTTCTAGGGTCCTGCAGACATAACCCCCACCCATTCCTCTTTTTCCCTCAGTACCACAGATTGGGCTCTGCAACTCATGCTACCCTCTGTGTGCTCAGCCCAGGGGCTCACTAGTGCTTTCATGAAGTCCAAATCCCTAATGTGTTTGCACACTCTCAGACCACCCTCCAGCAAGCTGCCATTGTGATTGAATCCTGCAAAGCATGGGCTGCTTTCAGTTTCCTATCACTGGATGTTCTTTATTATAAAGGCATATTGGCAAATAAAGACTAGAGTTTGTATTGAAAATTAACACCAAAAAGTTTTTTAAAAAATTTTTCAAATAGAAAAGTTATATCTTGCCTAGTTTAAAAAAATACAATGTTACTTTAATCAATGATTTAATAAAAATTTAAGTGATGTTTGTCTTATTATTCAATTTATTAATAACTGACTGATATTTAAAAAGTAAATACTGGCTGGGTACAGTGGCTCATGCCTGTAATCTCAGCAATTTGGGAGGGTAAGGTGGGTGGATCACCTGATATCGGGAATTCGAGACCAGCCTGACCAACATGGAGAAACCCACTCTCTACTAAAAATACAAAATTAGCTGGGCATGGTGGGGAAGCTGAGGCAGGAGAATCGCTTGAACCCGGGAGGTGGAGGTTGCGGTGAGCCGAGAACACGCCATTGCACTCCAGCCTGGGCGACAAGAGCAAAACACTGTCTCAAAAAAAAAAGTAAATACCACTGTACACTTAAGTAATATATTTGGCAAGAATGGCATTTACATTCATTCAAAAATGAAACTGCAAATACAAGTTACATTCAGTTAAATAATTAAAATAATATAGAAAAAATGGGTGTGTTGTTTTGGTGTTTAATATACATTCATTTTTGCATGGACGCATATATGTGTCATTGCTTGGCTGTTGTGTGTGTGTGTGTGTGTGTACGACTATGAAGTTTAAAATATATTATTAAATTACATAGTTGTATTAATCCAAATTTATCATGTTAAAATATTAGGAAAAAGTCACCAGTAGAGAAATTACAGAGAACATTAGCAATGCCTACAGCATTTACAAGAGTCACGTTAATAAGAAACAAACTAGTTCAAATTTTTAGATATGACACACGCAGTGGAAAATGTTCACATGGTATTAACACAAAAGTGGTGCACAATTGAGGAAATTATAATACATTCATGATATTGGCTAAATAAATGCTTATGAGTAATGCTTTTCATCCATCAAATGCTTATGATAATGCTTTTCATCCATCGTATTATAGATGATAAAATAACTCTATAAACACTTCCATCACTAGCGTTTAATATGAGATGCCTCACATCTTTTTCTGAAATAAATAAACATCTGTCCACTACTTTGATGATCATTTCAGTATTATCCTCTAAAATAATTATCCATAATAATGTTAGTAACAATATTATTTTCAGAAGCCTATTTTATAAGTTCTTTGAACTATTATTTTTATGATTGTTACTTTATATTTTACACACTTTTTATTTGGAATAATTATAGATTATCAGAACAATTGTAAGGAAAATACAGTGTGTTCACATCCATCTCCGAGTTTTCACTAAAGTTAGTATGTTAAAAAAATGGGACATGGGACTAATATATTTACATTGATAATTTTCTGTTTATTCAGCTCTGGGATTTATTTGAATTTTGCCAATTTTTAACAGTTTCCTTTTTTCCTTTTTCTTTTCTTTTTGAGATAAAGTCTCACTTTCCTATTGCTTTTTGTTTGTTTCTTTGTTCAACTCAGGTAACCACATCAAATTCAATCACCATGTCCCTCTAATATCTTCTGGTTAATCACAGTTTGGGTTCCTGCTGTCTTCCCATTGAATATTCTATAAATGAAACTAGTCAAATAAGTTGATTCTGGTCACTTATGTATTTACCTATTTTATCACGTTTGTTTTGTCAATCACAATAAGTGTCAAAGTCTCTATCTGTTATAGATGTTAGCCTATTTTCTATTGCAGATCCATTGGTTAAATCTTTGGTGATGCCTTTTAGAAAACTGATCCCTTTACCCTATGTAATATGCCCCTTGATTCCTGAAAGTCTTATGTCTACCTTGTCTGAATTTAACATAGCTAAGCACGCTTTCTTTTCGTTCATATTTTCATGGTCCATGTTTTCCTGTATTTAACTTTCCTATGTAGAGCAAATTTCTATACAGAGCTAATAGTTGGGTCTTGCTTTTTAAAACAACTATAATAAATTCTGTTTTAAAACTGGTATTACTATTTTTCTGTTAATTTCTGTTTCAATTTAGCATTTTATGATCATGTTTATTCTCTATTAACTTATCGTTTAGTTCATCTTTTATGAATATTATATTGGCCATAAGATATACAATACGAATTGTATATAATCAGATTCTAATTCAAATAATGTAAAACCTCTTCATAGGTTGTAGAGCTATTATAACTGTATTCTTCTAAACCCTGTTTCTCATCCGTTGTCTTAGTTTATTCTCAGTTTGCACTTATATGTGCTATAAAATATAATATGTGCATTTTTATCGTTACTTTACATAGACATATATTAGAACAATTAAAAATATAAAAACTACATTTCAACTTCATTTTTTCATTCTTGACCACCTTTTTTATTTGGATAGATTCATGTTTCAGATGTATATCATATGGCTACTCACCCTGGCAGAAAATTTGCCAAAGGACCTACTGAAGGATGAATGCACTGGCAATAAATTTTCTCAGAATCGAATTGTCTTACAGGGTATTCATTTGACTTTCTCTTTAAATGAAATTTTTAATACATATAGAATTCAAGTTTGGCTTTTATTTGTAATTTATTTTCTTGTACTCATGTATTCATTATTTTCTTCCTGAAGATGGTCACACATTCCATTCTGCTGGGCCTTCATTATAGACATTTGTGTGTATCTATTCAGGGCTATATTTGCAATTTATGGATGCCACAATTATCAGAGTTGAAGTCAGCTTCTGCTGTCCACAGAGATTTCAAGTTCCTCCCATGATACTTGCTTTTGTGTCCCTGTTTGATCCTGGGTCTTTATATTTAGTTTTCCCCAGGGAGTCTGTCTCTTTCAGCTGTGGAAAGTGCACCCTACTGACAGTTTAAATTGCTGACTGTGTGGTGAAGGAGCTTGGACAAAGCGGGACGTCCTCCAACCTTCTGACTGAGTCTTCTTCTTATGCAGGAGTAGTAAGCATAGTTCTGGGGAGTGGCCTTGCAGATTGTCCTGTCCTTAACTCTTTCCCCAGGGCTGGAATGTATTTTCCCATACAGAATTGTTTTTCACCAGTGTCCCCAGCTTTTTACCCACTATCCTTACCCTAAAGAGTAAGGATTTCTTTCCTGAGGAAGGAGATGGGAGGTGTTTCTGGATCAAGTTTCCTTGGTGTCCTCTGTTTCCTTTTGTTTCTGTTGACTTCACCACAGCTCACATGACACATGCTTTGGTGGATTTCCCCTGGAGGTAGTGGAGGTGCATCCAGGCATTCCACAGGAGCTGCTGTTCTTTTCCCCAGTCAACACCACAAGACACCAGATGAGGAAGTTGTCCGTGGATTTTTCAAGTTCTCTAGGAAAAGCTTGCAAGCACTAGGCCACTCTAACACCATTAGTACATGCATACTAAAAAAAAGTCATTAAGTATTTCTAGGTTAGTCTGTTTCTATCTCAAATGCCATCCAGTGGCACCTGCCCTATGTACACTAGCAGGTAGGTCCTGGTTCTCTTTGCAGGCTCCTATCTTGTCAGATTTCAGTTTTCTTGTTTGCTCGGTGAAATCGACTCAGATATGTTGAATGCTTTTTCTCTCTTTTATTTGTAGCTGTTCAGCTTTGTTGTTAATGAGGTCAGAATAAAATCACAGTTTTCTCATTTTTTTCACATTCCCACACTGAATAGCTGCTTTCTGTATAAAAGCCAGAAACTGAGAGAACACATTGAATATCCATTACAGGTGAATGTTAAACAATTTGAGATATGTTTGTGTACTGGAATAAAATGCTGCATTACAATCAAGTCATCACTCATTCACATAAAACTTGGCCATATTCTCAAATAATGTACGGACCTGAGTGCCCCTCCATCTACTGGCCTCTCCTGGGGCCCTAGCCTGGCCATACCTGCTTGCAGGGCAGTCTCGGGCACCCTGGGATCCTGCACCAAAATTTCTGCCCTGGCAGACCATGCCTGACTGGTGGAGAGCTCCAATCGGGCAGCTCTCATGTGCACACACCAGCTTACACACTTCCTCCGAATACTGTAGGTTCCCCCAGGCCCACGTAACTACCCACATCACTTTGCAGGCACATGTCTGTATAGGTGGGTTTTGCTTTTCTTGTCCCACCATTACGTGGAGTGCAGTCCCCTCCCCCCACCCCAACCACCACAGCAGAGGTAGCTTTGGTGGGGAAAAAGCCAGGCCCGCTCCTGTCAGCGTCCCGCACTTGCACTAATTCTGCACAGAGAATAGCAGATCATCTCACACATTCAGAAATTGCTCCTGCTTGTGGGGCATGAATACGGCACCCGGACCTGTGCCCACAAGTGTCCCACCCCTGAGCCAACACCACCTCCAGCGTGACTTTGAACACAGTCACCAGCAGGGCCCCACACACCCACAGATGCAGTGTCTCTGCCACTGTGGTGAACACCTGCAGGGAGGCAGGCCCCCAGACACCCACTAGCACTCTGTCACAGCTGCCACACCTCCAGCCCCCCAAGGACAGTGGATTCCTAACCTTAAGGAGCCGGAGAACCAAGTCAGGGACTTGTATAAGTTCCCCCAGAGTTAGAGCACACAGTCCAGGTGTTGGGAGCTGAGCACTGACCACCTAAATTTTTCCAGAAATGAAGCCAGTTGGCTGAATCCACCTTATACCACAATCAAACCCTCAAGATCATCCAATAGGATAAAAGAAAATAAAAATGTATCCAAAAGTCAGCAACCTCAAAGACTGAAGGTGGATATGCCCACAAAGATGAGAAAGAACCAGTGCAAAAGTCATGAGAACAAAAAGGGCGCCCTCATTCCTCCAAACAACCGCAGCACCTCTTCAACAGGGGTTCTGAATGGGGCTGAGATGGCTGAAATGACAGAAACAGAACTCAGAATATGGAGAGTGAAAATGTAGATGAATACAGCTATTTATGGAGAATACTATAAATGTTCCTCAAAAAATAAAGAAACAAAATCTACTGTAGAATCCAGCAGTCTCACTACTGGCTATGTATCCAAAGGAAATGAAATCAACATGTCAAAGAGATATCTGCACTCCATGTTCATGTTCATTGCAGCATCTTTTAAAATAGTAAAGATATGGAAACATCCTAAATTCCCATGAATGGATGAATGAATAAAGAAAATGCATACAGACACAACAGAGTAATGTTCTTCCTTAAATAAGAAGGAAACCCTGCCTCTGTGACAGCATGCCTGAATCTAGAGGACCTTATGCTAAGTGAAACAAGCCAGGAACGGAGGAAGAGTAATTCAAGATTTCACTGTAGTATATTAAAGCAGTAGACTTGCAGAGATAGAGTAGAATGTTGGTTACCAGGGGCTGGAGGGGTGGACTGGGAAAGGGAGATGTGGGTTAAAGTGCACAATGTTCCAGTTAGACAGGAGGTATAAGTTATGCTTTTCTAATGCACAGCATGTCAACTATAGCTGATCAGGTGGTATATATTTCAAAATTACTAAAAAAAAACATTAAAATTTCCCCACTAAGAAATGATAAATTTGTGAGGTGATGAATATAAGTGGCTTGAGTCACCCAGTTCATAATGTATACATGTATCATAACTAAACAACATATGTCATAAATATATGCAAAAATTATTTGTAATTTATAATAAAATAAGTTTCATATTTAAATAATTACATTAAGAAAATGAACAGAACCTTTCCGATTTCAAGAATATTATATATATAATATATCTTAAAACAAACTTGCAACAGAATATAGAAATAAGTTTTACAACTCAATAGAAAAGAATAGAATTCAATAAAAACTGGCTAAAAGAAACAACAGCTGTATCATTATAGAAAATTCTGGAATAATCAGCCATATAAAGATTCTCACTCTCTTAGAACTAGAATTCTGTAGGACCTGCAATTCCTCCTGAACTGGGTGGGAGGCACAAGGAAGAACAGCTAATGGTGATTCAGTGAATTTTATATCTGTGTGTACTTCTGTGCTCACTCAGCAGAAAGAAAAGAAGAAAAGAAAGAAAGAGAGAAAGAAAGAAACAGAAGAAAGAAAAAGAAAGAAAGAAAGAGAGAGAGGGAGGGAGGGAGGGAGGGAAGGGACAGCAGAAGTCATTGTGGTGTGTGTGAAAGCACAATCCTTGGACTCCCCCACATCCTTCTGTACTCCAGTCCCATCAATGTCCAGCAAATACATTTTCTAACGTGAAGTATTTTAAACTTTCTAAATCCTGCTAGAAACCCCCTCAGCTCTTTCAATTTTGCTCTATCACTTGAATTATTGAATTAAATCTAGTTTTTGTGGGCCTATCAATACCATAAGCCAAAATAACACATGAAGAAATTGCACTGAGACACAAGAAAACCTTCTGAAAGCTCCATAATTTCAGATCTGCATTCTTATTTCCCCAAACCTAAATCACTAAATAGAGACTCAGAACAAGTTGATCTTGTTCCCGAACGTGCACAGAGCCAAGGACATCCTGTCTGTCTGCAACAGCTCAGGTTTGTTCCTGTTTCTCCTAGAGGATATAAAATCTTGATTTAGGGAAAAACAGCTAGGGACACCCTGGGCTTTGTTCTTCTCTTCCCTGGAGGCAGGATGTCCTTCAGAGCTTTGTCCCAGTGGGTAACACAGCTGCTGAGGTGTACAACCCAGGTGGCCTTGTTTTGGTCACTTTTGCATGGTGAGCCTGCTTTGCACCATGGCCTACAATATGCGTGTGTAACTAATCTGTCTCCATCTTCAAAATGACATTATTCCACATCAAATCTAGTGCAGGTGCCTTACACAGAACATTCTCAATTACCTCCATCATTCATAAAATTGATGCCATTAATTTCAAGTATACATACATCAGACTCATTTAACGTATTGTTATTCTCATTGTTTGAAACATAACTTTTAGATCAAATAAATTAACAATAATAAAAATATAAATTTTGAAGTCAGGTAATGTGATTTCTCTAGTTGTGTTCTCTTTGCTCAGAATGGCTTGGGCTATTCTGCATCTTTTGTTTTTCCACATATATTTTAGGATTTTTTTTAATTTCTGTGAAGAATATCATTGTTGTTTTCATAGGGATTGTATTGAGTCTGTAGATTGCTTTAAGTATAATGGACATTTTAACAATATTGACTCTTTGAATTCATAAACATGGAATATTGTTCCATCTTGTGTCCTCTTTAATTTCTTTCATCAATGTTTTATAGATTTATTGTAGTTTTTTTTACTTTGTTCATTACACATTGTATGCCTGTACCAAAACATCACATATACCCAACAAATAGAAATATATATACTATTATGTGCTTATAACAATTAAAAATTATGTATGTATATTGAATCTATTCAAAATCAGAAACTATTTCTTTTTACTATTTGTAAGGTCTTGTCTCTAGGCTATAAAAAGAATTTGTAAAACTCAACAGAAAGCATAATATAAACAGAATTCTAAAATGACTGAAAATCTGAACAAACACCTCACCAAGAAAAAATGTTATCTGAAAATAAGAATATAGACAATTGTTCAGTATCGATTGTCATAAACCGATATTCATAATTACCAAACACAAAAGTAAACATGATGTATTTCAACAGAATTGATTCTCAAATATTTGTATACTCATACAGTGGAATACTATTCAGTCATAAAAACTTATGGGTTATTAATTCAGAAAACAACATTTTAACATTTTTTCTAAGTGAAGGAAGATGGACAAAAGAGACTAAGTATTGTACAATTCCATTCATGAGACCTGCTAAATACAGTAAAATTAAAAGGATTTAAAAAACAGGTTTGTGATAGGCAGGGCTTTTGGGGAAAGACAAGAGACTGACTTGGCAAAGCTCAGGGGATAGTTTTAGGGTAAAACAAACTGTGTGCCATTGTGATATGCCTAATTAATTATTATATTTGTTCAGAGTTAATAGTGTACGTTTCAACCAACTTGGTGATTTTATATTTTCTATTTGCTGATAGAGACATGTTCATTTTTGTCAACCACTTTGCTAAATGTGGCTGAGAGGCTGTTGACATGAACGCTGAGTAAATGTATTCACCAAGTCTACAAGAGCAAATTATTTGCCAATTGCTGATTGAGTGGGGTCAATAATGTATATGAGATTGGGCGTGGGGATGTTATTGTGTGAGATCATGATGTTTAGACCACGACACTCTCTGGTGAGGGATCACTCATTCATTGCACATTTAATGAAAGGCAGGTAGGAGGAGCAGTAGGGCATGAGTCACTCTCCTGACCACAGCCACAGGTTATTGAAGGCAGAACTGATGTAATCCCCTCAGGTAGACCAGCGCCCCTCAAAGGTGACTTTATCCTAGAGTTGACACACATCCTGGGACACCAAAGACAACTCCTTCTCTCCCCTTTCTCTGCACTTCAGCTGGAAAAAACTTTCTCACCGAGCACCTTGTGTTAGGGAATGAGAGTTCCTGTCCCAGGTGTGAGGGCCCAGGTGCATCCACTTGATTCAGCACGAGAGCAAGAACAGCCTTCCAGAAAATGACATCACCTGAGGTATAACCAGCTTTCACCTGCTGCAGCTTCCTCTGAATAAAAAGGAAACTGTTGAAACTTCCTCAAAAGTGTCCTGCTGTGCCATTCCCTTTGTCCCTACGTGTTCAGTTGTGTCTGTCCAGATGCCACTTTTATGTAGGGAGATTAGTGTTCTGCTTCCAGTACCAGAACACACATGACCTCTTAGGAGACTTCAGGGTTTTGATCACATATATGATGATCTTAAAAGTCATTAGCTCCATTTCTACATCAAAAAACATCTGAACCAGAGGGGCACAGAGGCTCATGCCTGTAATCACAGCACTTTGGGAAGTCAAGGCAGAGGAATCACTTGAGGTCAGGAATTTGAGACCAGCCTGGTGAACATGGTGAAACCCCGTCTCTACTAAAAAATATATACAAAAATTAGCCAGGTGTGGTGGCACTAGCCTGTAATCCCAGCTACTTGAAAGGCTGAGGCAGGAGAATTGCTTGAACCCAGGAGGTGGAGATTGAAGTGAGCTGAGATCACACCACTTCACTCCAGCCTGGGCGACAGAGTGAGGCTCCATCTCAAAAGAAAAATTTATATACATATATATATATGTGTGTGTGTGTGTGTATATATATATATATATATGTGTGTGTGTGTATATATATATGTGTGTGTGTATATATATATATGAGATCTCCAAACCATCTAAATATCCAAAGCATATATATATATATCTGCATTCTTATTTCCCCAAATAGAGTGATTATCCAACCATATCCAAACCATATATATATATATCTCCAAACCATCTAAATATCAAGTATTTTTTAATCCATCTAAGAACTGAAATTGCTGAAAAAACTACTCCCTCCAAAAGCTGTAGAGACAGGCACATCCACAATTACAGCAGAGACTTGCTGACTTGGAAGAGAAGCTCCTGGAAACACATTGGTGAAAACACTTACCTGGTGATTACGCTGAATGTCTGGAGGACAAGTGTGGACTAGGGGGAAGGTGAGCGCTCCTAGAGGCTGTACACCCCACACTTGTGTGGACTTGCCCTCCAGGGCCTTCAGGTTCTCATGGAAGCGATTAAAATAGATTCCCTATAGCCACGAACTGGGGAGGAGTAATCACTGAGAAAAAATGCACAAAAAGACTTTTCTAGAAAGCTCATCCGAGGGAAGGTGTTCTCTAAAATCTTAGTTTATGTGGGGGAAGGAAGTACTTCCATATTACAGACCCCTCCTCCTCAGCCTTCCTCTATCATGCAAATGATAAAATTAGCCAAGAGGAGTCAGACTCAAGGTGGTAGCCCTGGGTGCAGCATCTGCGGAAGGGAGGAAAGAGAGAAAATCAGCTGTATCACTGGAGATTCCTTGTAAAGGTGCTCAGGTGAAGAGGGCAACCAAACCAGGGAGAGTCAACTGTAAGAACATACCATGCTCCCCTGCCCCACACATTACCTCCTCAACAGCATCATTAATGTGGATTAAAGAGGTCAGTGTGATTGCTTTAGATCTGTTTGAGAAAGAAAGTCACATGCTGAGGCCTAGGGTCAGGGTCGGCAGCACTTCCCATGAGTAAGATACTATGAAGAAGGAAACATTAGGGGCCCATAACTGTGAAAATCAGCCACAGTGTGTGTGAGTATGTTTGTGTTTGTGCTTCTGTATGTTTGAGTAGGAGTTATTGAAACAGTGGACGTGGAGTGAGCTTTAATCCACATCCATCTGCAGCTTCAGGTATTCTCAGATGCAGTATTTGTCTGCAAGAGCCAAAATGAGAAAAGAGCCACCTCCAACCCCCCCCAGAGTTTTAGCCTCCCTTTGTTTCCAGTGATCCAGTGCATCTAGACCTCCAGGAAAGGGACTCCCTGGTGATTTTAGTGATTCTTCTCTTGGAGCCTCCCTGAAGAGGACATTGGGTTTCCAAAGGCCCATTCACTATTTCAAGAGGTGGTGTCATCCGCTCATGTTGTCACTGAAGGAGCATTCTGAGCCAGGGCACAGTCACTTCCTAGTGAGCTACAGAGGCTGAGAGAAAAATGCTCTGTGAGACCCAACAGGAAGCTCCCTGCAGTGCAAGGTGTGGGTGGCAGGGAGTGCTCGGGCCTCCCCGCAGCACAGACTGCAGCCCAAGAGCAGGTGCACAGGAGGCTGGGGAGGGGTTCCTCCCAGGGGTTGATGTCTTCCTTTTCTTGAACAAACATGCTTTAATAAGTTAAACAAGAATTTAGTAAAGACTATTTGTAGGATTTATCTAACCTAACAAGTCAATGAGAATCACATTTAAAAGGAGAAATTTCTAGGATTTTCAGATATCTTAATAGTTAGGAGATGGAGAAAAGGGATAGTTTTATTAATTCAGTGCTTGCCAATCTTAGCAGAGACAGTAGTAAGACAGGCAGAAAGCAAAGCCCAGAAAAGTATGAAGGTGTCAAAGTGCCATTTAAGTATGGGTTCACTTGGAGGACCATGTTTTGTGGGAACTTGTTTTCAGCAGAGACAATTTATTTTAGCAGAGTTCTGGGCATACAAGGGGACACACATCATTAAACAAGGATTAGGACAGGGCTTCAGCGTCCCACTGTTGCATGGCCCATAAATAATGTGTGTTCTCTTTCTCATCTTGGATCAAGTCTAGAGCTATGAAGCTATGAAATAGTACCCCTCATGAATATGCAAATAACCTGAGATTTACTGAAGTAAATACAGATCTGTCCTTGCCCTGAGAGCATCACCCAACAACCACATCCGTCCTCTAGAGAATCCCCTGAGAGCTCAGCTCCTCACCATGGACTGGACCTGGAGGATCCTCTTCTTGGTGGCAGCAGCTACAGGTAGGAGGCTCCCTAGTCCCAGTGATGAGAAAGAGATTGAGTCCAGTCCAGGGAGATCTCATCCACTCCTGTGTCCTCTCCACAGGTGCCCACTCCCAGGTGCAGCTGGTGCAGTCTGGGGCTGAGGTGAAGAAGCCTGGGGCCTCAGTGAAGGTCTCCTGCAAGGCTTCTGGATACATCTTCACCGACTACTATATGCACTGGGTGCGACAGGCCCCTGGACAAGAGCTTGGGTGGATGGGACGGATCAACCCTAACAGTGGTGGCACAAACTATGCACAGAAGTTTCAGGGCAGAGTCACCATGACCAGGGACACGTCCATCAGCACAGCCTACATGGAGCTGAGCAGCCTGAGATCTGAGGACACGGCCACGTATTACTGTGCGAGAGACACAGTGTGAAAACCCACATCCTGAGAGTGTCAGAAACCCCAGGGAGGAGGCAGCTGTGCTGGGGCTGAGAAATGAAAGGGATTATTATTTTTAATGTTGTTTACAGTATGTCATTAATAAATTGAAAAAAGTAACAATAGAAGTATATACTCTAATTATATGGGAAGTTTGTTTTTTCAGTTTTTTGGTGTTTTTTTTTTTTTTTTTGGTTTGTTTGTTTGTGACAGAGTCTCACTCTGCCACCCAGGCTGGAGTGACACGGCAAAGTCTCAGCTCACTGCAACCTCCACCTCCCAGGTTCAAGCAATTCTCCTGCCTTGGCCTCCAGAGTAGTTGGGATTACAGGCACCCGCCACCACGCCCGGCGAATTTTTGTATTTTTAGTAGAGACGGGGTTTCACCATGTTAGCTAGGCTGGTCTCGAACTGCTGATCTCAGGTGATCTACCCTCCTCAGCCTCCCAAAGTCCTGGGATTACAGGCGTGAGCCACTGCGCCTGGCCCAATTATATGGGAATTGTTTATATAATTATCACCCTATAAGCAAAATTCATGGAGGAGGAAAAGCTCTACTGAAGAAAGCTGATACCGGCATTCCCATGAAAGTATCTGTGTAGAAGTAAGTATTAAAATCAGTTGAATAGGTGAGGCACGGTGGCTCATGCCTATAATCCCAGCACTTTGGGAGACCGAGGCAGGTGGATCACAAGGTAAGGAGTTCAAGATCAGCCTGGCCAAGATGGCGAAACCCCTTCTCTACTAAAAATACAAAGAATTAGCTGGGCGTGGTGGTGGATGCCTGTAATCACAGCTACTTGGGAGGCTGAGGCAGAGAATTGCTTGAACCAGGGAGGCGAAGGTTGCAGTGAGCTGAGATCGCGCCACTGCACTCCAGCCTGGGTGACAGAGCGAAACTCCATCTCAAAACAAAACAAAACAAAACAAAACAAAAAAATCAGTTGAATAAAGTACCTTAGAGTCATCTGTTCAATTAACATGTTTAACTCCAAAGAAATCATGAAAATATTTTCCAAAAAGGAAGTGCCATTTTATGTTCCTACCAACAGTGAATAAGACTTTCTTTTCTGGAGCCTTGTCAGTATTCACCAATGCTTTGCTGTGCAGCCATTGTAATATTATAGTAAATGAGTAGCAGTATTTAATGGTTGTTTAAATATACATATTCCTAATACAAAGTCTTGATGAACACTTTTTTATACATTGTTTTACGAGGTGCGTGTTCAGATCTATGTATGCCAGAAATGCCTGGCAGCATTAATTTAAGCACACTGTGAGAATGACCCTATAGTTTAAGAAGAATGTATGTTCAGAGCTCTGAGCTAAGAAATCCAGGAGCTGTCCACCCAGAAGTTTATTCCTTGTCTGTGAAGGACGTCTGAAGCCCTGGCCTATCCCTTGGAACACAGGATGTCCAGGTGATTGAGGCTCTTTGTTAAATCTGGAGGTTGCTAGGTAGAGGGTGCTAAGTGAAAATCATAATATAAACTACACATGTTTTACAAATGGTAGTGGTTTTCCTGTCCAACACACTCTTCCTGGGCCACATTGTATGGAAGTCCTCAATACACCCTAGATCTTGTTCATGGGCTCCAGGTCTCCTCTTTAGCCTTTTGGACATGGTGCCACGCCTATTACAGTCAATAGGGGTCTAGCATGACAATTGGGAGGCCCAGAACAAGGTCAAAGAAAATCCCACAAGTTCTTAGACAACGGTGTCAAGGAAGGGGAGACCTGTGGGGAAATCCCAGGCAGGCCATGCACATCTCTGTGGGCCCAACAGCTGCAATCCTTGATGGATAGGGCCTGCTGCAAGTGTACAGGGATGCCTCCAAAATGCCAAAAGTTCTGGAGGACCTGTTGCCTGAGGTGGATGTGACAATGTGACAAAGTGACAGTCAGATGCCTGAGCTGTCGCAGCTGTTGGCCACTCCTGACTGCACTCTGAGCAACCACTGAGGCAGAGCTCACTGCACAGGCTAGGGTGTGTCATCCACAAGAACAGCTGTAACTATAATGAGATGCCGCCTGCAGGGATAGGATAGCAAATTGGAGACCATTGTTTATTTGGTAGGCCATTTAAAGTGTTGCCGACTGCCACACCAATGCGTTAGGACTATTATGACTACATCGTCCTGGAAGCCTAAGTCCTGGTGTCCGATGTAGAGCTCCAGTGGGAAGGAGATGAAGGTTAGGATGACTCCATAAAGGTTCTTGCCCTGCAGCCCCTGCTTTGCTGTCTCACTTGGTGAACAGAGGATGGGGGGGTCAATGCAGACAAAGTCCAGGGTCTAGGCTTATCAGTCAAATACTTGGTGTCATCTGGTTACATAAGACTATAGTTATTCCATATTTCATTATAGATAAGATAAGATGCAGGTCTACTCATGTCCCAACACACCAAAGCAGTTGGAAACCTTCCAAGGCCTCCTGGGACATTGGCGATCCTTTATTCCCCATTTCGGCAAACTCCTTAGGCCCCCATGGCACTTAGTCAAGAAGGTGCCCCACTGCGACTGTTCCAAAAGGGAGGATGAGGGCTCTGAAGAAGCTAAAGTCACAATGAAATGAATACAAACCTTGGGAGTTCTAGTGCAGGGACAGCCCTGTGAATTGGATGTAGTCAGTTACCCTGAGGGGTTTAGGTGGGGACTGTGTTAAAGGCAAGGACATAAGTGTGTGTCCCTAAGACCCTGGTCTCAAAGACAGAAGGAAGCTGAAGTGAGATATACTGTTTAGGAGTAACAACTGCACTACATGTCATGCCTTACAAGTGGAGGATGTGACAGAGGGCCACTCCACATCCAGAACAACCTTTAGCAGGCTGGCTAAAGGATGCCTTCCAGACACAAAAGCCTTGGAATACCAGGACACAGTCTGTAGCCAAATGGTACTTGTGGTGGTCACCACCAACATAAAAGTGGGCCAACTGTGCCAGCAGAAGTTAGCCCCACAGAACTTTCCCCCACCTAAGAGAAGGCAGTGAACCACGATGTGGGATGCCACCACTGTGGAATTGGGGGAGCTTAGACTTGGATTCAGACACAAGGGGAGAGAGTGGATCACAGGGTGGCTTCTCTATGGGACAGGGGGTGGAGAGTGTTATACTTTCTGGACTCAAGATGAGTAAAATGGCACCCATCACAAACCATCCAGCCCTATGATGGCACCTTTATGGTAAGTGGTTGCAGGCTCCAACGGGGCCAGGTCCAATGAGGAAGATGCCCACACAGCTCCTTCTCAATGGCAGACTATAGAAGAGTTGCAGGACATCTTCTGGGAGTTGAAATGAGGCATGCTAATTATGCTGAGAATTATTGAAGTCCCAACAATGAATTGTTTACTGCAAAATAAAAGCTACAATTATGTATTCAGTGCCTACCAAATGGCATGGTGCACTGATTTCCATGTTAAGCCCCCTGGGAGGGCAGCCAACATTTCATGTGCCCCAGGTAGTTGCTGACTTAGGAGAAAAGAAGAAACTGAGTAAGCAAGGGATGCACCCTACTGTGATGAAAAACAATGGCACCAAAGGAAGAGAGACAGCCAAGGAGCCAGTCAGCGTGGCCAGACAACAAATGTGCTCTAACTGGCAACACCTACCAGTTATCTGGGCCCATAGCAGCAATAGGTGATTATGGAAGGGCCACAGAAGTCAGACAGGTTGAACTAGTGATACGACCTGGGGGACTGCCACCCAGACCCTGTTTAGTATACATAGCTTCCATCTTAGAACACATGAGAATGGATATCTTCTTAGGCGTGACCCTCCAAACAACTGCCAGGGAATTCCAACTGAGAGTTAAAGTGGTGACGCATGTGACCAAGCAGAAGGCAAACTGGATGCCGGTAGAGCTGCCAACCCATGGGGAGTCCCACAGCTGGAGCAACACCACCCGCCCTGGGGAGGGGAAGATGATCCAATCATGAAGATTGTTAAGGAGTTAGCCCAGGTAGGCATTAGGAGGCCACTGCACAGTTCCTACAACAGACCTGCATGGCCCATGCAGAGGCCAGTTGGGACATGGAGAATGACAGTAGATTACTGGGAGTTAAATAAGGTGGTCTCCCGAGTGAATGCAGCTGTTCCTAATATCTCCTCCAGTCTGACGAGAATAGGAGAGGTGTTAGCCACATAGCATTTCGTTATCAGTTTAGTCAATACCTTCTTCAGCATTTCTGCTGCCCCACATTCAAGATCAATTTGCATTAACCTAAAAAGAACAATGGACTTTTACTGTCTTGTTCCAGGGATATTTACACAGCCCAACTCTCACAGCCTAGTGACCTCCAACCTCAGTTGATGGGCTGACCCAAAGGGGATACATGTTTTCCACTACATTGGTGTTATCATGGTAACTTCTGAGTCTTTTTTCAGCTTATAAATTGCAGCCCCTGTCTTGCTGTCTCACTTGCTGAACAGAGGATGGGAGGTTAATACAGACAAAATCCAGGGTCCAGGCTTATCAGTCAAATAGTTGGTGTCATCTGGTTTGGTAAAACTAAAGTCATTCCATCTGCCATCATAGATAAGGTGCGGGCTTACCCATGTCCCACCACAACAAAGCAGCTGCAAGCTTTCAAGGCCCTCTGGAGCATCAGTGTCCTTTTATTCCTTTTATTTGACATCCCTGGAGGAGGCTGCTAGGGGAGACTGTGTCCCTCCTAAATTCATGTGCTGAAGTCCCAACCCTTGGTCCTTCAGAATGAAATCATACTTGGATTAGTGTCTTTTAAAGAGCTAAATAAGTTAAAGTGAGATTCCTGGAGTGGGGCCCTAATGCAATCTGACTGTTGTTATAAGAAGGGGAAGCAGGAGGGGGGGTGCACACGCCCCGAGGGACGGCCATGTTACCACAGAACAGCGAGAAGGCGCCATCTGCACGCCAGGGAGCGAGACCTCAGAGGAAACCCACCCAGCTGGCAGCTTGATCTTAGGCTTTCATCCTCCATAAGTGTGAGGAAATTGGTTTTGTATTGTAAGCCATCCGATCTGTGGTATTTTGTCATAAAAGCCCTATAAAATGAATACAGTAGGTAATAGGAGAGCTTCTATACATTGAAAAAGTCGGATGGCCAGACAAACCTGGACACTCCTGTTCAGACCTGAGCAGGGTGATGGACCTGCTTTGGGACAGGAGAGGGGAAGAGATGAACCCAGCACCCAGACCCAGCTGAGCCCATTCCTCAGCAGGCTGTCCCTGGGCCAGAGCTTGCACAGGCATGAAAGAGCCTGTCTTGGTCTTCAGGGGCTCGTGGAGTTGGACGGAGAATGGTGTAGACTCAAGAACATGTCATCGTTGTGCCCGTGTTTATGTGAATGGGATGTGTTTCTAGGGTGTGCTTATCCCCAGAGAAGAATTAATCAGGTCTCTTGGGCTAGAAAGAGGTTGTGGCATTTGTGTGTATTAATAACTGTAGTCGGACAGTAAATTATGTTAAAATGCTTATGGGAAGGCACAATGGAAAGAAACACTTTGTTACAGAAGGGAAAAAAAGGTAATTATTCAAATGAGATGCCTTTGAAGGTCACTATGCCAAGAGGAGCCGATCGCATGATAGTGTTAGGTTTCACGTTCAGGAGATCAGGAGGGTCCGTCTGCTGGCTTTTATGATACCCTAGACAGAGCTGAGAGTATAATGTATGAATGGAGGGGAGTGGAGAAAGGGGAGGCCAAATGTTTGATGGGAATGGAGGGTCACTATTGGAGCCATTAGGAAATACACAAGCATGATTTGTGCTGAAGCACAGAACAGTGTTCCTGGGGAATATTGTGTTGCTTTGGGAGCTGCTGAACATACAGGAGTTTCACTGTTCTTAGTTCTCGAATTCTCTAGACTCTCTTGACAGCCCAATTTTAAATATTGGGAATATAGGTAAGACACATTCATGGTTAAAAATTCTTAAGTGAAGATGTAGGAAGAAATTTAAAGTAATCAATTTAGGTTATGAAAATTTAGTTATGGTGAACTGTGATGTCTGTTTCTCACATGGAATAATGGAATATAAGTAATTACTCATCTCAGTGGTTCATTTTCCCATAGCCATCAATTACAAAACTGCTGGATAATTTCCTGAATTGTCCACCCTAGAAGTTGACCTCACATTACCTCAGTGAGAAACCGCTAGTCTGGTTGATCCAGCCTCATTCTTCCCATCAGGAATTTTGTGTCTCTGTGCACATATGGCATAGTCCTGGTCAGGGTGGCAGAGGGAAGGAACTGAAGAGGGCATTGTCAGACCATTCTTCAGAGGAGGAGTGGAGAAGAATTGTGTCCCATTTCCCAGTTGGCTGTGTATCTGCATATGGCCTCGGGATTGCTGCCAGCCTATCCATGCATGATGAAGCTTATTTAGGGGACGAAGCCAGCATGCTGAGTGTTCAGTGCCGACAGCCAAGAGAATCAACTGCCTGGTGCATGCTGCTTTTATGAAAACAAGCCCAGGGCCACTTGCATTCTTCTGTATTAGATTCTCTGGTGAAGTTGTTTCTTCATTTCTGCTGAAACTGCCACATATAATTACCTAGAGGCATTACAATGAACTGATTGAGAGTTAACTGACTTCCTGGTGAGGTTAAAATGAGTGTCAGGTGCACAGTAAGACAGACAGGAGACATGGGAGCATAGCAAGCTTGTGTTCACCATGGTTTGTACCTTAACTTCTGTTTTGTACCTTCTGTACCTTCCTTAGATGTTCAGGCACTCCATTGAGGAGCCTGACATAACATTATTTATTGATGGACCATAGCTCAAAATATAGAAATGGATATTACCGAGGAGAATATACTGTTACTACTTTATCTTTATCTTAAAATATACTTTTCCATCTGAGGTGAAAATTAATCCAGATGGTAGAACTTATTGCAGTTACTACAGCATTTTAGGAAATCAAAAGCTGCAGAACAAACATATGGACAGATGGCAGGTATGTTTTTGGAATCGTAAACAACTTTGCGATGATTGTAAAACCAAGGGGTGTCTCACAAGGGCTGGAAACCTCTCAAAATGAAACAACACACTGAGGATCTTTGAGAAGTACTCTGACCTCCAAGCGAGCTGGCTGATATGGAGGCTGAGCTACATGTAGAAAGCCAAAGGAATTTCTGCAGGACATCATCATGCCAAGCACAGCAGTAAACTGAGTCCCAGCCCTTTTCACACGCTCAATGGTTAGATCTTGGGAAGGAATCAAAGAAGCCATTGTAAAATATCAAAATTTAAACCCTGATTTTGAATTTAAAATGTGTTAACATATGGTTGTGGCCTACACTCAGAAAATCTGTCTCCTTCAGATGGTGTCTCAGTAGCACCACATGGTTTCAAGTGGCTATTCATTAAATTTCTCCATGAAGCTACCAGATACAGAATAGATAAATTGTCACTGTCTTAAATCAACCCTTGGGAAAGGAAAACTGTGTAAAGACAGCAGAGAGGAAACATTGTTCAAGGGAAAAACAATCTCCAGAAACTGTTGTTAAAGAAACAGAGGCCCTCTTTCCAGCCAGTGCCGAGCGATGGACATCTCTTGGGACAACTGGCACAAGCGCCACAAAACCAGGGACAAGAGAAAGCCCTACCACAAGAAGCGGAAGTATGAGTTGGGGCACCCAGCTGCCAACACCAAGACTGGCCCCCGCCGCATCCACACAGTCCGTGTGTGGGGAGGTAACAAGAAATACTGTGCCCTGAGGCTGGACGTGAGGAATTTCTCCTGGGGCTCAGAATGTTGTGCTCATAAAACAACGATCATCGATGTTGTCTACAATGCATCTAATAACGAGCTGGTTCGTCCCAAGACCCTGGTGAAGAATTGCATTGTGCTCATTGACAGCACACTGTACCGACAGTGGTACGAGTCCCACTATGCGCCGCCCCTGGGCTGCAAGAAGGGAGCCAAGCTGACTCCTGAGGAAGAAGAGATTTTGAACAAAAAGCGATCTAAAAAAATTCAGAAGAAATATCATGAAAGGAAAAAGAATGCCAAAATCAGCAGTCTCCTGGGGGAGCAGTTCCAGCAGGGCAAGCTTCTTGCATGCATCGCTTCAAGGCCAGGACAGTGTGGCCGAGCAGATGGGTATGTGCTAGAGGGCAAAGAGTTGGAGTTCTATCTTAGGAAAATCAAGGCCCGGAAGGGCAAATAAATCCTTGTTTTGTCTTCACCCATGTAATAAAGGTGTTTATTGTTTTGTTCCAAAAAAAAAAGAGAAACAGAGGCATCACACTTACTAGAAAAACATATTCTATTTCATATATTATGGTGGTATGACGTGATGTTTTGACATATGCAGGCATTGTGAAATTATTAAATCAAGTAAATAAACATGCCCATCACCTCACATACTTATTTTTTATGGTGTAAACGTGTAAAATCTACTCTATTATCAGTTTTCAAGTATATAGTACATTAGTATCATGGAAGTCACCCTGCTGTGCAATAGATCTTCAAACTAATTCCTTCTGTCAAACCAAAACTCTGTACCCTTTCACCAATGCCTCAGCTTTCACATGCCCCTGACACCAGCCCCTGGTTGGCACCATTCTTCTCTCTACTTCTCTGAGTTCAACATTTTTAGATTGCATGTGTAAGTGAGATTATGGAGTAATTTTTTATACCTGGCTTATTTCACTTAACATAAAGAGTCAAATGCTCAACATCACTAATCATCAGGGAAATGCAAATTAAAACCACGATGAGATATCACCTCACACATGTTACAATGGCTTAGTCTCAGTCTGTCTTTGTGTTACTATAACCGAATACCAGAGACTGGGCAATTTCTAAAGAAAAGGAATTTATACTTTATGGTGCTTGAGTCAGAGAAGTCTAATATCAAGGCACTGACATCTCACAAGGGCCTTCTCACTGTGTCGTCTCACAGCAGAGGTGGGTGAGCAAGAGATCATTTGTCCACGAGAGAAAGGAGACTATCTTTTATTAGAAATTCACTCCTGTAATAACTAACCCACTCCAATGATAGTGACATTAATCCATTCATGAGGACAGAGCCTTCATGACCTAATCACATAATAAAGGTCCCACCTCTCAACACTGTTGCATTAAAGATTTTTTCCAAATCCTAAACTTTGGGAGACACATTTAAGTCATAGCATTCCATTCCTAATATCAAAATTTATGTCCTTATCACAATGCAAACTACATTCATTCCATCCCAATTGTCTCCAAAGTCTTATCCAGCATCAGTGCAAAAGTCTGAAGTCTAAAGTCTCATCTAAATCAGATGTGAGTGTGACTCAAGGCACAATTTAGCCTGATATAAATTTTTTCCATCTGTGAGCCTATAAAGTCAAAACAAGTTATCTACTTTCAAATACAGTGAACAATGGGGCAGGTATGGGATAGAAATTCCCATTCCAAAGCTCAGAGACAGGGAAGGAGAAAGCAGTGCCTAGTTCAAAACCCAACAGAGGAAAAAAACATTAAGTCTTATAGCTGAGACTTAATGTTTTTTTCCCTTGTTGGGTTTTGAACTAGTACAACCATTGTAGAAGTCCTTGTGGTGATTCCTCAGGGATCTAGAACTAGAAATACCATTTGACCCAGCCATCCCATTACTGGGTATATACCCAAAGGACTATAAATCATGCTGCTATAAAGACACATGCACACATATGTTTATCGCAGCACTATTCACAATAGCAAAGACTTGGAACCAATCCAAATGTCCAACAACGATAGACTGGATTAAGAAAATGTGGCACATATACACCATGGAATACTATGCAGCCATAAAAAATGATGAGTTCATGTCCTTTGTAGGGACATGGATGAAATTGGAAATCATCATTCTCAGTAAACTATCGCAAGAACAAAAAACCAAACACCGCATATTCTCACTCATAGGTGGGAACTGAACAATGAGAACACATGGACACAGGAAAGGGAACATCACACTCGGGGGACTGTTGTGGGGTGGGGTGAGGGGGGAGGGATAGCTTTAGGAGATATACCTAATGCTAAATGACGAGTTAATGGGTGCACACACCAGCATGGCACATGTATACATATGTAACTAACCTGCACATTGTGCACATGCACCCTAAAACTTAAAGTATAATAAAAAAAAGTCTTATAGCTGGAAAATCATCCTCTTTGACGGCATCTTGTGCACACTGGGGAGGGGGAAGGGCCCCCAAGGCCTCCAGCAGTCTTGCCTCTATGGATTTTCTGGGTTCAGTCCACTCAGCCCCTCTCACAGGTGGGACTCTCAGGCCTCTAGCTCTCCTAGGCTGACTGGAAACTCTTTGTGGTGCCTCCAAACCCATATTTCTGCTTGGCATTGTGCTAAGGGTCCAGTGTGGTGACTCTGTCTCTGCAACAACTCACTGCCCGAGACCTTAGGCTGTCCACAGCATTCTTTGAAATCTAGGTGGAGAAAGCCATGCCCTCGTGGTATTCTGCACACCTGCAGAATTAGCAATACATGGATGCCATGGAAGTTGATGACTTGTACCATTAAAGTGATGGCTTGAGCCACACCTAGGTCCTCCTGAGCCACATCATGGGCAGCCAAGGAGTGCTGTGCCTGGACACAGGGAACAGAGTCCTAAAGTGCCTGCTAGAAGTGAGGCCATGGATTTGCTTCAAATTTCTCCCACCATATATCCTCACTCATGGCTCTGAACTTCCACTTTACAGAAAGACCTAGGGATGAGCACAATTCAGCCACATTCCTTGCCACTTTAAGGGAAGGATGGCCTTTGCTCCATTTTCCGATGAGCTATTCTTCTTTTTCTCCTGAGACCTCATCAGAACGGCCTTTATTGTCCACGGTTCTACCAACATTCTAATGGTCATCACTTGAATAATCTCTAAGAAGTTTCAGAATTTCCTCACAGCTCTCTTCTTCTGAGTCCTCAAAAGAATACCCCTAGTGTTCTAGTCATGGCAATCTAGACTTTTTATAACCTGATCCTCCAAATTATTCCAGTCTCTGTGCATTACTACTTCCACTTCTACATTTTGGGATATTTGTTATCACAACAGCCCCACCTCTTGATACTGATTTTTTGTCTTAGTCCACTTTGTGGTGCAATGAGTGAATACCACACACTGGCTAATGTGTAAGGAAAAGAAATTTATTTTCTCCCAGCTCTAGAGGCTGGGAAGTCAATGTCAAGGTGCTAGCATCTGGCAAGAGCCTTCTTGCTGTGATGCCCATGTGGAAGGCAGGAGAGCATGTGCAAAGGATGGAAAGGGGGCTAAACTCAGTTTTTAATGAGGAACCCAGGCCTGTAGTAACTAATCTGCTACCACAATAAGTAACCTACTCTGATGATAATGGCATTAATTGCTTCATGAGGGCAGAGCCCTCTCGGCCTAATCATTTCTTAACATTCTCACCTCTGGACACTATGGAATTTGGGATTAAGTTTCCAATACACACCCTTTCTAAACAGCAGGGGCTTTTTAATAGGTTTACCACCCAAGGCTGCAGGAGGCTCTGAAGTAGTGGGTGGCTGTCCTTTGTGAGAATGGAGAGAAGTGAACTGACTGATGGAGACACAAGTAGATGAAGTAAAGGCATTCATTGCTTCATTACATGGATGGTGAGGGCGATTGAAGGCATTAACGGATTAAAGATGGTGGCAAAACCATCTGAGGTGGAGACCACGGGGAGCCCATCAGAAATGGAGGACACGTCCCAATAAATGGTGCTTCATTTCCCTGCAAAGCAGATGAAAGCAAAGAAGAAAACACAATGCCATAGTGTACACTGAGCAGTGGATTGAGAGAAGAGTTTCCTAAGGCGTAACTGACAGAGTGGAGAAGACACACGAATCTTTGCATGGTGCTAACATTTGGACTGTGGCTTCATTATTTCTTATTAATATTTTACTGAAATATCGCTAGAAGGAGACTGAAAATGAAGTGTGAAAAGTTAAATGGGATTTCTGCTCTAAGTCCTTTTCAGATGAGAGGAACTGGGGAATTCCAGGGAAGAAACAATAATAGCTGCTGAGCAAGGCTTTTGCAGGGCAGGACAAGGAATCCCCAAAGAGAAAACGGAAACCTCAGCTTCACTTTGCATCTGCTCCTGAGCCAGGTCTTGAGCGACCCCTGTAGGTCCTGAGCGCCCCCGGTAGGTTCTGAGCATTCCGTGGTTGCTGGGCGCCCTCTGGTGGTGTCTGAGCCCTTCTGGTGGTTTCTGAGCCCCCCTCTTAGAGTCTGAGCCACCCTATTAGTGTCTGAGCCACCCTATTAGTGTCTGAGGACCCTGGTGGTGTCTGAGCACAGGTGAGCTCCTCTGAAGGAAGGGTCTACATGGGGACAGGCGTGCTTGTCTCAGGGAAGGGTCCACATGGGGACAGGTGAGCTCATCTGAGGGAAGGGTCCATGTGGGGACAGGTGTGCTTGTCTGAAGGAAGATTCCACATGGAGACAGCTGTGCTTGTCTCAGGGAAGGGTCCACATGGGGACAGGTGAGCTCGTCTGAGGGAAGGGTCCATGTGGGGACAGGAGTGCTTGTCTCAAGGAAGGGTCCTCACGTGGACAGGTGTGCTCTTTTGAGGGAAGGATTGACCTGGGGACAGGCATGCTTGTCTGAGGTAAGGGTCCACCTGGGGACAGGTGTGATTCCCTCAGGGAAGGGTCCACGTGGGGACAGAGGTGCTTGTCTAAGGCAAGAATCCACGTAGCTACAGGTGAGTTCGTCTCAGGGAAGGGTCCAGGTGGGGCGAGTTCTGCTTATCTGAGAGAAGCATCGAAGTGGGGACAGGTGTGCTTGTCTCAAGGAAGGGTCCACGTGGGGACAGGTGTGGTAGTCTCAGGGAAGGGCCCACATGGGGACAGGTGTGCTCATCCGAGAGAAGGGTCCATGTAGGGACAGGTGTGCTTGTCTCAGGGAAGGGTTCATGGGGACAGGTGAGCTTGTCTGAAGGATGGGTCCACATGGGGACTGGTGTGCTCCTCTGAGGGAAGGGTCCACGTGGTGACAGGTGAGTTTATCTGAAGGAAGGGTCCACATGGGGACAGTTATGCTCCTCTGAGGGAAGGGTCCATGTGGGGACAGGTGTGCTTGTCTCAGGGAAAAGTCCACGTGGGGACAGGTGTGCTCGCCTTGGGGAAGAGGACAGATGAGCTCATCTCAGGGAAGGGGCCACGTGGGGACAGGTGTGTTTGTCTCAGGGAAGGGTCCACATGGGTACACCTGTGCTCCTCTGAGCAAAGAGTCCACATGGAGACAGGTGTGCTTGTCTGAAGGAAGGGTCCACGTGGGGACAGGTGTGCTCCTCCAAGGGAAGGGTCCATGTGGGGACAGGTGTTCTTGTCTCAGGGAAGGGTCCACGTGGGGACAGGTGTGCCCCTCTGAGGGAAATGTCCATGTGGGGACAGGTGTGCTTGTCTCAGGGAAGGGTCCACGTGGGGACAGGTGTGCTCGTGTGGAGGAAGGTTCCACCTGGGGACAAGTGTGCTTGACTCAGGGAAGGGTCCACTTGGGGACATGTGTGCTTCTCTCAGAGAAGGGTCTACGTGGGGACAGGTGTACTCATTTGAGGGAAGGGTCCACGTGGGGACAGGGGGGCTCATCTGAAGGAAGGATCCACGTGGGGACAGGTGTCCTTGTCTCAGGGAAGGGTGCACGTGGGGACAGATGTGCTCATCTGAAGGAAGGATCCACGTGGGGACAGGTGTGCTCCTCTCAGAGAAGGGTCCACGTGGGGACAGGTGTGCTTGTTTGAGGGAAGGGTCCACCTGGGGACAGGTGTGCTCGTCTGAGGGAAGGGTCCACCTGGGGACAGGTGGGGTCATCTCATGGAAGGGTCCACGTGGGGACAGATGTGGGAGAGGGTGTGCCTGGTCTGAACTGGAGTTTGAGGGAAGAATTTCTCGAGCAAGTGTGAATCCTGAACATGACCTGTTTTTCAGGAAGGAAAGCAGACCACATGGAAGCAGATGAAGGAAAAAGCAGACCACGTGGGAGCCGGATGAAGGGAAGGTTTCTATGAAATTGAAACAGCCTATCTGCCAGTGGAGAAAGTTATTTCATCCTTTTTTGCCTGCAGTGAGAAAGGGGGAAATCAGAGCCACAGAGAAGAGAATGAAATGTCCCTGAGGACATCTGAGAATTAGAGAAAAGAAAGCCTCAGATTCTAAGGAGAAGTCCTCGCCACTTCCCATCTGAGCCTGCTCTTCAGTGGACCCAAGTGTCGAGTGCATCCTGCACATCTCAGGCCCCCAGGAGGGAGGGTCCTGTCTGGGTTCACACGGCATCCCCTCACTGTGTCTCCCACAGGAATACCTGGCTGTCCTGTGGGTTCCTGGAGCTCCGCCGCAGGGAGCGCTGCTTGTTGGATGAGTCTCTGGATGGAGATGAGGCTCTTGAGAGGCGGCGGTTGTTCGTGTTTCTCTTATAATCGATGCTCCTCAGCCAGTGCAACCCCTTGTCTAGGGGCCGGTGGACCCGGCCTCCGCAGTAACCACTGGCTGTGATGGAGAATCCGGAGTCGTGCCAGGTGAGGAAGGGGGCAGCCACGGCTTCTCCAGTCTTGAGCCTCACTCCTGCTGCTGCACCTGGGACAGGACAGCTGGGAACAAGAACAGTCAGTCCCTGTCAGTCATGGGACATCACAGTTATTGCCACAGCCCGTGTCTGGCCTCTGAGATGCTCACCTTCGGGAGGTGTCAGCAGGCACAGGAGAAGGCCCAGCAATCTCATCTTCTTCTGAACCCACCTTTGTCTTCCCCAGAGACACCGTCCCAGTCTGAGAAGTGACTGGATGCTTCCACAGCCCAGGGGCGGATTTTACCCCAGAGCTAAAACAAAAAATTACACGGGGTGGATGACTATTTATTTATTTATTTATTTAGAGACAGAGTCTCGCTCTGTCGCCCAGGCTGGAGTGCGGTGGTGCAATCTCGGCTCACTACAACCTCTTTCTCCCGGGTTGAAGCGATTCTCCTGCCTCAGCCTCCCTAGTAGCTGGGATTACAGGTGCCCAGCAGCATGCCTGACTAATTTTTGTAATTTTAGTAGAGACAGGGTTTTGTCACTTAGCCAGGCTGGTCTCAAACTCCTGACCTCATGTGATCTGTCTGCCTCGGCCTCCCAAAGTGCTGGGATTATAGGCATGAGCCACCGTGCCCAGCCTAGCTGACTCTTTTTATAAGTAGAAAAGTTAAGATATGGCCCCTACCTCCTGGTAGTTGAGCGTTGTGTAGAGTGCCTTTCCTCCTAAACTCATGTGGCACGCATGTCACTTGACATTTGGTGGTTGGAGGACACTTGGTCTGCGAGACAAATGGGAATAGGCAAAGGACAGCCCTGCCATTCTGATCCCAGGGCTACTTTCCTTCCAACCCCTCTTCCCTCCTGCCCTTCCTTGTTTCTAGCGCAGCTCCCCCTATCCACAGGCCCAGGTCTTGCTTCCTCAGTGCTGAGCCCAGCACAGCTCCTGGGCTCTTTCCTTGGGTCCCACCTGTGGTGTGGCTCTCCTCACCCATGGAGCTTTGGACAACATCACATTACTGTCTCAGGAGCTCTACGCCAGCCCTGCACTCTAACCCATTCTGTGATGCCAGAGACAAGGACCTCAGGACCTACCGGGGCTGGATAAAATAATGTTCTTTGATTTACTCAGGAACTAATTCTCAATAGTTGGGGGAAGAGACAGACACATCCCTTTTTAAGTACTCCATTATCCAGACATTTAAAATGCATCTAAAGTGTGAGGATTTCTACTCTAAATGCATCTCTTCCTCTTGTTCTCTTGAGGCTATTCCTGTATATGAATTACTCATTACCTCAACTCATTACTGATAACACTTTTTTTGGAAATTCATTCATAATAAATAATATGAAAGCAGTACCAATGTCCTCATATACAACTTTTAAAGTTTGTATTGTGATAAGAATACCTACCATGAGATACACTCTCTCAGCAAATTTTTAAGTGTACTGTGCAGTCAAGTTATCTAGACTCAGGATTCTGTGCATCCAGTCTCCAGAACTTATTCATCTTGCAGAACACCAATTTTATACACACAAATTAGCAACTTACAGCTGTTTTGTTTTGGTTTTGTTTTGATTTTGGGGGGCAATTTTTAGGATTTTCTACATACAACACATGTCATCTGTAAACAGTGACACCTTTACTCCTCTCTTTCTGATTTAGTAACTTTTTCTTGCCTAAGTTCTCTGACTAGGACTTACAATACTATGTAGAACAGAATTGGTGAGATAGGGCATCCTTGTCTTCTCCATCATCTAAGTGGAAGCTTGTTCAGTGTTTCAGCATTGGCTATGATGCTAACTGTGGGCTTTTAAATATGGCTTTCAATATGTCCAGATAATTTCCCTTTATTTGTAGTTTGTTAAGAGGTTTTATCATGGAAAGATGTTGAAATTTGTCAAATGATTTTTATGCATCTGATGAGATAATATTTTAGTCTTTCATTATGTTAATGTGGTCCATCAGATTCAGTGATGTTTAGATGTTGCACCATCCCAATATTCCAGAGAGACGTTCCACTGGATCATGGCAAATGATCCTTGTAATGTGCTGTTCAGTTTGATTTGCCAATATTTTGTTGAGTACTTTTTGCATCTTTGTGTTTCAGTAAGAGTGGTCTGTAATTTATGTTAATTTGGTGTTTGCCTGGTTTTGATTTCAGGGCAATGCTGACTTTATAAAATAAGTTTAGAAGTATTTCTTCATCTTAAAACTTTTGGGAGGTCGAGATGGGTGGATCACAAGGTCTGGAGATCGAGACCATCCTGGCTAACAAGGTGAAACCCCATCTCTACTAAAAATACAAAAAATTAGCCGGGCATGGTGGTGGGCACCTGTCATCCCAGCTACTCAGGAGGCTGAGGCAGGAGAATGGCGTGAACCTGAGAGGTGGAGCTTGCAGTGAGCAGAGATCATGCCATGCACTCCAGCCTGGGCAACAGAGCGAGACTCCATCTCAAAAAACAAACAAACAAACAAACAAACAAAAAAACTTTTGGAAGTGGTTCCAAGCTCGCTTTCGATTACTGATTCAGTCTTTTACTAGTAATAGTTCTGTTTCTACTTTTTCAAGATTCAATCTTGGAAGATTGTACATATCTAGGAATTTATCCATTTCTTCTATGTTATCCATTGCTGAGTATACAATTTATTTTTAGTAAGCTCATGAGATAAATGGCCAAACATTAAAAAACGGAGTGAGGGAGTCAGGGACAGACAGGAGACAGTTGAAAGAAAGAAAAATACATTTCAGTCTCCTAGAGTTAGAAGGAATTCTAGAAGGTTTTGTTTAAGATAACAAAAGTGTAGGAATTCCTTATGCTGTGGCTGGGGGCATCCTGGAGAGATGCTGCTGCCTGGAGGCCCAGGCCCCTTCCTGTCCTGGCTCATCATCAGGCTCAGAGGAACTCGAGACCTTAGGGAAAGAGGAGCAATAGAGGGGAAATATTAACATAGGTTCCAAAAATGAAAAGGAACTAAATAATCATGAAACTACATATAGATATTTTATATAAATGTAATTATTATAAAATTATAATAGTATATTTCTAATATAATTATGACAGTATTATAATTATTTATATAATTATAACAGTATTATAATTATTTATATAATTATATATCACTTTGGTATATATAATGTATATATATAACTAAATTTAAATAAATGTCCATCATTTGACCAATTAGAAATCCAAAGTTTATATACAAAATTCTGTACTGAAATAACTTCTAAGACAAAAATTGAAAATGAAGCTGGTTGGCTTCGTGCCCCTCTACACTACAGGTTCTAGAGAGGGGAATCTAGATCCTGCAGCAGGCAGAAGAATGCCCCCCAAAGATGCCCATGCCATAGTCCTGGGGCTCTACAAAGACATCACCTGCAGGGCCAAAGGGACTGGGCTGACGTGATAGAGGCCCTTGGATGTTACAGTCACCCTGGCCTGTGCATGCCATATGCCCTGGGGTCCTGATGAGGAGAAAGAGGAGCAGCAGAGTCCAAGACCGGGGAGGTGTGGGATGGAAGCGGAGGTCAGTCACACAGCCACCAGCCGGGGAACGCAGGCGCCCCTAGGAGCTGGCAAAGGCAAGAGATAGATTCTCCCAGATAACTCTAGAAGGAAGCAGCATGGCTGGTGCTCAAGTCTTTAGTTCTGTGAAACGCCTTCCAGACTCTGACCTTGGAACTGTATACTGGTCCATTGTAATTTCACTTTAGCATTTTTGGGATTGCACCAATTGGCAAACTTTGTGATCAATACCAGGGCTCCAATAATAGCTATACCTAGGAAATTCATTAGATTTCAAGATTTAAACATGTATCCCATGTGAACTTAAGATAATTAAATAGAAATCAATATATTTGGAAGAAGAAATAGACACACCGCACTTTAGCGGTTGCCTTGCCTAGATTTCACATGATCATAATGTCCTTTGTCCTAAAATATCTCATATTGGGCATACACTCTGACACAATGAATTAAATTAAAATGGAATGAGGTGTTTGGCACTTGTGCATTGGCTTGATAAAATGGAACTCAAAGAGTTCCAGTTTATGTAGTTAATATATTCCAACAGAAGTGAAAATGGACCTTCGAAGATTAAAAACTATTATACAAATCTAATCAATAAAGAGGTGATTTTTCCCATTGCTTCTCTATTTCACAGCCAAATCTTGCCTGTTCTTAAACCGGTGAAGAAGAAAAGACAATAGCATGAAGGTTGCCCTATGTTGGATTGTCACAACTTTCATGCCGTGGCCCCACCCATTAGGGCCCCATACTCCCAATGTTCTCAAAACGACTGGCTTTAACCAACAGCCAGTGCAGACTTTGCTCTTCCAGATGTGTCTAATTGGTTGTACTCAGCGCCCATCTCAGCAGCCCCTTAGCTGCAGATTGTCTTTGCCTGGGAAGGACACCCTTCTCAGGATACGCGGGCACCTCAGCGGCGTGGCCACCACATGAGAGCTTCGCAGGCTGGCTCCTCACTGCATCTGCCTTCCTCCGCAGCACTGCTGACACCTCCTCTGAGGAGATGCTCCCCATACTTTCATTAAGGACATACAAATGCCACATCCTGCTGTTCCTTGTGGGTTCTGGTGCAACATATTCCTCACCCATAAATTTCAACTAGCCTCGCTGTTGTTGCTACTTATAAATCACCTCCCCTAAATGAAATTTCCTTCAACAAAAGGCTCAACAGTGTGCCTAATTTAAAATCAACAGGCTCTTCTGTTAGTATCCTCAGAAACTCCTTCACTAAAGAAACTTGGCAAACCCTTCTCATGCCTCCTGGTGTCTCTGGGTGATCAATGTGGCCTTAAGATGCTCGACAGTTTCCAAGGCAAGTAACTGCTCCCTTTGGCCTTGGACTATAAATCATTCAACTGAACATTGCTGTCTACAACCTGGACTATTTGGACACATCCAGCTAACTATTGTGTTTGGGGTCACAGGAACAGCACCCCACACACTTAGCATGGCTCCAGAGGCCTTCTTAAGACAGGATAAAGCAACACCCAGGCCCTCTGTCATTTCTGCTTGCAGCAGGACTGGCTTCCTATATCCACAGTCACTTGGCAGGTGCCCAAGTGCTGGAGGAGGCCACCTCTCGGCCACATGGGAAGAACGCTGGGACTCACTGAGTGGACAGTGACTGGCATTTGCGGGCTGCAAGGATGACAAGTGATGGGGCTTGGGGCATGCTTCTGCTCTCCCTCTCTTGGCCATATGTCCCAACAAAGGATGGGGCTGGGGATCCCCAAAATTAGGCAGATGTCAGGCAGTCACACCAGCATTGGGTGCCCTATCGAACCAATGGCTCCATTTCCACATTTATTATAAACAGCTCAGACGTTGTTTAAGAGCTGTCTTCAGGGTAAGGAAATCTGAAAGTCTCTTGCCTCCCAGACACTGAAAATATAAATCAAGTGGCTCATATCTCTGCACATAATAAGTTCACAATACGAGGCTTTGGTGGGACACTAATGTCCTTCAAAATTGCATACTTTGCTGATAGTAACCAAGTCACACATTTTACTTTTCAAAACACACAATGCTGGATACAGAAAAAGCCACTTGATAGAACTTCATGCCTCTTAGGCCCCATTCAATAGAACTTAATTATGGGCTGGTTTAACTCAGAGACATACTGATCTCCTCAAACAATTCCTTCAAATTCCACTCCAGTAAATGGACACCCAATGGATCTCCAACTTCTGTAGAACTAACTCTCCCTAAATTCAAGGCTCTTAGCTGAGTCGCCCTCATCCCAGCTTTCAGGACTTCTCCATCACCCTTTGAGATATTTATAGGCTTATATTCATTGCATTATTGAGGCTATTTAAAATATTATTTCCATATCTTTACAAATGTTTGATGTTGCTCTTATCTCATAAGGGCTGGAGAACCTATTGAGGGTAAAAACTCTCCTCGGATGATTAGCCATAGAGGGTCCCGTGGGTCAGTCGGCTGCTCATCTGATATGAGCCCATTTGAACGTAAAGTTCCACAAAAACAAACTCAAAAAACAAATGAAAACAACATCAACACCTGCCAACTGCAGCCAAGCACCCCTCTGTTGACTGCTGGTCTCACCATTGTCCATGTGGCTGCTTTTATTGTGGACTTATTTGTTATAATCCAAAGGGCAAAAACCTCCAAATAGGCCATCACTTCAACCAAACACGGCAAGTGCTGATAGCCAGTCAGTCCGCTTGAGCACATGCCCACCTGGAAAGGACACCCTAGTACCCCATCCTAGAGCACATCGGCCTGGCCCAGGGCTCAAAGCTGGAGGTGGCTTTGGCTTTTCCCCGGCGAGCTGGAGACAGTTGTGCCCTAAACCTTAACACCAGTCATGGCCTGGGAAGTCTCTCAATGAAACAATAAGGCATTGGACATGCCTTGCTTTTGTCCCTTGGATACTAGGGATCCTATTGTGCTCCCTGAGCTTGCTGTCCATTTGGCCCAGGATCCCAGTGCACTCCTTGCTGTTTGCCACAACATGCTACACTACATTTCTGTTCATACAGAGAAATCTGATAGTGGTTACTACCATCTCTGTCAGTCTGAAAATCAGCAGAGGTCATTGCTGCACACAAAGGAACCTGCCTCATATCCATCAACCCTTTGACACCATGAGGAGAGAACCACCCACTCCCCAGTAACTTTTCCCACTCCCAACTCGCATCTCTGAACTACAACCACCACCAACACTTCCACCTTTTGATTACCACTAATCTTGAGAAATAATTTACTAACCCATCCATCCATGCACTCCAACAATGTGACTAGAGGACCTGCCACCTTGACCCAAGAAAGACACCAAAATATTATTGTTAGAAAAATACATGCATAAAGAAATTTATAACTGCACCAAGACATTGTTTGTGACCCCAGCTGTCTCAGACCAGGTTTCTTGGCTGTCATACAAATGGGAAACCTATTTATGGGCTGGCTGGCAGCGACTCTTGATACTTCTACTTGTGTTCCTCCTCTCTACTCTCACAGTAAAATGTTTTCTATATCCTTTAGGGCAACTGATGTAGCCACACTCTGTAAACTCTTCAGCATCAACACTCCAAAAATTCCTTCACATGACATGAAACCATCAGAGGTTGGGTTGGGTTAATCCTGTGTCCTTATTCTCCGTGTTTATGATACTCTGACATCTTGGAGTCTTGTGGAACTGGGGAGGAAAAGCCTGTCCCAGGATTACTTAATTTCTAGAAGAAACACTTGCTGGTGAGCACACCTTTCCTGTGCAAACCAGGGCATACAGGCCCATTCTCCCCACCTGTTTATCTGACTCACACAACAAGCCAACATTTCCTCTGCCCTAAACCCCCAAGGGGCAGGTACAGGACAAGGAGAGATGGCTCCAATAGGCCAGAGCCCATCGCGTTTTTCAGCATCCCATGCCATGCCGGTTGGAAGCTCGTCCACCTGCCTCCCTCATCCCTTCCCCTGGAAGCTGAAGAAGGCTGTGCTGCTGCCGCCTCCCTGCTCCCCTTCAGGGCTTTCTGGGCAAGGCTTACAGTTCCAGGAGGATCCAGCCCCCCGTGTGGAGGTGCTCTCCAGGTCCTGAGACTTCAGTGCAAGATGAAGGTGTGCTTTGCACGTGGGAGGCCCCAGTCATAAGCAGGGAAGGTCCAGGGGAGGCCTCAGTTTCTGATTCAGGAGCTGGAGAAGGAGGAGGCCTTATCTGCTCCCAGGAATGACCCTCCCTCTTCTGAGTGCCCTGCCATCTGGGGCTCCAGGTCAGAGAAGTGCCAGCCACAAGAGGGAACTTGGAAGGTGTGGAAATGAATTCTGCTCTCAGGAGAAAACCCCACTGATGAAGACATGCTTGCCTTTTCCTTCTCTCCTCCTGGGCACCCTTGCCCTAGGGCCTGCCTCTCCCTTCATCCCCCTGAGGGAACTTTGAGCAGAGTGTGGGCCCAGAGGCCACAGGTCAGGGACATGAGCTCAGCGCTATGGGGATGCACAGCCTTGGGCAGTCAGTGGATGCTTCCTGGTGGGGCCTCGCCTCTGAATGGCAACATGAGTCATTCCTGCCCTGGACAGTAGAGAACCCGAGCAGAGGATGGCCCTCCCAGCAGGATTTGACTGTGAGCATTCCGTGAGCATAGCTCATTTCTCAGAGCTGAGAGGGTGGTCCTGACTGGCTTGCGCCCTCCCAGTGCACCTCTGTGTCCTCTCCACGCTGCCTGCCTCCCCGGGGCCTGGGCAGCCCCTACCTCCTGCTGATTTCCCTCAGCCCAGCTCCTGCTCGGGGGGAGCCCTGCAGAGCCCTCACTGGGCACCTCTCTCAGAGGCACTGGGCCCCACAGGTAACTGAGCAGGTGCAGCCATCACTCAGTACAGCTCCTGGGGACAGGTCAGGTGGGTTAGGCTGGGGCTCTGGTGAGGTCAGGCCACACCACCCAGGGGAGACAAGAGCTGAGACACCTCACTTCCCATGTCTCTCTTTTCACATCTCTTAGGGCAGTCTTCCCCCAGCTGTGTAGCTCAGGAAGAACTCTCAGGGTTCATGTGGAGAAAGAGGCTGTGACCACCCCAGAGGCCTCTTCTCCAGTGAGAAGCAGGGGGACACCCCGGAGGAGCAGACATTCTAAGGCTGCCCGTGAGCCCTGCGACGGGCTCTGTTCCCAGCAGGGAGGTGGAGAGGATGTCACTCAGGAATCACCTCGGAGCCCCGAGAAGAGGGAGGTCTAGATGTTGATTTCTTGGGAAAGGGCTGTGAGCTCAAAGATGGGCTTAGGAATATAGATCACAGAAAAAAAATTGATGTGCAAAAATGAAAAAAAATATGACTTTTATTAAATCATAAAACTGTGATGAAACAGGTGACATCAGTGGAGCAGCCTGCACATTTTCCATCCAGGCATCGTTGAGTCTAGATACGTGTCCCAATTATAGACCATCCAGGCATCCAGGGCTGCCACTTGCAGATGGAAAATTGTACTATTTTCAATCATGCACTGAGGTTGAATTACTTCACAGACTGAACCAAACAAACATGGGCTCCATTGAAGAGTGTCTGGCATTTGTTTCAACCACAAGAGAACTTTCCCCAGCTCTCCCTCGTCCTCGGTTCTCTCCTGCAAGCCAGCAGCCCTGCAGTGTAGCCTGCATCTCCCATGCATCCACCCATCTCCTTCCAAGGGCCTTCCACCACACCATCCACTGTTTTTGAGAGCACTGGCAGGCTTTCAATTTGTCCACATTCTGTTGTTACTGAAGTTAGGATTTTTAGGACTAATTAAGGATCATATTTTATGACTGAATTCCATTGCTCCCTCTCTCCTGGGACAGAGCTCCTAAACAAGGTTCTGCAGGTATAGACAAAGTTGAGCTGTTTTATTCCTCAGCCTAGGAGCTGAGCTCTCAGTGGAGGGTGGGGCAGGAGCTTCCCACCTTCTCAGCACTTCGGTTATTGTGGGGTGGAACCTCTGCCATAGGACAGAGCTAGAAACCAGAGACCCAGTGTTCCCAGTGGTACTGGACCCAGGGCAGAGCCTCCATCCATGAGTGGGGCTCCATGGAAGAAGTGAGTCTCTGGCTCTTGGTAGCTCTTGTTCAGCACTGAACCTCAGCATCATGTGCTGTGTGCAGGGTCAGAGGGCCAACGTACTGGGCCCTGGGGAAGAGTTTCCTCTGGTGGGAGTTGGTAGAAGGTGTCCTGTCTTCTTGGCTGCATCTGTCGGCAGTGGAGTTTACATCATGCTGAGCTGGGATGTGGAAGGAAGGAAGAGCATCTTAGATCAAGCATGATGACTGGCCTTACCGAGTTTTCTAGATTTTCTTGAATAAATATTTCTTCACTTGCTTTATGCTGTTAGAGCCTTTCCAAACCCTGTAATTTTTCAAAATAATTTTCACTGGTCTCATGAGGGCCTGGATTCACTGAAACCCTCATGCTGTCAAAGAGAAATAGAATTTTTTTTCACTTTTTAGAGAACACCCATGCGTTATAAAATAATGGGTTGACTTTTCATCCAACACTTTACAGATACCATCAACTTTCCTCTTGCTTGTAAGGTTTTAACCAGAAGAATGCTGTCATCATCTTTTCTGTTCTTTTGGAAGGAATGCCCCCTCTGCTCACCTCCACTTGCCTGCATGTATTTCTATTTGTCTTTCCTTTTCAGCAGTTTTAATAAGATTTACCTAAATGTGTGTGGGGGGATCAGGGGGTGTAATTCTGCTGTTCTGTGTTCTCTGAGATGCATGGATTCACGGTTTACTCTGTCTCCATTTTGGGTAACACAATTAGAAAAAATGTCAGTATGAGCCTAGAAACAAGCCTCCCTGAAGAGGGAACAGGACCACCTGGGGGCGCTCAGGACCCACTGAGCACAAGAGCCAGCCTCAGGGCAGGTGCAGAGGGAGGTTAAGGTCTGGTTTCCTGTCAGCCCTGTGGCTTCCTCTCCATGAAACAGTTTCCTCCATGAAACAGTTTCAGAATATGTGCCATGGGGTGATGAGAAGAATGTATATTCTGTTGCTTTTTGGTGGAGAGTTCTGTAAACATCTATCAGGTCCATTTGATCCAGTGCTGAGTTAAGGTCCTGAATATCTTTGCTAATTTTCTGCCTCAGTGATGTGTCTAATACTGTCAGTAGGGTGTTGAAGTCTCTCATTATTATTGTGTGTGAGTCTAAGTCTCTTTGTAGGTTTCTAAGAGTTTGTTTGAACAGGGTGCTCCTGTGTTAAGTGCGCGTATATTTAGGATAGTTAGCACTACTTGTTGAATTGAACCCTTTGCCATTATGTCATTACCCTTTTTTGTCTTTTTTTATCTTTGTTGGTTTAAAGTCTGTTTTGTCTGAAATTAGGATTACAATCTCTGTATTTTTTATGTTTTCTATTTACTTAGTAGATTTTCCTCCATCCCTTTATTTTGAGGCTATGGGTGTCATTGCATATGAGCCTATGGGTGTCATTGCATGTGAGCCTATGCGTGTCATTGCATGTGAGCCTATGTGTGTCATTGCATGTCTCTTGAGACAGCATACCATTGGGTCTTGCTTTTTTATCCAGCTTATCACTCTGTGCCTTTTAATTGGGGCATTTACCCCTTTTACATTCAAAGTTAGTATTGATATGTGTAGATTTGATCCTGTCATCATGCTGTTAGTTGGTTACCATACATACTTGTTTGTGTGGCTGCTTTATAGTGTCATTGGTCTGTGTACTTCAGTGTATTTTTGAAGTGGTTGGTAATGATATTTCCTTTTCTTATTTAGTGCTTCCTTCAGGAGCTCTTGTAAGGCAGGTCAGTCTGGTAGTAACAAATTCCCTCAGCATTTGCTTGTCTGAAAAGGATCTTAATTCTCCTTCACTTATGAAGCATAGTTTGGCTAGATGTAAAATTCTAGTTTGGAATTTCTTTTCTTTAAGAATCTTGAATATTGGCCCCCAACCTCTTCTGGTTTGTAGAGTTTTTGTTGAGAGGTCTGCTTAGTCTTATGGGCTTCCCTTTGTAGGTGACCTGACCTTTCTCTCTGGCTGCCTTTTGCATTTTTTTCTTTCATTTCAACCTTGGAAAATCTGATAATTATGTGTCCTGGAGGTGATCTTCCTGTGAAGTACCTTAAATGGGTTTTTGTATTTTCTGAATTTGAATGTTAGCCTCTCTAGCTAGGTTGAGGAAGTTCTCATGAATGATATCCTGGAATATGTTTTCCAAGTTGCTGCCATTCTCCCCATCTCCTTCAGGGACACCAGTGAATCATAGATTTGTTCTCTTTACATAAACATATTTATCAGAGGTTTTGTTTCTTCCTTTTCATTCTTTTTTCTCTATTCTTGTCTGCCTGTCTTGTTTCAGAATGCCAGTCTTAAAGCACTAATATCATTTCTTCTGCTTGGTCTATTCTGCTGTTAATAGTTGTGATTGCATCATGAAATTTTTGCAGTGTGTTTTTCAGTTCTATGAGGTCAGTTATGTTCTTTCCTATACTGTCTATTTTGTCTGTCAGCTCCTGCATTGTTTTATTGTGATTCTTAGCTTCCTTGGATTGGGTTTCAACATACTCCTGTACCTTGTTGCTCTTCATTTCTATCCATACTCCAAATTCTATTTGTGTCACTTCAGCCAACCCAGTTCAGTTAAAAACTTTTGGTGGAGAGCTGATGGAGGCATTCGGAGGAAAGACAGCATGCTGGCTTTTTGACTTGTCAGAGTTCTTGCACTGTTTTTTTCTCATTTTTGTGGGCTAGTGTTTTTTCAATCTTTGAAGCTCTTGTCCTTTGGATTTTTTTTTATCTTATTAGATGACTTTGAGAGTTTGATTGTGTTATAAAGTGGGTTCAGTCAACTGGCTTTATTTCTGGAAGATTTTGGGGACCAAGGTTCAGCTGTCATCTCCCCAGCTGCATGTTTTAATTCTGGGGGACTTATATCCTACCCTACTTTGTTCTCTGACTTCTCAAGATTATGAACAGACTGTGATGGGGGTGCTAAGGTGCTCCTGGACTGCTGGTCACTACATGTTGATGGAATGGTGCTAGTCAAAGGGTTTTGTAGTGTGGTGGCAGTAGGGGGGGGGTCTGTCCTCATTCACAGGTGCCCTCAGCAGCACCAGAACCAGCAGTATTAAATCACGATGCATGCTTGTCAGCTGCAGCAGACTGCTAGCAGGTGCTGAGATGCCTGCCTCCATGAAGGCATTGACAGCAGGGGTAGAGTCAGCATAACTTGGGGGGTCAGCAGGCCCCCATTGGTGACTGTGTGCATTGGTGCACTGATGGTGGTGTTAGTATGGGGGCAGGGCACTGGTGGGTTCAGGTGTGTGTGCACCCTCTGTGGCTACTCAGGGCAGGGGAGGGTTCATTGTTTTCAGTGCCTAGTTTCATTCTGGTGGCAGTGTTGGCACAGGGGCAGGTCACTGACAGAGGCAGGACTGGTGGGCTCTGTGCCCACTACAGCTCTGACTGCAATGGTAGTATGGCCGAGGAAGGGGAGCAGAGTGCACTCCTGCTGGCAGCAGAGGCAGGGCAGGGTACACGTGCTCACACAAGCTGGTGGTGAAGGGAAGGGAAAATCCACCTGCACACATACAAGCCAGCCAAATGATGTCAGGGGGCAGGGGTGGTTGGCCATGGGCTTGGAAGAAGCTGCAGCAGAGGGAGGGAGCAGGCAGGTTGGTGCATGGCCCTAGGGGCCACCCCGCTGGAGCTCTCCACCAATTAGATATGGTCTGCCATTGCAGAAGCTAAGATGCGGGTCCCCAGGGAACCTGAGTCTGTACTGCAAGCAGAAAAAAACCAGGCTGGAGCACTGGGAGAGGTCAGCAGACCAGGGGGTACTAAGGTTGGATCTGCCCCATCTGATGGGAAGACTGCCCTGCAGAATTCATATCTGACAGTTCCCCTAGGGCTAAAGTCTCCTATGGAGGCAAGTCAAGTCTGGAGAGATGGGTATCCCTGGCCGTGCTCTGCTATAGATGTTCCTGCAACAAACCCTCTGGGCTCCATATCGGCTACCATGCTGCTCCTACCACTCCTCTAAGCACTTCCCCTGCCAACTCTGTGTCTGTAGTGGTTGAGGGGTCTCCTCCCGGTGGGATTCCAGAGGCTTGTGGCAAGAGTAGGTTGCTTCTTGCCAGTTCAACTCACCCATTCCCCCAAAGTTCTTGGGGGTGAGGAACGAGTCCCATTGCACGGTAGCCCCACCCAGCTTCTGCCCAGCTTTTGTGTCTTGAGGACCTGTTAGGACTGTGCCAGTCATCCCAGTCCCACAGTGACAGCTGTTCTATCTGTCTGCAACTAGTCAGACATCTTGACCAAATTGGAAGTTTCTTACAAAGCTGAGCATAGCCTTACCATATGATCACACTCCCAGGCACTTACCCAACTGATTTGAAACATGTGTACACAAAAACCCAGTCATGAATGTTTACAGCAACTTCATTCCCTAACAGCCAAAAATTGGAGACAATCACAATGTTCTTCAACGAGTGTATGAATAAACAAACTGTGCTATATTTACAATAGAATGTTATTCAGCAATAAAAAGGTCATTAACTACCAAGCCATAAAAAAGCATGAATGAATCTTAAATGCATAATGCTAGCTGAAAGAAGCCAGTTTTGAAAGGTTATATACTGTGTGACTCCAATTGTATGACATTCTAGAAAAATTAAAACTATAGAGACAGTAAAAGACTGGTGGTTACCAAGAGTACAAGGAGAAGAAAGAAGAGTGGAATAATTTAAGTTGAAGAACAATTTAGGGTGAAGAAATTATTCTTTCTAATGCTGTAGAAATGAATACATGATATTATAAATATGTCAAAAATTATAGAAAAAACTTAATTTGTGTAAGTTTTAACAACTATACTACAACAAATTGAATAACCTTGAAGAAATAGATAAATTTCTGGACACAATTTGTCAAAATTAAATTAAGAGGAAATAAAAAATCTTAACCGATCAATAAGGAATAAAATTGAATCAATAGTTTCAAAAATCTCACAGCAAAGAAAAGCCCAGGACCTAATGGATTCTGTTTTAAATTTTACCAAACATTTGAAAAAGAACTAATACCAATTTATTCCAAACTCTTCCAAAAATTGAAGAGGCAGGAACATTTCCATACTCATTTTAGAAGGCCTGCATTACTCTGATACCTAAGCCACAGGTGGATACTAAAAGAAAAGTGCAATCCAGTGTCTCTGATGAACATAAATGCCAGAATACTAACACATTAAATCTGGCAGCACATTAAAAGGATAATTCATGGTTAGCAAGCACAGTGATATTTGAACATATGCAAATCAATAAATGTGATATACCACATTGGCAGAATGAAAGGCAAAAACCATATGGTTACCTCAATAGATGCAGAAAAGGCATTGACAAAATTCAACATCCTTCATCATAAAAACTTCCAACAAATTATGCTTAGAAGGAACCTACCACAGTGATAAATGCCACATATTACAATCGCACAGCTAACATCATATTCAATGGTGAAAAATTGAAAGCTTTCCTTCTAAGATCAGAAAGAAAATAAGGATGCCCACTCTCACCGAGTCTACTCAATATATTACTGAAAGTACTAGCTAGAGTAAGTAGGTAAGAAATAAAAGGCAACCAAATTGTAAAAGAAGAAGTAAAATTGTCTGTTTGCAGATGACGTGATCTTATATCGAGAAAATCCTAAAGATGTCCTCAAAAAAACCTTCTAGAATAAGTGAGTTCATAAAGCTGCAGATTAAAAAATGAACATACAAAAACTAGTGGTATCTCTGAACAGTAACAATGAATTATCTGAAAAGGAAGTCAAGAAAACAATCCCATTTATAACTATAAAAAATTAAAACAAAATACTTAGGAATAAATTCAACCAGGAGGTTTAACCTCTGTACACTGAAAACTATAATACATTGATGAAATAAATGGAAAAAGAGAATTAAAAGTAAATATACCTATGTACATTAATTTTAAAAAATTAATATTGTTAAAATATCTAAAATAATTAAATTACCTACAGATTCTATCAAGTCCCTATTAAAATTCCGATGGCATTCATCATAGAAATGGAAAAAACAAAACCAAATTTGTATGTACTTGTACAAGACTCTAAATAGCCAAAGTAATTTTGAGAAAAAGGAACAAAGCTGGAAGCATCACACTCACTGCTTCAAACTCTACTACAAAGCCATATTAATTAAAACAGTATGGTACTATAAAAACATGACACATAACAATGGAACACAGTAGGGAGCCCAAAAATAAATTCACACATATATGGCCAACTAAGATTTGACAAGGGTGCCAATAATACACAATGGGAAAAGAAAAGTCTATTTAATAAATGCTGTTGGAAAAGCTAAATATCCACATGCAAAAGAAAGAAACTGAAGTCTTGTCTTATGACATATACTAAAACTAACTGGAAATGAATTAAAGATTTAAATGTAAAACCTGAAACTGTAAAACTACCAGAAGAAAACATAAGGAAAAAACACCTTGACAACAGTCTTGGCAATCATTTTTTGGATATGACCACAAAAGCACAGGCAACAAAAAATAAACAAGTGGGACTATATCAACTAAAAATTCCACTGCGCCACAAAAGAAACAATTGACCAAATTAAAAGGTAACCTATCGAATGGGAGAAAATATTAGTAAACCATATGTATGATAAGGGGTTAATACTCATAATATATTAGGAAGTACGCAAGTCAACAGTAAAACAACAAACAACCTGATTTTTACAATTGGCAAAGATTTTAACAGACATATTCCCAAAACAGACATAGAAATAGCCAACATGTATATGAAAAGGTGCTCAACATCATCAACCATTGGGAAAATGAAATTAAAACCGCAATGAAACATCACCTCATACCTACTGTAATGGCCATTATGAGAAGACACATGATAACAAGTGTTGGTAAGGATGTGGAGAAAAGGGAACCCTTTCACACTATTGATGGGAATGTAAATTGGCACAGGCATTATGGAAAACAATATAGATGTTCTTCAAAAAATAAAAAATAAAACTTCCATATGTTCCAGCAATCTCACTTCTAGATATATACCCAAAGGAAATGAAATAAGTATCTCTAAAAGAACTATACTGCTATGTTCACTGCAGCATCATTCACTATAGCCAAAATATGGAAACAACCCAAGTGTACATCAATTGATGAATGAGTATAAAAATTGTGGTACATATATGTGATAGATTATCATCCAGCCAAAGAAAGAAGGAAGTTTTGCCATTTGCAGCAACATAGATAAACCTAATAGACATTACGGTAGGTGAAATAAGCCAGACACAGAAAGACAGACACTATATGATCTCACTTACATGTAGAATCTGAAAAAAAAAAAAAAAAGCTCATTGAAGGAGAGAGTAGAACAGTGGTTGTCAGAGGGTTTTGAAGTCAGAGAAAAGGGGAATATGTTGGTCAAATGGTACAAACTTTCAGCCCTAAGATAAACACATTCTTGGTAACTAATGTACAACATGGATGGTGATTAATGTGTTAATTTGATTGTGGTAATCATTATACAATGTATATGTATATCAAATTATCATTTCATATACCTTGAATATATTTGATCTTTATGTGTCAATTAAATATTTATAAATTTAAAAATCTACAAAAGAAACAAATCATTTCAATTCTATACAATAAAAAAAGAACTATCTAAAAGGGAAATTAAGAAATTAATCTCATTTCCATTAGAACCAAAAAATAAAATATTTAGGAGTAAACTTAAACAAAGAGGTGAAAGACTTGTACACTTAAACTGTAAAACATTGATGAAAGAAATTAAAGCAGATGGAAATAAATGGAAAGACTTTCTGTGTTAATGGAATAGAACAATTAATATTGTTAAAATATCCACACTACCTGAAGCAATCTATAGATTCAATACAATCTCTGTGAAAATCCCAACATCATTTTTTAAAGAAATTTTTAAAAATCCTAAAATTCATGTGGAGACACAAAGACTCATGAAGTGACATGGACGGGGAAAAGGTGGCAAGAAGGTTTTATTTAGGAGGGAATAAATGCGGTTACACGCTAAAGGTTACACCCAATAGGGAGGACAAAGTTCATGTTATAGGTGAGAGAAAGGAGAGTTACCAGAGTAATTGCCTTTAGTAGAGAGGACGGGATGGAATCTGGTGCACAGGTGGAAGGGTTTACTTCTGTAGGAGCAGGATCAGGTCACCCAGTTTCAGGAGAAGTTAAAGGAAACTTAATCACAGATGCAGGTTGTATAGTGGTAGTGATGGGAGATTAAGGAATTCTCACCTGTTACCTTTCTCAGTAAAACAGGAAGCAACACAATAAACAGAGTGATAATAGAGAAGGATTATTTGAAGATTCAGACCACTTTTTCTATAGTCTGAATATTTTTACCATGTACAAAATTTATATTCCTAAGTATAAACTTTGGTTTTTATCAAAAATAAAATATTTTAAAACTCAATTTTTGACCCCCTTGCATTTGGGGTTCCAGATGTTTTGGATGCTGCCCATTTAATGTACTCATTTGAGATTTGAATATGTAGTAAGCTAGTTAAAGGGAGGCAGTAGGATAGGCTTCTGTTATACTAGGGGCGATTTGTTAGGTCCAAAGTGAGTGATTCCGGATCATCAACTTGATCCCAGGCACATGGCTAAAATTGTAGTGTTTTTCAGACAACAGATGGCTAAGATTGTAGCAAGAACAACTTCCCTGACAACATAGGTCACCTGTGTTAGTCTGTAAGTCATCTCTGGGTGTCCAGCCTATAGTCTGCTCTTCTAGACTTTGCAGTGATTTTGTGAACACCTCTCTTGATATTAAATGATGTTTTGTTTAAAATAGCTGGAATGGTTTCTTCTCTCTGACACAAAATCCTGATTGGTCTATGAAAAGACTGTCATTATTAAACTTACAGTGAAATCAATTGGCAATAAGGTCAAACATACAGCTAAAAGTCATAAAAATTTGCTAGGATTAATAATGAAGCTCCAGAAAAAAAAAGTAAAATTTTTTTTGATCTTTTTCAGTAAAAGTAACCAGCTTTCTTTTGCCACTCTCTGCTTACGTATGTAAGAAAAATTGGTAGTTTAATATCTTTCAAAGTGCACTTACAAATATAATATTTTCCTCTTAATGATATTTTTCAACTCTTTGATATCTGCATAGAATCTTGAGTTTACAGCCCTAAGTCATTTATGACCCTTCAGTAGAGGAATCACTCTTTTGCTTAAAGCCACAGAATGGCTTCTTATTGTAATTGTAATAAAATGAAAACTCACATTTACTATGTAGACCATATGTTTTTGACACTACCAGTATCTCCAACTTTAAGTTTAATCATTTTCACATTAAATTACTATATTCTTGGTAACATGGACTTTATTGTATTCTTCAAATATACCAAGTTCATCATCATCTTTGAGTTTTTGCACTGCCTGTGCCCTCTGTCTACCATACTATAGCCACAAATGTTTGCATGTTTGGCTTCTTCAGTTTATCCAGATATGATCCAAAATGTCAGCTCTTCAAGGCCTTTTTTTATTATTAAACACAAATTGGTTACTCCCAATCCAGAGTCACAGTTTATCATTTCACTTTTCGTTTTAGTTTTTACAGAGCAGTATCTCTTCCTGAAACTATGCTGTTTATTTTCTACCTTAACGGCGGTCTATTTTTACTAGGTTGTATCTCTTGGAGAGCAGATAGACCTTATCTGCCTCAATACTTTCTTTCTTCAGTTCCTAGAATAGTCCTGACAAATGGGAGGTATTCAATGATTGCAGTACTTGGAAATAAACAAATCAATTTCAGATAAAATTCTACAGTCTATTTTTATTCTTTTTTTTTTTTGCCCTTTTTCAGGCTATGTGTTTATTAAACACCTTTTTCATGGAAGCTTTCACTTCCTGGTTATGAAGGGTATAAATGACAGGATTCAACAAAGGAAGAATCACTGTGTGGAAGAGAGAAACCACCTTGTCGGCTGGGAAAGCCCTGAAGGGGCACGTGTAGATGAAGATGCCAGGTCCAAACATGAAGAATATAACAATGATGTGGGTGGTGCATGTGGACATGGCCTTGTTTTTTGCCTCAGAAGAAGACGCTCGTATGCGACAAAGAATGACTGCATAGGAGGCCAGAAGTCCCAGAAAGCACATGAGTGTCATCAGGCCACTATTGAAGACCATCAGAAGCTCCACCACAAACATGTCGGTGCAAGCCAGCTTGATGACCTGTCAGACATCACAGAAGAAGTTGTCCAGCTGGTTTGGGCCACAAAAAGGCAAGCAGATGATGAGGACCACCTGGATAATGGAGTGGACAAAACCCCCAAGCCACAGAGCCAACATCATTGCATAGCAGGCTCTAGAGTTCATGACAGTTGAATACTGCAGAGGCAGGCAGATGGTGATGTAGCGGTCAAAGGCCATCACAACAAGGAGTAATCCCTCCCCTCCTCCAAGGAAGTGCAAGAAAAAGAGCTGAGTGATGCAGCCTCTGTAGGAGATTACCTTCTTCTCAGAGAGGAAGTCCACCAACATCCTGGGAGCCACAATGAAGGAGTAGGATGCATCCAGGAAGGCCAAGTTGCCCAGAAATAAATAGAGGGGGGCTGTGAGCCCAGGGTCTGACCTTATGGTGAAAATAATGAGAAAATTTCCAGGGAGGATGAAGAAGTAGAATATTAAAACTAGCACAAAGACCAGGAGCTAAATATCTCGAAACTGGGTCAAACGAAGGAGGATGAATTCTCTTATCACTGTTCTGTTCTCGCTTTCCATTTCCCTGGCCTGCAGTACATTAAGAAGCAGAATTAATTGTTATTGCTATGTCTTCCAACTAGATACTAGTTCTACAGCTAAAAAATATTTGGCACATATAGTACTTCAGCTAAAAACAACACTTCCCATCCCTCTCCTATTCTGGGGAAACTCCGTTACCTTAATTTCTCCAAATTTAAAATGAAAAATGAAAACAAAATATGGTTCTCAAAGCTACAGTTTTATTCCCATTCAACCATGTGCTTCTACAGAATCATTTTCCATGTTAGGAGTCTGGTATCCTCCACGTTGGGATTCCTACATTCCTAAATCATGTAAGTTTCCTAATGGAGACACAACCTAACTTCAAATCTGAAGGTCTTTGAGTTTTTTGGATATACTATGCTTGAGGGTTAGTTCTTTTCTTGGGATTAGACCCTTTTTCTCCTTGTCCACACCACCCCCAAATTTTCCTAGACATTTTCTTCCCTCAATTCCTGTGTAATTCCCAGTTCCTAGCTGGTAACTCTCTTCCTTGCCCTCTGTCTTATCATCTAATTTACTTCTTATTATACTCCTTTTGGTCTGATATCCTTGAATACTCTTTTCCCAGACTGTTCACGAGAATCCCAAGCTATAGCTCCACTTTTGACCTAACACAGGCACAGTGCTCCAGCTGTAACTCTGTTTGAACACCACTCCTGTGGCCACTCCACACCTGCATGCAGCTTATTTAGCACTTTTTGAGTTTCAAATACTAATAAACTCACAACACATTTCTTTCTCTGTTCCAAGTATGACACCCAAGATACAGCCCTTTAACAAAAAATATGCTACAATATAAAATTTGCAAGTATAAAACTTTAAAATATCACTATCTCAACTCATAAGATCATAGCATAGATACACTGTAAGTAGCCATAAAGATACTGTAGTGTTATTCTTCCATTTCAAAGATGAGAAATAACCTGTAGTTATATTACTTAAGTTTAGAGTGAGTTTTATTTTTTGCTCTGCTTGATAAGTAGTAGGATAATGCAAGTGTATACTATTCAGTTTAAATAGATAAAGAATTTTTTAATCACAGCTTCAATGAATGAATGTTCTTTTTGTGCATCTGAATAACTAAAGATAATATTGCTAGTCTAAAATCACTCCCGTATTGCTTTGATTTGTAAGTTCAACCTTGTTTAAATAAAAAGAAAAACAATGTCCATTGTGAAGAAAATTCATATTTAAAATTCAGATTGTTTTCATGGGGTATACTCATTCCAGAAGGTGCACATGATAATCCACTGAAGTATAGAAAGAACATAGTAATTTATCTATATTTAGTCAGTGTATAACATTTTATATGTATCACTACATTTCATTCTTTTCTAAATTCACTTTTTAATATTTATAATGGATAACATAGTACAATGGTTTATATATACTTTATAAATAAATATGCATACATTTAAGGTTACATATTCAAAAAATGTCTTAGGGGAGTAAATTTTTTAAGTTTGAAAATTGTTGGCCTACAACAAAATACAAACTGTAATATAAAAGGATATTCTTAATATGATTTAACTAAACAGTGTATTTGTTTTAAATAAGTGCTCTAGCGGCCGGGCGTGGTGGCTTATGCCTGTAATCCCAGCACTTTGGGAGGCCAAGGCGGGTGGATCACGAGGTCAGGAGATCGAGACCATCTTGGCTAACATGGTGAAACCCCGTCTCTACTAAAAAAATACAAACAAATTAGCCGTAGTGGTGGTGGTTGCCTGTAGTCCCAGCTACTCAGGAGGCTGAGGCAGGAGAATGGTGTGAACCCGGGAGGCAGAGCTTTCAGTGAGCCGAGATCATGCCACTGCACTCCAGCCTGGGTGACAGAGCGAGACTCTGTCTCAAAATAAATAAATAAATAAATAAATAAATAAGTGCTCTAGCACATGGGGTACGGAAGGAAGGGAAAATCTTTGACAGAAAATGCTACTGCAACAGTACCTAGAAAAGAAAGACAAGAAGATAGAGGATGAGGGAAGAAAGAAGAGAGAAATAGAAAATCAGGCAAACAAACACCAAACAAGCAAACAAACAAGCAAACAAACACCAAAAGACAGACAGCACATCTATATAGTGTCATCTTAGGGTACATATTTTAAGAAGCATTAAAACTATCTGCTTTATGTATCCCTAGAGTGGAATAGAGTGGTTAATACAGAAATTTCTGGGTGTTACTGGCAGCCACATGTGGAATTTATGAAAGTCATATTTTAACACATCATCATATATACATATGCAAATACCACATGAACACACACGTATGCACACACATACAAACACATGCAAAATTGTAATAGGAAAAAATATTTTGTAGATCCTTCAAACGAGCTTTTCTGCTCATGTCTTAACCTTTTCCCCCTTTGCCAGCCATTTGTCTCAACATTTATTCTACTATCTGCCTATATAAATATTTCCTTAAATCAAGAGCCCCTTCTACAGTTGACAATTGAACAATGCAGGAGTTAAGGGGGCAGATCCCCTGTGCAATAAAAAATTAGCACATACCCTGACTCCCTAAAAACTTAGCTTCTAACGATTACTGTTGATCAGAAGCTTTGCTGGTAACATAAACAGTTGAATAACAAATATTTTTGTTTTATGTATTATATACTATATTCCTACAATAAATTAAGCTACAGAAAATAAAATATAACAAAATCATAAGGAAAGGAAGATATAAATACTGTTCATTAAGTGGAAGCAAATCATCATAAAGTTCTTATCGTTGTCGTCTTCCCACTGAGTAGGCTGAGGAGAAGGAAAAGGAAGGGTTCGTTTTGCTGTCTCAGGGGTGGCAGAGGTGGAAGAAAATCCACATATAAGTGGACACGTGTGGTTCAAACCCATGTTTTTCTGGAGTCAACTGTACTTACTTATATGTTTTATGCATCCCACATGCTAACATAGAGTGAGGTATTTCTTGATGTGTTAGCATTTAACAATATCCCTGAGACATTTGAGGATTTCTGAAGGACTTTGAAATTGAAGGTTATAAGCTCTTCCATTCTGCCTGTGTCCCAGCCTCACTGTTATTTTTCCACTGTTTCTTAACAGATGGGATTCTGTACTACTTGACATCTTGATCAACTTTCTTCCCTGTCCCACTTCCATCTTTGAATTATCTCTACCTTCTCTAAATTGTGGTTGGAATAGACGCGGAGACTAATCAGATGAGCATTCCTCTAAGCAAAATAAAATAAGTTTCTACCAAAAAAAAAAAATCCATAAATGATGACGTCATCAGAGTAAAGTGTTCTATTTTAGCCAAATTAGTAGAGAAAGTTCTGTCAAAACTCTGTACCATACCTTCCTCACTGTATCTCTAATCGTTCTTGCCACTTCAGCTAATTCGTGGATTGATCAGTTTCTGGCCATGATGACACACTGCAGAAATAGGGAAGATGAAGGAGAAGGGTTCACCACATTTGCAAGGTGGAGACACAGAAACATCTCCAGGCAACTCTGTGTGTGCATGCCTGGAGTCTGAGTGTGGTCAGATGGGCTGCTGGAGCCAAGTGTTTAGAGATCTTATGTGCTTACTCCGCCTCCTTCCTTATTTTTCTTTTTCTCTCTTTCTTTATTCATCAATAAGCAGTTCATTTTCTTTTTTTTTCTGGTTGTGATTTCTTTTCCCTGTTAATTTGTTGCCTGTTCTTTTCCCCTTCTCTGTTTCTTTCTGGCTCTATTTATTTTGTTCTCTTTAAATATTGTTCTTTATTTTTTTTTCTTTCTTCTCCCTTACATTTATCTATGTTTTTTCACTCTGATATGTTTTCACTCTCTCCACTTTTTGTCTATGTTCATGGCTACTCCATTCTACCCACACCTGTCTTGCTAATGCATCTAAAAACAAAACGAAACAAGAAACAGAAAATCTCGTTGTCATTTGCTTTTCCAACAAGACTGAGAAATGTGTGTGCTTCCCACCATCTTCCATTTTAAATGTTAAGTCTACAAAATGAAAATATATAATTCACTCTTCAGTAATAACCATTTACTTTTAAGTGGTATTCTTGCAATTGGCCAACGCTGAGTCATTTATCAACTACTTCATATATATGTAGTGAACCTGATAAAAATGAGATGATTCACCTTTTTTTTAAAAAAAAGTTAATTTCATTAGTAGCATCCTAATGAAATAAATATATTGAATGTAAATTTCAAAAATAGAGATGTAATATTAGTAGTAATAATTTACTAACTACACAAGGTTAGTAAATTATTTGAGTATGAAATAAGTTTTATATTTTCTAAAAAGTGTGAATCAGGCTGAGAACATAATAGAAAATTTAATTTATACTGATGCTGATGCTGAGTATATAAAGCACTAAACAAATGTGTAGATTCTTAGCCAGAAAATTTATTCATCAATCAAATGAGATGGCCAGATTAAATGCCCTCTAAATTCCATTTGAATGCCAGTTTTTTAGGCAATGTAATAACATAAAAGGATCCCTGGTTTGGGAATCATTTATCTGACTCTCATGCCTTGACTGAGCAATTAACTTACTGTGTGATTCTGGCAAAGTCACTTAGCTTTCAGAAGCCTGAGTTTTCATCTACCAAATAGTTTAATGTATTGACTCTTTGGGTCTGATGGGGGTAACATGAGGATCAAATGAGGTGATGATGGTATTAATATGTAATTCATTCAAGTATGCTTCAACCAAAGTTAATCCTGAAAATATTTAGATGTTAAAAGTAGTTATATTGAATGGACAGAATGCTGCTAGATCTTTTGTCAATGTCTTTGAGTAACCCCTGGGATAATGGTAGTTGCATAAATCTGAATGGTTAATAGAAAGAAGCTGTGGAGGGTCAGTAATGCCTTCATGTAAAATTGCCAATACAGCTAGTAGTTTGTATATCAAGCTTTTTTTCAGTTCTACAGCTTTCTGTCAAAATTCTATGAATGAATGATAGAACCATATGTAACAGAAGAAACTTTCATACCTGCTGAATGTGAAAATGAAGAGGTCAAGGACTTACCTTCCGCAAAATCATAAAATCTGTTAAGTTTTTCTCTGGAGCTTTTAGCCAACCATTTCTGCATCCTCCTCCCCTTTCTTCCATATTTAATAAGGAAAATGATACATATCAGTCATTTGTATGATTTTTTGTTTTTTAACACCAGATGTCAATTCTCTTGAGTCTATGGAAAATTATAATAGAATTAAAGGTTTAGTTCACCAGTAAAGTAATCCCAAGCATTAAATGCAGATGGAGATCTATTAGGAGAGAGAATACACAGTGCCCCACTGCTGAATTTAGACCTTAGCCTGTGGCTATTCCTGCTAATACTCTGACCTGTCTATTCAACTGCAATCTAAGATATCAGGTGAACAAGTAAAATAGTTGCAATATTTTTTCTATTGTCTCTTTCTTCTTGTTTCTTGTATATATATGAAGAGCTCCAGAAATTTAAGCCTTCAGGGATCTTATGTTACTCTCACAAAGTAGCCATCCTCCCTCTCCTAGTAAGACTAACCAATTTTGCCATTGTTCATAAATGTTCATTGCCACATGAGGAACCTTAGATTTTAAAATCTCTCTATTGTAATGGAGAAAGTGCTTTTGAGATTTGAGACTACCGTGACCCACTGAATGCTTCCAAAGGGAGTTATTAGGCAAACTATATTAGTTATCAACTAAATAAGGCAAAGAAAAATACCAGAGCTTTGCAAGAACTAATTTTTTTTAAATGTGCTACATAATGCCAAGCTGACTTCCTTTCTAGTTCTAAAACAAAAATTCTACTGTGAAAAAGACAGAACCCTATTCAGAAGCATACTTTTTAGTCCAGAAGTAAATAGAAGTTTGAGAGAAGTAAATTTACATGTTATAATAAAATTCAAAAGGAGAAAAATATTAAATAAATGATGAGAGATTATTGCTTTGTACCACAAAAGCAAGCAGGGGTAGGATGAGGCAAAAATTACATATATACATATATATATATATATATATATATATATATATATATATATATATATATATGACTAGACTCAAATTTTTCAATTAAAGGCTTCACCAAACTTTAGAGGGTGGCTGGCAAGATGGCCAGATAAGAGCAACTCCAGTCTGCAGCTCCCAGCAAGACCAACGCAGAAGGTGGGTGATTTCTGCATTTCCAACTGAGGTACCCGGCTCATCTCATTGGGACTGGTTAGACAGTGGGTTCAGCCTACGGAGGATGAGCCAAAGCAGGGTGGGGCATCACCTCACCCGGGAAGTGGAAGGGTTCAGGGAACTCCCTCCCCGGCCAAGGGAAGCCATGAGAGACTGTGCCAAGAGGAATGGTGGATTCTGATCCACATACTAGGCTTTTCCCATGGTTTTTGCAACCTGCAGACCAGGAGATTCCCTTGGGTGCCTACACCACCAGGGCCCTGGGTTTCAAGCACAAAACTAGGCAGCCATTTGGGCAGACACTGAGGTAGAAGCAGGAGTTTTTTTCATACCCCAGTGGCACCCGGAATGCCAGCAAGATAGAACGATTCACTCCCCTGGAAATGGGGCTGAAGCCAGGGAGTCAAGTGGTCTATCTCAGTGGATCCCACCCCCATGGAGCCCAGCAAGCTAAGATCCACTGGCTTGAAATTCTTGCTGCCAGCACAGCACTCTGAAGTTGACCTGGGACACTCGAGCTTGGTTGGGGTAGGGGCATCCGCCATTACTGAGGCTTGAGTAGGCACTTTTCTCTTCACAGTGTAAATAAAACCACCAGGAAGTTTGAACTGGGCAGAGCCCACTGCAACCCAGCAAAGCAGCTATAGCCAGACTGCTTCTCTAGATTTCTCCTCTCTGGGCAGGGTATCTCTGAAAGAAAGGCAGCGTCCCCAGTCAGGGGCTTATAGATAAAAATCCCATCTCCCTGGGACAGAGCACCTGGGGGGAAGGGCGGCTGTGGGCACAGCTTCAGCAGACTTAAATGTTCCTGCCTGCCATCTCTGAAGGGAGCAGCAGATCTCCCAGCAAAGCGCTTGAACTCTGCTAAGGGACAGACTGCCTCCTCAAGTGGCTCCCTGATGCCTGTGCCTCCTGACTGGGAGACACCTCCTAGCAGGGGTTGACAGACACCTCATACGGGAGATCTCCAGCTGGCATCTGGCTGGTGCCCCTCTGGGACAAAGCTTCCAGAAGAAGGAACAGGCAGTAGTCTTTGCTGTTCTGCAGCATCTGCGATGACACCCAGGTAAACAGGGTCTGGAGTGGACCCGCAGCAAACTCCAGCAGACCTGCAGCAGAAGGGCCTGACTGTTAGAAGGAAAACTAACAAACAGAAAGAAATAGCATCAACATCAACAAAAAGGATGTCCACCCAAAAACACCAACTGAAGGTCACCAACATCAAAGAACAAAGTTAGATAGGTCCAAGAAGATGAGGAAAAACCAGAGCAAAAAGGCTGAAAATTCCAAAAACCAGAACACCTCTTCTCCTCCAAAGTATCACAACTCCTTGCCAGCAAGGGAGCAAAACTGGATGGAGAATGAGTTTGACAAGTTGACAGAAGTAGGCTTCCAAAGATGGGTAGTAACAAACTCCTCTGAGCTAAAGGAGCATGTTCTAACCCAAAACAAGGAAGCTAAGAACCTTGAAAAAGGTTAGAGGAATTGATAACTAAAATAACCACCTTAGAAAAGAACATAAATAACCTGATGGAGCTGAGAAACACAGCACGAGAACTTCATGAAGCATACACAAGTATCAATAGCCAAATCAATTGAGTGGATGAAAGGATACCAGGGATTGAAGATCAACTTAATGAAATAAAGCGTGAAGACAAGATTGGAGAAAAAAGATTGAAAAGGAATGAACAAATCCTCCAAGAAATATGGGACTATGTGAAAAGACCAAACCTACGTTTGATTGGTGTACCTGAAAGTGACGGGGAGAATGGAACCAAGTTGGAAAACACTCTTCAGGATATTATCCAGGAGAACTTTCCCAACCTAGCAAGACAGGCCAGCATTCAAATTCAGGAAATACAGAGAACACCACAAAGATACTCCTCGAGAAGAGCAACCCCAAGAAACATAATTGTCAGATTCACCAAGGTTGAAATGAAGGAAAAAATGTTAAGGTCAGCCAGGAAGAAAGGTCAAGTAGTTACCCACAAAGGGAAGTCCATCAGACTAACAGTGGATCTCTCTGCAGAAACCCTACAAGCCAGAAAGAAGTGGGGGCCAATATTCAACGTTCTTAAAGAAAAGAATTTTCAAACCAGAATTTAATATCCAGCCAAACAAAGTTTCATAGATGAAGGAGAAATAAAATCCTTTACAGATAAGAAAATACTAACAGATTTTTGTCACCACCAGGCCTGCCTTACAAGACCTCCAGAAGGAAGCACCAAATATGGAAAGAAAAACTGGTACCAGCCACTGCAAAAACATACCAAATTGTAAAGACTATTGAAGCTATGAAAAAACTGCATCAACTAACAGGCAAAATAACCAGATAACATCATAATGACAGGATCAAATTCACACATAACAATGTTAACCTTAAATGTAAATGGGTTAAGTCCCCAGTTAGAATACACAGACTGGTAAATTGGATAGAGACTCAAGACCCATTGGTGTGCTGTATTCAGGAGACCCATCTCACGTGCAAAGACACACATAGGCTCAAAATGAAGGGATGGAGGAAGATTTACCAAGCATATTGAAAGCCAAAAAAAAGCAGGGGTTGCAATCCTAGTCTCTGATAAAACAGACTTTAAACCAACAAAGATCAAAAAAGACAAAAAAGGGCATTACATAATGGTAAACGGATCAATGCAACAAGAAAAGCTAACTATCCCAAATATGTATGCACCTAATACAGGAGCACCCATATTCATAAAGCAAGTCCTTAGAGATATACAAAGAGACTTACATTCCCACACAATAATAGTGGGAGACTTTAACACCCCACTGTCAATATTAGACAGATCAAGAGACAGAAAATTAACAAGGACATTCAGGACTTGAACTCAGCTCTGGACCAAGCAGAACTAATAGACATCTACAAAACTCTCCACCCCAAATCAACAGAATATACATTCTTTTCAGCACCACATCACACTTATTATAAAATTGACCACATAATTGGAAGTAAAACACTCCTCAGCAAATGCAAAAGAACAGAAATCATAACAAATAGTCTCTCAGATCACAGTGCAATCAAATTAGAACTCAGGATTAAGAAACTCACTCAAAACTGCACAACTGCATGGAAACTGAACAACCTGCTCCTGAATGACTACTGGGTAAATAACGAAATTTAGGCAGAAATAAATAAGTTCTTTGAAACCAATGAGAACAAAGACACAATGTACGAGAATCTCTGGGACACAGCTAATGCAGTGTTTACAGGAAAATTTATAGCACTAAATGCCAACAGCTTAAAGCAGCAAAGATCTAAAATCAACACCCTAACATTACAATTAAAAGAACTAGAGAAGTAAGAGCAGACAAATTCAAAAGCTAGCAGAAGACAAGAAATAACTAAGATCAGAGCAGAACTGAAGGAGATAGAGACACAAAAAACCCTTCAAAAAATCAATGCATCCAGGAGCTGGTTTTTTGAAAACATTAACAAAATAAATAGACCACTAACCAGACTAATGAAGAAAAGAAAGAAGAATCAAATAGACACAATAGAAAATGATAAAGGGGTATCACCACTGATCCCATAGAAATACAAACTACCATCAGAGAATACTACAAACACCTCTACACAAATAAACTAGAAAATCTACAAGAAATGGATAAATTCCTGGGCACATACACCCTCCCAAGACTGAACCAGGAAGAAGTCAAATCCCTGAATAGACAAATAACAAGTTCTGAAATCGAGGCAGTAATTAATAGCCTACCAACCAAAAAAAAGTCCAGGACCAGACAGATTCACAGCCAAATTCTACCAGAGGTACAAAGAGGAGCTGGTACCATTCCTTCAGAAACTATTACAAACAATAGAAAAAGAGGGACTCCTCCCTAACTCATTTTATGAGGCCAGCATCATCCTGATACCAAAACCTGGCAGAGACACACATAAAAAAGAAAATTTCAGGCCAATATCCCTGATGAACATCAATGCAAAAATCCTCAATAAAATACTGGCAAACCGAATCCAGCAGCACATCAAAAAGCTTATCCACCATGATCAAGTTGGCTTCATCCCTGGAATGCAAGGCTGGTTCAACATACCCAATCAGTAAACATAATCCATCACATAAACAGAACCAATGACAAACATCACATGATTATCTCAATAGATGCAGAAAAGGCCTTCAGTAAAATTCACCCCTTCATGCTAAAAACTCTAAATAAACTAGGTATTGATGGAACGTATCTGAAAATAATAAGAGCTATTTATGACACACCCACAGCCAATATCATACCGAATGGGCAAAAGCTGGAAGCATTCTCTTTGAAAACCAGCACAAGACAAGGATGCCTTTTCTCACCATTCTTATTCAACACAGCATTGGAAGTTCTGGCCAGGGCAATCAGGGAAGAGAAAGAAATAAAGCGTATTCAAATAGGAAGAGAGGGAGGTAAATTGTCAAAGTTTGCAGATGACATGATTGTATATTTAGAAAACCCCATCATCTTAGCCCAAAATCTCCTTAAGCTCATAAGCAACTTCAGCAAAGTCTCAGGATACAAAATCAATGTGCAAAAATTACAAACATTCCTATATACCATTAATAGATAAACAGCCAAATCATGAGTGAACTCCCATTCACAACTGCTACAAAGAGAATGAAATACCTACGAATACAACTAACAAGGGATATGAAGGACCTCTTCAAGGAGAATTACAAACCACTGCTCAAGGAAAAAGAGAGGACACAAATGGAAAAACGTTCTGTGCTCATGGATAGGAAGAATCAATATCATGAAAATGGCCATACTGCCCAAAGTAATTTACAGATTCAATGCTATCCCCATCAAGCTACCATTGATTTTCTTCACAGAATTAGAAAAAACAACTTTAAATTTCATACAGAACCAAAAAAGAGCCTGTATAGCCAAGACAATCCTAAGCAAAAAGAAAGAGGCATCACACTACCTGACTTCGAACTATACTACAAGGCCGCAGTAACCAAAACAGCATGGTACTGGTACCAAAACAGATATATAGACCAATGGAACAGAAAAGAGGCCTTAGAAATAATGCCACACATCTACAACCATCTGGTCTTTAACAAGCCTGACAAAAGCAAGCAATGGGAAAAGGATTCCCTATTTAATAAATGGTGTTGTGAAAACTGGCTAGACATATGCAGAAAACTGAAACTGAACCCCTTCCTTACACCTTATACAAAATTAACTCAAGATGGATTAAAGGAGTAAATGGAAAACCTAAAACCATAAAAACCCTAGAAGAAAACCTAGGCAATACCATTCAGGACATAGGCATGGGCAAAGACTTCATGACTAAAACACCAAAACCAATGGCAACAAAAGCCAAAATTGACAAATGAGATCTAATTAAACTAAAGAGCTTCTGCACAGCAAAAAAACAAACAAACAAACAAACAAACAAAAAAAAACCTCTCATCAGAGTGGACAGTCAACCTACAGAATGAGAGGAAATTTTTGCAATCTATCCAGCTGACAAAGGGCTAATATCTAGCATCTACAGGGAACTTAAACAAATTTACAAGAAAAAAAACAACCCTATCAAAAAGTGAACAAAGGATATGAACAGACACTTCTCAAAAGAAGACATTTATGCAGCCAACAAACATATGAAAAAAAAGCTCATCATCACTGGTCATTAGAGAAATGCAAATCAAAACCACAATGAGATACCATCTCATGCCAGTTAGAATGGTGATCATTAAAAGGTCAGGAAACAGCAGATGCTGGAGAGGATGTGGAGAAATAGGAACCCTTTTACACTGTTGGTGGGAGGGTAAATTAGTTCAACCATTGTAGAAGACAGTGTAGCGATTCCTCAAGGATGTAGAACCAGAAATACCATTTGACCCAGCAATCCCATTACTGGGTATATACCCAAAGAATTATATATCATTCTACTATAAAGACACATGCACATGTATGTTTACTGTGGCACTGTTCACAATAGCAAAGACTTTGAACCAACCCAAATGCCCATCAATCATAGACTGGATAAAGAAAATGGGTCACATATACTTTATGGAATACTATGCAGCCATAAAAAAGGATGAGTTCATGTCATTTGCAGGGATATGGATGAAGCTAGAAACCATCATTCTCAGCAAACTAACACAGGAACAGAAAACCAAACACCACATGTTCTTACTCTTAAGTGGGAGTTGAACAGTGAGAACACAGGGACACAGGGAGGGGAATATCCCACACGGGGGCCTGTCACAGGGTGGGGGGCTAGGGGAAGGATAGCATTAGGAGAAATACCTAATGTAGGTGACAGGTTGATGGGTGCAGCAAACCACCATGGCACATATTTACCTATGTAACAAACCTGCATATTCTACGCATGTATCCCAGAACTTAAAGTATAATTTTTAAAAAAGACTTCACCAATATTATTTATTTTTCCTGTTGCCTCAGGTTCCAACATGGCTCAACATGGCAGTTGCTGATCCTGCCTTTGCTTAAAATTTGGTACTTTATCACAAATTTTAAAATTAATTTTGATTTCTCAAAATATTGATTTAAATGTTTATCTCTACTATTGAGTTTTTGGGCACGCCTTTAAATTTTGCATGCAAGATAAGCACCTTACTCAGTTGTAGGATGTTGACGGTGATAAGGACATTAGCAAAGGAAATATTGAAAAGCTCATGAATACTGCTGCATAATTCTTCTTAGAGAAAATAGTTTCTTAGTATAGGATAGAACAATTGCTAAAGGGAAGGTGATCTCCTACATAGCATGAAAAGATGTGTCATGCTCTTGGTATTTGTAATTTGTTCCCTTTCACTCTGCTCAACTAAAACAAGGATGAAAAACATTTTTCCATTAAAGATTATTAATTTTAAAAATTATTTGAGTCAGAAAAAATAAATGCAAATTAATTTTATTAATTTTATTTAAAAATTAGTTTAATCTTTTGCTTTAAAGAAAACACTGAGTTTATGGGTCACTTTACAAGTGAAATAAGAACACAGATTTGGGGGTAATAAACATAATTTATCACCAAATACATTTGTTTTAATTTATTTCACAGTTCAAAAACAAAGTGTAAGAGTAGAAAAAGGAAAGAAAGAAGAAAGGAGAGAGAGAGAAGTACAGAAAAAGTTACAATAATCAAAATAAAAATCAAGAGAAAAGGGAAAAGAAAGACTAGCAGAGACATAAATGGAAAGATAGTCGTATGACTTAAAAACAAATGGTGAAGAGACAGAGAGATACTAGTCCATGAGGAGAGCAAGACCATCCAGAGGCAAAACTCCTTATCCAAGGAATTCAGAAGTAATTAGACATCCCTATTATGTAAAGCTGGCATCTGGTATGAGATTTCTTTTCCAAAAATTTGTGAGTAACCAGAATTTCTATGCATCTCTGGAATGCATGTATTCTAAACTCATTGTGCAATCCCTGCTGACATCAAGGCACCAAAATGTCTATAAATGTAATTGTTTACCATGACCTATGTGGCTAATATGGTAAAAATTACCCTTAAGCTCCCACTTTAAGGTCCATAAATACCCTAAGGAAAAATCTACTGCAGTGGCGTCCTCAGTCCTCTCTTGCTGAGGAGCCCTGCTGCACTCCTCTGCAGCGTTCTTTCCATCTAATACAACTTTCCTTTTCAAATCTATACAGTTGTTGGTAAATTCTTCTTACTACCCACAAGCCAACCACACTCCACTGTCTGGGCTGTGACAGCTCGCATGGCAGTCCATATAAATGCACAGTCTACAAATCCATATAACCATAAAAAGAAAACAATGATAAAGAGAGCTGCACAGAGGAAAATAGAGAAAGGAAGCAAAATGAATGAGGTTAGATACGTTCTTAAGTGGAATAACAACCCCATCTTGGAGTAGGTTAGTCTTGCCACCAAAACTTTTAAAAACATGATTTTTTTTCATAATTGTGCATATAATCCAGGATCTTACTCACCTCTTAATGTTCACTCTAATAGATAAGATAAAATTAATCTGAAGATCTAAAATAGTCCTCAAAATGGAGACTTTTTAATCCTTCTAGGAAAGTTTTATCACCTTGGATAGATTTTCTCTTCTAGATAATCTTGAATTAATTTTACAATGAAAAGTATTACTGGTATTTTATTAAATTGTATTCTATTTATGCATTGACATGTATATATTCAATATTATTTTTAACCAACAAGAGTTTGTCTCTGAATTTATTCATTTTTTTCTCAAAAAAATGACCACTTTTTATATGAAAAGATACTTCCCAAAAGAAAACATGTATACGGCCAATAAGCATATGAAAAAAAAAATGCTCAGCTTGACTATTCATTAGAGAAATGCAAATCAAAACCACAATGAGATACCATCTCACACCAGTCAGAAGGACTATTATTAAAAAGTCAAAGAATGGCTGGGCACGGTGGCTCACGCCTATAATCCCAGCACTTTGGGAGGCCGAGGTGGGCAGATCACGAGGTCAGGAGATCGAGACCATTCTGGCTAACACGGTGAAACCCCGTCTGTAATAAAAAATACAAAAAAAAAAATTACCTGGGCGTGGTGGCGGGCGCCTGTAGTCCCAGCTACTCAGGAGGCTGAGGCAGGAGAATGGCGTGAACCTGGGAGGCGCAGCTTGCAGTGAGCCGAGATCGCGCCACTGCACTCCAGCCTGGGCGACAGAGCGAGACTCCGTCTCAAAAAAAAAAAAAAAAAAGAAAAGAAAAAAAAAGAAAAGTCAAAAAATAAAAATTCAAAGAGAATTTTTTTTTCTTTTTTTACTTTTATGGCATGACTTCTAGTATTTTTATATCCTTAACACTTTATACAAAAAAATCAAAGGAAGAAGAATAATAACATTTAAGTTTACTTTGTTTCGTTTTTCAGAGTTAATAGTTGTTTCACATTCTCACCAAGATTTAGTTTTTAAATGTTGATCTTGTATCCTGCAACCCTTGATAAATTTCCTTGTAAATTCTAGTTCTTTAAAGACACCATAGTATGCTCTACACATACATTTCTTCTATGAATAAATAGATTTTTATTTTTTTCTTCCTAATATTAATACCTTTAAAAAAAACTTTATTTCAGTGGTTAGCACATGTTGAATAGAAGTGGTGAGAGCATGGATACTTGCATTCTTCCTAATCTTAAGGGGGCATGCATTCAAGATTTTATCATATGTTATAATGGTTGCTATAGGTTTTTCATAATTGCCCTTTATTGGACTGGAGAGGTTCCCTTTCATTTCCAATGTACTTAGAATTTTTTACAGACATGAATGGATGTTAAAACAGATGATTTTCTGCCTCTATTGGCAAGATCATATCATTTTTCCACCTTCATTCAGTGAATATAGCAATTAACTTGATTGATTTTCAAATGTTAAGCCAACTATGCGTTTTTGGGATACATCCCATCTGGTCACAACTTTTTATGTATTGTCATGTTCGGATTGCTAATGCTTTGTTTTAAAATTTTATGTGTAGCCGGGCAGGGTGGCTCACGCTTGTAATCCCACCACTTTGGGAGGCCGAGGAGGGCGAATCATGAGGTCAGGAGATCGAGACCATCCTGGCTAAGACGGTGAAACCCCGTCTCTACTGAAAATACAAAAAATTAGCCGGGCTTGGTGGTGGGCGCCTGTAGTCTCAGCTATTTGGGAGACTGAGGCAGGAGAATGGCATGAACCCGGGAGGTGGAGCTTGCAGTGAGCCGAGATCGCACGACTGCACTCCAGCCTGGGTGACAGAGTCAGAGTCCGTCTCAAAAAAATAAAAATAAAATTGTATGTGTATGTTTTTGAGAAATCATCTTTTCTTGTAATGCAAAATCCTTGCAATGCAAAATCCTGTGTCAGATTTTGGTATCAGGGTTATACTGACCTCATAAAGAAAGTTGGGCAATGGTATCCTTTCTTCTATTTTATGAACGAGTTTAGATACAATTGGCATTACCCGTTTCTTACATATTTTAGAAAACTCCCTGGTTGAGCCATATGAACCTGGAATTTTCTTAGTAGAAAGTTTTCAGCTCTACATTCATTTCCTTTTAAAATATATTCCTATTTAGATTTTGTATATCTTGATGTGCCAGTTTTGGCAAATGTGTTTTGTCATATTGCTATTCTTCATATTCCCTTATTATCCCTTCAGTTTCTTTAGGACTAATAGTGCTTCTCTTGTTATTCTTAATGTTGGTAGTTTGTGTGTTTCTCTTTTAAAATTCATCATTCTACTAGGGGTTTATCAATTTTGGTAATCATTTCAAAATACCAATTTTTGGCTTTTAAATTTTTTTCTAATGTTTGTCTACTTTATGTTTCATTAATTTTGACTCTTTTCCTTTTATCTCTTTCTTGCAAAGGACATGATCTCATTCTTTTTATGACTACATAGTATTCCATTGTGTCTGTGTACCACATTTTCTTTATACAGTTTACCATTGATGGCAACTTTGCTATTGAGAATAGTACTGTGTTGAACATATGTGTGCATATGTCTTTATGGTAAAATGATTTATATTCCTTTGGATATGTGCCCAATAATGAGATTGCTAGGTTAAATGATAATTCTCTTTTAATTTCTTTGAGAAATTGCCACGCTGCTTTCCACAATGGCTGAACTAATTTACATTCCCACCAGCAGCGTATAAGTGTTCCCTCTTCTCTGAAACCTCACTAGCATGTTATTTTTTGACTTTTTAATAATAACCATTCTGACTGCTGTGAGTTGGTATCTCGTTGTGGTTTTGATGTGCTTAGCGATGTCGAGCATTTTTTCATATGCTTCTTGGCTGCATGTAGGTCTTTGAAAAGCCTTTGTTCATGTCCTTTGCCCAATTTTTAAAGAGATTGTTTTTTGCTCGATCATTTAAGTTCCTTGTAGATTCTGGATATTAGACCTTTGTTGGGTGCATAGTTTGCAAATATTTTATCCCATTTTGTGGGTTGTCTGTTGACTCTGTTGACAGTTCATTCTGCTCTGCAGAAGCTCTTTAGTTTACTTAGGTCTCATTTGTCAATTTCTGGTTTTTGTGGTCAATGTTTTTGGTGTCTTCACCATGAAATACTAGCCAGGGCCTATTTGAGAATGGAATTTCCTAAGTTATCTCCTGGGGTTTTTATAGTTTGCGGTTTTACATTTAATTCTCCAATCCATGTTGAACTGATTTTTGTAGGGTGCAGCACACCAACATGGCACATGTATACATGTGTAACAAAACCTGCACGTTGTGCACGTGTACCCTAAAACTTAAAGTATAATAGTAACAAAATAAAATAAAATAAAACAAATGGAAAAGAAAGAAGGGGTTACATTTCAGTCTTTTGCATGTGGCTTGCCCATTATCCCAGCACCATTTATTGAATAGAAAGTCCTTTCCCTACTGCTTGTTTGTATCCTCTTTGTGAAAGTTCAGATGGTTATAGGTGTGCAGCACTATTTCTGGCCTCTCATTATGTTCCATTGGTTTATGTGTCTGTTTTTGTACCAGTATCATGCTGTTTTGGTTACTGTAGCCTTGTAGTATAGTTTGAGGTTGGGTAATATGATGCCTCCAGCTTTGTTCTTTTTTGCTTAGGATTGCCTTATTTGCCCATTTTTAAGTGGATTTTTTTTGTTTTGTTTTTTTGCTTGTTGCTTTGTTTAAGTTCTTTATACTTTCTGGATATTAGACCTTTGTTTGGAAGCATAGCTTGTGAGTATTTTCTCCCATTCTGTAGGTTTTCTGCTTACTCTATTGATAGTTCCTTTTGCTGTGCAGAAGCTCTTTTGTTTAATGAGGTCCCACTTGTCAACTCTAGTTTTTGTTGCAATTACCTTTGAGGACTCAGCCAAAAATTCTCTGCCAAGGCTGTGGCTGAGAAGAGTATTTCCTAGGTTTTCTTCTAGGATTTCTATAGGCTGAGGTCTTAAATTTAAATCTGTAATCGATTTTGAGTTGATTTTTGTATATGGTGAAAAATAAGGGTCAAGTTTCACTTTTTTTTGTATCTGACTAGCCAGTTATCCCAGCACCATTTATTGAATAGAGAGACCTGAGAGTTAGCTTGGTTGAATGTTCTTAGGCTCCAGACTCAAGCCCACAACTTTCCTCAGTAGGGGCTTCTAAACAGAGAGTCTTTTCTCCATTGCTTATTTTTGTCTGCCTTGTTGAAGAGCTGATGGTTGTAAGTGCATGGATTTATTTCTGGGTTTTCTATTCTGTTCTATGGGTCTATGTGTCTGTTTCTGTACCAGTAGCATACTGTTTTGGTTACAATGGCCTTATAGTTTGAGTAGTGTGATGCCTCTAGTTTCATTCTTTTTACATTTTTTTCAATTTTTCTGGGTACAGAGTAGGTGCATATGTTCATGTGGTACATTTTGCATGGGATTGTTTTGACTATTCAGGCTTTTTTGGCTCTGTATGAATTTTCTATCTTTTTTTCTAATTCTGAGAAGAATGGTGTTGGTGGTGAGATAGGAATACCATTAAACTGTTGATTGCTTTGGGCAGTGTGGCCATTTTAACTATATTGATTCTTGTAATCTATTAGTATGGAATGTTTTTCCATTTATTTCTGTCATCTCTGATTTCTGTCAGCAGTGTTTTTGCCATTAATTTTGTAGAGGGTTTTCTGGTTAACTGTATTCCAAGGTATTTAATTTTCTTTGTGCCTATTGTAAATGGGATTGTGTCCTTGATTTCACTCTCAGCCTGGACATTATTGATGTATGGAAATGCTATTGATTTTTATACAATGATTTCATGTCCTGAAACCTTCCTAAAATTGTATGTCAGTTCTAGTTGCCTTTTTGTGAAAGCTAGTTTTCTAAGTATAGAATTATATCATCAGTGAATAGAAATAGTTTGACTTCTTATTTTCCTATTTGGATATCTTTTATTTCTTTCTTTTGCATAATTGCTGTGGCTAGGACTTCAAGTACTCTGTTGAAGAAGTGTGGTGAGAATGTACATCCTTGTCCTTTACCAGTTCTTAAGGGGAATACTTCCAGCTTTTGCCCATTCAGTATCATGTTGGCTGTGGGTCTGTCATAGATGGCTCTTATTGTTTTGAGGTATATTCCTTCAAAATCTAGTCTGTTAAGGGTTTTTATCATGAAGGGATGTTGGATATTATTGAATGCTTTTTCTGCATCTATTGAGATGATCATGTGGTTTTTGTCTCTTATTATGTTTATGTGATGAATCACATTTATTGATTTGCATACATTGAATCAGCCTTACCTCTCGGGAATAGTACCTACTTGATCACAGTGTGTTAACTTTTTGATGTGCTGATGGATTCAATTAGCTAATATTTTGTCGATGATATTTGCATCTGTATTCATAAGGGATATTGCCCTGATGATTTGTTTTTTGTTCTGTCCCTGCCAGGTTTTGGTATCAGGATGATACTGGCTTCATAGAATGAGTTAGGGAGGAGCTCCTACTCCTCAATTTTTTGGAATAGTTTCAATAAAATTGGTAGAGTTCTTTTTTTAACTCTGGTAGAATTCAGCTGTGAATCTATCTGGCCCAGGACTTACTTTGGTTGGTAGGTTTTTTTATTATTGATTCTGTTTCACAGCTTGATGTTGGTCTAATCAGGGTTTCAATCTCTTCCAGGGATTCAATCTTGGGAGATTGTGTGTTTCCATGAATTTATCCATTTCTTCTAGATTTTCTAATTTGTATGCATAAAGTTGCTTATAGTATTCTTTGAGTATCTTTTGTATTTCTGTGGGATCAGTTGCAACATCATTTTTGTTATTTCTGATTGTACTCATTTGGGTCTTCAGCTTTTTTTCTATGTTAATCTAGCTAGCAATCTACCAATTTTGTTTATTTTTATTTTGAAGGACCAATTATTGGTTTCGCTGACCTTTTGTACATATTTTTGCATCTCACTTTCATTAAGTTTTTCTCTATTTGTAGTTATATCTGTTCTTCTGCTAGCTTTGAGCTTTTTTTTTTCTAGTTCCTTTAGGTACAAAGTTGGATTATTAAATTCAGATTTTTCTAACTTCTTGATGAAGGTATTTAGTGCTATAATCTTTCCTCTTATTATCTTATTTACTTATTTATATAAAAAGTTTTATTTCCTGCTTTAGCTTCATTTCAGAGATTTTGGTTAGTTGTGTCCCTGTTTTAATTTCAAAGAATTTTTTTGATTTTTGCCTAATTTCAGTGTGGACCCATGAGTTACTCAGGAGCAAGTTGTTTACTTTCCATGAATTTGTGTACTTTTGAGAGACCTTCTTGACGTTTATTTCTAATTTTATTGCACTGTGGTTCAAGAATGTGCCTGGGATGATTTCAGTGTTTTTGAATGTATTCAGACTTGCTTTCTGACGAAGCGTGTGGTTGATCTTACAATATGTTCCATGTGTAGATGAGAATGAATATTCTATGGTTGTTGGATGGAGTGTTCTGTAGATGTTTATTAAGTCCAATTAGTCAAGTGTCAAATTTAAGTCCAGAATTTCTTTGTTCGTCTTCTGCCTTAACGATCTAAAACCATCAGTGGAGCAGTGAAGTCTCCCAGTATTATTGTATGATTGTCTAAGTCTTTTTGTAGGCCAAGAAAAACTTGTTTTATGAGTCGGGTGCTCCAATGTTCAGTGTGTATACATTTAGGATAAAGTCTTCTTGTTGAACTGAACCCTTTATCATTATGTAATGCCCTTCTTTGTCCTTGGTAATTGTTGTTGGTTTGTTTTATACGCTATAAGAAATAGTGACCCCTACTATTTTTTGTTTGTTTTTTGTTTACATGACAAATCTTTCTGCATCCCTTTACTTTGACCCTGTGGGTTTCATTACATATGAGATTGGTCTCTTCAAGACAGCAGACAGTGGTGTCTTGCCTTTTTATCCAACTTACCACTCTATGCCTTTTAAGTAGGGCATTTAGATAACTTACATTTAAGATTAATATTGATATGTCAGATTTTGATCCTGTCATCATGTTGTTAGCTGGCTGTTTTATAGACTTGACTGTGTAGTGCTTCATAGTGTCTATGGGCTATGTGCTTAAGCGTGTTTTTGTGGCAGCAGATGCTGTTCTTTTGTTCACGTGTTTAGCACTCCCTTAAGGACCTGTTATAAGGCTAGCTAAGTTGAAATGTATTACCTTAGCATTTTATTTTCTGAGAAGGATTTTATTTTTCCTTCACTTATGAAGCTAAGTTTGGTGGGATATGAAATTCTTGGTTGGAGTTTATTTTCTTTAAGAATACTAAAAATAGGCCCCTAATTTTTTCTGGCTGATAAAGTTTCTGCTGAAAGGTCTGCTGCTAGCCTGATGGAGTTCCCTTCATACATAACCCGACCTTTCTTTCTAGATCCCTTTTCTTTTGCATTAACTATGGTGAATCTGAAGATTATGTGCCTTGTAAATCTTGTACAATATCTAGCCAGGATTCTCTGTATTTCTTGGATTTGCATATCATCCTCTCTAGCAAGATTAGGAAGATTTTCATGGACTATATAGTCGAATTTATTTTCCAAGTTGTTTATTCTCTGTCCTTCTCTCTCAGTAATGGCAATGAGTTGTAGATTTGGTCTCTTTATATAATCTTTCTCAGAAGTTTTGTTCACTTTTAAAATTGTTTTTTCTTTATTTTTGTCTCACAGTGTTAATTCAAAGAACCAGTCTTTGAGCTCAGAGATATTTTCCTTAGCTTGGTCTATTTTGCTGTTAATACTTCTAACTGTATTATGAACTTCTTCTAGTGAATTTTTAACTCGAGAGTTTCAGTTTGGTTCTTTCTTAAAGTGGCTATTTTGTCTTTCAGCTCTTCTGTCATTTTACTGGATTCCATGGATTGGATTTCAAATTTGTCCTGAATCTCAATGAGCTTCCATGACATCCAGATCCTGAATTCTATGTCTCTCATTTCAGTAATTTCTTATGGTTTAGGAATCATTGCTGGGAAAGACACAATCTAACCTTGAGTGACCTTGAATGTAAATGGGTTAAATGCTTCAAGGCATTTAAAAGGCATAGAGTGGCAAGTCAGATAAAGAAGCAAGACCCAACTGTATTCTCTCTGCAAGAGACCCATCTCACATGCAGTGATATCCAGGGGCTCAAAATAAAGGGATGGAGAAAAAATAGACCAAGCCAAAGAAAACAGAAAAGAGCAAATGGTCTGATTCTAATTTCAGACAAAATAGACTATAAACCAATAACAATCAAAAAAGACAAGGGTATTTCATGATGGTAAAGGGTTAAACTCAACAAGAAAACCTAACAATCCTAAGAATATATACATCTAACACAGAAGTACCCAGACTTATAAAGGAAGTTCTTAGAGACCTTTGAAGAGACTTTGATAACCACACAATACTACTGGGAGACTTCAACAACCCACTGACAATATTAGAGCATTGAGACAGAAAATGAACAAAGAGATTCGGGACTGAGCTCAACATTTGACAAAATGGTCCTAACAGACATCTACAGTACTCTCCACCCAAAAACATTAGAATATTATACATTCTTCTCATCTGCACATGGCACATACTCTAAAATCAACGACACAATCAATCATAAAACAATTTTCAGGAAATTCAAAAAATCCAAAATCATACAAACCACACTTTCTCAGATTACAATGCAATAAACATTGAAATCAATACAATAAAATACATCAAAAGCATACGTGAAAATTAACCAACCTTCTCCTCAATGACTTTTGGGTAAACAACGAAATTCGGGCAGAAGTCAAGAAATTCTTTGAAACTAATGAGAACAAACATACTACGTATCAAAATCTCTGGGACACAGATAAAGCAGTATTAAGAGGAAAGTTTATATCACTAAAAAAAAAACTACATCAAAATATTGGAAAGATTTCAAATTAACATCCTAACATCACACCAAGAGGAACTAGAGAAACAAAAGCAAATCAGTCCCAAAGCTAGCAAGAGAAGGGAAATAACTGAAATCAGAGCTGAACTGAAAGAAATTGAGATGCAAAAAACCATACAAAAGATAAACAAATCCAGGTTTTGTTGCTTCAGAATAACACATCAGATTGATAGAGCACTAGCTAGACTAATAAAGCAAAAAAGAGAAGAGATAAAAATAAACACAGTCAGAAATGACAAAGGAAACATTACCACCAACCCCAAAGAAATATTTTTTAAAAACCCTCAGAGACTACTATGAACAACTTTATGCACACAAACTAGAAGAAATTAATAAATTATTGGAAACATACAACCTCCTAAGATTGAACTAGGAAGAAACTGAAACTCTGAACAGACTAATAACAAGTTCCAAGACTGTGTTAATAATAAAAAGCCTACCAACCAGAAAAAGCCCAGGATCAGAGGAATTCACAGCTGAGTTCTACCAGATGCATAAAGAAGAGCTGGTACCTTTCCTCTGAAACTATTCTGAAAATTTGAGGAGGAAGGACTCCTCCCTAATTTATTCTATGAAGCCAACATCATTCTGATACCAAAACCTGGCAGAGATACAACAAAAAAAGAAAACTAGCAAAAAAAAAAAAAAAAAAAAAAAAAGAAAAGAAAAAAAGAAAATACTAGCAAACTGAATCCAGCAGCACATTAAAACTCTACTCCAACACAATCAAGTAGGGTTTATCCCTGGAACACAAGGTTGGTTCAGCATATGCAAATTAGTAAATGTGATTCACCACATAAACAGAACTAAAAACAAAAACCATCTAATCTTCAACAAGGCTGACAAAAACAAGCAATGGGAAAAGCACTCCCTATTCAATAAATGGTGCTGAGATAACTAGGTAGCCATATGCAAAAAATGGAAACTGAACCCCTCCCTTATACCATATATGAAAATCAATCCAACTGGATTAAAGACTTAAATGTGAAACCCCAAACTATAAAAACCCTGGAAGACAACCTAGGAAATTCCATTCTCAGCATAGCCCCTGACAAAGATTTCATGACAAAGATGACAAAAGCAAAAATTAATAAATGTGACCTAATTAACCTAAAAAGCTTCTGCACAGCAAAATAAATTATCAACAGAGTAAACAGACAACCTATAGAATAGGTTAAAGTATTTGCAAATGCACGCCTGTAGTCCCAGCTACTCGGGACGCTGAGGCAGGAAAATTGCTTGAACCCAGGAGGCAAAGGTTGCAGTGAGCCGAGCCCGCACCACTGCCCTCCAGCCTGGTGACAGAGTGAGACTCCATCAAAAAAAAAAAAAAAAAAAAAAAGAGTAGTCAAGGCTGGGCGCAGTAGCTCACGCCGGTAATCCCAGCACTTTGGGAAGCCAAGGCGGGTGGATCACCTGAGGTCAGGAGTTCGAGACCAGCTTGGCCAACATGGTGAAACCCCATCTCTACTAAAAATAACAAAAATTAGCCAGGCATGGTGGCAGGTGCCTGTAATCCCAGCTATTGGGGAAGCTGAGGCAGGAGAATCTCTTGAACCCAGGAGGTAGAGGTTGCAGTGGGCCGAGATTGCACCATTGCACTCCAGCCTGGGTGACAAGAGTGAAACTGCATCTCAAAAAAAATAAATAAGACATACACTTGGCCAAGAAGCATATGAAAAAAAATGCTCAACATCACTAATCATTAGAGAAATGCACATCAAAAGCACAATGAGATACCATCTCACACCAGTCAGATGGGCTATTATTAAAAAGTCAAAAAATCATAGATCATGCTGGCAAGTTTGCAGAGAAAACGGAATGTTTATGCATTGCTGGTGGGAATATAAATTAGTTCAGCCATTATGGGTAGCAGTGTGGTGATTTCACAAAGTACTTAAAACCAAAGTAGCATTCAACCCAGCAATCCCATTATTGGGCATATACCCAAAGAAATATAAATCATTCTACCATAAAGACACATGCACAAGTACCTTCATCGTAGCAATATTCACAATAGCAATGTCATGGAATCAACCTAGATGCCCATCAATGGTGAACTTGATAAAGAAAATATGGTACAAATATACTATGGAATACTATGCAGTCATAAAAAGAATGAGATCATATCCTTTGCAGCAACATGCATGGAGCTGGAGGCCATTTTCCTGAGTGAACCAACATAGGAACAAAAAACTAAACACTACATGTTCTTACTTACAAATTTGAGATAAACCTTGAATACACATGAACACAAAGAAGGGAACAATACATACTTGGGCATAGTTGAGATTGGACTGTGGGAAAAGGGTGAGGATCAGAAAACTGCCTATCAGGTACTATGCCTATTACCTGGGTGATAAATCTGTTCACCAAACCCCAATGACAAGCAATTTACCTATATAACAAATCTGCACATGTATAACTGAACCTAAAAATTAAAAAATTAAAATTAAAAAAGTAAAAGGTATCTCCAAACAAGCAAACAAATAAGGAAAGCAAATAAAAAAAATCATTGCTTGGGGTCTGGTGGACTCATCTGGAGGTATGGGGAAACTGGCTTTTTGAATTGTCAGAGTTCTTGCACTGATTCTTTCTCATCTGGAAGCATTGGCGTTCCTTTACCTGTGGTGTAATTTGAGTATAGTCACTTGGCTTTGTTTCTGAATGTTTTCAGATAGCCAAGGCTTTGTGCAGGGTCTTTATTTGTGGCTGGATTCTTGCCTTTGATTTCACTGGGGGATATTAGCAAAATATTTTTGGTGTTGTAGCAGTTTTGGCTGCAATCCAGTAGATGTCGCTTAAGAGTAATGGACGGTAAATACACTCTTGCTCAGGCCTGTGGTTCCTTTGTACTTCCTCACATCTACAGCCTGGTCTCCCGTACAGCGGGGAAAGAAGTGACCCCCTCACCAGGTCAGCTCCTGAGCCTTGGGGGAACCCCCTCCGATCACTAGCACTGCACCATCATTTCTTTTGCTAGGTGTTCCAGGCTGCGGGGCTCCCTCAGGCAGAGGCCACCGCAGGGAGATAGGCCACACCTTTTCCAGGCTCCTCCTGCAGAGGGAGGCGCGCCCCGCTCCCACAGCAGCCCAGGAACTCATGCGGTTACCCCTCTCGGTGCTCTGGGAGTGTGGGTTTCTCTTCCCGCTCTAGTGTTGGACCTGGGGCGAGTTCGGGCTTTTTATTCCCTCCCCTGCTTGGGGGAGCAGGGAAGGGGACCTTGGCGGTGTCGGTGGCAGAGGGCTTGTCAGTTGTCTCTGGGAACTCCACCCCAGAGAAATTCAGAGCCGCTGCCAACCAGAATGATCAGCCCGGGATGGGACGTTTGTGCTGTGGGCGCAAGCCCAGGGCCCTCCCTGGTGGAGAGCAGAGGGATCGGGGGCTTGTTGGGGGGACTGTCTGACCTCCTCTCCGTAGTGCAGCTGTGGCATGCTGGATGTGCAAGCACAGCAAGCAGGCTCTTTGTTCCCTCCCTAGCCCTGGGGGTGGCAGCAGTGGCAGAGGGCCTGTCAGCTGCCTCTGGCAACTCCACCCAGAGCTACTGCTACTGCTAAGGTGAAGGATCCAGGGGTGGGGCGGCTGTGTTGTGGGCCAAAGCCGGGCCGTGTCTGGTGAAGAGTAGCCGGGGTCAGGGGCTCGCAAGGAAGACAATCTGGCCTTCTCTCCCTAGGACAGCTGCAGTCAGGCTCTTTGTTCCCTACCTAGCCTGCGGGGAGCAAGGAAGGACCTTACACTCAGCTAGTGGTGGCACAGAGCCTGCCGGTTGTCTCTGGGAGCTCTACCCCAGAGAAACTTAGGGCCACCGCCAAATGAAAGAACGGGTGGGGGTGGGGCAGCTGTGCTGGGACCCCAGGCTCGGAGGCCCTGCCCAGTGAGGAGTAGCTGGGACAGGGACCCAAGTGGAAAATAATCTGGCCACTTTTCCGTATGACAGCTGTTCGTATGACAGCTGCCTTGCTGAAGGTCTAGGATAGTTCCTGCGCTCTTCGATCCCTCCCCAGCCTGAGGGCGGCATGTGGGAGACCACAGTACCAGAAATCTCAGGCCTATTGGTTACCTCTGGGAGTTCCTTTCCAAAGAAATGGAGAGCCTGACTGGCCTGAGTGCTCAGGTGGGAGTGGGTTGGCTGCGTGGGCGACCCAGGCCAGTGGGCTTTGCCTGGCTTGATGAAGCAAGCGGGGCCTGCGGTCAGTCTGCTCCTCAGCACCGTGGATGCAGCCCCTATTCTAGGGGCATGCGAGAGAGCTGGCCTCCCTTGTTGGTGTGGCTATGGCAGCTGGCACCAAGGTGCTCAGGGCCCCACGGCTCATGGGGCTCCAGGTGACCCTAGCTGCAGCTCTGCCCAGACTCCAGTAATCTCTCTGTGTTGGTCTGGAAGCCCCTCGGGGTCACGGGAGATCTCCTGTGCCAGGATTGCAGAGGCCCATGGCAGAAGTGTGGGTCCCAGGAGGTTCTTATTCACCCTTTCCCTATGGTAGGGAGCCTCACCTGGCTCTATGCCAATCCTGGGTGGACTGCTTTCCTGCCTGGCCCCTTTCTGCTGTCCATCGATTGCAGTTGCTTCCTTGATGAATCCTAACATGGCCTCATGGACGATCCATGTGAAGAGCTAGTGTTTACTCACCACCCTGTCTCCCTCTCCATGAGTGGCACATGATAGCTGCTTCTGGCACCTCACCCTATTCTGTACTTTTTTATTGATAATACATGAGCAACATTATCCTACATGCTAATCAAAATCAGTGGTTTTCATTTCTGTGGTTGATTTTTAAGGGTAAGCTTACTTTCATGCTTATAAGCCTTTTCGTTTTTTTCCTTTGTTCATTGCCCACATTTCCTTCTATGTACCTATTTCATATTCATTTAAGCAAATTATTTATGTATTAGATAAATTTTTATCGTTTATATCGATTTTTAGTAATTTTTATTTTAATTTTTATTCATGGATGCCCTCTCATACAATCTTGGAGTAGGGAAAAAATATTCAATTTACATGCAAACCTTATAATCATGCAGAAAATAATCTCCACATCTATATGCCATAGAAATATTTTCAGCGTTTTTCTGCCTTTTGCCCATATAAACTTTTTTCATTTTTACATATCAAAATATGTAGCAGATATCAAGATTTAATACATCTTTTTATTTTCATTTTCTTTGTCAAACTTCAATGGCCTTTCTCACCTCCAAGATTGCAAACTTTTTATCCTATATTTTACCACCATTTTTGTTTGCTTTCTGAAGAAGCTGTCAACACACAGACAGGTTTGTCAAAGACTTTTGCCACTACCATTACAGATTCTATCAAATATACTCATACAAAATTTAATTTAGAAAAAATAATTAGAGAGACAATAACATGAGAGGTGCTCTCTACAATTCTCTTCATGCCAGACCATGGCTGATTGATGTGTTCCCTGAGCCAAGAGCTGGGAAAGTGGTTTCTTGTCCTCTCAGTCTCCTGGTTATGGCAGGGATAGGTCACTTAGCAGGTTAGTTCTACAGTGTTTTTCTGGTAACAATTTCTATAATAGATGCCCAGCATAAATAATGGTCTTCTATACTTGAAAAATTTTATAAGTACCTAATTTCTCACATTAGACCCCACTATTAATACAGGAGTTATTAAGAAATTATTTTTAGGCAGCTAGAAAGGGTAAAAGAGTCCTCAGAAAGGCTTTTCCTTTTAATAAAAAAGCAGCCCCCAAACCATTTCTTTTCTAACAGAAAGCAGCCTGAAAAGCCATGCTGGAAGCATAGGTATGTAAATTACAGGCTTGCAGAAGTAAATGCAGGTGGCTAACAGCCAGGTCCACTCAATATGACTCTTCCCGCTCACTTTCCTTTGTTGCCACATGTGCAGTTGTCATGGCACCAGCCAAGTAAAGCCACATGTGCAGGCATCATGGCGACAGCCAGGTAGAAGCCGCATTTGCAGAATAAAAGATTAGGGTGGGAGGGCCAGTCTTTTCATGGGTTGTGTGAATGACACACCTGGTCAAAGGAATCCCCTGGGCCCTATGCAAATCAGACACTACCTCCCTGAGCCTCCCAATATAACTGACTGCTTTCCCCACAAGTGGGGTTACTCCATTCAGAGTGCTTCTCCCTCTCTATGGGGAAGCTCTTCTCTTCCTTCTTGCCTAATAAACTTTCTGTTCCTTAACCCACTCCGTGTGTGAGTCTGTGTCATTAATCGGCACAGCACAAGACAACGAACTGCAGGTATTTCCCCAGACAACGAAGCTGCTTCACTATGTTGAAAATAACTGGAGTGATTTATGTAATCTGTAATACAATCTGAAGTACTAAATATCTAATAATGTCTAATAATCATCGTGAAGCTCTGAAGAAAAAATAAGTGAAATAATTTCATGACATTTTACCATGAAACAAATTGGCTTCCTTTCTTATCTCGCCACCAAATTTTGGGGGGGAAATATATATTTATTTATATATTGATTAAATATATAAAAATATATATTTATAAATATATAAAAATATATATTTATAAATATATAAAAATATATATTTATAAATATATAAAAATATATATTTATAAATATATAAAAATATATATTTATAAATATATAAAAATATATATTTATAAATATATAAAAATATATATTTATAAATATATAAAAATATATTACTTATTTTATATATATGTAAATATACATATATATAAAATATATATAAAAACATTAAAATATATGTAATTTTAATATATATATATAAAATACTATAGTCTTTTTCATAACATACTTGCAACATACATTTGGTTTTTGATATTTTACAGTTTATTAATCTCTGCCTAAAATCTTGCTGATGTTGCTCTAACCAGTAGAGGAAAGCATTGTAGATGAACTGCTCCTTTGCTTAAAACATTAAAATGGGTTCTTACCACAATTAAAATATGAAAAAATTCTTACCTCAGACCGAAAGACCCTTGCAGTCACATAAAACTTAACCCTTAAATTTCTCACACTTACTCATTATACTTCAACCACTCTGGGGTTTCCTTTATATTCTTTAAATATAATAAGTTTATTCTCTCATTATGCATAACTCTCCTCCATTGCCTACAATGGTACCTGGCAAATGGGAGGTACCAGTGAAAAACAGGACTTGTTAAATGAATGATATGAATTCCAGCCAGAATTCCTCCTTCTCAGTTTCTTATTATAAAATCCACTTGACAGACTACATGTCGACTCAATAACCTCTTCATGGAAGTTTTCACTTCCTGGTTGCGAAGGGTATAAATCATAGGATTCATCAATGGAAAGATCACTGTGTGAAAGAGAGAAACCATCTTGTCAGCTGGTAAGGCCCTGAAAGGGCACATGTAGATGAAGATAGCAGGTCCAAACATAAGAAGTATAATAATGACACGAGTGGTGCATGTGGACATGGCCTTGTTCTTCCCTTCAGAAGCTGCCCTACGAACATGGCAGAGGATGACTGCATAGGAAGCCAGAAGCCCCAGAAAGCACAGGAGTGTCATCAGGCCACTGTTGAAGACCATCAGAAGCTCCACCACAAACATGTCGGTGCAAGCCAGCTTGATGACCTGTCGGACATCACAGAAGAAGTTGTCCAGCTGGTTTGGGCCACAAAAAGGCAAGCGGAGGATGAGGACCACCTGGATAATGGAGTGGACAAAACCCCCAAGCCACAGAGCCAACATCATTGCATAGCAGGCTCTAGGGTTCATGACAGTTGAACAGTGCAGAGGCCGGCAGATGGCGATGTAGCGGTCAAAGGCCATCACAACAAGGAGTAATCCCTCCCCTCCTCCAAGGAAGTGCAAGAAAAAGAGCTGAGTGATGCAGCCTCTGTAGGAGATTACCTTCTTCTCAGAGAGGAAGTCCACCAACATCCTGGGAGCCACAATGAAGGAGTAGGATGCATCCAGGAAGGCCAAGTTGCCCAGAAATAAATAGAGGGGGGCTGTGAGCCCAGGGTCTGACCTTATGGTGAAAATAATGAGAAAATTTCCAGGGAGGATGATAAGGTAGAAAATTAAGATCAGCACAAAGACCAAGAGCTGAATATCTTGAGACTGAGTCAGACCAAGGAGGATAAATTCTGTCACTACTGTGTTGTTTGCTATCTTCATTTCTTCTGCCTGTAGAATATCAATAAAAGAGTTTATTTTCAGGTGTTACATCTAGATTATAGTTCTTGAACTAAACACAAGGTATGCCACATTTATATTATTCTATCTATCTCAACAACCTAAGAAATCACTTCTACTGTTTATGCTTCCTCATTTCATGATAGCCAACACCCTGGTCCTGAAGCCACACTCTTTCTTCTGTTTCAGTCCTGTGCTTCTGTTTAAGTGTTCACTCATGTGAGACTTGGATGTTACTGCTCTGAATTTGTTCCTGATTTGTATGAGGCATATGAAAATTTTTCTGACTGAGAAAAAACTTAACCCCAGTTATTGAGGACTTCATGTTTTGCTTTGAATGGAAGATGAGCTGGGATTGACAGCAAAGAAGAATGACAGAACTTTTCAAGGGGACAGAAATGTTCCGTTTTTAATTATAATGGTTATATGTATCTATTTTTGTCAAAATTTATTGAGTATTGAACTATACAGCAATTAGTACAATTTATTTTATATAAATGCTACCTTAGGAATGTTTATCTAAAAACTTTTATAAAGGCAACTGTACTTACCAGAAATAATTCCCTTTTCTCTATAGAACATCAACCAAATGAACTGGTCTAAATAAAAAGCTCTCAGTCACTCTGGAGAAAACAAGATCTGAGGCTTCTCTGTACAGTGGCTTCCAAATTGAGACTGTGCTCATGCTTGGGGATGTGCATGATAATTTATTGGTATGAAAGCAATAATAGGAGAATTTCTACACTTACATTATTGTATCCTATTGTTTGAAGTTTTATTTTTGAACATTTTACATTTATATAGAATCATGATGTAATTGGATATGAAATGCATAAAGAAGATACGTATGTTTTTGGTGCATGTTCAAAAAATGGTTTGTGGTTGAAATAAAAAAATTTAAAAGCTAAAGATCTTGAGCTAGAACAAAATACTACAATGTGATACAGAAAAATATTTCATATGCTTCTGTTACACAGCACATTTGTTTTAAAATAATGTGGACTATGAAGCGTAGAGGGAAAGAGGTTCATTAACTAACTGAATGAGGAGTCGGTGTGTAAGAAGAGAGGGAAACAAAAACAATAAAGTCCCGAATTAAGAAATCAAAGAAAATATTTATAATGGCACATCTATTTAAAACATCAAAAGATATGCTTTTCAAAATATATCTAATCCTAATATATTAATTAATAGCAGAGGTTTTCAGGTATGGTCAGAATTGGGAATTATGAAAGAAGTACCTAGGCCAGGCACTGTGGCCCACACCTGTAATCCCACCCTTTTTGGAGGCCAAAGCAGGTGGATCACTTGAGGCCAAGAGTTCGAGACCAGCCTGGCAAAACCCTGACTCTACTAAAAATATAAAAATTAGCTGGGCGTGGTGGCAGGAGCCTGTAGTCCCAGCTACTTCAGAGGCTGAAGCATGAGAGTCGCTTGAACCTGGGAGGTGGAGGTTGCAGTGAGTCCATATTGTACCACTGCACTCCAGCCTGGGTGACAGAGCAAGACTCTGTCTCAAACAAAAAAAAGTATCTTACATCACATGTATGTACATCACACAGACACAAATAAATACACGCAAACACACGTATCCTAACCAAAACAGAAGCATAAAATTTTACATATCATACCCTTCTTTTCTTTTTTTTTTTTTTTTGGCACTTGGCCATTTATTGACCTTAATATTTATCAGTCTTTCTGTGCATATAAAACCTGCTAATAGAAAAGTCGGGAATCCCTCTCTGCTTACTCTTAAGTTGTGTACATCTTGCATGTTATTATGCAGTTGGTTATTTCATACTCTTTCAAAAATTGAGGATGTATTTGGGTCATAGGAGAAACTTTCAAGTATCTCTGAGATTGGGAGTTTCAGGTTCTTGCACTGTACCTTGCATTTTATTCCCTGTTATCCACTTCTGTTCTCCTACTGACTCTGTAACATCTGGAACCCTCTACCATCAAATATCTTTGATTCACTGTGTTCCCTTTGTGTGCTTCCCTCTAAGCTCTTTTGTTATATGGATAGTGCTCACATCATGCTCATTATGGATCCAGAAACCAAATATATATATTCATAAGGTGGACATTCCTCTAGGTAAAATGAAGTAAGTCCTAGCAAAATAAAAGCACAGAAATTCCTGCAAAGACAAGCTTGGTCTTGTCTAACTATATTAGAAGAACATAACAATGTTAGAAGGATCACTGTCAGTGGAAGCTGAAATAGAAATCTGAATGACTGCCACTCCCTCTATCCTATATTTCAATTTCAACAGAAACAAAATTTCATCTGTTCCTGACAATGCTGGAGCAGCACAGAAGAGGAAAGAGTGATGGGTGGGGGCACACACACATTCCAGATAAAGGCTGCGCTATGCACTGTTCACGTTTAGAGTCCAGGCTCTTGTTAAAAAGTTCATGGAGCAGGTATTTGGAGATTTGATTCCCATCCACAGGCACTAATTCACTCATTTTTCTTTATATTTCCTCATGCCTCCTTTTAAAATATTTATTTTATTATCTTCCCCTCCCATCTCGCTAAATATTTCTACACTTCATTTTTTAAGTTATACTTTTACTTAAGTTGGTTTCTCTTTCTCTATTTTATCTTCTCTTTCTCTCTCGTATTTGTTCTCTAATGATTCCCCTTGCTTTTCTCTTATCTCTTCTATTTTTTCTCCTTTGTTGTTTTTACTTCTCAATGTTCTTGCAGTTTCCAATATTTTTCCACTCTCTCTTCTTCTCTATTCATTTCTCCTTTATTAGATCTCATGTTTGCCTTCCCATTAATTCTGAGAAGCATCACTATTGTTTTCTTTTGAAACAGTAGTAAGGACAGCACATGAAGTTTCTTCACTCCAATTTTTGTAAGGGTTAAAAATACCTAACCCATATTTCAGTACTAAATTACTTTCCTTGAATAGTATCCTACTTAAAATATACTGTGTAAATACTTTTAAATTATTTCCCATTACCTCAAATATTTTGTCTGTTTATAACTGATCTTAATAAAAGTGGCACTATTCACCTTTCTGCTTGAAAGAAATTTCTCATTAATCCACCCTACCAGCAAAAACACATTTTAGAAATGTTCCCAAAATAAGAATAAGAATGTGATGTCTATTAATATGTGCTATCTAATTTGTAACCCATAACCTATATAATCACTAATTTTTTGTGTGTTCTGAGAAATGTGGATAAAGTTAGAGTATCATCAAATCATTAACTGATACCAATGTTTATAATGCCATGATTTCTAGGCAAAGTAATGGATGTCATTTAAAAAGCCCTCGTTTGGGCATCTATCTGGGTTTAAGTTCTTCATTGTGCAATTTTTTTAACCGTGAGATCTTGGGACGGTCATCTTCCTTAGCCTGAGTTATTTTATCTCACTGTGTTGATTTATGAATATAATATGAGAATGATAGCAATAAGTAGCATATTGAAGTCTGACTAAACCAAAACTAAACAAGGAAAAAATGTAGATATTAAGAGGGGCTTTAGTTTCTAAGAAGTAAATATATAATATAGATCCTCTGTCCCTGCCTTTGAAATGAGTTGCTGGGGTAAAGGTAGCTATGTTAATGTAAGAAATTACTAGAAAAGAATTTATGAAGGCTTCATTTCAGCCAGCTGTCAAAGCCCCAGATTGGTATATGGTAAGACTCTTTGTAAAAGAACCTCTCATCCCAGCAGGTGTGGGAACTAGACAGAGCTAGTCTCCTGCAAAATCGTGAAGTTGGTGAAGATTTCTTCTGCAGCCTAGCATTTCTGCATTGGATATGACTTCTGTTCCCTCACGTCTTTCAGTTAATAGCTATAGGTTTAGGACCAAGTATAAACATTCCCAAGGCAATGTTAATAAAGGCTTTATATATTCCCAATAAATTAATTCTAAATATTAGGAGAAACTGGGGCTATATTATTAAGACCAGGTAAAAGGTGCTACTGTATTACTGAATTCAGATTAAACATATTAATCTATTTCTAGTTTGAAACCCATAACCTATATAATCACTATAATTCTGATCTTTGCATTTCAAGGCAGCAGATGTCCCACCTGAGGTGTTACAATATGTTTCCATTTCTTCCTTATGTTCCTTATAAATATGGAGAATGGAAAAACATTTACCTCTCTAGTAATCTAATGCTCCTGTCAAACAGCAGATATCACCTCCTTCTAATAGAAGGAACAATAACTAATTTTTCCTGACTTCATTGTTAAATATCTCTTCTCACAGAGGAATCTCTTATGCAACCAATTTGTGATGCAATGGAGAATGTACTTTGGGAATTTGAAGGCTAACAAAGCTGCAAACACTTTCAAAGGGAATTGTTAAAATGCCAACAAAATATAGTCAAAGAATGAGACTAGAAACATGTTATATATAAATAGTGAAGTATATATGATTTAAAAGTCACTATGTTACTTCTAAGTTTTAAAATCAACATTCTATCAGTGACACATATTACAGAATAGTCAGCATGTTTACTAGGTCCATGTGGGCAGAAAGCCAAAAGAGGTTATTTTATTTCTTACGTTACTATTTTTTTTAAAAAAGTGTATAATAGGAAATCATTGATAGATCAAGAAAAGAAGTAATGTGGTCAGGTAGGTAGTATGGTAAATTCAACATATTTCTGATGACAAAGAAATAGGCAAAGAAAAATAAATGATGTTCACAAAGACTCTTTGACATAATCCTTCTTGGAGACGAGAACTGCATATTGAAGGACTAATTCCTCACAAAGAGATGTATTCTTAAATACACCCTATTGTGGTCTTGGCCTTTGTTGTTTTCATTTTAGGAATAAGTGTCTCCTATGTTCCACTAAAGCAAAGACAACTATTTTTTTAAGTAAATATTACTAGACAGAAGAAAAGTAATTAAGAATCACATAGTAGAACACAATATAATTAAATTTCAGTAGATTTATTTTTATTTTAAAAAGATTTTTTATTTTAAAAATTAATAAACAGTTTTTCAACAAATATAATGCATAATCAATAATATTTTGTTCTAATTTATGTCCAATTCAGAAAATAATAAGTGGGAAAAATGGAACATGGGGAAAAGAGAAAAAGGGAGAAAGAGATACACAAAATCATAAAGGTAAAAAAACCGGGGGGGAGAAATGCAAGAACAGGAACAAATGCAAAGACAGTAATGGAATAATAGGAAATAAAAAGCCAGGCACAAAAATGCATATTTTGTAAAACTATATACACCAAATAAACTAAAAAGTGCAGTGTTTACTTTCTTAAAAGAAACAGAAAAGAAGTGATATAAGTAAAGAAACACATGGAAAAACATTCCCATTTTTGAGTATATTATAGTCTTTCTTGCTACCAAAGATTTTTTAAAATATGATTTTTTCATAATTGTAGACATAGTTAGGGACTTTGCTTCCTAATGTTTTCCACAATACTTAAAGTGAAGATAGTCTAATGATCTAAATTAATCCTTAGAATGAAGGCTTGTTATTCCTGCTAGGAAAGATTTGTCTCCCTAGACTATCTTAGAAACTAAAACCATGTACCAGGCTGTATTGTAGTGTCTGCAATGCAGCACCGAACAAGACAGAAAATATCCCTGTTCCTGGGGATTTTACATCCTAAAGCATGGAAACAGACAACAAACAAACATACCAGAGAGAAAACAACTGATTGTAATGAGCACTATGATAAAAATATAAGAGAAAGCGGAAGAGGCTACTATTCCAAGTGAGCTGGCCAGGGAGGGCCTTTCTGACAAGGTGGCAACATTTCAACTAAGATCTGAATGACAGAACTACACCGTCTCTGGGAAGATCTGAAGATAGACTTGTTGAAAGCTCATTAAGGGAGAGACTGGTGCATTGAGAAGCAGAAAGGAGGCTAGTGTGGCAAGACAGTAGTGAGCAAATGGAAAAAATTGTAAGGGAAGATAGAGAGGTAGAGCCAATATGGGCCAAATGGCAATCGGTCAACATACTATGTGTGAGATGTAACAGGCAGAGGAGTGTTCCTACCTGATTTACATGTTTAAAATGTTGTGCCAGGTACTAAGTGAAAAACGGGCTATAAAATGCAAGAAGTGGAGGCAAGGGGAACAGTAGGGAGCATTTGAAGAACTATTAATATAAATAAGAGATGTTGGTAGGTTAGGATAAGAGGTAAAAAAGAAGACAGAAGAATTTATACCAAAGATAAACTTTGGAGAGATAATCAATGGGACTTATTGAAGGACTGCATATGAGAGGTATGGAAGCAAGAATAACTCAGAATTTTTAATGGCATTACCATAAGGTTGGAAATTAGGCAGTGTACTTTAAATATACTTGACTTTAAAAATGTATTTAATTTTTGAATAGGTAATATATTTACATTTTTAAATAAAAAATAATTCATACAGTGAGAAATTTCCTTCTTATATCTGTCCCCTATATGTCCATTTCACCCCATACCTCAAAATTGGAAGCTAATATTAATTTTTGTATCCTTCAAGAAATTTATCTGTATTTACAAGCAAGCATGAAAATAAATTCTTGGTTGTATTTCTTAGAATACAATGTATATACATTAAAATACACACATTTAAGTGTTCAACGTAGTAACTTGTGTTAAATATATGCACTTTAGAAACTAGTATTGTAAACAAGATAAAGAATATTTCCGTCACTCCAGAAAGGTTTCTTGTGATCTTTGCCATCCACCCCCACCATCTAACATCATAATGAGCTTTCATCTTTTAATTCCTAATAGCATAGATTAGTTTTACCTTTTCTTGGATTTTATAAAAACAGAAGCATATGACATGTGTTATTTTGTATCTGGCTTTTAAACTCAGCATTACGATTTAGAGATTCATGCGTATTGTTGCATTTTCTGTAGTTGTTTCTTTTTACTGCGGACTAATGTTTCATTATATACTTAACCCTAAGTTTGTTTATTATCATTTTATCCTTTTATGGACATTTGGGTTGTTTCAAATCTTAGGCCACCAATAAGGTTTTCATTAGCATGCGAATTTAAATCATTTCATAGACATGTCTTAGCTAAACACGAATGGGATTATCAGGTCATAAGGTAGCTGTTTGTTTACATCTACCTGAAATTACCTGAAGTTTCTATTAAGTTTTTCAGAGTGGTTAGCCATTGTAAATTCCCAACATCAATGTATGAGAGTTCAAGTTATTCCAACAATTAATTCACCAACATTTGGTGTTGTGTTTTACTTATGCCATTATATTTTCTGCATTTCTAATGCTTTAATGTCTTGTGCCTTCCTAACACTGGAGGAACTATCCCTCTTATGGCTAGCCAATTCCTAGAGATGGTAAAAGCCTCACTTGCAACCAATCTAGAAACCATACTCCAGCCGCTTCTTTTATCAGGCACCTATAGCGCTATTACACTCCAGGCCACTATTTGCCTTCCCTAATCACCCCAGGGCCAAGTGCCAGACACTTAGAGACAGCCCCTATCCTCCAGAGCCCACTGGAATTATTCAATCTAGCCAATCCTAAACCTGTTTATCCTGCCCCATCCATTTATTTCCACAGAAACCATGATAAAGGCTCTTACCCACATTTTTCTCATTTCCCCACTCACCTAACCAACCTCTTATTTCTAGGGATTTGTGAGTCTAAAAACTTCTTCCTTCATGACAGTCATTTCCATGACAGTGTGTCTTACCATTCCTGATTAAAATAAATACCGGGCACCTTTAAAACAGTGCAGCAGACAAGAACTACATCTTGATGGCAGCTACATTGTTTTTGTCAGTAGTTGCCACAGGCTCCCAACATAAAATTGTGGAGCTCGGAAAGCTGAGTCCTCCCAGCGCTGCTGCATAGTCTAGAGTGTCAAGTGCCTGGGACTGAGCACCTGGAGGCACTCAATATATTTCTTCATGTTGGTAGAGCATCCGGAGTCCAGGAGAGAGCACGTGAGGGTGAGGATGTATTGGTAATTGGCTATATCAGTTTCTAGAAAGATTCGTCCGAAGGGGATGAGAACTGACTGCCTTCCTAGTGCCATGGATGAATCTGGCCCACTGACCAGGCAGCACTAACAAGCAATGGGGAAACTGAGTCATTTTTATGGACGTGTCTAGTCTCCAGTATGTTATATGTTCCTGGGGCACTTGATAAACCCCTTCCTCTTTTCCTTCTCTGCCATTTTGTTCTGTTCCTCAGAGTAGTGGGAGAGCGCTCTGCCTGAACACTTGATCGTGTGTTGTGGACCATTCCCTGCTGAGTAATGACGTGCATCTTTTCGTGAACTTGCTGATCACTTCTGTATCTTCTTTTCTGGAGTGTCTGTTCAAATTTTTTGCTGATTTTTCTTTACTTGAAGACAGAGAGAAACAGGGAGATTAAGAGAGACCAAATTTTCCTCCCAGTGTATGATTTCCTTAATAATTTGATGATAGTGTATCTTGACGAGCAGTAATTTTTAATTTTTTGAGGTTCATTGGATCACTTTTTATTATTACACCTGCTTTTGTGCTGCTTAAGATATCATTGCTTATTCCAATTGTGTAAGCAAATATATTATTCTGTGTTTTCTTCTAGATACTTTATATTTCTAGTTACTACATTTAGGAGTATAATCCAGCTCTGAAGATGCTCTTATTTGATTATATTTTCACTGAGATAAAAACTCTTTTCTCTTGTCATAATATAACTCTTCACTGGTTTACTTTTTTGTTGTTAAGGAAAAGAGATCAGCCGGGTCCCGTGGCTCATGCCTGTCCCAGCACTTTGGGAGGCCGAGGCAGGTGGATCATTTGAGGCCAGGAGTTCAAGACCATCCTGGCCAACATAGCAAAACCCCTTCTGTACTAAATATACAAAAATTACTCGAGCATGGTGGCATGGACCTGTAATCCCAGCTACTCAAGAAGCTGAAGCAGGAGAACTGCTTGAACCCGGGAGGCGAAGACTTTAATGAACCGAGATCAAGCCACTGCCCTGGAGCCTGGGATACAGAGTGAGACTCTGCTTAAAAAAAAAAAAGAAAGAAAGAAAGAAAAGGAAAAAAAAAGGAAAGAAGGAAGGAAGGAAACCAGTGAGATATTATCCTGACTGCCTTTCCCTTGAAGACGATCTCTGTTTTCAACGTCTGCTTAGTTGTCTTTATAGTTTAATAAGCCTAATACTAGATTAAATACAGTAGCCCCCTCTTACCCACAGTGTTGCTTTCTGTAGTTTCTGTTGTCCATGGTCAACTTCAGTCCAAAAAATGTTAAATGGAACATTCCAGCAGCAAACAATTCATAAGCTTTAAATTATGCCCCATTCTAAGTAGCAGGATGAAATCTCAAGCTGTCCTTCTCCATCCTTCCAGGGACATGAGTCATCCCTTTGTCCAGTGTATCCATGTTATACATGCCACCTGCACGTTATCACTTAGTAGCCACCTTGGTTATCAGTTAGACACAGCATCACAGTGCTTGTGTTCAAGTAATCCTTATTCTATTTAATAATGGCCCCAAAGTGCAAGAGTAGTGTTGGCATATTGTTGTAATTGTTCTATTCTATTATTGGTTGTTATAAATCTGTTACTGTGCCTAATTTATGAATTAAACTTTATCATAGGCATATATGTATAAGAAAAACATGGTATATATAGGATTTGGTACTATCCATGGTTTCAGGCATCCACAGGTGTCTTGGAACATATCTCCTATGGATAAAAGAGGACTACTGTGTATATATATATATACATACATATATATATGTGTGTATATATATATATACATATATATGTGTGTATATATATACATATATATGTGTATATATATATATACATATATGTGTGTATATATACATATATGTGTGTGTATATATATATGTATATATGTGTGTGTGTGTGTCAGAAACCCAGCCTTTTGTCCTAGTCACATGTTTGACTGTAATTTGTTCTCTGATAATTTCATCAAAGAGGTCTTAAAAACAACATTCACAGATTTTTGTTGCATATTTAAAACTTTGTGGCCTGTTTATTTAAATGCCAGTTTTGTGGGATATAAAATCTGAGGGTTATACTTATTTATGTAAGCATGTTGTAGCTTGTCTTCACCTGGACCTCTATTTAATGGTAATTATATTTTGGAACAATGCATGATAGGCCAACTGGTCTGCTTCCAATGGAGTTGGAGGGGTGAGACTTTATAAACTTTGTTGAAGAAAATCCCTGAGAAAAGAGATTGCCAGTGATACTTGTTTTGTTCTTTATATATTCATATGTTTTTAACTTTTAATGAATATATATTATTTTAGTAATTAAAAAAACAGAAGAACTTTAATTTTGTTTGAGCAATAAAGCTCTCTTTTAACCAGATATAATAATAAAATTCTGGTTAATATTGAGATTAGCAAAAAGCCAGAAGATGAATGGGACTTGGGTTCTAAAGTTTCACACAAGTCAGTGTATAATTGAAAGTATAATCACAATACTGAGCTAAAGATAATATACTCAACCGAGATATTGCTGATTTTAAACATAGTAGCTCAGCAGCAGTTTTGAAAGAAAGAGGAGTAGGAGAGACTGAAAGAAAAAAAAAGAGATTAAAAGACATTTAAAAGTAACTGAAAGAAAATGTAGGAGTTATATAGGGAAAAGGAGTCCTGAAGCATATTTTGTATTTGACTGCTGAGGATCCTGAGCTATTTGGAAACAATATTCAATGAGACAAGATTGCATATGAGGTTAACACCTATTTCTTCTACACTAACCTGCCTTATCCCTGCCCATTATTTAAGTCAGAGTTTCTCAGCCTGATGGAGTTCTTTATTCTTGGCACTATTGACATTTTGGGCCAGATAATCCATGTGGGAGTCAGGGGCTGGGGGCTGTCCTGTGCATTGTAAGATGTCTAAACAGTACAAGATGCCAATATATGTCCTCAGTTGTGACCACCAAAAATGTCTCTGGGCACTTCCAAATGTCCTCCAAGGGGTGAAATTGCTCTCAGTCCTTATTCCAATTATGGCCTCCATGTATCAGGCTCAGTTATTACTTACTAGAGTTTGCCAAAAGTTCCCCTTTTCTTCATTGATATTAGTTTCTAATTTCAGATAATATTCTTAAGTAAGCAATTAGTTATCACACTATTTTTATGCCTTTTTCCTTTGTATTACTAGCTTCAGTATTTTCAGTAAATATCTTTCTATATAGTACAGTGTGCTGGTGTTTGAAGAGCATATCAAATCAGTGGTCCCTTTCCCAAGAACATCAGCCCTAGTTTGATGAAAGATAAGTGACAAAATGAATAGAAGTCTGGCTAGACCAAATATAGAGAAATGACAGTAAGATGATAAAAGATTTAGAAACGTAACTCATCATTTTATCATATTATATATATATATCTTTTGTACTCTATATTTTTTCATGCTGTGTTACAAAATGTTAGAGAAGTCTACTGCTTTATTCACTTCCAGGTGATGAGAAGTCAAGTCAAAAATCAGGACTTATAACGTCAATCTGTGCCTTTGGGTTCCTAGAAGAGAAGCAACATAGCATTGAAGATCGAAGAAGGTCACCATAAGGAAAAATTCCCAAAGCAAAAAACAAGCTTTGTGTACCACCATTCCATCCTGTGCATCTGAGATACACTGGGTCTGGCACAAATTACCTCCTCAATTAATAAATAATATATCTGTAAATAAATAGTAACTCTAGGAATAGTTATACCATTTGTTTCTATATATTCATTCCCAATGTTGACAAGGATCTAATTCACTTAAAATTTAGTCCATATTACATTATCAAATTTAAAAAAGAAGACTAAAGATTAATATACCCAATGCATTCTTGCCCTTCAATGAAAAGATTCCCTAGTTTTGAAATTAAAAACTAATAAATTTAAGTAAAAAACATAACCTATAAAATCAAATGTTCTAATCTACCTCTTACATTCTGAAGCTTGGAGAGTGAGTTTTTAGTGCTTGAGAATAGGAAATCAGTCCCTAATAATTCTCTAAGGGATCATGGGAACCAATACGTCTAGGTCTGTCAATGGGAAAGAACTCTGAATTAAGCACTAACAAAAACAGCACTCTACCAATTTAAGTTTAACATGAGAGGCAGAATTAGCAATTATGGAAAACATACAAAAGTGGCAAAGGAGATGATAGTTTAGAAAAAAATTACACGGCTAGATGTCTACCAATCCCAGTCAACCTAGAAGCTTTCTCCCCAAGGCTGCTTTCACTCTGAAGGATGTAAGTAGGGACTGGCTACAAAAATTGCTAGTTGCCTGGAGGCTTCATCTGGAATGACATGAATCTCATGTATCAGCCAAATTATACTCTGCTTTGAATTCATAAAAATTGTTTTCATAATGTGATAAAATTTTGAGTTCTGTCTCCAAACTGTTGAATAGACACCACCTGAAATATAAACTGAAATACCTTTATAAGGTATTTCAGTTTATAAGTTGATGGAAAATCCTCATTTTCCATCAACTCTGGAAATAAGAGGAGATAAAGGACAAATAATCTGTTTTTCCAGACCCAGCAAGATGTTGACCAGATACCATTCCACTGAGCCAACACTGAAACATGACAAAAATATTTATTTGCTAACTTGAAGCTAGCTGCATCCATATGCTTGCCATTTACTTCATATTTGTAATGGACACGTCTCCATGTCTTATTTATTTTTCTCAACATGTTCCCGTCAAAGCCAGAGCCTCTGCAGAGTACTCAATAAACAATTAGTTAAAATGTACTTTAGCAGATTATTATATCTCAAATTCTAATAATGATCTGTTGGGAATTTCAGGGTAGGTGTGAGTAAATTTATTTTCATCTTAATGCCTCTATTTTTTCAATATAAAGAGGAATGAATAGAGAAAAATTATAGTAAAATTTTAATAACACAAATGAAAGGAGGAAGTCAATGCAGCATTATTACTGCAAATACTTCCTGCTTTAGGACAATGATCCTCAGGGGAACTATAAAATGTATAATTTATCTTTCACTTCTCTTTACACAAAATATATTTGGTGACCAACTTCCTCATGGCTGCCTTTACTTCCTTGTTTCTCAATGTGTAAATAATGGGATTATGTAAAGGGAATATTAAAGTATTGAACACAGACACCACTTTATCTAGGGAAAACGAGTCAAATGGGCGAGCATAAATGTAGATGGATGGCCCAAACATTAGCACCACAATGGTAATGTGGGAATAGCAGGTGGACACGGCCCTGTTGGTATTCTCACCTGAGCCTGAAAGTTTCTTGAGCAAGGCCAGAAGGAAGGCATAGGACATTAACAGAGCAATCAAACACACCACAGAGATCAGACCACTACTACAGATCATCACTAACTCCTCTGGGAAGGTGTTGGCACAGGCAATCCGGACAACCTGTGTGATGTCACAGAAGTAACTGTCTAACTCATTGGGCCCACAGAAAGGAAGTCGAACAATGAGAGCCACCTGTATGATAGAATGAATGAAGCCCCCCCTCCAGGAGAGAGCCACCAGGATACAGCAGAGACGTTGATTCATGATGGTAGCATAGTGGAGGGGTCGGCAGATAGCAGTGTAGAGGTCAAAGGCCATCACTGTGAGCAAGAACATCTCTGAAGCCCCAGCAAAGTGTAAGAAGAAGAGCTGTGCAATGCATTCATCAAAAGAAATTATCTTCCTCTCCACAAAGAAGTCTATGAGCATTTCAGGGGCTGTAATGGAAGAGTACCAAATATCAAGGAAGGCCAGATTAGCCAACAGGAAATACATAGGAGAGGTCAGATGAGGGTCTAGACTGATGGTGCAAATGATAAGGATATTTCCTGGTAGGATGAACAAATAGAAGGATAGAAATATAACAAATAGGACTAGTTGGACCTCTGGAGTCTGGGATAGGCCAGTGAGAACAAATTCTGTCACCTTGGTGTAATTTGCAGTTTCCATTTCTTCAATTTACTCTTTTCATAATATAGCTATGAAAATTAAGAAACTATAATTAGTAGACATAGCATTTACCTAGAGTTATATCACTGCTTTCAAAATTGTCATACGTTCCCTGTCACTAACAGATTACACGAGGATACATTTGGTTGCCCATTTTATATCTGATAAACCAAGAGGGAGAGAGTATGTGATGAAGTTATAAATTGGAAACATTAAAACTATATGAAGTGTGGCATATATTTGAAACTCAAATCTCAGCTTGTTAATGTTAAAAACTTACTTTTTCTGAAATTTGGCAATGCACTACTTCTTCCCCCAAACATCTACATTAGTAAGCAATATGTGAAGCTACTTCTGAGTGTAGCCAAATTTTAGACTGGCAATCAGAGATGTGGCCTCTTTTTTCTATATCTTTTTTTTTGTTGGGAAATCTTGCCAACCTGGAAACTTAGGCTTGCATTCTAATAGCACACACACAGATCTAGCAGTACTTTAGTTGTGATACAGAAAAGAGATCCCAAGGCTTCATAAGTAGTGAAGGGACATATTTTTCCATAACTATAACCAAAAACTGTACAGCTTAATCCTTGGTAACAGGTAACCAGCCACAACATACAGCTATGCAAGGCCTTATATAAAAAATTCTTCTAGCTGTGACCAGATTCATCAATACCTGATACTACATTGAGTATAAAATTTGCTCACCACAGCAGGAACGTAAGTAGGTGTACTGATCTGAGAAATGAGTATGCTTGCTACCCAATTTGATTCTGAGCTGATCTGCTCTGCTGTTTCAAGGTGACAATGGGAATAATATTATTTTTAAAATTTTGCTTACTGCCCTGTATTGAATCTGACACCACTAAGTAGCACAAAACTTGTCAAATAAAAATGAAATAACAGTTCACATTACCAAATATGCTTTTCTTTAAGTAAGGTTAAAAACTGCCACACCAAAGTAAGTTTTGTTGTAACCAACAGCAAATACAAGAGAGTTGTTTCTTTTCTGTTGATGTGATATTTTATGATATTGCCTCTCCTATTACTTAAAAAAATTAAATATGAAAAGGAATTTTTAAAAAGTTAAGGTTCTGTAAAACCAAATAGACGTGGCTGTGTCCAAACACTTATGGGCACTATGTATACTACTGAGAAAAGAAATTAAATGCGCCATTTTTGGAACCTACTGACTCAATTTATACATAATTTTAACAAACATAGATAAATGACTTTCAATATCTTATAGAAGCATTGTATTTTGAAAAAGGGATGGCTTACTACAAGCAGACACACACACATAAAACCAGTGTTTTCCAGGAATCTGGTAGCAAGCAGAAGAAAGGTAAAAATACTCAGAAATTGAATAGTGTGGGACTATTTAGAAAAGGGATCAATTTCCCCTTGCCCATAAATTGCCCAGTGTGGACCTCAGTGAGTTAATGAAGCATATTTAATAAGATTGAAAAATTTAAAATTTGGTTTAGGAAGATTTTAATCAAAAGAAAGATAATAAGGTTATCCAGAATGAAATATTTCCTAACATTCCAAGAAACAATGATCTTATTGTACTTACCTGGAGGAGGCAGCTCATAGCCCTCATAACTAATAACACAACATTGTGTTATTAGTTATGAGGGCTATGAGCTAGTTATATACTAACTCATTTACATTCACTGATAAGTCAACTATGAGGTTCCAACAATCAAATAAATTTCTAACAAAAGCATCTGAAATATTATGATTACTCAGCTCATTTACATATTTTGCTATTATGCTATGTAGTTTTTGACCAGATGGAAGCGATTATTTGTTCCTAAGTAAATAATTGTCCCTTTATTATTGAAAGGAGATGAATATTTTAAAGCAGTAAATACCATTACAAGATCATATGCTTTTTTATTATTATGGGGACATGATGCAATGATTCTGAGTGTCGTCACACAAATCACCCCTTCTTCCTCTGCTCTACTCCATACCCATTCCACCAAAACAGAAGTAGAAAATGGCACTAATCTAGAAAGAATTTAGGTGAATGAGTGTTGATGTCTTGAAAAGACAGACATACATCAGGTATTATGGAATAGAAAGGGTGATTTTACCAGAAAAAAGTGTCAAAGAGATTTTCTTTTGTACCTCAGTGTTCAACATATGACATAAAATTAGAAACTAATGATGTATATACTTTGCATTAAGAACCAAAATCAACCACATTTATTCCTTAGGACAAAAATACAAAGGATTCATCCCTCCACACTCCTTGATGAGTGTCTCTGTCCTCCACCCTTCACAAGTGTCAAGTGGAAAAGAAATATTTTGCTGGAGCATCTCAATCCAATAGTCAGGCAGCCAATCAAACCCCCTACTCCCAAAGCTAGTAATGCTCAGCCACTACTCATCACACACACACACACACACACACACACACACACACACCACTACACCATGTCACTTCAAGGAAGAACAAGCACCTAGTTTCCCTACATTAACATAACCATTACCTAAAATACCATAAATGACGCAACAATTCTTATTCTGTCCAGCACTTGTCATTTAACACATGTCAAAACAAAGCTATCTACATGTGATATTAAAAAGTCTATTCCTAAATATATAGCTTCTGTGTCACTTCTGTAAACTATTCATTTGTTTATCCCGCAAACATTTAGAGAGTATCTACTATATGCTACCTGCTGAGACACAACAATGAACAAGGAACACTCAATATCTGCCTCATCAAACTTCCATTCTGAAAATATAGACAGACAATAAATAAGTAAACAAATAAAAATAAAATAAAATATAAATAAGTAAAATAAAATAATTGCTACTAGTGCTAAAAGACAAGCAGGAAATAAAAAGGCAATGGTAGAGTAAATAATGATGGGAGTGGTATGTGTGTGATGGAGTATTTTAGAAAAGGTTCTGAGTTGGTGACGTTTTTCTAACTTTGAAAGTTTGAAGAAAAGCATTTTAGGAATAGAGAATAGTAAATGAAAAGGCCTTGTGTCATGAAAGACTTTCTAAGAACTGTAGAAGACCCACAACTGGTAGAAGCATAAGAACAAAATAAAGAGTTAGTCAAAGACCAAGTAATGTAGCCCACAATAATAAAATTGGATTTCCAATTTTCTTTCAATATGTTTTACAATAAAACTCGGGAGAATAGCTTAATACAATTTGCAATTTAGAAATATCACCCTGGCTGCTATGTGAATAAATCAGAGTAAGACAACATTACAAGAATATATATATATATATATATGGCTTAAACTAACAATACAGCAATAACTATTTGAAGAGAATAATAATTTGTTTAGAAAATATTTAGGAGATGCAACTCCAGGGTTTATCAATGGATCATATGTTGCTATTGTCATACTACCAAAGGCAGCTGGAATTTGAACTCCACAATGGCAATTTAAAAATATTGTTTTCCTATCTTCTGTGTCTAAAATGAGGTTCATCCAGCCCATACCACGTCCTTAATAAAATTGGGCTAAATAAACTATACATACTTGGGTATGCACTGTAACACTCCAAGAAAAGCTGGGAATTGTACCAAAAAAACCCAAAGCAAGCAATTATGTTTATGGGAAATTCTTGGGGGAGATAAGCCACTCATGAAGATTGACTTAGGGCATTTTTTTCTAAGGTTGCCATTGAGGAGGGGATGACTATTCCAAATCAGTCCTTACTCTTAGAGCAGTGGTTGGATAAGTTCCTTAAGAAGATTTACTTCATCTTACATCCACCCACCTACTCCTCCTAAGCTTCTGCTCCTCTTTTAACAACATCTAGAAAATTCCCATTCTTAATCTACAGGGATGTAGTACCTAGAGGATGACTATGGAAATACCTAGGAGTACAGGTGCATTCCCTGTCGGTGAGTGAACTGTGAAATCTTCTCAAGAGAAGCAATGCTTTGGGAGAAAACAAGAATCTGCGTGATGTTGAGGTCGTGAGATCTTCCTCTATGACAGTTTCTTCATAGCAAAAGGAGGGATTTTAACTAGAATTTTAAGAAATGTTCTACCTCTAAAATCCTATGATTCCGTTAAAGTAAAAGTAGGTTGAGAGTAAAATTCTCAGAAAGGTAAATTAAGAATGATTTGGGTAGCAATAGGGAGAAACAGTGATATCATCACCATTGTGGATATATACAACACTTAGAAAGAATGCAAATTAATTTTCCTATTTTTAGGATATGGAGCTCACTTATTCTGTGGGATGGTGAGGAAGGAGTATACAGAAGCATCTTCACCATATAGATGGGTATAGGTAGCCAAGGGACCTCGAGTGTCATAAATAAACCAGTAGCAGAAAATATCAAGATGTAGTTATTACATTGATTTTCTGTATGCATTGTTGCCCACAGTAAACTAGGCAAGAAGAAACCATTAGGATAAGAGAAGGGCTGATCTCAATGAGACTATTTTGAAGATCATTTGCTGCTTATTTCTCTTTTAATATACTTTAATATATTATTATATTTAATAATACACTTTAATGTTATTAAAGTATATTAAAATATATAGTATATACATTAACATTATTAAAGTATATTAAAATACTTATTTTATATACAACTATTAATATATTCTTTTAATTTACTTGAATATATTAAAGTATATTAAAATATATTTTATATATAATATAAATTATATATAAATATGTATATATCATATATTTCCATATATTACATATTTATATATTATATATATTTGCAGCTTATTTCTCTTTTAATATACTTAGATATGGGGTGTCAGTGCTATCAACTGAAGAATGATGGGGTTCATAAATTTGGAAAGGAGGACCTTTATTTCTCATAGAGTTGTAGCCTGAAGGGTGGCTATTATGACAGGCTGGGAAATATAGCCTCTGGCCAGGAGCCAGAAACAAATATTTCGAGACAGTGTCAAAAGGAATATGTACTGAGTGAGGTGGCCAAATACATATGCTCAATAAGCTATAGGAGGAATCTTGAATATTTATGAAAGGACAACCATGCACATGCACAATTGTGCTTCATGCCCCTTCATGAGTAGCATATAGTTGGTCTCTTATCAGGAAGGAATGCTGGTTAATTGCCATGTTAAAACCACAAAAAAAGAGGGACTGCTTCAGTGATTTGTTGATATCAGCAGTGGAGTCTTTCAAAAGAGCTGGTTTCTATTTAGCACTTAGGTAGGAAAGTCTAATGGTAGTTAAGTGAGGGCGGGGATGTAAGAAGGCACCTCTGACCGCCCATCTTGTCATGGATGAAAACTCAGCTTTTAAGGTTACTCTGGGGTGCCCTTGGCCAAGAGAGGGTCCATTCAGTAGCTTGGGGAGCTAAGGGTTTCATTTTTATTTTATTTCTCAGTGCCTTCATTCTAACCACAGCTAAGCACTTACTAGCTGTGTAATCCTGGGCAACTCACTTACCTCTGCCTCAGTGTGCCTCATTAGTGCAATGGAAATAATAACAGTACCTACTTCACAGGTATTGTAGTGATTAATGCATATAATGCTCCCCACATTTTTCCCAGACCCACAGTCCTGTTACATTGTTGATGTATCACTATTTTTAAATCCTTCAGCTATTCTCAGAAGCTTGTTTTCTAAAATGCCTGAAATTTTGTATGAATTTTGTATATATAAGTTCCATAAAAATGTCATATTTTTATGGCTCCCATAATAGTACTGTTTACACCTCCAGTACAAATTTTAACTCATTACATTGTAATTTTTCAGTTTGTATTTTGCAAAATATAACAGGAACTCTGAGCTCCTTGAGGTCATGGAGTATGTCTCATTTATATATCTACTGCCTAAAGTAGTTCCTAGCATGTTATGGTCTTCAATATGTGTTTGTTAAATGGATGGATGGATGGGATGATTACATGGATTTTTTATTGAATAAATAGATCAGTAGACTTTGACAAAAATTAAACACCACAACATCTAATTGTTTTTATTAATTCATTTCTTCTTTCCCTACTCTGCTACATAATTCCTAATTTTGCTTTTTGGAATCCTTTTTGTTAAAATACATATTTCACCCACATTTATTTCAAGTAAGAGTCTCTTTGCTTTTAAGTTTCTTTTTTGCTTTTCTATTTATTTTCAAAGTTTTTGCTACTACTAACACTAATCCCTTTGAAATGAAATATTTCAAGCCTCACCTTTCCCTTCCTCTTCACAGAGATCATCCTGAAGAACTATAAGAAGTAACTACCATGCCTATTCCAAAATTGACCACATAGTTGGAAGTAAAGCTCTCCTCAGCAAATGTAAAAGAACAGAAATTATAACAAACTATCTCTCAGACCACAGTGCAATCAAACTAGAACTCAGGATTAAGAATCTCACTCAAAGCCGCTCAACTACATGGAAACTGAACAACCTGCTCCTGAATGACTACTGGGTACATAACGAAATGAAGGCAGAAATAAAGATGTTCTTTGAAACCAACGAGAACAAAGACACAACATACCAGAATCTCTGGGACGCATTCAAAGCAGTGTGTAGAGGGAAATTTATAGCACTAAATGCCCACAAGGGAAAGCAGGAAAGATCCAAAATTGACACCCTAACATCACAATTAAAAGAACTAGAAAAGCAAGAGCAAACACATTCAAAAGCTAGCAGAAGGCAAGAAATAACTAAAATCAGAGCAGAACTGAAGGAAATAGAGACACAAAAAACCCTTCAAAAAATCAACGAATCCAGGAGCTGGTTTTTTGAAAGGATCAACAAAATTGATAGACCGCTAGCAAGACTAATAAAGAAAAAAAGAGAGAAGAATCAAATAGACACAATAAAAAATGATAAAGGGGATATCACCACCGATCCCACAGACATACAAACTACCATCAGAGAATACTACAAACACCTCTATGCAAATAAACTAGAAAATCTAGAAGAAATGGATAAATTCCTCGACACATACACTCTCCCAAGACTAAACCAGGAAGAAGTTGAATCTCTGAATAGACCAATAACAGGAGCTGAAATTGTGGCAATAATCAATAGCTTACCAACCAAAAAGAGTCCAGGACCAGATGGATTCACAGCCGAATTCTACCAGAGGTACAAGGAAGAACTGGTACCATTCCTTCTGAAACTATTCCAATCAATAGAAAAAGAGGGAATCCTCCCTAGCTCATTTTATGAGGCCAGCATCATTCTGATACCAAAGCCGGGCAGAGACACAACCAAAAAAGAGAATTTTAGACCAACATCCTTGATGAACATTGAGGCAAAAATCCTCAATAAAATACTGGCAAACCGAATCCAGCAGCACATCAAAAAGCTTATCCACCATGATCAAGTGGGCTTCATCCCTGGGATGCAAGGCTGGTTCAGTATACGCAAATCAATAAATGTAATCCAGCATATAAACAGAACCAAAGACAAAAACCACATGATTATCTCAATAGATGCAGAAAAAGCCTTTGACAAAATTCAACAACCCTTCATGCTAAAAACTCTCAATAAATTAGGTATTGATGGGACGTATTTCAAAATAATAAGAGCTATCTATGACAAACCCACAGCCAATATCATACTGAATGGGCAAAAACTGGAAGCATTCCCTTTGAAAACTGGCACAAGACAGGGATGCCCTCTCTCACCACTCCTATTCAACATAGTGTTGGAAGTTCTGGCCAGGGCAATTAGGCAAGAGAAGGAAATAAAGGGTATCCAATTAGGAAAAGAGGAAGTCAAATTGTCCCTGTTTGCAGACGACATGATTGTATATCTAGAAAACCCCATTGTCTCATCCCAAAATCTCCTTAAGCTGATAAGCAACTTCAGCAAAGTCTCAGGATACAAAATCAATGTACAAAAATCACAAGCATTCTTATACACCAACAACAGACAAACAGAGAGCCAAATCATGAGTGAACTCCCATTCACAATTGCTTCAAAGAGAATAAAATACCTAGGAATCCAACTTACAAGGGATGTGAAGGACCTCTTCAAGGAGAACTACAAACCACTGCTCAAGGAAATAAAAGAGGATACAAACAAATGGAAGAACATTTCATGCTCATGGGTAGGAAGAATCAATATCGTGAAAATGGCCATACTGCCCAAGGTAATTTACAGATTCAATGCCATCCCCATCAAGCTACCAATGACTTTCTTCACAGAATTGGAAAAAACTACTTTAAAGTTCATATGGAACCAAAAAAGAGCCCGCATTGCCAAGTCAATCCTAAGCCAAAAGAACAAAGCTGGAGGCATCACACTACCTGACTTCAAACTATACTACAAGGCTACAGTAACCAAAACAGCATGGTATTGGTACCAAAACAGAGATATAGATCAATGGAACAGAACAGAGCCCTCAGAAATAATGCCGCGTACCTACAACTATCTGATCTTTGACAAACCTGACAAAAACAAGCAATGGGGAAAGGATTCCCTATTTAATAAATGGTGCTGGGAAAACTGGCTAGCCATATGTAGGAAGCTGAAACTGGATCCCTTCCTTACACCTTATACAAAAATCAATTCAAGATGGATTAAAGATTTAAACGTTAGACCTAAAACCATAAAAACCCTAGAAGAAAACCTAGGCATGACCATTCAGGACATAGGCATGGGCAAGGACTTCATGTCTAAAACACCAAAAGCAATGGCAACAAAAGCCAAAATTGACAAATGGGATCTAATTAAACTAAAGAGCTTCTGCACAGCAAAAGAAACTACCATCAGAGTGAACAGGCAACCTACAAAATGGGAGAAAATTTTCGCAACCTACTCATCTGACAAAGGGCTAATATCCAGAATCTACAATGAACTCAAACAAATTTACAAGAAAAAAACAAACAACCCCATCAAAAAGTGGACGAAGGACATGAACAGACACTTCTCAAAAGAAGACATTTATGCAGCCAAAAAACACATGAAAAAATGCTCATCATCACTGGCCATCAGAGAAATGCAAATCAAAACCACAATGAGATACCATCTCACACCAGTTAGAGTGGCAATCATTAAAAAGTCAGGAAACAACAGGTGCTGGAGAGGATGTGGAGAAATAGGAACACTTTTACACTGTTGGTGGGACTGTAAACTAGTTCATCCATTGTGGAAGTCAGTGTGGCGATTCCTCAGGGATCTAGAACTAGAAATACCATTTGACCCAGCCATCCCATTACTGGGTATATACCCAAATGACTATAAATCATGCTGCTATAAAGACACATGCACACGTATGTTTATTGCGGCATTATTCACAATAGCAAAGACTTGGAACCAACCCAAATGTCCAACAATGATAGACTGGATTAAGAAAATGTGGTACATATACACCATGGAATACTATGCAGCCACAAAAAATGATGAGTTCATGTCCTTTGTAGGGACATGGATGAAACTGGAAATCATCATTCTCAGTAAACTATCGCAAGAACAAAAAACCAAACACCGCATATTCTCACTCATAGGTGGGAATTGAACAATGAGATCACATGGACACAGGAAGGGGAATATCACACTCTGGGGACTGTGGTGGGGTGGGCGGAGGGGGGAGGGATAGCACTGGGAGATATACCTAATGCTAGATGACGAGTTAGTGGGTGCAGGGCACCAGCATGGCACATGTATACATATGTAACTAACCTGCACAATGTGCACATGTACCCTAAAACTTAAAGTATAAAAAAATAAAATAAAATAAAAATAAAAATAAAAATAAAAAGAAGTAACTAAAGATCTTGCGGTTTTCCTGACTTTCTTCCAGGAGTAAAAGGATTCAAAATTTTGGAAGTTTATTTTAATAATCTGTCACGCTCTGAAGACCCATAAATCAAAACAGCCTTCTCTGAGCTTGCTTAGAAATGATTCATCCTATGAGTATAAAATGATGAAGCTGTCTCTTCAATGCCCTGTTCAACCCTGACTTTAAAATGCTTTAATTATTCAGACCAAGGCTGAAAAGAAACAATTTGTCCACCCACTCCACAGCTAAAACCTACTCTATACTATCATCACAGTTCCCTAAGACATTTCCTTACATGCTGCTTTCTGTTTCTTACCACTGATCTCTGAGCATTTTACATAGTTATTCCCATCATTATTATCTGTCCTACTGTCTCAAAAATAGGATGGTTTATGTAAATGTTATAACAACATTCCACCTACCAATTACTGTGACAGTCTTGGTGCCTTCAGGAACTATGGGGAGGAGGTAGAAGAAGCCTCTTCCACCACCCGCAGTGGAGGACTTTATCCTGGGTACATGTTGGTATGCATCAGTTTCTGCCCTGATGTAACAGTAAACTAACTAGCAGCATGAGCTGTAACTACAAAAATCAATCCTCTGGAGGCCAGGAGAAGCCAAGTAGGAACATAAGCCCTGAGGGAATAATTTAAAAGTTGATTTGCACTTCATCCAAAGAGCACAGAAACACAACTTTTGAGTTTCACAGAAGAAGTAAGAAAAATGGCGAATTTCCCAGGATTAGGGGTGGAAAATGCTACGATGTACAATATGTGCTCTCTAGAGTATGACGTGCATTTTCAATTCTATTGTCCCAGAGGACAAAATAAGTTGTGCTGGAACAACTGGTTAACCAGATTTTTTAAAAGAATTATATTTTATAACTTATACTTAACATAAATTGCAAAGGAGTAATTTTTTTAATTACTAGAAACATAGAGAGACTATTTAAATTATTTTGGAATAAATAAAAACTTTTAAGTATATCCTGCCCCTATGAAGGAAAAACAATAAGAAAAGAGTTATAGCATATTTGATAATGAAATTTAAAATTTATCAATGGCAAACACAAATATAGGGGAAAATGTTAGAAATTAAAACAATTTAAAATTACTAGAAAATAAAGACAAATTTAACAGGCAAATAATGAACAGAAAAAAATAAATTTAAATAACTCCATTATATAAGAAGCACTTAAAAATCAGTCATACTATGGCAAAAATAATAATGATAATAATGCAATTTCAATTTCAAAGTGGGTGAAAAACTTGAAGACATTTCTCAGAGGAAATACACAAATGGCCAACAGGTATAAGCAAATATGTTCAGCATCACTAGTTGTTAAGGAAATGCATATCCAAACACCAATGAGATATTGCCTCATGCCTATTAGCATGGCTATTATCAAAAAACAAAAGAAGTGTTGGCTAGAATTTAGGGAATTGAAACTCCTATACACTTTTGGTGGAAATAGAAAATGGTGCAGTCACTATGAAAAATAATGTGTCAGTTCCTCAAAACATTAAAAACAAAATTATTATATGATTCAGCAATCCCACTTTTAGGAATATGTCCAAAAGAATTGAAATCAGAACCTCAAAGAGATACCTTTACACCCATGTTTACTACAGCATTATTCACAAAAGCCAAGATATGGAAACAGCCTAAAAGTCCATAGACAGATGAACAAAGAAAATGTGTTAGACATCAGCTAGAATGGCAGAGTAGGTGATCTCAGTCTTTATTCCTCCTAAAGGAACAACAACTGGGCAAATATCCACAAATGAAAATATCTAGCAGAGATCAGGAATCTACTTCAGAAGTTAAAACAACAGAGCAGACAGAAAAACTTCAAGAAAAAACACAAAAAAATGGTAGAAAAAACAGTTTCATTTTGCCTGCGTCATCTTCCTCAGGCTGGCAGTGCTCAGTATGGAGAGGTCACTGCTCAGCTTGCAAGTTCCCCTTGCAGAGAAAAGAAGAGTGGAGTGAACCATCTTACCCAGCCTACTGGAGCATTGCCCAAACAACCAGCTTAAGTTTCACCCATCCCAGATTGCTAGGGAGACCAACATAGGAGAGAAATCTGTAAACTGCTGGTAAGAAAGAGAAATGATGAGGTCTATCAGTATCAGTCCTGTGGTAGGAATCAATGCAGTCCCCAGTAGCCTGATCTGAGCGGAATTCTGGTAGCCTTCTATACCAAGGACCTCAACAGCCCTCATGGATGTGACACAGGATTCTTTGAGGGCCACTTTGCCAAGTGGAAATCTCGATGGCCAGCAGAGCCTCTGCTGAGGCTTCACTCAGGCCCTCTGAGCTCGTCCTGCTCATTTGGCCTGGCAGGCTGTGCTCCACTCATGCTCACTCACCCAGATGCCATGACACCCACCGTAGCTCAGTGCTCAGCCCACGGTTGGTTTGGGCATGCTATGACTGACTTCTGCCTTGAGCGCTGGCATCTGGATAAGGGGGATGCAGCAGTGCCCAAAAACTCAGAGATGCCAGCAACTGTGGAGCCCGAAGAGGTGTTACAGCTTTTGCTCTGGGAGTCAAGGTCTGAGCCCCCAGGAAGTGTTACAGCTCTTGTTCGTTCTCACTGCTGGCAGTTTCAGCAAATGGGGATGTGTCACAGCTCATTCAGTCCTGCTGCCCACAGCTCAGCAATTGGGGACTTGTGGCACCCAGCATTTTTTTTTCACTTCTGTAGCTTGGTGAACAGGAGGTGTATCTTACAGCTCTTTTCGCACCCACTGTTCAGTGGATCCTGGATTCTTGTCCTGCAACCAACAGGAATGAAGCATGCAGACACCGCAGAGTGAGCAAGGCTGATGAGATTTTTATTGAGCGGCAGAAAAGCTCTTGACAACAAGAGAGTAGCCAAAGTGGGCAGCCCTCTGTGTAAGAGTGGGGCTGAAAGCAGAGAGCCATCTGTGAGGCTGAGTCTGGGGTTTTTATGGGCTCAGAATGGAGGAATCTGTGCTGATTGGTTCATGGGCAGGCCTGGAAAAAGCACCATTTAATTGACTAAAAGGCACTGAGGAAGTTCTCAGTTGGGTCGTGGACTCCACCTGGAACTGGCGGCTTGGTTTTCAGGCCTCAGGTTGTCTTTGGCTTGAAGGTTGGGATTCACCAGGGACTTATCCCTGTCTGCCTAGGAATCTGTCTGTCTCCTGTCATTATCAGCTGCACATACCACACTGCTTTTACTACCAAGGAACCCACAATTATCATTGCACAAACTATAGTACTTAACTCCACAGAGGACTCCAGCAGGTTTAGTCACTGACAAAATCAACACCCAAAGATCACAAAGAAGCAGGAAAACATGACACCACCAAAGGAACAAAATTAATTTCTAGTAACCAACCCCAAAGAATTGGAGATCTATAAATTGCCTGGAAAAAATCAAAATAATTGCCTAAGGAATCTTGGGGAACTACAAGAGAACACAAATAAATAGTTTAATGAAATCAGGAAGACAATCCAAGAACAAAATGAGAAGCTCAATAAAGAGACAGAAAATATTTTAAAAAGAACCAAACAGAAATGTTGGAGCTGAAAAATACAACAGCTAAACTAAAAAAATGTAATAGAGGCTTGAACATCAGACTAAGTGAAGCAGAATAAAAAAATAAGTGAACTCAAAGACCGAGCATTTTAAATCATCCAGTAAGTGGAGATAAAAGAAAAAAAAGAATAAAACCTACAGAAGCCATGGAATACTATCAAGAGAGCTAACATTAGAATTATAGTAGGTTCAGAAGAAAAATAGAGAGAGCATTAGATAGAAAGCTTATTTAAGGAAATAATCATAGGAAACTTAGCAAATGTCAGGAAAGAAATGAGCATCCAGATGCATGAAGCCTAAAGTTCTCCAGTCAATTCAACCAAAAAAAGAATCCACAAACATACATTATCATCAACCTGGCAAAAATCAAAAACAAAGAGAGAAGCTTGTAAGCAGCAAGAGAAAAGAATCATGTCATATAAAAAAGGACCCAAATAAAGCTATCAGTGGATTTCTCAGCAGGAACCTTGAGGATCAGGAGAGAATGAAATAATATATTCAAAGCAATGGAAGAAAAATAAAACTGCCAACCAGCAATATTTTGCCAGCAAAGCTGTCCTTCAGAAATGAAGAAGATAAAGACTTTTTTAGAAAAAAAAAAGAAAAGTTGAGTGAGTCTTCACTATTGCTTGCCTTACAAGAAATGCTAAAGGGGGATTTTTAAGATTAAATAAAAGGCAGCTAATTAGTAACATTAAAACATATAAAAATATAAAACTAACTGGTAAAGTATATATATGGTTAAATTTAGAATATTCAAGCACCATAATGGTGGTGGTGTAAATCACAACATCATTATAAAGTTATAAGATGAATGTATGAAAAATGACTATAGCTATAATAAATTCTTAAGACATATAAAAAATGTAAACTGTAACATCAAAAGCACAATGTAAGAGAAGGGAAGTAAAAGTACAGAGCTTCTTTAGCAATCAAAGTGAAGATGTTATCGTCTTTAAGTGAATTGGTTAAACAATAAGAATATTTATGTAAGCCTCATGGCAACCACAAATTAAAAACCTATAGTAAATACACAAAAGATAAACAGAAAAGAATCAAAGCATACCACCGAGGAAAATGATCAAATCACAAAGGAAAACAACAAAGGAGTAATAAAGGAATAAAGGACCTACAAAGCAACCAGAAAACAATAAATTGACAATAATAAATCTTTACTTACCAACTATAAATAAGCAAATTTTGTCAATCAAAAGACAAAAAGTGGCTGAATTGATTTATAAAAATAAGATCCAACTAAATGCTGCCTACAAGAAACTCACTTCACCTTTAATAACACACATAGACTAAAAGTAAAGGGATAAAAAACAAAAATATTCCATGAAAATGAAAACCAAAAAAGAGCAGTAGCAGTTACATGTGTATCACACAAAATAGACTTTAAATACTGTCACAAGAGACAAAGAAGGTCATTAGATGTTGGTAAAAAAGTCAATTCATCAAGATAATAGAACAGTTATAAATATGAATACACCCAACATCAGAGCACCTAAATATATAAAGCAAATATTAACAAATCTAAAGCAAGAGATAGACTGCAATGCAATATTAATAGAGAACTTTAATATCTGATTTTCAACAATGGATAAATCATCCAGAAAGAATATTATTAAGAAAACATTGTCTTGAACTACTTCAGACTAAATGAATCTAATAGACATACACGGAATATTTGATCCAACAGCAGAACACACATTCTTCTCAAGCTTACACAGAATATTCTCCTGGACAGATTGTATGTTAAGCCACAAACAAGTCTTAACAAATTTCAGAAGACTGAAATCATATCAGATATATTTTCTGACCATAGTGGTATGAAACTAAAATCAATAATAACAGGAAAACTGGAAAATTCATGTACATATGGAAATTAAACAACCACCAATGGGCCAAAAAAAGAAGTCAAAAGGTAAATGTAAAAATATCTTGAGACACATGAAAATGGACATGACATACAAAAAGGTATGAGATGCAGCAAAAGTAGTTTTAAGGGAGAAATGTATAGTAATAAATGTTTACAAAAAAAAGACGAAAGGTCTCAAATTAACAACCTAACATTACAGCTCAATGAACTAAAAAAAGAACAAACTAAGCCCAAAGTTAGAAAAAAAGGACATAACAAAGATTAGAAAAGAAATCAATGAAAGTGAGACTAGAGAAACAGTAGAAAAGATCATGAAACTAAGATTGATTTTTGGAAATATAAATAAAATCAACAATACTTGATCTACACTGAGAAAAAATAGACTTAAATAAATAAAAGCCAAAATGAAAAAGGAAACATTACAACTGATGCTACAAAAAATATAAAGAATCATAAGATAATACTATGAACCATTACAAGTCAAAAGATTGGATAGCCTAGAAGAAATGGATAAATTCCTAGACACATACAGCCTACAAGACTGAATCATGAAAAGCTAGAAAATCTTAACAGTAATGAGTAAGGAGATTGAATCAATAATAAAATCTCCTATCAAAGAAAATCCTAGGACCTGATGGCTTCATAGTTGAATTCTACCAAATATTTTGAAAAGAACTAATACCTATCCTTCTAAAATCCTTCCAAAAAGTTGAAGAGGAGGGGATATTTTAAAACTCATTTTACAATGCCAACGCTGCCTTCATACCAAACCCAGATAAGGACACCAACAAGAAATATAGATTATAGGCCAATGTCCCTTGTGAACAAAGGTCCAACAATCCTCAACAAACTACTGGCAAACCAAATATACCAGGACATTAAAAAGATTTTGCATCACGACAAAGTAGGATTTATTCCTGGGATGTAAGAATTATCCAACATACACAATCAACAAATGTGCTACACCACATTAACAGAATAAGAAATAAAAACCATGAGATCATCTAAACAAATGCAGAAAAATCATTTGACAAAATTCAACATTCTTTCACAATACAAAATTTTCAACAAATTAATTATAGGAATGTACCTCAACACAATAAAGCCTGTATATCACAAGCCTATGATAAACATTATACTCGATGAGAAATTGAAATGTTTCCCTCTAAGATCAAGAACAAGACCACTCTCCCCACTTCCATTCAACATAGTACTGGACGTCATAACCAAAGTAATTAGGAAAAAGAAATAAAGTGCATCCAAATAAAAAAGTTAGTGTCTCTGTTAGAAGATGGCATGATCCTATGTAGAAAGAATCCTGAAGACTCCACTAAAAAACTGTTAGAACTAATAAGCAAATTCAGTAATTTTGCAGACTACAAAATCAACAGAAAAATTCAGTTGCATTTCTTTACACCAATAATGATCTATAGAAAGAAAAAGTCAAGAAAAAGTTATCATTATGAGCACAGCAAAAAGAATAAAATACTTACAAATAAATTTAACTAAAGAGGTAGAATATCTGTACACTGAAAAGTATAAAAGATTAATGAAATAAATTGTGGAAGACAAAAATAAGTGAAACATATCCCATATTCATGAACTGGAAGAATTAATATTGTTAAAAAGTCCATACTACTGAAAATGATCTGTACATTCAACGCAATCCCGATCAAAATGGCAATGAACATTTTTCACAGCAATGGAAAAAATAATTCTGAAATTCATATGCAACCATAAAAGAGCATGAAAAGCTTAAGCAATCTTGAGTATAAGTACAAAGCTAGAGGTATTAAACTTCCTGATTTCAACTCCATTACAAAACTGTAATAATCAAAACAGATGTTGCTGGCATAAAAACATGTATACCAATAAAACAGAATAGAAAGCTCAGAACTAAACTCACATACCTACAGTCAGCTAATTTTTTCAACTAAGGTACCAAGAATATACAATGTAAAGGACAGACTCGTCTATAAATGATGTTGGGAAATTGGATATCCACATGCAAAGAATCCGTGCTTCTCTTATTCCAATCACAAAAGTTAATTCAAAGTGGATTATAGACTTAACATAAGACCTGGCCCCATAAACTCCTAGGAGGAAACATGGGGAAAAGTTCCTGGATATTGGTCTCATCTTTATTTGTTTGATGAAAGAGAAATCTACAGAAAGGGAGAAAATATTTGTATACCATACATCCAATAAGGAGTTAATATCCAAAATATATACAGAACTTATACTACCAAATAGCAAACAAACAAGCTTCTAAATGGGCAAAAGATATTTTTAAAATGATTTCATAAAATGGGCAAAGGATCTGAATAGATATTTTTCCAAAGAAGATACACAAATGGCCAACAGGTATATGGAAAAAATGCTCAAAATCAGAAATCATCAAGGCAAATCAAAACCTCACTGAGATATCACCAACCACCTGTTAGATTGCCTTTTATCAAAAAGTCCAGTGATAGCATGTGTTGGCAAGGATGTAAAGGAAACCTGATATGGTTTGGCTGTGTCCCCACCCAAATCCCATCTTGAATTATAGTTCCCGTAGTCCTCACATGTCATGGGAGAGACCCAGTGAAAGGTAATTGAATCATGGGGGCAGTTTTCTCATGTTATTCTAGTGATAGTGAGTAAGTTCTTACAAGATCTGATGACTTTACCTGGGGCTTTATCCTTTACTCAGTTCTCAGTCTTCTCTCTCTTGCCACCATGTGAAGAAAGACATGTTTGCTTCCTCTTCCACCATGACTGTGACTATAAGTTTCCTGAGGCCTTCCCAGCCATGCTGAAATGTGGGTCAGTTAAACCTCTTTCCTATATAAATTACCTAGTCTCAGATATGTCTTTATTAGCAGTGTGAGAACGGACTAATACAAAACCCTTGTAAACTTTTGGTAGAGATATAAATTAGTGCAACCATTATTGAAGACAGTATGTAGGCTCCTCAAAAAAAAAAAAAAAAAAACTTCTCATATAATAACAGCAATCCCACTTCTAGGTATGTATGCAAAAGAAATAAAACCACTATCTTAAAGAGATATCTGCACTCTCAAATTCACTGCAGCATTGTAACACTAGCCAAGATATAGAAACAAACTAAGTGTTCATCTACAGATGCATAGATTTTTTTAATGTGGTACAAACACACACAATGGATTATTCAGCCTTAAAAAGAAGGAAATCCTGCCATTTGCCACATGGATAAACCTGGAGGACATTATGCTAAGTGCAATAAGCCAGATACATAACGACAAATACTACATGATATCCCATACAGGTGCAATATTTAAAAAAATCAAACTCATAGCAATGGACAGTAGAGTGGTGGTTAGCAGGGGCTGGGAAATGCCAGGAAAAAGATGTTGGTCAAAGGGTACAAACTTTCAGCTACAAGATGAGTAAGTACTGGAGACCAAATGTACAGTAGCTTCAAATTTGCTAAGAAAGTAGATCTCAAGTGTTAACACACACACATACACACATTATACACAAATGGTAATGATGTAACATGATGAATATATTAATTAGCTTGGTTGTGGTAATCATTTCATAAGTATGCATATACCCTAAATATATGCAAATTTTATTTGTAAATCATACCTCAATAAAGCCTGAGAAAATTGTAGTATATATATGCAATGGAGTATTATTCAGCCTTTAAAAAGCAACTTACAGAAGGACAAATACTGCATGATCTCACTTATGTGTGGAATCTAAAATACTCAAACTGAAGGTAGGATGGCGGTTGCCAAGAGTGGAAAGGAAAGGGAGAAATGAGGAGATAATGGACTAAAGGTTACAAAGTTTCAGTTATGCAAAAATGAGTGAGTTCTGGAGAGTTAATGCACAACATGGTGTCTGTATTACAATGCAATACTGTATTGGACAACTGAAATGTACTAAGGGAGTAGATCTTAAGGGTTCACACCACACACAGAAAAACATAACCCTGTGAGGTAATGGATATGTTAATTATCTTAAGTGTGATGATCATTTCACAGTGTACACATAGTTCAAAACATCAAGTTGCACATTTAAATATGTATGATTCTTATTTGTCAAATATACTTCAATAAAACTGGAAAAGGGGAATGAAGGAGAATAAGCTAGACCATGTGGCCACATGCTGGTTGACCTCCCACTGAAGGTCATTCCTCCTTTCAAATGGCTATCATAAATATCTCTTTTTGGGGTTTCTGTATTTCCTCCCTCTCTCAGTCCCTTCAGGCACAATGGTGTAAACAGCTCCACCCCATCTTACCCCTGGCCTGTGTGGTACTCTATACCTATAAATTCATAGACAGCATCTCGTTAAATAAATGTTTATCAAATTATCCTATATTAAGTGTGTCATTAACTTCCTGTTGGAACTCTAAATGATATAATTTTCTATAAATGTATCCTTCCTTGAGTGTATCAACTTGTTTCATCTTATTGACTGTACCTTTACAACTAAGATGTTTCTATATATTAGATAATATAAATTTTCACACTCTCCTTTCTGTTTTATGAACCTGGAGGGCTTCCATCTTCTGCTTTCATCCATTTCTGTTGTCTCCTATGCCTACTGTACATCTGTCATCTTAAAAGTGCCTTTTGATCCCTTCGTAGTTCATAAGCGTGATGACTGAGTTTTTGCACTCCTGTGTGAAATGTACCTCCCTCAAACCTTATGACATATATACATTACCTGACTCACATGAAGAAAGAAAAAAGAGATTGGGATTTTTTTTAAAGTGGCTTTAGCCACCCTGCATTGCATATATTAGTTTATTGATCTCATTTCTTCCTCTTGTTTTGCTGGGATATATTATCCCACACTTTCAAAAAAAGAGAGTACTTATGAAGTAAACTTTATAAATTTTTGTATGATTAAATATGCTTTATTCTATCTTCCTGATAGATTTGTTCTGTATAGAATTCTAGCCTGAAAATCAGTGTGAGAAACTTTTCCACTGTATTCTAAGGATGAGCTTGCTACAGAGCATACTCATGCCATTTGAATTTCTGTTCATTCGTGAGCTATACGGTTTTTTCTTAATAATTTTACAATATTTTCAATCGTTAAGGTGATAAAATTTCATAATAACGTGCCTTGGGATTTTTTTTAAATCTTGTGGTGGGCATTCAGTAAATCTTTCATATCGAGAAAATTAAGCTTTTCTGTTCTAAGAAATTTATTTTCATTGTTTCTTTTAAATCCATCCTTCTGTTTAATTTGTCCTCCTGGAATATGTGTGAGTTGAATGGTTTGCCCCTAACTTGATTCCTTGTGTTTCTTGTTTTTATCTTTCATGTTTTCTATTTCTTTGACATTTTCATTCTACTTTCATAGAGACTGTACTTTTATGACTTCTTTGACTACTTGTTTTATTTCTTTTAATGCCATATTAATTTTATTGTTCTTTTTGATTTTACCTTCCAAAAATAATTTTTCTATATTTTTTCAGTACATCATATTCTTATTTCAAGATTACAAATATTTTCTTTCATTGATGAGAAGATACAGTTTTTTACAGTTCCCCCCCCCCCCCGAATTACCTCTAATTCCACCAGTTTCCTTTTGGCTTTTTTAAAGACTTACTTTTTTCTTTTTTTCAAAAGCCTTATGTAAATTTTAGATTGATCTCTTAAGCCAGCTTACTAACTGGCAGGCTTCTGGTCAGGGTTCCAGTAGAAAGGTAGCCATTTCATTTGTAATCTCCAAAGGCAGATGTGACATTAACATTCAGTTTCTTAAACAAAGGTGCCAATGTTCTGTCTGTGACTCATATGCTACCGTTAGCATCTGGGAGCAGAAAGAGAGGATAGAAGATTGAACTGTTCCTTTCTCTTAATCTTCATTAGCAGCCCTGAACCTCACCTCCCGCTGACCTGGCATCCTGCATCCCAATCATCGTAGGGATTCCAGGAAATGAATCTCTCCCCTTTTCCTCACTATTCCTCTTGTTGGGAATTTAGACTTAGCCTTCCCGACCCTCCCAAATCAGTTACTACTTTTTTGTCTTACCTTTTCCAAACTTTTGTTGAAATCTCTTCTCTGCATCTAACTCCTGTCCTGTTTCTTTGTTCCTGTGGGTCTCAGCCATTTTTTTCTTACTGCAAGTGTTGTTATTTTTATTATTAATACTTTGCTCTTAGGAGGGAAAAGGAAACCTAATGTATTCTATCATTTTTAATATAATTTGTGGGTTTGTTGTCTATCTTAAAAAATCAGGAGTTTAAAAAAAGGATAGAATGACCCTTTTGCAAAGGGAAAGTAATATGAAAATAACTATAAGGACATGCAATAACTATAAAGAAATTTTAATAATCAAAATGTTAATGGTGATCATGTATGAGAGGGCTGGAGTAGACAAACCATTTTAAAGACTTTTCAAAAGTCCCACCAACCAACTACTATTAACATCAGATTGTCCACTGGGCTTCAAAAGGAATATCTTTTTCTTATAAGGTCATTCTAAATTATTGAATTGAAGTTTAAAAGAGCCTGAGGCAAGTCAATGCAATATTTTAGTTGGGCCACCATGAATAATGTCAGGTCCCCATTACTAAGGAAAAAAATAGAAATTGGAGTTACAATCAACAGATTTTGACAAGTACCTACTGTGCAAGCCCCTCTAGTCCATACATGAAGAGTAGAAAAGAATATACATCATTTGTATTCTTCATAAGTTGTAGATCTCAGATAAAAATCCACTAAAAAAGAGAAAAAGGTAAGTGATATTTTATAAATTGCATACAGGATTGCTTAAGGCATATAGAAAATAAATGTTGAACAAAAATAATCAGGGCAGAATTCTTGAACAACATCAGTCATGAGACAAGATCTAAGAAAATTTCTTAGAAGAAAAATGCCTTTTCCAGAATACTGAGAATACTTAACTATTTTTCAACTTTACTAAGAATACCACAAGAAGAAAATGTGCTTATTCCATTTTGTTGTTTTAAGGAACTGAAGACAAGTTCAACTAAAAATTTATAATAGAATTACATCTCCTTAGTCATTTCAATGGTACAAATACCAACTCATTTTAGTTGCTTTAATCTAGTCTGTTTTTATTGGCAAAAAAGTAAGATTTCTTTCAGTAAAGATAGTATTATAGTAATGGGTAGAAGAGTATTCAAATTCTCCAAGAGGGTCTTTGAAGAAATTGCTGTCCACCTCAAAATATGTAAAGTTCTATTTTTTTTTTTCCTGCACAGAAACCATCCTTTGGGCAATTTGTTGATTTATACTAACCCTCTTCATTATAGGAAGTATGTATTTCTATGTCTGCATTTGTTGTATTGTATTGTAATTATCTCCTTGCAAATCTGTTTCCCTGACTAGATTTTGCAATATGTATAAGAAAAGACTAGAGAAGGACGAAAAAGAAAACAAAAGAAGGAGGGAAAAGGTGCAGCTTCTGGTAAATTAGACCTCTTTTTTGAAGAGACATGATATGGTGAGAAGATATGATCAGGGATATCTTTCTCTTATAACCCCACTCTAAATTACTGAATGGTAGCTTAAGAGAGTTTGATGTGAATAGAAGGGATTTAACGAGGTTAAATGAGATATTGAGTAGGAGTGTTAACTCTTGTACTCTAGAAGAGAGAATAAACCTTGCCAAGTATGGAAAGGTTTAAGTTTAGCCCGTCTAAAATAGCCTCAAATTATTTCCTGTTAGACAAAATATAAAAGCTGCATTTTAGGAACTGTTTTTTTAATTATTAGTAAATTAGGGATCATTGAAGGTATCCACTAATTCAGTGATTTTGCAATTCTGACAAACTATCCTCTCTGCTTTTCCTTCAAGGAGATCTTGCTACTCCATAGCCACCTCATGGCATTCTTTACTCCTCATTCCTCAGAGTATAGATGAGTGGGTTCAGCATTGGGGTGATGGTGGTATAGAACACAGACACAGCTTTATCCAATGGGAAAGTAGTGGATGGAGATAAATAAAGATACACGGAACAAAGAAGAAAGTTACTATAGTCAGATGAGATCCACAGGTAGAGAGAACTTTGTGTCAGCTCTCTGCAGACTGTTTTTGAAGACTAAACAGAATGACTGTGTAGGAGGCCAAAAGAATGAGGAAACACCCCAGGGAGATGAGACCACTGTTGGCAACCACCAACATATTTACCAGAGTTGTATCAGCACAGGCAAGTTTTAGGACTGGGTGGACATCACAAAAGTAATGGTCTATAACCTGAGCATTACAGAAGGGCAGCTGGAAGGTCAGGACGGTCTGAACAAAGGAATGACCCAGGGCCCCCAACCAGGACAGTGATGCCAGCACAGTATAAGCATTAGCACTCATGATGACAGTGTAACGGAGGGGTTGGCAGATAGCAGCATAGCGATCAAAAGCCATGACAGTCAAAACAAAAATCTCAGCACAACCAAAAAAGTGGAAGGTAAACATCTGAGTTATACAGCCCCAGTAGGAAATAGTCTTTTTCTCAGAAACAAAGTCTTCAATCATCTTGGGTGCTGTGGCTGAGGAACAGGCAATGTCCACAAAAGACAGGTTACTGAGGAAGAAATACATGGGTGTGTGTAGTCGGGAGTCAGAAAAGACCATAAGCAAAATGAGCAAATTTCCCACCATGATCACGACGTAGAAGAGGAGAAATAAGACAAAGAACATCAATTGCATTCCAGAATCTTGGGAAAGTCCCAGGAATATAAACTCAGTGACATTGTTGGCCACTTTCATGGGGCCCCAGGCAGGACTCGTGGAGTGACTCTGGTTCTCTGCAAAAATAAACACGTTATAAACCATGGTAAGCATAGTAAAGCCTATCAGTAAGAGTCTTGTGAAAACACCTATATGATGTTAAATATGGTAGAGAAAGTTCTTCATATTTCTTGAACATAGTTCATGAATATTTTTCTTGTCTTTAGCTTGATTTCCACACTATTGACTCACATTTGAATTTCTTTCATAATTAGTCTTATAGTTCCTCTTTTCCATACAAGAACCTAGAGAATCTGAGTCTTTTTTATTGAATTTAATGTTTTTCCCTAATCAGCGCTCTCTCTCCCCCCACCTCCAACTTCTCTTGTCAGAAATTTACTTTGGAGTGAGAACTTTGTTTAAATAAATTAATTAATTTTTTGAGGCTGTAAATAAAAGCATGAAGTCAGAGTATAAGATCTGATGTATAAAATTTCAGAATCCTTCAAATATAATGTATGCTACTCACCTATAGAAAAGTAACATTTTATTTAATCAAGAGAGGAAGACTCAGTTTCCAATTTCTCAATTAGATTAAAAGTCTCTAAATATCTCCTAGATTTTGGTCTAGGATTTTCATAGTTTGTGGCCTTACATTTAAATCTTTAATCTATCCTGTTAATTTTCTTACATGCTGAAAAGCAAGGGTCTAGCTTCATCCTCCTGCACTTTGCACATCAAGGAATTAGAAAATAAAGGACAAACCAACTCCATAGCTAGCAGAAGAAAAGAAATAACAAAAATTAGAGAACAACTTAATGAAAGTGAGGTGCAAAAATCTATACAAAACGTCAATGAAACCAAGAGTTAGTCTTTTGAAAAAATAAGATTGTTAGACTGCTAGTTAGATTAAAAAAAAGTAAAAAAAAAAGAAGATCCAAATGAGTACAGTCAAAAAGTACAAAAATGACATTACAACTGATCCCACAGAAATACAAAAGATCCTCAGAGAATACTATGAACAACTGTATGCACACAAATTAGAAAATCTGGAAGAAACGGATAAATCCCTGGAACAACACAATCTCCTAAAATTGAATTAGGAAGAGACTGTAATCCTTAATAAGTCAATATCAAGCTCTGAAATTGAATCAGTAATAAAAAAAAAAAACTCTACTAACCAAAAAAAGCCCAGGACCAGAGGAATTCACAGTTGAATTCTACCAGACATATAAAGAAGAAATGGTACCAATCCTACTGAAAGTATTCCCAAAAAAATCAAAAAGGAAGGGCTCCCCCCTAACTCATTCTATGAAGCTAGCATCAGCCTAATACCAAAATCTGGCAGAAACAAAACAAAGAAAGAAAACATCAGGCCAATATCCTGATGAACATAGATGCAAAAATCCTCAACACAATACTAGCAAACCAAATTCAGCGGCACATCAGTAAGTTAATTCACCACGATCAAGTAGGCTTTGTTCCTGGAAACAAAGAGAGACTTGAAAATGCAAAAGGGAATACAAAACGCTCTTGCTTTTCTTAAAATAACGCTACCAATTCCAGCTATCAACAGGACATTTAAAATGATTTGCCAAGACTATACATTTTGCTATGAAAGAGAGCATCAGAAAAAGGGGATGTTGCAGCCGGCTTATACTAAGAGAAAGCCTGGAGCTCTATGTTCTTGAAACATGCCTGGTAATCCCTAGCACCACTCAAATCTTTCTGGTAACTCACACACTACTCTCGGGCAGTTTCCTGCACTTCAGGATATTCAAAATATTACCTTCAGGATATCATACTGCTCTTCAGGATATTCAACGTATGCAAAAAACTCTAAAAGTGTAGAGCAGAGTAAAGCAAAAAAGAAGAACATGATGTTCCAGGTATGCCATTCTCACCCTCACCCATACTATTTAGAAATCTCCCAAATGGCAGCCTAGTTCCTAGTCTGTGAGGAGTCCTTCTGTAGCAATATATACATATACACATACGTACATATGGCTTCTTAAATATGAAGTCATTAACTCCCAACACAAAAATAAAAATACATTTTTTGTCCCTATATCAAGAAAGCTCTTACATGACCAGGGTTATTGGCATTTTCCAGTATATCCTAGTATTAGATGGAGTTTCAGACTTTTTTTCACAAGTATATTTTTCAGCTAAGTAATCATAAATACCTCTCTATGGCAATTCATTAGGAGATAAAGTGACAAAATATAAAAAACATTATAAAAATTTGTCATTATCTTATTATATAGTAAATAGAATAAAGACTTTTCATAGCCATAAAATATTGCAAGGATCCTATGTCAGAGATAGATAATCTTAAATATAAATGTTTAAGTTAACCTTTTTAGGGATCTTCCAGCTCTGAAGCTCCTATACAGGTATTATAGAAATTAAGTAATCTAGCCAGGTGTCGTGGCTCACGCCTGTAATCCCAGCACTTTGGGAGGCTGAGGCAGGCACATCACCTGAGGTCAGGAGTTCAAGACCAGCCTGGCCAACATGGAGAGACCCTGTCTCTACTAAAAATACAAAAACTAGCCAGGCATGGTGGCCGGTGCCTGTAATCCCAGCTACTTAGGAGGCTGAGGCAGGAGGATCACTTGAACCTGGGAGGCAGAGGTTGCAGTGAGCCAAAATCGTGCCACTGCACTCCAGCCTGGGAGACAAGAGTAAGACTCTGTCTCAAAAAAAAAAAAAAAAAAAGAAAGAAAGAGAAAGAAGAAAGGAAGGAAGAAAGAGAGAAAGAGACACAGAAAGAAAGAGAAAGAAAGAAGCAATCTGTATAATTGGGATAAATACACTTTCTGAGGAGAAATAAAATATTAACTTAATTATATAATTATTAGCTTTCTTTTTTTTTTTTTCTTTGAGACCGAGTTTTGCTCTTGTTGCCCAAGCTGCAGTGCAGTGGTGCGATCTCAGCTCACTGCAACCTCTGCCTCCCGGGTTCAAGTGATTCTCCTGACTCAGCCTTCCTGAGTAGCTGGGATTACAGGATTACAGGCATGCGCCACCATGCACGGCTAATTTTGTATTTTTAGTAGAGATGGGGTTTCTCCATGTTGGTCAAGCTGGTCTCAAACTCCTGACTTCAGATGATCTGAACACCTTGGCCTCCCAAAGTGCTGGGATTACAAGCAGCTTTCTTGATTGATTACATTTTTTCTAAGTGGTCATGGGCAAGTCACTTAACTCAGAGTTCATTTTCAAAAATGAAGTTAGGTAAATTTATTCCTCAAACATGTTTGAGACTCAGAGGTAATAACTGTGAGCATCTCAAGAATGAGTGCTTTCAACCACAGTTCATTTCTTCCTCCTTTCGAGGCTAAAACTCTTAAACATTATGGTCAGTTGAAGAGCCAGCTTACCTATTCACCCTCACTGTAATTCCACTCAAAGAAAAACTCAATGTGAAACTGGGTACCTCTTCTTGAGAAGCCTCTACAACAGAATACTAACAGCTTCCATCACCCCTGCACTCCTGGACTTCCTTTCTCTCACACGTAAACTTTGCTAAGAGCATATGTTCATTAGAGTGATGCCTGACTACATTTCTAAAACTTGGGACACTGTGGAACACAGTTCTGAGGTAAATACTACTACATAGGTGGTTGTTACTGTTCTCAGGCTTTGTTATAACAGAACAAAGAAATTCACACTACTTCAGAAGAGGATCTGATGAGACATCAGAAGGAACTTCCTAACACTAGGAATCATTAAATGCTGGAGGAAAGGAACACAAAAAGAGATATATCTTGTTTCATTTGAATAGATTAAAAAGTGGAACAAATTGAATAAATGAAGAGTACTTAGAACATGAAGATAGAAAAGTTGATCTTTCAATTAATGCTTGTTATTTGTGGCCAGTAAATTCTACTGAGTTCCCGAGTTCTCTTGATTATGGTCAAAAGGCATAGGTGGCTTTCCAGAGTGCCACCTGTGCTTTTAAATTGTAATCAAGAGTGATCTATTATAATCTTTAGGCTATCTTTTTTATACCAAAGTCATCAAAATGGTTTTTAGACATGTACAAGATGAGTTAAGAGTCTTCCAAGAAAGAGTATGTTTTTCAAATCACCTCTTCTGCTCATTCTTTAACAAGGAAATGGAATGTCACATGGTTTTATCCTCAGCTTCTTCATAGCTGTCTTCATATCAGCATTTCTGAGTGTGTAGATGAGGGGGCTCAACATAGGTGTCATCACTGTGTAAAACATGGAGAATATCTTATCCACAGAGAAGCTGCAGAAAGGCCTCAGATAGATGAATATACATGGCATGAAGATCAGGCTGACCACTGTCAGGTGAGAAGCACAGGTAGAGAGGAACTTGTTCTGGCCCTGGCCGAAGTGTGTTCTCAGGGTGATCAGGATGACAGCATAAGAGAATAGTAAGACCAAGAAGCAGACAAGAGAGAGCAGACCACTGTTGGCTATCATCAGCACCTCTACCACATAGGTGTCCATGCAGGCCAGCTTGATGACCTGTGGGACATCACAGTAGAAGTTGTCCAGTTCATTGGGGCCACAGAAAGGCAGCTGGATGACTAGTATGACCTGCATGATAGAGTGGATAAAACCCCCACACCAGCAGGCAAGAACCAACCAAAGGCATAGCTGGGGGTTCATGACTTATAAGGTAGCGCAAAGGGTTACAGATGGCAACATACCTGTCATAGGCCATAACTGTCAGCAGAAACATCTCACTGGCTCCTAGAAAGTGGAGGAAGTAGATCTGGGCCAGGCATCCTGAAAAAGAGATGCTCTTGCCCTGCTGTAGGAAATCCCCTAACATCTTTGGCAGAGTAACACAGCTTAGGCATAGGTCAATGAAAGAGAGATGACCTAAAAAATAATACATAGGAGATTGGAGCAGATGAGCATGGGCTTGCACTGTTACCACTATCAAGAGGTTTCCCAGGACAATAGCAATGTAAAAAAACAAAAATAGTAATAAGAGAAATAGCTGCAGCTCCCAAGAAGATGATAGGCCCAGAAGAACAAGTTCTGTCACGTTAGAATCTTGTTTTTTTTCATCAAGCCAAGAATATCAAGTGACCTAGAGAAAGAAGAATTAAATCAGAACAAGGGAGATTTAAGGTATCAATCTATCTACGTATCTATCTATATAGATAGATATAGATATACACTATATATATAGTATGTAATACATAAATTACATAAAAATTATTTTAGCAAATTCTATGAGGTAGTATAGGCAGTAGTCTTATATTGATAGAACATTGAATTTTGTTCACTTCTTCCAACTCTTTATTCCTGTACTACTTTTAAATTGCATTCACAATAAACTAGAAAGAAACACAATGACCTGGACATGAGGTGGTAAGTGCTAATCTTTCCATTTCTTTTAATAGACAGAATAATGTCCTCTAAGGACAAAAGTTCTGGAATGGAGTATCTAGATCGAATGCCTAGCTCCACCATTACCAATGGAGTACTCTCAGGCAAGGAAATAAACCTCTCTGAATTTTGTTCTTTGGTTATTCAATTTAATGCAGAGTTAATAATATCTCCCAAGATTGTTCTGAGAATCAAATGTAATGCCTATGTGCACCATAAAAAAAAACTAGATCTCTCAAGATGAGGAAATATCTTACTCATCTTTGTATCCACAACACAATATTTACTGCATAGCAGAAGCTCAATAATTTATCAAATCGAAGGAAGAATGTTTTGTAAACAACAAATTGCTATGTTGTACAAAGTTTAGTAGTTACTGTGAATAAATATATTAGGAAACAAATCATTTAGGAAGGATTGAAAAAGCTCATATTTTTTGTCTTTACTATCCCAGGTTACAGAAATTGGGAAGTTTGTAAAAATGAGGTAAGAAGAAACAGTCTCAATCTTTAAGATTTAGGGAAGCATCAGACTGGGGATGAGTAGGACAATGATTAAAAGACACCAATCACCAAGACAAGAGACCAAGAGCCATGACCCATATCGTGGAGGCATGCACAAAAGCCCACCATGACCCTTTTACAGGACAAAGTAATAAGAGAAACCAGAGTTGTGTTGCTTCTGGACTTTTCAACAACCATAGATACATAAGAAAATAAAAGATTTGCTAAGATATTGTTAGATATATTTTCCCCTGCTCTACACTCATATTCATCCCCAATGTTTGGTGACAGTACCTTGGATTACAAACAGAAAATCAGAGAATGTTGATACATTTCTTCCATTGCAGTAGTTAAAAATTAGTAGATGTCTCCCTGTCTAGAATTTTTTTTTATCTAGAACCAGCTATAGACAAAATATGAAATAAGACAAGATTTTATTTTGTGTTCCAAGCTTTGTAATCCATGTTGCACTTGGTTCTATCAAGTCATTCAGAGAATGTTATCCAATAAAATCCTTCATAATAGATATCAGGTATTTACATAGACAATGCAGAAAAGTACTTAAATTCTAAAAATGAAAACCTCTAATGACAAGAAAACTTTCTCTAGGGTATTATTCCAAGATAAGCCAGTGAGAGAGAGATTTGGGGCTCAAGTCACATTTGGACGCCTCTGTCACACCATGATTGTGACCATCCTCTTCATCTACCTATATAGCCAAGTGCACAGGTGCATCTAAATCTATAATCTCATAACTGATAGAAGGAATCACCTCACTTTCTAGAGTCAATTGGAAAATAAACCAAAGCAAGAAATACAAGTTAGGGAACGATTTGCTGTTATGTGTACAGCCCTACTTGAGCTCTGCTATATTGGAAATTCTCTAATCTTTTTTGGATGCACCAAGGATTGTAAAGTTCCATAAGAAAACATCATTTTGATGTTCTTTTCAGTTATCTAAAATGTATAATTAACAGGGGTCAAGTCTCATTAAAATTATGCATCTAATTTTTAAAATAATCTTGGGAAAACTGGAAAAGTCTGAGAAAGAGAAACCAAAGTTATTTTTTTAATTAAAAAAGGTTTCTAGAAGCCAGAAAACAATGGGAACACATAATCCTACACACTGTTATAATTTAGTCTCAGAATATGGCTGAGAAACAATGTGATTATTTCCTAATGTGAAGGGCATAGTATACCAAGGGTGTACGGTACACTTGTTATTTCCACTGAACATATGTTGGGAAAGAAAAGATTACATTAAAACAGACAATATTAAAATTAAATAAATCAGAAGGATAGATTAAATAAGAGAAGAATATGTAAAATATGTTATAACCCAAATTACTACAAACCATTTATAAGCCTGATTTTATGGCCTACTTGTTTAAAGTAAGATTTAATATTAGGAAATTTCAGCACTATAAATATTCTGAACAGTTCCTAGGTGATTACTGTGATAAGATTTTGATTAATAATGATATAAAAATCTTTACACTTGCATAAGTTAAAAATAGGCAGCCCTGTATGTTAGTTATTTGAGTTTTAATCAAGGTAAGGGCTGGATTCTGGTTATTCTTGGATTTTTTTTTTAATGACAGTAAATTTGCAATCTTCAGACAATATAAAACATAATACTAAACAATATAGAAAGCTCCCTTTTAGGTTTAATAACATTTCCACATTTGGTTGAGTCATCTCCCAGCTTCTGAAGTCTGATCACAGTAGGAAATTAAGCCTGTCACTGTTCTGCAAAGAATAAAAAGAACAATACACCCAACAACATGAATGAATGTCTACATCCCAAAACTAACCCCAGTCACAATATAATTTCCCTTGCCAAAGCCCTGCAGAGCTTGGAAAGCCACATTCAAAAATACCAGCTCCATTATCCCATTAGCAGTAAGATCAGACCCTACCAAGCATTTCATGTTTCATATCCTAAAAATAACCTAAGAATGTGAAAAAGTCAATAAAAATATTTTTAAGTACACAAAATGAGCCAAAAAAATTGAGAATGCTTAATGCAAAATGAAAGTCTTTATGGAAGGGTCCTGCTTAGAGAGAAGAGGACAAACTAAAGCACCTTAAATAATCAAAGGCTACTTGTGTACAGCTGAGCAGCTGGTCTCTCGTCTTTCTAAACAAGGAACCAGAGATGTTTATGAGGAAAATATGAAGAAAAGGAGTAAAATTTTTCTCCTGGTAACTTGTGCATGTGTGTGTTTTAAGCATAACAGTATACCATATTTTGCTATTATGTTTGTCTTGTATTTATTTTGGTCTGTGTGGAGCTAAATGCATTATTAGAGGAGGAAATTTGACTATCTCAACAATAGAAAATAATTGGCTAGCTGGAGTTTCAATTCCATATGAATTCCTTTTAGACGCATTTGATGCATTTTTAAATTTCTCCTGAAAACCAAGAAGTGGACACCATTAGTTGAAGATGGTACCTATAGTGGTATTCTCTATTGAGAAAGAAACAATCTTTCTGTTCTAAACTTCTTTGGCCTTGTTTGAAACATTGCATTCTATATTGTACCTGTGGAACGTAAAGAAGATTTTAGTAAAAAGAAACTTTAATAATTAAAGAAATGGAAAACAGAATCTAGAAGGGACTATAACAGAATTAGGTAGTCTTAAGACAATATTGCCATGAAACCTGTGCCTTCAGTTATGTAAATTTGGTCCTATCGTATCCAAATATTGCAACTGTCTTCTAAGATGCCACTAGCCCTAGAATTCCTTGATGCTATAGGAATTTCACTGTTCTGTGAATGTTTCTAAGTGTAAATTTAAAACAACAAAACTCAAATGATCTCTTAAATTTAAAAATGATCAATGCCAGAGTATATAGAGAAAAAGAGTGAGGACAACAGTAAACATAAAAATAGCATCAGAGTCAGACAGAGGAGCAGGAAGGGGAGGGGAGCTTTGAGTAAATATATCTGAGAAACCTACATCTTTGCTTGTCAGAAGCTATGTGGTTTCAAGGAAGGAAGATGTTATCCTGCCATTCATCCTACCAACCCTCTCTTCAGCCTCAGGCCAGCAAAATGGACAATCCTCAGGTGACCATCACAGCTGCCCAGCACATGTCTTAATTGCTTCCTTATAAGCCAAGCCCTAGTTGACGGCTGGCTGTATGAACTGGAAATATCTCCTATCCCTAGGACTCTAGCTGTATCTGAGGTTGCTATGGTTCTTACAACACTACTTAGCTTAATGAGCCCTGGGATTCCCTAGGCTGCTGCTGTTTGAGTTCTGTTAAATTTAGTTCTTGCTAGGAAGTTGACCTTGGGACCTGCAGGCTCTGAAGCAATTAGACCTGTTGCATAACAGAACCCACTTATTTTACTTACTTTGGATTGATTTATTTGTAATTTGTCATTGATTTGTTTGTATATGCCATCCATTTTCAATGCCTCAGTCTGTATCTGAAGAAGATTCTCACTGGTTTTTATCTCAATCATGCTCCTTGAAGTAGCAGAAGCTGAAGGATAAATACCAACCTAAGGTATTTATCTCTGAGATAATTCCAGGGATAGCTTGGTATTTATCCTTTAAGGTAATATAGAGTGTCTTGATACAACACCTGATTTCTTGAAACCTCAAGCAGCTTACCTACTGGCATTTATTCATAGATCGTATCCAGAAAACACAGCTGTTGTCATTAGTAATTTAATTTTTTATAGACTGTCAGTCTAATTTTTAAATATCATAAAACATAATTCTCAAACAAATACATAATGAACACATCAAAAACTGTATTTAATTAATGAGGGATAGCAGGATAACAAAGTCCGTTCCAAAAAGAATATGAAAAGTGTGATTTTACATAATCACAGCAAAAAAATGAACACTAAAATAAAATTGTTAAATTTGATGTAATCCAGTTAATGTCTCATGACACAGATTTACCTATATAACAAACCTGCACGTGTACCTCTGAACTTAAAAGTTAAAAATATCAACATAACAAAAATATTCATATTTTTTCATACAGCTCTAAAAAGGGGCAATACGACCTTAATCTTTGGGATTATCTTTTCTACCACACTAAAAAGATACAATGTAGCAGTTTTCTATAACATCTAGCTATATGTAATTATACAATGTCTGAGATTCCATAATTCATATATAGTAAGTTAAACAAAATCACATTTGCTAGAGAGTCAGATGACCCTTAGCTGGGCTTGCTAAACAATGTTTTTTGTTTTGTTATTTTTTATTTCTGTGGGTACAGAGTAGGTGTATACATTTATAGAGTATGAGATATTTGGGTACAGGCATACAATACATAATAATCGCATCATGGTAAATGGGGTATTCGTCCCCTCAAGCATTTATCCTTTGTGTTACAAACAATCCAATTATATTCTTTTGGTTATTTTTAAATGACAATTGAATCATTATTGACTATATTCACCCTGTTGTGCTATCAAATACTAAATATTATTTATTCTTTATATCTTTTTGTACCCATAACTATCCCCATTTTTCCACATCCCACACCTCCACCATCCTTCTCAGTTTTTGGTAACCATCATTCTACTCTTTATCTGCATGATTCGATCGTTTTAATTTTCAGTTCCCACAAGTAAGTGAGAATATGGGAAGTTTGTCTATCTGTGCCTAGCTTATTTCACTTAACACAATAATCCCCATTTCCGTCCATGTTGTTGCAAATGATCTGATTTTTTTTTATGGCTGAATAGTACTCTATTGTATATGTATGTGCCACATTTTCATTATTCATTCATCTATTGATGGAAACTTAGGTTGTTTCCAAATCTTGGCTATTGTGAACAAAGCTAAAACAAACATGAGAATGCAGATAACTCTTTGTTATACTGCTATTTTTTCTTTCGGGTCTACATCTAGCAATGAGGTTGCAAGATCGTAAAGTAGCTCTACATTTAGTTTTTGGGGGAATCTCCAAACTGTTTTCCATAGTGGTTGTACTAATTCACATTCCCACTGACAGAGTATGAGAGTTCCCTTTTCTCCTCTTCCTCACCAGCATTTGCTATTGCCTGTGTTTGGATAAAAGCCATTTTAAATGGGGTGAGATGATACCTCATTGTAGCTTTGAGGAACATTTCTCTGATGATCAATGGTGTTTGAGCACCTTTTTATGTATCTGTTTGCTATTTGTATTGTCTTTTGAGAAATCTCTATTCAGATCCTTTGCCCATTTTTAAATTAGATTATTAGGGTTTTTTCCTATAGAGTTGTTTCCTGGTTATTAATCCCTTGTCAGATGGGCAGTTTGCAAATATTTTCTCCCATTCTGTGGGTTTGATCTTCACATTGATTGTTTTTCCTTGGATGTGCAGCAGCTTTTTAACTGGATGTGATCCCACTTGTCCGTTTTTGCTTTGGTGACCTGTGTTTGTGGAGTGTTGCTCAAGAAATCTTTACCCAGACCAATATCTAAGAGAGTTTCCCCCAATGTTTCCTTTTAGTAGTTTAATTTTTTGAGGTCTTAGATTTAAGCCTTTAATACATTTTAATTTGATTTTTGTATATGCCAAGAGATAGGGGTCTTGTTTCATTCTTCTGCATATGGATATCCAGTTTTCCCAGCACCATTTATTGAAGAGACTGTTCTTTCCCCAATGTATGTTCTTGGCACTTTTGTAGAAAATGAGCTCACTGTTGATGTACGGATTTGCTTCTGGGTTCTCTATTCTGTTCCATTGACCTATGGGTCTGTTTTTTATGCCAGTACCATGTTGTTTTGGTTACCATAGCTTTATAGTGTAGTTTAAAGTCAGGTAATGTGATTTATCCAGTTTTGGTTTATTTGTTCAGGATAGCTCTGGGTATTCTGGGTCATTTGGTTATATCAATTTTAGGATTGTTTTTTCTATTTCTGTGAAGAATGGCATTGGTATTTTGATAGAGATTGAATCTGTAGATTGCTTTTGGTAGTATAACATTTTAACAATGACTGTTTCAGCTAATGAACATGGAATATCTTTCCGTTTCTTTGTGTCTTCTTTAGTTTCTTTCGTCAATGTTTTATAGTTTTCATTGTAGTGATTTTCACTTTTTTGGTTAATTCCTAGGTATTTAATTTTATTTGTAGCTATTGTAAATGGGATTACTTTCTTGATTTGTTTTTCAGACAGTTCACTGTTGACATATGGAGATGCTACTGACTTTTATATGTTGATTTTGTATCCTGCAACTTTACTAAATTTGTTTATCAGTTCTAATAGTGTTTTGGTGGAGTTTTTAGGTCTTTCCTAATACAAGATCACATCATCTGCAAACAAGGATAATTTGACTTCTTCCTTTCCAATTTGGATGCCTTTTATTTCTTTCTCTTGTCTGACTGCTTTAGCTAGGACTTCTAGTACTATAGTCAATGAAGTGGTAAAAGTTGGCATTCTTGTTGTGCTCCAGATATTAAAGGCTTTCAGTTTCTTTCCATTCAGCAAAATTCTATCTGTGGGTCTGTCATATATGGCTTTTATTATGTTGCAGTTTGTTCCTTCTATACCCAGTTTTTTAGAATTTTTATGATGAATGGATGTTGAACTTTATCAAATTTTTCAGCATCAGTTGAAATGATCATATGCTTATTCTCCTTCATACTGTTTATTGTTTATCATATTGATTGATTTGCACATATTGAACCATTCTTGCATCCCTGGGATAAATCCTACTGTGGGAGCTAAAAATTAAAACAATTGAACTCATGGAGATATAGAGTAGAAGGAAAGTTATCAGAAACTGAGAAAGATAGTGGTTAGGGGGATGGGAGGGCAGGTAGGGATGGTTAATGGGCACAAAAAGTAGTTAGAAAGAATGAATAAAATCTAGTATTTAATAGTACAAGAGGATGACTATTGTGTATTATAATTTAATTGTACATTTTAAAGTAACTAAAAGAGTGTAATTGAATTGTTTGTAACCCAAAGGATAAAAATGCTTGAGGGGAATGGATACCCCATTTACCATTATGTGATTATTATGCATTACATGCCTGTATCTAAGTATCTCATGTACTCAATAAATATATGCACCTACCACATACATACCAAAGTTTAAAGTAAACTAAAAAAAAAGAAAAAGCCAGGCACGGTGGCTCACACCTGTAATCCCAGCACTTTGGGAGGCCAAGGCAGGTGGATCAACTGAGGTCAGGAGTTCAAGATCAGCCTGGCCAACATGATAAAACCCCATCTCTACTAAAAATACAAAAAAAAAATAGCTGGGCATGGTGGTGGGCACCTGTAATCCCAGCCACTCGGGAGGCTGAGGCAGAAGAATCACTTGAACCCAGGAGGTGGAGGTTGCAATGAGCTGAGATGGCACCATTGCACTCCAGCTTGAGCAACAAGAGCGAAACTCTGTCAGAAAGAAAGAAGAAAGAAAGAGAGAGAGAGAGAAAGAGAGAAAGAAAGAAAGAAAGAAAGAAAGAAAGACAGAGAAAGAAAGAAAGAAAGAAAGAGAAAGAAAGAAAAGAAGGGAAGGGAAGGGAAGGGAAGGAAAAGAGAGAGAGAAAGAAAGAAAGAAAGAAAGAAAGAGAGAGAGAGAAAGAAAGAAAAGAAGAGAAGGGAAGGGAAGGGAAGGAAAAGAGAGAGAGAAAGAAAGTAAGTAAAAAGAAAGGAAGGAAGGAAGGAAAGAAAAAAAAAGAAAAGAAAGAAAGAAAGAAAAGAAAAAGAAAGAAAGAAAAAAGAAAAGAAAGAAAATAAATTACAAGGCAATAACATGATCTTAGATGCAAAAATTCTCAACAAAATACTAGCAAACTGAATCCAATAACACATTAAAAAGACAGTTCACCACGCCCAAGTGGGTTTTATTCCAGGAATTCAAGGGTTATTCAGTATAAATGAATCAAAAAGTTTGATACATTACACTGATAGAATAAAAGACAAAAAGTGTATGATCATTTCAATAGATACAAAAACAGCATCTGATAAAATTTATCATTGCTTCATGATAAAAATTAAACAAATTTAGGCATAGAAGGAGCATACCTCAACATAATAAAGGCCATATATCAGAAACTCACAGTGAAAATCATACTGACGTAGGACAAACAGAAAATCCTTCTTCTAAGAACTGAAAAACGACAAGGATTCTCACTTTCACAACACCTATTTCATATAGTATTGGAAGTTTTGGCCAGAGTATCAGCAAGAGAAAGAAATAAAACGCATTCAAATTGGAAAAGAAGTCAAATTGTTTCTCATGGCAGATGACATGATCTTATATAGAGAAAAACATAAAAACGTTATCAAGACAACTCTTAGAAGTGATAAGTGAATTCAGTAACGTTGCAGAATACAAAATCAGCATACAAAAATCAGCAGCACTTTTATGTGGTAATAATCAACTGTCTGAAAAGAATTCAAGATAACAATCTTATTTACAATAGCTCCAAAATAAAAAAATATAATTCTTAGGAATTAATTTAACCAAGGATGTGAAAGATACCTATAATGAAGCCATAAAACACTTATGAAAAAAATTTGAAGACAGAAATAAATGGAAAGATAATCCTGCATTTGTGGATTCAAATAATTAATATTGTTAAAATGTTCACACTACCCAAAACAAGCTATGGATTTATCAAAATAACAATGACATCCTTCAGAGAAATAGAAAAAACAATCCTAAAATACGTATGGAATCTACAAAAGACCTGGAATAGCCAAAGCAGTCTTGACCCAAAAGAACAAAGTTGGAGGCATCATACTACCTGACCTCAAAGTATACTGTAAAGCTATAGTAACCAAAACAGCATGATACTGGCATAAAATCAGATGCATAAACCAATGGAATAGAATACAGAGCCCAGAAATAAATCCACAGGTGATACACAGTCACCTAATATTTTGACGAAGCTGCCAAGCACACACAATGGGGAAAGGACAGTCTTTTCAATAAATGGTATTCGGAAAACTGGGTATCTATATGCAGAAGAACGAACTTATACCCTTACTTCATACCATATACAAAAAATCAACAAAAAATAGTTTAAACACTAAAACATGAGACCTAAAGCTGTAAAACTACACAACATTGATGTAGGCAAAAGCTAAGGCAAGAAAAACAAAAATAGACAAATGAGGTTACATCAAAATAAAAAGCTTCTGCTCAAAAGAAACAACAGAACCAAAAAATGACCTACAGAATAAGAGAAAATTTTTGCAAATTATACATCTGATAAGGGGTTAATATTCAAAATATATAAGGAACTCAAGCAACTCAATAGCAAAAAACACTACCACCAAATAATTCAATTTAAAAGTGGGCAAAAAACCTGACTAGATATTTTTTAAAATATGACGTGCAAATGACCAAAAAGCATATGAAAAAATCCTCAGCATCACTGATCATCAGGTAAATGCAGATCAAAACCACAATGAGATAGCACCTCAGCCCAGTCAGAATGTTCATGATCAGACAAAAGATGGTAATAGTCAGTAAGAATGCAGAGAAAAGGGAACGTTTATACACTGTTGGTGGTAATGTAAATTTGTATAGTCATTATGAAAAACAATATGGAGGTTCCTCAAAAAATTAAAAATATATAGAGTATATGTTTGAGTATCCAGTAGGCATTCAGTAAATATCTGTGGAATAACTAAATGTCAATCAAATTTCTTGTGCTCTACATAAAATTCAACTCAAATATCTCTAATAACTCTGCAGGTACAAATATTTGATGACCAGAGAATGATTTTTCTTCAAAATAGATCTAGAGAGTATTATGGTAAAGCTAACCACTGTAGCTAAAATGACAATCCCTTTTACTACTTAATTATTCCTCAGGAAGTTTTGACAATACATGAACACGAAAGAAGAAAGAAAATATAAGATCTGCTTCTACATTTTCACTATTCTTTAGGGGACAGTAAGAACTGGCTTTTGATTGTGAAAATTCAAAATGTTATCCTCTTTTAAACAAACACTATCAAAATATCCCAAGAGAGACAGAGCTCCAAGTCCCAAAAGGCTATAGTGCAAGTAAATAGATATATATAATACACTCACTTGAGCTTGCATTTTGACCATTAATATATGCTTTGAAGGTGGGGAAAATCTTTTAGGGTTTACTTTTTGCAACCCATGAGAGATAACAAACAGGATCATGCAATTTCTTGGAAGTTCTTCACATGTCTTTGGCTCTGGGGAATAATATTTTGTCTCCTGTCCCTGACCTTCTCAGCATTCACTCAAAGAGCGAATGGGAAGTATATAACATGTGAGTCACCCAGTTTTTTTTGCAAAAATCATAGAAAATGTTTTCTTCTTGTCTTTGAGAAAACTAAAAATATATCTCAGAATGAAAAGCTGGCAAAGAATGAAGCTGAAAAATATAAGTTTTTCTTCTTGTTTCCCTGAAATCTGGAAAATATTTTCCAATTATGGTTCATATCCCTTTAAAATATGAATAGCCATATATACAAAAAGAATAGTATTTCAAGTGAAGATGTATATTAACTGATGAATTGCTGGAGAAGGGTATATTTTGGCAATTTTTGTTACTTGGTGAGCAGAAGAAATATGGCATATTTCTCTTTCCAGCAATATTTTCTTTCTTAAGCCCAAATACTGATTTTTCAGTTCCATTACATTAATAAGACTTGGTATTATACAAATTAGTTATTATTTAAGAAACAAAAATCTTCAGCTCATATGACTTTTTCTTGTTTTTGTTGTTATTTGGGCTAGAAGTTAACCGGAGGGTAATCAGGGGAAAAGTTTTATGTTTCGGATTTGCCTAGATAGGAAAGGCCTCAGAAAACAACCACAGTGAGATGCAAAATAACACCAAAGGTCAAAGGAAGAAAAGGAACATGTGGAAGAAAGCAGTGAATAAAAAACATGGAAACTTTTGTAATATAAACTTTATCTGCCTTTCTTATTTTCCTGCAGCTGACTTGACCATGGTTAACAAAAAACAAGCACATTGAACTTGGCCACAGTCACGCAGACCAGCTGTTCTCCCTAAGGTCAATGTCATAATAGGCATATGAAGTTCTTACATTCACCTGGAAGCATATAAAAATATTTAGTCAGAGCAATTTAAGAGCCAAAGTATGGCACACTTCCTCACAGCATATAGCGTATCCAGCTGCCTAAAAATGAAAGAATGTATTTTTTATGCTAAACATTGGTACAGATACATGAAACAGCATAAAAGACCATATATTCTCTAATGACAGAGTTCTTTCTTATTACCACTTTAAAACACTACAAGTAACAGGGAGTAGCTGAAATTGAAAGTAAATATTAATTTGTGCCCTGGCATGGCACTATATTGAGAAAGAGTATTTTTAAATATCTTGGTTTTGTATTTTATTTTTATACCACTAATAATAATGAATCAGGTATTCATAGTACTGTTGAAAGAACTACATACCCAGATAAATACAGTATCAATAATGCAGGTAAACAGAAGAAAGAGTAGACCCATTGTATATAGGTAATTTATTGGAATCACAAAATTTGCATTCCTGGTTTCAAGTCTAGTGTTCTTAGCAAGAAAAAAAACTCTCCACAATTCATATTTTCCCTTCTATTGTTGTGATTTATTAAAATAAACATGTGTAGGAATTGAGTCATGAAAGTCACAGTTTTGTTGTTTAAACAAAAGTCTAATTGTTTACTACTTTATAATATACATGATGAAGAATTTTGGTTGTTTCCAAGAAGAAACAGCACGCTCCCTTTCATGTTTCAGTTACCTCTGCCATCTCCATGTCTTCCAGACTAATGAATGTGTTCAGCATGGAAACTATCAATTTTGTTAGCTGCCTTATCCTCATGGGCTTTCCCTCAAGCCCAGAAATGCAGCTCCTCTACTTCGGTCTCTTCTCAGTAGCCTATACTCTCACCCCGATGGGAAATGCAGCCATTGTCTGTGCTGTGTGGTAGGACCAGCACCTTCACACTCCCATGTACACCCTCTTGGGAAATTTCTCTCTCCTGGAAATATGTTATGTTACTGCAACTAAACTGCTGGCCAACTTCCTCTCCACAAGCAAGTCCATCTCATTCATGAGTTGTTTTGCAGAGTTCTACTTCTTTTCTTTGGGGTATGATGAGGGCTTCTTCCTTTGCATCACGGCCTTTGACAGGTATCTTGCCATCTGCCGCCCTCTACGTTATCCATGCATCATGACTAAACAAGTATGCACTGGCCTCATCATTTTTGCATGGTCATGTGTCTTTGTAATCTTCCTAACTCTGGTGATTCTCATTTCACAGCTATCCTACTGTGGCCCAAATATTATCAACCATTTTATTTGTGATCCCGTCCCATTGAAGATGCTGTCCTGTTCTGAAGACATCATCATCACCCAGCTCATTTACTCCACATTCAATTCTGTCTTCATAATTGGCACCTTTCTCTTTATCCTTTGTTCCTATGCTCTGGTGATTCTGGCTATAATACGGATGCCTTCAGAGGCTGGCAAACGAAAAGCTTTCTCCACTTGTGCCTCTCATTTGGCAGTTGTCACCTTATTTTATGGCTCTATCATGGTGATGTATGTTAGTCCTGGATCAGCACACCCAGTAAAAATGAAAAAATCATTACCTTGTTCTATTCTGTGATAACACCACTCTGTAATCCTCTAATATATAGTCTCAGGAACAAAGAGATGAAAGATTATCTGAGGAAAATCTTCAGGACTGGAAAAGATGTTAATAAAATATAAATAAGAGAATTTTCATTTATCAAATTAACTTTATTATACATGAATATTTGTCTACAAATTTATTGTTTTATTTAAGAACTGCTATAATAATGAGCCATTAACATCTTAAACACCACTCACCACAATCTGCATTACTGTGGTCTTATTTAAGAATGTTTCAACAGTGAATTAGATTTTCTGTTGAAGTGAATAATACGTATGTAAAATTCTATGTCTATGCTAATCAGAACGTGTATATGTAACTCAACTTTTTAAAAAGAATGCAGACGTCCTTTTTGTATTACTGAGCTAAAGCAATTGGTAACACATGTGACAGATATCATAGACTGCTCTCACAATTAACACTATAATCCAATCATTATCCACTAAGAGATACTGGCTGAAAAAGAGCCAAGTTTTAAGTAGTCCAGCTTGTCAAAATGTAGCAAGTGGTCTTTACATTATATAAATAGACTAATAGCCTTAGTTTGATATTCAGTGTTTTTTCAGAGAGTACACAACCAAGAATTAGGAATTTAAAGCAGATTCGTTACCTGGAATATAGTGCAGCAAAGACCTAAACAAAAAGGTGAGCATTACTCAGGATATAGCTTTCTTTGTTGTAAACCCAGTTTAAACACAGGATTTGATACCATAACTAATTTAGTATTAATACTGTGTGACTTATTTGAGTACTGCTGGACAGTACTAAAATAAAACTCTTAAAATCCATTTTATAAAATATTTGACTAATATCTTGCTTTAATTTTGACTTTTGTTTCGTTCTATGCCATTTTTTCAAATACAACTCTCAAAAACTTAATGAAAAGGAATCACAATATGAAATGTAGTTTACAGAATTTTAATTTGTAAGCCATCATAGCTATTTGCTCCACAAAATGAGGTGCAACTGCAATTAGTTTTTGTGTCACAAGGAAGCTGAGTTGAGAATATTTTCTGGGTTTGAAAGGCAGGATTTATGAGAGTTCTGGGGAAAAGAGTGGTTGTTTTATTATACCTCACATGTGAAATGTAAATTAAATAGCTAAATACTTGCCTGAAAACCTCTTTTATATAGGAAGAAAATACAAACAATTTAGAACTTCATTCAAACTGACTTCAACGGTGGGATCTCTTTAAAGTGCTGATAAATTTAACACTGAGTTTCACCTGTCCATGCCAGTTTTGTTTATATTTCTTAATTATATGAGAAAAAATGATAGAAATTCTTAATAAAATATAATCTCAACTGTTATAAATGTGCACAGTGCCCATATTTGTAATTATCTTCAAATTGATCATTAACCAATCTTATCTTACCAATATTAAATTCTATCTCATATTGAGCTTGCTGGCACTTGATAGAATGAATTGAAAACTATTAGATACAGTAAAAAGCATTTCCATAAGATACAAACATGCCTTCATTGTGACAATATCTCTTCCTCAGTTCATACCTATGGCTTCATGGTATTTCACACAACCAGCTAATAAATGAAGAAAGAGCCTCAGGCTTGGATCACAAATGGATTGTCTGAATCTACACTTAGACAAGATAAAAACTGACTAATGCTGCAGCTTAACGCCTCTCCAGGGTAGCCATAGAATGTAGTGGTGGAGGAAATCCTCGTAAGCCAGTGATTCGGTAGCAATATACTTAGTTGTCCACTTTGAATGTTGGGAGAAATAGCTTGCTATGCAAGATAAGGATATGTGTAGTATAATGATTGTTGTAAAAAAGTTTCACTAAGCAAACCCCCTCAAAATACAGAAAAATCAGATTTAATGAAATTTGAGGTGGAGGCCTATGTATGGGCCTATGAGAATAAGCACAAAGTATGCAGATCTTTGTTTCTCAACTCTGTGCCCATTAGAGAGTATCCTCCAGAGTGGAGGCACTCAATAGCTAAGTGAAAAGAATGAGTCATCTAAAAATGTCAGTCAGCTCTGATTTCATTCACCTCAGAGCTTATAAAAGGGAATATAAAGAAAGCTGTATAAATGGAAAATATGCACGTGCCAAAAAATACAGGCATTATCTTACCAAGGTTGGTGACAAATCACTGAGCCACTGAAGATGCAGCCTCGATGAGAAACCAATGTTAAGCCCTCAATATGGCACCAATCTTTGAGAAAACCAGCCAGCAATGGGTGGCAAATTGATTACATCAAATTCCTTTTACTTTGGAGGGTGCCAAGTGACATGAAAGAGTATAGTCAACCTCTACTTCTTCATTTCATATTCACTCCCCAACCCCCTGTGATCTTGCTTTCTATCTCCTCTGCTCAACTAAAACTTCTTTTCATCATGTTTCTGTAGAGGATTAACAATAATCATCATATGGGTATTTTATCTTAGGTACAAGAAAGTATAGTAACTCAAATAGATTTTCCAATCTACCATTATTTTCATTAGTCAACATTATCTTAGCCAGAGAAGATGTGAACTCTACATTTTGTAATTCTACATTGTTTGAGTTTGAAAACCTTTGCTATAGCCTGGGAATAAGTTGTTTTTGGATCAGTTGCAGCCTCTTATGAACAAGATTAAAGATGAAAAAGTTGAAAAATGTGTATTACCCTATAATTGCAACTCAAAATCTAGCTTATTTTTCATGTTTCACATGAAAACAGATGTTTAACCTAGTAGTTCTCAACTTTAATATCCATATCAATCACCATCACGTATGGATCTTTTCAAAATGCAGATTCTCTGTGACATCAGGAAGATTGAAGAATAGGACGTCCCAGTTTTCCCTACCCTTCATAGAATGTTCAATTAACAACTGTACACAGACAAAAACTCCTATGTGAACACTTCAAAACTCAAGATTAAGCCTGAGAAACCTGTGTGAACTAAATAACCAAACAAAATGCCACATGAGAAGTGTAAAAAGAATAGCCTCACTCTGACCACATCACCTCTCCCTTTCTCCCAAGTCAGCACAACACCACTTAGAATTTTTCTAGGCCCACAGTTTCTACAGTAGGAAAAGAGAACTAGAGGTGGACATTCACGTTCCCTGTGTTCCAAGATACCTCCCCCAGGAAGCCAACTCTGGTCTCACCTTGCAAAGAGCATAGGGGTAATAGCATGGCTAGACTACCTGTGGTCAGGTAGAAACAGAGCAGGAAGGCAAAGCTCATAGTGACAAACATGCAGATCTTGGTGGTAGGTCTATGTAACCACCAGCAGTGGTATGTGATTAGGGGCATTAGCGAACAGTATAACAAACCAACAAAGTCAAGCTGGTTGCCCCGGGAAATAGGAAGTTCTACCTGGCTTGAATCCCTAGACAATCAGCCTCCATGCCAGCCCCAGATCCTACCACAAAGCCTTGTCCAGAGGGGGAGATGACCACAGCATATTTTGGTAAAGTACAAGGGCTAGACCTGCCCCACTCAGAAGCCCAAACAGTGGTTTGGCTTAGTCTCAAAACCCACAACAGGGACCCAGCCAGGCAGGGAGATGCATACCACAGCCCATTATTAGCACAGTGTAGGGTCTAGAAATGCCTTACCTGGGGACTCTAACAGTGGTTCAACTCAGCCTCAAAATCATCCCCAAAGCCCACTCAGAGATGGAGATACTTGCCGCAGTGCATTTTGGCAAAGTGAAAGGGCTATATGCACCCCAACAAGGAATCCAAACAGTGGTTTGGCTCAAATCTCAAAGCCCACCCCAAGGTCCTACCCAGTCAGGAAGGCAAACATCAAATGTGCATTCCCACCAAGTGTAGTAGCTGTTCTCTCCATCCTGAGCAGTGTCCCCACTTAACTTTATGAGTAAGCCTGCAACCCCATACAACTCCAGAACTCAAATAGTGGTACCATCCAGCCAGGAAATACATCCTGTGGCCCGGCCCAGTCAGAGACAATCACCATCCGAGCAAGCAATTTTGTCTGATTGCATAGCTCATTTAGTGGTCATACCAAAAATCAGAGCCCAGCCAGTAGTCCCAACTGAACTCAGAGCAAAGACAAAAGCTGAGCCATCCGGAGAACCTGAAAGCAGAAAGCAAGCTCTACCTTCCCAGGGTTGGTACCAGTTGGCCAATCTAGAATGAAAGGCTAGACTAAATAATGAAAGTCTATCCCTGCCAACTAATACCTATAAAAAGAGGTAGCTACCTCCTCAAATGAACAGACAGCAGTGCAAGAACAAAAGGATTGTGAAGAATCGAGGAATGATGACACCTCCAAAATAAACTAATAAAACTCTTAACAATGGACCCTAAAGGAACGGAGATTTGCAAAATGACTGACAAAGAATTCTAAAAAGTCCAGGAGCTGGTTTTTTGAAAGGATCAACAAAATTGATAGACTGCTAGCAAGACCAATAAAGAAAAAAAGAGAGAAGAATCAAATAGACGCAATAAAAAATGATAAAGGGGATATCACCACCGATCCCACAGAAATACAAACTACCATCAGAGATTACTACAAACACCTCTATGCAAATAAACTAGAAAATCTAGAAGAAATGGATAAATTCCTCGACACATACACTCTCCCAAGACTAAAACAGGAAGAAGTTGAATCTTTGAATAGACCAATAACAGGAGCTGAAATTGTGGCAATAAGCAATAGCTTACCAACCAAAAAGAGTCCAGGACCAGATGGATTCACAGCCGAATTCTACCAGAGGTACAAGGAGGAACTGGTACCATTCCTACTGAAACTATTCCAATCAATAGAAAAAGAGGGAATCCTCCCTAACTCATTTTATGAGGCCAGCATCATCCTGATACCAAAGCCAGGCAGAGACACAACCAAAAAAGAGAATTTTAGACCAATATCCTTGATGAACATTGATGCAAAAATCCTCAATAAAATACTGGCAAACCGAATCCAGCAGCACATCAAAAAGCTTATCCACCATGATCAAGTGGGCTTCATCCCTGGGATGCAAGGCTGGTTCAGTATACGTAAATCAATAAATGTAATCCAGCATATAAACAGAACCAAAGACAAAAACCACATGATTATCTCAACAGATGCAGAAAAGGCCTTTGACAAAATTCAACAACCTTCATGCTAAAAACTCTCAATAAATTAGGTATTGATGGGACGTATCTCAAAATAGTAAGAGCTATCTATGACAAGCCCACAGCCAATATCATACTGAATGGGCAAAAACTGGAAGCATTCCCTTTGACAACTGGCACAAGACAGGGATGCCCTGTCTCACCACTCCTATTCAACATAGTGTTGGAAGTTCTGGCCAGGGCAATTAGGCAGGAGAAGGAAATAAAGGGTATTCAATTAGGAAAAGAGGAAGTCAAATTGTCCCTGCTTGCAGACGACATGATTGTATATCTAGAAAACCCCATTGTCTCAGCCCAAAATCTCCTTAAGCTGACAAGCAACTTCAGCAAAGTCTCAGGAAACAAAATGAATGTACAAAAATCACAAGCATTCTTATACACCAATAACAGACAGAGAGCCAAATCATGAGTGAACTCCCATTCACAATTGCTTCAAAGAGAATAAAATACCTAGGAATCCACTTACAAGGGACATGAAGGACCTCTTCAAGGAGAACTACAAATCACTGCTCAATGAAATAAAGAGGATACAAACAAATGGAATAACATTCCATGCTCATGGGTAGGAAGAATCAATATTGTGAAAATGGCCATACTGCCCAAGGTAATTTATAGATTCAATGCTATCCCCATCAAGCTACCAATGACTTTCTTCACAGAATTGGAAAAAACTACTTTAAAGTTCATATGGAACCAAGAAAGAGCCCGCATCGCCAAGTCAATCCTAAGCCAAAAGAACAAAGCTGGAGGCATCACACTACCTGACTTCAAACTATACTACAAGGCTACAGTAACCAAAACAGCATGGTACTGGTACCAAAACAGAGATATAGATCAATGGAACAGAACAGAGCCCTCAGAAATAATGCCGCATATCTACAACTATCTGATCTTTGACAAACCTGACAAAAACAAGCAATGGGGAAAGGATTCCCTATTTAATAAATGGTGCTGGGAAAACTGGCTAGCCATATGTAAAAAGCTGAAACTGGATCCCTTCCTTACACCTTATACAAAAATCAATTCAAGATGGATTAAAGACTTACATGTTAGACCTAAAACCATAAAAACCCTAGAAGAAAACCTAGGCATTACCATTCAGGACATAGGCATGGGCAAGGACTTCATGTCTAAAACACCAAAAGCAATGGCAACAAAAGCCAAAATTGACAAATGGGATCTAATTAAACTAAAGAGCTTCTGCTCAGCAAAAGAAACTACCATCAGAGTCAACAGGCTACCCACAAAATGGGAGAAAATTTTCGCAACCTACTCATCTGACAAAGGGCTAATATCCAGAATCTACAATGAACTCAAACAAATTTACAAGAAAAAAACAAACAACCCCATCGAAATTGGGCAAAGGACATGAACAGACACTTCTCAAAAGAAGACATTTATGCAGCCAAAAAACACATGAAAAAATGCTCACCATCACTGGCCATCAGAGAAATGCAAATCAAAACCACAATGAGATATCATCTCACACCAGTTAGAATGGCGATCATTAAAAAGTCAGGAAACAACAGGTGCTGGAGAGGATGTGGAGAAACGAACACTTTTACACTGTTGGTGGGACTGTAAACTAGTTCAACCATTGTGGAAGTCAGTGTGGCGATTCCTCAGGGATCTAGAACTAGAAATACCATTTGACCCAGCCATCCCATTACTGGGTATATACCCAAAGGACTATAAATCATGTTACTATAAAGACACATGCACAAGTACGTTTATTGCGGCACTATTCACAATAGCAAAGACTTGGAACCAACCCAAATGTCCAACAATGATAGACTGGATTAAGAAAATGTGGCACATATACACCATGGAATACTATGCAGCCATAAAAAATGATGAGTTCATGTCCTTTGTAGGGACATGGATGAAATTGGAAACCATCATTCTCAGTAAACTATCGCAAGAACAAAACACCAAACACCACATATTCTCACTCATAGGTGGGAACTGAACAATGAGAACATATGGACACAGGAAGGGAACATCACACTCTAGGTACTGTCGTGGGGTGGGGGGAGGGGGGAGGGACAGCACTGGGAGATATACCTAATGCTAGATGACGAGTTAGTGGGTGCAGCGCACCAGCATGGCACATGTACACATATGTAACTAACCTGCACATTGTGCACATGTACTCTAAAACTTAAAGTATAATAAAAAAAATTTAGTGAACTACAATAATATAAGGGTAGATAATTAAAAAAATTGAAAAATAATAAACAATATAACATGTTTGACAAATAGGAATAATAAAAATATAGAAATCTTAAAGAATAAAATGACTGAAATGAAAATGCAATAGAAAGCTCTAAGAACAGGCTCAATCAAGCAGAAGGGAAACAATCAATAAGCTAGAGACAAAACATTTAAAATAATTCAGTCAGAAGAGAAAAAATTAAAAAGATTGAAAAAGAATAAAGACAGACTCTGGATATGAAGGGAAACTATTAAGACCTAATATTCATCTAATAGGAGTTTTCAGAAAGAAAAGAAATAGAAAAGAGACCAGAAAGCATATCTGAAGAAGAAATTCTAAAAAACTACCAAATCTGGAGAAAGTTGCTAACATCTAAACACAGCAAATGCAGAGTTATCCAAACAAGTTTAAGCCAAATAGGAGTTATCCAAGATGTACAATAATTCAAATACCAAAAATTAAAGAAAAAGAAAACATTTTGAAAACAGCAAGTAATTAGAAGCATATCACATAGAAGGGAATATCAAAAATAGCTGTCTCTGGATTTCTCAACAAAATCTCAGGAGACCAGGAGAGAGTAGGATAATGTATTCAAAGTGCTGAAGGGAAAAAACAAGGCCAACAAGTCTACTTAACCCAGCAAAGTTGTCCTTGGCAAATGAGAGAAAAGCAAAAACTTTTCCAGACAAACAAAAGCTATGAGAGTTCATCACCACTAAATATGTCTTAAGAGAATTACTAAAGGAAGTTCTTTGAGCTGAATTAAAAGGCTGCTAATTAAAAATATAAAACATATGAGAACACAAATGCAATGGGATAAGAAATACAAAGTCATATCCAGAATATTCTAAGACTGTAATGATGATGTGTAAAGCAATTTTTTCCTATAGTACAATGGTTAAAAGACAAATCTATTAAAACACATGGAGCAAAAATAGTCAATGGATACACATAAGAAAATGATGTATATTTTGACATCAAAATCGTAAAATGTGGGAGAGGAGAAATAAAGTGTACGGCTGTTGTTGGCAAATAAAGCATACAGTTGTGATTGTTGTCAGCTTAGAATAGTATATCATATAAAAATAAAGACTAAAAACATCACCCAACACTACACAACTACATGGAAATTAAGTGACTTGCTCCTGAATGACTTCTGGGTGAACAATGAAATTAAGGCAGAAATCAAAAAAGTCTTTGAAATAACTGAAAACAGAGACACTATATGCCAAGATCTCTGGGATGCAGCAAAAGCAGTGTTAAGAGAAAAGTTTATAGCACCAAACAATTACTGCAGAAAGTTAGATATACCTCAAATTAATGACCTAGCATCCAACAGAATAGCTAGAAAAGCTAAAACAAAGCTAGCAGAAAAAAAAATAACTAAAACCAGAGCAGACCTGATTGAAATACACCAGAAAATTAATACCAAGAATCAATGAAACCAAAAGTTGATTCCTTAAAAGGATAAACAAGATTGATGGGCTGCCAGCTACAGTAACAGAGAGAGAGCGAGAGCAAGAGGAAGAGAGAGAGAAGATTCAAATAATCACATTAAGAAATGACAAAGGTGACATTACAGATGATCCGATAAATACAGAATATCCTCCAAGACTATTAGGAACACCTCTATGAACACAAACTACTAAATCTAGAGGAAATTGATCAATTTCTGGAAACAACCTCCCAAGATTGAATCTGGGAGAAATTAAAACCCTAAAAGACCAATATTAAGGTCCAAAATAGAAGCAGCAATAAAAATCTACCAACCAAAAAAGTCCTAGACCAGATGGTTTCACAGCCAAATTCTACCATGCATACAAAGAAGAGCTAGTATCAACTCTACTTAAACTATTCCCAAAAATGAGGAGAATGGACTCCCCCCTAACTCATTCTATGAAGCCAGCATCTCTTTGATACCAAAACCTGGCAAGTGAAAGTTTATAGCTACAAGTGCCTACACCAAAAAAGTAGAAAAATTTCAAATAACCTAGTGATGTATCTTTAAAAACTAAAAAAGCAAAAGCAAACAAACCCAAATTATTAGAAGAAAATAAATAATAAAGATCAGAGTAGTAATAAATGAAATGGAAACAAAGCATACAATACAGAAGATCAACAAAGTGAAAAGTTTGTTTTTTGAAAAGATGAACAAAATCAACAAAACTTTACCTAAGAGAAAAAGTGAAAAGACCCAAATAAATAAAATTAAGACATAAAACCAATACTGCAGAAATTAAAAGGATCACTTGCAACCATATGCCAATAAACCGGAAAATCCAGATAAAATAGATAAATTCTTAGATACATACAACCTATGAGGTTTGAGCCATGAAGAAATCCAAAACCTGAACAAACCAATAACAAGTAATGAGATCAAAGCCCTAATAAAAAGTCTCCCAGCGAAGAAAATCCCAGGACATGGTGGCTTCTCTGCTGAATTTTACCAAATATTATAGAGGAATTAATACCAACACTATTCAAACTATTCCAAAAAATATAGGAACACAGAATACATCCAAATTCATTCTATTAGGCCAGTATTACTCTGATATAAAACCAGAAAGAGACATATCAACAAAAGAAAACTACAGACCAATATCCCTGATGAACACTGCTGCAAAAATCCTCAACAAAATACTAACAAACTAAATCCAACAGCACATTAAAAATTTAATTCACCATGATCGATTGAGTTTTATTCTAGAAATGCTAGGATGATTCAACATATGCAAATCAATAAATGTGATTCATCACATAAAGTTAAAAACAAAAACCATAGGATCATTTCAATTGATGTTGAAAAGACAATCATAAAATAGGAGAAAATATTTGTAAACTATCCATCTGGCAAGGGATTAATAACCAGAATATATAAGGAACTCAAACAACTCTATAGGAAAATTCTGATCATCCAATTTAAAAATGGGCAAAAGATCTTGCTCAGAAGACACATAAATGGCAAACAGGCATGTGAAAAAGTGCTCAGCATCATTGCTCATCAGGGAAATGCAAACCAAAACTACAAGACGAATCATCTAACCCTAGTTAAAATGGCTTATATCCAAAAGACAGGCAGTAAGAAATAGTGGCTAGGATATGGAGAAAAGGGAACCCACTATTGGTGGGAATGTAAATTAGTACAATCACTATGGAGAACAGTTTGGAGGTTTCTCAAAAAAAACAAAAATAGAGCTACCATATGACCCAGCAATGCCATTGGTAGGTATATACACAAAAGAAAGGAAATCAGGATATCTGAGAGATACCTGCACTCCCATGCATATTGCAGCACTATTCACAATAGTCATGATTTGGAAGCAACCTGTTTGTCCATGAACAGATGAATAAAGAAAATGTGGTTAATGTACACAATCGAGTAATATACAGCCATGAAAAAGAATGAGATCCTGTTATTTGCAACAACATGGATAGAACTGGAGGTTATTACGTTAAATAAAATAAGCCAGGGACAGAAAGACAAATTTTCCATGTTCTCACTTATTTGTGGGAGCTAAAACTTAAAATAACTGGATTTATGGAGATAGAGAATACAGTAATGGTTACCAGAGACTAGGAAGAATAGTAGGGTTAAGGGGAGGAATGGATAATCGGCATAAAAATACAGTTAGATAGAATAAGTAAGATCTAGTATTTGATAGAACAACAAGGTGACTATAGCCAAACAATTTATAGTACATTTAAAAATAACTAAAAGAGCATAATTGCATTGTTTGTAACACAAAGAAAGGGTAAATGTTTGAAGTGATGAATATCCCATTTACCGCGATGTAATTATTATACACCGTATGCCTGTAGAAAAATATCTCATGTACCCCATAAACATATACAGTCACTGTGTACCCATAAACATTTAAAAAGGAAAATATAAAATAAACAACCTGATATTACAACTCTAGTAACTAATAAAAAAAGAACAAACTAAACCCAAAGTCAGCAGAAGGAAAGAAATAACAAGGATCTGAATAGAAATAAACAAAATAGAGACTAAAACTACAATAGAAAAGAACTCAATGTAATAAAGAGTGTTTTTTCAGAAGGATAAACAAATCAACAAACCTTTAGCCAGACCAAGGAAAAAAAAGAAAGGACTCAAATATTAATACAATCAAAAGTGAAAAGGGAGACATTACAACTGATACCATAGAAATATAAAAGCTCATAAGAAAAAAAAGCTCATAAGAGAGTACTATGAAAAATTGTACAGTAACAAATTGAATAAAGTATAAGAAATAAATAAATTCCAAGATACATGCAAGATACCAAGACTGAATCATGAAGAAAAAGTATGAACAGACCAAAAATGAGTAAGAAGATTGAATTGTAATAAAGTCTCCCATCAAAGAGAAGCCCAGAATAGCTTTACTGTTGTATTCTACCAAACACTGAAATAATTAGCAATCCTTAAACTCTTCCAAAAAAAATCTAAGAGGAAGGAATACTTCACTTCCAAACTTTTTTTACGTGGCCAACATTACTCTGACACCAAGGCCAGACAAGAACAAGAAAAAGAAAAGAAAAGAAAAGAAAAATTATAGGCCAATATCCCTGATGAACATAGATGAAAGAATCCTCAATCAAATACTAGCACACTGAATTCAACAGCACGTTAAAAAGGTAACTTACCATGCTCAAGTGGATTTACCCCAAGGATACAAGGTGGATCAACATACATACATCTATAAATGTGATATACATTAACAAAATGAAGCCCAAAATTATATAATCATCTAATTAGATGCAGAAATAGCATTTGAAAAATTCAACATTGTTTCATGAAAAGATTCTCAACAGAGTTGGTTTAGAAGAAATATACTTCAACATAATAAAGACCATGTATTACAAGCCTACAGCTCACACTATCTTCAACGCACCCTCCAAATCTCAGGCTGAATTGTGATCCCCAGTGTCAGAGGGGGTGCCTGGTGGGAGGTGTCTGTGTTATGGAGGTGAATCCCTCATGGGATGGTGATGGTATCCAACCCAACCCTCAGGAATGGGTTTGCATTTTACCCATAGTAGAGTTACCATCAGATCTGATGGTTAAAAAGAGTATGGGACAACCCCCTCCCCACCTAGCTCCCTTTCTTGCCATGTGACACAACTGCTCCCTCTTTGCTTTCTTCAATGAGTAGAAGTTTCCTTAGGCTTCAGAAGCTAAGCAGATGCTGATGCCATGCTTGTACTGACTGCAGGACCATGAGCCAAATAAACCTCTTTTCTTTATAAATTACTCAGTCTCAAGTATTCCTTTATAGCAACGTAAAATGGACTAACACAAATGTTATTGGTGATTTATGCAATGGCCATTTTAAGGGTGTGGTGGGGGGAAGCCATATTTAAATATATTGGAGGTGAGAAAGACATGAGGAAAAGATGAAGATTCCTTACTGTCTCTCAAGTATGGCAGGCATGCTCCTGCCTTGTGGTCCCTATACATGTCATCTCCTTTGCCTGGAATGCTCTTTTCCCAGATATTTATATTTCTTTCCCTAACACTCCCTTCAAATCTTTGACCAAATATCACCTTTTCGGTGAGGCCTTTCCTGACTAGCTATTGAAAATTCCACTCAGGGGAATTGAGAGATATTGGTCAAAAGGTACAATGTTTCAGCTAAACAGAATGAATAAGTTTTGGAGATCTACTGTACAGCATAGTGACTGTAGTTAACAGTCATGTGTTATACCATTGTCCCTAAATATCTGCAATATCAGGGGGGCGATTCGTTCCAGGACTCCCCAAGGACACCAAAATCCTGGGATGTTCAAGTCCCTTATATAAAATGATATCATTTTATATTTGCATGTAACCTACGCATATTTTTCCACACACTTTAAATCATCTATAGATTACTTATAATACTAATAAAATATAAATGTTTTATAAGTAGTTGTTATACTGCATTTTTTTATTTTTATTGCTTTTACTGTATTTTTTGTGGGTTTTTTGTACTAATAGTTTCTATCCAGTTGGTTGAATGCCTGAATGCGGAACTCATGGAAACATAGGGCCAAAAGTATACTTGAAATTTTTAGAAGAGATTTTAAATGTTCTCACACAATAAAATGAAAGTATGTAGAAGTGATAAATGTTAATTAGTTTGAATTAATCATTTCACCATGTATACATATCAAAAAATCATCTTGTATGCCACAAATGCATAGTTTTTTGATAAAAAATATCCAATCACCTATTATAAGGCAAGCGCATATTGAACAAGTGCCAAGTGAGCCTCATATACTGGATAATGATTCCATGGAAAGTAGCCTTGCTTAACTGGGAAAAGACCCAAGTGACAGAGTAGCTCCCTATGGAAAATCGTAACTGGTTTAAATGACAGCTTAAACTCCAGAATGTCTCACCAAACAGTCAAATGCTAGTTCTGTGAATTGTTTTTTCTTCTCATGTGAATCTATATACTGTTTTTGTCAATTACATCTTAGTAAGGCTGGGGGTAAAATGCACCTCTGCCAGCTCCCACACACACTCCCTATTGACCTGACGTTTCTAATTTTTCTCCACGTTTCCTCATCACTCCCTAATATACTATAGTTTACTTATTTATTTAACACCTGTTGTCTCCCTTTGGAATATAAGTTCCACATAGGAATTTTTGTACATTTTGTTCACTGCTATGTGCATGAGCATTTAGAGTAGTCCCTGGAACATTCACAATCAATTATTATTATTGAATTAACTAATCAGTTTTTAATATTAAAATATAAATATAAATAATATAAACATGTATAGTAAATTTTACACTTAATTACAAACATTATGAATATAAGTGTGATGAAAGGAAAAATTTTAAATGTTAAATGGTTATGTTGTATTCTCATGCATATGTATGTTTTCTCAAATTTTTCTATAATAAACTTGTAGTTACTCTTGTAAAATATCAAAAGTGAGCATTTGTTAAAATAAACTCATGTAAATAAATTTCATGCTTTCTGAAATGGCCATTTCAGAGATGTAGCGTAGGTGAAGAAGAGATGAGGACTCCCTGCCGTCTCAATCATGCCAGGTGTGCTCCTGCTTCGTGGCACCTACACATGCCATCTCCTCTGCCTGGAACCCTCTTTCCCCAGATGTTTATATTTGTTGCCTCCACACTTCCTTCAAGTCTTTATCCAAATATCACCTTTATGAGATTTCTGAATTTTTTATTCATCTATAACATACAAAAAGTACAGTGCACAAATCCTAAGTATATTGCTCAATGAATTGTTATCAACTGATACTCCTGTGTAAAGGTACCTAGTTCCAGAAACTGAATGTTATCAGCATCCCAAAATCCCAACCTTTTCATTGAGGCTTTCCCTAACTACCTATTGAAAATTGTGCCCAGGGGATATGGGGAGACATTTGTCAAAGGGTACAATGTTTCAGCTAAAAGGGATGAATAAGTTCTGGATATCTACTGTACACCATTAACCTTAAGAGAGATCTCAAAAAGGAAAAGAACTCACAAAAAAAAATTGCTGTAAAGGATACACATGAAAGGCACAGAAGGGAAGTGGAGGGAGTGCAGAGAACTGTGGGCTGAGTCTGAGCCTCAAGGCTTTTTCAGCATAAAATGCCACAAAGACTGTTGATAAGCAAGCCTGTCCCCCATTTACTAAACTTAGGCAATTAAAATTTTATCACTACCCAATGTATCAAAATTTTATCACTACCCAACACTGATTTAAGGACTCAACACTCTGACTTGAGAAAACCTGAAGTACAAAAAGTTACCACAAAGGTGGGTGAGACTCTCTAAGGAGCTCAAATATATGTCTTCAATGTGTTCTAATTGCAAATTACTTACAATTTGGCACAACATATTGGGAGAGGAGTAGTGGAGTGGTAAAAATCAAACCTAACTTCAAAATATTGTAAATTATGGCTCTAAGATCATTCTTAATGACCCAATATGTGCAGTGAGGCTCTTCTCTTCCTCCTCCATGTTACAGTTGAGAACACGAAAGACTAAGCCATTCACATTACCCCAGGGAAGGCAGAGGGCAAGGGCAGTCCAGGTGTCCTGAACTGTACTGCTCGCAGGGGAGGCCTGGCCCACCACTAAGTCTGGATACTTCCAAACCTATCCTTACATGAAAACAATATCTGCGGACCATTTCATTCCAATTGGTTTTGGGTCCTAGTTTCTGCCCAGTGGTCAAATCCAGAAACCCAATCAGGACCTGGTTTCAATGAGTGGCTCTGAGCTTAGCTAATTAATGGTTTCCTGTCCCAAGAAAGGTTTCTTGTTTTTGTTTGTTTAATTAATTGTTTGCTATTGCACTAAAATACTTTGTCTTACCTGACAATAGTGAGCTCAGGATTATCTTGGCACATTTGGTTATGTGGTTTGAGCCCTCCCAGAGTGTTACTGTCTACTAGTTACCCATTAAAGTTTAATAAGGCAGAAGACAATGAGCTTGCTAGAGATGTCACAGAGCCTTTGTTGCCATGGCAATAATTGTTGGACCAGATCACAGAGAAGTATGTAAGAGACAAGAAAGAGAGAACTGCAGGAAAAGCTGAAGCATAATAGTTTTTTAAAATAGTCTCTAAACTTATAGTGGAGTAATGTGTTTAAACTTGTGGGGAAAACTACTTTATGAGAAAGGCTGATTTTCCAACATCCTCTTAAGGAGATATGGTTTTGGTTTTATGGAAGAATGGTTTCTAAGCTACATTTCTTCTTTTTTTTTTTTTTTTTTTTTTTTTTGAGACGGAGTCTTGCACTGTCACCCAGGCTGGAGTGCAGTGGCGCGACTTTGGCTCATTGCAACCTCCACCTCCCAGGTTCAAACGATTCTCCTTGCCTCAGAATCCCAAGTAGCTGGGATTACAGGTGCCTGCCACGATGCCTGGCTGTTTTTTTTTTTTTCTATTTTTAGTAGAGACAGGGTTTCACTATGTTGGCCAGGCTGGTCTTGAACTCCTGACCTCATGATCCACCCGCCTTGGCCTCCCAAAGTGCTGGGATTACAGGTGTGAGCCACTGTGCTCTGCCTACATTTCATCTTAAAGTAAAAGTAAACGAATTGGGATTAATTTGGAAGCACACTGACTATTATAATACCAAGAACTTCATATGAAGGCAGATAGCCATTAAAATGGCAGAAATTCAACAAGATTTTTAATAGATGATTGGGTCAGTGAGAAATAGTTTTGATGTGCAATATGAAACCCCAAATATTCCAGGGGCTCCTGCAAAGTGTAAACTTGGAGTTTCCTTGACTTAGAAGTGAAAGAACAGCAGGATTGGAGGTGGGTGAAAGAAAGAACCTAGTGATCTAGGTAATGTCACTTTGGATAACATTTGCTCTAAATTGCTCCCAGCATCAGAGTAGAGCTTGGGAGGAGTGAGTCTGTATTTCAAAGCCCAGGGTTTCAGTCAGTGTGAATGAGACAGTGAGGATTATCCTGCCCTCTTGTGCTTCTGAGCCAACATGCCAGGGCTTGAAGAGGAGCGGAAGGAAATGAAGAAGTCACAGAATGCCTGACTGAAGAAGCAAAGTGCAGAAACACATCACCTCCCTCCCTCCCTATAGAAGTCAAACTCCCCCGAGACTGCTCATCACTATCAGCATGGGATGGCAGTATATTTACTTAATTAGCTAAAAGTGAATAGAGCTTAAAGTTTAGCCCTTAGGTGGGATTTTGCCGACATAGACTTCCTAGGACTTTTGTCCTATCAGAGTGGCCTGTTGTACTGTGAGCTTCTTGTGTCAAAGGTTAATTAATCTTGTCTATCCAGAGTCTAATGTTCAAATGCATGTTCATTTAATCAGGCTGTTTATAAAGTATAGTGGTTTAGTGACAAGATTATTTAAGAAAAAGTCCCCAAAAATATACTGTTGACCAGAGTAAATTAAAGGTGTAAACATTTAATAATGCCTAGAAGCCCTAATCAGAATAGATATAATTTTTACCATTCTAATCTTTTGAAAGAAACATCACAACTAGAAATGAAAAAGGTCATGTTACCACTGACCCCACAGAAATAAAAAATAACCATCAGAAACTACTACAACCACCTCTATGCACACAAACTAGAAAACCTGTAAGAGATGGGTAAATTCCTGGACACACCAATAACCTGCTCCAAAATTGCATCAGTAATAAATAGCCTACCAACCAAAATATATATATATTTTAAAAAGCTCAGGACTAGATGGATTCACAGCCAAATTCTACCAGATATGCAAAGAAGAGCCAGTACCATTTTTGCTGAAATGATTCCAAAAAACTGAGAACTGTCCAACTCATTCTATGAGGCCAGCATCATCCTGATACCAAAACCTGGTAGAGACACAACAACAAGAAAAAACTTCAAGCCAATATCATGGATGAACATTGATATAGGGCAGCTTATGATTAGTATCATGACAAAGACACAAAGATGGTAAAATAAAAATTCAAGGATGGGGCCAGGCATGGTAGCTCACACCTGTAATCCCAGCACTTTGGGAGGCCGAGGCAAGTGGATCACAAGGTCAAGAGATAGAGACCATCCTGGCCAACATTGTGAAACCCTGTCTCCACTAAAAATACAAAAATTAGCTGGGCATGGTGGCACGCACCTGTAGTCCCAGCTACTCAGGAGGCTGAAGCAGGAGAATTGTTTGAACCCAGGAGGCGGAGGTTGCAGTGAGCTGAGATCACACCACTGCATTCCAGCCTGGGGACAGAACGAGACTATGTCTCAAAAAAAAAAAAAAAATGCAAGGATGGAAAAGGTGCTTTGCTTAGGGGAAGAGGGGAAAACATTCTGGGGGGAAAAATGTCTTTTGAACTGGATCTTGAAGGAGGGTTTTTACAGGTGTAGGTGGAGATAAATAGAATTCCAAACACAGAAAATGATCACAAAAAAGAGAACATAGGAAACTGAACCTATTCAGAGAATGAAATGCTGTCTACTGTCTAATTTATCTGTAAAAGAGAGTAGGGAAAGATAACACCAGGAAAGTAATTTGAAGTCAATTTGTGGAGAACTTGGGAACTTGAAATCATTGATGGCTTTTGGAGCAGACAACAAGATCAAAGCTATGTTTTAGGAGTTTCTAAGTATTATGATTAAGTGATAATAAAGGTCTGAATAAACATTTTCCTCCATAGTCTTTCAAAGTGGAAGTGTGCTTTTAGACAGATGTCTGTAGTCCTAGGGCATACATCCCTGATGTCCTCAACTACTTCACAGCACTTGGTATGAGCATTCACTCACACATGAGTGTTTAGCTACACTATATTGGCCCCTAAATGCCATAAAGTAAAAATAGAAGGGACACAAATAAAAGTCAATACTTCTCTCATGTTAATTGGGAAGTCACATGTTCCTCTCAAGTATTTCTGTCAATTAACTTAAACGTTGCTACTTCTTATACTTTTTTCTCATATCTAAAGGAATCTGCCAAAAAAGTGCCATCCTTCTAAAAGTTATTTCTAAATTCTGTAAGTTTTTGCTCAATATGTGACAATGTTGGAACATCAGTATTTTCCTCACTGGGCTGTATATCCTCCAACATATGCACAGTAACACTTGAAATGTTCCTAAACATTATGTCAGAACTTTTGGTAACATTTTGTATCTTATTTCTCCTCAGACTGTGTCTTCTGGAAGATTTTTTGGAATCCGTCTGGTGGGCAAGCTCTTTGTAAATAATGATGTCTTAGAATAGTTGTCATTACTCTTTACTGATTCTTCAGAGAATATCTAATCATTAACTTTTTAAAGATTCATTGGCTTGGAAGATAACTTTCCTAATGCTATAGAAGCTACATCCCAGGAGAAAGTGAGTTTTATAAAGTGCATTTTTAATTTTGGGGCCACAATAAAACTGTCTAGCTGGAGGCAGAATATGGTTTATAAAATAAATCATTTAGAGATTTGGTTCATGTCAAAACGATGATGGCTTCACCTTTTGAGCACTGCTGAGAATCATGACACTCCCATGTCAATCCGTTTCCATAATTTCCTAATGTTGGTTTATTAATGTTTCTGGTTGGAAGCCAATTAAAGAGGCATCTATTACTAAAAGAGGCACAAACATAACTTCTAACTAGTCATACCAAAAGAATTCCTAGAGCACTGGTGTAGAGATCAAATTGGAAGAAAAACTTCTGAAAATTTGTGTTTCTTCTCAAAATGCAAGCCCTCTTGACATCTAGAACTCACATCCCTCCATATTTCTGAGGAAAAAAAAGTTTTTTCAGGTAACTCAAATCCCTAAATATATTTTTAGAAGAATGTAGGAGGAAGTTTACCTATAACAAAAAAAAGTGTTTAATTTCTGTCATTTAGTAAAATTTTTCAATTTTATAAAAAGCATATAAGGAAAATCAATCTCCAAATTTTATGAAATACCTTCAAAAATAAAGTTTAATGTCTAGATCTTTGCAAACTTTTGTACATAATGACTAAATCAATACTGTATTGATTTTATCAATATAATAATCACTGTATCAGTTTATGAAATTAAGGTAAAAGATTAATCAGAAACTTAAAGCCTTCCCTTTCTACAGAAAACAATGCAGTTTTACAATATTAATATTAAAAGTCAATATTGGTAAGCAACATTAGATAATCACTTAAGCTAACAACAGCAGCAATAGAAATTCAGAGATAATGGCTTTAACGTGATAGCTACCAATTTATTTTAAAATATGTGCATTTCTTTTGCATATGTAAATAATGTTAAGTAATATGTTTAGCTGAAATGTAAATGGTCAAAACTTTCCTTGCTGAGTCTATTGCACTATAAGTTGGGTTTGCAGTAAGAAACTAACACATTTGTGCCTTCTCAAAGTACTAATTTTGGGTTGTATGCTATCCAGAAACTATATTAAATCATTTCTGTCCCAAAATAATGACCTTACAAAAGGAATTTAACTTTACCTAGTTCTATCACGATTGCATATTAAGGAGAGATTTAGAAGCTGGCAGAAGTTTTTGTTCAATCAGCTACCTACTAAGCCCAAAACTCATATACTGTATAGCCAAGAAAAACTAAACTATATTATCTTCCTAATTATTCTTTTGAAAAATGACTTCATGTTCATTGTCTTCTCTTCATTCTTAAAAAAGGAACTCATTTTGTAAAAGAGTCCTGACTGATAATGTGTCTCTTGACCTTGCAGGTCACTGGCCCAATGAATGTCTCTGAGCCAAATTCCAGCTTTGCTTTAGTAAATGAATTTATACTCCAAGATTTATCTTTTGAGTGGACAATTCAGATCTTCCTCTTCTCACTCTTCACTACAACAAATGCACTGACCATAACAGGAAATGGAGCCATTGCTTGCGCCCTGTGGTGTGACCGGCGACGTCACACTCCCATGTACATGTTCCTGGGAAATTTCTCCTTTTAAGAGATATGGTATGTCTCTTCTACAGTTCCCAAGATGTTGGTCAACTTCCTTTCAGAGAAAAAAACCATCTCCTTTGCTGGATGTTTTCTCCAATTTTATTTCTTCTTCTCTTTGGGTACATCTGAATGCTTGATTTTGACTGTGATGGCCTTTGATCAGTACCTTGTTATCTGCCATCCCTTGCACTATCCTAATAAATCATGACTGGGCATCTCTGTGCCAAACTGGTCATACTGTGCTGGGTTTGTGGATTTCTGTGTTTCCTGATCCCCACTGTTCTCATCTCTCAGATGCCCTTCTGTGGTCCAAACATTAATGACCATGTTGTGTGTGACCCAGGGCCACTATTTGCATTGGCTTGTGTCTGTGCCCCAAGAATCCAACTGTTTTGCTACACTCTAAGCTCATTAGTTATTTTTGGTAACTTCCTCTTTATTATTGGATCCTATACTCTTGTCCTGAAAGCTGTGTTGGGTATGCCTTCGAGCACTGGGAAACATAAAGCCTTCTCTACCTGTGGGTCTCATTTGGCTGTGGTATCACTGTTCTATGGCTCTCTTATGGTCATGTGTGTGAGTCCAGGACTTGGACACTCTATGGGGATGCAGAAAATCAAAACTTTGTTCTATGCTATGGTGACCCCACTCTTCAATCCCCTTATCTATAGCCTCCAGAATAAGGAGATAAAGGCAGCCCTGAGGAAAGTTCTGGGGAGTTCCAACATAATCTAAGCCATATTAGATTATTCCTCCATGATCAGATGAGTACAGTCTAACAAAGAGAAATCAGAATTATATAGTTATTTAAATCTAAAAAATATGGATCTAGTGATATTGACTATATCAGCCTATGAAATTAAACACCTGTTGGGCCCCTTACAAATTAAAGTTGCCAAATTATATAGATAAATGGAAGCGTGTGGCTTCCCTTTGGCACCTAGACTGAGTATTAACTGAGGAATGTACATATTTGGGTGTTTTCTGGATAGTTTCCATCTGATTCATCTGTGATAAAAATTCTTTAAGTTCTATTTGACTTAAATTTATTGTTCTGACATTGACAAAATTACAGCTATGTTATTTTGTTTGGTTGGTTGTAAATAAAAGAAGAAAAAACATATTTTCTGATTGTGATTCCTATCATATTTGGCTTTATTATTTGGTGACATGGTCATTTCTAATAAATAAGCCCTTATAAGCAATTTATCAACATTTTTGTGGGACAATAAAATATTCTAGCCTAATGACATCCAAACATTACTTCCTTCTGAGCCCCTAAAGGGCAGATTCTAATTCCATCTATAGTAATATCAGTCAAAATATTCACAAATGCATTCTTCTAAATGCCTAATATTTTTACCTAAATAAGGTATCACCAAAAACGTGATGGGTCAATTTATTGAGTTTTAGATAATAGAATATCTCCCCCTAAAAATTGGACAGGGCAATGGTGTACTTGTGGATACACTGCTTAAGTTCAAAAAATAAAATCAATGGCAGTTCATTGTCATTTGTTGCTAAAAGAATGTGAAAATAACATGAAGGAAAATTTTTAAAGGAAAAAAGCATTTATAGTTCAATTGCTCTAATGTATCTATTTTTGTTAATATGTCTGTTTCATGTGATTTAATGTTGAACTTGCTCCCATTTATAGCAAGTTTTCATAATTATCATTCTTAGAAAGCATAATATTTTATTGAACTAACATGCCATGAATTGTGAATTTTTATGTGGGGAGATGAACATTGTCCTAGACGAAGGGCCTTCTTTCCAAGAAGCTAAGAGCTGACTAGTAAAAGGGAATTTTCAGAAGGGATATTAGGAGAAAAATGAATGCCTCTACTACACAAGAATGACTTCTCACAGAATTTGTACTGTGGCATTCTGGGGTAAGGTTACTGAACACTCCAACACCTTCCTTCCTTCTACCACCAATTTTTTTGATGAACATTACAGTTATCCCATTTTTTGTTATAAAATAATATCTCAATAAAATCTCCATAAAGATTTGCCTTGATAATATTTTGCAAACCTGAATTAGGACTCATCATCTAATCTGAAACAGACTGTCCCAGAAAATACAGAATATAAGAATATGATGTATGTGCAACAATTTTCCTTTCAGATTTTTTGTCTTATAACAGTTTATTGGGAAAGAGATCATTATTCAGTTCAAAAGGTAGGAATGCATTTGTGAATTGGGGCCTGGACATTCCAGGTAGAACAATTATTTGCTCCTTGGATGTAAGACAGTATCAAGCTTTTAGTCAATCTTATTAGAACTCTGCCATATCTCTCACTTGTATAGCCGCTGAGGATCTTTCCTGTTTCCATACTCCTTTCCAGGGTATATGACTTTTAAGTTACCTGAGTTCTGATCAGCAAATGGACTCAGGAAGAACAGGTAGTCAAGGCAGGCAATATTTCCACCACAGTTTCAGAACTCCCTACTTTGTGGTACTAAGTTAATACATTTGTGCAGCCACTACCTTTTCAAAGGTTTCTTCTTACAACCTCAAATACTATGACTGGTTCACAACCTTTTCCATAGTGCTAAATTATTTGACCAAACACCGCATATATACCATATTTTTTCAAAGCCAAACTGTATCCCAAAGAGAGAGAAGGAGGGAGAAAGAATAGCAGTAAAAATACAGTGTTATTTCAGGTTGATATTTAAAAACAATTGTGCTGGTTAATGGAATTTCCTCGGGGGAAATGACAATTGAAAGTCGGTATTTTCTACTTTCAAATACAAGTCATGGTGTTTATTCGCTGCCTTTACAACTGAATAGATGGAATTCGCTGAACAAACTTTGATTCTACCCTCAATTACAACTAATTCCCTCACAAAGCAAAATTTATTTCACAACTAAACATTATGTACATTCAAGATTACTAGAAAACTTAGGACATAAGGTGCAAGTGCGACAATATTAGGAGAAAAGAAAGAGTGTGTATCAGTTTAACAGGTTTTCACATGCAAATTCACCACCACAGGGTTCGCTGTCTTGGCAACATTGAAAATAATAATAATTAACGTTTTAAGACACCTATTTTGTGTCAGGCAATGTTCCAAGTCTTTTCTATGTATTATTTTATTTCCTACTTATGAAACCCAAAGAAATTGGGTTGGTATTATTGTATCTCTAATTTTTGAAGAGTGAAACAGGCAGAAAAGGTAACTTGCCTAGTTGGAGATGGCATCTGATCTCAGGCAGGCTAACAATGGAGCCCACAGTTTTTACTACTATTAGGGGAAAAGACCAACACTATCGAACGAAATAGATTGGATCAAATCTAAGTCACTGATTGTGTGAGCTTATGCAAATTATTTGACCTTTCTGCCTAGATTTGTTTAGACTATAAAATAGAACTAATGATAATACTTTTGTCAGACAGTGGATTTGATGATTAAATGCGGTAAATCAAGGTAGGATCTTACACATAGTATTTATGGAATCTATTTCAGTTAATATTATTAATGTCTTTCATTTGTAGGGCTCTTCAGCATTTCCCAAACACTTTTATATAGTTGTTCAGTTCATCCTCACAAATTCTGTCATCACACAGTTAAGGTAGACATTCCCATACTCATTTCACTGATGAGATTCAAAGAAATCAAGTATACTGTCCAAGGTCACCCATAGTAAGTGAAGGAACCAGTTCTTCTGACTTCAAGTTCAGTAAGAATTCTGCTGTACCATACATCCTATTCTGGGAAATGTGGCTAAGTCCTGTGTAGCTAACTTCAGAACTACATGGCCATGCAAGCCAAAGAGCTGGATTTACCCCAGAAATGAATACTGTAGAGAAGAAATGAGTGAAGTAGAAGAACTAAGGGATTTCTTTCCAGTAGTTTTAAGGTAATAACTAGTCAAATTATACAAATATTTATGTAAAACGTATTTCATGTGCAAAATATGTCACTGAGTGAAAATGGCAGATCATGAAACAATAGTATTATATAATCTTACACAAACATGAAGTCATGGGATTATGGGTAATTAAGATTCGTTGTTTCCTCTTTTATGCTAATATCTTTATTTCCTAATTTTTCCATGACAAATATGCATTTTTTGTTCAATTTACAAACAACATGGAGTTAACAAAAAATTAGTGTTTACAAATGGATGCATAAATTAAAGCAATGCTTTTAGACACACCACTTACCCACACTTCCCCTCCACTTTGTGTGTAAGGGAAAGGATAATGCTACTGTCTTTGGTAAGCTTTTACCATGTCTTTACAGAGCTTCTCAAGTACTTTTCCATGTGGGGTCACTTTGTGGAGAGGAGTTAATTTGGCACCCTAGTCCTTCTATTTCACTCAGAACCAGCTTTTTCTGCAAAGGAAAGAGTGGTCCTTGATAGCAAACCCTGGCCTTGTGGTTTTCATTCTAGATGCTTAGAGCAACAACAACAACAAAAACAAAAGACAGAGACAGAGACAGAGAGAATGGAGGAACATGTCATACAATCAAATGAACCTTCCCAATCAAGAACTTTACCTGGGAACCTCCCATCTACACTTGTACACATCTCTCCCCCCAAGCTCCCTGCTTACTACTAATACAAGAACCAACTTTAATTAAAAGAGGGTTTGAATTGTTATGTTTTTGATACCTACCTTTTTTTTATTATACTTTGTTTTAGGGTACATGTGCACAACCTGCAGGTGTGTTCCATATGTATACATGTGCCATGTTGGTGTGCTGCACCCATTAACTTGTCATTTAGCATTAGGTATATCTCCTAATGCTATCCCTCCCCCCTCCCCCCACCCCACAACAGGCCCCGGTGTGTGATGTTCCCCTTCCTGTGTCCATGTGTTCTCATTGTTCAATTCCCACCTATGAGTGAGAACATGCGGTGTTTGGTTTTTTGTCCTTGCGATAGTTTGCTGAGAATGATGGTTTCCAGCTTCATCCATGTCTCTACAAAGGACATGAACTCATCATTTTTTATGGCTGCATAGTATTCCATGGTGTATATGTGCCACATGAACTCAAACAAATTTACAAGAAAAAAACTAACAACCCCATCAAAAAGTGGGCAAAGGATATGAACAGACACTTCTCAAAAGAAGACATTTATGCAGCCAAAAGAAACATGAAAACATGCTCATCATCACTGGCCATCAGAGAAATGCAAATCAAAACCACAATGAGATACCATCTCACACCAGTTAGAATGGTGATCATTAAAAAGTCAGGAAACAACAGGTGCTGGAGAGGATGTGGAGAAATGGGAACACTTTTACACTGTTGGTGGGACTGTAAACTAGTTGAATCATTGTGGAAGTCAGTGTGGCGATTCCTCAGGGATCTAGAACTAGAATTACCATTTGACCCAGCCATCGCATTACTGGGTATATACTCAAAGGATTATAAATCATGCTGCTATAAAGACACATGCACATGTATGTTTACTGCAGCACTATTCACAATAGCAAAGACTTGGAACCAACCCAAATGGCCAATAAAGATAGACTGGATTAAGAAAATGTGGCACATGTACACCATGGATACCTACCTTTTATTTATCTGTGTTTATTATAAGAACATATTTTAAACGTTTATCTCTTCTGAGTTTTTATTATGAGCAAACTGGGCACTCATCTCTTTTAAAGAACATAAGCCATTTATCTATCAAAAGTATATACTACTAGTCATCTTAATAAAAACAGAACCATTTTTAAAAGATAATAATTCAACTATGGCCAACGAAGCAAAGTATCTATGGTTGGAATAAATAATTATTACTTTTTATTAAGTAATTCAATTACTCCACATTTTACTTAAGTGTTGGAAACTCAAGATCTATCCAGGGACTCAAATTTGCTGCACATAGTAGACTTAGATTCAGCTGCATATAATAGAAACTCAAGCTACAGTAATTTATGCAACATAAAGGTTTAGTTTTCTTCTCTCATGCGTGCTTCTAAAGATAATCAGTCCACTGCAGTCCAGAGGTGGGCAGTGCCAAGATATCATCAGGGACCTAGGCTTCCCTGCCTTTTTGACAAATCTTTTGTAGTATGTGTTTCTTTCCTTAAGTTCACCTTATTACCTGAAGATGGCTGCTGAAGTGTCAGACAGTGGCAAAACTATATTCCGTTTATATATCGGAACATAAGCATGTCAAATGATAATCACCATAAACAGAAGAGACTGCAACATCTAATTTTTTAAACTGGGCACATTCTCAAATTGAATAAAATTGAGGTTGTATTAGTTAGGAAGATAATAAAATTGGGTGTTAAATATGTAGCTAACAAACTTTGCCACACATGTATTGGGTATAAAATTAAGAAAATGGACATAAGTGATAGAAGTTTAGAAGTAGCCCCTCTTCTCAAAAGCCTCACTCTAGGAGGTTGATACACCTCTTAAGCAAAACTTTATACCCAAATGAACTGCAAAAGAGACAGGAAAAGAGTTGGTGGATAGAAAAGTTTTTAAAAAACAAAAATGTTGATAAGCCAAAAAAAAAAAAAGACACTACAAAAACTCTTGCAAATGTCTATGGAAAAAAATAAATTTAAATTTATTTCCCCTATTCTCCACAGAACAAAAGGCCCACATACGGTGCTTGAAAAATAAATGCTTGGAATGGTGCTGGGAAAACTGGCTAGCCATATGTAGAAAGCTGAAACTGGATCCCTTCCTTACACCTTATACAAAAATCAATTCAAGATGGATTAAAGACTTAAACGTTAGACCTAAAACCATAAAAACCCTAGAAGAAAACCTAGGCATTACCATTCAGGACATAGGCATGGGCAAGGACTTCATGTCTAAAACACCAAAAGCAATGGCAACAAAAGACAAAATTGACAAATGGGATCTAATTAAACTAAAGAGCTTCTGCACAGCAAAAGAAACTACCATCAGAGTGAACAGGCAACATACAAAATGGGAGAAAATTTTCACAACCTACTCATCTGACAAAGGGCTAATATCCAGAATCTACAATGAACTCAAACAAATTTACAAGAAAAAAACTAACAACCCCATCAAAAAGTGGGCGAAGGACATGAATAGACACTTCTCAAAAGAAGACATTTATGCAGCCAAAAAACACATGAAAAAATGCTCACCATCACTGGCCATCAGAGAAATGCAAATCAAAACCACAATGAGATACCATCTCATACCAGTTAGAATGGCAATCATTAAAAAGTCAGGAAACAACAGGTGCTGGAGAGGATATGGAGAAATAGGAACACTTTTACACTGTTGGTGGGACTGTAAACTAGTTCAACCATTGTGGAAGTCAGTGTGGCGATTCCTCAGGGATCTAGAACTAGAAATACCATTTGACCCGCCATCCCATTACCGGGTATATACCCAAAGGACTATAAATCATGCTGCTATAAAGACACACACACACGTATGTTTATTGCGGCATTATTCACAATAGCAAAGACTTGGAACCAACCCAAATGTCCAACAATGATAGACTGGATTAAGAAAATGTGGCACATATACACCATGGAATACTATGCAGCCATAAAAAATGATGACTTGATGTCCTTTGTAGGGACATGGATGAAATTGGAAATCATCATTCTCAGTAAACTATTGCAAGAACAAAAAACCAAACACCACATATTTTCACTCATAGGTGAGAACAATGAGAACAAATGGACACAGGAAGGGGAACATCACACTCGGGGGACTGTTGTGGGTTGGGGGAGCGGGGAGGGATAGCATTGGGAGATATACCTAATGCTAGATGACGAGTTAGTGGGTGCAGCGCACCAGCATGGCACATGTATAGATATGTAACTAACCTGCACATTGTGCACATGTACCCTAAAACTTAAAAGTACTGTAATAATAAATAAATAAATAAATACGCCAAAAAAATAAAATAAAATAAATGCTTGGAACAAGAGATGAGAAAACTATTTTAATGTCTCCAAAGGCAAACTTATGTCATTGTTATTGCAAGAACAGAACAGAAGCAGAAAAAATATTCAAAAGGGCTTCAGTCAAGTCAAACAAAATATGAATTAGAGTATGGGGACTTTTCTCTCTTTGGGAGATTAAATTACCAAAACCCAGTTCTGGCTTTGATTTTTTGACTTCCTTCCCAAAAGTTTCCCATTGGCCTGTGTCCTCTGGAAAACAAGATCCGACCATTCAGATAAACATCCATCTTTCCTCTTCTCCCTCTATTCCGTAATCCCAACTTCAGTAGGAAGGTCATGTTCCTTCAGCAAGACTGTGGGTCCCTCTTCAATTGTACTGCCATAAAGGGAGCACTGGGATGGGGAGGTAGAAATGGAGAGATGATGGGGTGCTCTTACTGCAAGGAAAAAAACTCTCCTGGAAAATGGAGATGGAACTTGTTCTTTCAGAGATAGGAGGATATTATACAAAGTTAGTGGGAACTGAAATCCCCAAATCAGACTGAAAAAGAGGAAATCAAAAATAGAAAAGGTAGCTGGGAGGGGAAAGGGAGAGAATATGATGCAATTTGGGGAGATGTTAAGAGGTTAACAAAGCACTCTCCTTCTTCCCTAGAAATTCCCACCTGACAGTTAATAACAAGGGAGTCACACCTGTGTGTGACAGAGGGCAGCCAATGGCCATTGTGGAGGAAAGAATCACCGAAAAAAAGGCTTTACTCTTGCTGCACGATAAAGTGGAAAAAAAAATCCTTCCTGAGAAATTTCAACCTTGTCTCTGCTGACTTCCATTTTCTCTGCTCAGAGGTAAACAGCCGCTAGATAAGCCTTGTGGACAAGGTGGAAGAGCAAGTAAGTAGAAACTGACAGGGCAGAAAGCAGAAATGAAGAATCTCTCACACAGAGAGACTCTGCCCCTCTCCAAGGGAAGCCAGAGGCTTGAAGCCAGGCAGGGATTAGATGGCATTTAAGAGGAATCTGTGTGTTAAGACTTGCCACAATTTAACTGCTCAAGTAAGGAGCTGTCATTTGTGGATAATGTAAGTATGCTTCAGGTGATACTATCAAACTTGATTTCCTGAAAGCAAAGGACCACTGCATAGCTCAGAATTCTATATTCCTAGGATCTCTACCTCAAAACCATTGCGTCTTCTTGGTCTGAGATTTACCCCAGCCTCTGAAATCTCCCTGAATGCTAGAATAGAGAGGGAAGCCCAAGAATAACAGGGCATGCTATTTGACACAGTCAGGGCTCAAGAAACAGACTTTGAAAAATGTGAGGAAATAGCCATGGAAATAGGATGATGGAGCACCAAATGTATTGAATGATATCCACAATGAGGTGGATGGCTTTGCAAGGTTGAGTCATCTAGATGATTCATTCCCAGGACCTTCTCAGGCCTCCTCTGAACTTTTCACTGAAATCTGAGGCATGTACACTACTCATGCTCCAGCTCCCTTTGAAGAGACATTATTACTCAAGGAAAGGCAGCTTCTGTGCTTCCAGAGCCAGCTTTCTGTGGTCACCCAGCAATGTTATCTCAAGAGAAAGACACAGAAATCCATGTCCTTTGATAGAAAATCCTCCTTTGCTCAAGGGCATGAGTTACTGAATAAGTCCAAGGAGGGTGACACTTTTCATTCTTGTTTGATGTCTGTCATTCTCGGAGCACCAGCCTGATCTGCCTCTTTCCATCTTTTCAGGGACCCAGATAGGGGACACATGATTATTGCTGATTTCATAATAGGCAACTGGAGGCTTTACCATGAAAGATGAATAAGTAAACAGTGCAACTTGGAGGTAGGGCTGGCCACCTACCACTTGGTGGCCAACGCAGGGACTGCTCACCTCCTGCTGCTGTTTCTGGAGCCTGTTGATCAGCAGCAGCTGCACAGCTACCACCGCTTTACCCGGTAGCTTCAGAAGGAGGACTATTTTGATTTACCCCAAGGTGAGGTTGAGTGGGATGCCTTCTGTGAGTGACTTTGGAGAAGGCTAAGGAAAGCCAGATGAGAAAGAGAGGATTAGAAGCTGTGAGAGGTTTAACCAGGCAGAAATCTCTCCCAGCAGGGGCCTGGATTGCCATCACATCACTGAAGGGAGGGCTCACAAAAGTGGTCTGCAGGCAGTGCTTACTCCAAGCCCGCTTTTTACACTGAAAATGATAGTTGAAGACAACATATTTGAAAGCACCTGCAAACAAAGTTCTTTCAAAAAACAGTTCTGATACCCTGCTAGTCCTCTCACACAAGGCATTCCCTTAAAAAAGAATATGCAAAAATGGGTTGGAGAATGCTATGTGCATTTTTCAAAATGAATTCCTTCTGCCTCCACTGAAAGCAATGTGTTCACTTGTTTGATAAAAAGCTACTTTATTCCAGAGGAATGAGGCAAGAATCAATGAGCTACTTGTCAGTGTTCTAAAGCTAAATTGCAAATTCAGAGTTTCTCTAATTCATGAGGTTCTCACAATAGTAGTATTGCATGAGTGAGAACAATAGTTGTGATCCTGTATTACATATGAGGAATCCAAGCACATAAAGATTAGGTGACTTACCACTGTGGCACAGCAAACTGGATCTGGTGCTCATCCTCTGAGTCACAGTCCAGGGCTCTGTACTCTCTACTGTCTTCCGCTTACCTCCAACTGATGACAGCTTACCTTGCTACGGAGTTAAATGGGCAAAAACGAGGTAAACATCTTAAAAATACACACACGTTATCTATTTCTGAGAATATTTTCACAAATTTACAGAGATTTTGCATAAAATTATAAGTGCCCCCAAACAGAAGGATAAAGTACATTGATAAAAATGGACTATAATGTTCTCATTAAGAATCATGTTTCAAAGAACACATAGTGCTATGGGGAAAGACACATGATATATTAAACAAAAGTATTAACAAAACTGCATGCACTACGATTCCAATTTTGAAAATAATTACATAGATATCTAATATACGAAATACAGAGAAACAGAGGAGGCTAGAAATGGTCTTAGAAATGGTATTGTGGATGATTTAAACTTCCTATACTTTCCTGTGTTATTATTTTTTTCTAAAATAAGCACATGTTGTTTTCATAATATTAAAATAAATTCTCTTTTGTAAATGGAAACCTTAGTGTAGACTAATTAGTTTAATTCTCTACTTTTTGTTGGCATGACATGAGCTTGAGAGAAAGTATAAATGTCTAAATCTGGAAAAACACAGCAAAAAAAAAAAAAGGTAAAAAGTCACTGCAAACAATTTCAGAGACCATCTGTTAGACAAATGGGCCAAAGAGGGCTTCTTTATATAGCCCCCTAGGGTGTTTACTTCTTTACAGTAAGCTGAATCCTGTTAACTCAAATGCCATAGATAAGATAAATTCTGGGGCTGTAAAGACCCCAAGTTGCTGCTGTACTTTGGAGCTCTCTGACACAGAGTCCACACTGGGCTACTCAGCAACATCACCTAGACAAGCAAATCTCTCTCTTATCGCCCTCTCCCCTGAGCGCTCTCTAGTCCTCCTCCCCTTCTGGATAGAGGCCTGATGCCATAGCCTCTGAAAGGTAATGCATTGAGGGACTATCCCTGCATGAAAAGCTATCTAAGCAGCTCCCCCAGGAAAACTGCCACCTCAGGGTCAGCTCCTCAAGTTTTGGCTCAGAAAGTGAAAGACTTCCACACACATTGCTTCAGGGGAAAAAAAAAAATTAGCAATTTCTTCCTTAATAGAGTTGGAGTACTTGTAGTCCTGTGGCATAACCCTGGGACTTTGCTGACCACAAGTCCAGTATTTCATCCCCCCTCCCTTTGTCTGCTGTCAACTAGTGTTCCTTAGAAAATATTATTATTGTTATCAATGTTAATAAAACTTCACGTTCTAATTAGCCTTAATATTTTCCATTACAGTTTTTTATGTTGTTGAAATCAACCTGAATGGTTTTTTTCTTGAAATATCTTAGATCGTATCATGGAATTTCAAGATTGAAAGAAATTTGCATCTGATGCTTAGATACCCTCTCCCACTTTCCCAACCTATATCTGACAAAAGCAACTGATAGAAAGTATTGTTCTTCAGCTCGTTCCATCATTGCATATATTTCTCTGTTAAAAAGTAAGTCTCCATGATGAATTAAAATGTGTCACCCTATAGAATTATAGTAATTCTGTACTTTAGAGATTAAATGGGACAAATTCATTTGCTTTATTAAATAATTACCTTTCATTTGTTTCAATAAAACTTTTTGTTCTCCAATTTAAATATCCCAATTCCTTCTACTGTTACTCATTTTCCGTACTTCTAAGTCCCCTCTAGTTGTTCTTCGCCAAATTCACTATAGTTTGACAATGTACTTCTTAAGTGAAACTAAAATGACAAATTCATGAAACAAGTGGGCAAATAGTTTAAAGTTAAGTACCACTAAAACAGATATTGATCCAAAAATCTCAACGTAAGTACAGAACCCTTGGGGCTGGCACATGTGCAGAATTGTAGAAAGAAGGGAAGAGATAGATAAGCCTTTGAAGCATTTTGTAAATTCTTTGCCATAACTGACTTCTGTCTTTATATCCTTGGACTTCATAGAACCCCTTGTTCTTACATTTTCAGTCCTAAATCCAGTATCATCTATTTTGTGGGAAAACATAGCTATGTTAGTATAAAAACATATATCAAGGCTTCCAATTATATTTGATATTCTGATTCAGGCTTAAGGTCAACTGATTATTCAGATTAGACCCAGGCCTCATCATCTTTCCCTTTTTCCCTAAAGGCTGAACCAATTAAGATCTCAGTTAAGAAACACTTTTTGAGATCTTCCCAAAACTTTCTCACTGTTATCCCTAGATGAGTCCACTTGGAAATGTTGGATGATCCAGAAGGGTCAAAAATAAACCTTGGCACATTTATTTAAAAATGAAGCAGGTGGAGACTGGAGGTCAGCAGTGAAGACTGAGTGTACACACAGCGTGCTCTTAGTCACCACTCCTCCAAGAGGAGCTGTCCAGGGTATGATAGCCATGGCTCAAAATGTGTCTGCTACATACTCTCCTAAAGAGTCAGGTGTAATCGTTGCTTCCTAAATCAGGAAAGACTGCAGTGCCCTTTACATCTGCTTGTAACCACAATATGGTTATTGGGTGGGCTCCAAATAACTGCTATACTTGATAATGTTACCTTCCAACACTGACCCTTTTAAAGGCCTTCTAAGAAATTTTGGATGTGAGCGCCACTGTGTTCCTCTTTGCTGAACACTTTCTCAAATGGGAGACCAAGGAAGATGAGGTTGACTCATGTATTCCAGCAGACAGAAACCTAACTTTAGATGTCTACTCTCTACATGTTTCTATAATTCTCACACAACAGCTTCAGATAAGGCACAGCTCAGATTTTTTTCATGTCTTTTCCACTTTCCTTTAACCCTGTGTTGCATTTGGAATCAATCACAATCTTGAAAGACACAGTTCCAAACACCATAATCGAATGTTGAAAATCAAAAGAACAAAATCCTTAAAGTCTAAAATTCCAAAAATCGCCATCCCAAAAGACTGAAATCCTGAAAATTTAATTCTGGAAAAAATAGTTTTAAAAATTCTTTAAGATATATTTATTTACATTTTTAAAAGGTATTTATTTGAGTAACATATAAAAACACAAAAATAAAAACACAGCAGAACACTTCAAAGATCACCTTACACAATAAAATAAGCGATAACATACATTTTTGCAAGCATAAACATTCAGGCCTTCTATCAACAGTCACACAAGTATAAGAGTTATAAACAGATGAACTATATTCATGACGAAATAGGTCAAAAGGTGAAATATGTAAATGCATATCATTGTGGTTGGTAATTGTATGCACCCAGCTCTATAACTGTAGTCTTCTGAAATACCATGATAGACAACAGAAGTATTTTCATGATACTGATTAATCACCACCACAACAGTCACCTAAAGAACCAAGATCTCAAGAAATAATGTTTTAAATGTTTCTGTAGTACTGTAAGGTGAATATAGTTAACTATAATTTATTGTGTATTTTTACAAAGCTAGAAGAGAGGATTTTGAATGTTCACAAGACAAAGAAGTGCTAAATGCATGAGGCGATGTGCTAATTACCTTGATTTGATCACCCCATATTGTCTATGTGTATTGGACTAGTACTCTATATCTCATAAATATAATTATTACATGTCAACTAAAAATAAAAGGAAAAATATATTTTTAAAATGTTAACTCAAAAATCTTAGCTTAATAGTTGTAAAGAAAGAAGACTCTCCCATCAGAGTGAAGTGGGAGTGATCTTGCTTCAGGAAATGAAGCTGCATCAGCATAACAGGACTTTGACCTGAAGTCCTAGCTGCTGGCTGAAGCAGCCACTGAGGAGCCTTTGACAGCAAAATCTGTAAAAAACATTGCGTGATAGGCATACCTAATCGTTAAAGATAAAAACAATACATAGGTACACGAAGACATTCGTTGTATCTCATATTTTCTATAAATGTTCTAAGGAAATGTACTTGTTGCCTAGAGCTCATTTAAGAAACAAGGTTCTCTTCAGTGCAGCATGTGCTGTTTTAGGGACCCTGCCAGTGTCCTTCCAATAGGACCAATGCTCTAAAATCATCACATAAATAAAGTGTGACAAGAGTTTCAGCTTCTTGGTTTCGTACTCCTCCCTCAGACATACTCTACTTTGTACGTTTACATTTCCTCTTATCTATCTCAATTCTTCAAGCTTCCTCATTGAAAAATAAGCCCTGGAGAATGAATGGAATATGTAAATAAATGAAACATCCACCAGTAGATTATCGTTAAGAACTGTAGTATGTGTACATGATAGAATGCTTCCCCGTATTAAAGTAAATATTTTTAAAGATTATCCCAAAATATGGGTAAAGACTTAAGATAGGCTATTAAAGTGATAAAAATAGAATAAAAAGTAGAATTCAAAATTAGTCATAATATGATTCGAAGTAGAAAAAATAGGAGTAATGCAGCAAAGTATTAGTAACAATTTGATGTAAATGAACTGTGCCATTAATAATTTTTCTATATTTTTCATATTTGTCCATTTTTTGTTTCATTTTCTAAATAGTTACTTAAATTGTGCAAAATTTTCTCTACAGTTTAAATGTCTACCAACAACTCAGAGAGAAAATGTCCTACAGTGGCATGTAACTTCAAATGATCCAGACCTTTACATAAGTGCTAAAAAGTGTTAATGGTGTCATTTCTGGGAAGGAGGTGCCCTAGAAGAGGGAAACAGACTGGATTCTCAGGCCTTTAAGGTTGTCTTCTTGAGACAGTCTCAGTGTCCTAACTATCAGCACCGTGTATGGAGCCGAGACCCAATTTGCATATTTCAACAAGCTTAATTTTCTCAACAGTTATGGCTTTCACTTTCCCCCATCTTCTTCCAGCCATCTCTATTTATACACCCAAGAAACTTTCAGATTTTCCTTAGTTTCCTCTCATAACACAAACGTGCCTGAGATGTTATCAGGCACATTTATCATTCACATGTCTCTTGAAGGCGTTCAGAAGAAATGAATGGTATCCTTTCTCCTGGAACTGCATCCCACCCTGGAAAGCAAATGCTGTTTACATTACTCTTATAGGATTTTTCCAGACATATGATAAAAGAAAAAACTTCAGCTGAATTAAATTTAAAGGAGTTGAATTGAGCAATGAATGATTCACAAATCAGGCAGCCCCCAGAATCACAGCAGATTCACAGAGGCTCCAGCACAGCCATGTGGTGGTAAATTTATAGACAAACAAAAGGGAAATGACATACAGAAATCAGCAGTGAGTTACAGGAACAGCTGCATTGGTTACAGATTGGCATTTGCCTCATCAGTGTATTAATGATTGAAGTATGGCCACTGAGATTGGCTAAGACTTAGCTATTTGTTGCAGGTGCATACTCGTAAGTTAGGTTTTCAATTTTGTCTGCCTATTAAGCTAGGTTACAGTTCATCCACAAGGATTCAAATATGGAAGTACAAGTCCTTCTCAGGCCATATTTAGTTTGCTTTAACACCTATGAGCTTAATACCGACAAAGTGAACACTATTTCCTCATATCATACAAAACCAAAAGTGTTGAAACTAAATTGTCAGGATCTAATACTCAAATATCATAGTATGATATATTTTCACTTTCCCATGGTGTTCTTTCCCTCCTTTCATATATTCCTTCACTCTTATTTTTTAGCATATTCATTCATCACCCAAAACTTCATCTTATGTGCTAGGTGTTGGGCCAAGGCTTGGAGGAACAAAGTGATGCAAAATACTGACAGACTTTTTTAAATGCTTATTGAGTCAGAGGGGCATGAGATTCTGCATTTCTTTTTATAGATATATATACTTTAGGTTCTGGGATACATGTGCAGAACGTGCAGGTTTGTTACATAGGTATACACGTGCCATGGTGATTTGCTGCACCCATCAACCAATCATCTACATTAGGTATTTCTCCCAATGCTATCCCTCCCCTAGCCCCCCACCCCTGAAAAGCCCCCAGTGTGCAATGTTGCCCTCCATGTGTCCATGTGTTCTCATTGTTCAACTCCCACTGATGAGTGAGCCAACATGCGGTGTTTGGTTTTTTGTTCTTGTGTTAGTTTGCTGAGAATGATGGTTTCCAGCCTCATCTATGTCCCTGAAAAGGACATGAACTCATCCTTTTTTATGGCTGCATAGTATTCCATGGTGTATATGTGCCACATTTTCTGTATTCAGTCTATCATTGATGGGCATTTGGTTTAGTTCCAAGTCTTTGCTATTTTGAACAGTGCTGCAATAAACATACTTGTGCATGTGTCTTTATAGTAGAATGATGTATAATCCTTTGGGTGTATACCCAGTAATGGGATCACTGGGTCAAATGGTATTTCTAGTTCTAGATCCTTGAGGAATCACCACACTGTCTTCCACAATGGTGGAACTAATTTACACTCCCACCAACAGTGTAAAAGCATTCCTATTTCTCCACATCCTCTCCAGCATCTGTTGTTTTCTGACTTTTTAGTGATCACATATGCAGAAAGCTGAAACTGGATCCCTTCCTTACATCTTACACAAAAATTAACTCAAGATAGATTAAAAACTTAAGTGTAAGACCTAAGCCCATACAAACCCTAAAAGAAAACCTAGGCGATGCCATTCAGGACATTGGCATGGGCAAAGACTTCATGACTAAAACACCAAAAGCAGTGGCAACAGAAGTCAAAATAGACAAATGGGATCTTATTAAACTAAAGAGCTTCTGCACAGCAAAAGAAACTATCATCAGAGTGAACAGGCAACCTACAGAATGGGAGAAAATTTTTGCAATCTATCCATCTGACAAAGGACTAATATCCAGAATCTACAAAAAACTTAAACAGATTTACAAGAAAAAAACAAACAACCCCATCAAAAAATGGGCAAAGGATGCGAATGGACACTTCTTAAAGAAGACATTTATGCAGCCAACAAACATGAAAAAAAAGCTCATCGTCACTGGTCATTAGAGAAATGCAAATCAAAACCACAATGAGCTATCATCTCACACCAGTCAGAATGGAGATTCTGCATTTCTAAAAGTCTCCAGCTGACACTGATGTTGCTGGTCAATAGACCATACTTCATGTAGCAATGATCTAGTGATGACCTAGTTAAAATGTCCAAGGAGACAAGTTCCTGAACAAAAAAGCCTCAGAAATATCTCTACCTCACCCACATAATGATGAGAAAAAGTCAGAATTGGGAGTGATTCTTAAAAATCAGTGTTTCTCTCTCAAAGTCAGGTTAAGGAGTAGACATTGCCTGATTTCTATTAAATCCTACTAAGATTCTGCCAGATAGTAGAAAACATTGTAATACAAATTGAAAAACATCTTTGTTCCTGTCATTTATTGATTTATATAACATGTTATTTGTTGAGAACCATGGTGCACTGGGATGTGTGGTACTAATCAGGGATACATGGTGACCTAAACTAGACCTGGAACACTCTTGAGGAGCTTACAATCTAGTATAAATCCTAAACACTGAATAAAATAGCCAGGTAAATAAATGCCAAATTAATCATTCAGTAAGTGTTATAAAGGAAAGGTACATTAAGGCCTAACATGATTCAATGGAGGTGGCGCAGGGAACTCTGTCTCACTCTTCATACCATAAAAGGCTTCTTGAGAAAGGAATGCTTGAGTTGAGACCCTAGAAAAATGAATAACATACTTTAAATAAAGGGAGATGAGGGTGAAAAGTGGATTTCAGGCACAGAGAATAGAATATGACATGATTTCATCTCCCTTTTTGAAACAGTAACTGTGGCCACGGTAGTGAAGAGTTTAGAGAAGGACAAGGGTAAATGTGAAACTAATTATGAGGCAAGTATATTTGTTTTTGTATTTTTGTGTATTTTTGCAAGACAGGATGAATTTTATTCTGTTTTTAAAATAAGTAAATTTATCTTTGTTCTTTGGAAGACCTCTAGTAAAGAATAAATGTCATGACATGTTAATCCTGAAAATTGTTATAGTTGCTCAAAAAAGAAACTCAAGAACTAAAATTGGATCCTATCAACCCAGATAAAACACTGAAAATTATGAAACTTTCACTCAAAATACAGTGATAACTGCAGAAAAGCAGCAACTATTTAATCATGCCCACCAACAATGTGCAGTGTCCTCCATGGGCCAAACACACTCCAGGTGGCGGCCATGGATGGAGGGGAAGAGGACTGGGGTTTTCTATGGGGTGATGGCAGTGTTTTGGAGCTCAAAAGAGGTGGTGGTTGCACAATGTGAATGTGCTGAATGAGGCAAGTATATTTGAAAAAGATGGAGGCAGTCAGTAGAGGTGGTGGTAGAAATTGAAGGAAATGCATATTATTACATATTTGGGAAGTAAAATGTATTTAAAGATTGGAAATGGAGGTGAACGGTTAGAAAGATGGTCAGATACCTTGCCATGGCGCCTCACCCTAATACTTCAGTGCATGCCAGCCTGACTTCCAGCATTCACCCCTGCATTTCCTTACCTGAGGGCTTTCTCTGATCACAGAAGCCGCTTTTGCTGTCCCTGCTGCAGGTTGGGCATGCTGAGGAATCAATGCCGCTAGGAGACAGTCCATAACTAATGACTATCAGAAACTGTTGTACGAATACCCTTTATCTCTCAGCATGTTTCTGAGATGAGTTATCTACACTGGATCTCAGAGTTATTCCAAGTTTAATCCACAGTTATCCATTCTGGTAACTGCTTCATAGTTCACTCTTGATAAGGGTCTTTGCCCCACTTCCCAGTTCTCCTACCAGAGATTCTGATACCTACCAAATGAATCACCTGCAGGTGAATCTTAGTCTCTGGATCTGCTTTCAGGGTAGCACTGTAGTCAGATGAATGGGAATCCATTCTCTCAGAAATGCAAGAAGGGAATGTGGTTTGGCAAAGTTCATTAGATCAATTTTGGAGTTGAGTTTGAGGTGCCCCTGAAACATTCAAGTAAAACTATCATCCAGCAGTCAAATATTAATACCATGTAGCAGTTGTCATCTGGAACTCTGAGGATGCAATTTGTATTAACAATTTGATATACTCATTGGCAAATAAGTAATAACCAAAGCTTTGGAGAAGAAAATGACCTAGACAATAGTATAGCATTGAAAGATGTGAAGGCCTGGAACTCAGCCTCACAGAGCTTCAGAATTTAATGGCCAAATAAAGGAAAAGAAGCCCACAAATCAAATAGAGGAGTTGTAGCCAGAAATGTGGGAGTTTTCTGGGCAATCAGGAGGCAAAGTAGAATAGAGTTGACACTGAAGCCAAAGGAAAAAATGTGTTGGAACAGCAGTGCTGAATTCTGCTGAGAAGAGATACATCTTGAAAAAAAAATGTCCATAAGACTTAGACACATGAATGTTATTGGTGATTTCTGCAATGGCCATTGCAGGGTTATGATGGGGAGGGAACCATATTTAAATATATTCAATGTGAGGCAGGCATGAAGAAGAGATGAGGCTTTCTTGCTGTGTGTTAAGCATGCCAGCCATCCCCCTGCCTTGTGGCGCCTACACATACCATCTCCTCTGCCTGTAATGCTCTTTTGCTAGATATTTATATTTCTTGCCCCAACACTTCCTTCAAGTCTTTTCTCAAATATCACCTTCTCAGTGAGGCCTTCCCTGACTAGCTATTGAAAATTACACCCAGTGGGGATGGGGAGATATTGGTTAAAGAGTTCAAAGTCTCAGCTAAACAAGATCAATAAGATCTGGAGATGTACTGTATAGCATGGTGACTGTAATTAATAATAACATATTGTTCAGTTGTCTCTTTATATCTAGGGGAGACTAGTTCCAGCTCACCCTGGAGACAACAAAATCAGCAGATGCTCAACCGCCTCATATAAAATGGTGCAGTATTTGCATATAACTTACACACATCCTTCCATGTAGTTTAAATAATGTCTACATTTCTTATAGTAGCTAAGACAATGTAAATGCTATGTAAATAGTTGTTACACTATATATTTGAATTATTTTTTGTCATATTGTTATTTTTATTTTTTTCTAAATATTTTCCATCTGTGATTGAATCTGCAGATGCAGAACCACAGATACTAAGGGCCAAAAGAATACTTGAAAATTGCTAAGAGAGTTGATCTTAAATGTTCTCACAACAATAAAATGGCAAGCATGTGAGGTGACAGATATGTTAATCAGTTTGATTTAATCATTTTGCAATGTACACATATATCAAAATATCACCTTGTATACCATAAATATATACAATGTTTTCAAATTAAACCTTAATTAAGCTGAGGGAAAAATGTACACCTGCCACCTGTCACCTCCAACACACACTTCCTATTGACCTGAACCTTCTAATTTTTCTCCATCTTTACTCATCGCCCCCCAAGCATGCCACATAGTTTATTTACCCCGTCTTCCCCCATTACAATATAACTTCCACAAGTCAGGAATTTTTATCCATTTTGTTCACTGCTGTATTCATGAGTATTTATAGTAGTGTCTGGAATGTTAACAATTATTATTGTTGAATTAACTAATCAATTATTATTTTAAAAATATAAATAAACATGTATATTACATTTTGCATTTAAACGCCATTAGAGCCCAACTATAAATATAAGTATAGATGGAAGGGGAAACCTTAAATGGTTTTATCCTTATATTCTTTTTGCCAATATGTTTTCCCACATTTCTCTACAATAAACTTCTACACCTTTATAATATTGAGAGTAAATATTTCTTAAGAAAAATTATCCTTAAGAGAGAGCTCAAAAAAATAAATAATTCACAAAAAACTGCTGTGAAGGCTATGCATGGAAAGGGCAGAAGGGAGATGGAGGGAGTGCAGAGACCTGTGGGCTGAGTCTGAGCCTCAAGGCTTTTTCAGCATGAAACTCAGCAAAGACAGGTGTTAAAAAGGCCTGCCTCCCACCGCCCCTGCTGGTCACTAAGCTTAGGCAATCAAAGTGTACCAGTGTTTTTTCACTGCCCAGCATATACTGATTTAAGGACTCAACACTCTGACTTGAGAAAACCTAAAACATGAAGTTATCTCAAAGGTGGGTGAGATTCTAAGGAGGCTCAAATATATAGTCCTCAATTAATTCTCACCTCAACTTAGTTACAATCTGATACAACATATTAGGAGACAGGAACAGCACAGTGGTAAAAATCAAACCTCACCTCAAAAGATCGTAAATTATTGCTCTCAGATTAGTATTAACTGACACAATATGTGCAGTGAGTATCTTCTCTTCCTCCTCCCGAATTACAGAAGAGAACGTGAAAGACTAGGAGCCATACACATTACCCCAGGGAAAGCAGAGTGAAAGGGCAGTCTGGGTGTCCTTAACTGCACCACTCACAGAGGGGGCCTGTCCCACAACCAGCCAGGTTATTTCAACCTATTCTTACCTGACAAAAAGGATCTGGGGGCCTTGGCTCCACTGTAGGTGGGTAATTTTATTCCAACTGGTTTTGGGTGCTAGTTTTCTGCCTAGTGGTCAAATTCAGAAACCCAATCAGGACCTAGGTCTCCACCTGGAGCTCTTAGGTTAGCTAATCAATGTCTTCTTGGTCCTCAAGGAAGGGTTTATTGTTTTTGTTTGCTTGTTTGATTGGTTGTTTGCCATTGCATTAAAATTCTTTCTTACCCAGCAATTGATGAGTTCAAGGCTATCCTGTCACATTTCGTGATGTGGCCTGAGCCCTCCCAGAGCGTTACTGACTGGGACCAACTACTAACTAAAGTTTAGTGAAGAGAAGACAATGAGCTTGCTGGAACGTCACAGAGGCTTGGTTGCCATGGTAGTGATTGTCAGATGAGATCACAGAGAAGGGTGTAAGAGAAAAGAAAGAAAAACATGCAGGAAAAGCTGAAGCATAATATTATACTAAAATATATATATATTATATATATATATTTTATACATATTTATACTGTCTAAACTTACAGTGGAGTAATGTGTTGAAACTTGAGGGGAAAACTACTTTTTGAGAAAGACTGACTTTCCAGCATCTTCTTAGAGAGATGTGGTTTCATGGAAGAATGGTGTCTGAGCTACATTTTGTCTTATTCTAAAAGTAAAAGGAATGGGACTGATCTGGAAGCACATAGATTCCAGATCAATACTAATACCAGACTATTGTAATGCCAATTTATAAAAGGAAGCTAGGTATCCATTAAAGTGACAGAAAACCAACAGGTATTTTTTGTAACAGATCATTGAGTTGGATGTGAAATGGTTTAAAGCTTTAACTATTCCAGGGGCTCCTGCAAAGTGTAAACTTAGTGTTTCCTTGAGTTAGCACTGAAAGGAGAGCAGGATTGAGGGACAAAAGAAGCAATCCAGTCATCTAGTAATATGACTCTGGATGATGTTTGCTCTAAATTGCTCCCAGCATCAGTATGTGGAAGGTGGACAGTGTGTGTGAACTTCAAAGCCCCCGCAGGGCTTCAGTTGGCTTGAATAAAATGTTACTGGTTATCCTGCCACCTTGTGGCTATGGGCCAACATGCCAGGGTGTGGAGGAGGAAGGGAGGAAATTAATGAATCACAGAGTTGCCTGACTGAAGAAGGAAAGCTCAGAAACACATCCTCTTCTCTCTTCCCTATAGATGTCAACTTGCCCATCACTTGATTAGCTAAAAGTGAATAGGGCTTAAAGTTCAGTCCTTGAGTGAGATTTTGCTTATATAGCCCTCCTAGGACTTTTGTCCTATCAGAGTAGCTTGTTGCACAGTGTGCTCCTTGTGATCAACAGTTAGTTAATCTTGTCTCTCCAAAATCTAAAGTTTAAATCCTTATTCATTAAATCAGACTGTTTATCAAGTATAGTGCTTTACTAACGAGATTATTTCAGAAATAAGCGAACAAAACAATAAGACGTATGCTGTTTGTTTTTTGAGACAGGGTCTTGCTCTGTTTTCCAGGCTAGAGTGCAGTGACACAATCACGGCTCACTGGAGCATTGACCTTGTGGCTCAAGCAATCCTCCTACCTCAGCTTCCCAAGTAGCTGGGACCAAAGGTGTATACCAACACGCCCAGCTAGGTGTTTTTATGTCTGTCTGTTTGTTTGTTTTATTTTGCAGAGATGGAGGTCTCCCCAGGTTGTCCAGGCTGGTCTCAAACTCCTGGGCTCAAGTGAACCTCCCGCCTTGGCTTCTCAAAGTGCTGAGATTATGGGCGTGAGCCACTACACCTGCCCAATATTGTTGATCAGAGTAAAGAAATGACATAAACACCCAGTAACAGTTAGAAGCCGTATTCAGATTAGCTATAATTTTCACTAGAACCATCCCAATCTCTTGAAAGATAAAACATCAAATTAAATGTAGCCAAATCTAATTGCTTCACCTCTGATTTTTTTTTAATCACTTGAAAAGGGTAATGGTTCCCTCACATTTTGTATATAAAATCTACTGGCTAGGGGAAGGCTCAGAAACTTGAATGTTAAATAGGATCCCAGGTGATTCTTACACACACTGAAGTATAAAGGTCACTGGACCATTCTAGTGGCCATGGGTCCCCTCTGGTTGGCCTGTAGTTGAAATCTATGGGAACAACTTTCAAACTACCACATCTGAGGAATCAGTGGAGGTTAGGAGGTTACTTTTAGAAGGTGATTGGGAATGTACTCGAATTTGAGATTTGTTAAAGTTCATTATAGTTATCACATATGAAAGAAGAAGCACACATGAGGAAAGGAGAGCTCTGGGGCTCCATGATAATTCAGCATGCCACAAGAGAACACTGAGACACAATTAAATGAAATCACAACAATGATAGATGAGCAAGATAAAAATATTGAAGTAAAGATATAGAAATTTTACAAGAAGAAACAATTAGAAATTCTGGAGCTAAGAATTCTATGACGGAAATAAAAAAATCACTAGGGGGTGTTCACAAGTAGACTTGATCAAACAGAAGAAGGAATCAGCTAATCCAGACACCAGTCATTTCAAATTATATAGACAAAGGAGCAAAAGAAAAAAGAATAAAAAAGAGCCAATGAACCTACGGACTTAAGGGACATCATAAAGTGAAATAATATACTGATCACAAAAGTTCCAGATGGAGAAGAGAAAAATAAGAAGGAAAGTACGGTGCTGGCTAAAAGCTTGCCAAATCTGTAGAAGAAAAAGGACATACAGATACACGAGGCCAAATGGAACTGAAATAAAACAAATTCAAGGGAAGTCCACACAAAGACATATTATAATTATATGTCAAAAGTCAAAAAGAGTGAATTTTGAAGAAGCAAGACAATGCTGAAAGAGAGAAATTCTCAACCAAGAATGCAATTTCTGGAAAAAAATTTAAAATGAAGAATAGATAAAGACTTTCTCAAGCAAAAGCTGAGAGAGACAACTTCATCACCACTAGATTTGTCATAAAATAAATGACAGGTGAGCTCTTTAACTCAAACAAAATAATACTAAATAGCAAAACTAAGCATAACTAAGCATATTAAAATATAAAACTTACTGGAAAAGCTAATTTTTTAAACAAATACAAAATTGTGCAACATTGTAATGGTGGTGCACCTTTTTCTAATATGAAAGTCAAAAGACAACAAAGTAGAAATTACTATAACTACAGAAGTATAATAGTAGATATACACATATAAAAGATGTAATTGTGACATCAATAACAAAGTGGGAGAAGTGCAGAATTTTTTATGTGATTAAAGATGAGTTGTTATTAGCTTAGAATAAACTTTGCCTCCATATATATGATGTTTTACATAAGCCCCAAGGTAACCAAAAAAATAAAATACTACAGAAAATATACAAAAGAAAAAGAAAAGGAAATAAATACATATCAATACAAAAATATCAATGAACACAAAAGAAAACAGCAAGAGAAAAAAGAAAGAAGAATTATAACACAGACAGAAAAAATAAAATGAAGTGCCATAGCAAGTCCTTACTTATTAATACAACTTTGTAAATACAGTTGTCCCACAGTATCCATGAAAGATGGGTTTCAAGATCGCCTGTGGATACCAAAATTTATGGATGCTAAAGTTCTTTATATTAAGTGATATAGTATTTGCATATAACCCATGCACACCATCCCCTATACTTTAAACCATCTCTAGATTACTTATCATATCTAATAGAATGTAAACAGTATATAAATACTTGTTACACCATCTAGTTTGCATTACTTTTATTATTCCATTTTTTATCATTGTTATTTTTATGGGGGTGTGTGATTTTTTTTATGCATGGTTGGTTGACTCTGTGGATGTGGAACCTACATCCAGCTGACTGTAAATGGATTAAAAATTCCCCAGTCAAAAGACAAAGAACGTCCAAATGCATTAAAAAATAAAATCAAACTATAGGCTGTCAACAAGAGACTATAGATTCAAGGATGCCCAAAGGCTGAAAGTGAAGGGAGGGAAAAAAATATTCCATGCAAATCATAACGAAAAGACAGCAGGAGTGGCTAAATTTATACCAGACCAAATAGACTTTAGGTTAAAAACTGTCACATGAAATAAAAAAGGTCATTATATAATGATAAAAAGGTCAATTATCAGGATGTTAGAACAACTATAAATGTATAGGCACCCAAGATCAGAGTACCTAACTATATATAAGGCAAACATTGACAGATTTGAAGGGAGAAATAGACAGCAATAAAATAACAATGAGACACAACATTACGCCACTTTCAATAATGGGAATGACTCTCTAGCAGAAAACCAGTAGGGAAACAGCAATCTTAAACATCCTATAAAACAAAAGGACCTCATAGACATGTACAGAACTATCCAGTGACAGCAGAATACACATTCTTCTCAAGTGACTATATAACATTTTTAAGGATAGGTCATCTGTTAGGCCACATAACAAGCACAAGTAAATTTAAGAATATAGAAATTATGTAAGTAGGAAAAGTATCTTTTCTATCTATAATGATATAAAACTAAAATCAATAACAAGCAAAACTAGAAAATTCACAAATATGTGGAAATCAATACACTCTTGAAAAACCATTATGTCAAAAAGATATCGAGGGAAATTAGAATGTATCTACATATAAAAAAAGACCAAAAACGCAAAATAACAAAACTTATGGATGCAGCTAAAGTGGTATTGAGGCAGTATAGCAATAAACATCTACTCTAAACATAAGAAAAATGTCCAAAAACAAACCCACCTTACTTTAAACTTCAAGGAAGTAAAAAGGAACAAATTAAGCCCAAATTTACCAAAGGAATTAAATAACAGAGATTAGAACAGAAATTAAATAAATCAAATACAGAATAGGAAAACAATAGAAATAATCGATGAAATGTAAAATAATGTTGGCAAATCTTAGCTAGACTAACCAAGAAAAAATAGAGAAGACTCAAATAAATAAAATCAGAAATGAAAGAAGAAACAATACAACTCATGCCATAAAAATACAAATGATCATAAGGGATTACTATAAACAATTATTTGACAATAAATTGGAAGGCCAAGAAGAAATGATAAATTTCTGGAAATGTACACCCTCCTATGACTGAATCATGAAGAAACCGAAAATTTAAACAGACCAATAATGAATAAGAAGATTGAATCAGCAATAAAAAACTGATTAAAAACCTCTCAGCAAAGAAGCTCAGGAAGAGATGGCTTTGTTAATAAATGCCACCAAACATTTTTTTAAAATACCAGTTCTTTATATACTCTTCCAAATTATTGAAGAAAAACCACATTTCCAAACTCATTAAATGAGGCTAGTATTTCTGTGATATCAAAGCCAAAGACTTTATAAGATAAGAAAATTACAGGTCAATATTCTTGATGAATAAAGATGCAAAAATTCTCAACAAACTTAAATACTCACAAACAGAATTCAACAGCACATTAAAAGTATCACACCTCATGATCAAGAGAGATTTATCCTTGAGATGCAGGGATGATTCAACATATGCAAATCAATAAATGTAGTACACCACATTAACAAAAATACTAAAAACATATAATCTCCATAGATTCAGAAAAAGCATTTGGGGCCGGGTGCAGTGGTTCACGCCTGTCATCTCAGCACTTTGGGAGGCCAAAGTGGGCAGATCACGATGTCAAGAGATCGAGACCATCCTGGCCAACATGGTGAAACGCCATGTCTAATAAAAATACAAAAATTGGCTGGGTGTGGTGGTGTGCACCTGTAACCCCAGCTACTCAGGAGGCTAAGGCAGGAGAATTGCTTGAACCTGGGAGGTGGAGGATGCAGTGAGCGGAGATTGCACCACTGCACTCCAGCCTCGTGACAGAGTGAGACTCCATCTCAAAAATAAATAGATAAGAAAAAGAAAAAGCATTTGGAAGTGGCTGGAGCAAAATGGTGGAATAGAAAGCTCCATCAATTGTCCTCCCACAGGAACACCAAATGTACCAACTGTCTACACAAACACAGCACCTTCATAAGAACCAAAAATAATATGAGCACTCACAATACCTGGTTTTATCTCCGTATCATTGAAAGAGGCACTAAAGAGAGTCAGAAAGAGAGCCGTGAATTGTTGATGCCAACTCTCCCTCATCCCCACTACAGCAGCCACATGGCACAGAGAAATGTGTGTTTGGGAGAGGGAAAGTGCAGCAATCGTGAGACTTTGCATTGAACTCAGTGCTGCCCTATCACAGTGGAAAGCAAAACTGTGCTGAACTCAGCTGACACAGACCCACAGAGGGAGCCTTTAGACAAGGTCCAGCCAGAGGGCAATTTGCCCACTCCAGCAGATGGAGCTTGAGTTCTGGCAAGCCTTGCCGCCATGAGCTGGAGTACTCTAGGGTCCTAAATAAATTTGACAGGCAGTCTAGGCCACAAGGACAGCAAGTCCTGGTGCTGAGCTGGGCTTGGAGCCAATGGACTTGGGAACACATGACTTACTGAAACAACAGCTGGGGCAGCTAAGAGAGTCCTTGCCCACACCTCCCCTAACCCCAGCAGCACAGCTCGTGGCTCCAAAAGAGATCCTTTACTTCTGCTTGAATAAAAGAAAGGGAAGAGTAAAGATGATGTTTGTCTTGCATCTTAGATCCCAGCTCATTACAGTAAGAAAGAATATTGGTCCGTCATGAGGCACCATTCCAGGCCCTAGCTCCCAGATGACATTTCTAGACACACCCTGGGCTAGAAGGGAACCTGCTGCCTTGAAGGAAAGAACCAGTCCTGGCAAGACCCATCACCTATTGACTAAAGAGCCCTTGGGCCCTGAATAATGAGAAGCAACACCCAAATAGTATGCCATATGCCTTGGGTGAGACTCGAGACATACTAGCTTCAGGTGAGACCTAGCACATTCCCAGCTGTGGTGACTACAGTGACAGACTCCTTCTGCTTGAGAGAAGCAAAGAGAAAGGTCAAGGGGACTTTGTCTTGTACCTTAAGTACCAGCACAGTCAAATGGGCATAGTGCATCAAGGGGGCTCTTGAGGTTCCCTATTCTAGCCCATGGCTCTTTTATGGCATTTCTGGAGCTTCTCTGGGCCAGAGGGGAGCCCATGTCCATGAAAGGTGATTCCCAGGCATAGCAGCATTCACCACAAGCTGACTGAAGAGCCTGTGGGCCTTAAGTACACACAGGTGGGAGTGTGGCAGTTACTCACCATAGGCCTGTGATGGTGGTGGCCACAGGGTCATTCTCCTCTGCCTGTGGAAAGAAGAGGGAAGAGTGGGAAGGGCTGTGTCTTGTGGCTTGAGGGCCAGCTCAGTTGCAGTATAATAGAACACCAGGTAGACATCTAAGGTTTTTGACTCCAGTCCCTGGGTACCAGACAACACCTCTAGACCTACCTGGGGCCTGGAGGACTCGCTGCATGGAAGGGAAGGACACAAACCTGGCCTCAGGTGATGTATCTAATGTAAACTACATAATCTATAAGAAATATGTAAATAATATTTTCCTATGATATATAACCTCAGTTCCTAACACAGATGTCCAGAGGCAAATCTTTCAAATTCACAAGCAAAAATTAGATAGAAGCAAGTTACATGTGAACAAATGGAATCAGATGCAATGAGAGAAAACAGCTAGCACATTATATACATAGCTGAAAGCTGGACAGAATAAAAACTTTAATTTTAGATTCAATGTATTTAGAAGCACAATAGAATTTAAATGGTACATTTAAACATGTGAGAGTGTTTTTCTACTCTAAAACTGGAGAGGAGAGGGGAGGAGGATTTAATGAGATAATGAACATTATGTAACTGTCACAATAAACATTTAATACATGACAGTGGTTGTTGTTATGCTTACTATCTTAGAAGTCAAATGTTCTTTAAAGAAAGTGTCCAAAAGTAGATTGATGCCATAAATGGTGCCAAGAATTAGGGCAAAGGGCAGGTCAAAGGTGAATAGGGGATATGATGTAGCAATTGTCAGCTTTGGTTAGTAACCTGGTTAATGTCCTCCTTTATTATAAATAGGGATCTAATTCAAAGGAAGGAACAGTATAATACATACACAATATACTTTTGCAACCATCTGAGCTGACAAAAAAAGCAGGGTCCCACAATAGCAGAGGCTTATGAGAAAAAGTCTGAACTGAATATATGAACACCTAAGTTTTAGGCCTCTTTCTTCTAACAGCCAACATAACTTTGGATCATTCTAACCTCTCTGGTCTCAGTTTCTGTGATACGAGGAAATTGAGCTTAATAAGACTAGAGGTCCTTTCTGACACTAACATTCTACACTGGTGTATTCCTCTCACATTTTTACAGTTAAATTTATGGTTTATTTTTTAATATAAGATAATTCATCACCAGTATAGTAACAAGATGAGAAGGCATCTGAGCTAAGGAAATAGATGTTTTTCCATCTGCCTCTTGCTGTTTTTCTATCATAGAGCAAGATCTTCCTAGTAAAGGGTTGAAGGCAACTTTTCTGTGTCAAATTAGCTGTTGCTCAGCAAATAGAAGTTAAATGCCACTATACGGAACAAACAAACACGTGCTAGCATGAAATCTGTGGCAGCATCCTCAGTACCCTACTTCAGTCAACAGAACTATCCAGGACAGATCTCCTAAAAACATAATTTATTGACAACATAATGAGGTTCTCTTTTTGTACTCACCTAATTCAATTTTAGATTATGTTTAAACTGATTTTTCTTAGAATTTTTCAAAATACAATACAAAATTTTCTAATAGGGAGAAATTATATGTATAAATATTTGAATATGTGTATTACAAAACATTACATCAAAGCAGAATTAATTTAAATGCAAATAGAGAAAGTCGTTTGGACCCTATGTTATGTGATGTCAATGAAACTTACACTCTGAAAAACAGAGATATGATATAGTGGAGGCTGTGGGATCACGTAGTAACATGTTGAGCCACATTCTCCCATAACCCTGATTTCATTGAACTAAGACAAAGATGGGAGGTGAGTTATTGAATTGAGAACTATATGGAACTTTTCACAAAAGTGCATTAAAAGATTGTCTTGGAGTCAAAAGAAATAAATATAACACTTTAAGAGAGAGAAAATGGCTATTGTAGTGGTCCCTATCGTTCATTTCCTTCATAGATTAGAAGAATGAGTGTCGTAGAAGCCAATAACATTTCTGGGCCTGTGAGTGAATTTATCCTCCTGGGCTTCCCCTGCCTGCTGCAGGGAGACCAAGATCCTCCTCTTTGTGGTCTTCTCCCTCATCTACCTTCTGACCCTCATGGGTAACACATCCATCATCTGCGCTGTGTGGTCAAGCCAGAAACTCCACACACCTATGTACATCCTCTTGGCTAATTTCTCTTTCCTGGAGATCTGCTGCATTAGTTCTGATGTCCCAAAATGTTGGCCAATCTCATCTCCCATATCAAGAGCATCTCCTATGCTGGCTGCCTGCTCCAGTTCTTCTACTTCTCCATGTGTGCTGCAGAGGGCTACTTTCTGTCTGTGATGTCCTTTGATCGGTTCCTTACCATCTGTCGACCTTTGCATTATCCCACAGTCATGACTCACCACCTGTGTGTCCGATTAGTGGCCTTCTGCAGGGCAGGTGGTTTTCTATCCATACTGATGCCTGCAGTGCTTATGTCCCGAGTGCCTTTCTGTGGCCCTAACATCACTGACCATTTTTTCTGTAACCTGGGACCATTGCTGGCACTGTCCTGTGCCCCAGTTCCCAAAACTACTCTGACTTGTGCTACAGTAAGCTCTCTCATCATCTTCATCACCTTCCTCTACATTCTTGGGTCCCATATCTTAGTTTTGCGAGCTGTTCTGTGGGTCCCAGCTGGCTCAGGCAGGAACAAAGCTTTCTCTACATGTGCTTCCCATTTCTTGGTTGTTTCTTTCTTCTATGGCTCAGTCATGGTGATGTATGTGAGTCCAGGCTCCAGGAGCCACCCTGGGACACAGAAATTTGTGACATTGTTTTACTGCACAGCAAACCCATTCTTTAATCCCCTGACCTACAGTCTCTGGAACAAAGATATGACAGATGCCCTTAAAAAAGTGCTGGGAGTGCCATCAAAAGAAATATCTTGGAACACACTGAAATGATATACATTCTTCTACAATTATTCCATAAGAAATGCAAAATTTCTCTCATTTAAAAAAAAACTATTTTCTGGTGATGTCTGAGCACTTGGCTTCTTACTCATAAAAGCGTGACTCATTACACACAAAGAGCCCTGATCCTATCTCAAAGCAAAAAGTATACAAAGTCCTAAGTTTCATCGTAGGTAAGATCTGTACAATTTTTATTCATCTATGTATCATTTTTCCATTTTGGAGATTTTTTAAGTCCTAAAACTATATGTAATTCAGTTGGTATGTACAAAGCTAAGACCCATGTTTCTAATTTGTATTTTGGCTTTATCCTAATGCAACTTTATGTATCTTAAATGTGTTTTAAATTTATCAACTGTTTTTTCCTTGCCAACTATAGGTTTTTCTATAATGAAAAACAGCATCTACTCACTGTACTCACAAAAATTAAATTGCTTTATCTATAATATCAAAGAACGAGAATCCGTCACTGAAACAAGAATGTTTTTTAATTTGTATTTTCCTTATTACTAAGTCTTGGTAAGGTGTTCATGGTGCGCAGCAAATAAAAACTAGAAATGGTATAGATTCTTAAGGGAAATTCCTGTTCCAGCTCTGAAGAGAATGCATAGAAGGGCATGCATACATTCAAATATGCCAAATAATTAAATATTTCTTACTCAAACCTGGGCTTCTATACTTTCTGAGCTTATAGTGAAGAAACATCTACCGTTACAGAAAATAAACATAGGATACCAGGGAATCAACTCTATCAACCAAAATATAAGCTACCTTAAAGCAGTCACCACCTGGATTAAGAAAATGTGGTGCATATACACCATGGAATACTATGCAGCCACAAAAAATGTTTGAGTTCATGTCCTTTGTAGGGACATGGATGAAGCTGGAAACCATCATTCTCAGCAAACTATCTCAAGGACAAAAAAACAAACACCGCATGTTCTCACTCATAGGTGGGAATTGAACAATGAGAACACTTGGACACAGGAAGGGGAACATCACACACCGGGGCCTGTTGTGGGGTGGGGAGAGGAGGGAGGGATAACTTTAGGATATATACCTAATGTAAATGACGAGTTAATGGGTGCAGCACACCAACATGGCACATGCATACATATGTAACAAACCTGCACATTGTGCACATGTGCCCTAGAACTTAAAGTATAATAAAAAGTACATATAAATAAAAAATAAATAAAAAATTAAAAAAAGTCACCACTTAACATAAACTTCTTTACTTAACCTGATCACCTGCCAACACTCTGAAATTTTCATATTTTTAACTAAGGCACAAAAATTAGGGGGATAGGAAAGAGAGGTGTTTGTGATGTTGTCTCCAATATGTTGAAGAGAAAGTTAATGATTTGACTAAAAACATCCAGTCTACATTAGACTTCATATTCAAGTTTTTTCTGTGAACATATACCTCTTTTATTATTTGTTAAATTTTATTTCTAATGAACACATGATAATTATATATTTATGGGATACAATGTGATGTTTTGATAATCATTTACATTGTGAAATGATTAAATCAAGCTAATTAATAAATTCATCATCTCCTATACTTATTTTTTGTGGTTAAAACATTTGAAATCCACGCTTTTAGTAGTTTCTAAATATGTGGTGCATTATTATTTATTATAGTCACCATTCTATGAAACAGATCACTAAATCTTATTCCTTCCATCAAACTGAATTGTTGTATCCTTTGATCAACATCTCTCCTCCCCTCAGCCGCCTCTTCCCTCCAGCCTTAGTTAACCACCATTCTACTCTCTACTTTTAAGAGTTCAACTGAATGAAGTATCACCTCATATCTGTTAGAATGGCTATCACCAAAAAGATGAAAGATAAGTATTGCTGAGGGTGCAGAGAAAAGTAAACATTTGTGCACTGTTGGTGGAAATGTAAATTAATATAACCGTGGAAAACAGTATAGAAGTTCCACAAAACACTTAAAATAGAATTACCATATGATTAAGCAATTTCCCTTCTGGGCATATATCCAAAGAAATTGAAATCAATATGTCAAAGAGATATCTGTACTTCCAAATTCATTGCAGCATTATTCACAATAACCAAGACACGGAAGCAACCTAGGTATTTGTCATCAGATGAGTAGATACACAAAATGTGATATATACACACAGTGGAATACTATTTGGCCCTTAAAAAATAGAGAAATTCTTCCATTAGTGACGATGTGGATGAACCTGTAGAACATTATGCTAAGTGAAAAAAATCCAGACACACACAGACATCTTCAAATCCTCTTCCAAGTTATTTTGACTTTTGGAATATTTTCTTCAATAAAATACGTTAAGGGATAAAGCTTCATAGACCACTGTGGAGCTAAGGGAGAATTCAGAGCAACCTGCAATGCCAAAGCGTTAGTTCTTCTTGCCCTCTGCAGATTGTAGAGACTATACCCACCTGAGATAACTCTATTAGAGTATAATTCTGCCAGTGTTCTCACTTACATCCAATAAAAGCTGACTCTAGCTGATTATGTAAATGAAAAAGGACTTATTGATGGAGTAGCAGGAATCTCACAGAACCAATGAAAGCTGAAGAGCCAGAGTTGAGGCTCAAATTCAAAGATACATATGCAAACCACCATGCAGAACTGATGATGAAAAATCATGACTGCAGTCATGGCTGTGCTATAGGCCACCAAGATGCTACATGAGCACCACTGTCATTCTGTTCTAGGAACTTGTCTTTTCTGCAATAAGTGTGCTACCTTCTTGTCTTTTTTTTTTTTTTTTAATTGAGACGGAGTCTTGCTCCGTCTCAGGCTGGAGTGCAGCGGTGCGATCTCGGCTCACTGCAAGCTCCGCCTCCCAGTTCACACCTTTCTCCTGCCTCAGCCTCCTGAGTAGCTGGGACTACGGGTGCCAGCCACCACGCCCGGCTAATTTTTTTGTATTTTTACTAGAGACGGGGTTTCGCCGTGTTAGCCAGGATGGTCTTGGTCTCTTGACTTCGTGATCCGCCCACCTTGGCCTCCCAAAGTGCTGGGATTACAGGCGCAAGCCACTGCGCCCAGCCTGTTCATTGTCATTTCTTATGCCAATATTTCAACATTGTTGCTCTTCCTACTTCTGCTTCTTGATTCAAAGCCTGGTATAGCTGTATCTGGTAAAGGCAAGAGTACATTCCTACAACTTTAAGTGCAAGGGAAGCTAGGAGAGCTAATATCTGGCAATATAAACAACAATTACATAAATAGAAGCTCCAAGCCTGATAATATTGGGATTACCTCAAACATAAAAAGGGATGGAGATACTGGACAGCAAACACACACACACACACACACACACACACAGAGAGAGAGCGAGAGAGAGAGAGAAATAACTCAAACAACCCATTCATTTTGACTATTCCATATCTCTGAGCTATGTTTCCTCTAGAGATTACACAGGGTGGAAATCAAATTATCCACCTATGCAACAGCAGTGAAAGGGGAGCAGGATGAGTAAGGGGTAAAACAGTGTCTCGGGTAGTTGAGGACTTGTCTATCTCATGATGAATGATGTTAGAAGATACTGTGCTGCTTATAAGTTACTACTGCATTATCTGGAGTTCTGAGAGAAAAAGTTAAACTAAAGGTAAATAAATTATCATCTGGAAAATCTCTGTAAGCTGCAGTGAGATTTAGTGTTGTGCACTTGCCTTTCATCCTTCTTAGAACTAGTGAAGAATGGATATAGAGGATTCTTCACTTACTCTTTCTCTTTAAGCCAAAAATTCTTAGACTTGGGGGAGGGGGCCAACGAACCATAATTAACTGAATAACTAAAATCCTCACTTGTATCTAAGCTCTCATTGTGCTTGAAAAAGATGTTCATATATAAAATTGAAATATTTTAAAGTATGTTTTTAGTCTAAATGTGTACATAAAAACATAAAAGTTTTACTAACTGGGGCTTGCTTAGCTACACTGAAATGAATTGTATTCCATTTTGTCTACTTTTTAATTATACAAATAAATCATATATTTTATAGTGAATAGTCGTTGTAAAGAAAAAACTACAAAATAGTGAAAATTTTCACATCTCCACACCTCTACACACACACATGCCTCCTCAGCAGCGTGTTTAGTTTGGTGGATGTATTTCTAAGTCCTCTTTCTGTACATATAGAAGCAAAATCTCTGGGTTTTGAGTGGGTATATAAATTGGATTATACCTAAGTATTGTTCTACAACTGATTGACCCTCCCAACCACTCTGTACTCTCACCTAAACAGCAATGTCTGAAAGGGAAATTTTAGCCAGCTCTGCAGGTACTTCTGTCAGTTTGGGACAAATCAGGACAAACAGACTGAAGATACAATTCTTCAGGAAAGACTTTCCCAGGAGATGGAGCATGGATGTGTAAGGTCACTAGTTCCAACATGTAGCACACTCAGTGGGTTCTTTCCCCTTCCAAAATCAGGATTTCAATTAGGAAAATACGTGAAATAAGAGCATGCTTGTTCTCTCCAGGCAAAGAAACTTCATTCTGAAAAATAAAGTCAATTTAATATTTGTTTAACCTCAATATTATTTGAGGTCTGTATTTAGTCCTTAGACCTCTCTTTAACCTGTACTGTCCAATACAATAGCCACGACCCACATGTGGTTACTGAGCACCTGCAAAGTGACTAGTCCTAATTAAGATGTGCTCCAAGTATAAAATCAAATACCAGTTTTGAACACTTGGTGGGATGAAAGAATGTAAACATCTCATTAATAGTGTTTATACTAATTCCATGTTGAAATACTATTTTGGGTGAGTTGGGTTAAATAAAAATATTATTAAAAATTTCACGGCTGCTCTTCAGCAAGGTGGAGTGGGCGCGCCACATGCCCTTCTTCCCCAAGCTGCCGGTGGCCGACCAGGTGGCTTCGCTCTGAACGCGGGTTAGGTGGCATTGTCCCTGCACACTGCTGCCATTTTTCAATGGTGCATCTTCAGGCACATTTTTAAACCAAACTTCTTGCCTTTCTTAATAGCCACCATTTGGATTTGGATCTCTAAGTGTACTTGTTAGAGCATTTCCACACTCATTTTGATGATTGCCTTGCTTTCTTGCTCACCGTAAACTTGAAATAGGAAGGACAGAACTCCCTCACTTCCTATAGGTCTCCTCAAAATTTAGCTTAAATGAAGCCATCCCACACTATTCTATTTAAAAGAGCATCCCCACTCTCACTAGTATCTATTCCCATCATCTGCTTTGCCCTTCTTCAAAGAATGTATCACCACAGGAAATATTGTATCCTACATATTTATTTCTCTATTTATTGATCCCTGTCTTCCCATACTGTAATATAAACTGCATGGGAATAGGTATCACTGCTATAGCTTCAGTGCTCAGATAATGCCTAATACATAATAGGAGCTCAATAAATGTTTGTCAAATAACCTTGTTAACTCAATAATTGAGCTATTACTATTGCAGAAGCCATTCAGGAGCAGTAAAAAGATCGTATTTCCTGCCCTAAAGAAACTTATATTCTAACTGGTAGGAAAGTAAAAAATAGCACAAACAATGCTGTAATAGATACCCAAAAGGCAGACCAATTTTGAGTAAATATTTGGCAAAATTCAAAAGGCAATGAACTTAGAAAATAACATTATGATATACTGTAGTGGGCAAGGAAAGTTTTGTATGAGGCATCTAAACATGGGCAAGGTATGAATAGAACAATTTTAAGCTCAGGTTGTAAAACTAAGATTATACTCTGTGAATTAGAGAGAGTGAGTCAAATGGGAGTGATGAGACACATATTAAGGTAAAAATAAAGTTTAAGAAGAAATTCAGAAGAACCTAAAAACATTTACAAGCTAAAGAATTTGGGGTTTTTTCCTGTGTTTAGGTAGAGAGAAAATAAGTGATGGAGGTTCAAGAACATAATTCTGGAATTTGACATGGGAGATAACAGAGACAGACCATTTATGAAGTGATTATGCCATCACAGATATGGAGTGCTAGGAACCTGCACAAAAAAGACGAGCATAAAGATGACAAATGATCCCAGGGAAGATGCCTAATCTGTTTAATGACAGATTAGAAGTGGGAATGAGATGGTAAGGAATTCTACTCTCAAGATTTCAAGTTCATGCTATAAATCAATAGATCCATGAGAAAATAAGGATGGCTAGAGCTAATTTAAAAGGAGATTAACAAATTTAGGATTAGACATTTGAATTTGAAATAGATCTTCATGTAAAAATATCCAGCAGAATGCTGCAAATATTTAACTACACTTTGGTAGTAAAGTCAGTGCTGGAGTTACCCCAGAATCAAGATTTAGCACAAGATTTCCTCATGGAGTGCAGTACTGCAAATTATTAATAAATTGCTACTCAAAAAAATAAATTAGAGGGTAGAAATTACCCAAGGAACACTTTTCCAGAGTTTAATGAAGAACTACACACACAAAAAAAGTGCTTAGTAGGCCTAGATTGTCAGCGATCTCACAGATTCTATGGCTCTTTGGTTTGCACTGGGCATCACCTGACCTTCTTGTGTCTACATATGCCAAAGTGTTAGCATTGGCAAAATGTGAGGTGTCAATCAAGTCAACATAATATTATTGAAGGCCCTTGTTAGCCCCAGAAGTTATACTTCAAATTATAAAGAATAAAAAAGCAGAGCTTAAAATTGTCCCTGAATTGTTGAGTTTTGGAGGTGTGTATGTGTGTGTGTGTTTTAATCTGGTAATTTGAAGGATCAGTGGAAAACTATTTTTAGTTGCAATACATTCAACCATTGCTATGCTCTCAAAAAAATGAAACAACTTGCTTCAATGAAGGCAGAATCTGAGGATGTTGAAACATACCAAACAGTATGTACTGAAAACCAAAAGAGTAAGCAGAAGCTCAGTTTTAGAGAAATAGATGAAAATATTAAGTAGAATTGCAAAAATAAAAAAATCTATTTAAGGTACAAACATATCTGGACCATAATAGTAATAACTTCCTAAGACTGAAACCATGGGTCCAATTAATTCTTTCAAATTATCTTCCCAATATATAAAAGTAGAATAAAATGGAAAAAAGCATGATCTCATTGGTCTCATGATCTTTCATCCTTCTAAACATTAATGATGAATTATATTAAATTTGCCTCTTGGATCCTTTAGAAATTTCCTACTATAACACATACATAAATTTTTTTTGCTATCCCTCCCCCCACCAACCCACAACAGGCCCCAGTGTGTGAAGTCCCCCTTCCTGTGTCCAAGTGTTCTCATTATTCAATTCCCACCTATGAGTGAGAACATGCGATGTTTGGTTTTTGTCCTTGCGATAGTTTGCTGAGAATGATGGTTTACAGCTTCATCCATGTCCCTACAAAGGATATGAACTCATCATTTTTTATGGCTGCATACTATTCCATGGTGTATATGTGCCACATTTTCTTAATCCAGTCTATCATTGTTGGACATTTGGGTTGGTTCCAGGTCTTTGCTGTTGTGAATAGTGCCTCAATAAACATGCATGTGCATATGTCTTTATAGCAACATGATTTATAATTTTTTGGTTATATACCCAGTAATGGGATGGCTGGGTCAAATGGTATTTCTAGTTCTAGATCCCTGAGGAATCGCCATACTGGTTCAATCAACAGTGTGGCGATTCCTCAGAAATTTCTTTAGTGCCTCTTTCATACCCTTGTTCCGGAAACTGTAGATCAGAGGATTAAAGAATGGAGTTGACAAAGTATAGAACAAGGTCACAAATTTCTTTATCCCATGATAGTCCCCAGAACCTGGGCTAACATACATCACCACAAGAGAACCATAGAAGAGAGACACTACAGCAAGGTGACAGCCACAAGTTGAGAAAGCCTTATGCCTTCCTAAGCCTGAAGGCACCTGTAGCACTGTGCTTAGAACACAGAAATAAGTCCCAAGGATATACAAGAAGGTAAGAAAGATGATGAGCGCTAATGATACCACAAGTCAGAGTAATTCCAGGTATTGGAGCACAAGACAGTGCCAGCAAAGGTGCCAGATCACAGAAAAAATGGTCGATAGTGTTTGGACCACAAAAGAGCACCTGAGATATTAGTGTCAAAGGGGTCAATAACCAGAGACAGCCACCCACCCAGCAGAAGATCACAAAATGAGCACAAACGTGATGGGTCATTAAGGTGGGATAGTGCAAAGGTCTACAAATGGCAAGAAACCTATCAAAAGACATCACTGACAGAAATAAGCACTCTGCAGCACACATGGAGAAGAAGTAGAATCGGAGCAGGCAGCCAGCACAGGAGATGCTCTGTGTCTGGGAGATGAGATTGGCTGCCATTATGGGCACGTCAGAACTGACACAGCAGATCTCCAGGAAGGAGAAATTGGCCAGTAGGATGTACATAGGTGTGTGGAGTTTCTGGCTTGACCACACAGCACAGATGATGGATGTGTTACCCAGGAGGGTCAGAAGGTAGATGAGAGAGAAGACCACAAAAAGGAGGATCTGGATCTCCCTGCGGCAGGGGAAGCCCAAGAGGATGAACTCATTCACAAATCCAGTGATATTAGTAGTCTCCAAGGTCCTCACTGGTTTGGCCTGTAGAGGTGACAGAGATAGTAAGAACCACAGAAATTCTGCCCTGTCTCCCTTCTATCTCTTCTGGTGAATAGATATATGTTTATTTTCTTCAATTTGGGTTTGGGATACTGCTCTCTTCCCCTTGGAAGGATGAGCTGTTCTTTCCTTTTCACCTCCGTCCTAGTTTATTCAATAAATAGTCATTTTGCAAATTATTGCTCTAGAAGATAAAGAACAATGAATAAAATAAAAAAGAGTCCCTGATCTTATAGAGCTTATGTCAAATACCTTTTGTTTAAAGCAACCTCAAGCAGTACGTTGATGGCTCCAAAAGTTCTACATAGAGCAGGCCTTGGAGCATACATGTACTGGAAGAGATCTGAGGAGATTTACCTTGGAACATCATTTGGATAGCGAAGATACTGTTTTTACTTAAATTGTATGCTTCTGATAACTTCAGGAGAAGCTGACACAAATTATGGGGTTGATGTGAGCGTCCCTCCACCTATATCAAAATGCTGCCATTGACACAGTAGCAGTAGAATGTGACAAAAACAAAACTTTCTGTGGTTGTCTGAGACACACATAATATTAATTTGGAAATAATAACAAAAGGCTTTTGAGAAGAAAATGAACGTTGACAAAATATAGAATTTTCCATAACGATGGCGGGAAAATATTATTTGCATATAATAAAAATGTAGAAAGATTTGGATACAAAAAATTATACCCAGAGAAGAGTCTAAAATAGTACAAGTGTGCTTGCAAAAAGTTGTGAGACATAAGGTATAAATATATGGTAATCACATGGCAGAGGACTTGCTGCCAGTCTAACTAGTTCAAGCTTAATTTGCTAGTCAAGGAAAAACAAGATGTATTAGTAGAAGAATGAAATAATTGAAGCTTTATGAAAACAGCATTTTTCAAGACCATTTGGTGCAGGTTAATAAAATTAGCAAAAAAATTTGGAAATTATTTCAATAGCCCAAGGAAAAAGTGTAAAAAGCTTGACCTGGGGCAATTACATACAAACAAATACCAGGGAAGGGACAGAGGTAATTAAATTCTGCCCAAGAGGCAGAGGACGAGAACAAGGAAAAAAAAAAAAAAAAAAAAAAGCAAGGTTTCACTTCCATTTGCCACAGATAGTCCTCTGCATGGGGTATCTCACAGGCGAGATCCACTTTCAGCACAGTAATTGTGCATTGAGGACCTTTCTGTACCAAAAGATTAGCCTACTGAAGGGTCATGTTGGATATCTCTTAGATTCCCCAGTCCTTTTTTCTTTTGACTCTTTTGAATCAGAATGTTAAATTTCATGAAATAAATTAGCTACCACCTACAAAGTTTTCTCTCCAAGTCACACACAATGAGTGAATATGTGCTAGGCTGTATCTGTGTGAAAGAGAACAATAAACAAGAGAGTTAGTCCAAATTATTGCCCAAACCTGCACCAAATGGTCTTGCAAAATGCTGTTTCCATAAAGCTTTGAACATTTCATTCTTCTAGTACATCTTGTTTTTCATTGACTAGCAAATTAAGCCTGAACTAGTTAGACAGGCAGCAATGACTCCCATTTTCCTGTCTTCTAAGAATATAATCCTTTTGAAGATAATCTGCAAGGACAAAATTACTATTTGACAAAAAAATTCTTAATTCTGTGTCTAATAAGCCTAATAATAAAGCTGTTTGTGAAGGAAAATAGTCATGAAAATTTATGCTCCTTTTTATACCAACATCTGAAACAAAGTGGACTTCGAGATACAGAAAAGTTACTGCTCCACCTGCCCATAATTCCGTATCCTAAATGTTGCCCAGGAGTCAAATAGCCTCTAAGTAAGGCACCTTTTGATTCTTTTCTTTACAAAGGCCCCTTTCAGGCTTTACTCAGATGTAGAACATGCCACAAATCTCCCCATTCCTCATTACTTATCCCTTCCAGAGTCTGAGGCTCTGTCTCTGGTGATCTCAATCCTGGGACCAGTGGGGGCAATTAACGTGCATTATGCAGGCTTGAGTATGTTTCATCTTCAGAGATAATCATATTGGAGACAAAAACTACATAATATGCATACACGCTCATGTGCAGTCACACACACACTTACACACACACAGATCAGGCTGTTAACATAGCAGTATTCCTTCCAGAGTTTCCTCTTCTAATCTTAATAAATTATCTTTGTGCTAACAAACTTTTTCTGCCATGAGAGGCACCATTACCTTCAAATTTTGTTAATCTCAGAAACTGAGAAGAAAAAAAAATTCTGGGTCTAAACAGTTTAATAACAAACAAAGAACGGTACCACACTTGGCAGATAAAAAATGACTTTTTGTCCATGTGTCTGTGCAATTAAAACAGATTTAGATTCCCCATTGGGACAAAAGGAAAAACACACAAAAAAAGGAAGGAGGTTCTTTTGAAAAACATACTCCCTTGCTCCAAATTTTAACAATTTTTTTTCTCTTTTTAAATTCACTACACAAACTCTGTGATGAAGTAAGAAAAGCGACGAGGGCTCTTCTTGCTTTTTTTCTTAAACCATTAAAGTAAAACCCGTAATTTTCTACAGAGTACAACACAAGTTCACACAAAAAAGACATTTTCTTTTGCAAATCAAAACAGGAAAGAAAGGAAAAGCTCAAACAAGGTGAAGGAAAAGCATTTCTACAGCTGAATCACGACTGAGTTGATCGAAGCCCATTGTTGCTGCACAACAGACTGTGCGTTTGGTCACAGCGGCAATTTTTTTTTCTCTTCACATTGTGAAATCACTTTACATTGTTTTCTAGTAGAAAAGGCAAAAAATTGTACAAAACCCCTAGTGTTAAATACGTTTGTACCAATAAAACACTCACACAGGTTTGTCTCCAAAATGTCAAGTTTCTTTTTCTTTGCTTTTTAAATTATTCAGAAGACCCAAAATTTTTCATCCATGTTGCCCAGTTGGCAGTTTGAAGATCTTGCCCACTAAATCCAGAAGGATCTTATGCCCAGAAATCCACAGAGCTACCCATCTTTATTTCTTATAAACTCTTTTTCTCCACATATAGATCAAACAAGGTAGATGTTAGTCAACCCAGAAGTTATCAATTGTGTGAAAAAGACAAATCCATTTCCTCTTTTTCAAGTGTAGATCACATTTCTGGGTCCCCTTTGGAGTTAGGTGTGGTCATGTGACCGAGTTCTAGTTCAGAGAAAACAATGAAAACTGCTGTGCAACACTTCAGGCCCTACCCATACAAGGGCCTTGATGATTTTTGATACCATTGAGCACAATGACATTGAAAGACATTTATGAAGATGATGAAGTCAAAGAGAAGTCCTGAATTCCAGAATCAGCACTTGAAGAACCTGCCAATCAGGAGCACCCATTCAGATTTTAAGTGAGCAATAAACTTCTTTCGGCCCAGCATGTGGCTCATGCCTGTAATCTCAGCACTCTGGGAGGCCGAGGTGTGTGGATCATTTAAGGTCAGGAGTTCGAGACCAGCCTGGCCAACATAGCAAAACCCTGTCTCTACTAAAAAATACAAAAATTAGCTGGGTGTGGTGGCACACACCTGTAATCCCAGCTACTCGGGAGGCTGAGGCAGGAGACTTGCTCGAACCCAGGAGGCAGAGGTTGCAATGAGCCAAGATTGCGCCACTGCACTCCAACCTGGGTGACAGCGAGACTCCGTCTCAAAAAAATAAAGAAAGAAATAAACTTATTTCATGTTTGATCCACTTTAAAAAAATTGTTTGGAGAAGAAAGTGACCAATTGAAACCAACATTTTTACATTTTGAAGAATGTATTAAAGAAGCAATTTGTGAATGGCTGTATCAACATATAATTCAGTGGGCTTATTCCCTTCAAAGATTCAATTCTGAAATAACAGGAATAAATTACGGAAATAATTTCTGGAGACTGAACAATTACTAGGAAGGAATAGAAAGTGAGTGTTAGTGGATACATTTACCACAAGATCACCATTAGGTTGTATTTGAATTTGAATATGATTTCCTTTGAAATATATGATCTTGTGCCTATCTACAATCACGGCAAGCACAATCCTTCCTTTAGCTTGAGCCAAAACCTGTGGGGCAGAAATAAGAAAAATCTTAAGCAGTAGGAAGCAGTGTGGAGTTTTTTAGTTTTTTGAATGCAAAGGTTTACAGAGACCTGAGGACCTTGAATTAAGTGAACATAGTTACAGGGGGAAAAAATAGTAAGAACTATCCCTACCATCAGCATTCAATTAACAGTAGTGAGAAAATACAGCTGTAAACCCAGTTGCAGAAAGTTGAGGATAGGACAAATTCAGAAGCTCTTAAAATCCTGGTAAGTAGAATTAAATTTAATTTAAAGCCAGCCATGGAAATTAAAAGATATAATTAAAGTTTAATTAAAATGTAGAGTGTTTAAGACTTTATGTGAGTGGTATACCACTTTCTTAGATGCTATAAAATTAAATTAGAAATATTGATAGAAAACATGTTCTTGAAAATATTATTTTGCTGCCCTGTTTCAGGTATCTCTATGTCTATAAATTCAATCCCTGTCTTCCATGGGTTTGCTAATGCTGGTCTTTCTGCCCATATGCCCTCACTTTCTATCTCTGCAGTAAAATGTCACCATCCTTCTTAGGCAAATCACACACTAGCTCTTACAACTTCCATCTGAAAATTGCATGCCATTACATCTATTCAGAAATCGATAGGCAAATCAGGGTAGTCTTTTGGTCACATCTAATTTCCAAGTGTCAGGGAGGTACAATTCTATCATGCACTCAGGAGGAAAAACAAAATACTGGTGAACAGAGTAACAACTACAACATTTAAGCTTCCTTTGTTCTTCATGTAAGCATATGATTAAACCTTTATTAAAAGAATGTAAAACAACTATATGTTTAAATTAACTATAATACTTTAAGCTCTTTGATGCAAAGATCTTTTCTTGCCTTTTGTCTTTTTACCTTAGAAAGCCCTCAGGACCATGGGTTCTTACTTTGTATCTAATAAATTTTTTTAAAATTTTCCTTCAGTCAAAAATTCACTGAGTGAAGATGAGTACTATATACAACCTCTTCCAGGATACCCCTTTCTGGATATTGGTCATGCATACACTGCATACACTCAACACCATTGCCAAAATTTTGACAACTTGCCCTCAGAAAGATTAGCTACTTTGTTAAATTTTGATTCTTCCCTTTTTTTAATTTAGTTTCTACCCTTGAATCACAGCATTTCACACATACATTGCTATACATATCAGAGTTCAGTACAAGATAGAAAAACAACTCCAAAATTTTAAGCAGAAAGAAATTTAACAGGGAATTAATGCTTGATTAACTCTTTTTCCTTGTTATTCATAGTCATCCTTAGAGAGGTAGCATAATTTTACCACATTAGGATAATCTGCACTTTCGGTATCTTGTCTTTCAATATTTTAAATGTTTCAAAATGTTCTGTACTATACATTTGATGATATTTATCATACATGGTATCATTAATTGATTCAATCCTTGAGTCAATAAATATTTGTGAAATAACTACTATTCACCAGACACTTTTTTCACTCACTCTTGATATCACAGTAAGGAAATCTGCCTCCAAAAAGTAATTAATTTGTGACATAGCAAACCCCAGAAGGGAAAATTTGAGGTAACACAATGAGTTCACTTGTACACATGGTCAACTATGTGTCACTGAGATATCCAAGTAAAGACAACCAGTTAGCGATTGGACAGAAAAGTCTCAAGCTCAGGAGAGGGTAATAGATATATTAGATATTAGAAGCTGTTAGCACAGAAAGGGCATTTGGACCTGAAGTGGGTATATACTTCCTAAGAAATACTGCCTAAGAAATATGTATGAGAAAAGAGCAGAGAGTCTAACATCAAGCCACCAGCAATGCCATAATAAGCACAAATAAATATATAGTGGATAGGTGGAGAAGCAAAATACCAAAAAAGAAACAGGAAAAGTAAATAGAGAGGGGGAAAAAAAAAACAGAAGAAAATAAGCAAAGAAAATGGGATTTTCTTTGAATTTTCATTTAGAGAGTTGTCAGTCTGGTCAAACACTGCTAAAAAGTCAAACAATTCACGAACTTACAAGTAACCATTTGATTTAGGTACATAGAAATCACTGGTGACTTTGGCAAAATTTCAGAGACATTGTGGAGAAGGAAACCAGATTGCTGTAGGCTGAGGAGTGAAGTGACAATGAGAGATACAGAGAACCGGTATAGACATGGGGCTTGGCTAAAGGAGAGGAGAGAGATGAAAACTGAAGGGGGATGTTAGATCAAGGAAGAATTATGTTTTTGTTTTTGTAAGGTAAGGTTGAGCAGGGAAAGGAGAGAAAGGTGGTAAGCAAAGGTACTCGCTCCCTGTAACTGTGGTAGAGGATGGAATACAGAATGTGAAGGGGGAGATTTCAATTTGAACAAAAGGGTAAGAATCTCTTTTATTGTTTATAGGAAGAAATGAAAAGAATGTGAGGACAGATTTTTTTACTTTAGTATGTTCCAATCATCAATAACAATCTTCCTGTGTCAAACTATTGGTTTGTCTTAAGTGATGTCCTAAGTGAAACACACAGTACACTAGCTTTGCCTTCAAAGCTTTCTTTTACTTAAGTAATCCAGCCACATAGAAAAAAATAAATAAATATTGAATAGTATTTTTAGACAGTAAGATAGCTCTCCCACCCAAGACCCTCAGTTCTTCTAAAAGAAAACTGCTATTCCTAAGTCACATATAGATAATCAGTGCATTTACAAATATGTGTATAAACACATGGCTTTGGGCATTTAATTTTTAATTTACATAATGCATAATATTAACAGGTAATAGTTTTACATATTTACAAGGTACACGTGTTATTTTGATACAGGTATATAGTATGTAGTGACCAAATCAAGGTAATTGGGATATCTGTCACCTCAATCATTTATCATTACTTTGTAAGCACGTTTTTAAATAAATTATAGCGTACTAATCACACGTTTCTGTACTTTATTTCACTTAGAACTACTTCTTGGACATACTGCTTCTTATCAAAATGTATACATCTATCTTAATTCTTAATGGCTGTGTAGTTTTTCATTCTCTAAATGTAACATGATTTATTGATTCAGTCACCTATTAATAGACATATTTGTTTCCAAGATTCAGCTATGACAAATAATGCTGAAAGCTTATTAATTTATGTAGAAATTTGCAAAATACACAATATCTGAAAGAAATATTCTGAAAGTGAAAATGCTGAGTCATAAACTGTGCACTTTTTTTTTTTTTTGAGACAGAGTCTCTCTCTGCCGCCCAGGCTGGAATACAGTGACATGATTTCAGCTCACTGCAACCTCCACCTCCCGGGTTCAAGCGATTCTCCTGCCTCAGCCTCCTGAATAGCTGGGACTACAGGCACCTGCCATCACACCCGGCTCATTTTTGCATTTTTAGTAGAGATGGGATTTCACCACGTTGGCCAGGCGGGCCTCAAACTCCTAACCTGAAGTGATCCACCCACCTCGGCCTCCCAAAGTGCAGGGATTATAGGCGTGAGCCACCACACCTGGCCTAAGTGTGCACACTTTAAATTTTGGTCAATATGGCCACATTTTCCTCCAAAGAGGTGTCAGTGCTTTCCTCATTACTGTTGCTTTTCTCTCTATCCTTGGCACCAAGGCCTAGCTTTTCACAAGTTCTTCAAAATGAGCTTCACAAATTATTTTAGCCACAATGTTTTATGGCTTCATTATGGTGATATGAATACTGTCCATATCAGTGACATTAATTACTGTCAGTTGAGAGAATACGGTACATATTCTTGAAGTAAGACTCTTTCATCAAAGGTGACCCAATGTCTACCCTTTAAATCTATATTGTACACACTTAATAATATAAGGTCAGTGACCACAATAAAGATATGGAGTAGGAGAAGGCTGCAACAGCTACCCACAATTCATTATAGAACAAACCTAGCACTGCCACTATTTCAATATGGGCATAGATGGGATATATGATTCTTCAGAACTCACTAGATCTGTTACCAGGCTAACCAGTTATTCCCCATAAAACTCATGACTTCTTACAAATCATTTGCTGGAAAATTTTTATATCCTAATTTCCTGAGATGGGCTCTACATTGTGGCAGATGGCTTTTTGACCTCTTAACTGTACAGTCAAATTTTATCTGGCTTGTAAAAGCTCTATGACATTTAGCACAGACTGTATTATACATTCTATATGCAATAGAAAAAAGGTTCCCAAGGATATAAGCTATAAACAAAGCGCTTGTAGTAGTGTAATATAAAGGAGTAATAGTTGTTGCTATCATTTTTTAATTTTAATTGATATACTAATTATACATATTTATGGGATAAAATATGATGCTTCAATACATGTATAGATTGTGTAATGATCAAATGAAGGTAATTAGCATATCCATCACCTCAAACATTTATAATTTTTGCTGTGAGAACAGCAAAGAGATACATTCTGGTTGAACTTGCTACAGAATAGTAACAACTGATGTGCTTCTGCTAGTCTTTTTTTTTTTTTTTTTTTTGAGACAGAGTCTCACTCTGTTGCCTAGGCTGGAGTGCAGTGGCACGATCTCAGCTCACTGCAACCTCTGCCTCCTGGGTTCAAGCAATTCTCCTGCCTCAGCCTCCTGAGTAGCTGGGATTACAGGTGCCAGCCACCATGCCTGGTTAATTTATATTTTTGTAGAGACAGGGTTTCATCAAGTTGGACAGGCTGGTCTTGAACTCCTGACCTCATGATCCACCTGCCTTGGCCTCCCAAAGTGCTGGGATTACAGGCGTGAGCCACTATGCCTGGCCAACTTCTGCTAGTCTTTTTGCAGTTTGCCTGCTATTTAGTTATCTATGATCTCCTCTACTTGCATAACTTACCATGAACTAACTTAAGAGCATTCTATGTCAACTAACCTTAGTAACTTTCCATTGTCTGATGCGTTAAATTTCCTTTCCAATCAATGTGATTGACTCAACATCACACGGTTCAGCAGTTACTAAAATGCACCAAAGAGTTACTACAAGACTGTAATTTAAACCCAGGCAGGCAATTTCAAAAAGCTGTACCTGGTAGCTTTTCTGCAAAGTGGTTGTAACCCAGATGTTCTATCTATGTGAAGGCAGCTCAACAATATTTCTATGAAAAAGGCATTAGCGAACAACCTGACACATTATCTCAAGAGATACACTATCATTCTACTGCTATACTGGGTACACTTTTGCATTGTCAATAGATCCCATGATTAAAAGAGAGAATTAATGACAGACATCTTGATTCATACTTTATTTCAATCATCTCACTTGATCCTTCAAACCCTATGGTATTATGCATTTTTTCATTGTAGAAATTAATGCTCAGAAATAAATAGCGCACTACAAAATGCCATAATTGGAACCCAAGCTTGCCAGCGTCTAAAGCCCATTCTTCCACCATGATACCATGGTGCTTTTTTCAAGCGATATGGCTTTTCCCTCTCCTCTAATGACTTTTTCATTCACCTCTCCACCTTGGCTTTATGGCGTGCGTGCACTCACACACATACACACACACACACACACACACACACACACACACACACACACACAGAGCTTAGGTTAGCTCATCATTATTTCTTTAGTACCTGTTATTTGATTTTTTGCCAACCAGGCACCAGACTTAATTTTTTATATTGCATCTAGTTTGCTAAATAAGGGACATGTAGTAATAAAATAATATCCCAGAGGACATTTTCACATTTTACTTGCTGTTTCTCTTTCAAAATTTCCATCGTTAAAAGAGGCAAACAGCCATAGGCTCTGGATATAATAGCTTCAGCTGCAAATAAAAAAATTGTCTTTCTGGATGGAAGGTGTGAAAAGGACTATTATTGCATCAGTCTCTCAGCTACTCTCCCACAGAACATTGCGGTCTGTTCAAACGAATGAGGACAGTAGTGGATAAACCAGTCTTTTAAACTTGTGTAAGATTTTCCATACCTGGGTTTCAGATCATTTTAGAGGCAAGTATTAATTTATTCTTTTTTCTCCTAATTTTTCATATGGACAAATTTAGGCACAGAGGAGATAATGAACTTGGCAGAGAATCAGGAGCAAAACACTGATGGAAAATGATGCTGATTTAAATGTTTCCTGCTTGCATTTCTCATAATGAAAGCACAGCCATATTGTGACACTTGTTATTTTATGGTTCACTGAAGAGCCGCAATAACAAATTTTAAATACCTATCAAATGTCATAAAATGTCATTTAATATTGTTCTTGGTTTGTTAAAGGGAAAATGAAAACTGATAAAGTTCATGTATATTTTGTGCTAGTTCAATAAACTAAATACCATACTATGAGACTTTCAGCAAACATACAGTCAATTGTAATATGGTAATATTAAATAAGAGGGTACTACACTTTTTCAAGAGAAAGTGGTCTTATTAAAAAGGTTATTTTAATGATGCTCTAAACAATTTCTTTGGCTGCATCACAGCATAGGTTCAGTTCATAATAAAAGTTGCCTTTGAACGAAGTATTCTAAATTTTTACAAGACTCCAATTCTCCTGTGCAATTACGGAATTTGAAATGTAATTCTCCTGGAACCATAAAAGAATTAAGACCAGAGAACTGCTGTTAAGAATAAAGCAAGATAAAAAGGAATTGCTTCAAAGACCCTTTTTATTCTTCTATTTTTTAGTGCCACGTTATATTCCAAGTCACTATGTTGTTATGGAAAAGGACAATGAGAAAATCCACTCTAGACAATTGAACATTTCTAGAATGTTGACTCAGGGCTATTTTTCTCTTGATAATTATGTATTAATTCAATATGGACATCTGTATGTGAAATCCTCAAATTTCCAGAAGAATGGATGATATATCAATGCACAACTGTTTGGCATTGGTTTATTGTGGACTCAGCACTGTGTTAGGCACAATGGCTCAGGCAAATTGTTTGGGAACATGGCCCCTGCTCTAGATCTGCATGGCATTTGTTTATCATTTGAACTGAGATGTGGTTATTACAACTTAACTTCTATCTCTATTTCACATTCCATTAATCATCAAGTACTATAGATTCTATCACCTTCATAATCTCTCAAATCTGCCCATTTTACTACATGTGCAATACCACTGTTAATGATGATCACAATAAGCTCCTAACCATCCTCTTTGTCTTCAATCCTATCCACTTTAATTCATTCTGAACAACAGTTTGGAAATAAAATTGTGAGTGTATCACCCCTCCATTTTAAACTGTTTCAGAGTATTTTCATTTAACTCCTGCCACAGTTTAAGCCCATCAGCATAACCAGGCAAGGTCCTCCGTAAGCTGACCCTTCTTAAACTTCTAGCTTAGAATTTTTACTCCTTCTGCAAATATTTCATCCAAATTAAATATCATGTAGTTTCCTAAGAGAGATTCTTCTCTCTTCTTCTCCCAAGTCCTTTTTTATTTCCTCCTTTTAGAGCGTACTTCCTCTCACCTTTCACCTGACTCATGTTACCAGTCTGTTGAGACTTAGTTCAGAAATCACATCTTTCATTTTGTCTTTCCCCACCCTCTCCTCTCCTATGAATTAAGTCTTGCTTCTATGTAAACAATTAGCTTAGATATTTATAACTGATGCTGTACTTATATGGTTCTGTTGTCTTCCATGAACATGTGTTAGATCTTTGAAGACAAATATATGTTATTCATCTTATGAAATTTGTCCTACACAGAATTTGGCACATGGATATCCATTCAAATGTTTGTGGAATAAATATGAATAAACTCAAAATAAAGAGAACATATATTAATTTTGTCCTAATTTGCAAAATTCTCCATTTTATTTCCCTCACTGCAAACTATCCCCACTGACAGAATTGGTATCTGATTTCATAGTGTTGATTTCTAACATTTTTAAACAAAAAACTATGTTTCAATTATAAATCATGTATTTAGGTAAGAATCCTTGCTTCATCAACTATAAGAACATAAATTCTAAGACATTTTCTCTACTGAGATGTTAAAATGTAGGGAGAAATGTGTGTTTTATAATTAACGAAATAAAATTCCTTAAGGTCTTACCATATGCTTGGCCCCATGCTGTGTTTTATATTAATTAGTTCTCTTAATCTTCACCACAGTCCTATGAGGAGGGTATTTTTATTATTCTCATTCTAAAAGTTAATAAAATAAGTTCAAAAGAAAGGTAATTTTCCCAAAGTTACCCAGATTATAAGTGGCAATTGTAGGATTTATCTCTATCTTACTCTACTGTCTGAAACATTCTCGATATTCCTTTTTTGGGTTCAGTACTAAGAAAAAACTATAGAAAATAACATTACTGGTCCTCATTTTAGAATATTCTTTCCTTGGGTTCATCATACACACACGTGCACACATAAACACAAACATACACAGTAATTGTAAACGGTGTGGTAATTTCTTTAAATTTTGTTAAAATACCTCCCGAGAAAAATGGAGACAAGTAGGGGAGAGAATCTCAGAGCTTGAAGACTATCTTTCTGAAATAAAACAGGCAGGAAACAATAGAGATAAAAGAATAAAAAAGACTAAACAAAATCTCCAAGAAATATGGGATTATGTAAAGAGACAGAACCTACGACTGATTGGGGTACCTCAAAGAGATGGGGAGAATGGAATCAAGTTGGAAAACATACTTTAGGATATCATCCAGGAGAACTTCCCCAACCTAGCAAGACAGGCCAACATTTAACTTCAAGAAATTCAGAGAACTCCAGTAGGACACTCCATGAGAAAATCAATCCCAGGACACATAATGATCAGATTCTCCAAGGTTGAAATGAAAGAAAGAATGTTAAGGGCAGCCAGAGAGAAAGTCCAGGTCACCTACAAAGGGAAAGCCATAAGAATAACAGTGGACCTCTCAGTGGAAACCCTCCAAGCCAGAAGAGATTGGGGGCCAATATTCAACATTCTTGAAGAAAATAATTTCCAGCCTAGAGCTTCATATCTGGTCAAACTAAGCTTCATAAGTGAAAGAGAAATAAGATCCTTTACAAACAAGCAAATCCTGAGGGAATTTGTCACCCTCAGGCCTGCCTTGTAAGAGCTCCTGAAAGAAGCACTGAAAATTGAAAGAAAAAATTGTTACCAGCCACTACAAAAACACACTGAAATACACAGACCAGGGACACTGTGAAGCAACCACATGCACAATTCTGCAAAATGACCAGCTAGCATCATGATGACAGGATCAAATTCACACATAACAATACTAACTTTAAATGTAAATGGGCTTAATGCCTCAATTAAAAGACACAGAAAGGCAAGCTGGATAAAGGGCCAAGACCCATCACTATGCTGTCTTGAAAAGAGCCATCTGACGTGCAAATACACACATAGGCTCAAAATAAAGGGAAGGAGGAAAATTTACCAAGCAAATAGAAATCAAAGAAGGGGTTGCAATCCTAGTTTCTGACAAAACAGACTTTAAACCAAAAAGATCAGAAAAGACAAGGGCATTACATAATGGTGAAGGGTTCAATTAAGCAAAAAGAGCTAACTCTATTAATCTACATATGCACCCAATATAGAAGCACCCAGATTCATAAAGCAAAGAGTCACAAAGAGACTTAGACTCCCACACAATAATAGTGGAAGACTTTAATACTTCACTGACAGTATTAGACAGATCATTGAGACAGAATACTAACAAAGATATTCAGGACCTGAACTCAGCTCTGGATCAAGCAGACCTGATAGATACCTACAGAGCTCTCCAGCTCAAAACAACAGAGTATACATTCTTTTCATCACCACGTGGCACCTTAAAATTGATCATGTAATCAGAAGTAAAACACTCCTCAGCAAATGCAAAAGAATTAAAATCATAACAAACAGTCTCTTAGACGGCAGCACAACCAAATTAGAACTCAAGATTGAGAAATTCACTCAAAGCCACACCATTAAATGGAAATTGAACAACCTGCTCCTGAATGACTCCTGGAAAAATAACGAAATTAAGGCAGAAGTCAAGAAATTCTTTGAAACCAATGAGAACAAAGAGACAATGTACCAGAATCTCTGGGACACAACTACAGCAGTGTTAAGAGCGAAATTTATAGCACTAAATGCCCACATCAGAAAGTGGGAAAGATCTAAAACTGACATTCTAACATCACAATTAAAAGAGCTGGAAAGGCAAGAACAAACAAATTCAAAAGCTAGCAGAAAAAAAGAACTAAGATCAGAGCAGAACTGAAGGAGATGCAGAAATAAAAACTCTCCAAAAAATCAATGAATCCAGGAGCTCGTGTTTTGAAAAAAATACACAATCAATAGACCACTAGCTAGACTAATAAAGAAGAAATGAGGGAAGAATCAAATAGACACACAAAAAAATGATTAACTCCACCGAAATACAAACTACCATCAGAGAATACTATAAACACCTCTATGCACATAAACTAGAAAATCTAGAAGAAATGAACAAATTCCTGGACACACACACCTTCCCAAGACTAATTCAGGAAGAAGTTGAATTCCAGAATAGACCAATAACAAGTTCTGAAATTGAGGCAGTAATTAATAGCCTACTGATCAAAAAAAGCCCAAGACCAGGTGGATTCTAGGACGCAAGGCTGGTTCAACATTTGCAAATCAATAAACACAATACATCACATAACCAAAACCAAAGACAAAAACCACATGATTATCTCAATAGATGCAGAAAAGGCCTTTGATAAAATTCAACGTCCCTTTATGTTAAAAACTCTCAAACTAGGTATTGGTGAAACACCTCAAAATAATAAGAGCTATTTATGACAAACCCATAGCCAATATATTGAATAGACAGAAATGGTAAGATGGACATAATACTATTGCACCCCTACTAGACTACAGTGTAGTATAAACATAAACTTTAGATGCACTGGGAAACCAAACACTTCCGTCTGACTTGCTTTATTGCAGTGGCCTGGAACTGAATCCACGATATCTGAGGTATACCACTATTTCAACTGAATAAAATTGGTAGCTTTCACTTTGTTTTTACTTCTTCAGCAATCATAACAAATTTTGGTGTATTTAAAGTACAGCAAGGTAATTATTATCTTCAAAGAGCCCCTAAATTAGTAGAGAAGAGAATACCTATAAAAATGTAAAAACAATGCTGGTAAATAATGACAAATGGCATAATAAGGGAATAGATCCAATGGTTAAGAATTGCACAAAAATAAAAATCACTCTATTTAGAATTGGAAAAAGCACCAGGAATGGTATCTTATTTTAACAAAATTTGTAAAATTCAAAAGGCTGACATAAGTGATGGGCTCTGGGTATATGAACAGGCTGAGCAAGAGTGGAGTGTAGAAATTTCCCAGAGAATTGAGAAATACTTTTATGACTTGTATGTCAGAAAGTACACAGCAAACATAGCACAATGTTAAGACTATAGATCTGGAGTGGTTTCTAGCCTCCACTCCTGGTTATTTCCTACTGATTAGCTGTGGGGCATTAATGAAGTCACTTAACATCCCTGAACTGGAGTTTTCTCATAGATGGAATGGGACTAGTGATACAACTGATTTACAACTATTGAGATAGAATTTTTTGTTAGTGGAAGAAAGAGATGGATAGATAAAAAGAATTTTTTGTTAGTGGAAGAAAGAGATGGATAGATAAAAAGATGAGATAAGTCTGGGGAAAGAAATCATGTCTTTTAGAGATGTACATTAGGGATTTAGAACTTCTTGCCATAGGGCATGTAAAATTTAACTTGGATTACATGAACTGGTTAATGCACATGATACAATTATTTAAATTAATTAAATTCAGAAAAATTAACTTTTGCTTACTAGATTACCTATGACAATGAACTTTCTGACATTGAAAACGCAAAGATAAGTAATAGCTACAATGTATTTTCAGGTCCCTATATAGTTGATATTTTATTAGATTCTACATGCTACTAGAACATTCAAATAGATACAGTTAAGATAGAGCAATGAGAATAAAACATTTCAAAATCTAATTTCCCTCAACATATTAATTTAATGTGATGTTAAAATATTTTATATAATCAATATCATATAACAAATTTTATAATAAAATATTCTTCGTTATGACAAAACTATTTTTCCTTGACTGGATTTACAAATGGTTGAGAGCAGTTATTTGCCTTTGACTCTTGTGGAGACCACAATCTGCTGGTTTACATTATTTATTTGTTTAGAGACTCATTTCCCTAATTAACTGAACAGAGGCAAACTTCACAGGTTCCAGAAATTAATGATATTTTATTGGCCTAGTAGTCCAGATAAAAAGGGAATTTCTGACAGGATGATTTAGATAATTGTCTCAATTTGCTTCATAGCTTTCTACTTATTGATACATCATTAGAGTTTACCTCGTGTATTCTCACAGGCACAGGTAATCAGTTGAATATATCTATAGGTGATTCAGCCTGTGTTAAGTGCCTCCTCAGTAAAGTATGTGCACGATTGCATTGTTGAAGGTACATTACCAATAAAGATACCATGAAATTGCAAATCAATTCATAGATTTGTTAAAAACACTCAAACTTTTTCTTAAGAAAAATAGCTTTTTCTGTGTTTTAATTTTTTTCTCAATGATAATGTCAGCGTTAAAAAGACACACTCAGGTGCCTCGATGCTTCCTCTCTGTAAGTTGTATCTTGGTAAGTATTCAGAACAAAAAATAAGCATACAAATTTCTTAAACTTTGTTTTGGTAAAAGCTAACACACAAATACACACACACTAGCCTAGGCCTACACTGGGTCAGGATCATCAACATCAGTCTTCCATCTCCACATCTCCTCCCACTGGAAGGTCTTCCGAAGCAATACCACACATGGAGCTGTCATCTCCCATGGTAACAATGACTTCTTCTGAAACAGCTCCTGAAGGACCTGCCTCAGGCTATTTTAGTTAACTTTTTTGTTTGTAAGTAGAAGGAATGCATTCTAAAATAATGTCAAAAATCATAGTATACTAAACACATAAACCAGTAACATAGTTGTTCATTATCAACTTTTATGTACTATGTATACTTAAATGTGCTATACTTTTTTTTTTTTTTTTTTGAGACAGAGTCTCGCTCTGTCGCCAAGTCTCGAGTGCAGTGGCGCGATCTCGGCTCACTGCAAGCTCCACCTTCCGGGTTCACCCCATTCTCCTGCCTCAGCCTCCCGAGTAGCTGGGACTACAGGGGCCTGCCACCACCCCTAGCTAATTTTTTCTATTTTTAGTAGAAACGGGGTTTCACCGTGTTAGCCAGGATGGTGTCGATCTCCTGACCTCGTGATCTGCCCGCCTTGGCCCCCCAAAGTGCTGGGATTACAGGTGTGAATCACCACGCCTGGCCTATATGCGCTATACTTTCATAGAACCAGGAGCTCAGTAGGTTTGTTTACGCCATCATCACTACAAACACGTGAGTATTGCGTTGTATTACAAGGTTAAGACGGCTATGCTGTCAGTAGACAATGAGGATTTTTCAGTTTCATTACAATTTTATAGAACTACCCTGATACATGCAGGCCATCACTGGTGAAACCTTGTTATGCAGTGCATGACTGTATTATATTGGAAGAAAGAGTGAGATAATATGCTGACACTCACACCGGGCTCATGCGCCAGTAGGAGGAGGTCGCCCTCCAGAGACTGCAGGAGAAGGGGGAGAACTCCTCCTTGCCCTGGCTGTTCCTCCACCACTTCCACCGAGGCCTGTGGTACAGCACCCGAAGCTTCCTAACCCACCCTAGGCCTGGCCGGGCAGGCCCCGCAGCGCTCCTACTCCCTCTTCCCGGCCCCTGGACTTGCGGCTGCTGCCACAACTAGCACAGATGTCACTATAACCATCGCTGCTGTTGCCCTCAATGCACTGGCCCACCCTACAAAACTCCTACTACCTGGCCACTGCCGCAGCCCTGCCCCTGCCATGGCCGCAGCTGGCCGTCCTCCTACCGCTCTGGTGCGAGGTAGTCTCGGTAGCTGCCACCAACCGCAGCAAGGCGAGCAGCAGCCCCAGGCTATCTGCAAGCTTCCAGCATGTAACTCCTCCTCCTGGCATGGAACAGCTGGACACACAAAGCCAAAAAAGCCTAGAGGAGAATGCAGAGACTGATAGCGTTAGAGCCTCACCTTGTCATCCTGGCCACTGGGTGGCAGGGGCCAGTCTCAGTGAAGGCACTCATATCCACCCTCCAAAGTCCAGCCTCTCCTTTTGGCTCAAGCGGGCCAGGAACTGGGACCTGGAGTGGTGACTGGTAACATCACACTGCCTGGCTCCAATCCACAGGAACCGCTGGGCCCACCAGGACTGCGCTCCTTGGGGAACAAAATCAGCAGGAACTCAGACACAGCCAGCCCTCCCACCCAAATGCCGGTTCCCCATCCTGATGCCTCCACCCACAGAGCCCTGTCTCCCCGTGGTGTCCCCGCCACTCCGTGTCCAGCGTGCCTAGGGGTGCCAGGTGGTCTCCGCAACACAGAGCGAAAAGGGCGTGGCCCCGGGAACCACGGCGGGTAAGGGGTCCTTGCCGTGCTCAGGATTACTGCGGAAACGCCGTGCGCTCGCTGCGCTCTAGCAGGAGCAGGAGGAGATCGCCTTTTAGAGTCTGAAATCCAGAAAGAGGAAGAAGGCTCCTTCCTTGGAGACCCTGTTGCTGCAAGCTCTGCCGCCACCAGCAAGGCAGCCCCTGATGGCGCCCCTAATCCGCTGCCTGATGTTGGCTCTGGGATAGCGCCCCCAACACCGCCCCTCGCCGCTGCAATGTAAAACCCAATAGCGCCCCCAACCCATCCCTGCCTCGGACGTCGCAGCACCAGATAACTCCCCCATCCTACCGTCTGCCGTCGGCCATGCAGCCACGGATAGGACCTCCAACTAACCCCCGGCTGCGGGCAGTGATGCCCCGGAGAGCACGGCCACCTGCTCCATGCCGTCAATAGTGCAGCCATGGATCCTTAAGGTCCCCAACCCCCTCCCCACGACGAGCAGTGCAGCCCTACATAGCAGATAGCACCCCCAACTATCCCCCACTCAGGGGGAATGATGCCCTGGATAGTGCACCCCACCCGCACCCCGCCATGGGCAGTGCAGCCTCCGACAGCACCCCTAACCTGTATACCGCTGCCAAAAATATGGTCCCCGATAGCACACCAAACCCAGCCCCCACCACAAACAGTGCAGCAGCTGATAGAGCACCTAACTCGCCCCACCGCCACTGACCACAGTGCAGCCCCCGAACGGTGCCCACAACCCACCCCACCACCCCGCCTGCCACCGGCCGGGTATCACCCCCAAACCGCCCCTTGCTGTGAGGAGTGTATCCCCTAGTAGCGCACCCAAACCTGCCCTCTATCATGGGCAGTCTGGCCCGATAGTGCCCGAAACCGCACCCTCCAAGCACCTACCCGCACCCACCGCTGCCCCGCCCCACCACCAGCAGTGTAGCACCTGATACTGCCTCTAACCTCTCCCCTGCCATGGACATTGCAGCCCCACATAGCGCCCCCAACAAGCCCCCACCATGGGCAGTGCAGCCCCAGATAGCATCCCCACACCGCTGTCAGCAATGAAGCCCGACCAGTAAGCACCCCCACCAGTCCGCACCCTAACCAGCCCTCCCACCACCATGCCGCCGGCAGTGCAACCACAATAGCAGCCCCAACCCGGCCCCTGTCGCGGGCAGTGCAGCACCCAATAGCGCCCCCAACCAGCCCTACTGCTGCCATCAATACAGCCCAAGATAGTGACCCCAACCCGCCCCCCACCAACCCCCCCCCCACCCGCTGCTGAGGGCAGTGCAGCCCCGGATAGCACACCTAAAAGCAGTGACGCCCAAAATAACACTCTAGTACACCCAAAGTAGTGACACCCGGAATAATACCCCAACCAGCCCCCGCCGCGGGCAGCCCTGGATAGCTTACCTACCCCATTGCCTTTCTACACTCTGGCCAGCTGCAGTATCCGTCGCTGCCACCAACCACAGCGAGGCCAGCCAGGGAGGCGAGCCAGCGAGGCCAGCCGCAGTCCTGCAGGCTCTAGCCTACAGCCTATGGTAGGTGCCTTCTCCTTCTTTCCTTCCTGTAGCCAAGCACGGAGCAGCTGTCACTGCCAGCTGCCTCTCTCCATTGCCACCACACACCATTCAAGGCTCCAGGGCTCCAGGTTCCAGGCTCCAGCCTGCGGCAGCACACTCTGCTGCCGCTTTCTCCAAACTCTGCGGGAGAAGTAGAGGCTAACACACGATAGCCTGCAACAGCGCGACGCCCCCTTAGCATAGCTTATATACTGGGGGTTGTGCAGGCCTGGTTCTCGGACTTCACGTTCTGATTGGATGAAAGAAACATCTACGCCTACTCTGATTGGACGTTATTTTCATGTTCTGATTGGATCAGAACAAGTCTTAGGCTAACCAATCAGAACGTGACAATAAAGTCCAATCAGAGTAGGCCTAGTGTTTTCCTCTCATCCACTCAGAACATGTAGTTTATAATCTCGGTATATAAAGCATGTTAAGAGATAGAGTTGCACTAGTCCAGCCTCGTCGGCGTCTGACTTCATAGCTGCTCCATTGCCAGCTTGGAGTAGGAGGTGCCAGCCACTGCATGCTGGAGGCTGCAGCCTACCGGGCTGTGGCTGGCCTCCCTGGCTCACCACCTCGCCGGCTTGCCTCGCCTTGCCTCGCTGGCTTGCCTTGCCCGCTGCGGTTGGTGGCAGCGATGGACACTGCAACCGGCCAGAGTGTAGAAAAGCATCGGGGTAAGTGGCTATCCAGGGCTGCACTGCCCTTGGCCTGGGACGGGTTTGGGGCCCTATCTCAGGCGTCACTGCCCACCTTGGGTGGCTGGTTAGGTGTGCTATCTGGGGCTGTGCTGCCTGCACCGGGGGGTGGTTTGGGGGCCCTAACCGGGGCTGCACTGCCCTCGGCGGGGAGCCTGTTGGGGAAACTATCCCAGACTGTATTGCTGGCAACAGTGAGGTGGGCTAAGTGTCCTATCCAGGGCTGCACTGCACGGCTGTTGCGGGGGGTTGGTGGTTTCAGGTTGAGGGTGCTATGGGGTGCTGCAATGCCCGTGGTTCGGGGAGGCGGGGCGGTTTGGGTGTGTTGGGTGCGCTATTGCGGGGGGGCTACACTGCTGGTGGCAGGGGGCAGGGTGGGTTGGGGGCCATATCAGGGGCTGCACTGATTGCTTTAGCTAGGGTTTCCAGTACTATGTTAAATAACAGTGGTGACAGTGGGCATCCTTATCATGTTCCAGATCTTAGAGGAAAAGCTTTCCATTTTTCCCCATTCCATATGATTCTAGCTGTGGGGGTCTCTCATGTGGTTTTTATTGTGTTGCAGTATGTTTCTTCTGTACCCGTTTTTTGAGGATTTGTAGCATGTTCCCCAAATTGAATATACCATTTTTTAAAAAGAGACTGAGTCTTGCTGTTATGTTGCCCAGGCTGGTCTCAAACTTCTGGACTTACGCGATCCTCTTCTGCCTCAGCCTTCAGATAGCTGCAGCTATAAGCATGCACCACCGCACCCAGCTTGAAGGTACTGTATTTTTAATTCCATATTGTCAAGCGTTTAAGTTACTTTTCTTTAAAAAATTAATATTAATTCAAAGGAAGAAATTGGCAGAGTGAAAAGACAACCTACAGAATGGGAGAAAATATTTGCAAAGTATGTATCCAGCAGAGGATTAATATCCAGAATATACAAGGAACTCTTGACATCTCAATAGCAAAAAAAAAAAAAAAAAAGAACCCAACTGAAAAATGGGCAAATGACCTGAATAGATATTTCTTAAAAGATGACAGACACATAACCAACAAATATGTTTTCCTAAAAAGCTCAACATCACTAGTCATCAGGGAAATGCAAATCAAAACCACAATGAGGTGTCATCTCACCCCACTTAGAATGGCTACTATCAAAAAGACAAAAAATAGCAAATGCTGGCAAAGATGTGGAGAAAAGTGAACACTTAAATGTGGCTAGTGGAAATGTAAACTAGTACAGCCACTATGGAGAACAGTGTGGAGGTTCCTCAAAAAACTGCAAATAGAACTATTATATGGTCCAACAGTATATTATTGGACATTTATCCAAAGAAAAGGAAATCAGTATATTGACGAGACATCGGCACCCCCGTGTTTATTGCAGCACTATTCACAATAGCCAAGATATGGAATCATCCTAAGTATCTAACAACAGATGAATGCATAAAGAAAATATGGTATACATACACAATGGAATACTATTTAGCCATAAGCAAGAATGAAATCCTATAGTTTGAGGCACATGGATTGAACTGGAGGACATCATATTAAGTGAAGTAAGCCAGGGACAGAACATTAAGTACTGTGTGTTCTCATTCATTTGTGGAAGCTAAAAAAATGTTGATCTCATAGAGGTAAAAAGTAGAACAGAATACTACAGGCTGGGAAGCATAGGGTGCAGGGATGGTAGAAAGCAATTTGTTAAAGGTTTCAAAATTACAGCTAGATAGGAAGAGCAAGTTCTAGTGTTGTATAGCACTGTAAGATGACTGTAATTAACAACAATATGTTACACAGTTTCAAAGAGGAGGAGGATGTTGAATGTTCCCAGCACAAAGAAATGATAAATGAGATTATGGATATGCTAATTACCTCGATTTGATCTCTGCAAATCTATGGGAATGTTACTATGTTATTCATAAATACTAATAAATACATCAAAAATTTTAAAATTAATAATGAACAAAAGATAAGGGGCCCTGAACTCTAGCTTTAGGGCTGAATTGTATCCAGTCAGATGGTTTATATGTTATTTAAACTTTCACTTTAAATTTGGAGTGGAAATATGTTTGGAAATCCTTACTTTTAGTATGTTGATTTGTGTGTGTGCGTGAGGTAAATCTGGTTGGCTATTGGCAAATGTACTGGGTAGCTACTTAATAAAACATTTCCTTCCAGTGTTTCAGCTTTCTGATTCTTAGAACATGTGTATATTTAACATAATATGCATTATCACTTTTGAAAGTAGTTATTCTAACACTTATTTGTGCTAAATTAGAATATGAATTTGGGAACTATTACTCTTTTCTATGGTCTGGAATAATTTAAGTAATAGAAATTATCTGATTAGATAGAAATTCATTGTAAAATCATCAAGTTTAGAAGCTCTTAAGATTTCCTTTGACTTTTGCTTATTAGTTTTAAAGAAAAAAATAAATTGACATAATGGAAATTTTCACTATACATCAGGAAGGGAATTCAGTGGAAAAGTAAGCTTCCTACTCCCTCTTGACCTTCAGTTTATACTTTTCTTCCTAAGTCAAGTACTGCTACTGGTTTCTTATGCTGTTTCTAGAACTAGCCTATCTATTGTCTATTTAAAATAACTCTTTAATCACCTTTTATTTGAGCTGCCTTATGGATCTATGTAGTTTTTCTGTCTCTCTTTAAAATTTTTTATGCGGTAGAATACACATAACATAAAATTTACCATCTTAGCCATTTTTAAGTACACAGTTTAGTAGCACTATCTTTCACATTGTTGTGCAACCAATCTCCAAAACCTTTTCATTGTGCAAAACAAATTCTGTGTCTATTCAACTGCTCTCCATTCTTTCCTACCTGCAACTCCTGCAACCATCCTTCTACTTTCTGTCTCTCTGAATTTCACTATGTCACATAAGTGGAATCATACAGTATTTGTCTTTTTGACATGGGCTTATTTTACTTAGCATAATGTCCTCCAGTTCCATTCATGTTGCCTTGAAAGGCAGGATTTCATTCTTTATGGCTGAAATAGTATTCATCTTGTTGTAGCATGTCAGGATTTCCTTCCTCTTGAAAGCTGAATGATATCGTATGTATATACCAACATTTTATTGATCTAAATGTATCTACCAATGGATTTTTCGGTTGTTTCCACCTTTTGACTATTATAAATAATGCTACTGTGAACATGGGTGTACAAATAACTTCAAGGCCCTGCTTTCATTCTTCCGAATATACATCCAGAAGCGGAATTGCTGGATCATATGGTTATTCTATTTTTAATTTTTTGAAGAATTTCTATTATTTTTAAAGTCACTTTTCATGGTTTGTTCTTTCCTACAAAACATGTTTTTCAATTTTATCAGTGCAGAGTTGTATATAATATTTATATATTTTACTTGTACAATTAAAGGCTGTATTTTATTTCTATATTATCATATAATTACCTTCAGTATCTATGTTTGTAACTGTTTCCTCATTTCTTTTTTTCCTCGTTCACGTTTACTATTTTATTGGTCTTTAAAACCTAGGCTTTCTTTTTTTTTTTTTTTTTTTTTTTTTTTTTTTTTGAGACAGAGTCTTACTCTGTCGCCCAGGCTGGAGTGCAGTGGCGCAATCTCCGCTCACTGCAAGTTCCGCCTCCCAGGTTCACACCATTCTCCTGACTCAGCCTCTCCTGAGTAACTGGGACTACAGGTGCCCGCCACCACGGCCGGCTAATTGTTTTTTTTATGTTTTTAGTAGAGACGGGGTTTCACCATGTTAGCCCAGGATGGTCTCGATCTCCCAACCTCATGATCCGCCCACCTCGGCCTCCCAAAGTGCTAGGATTACAGGCATGAGCCACCATGCCCGGCCTACTTCTTTTTTTGTCATTTCTAATTGACTGGTAAGTACATTATATCATTACTGCAGCAGATTTATGTTACAGTGTTTTACCTGTTTATGTTAGAATCAGTTTATGTTTCTGGAATCTGGAATAGGATAATACCTATTTGATTTGAAATTGGACAGAGAGTAGCTTTATGTTGGTCCAGATAATCTCATTTCTCATTTGGACAAGATATTTGAGGGTTTGAAAAATTCCTGTGATGATTAAAGGAGAAAACTCTTGTGAGTTATTGTATGCTGAGACACACACACACACACACACACACACACACACACACACAGTTTATTGCATTGTTGGGTTTTATACATAAAATTACCCAAGTTGCAAATATATGTCTTACAACTTTGACTCTCAGGATAGTGCAGCAGGATGAAGTGCAACCGCCCCCGCCCCCCCTTCCCCGATTTGCCAACAAGGGCAGACCAAACTAGAAGTGTGGCGCTGTACATGTTTCTGTGGAACCCTGACAGTGAAGCTGTTCTGGTTGCCATGTCCTGTTTCCGCCACCTCTGTGAGGAAGCAGATACCTGGTGTGGGGTGGATGAAGTGTCAGTGCATCACCTCTTGCCCAACTGTAGCACATTCATGGAGTTTGCCTCTGTCAGCAATGTGATGTCAACAGGTAAATGTGAATAGTGGTTTTTTTACTCAACCTGCCTGAAGCACGTGACATCTAATTGTGAGAATGTATTTAAGGTTACTACTTTGTAAGTTTACAGGGGAAATTCAAGTAGCTTACTTGAAATCCTTTTCTGAACAAAGAAATGAAACAAAGATGAAAAGAAAAAGCATTTGAAATAGTCTCCCACTGAGTTTTTAATATGCTATACGTTTTAAAAATAACTGGCAGTATATGTTATTATCAGTTGTGATCATATAATTTACTCCACCTAAGTTGTAGATAGTGAAGTTTTATGCACATTGGCATATGTTTTGAGTAAATTATAGGTGGGAATAGCTATTTTGTGCTGTGGACATTGTAGAGTCTAAGATAAGTACCTTTCCTGTGAGGTTAGTGAAAGGAAGTTTTTGGCTTTATCATTTGAGGCATTTGCTCTGCTCCTCCTACTCTGCCTTTTGGGTAGGGCTTATGAGGTTCTCCATTGGCAGGCAGGGCTCTAAGTGCAGTGACTTGATTGGCTGTTGTATTTGCTTAGGAACAGCAGCACTTCAGAAAGAGTGATGGCACTGCGGAGGCGCACTTAGCATCCCACTGCAGGAAACACTGAGGTGTGCTCTTAGCAAGAGAAACACCCCTCCTAGGCGCCCACCCTCAATTTTGGAAACCTATTGTCACATATGTGTAATCAGGAATAGCTTTTGAAGTAAATCCAAGATATGTGCGTGTTAGAAGTGTAATATCTGAGTACTTATTATACATCAAGTTTGAAACTTGGCCATTGCTGATTGACGTTTAGCTCTAGACTTAAAGTTGCTTTCAAGTGATAATTGCCTTCATTTTAGGCTTGGGAAGATACACATGCAAAATGGGAACAAGCAACAAAACTAATCTTTAACTATCCAAAAGCCAAAATGGATGACAGCCAGGTAAGTCTGTAAAGTTGACTTTTGTCTATTAACTGATCTGCTAAATATATGTCCTTCTCTTTGGTAATCTCTCACGAGTCACTCAGTAAAGTAAGCATATAGTTGTCTGAAGACTGATATTTAGTTGTGGTTTATCTAGACCTGTACTTCGTAATATGGTAGCCACTAGCTACGTGTGACTATTTAAATTTTAACATAATGAAAATTAAATACAATTTAGTTCCTCAATCATATAGTAGCCACATTGCAAGTACCCAGTAGCCACATATGACAGTCTGGACAGCAGAGAGAGAAAATGTTTCCATCATCACAGAAATACTGGGCAGCACTGCTAGAGACTGTTGCAGAGACCTTTTCTTGCTCTTTATCCCTTCATCAGGGTGTTTCACAGAATTTTCAGAAGAGGAGCAACAGAGGTAGAGAAAAAAAACACGGAAACAATTCATTTTGCTATTTTGTTAAGTATTCTAATTAAGGAATGTCTTGGGCAAAAGATTGAACCCATAGATTAAATGAAATTTTAAAATGTGGACAGTTCATTCAACTATTACTATTGACTATATTATCTGTTACTCTGGAAATTGATGAGTTGGTGTTTGTGTGTAATTGATTTGTAATGTTCATATTCCTCTCATTATTAGGCGATTTATAAAAACTGGTTATTCCCCCATGTTTTTTTTCTGTCATACTTAATTACAATAAGAAAAATGTTATGTTTTTATGAAGCAAAATTGTGTACCTAATAGCTTTATTTGGAGGGGACATGTAGCTTTAGAATGAAAGCTTTTGGGGGGATAACTGTTTAATATACCATACAATTCACCCATTTAAAGTGTCCAATTCAGTGGCTGTTTTTAGTATATTCCCAGAGTTGTGCAACCATTACCACAGTCCGTTTTAGAACAATTTCATCAATTGAGGAAAAAAAACCCCTGTATCCTTTAGCTATTTCTGCCTCTAACACCCTACCCCACCTCCCCGCCACTTTCTTGTCTCTCTTCCCCCGGCTTCTCCAGCCCTAGGCAACCTTGAATCTACTTTCTGTCTCTGCAGATTTGTCTCTGCTGGATCTTTTCTGTAAATGGAATTTTAGAATATGTGGGCTTTTGTGATTAGCTTCTTTCACTTAGCATAACGTTTCCAAGGTTCATCCATGTGAAATCAAAGCTTTTTAAAAGAAATTTGATACTTGGGCGATTATATTAGTGTATGACAAAAATAAATCAGTGGCTCTTTAAAAATGTATATGGTAATTTTTGGGGTTGATTTTAATGTGTTTTTTACATTTTTTGTACTTTTGTCATGGAAGAAATGTTGGATAAAGAGTAATTTGTCAAGTCTCAACTAATTTAGGTTTAATTCATGCTTTGCCCAAAAATTTTGTGTTTAGGCTGCTGAAAGTTTCACATGACCATTGTTAGGAGTCGAATATCCCATCTGAGTGGAGGAGGACGCGCAGATTTGTCTGACACAGACTCCCTACAGGAATGGATCAACATGACTGGCTTCCTTTGTGCCCTTGGGGGAGTGTGCCTCCAGCAGAGAAGTAATTCTGGCCTGGCAACCTATAGCCCACCCATGGGTCCAGTCAGTGAATGTCAGGGTTCCATGATTTCAGTGATGTCCTCAGAGGGAAACGCAGGTACACCTGTCAGCAAATGTATGGATCAGCTGTTGTCCTTAATGGTGTGTAACCATGAGAAAGTGGGACTTCAAATACGGGCCAATGTTAAGGACCTGGTGGGTCTAGAATTGAGTCCTGCTCTTTATCTGATGCTATTTAACAAACTGAAGAATGCCATCAGCAAGTTTTTTGACTCCCAAGGACAGGTAAAGTGTGCTCTTTTTTATTTTTCACCTTGTTTGAAATAAGGAAGGCTTTTTCTTTCCAATTATTTAAATTAGGTGCTCACAGTTTTTAAAAATTGCCAAAAAATTGCAGAAAGAAGAGTCATCTCAATGTAGGGGTCAGCTTGCTTCTTAGGAACTCTGGTGTGTATGTGTGCCTGAGGGTATACCTGCCTTGTGTATGGGTATGAGTGTCTGCATGTATCTGTATGCTTGTTTGGCTGTGTGCCTGTGGGTGCACTTCTGTGTTTGTGTGTTTAGATCAGTCGGTTGCATCTCTCTAGAGGTCTGTCTTCTGGGCATTGATGGCAAATGATTAATACATTTGTTCTTTCTATAGTTTTTATTGATGGATACCAACACTCAATTTGTAGAGCAAACCATAGCTATAATGAAGAACTTGCTAGATAATCATACTGAAGGCAGCTCTGAACATCTAGGGCAAGCTAGCATTGAACCAATGATGTTATATCTGGTCAGGTAAGCGTTCTACTGAAATGTAGCAGAAACATACTTTAAGAGATCAGAAAAACCTCTTACACATTGATATTGGTAGTAATTGATAAAATAATTTGCCATTCTTTACTGCACACAAACTAGGGTGTGACAGTCAGGTAACCAGAAGGTGTGTATGTTCTCATAAAAATAAATATTGTTTTCAGACTTACATTTAGTTCATTTTATTTGATGACTAAAGTACTTTGAATGCTTTCTCTTTTGTCTATATCTGATAATTTTTTTATTGTCTCTGTGTCTGTATAGGTATGTTCGTGTGCTTGGGAATATGGTCCATGCAATTCAAATAAAACGAAACTGTGTCAGTTGGTTGAAGTAACGATGGCAAGGAGAGATGACCTCTTATTTTGCCAAGAGATGAAATTTAGGTGAGTTCTCAAAAGAGCAATGTAGGGTCTTGTAAATCTTAATTTGTTGAATGAAGTACAGAAATAGAGTAGATATCTGGTTATTGGTAGGAAGGAAGACATAAAAAGAGAGCAATTTACATGTTTGTGTTTCTCTACGTCTCTCCTCAAATTTCCGTAAGCTTTGTGCCTGTGGCAAGCCTCCCTTTTTCTAAAACTGTGCTGTACTTGAGCTAAGAATTTGATTCTGTTTCCAATTTGATACCATAAATAAGGGCCATGTTGGAGGTTAAATATCCACGTTGCTTGTTCCCTTCTGGCTTTTACGTCTGTGACATCAGTATCTCTTTTATAAAGTCGTCATGTCACCTGAGTTATCTGCCAAATTATTTGCACTGTAAGAAATCTTACACAATTAAAGGTGTGTGTGTGTGTGGCTTCAAAAAAATTGTTTGCTGTTTCTCTTTTCTCCGCCATTCTTTAGGAATAAGATTGTAGAATACCTGACAGTCTGGGTTATGGGAACATCAAACCAAGCAGCAGATGATGATGTAAAATGTATTACAAGGTAAAAAAGAGAATGACCTTCAAGTATTAGTGGGTTTTCCTGTAAGAATTATAATTACTTCCTTACAGCTTTATACTTGTATTTTATGTGTATTTAAATTTTTTAGATGTCAAACTTTTGTGGTTGAAATATGTAAAGATACTAATCTTTATTACTACTTTTTTTTGACTGATAGACTTTCTGTAAAAATAAATGTGCGAGAGCGGTATGTTTGGGAAGTTAGTGTTGTCAGTTTATGAAGAATAGTCTACCGTTATTGGGAAATAAGGTACATAAAGCCTCAGATTGCATTTATGTTATGATTAGATAGAAAAAGGTATTATTTGAGGAACTCATTGTGTTGGTCTTTCTAAAAAATAATTGATTTCCTGATTCAGGCACCAGAGACAGAAAAAAAAGGAAGTAATTAAGTGTAATTAAGTCTGCTTTAATGATAAATGCTTATTGACACATATCAGAAAGTGATTAAACACTATGGACTGTATAATAAGCCTTTACATATGTTTCTTTGACCAAGCCTAGCTTTATAATATGGTCGTCTCTCAGTATCTGTCAGGAATTGGTTCCAGGAACCACCCCCCAAACTCCTGCCCACATCTCACTTCCATGAACACTAAAATCCACAGACTGAAGTCCCTGATACAAAATGTCATAGTATTTGCATATAAACTATGCACATCCTCCCATATATTTTAAATTATCATTAGATTACTTATAATATCTAATAAATATAAATCTTATATAAACACAAGTTGTTATACCATATTGTTTAGGGAATAACGACAAAGAAAAATCTTTACATGTTGAGTACAGATGAAACCCTACTTTTTTTTCCCCCAAATAGTTTCAATCCATGGTTGGTTGAATCCGTGGATACAGAACTCGCTGAGACAGAGGGCCAATTGTACATGCTTCTGATTGAAGATAGTCATTTTGCCAAGATTACTTTGTAGAAAGTTACTATTGTCTTCTCCTCATTTGAGATGATTTTGTATTCTAGGATCTGCATATTAATTCAAATTATTTGGGTTGTGCTAATAATTTGTTTAATGAAACAGGTAGTTCCTAAAGTTTATATCTGTTAATAAGAGGTTTATTTGAGAGGAAGTGAAATAACCTGAAAGATTTATGGTCTCTAATTTTTTTTTTTCAGAGATTTGGACCAGGCAAGCATGGAAGCAGTAGTTTCACTTCTAGCTGGTCTCCCTGTGCAGCCTGAGGAAGGAGATGGTGTGGAATTGATGGAAGCCAAAGGGGACACAGTTATTTCTTAAGTAAATTTCAGTCACCAAAAAACACAAAGCAAAAGCAAATAAAGCCCCCCGCCGCCACACACACACACACACACACACACACACACACTCAAAGACAAAACAAAACAAAAACAAAAAAACAAAAAAGAAAACAAAGAAATGTTCCCCATGCAGGACTAGGATTAGGAAAATAACTGTGTTTTATGATTTTTAAAGAAAATAATATGATCCCTGAAATTTTGCTTGTAATAAAACCCAGATTGCTTCACTAAGTCATTTACAAAAGTGACATTGTGTAAGCTGTTTGGACCACTAATTTTATATACTAAACATTAAAAATGACACATTTACCAGGAAACATTGCATCTATTTGATGCTTATGTTATGAAAGGTATGCTAGGCTATATCAGGTATAATCATGCCCAACACAGCATGCTTCATAATGAGTCACCCTGGCTGATTATCCTGAGAGAGGAGAGAAGCAGTTAATCCAGGGCCAGTCACACCGTGCACATGTGATAGTTTTGGAATGTCTGGTTAGCTTTCTAGTTGATACGGCCTTTGCTATGTAAAGGTCAGTCTTTTTATTTCTCAGATACTTCACACTATTTATGAACCTTTTGAGTGACTGCAGTGAAGCTGAAGATGAAAGTGCACAAACAGGTGGCAGGAAACGTGGCATGTCTCGGAGGTTGGCATCACGGAGGCACTGTGCAGTCCTTGCAATGTCAAACTTACTCAGTGCCAGCATAGACGGTGGTCTCATGCACTCCATAGGTGAGATCAAATGAAAGTTTCATATAGAAATACACAGCCTAGAGAACTGGCTTGTAAGATAAGCAAAAATTACTTCAGTAAGGCCATGTTAGTAAATTTGCATCCATTTGTCCACATCAGGTTTAGGGTACTACAAGGATCTCCAGACAGCTACATTTATGGAAGTTCTGATGAAAATCCCTCAACAAGGCACAGAATTTGACACACTTCAGAAACGGTATTGGCTGATGGGTTTGAGCAATTGGTGGAACTGGTCACAGTGATGGGTGATCAAGGAGAGCTCCCTATAGTGATGGCTCTGAACAGTGTGGTTCCTTGTTCTCAGTGGGTAAGTGCATAGAGTAAGTGGGGAAGAAAAGTGCCTGGCACATAGCAAATCCTTCAGAACATATTTGTTCAATAAATGTTTGTTGAATGAATTGATAAAATTTTAGAGCCAGAAGAAATCTTAGATGTTTAGTTAGGTGACTTTTCAGCTGTAGGGAAGTGGTTGGCACTGCTAGACCTGAATAGTGTCCTATATCATTTCATCCCACTGAAAAATTCCATTTAAACACTGATTAAAAATCACTGATCTACTCCGCTGTCTTCATATATTTGAGAAGGTAATTAAGTTAAACCTAATTTCAGTCAGTTGTCGCAACGCTGGAATTGGAATCCACGATTTGTGCCTGTTTACTACCTCCAGTTTGCTGTTCTTTTCCCCATAATATCTTACACAATTTTTAAAAATGTAAGCACTGTATTTGCATTTGATATTATGATATTGTTTGTTTTAAACACTGAAAACATCATATGGCTATTAGGTCTCTCTCTTAATTTAATGAAAAATTTTCCTCAAATCACATCATTCCTAATACATGTGAAAACGTTGAGAAGGGTGGTGGTTCCTTTCCAGTGTTAAAAGGCTATTTCCTTTTTAGTGTACCAAAAATGGTTTCACTTATAGTAAAGTATAACTAATAAGGTAATCTGTCATTGTAGATTTGTTTCTGCTTAAAGCTGTAGGATATTTGTTACACCTGTACTTAAAGTAAAATTCAAACTCCTTATCCTGTCCTACAAGGCTCCACCTGATTTGGGCCCTGCCTCATCTCTAACATCATCTTATGCCATTTTCCTTCTTGTTCACCAAAGCCACACCAGCTACCTTTCTGTCCCTCCTTGTTAGACTTGTTTCTGCCTTAAGCACCCTTGCTGCTGCTACCACCTGAAATGCTTCTCCTCTGGTATTTTATTTTGGTGAGAACGCCTAGCATGAGATCTACCCTCTAACATATTTTTAAGTGTAGAATACAGTATTGCTATCTGTAGGCAGAATGCTGCACCACAGATCTCTAGAACTTACCTTGTATAACTGAAATTTTATACTGATTGATTAGCAACAGCCCCAAATCATTGAAATCTTCCTAAAGCCTAAAATTACTTCACAAACGTTCAAATGTTTTGAAAATGACTATTGTGAATTATCTTATTAGGATCTACCTATGATTAGCACTGAAAATACTCAGTAATTTTTTAAATAAAGAATCAGTTAAATTCAAGTAGCTTTAATTTGTTGTTGAGTTTTATATTAAATGACTTTGAGAAGGAATTTTCTATTAGGCCAGATCTCACCTATCACATTATTGTAATCCTGGGACCAGGCAAGAATTAGAGAGCTATGGGCCATGATCCTGGCCGTTGTTGTTACTGCTTGAGGATTGAGGCATCTTTTTATGGCTACCCCTATTCTCTATAAATTTCTTCTTGTGATTAAACAGTGATTTACCAGTAGATCATTTTTCTTGAGTGTACCCCAAACTGCTTTACTACAGGGAGTTACAAGGATGTCATTTAGGTAATTGGAATTTCAGCCCTCATCCCTGTCCCCCTTGCTTTGTATGTAAATCTGGCTGATCTCTGGGTTCTGAACGCCCAGTTCCTTTTCTTCCTGATTTCTCAAAAATCCTATAGTCTTTCTGTTTTTGTCATGTCTCTACCTAGTCTATGTTCAGCATTCACTGAGTTCCCCTGACTGTATGAGAAGAGAGTAGAACTCTTCTGATCATCAGTCTTATTTCTGCTCTGTGCAAATGCTTGTACAAATCAAACTAAAGTATTTGCTGTCATCTTCTGTTTCTGTTCTCTTTCATTTTGTGATGTAATTTGAACTGAATCTTGGAGATTTTGTCTCCTGGTAAAGCCTAGGCCTCTCTTAATAGCTTTCACCGGTTAATCCTTGGAATTAACAGCTATCGTAGACATCGTATATAGTCATCTATCATAAACAATATACGCAGATAAATCTCAGGAGAAATATTAATCAGTCACCTTTGCCTTAATTTAGCAAGTAGTTGTCAACTTTGGGTTTATGTTTTTGCCACTCTTCAGCTATCTACCTGAGAACAAAAATGCACTAACCTGATTTTGTTTTGTTCTCAGGATGAACTGGCTTGAGTTCTGGTTACTCTATTTGGTTCTTGGCATTTACTCTACCAACTGCTCTGGAACATGTTTTGTAAAGAAGTAGAATTGGCAGACTGACTCCATTCAGACTCTCCTCTGAGGCAACAGTTTGGCCAGTAAAATAATGACACTCTGTTTCAAGGTTTGTATCATTCATTTTGTGTGTGTGTGTGCTGAGGTATGTCAAGTAATGATTATGTACAGAATGTGCAGAGCTGATTGTCTTCTTTTAAGGTAAAATGTATGGAGCAGGCATAATGAAGTCCTACTCATGCATTTCTATAGGTATATGGTGCTACCTATCTATAAAAACTCCTGGATGCTTTATTACGAATTGAGATCACATCCTCTGATGGGCAACATGTTAGCTTTGAAGTGGATCCTACCAGTTTTATCATCTTTTCACATAAAAGTGCTCTTTTTTTTTTTTTGCTAACACTGCATGAAGCAAGGCCCTCATAACTTCTCCTCTTGATCATTAAAATTTGTTTTTAATTATAAAAGTTATATACAAATATGCTTTTCTTTAATGATATCTGTAATTTTTTTTAAGTTATCCTTCTTTTTATCTGCCTTAGATCCAGGGACAGACAGGAGAAGGATGTCTTTGACTTCTACCTCCACAGACCGTTACTAGTTAAGGCTCTTTCCTTTTTCCATGACTTTACATATCACTTTACACAGTCAGTTGCATGCTCTGTCACCCAGACTGGAGTGCAGTGGCACGATGGCTCACCGCAACCTCCACCTCCTGGGTTCAAGCGATTCTCGTGCCTCAGCCTCCCAAGTAGCTGAGATTACAGGCGTGCACCACCACGTCCAGCTAATTTTTCTATTTTTAGTAGAGATGGAGTTTCACCATGTTTGCCAGGCTGGTCTGGAACTCCTAACCTCAATTGATCCACCAGCCTCAGTCTCCCAGAATGCTGGGATTACAGGCGTGAGCCACCATGCCCAACCAGAGAATTGTCTGTTTTGAGATTAAAATTTGGGAGTTTTAAGAGAACCACTCAGTAGCAGTGATGGTCTATGAATATTCTAAAATTATGTGAAGAAATTTGTGTGAAAGCATACATCCATTTTTCTAACCTTTATCAGATTTCAAAGAGGTTCCTCATCCCCAGAAGGTTGAACACTATACTGGAATAGTCAAAGCACTCAAATTTTTTCTTAATTCTTTATCTTTTTATACTTTTAGCTAAAACTTCTATATCTAATTCTAAATTTATATATTTCAGCTAAAAATAAATGGTATTTAGGTTTTAAAGCCATTCTAATAAAGCAGCTATATTTAGCCACCTTCACCAGTTTCCCCTTATTGAAGGGTTAAGGTTGTTCTTCATGCAATAAACACTGTAACATAAAGAAAGCTTCCTGAACTGTGTGTAGTGTAACTGAAGGTGGGACTATATTGTTACACCTCACCGCTTACAAATACTTTATTCTCTAAGATCTAATTTTTACTAACTTCCTATTAGAGATTACAGAAAGCTATTTTGAGATTATAAGCAGTGATAAGAATGCATTTAAAATGTGGACTTCATGAAGCACTGCGTTGAACAGGATGAAGTGAAATAATCCCGATTCCAGAGTTAATCTGGAGTCAGCCATGTGAATTTAGGACAGGAAATATTAATTTATTGAGGCATTGTGCAAAAAATAGTTACGTGATATTCTGCATGTAAATCTGGGTCCCCCACACCAATATCCTTTGAAAGGAAGGTTTATCCTCGGAATCACAAAACATTGAGTGGAATGCTACAGTTTTGTAATCACTGCTACTTTAAACAGCAGTTAGCCACACTAAGCAAGAATAGCTGTAGAGATTAAAATGTTACATTAAGTGTTCTTTAAAAATGAATATATATGGTATATATAAAAATGTAAATTCCAAAATAATATAATTTTCATCTATAACATGATTTAAAGCAGGGGACACTGGGAAGGGATGGGGGCTGAACCCATTTTATGGCACTCTTCCCAGTCTAAGGTACCTTTTACTTTATCTTAATGTAGAATGTTTTATAAAGAGAAAATCAATCCACTTTAAATATTGGGTTCACATTACTTTTCAGGCTGGACAACCATTTCTTGAATTCTTAAATTATTTTTATTTGACAGAATTATACATTGAGGTAGACATAGGGGTTCGCTGTTCTGCTGAGATCCTTTTTTCTTTTAGGTGCCCAAGAATTCCCATCCCTCCATGGTTCAAATAATAGGTAGGTTGTTATAAAGGAAGCTGGCAACAGGCAATAACATTACTTGTAAGTAAGTTTTTTTTCCTCAATAGGAATCTAAGATTTTGTTTTTTTATAGCAAGCATTTTTTTCTTCAATTCAGTTGTAACTGGTACACAACAAAACATAAATATGTACTATCAGGTATAGGATGTTTTGGGGGTGTGTTGTTGAAAATTTAGTTTCACCTTATAATGTTGACCACACTTTCATGTCTGTTAATCTTAATAAATTATGATCATCTTTGTGTGAAAATTTGGTCTGTTTTCATGACTCCTCAAACTTGCAGTATAGGTGATGATACAGTGAAGATCTGTTTTCAGGTTTCTTCTACCCATCTCATCCATGAGGTTTTTCTTTCCTCTGAGATACCTAAATTGTACTTTAATATGATACAAGACTAGAATTGAGAGGAAACTTTATTTTCTCATGTTTTGGGAGAAGAAAAAATAGAAATGTGTCATTCATGAGGACTGATTGACTCAGAGTTGTTGTGCAAATGTTGACCTTTGAACTCTTTGTTCCCATGCCCCTATTTTAATTCAAACCTTATACTCAAGTCTCAACTTGTTTTTAGGGGGTTAGCCAACGTTTCCCTCAGAACAGTATCAGTGCAGCAGGAAGTGCCATGTTCCTCAGATTTATGAATCCTGATATTGTCTCACTGTATGAAGCAGGGATTTTAGATAAAAAGCCACCACCTAGAATCGGAAGGGGCTTGAAGTTAATGTCAAAGGTGAATTATTTTGATAATCTAGCTATCTTAAATTCCCCTTCCAACTAAATTTTCAGCTTTTCTTACAGTACTTCCTCTTACATTTATATTGGAAATACCCTACGGTTTTCAGTTATGTGTTTTTATTTTGTTTATATTACAAAGGAATTCATTAGTTAGGTACCTGATGGACCTTATTTTCATGAGAATACGTTTTATTATAGCAGATGTCTTGTGTCATGAGGATCATTTTTTGCGTAATCATTCTAGACATTCTGAAACAGACTACAGTGAAGGCTGTAGGATTTTTTATTTTAAGACATTAAACATTTTTAATATGTATTTGTACATGTAAATATAATTATAATTAGGAAGAATAGAAACACTACCTAAAATATAGAATGAGAAATGATTGATTTTAACTACTAGCAGAAATTATATCAAGAAAATTCATATTTTTAAAGAATATATTAATGTATAAACTTCATACAATAAATAATCTGATTATTTATAACCCTGTTTTATTGTGTAAATACTTCAGAGTATTGCCAATCATGTTCTCTTCACAAAAGAAGAGCATATGCGGCCTTTCAATGATTTTGTGAAAAGCAGCTTTGATGCAGCTTGAAGGTAAGCTACTTGCCACTTATTCACTTGCTCTGTTTGAATCAAATATTTTCAGTTTCACATAAATCCATGTACCTGTTTTACATGAAGTTCCGTGTAGGTTTTTTTCTCTTCCTGCTCTAGGTCAAGACATAGCTTGCCTTATTTTATTTTACTATAAAAGACAGTCTTGAAATAAATTAATATTTTTTATAATTTGGTAGTGATTTTCATATTTGAAAACCAAGAGGCATTTTGGACATGTCTAGTTAAATAAAGGATTTGAGGATGGTACAATATGGGGATAAGGAAGAAATAGGATTCCTTTTATTTAAAACTAAAACCAAATTGGTATTGATAATGCATAAGAATGTTTAATAAGGTTTTTATTAGTATCAGAATATTTGTGATACTTAAATTTGGAAGTGTATCTAAACTAAAATGTTATTCTTTAAACCAAGTAATGCAAACACGTAAGATTTTGTTCATGAGTAACTGAACTTTATGATTTTAGAAAACTTTTCTGCTGGATTTCCATAACCAGTTATTTCACTTTATTTCTCTGAGTTATTGGTTTATCTGTAAAGTGGGGATAAACTCTTTGCCTGAGTTGTTTTTAGAGAGAAAAAATGAGATAATTCATAAGAAAGTGCTTTGTAAATTTATGTCTGGAATTCTGCTTTTCATGCAGTGTGAATCTAATTGATCCTTATCATCTAAGCTAGCCTTGTACAACTCTCTCTTCCAGTTTATCATCATTGTAATTGTTACTGACTTTTATTCTTTTAGGAAAATTGGAGTTTAAAAGGTATATTGCTGAATGACAAGCCATGTTGGAAAGAGAGTGAATGTCAGCACAGGATTCATATTCTGGCAGACTGAGGGCCCAAAGAAAGTTAAAAGGAACAAAGTTTTAATACTGGCTTTGACCTAACAGGCTATATATCTTTGGGGAGGTCTTTTGTCTGGACCTTCATTTCCTTATCTGTAAAATACCAGCCTCTTTCCAAAGTTTCATCCATCTCAATTTTGCTGTTCTTTAACTACAGAAGCTGAAGCCAGGTATCAGAAATGGAAAGCCAACTTTCTCCTTGTCCTTTTTACTTTGTCTAATGACAAATCACGTTGTGGGAACAAGCCCTCCATATTTGTAATTGTCATCTCAGTTGCTTCACAAAGTTACTTCGTATAAATTTAATTCAAACATAAGTATGGTGTGTCTCTGGTGTTGAAAATTCTAGTGACTTTGCATTTTCTAATGTTTTTTCTTGATATGGCATCTGATTGTCCTACAAGTGATGCAGTAAATCATAGCCTTTCCTTCAGCAGTGACGGCAATGTGCTCGCTTTACATCATCTACTCCGGAACAATCAGGAGAAAATTGGCCAGTGTCTTTCTAACAACAGGTAAGATTTCCCAGTCATGAGGATAGTGAACATTCTCCATTTTAATTTAGATCAATAAAATTATTGGTCATGAATAGTGCTTTTTAAAAACTTTGCATCTTCTTGGACTAAGAATTATGGTTTAGAAAGAGAAAGTCTTTTTTTTTTTTTTTTTTTTTTTTTTTCAAAAAAATACAAACGAAAGGTTAAGTCATGTTAAATAATCAACAAACCTATGTAGGTTCCAGTGGTGGTTATTATTATTATTTTCTCAAGTTAAGAAATCACAGATTAGCTCTTTGGGTTTGTATGGCTTGCAAACTGTCATAGACCCAAAGAAGTTCAAATTAGTGTTGGCATTTGAATCTGAAGAACAGCTAATTCATAGGAATTCAGTAATTAAAATATTGTCAGTGTTTCAATTCTATGATAAACTCATTTGTGATACTCTAAGTATATGCAAATAAAGCTTTATATAGAAAATACTGGCCTGGCACTGTGGCTGATGCCTGTAATCTCAGCACTTTGGGTGGCCGAGGTGGGTGGATCACCTGAGGTCAGGAGTTCGAGATCAGCCTAGCCAACATGGTGAAACCCCATCTCTACTAAAAATTCAAAAATTAGCTGTGCATGGTGTCAGGCGCCTGTAATCCCGGCTACTTGGGAGGCTGAGGCAGGAGAATTACTTGAACCTGGGAGGCGGAGGTTGCAGTGAGCCGAGGTTGTGCCATTGCACTCCAGCCTGGGCCATAAGAGCAAAACTCCATCTCAGGGGAAAAAAAAAAAAAGAAAAAATACTTAAAAATTGAAATTATTAATTTGGGCATTGTTTCATTAGCTCTTATTAGTCTCTTGTGTTAACATAAATTACTTGCTGTCCCATCTAGTTATATAAACTTGTAAAGGGACAAAATTCCTAAGTATGAGGAGTTCCTTACAAAGGAAAAATGAGTCCAAATTATTTTTAAATGCCAATAAAAGTGGTTAGCACATTCACAGGAAAAGTAGTGGACTATGAAGCTAAGGGTAAGCAATTGGGAGATGGGAGTTTAAACCACAGAGCATTTTAATCTTTTATGCATTATTAATGGATTGAAGTAGACATGGGCCTGAGGTCTTTTGGGTGCTGTTTACAAATCAACAGGGACCACCAGCTGACAGTTAAAGGAAAAGCAACAGTTACAAGTTAAAGAAATGTGTACTGCTAAATGTGAACTGCTACTTTTTTCTAAGTAGTTTGCTATATCTAGGGATCATAAAGCTGTTGGAAGATGACCTTTTGATAAATGGCAACACTTCTTGTATACCTCGGTCCTCCAGAGCACAAACCTGTGGCAGATACATACCGGTCCAGCCTTAACCTTACCAGTTAAAAGTTTGAGGAATTTATGATGAGGTAAAGTACAACCTTGAAATGTAGACTGCTTTCTTTTTGGTTGAGAAGCAGAGTTTACCACTAGGCCACTTGTTAGATATGATAGAAGACTATGAGGAAAGATGCATCTAATAATCACATTGCCATGTTTGGGGACCCAACTTTTCTCCTATTCTATATATTATTTATATATATATATATATATATATATATATATATATATATATATATATATATATATATAGAAAGAATATGTTTTATATGTTGATTGCCATAATAGTAGTAACAAATCATATTTTATCATCTTGCTTTCATAAGTTTTCACATTTAATACCTACCAGGGAATGAAGAAAACATTATTTTCAGATGATAGTTAAGGAAAATGCAACTCAGTGTGAATAACTGGCTTGTGTGAGATCCCACACCTGATTCATAGGTCTTTTGGTTTTAAGTGCAGAACTTTTCTACTACACTATAACACTTTTCAGAACCCTCATAAAGATGAATGGTTTTAACTTCTTTTAGATTAAGGCTCAGAAAATATAGTCTACTTCAGTATTGCTATAAAATTTCTGTGGACATTTGTTTTGAATCCCATTTCATGGCATTTAGCTTGTGAACAAAAAGATCTTCATGGTTAGACACTGACTCTATGATGATACAGTGAGAGTAGTTTGCTGAATCTTTTAAAGTACATTTCACAGTACCTTATGCTTAGTAAGGTCTCCATAGTGTCTGTGAGTTGAATGTTGTGTTCACAGTATCTGCCAAAACAGAAAGAAAAAAACAAAATCTGATGATGAGAAGTTAAAGCTTTGTATATCATATGCCTTGAATTGTAAGTGCCTGTTGTTAGTTGTATTACATATAGGTCATGGTTTTGTACACATAACTCCAAACCATTGATACTGTTAAAAGAATATATGAATATATGAAAGAATGTATAAACATAAGAATGTATGGGTATATAATGTACTTTCCAAATTAATTTTTATTTTTAGCTTTGTTAGATTTTTCTTAGTGTAGCAAACGTTTATTCCTATGTAATTAAGGGCATATTTTCTGTACAGAATATTCATATTACCTAATTGAAAATTATATAATACAAAAATATAATACTATTTTTAGGCCAGGCATGGTGGGTCATACCTGTAATCCCAACATTTTGAGAGGCCAAGGTTGGAGAATCACTTGAGACCAGGAGTTCAAGACCAGCCTGGGCAACATGGTGAGACCTTGTCTTAAATAAATAAATAAATAGGTTGGGCACTGTGGCTCATGTCTGTAATCCCAGCATTTTGGGATGCCAAGGCAGGAGGATTGCTTGAGCCAGGAGTTTGAGACCAGCCTGGGCAACATAGCAAGACTCCATCTCTACAAATAATAAGATATTAACCAGGTGTGGTGGTGCGTACCTGTGGTCCCAGCTACCTGGGAGGCTGAGGTGGGAGGTTTGCTCAAGGCTGAAGTGAACTGTGAATGCACCACTGCATTCCAGCCTAGGCTACAGAATGAGACTTGTCTATAAATAAAGAAATAAGTAAAAATATAAATTAAAAGAAGTAAAAAAAATAAGTAAATAGAAATACATATAAAGATGAGTACATCAAAACAAACAATTTTTAAATTTAACATCACTGAGGACATCCTGGCCATTTTTCTATTTTTCTAGGAAAATGTTTTTATTACTCCTTTTTTTCTAAGATCCTACCTTTCCTTACAAAGCAGTCTTTTGTGCTTTTGAAGATTATGTGATCTAATATATATAGTATACTTAGGACAGTATCTGGTACTTGTAAAGTGTTTAATAAATGTTAGATCTTATTTTTGTTCTAAATTCCCACTGATGCTTTTGGAGACCCATTTTCTGTTTTAAAAAAATGAAGGTAGCTTTATAATAGCCTCAGTTTTTTTTTTTTTTTTTTTTTGAGACAGAATCTCGCTCTGCTGCCCAGACTGGAGTGCAGTGGCATGATCTCGGCTCACTGCAAGCTCTGCCTCCTGGGTTCACGCCATTCTCCTGCCTCAGCCTCCCAAGTAGCTGGGACTACAGGTGCTCGCCAGCATGCCTGGCTAATTTTTTGTATTTTTTGTAGAGACAGGGTTTCACCGTTTTAGCCAGGATGGCCTCGATCTCCTGACCTCAGGTGATCCACCGGTCTCAGCCTCCCAAAGTGCTGGGATTACAGGCATGAGCCACCATGCCCAGCCAATATTCTGTTATTTAAAAAAAATTATTGAATTACTCAATATAGAAATCTAAAGAAAGTAAAAAAAAATTAAAAATTGTTTATCCTCCTGCTCAGAAATAATTCAGTTAACGTATGGTGTATAGTCTCCCAGTCATTTATCTATGCACATGTATATGTTTTTCTCCTATCAAATGATATCTAGGTTGTTTCCATTAATATTTTTAAAATGCTGACCTGGTACCAGCAGCATGATGGGCTGAGTTAATACAGTCTCCTTCCCAAATCACAATACTCATAGATACACTAAGTGTAAAAGAAAACATGTATACTTAAAAAAAATTAGGAAGAGTGCAGTAGCTTACGCCTATAATCCCAGCACTTTGGGAGGCTGAGGCAGGTGGATCACATGAGGTTTGGAGTTTGAGAGAAGCCTGGCCAACATGGCGAAACCCCATCTCTACTAAAAAAAAAATAAAAATAAAAATTAGCCAGGCATGTGACGGGTGCTTGTAATCCCAGCTACTTGGGAGGCTGAGGCAGGAGAATCATTTGAACCTGGGAGGCAGAGGTTGCAGTGAGCTGAGATCGTGCCACTGCACTCCAGCCTGGGCGACAAGAGCAAAACTCCATCTGTTAATTAATTAATTAATTAATTAAGTTTATAGCTGAAGGTAGTTTCTAAGCAAATTACCTAGCATACAGTCATTACAGACAAAGAAATGGAAAATATGAAAGAGATTAAGAGATGCAGAAGATAGAATGAGAAGTTCCAAAATATGTCTAGTAGGTGTTCCCTAGAAATTGAGCTCAGTGAGAATGGGAAGAAGTAATATTTGAAAGGGTAAAGGATGAATGTTTTCTAGAGTTGATGAATGACATTAATCTTGAAGTTAAAGAAGCACACTGAGTCTTGAGCAGACTATATAAAAAGTAAACCAGGCTTTAATACATATGGGAACATAATATATGATAAAAGTGGTATTTGAAATCAAGATTAGGATGGACTTTCAATAAATGGTGTTGATAAAACTGAGTAATGATCTGAAAAAATATTTTCATACCATTTATGAGGATAGACTCCCATAAATCAGAAAGAAAAAAAAACATGGGCAAAGCAAGGCCTTTTTCATCCATTCAAAATCCATAAACTAGAAAGGAAAAGATTAATAAAATGAATTCGTTAAAAAATCATAAACTTCTGTCTGACACAAAGAAGTCATGAGTAAAAACAATCCTATGGTTAATATCCTCATCCAGTAGTTCTCTTAGAATAGTCCTAAAAGTGCTTTTGTGGTTCAAAGAGTAATATCTTGAGATTTTTTGTGCATGTTGTCAAATTACCCTTTAGAATGCCTGTTGCTTTTAAAATAATTTTTCATTTTAGCATTTTATTGTTTATCCAATTATGGGCTGTTTTACATACTCAGTAGACAACACAAAGCCTCACAGTTACCCTGTTCTTTTTCTTTTAGGCATCAGGTATGTGAAAAAGAAGAGATCAAGGCTTTGAAAACATTAAGTATTTTTTACCAAGCTGGGAATTCCAAAGCTGGGAAGCCAATTTTTTATGTTGCAAGGAGGTACGAAATACTATGTTTTGGTGTCTCTTAACAGAATTTTTTAAATGATAGTAAATATAGAGAGATGGCAAGTTTGGTTTTTCCCGTTTGACTTAACAGGAATTGAAGACAAGTTTACCTGGGAGCATATAGTGGGGTAAATAGCCTGCCTTTCCTAAAATGATGGTCAATATCTAATAACTGCTTTTCAGACTACCCATTTCATATTGGTTTCCCTGTCCTACATCATTTTTTTAAGACTGCCTAAAATGGATTAATTACCAAGAGTTAAAAAACCACAAAGAATCTTTTGTTTTCAAGTATATTCTGATTAAGTACTACTCAACAACATGATAACCGGGAACTTTTTTCAATTTTATTTTATTTTATGATTTTATTTTTGAGATGAAGTCTCGCTCTTGTCCCCCAGCCTGGAGTGCAATGGCACGATCTTGGCTCACTGCAACCTCCACCTCCCGGGTTCCAGCAATTCTCCTGCCTCAGCCTCCTGAGCCCTCCCCTGCCAAATCCTTCCCAGCTTCTGGTAATCATCAGTTTATTCTCTGTCTTCATAAGATCCACTTTTTCAGCTCTCACATATGACTAAGAACATGTAATATTTTTCTTTCTGTGCCTGGATTATTTCACTTAACACAATGATCCCCAGTTATGCCTTGTAGCTGCAAATGACAGGATCCCATTCTTTTTTATGGCTGAATAGTATTCCATTGTGTATACATACCACATTTCTTTATGCATTCATCTGTTATGGGCACTTAGGTTGACTCCATATATTGGCTGTTGTGAATAGGGCTGAGATAAACATGGGAGTGCAGATATCTTTTTGATATATTGTTTTTTTTCTTTTGGATGTATACCCATCAGTGGGATTGTGGGCATATAGTAACTCTAGTTTTAGTTTTCTGAGGATCCTCCATGCTGATCCTCATCATGGCTCCTTTATGGAGAGTGTGTGAGGGTTCTCCTTTCTCAGTATGTTCACTGGCCTGCTGCCTTAGACATTAAATCAGGTGCTACTGCGGTATTCCGAGTTGTAATTAGTTTTTTATTTTGACATCTATAAATCTTCAGGCAGCCAGACAGCTTGATAAAGTTAAGCCAAATACAGTTTTTCTAGGAGTGGTGAATTAATGGGAGAAGTGGCCAGATCATCCTTGTGTGTAGGTGTGAGCATGTCTGAGTGTGGCGAGGGAAGGTGGTTGGGTAGAGAGTGCTGTGAGGGAGTGAGGTGGGAATCCCCCTAGCTAGGATTGAGTCATTTTTTTCTTCTTCCATGCAAAATGCATATTCCCCATTGTGGATTTCTGAGTGTGTGAGTGATGAAGAAATAGGGCATGTGCCTTGACCCAGTTGCAGCTATTGCCTCCATGTGCCTGAGGTGCCTTCCTCATACTCTAGCATGTTACTGGGCAGACAGTCAGTATTAGCACATGCTGCTGGTCCTTGTGAGCACAGCACGAAGACGAGAAATGCTGGCAGAATTTTGGCTTGAGGGCCAATAGATGTAATAAATGTAATACAGTTAGTTTTAGAACATAATTCCATAATTTGATTCGGGTCAAATAAATCATTTTAACCAAAATTTCTATTGTGGAAGAAAATCTTTCAAGAATTATGAAATTTGTGTCTCAGAATTGGCTCATTTAAGAAAAATAATACTGTTCAAATGTGCGAAGGCTGTCAAAGGGTTTGTTGTATAGCTTTGCATTGGCTGAGTTTTCAATGTTTAGACATTTGAGTATAAGAAAACTGCTACACTAAAAGTAATAGACATAAAAATAAAAAATAAACAGCTGTGTAATGTTATCAGGCTAGCTAGATGTTATGCATCTGTGATTCTGAGGCTTCTTTGCAGCATTTGGTTCATGGAGGTTCTGGTAAGACCAGCTTGTGAGCGTTGATGTTTCAGAGCAGGTTATTTTCTATGGTGTGAAAGATGCAGTCATTGCCAAGAGTCACAAAAAGTGAGGCTGGGAAGAGGATACACTGAATAAAGTTTTAAGGAAGTTTAAGAAAGCACACACCACATTGCCATTTGCTTTCTTAAAGTTTCAAGGAAAATTTCTAAAAAATACGTTCGTATGGTTTGTAAGGTTCACATGAGATAAGGAAGTAAATAGAGCACTTAGCATAGGAATTGGAAAAAAAATACTTATACTTTCAGACATAGAAGACATACAGTTAACAGATTTCAGAGTCAAGCACTGGTTAGATAAAGTCAAATGCTCTCTTTAGATGTGTACTGCAAGGCATTAGCCAGGTGCAGTGGCTCATGCCTGTAATCTCAGCACTTTGGGAGTCCAAGGTGGGTGGGTCACCTGAGGTCAGGAGTTTGAGACCAGCCTGGCAAACATGGTGAATCCCCGTCTGGACTAAAAATACAGAAAATTAGCTGGGCGTGGTGGCACACACCTGTACTCCCAGCTACTTGAAAGGTTGAGGCAGGAGAATTGCTTGAACCCAGGAAACGGGGATTGAAGTGAGCTGAGATCACGCCAGTGGACTCCAGCCTGGGTGACAGAGAAAGACGCCGTCTCAAAAAAAAAAAAGAAAAAGAAAAAGAAAGACAATATTGGTGTTTTAGATTATAAGAATACAATTTTGATCATAATCATTTACTGTTCTTTGTCATGAAGAACTACTGATCTGTCTTTGTAAACCTGCAAACCTGATCATTGAGAAGTCTGCATCACTATTGATGACAACTTATGGTTCTTCATTAAGTGACCCAGTTCATTTGCTGGAAGATTGGCTGCCTGTTAGCCCATAAAAAGATCCTTTTTCTAGTGAATATCATTGCAAAGTGAAACAGGAAGAGTGGAAAGGTACAGTCTGTAGGCTAGCATGCGATGCACCATGAAACTCATCATGAAAAGGACATGTGTGTCATTAATCATGGCCACATTGATCACGGCCCCACTCTCTAGGGAAGAAGCCAGTTTTTTCCCTTCCCTGAGAGATACCATAACTGAGCCGCCATCAGTATCTTCAGCCTTCCCTTGGAGGAGGATGAACTTGACCTCGATGGTAAGTGATTGATGGTTGACTTAAGGGAATTTGGCTGGCCAGGAATTTGGCTGGCCAGAGAGATGTCCTTCCTCCCTCACTGCTTCCTCATGGAAATGTTAATGAAGATTAAACAAATTAATATATGAAAGTAATACCTGGAACTTAGTAAATCTCAGTGAATTTTAGTCACTATTACTGCTCCTGTGGACCTCAAGTATCAAGCAATGTGACTATGATCAGTAGTGAACTAGCCTTTCTGTAGGCATATTCCTTTGTTTCTCTTGGCTAAATACCTGGTAGTAGAATGCCTAGTGCATATGGTAAGTGCATGCTCAACTTTTTAATACACTGCCAAGTTGTTTCCCAAAGCAGTTGAACCATTTTCCATTTTCAGCAGTAGTGTATGAGAGTTTCAGTGGCTCTATATCTTGACCAGCTTTGGTATGGTCCATCTTTAATTTTAGCCATTCTGATACATATGCAGTGCTATATCATTATATATATCCTTTTTTGAGACTGAGTCTTGCTCTGTCGCCCAGGCTGGAGTGCTGTGGCGCGATCTTCGTTCACTGCAAGCTCCACCTCCCAGGTTCAAGCGATTCTCCTGCCTCAGCCTCCCAAGTAGCTGGGAGTACAGGCACCTGCCACCATGCTCAGATAATTTTTTGTATTTTTAGTAGACACAGGGTTTCACCATGTTGGCCAGGCTGGTCTCGAACTCCTGAGCTCAGGTGATCCACCCGCCTTGGCCTCCCAAAGTGCTGGGATTATAGGCGTGAGCCACGGCGCCCAATCTAGAGCATCTTTTCTTGTGCTTGCTTCTGTCTGTATGTCTTCTTTGGTGAAGCATCTGTTTAAACCATTGCCTATTTTTTATTAGGGTGATTTATCGTCTTACTATTGAACAGTAAGAGCTCTTGTATATTTTGGTTACAGATCTTTTGTTGGATGTATGTTTTGCAAGTGTTTTCTTCCAGGTGAGCACTGCCACTTCATTTCATTAACAATGATGTTGAAATAGGAAAATGTGTATTTTGGGGGAGTCAACTACTCTTCTCAAATCTGCCTGAATAGATTTATCCTTTAGGCCTCTTTTGTGGCAAGACAAATTCATAGCTGAGAAATTTATATGGGAGGAACAAAAAAGTAACTGTACCACTATCTAATATTGAGCACCAGTATTAGTGCAATTATTTAATAATGTAACTTCTTGTTAGTATAACATTAGTGAAAAATAATTATGAAATCTTTAGTATGTTTATCTTCTTCCATAAAATAAATTCATGGCCAGTGGGGTGTCTCACGCCTGTGGTCCCAGCCCTTTCGGAGGCTGAGGTGGACAGATCACGAGGTCAGGAGTTCGAGACCAGCCTGGCCAACGTGGTGAAACCCCATCTCTACTAAAAATACAAAAGTTATCTGGGCTTGGTGGTGGGTGCCTGTAATCCCAGCTGCTCGGGAGGCTGAGGCAGAAGAATCGCTTGAGCTTGGGAGGCGGAGGTTTCAGTGAGCTGAGATCACGCCACTGCACTCCATCTTGGGCAACAGAGCAAGACTCTGTCTCAAAAAAATACATTAATTAATTTAAAAAATAAATTCATCAAATAACGACAATCACGAGAGTGACTACAAAAGATGGGCGTGTCCTCAGAGTCTGGCCTCAGTGAGTTTGGAGTGGTGCATACCAGGAGCAGCAGAGGTTCCAGGGAAAATTGTAGACAGAGGAAACAAACCACCATGAAGGAGAGTCAGTGGCAATAATCATTACCAATGAAGAACTGTAGAGTCGTATTTCAAGAATGAAGGTGAGAGCCGGGTGTGGTGGCTCATGCCTGTAATCCTAGCACTTTGAGAGGCCAAGGCAGGCAGATCACCTGAGGTCAGGAGTTTGAGACCAGCCTGGCCAACATGGTGAAACCCTGTGTCTACTAAAAATACAAAAATTAGCCGGGTGTGGTGGCAGGTGCCTCTAATCCCAGCTACTTGAGAGGCAGAGGCAGGAGAATCACTTGAGCCTGGGAGGCAGAGGTTGCAGTGAGCCGAGGTCACGCCACGGCAGTCCAGCCTGGCGACAGAGTGAGACTCTGTCTCAAAAATAAATAAATAAATAAATAAAATTGAGGTAGTCATTTACAGAAAAATATAATCTTTAAGACTTAAGAGCATTTAAGACCAACAAAGTTTCAATAAAGAAATGTTAATAGAGAAGGTTAGCAAGAAAGGAAAAGATTAAGGAGTGCAGTTATGAATAGTTAGAATCTAGTAGCTAGTAAGCAGATGACACATCTGAAACTCTAATCACGTATTTGCAACAATAAGAAAGCTGTATGTAAAACAACTTCTGTTTGTGGTTGGTGGAATTAAAGGAAACAAGACAGAATAAGCGAACAACTGAAAATAAATACAAAAATGAGGTGATCAGAGTGAAGGCATTCTACAGTGTTTGCATTATTTTGTGGAGGGAGTTAAAATTAGCTTAATTTTAGCCTTTGTTAAATTGTAATGCAAAATGCAGTGTAAAATTTCAAGGAAAACAACTAAAAGAATAGTAAAGATTCCAAACCAATAGAGGTTTAATTTCCAAACCAATCAAAGGAAAAAAGATGGAATTGGTGGGTGAGGGTAGAAGGATTTAAATTATTCAAAAGAGACTGGGCAGAGTGGTTCACACCTGTATTCCCAGCAATTTGGGAGGCCAAGGCAGGTGGATCACCTGGGGTCAGGAGTTCAAGACCAGCCTGGCCAACATGGTGAAACTCCTTCTATTCTAAAAATACAAAGAAAAAAATTAGCTGGGCATGGTGGCTTACACCTGTTGTCCCAGCTACTCAGGAGGCAGAGGCACGAGAATCACTTGAATCCGGGAGGCAGAGGTTGCAGTAAGCCGAAATCATGCCGCTGCACTCCAGCCTGGGGAACAGAGTGAGACTGAGTCTCAATAAATAAATAAATAAATTCAAAAGAAAAGCAGGAAGAGAGAGGGAAAAAAACTAGATAAAATGGACAAGTAGAACACATAAAATAAAGTGAAAGGATAAGGATATAGAAGATTCGAATAGATTATTTCCCACTTTGATTTTAATGGACATATATAGTGATTAGAGAATATTATGCAGCCATTTAAATTGCATATGTAATAGTTACCACTTTACTTGGCATAAAGCCAGTTTTAATAAATTTCAAAGAATTAGTAACAAAAATAATTGAGAAAAACTTCCAGAAACTGGAAAAGGATAATGTGCTTTTGTTATAAAAGTTCATGTTATGTTGAAATGGATAAATGGAAAACAACAAAAACAAAAAGCATACCCAGAAACATGAAGGTCACATTTTATATCACCAGAATGATATAAACTGATTTGCTTCAAAGGAATGAGAGAGACTTTGATTTGATCAGGGTGGTGACATCAGAAGCAAAAAGAAGTGCAGAAATCAATAGTGGGTTCTCACAGAAAAGAACATTGGAAATAGAAATTTACAGTCAGCCAAACTATCACTGAAACCAACCTAAGACAGAATTTATTCAGAAGTATATACTACTGACTACCTGTAAACTCTGTGAGGGGAAAAAAAACCAAAAAAACAAAACTGGAGGATGCACTCCATAAAGAAGAGAAAATGAATTCAAAGAAATGCATTAAAAATACTAATCAGGCTGGGTGTGGTGGCTCACACCTGTAATCCCAGCACTTTGGGAGGCCGAGGTGGGTGGATCACCTGAGGTCAGGAGTTTGAGACCAGCGTGGCCAACATGGTGAAACTCTGTCTATACTAAAAATACAAAAATTAGCCAGGTGTGGTGGTGTGCACCTGCAATCCCAGCTACTCGGGAGACTGAGGCAGGAGAATCACTTGAACCGAGGAGGCAGAGGTTATAGTGAGCTGAGATTGTGCCACTGCACTCAAGCCTGGGCCACAGAGTGAGACTGTCTTAAAAAAATAATAATAATAATCAATAGTCGGCAAAAACAAAGAAGTAAAAATAATAGTAAAATTTGATTAAATCTGAATTGGTGCAAATATTTAAATAAATCAGCTACATGAGACATCTCAACTGTTATCAACATAGGGAGTAATATAGGGTGGAGCAGGTGAAGTTTGCTATTGTATTTTATTTTCTAAGTATGGATAGAATTTAGGAATATTAATAGTGTTTTGTACAGTTAAGCTAACAGCTAGTCAGTTACATTTGGATTTTCTACCTACACAGTCACCTCTTATGGAGGTAATGACAGTTGCTTTTTTGTTTTCATTGAATTATTTTGCTTTTATTCATTTTTAAAATTTCTCCTGTGTACTGGTAGGACTTGCAGTGAGCAGAGGGATGACTGAATAGAATGAGAAGCAGATTTGCCCTAAGCAGTTCCCAACTTGACTTTTCCCTTTAGCTTAGTGATTTTGGGGTCCAAAGATTTGTTTTCCTTTCACACAGCATTGTTTACATTAGCCAAGATTTAGAAGCAACATGTCAACAGATGAATGGATAAAGCAAATGTACATACACACCCCCAGGAGTACTTTTCACTTATAAAGAATAAGATCCTGTTATTTGCAACAACATGGATGGAACTGGAGATCATATGGTAAGACAAATAAGCCAGGCACATAAAGGCAAAATTTTTTCTTACAAGAACTTTGGCTATTCTGAGTCTTTCGTGGTTCTGTCTGCATTATAGGATTGTTTTTCCTGTTTCTGTGAAGAGTATCGATGTTTTGATAGGGTTGCATTAAGTCTGTAGATTGCATTGGTTAATATAGACACTAAAAATACTGATTCTTATTCATGAACATAAAATACATATTTTTGTCTTTTTAAATTTCTTGCATCAATGTTTTATAGTATTCATTGTAGAGATCTTTAACGTCTTTGGTTAATTCCTAGGTATTTAATTTTAATTTGAGGCTATCGTAAATGGGACCACTCTCTTGATTTCTTTTTCACATTGTTCACTGTTGGCATATAGAAATGCTGCTAACTTTTTAATCCTATATCTTGACTAAAATTGTGAGTTCTAATAGTGTTTTAGTGAATTAGGATTTTCCAAATATAAGACCACATCATCTGCAAACAAACATAATTTGACTTCTTCCTTTCCAATTTGCTTGCCCTTTATTTTTTCTCTTGCTAATTGCTCTAGCTGCCATGTGTTGAATAACAGTAGTGAAAGTGTGCATCTCTGTCATGTTGTCAATCTTAGAGGAAAAGCTTTTCATTTTTCCCCATTTAGTATCATACTATATGTGATATCTATATATCTATATATAACTTTTATATGCTGAGGTATGTTTCTTTTTTTATTATACTTTAAGTTTTAGGGTACATGTGCACAATGTGCAGGTTAGTTACATATGTATACATGTGGTATGCTGGTGTGCTGCACCCATTAACTCGTCATTTAGCATTAGGTATATCTCCTAAAGCTATCCCTCCCCCCTCCCCCCACCCCACAACAGTCCCCAGAGTGTGATGTTCCCCTTCCTGGGTCCATGTGTTCTCATTGTTCAACTCCCACCTATGAGTGAGAATATGTGGTGTTTGGTTTTTTGGTCTTGCGATAGTTTACTGAGAATGATGATTTCCAATTTCATCCATGTCCCTACAAAGGACATGAACTCATCATTTTTTATGGCTGCATAGTATTCCGTGGTGTATATGTGCCACATTTTCTTAATCCAGTCTATCATTGTTGGACATTTGGGTTGGTTCCAAGTCTTCGCTATTGTGAATAGTGCTGCAATAAACATACATGTGCATGTGTCTTTATAGCAGCATGATTTATAGTCCTTTGGGTATATACCCAGTAATGGGATGGCTGGGTCAAATGGTATTTCTAGTTCTAGATCCCTGAGGAATCGCCACACTGACTTCCACAATGGTTGAACTAGTTTACAGTCCCACCAACAGTATAAAAGTGTTCCTATTTCTCCACATCCTCTCCAGCACCTGTTGTTTCCTGACTTTTTAATGATTGCCATTCTAACTGGTGTGAGATGGTATCTCATTGTGGTTTTGATTTGCATTTCTCTGATGGCCAGTGATGGTGAGCATTTTTTCATGTGTTTTTTGGCTGCATGTATGTTTCTTCTATAGTTTTGAGGGTTTCTTTCATGAGGAGATATTAAATTTTGTCAAATGATTTTCAGGATCAATTAAAATGATCATGTGGTTTTTGTTCTTTCTTTTGTTGATATGGTATATTACATTAATTGATTTGCATATGTTGAAGTATCTTTGCATCCATGAGATAAATCCTACTTGATGATGAGGAATAATAAACTTTTAATCTGTTGCTGAATTTTACTTGCCAGTATTTTTATGAGAAATTTTGCATCTATTGCTGATATTGGCCTATAGATTTTTTTGATATGCATTTGTCTGATTTTAGTATGAGAGTAATGCTTGCCTTACAGAACGAGGTTGAAAGTATTTCCTCCTCCTCTGTTTTGAAATAGTTTAAGTGGGATTGCTATTAGTTTTATACATGTTTTGTCAAATTCAGTGAAACCATCAGATTTCAGGCTTTTCTTTGATGGGAGGCTTTGTATTATGGATCTCATCACGTCTTGTTTGTGTATTCAGGTTGTGGATTTCTTAATAATTCAATCTTCTTAGGTTCTATGTGTCTAGAAATTTATCCATTTGTTCTAGATTTTCCAATTTATGGCATCTATCTGCTCATAGTACTCACTAATGATCTTTTGAATTCCTGCAGTATAAGTTGTAGAGTTGAAATGTCTCCTTTTTCATCTTTGATATTATTTGAGTCTTTTCCTTTTATTCTTTTATTTATTTATTTATTTTTGAGATGGAGACTTGCTCTGTTGCCCAGGCTGGAGTGCAGTGGCTCGATCTCAGCTTACTGCAACCTCCGCCTCCTGACTTCAAGCAATTCTGCCTGCCTCAGCCTCCTGAGTAGGTGAGATTACAGGCGCCCACCACCATGCCTGGCTAATTTTTGTGTTTTTTAATAGAGACGGGGTTTTGCCATGTTGGCCAGGCTGATCTTGAACTCCTGACCTCAGGTGATCCAGCCGCCCGCCTCAGCCTCCTAAAGTCCTGGGATTACAGGCATGAGCCACTGCCTGCTGAGTTTTTTTTTTTTTTTTCTTAGTCTGAGTAAAGGTCTGTCAGGTTTCTTTTTTTTTTTCCAGAAAACAACTTTGCATTTTATTGACCTTTTGTATTTTATTTCAAATTCATTTATTTCTGCTTTGATCTTTATTATTTCTTTTCTTCTAATTTTGGTTTGGTTTGCTCTTGTTTTTCTAGCTCTCTAAGATACGTCATTAGGTTTTTTTTTTTTTAAAGTGTCAATTGTTTTGGAAATACAGGTGGTTTTTCATGACATGGATAAGTTCTTTAGTGTGTTTTCTGAGATTTCAGTGCACTTGTCACCTGAGCAGTGCACACTGTACTTAATATGTAGTTTTTTATCCCTCACCCGCCTCCCAGCCTTCCCCCTCAAGTCCCCAAAGTCTTTTACATTATTCTTATGCCTTTGCATCCTCATAGATTAGCTCCCACTTATATGTAAGAACATACGATATCTAGTTTTCCATTTCTGAGTTATTTCACTTAGAATAATGACCTTCGGCTCCATCCAAGTTGCTGCAAATGACATTATTTTGTTAAGTGTTCCCATTTCACCACATCCAATGCCAACATCTGTTGTTTTCTTGACTTTTTTTGGCCTACAAAAAATGGCCATTTTTGTAGGAGTTATTTGATATCTAACTGTGGTTTTCATTTGTATTTCCTTGATTATTGATGTTGAGCATTTTTAGGTTGTTATTAGCTGTTTGTATATCTTCTTTTGAAAAAATATATATTCATTTTCTTTGCCTACTTTTTGATGGAATTATTATTTTGCTAATTTCTTTGAGTTCCTTATAGATTCTGGATACTAGCTTTTTGTCAGATCTGTAGTTTGCAAATATATTCTGCTACTCTGTGGGTTGTCTGTGTACTCTGCTGCTTATTTCCTTTGCTGTGCAGAAGCTTTTTAGTTAAATTAGGTCCCATTTATTTATGTTTGTTTTTGTTGCATTTGCTTTTGGGGTCTTAGTCATGAATTCTTTGCCTAAATCAATGTCGAGAAGAGTTTTTTTTCTTATGTTATCATTTAGAATTCGTATGCTTTCAGGCCTTAGATTGAAATATTTGATCCATCTTGAATTGATTTTTGTATAAGGTCAGAGATGGGGATCCAGTTTTATTCCTCTGTGTGTGGCTTGCCAGTATTTCCTAGCACCATTTATTGAATAGGGTGTTCTTTCCCCAATTTGTGTCTTTATATGCCTTGTTGATGATTAGTTTAGTTGCCTGTGTTTGGCTTAATTTCTGGATTCTGTATTTTGCTTCATTGGTCTGTGTGTAAATTTTAATACCAATACCATGTTGTTTTGATAACTATAGCCTTGTAGTATAATTTGAAGTAGGGTAATGTGATGACCCCATATTTTTTATTTATTTGTTTGGTTAGTATTACTTTGGCTATGTAGGCACTTTTTTGATCCATATTAATTTTAGGGTTTTTTTTCTAGTTCTGTGAAGAATACTGGTGGTATTTTCATGGAAACTGCATTAAATCTGTCATGAAGTTGTTCATTTGAATTTTTTTATGTAGACACTTTTAGTTATAAACTTTTAGTACTGCTTTTACTGTAAATCCTAAGTATTTCCATTGTGACATATTACAGAAATATTTCAATTTATTTATTAATATCCCCATTGACCCACTGGCCTTTCAGGAGCATATTGTTTAAATTCTATGTGTTTGTATAGTTTCAAAAATTTGTCTTGTTATTGATTTCTAGGTTTTTTTATTGTAGTCACAAAAGATGCTTGATATTATTTTAATTTTTAAAATGTGTTAAGACTTGTTTTGTGACCTAACATATGGTCTATCCATGAGAATGATTCATGCACTGCAGAGCAAAATGTGTATTCTGAAGCCATTGGATAAAATGTTCTGTAAATATCCATTGTGTCCATTTGGTTTATAGTGCAGATTAGGCCTGAGATTTCTTTGTTGGTTTTCTGTCTGGAAGATTTATCCAATGCTGAAAGTGTGATGTTGCATTCTCCAGGTATTATTATATTGGAGCCTGTCTCTCTCTTTAGCTCTAATAATACTGGCTTAATATATCTGAGTACTTCAGTGTTGGATGCATATGTATGTAACATTCTTACATCCTCATGCTGAATTAAACTCATTATTATTATAGAGTGACCATCTTTGTCTCTTCTTCTAGTTTTGTCTTGAAATCTATTTTGTCTGACATAAGTGTAGCAACTACTGCTATTTTTGTTTGTTTTCTTTGACATGGAATTTTTTTAAATCTTTTTAATCTATGTGTTTATAGGTGAAGTGTGTTTCTTGTAGGCAACAAATCGCTGGGTCTTAATTTTTGTATCCATTTAGCCACTCTGTGTCTTTTGATTGGAGAATTTAGTCCATTTACATTCAGTGTTGTTATTGATTATATAAAGACTTACTCTTGCCATTTTGTTCTTTGTTTTCTGGTCTTGCTATCAGCAGCAAGAGGGAACCTGAAAGTAGGTAGCCATCTGTGAGGCTGAGTCTGGGATTTTTATGGGTTTAAAACAGGAGAATGCATGCTGATTGGTTCATGGGTGGGCTTGGAAAAGACACCATTCAATTGGTTAAAAGGCATCATTCTCAAAGAACCAATAGAGAGCAGGTTAGACAGGGATGGAAGTTCTCACTCTAGTCCATGAATTCTTTCTGGAACTGGTAGCTCAGTTTTCAGGCTTTTTAGACTGTTGTTTCCTTGAAGGTCGAGTTTCACCAGTGCACCCATCCCTGTCTGCCTAGGAGTTTGTCTTCTGTTGCTATCAGTAGGACTGCAGTGGGTCAGACCTGAAACCAGCACAGCACTTGATCACACCCATGGTGAGCTGTAACCCTACCTGGTACCACCAGTAATTGCTCAAGGTCTTGGAGCTTTATAATCTGTAGGTGGTAAGCCAGCCAGGTTTGTATCCTTTCCTTCAGAGTAGTGAGTTCCCTCAGGTTCTGGGCAAGCCCAGTGGTGCCATCCAGGAGCCAGGGGCTGGAGTCAATAACCTTAGGAGTCTACTTTGTGTTCTATTGTACTGTGGTAGAGCTAGCAATTAAACCATGAAATTCGGTTCTTCCCATTTTTCCCTCCTTACTCAACAGGCAGAGGGGCCTCATCCTATTGCTGCCATCACCACAGGCCCATCGGGAATACTGCCAGGCTTCCACCAATGTTCTCTTAAGGTTCAAGGCTCTTTAGTTCACTTATAGTGAATGATGCTTGGCCTGCTACTCATCCTTTTGGTCAGTGGTGTCCCTTCTGTCCCAGTACAGGTCCAGAAGTGCCATCCAAGTGCCAAGACCTGGAATAAGGGACCCCAAGAGCCCACTGGTGCTCTTCCTCTCTTTGGCCATGCTGGGACCTAAGTTGCAAGATGAAGTTCTCTAGTTTTTCCTCTACCTTTTTCAGTGTCTCCCTGTAGCCACCACAGTTGTGAATGTGCCGAGTCTCACCTGATTCTAGCAAGCCTCAGAGTCTCAATGAAAGCTCACAGCAAACTACCTGGTTATCACTGCAGGTTATTCCAGGCCAAGGGCCCTTTACTTAGCAGTTGATGGGTCTTGTTAGTACCGGATTTCTTCATTCAAGGCAGCAGATTTCCTTATAGTCCAGTATGTACCTAGAAATTTTAATTAGGAGCTAGTGGCTGAGAAGGATGTTTTATAACTCTGACTGGTGGCCTTGCTGGTATCCAAAATACAAGACAAAGTCCTGTTTACTCTTTCTGTCTTCTTAAGTAGATGGAAGTGGTCTCTTGAATCTGTGAGCTGTGCAGCCTCAGTTTGGAGGAGGGGTGGTATAAGAACTCTCTTAGCTGCCCCAGCTTGTATCTTAGTAGGTAATGTGGCCCCCAAGTCCACTGGCTCTAAGCCCAGTTCAGCATGACACCTGGGAGTTGCTGTCCTTGTGACCTAGACTGTTTTAAGTTTCTTTAGGGCCCCAGAGCATTTTAGACTATGGTGGTGAAGCTTGCCAGAACTCAAGTTCCAATCACTGGGAGGGTGATTCCCCTCTGTCCAGGGCCAGTTGAAACACACCCTCTGTGGGCAGGCATCAGCTGAGTTCATTCCAGTTTTGCTTTCTGCTATGATAGGGCAGCACTGAGTTCAATGCTCACAATCCCAGTGCTCTCCCTCTCCCAAGTGTACAGATTCTGTCTACATAGCATGTGACTACTGCCAGGGCATGAGTGAGGAGTGGCATTAGTGATTCAAGACTGTCTTTCCTACCCTGTTTTAGTGCCTCTTTGTGTACTGCAGGGTTAAAACCAGGTACTGTGAGTGCTCGCCTTTATTCTTATGAAGGTTTTTGTTTGCTTTTTAATAGATAGTTGTTATATTGGTGTCCTTCCAGGGGAAATGATCACTGGAGCCTTCTATCTAGCCATCTTGCTCTGTCCTCTGTTGGTTTTCTACTATGGCATTGTGCTCATGTTCTCAGCTTGGTAAAATTTCATATTGGATTTGTAAAGTATATTCAGCTAAATTCAGTATGTAGAATAATTAGTTATTTTTACTACTTTGAGCTATATATTCTTATTACAACCAAGGCATTTTACCAGAGCAAGGCATAGAAGAGTCATTCAAAAAAGCAACACTAGGAAAAGCAACACTGGGAAGATATGGGAGCTGTGGCCTTGAAAATTTATGCTTATGGAAAAACTGGGAAAGTATAGGTGAAGGACAAAAAGAATTATAATTTATGTAGCCAATATTTGACAACTTCTCATAACAAAAATTTAACTGTGAAAGGAGATGAAGAACATAGAATATTTCTGAAGAAGCCTCAGTTTCTGCCAGCTACTCCTACAGAACCATGTATTCCTGTGAGTAAATATCAACATCAATTTTTGGAATCTGTCTTTTGTAATAAAAATCAGATAAATTTTAGCCATGACTCAAATATTAGTAAACATCAGAATACTCATTTTCTAGAAAACTATTACAAATGTAATGAATGTGAGAAAGTGTTTTATCAATCCTCAAAGTATCCATATTCAAGAAAAGCCTTACAACCCTAATGAATGTGGTGAAACTTCTAACCCATCCTCAAAACTTACTCAACATCGAAGAACTTATATTGGAGAGAGCTCACAAAGATGTAATAAAAAATGTATAATAGTCTTTAGTCAGTCACATCTGAAGAGACATAAGATAATTAACACTGGAGAGAAATCAGTAAAATGTAAAGAACGTGGCAAAGCTTTTACCAGGGGCTTACAACTTGGACATCAGAAAATTCATACTGGAGAGAAACCTTACAAATGTGAAAAATGTGACAAAGCCTTTAAGAAGAGCTCACACCTTGCTCAACATCAGAGAATCCATACTGGAAAGAAACCTATCAAGTGTAAGGAATGTGGCAAAGCTTTTAACAGAGGCTCATACCTTACTTAACATCAGAGAATCCATACTGGAGAGAAAGCCTTCAAATGTAAAGAATGTGGCAAAGCCTTTAATAGAAGCTCATACATTACTCAGCATCAGAGAATTCACACTGGAGGGAAACCTTTCAAGTGTCAAAAAATGTGGCAAAGCTTTTAACAGAGCTTCACACCTTACTCAACATCAGAGAATACATACTGGAGAGAAACACTTCACACATAAAGAATGTGGCAAAGCCTTTAACAGGGGCTCACACCTTACTCGACATCAGAGAATCCACACTGGAGAGAAGTCTTTCAAATGTAAAGAATGCAGCAAAGCTTTTATCTAGGGCTCACACCTTACTCAACATCAGAGAATCTACACTGGAGAGAAATTCTTCAAATGTAAAGAATGTGGCAAAGCTTTTACCAGGAGCTCACACCTTTCTCAATATCAGAGAATTCATACTGGAAAGAAACCTTTCAAATGTGAAGAATGTGGCAAAGCTTTTAACAGACACTCAACCCATACTCAACATCAAATAATTCATACCAGATAGAAACTCTTCAAGTGTAAAGAATGTGCCAAAACCCTAAACTGGTGCTCACACCTTACTCAACAATTCTATCTTTTATACAATAAATTACGGTTAACTATAGTTGTCCTATTGTGTTACGAAACACTAGATCTTATTTCTTCTATTTTTCTTAATGTTTAATTAAAATATTATTTCAGGCTGGACATGGTGGCTGATGCCTGTAATCCCAGCACTTTGGGTCAGTGAGGGAGGATCACTTGAGCTCAGTACATTGAGGCTGCCTTCAGCTATGATTACGCCACAGCACTTGAGCTGAGGACAGAATGAGACCCTGTCTTTAGAAAAAAATAGGCTGGGTGTGGTGGCTCACACCTGTAATCCCAGCCCTTTGGGAGGCCTAGGCAGGAGAATCTCATGAGCGCAGGAGTTTGAGACAAGCCCATGCAACATAATGAGACCCCATCTATACACAAAATTTAAAAATTAGTTGGGCATGGTGGTGTGCAGCTGTGGTCCCAGATACTTGGTAGCCTGAGGTGGGAAGACTACTTGAGCCTAGGAGGTAGAATCTGCAGTAAGCCATGATCATGTTACTTCACTCCAGCCATGGTGATAGAATAAGATCTGTCTCAAAGAAACCAAAAAAAATAAAATATTTGCTTATTTTTTGAAAAAAATGCACAACATTGAGAAATATGGAAGTTATTTTAAAAGTTTTTTATTCTCTTCTAAATGCATTTTCTAAAATATACAAAAAATTAGTAAAAAAAAAAAAATGACATAACTGACCTCACATGCATTAAGTGAAATAAACCAGACACAAAACATAATACAGTGTATCATTCCATTTATACAAAATAGTAATCATACCACAATAATAAAGAGGTAATAAAAATGGACCAGGCATGGTGGCTCACACGTTTAATTCTAGCACTTTGGGAGGCTGAGGCAGGTGGATTGCCTGAGGTTAGGAGTTCGAGAGCAGCCTGGCCAACATGGTGAAACCATGTCTCTACTAAAAACAAAATTAGCCAGGTGCAGTGGTGGGCGCCTGTAATCCCAGGTACTCAGGAAGCTGAGTCAGGAGAATCTATTGAACCCGCGAGGCAGGCAGAGGTTGCAGTGAGCTGAGATCGCACCACTGCACTCAAGCCTGCATGACAGAGACTCCATCTCAAAAACGAAACCAAACCAAACAATAAAGGTGATAAAATGGAATGTCCATAAAAGGGAAATCAGTAATGATTGTCTAGTCCTGATAGTGGAAATATTTTAAAGTTATACCATGGCTATAGTTGCATAATTATAAATATACCAGAAACTTTGTATTGAGTATGATGTTATGCATATTTCATCATAACTTTTTTTAAAAAAATAAGCATGCCATAAAATAGCAAGGTGGTTAAATTGCTTGCTTGAAAACAATCTGAAAATGCAATCAATTTTTGCTCATTTCAAGGTTTTTGATTAGGTGTTTCTGAATTTGTCCGTTAGGTCTAGTTGGTATATTAAAGTCAGCAGTTCACATTGAGAATTTTCTACTTCTACCATTCTGCCATTTGTGCTTCATATATTGGGGTCTTTGTTAGGTACATGCATATTTAAAACTATTTTATCTTCTTGATAGATTTATAATTTTTTAACATAAAATTTCCTGTGTCAATTAATTATAGCAATGTTGTCTTAATGCCTATCTTGTCTAAGGGTAACCACCCCAGCTTATTTTGCTTACTATTTGTGTGGAATCTTTTTACCCATCCTTTCACTTTCAACCTATTTGTGAGCTTAGGACTAAAGAGATTCTCCTGTAGATAACATAAAGTTAGTTCATGTTTTTGTTTATTTTTAAACCATCTGCCAATCTTTGCATTGTAATTGTAGATGTTAATTTCTATTTAAACTATTTATAAGGAAGGGCACACTTCTGCCATTTTTCTAGTTGTTTTCTAAAGTCTTGTATATTTTTGTTAATTAACTCTTATATTACTGACATCTTTAATGTTCTAGTATTTTTCCAAAACAGTTTTGATTCTCTTCTCATTTCCTCTTTCACTTCTTTCTTTAGTTGTATTTTTAGTGGCTACCTTAAGGATGACAATTAATCTCATCACTGTGTAACTGTACTTTAAATTAATACCGCTCGTAATTCAGTTTTATTTTAAAAGCTGTTTCAATAGAGATCTGCTCCTCCAATGTTATGTTGTTTTGTCACATATTACATCTTTATGCATTGTATGACATTAACAAAAATTTATAATTATTTTATGCATTAGTATTTTAAATTACATGTAAAAAAGAACAATAGATAAAAGTTACAAAATATTCTTTAATAGTGGCATTTATATTTTGCCATGTACTCATTTTTACTGGCATTCTTCATTTTTTCATATGGCCTTGCATTATTACCTAGTTTGTCATTTCATTTCAACCCAAAAGATAACCTTTGTCATTTAATGCATACCAGGTCTACTAGTGACAAGCTGTTAAATTTGTTTTAATCTATATAGCTCTTAGTGTCTTCAAAGGTCTTCAAGGATGTCCTTCATCTTTGAAGAGCAGTTTTGCTGAAAATAGAGTTCTTTGTTGGCTTTTTTTTTTCTTTCTACACTTTAAATATATTGTCCTATCATATTCTGGACTCCGTAGTTTTTAGTGAGAAATTATATTCTGGACTCTAGTTTTTAGTGAGTTGTTAATGTCAGTGTAGATGCATTGCAAATAGTAGTCTTTTCTCCATAACTTTCTTCAAAGTTGTCTCTTTAGCTTTTGAAAGTTTTATTGTAATTTGTCTTGGTGTAGAGTTCTTTGAGTTTATACTATGAATTCAATGAGATTTTGGAATGTGTAGATTCACGTATTTCATCATGCTTGGGAACTTTTTAGCCATTATTTCTTCAGATGTTCTTTCTGCCCCATTTTATCTTTCTCCCTTCTTTCGGGAGTTTTCATAATGCTTGTAATGGCACATTTTATAGTATCCCATTGTTATCTTAGGCTCTGTTCATCTTTATTCATTATTTTTTATTTCTGCTAGTTGGGATAATACGAATTGAAGTGACCTCAAGCTTGCTGGTTGTGTCTTTCGTCTACTTAAATCTTTTGTTGAACCTTTGTGGTGAATTTTTTATTTTAGTTATCTTAATTTTCAACTTTAGAGTTTGGCTTCAGTTTATAATCTCTATCTCTATTAATATTTTCTATTTGATGAGACACTATTCTTCTGAAATGTTTTTCCTTTTGATGTTATTTATCTTTGCAGCACATTTAAGACAGGTAATTTAAAGACTTTTTCTAGATTTTTCAATGCCTACGATTCCTCTAGGACTGTTTCTGTTAATATCTGTTATCTTATTAGTGGGCCATTATTTTTTCATTAATTTATTTGCACGCTTTGTATTTCATTGCTGTTGCTGAAAACTAGACTTTTTCTATTACAACAACCCTGAAATAATATTCTCTCTCATCCCGTTGGGTTTTTTTGTTGCTTATTGTAAATTTTACTTGTTTGTTTGGTGAGTTTTCAAAATTATTTTTAAAATATCATCCTTTTGTCGTGTTTAGCAATAAAAATCTCTGCTTTATTAGCTTCATGTGAGCTAGCTATTTGACAGAGATTTTCTCAAATGCCTGCTCACATCAAATATAAATCTACTAGTTCTTGCAGTTGGGTTTACTTAGCCAGAAAGATTACAACTTTGCTGTTTTCTTTTCTTCCTGCTTGTGCAGGGCTTGGAGGTAAAGCAGACATGAGAGATAACAGCTTCGTAGGTCTTTGTGAGCATTTGCCTGTCCCTTGATTGACCCTGAACATGCTTATGGGCTTCTGGATTCTCAGGAATATGTGGATAATTTTCAAAGCCCGAATCCCCCAGGCACCTCACTCCTCAGTCTTTTCTCTTAGATATTCTACATGACTTTTGCTTGCCGCACTGATATTCTTTCTCCAAGGTGTGATGAGTAGTTAATTAGCCCTTAACTATTTTTGCCAAACATTAGGTTATTAATTTAGAATTGTTTATTTTTAATGTAGGTGTTTACTGCTGTGAATTTCTCTCAGTAGTTTGCTGCATCTCATGTTTTGATGTTTTTTTGAGACAAGTTCACACTCTGACACCCAGGAATGAGTGCAGTGGTTTGATCAGGGGTCTCAGAAGCCTTGACCGTGTAGGCTCAAGTGAACTTGCTGCCTCAGCCTCACAAGTAGCCAGAGCTACAGGCAGGTGGTACAATGCCTGGCTAATTTTTGAAATTTTTTTGTGAAGATGGGTTCTCATTATGTTGCCCAGGCAGGTCTCAAACTCTTGGGCTCAGTCCTCCCACTGCTGCCTCCTAAAATGCTTAAATTACAGGCATAAGTCACAGCACTCAGCCTTTATAAAACCTTTGATATTTTTTCTTTTATTCTGTTTTCCCATGTTTGTAACATGTTGTCCCAAATTATACAATAGTTCTATGGTAGTTGTGGCACATTTGTGACATAAAATAGAGAAAACATAAGTTACATTTAAATTTGGGGTAAACAACAAATAACTTTTTAGTATAGCTATGCAATGTTTTTATATCTGTGTATAATATGTGTAAGCAATTACTGGAGTATATACAAATAACAATTCATCATTTACCTGAAATTCAAATATAACCAAGTGTGTTACATTTGTCAACCCTTGTTCATGGGAGCCACTGTTCTTTTCTCCAGACTCAGCATTAATGACCTGAAAACCTTCATTAGAGAAAAATAAAGTTTGATAATTAGCAGATACATTCTTTTGCGGTATGTAGTAGTCATTAGAGAGGGTGTGGCATGAATTAAAGTGTGTGATCTGGATACCTTATGGGGAGAAAAAAATAGAATTCTTACGTATGTTGTTTTATCTAATTGTATTACCTCTTTCTGTGATATAACTTTTAATACACACAGTATATTTAGTAAAAGTGATTTCTACATAAGTAGTAAGTAGTTATTTGTATATTAATTGTCCATGTTTATTTTCTGGAACTAGACTGCAGTATTTAATATATGGAGATTATTATGGCTTTAATCTGATACTATCCTGGAGCTTCTTTTAGGTTTAACATGACAAAAGAACCATATCATGTTGATGGCATCAGTATATTTTGGTGGCAACTATCCATTGTTTGGTTCTGGACATTGAGATAAATGTGTACTTATACTAGATTATGTGTTAGGAGAAAAAATAAAAACTGATATATAAACTATGCAATTTCCTTTTTGTAAACTCATCCATATCAGGTGGTTTAAAATTGGTTAGCAGTTTTCTAACTCAGATGTTAATTTCTGAGTATGAGGTAAAAAATACTGTCAAATCATCTTCATTGCCTTGCACATTTATATTTGTGGTTTGTGCATTAGTACCATCACAACTCACTGGCTCACTATAGCCTCAAGATCCTATGCTCAAGTGATCCTTCCATGTCAGCTTCCCATGTAACTGGGACCACAGGTACGTGCCACCATGCCTAGCTAATTTCTTTCTTATTTTTGATAGACACAGGGTGTCACTGTGTTGCTCAAGCTAATTTCAAACTGTTTATCTGAAGCAATGTCCCTGCCTCAGCCTCTCAAAGCGGTGGAATTATAGGCATGAGCCAGAGCTCTATTATTCTAAGCTGCGGGCTGAATTAGTTGGATACAATAGTGATGACTGTATTCAGGGCAAAGAAGAAAGTAATTGCAGAATTATTCAATAAAATTTTATGAAGGGTTCTCATACAGAGATATCATGATTAAGAGATGGAGAATTATCTTTACTATTAGTGACCTTGGTGTTTTTCCAAGGCTTGGAAAGGCATCTTTCCATGGAAGGGTATCTCTGTATAAAGTGAAGCATCAAGAAAATTATCACTTAATGCAAATTCATGGATCCCATAAAGTAGAAAAAGGTAGTCCATGTACTTGTAGCATTGAAAACTGGATTTTAGCAATTTCCTCCTGAGATGAAATAAAGCTTTCATGAGATTTCTCTGGGATAAAAACAAAACTTGAACAGAGCCAGAATTATTTTAAGGGATTCGTTTAATAGGACTTGTGGTAAGTGGAATAATGCCATGCAAAGGTCCCCATGTCTAACCACCAGGTTCTAGGCATGTATTATGGTATATGAGAAATGGGAATTCAGGCTGCAGATGAAATCAAGGTTGATAACCAGCTGACTCTAAAACAAAAACATTAACTTGAATTACAGATTTGGGCCTAATGTAATTATAAGCATTCTTAAAAGTGAAAGAAATAATAAGAGAAACTGAGTGCTGTGATGTGAGTCAGTTAAACTTTTTTTTCAACTTTTTCTTTAGGTGATTATTTTCCCTTAACATAAAATTTACTTTAGCTCAACTATACAAACATGTGAGTTATTGTTATGTAACCATCACTCTTCATTAAGAAATGCTTTGTAAAAAGTGAGCCAGTTTTTCATATACATTCTTCAAAATACATTCTCAACATTATACATCAAATTATATATACATACATGCACACATACACTATATATATCAAGGATTTATATGAGAGGATTAATTAAGAAAAAAATTAGTGGAATAAAAATAATGTTTATGATAATTTTGGCCATAGAATATATAATACAGATGATGTGAAGTACAAAATGTTTTTTATACTTCATATTTTGATGTACAAAGTATGTTTGTCTTTGTAATTCAGATGATTACTTTGCACTTGTGTTCCCATGAAAAATGCCTTTCATTTCTAAGCTGGTATTGGCATCTCAGCCAACACTTTTCTCCTTCTTTTCTGCGTCTTCTCCTTTTCTGCTTTTTCTGGATCTCAGGCCAGAGCGCACTTACCTACCAGTCTGTCATGTGGCCCTCATCCACATGGTGGTCCTTCTCACCATGGTGTTCTTGTCTCCACAGCTCTTTGAATCACTGAATTTTCAGAATGACTTCAAATATGAGGCATCTTTCTACCTGAGGAGGGTGATCAGGGTCCTCTCCATTTGTACCACCTGCCTCCTGGGCATGCTGCAGGTCGTCAACATCAGCCCCAGCATTTCCTGGTTGGTGAGGTTTAAATGGAAATCCACAATTTTTACCTTCCATTTGTTCTCATGGTCTCTCAGTTTTCCTGTTAGTAGTAGCCTGATCTTTTACACTGTGGCTTCTTCCAATGTGACCCAGATCAATTTGCATGTCAGTAAATACTGTTCACTTTTCCCAATAAACTCCATAATCAGAGGACTGTTTTTCACTCTGTCATTATTCAGAGATGTTTTTCTTAAACAAATAATGCTGTTCTCAAGTGTCTACATGATGACTCTCATTCAGGAACTACAGGAGATCCTGGTACCTTCACAGCCCCAGCCTCTACCTAAGGATCTTTGCAGAGGCAAGAGCCATCAGCACATCCTGCTGCCGGTGAGTTTCTCGGTGGGCATGTACAAGATGGACTTCATCATCTCAACCTCCTCAACGTTGCCATGGGCATATGACCGTGGTGTCTAGAGGCTAGTGGGCAGTGTCTATACCATTGTCAGGTTTTTGGTGCTACTGAGATCTGATAAAAGGGTAATCAATGTGATGTAAACTATAAGACAAATGTTTAAAAGGTTAATTGTATGAATCCTGTCATGAGTTAAATTATTCAGAGTGTTCATTATAGAGAATAATCCAAAGTTAAAATAATTGGATAATTTATTTGTATGTAGGATAAAAGTAGTAGGAGATTGCTTCTTGAAGATTTAAAATTATATTGAGTGTAATTATTTGCATTAAAATAATTTTAAATGTTTTGAATAGCAAGTATTGATATAATTAAACTTTCGAATAACTTAGTGCTTTGCCTTTATTCCTAATGTTTATATGGAAGCATGTGGTCAATGTTTGATGCATTACAGCTCTGAGCGGTCCTTCTGTATTAGGTGGTCATCATTTATATACTTCTCCATAAAAGATTAAGGACCTGGAAATGTAAGATACATGAAGAAAATCTAAGTGGAGAGGCTGTTTGTGGTTAAGTGATAACAGTGTTGTAAGCGATGCATGAGGTAGGTGTTCAGTGCATATCCTCTGCATTTTATTAATAAACACTGTAAAATTTAGAAGAAAATTGTTTCACCAAATGCACATAAAACTAATAAAATAGAGTGGATTTTGATATGTCTCAGATTATTTGTAAACTTTATTTGTTTTAACAAATAAAAAATATTTTTAATATGTTAAGGGTCTTGTGCATTGATTGAAGTGTCATCCTGCTGTCAACATTAACTTATTCTACCTTACTCAGGCTTGTAGGTAAAACATGGTAAGACTATACCATTAAGTAATATGGTGGAATAACATCTGTAGTGATTCTTTTTCCCAGTGGCCTTATACTTCAAATAATTTAGAGAATATTGTTCCCACGTATTACATTTTTATTTATTTTGTAACTGTGAAGTTATTGTGATGGTTATACTGAAGATTATATAGGAGTATAATCAAAAGCCCTACATTTCTGAATTCTGAATAACTATTTAGAAAATTCAGCCTACATTTTTTTGAACATGTTATCTCTGGTTCTACAAACACAAAATTTTAGTTTTAATTTACATGGTGTAAAATTTCTAAATATATTACTCTAAAGATAAACTTTAGATATAAAAGAATTGGAGAAGTAATTGTTTTTATGTGAGTGTGGACCTATTCTGAGTAGGAAAATATATCAGAACAAAGCAGATGATTTCATGAGTGTTTATGATATACTAGCAAACTAAAACCTCACAGATTCTGAAAGCAAATTTATTTCCTCTGCTTTCCATTCATCTCTAAAATCTTGTGGTTCAGAATCTCCCCATCCAAACCCTTTGTTCTAGCTTGCCTTCTATTCATGCTAGACCTAATATACAATTTTCTTCTTTCAAAGTTCATGAAGTATTCTTTACGTGACCTGCCTAATGATTATAGCTCTTTCGGTAAAATGTAATGGTGCTAACTAAATAATTTGAAGATCTGAGTAATTTTGCAGTGAGTATATTATTAAATTTTATTATTTAATTAGTATATTTAATCTTTTCAATTAGACAATTCTATTTAAGCAAAATGTTTTTATTACTGTTTCTTTCATGTTTTATAGTAGACATATTTGATATAATTATTGAATTTATTGAGCCATGCTTTTAAGGTAAAAACTCGGGAGGCTTCATAAGCCATGGGATTTTCTTGCCATTTGTATGAAGTAAACAAACACAAGACGGTGCTAGGTGTGTAACAAATGCTTTACAATTATCAGGAAATATTTCTGCTCGAGTGAGTTTGTATCTTCATATAAGAGATTAAAAACACCCAGAGTGAAGAAGTGGCATTGGTTTTGCATGGTGAGAGAGGAAATCTGTAGTCAGGCTGCACAACTAACTCTAAATTTAGACAGATAAATTCTGCTTCTTTTATTTTCTAATTATCTTCAGTTTTTCTTTCACTGTCTTTTTATCTTCACCCCCAAATACATATGCATTATAGCCCTTCTCTTTCTTTGCCTGTCTTATGGCAACAGCTTGCTCACTGTTCTCCCCACCCCATGTTATTTCACACAGTACTCTGCAGGTTCTGAGGACAAGTTAGAATTATTTTTAATGTGCCTAAAAATTCTTTGTAGCTGGAGAATTTGAAGTCATTTATAGATTACAAATGCAACATTCTTGTCACTTAATTTAGATAAGATAACGCAGTATCCATGGATTAGATCGTTGGACAGATAGCATTGTTAAACATTATTATATTATAACACAAAGAATGGTAAATATCAAATTAGACTAAGTGAAGTATTAATACCAGTGGGCCATGTATTATTAGTGCTACATAAGAAAACAAATCAAAATTTGGATATCTCATTAGAGACATGTCTTAGAAATAAAATTGTATTAAGGAGAGTTAGTGGTAAGTAAAATATTTTAAATTCAAATTTCTATGAAATATTTATCCCACTGCTTTTGTTTCCATGCAGAATCTTCTGTTGTTGAGTGGGTATAATAAGTTTTGGACAAAAATAAAATAACCTTTGTGGGTTTAAAATTTGGAATAATCTTTTTTGCGGATTCGTATTGCCATCTTGGGAAATTTCTCACTCATATTATTATAACTTCTTTTATTTGAATGGGCACAGTTACAGTCCACAGTTTTTATTCTCAGACACCTAATTACAGCCAAATTCTAGGTCATTCTCTTTAGAGAAATCTCAAAGACAATGGCAGGCTTTTGGATTAAAACATTTTCTCAGTGATTTTGGATGCAAACTTGTTTTCAGTGTTTACAGAAGGGCCAGAGGCGAAACCATTAGCAGCACCTGCCTTTTTAGTGTCTTCTATACCAGGAATTCCAGGTACCTGGAGCTCAAAGTAAAAGCTCTAAAGTACATAGGATTCTCCCAGGCACTGTGCTGGTTCTTGCACATGCTGGTAAATATCTGAGTTTCTATGCTTATGACTGACAAGTGAAATGACAAAAACACCACAAAAACTATATATTTTGATACTACTCTGCTAAGCTTATGAATAAGACACAGACTGCTTATTTGAAACACTACCTTTTCATGTTTCTAAATTTTTTAAATTGACAGATAAAATTATATGTATTGTCATGTAAAATGTGGTTTAAAGCATGCATACATTGTGTAATATTAAATTCTGGCTAATTAACAAGTGCTTTACCTCATATAGTTATCATTTTTGTGATGGAGAACACTTAACATTGACTATATCAGTATTTTTAAAACATAACAGTATGTCATCATTAACTATAGTCACCAGGCTTTACAACAGGTTTTTTTAACTTATTCCTTTAATCTAACTAATTATATATTCTTTGAAAGACATCTACCCAATCCCCTTCCAAAATATCTTAGCCTCTCGTTCCACTATTTTAGTCTCTACTTCAATGCGATCAATTTTTTAAAATTCCACATATGAGCAAAATCATGAGGTATTTGTCTTTCTGTGTCTGGATTATTTCAATTAACATAATCTCCTTCATGTTCATCCATGTAATTGAAAATGACAGTATTTTCTATTTTAAGGCTGAATAATAATCCATTCGTACAGAATGGATGTATGCCACATGTTCTTTATCATTTTATTTGATAATAAACCCTGAGTTTGATTTTATATCTTGGCTATTGTGAATAGTGCTGCAATAAACATAACAGCACAGATGTCTCTTTCACATACTTGATTTTTTTGATATGTGCCCAATAATGATATTGCTGTATCATATGATAGTTCAGCTTTTAATGTTTGAGAAATCTCCATACTGTTTTGTATAATGGCTACGCTGATTTACATTCAGTGCGCAAGCATTCCCTTTGCTCCACATCTTTGCCAATAATTATTTTTTTGGCTTTTTATTAATAGTCATTCTAACAGTAGTGAGTTGTTATCTAATAGAGGTTTAGATTAGTCCTAACCTTAGATTAGCCTTAACCTTAGATTAGCCTTATGATAATTTACCTCGCATTTTTTTCATATATTTTTTACCATTTGTATGTCTTCCTTTAAGAAATGTTTATTTACATCTTTCACCCATTTTAATAGTTACTTGTTTATTGTTCTATAGTTGTTTGAGTTTCCTGTCTATTTTGGATAGTAACCCTTTGTCAGATATATAACTCATAAATATTTTCTCTTATTTATACGTTATTTTTCTTCTGTTGGTTGTACCTAGTGCTGTGTAGAAGCTTTTCAGTTTTCAAGTAATCTCATTTGTCTACTTCCACTTTTGTTTGCTGGGATTTTGAGGTGAAATAAATAAGAAAAAATTATTGTCCCCACCAATGTCATGGAGCTTTCACTCTGTTTTTTGTAGCAGTTCCAGAGTTTTGAGTCTTTGATTTATGTTGGTGGAGGGTCTCATTTCATTGTTCTGCCTGGAGATACTCAGTTTTCATAACACCACTTTTGAAGTAACTGTCCTTTCCCCACTGTGTGTTCTTGTCACCTTTGTGTAAGATCCTGAAATTTTATGAATTTGTTTCTGGGCTCTGCATTCTGCTTTATTCACCTATGTTTCTCTTTTTAAACCAGTTATCATACTATATCAATTCCTAAAGCTTTGTAGTGTATTTCAAAGGTAGTGTAATGCTTCCAGCTGTATTATTTGTGCTTAATTTCTGTTGCTGTTTAGTGTTTTTGTGATGCCATATGAACTTTAGAATTTTTGAAATATTCTAAATAATTTCATTTGTATACAGATAAGAGACTGCTTTGAATCTGTAGATTGTTTTGCTCAGTGTAGACATTTTAACAGTATTAATTCTGCCAATCAATGAACCAGAAATATCTTTCCATTTATTTGTGATTTAGAAAGTTTTTCTACTCAGTGTTTTTTAATTTTAATATAGAAATCTTTCACCATTTTGGTTACATTTATGAGTAAACTTTTTGTAGTTATTATAAATAAAATTGTTTACTTGACTTTTTCAGGTAGTTTATAGTTAATGTATAGAAATTCTGGCATTTTGAATTGGTTTAAATTTTTTATTTTTGTGGGTACTTAGTTGGAGATATATTGATGTGATATATGAGATACTTTAATACAGGCATAGAAAGCAATAATCACATCATGGAAAATGGGGTATCCATCATCCCCTCAGGCATTTATTCTTTGTGTTACAACCAATCTAATTTTACTTTTTTCGTTATTATAAAATGTACAATTAAAATTATTATTGACTATAGTCACCCAGATGTACTATCAAACACTAGGTCTTACTAATTCTTTCTTTTTTTTTGTACTCATTAACCATCCCTACCGTCCCCTACATTCCCCACTGCCCTTCCCAGCCTCTGGCAACTACCTCTACCTACATGAGTTATATTGTTTTGATTTTTAGCTCCGACAAATAAGTGAGAACATGGAAAGTTTGTTTTTCTGTGCCTGGCTTATTTCACTTAATCTATGGTTCCATCAATGTTGTTGCAAATAATAGGATCTTATTTTTTATGGCTAAATAGTATTCCATTGTGTATATGTGCCATGTTTTCTTTATCCAGTCATTTCTTGATGGACATCAGGTTACTTCCAAATATTGGCTGGAGCACACTGCTGTAACAAACATGGGAGGGTAGATATCTCTTCAATGTATGGATTTCCTTTCTAGTAAGTGAATCCTCAGGAGTGGCATTCCTGAATTATATGGTAGCTTTATTTTTAGTTGTTTTGAAGAATTTTCAAAATGTTACATTCCTGTCAACAGCATACAAGGGCTCCCTTTCTCCACTTCTCTCCAGCATTTGTTACTGCCTACCTTTTGGATATAAGCCATTTAACTGAGTCACATAATATCTCATTGTAGTTTTGATTTGCATTTGTCTGATGATCAAAAATGTTGAGCACCTTTTCGTATGCCTGTCTGCCCTTTGTACGTCTTATGAAAAATGCCTATTCAAATATTTTGTTTATTGTTTATCAGATTACTAAATTTTGTACATTGAAAGATTTTACTGTGAATAGTTGACGAAAATTGGTTAAGTCCATTAAGACATGCTTCCTGCCCCTCACAACTCACCCACGCTGTTCTAGTCTCTCCGTAAGTGTCAATTCTGAAGGCCACAACTTCCATAACTTCCATATCTTCTCAGTATTACATTTCAAGATGAATATATTGTGCTTTACTCTGGCAACATGTCTTCCATAAAATGAGAATACACATCTGGGAAAAGGGAAAATAAATTACCTCACTTATTAGATTCAGGTGAGTACGTGTTAGAAACCTAATGTATAAAGTTATGTCAAGCACATTAGCAAAGTGGCACAATAAAAATCATAGGCCCTAATTTCTTCATATACATATACACTTAACAAAAATATCCTGAACAAAATTCCATTGTGATAAGTTTAAAAATCAAGAGTTTGCAGCACCCCAGGCAAGCAGAATGCCAAAAGCCAAATAGTAGAGGAAGGAAAATTTGTTGCATTTACCCACCACAGCCCTTCTTCCTCTCCAATGCAGCATGATGCTTATAGAAGTAAACTTCTGACTTCTTTCTGAAGAAAGAAAATAAACACACAATCCCAGAGTAGACACAGCCTGAGAACAGGCTTTAGAAACCTCCAGAATCTCTAGCCTGGTCAATTGGTGTCAGACTCCAAACCACTTTATAAAGACTGTGACAGCTTTCTGTTAATGCTCAAATCACAATGAAAGATGACAACAGAGTACCAGAGTAACATGGCCAAAAAAACACAATAAATTTCCAGATATGAACCCTAAAAAATTGAGATATACAAATTACTTGAAAATATTCAAAATAACCATCTAAATGATGCTCAGTGTATGAAATGGGAACATAGACAACTAAATGAAAGCAGCAAAATGAGAATATCACAAAAAATTATAAAAACCTTCAAAAATTATGGAGCTGAAGACTACAGTAAGTCATAAAGACAGAAATTCTCAAACAAAATACTTGTAAAATATCAAGAAGCTTAAATTAGTTTGGCTAAGATAAACACAGTTACTCATAACAAGACAGATTATAAGCAAAATTTTAAAAGTCGTAGGCAAAAGGAATCTTGGAAGCAAGCAGTAAGATAAACCTGTTGTGTCATCTATAGCATGCTTCATTGAGATTTGCAGTGGATTTATCAACACAGTCCTTGCAGGCCAGAAAAAAAGTTAAGTGATATAGTCAAAGTGCTGAAACAAAAACTTTCAAAGCAAGAATACTATAGGAAAAGTCTTCAAAAAAAGTTCCAAAGTAACAAAATGCAGTAAAAGTACATCACTAGTATATCTGCCTTACTGAAAATGCTTAGGGGTGTCTCTTCCACTAAAAATAAAATTCTAGAAAAAACCTACATTATATAAAAAACACATAACTCTCTAATAAAGACATGCACATAACAGGAAATTGTATTAAAATTATAATACAGAAAACAATTCTATTTTCAAAATTTGATAGACAAAAACATGAAAGTAGTTATAAACACAATATGACAATATAATTTGTGACTTACAAAGTTGAGAGCAGACATACTGAAAAAAACTATGCATCTGAATATCTTACCAATTCAAAATATATTGTAATTTTAAGAAGATTTTTGTAATCTTCATGATAACCACAAATATTAGAGAAATACAATATAGAAATTGAGAAAGAAATCAGACCATATCACCAGAGAAATCAGTGAGACAGCAAGAAAGATGAAAAAGGAACAAAATGGCTACAATAATAAAACAATGATTAATATAATAATAGTAAGTTCCATTTCAGAATACTTTAAAAATATTAATGGACTAACTTTCCCAATCAAAAGACATATTTCATGAAGAGATTCTAAAAATTGTATTAACAGCATCAACTATATTCTGTGTACAAGAGAATCACTGGATCCAATCACAAAGATAGACTAAAAGCAGGATGGAAAAAGATATTCCATGCAAATGTTAGCCAAATGAGAGCAGAAGTAGTCACTGTGACAAAAGACTTTAAGTCAATCATTATCATATTTTATAAAATTTAATTCAAAACTACAGCATAAAAAAGACATTAAATAATACAAAGGTTCATTCATTGGAAACCTATAAAAATTGTATATGTTGTTTGTGTGTGGATTCCTGTGTGTGTGCTTATACCTGTATCTACATCTACATCACACATCAGGGTTTCCAATTATACATCTATATCATACATCAGGGTTTCCAGTTTATAAAGCAAACATTGATGACATTGAAGCAAGAAATACACAGTGAACAGAAGACTTGAATACACTATAAAAATCAAATTCAACATGTGTAGAGAACACCTCATCCAACAAAATACACAATGTTTTCAATATTTCAGAAAATATTCTTGATAGAAGACGTTAGGCCATGAAACAAGTCTTAACACCTTTTTTTAAAATGAAATATTACTGCTTATTCTTTATAACCAAAATTGAATAAAATAGAAAATGAAACATTCACAAATATATGGGAGTTAAACAATACACCCTCGAACATGCTTTTCTTCAAGGGTGGGAATACTTAATATTATGAAGATGTCCAGACTACATAAAGTGGTCTACAGATTCAATACAGTCCTTTCCAAATTCTCAGTTTATTTTTGCAGAAATAAAAAAGCAACCCCAGAATTATACAGACTACAAAGAGACCAAGAAGACTCAACAATCTTGAAATATCAAGAACAATATCGGGGGTGTCACACCTCCTGATTTTGGAATACATTGTGAAGCTACAGTAGCTAAAGGAATTTGGTGCTGGCATAAATGCACACAACAAGAACAATAAAACAATAGAAAACTTAGAAATACAGCTACACATGTGTGGTCAAATGAGTTGTTTGCACACCCATGCAGCATTATTGACAAAAGCTGATAGGCTAAAGCAGCTTAAACTTTCTTAAATGAATAAATAAAATTTGGAATATAAAAATAGAATATTGCTCAGCTTTGCAAAATCAGCATATGTAACATATAAAATCAAAATCTTAACATGCTAAATAAAGGCAGTCACAACAAGACAGGTTGTCTGAATACACTGATATGGGATATCTAGAAACAAAAAATAATACTATATTTGACGGGCTGGGCGCGGTGGCTCACGCCTGTAATCCCAGCACTTTGGGAGGCTGAGGCAGGCCAATCACCTGAGGTCAGGAGTTCAAGACCCAGGCCTGGCCAACATGGTGAAACCCTGTCTACTAAAAATTTAAAAATTAGCTGGGCATGGTGGTGCACGCCTGAAATCCCAGCTACTTGGGAGGCTATGGCAGGAGAATCGCTTGAACCTGGGAGGCAGAGGTTGCAGTGAGCCGAGATCATACCACTGCACTCCAGCCTGACAACAGAGCCAGACTCCGTCGGAAAAAAAAAAAAAAAATCAGCCAAGAGGAGAAATACACAAGATGAACCATAAACAAAGTTGGTGTTATATTTATAGAGACAACCATGCCCATACATATGTATAATTTAACAGTGATAGACAGCTGGTTAATTCATCTTTGAATTAAACCCCACCTTGATTTAAAGTATATATACAGAGTTGCAAATTGTCATTCAAAATTATAATACATAGGTAAAACAGAAACACAATAAACTGCCTATAAATGTATCCTTACTAAAAACACAGTAATTAGGAATTGCAAGACAAGATAAACATTTACCTATAAAATTCTGTATGCAACATTGATATATCATTATAACACCTTTTTCTAGGTAACTACCGAGTTCACCTGTGATTGTGCACCTATGGAGCACACATACTTGTAATCATTGATGTCTACTGTATGGCAGTAAAATTTTACAGAAAATGCATTACAGACATTAAGAAAATGCTCTAGTAAAATTTTTTTAATGATTATGTAAAGACAGTAAAGATAATGTGTTACTATTAATATATTGATGCTATTTTCACAGAAAATAAAAAGGCTGCAATTCACTCTTTAGAAGCAAAGAAAAGCATTAGACTTTGAAATAAAGTAAAACCATGTATGTTGTAAAATATGAGTTATATACAATGCAAATATTTTGAAATAATTTTTTGTAATTTATCATTTAGATATAGGTTGAGAAAACAAAAATGTTAATGATTCCTATATGATTTCAGTTAACTGTAATGTACAAATGAACATTTTAATAAATAGGGAGTGCCTGTCTGATTTACTTCTTACATGGTGTGGAAATTATAGCATATTGTTCTGAATGAATCTAAAATAACAGACAAATTTGTAATACAGCAAAATACAAAGTGAAACCATATAAGGAGAGTGACATCAGCAAGGATGTTGGAATAAGGGGATCACTCTTGTTTATCTTCCCACAGCTACAATACTTTTGCAGCCATCCATGGACAAAAGTGCCTTTATGGGAGCTTTGGGATTAGAGAGGGCATTATGATACCCTGTGAAAAACAAAGACTGAGGAGGGCTGTTTTGGGAAGGCAGGCCCTCATTCAGGGGGCAAATCTGAGAACCCCTGATCTTGTCTACAGACTAGGAATTGACCCATCCTACTCAGTCACACTGAGAATCCTGAAGTGACTCTGTAACCATCTCCAATGCCTCCCAGTTATGGTCTGGAATTAGTCCTTCCCATACAGAGAACTGGGGAGAGACATTCATGATAATGGAGGCAGACCTACAGAATTTAACCTTTCACCTTTACTGTGGCCTCTGAAGCAGGTCTGTGACTCAGTTTCAGCCCTCTTCACCATAGTTTATAGACAGTTCTGCCCACCTAGAGACCCACAAAGGGAGAGAAAACCCTCTCAGGTACTCAGCAGAAGTCACACTTCATCCACACACCTACTATCAGGGCCGCCATATGCAAACCCAGCTTCAGAACCCTGGCCCTGGCATCTGCCCTACAGATCAAAGTTCTGAAAGCAGTTGAGTCTGCTCGAAATAAGAGGAGTCACAATGAAGCCACCTTGTGCCCAATTTTAATGCTTCTATTTTAACATACTAGTAGTCCTAAGTAGAACAATTTGGGGAAAAATATTTTAAAGCCATCTAAATTGAAAAAATGTCACTTTTTGTAGATGACATGATCTTATATACAAAAACCATAAATAGTACACCAAAAACCTATTTAAACTAATAAATGCACTCAATGAATTTTCAGAATATAAAAACAGCATACAAATCTCAATTGTGTTTTTATACCCTAACAACAAACTATCCAATTAAAAGGAAGAAAATGATTTCATTTAAAATAAAATAAAAAACAATAAATTTCTTAGGAACAAATTTAACAACTAAGGTGAAAGATCTTTATGCTGAAAAATAAAATATTGATAAAGGAAACTGGAGAAGACAAAAAATGTAAAGCTATCATAGATTGGAGGAGTAAATATTGTTAAAATTCTACATTATCCAAAATGATCTATAGATTTAATAAACTCCCTATAAAAATTCCAATAACTTGTTTCACAGTAATAGAAAATACAAGCTTAAAATTTATGTGAAATTACAACAGACTTTGAATAGCTAAAGCAATCTTGAGGAAGAAGAAAGCTAAGGATATTATAGTTTCTGATCTTTTTTTTTTTTTTGAGATGGAGTCTCACTCTGTCACCCAGGTTGGAGTGCAATGGTACGATCTCAGCTCACTGCAACCTCTGCCTCCCAGGTTCAAGTGATTCTCCTACATCAGTCTCCTGAGTAGCTGGGATTACAGGTGCTCGCCACCATGCCCGGCTAATTTTTATATTTTTAGTAGAGACAAGATTTCACCATGTTGGTCAGGCTGGTCTCGAACTCCTGACCTCATGATCCACCCACCTCGGCCTCCCAAAGTACTGGGATTACAGGTGTGTGAGCCACCGCACCCGCCCCTATAGTTTCTGATTTTAAATTATATTCAATACTATAGTAATAAAAAAAAGACAGCATGTGCATAAAAATGAACACGAAAACCTACAGAACAAAGTAGAGAGCCTAGAAAAAAAAAACCTATGCCTATAAAATCAATTAATCTTGAACAAGGATATTGAAAATGCACAATGCAGTAAGTGAAATCCCTTTATTATTTGGAGCTAAGAAAATTGGGTATCCACAAGCAAAAGAATAAAATTAGATGATTTTTCTTACATCATATCCCAAAATTAACTCAAAGTAAGGACAAATAAAACACATGAATTCTTAAAAATCCTAAAAGAAAACAAAATGTGGTCAACCTCCTTTATATTGGTCTTGACAGTATTTTTTTGGATCTGACACAAAAAGTGCGCCACAAAGGCAAATATAAAAAAGTTGGACTACATCAAACTAAAAAACTTATAAACAGAAAACAATAAGAAAACTTACAGGTTGGGAGAAAATATTTGCAAACCACTGTTAAGTGGTTAATATCCAAAATATGTAAGGAACTCATACAAATAAAAAACCAAAACAACAATAATAATGACAGTAATGATAACATGATTAAAAGACAGGTAAAGAAATATTTTTTTAGTGAAGACGTAAACTAAGAGTATTTGAAAAGCTGCTCAACATCTTCAATCATGAAGCAAATACAAACAATGATGACATATCATTTCACACTTGTTAGGATGGCTAATATCAAAATTCAGAGACATGTATGTTATTCTGATGATGGATACCCTAAAAGCCCTGACTTCACCACCATGCAGTCTATCCATGTCACAGCCCTTGAACTGGGACACATTTACCTGAAAACCAGCCATTTCATCTTCTTTCTCTTTCTTCTCTGAGTTTTTGTCAGGTGAGATTCTCTGGACAAGTCATGGCTGTATGTTGATAATATGCCTTAAAAAGCATCAGTACAACCCCTTTACTTGCTACGACTACAGCTACAGGGAGAAGGAACTAGAAGTGCAAAAAAGTCCACTCTTCCCTGTCCTTTATCCCAGGAGAGAGTCAGGAACAATGAGCTCCTACATAAAGATCAAAATGTGTTTCTCATTTCCTGCTTTCAAGTGTCCTCTCCTATCAAAGACTCAAGCAACTTTTGCTGCAGCAACTGGACTATGGGCTGCACTAACCACCGTATCAAATCCAAGCAGAGCAGATCCTGTGACCTGGAGAAAGGAGCCGGCTGTCCTTCCCTGCTGTAACCTAGAGAAAGGAAGCTGGCTGTCCTTCCCTGGCACAGCTGCACGCAAGGAATTTTCCACCACGCCCACCGGGCAGTAAGTTGAAACATAAAAAGATTAACAAGTTGGCTTATTTTTACTTCTACTCAGAGTGCAGAGTCATCGTAATTTATTGTTTTCTATGTCTCAAATACTCTGCTTTATTTTATTTTATTTTATTTTATTTTATTTTATTTTATTTTATTTTATTTTATTTTTGAGATGGAGTCTCGTTCTGTTGCCAGGCTGGAGTGCAATGGTGCAATCTCAGCTCACTGCAGCCTCCGCCTCCCAGGTTCAAGCAATTCTGCCTCAGCCTCCCGAGTAGCTGGGACTACAGGCGCACGCCAGCACGTCCAGCTAATTTTGGCATTTTTAGTAGAGATGGGGTTTCAACATGTTGGCCAGGATGGTCTCGATCTCTTGATCTCGTAATCCGCCGCCTTGGCCTCCCAAAGTGCTGGGATTACAGGCGTGAGCACTGCGCCCAACCTGTTTTATTTTTTAGTATGTTATCAAATGAAACATTAGTCCAATTATTAAAATAAATGCTTTAGTTGTCTGAGCAACTGTATTTTGTATCTGTCAAATCCACAAGCCTAACAATTTTACCTTTCTGAAATATCTACCACGTGTTCAAAGTCAGCACGCTACTCCTAGTTCTGCAAGGCACTGAAAGTACATAGAAAGAAAGAGGGGGGAAGCACATTTAAGAAACAGGTTTTCTGCAGGATCACAAGGGTATAACAATTGCCTATAACGGTGTGGCTACTTTCTCCGCATTCAGTCCCCGTGACTAAATAACTACTGCATTTGTGGAAGTCTCTAGGCTGGGTGCTGGACCCTAATTAATGCATTTGAAATCCAGGCCTACACTGTCCCTGGGCTCAGCGACTAACCTTAGTAGAAGCACACATTTCTCAATATGCACATAAGGCAAATAGGTGCTCACGGCAGCCAAACAGAATGCTTTGAAAAGCATTTTCCCAATGAGCCCCCCGCCAGCCCAAACCCCCGCAAACTCCGGAATTAGGAGACATAACAGGTACTTCCACCTCAGAAGCCAAAGCCCTCTGCGACTCCTGCCAAGAAGGGCAGGTTGCCATGCGTGGGTCGGCTGGGCGCGTCCTGGGGCTGGTCTGCCTGACCCGGACAAAACCAGGCGGCGAGCACGCGGCGCTGCATGCGGGAAACCGGAGCTGCGCCTCCTGCCGCCCCTCAGTCGCTAGGCAGGAACCCCAGGAGAGGCTACGGTCCCCTGACCTCCACAGAGGCTCGCCAGGGCCGGCGCGCAGGGGCAGGTGGGCGCGGGGGCTGCCCTGCGGCGCCGCAGCCTGGGCCTCCCCTGGCACCCGTGGTCGGCCATCCGCCGCGTCCGCAGCGGCGCGCCGAGCCTCTCCAGTTCGCGGGCCCTCCCCGGCTCGCTCCCGGCTTTTGCAGACCTCCCCGGCTCCTGCCCTGAGTCCGAGCAGAGCGCAACGCCAGCCGGCGCCTTCCTCCTGGGCTGGGAGCGAGTGGTGCAGCGGCAGCTCGAAGTCCCCCGGCCTCAAGCAGCCCCCGCGACTAGCGCGACACCCTCGCGGGATCCGAGTCCACCCTGCCACCAGCGCCGGGACGCCGCGTGCCTCAGAGCCCAAGGGCTGACCCGGGCCTTCCAGGTGGTCCATCTCGCTCCTACGGCTCCCGACGGTGGCGCTGGGTGTCCCCCATCCCGCAGTTCCTACCGGCTGACCCATGTGCGCTGTGCCCAGGTACCCCGCCGGGCAGGGCTGAGCAGCCCGGACCCCGCGCTCTCCTGCGCCCAGATTCAGCGCTGCAGTCGCCAGGGAAAGTTTGCGCTCCGGACTGGCCGCGGCGCCCCGCCTGCTCTGCACCTCTCCTGGCCCACCACGCAGCCCGCGATTCGGGATCCCAGAGGAGAGGGGTGCGGGCTGAGCCGGGGCCACGAGTCCTCTCCCGCGCTCCCGCCCTTTTACCTCACTGTCCCGCCGGGCGCACGCAGAGCTCACCTTGCGTGCCGGCCGGTGGAGGCGAGCCATAGGTGACGGTGCATCCTCCTTCTCCGCCTGCTCTCGCCCGGCTGGCAGGGGCTGGAGGCTGCCAGCGCCAACCTTCCCGGCGCTCCGGGGCGGAGCAGCTCCTGCGCCCTGCGCTACCGCAGCGGCCCTTCAGTCAGCTCCGCGCCGTCCCCAGCAGAGCCCCCGGCGCACCAGCGCCTGCTTTTCCTTCCCCGAGCGCCTCAAGCAGTCTCTGGGCCGCAGGAACAGCCCTCTGAAGAGGCGCTTGGGTAGAGGCCACCAGACACTCAGCAAACGCGCCCTCGGCCCCGCTCGGCTGAGCGGGAGGGCGCAGGGCCCGCGGCTGGACCTGCAAGGGGAGTTCCGGTTCTGCTGAAGTTTCTTTAGGGCCTTCAGCAGCGTCTTCGGCGCCTCCTGTAGTCGCCGCTGTCCTCTTGTAGTGCAGGGATGGGAGGGCAGGGTCAGGAGCCCGGCAACAGAGGCCAGTTTCAAGAGCTTTGCTCCCCTAGGGCCGGCCCCCCCTCCCTGCCCAGGCCTGGGTCCCTCCCGGGTGCTCTGAGGCACCCCCGGACATGCGCATGTCTTAGTCGCTCCTGAAAGAAATTGGCTTGTTGTGGGCACTCTTTTCATCTCATTCATAGACAGGAGTGCATTGCTGCCGGACGGAAAGCCAGGGTCACATGGGACTCCATTAGAATGAAACCCTTACCTAATGCAGTATATATTTGGGGGTTTTCTGAAGTTCCATTTCTTAGCAAGAAGCCTCGGTGACAACGGGAAAGGGCCAGGGGCCAGGGGCCGCAGGTCCGAGAGCAGGTCTGGGGTGGCGCATCTGGGGTGGGGGGGCGGGATTTCCCTAGCAGGGCTTCCACGCCACGTTGGGCACTGCCTCATTAGCCACGCACATGGGGTCTTACTATGGTCATTACATAGGTGTCTTGTCCGTCCGAGTGATGCAGTTCCTGGGAGGTGAGGGTGGCGTTAATGACAGCTGGGTGGCAGCAGGGCCTCTTCAAACAACACAAGCAAGATGGGGCCAAAGCAGCACAGCCCATCGTCTCGGGGTTTCGGGGTCTTGCTTCCTCAGGAGGTGGGGGCCTCTCGACTGTAACACCCAGTGGAAAACGTTCAAGACTTACAGGAAAGCCACCAGAACATGATGGGGAGGTTTATTTACACCACTGTCCCCTTCCTTTTGTGAAACTGCATTGTTTATATTCTCTTTTAACAGAGTCATGGTAAGAAAAGGCAAATTCTTAACTCTCCTCCAGGAAAGATCTTTGACCTTCCAGTGTAGGAAGCCTCTCAGTTTTCCAGTTACACCTAATACAGTGTATTCCAAATCTAAGTTACCCACTAGTACTTCGGCACATTCCAGAAATTCTGAAATTTTCTGAAAAGGAAACTGGTAAGTCTATTCCAGGAGCAGGACATAAGTGTATAAATGTGCAAATATACAGGAAGCATTACTCTGAATACGCGTTTAGCCACATTATTAAATAACTGTTTCCAGTGGTTCTTCACAATATATGAATAAGATGCTCATTTGAAAGACTTTTTAAATTCTAAAATGGATCATTGAACACGTGCATTTCTTCATTTTCTAATCTCTCAAAAGATGTATCATTAAGGTGAAATTCCTTGGTAGTCATTAAATTTTAAAAAGTTAACAACATGGTTTTATGATCAGCCTACTATAATTTTCACCTATTAGGTGGTGGAATTCTAGGCTTAGAATTACCAGCGACAGCTGCTCGCCTCTCAGGATTAAACAGCATAATGCAAATCAAAGAGTTTGAAGAATTGGTAAAACTTCACAGCTTGTCACACAAAGTCATTCAGTGTGTGTTTGCAAAGAAAAAAGATGTAGACAAATGGGATGACTTTTGTCTTAGTGAGGGTTATGGACATTCATTCTTAATAATGAAAGAAACGTCGACTGTGAGTATGTTCTTTTGGTGGATTATGTTTAAAACTTCCATGTTTTTTGGTACACTTTCTATCAGTTTTATGTCAACACAACACATATCGTCTTGGTAAGAATTTCATTTTCAGTGTCAGAGCCTAAAATAGCTGGAGGTGGAGAAGCATGAGTGGAACATGTGCCAGAGAGCGCCCACCCTGTCCCCCAGTCAGGGGCAGGAACTGAGATGGGTGGGTGTGTTTGCATGGGTGGGTGTGGCAGAGGTGGCTGAAACGTGAATGCAGTGTCATCCTATAAGTGAGACAATGTGTTATTCGTCTTTCTGTGCTTGGCTTATTTCACCAAGCATGTTCTCCAAGTCCATCCATGCTGTCAAAAATGGCAGGATTTTTTTTATTCATTAATGCTAAATAATATCCCACTGTGTGTGTGTGTGTGTGTGTGTGTGTGTATTTTTTTTCATTTCTTTATCCATTTATCCATTGACAGACATTTAGGTTGTTTCTATTACTTGGCTATTGTTAAAAATGCCCAAATGGACATAACAGTGCAGGTATCTTTTCCAGATATTGATTTTATTTCCTTTGGCTATATCCCCAAAGAAATGGGATTGCTGGGTATAGAGTGGTTGCCAGGGGCTGGGGGAAGGAGAGATGGGCAGATGTTGGTCAAAGGGTATAAAATTTCAGTTATGCAAGATGAATAAGTTCTGGAGATCTACTGTTCAACATTGTGAATATAGCTAACAACACTGCGATGTATACTTGACATTTGCTGAGGAGGTAGATCTTATTGTTCTCACCACACACATGAAAGAGGGCAGCTCTGCGAGATGATGGGAATGTGAATGAGTTTGATTTTGATGGCAAAATATACATATATTAGTCATCAAACTGAACACCTTAGAAACCAGATTTTACATCAATGAATGGTTGAATGAATAGATCTGCACTTCTGGATTTCTTTAAAAATGGGAAGACACTCCATAGCTTTAGCAACGCTGGGCACCCACCCATTCCCACCCTCCTGCACCGCCTGCATTCCACAGATACCTGACATGGGTCCTTAGAGGAACGTGATCTATCCTTTTTCACACTTTGCCTCCTTTGTGTAATTAGGAAAATCGAGGCAAATGGGGCTTTTTAAAGGATTTTAATTTTTTTCTAATTTCATTGTATCTATTTTGTCTTCACTAGTGGCTTATTTACTGTATCTGTATTTTACCTTATTTTATTTTGTGATGGCTCTAGGGTTACAGCCAGCATCTTTAACTTAGTATAGCCTACCTTTATTTTGTTTATTTATTTATTTATTTATTTTTGAGAAAGAGTCTTGCTCTGTCACCCAGGCTGGAGTGCAGTGGTGCGATCTCGGCTCACTGCAAGCTCCGCCTGCTGAGTTCAAGCCATTCTCCCCCTCAGCCTCCCCAGTAGCTGGGACTACAGGCACTCACCACCATGCCCAGCTAATTTATTTTATTTTATTTTATTTTATTTTTATTTTTATTTTTATTTTTATTTTTAGTAGAGTTGGGTTTCACCGTGTTAGCCAGGATGGTCTCGATCTCCTGACCTCATGATCCACCCGCCTCAGCCTCCCAAATTGCTGGGATTACAGGCACTAGCCACTGCACCTGGCTGAGGACATGTCTTTGAAAAGGTAGCATAACTCCTATTTCTAGCTGCTCTTGCAACTAAAAGTGGCTGTGTACAGAATAACTCTATTCCTCTATATCCAGTTTGGACAAACCAACTTTCCATTGATTTAAGCACACTTTCAGAATAAAGCGTAATTTCTTATCTCAGGAATTCCAAAGTCTAATGGAAGAAGCAAGCTTATACTGAATAATTTAGCAAAGCAGATTGTGCTTGGCAATAATAAAGTAATTCAATATCTGAAACATAAGAAAAGAAGGAAATATCTGTTTCATAGTTGTAATTAATTAGAACTTTACCATGCAGAATAGGTAGAGAGGCATTCCTCAAAAGATTAAGAGAGGTATAAAGTAAATGTAAATGTCAACCATAGGGGTTTTCTTAGGCAGAGAATCATGCTTTAGGGTAAATGAAGGTGATGCTGGTATTCAGGTTCCTTTGGAGAAGGCAACAATAAAAGTAGAGTTATCATTTATGAGATCCAAGAAGCCCAAGAAAAGATAATAAGAGCCCAAGCCACAGCAGGCTCAGCCTTTTTTTCCTAAATAAAAAGGAACGAATAGCTAAATGTGACAAAAGTCAAGGTATCTTTTAAGAAAGTTACACTTCCTCTGAACCACAACAGAAATCAAAGATAGTCACCCTACAGCACTCCTTGCCTCTCTTCCAAGGATACAGCTATGTATTGTTTTTTAAAAAAGGTAAAGGTAAAGAGACATGGTCACTTGACCATGTCTCTATCCAAGGTGAATTTCTCCAAAAGCACAACTTTGGGACACTTGTATGAGATATAGTTTAAACCCCACTGAATTTGATTTCTCACCCTCCCAGACACTTACCTTTATTATTTTCTCATATTTGTTTGCTTTTGTTTCCTTAATATAGTCTAGGAAATGTATCTGTGGGCTGTCCTACAGGAGAAGTTACAATGAATGGAAAAATGTGAAGAACCTTCTATTCTCCCAAGAGTATATGGCAAAGAGGGTGCAATTGCACCCAAAATATCAGTGTGGAAGGGTCACATAACTGATACTATAAAGTAACACATTGTCTTACAGAATTCTCATTCTTAGGCTAAAATATTATCTTCTTCATCAAACTTACTTGACTGCATGTTTGATGTTGTTTGAGTAAAATATAATACTCTTTTATTTCCCAAATGCACACACACACACACACACACACACACACACACACACACACACACACACATATTATATTATGTTTTGGGAAATATATGTGCTATAGTATCTATATTTATTCACTTCTTAAATTTGAACTTAATTAAAATGACAAAATGAATTTGCTGAAAGGAGTTGGTAAAATGATCAGCTGTATTCAGTCACATAACTATTGTTTAGTCTTAGTAATGAAAATAGAAAAAAAAAACCAGCCAGGTGCAGTGGCTCACGCCTGTAATCCCAGCACTCTGGGAGGCCAAGGTGGGTGGATCGCCTGAGGTCGGGAGTTCGAGACCAGCCTGGCCAACATGGTGAAACCTCATCTCTACCAACAATACAAAAATTAGCTGGGTGTGGTGGCACGCACCTGTAACCAGCTACTTGAGAAGCTCAGGTAAGAGAATCTCTTGAACCTGGGAGGCGGTGCTTGCAGTAAGCCGAGATTGCGCTACTGCACTCCAGCCTGGGTGACAGAGTGAGACGCCACCTCAGTCAAAAAAAAAAAAGAAAAATGAATATAGAAAAAAACGACAGACGCTAAAAGCTAAGAAAATAGTGTGTTCATTTTGGAATCTAATTCAAAATTCATTATAATGAATTTTAACGGGCCACCAAAGGTATGTGTTGAAGTTCACTGAATATTATTCAATGTTTGAGAATTACTGACAGCACATATATTTCATTTGTAGCAATGTTTGATTTGTTTTGCATCCATATATTTGCATTTATTTAAAACAAAAAACATCAAAGTATATTTCATCTGTTATTTGGAAAAAACATTGAGTAACTAATTGTCCAAATATAGCTATTTTCTAATTTTTAATTAAAAATGCTTCCTGTTTAAAAAAATAACTTATTTCAAAATAACTGACATTTAATGTATTTACATTTTTTAAAGTGTTCACGCACATCTATTTAATTTCTAGATGTCTTGAAGGAATCGTCACTGTATCTGGAAGCCAGATGCCAAAGATGTTCAGTTATTATCAATGCATCTATGCATAAAGGATTGAAAATGATTCTTCATGCCATAATTTATCTAAATGTTCATTCCTTTGGAAAACTGTTTTCCACCAATAGTAACAAGACTTGGAACAAAATAAAATAGCAATATCATATGCATTTTCTATTTCTGCACTTTTCCACTTCTGGAAATAGTCATAGAATCATCTTGTGACAGATTAATATCATCCATGATCCTAAGCCACTAAGAATAAGTGTTAGATTCTTTGGGTTAAATTGTCATAAGGACTAAATTTATTTTTTTAACCAATTCCCTAAAGAATCAACTGATATTTCTGACATAGTTTTACAGCATATGTATCACCTCTCCATCCATTTTGCCTTAATTCTATTTCTTTTTATCCTTCACTGGTGAGGATGAGAAAACCTGGATGCATATGGGTATGGTTGATTTGAAAAGTACTTTTTAAACATTTGGAAGTTTTTCAAAACCAAAAACATATTTGCCAAGTGATCTTTTTCCCCTATATTTTAAATCCATGTGCAACTTAAAAGAAACTTAGACCATATGCTAGTTCAGATTCACTTATATTAAAATCATGAAAATTTTATTTAATAGCTCTTTGACACACAGGGAGTGTTTAAATTAAGCTTCTCTAAATTTTACATTTCTCAAAATACACTCTCTTTCCTATCTACCCTCAACTACTCCTCACTACTCTCCAAGAAAATATCAGGTTTAATTCAGGAGATGTAAGTTGGATGTTGTCAGTCCATCAACAATGATTAAGTAATTTAAAAAGCATTCTTTTCTTCACTTCTTCCCTAGATTTTTTGTTTCTTTGTTCGTTTAAATATCTCTGTGCAAGTTCTGAACAGTTTTATTTATATCAGGATCAATAATCTGAGGAATGAAATAAATTGTTGCATTTGTTGCAATAAATGAGTTTATGCTTCCTTTACAGAACATTAAGGACATGAACTTTTAAGAACATTTTAATGTTTCACTATAAATGATACTTGAGCCTTGCATTAGAATACATAATGTAAACTTATATAAAGAAAAAATAAAAATCTTCTCCTTCTCATCTGCATTTGCAATCCCACATGCACTGAAGTAATCAATGTTAATGGTTTTCTGTCCATTCGGCCACACCTCTAATGGATGGAATTTATGTAGTGTAATTCTTTGTCAGGTACAACTACACATGAGTAAAACTAGGTGTGATTTAGAACTCAAGATTAGGATTTTTATCTAGTAGTGAAATGGGAAGGGAAAAGCAAAAGTAAAATATACATCAACTAATGGCAGAATGGTGTACAGAAGGGAGTCATCTGTATATATGACATCTGATGGCCCCGCCACTCAGCTAACCCATCCACACATGAAATAATAAGTAGACAAGTGCATTGAAAATTGTAAGTGTGACAGAAAGGTCACCACTTGATTGCTACTATTATATCGTTTTATTATTTTGTTCTCCCAACAATGTATAGCTCAAATTTATACTACAGGCTGTTCATATCCCTTAACAAAATATCCATTAATTTATGAATTTGATAAAATTCTAACTTACTGCAGTGCCCTACAAATAATAGTTTGGCCCATCTGTGGTGATGACTGTTCTGGAAGATCTTTCTGATGTTGAATAACTAATATTGTGTTTCAATGTTACTATTAGGTTGGTGCAAAAATAATTGCGATTTTTGCCATTAATCACAACTACATTTGTGCGAACCTAATAGTAATTTAACATTCTGTATCTAACATTTGTGGACACTGATCGAATATGCAATATTCTGGGGAGAAGTTGGTGGAAGAGATGTGTGTTGTTTTGTGAAAGATAGTATTCTGAGGGAAGGCAGAAAAGGGATATACATATAAGAAAATAGTGGATCTTGATCAGATGCACACTTGTTCCTATTTACAAGAAGTCTACTCTGTGTTACTGAACAAATCAACTTACATGAAGTCAACTAATTCCAAAGAATTTACCGTCTAGAGAAATTCACATTTGTAATAATAAATACTTTTCTTAATGACAGAAATTTTATAATATGTCTTTTTTACTTTATAGCTATAACCGTAGAGTTATAAAATCTAAATACAGACAAGCCTACCCAGTGTTTGATTATATTCAATGATGTTTAAAAGTAATGGCCTCTCTTTTGTTCTTACTGGGAAAATTATCATTAGCACAGTGCTTCATGCAGGCTCTTATTACTTCTATCTCCCATTGTTATGATTGGCAAAGCACAAAGCCATACTCAAATTGGAATGCTTGGGCACATTGCAGTATTTATCACAGGGTGGACTGGATACTGAGTTTCTTAATTTATAAATATTTCTTTCCAATGCAAAATTCATGAAGGCTTAATGTTGGGAAATGTCTGAATGGCTATAAATTCCCTTCCTAATTCCCTCCCCTCAATGCATACCCATTTTTTTTTGGCTCATTCTTAGAACTGTAGCTGTTCTTGAATCTTTGATGAGTTGAAGCTAATCCACATTCGGATTTTACAATCTCATATAATTGCCAAAATTCTACCCTTCAAAACACTTGTTTCTTTCTTTTTTTTCTCTTACATTTCCTCAAAGAAAATTAGTGAAAAAACAATTTTTTATTTGGTCTGAAACTTTATGGTGGAAATCTGAGGACAGGAAGAAATTTAGGGACTTGTTCATGCACTTTTGATTTGGCGAATGCCTGGAATATATTTTTTTCTCTCTGCACAATGCAAAGTAGTTGCACTCACAAAGTATCAATTAGAAAAAGAAATTCTTTCCACATTTCATCAGAGTTTTAAGTGGTTACACCACAATAATCCCCAGCTATTTGGGAAATGGTAAAAAAAAAAAAAAACAACTTTGAAGATCAAGCCATCATTATTATTTTCACTAAAACCTAAAAATTCAGCCACAATATGTCAAACCAGTTGGGACAGGACTTCCTTCCACTAATTTAGTTTTTACTGCTGGATACCTGATGGGCTACTTACTATATCAGGTGTCTCATAGGGCAAATTGTACCTGGAGATAAAAAAAAGAAGAAAAAAACAGGCTCCACCCCCTAGCAGCAGAATACAGCAGAACATTTAGGTACCCACAGAACATAAACCAAAATGGACTGTATCCTGGATTTTAACAAACATTAAGAATTTTTTAAAAACTGAAATCCTGTAGAATGTATCCTCCAGCCAAAATGGCATCAAATTAAAAATATAAAAGTAAAATAACAGCAGAATCTTAAATACTTGAAAAATAAACAGCATACTTTTTTAGTTCTTTTTTTTACATTTTTATTTATTTTAAGTTCTGGGGTAGGTGTGAAGGATGTGCAGGTTTGTTACATAGGTAAATTTGTGCCATGGTGGTTTTCCCTACCTATCAACCCATCACCTCGGTTTAAGCCCAGCATGCATTAGAGATTTTTCCCAATGCTCTTCCTCTCCCTCCCCCATCCACAGGCCCCAGTGTGTGTTGCTTACTTCCCTGTGTCCATGTGTTCTCATTGTTCAGCTCCTACTTATAAGTGAGAACATTAGATGTTTGGCTTTCTGTTTCTGCATTAGTTTCCTGAGGATAATGGCTTCCTGTTCCATCCATGTCCCTGCAATGGACATGATCTCCTTCATTTTTATGGGTGCATAGTATTCCATGTTGTATGGGTACTGCATTTTCTTCATCCAGTCTATTACCAATGGGCATTTAGGTTGATTCCATGTCTTTGCTATTGTGAATAGTGCTAAACAGCAAGCACACTTCTAAGGAGAACGTCTCAAGGGAAACAATTAAATATATTAAACTGAATAAAAATAAAAATACAACATATCAAACTTGATTTAACACAGTTGACGTCAGTGCTGAGAGGAAAATGTATTTCACTAAATATATATAATAGAAAAGTAGAAATCTCTCAAATAAAAATTCAAGCTATCACATCAAGAAAGTAGAAAATAGTAGCAAAATAAAATCAAAACAAATATAAGAAAGAATATAATAAGGATAAGAGCAGAAATAAATGAAACAGCCAAAAGAAAACAACAAAGAAAAGCAAAGAAATAAAGCTGGTTCTTTGAAAATATCTATAAAATTGACAAACCTTAACTAATAATGATAAAGAAAAAAGGGATGTCATAAATTACCAGTTTCATGAATGCAATGGGCTAACATTAGCAGTAGAACTCAGCAATGTACACAAAGAATTACACAGCATGTCCCAGTGACGTTTACTCCAGTGACTGCACACCTAGACATTCATCCCACTGAAATAAAAACTTTTTTTTTGCACTTGCAATTGGCTTCCCCTCTGCTTTTGTTGGCAAGAGCAGGTCGGTGTCCCAGGCTTAGAATCCATTTTTCTCTCTCTCCGTCTGTCTCTCTGTCTCCGTCTCTGTCTTTGTCTCTGTCTCTCTCTCTCTCTCTTTCTTTTTTTGACAGAGTCTTGCTTTGTCACCCAGGTTGCAGTGATGCGATCTCGGGCTCACTGCAAGCTCCGCCTCCCAGGTTCACGCCATTCTCCTGCCTCCCGAGTAGCTGGGACTACAGGCGCCCACCACCATGCCCGCTAGTATTTTGTATTTTTAGTAGAGATGAGGTTTCACCGTGTTAGCCAGGATGGTCTTTATCTCCTGACCTTATGATCCGCCCGCCTCAGCCTCCCAAAGTGCTGGGATTACACGCGTGAGCCACAGTGCCCGGCCAGAATGCATTTTTCCTCCCACACCAAAGCACCTGCAGTATGGGTGAAGCAGCCTGGAGCCTGGCTGCATAAGCCTGCACAGCAGGAGGGTCCCAGCAGGAGGGTAGAGGTGCCACTGCCTGGGTCCAGCTCACAGGCTGCCAGGGAGGCTCCGATCTGGCTCCCTGGTGCTGGCAGTGTCCTGTTCCCAGGATCTGCACGTGGGGGTGCCTTCCTGCATCTCCCCATCAGTGGTAGGTGCTCCTCCCAGCCCCCTCTTGCAGGCCTGGAGACAGCGGCCTGCACCTCAACCCTACTGCATGCCAGTGAAGCGAAGCACCCCGGGCCAGAAGCCCCACAGCTGTTGGCCCTGGTTTGGACACCAGGCAGGGGGCACCACAGCAGGAGCTAGCAGCCCAGCCCCGATTCTGTGGCCCCGAGTGCCCCGTTGCTGATGGCCCTGTGTTCTGGGTGCGGACCAAGGAGGAGCAGGTGTGGAAGGCGCCTCAGGCAGGCCCTGGGCTCCGTGGGCGTCTTGTGCTCGGAGATTTTGAGGCCATTTGCATCCAGCTCCGCCAACCAGAGCTCTAAGCTGCAGCGGCGGCCACCCGCAACAGCGCCACCACTAGTGTCTTGGGGGCTTTCTTCAGAGGAGGCTGTCAGCATCCTCGAGTTCCAGGCGCTCTAGCCCCAGTCCTGCTTCAAGAGGCTTTTTCCCACCACAGGCTTCTCTCCTCAGTGGCCAGAAAGCTGGGCCAACTCCCATGAACTTTGCCAGTAACGCAAGGCTGTCACTGACATTTGTGGCGCCAAGACTTGCGCACGCGGATTGCACACATCGGCCACTTCCTGGACCACGTGCAATGACACGCGCACGCCTCACGCACACGCCGCATAACGTCTGAGGCGCGCGCCCCGCACGCGCGCCCCGCACGCGCATAACGGCTTGGCTTACCTGTAACGGGTACACTTCGCTTCGCGTTCCTCGCTTGGCCTTGCGTTCCTAGCTTGGCTTGGCTGTTAGTAGCTTTGCCTGGTGTTTCTTGCTTGGATTGGCGTTTCCTCCCTCGCATTCCTTTGCTGGACTTGACCTTTTCTCTGCTGGGTTTGGCATTCCCTTGACTGGGCTGGGTGTTTCCTTGGGAGGGGGGGCTTGGCCTTTCCTGGGGTGGGCGTGGGGTCCCCCTGGTGGGCGTGGGCTTTCCCCGGGTGGGTGTGGGTTTTCCCTGGGTGGGGTGGGCTGGGCTCCCTTGCTGGGCTTGGCAAGTTTTGGCTGGGATTGACCTTTCTCTTCAAACAGATTGGAAACCCAGGGTTTCCTGCTAGTTGGTGAAACTGGTTGGTAGACGCGATCTGTTCGCTACTACCGGCCTCCCCTGGCTGTTAAAAGCAGATGGTGGCTGAGGTTTGTTCAATGCCCGCTGCCTCTGCTGTGAAGAAGCCATTTGATCTCAGGAGCAAGATGGGCAAGTGGTGCCACCACCGCTTCCCCTGCTGCAGGGGGAGCGGCAAGAGCAACATGGGCACTTCTGGAGACCACGACGACTCCTTTATGAAGACGCTCAGGAGCAAGATGGGCAAGTGTTGCCACCACTGCTTCCCCTGCTGCAGGGGGAGCGGCACGAGCAATGTGGGCACTTCTGGAGACCATGACAACTCCTTTATGAAGACACTCAGGAGCAAGATGGGCAAGTGGTGCTGTCACTGCTTCCCCTGCTGCAGGGGGAGCGGCAAGAGCAACGTGGGCACTTGGGGAGACTACGACGACAGCGCCTTCATGGAGCCGAGGTACCACGTCCGTCGAGAAGATCTGGACAAGCTCCACAGAGCTGCCTGGTGGGGTAAAGTCCCCAGAAAGGATCTCATCGTCATGCTCAGGGACACTGACATGAACAAGAGGGACAAGCAAAAGAGGTAACCGGGCCTGGGATGGGAGGAGGCGGGACATGGGGGGATGATGGGGACATACCCTCCTGGCGCAGGGAGGGAGGAGCCAGGCTTTCTCTTCCTCCGCAGGCCCCACACCACCCTGGGTGTGGAAACCTCAGAGATGTCAGGGCCCAGGTCCCTTTATAAACAGCAACACAAAAACAAAACTTTAGCTGATTTCCAATCCAATTATAATTTCCCTTATAGAACACTAATAGACGGTTTTAAAGTGATTTAACTCGCAAAATTAAGTCGATGCAGCAGATTATTTTTAATGTACACATTTTAAAACAATGTTCTATACACTATAGAAAGGTGTATATTGAGAACTAAGTCCCATAATATATCAACTTCTGGGCTAAATATTTTTCAAATAAAATCCAATATGGATTTTATATCGATGTGTACCCTATGTAAACACGTTCTTTACTGAGTAACCTTAAAAGGAAACTGAAATGGGAAGTATGGTTCATATCTTTGAATAGGAAGGTTCGTTTTTCTTAAGATGTGAGCTTTTTCTGTGTTTATCACTTTTACATAAGCCAAATAAAAATAGCAAAGTCTTAGTGTCTTTAAATTGCACATGATGTATTTTATCATTGTGATAAATTGATTTTTTGTAACAGAATGGAAAAAGACTTGCTTTTCCAGATATCAAAATGTGCGTGTGTTATTTCCACAAATTGTTTACTAACAGCTGAAAAGACATAAGTGAACAGAACAGAATAGGAAATCCAGAAATACCCAAATATATGTAAGAATTTAGCACTTGATAATGGTGATGTTTCATATTGGTAAAACAAGGTGAATTATTCATAAATTAAATGCATGCTGTTTGGAGAAAACTACCTAGATTTTTATGTCACAAAAATAAGTTCCTGGAGTATAGATTAAAAATTTTAAAGATACAAAAGGAGAAAAGTACCAGAAGAAAACACAAATGCCTATTTATATGTGCAAATATTTATTTATTTTTCTGAGACAGACTCTCACTCCATAGCCCAGGCTGGAGTGCAGTGGTGCAATATCAGCTCACTACAACCTCTGGTTCCTGGTTCAAGTAATTCTTTGCCTCAGCCTACCAAGTAGCTGGGATTACAGGCACCCACCACCATGCCTGGCTAATTTTTTGTGTTCTTAATCAAGACGGGATTTCACCATCTTTGCCAGGCTGGTCTTGAACTCCTGTCCTTGTGATCCACCCACCTCAGCCTCCCAAAGTGCTGAGATTACAGTCATGAGCCACTGAAACCGGCATATATATGCAGATATAATAAAATAAGCTCAATTTAAAATTGGGCAAGGTACTTTTTTGCATGTCTACCAGTGACCTGTGTACATAGGAAAACATAGCATTCCTGCTAAGAGAAGGAATTTAAGTTAGAAGAGGAATGAAAGACTATTTTCTGTTTAAGTTAGAAGAGGAATGAAAGGCCAGCCATGGTGGCTCATGCCTGTAATCCCAGCACTTTGGGAGGCCAAGGCAGGTGGATCACGAGGTCAGGAGTTTGATACTAGCCTGGCCAGCATGGTGAAACCCATTTCTACTAAAAATACAAAGAATTAGCTGGGCATGGTGGCATGCACCTGTAATCCTAGCTACTCAGGAGGCTGAGGCAGGAGAATTGCTTGAACCAGGGAGATGGAGGTTGCAGTGAGCTGAGATTGCACCACTACACTCCAGCCTGGGTGATGGAGTGAGACTCCATCTCAAAAAAATAAATAAATAAAAATAAATAAATAAATATAAAGGAATGAAATACTGTTTTGTGTCCACAAAGTTTGTGAGGGTGAAGAACAGTGGTACTTATATACCTGCTGAAAGTTTAAGTTGCTGCGACTTTTCAAATAGACACTTTGATGGTAAGAACCACATTTTTAAAATGTGTATGCCTTTTACCCATCTGTTCCATTATACCGAAATATCTATATGAAACAGACACAGCTGTTTTTCTTAGTATTGCTTAAAATAGCCATGTATTGAGAAGAACTCATATAAAGATTTTATGAACAAATTTCAGTGCATCCATAGGATGGAATAATATGTAACCATTGAGGGTGTCAGTAGATACAGAGATATGTCGGCATGCAGAGATGTACTTTGCTGTATCAAGTGAGAAAAAATCAGTTTGTTATACATATACACAAATAGAATCTGCTCTTGTGTTAGCTGGAAATATGTGGAAAATATAATCAAACTTATTTCTGGGGATTTGTAAGTGAAGTTTTTCCCTTTCTCTTATCTGTGATTTCTGCAATGAACATCTGCAAAGTTTTAGTTAAGTTTCATTAGTAATGAAATAATCCTTGGGAAGAGAAGGAATATGCTACTTGCATAGATACAAATAATTTCTTACATTCTATTATTTATTTTTATACCTGTGGATGGCTATCTTCTGTGAACTTTTACCCTCTTCAGAAGTAGAGGGCTTCTGTTTACCTCTTCTGGTAGATTTTATTGTGTATACATCTTATTATATATAGATTGATGTGTAAATAGTATGGATTAATTATTTTAGTTTAGTTATATATTTATGAAAACTAAAATAGCAAATATAAATGATCGTTACTATCGCAAATGTATTGCTCTACTCAACAGGAGTTTTCTTTTAAAAATATTGAACTTCCAACCTATGTTTATCCATTCTTTCAATCCGTTTAGTCATCAAACATAAGCCAGACACCTATTATATGGCAGGCATATTCTGCTATCTCTCAGGATCCTTCCACCTTTGAAAACTTCATGTTTACCTGCTGCGCCTGAGCAAGCTGAGAGAATCAAAATTGGGGCATTAGGACTTAATCTCAATTGAAGCTTTTCCTCCCTCCTTTCAAACAAAAGCACTTCTGAAGGTGGAAAATAGTAAAAGATAACCCTTAACTGCCCTTTTGAAAATGTATAAGACTTGGGTAAACACTGTTTTAGCTGTTTTAAGAACTTAAATGTGGTACATAAACAGCATGGAATACTATGTAGCCATAAAAGAAAGAACAAGAGCCTGTCCTTTGCAGGGACATGGATGGTGTTGAAGGCCATTATCCTTAGCAAACTAACATAGGAAGAGAAAACCAAATACTGCATGGTCTCACTTATAGGTGAGAGCTAAATGAGGAGAACACACAGACACCTAGAGGGAAGCAACACACACTGGGGCCTATCAGAGGGTGGAGGGTGGGAGGAAGGAAAGAAGCAGGAAATAGAACTAACGGGTACTAGGCTTAACACCTGAGTAATGAAATAATCTGTACAGCCAACCCCCTTGGAACACGTTTACCTATGTTAACCAACCTGCACATCCTGCACCTGTATCCCCGAATGTAAAAGTTGAAAAAAGCTCCACAAATAGTTTCATAAATCCATTTTAAAAAGAGAAAATTTATAACAGTCTTAAATCCTAATATGAATGATTGGAAATATCTGATGTACATACGTTGTATAAATCTAAGTATTGAAAAAAATGAGCCCATGCTATTCATTTGAATTTCAAGATTTCTTTGGCTTAAAGTTTTTGAAAACCAAAGTAAGAAATAGATTATTTTAGAAAATTGTTTTTGTTTTCACCTCAGCCCTCTTATTCCATAGTTCTTTTAAGAACTAAAATTTATCTAAATGCTAGTCATCTGACTGGAACTGCCCCAGACCTGTTATATTATAACATATTCTACTTAATGTAAGGCACCAGGGATTGTATGATGCCCCATTATTTTATGTCTCACTAAGAAAATTATTTAAATGCTGCCAATTATAATTATAGTAAATCATGAATTAATAAGTGGTATTTCAGTGTAAGAAATGTTAAAACATGGAGACAATGATCATCTTAGACTCAATAAAATACAGTACAACGCTACCTGTAATCTTTAAAATGTACCTGAAAGTGTAGGTATAATTGTATCGTTTCACTTAATTCAAATGTTGTCTTTAGTGGTATTAGTAAAAATTATAATATCTTACAAGTTTTGAGCTGTTATTTGTGTTAGGAACTATTCTATATTTTGTGTAGAGTCTTATTTAAGCATTACAGTGGTTTCCTCTGAGAAACTGACTATTTTCATTCCCATTTTATTGATGAGGAAATTGAGACACAAAAAGGCTAAGCAACAGCTAGGAAGCGACAGAGCTTCAAGTAGGATTCCAGCCCAAGTTGAATGTCATCCAAGAGCTATGCTCTTTCTATTCAAATAGGCTGCTCTTTCATTAATACAGTGACTAATGAGAGGTAATAAGTAGTGTGCTTTCTTCAAAGGAAAATTGAGTTTGTTTTGAAGGCAGAGTAATAGGCTATTCAGTGTTTGCAACTACATGAATCATTAATGTGGCATTAGCTAGTGCACTACAATTTCCTGAAGTCTTCTCACTCTCATAGGACTGCTCTACATTTGGCCTCTGCCAATGGAAATTCAGAAGTAGTACAACTCCTGCTGGACAGACGATGTCAACTTAACGTCCTTGACAACAAAAAAAGGACAGCTCTGATAAAGGTATGCAGTAGTCAACTATATCAGCGTGAGATGGGTTTGATTTCAATAGATAGCATAAAAATGAGTTTTCTCATTTAAATATAACTAGTTGGTGAAAGCTGTGGAATGTTATTTTGAATTCCTAGGACTTATAATTTGTTTTTGGTCTAATACTGACAGGCCGTACAATGCCAGGAAGATGAATGTGTGTTAATGTTGCTGGAACATGGCGCTGATGGAAATATTCAAGATGAGTATGGAAATACCGCTCTACACTATGCTATCTACAATGAAGATAAATTAATGGCCAAAGCACTGCTCTTATATGGTGCTGATATTGAATCAAAAAACAAGGTATAGATCTACCAATTTTATCTTCAAAATACTGAAATGCATTCGTGTTAACATTGACCTGTGTAAGGGCCAGTTTTCCGTATTTGGAAGCTCAAGCATAACCTGAATGAAAATATTTTGAAATGACTTAATTATCTAAGACTTTATTTTAAATATTGTTACTTTTAAAGAAGCATTAGAGGGTACAGTTTTTTTCAGTGCACTTGTGGTTAATGCTTTTAAAAAAAAAAAACACGGAATTTGTAAAAGGTAATACTTTTTTTTTTTCAATTTTTCCCTGCCAAGTTTTTTTTTCCCTAACAAATGTAAAATGACAAAATTTGCCCTGGAAATAGGTTTTACATTAAAACTCCAAGAAAACTTAAACATGTTTCAGTGAATAGTAATCCTGCTACTTTGGCAAATTCCTAAAAAAACACTAATAGATATGAGGTGATGTATCTCTCAGTGGCAAGGCTTAAGATATTTCTGATTGCTCATGAGGCAGAATTGGAAAGGGAAAAATGCAGCAATCAGAAATACCAAGGCCAACTTGGAAATTAGGTAATGGGGGAAAAGACCATGAAGAGGTTTTTTTTTTGTTTTTGTTTTTGTTTGTGTGTGTGTGTGTGTGTGTGTGTGTGTGTGTGTTGTTATTGTTGTTCATTCATTTGTTTCCTTTATATGGTGAGACAGGGTTCTTTTCCATTTTAGAGAATGACAGTTTTCAGTTTGGGAGAGGGAGTTAGTGGGTTGTAAACTGCCTAGAGATCAATTTTAGGAGGCCTCTGAGGAACCAGATTGGCAGTGAATATGTGGTAATGTAGTGGGAAACCCTTGAGTAGAAGGAATAACAAGTAATTAACCAACTTAGTATCCTATTCTGGTAGAAATGGCCAATTAGAGTCTCAACTCTGCTTTCAATTCTAGAATGTCTTGATGGGAAGGTGGGAGATAAGGGGCTTATAAGTAAAAAGATCAGGTTGGATTTTGAGTTTACTAGACCTTGTTCTACTCTTACCAGGGAAAATTTTGTGGTGTTTTCAGCAAATGAGTCTCTCTCCTACTCTTTCCTCTTTTTGGCCAAATCCTCAAATGATAAAGGGAATTGTTTATGTGATGAGAGATGAGACTGAAATAATTGTCTATTGCACTAGCTTCCAGCTAGAGTTGTGCATTCCAGTTACCTCAGGAAAATTTTTAAATAATCTTCAGGTCTAGGTTTTCCCCTGAAGATTTTGATAGAGTAAGTCTAATAAAGCCTGGATATGTATGTTTAAAAATGTTTCCTTGAAGCCAGGCATGGTGGTGCATGGCTGTAGTCCCAGCTGCTAGGGAGGCTGAGGTGGGAGGATTGCCTGAGCTTAGGAGTTCTACTCTAGCCTGGTCAACATAATGAGACCCTGTCTCTAACAACAACAACAACAAATTTCTCAAAATCCGGATACACTCCTGCTTAACCACTGAATACAGAAGTGTAATATGTAAATTCTTATATCTCAGAAACTTCAGATATTTCTAGAAGAGTTGGAGTTGGATATGTGCTAATTCCTTTAAATCTTTCCTTTCCAATAACATTAATCTAAATTTTTGTTTGTTTGTTTTTGAGATGGGGTCTCACTCTGTTCCCCAGGCTGGAGTGCAGTGGTGCGGTCACAGATCACCACAGCCTTGACGTCCCTAAGCTCTGGTGGTCCTCCAATCTGTTTTTGTATTTTTTTTTTTTTAGTAGAGATGAGGTTTTTGCCATGTTTCTCAGGCTGATCTTGAACTCCTGGGCTCAAGTGAATCACCCACCTCAGGCTCCCAAAATGCTAAGATTACAGGTGTGAGCCACCATTCCTGGCCTAGTCTGACTTATCTCTGTCGTTGGGACATTAAAATAAATATTATTGGCACTATCTATCAGCTTACAGAATAATACCTTTTCCTTTCTACCATCAGTTATTCACTGCCATTCAGAAGGTCTTTAGAAATTTGCAGTGAGTAGTCTTCCAATAAGTAGAGGATGGCTCTCTCAGGACTTTGTGTCCCTTTGTTCAATCATTCAAGTGCTTAGGTCAGTAAGTCGTTTTTAAGAGCAGAGTTTTCTCAGAATTGTAGCAAATTCTAAACCTTTTTTGTCAATTGAAGCTATATTGTGGGCTATCCAGTATGTCTCTTAAGTTTGTAGAGCTTTGGCTTAATCAGGATGGCAGGTTTAAACACTCAAAACCATGGAGTTATTAAGAATACAGATAGGAAATCTCTTAGTTTCAGTAATCCTATGAACTGATTATCTATCTAGTTAACAATCTGGAAAAATTAAATACAAATAGATTTTAAATGAATAAATGTTGGAAAAAATTCTTGAAATGGGCAGTGTGAGTATTAATAGCAATATTTATTGCATGTTGGAGCTTGAACTTTGGTAAAACATGTGAAACTAAAGAAATATTTTACATTCAAATTCTTGCTTTATACACAACAATTTTGTCTTAGGATTGGATAATAATAGAGATAAAAGATACAGCCCCTGCCCTCAAGAAGCTTTTTGTTTAAATGAAAAAAAAAATCATCCAAAAGTGCCATGCCAAATGCTCATTTAGAAACAAAGAGTCTTGGAAACAGTAAATGTTTAAAGTGAGTTTTTGAGATGATCAGATTTAATGTGGTGAGGCAGAGAAGGGATGTTTCCAAGGGAAGGAGTGGCATGTGGGAAAGTACAGAAGAGTGAGAAGGAAGCGACCAAATTTTATTTACTTTCTGTGAGTGTAAGTCCATAAGCTTCCAGTTCAGTTGAGAGATACATAATTTTTTGAATTACATATTGTTTTTGTTTTATATTGTTTTACAGTGTGGCCTCACACCACTTTTGCTTGGCGTACATGAACAAAAACAGCAAGTGGTGAAATTTTTAATCAAGAAAAAAGCTAATTTAAATGCACTTGATAGATATGGAAGGTATGGTTATTTCTTTTAATCTGTGTGTTGTTCTAGATTGATAGCAGTCACTCAAGTCATAAATAATAAATTAATAAGATCAAATTATACTTATTGGGACATAGTGATCAGTATCAACACAAATCAGTTAAGTAGAAAAGCAATTATTTGGACTGGGCAACATAAAGAACTGTTTTAGTAGGATTCATCTTCTCTTATTATATTGACTGATGTTATTTGTTGTATGATGTTTTTGGTTACATGATCTTATGTTAGCTAAAGGGATTTCATATTAATTTTATGAAGTTTGAACTTTAACTTTCAGTTTACTTTATGACTCAGTATTGAACTTTTTAACCCTTTCTAGTAGGTTTTAACCTCTGTATCTTATATGCTTTTCCACTAAATATGCTGTATTAAACATAAATAGGAGTTGAAAATCCTTTTGTCTTTTCAATGACTCTGCTTTAAGTTGCTTTCTTTGAAGAATATTAATGTTAGCTTATCCCTACATGACAATTAATTGCTATTCCCACATACTGTGGGTTCAACAGCTTTTTTCCTTTTTTATTTCCAGTGTATTTTGATGTTTTTATTTTTAGTTGGTATGGAGAGAGGGAGTGAAGATAGTTTTAAGTGGATACACTTTTCCTTTAATGAAGGCAAGCTGTAGGTGGGTGACAAAGAGAAAAGAGCTACGCTTTGGATTCACACAAGACTGGGTTTAATTCCTAACTTTCTTACTTGCTACGTGTGTGACATTGGGAACGTGATTTACCACCCAATATGTTGTCATATGTGAAAAGTAGGAGAATATATCCTTCAAAGTTGGCTGTGCATAAGCAAGAAAGATACATGTGGCATTTAATTCAGTGCGTAGCACATGCTTATTGGCATCATTAACTGAAACTCCTGTGACTACTATTCTTACCATTATTATTAATATTACTGCTTTCAGCATGCAGAGAGCTCTTATTTATCTTAGCCCCTAGCTAATTTTCTATCACAGCATATCAGTCTAGGGAAGCTGTGACAAAATCTTCACTTAAATCTTTGTCCACTTCAGATAAGTGGCCCTAGCATTGTTTCTTGCCCATCAAAGGACTTTAAATTAGTAGCTTCTGCTATGCAATACCCCACTGAGATAAGAGGTTTCCTTTTTGTCCCTTCCTTTTAACCTTGGTGGTATTTTACAAAGATGAACTCTTGAGCACCCAAGATGCTTATGTCTTTTAGCGCATGTAAATGTTTGATTCTGCATGGACAGGCAAGATGTCAAATTGGTAAAGTATATCAAATTAGCTTTTAAAATAACTTTATTACAGTTTCTAAAGGAGAAATTATCTCTGTAATTTTAGAACTGCCCTCATACTTGCTGTATGTTGTGGATCAGCAAGTATAGTCAATCTTCTACTTGAGCAAAATGTTGATGTATCTTCTCAAGATCTATCTGGACAGACGGCCAGAGAGTATGCTGTTTCTAGTCATCATCATGTGTAAGTGTTTACATGAAAAGGCTAGTTAATGCTAAATTGAGGTTTAAAATAATTATAACAATTGCATCTTACATATCAGGTGAGATGTCATAGTTTGGTTCAGGTAGTTTTAGAGTGGCAGTGAGTTAGTCCCCTGCATCAGCCAGAAATCAGACAAAAAGCAAGACAAGTTAGAAGTACCAATGGGTGCAGGATTCTTTACCTCAGGACTTTTAAGACCTTTATCCTTAGAGATCCCAATATTGTTCATTTCATCCAAGTATAACACCTATGCATGGCATAAAAAAGAGTATCACATCTTTGATTTTTCTGATTAGTTATTTGGGTCTTGAAATGTCCAGTTTAGCAGAAAGCCTTGTACTGTCTTCTGGGGACTGTCTCCTACATACTCCTTGAATTTTTCAAGAACCAAAGGGGTTCACTAAATCCAAGGAAGACAGTCCCTTTTATCAAGTCAGAAGGAGGAGAGAAAAAAGGACATTCCAATCATTCTGTTGTTTCCATTGTTTCTGTTGCTGCATTGTTGCCACTCAAACTGCTTCTGCTGCCTGGTAATTGTTGACCTTTGACACCAAGGTGCCCTTACTGATTCAGATCCCTCAAGTCTTCATGGGGATTCACACAGTGACTTTGAAGTTACAACATTTTTTAGTTCCCTTACCTATGCTTATATGCTCAGCCATTGTTCCCAAAGCACCAGCACCCTGCTCTGGCCGCTGGGCATCCTGACTTTATCCGCACACAAAGTGAGCAAATTGACCCTTCCTCCTGTATTCAGAACCTAATGTGGAACCCACATCTTAGCTAAGAATTAGCTGAGACCTTCATGGTAAGAGATCCTTTCAGGCCGTTGTTGGTCTTTTCTCTAGCAGATATGAGGTGGGCTTGTTATAAAGGGTCAGAGGGGTTCAAATAATGTGGCAGAAAGAGATCAGTGTTTGTTTCTTCTTCTTTGCTACCAGATCTACACAGTGAGGCACCTTTATATCCTGTGTAGAACCTTAGGCAGTAGAAAGTCCCATATGAGCCTTCCCCAAGCAGTGGCTCCCAGCTGTGGTTGGCCCCTTGAGTGATCTGATTTACATGATAATGAAAATCGTCCAAGCTACTTCCATCTCTAGCTCAAGATTTTAAAATATTTTCAAATTGTACCTCACAGGAAGCCATTGAAGAGAATTCTCAGAATCTCACGTGGGTTAAGTAAGTAGTGATGAGTCATGGACAAGAGCCAAGCCTTGCCCATGACTCATCACAAATCATGTGTAAAAGTAGGGCTTTGTGCCTGCTTTGGCGGCACATATCCTAAAATTGGAACAATACAGAGAAAGTTAGCACGGCTTCTGCATAAGGAGGCAGCACAACTCTTTGAAGCATTCCATATTTTGTGCAGTCACTGGAAGATCATTTCACTATTTGCTGGCTAGCTCTAAGGAAACAGTGTGAATCAAAGCAAAATGGGTGCCACCAAAATATCGAAATGTGATTTGTGCTGCAAAAATAGTCATGGAAGATGGTCTGTGAGATGATTTAGAGCTGAATAATGTGTTCAGTGCAAAATATATTATAAGTATGTACGTCAAAAATTAGAGAATGTCAATTTGCAGCTTCTTCATGAAAACTGAAAAAAAATAAAAGTAGAGTTTTGGTCTCCCATGTCAGCTGGAATTGAACATCAATATAAAGCATTATCCTAACAAACATCTGCTGGCTCAGAGTTTGAGTCTGTAGAGAAGGATCATTGCTCCAAGCCAGGTCTTAACATCCATTGGTTTTTCTGCCCTTAGCACAACAAATTGGTCAACTCCGTAATAGTGGACAATCACATTATCTACTTTAATGAGAGATTTATGAAAAAATTTAGTTACAAACTATGACACAGTTGAGATGCCCTGAATGATAAGCCATAAGGAGTAGGACAACTAAGAAGCAAAATTAGGACTTAATAACATTTCCTGAAAACTACAGCATTTGCATATTAGAACCTATGAACAAAATACACATGGGGTTTTATTTGGGATTCCAAGATAATTTTAGTCATAAAGTTTAGGAACAGATTATTCCATTGCTTTACTATTTCTCTGAGCATTTAAAAAATGTTACCTTGTTAAATCTTTATAACAACCTAGTGAAATAAGGCAGCAAAGTCCTCACTTTGTAGAAGAAGACATTGAGCCTAAGAGAAGAAAGTTGTCCAAGAACAAATAGCTGTTCATTATGGAGCTAGGACTTATGCAGAGTTGGGACACTTTCTATTATGTCATGCTAATGCCTGCTGATTTACTGGGTCACAGTGCCCTTGATTTATGAGCATTTCACCTAATTTTTTTTCTTCTTTAATTAGAAGCTTAAAGAAAAGTTTGTAGAATGTACTCATAAGTGTATGGGATAATACTGTTAAATTCTGATATTATGATATTGTTTGAAATACTCTAAGAATCTTACATTTGGTAAGTATTTTTTATATCAGTATTAAAATAGTAATTTGGTTTATTACATTTTTATACATAGAATTTGTGAATTACTTTCTGACTATAAAGAAAAACAGATGCTAAAAATCTCTTCTGAAAACAGCAATCCAGGTAAGACTTGTGATAATGAATTACTTTAGGTCAGTTGTCCACAATGTTTTTGGCATCAGGGACCGGTTTTGTGGAAGACAGTCTTTCCATGGGCTGGGGGAAGGTGGGGATGGTTTCAGGATTATTCAGCCATGTTTCATTTATTGTGCTACTTTATATTATTATTACATTGTAATATATAATGAAATAATTATACAACTTACCATAATGTAGAATCCGTGGAAACTCTGAGCTTATTTTTCTGCAACTAGATGGTCTCATCTGGGGGCAAAGTGAGACAGTGACAGATCATCAGGCATTAGTTTCTCATATGAAGCACACAACCTAGATCCCTCAGATGAGCAGTTCACAATAGGGTTCATGCTCCAATGAGTATCTAGTGCTATCACTGATCTGACTGGAGGCAGAGTTCAGGCGGTAATATGAGCCATGGGGTGTGGCTGTAAGTACAGGTGAAGCTTCCCTGGTTTGCCTGCTGCTCACCTCCTCCTGTGTGGTGTGGTTCATAATAGTCCATGGACTGGTACCAGTCTGTGACCTGGGAGTTGTGGACCCCTGCTCTGGGTGGTCCTACCGTAGATAAAAAAATAAAAGTAAGGAATTTTTGATCACAAAAGAACGCCAAAGCACAAGTCATGTTACATATCCTTGTCCCAACAAGGTCTCACTCTTACTGACTTCATTCCTCCTCATTTGAAGTTGGAAAGAGATACATTTACTTTGTTGGAACAAGATGTGTTCTCTACCTGCTGGTCAATTGTCTTGATAACAGTAATTTTGTTAGAACAAGATGCTCTGCTACCATTTACCAAAAGATTGTCATAATAAATATACAAATTGCCCAACTCTAGGCTCAGCAGATTATAATAAAAGTAGAAAAATGCTTCACATTAACAAAAATACTAGTATGCCACCTGGTTGTGGACACCTAATACATTGTATAATCCAAACTGGATGAGGACACCTTTAATTTAGCCATCTATTTATCAAAAAGCTTCTGTAAGTTAGGTTTTATAAGTTGCAGAAGACAAAGATGGAATAGATGTAGTTTTGATCTTTAAGGTGCTCATAATAGAGGTGTCTCTATTTCATTTCTGTGCTTTTTCAACAGAATTTACAAAGAAAACATTTCTATGTTTTCACTTGTCCACTTAACAAATAACTATCAAATGTCTTTTAGATACTAATCATTTTTCTAATGCTACAGAACACACACAATTAAAAATACAGACAGGAGCTTGTTATTATCATTGTCACTTTTATTATTTTACTACTTTATTCAGTGCTTACTGTGTGCTAGATGCCAACTGGAAGCTTATAATTATGATTTATTATGTATTAATTATGTGCCAGACATACGTGATGAGGAATGAAAGTTTTGAAAAAAAGTAGGTATGATTCAAAGTAAGCATGCAGAGTGAGAAGAATTTTTCTAGGTAAAGAAGCAGAAGAATAATTTTTGGCAGAAGGAACATGCAACAAGTTTGTGTGTTTGCCAGAAGAACATCTGATGAGATTGCCTGTTTGGCAGGAAGAGCAACAACTGCAAAAGACAGGATGCCGAGTGAACTTTGCAGGGTTTCTGAGCAGTTCACTTTTGCTAGTACCAAAAGTGTGAGACACCAGAGTTTGGGAATGAGGTGAATACTTAGCTAAGGCAAGTTTATGATAGACTTTTTTAATACTATAGAAATGAGTAGGTCTTACCCTGTGGGCCATGGGAAATTTACCAGGTAGAATGCTTTGGACTGTAAATACTAGATGAGCAGTGGCTAAAACAGTAGGAACCAGAGTTGTTTTGGTTGTTCAGTGATATCCTAGGATCCCATTTGTCCCTCTTTCAGCTGTGCTGTTGGCAGTGTTTTCTTCATGTTTCCTTTCATGGTTGGCTAATCCGCAGCAGCTCCAAACATCTTGTTCTCACAACACAACATTTCAAGGGCTGCTTTTCTTCACATGTGTCTTTTAAACAGGGAGAAAACTTAGAAGCATGCAAGGGGCTTCCTGTAACATTTCATTGGCTGGGTCACACCACATGCTCATTCCCAAACCAGGCAATGGGATGGCAAATACATGATTAGCTTAGAATAAACATTTCTCTTTCTGAGGCTGAGGAGGGGGATTGGGATAATAAATATCCCAATAGACTTGTGTTTCTTCTGCAAGAAAGAATAAGGAATGGCTATTGATAGGAGCCAACAATGTGTGCTGCAGGGGCTCATTGGAGAAATTTGAGCAGGGGAGTTACAAGATTAAATTTGAATATTAAGGCATATTCTGCTTATGGTGTAAAATGGGTTAGCAAGCTTTTTCTGTAAAGGACCAGGTGGGAAATATTTTAGACTATGTGGTCTCTGTCATATCTACTTAACCAGGCTGTTGTCTGTTGTTGTAGTGTGAAAGCCACCATGATTATATGTAAGCAAACAGGCATGACTGAGCTCCTATAAAACTTTATTTACAAAGCCAAAAGGCAGATTGGATTTGTCCTGTGGCCTATAGTTTGCTGGGATTGATGGAAGATAACCATGTAAAGAAACCAGGAGACAAAGGAAGCTTTTGCAGTAGTCATCTATAGTTTCCATGTCACACATCCTTGGACTAGTATCAATGTATTCTAAGGTTTTCACCTGCCCATGGTGAAATAAAGTTTGGAATCCCCATTACTCATTTTAATGTGTTGGCCTTTTTTTGGTGTTATGCTTTTTTCATTTGTTTTGCTTAATTTTTTTCATGTGAGAAATAACATTAATAGTTGGAAGGCTTTTTTGTAATAAAAGCCATTTTGTAAATGTTTATGTTCTCAGTGGAAGTGGTAATATAAAGCAGAGGCAGAAGAGAGGTATAGTCAATATGATTTAGTGATAATTGAATGAGAAAGGTTTGGAGGACAGAGAGAAATGTCAGATAATTTACAGGTTTCCACGTTGTACACTAGTATTTAAGCTGGGCATGAGGAAGGAGTACGAAATTTTCTCCATGACCTGTGTGAGTCACAGCTTCCAGAAAAGAAAGAGAGCAAGGAGCATATTAAGGAAGCACAGCAAAGTCAGTCCTAGAGTGCCCTGCTTGACTTCATGTCATAGTTCTGACTTCTAAAAAATCATTTTCTGCAAAATGTGCTTTGTGTTTTTCCCCTCTTGCAGCCTGCAGCCAAACAGAATCCCTTTAGCAGGGCATTTTTGTGTTCTTCCTTTAAACAAAGCAACATATAAATAACAAAAAAGAAGTAAGAGAAAGAGTATTTTTTGTATAGGCTAGCATTTAACTTAAACTTGAGAGCGAGTACTAGGATTATACTTAGAATTTATGGACTGGGTAGGAAGACTAGATAGAAATCTAAAGATTGCTGACTCAAACACAGTGTGATTTTTTTGCTTTATTCTCACAGCTCTGAATTCACAACTATTAGTTATATTCATATACACTATAACTTTATAAAGCACCTTCCCAAACAAATATTAAGTGATTTATTATAATTTCTATGACTTATTATAGAATTGACTTTCCAAGTGTTCATGAGAATTATTGGGAATTTGCTACATAGTATCATCTCAGCTGTGTCCACATGAGCTAGCTGTCACCTTGTCTTAATGAATAATGGCTCACTAGGAATATTGGTTTTGGCATTAAAATGATCTACATCTTAATACAGATAGGACCAGGGACCACTCTTGAACGTTAATGTCTAAGCATCTTAAAGGTACACATAAGGCTTTCATAATCTGACTTCTGCCCTATTCTACATCTTTAGCCCTTTTCCCTGTGTGCCCTTTCTCTGGCATTACTGAGTGGCTCTTAATGCCCTACTCACTCCTCCTTCTATTGCAGGCAAATACTTTCACTCTTTCAGGCCTCGCTCCTGCTCTTGCTGCTGTGTGGCATGCTGTCACCCTTTCTTGCCCTCTACCACTTTTAATCTAGCTAGCCTCAATATTTAAGTCTCTGCTTGGGCAGGTGTTCTAGAAAAGCCATCCCTGACAGGCTTTATTTTCATTCTTTTTAAACCCTAACACCTAGCATGTATGTAGCAGGACTCAATAAGAAATTTCTGAGTAAAATAAAGACTGTTTTTACAAAGATGATGTGCAAGACTGTCCTCTGCAGTCTTGGAGCAGAGGGGACAGACATGTGGAGGAATAGTGTACAGTTCAGGTGGTAAAGGTGCAGTAGAAAAATCAGTGAGGTCCTAAGGCAACCTCAAGGAAGGAGTTACCTGTTTATCTGGGGAAAGATCTGCAGAATCAAGGAAGACTTCCCATAGCATTGTTTTAAAAGATGAAAACAAGGCTGGGTGTGGTGGCTCACACCTGTAATTGCAGCATTTTGGGAGGCTGGAGCAGGTGGATCACAAGGTCAAAAGATCAAGACCATCCTGGCCAATGGTGAAACCCCATCTCTACTAAAAATACAAAAATTAGCTGGGCATGATGGTGTGTGCCTGTAATCACAGCTTCTCAGGAGACTGAGACAGGAGAATCATTTGAACCAGGGAGTCAGAGGTTGCAGTGAGCTGAGATTGTGCCACTGCACTCCAGCCTGGTGACAGAGCAAGACCCCAGCTAAAACAAAAAAAAAAGAAAAATGAAAATAAATTTGTCATAATAGTGGATGGAAACATTTTAGATGTTAAGAAGACATTGTACACTAATAAAGGTGTCAGTAGTAATTTTGGAAATCGTTTGTAAGGTACTATTTTTGCAGAAAACAGGAGGCAGGAGAGACCCAGTGGGTCAAACAAGAGGATTTTGTTTAGGTGCACACCAGCTCAGCGGATTTGCATCAAAAAGCTGAGCCCTGAACAAAGACAGGGCTTGGCTTATATAGGCAAACTTATAGAAGCAGAACAAAGGCAGTTAATCATATAGTGACAGTTTTGCAACCACTGCATAGCTTGCGACCTTGCAGCTGCATTGAGGGAAAACAAGAATTTGCAAAATATATGCATTTGTAAAAATAGCTATGAATAAATGCTGAGGGGGAGGGGAGATGGTAAAGGAATTTGTTTTCTTAACCTTGCTCTGGGATGTCTGGAGCCCATACCTGTGGGCTCTGGCTTCTCAGACAGGGTCACCATGACCTTTCCTGGGCCTGCTTGTTACTATCCTTAGAGTCAGACTAGCTAAGTGCAGGAAAACTTGTTTCTCTTTAAAACTAAATTTCCTTTTCTTTACATTTACTGCTTCACTATTAGGAAGTGAACAACATACTGAGTTACCTTATATGTTTCTACTGTATTTTAAAGTTGTGTTTCTGGTGGTTTTGTTCATTTATGTTGGGTGGATGAATTTGTGAGTGAATCACATCAGGTGTCTCCCCAAGTGGTTTGTTGAAGTTTTGGAGAATTATTTCCTAAGTAACTATTTCATGAAAGACTAAACACTCAGTTTATGAAATAAAATAAAATGTTGTCTTCAATCTATTTTTATAAAGGCAATAGTTTTTAACTGTTCTAAGTGGTTCATTTTAACTGAATATATGGATTTCTCAACAGAACAAGACTTAAAGCTGACATCAGAGGAAGAGTCACAAAGGCTTAAAGTCAGTGAAAATAGCCAGCCAGAGGCATGGAAAATTTTAAGTTTAAATTTTTGATTTAATGTTGTTTTCTTTGCTTGAATAATATTAGATAGTCCAAATGAAATTACCTTTCAGACTAGGTTTTAAGAATCAATAGATTCTTTTTTTAAGAATTTTTTAATAGATTCTTAAAATTTATTTTAATAAATTCAGCAATCTCATTAACAGAAGAATTAATAAATTCTAACTTGACATTTGATATTTAGCTTAAAAACGTAACCACTATAAAATTTAAAATACTCTTATTTTATGGTATTCTTATTTAAAATATTCTTATCTGCCTTTTTGATTAGCTTATAGCTAATCTTTCCTTTTGGAATAGAGGCAAAAACATATTCCAGACCTTTGTTTGTTCTTTTATTTTTACAACACCCTAACATGATAAAGTACCATCAATTATTGGATTATATTATTAAGCAATAGAACTGTGAACAATGTAACACTGAAGGTCCCTGAGCTGGATTCATGGTTAAAGAATAATCACGGCCAGTGATTGAAAATCTGCAGTTTTATATTGTCAGTCACAGATACCAAGGTTAAAGACATATTCTGCCTTGTGGTCTCTCACTGACCTCAGCATTTCTGTTCAGGGAGGGAACCAGGTCATAAAAGCAACCCAACTGCCTATTACAAGAATCATATCTTGCAGAATGGGACATTTGGTGTTAGTGCACAAACACAATAACCTTCTACCTTATTTCAGTTGCAGAAAATCAGTACAGATTATTAAAAAATTTTTATCCACTGTAATTAGTACACCTTAGAATATATTAGAACTGGACTTAAGCAGATCATCTAGATACATAACACTATCATATTACAGCATATAATTTCAATTAAAATTTAAGAATTTGCATTTCTTCCTCTTTGGTGTTGATTTCAGCTCCTAATAATTTAAAGCGTGCCTACAATCCAATTAGGAATCTTTTTAAAAAGCACTTCAGTGCACTATAGGGGCTCACTAGTTAGGGTTTCATGAGATATACTCTTTTCAAGTGAGGAAGCCCTTGGAACACTACAAATCATCTGCTAATTCATTTTTGGTAGATTTAACACATAACAAATTAAGTTTAGTCCAAACAAATGGTGACAAAGTTAAGTTTGCTGGTTCATGTTTTTATTCTCCCTTTGTCTAAGGTGAATTATTTTCCCATGTTAGTCAGAAGCCAATGATGTGGCAGTAGCTAAACATAGATTAAAAAGTTAATTCTTAATTTTAATTATTTATTTATTTAATTATTTTAAGTTAAATTTTATTTTATTTTCTAATTTTTCATGTCCATACTTGATTACTTAAGAATAAAATTATTTTAACATGCATTCCAAAAGAGGAGACATACACGGAAATACAACAAGCAAATTAACCTTCTATTTTTGCATCTGCAGAAAATGTCTCAAGAACCAGAAATAAATAAGGACTGTGATAGAGAGGTATACCTTTATGTTCAAATGTTTCTGTGGAATTAGATTTTTATGTTATGCTGTTTAACAAAGTGTAGTAAGTGTACGCATACATGATCCTATCATGTAAGTAGCATAAATCACCAGTGAAAAATTTAATATTTAACTCAGAAAGAATTCTGTACATTGAGTTTTCAAGAGATACAAACCCTAGAGAGATTCTTTCATTATTATGGAACAATCCTGAATGGTGCCATAAAATGCTAGGTAATGCCTCTTTAGGAGATTTGGACCAATCCTTTTATCTTTCTTGGTTTTAGTCTGATTATCACTAGATAATGTGGCTAAAGAAGATAATTACTTATTCTTTGTAATTTCCAGCTGGAAAATTGTATAGCTATTGAATGTGAAATTTGGGGAGCATCTAATTTTCTGGAATTCCATGCTTGCACCTCAGCAGTTTCACTCTGCTCCTTGTGTTGTGGCAAACTTTGGTTTTCATGTTTCAGTGAGCACCATCATGTTTTTGATATCCAGGAACCAAATGAAAAAAGAACGATCAAAGGCAGTGGGAGAGGAGAATATCTTAGTGCAGAAAAGGGCCATCTTCCTTTCTATTCCTGAAGCCCCCCAGTGTCTCATCCTCTACATCTGAGTGTTTAATGTAAAATCTAGGTGGTAAAGACAGAAGACACATTTTGTGTCTATGTCGTTTTATTTTTGTGTTCCCACGAGTCAAATGGGGTAAATTCATATATAAGATTCTGAAGAGTTTTTGGGAATAAAAGCACAAAATGAAGGAGGGCCCTTTTTGAATTTTGGAAAATTCTGTTTTATTCAGTCAAACAGCTGGAATCAAGCAAACTACAAAAATTTCAGTGATATACTAATGACATGATAATTACATCTTAAAATTATACGGTTATAGTTCTGTATATATGATCAAATTTAAGTGTGAAATATTTTTAATGACTAAAATAATGGCAAACTGAGTCAATTGATAAAATCAATTAAAAAGGTTATTTTTATTCAATAAAGTGATAACCATCCTTAATATCAAACTTCCACTCAAGGTTGAAGAAGAAATAAAGAAGCATGGAAGTAATCCTGTGGGATTACCAGAAAACCTGACTAATGGTGCCAGTGCTGGCAATGGTGATGATGGATTAATTCCACAAAGGAAGAGCAGAAAACCTGAAAATCAGCAATTTCCTGACACTGAGAATGAAGAGTATCACAGGTAAGCCTATAGGAGATAACTATATGCTGTCAAACTAATCCTAATTTGGGCTTTCATGATGAACAAATTTTATACTTTTACTAGAATATTCAGCCTTGCCTGTTAATCAGAAAAATGAAAATCAGTAAACAATGAGTTACCGTTTTTTCCAGTCATTAATTTATTTGAAAAATAACCGGCATTGGCAAATGTGAGGGAAAAGGCATTTCCTTTTCTTTTTAATGAACTTTTATTTTAGCTTCAGAAGTTCATGTGTAGGTTTATTATATAGGTAAACTGTGTCATGGAGGTTTGGACTACAGATTACTTCATCAGCCACATAATAAGCAAAATACTCGAGAGGTAGTTTTTTGGTCATCTCCCTCCTGCCACACTCCACCCTCAAGTAGACCCTGGTGTCTGTTATTCTCCTCTTTGTGTCCATGAGTTTTCATTGTTTAGTTCCCACAAATGAGTAAGAATATGTGGCATTTGATTTTCTGTTCCTGCATTAGTTTGCTTAGGATAATGGCCTCCAGCTCCATGTGTGTTGCTGCAAAGGAAATGGTCTCATTGAAAAAGACAATTCATACACTGTTGGTAAATATATTTTGAACATTAATTTATTAGCATATTTGCACACACACATATATAACATAGTAAGTATATATATGTATGTTAAGGATATTTGTATAGATTTGTCACATATATACTTATGTATAAGGACATTTCTTACAGCGTTATTATATCAAAAAGATGGATCCTTATCAATAGGAATTTATCATTATCAAAAGTAAATCCTTACCAATAGGAAATGGCTCAATTTTCATACCCAGAAAATAATACGGTATGCAAACATTTTTTACAAATGAGGTTAGATCTAGAGTATACTGATTATTTCACAATTAAAATGTATTTAAAGCATTTAGTTTGGTAACACATCTTAAGATAATTTTGTTAGAATTCTTGTAATATCTGCTGTGTTGCAAATGGAAGCTACACGCTACATTGACACTGTACCTTGTTAGCAACGAGATTGGTAGTTATTAAATTTTTGTTGTCAGTGCCTGAGTGCCAAAATATTGGACCTTCAATCTGAATATTGCCAAGGGATTGTACATGGGGACCTATATTTAATATAAACATTTGAGTATATTGGGTAAAACTTTTATTAAAATATATCAAAGTATCTTTCATCTGCTAAACCAGGAGCTGGCCAGCTTTTTCTGCAAAGAGCCATTTAGTAAATATTTTAGGCTTTGTGGACTATATATATTTATTTTTTTTGAGACAGGGTCTCTGTTGCCCAGGCTGGAGTGCAATTGTGTGATCACAGCTCACTGCAGCCTTGACTTTCTGGGCTCTAGTGATCCTCCTCCCACCTCAGCCTCTCTATTAGCTGGGACCCCAAGTGTGCAACATCACACCCAGCTAATTGACTCTATGGACTGTAAAGTGAATAAGCATGGCTGTGTTCCAAGATTCTTTACTTACAAAAACAGTCAGTGGCCTGGATTTGGCCCACAGGTGCTAATTTGCTGACCCTTGTGCTAAAAGGAAGGTGCTGCTAATGCAGTAACACTTATTTATAAAAGTGCCCAGCATGTGTGACAGTATCTTTCCTTTGAGAAAAAGATATATTTTGGTATTCACCTCACCATATTTTTCCACAGTGACTTCATATATTTTTAAAAATTTCATTTGTAAAATAAGATTATTTTCTGCATTTCTGCCACTTTATTCCTGTTAATAGAATTCAGTATTTTATGGTGATCAATTACTTTGTATATTCGATGAGCATCAACTGTCCTAGAATTGGCTGATTTTTATCAAGCAAGAAATACTCTCCTTGAAACTTTTAGTTTTTCTTGGTCTTTATGTATAAGCATGAACAAAATGATAATTAGCTTATGTAATCTAGAAATGGTCAAGGCAACTTTTAGTTCTATAGTTTTAAGATTTAACACCTTGGTCTGGCATTTTTAATGCCACATGTGTATAATTTTTATAAGCTTTAAAATATATAATTGTTATATAAAATTTGAAAACTACACCTTTTATGTAAAATTTGAAACTATTTGTCTATTACTTTTCCATGACTGTGGAAGAAAATTACAACATTCTCAGCCATGACTCCTAAGTATGATGTCCTTAAAAGAACTGTCTACACTCACGAACTCAAATTTTCTTTTCATTCACTCTTGATCTCATGCCAGTAAGTCTTCAATTTCAGCAGTCCTCCAGCATTGTTTTTCCTCAAGATTATCACTAATTTTTTTCTGTAATAAATCTAGGCACTTTTCTTCCACCTCATTTTATTTAATCTGTCAGCAATATTTGAGCCAATGGAGGGCATCTCCTCCCTAACGGCATCTTCACTTGGCTTTCAGGACCTCACTCCCTCAGGCTTTTCCTCCTGCCTTTCTAGTCCATTCATCATGGTCTGTTTTGCTTGCTCCTCCTCATCTTTCTCCTTTTGGACATTGTTGTTTCCCAGGGCTCACTCCTCAGTCTTCTTTCTTGTGACTTTTTCTTTTTCTTTTTTGGAGACAGAGTTTCACTCTGTCTCCCAGGCTGGAGTTCAGTGGTGTGATCTCGGCTCACTACAACCTCTGCCTCCTGGGTTCAAGCAATTCTCCTGCTTCGGCCTCCTGAGTAGCTGGCATTACAGGTGCATGCCACCGTGCCCAGCTGATTTTTGTATTTTTAGTAGACACAGCATTTCCCCATGTTGGCCACCCTGGTCTCAAACTCCTGACCTCAGGGGATCTGTCTGCCTTGGTCTCACAAACTGTTGGGATTACAGGTGTAAGCCACTGCACCTGGCCCCTCGTGACTTTTTCTACTGTGTATATGCTAGTGATTTCTGAATGTATGTCTCCAGCTCAGATCTTTCTCCTTAATTCCAGATTTCTATATCAGCCTGCCTACTTGACGTCTCTATTTGGTTAGTTATTGGGTATCACACACTTGTCAGATCCAAAATTGGGCTACTGATGTCCTTCCTGAAATCTGCACCTCATGTAGTCTTTCCTATTTTTGGTTAAGGGCAACTCTTCCAGTTGCTCTGCCAAATATCTCGGTGTCATTCTTGACTCATCTCTCTCTCTCTCTGACACCTCACATCTAATCTCTCAGTAAATCTTGTCAGGTCTACCTGAAGAATATGTCCAGAAGTCAGTCATATCTTGTACATCTGAGCCACCCTCATCTGCAGTCTAGATGAGTGTCATAGACTGGGAATTGATAGTCCTGGTTTTTAAAAACTTCCCTTTTCATCAATTCTTAACTCAGTGGATGTATTTAAAACATAAGTCAAATTGTGTCATTCCTCTGCCCCAGCCCTTCTGATTATCTCCCATTTCACTCGGAGTATGTGTCAAAGTTCCTCCTAATTATCTCCCTTGCTCTGCTTCAGCCAAACTGAATTCTTGCCGTCCCTTATCTACCCCTAGTGCTTAAAGATGCCAGGCACACCTCTGTGATTCGCAGTTCCCTGTGTCTGGAATGCTTTTTCCCCAGTTATCCTCCTAGCTTTCTCTTTCCATTCCTTCAGTTCTTTATTTAAAACCCCCTTTCTAAGAAGAAGAGGAAAAAGGGTAAAAAGAAAGACATTAAGGAACAACCACTTTCTGAGGAAGAACAGCGTGCTACCTAGACGCGTCATGCTTGAGGTTCAATTGGGTGCCTACCAGGGATGCTCTCTAACGTAATGAAGGGAAGGTTCAGTGAAACAAAGTGATTTAACATCTCTAACTTCAAACCCATTTGTATCTTGACATCAATGCCGTTAACCTTATGTCGTCATTTCTTAGAGTCTTTGATATACAAATAAAAGGTTTTTTGTATTAGAAAAAAAAATCCCCTTTCTCAGCAGGGACTTTTCTGACCACCCCAACTTTCCCACCACCCTCCCCATGAAACACATAAACATTTCATTTTCCTGCTTTAGTTTTTCTCCTCTAACATACTGTATATTTTGCCTTATCTGTCTGTTGTTATTGTGTGTTTTTCTCACTCTCATGAATGGGGTTTTTATTTTTCACTACCATATCCTCACTGCCTAGAAAAAGGCCTAGCATATTGGATGAAGCTACCTAATAAATACTTATTAAATGAGTGAATGGAGTTTATCCTGGATATATTGTTTGATTAATTCTCACTTTAAAAATGTTTGACATGGTTCATTCTAACAGTTTTGCCCGGTAATTACATGCATTTTAAAAATTGTTTTGGCTCTTTATAATAAGCTACATTCTTTATATTATTTTTTTATTTAGAGAGAAAAGCCCAATATTGTGGTTATTCACTATTTATTCTTTTACTAGTAAACATAATTGTAATTATGGTAAACTGAGTCAGAGGAATTGTAAACTTTACTGGTATTTTATTTTATTTTGAGATGGAGTCTTGCTGTATCCCCCAGGCTGGAGTTCAGTGGTATGATCTCAGTTCACTGCAACCTCCGCCTTCTGGTTCATGCATTTCTCCTCCCTCAGCCGCCCAAGGAGCTGGGATTACGGGGGCATGCCACCACGCCTGGCTAATATTTGTATTTTTAATAGAGATGGGGTTTCACCCTGTTGGTCAGGCTGGTCTCAAACTCTGTACCTCAGGTGATCCACCCACTTCGGCCTTTCAAAGTGCTGGGATTACAGGCATGAGCCACTGTGCCTGGTCACTAGTATTTTATTTAAAAAAAAATTAGGGTGGCACATTTAATGGACTTACAAATTCTTTTCAAGGGATTATGAACCTTTGGTATTTGAAATAAAGATACAGAGTTGGAATTTTTTGCTTCCTATAGTAAGAGGAATACTGGTCAGGCACTGTCTATTCTGGTGGAGCAGGTGCTGCTGCGTGGCTGTATTTCAGAAGCAAGCTGCTCACATTGATATTGGTTGGTGAGCAAGAGCAGTGGTCATTGATTGATTGACTAGATTTCAAACTGGCTTTTGGGTGGCTTGTTGTTACCATTGGTACAAGTCATTTCTTTCCTAAGTTAGAGTCAACTTTAACCAAAAATTTTCTGTATAAAAGTTGCCTTCAATTAACTATGTTCAAAATGAAAGTACTTTATATTCCAGAATTGTAGACTTCATTTTAAAATTTTGGTCAAGATGAATTGGTTAATAATAGCTCTCAGGAAGATCTGTTTTCCTTTTTTAAAATACATATTTCTCTGTATAATTTATTCCTTAAAATTAATTATTTTCTTTCTGTTTTTTGTATTTTTAGAAGCTTTTGCTCAAGTCCTAACATAATCTCCAGTAGGAGATTTTAGTCTCTTTGTCAGTTCATGTATGTATATGGTAGTGATACTCTCTTTTTAAATTCCTTTTCTCATTCACTTTCTTCTCAGTACAATAACAGTGATATTCTTATACATCTGTACCTCATTTAAAAGTAATTACAGTTTTCTGCTGGCAAATTCAGCTTTTTATATTTTGACTAAATACTAGGCTAAAATTGAAGAAAATTTACCAGGTCATTTTATTTTCAAACAAAATCATTACTAATAAAAATTGCTATTTTTGAAATATAAATAATGACATTTTGATATTTTAAAAGTAAGGATACACCCCCCCCAATAGTTTCGCTTTGTGTTTCCACCCAAATCTCATGTCAAATTGTAATTCCCAGGTGTTGAGAGAAAGACCAGCTGGGAGGTATTGGATCATGGGGTCGGTTTCCTCCATGCTGTTCTCTTGATAGTGAGTTCTCACAAGAGCAGATAATTCTATAATGGGCTCTTTCCCTTTCACTTCTCTCTCTCCTGCCACCTTTTGAAGAAGTTGCCTGCTTCCCCTTTACCTTCTGCCATGATTGTAAGTTTCCTGAGGCCTTCCCAGCCATGTGTAACTGTGAATCAATTAAGCCTCTTTCCTTTATGAATTACCCAGTCTCAGGTATACATACATACATATATATATATATATATAATTTTCTTTATTCCACTCATCAGTTGATGGACACTGGCTGATAACATATCTTTGCATATGTGAATTGTGCTGCAGTAAACATATGTATATAGGTGTCTTTTTGAGAGTATGATTTCTTTTATTTTGGGTAGGTATCCAGAAATGAGAATGCTGGATAGAATGGTAAGATCTACTTTAACAGAACTCTCCATAATGTTTTCCATAGATTTGTACTAATTTGTATCCCCACCAGCAGTGTATAAATCTTCTTTTTTCACCACATCCACACCAACATCTGCTGTTTTTTTTATTTTAGTAGTGACCATTCTGGCTGAAGTGAGGTGATATCTCACTGTTGTTTTATTGTACATTTCCCTGATGATTAGTAATATTTAGCATGTTTTTATATTCTTGTTCACCATTTGTACATCTTCTTTTGAAAAATGTCTATTCATGTCATGTGCCCACTTTTTAATGGAATTGTTTGTATTTTTCCTGCTGATTTGTTTGAGCTTCTGGTAGGTTATGGACATTAATCCTTTGTTAGATTCATAATTTGCCCATATTTTCCCCATTGTATAAGTGGTTGGCTCACTTTGATGATTATTTCTTTTGCTGTGCTGAAGCTTTTTAGTTTAATTAGGTCTTTATTTATTTATTTATTTATTTATTTATTTATTTTTATTTTTGTTGCTTTTGCTTTCAGGGTCCTCATCATAAATTATTTGCCTAGGCTAATGTCTTCTGGTCTTAGGTTTAGGCCATTAATCCATCTTGAATTAATTTTTTACATGGTGAGAGATAGAGATCCAATTTTATTCTTCTATATGTGACTATCTTTTTTTCCCAGCACCATTTGTTGAATAACGTGTACTTTCTCCAGTGTATGTTTTTGTATCCTTTCTCAGAGATCATTTGGTTGTAAGTGGCCTTTTTTCTGAGTTGTCTATTCTGTTCCATTGATCTGTGTATCTACTTTTATACCAGTACCATGATGTTTGTTACTGTGGCCTTAGAGTTGAAGTCAGGTAATTTGATGCCAACATGTTTGTTCCTTTTTCTTGGTATGTCTGTTGCTATTCAGGCTCTTTTGTGGTTCTACATGAATGACAGCTTTTTAAAATAACTCTGTGAAGAATGACATTGGTACTTTGGTAGAAACTGTATTGACTCTGTAGACTACTTTGGGCACTATGGCATTTTCACAATATCAATGCTTTCAGTCCAGGAACATAGAATGTATGTTCATTTATTTGTATGATCTATGATTTTCTTCAGTGGCGTTTTCCAGTTATCCTTTGATAGATCACTCACCTCCTTCATTAAGTATATTCCTAGGTATTTTACTATTTTGCAGCCATTGTAAAAAGGATTGGATTCTTGATATGACTCTCAGCTTGGTTGTAGTTGGTGTATAGTGGTACTATTCATTGGTATTTGTATATTTTGTAACCTCTGAGACTTTACTAAATTCATTTATCAAATCTAGGAGTGTTTTGTAGGAGTCTGTAGGGTTTTCTAGGCATAAGATCGTATCATTGGTGAAGAGAGAGTTTGACTTTCTCTTTTCCAATTTGGATGCCCTTTATTTCTCTTGCCCAATTGCTCTGCCTAGGGCTTCCCAGTTTTCTTCTTAATATGCATGAAATAAAAGTGAAATTGAAAGCGATTAATGATCAGTTTATTTCACATCTCTCTCTCATACACAGATAAAATTAATTCAAAGTTCTATGTTAAAAACACAATATTAGACCCTGTCTTGTTCCAAAGGGAATTTCTAATTTGTCTATAAATTACAGAGGAATAAAGAATATAAGTGGAAACTGTTTCCAAAAAATAAACATAAAAAGTTTGAGTTAACACAGGGGTTTCCAATCCCCAGGCCACAGACCAGTACCAGTCCCTGGCCTGTTAGGACCTGGGCCACACAGCAAGAAGTTAGTGGTAGATGAGCAAGTGAAGCTTCATCTGTTTACAGCCACTCTCTGTCACATTACCACCTGAGCTGCTCCTCCTGTCAGATCAGCGGTGACATTAGATTCTCATAAGAGTGTGACTTGAACCCTATTGCAAGCTGCTCATGCATGGGATCTAGGTTGTTCACTCCTGATGAGAATCTAATGCTTTATGATCTGTCACCATCTCCTGTCACCCCTAGATGAGACCATCTAGTTGCAGGAAAATAAGCTGAGGGCTCCCACTGATTCTACATGATGGTGAGTTATATAATTATTTCATTATATATTAGTAATAATAGAAATGAAGTGCACAATGTATGTAATGTGCTTGAATCATCCTGGAACCATCCCCCACCTCAGGTCCATGGAAAAATTATCTTCCACAAAACTAGTCCCTGGTGCCAACATGACTGGGAGAGCAGGGTTAACAGATGTGAGGCCCCTTTGCCTTGTCTTGGATTAATGTGCAGATATACATTGTGTGAATGACATCTGATGGTGCCATTTTGCCCTGTAGATCATTTTAGGGACACCTCCAGTATTTCATGAAAATTAAAATTTCTTCTAGTGACGAACAAAATGATACCCAGAAACAACTTTCTGAAGAACAGAACACTGGAATATCACAAGATGAGATTCTGACTAATAAACAAAAGCAGATAGAAGTGGCTGAAAAGGAAATGAATTCTGAGGTATTTTCTTTAGTCATTATCAAATGTTTTCATATGTGTGTATATTTTTAAAAAGCTTTATTTTGGAAGGTATAAAGGATTTTTAAATCATATATATACACACACCCTGTATATCCTTGGTCATATATCTATATATGTACACATAGGATAAAGCCATGTTCTTAATTCAACTGCATTTGCCTGCAACAGTCGAGTAGTGACCTTCACAATGGCCTCAATCCAAAGGAAAAGCATTTGATATTTTTCATAAGAATTGATTATCTTTCCAATATCAAAAATAAGTTTTGCTACTAACAACAGATTTGCTAGTTTTGGGACATTAGTTCTTTTTAAAATATTAATAGAGAAGTCAGTTTGTTATTTTCACTAATAGGAAAGTAAGAAATGTACAGCTGGGTCAGAGGCCACATTGTGGATGTCATTATCCTTGCTTTTGAGGAGAGGAACAGTTTGCTCCGAGTAGTTTCTCAATTCAATGCAAAGAGCTTTGAAAACAATGACATGCCATGATACACATTTAGTGATAATTTATTGATAAGTATTTTGTTCCCAGATGAATAGTTCAGTACGTTTCCTGTATTTCACACTTACTACTATAATGTTTCAAACATTATGAAGAGGAAAGAAAAGTTATTGCAATGGCAAATAATCTCATGATTTCTAAGAAAAGCCTTGTAAGTTATATCTTATTTACCATTTGTATTTTGAAATAAAAGGCTTCTTTTGTATTTATATATTTACACCACAGAAGCAACTGATTTTGTGGAGGATCACTAACAGTAGCATCAGAAGACCTGGCAAAAATCTTGCACGTTGCATATATATATGTGTGTGTGTGTGTGTGTGTGTGTGTGTGTATTCTAGATGGAGTCTTGCACTGTCACCCACGCTGGAGTGCAATGGCACAAACTCAGTTCACTGCAACCTCTGCCTCCCAGGTTCACACGATTCTCCTGCCTCAGCCTCCTGAAGTGCTGGGATTACAGGTGTGAGCCACTGGTCCTGGCTGCATATATTTTTTGACCTCTCCTTTTAAGAATCGTGATCTTAAATGAGTTGAGTGTTGTATGTAGAAGTGCAATGCTTAGATGCCGGTGTGTACATTGTAGAAGGGTACAATGCTTAGATTTAACAGTTATGAATAAATGTAATTCTTATAACTGACTGTAAAAATATTAGAAAAGCAGTATATTGATAAAACATTCCTCAGAAAAAGGAACTTAAAGAACTTTGAGGAATTGCTTCTGTCCTAATATATGCATAGCTGAGGCTCTTATGATGGTGTGGTTTGTAGGTTAGATATCAGAGTGTAAACCCAATTTAAAAAATGTAGCCAAATGTATTAATCTTCTATTTTATGCCTCTGGGTTTTTTGTAATTCAGAGAAAGGCTTTTCCAATTCTGAAATTCTTAAAAATCCTCTAGTGATTTATTTTTCATGGTCTTTAGATAAATATTTCAACTTTTTGGAATTTACACTCTTCTAGATTTGAAGTTTTGTCCAACTTTTTTCCAGTTAAATATCCACTATGGGAATTATTTCATTATACAAATATAAATGTCATTCTTTGATTTTAGAAGAAATCATGATATGTCATTCTATTGAGTGCTAACTAAAAGTTCCCTTTGTTTACTTAGCTTTCTCTTAGTCATAAGAAAGAAGAAGATCTCTTGCGTGAAAACAGCATGTTGCGGGAAGAAATTGCCAAGCTAAGACTGGAACTAGATGAAACAAAACATCAGAACCAGCTAAGGGAAAATAAAATTTTGGAGGAAATTGAAAGTGTAAAAGAAAAACTTCTAAAGACTATACAACTGAATGAAGAAGCATTAACGAAAACCAGTATTTAAGTACAGTGGACAGCTTAGGATTTTGACAACTGAGAATGCTCAGTTCTGAACTGGAGAATGTAAGACACAACTAGGAAACACTGGAAATGGAAATTCAATCATGTCATTGTAGACTGACTACTGCTCTACATGATTGTGATCAAAGTCAGATAGCTGAAAGGGACTTCTTTCCAGAGAACAAACATCAACAGGTTTATTTACAGGAGAAAATGAATTCTTATATATCTCACCTAAAAGATAACAGTGAGATTCTTTCTGAACAACTCTAACGCTGACAGTAAAATTAACAACCTAAAAATTAAGCTCCATCACACAGGATAAATTCTGAGAGAAAAGATGAGGCAGGCCACCATCTTTCCTGTTTGGGCAACTTAGTCATTCCAGCGTGCGGGCTTTGGAGAGTACAAACTCACCAGGGACAGAAGAGATCCTGTGGCATAGCACAGCTGCTTTACCAAATCATGACCAGAATGCTTCTGTAAGCAGGCCCCTGATCCTGTTCCTCGTCACTGGACAGGATCTCCCACCTGAGGCCTCCAGCTACACCCACCAGTGTTCCCTGGCCAATGGAGATTTGAAACCTTCCTGGGACAGAGTTCCCAGAGAGAGGGGTGGGCCATGATGGGCAGGTATTCCTGGCCTGGGTCTCCAGCCAGCCCCCCACTTGAGCCTTCAAGCCAGTAGCAACTCAGCAACTCCCTGGACAGAGCTTCCAGGAGCAACAGAAATCCTCTCTGCCACTGCCTCTGCAGTGGAACTGCCCTTGCTACCCTCAGAATATCAAGGGAGCAAAGACCCTAAGTGCCATATTGACACCTCCAACAAGCTGCAGTTGACACAAGGAACAAGTCAGTCCATCTTCCACGGGTACAACACACCCCTTACTGCTCATCACCAGACAAGGAACCCTGGCTTGGGCCCACAGCACAGACCCTCCATCCTGGGGTGATTACATTAAGTAACTCCTAACTTACACCTCTCTGGGGTGGAGCCCCCAGGAGACAAGGAAAGTGGTGGAGCAGCAAGTCAGCTGATGTGGAGCCCGGAGGGCAGGGACATCTATGTCTCTAGGCTCCACTTGCTCTTATGAGACACTTTATCCCAGCACTTAAGGAGTGCTGAGGTCAGACCAGCCCCATCTCACGTGCAAGATTGCCCAGCACAGATCAGGTCTAAGAGTTCTCTTCCTAAAAAGGGGGACTTGCTTAAAAAAGAAGTCTGGCCGCGTTTGTGTAGAGCAGTTGTGCTGTGCTGAGGATTCACTTTTGAGAGAGTTCTCCTCTGAGACCTGATCTCTGCTGGGCAGTCTTGCACATGAGATGGGGCTGGTCTGACCTCAGCACCCCTTAGTCTGCTTGCCTCTCCCAGGACCCCAGCCAGGCCACACCTGCTTAGAGGGCACTTCTGGGTGCCCACACCATAGCTTCTGTACAAGCGGACCGTGGCTGATCAGTGGAGAGCTGCAGCAAGGTGACCTCTACAGCCACGTACCAGCCTGCACATTACCTCTCCATACTGCAGCCCTTTATATGGAAACTTTCTACATCACTTAGCTGTGTGTGTTTACACAGGTGGGTTTTGTTGTACTTGCCCTAACAGCATATGGGAATGCAGCACACACCCCAACCCACACCAACTGCCACTGAAGATGAAGCCATGGTGGGCACAGAACCAAAAACCCCACCCCTGCTAGCATCTCACCCTTGAGGTAATGCTGTGCAGAGGAAAAGGGACCTTCTTATACCCTGAGTGACCACTGTTGCTTGGGGGGGATCAGAGAAGGCACCTTCACTGGCCAGCCACCCACCCCAAACCAGAACTACCTCCAGTGCAACAGCACACACAGTCAGCAGGGGCCCCCTGGCCCACACCCCAGCTGTTTTGCCTCCACCACTAGGTGAATGCCCACAGGGAGGCAGGGACTTTTGCATCTGCTAGCATTCTGCCACAGCTGCCGCACTTTGGTCCCCTCAGTGCGGTGGACTCCAAACCTCGAGGAGCCAGAGAACAAAGTTGTGGCCCAATACAAGTTCCCCAGAGTTAAAGCACACAGTCCAAGCATTGGGAGCTGCATGTTGGCCCCTTAAAATCCTCCAAAGACAAAACCTGTTGGCTGAATCCACCTTACACCACAATCAAATCCTCAAGGTCATCAGATATAATAAAGGAAAAATACCCTGTCCAAAGGTCAGCAGCCTCAAAGATTGAAGGTGGATAAGCCCATAAAGATGAGAAAAAGACTGTGCAAGAACACTGAAAACTCAAAAATTCAGCATGCTTTCTTTTCTCCAAATGACTGCATCAACTCTCCAGCAAGTGTTCAGAACTGGGCTGAGGCTGAGATGTCTGAAATGATACAAGCAGAGTTCAGGATATGGGTAGGAACAAAGTTCCCTGAGTGAAAGAGGTATGTTGTAATCCAATACAAGGAAGCTAAAAATCATTGTAAAACATTGCAGGAACTAACAGACAAAATAGCAAGTATAAAGAAGAAAATAACTGACCTGACAGAGCTGTAAATCACACTAGAAGAATTTTCATAATGCAGTCACACGGTGATTGTGTGTGATTGCATTATGAAAATTATTGTAGTATGTGTGGGCACCTGAGAGTGCCCTGTAAGCAGATGTGGCCAGGCTGGGGTCCTGGGAGAGGCAAGCAGACTAGGGAGGGCTGAGGTCAGACCAGCTCCATCTCATGTGCAAGACCATCCAACAGAATAGACCAAGAAGAGGAAAGAATCCCAGAACCTGGAAACTGGCTTTCTGAAATAAAACAGGCAAACAAGAATGGGGGAAAAAAGAATGAAAGGGAATGAACAAAACATCCGAGAAATATGGGATTATATAAACGACTAAATCTATGACTGATTAATGTACCTGAAAGAGATGAGGAGAATGGAACCAACTTGGAAAACACATTTCAGAATATCATTCATGAGAATGTCCCCAACCTAGCCAGACAGGCCAACACTCAACTTCAGGAAATCCAGAGAACCTCAGTAAGATATGCCATGAGAAGATCATCCCCAAGACACATAATCATCAGATTCTCTGCGGTCAAAATGAAAGAAAAAGTGTTAAAGGCAGCTAGGGAGAAAGGCAACATCACCTGCAAAGGAAATTCCATCAGACTTAGCAGACCTCTCAACTGAAACTGTACAAGCCAGAAAAGATATTCAACATCTTAAAGAAAAGAAATTTCAACCCAGAATTTCATGTCCAGCAAAATTAAGCATCATAAGTGAAGGAGAAACAAGATCCTTTTCAGACAAGCAAATGCTGAGGGAATTCATTATCACCAGACCTACCTTACAAGAGCTCCTGAAGGAAGCACTAAATATGGAAAGAAAAGACCACCACCAGCCACTACAAAAACACACTGAAGTACACAGACAAGTGATGCTAAAAACCAACCACATACATAAGTCTGCAAAAAAGCCAGCTGACAGCATGACGAGAGGATCAAATCCACACATACCATTACTAACCTTAAATGGAAATGGGCTAAATGCTCCAATTGAAAGACACAGGGGGCAAGCTGGATAAAGAACCAAGACCCATTGGAGTATGCCGTCTTCAAGAAACCCATCTCACATGCAGTGCCCTACATAGGCTCAAAATAAAGGAATGGAGAAAAATATTTCAAGGAAATGGAAAATAGAAAAAAGCAGGTGTTGCACTCCTAGTTTCTGACAAAGCAGACTATACCAATAAAGATTAAAAAGAAAAAAAAAAAGACAGAGGGCTGGGCGCGGTGGTTCACGCCTGTAATCCCAGCACTTTCGGAGGCTGAGACAGATGGATCACAAGGTCAGGAGATCGAGACCATCCTGGCTAACACGGTGAAACCCCGTCTCTACGAAAAATACAAAAAATTAGCTGGGCATGGTGGCGGGTGCCTGTAGTCCCAGCTACTTGGGAGGCTGAGGCAGGAGAATGGTGTGAACCTGGGAAGTGGAGCTTGCAGTGAGCCAAGATCGTGCCACTGCACTGCAGCCCAGGCGAGACAGTGAGACTCCGTCTCAAAAAAAAAAAAAAAAAAAAAAAAAAAAGAGAGAAGGAGATTACAAAGGTGGTCCTGACCTTTGATAAATCTCATTATTGCTTGATACCAACCTGGGCTATCTTTATTGCCCAAACCAATAGGATAATGTGCTGAGGTTAGGGAGCTTCTCCCCTGCAGAGAATCCCTGATCTCCCAAAATTTGGTTGAGATCTAAGGTTGATTTTGCTATACAACTCCTTTTCTGAAGTTTTACTTATTTCCAACAAGGCAAGTTTTCCTGCTTCCGTGATGATGGAGAGCAGGCACCTCCTTTCTTGAGTTTCAGCTTGCTTCTGACAGGGAAGGTGAGTGTAAGTTTTTTCCAGCTTCTAAGATGGCAGAGAACAATCACCAGCCTGAGACTTATTTCCAGGTAAGTAGCTGAATTAGAGTTTTGTCTTAAAATTTTTCCTTAATGACTAAAATTTAAGATTACTCACCAGCTGCTTTTAATTTCTCGTTACCATTAGAACACTCAGTAATCATATGAATTGTGCATTTGTTTGTTTTGCTTAACTCTTTTTGTTTGTTTATGTTTGGGGTTTTGTTGTTGTTGTTTCACTTTTCTCCCATCTCTTCCTGACTTGGTCAAATCCAAAGAATGCTCCAAATTGTGGGGAACAAGCCTTCTGAATTGGCTAAAACTCATGTGGCTGCAAAAAAAAAAAAAAATTCCAGTTAGCAGAAATGATTTTTTTAACTTTTTTATTTTTATTTTTTACATAAGTGGTTGCATCTTTTGCTAGCCAAGGCCAAACTGAGGGAGTAGTGGTGGCGACCCAAAGTTAAGATTCTGCCCTGTTCACTACAGAAACCTGAGTTTGGTTCCTAAGTCTAGTTCTTTCTGTTTGATATTTGTGTTACTTTTAAAATATCAGCAGTTTGTCCCAGCTATGATGTGGTAGTAAAAGATTCAGAAGTATTTTCTTTACAAGTTCTATGTTGAAAAGCTTAATTAAAAGCAAATTTATTTTTTTTTAATTATACTTTAAGTTCTGGGGTACATGTGCAGAACATGCAGGTTTGTTACATACGTATACACATGCTATGGTGGCTTGCTGCATGCACCAACCCATGATCTAATGCCATCCCTTTTCTAGCCCCCCACCCTGACAGGCCCTTGTGTGTGATGTTTCCCTTCCTGTGTCCATGTGTTCTCATTGTTCAGGTCCTACTTATGAGTGAGATCATGTGGTGTTTGGTTTTCTGTTCTTGTGTTAGTTTGCTGAGAATGACAGTTTCCAGCTTCATCCATGTCCCTGCAAAGGATATGAACTCATCCTTTTTTATGACTGCATAGTATTCCATGGTGTATATATGCCACATTTTCTTTATCCAGTCTATCATTGGTGGGCATTTGGGTTGGTTCCAAGTCTTTCCTGTTGTGAACACTGCCGCAATAAGCATACGTGTGCATGTGTCTTTATATTGGAATGATTTATATTTTTTTGAGTATATACACTGTAATGGGATTGCTGGGTCAAATGGTATTTCTAGTTGTAGATCCTTGAGGAATCATCACACTGTCTTCCACGATGGTTGAACTGATTTATACTCCCACCAACAGTGTAAAAGCATTCCTATTTCTCCACATCCTCTCCAGCTTCTGTTGTTTCCTGATTTTTTAATGATGGCCATTCCAAGTGGCGTAAGATTGTATCTCATTATGGTTTTGAATTCCATTTCTCTAATGACCAGTGCTTTGCTTCACATGTTCATTGGCTGCGTAAATGTCTCCTTTGGGAAGTGTCTGTTCATATCCTTTGCCCACTTTTTGATGGGGTTGTTTGTTTTTTTCTTGTAAATTTGTTTAAGTTTTTATAGATTCTGCATATTAGCCCTTTGTCAGATGGATAGATTGCAACAATTTTCTCCCTTTCTGAGGGTTGCCTGTTCACTCTGATGATAGTTTCTTTTGCTGTGCAGACACTCTTTAGTTTAATTAGATCCCATTTGTCAATTTTGGCTTTTGTTGCCATCGCTTTTGGTGTTCTAGTGATGAAGTCTTCGCCTATGCCTATGTCCTGAATGGTATTGCCTAACACAAGGACATTTCTGTGCCTGAATGCCATATCTCCCAAAGTAATTTATAGAATCAGTGCCATCTCCATGAAGCTACCATTGACTTTCTTCCCACAATTAGAAACACTACTTTAAATTTCATATGGAGCCAAAAAAGAGCTCGCGTAGCCAAGACAATCTAAGCAAAAACAACAAAGCTGGAGGCATCATGGTACCTGACTTCAAACTATTCTACAAGGCTACAGTAACCAAAACAGCATGGTACTGGTACCAAACCAGATATATAGACAAATGGAACAGAACAGAGGCCTCGGAAATGACACAACACATCTAAAACCATCTGATCTTTGACAAACCTGACAAAAACAAGCAATGGGGAAAGGATTCCTTATTCAATAAATGGTGTTAGGAAAACTGGCTAGCCATATGCAGAAAACTGAAACTGGGCCACTTCCTTACACTTTATACAAAAATTAACTTACGATGGATTGAAGAGTTAAACTTAAGACCTAAAACCATAAAAAACCTAGAAGAAAACCTAGGCCACCAAACTCAGGAGAAATGTACTTGTAGTGCAATGCATGGTACAAACACACATTCCCTGCTTCCTTAAGTGGGTGAGGTTGGTGGCTGGTCCACCTGCTCCAGGTGGATCCTTGCAGAGGTGGCTGGTTGCTCTTTGAGCCAGCTTGGCCTTGCCTGGCATTCACAAGCCTCAGTGCAACAACTGTGCTACAAATGGAGCCACACAGAAAATGACCAGCAGGCTCAGGAGCAGGGTGTACACTGCCTTTGGGGCTCCAGTCCATGCCTCAGGGCTCATATGGCACCGTGGGCTTCTTGGTTGCCAAGAGGCAGATCACAGGCCATCTTGTGGAGGACTTTATGTTCAAGTGCAGAAAGCAGCCAGGATTACAACCTAGGGGACTCAGCCTTTTGTGACCCTGGCCAGACTTAGAATTTGGCCCCAGGCATGACACGCTCACTCAGAGTAGCGTGTCAGTACCTGGGGCCTGTGCATGCCAGGCAAAGCCAAGCTGGCTCAAAGAGCAACCAGCCACCTCTGCAAGGGTGTGCCTAGAGCAGTTGGACCAGCCACCAATCTCACCCCCTCAACAAAGCCGGGATGGCCAGGTTCCCACAGCCTGAGTGGCTGCCACCTGATGGCTGATGGAGCAGAGGCCTGAGGAAAAGCAGATGGCACTGGGGCCCTACCTTTAGGGTAGAAGAACTGAGGTACCATGTCTGGCAGCAAGTGATGTTGGTGGCTGGTCCACCTGCTCCTGGCACACCCTTGCAGATGTGGCTGGTTGCTCTTTGAGCCAGCTTGGCCTTGCCCAGCATGCACAAGTCTCAGTGCAACAACTGTTCTACAAATGGAACCACACAGAGGACATTAGAGGCAGGCTCAGGAGCAGGGTGTACACTGCCTTTGGTGCTCCAGTCCATGGCTCAGGGCTCATATGTCACTGCGGGCTTCTTGGTTGCCAAGAGGCAGACCACAGGCTGTCTTGAGGAGGACTTTATGTTCGAGTATAGAAAGCAGCAGGATTACCACCCAGGGGACTTGGCGTTCTGTGGCCCTGACCAGACTTAGAATTTGGGCCAAGGCAGGACAAGCTCACTCACAGCAGCATGTCAGTAGCTGGAGACTATGCATGCCAGGCAAGGCCAAGCTGACTCAAATAGGAACCAGTCACCTCTGCAAGGGTGCACCTGGGACATGTGGAGCAGCCACCAACCTCAGCTACTCAAGGAAGTAGGGATGGCCAAGTTCCCACAGCCTGAATGGCTGCCTCCTGATGGCTGATGGAGCAAAGGCCTGAGGAAAAGCGGATGGCACTGGGGCCCTACCTCTAGGGTAGAAGAACTGATGTGCCCTGACCTGCAACAAGTGAGTTTGGTGGCTGCTCCACCGGCTCCTGGCACACGCTTGCAGAGGTGGCTGGTTGCTCTTTGAGCCAGCTTGGCCTTGCCTGGCATACACAAGCCTCAGTGCAACATCTGTGCTAGGTATGGAGTCACAGAGAGGAAATGAGCAGCAGGCTCAGGAGCAGGGTGTGCGCTGCCTTTGGGGCTCCAGTCCATGCCTCAGGGCTCGTGTGGCACTGCGGGCTTCTTCGTTGCAAAGAGGCAGACCACAGGCCATCCTGAGGAGGACTTGATATTCAAGTGCAGAAAGTAGGCAGGATTACCACCCAGGGGACTCTGCCCTGGACAGAGATAAAATTTGGCCCCAGGCAGGGCAAGCTCACTCGGAGCAGTGTATCAGTAGCTGGGTCCTGTGCATGCCAGGCAAGGCCAAGGTGGCTCGAAGAGCAACCAGCCACCTCTGCAAGGGTGCACCTGGAGCAGGTGGAGCAGCCACCAACCTCACCCACTCAAGGAAGTAGGGATGGCCAGGTTCCCACAGCCTGCATGTCTGCGTCCTGATGGCTGATGGAGCAGAGGCCTGAGGAAAAGCAGATGGCACTGGGGCTCTACCTCTTGGGTAGAAGAAGTGATGTACACCGACCGGCTGTGAGCGAGGTTGGTGGCTGGTCCTCCTGCTCCTGGCACACCCTTGCAGAGGTGGCTGGTTTCTCTTTGCGCCAGCTTGGCCTTGCCCAGCATGCACAAGCCTCAGTACAACAACTGTGCTACAAATGGGGCCACACAGAGAAAACAGAGCAGCAGGCTCAGGAGCAGGGTGTGTGCTGCATTTGGGGCTCCAGTCAATGCCTCCGGGCTAGTATGGCTCTGTGGGCTTCTTGGTTGCAAAGAGGCAGACCACAGGCCATCTTGAGGAGGACTTTATGTTCAAGTGCAGAAAGCAGCCAGGATTACCACCCAGGGGACTCTGCCTTCTGTGGCCCTGACCGGACTTAGAATTTTGCCTAATGCAGGACAAGCTCACTCAGAGCAGCGTATCGGTAGCTGGAGCCTGTGCATGCCAGGCAAGGCCAAGCTGTCTCAAAGAGCAACCAGCCACCTCTGCAAGGGTGTGCCTGGAGCAGATGTAGCAGCCATCAAACTGACCCACACAAGGAAGCATGGATGGCCAGGTTCCAACAGTCTGAGTGGCTGCCACCTGGAGACTGATGGAGCAGAGGCCTGAGGAAAAGCAGATGGCACTGGGGCCCGACCTCTATGGGAGAAGAACTGATGTGCCCCAACCGGCAGCGAGTGAGTTTAGTGTCTGCTCCACCGGCTCCTGGCACACCCTTGCAGAGGTGGCTGGTTCCTCTTTGAGCCAGCTTGGCTTCGCTCGGCATGCACAAGCCTCAGTGCAACAGCTGTGCTACAAATGGAGCCACAGAGAGGAAATGAGCAGCAGGATCAGGAGCACGGTGTGCACTGCCTTTGGGGCTCCAGTCCATGCCTCAGGGCTCATATGGCACTGCGGGCTTCTTCATTGCCAAGGGGCAGACCACAGGTCGTCTGGAGGAGGACTTTGTGTTCAAATGCAGAAAGCAGCCAGCATTACCACCCAGGGGACTCTGCCTTCTGTGGACCTGACCAGACTTAGAATTTGGGCCAAGGCAGGACAAGCTCACTCAGAGGAGCATGTCAGTAGCTGGGGCCTCTGCATGCCAGGCAAGGCCAAGCTGGCTCAAAGAGCAACCAGCCACCTTTGCAGGGGTGCACCGGGAGCAGGTAGAGCAGCCACCAACCTCTGCTACTCAAGGAAGCAAGGATAGGCAGGTTCCCACAGCCTGTGTGGCTGCCACCTGATGGCTGATGGAGCAGAGGCCTCAGAAAAAGCAGATGGCACTGGGGCCCTACCTCTAGGGTAGAAGAACTGATGTGCCATGTCTGGCAGGCAGTGAGTGAGGTTGGTGGCTGGTCTACCTGCTCCTGGCACACCCTTGCAGAAGTGGCTGGTTCCTCTTTGAGCCAGCTTGTCCTTGCCCAGCATGCACAAGCCTCAGTACAACAACTGTGCTACAAATGGAGCCACACAGAGGAAATGAGCAGCAGGCTCAGGAGCAGGGTGTTCACTGCCTTTGGGGCTCTAGTCCATGCCTCCGAGCTTATATGGCACTGCAGGCTTCTTGGTTGCCAAGAGGCAGACCACAGGCCGTCTTGAGGAGGACTTTATGTTCAAGTGCAGAAAAAAGTCAGGATTACCACCCAGGGGACTTGCCCTTCTGTGGCCCTGGCCAGACTTAGAATTTGGCCCCAGGCAGGACAAGCTCACTCAGAGCAGCTTGTCAGTAGCTGGGGCCTGTGCATGCCAGGCAAAGCCAAGCTGGCTCAAAGAGCAAGCAGCCACCTCTGCAAGCATGCTCCTGGTGCAGTTGGACCAGCCTTTAATCTCACCCACTCAAAGAAGCATGGATGGCCAGGTTCCAACAGCCTGAATGGCTGCCACCTGATGGCTGATGGAGCAGAGTCCTGAGGAAAAGCAGATGGCACTGCTTTGTAATGCCCTTTGTCTCTTTTGATCTTTTCCATTTAAAGTCTGTTTTATCGGAGACTAGGATTGCAACCCCTGCTTTTTTTTTTTTTTTTTTTTTTTTTTTGCTTTTCATTTGCTTGGTAAATATTCCTCCGTCCCTTTATTTTGAGCCTGTGTGTGTCTTTGCATGTGAGATGGGTCTCCTGAATACAGCACACCAATGGGTCTTGAGTCTTTTTCCAACTTGCCAGTCTGTGTCTTTTTACTGGGGCATTTAGCCCAGTTACATTTAAGGTTAATATTGTTACATGTGAAATTTATCCTGTCATGATGTTGTTAGCTGTTTATTTTTCCCATTAGTTAATGCAGTTTCTTTATAGTGTCGATGGTCGTTACAATTTGGTATGTTTTCCCAGTGGCTCATACTGTTTGTCCCTTTCCATGTTTAGTGCTTCCTTCAGGAGCTCTTGTAAGGCAAGAATGTGGATTTATTTCTTGTAAGGCAAATATGTGGATTTATATCTGGGTGCTGTATTCTATGGCCTCTACCCCAAGAGTCATTACTTTTAAAAATGCAATTCAAATTAGCATAAAACATTTACAGCCTAGGGAAAGGCTTATGGCATTAGAATCCTTATTTATAGGATTATTTTGTGTTTTTTTGAGATATGGTCTCTGTCTGTCATCCAGGCAGAAGTGGAGTGGCTTGGTCATAATTCACTGCAGCCATGAACTCTGAGTCCAAGCCATCCTTGTGCCTTAGTCTCCCAACTAGTTGGATCTACAAGCATAAGTCACCATGCCTGGTTAATTTTAAATAAAATTTTTTGTCGAGATTATGTTATCACTATGTTGCTCTGGCTGGTTTCAAATTCCTGGCCTCAAGTAATCTTTCTGCCACAGCCTCCTATAGTGCTGGGATTACAGGCATGAGCCACCATGCCTAGCATAGAGTATTACATTATTTTCAAAGTCTTATTCTAAGAGCCATTTATTGACTTTGGCCTAAATAACTCAATATTATATCTCTGAAACTTTTTTTGACAAATTTTGGGGCATGATGATGAGAGAAAGGGGTTTGAAACTTTCTAATAAGAGTTAACATAGAGCCATTTAAGGAGGAAAAAACACAAATTATCAGAAAAGTAAAAGAAAGATCAAGTGCAAAAGTTCTGTGGCAAAGATGATAGTAAAGAATATATGTGACTTATGGTGGCTTTTACTTTGTTCTTGAATTTCTGAGTAATTTAAGGGTTAACATTTAAAGAATCTACATTATAGATAACATTTTATTGCAAGTAAATGTATTTCAAAATTTGTTACTGGTTTTGTATGAGATTATTCTCAGCCTACTTCATTTTCAAGTTATATTATTTTATTAATGTAGTTTGATGATCTTACAGCAGAGCTGGAAGCTGTATCTTCAAAATATGTCTGTTTGACTCAAAACAATCAAGGTATTCAACAGGAGTTATTATGTATGAAAAAATACAACAGGAATGTAAAAATCTTGAGGAGGCTAAAAAGATGTTGGAAAAAGTAATATTAAATCTTAAAAAACGTATGGAAAGTACACATTGGTGAAGACACATTGGTGAAGTACAAAAATATAAATTGGATCTAGAAGAAAGGGCAATGCAGGCAATGGAAAAATTAGTACAAATCCCTTTACAGGTTAGTTTGTAAAATCAGGTAAGTTTATTTATAATGTGCTTTCACTTATTTCACTGCAATGGCTCTCTTATAGTAATTTGCCTTGTAGAGTTCTAGCAAAGAGGTGGCATCTGTTTTTACTTTTATATGTTTAAATTTCTATCATTATAACAAAATCGATTTTTCACAGTAATGATTCTCAGTGTGGAGTCATTTGATTATTAAGACCCATTGACATGAGATTACATCCTCTGCCTATAAAAATCCTGGAAGAAAACCTAGGAAATATTCACCTGGACATTGCACTTGGCAATGAATTTATGGGTAAGTCCTCAAAAGCAATTGCCAGAAAAATAAAAATTGACAAGTATGATTTAATTAAACTAAAGAGCTTCTTCTGCACAGCATGAGAAACTCTCAAGGGATTGAACAGACAGCCTACCGAGTGGAAGAAAATATTCACACACTATGCATACAGCAAAGGCCTATTATCCAGAAGCCATAAGAGACTTAGGCAAATCAACGAGCAAAAAATAAATAACCCCATAAAAAAATGGGCAAAGAACGTGAACAGTTTTCAGAAGAACACATATGTGGCCAACAAACATATTAACACATGCATACCATCACTAATCATCAGAGAAATGCAAAACAAAACATCAGTGAAATACCATCTCACACCAGTTAGAATGACTTCTGTTAAAAAGGAAAAGTAATAAAAATATTTAAATATTTAATATTAAAATGTCATTTAGATTGAGATAAATTAACTTGTCATTATCATTAATTCTCAAAACATGGATATTTAAGAATAACCTTACTTCACATGTAATAACACAACAACTACCTTAAAAACTAAAAGCTGGGGCCTGGCACGGTGTCTCAAGTCTGTAATCCCAGCACTTTGGGAAGCTGAGGTGGGCCGATCATGAGGCCAGGAGTTTGAGACAAGCCTGGCCAACATGGTGAAACCCCGTCTCTACTAAAAATACAAAAATTAGCTGGGCATGGTGGTGGGCACCTGTAATCCCAGCTACTCAGGAGGCTGAGGCAGGAGAACCATTGGAACCTGGGAGGCGGAGGTGGTTGCAGTGAGCTGAGATCACACCATTGCACTGCAGCCTGGGCAACAGGGCGAGACTCCATCTCAAAAAAAATAAATAAAATTAAATGAATACAAACAAATAAATAAAAGCTGGAAGTTCTATGAAAACATTAATGCACATACCATTTTTTAAAAATGTTCATGGTTTCTCTAGAGATTTCAATACCTATTCTAGCTTATTACAGTAACCTATAATTTGTACTATACCAACTATGGTATAAAAACCTTAAAATGTATATTTCTGTTTCCTCTCTCCTTTATACTATTTATGTCATGCATTATAGTCTCAAATATTATGAATTCCATAATATAAAGTTACTCTTTTTTTAAAAAATTAGACAATCAATTATCTTTAGAGCAATGTAAAATAATTGGGTTATATATCTTTATATCTTCTCTGGCATTATTTATTTCTTTGTGTAGTTTCAACTTTCACCTGCTTCCATATTCCTTTTGCCTCAAGAAATGATTTTGACATTTATTTTAGTGCATGCCTGTTAGCAAGGGACTCTTCCAGTGTTAATCTGCAAATGTCATTTAATTGTTATTTTTGCTGTATTACAGTTAATGGATATAAGATTGGGGGTTGGCTTTTCTTCAGTTATTTAAGAATTTTGTATCATTGGTTTCTGACTTGTAGAGTTACTGACAAGCAGTTCATTACAATGTTTGTTTCTGTTTATCTCTCTACACAGTGTTCTTATTTTTTCTGTGACTGAATTCAAGATTTATGCTAATCGTTGGTTTTCAGCAGTTTCACTAGTGTGATTATTCTAGCGTTCTTTAAATTTTGTATTAATCTTTCTTGTATATTTTGAGGTTATTTGGTCTCCTCAGTCATCTTTTTCAAATTTTTCTTCTCTCACATTCTGTTTTTACTCTCCTTCTGTAATTCCAATTAATTGTATTTTGGTTAATTTCATATTACCAGAAAATTCTTTGATTCACTGGAGTATTTTATTTGCTTGGTTCATTGGTTTATTTGGTTTTTCTCTTTCCTCCCTTTGTGCTACCATTCAAATGATTTGTATTGACCTAGTATAAAATTTACTGCTTCTTTCTTTAACTCTGATGACCAGTCTGCTAATCAGCTTGCTGATGTAATACTTCATCTCTGTTCTCATGCTTTCACTTATTTCTAGATTTTGCCTTTTACTGTTCCCATCTTTGCTGAAATTCCTCATTTTTCCATACATGTTGTCTTTTTTTAACTAGATCCTTTAACATTTTGATCATTATTATTTTAAATTACTTTCATTTAGTTCCAACATCTGAATTATCTCTGAATTTGATTCTGTTGACTTTTTATCCTTTGAAAATATTATAACTCATAACTCAAATTTCTAACTTGCTTTTATGTGTCTCCCAATTTCTAAAAAATGCAAATCATCTGATGTAGAAAAACAGTAGATCATGAGATAATTATTTATGTCGAGATTGTTTTATATTTCTGTTTCATTTTTGTTTGTGTCATGCTATTAGTGTGGGCAGGAACAAAGGTTGCTTTTTGCTGCGGTGTCTGAAACATTCAGTGAACAATGTAACTCAGATTTCTCCAGCAGTAGACTGCTATATGATGTGCCTTGTGTGGGGCCTTAGACTCTGGAGAGCATATGCCAATGATCCTGTTCCACAGTTAGCTTTCGGTAGTCCTTACAACCTATGTTATAGAGAGGGTCTCTCTCCACTTTCTTGTTCTTCTCTAACTGTAGAACATCATTTTGTGTGTGTGTGTGTGACTAGGCAAAAAATTCAGGTTGGGGACAGAGGGATGGTTTGTGTTGTTTTTGAGCCAGTTTCATCATTGGACACTCAGAGATGGGGTATTTTTAACACTTCTTGACTCTTTTTCTAGTGGGAGTCAAACTGTCACTTACCTGTGTTGTTTTTTGCAGAAGAAATAATACCTTACCCTCCTCCCACCTCAGTAGTAGAAAACCCCTGATTTATATCATTGCAAGTTTTCAACCCCACAATAAGGGCAAACTCTTTTATTTCTCCTTCCATAGGAACAATGTACCTTTGTCTGTGGTCACTGGATGGAGACTTTCCAAACCTTTACCACAGTAGCACGACTCTGCATTAGTGCAAAATCCTGGGCCCCAAAACAATCCTTGTTCCTCTCCTGATGGAGGAGTATTTTTCTTGCATCCCTCTCCCAGAAGCAGTGATCCTTTGCCTGGTGTCAGGTGGGGTAGGGTAGGGTATGAGAGGTTTCTTAACCTTCTCTGGAAGCTGATGTGTTTTGCTTCTTCTTATCTCCCAGAAACAGTAGACTTTTGCATGGGTTCATGGACCCAGATGCTTTTTTGCCACAGCAAATTAAGGGTTTTGATTCTTAGGAGAGAAGCAAATGTTCACGTAGTCAATTTTTTTCTTATTTATTTTTTGCTTTGTTTTCTTATTTCAGTAATGATGAGTTCAATATGATCATTATTTTCCACTTACACTGCTTGCAACTCTAATATTTTGTTTTTGTTAGTCCCCCTTTGACAGTTCAGCACTAAATCAAATGCAGATAATCATCAGTTGTGTGAATAAAGTGTTTTTAATTGAGAACAAAATTATTGATATAGACACAAATTTGGATATTATCCTACTTAGCACAATATGTCGCTGGTTCAAAATGTAAAAACCTCTTTAGGCTGAGCAAATAATGGTTCTTGGAACTATTGTCCCATTTTGACAAATAAAACCCAATGCTTTTTATCTCATGGATAGATTATTAAAATAACTACATACCTGATCTTCATTTTATGTTCTCTCTCTTCAAGATATTCCTTCAAAACCACTTTGACTGATTAGTCTCTTTTGAATTATGTTAGACTCTGTATTTTCTCCACAAGCTCATCAGTGTAAATCCTGCCTTTACATTTTTTATAAAAATTCTCTTTTTTTTTTCAAATCTTAGTTGAGCTGAAAGATTTCCACCAAATGTCTCCTATGCCACAAAGCCTTATTTTACTTATCTCCCCTGTCCTCCTTGCTCAAGCTCATTTAGGAATATTTTAATTAAAACATTCATGCAATACTGTTTTTTAAAAAATCTGAACATATAGTATTTTCAATCTGAATACAAAATAGTGCTCTAATTTGAAAACAAGTTTTAGAAACAAATGTTTCTAGAAGGAGAATCAACAGTGTCATAAATATCATAATCCAATTTTCCTGTTTGTACTAAAACATTAGCAAATATTTATTGAGGAATTGCCATCTGCCTGAAAGTATAATGCTTTTGATGCACATTATATCATAAAAACTAGGTACTATTATTAGTAGTATCTTAAGAGTATAAATATCGAGTCTTAGAGATGTTAAGCAACGTGCCCAAATAGCATGGGGAAAGTTGGAATTCTGAAATTCTGACTATGCTGTGCGTAGGATAGGAGAATCAAGGCTTGTCAAATGTAACTGTTAAGTCATTGTGGGGATACGGAGGCCTCTGATTGCTAGGGTCAATACACTTAAGCAGATCATGTCACTACTTAGTTAAATCTATTTCATTAAAGCAAAATTCCATAAAGATTATTGCCACCAAAACTATTAATTTTCCTTCCTTCCTTTCTCTCTTTATCTTTCTTTCTTTCTTTCTTTTCTTTCTTTCTTTCTTTCTTTCTTTTCTTTCTTGTCTTTCTTGTCTTTCTTGTCTTTCTTGTCTTTCTTTCTGTCTTTCTTTGAGACAGGGTCTCAGTCTGTTGCCCAAGCTGGAGTGCAGTGGCACAATCATGGCTCACTGCAGCCCCAGCTTCCCCAGGCTCCGGTGATCCTCCCACCTCATCCTCCTGAGTAGCTGGGACTACAGGCAGGCAAGCCACTACGCCTGGCTAAAATTTTTTTTTTTTTTTGGTAAAGATTGGGTTTCACCATGTTGCCGAGCCTGGTCTGCAACTACTCAGCTCAAGCAATCCACCTGCCTTTGCCTCCCAAAGTATTGGGATTCCAGATGTAAGCCACATGCCTGGCCAAAAATATTATTTAACAAGTTCAATTTAACTATTAGATTTTGGACAATGAGGGATAGAATTTTCTACATCATAAATCATCTTGTGTTCTTTATTTAAAGTAATATGTAAGGATTTCAATTCAATTCAAATATATTTATTAGGAAATTAAATGTCTTTTTCAGGATTCCAAACTTTTGTTGAAGACATAAATGTTAAATGATGTCACTAATTTTAATTAGATTAACAGAAAGGTATTCTGGTGTTTAATAACAGTGACAGAATGGGCTATTAATTTTATTTTCTTTCCCTTTCTCCCTTTCCCCTTTTTAAAATATTTTACTTTTTAGGCTGTTTGGAATCCTGTAGATAGAGTTTTGGAGAATTAGACAAAACACTCACAGAAACTGCCAACCCTTGGATGAAATATATTGTTACTGTGCTTTGGGATTAAAATAAGTAACTACAGTTTATAGAACTTTTATACTGATACACAGACACTAAAAAGGGAAAGGGTTTGGATGAGAAGCTCTGCTCTGCAACCAGGAATCTCAGCCACTCATTTCTGTTGGAGCTGCAGGAGCTCCCTGTAAAGAGAGATTATGGAGTCTGTAGCTTCAGGAAAGATACTTAAAACCCTTCAGAGTTTCTCCATTTTTCCCAGAGTTTCCCCAAAAAGGTTATGACATTTTATAAGAATGCTTCACTTGTGAAAAACTAATACCAAGTCTTTTTGTAATTTATATTTAAGGATAAATCTTTATTCCATGTTTAATTTATTTCACTTATCCTGTAACTAATATTTCATGCTGAACACATTTTAAATGCTGTAAATGTAGATAATATAATTTATGGATCATTAATGCCTCTTTAGTAGTTTAATGTCAAAAGAAATGACCCCAGAATAAGCTTCTTGATTTGTAAAATTCTATGTCATTGACTCAAGTTTGTATGGCATCTCAAAATATAAATATAGACATCTCAGATAATATATTTGAAATAGCAAATTCCTGTTAGAAAAGAATAGTACTTAACTAGATAAGAATAACAGGTCACCATTATTTGAATTGTCTCCTATTAATTTTTGTTCTGTTGTGTTACTCATGTTTTACTTATGGGGGATATACATAACTTCTGCTGTTTTCAGAATTATTGTATGCAGTCAGTATGATAATGCAATTTTAGTTTCCTTGATGCTTTCTCACACCTCTATTACTAGAAATAAGAATACAGTAATATTGGCAAAGAAAATTGACCAGTTCAATAAATTTTTTTAGTAAATCTGATTGAAAATAAACATTTCTTACGGCTTTCTTACATCAATATTGTTATGTCTTAGACTACCGTATCTGAAATTAAGGCTTTGAAATTCTAATTATGTGCAAATGTGTAAAATATCATCACCTAACGCTATATAATATATTCTATTTCTATACTGTGATGGCAGGTTTATAATTCTGGAAAGATATACACAACATAAAATTTACCTTTTTAATCACTTTAAGTGCACAGTTTTGTGGCATTAAGTATATTTGCACTATTGTGCAACAGTCACCACCATAGACCTCCAAAACTTGTCTTCTTCTCCAACTAAAATGCTTTACTCATTGAACACCAACTTCCCATTCCTCTCCCTCTCCTTCCCCCTAGCAATCACCATTCTACTTTCTGTCTCTACAAATTTCACTAAGTAACTCATAGAAGTGGCATGATAGAATGTTTGAATTTTTCTGACTGGCTTATTTCACTTAGCATGTCTTCAAGTTTCATCTATTTTGTAGCATGTGTGAGAATATATTTTAAGGCTGAATATTATTATGTTGCCGTATATACCACATTTTGTTTAACCACTCATCCATCAATATTCACATGGGCTGCTCCCTCCCTTTGATTATTGTGAATAATATTGCTAACGGACACGCTGCACAAACATCTTTTTGGTCCCTCCGCTCATTTATTTTGGATATGGATTTGCATTTTAATACAAAGGAGAAATTACACAGCTTTTTAAAAGTGTCCAAATAAAAAGGAGCACAACATCAGTAAAATATTAGAAAGTAGATTGGGGGGAAAACAGGGAAGGAATTGAACCAAAAGTCAATAAGCTGCATAAGAGAGTTGCAAGAGGAGGAAAAAATTGACAATATTAACATAGAATTAAAGAGCGATAGGTCGATATTTAGAAAATTGTCGCATGTACTCATATGTCGCCTGTGAACTGACATTTACATTATTTTATTATTCCAGGTTTCCAAAAGTAAGTGCAATATGAGAGTTTCATGATGCTAAGTAAACTGAAACATGCTATATATTTTGATATATTGTCCTTGAGAGGAGGCTGAGTGGTAATTAGTGCAATTTTAAATTATGATATGATAATGCAGTCAATCTGCCAAACTGAAAAAAAGTATATATACAATATGTATACATTTCTCGCAAAATTCAGTTTTATCATACAATTAAATTATGATTTAAAACTACCTGACAATTAATGGAGGAAAAAATAAAACAACATTTGCATTAATATTACCATAATTTTGATATTATTGTAAATATCAAAATATGTAGTACTTAGAGATAAACCAGCAAAAAAGAGAAACATTTGAAAACTACAAAACTACAAAATATTGCTAAAATAAACGAGACCTAAATAAATGGAATTTATGAGTCATAAATCTCAATATTGTTAAGATGTCTACTCTTTCCACATTGATCTATAACAATTCCAATCAAATCACAGCTGGATTTCTTATTTTAGAAATTGAGAAACTAAAATTCTGAAATGTACATCGATGGGTAGAGGACCTATAATGGCAAATTACTTTGAAAGGAAACAGTTACTTTGAAACCAGGTGCTGCTGGAGAATTAACAGCACCTGGATTCAAGACTTATAACATTACAGTAATACTTAAGACAATGTAGTACAAATATAGATATACACATGTATATCATCTATCAGCTAATTTTTGATAAAGTTCTTAGACCATTCATGGACATAACATTTTCAACAAATGCTTCTGAAACAATTAGATATCCCAGTATATATTTGTGTGTGTGTGTGTGTGAAGCTCAATACTTCACACCTGAGAGGTATGAGTGTGCATTACAAAAGAGAACTGGGAAGCTTTGAGAGTATTGGATATGCTCATTGTCCCCTTCATGGTGATTAATGGGCACATGTACATATCAAATTCATCTCATTTACACTTTAAATATTGGAAGTGTGTTTTATGTTCGTTAGACATGAATAAAGCTGCAAAATGTTATCAAAATATTCACTTACTATGCTTTTATTCATTTTCATCTCTCTATAAACTTTCAGATAGAAAATGCAGTTGAAAGATATTTCATAAAGGAAGAAAAAGTAAGAATACAGGTGAGAGATATTACTGAGATTTTCTTTCAGTGCAATTCTGGTCTTTTCTGACTAGCAATATTTTTATGTGCAGAAGTAGTAGAAAAGATAAATATTTTGTACAGTAGAAAAACGCATCATTTCTGTGCCATGGAAGAGAGAACTCACAAAGATGACAGCTTCTGGCTATGTTGGATACTAACCAGTACTGTAAGTACCCAGCGATCTGACGTTAACATTGGCTGTAAAGCTCCTTTAATGTTCCTTGCAATGATTTGAACCTGTTACTGGAACCCTCATCGCTTATTGAGTTGAAAAACATTGTTGATATGTGTTTATCTTATATTTGCAGTAGAGTCATAATTTTACTTCTTAGAAAATTATACATTAAACAAAAAAGACACATGAAATTGTATATTGTTTAATGTTTCAACTGTGATAATCACTCCATATGCATATTTAAATTCCTATTTGATAAAGGATAGGAAATACAGAAAGAATTCTTGTGATAATAGAGAACACAGAACTGTTGAAAGGTGTTGAAGCTGAGCTGGAGAGAGTCACCAAGGCTGGCGCCAAAGCTGGCAAGGTCGGAGGGTTTCCTGCCTGGGTGGCACAGCTTGAGCTCGCCCTGCATCACGAGTGGTGGAAACTGCAGACCCAGCTGGGCCCGGAGGCCTCTGCCTCAGCCTCCCGCCCACTAGGAGCTGCGCTGAGGTCCCAGATAGGCGACCCTGGCGGGGCGCCCCTGAGCGAAGGGGGGACAGCAGCAGGAGACCAGGGTCCAGGGACCCACCTCCCACCGAGGGAACCTCGAGCCTCCCCTGGCACCCCTAGCTTGGTCCGCCTGGCCTCCGGAGCCCGGTGTGCATCCTGGTCATGGGGACACCCACCAGGTGCCCGGGAGTCCCCCTCCGCCACAGCCTGCGGCTCCGCCGGCCCTCAAGCCTGGTGCGGGGACTCCAGCCCCGTCGCCTCTGCTCCTGCCAGGCCGGGACCTGTCCTCCTCCTGGGCGCCCGGCAGTAGGGGCGATGCACACTGCCCGCTGCCCTGCACAGCCTTTCGCCGCACATCACCTCTGGCCCCTCCGCCCCGGGCCAGGACCTTCCTGGCCACACAGAACCCCCCTTCCTTCCCGCTGCAGAGCTGCTGCGCTTCCCCCACCCACAGGGAAAAACGGCCGATCTCCAACCAAACAGAAATCTGTGTGTGACTCCTCTGGTTGGATACTGCCAGTCCCCACATTTTCTTCCGGGAGTTTTCTTGGCAGAAGGTGCCCAATGTTTGATGTTTCGCCAGCCATGAGGCTGAAAAGTGACAGCAATAGAGAAACACATCAGGCTTTCCGCGACAAAGATGACCTTCCCTTCTTCAAAACTCAGCAATCTCCACGGCACACAAAGGACTTAGGACAAGATGACCGAGCTGGAGTGCTCGCCCCAAAATGCAGGCCCGGAGTGGGTCACCTCCTTAGGGCAGGCCCAGGCTTGTCCTGGCTGCCCGGGCACCTTTCTCCTCACTCCCACCCAATGCAGGGGACCCCAAAACTCGGCTGTTGGGGCTCCCTGCGCCTCCCTCCACAGAAGCCACCTCCTGCCCTCCAAGCTGGGGGTCTCCTGGGGCGTCCTGGGCTGAGAGGGAAAGACGCCAGCTCCGCAAGCCGGGAGGGGAACACCGCCACATTGTTACACGCACACACCACCACACTGTCACATGTACAGACACACGGAGACATTACCACACGGAGACACCGTCACATGGACACACTGGCACATTCACATGGACGGACACACAGACATACGGAGAAATCCACACGGACACACCACCACACTATCACAGGGACACACAGACACACGGAGACGTCACCACATGGACACACCACCACACTATCACAGGGACACACACAAGAGACATCACTACACTGTCACATGGACACACCATCACACTCACACGAACACAAAAACACACTGCCACATGGACACTGCCACACACACACACACCGCCTCACTGTCACATGGACACACCTCCACACTGTCAGACACCACCACACAGACACTGCCATGTGGAAACAAGGACACACAGACACTGTCACACGGATACACAAACACACTGTCACACGGAGACATCACCATGCAGATACATGAACACACCACCACATGGACATAGCACCACACAGACACTCTGCCACACGGACACACCACCACACAGAAATGCGGACACACCACCACACAGACACACCACCACGCTGCCACACAGAGACACCACCACATCGTTGCCACACTTTCATGTGTCAGCTGGCGGTGTGGGCCCCACGACTCTGGGCTCTAATAGAGAAATTACTTAGGCATATAGTGAAGGCAAAATAATTTTTTTTTTCCTGAGGCGTAGTCTCGCTCTGTCCCCCAGGCTGGACTGCAGTGGTGCAATCTCGGCTCACTGTAAGCTCCGCCTCCCGGGTTCACGCCACTCTCCCGCCTCAGCCTCCCGAGTAGCTGGGACTACAGGAGCCCGCCACCAAGCCCGGCCACCTTTTGGGTGTTTTTAATACAGACGGGGTTTCACCTTGCTAGCCAGGATGGTCTCGATCTCCTGACCTCGTGATCTGCCCGCCTTGGCCTCCCAAAGTGCTGGGACTACAGGCGTGAGCCACCGCGCCTGGCCAAGAATTTCTTTCCATCTCCTGTGTCATTGCTTTGGCAGTGGAAATGCGCGTGGCCTCTAGAGTGGGTCCCAAGGTCAGGAAGGCCTGTAAGGTGGAGGGCAAGGTCTCTCTTTCCAGGCTGGAATGGAGGAAGATGTGGTGGCTGAGGGGCTGCATGTCCTCCTCACAGCAGGCCCCTGAGAACATTTATCCTCCTGAGCCGCGAGTGTCCCTCAGGGGTGTCTAAAGCGCTGGGTGGGGCCTTTATAGGCCTTAGGAGCTCTGGCCCATTAGTGGTGCGTAAAACGCAGAGGTGAACACCATAGAACAACAGGTCCAGGAGAATTTTGTAAAAGCTCTGAGGATGCCCTTTTTTGTTCTCCCACTGCAAAATTGTTTTAAAAAGGAAAAAATCCAGCAATGTCCGGGGAAAGTCAATACTGAGTGTCAGCGCGGGATGCTGCCGCTGATACGATCCCGGCGTCCTGGCCGAAAGTGGCCTCCTCGGGGACCGCATCTCCGCGCACCATGGCAGCAAACGCCAGCGGTTTGTGGGCAGATGGTGTCCCTGTGGCCATCCCCGCTCCTGAGTGCGGAAGGACAGACAGGAGCGGGGACTTCTGGGTGTTCCTGGTGTCAGCCAGCTTGACGCCGTTGTTCCTCCTGGACGTCCGGGATTTGGAGAAGCACCTGGTTCCTGATGGAGGCCGTGGGCCTCTTGGTCCCCGCTTACCAGGCAGCGGCGCCGGCCTAGTTCTCAGCCCCGCCCCCGATGGGCGCCGCCTTCCATCAGGCCAAAGACTTTCCTCCAAACTGCCCTTCTTGGGGCGGGGAAGCAGCATCCTGGGCCTCCCCTGGGGCCTGTGGCGCTGGCAGCAGCTCCACGTTGAGGTCGCCTGCAGCCTGCACCGCGGAGCGCTGGAGGTCCCTGAACCCGGCGTGGGGAGGCCAATCCGCAGGTGCCTGGTGCCCGGTGCCGGTCGCAGTCTCAAAAGCGCCTGGAGGTGACATCCAGGAGCACCACCGCGCCGCCCGCAGGGAGACGCATGGCAAGGCGCGCCCCCTAAAGCGGCCAAGGAAGAAGCAGAAGGACAGGAAGGCACCCAGAGCTTGGGGTGATCTCAGGCCGCGCGCCCCAAGTTCCTGGTCTCTGGGAGGTTTTTTTTAAATTTCTTCCATATTATTATTTTTATTATTATTAACTTTTCAAGATGGATTAAAGACTTAAATGTTAGACCTAAAACCATAAAAACCCTAGAAGAAAACCTAGGCAATACCATTCAGGACATAGGCATGGGCAAGGACTTCATGTCTAAATCACCAAAAACAATGGCAACAAAAGCCAAAATTGACAAATGGGATCTAACTAAACTAAGGACCTTCTGCACAGCAAAAGAAACTACCATCAGAGTGAACAGGCAACTTACAGAATGGCAGAAAAATTTTGCAATCTACCCATCTGACAAAGGGCTAATATCCAGAATCTACAAAGAACTTAAACAAATGTACCAGAAAAAATCAAACAATCCCATCAAAAAGTGGGCGAAGGATATGAACAGACACTTCTCAAAAGAAGACATTTATGCAGCCAACAGACACATGAAAAAATGTTCATCATCACTGGCCATCAGAGAAATGCAAATCAAAACCACAATCCGGGAGGTCTTGCCAAAGACGATGTGGGCTTTCTGGGCAATGTCCAGCCTGAGCTGGAGCTTCTGGGACGCGGTCAAGTGGTCCTTTGGAGATTCCATGGCTTCGGATCCCTACTGCAGGATGCTCCGCTGTGTCTGCCAGCCTCTGGAGTTTTGCTGAGGGGTAACCTCGGAATGTATAGAAATAAGAACACTGGGATGGCCCAGTCATGACCCAGGCATTCCTGCACACAGTGGTGGCAAAGGCAGGCGCTCAGACAAAGTGCCCAGTCGGCTTGGTGAGAGTACTTTACAGGTTAGTGACAGACTTGGTCCCGTGCTTGTGTCCTCTCATGTTTTCAGTTAACCTGCGGACGCCCAGGGGCTCCTCCATCTCCACCGTGTTCTCCTCGGGCTGAAGCCCAAAGTCCCCCATTTTCTCCTCAAACGGCTCACAGAGCCACTTCTGCAGGCAGGAGGACAGCGGTGGGCTCAGTGGCTGACCTGGGAAGCCACATCTGAAGGAACTGCTGGGTGACTATGGCCGTAAGTCAGTCAAAGCAGACTTTCCCTGGCTTGCTGCGCTACATTGATTTTGTTTTCATATTTTAAAAGACGCAGAAGGGAGGTCCTAGGAAATTTGCCCAATGCAGATGCTGACAAGAGTGGTGACATGAAAAAGATTACCCAGAAGGAAAACAAGAGCTATTTTCTAAACATCTGAAATCTGTGTAGGCTTTTGGAAAAGTGAAACTAGATGCAAAGCAGCATGATATAATTCTGGCAATTTCCACTGACACAGAACTCAGTCAATCTGAATTAATCTAAGGGTTACAAGGAAAATGGCACTCCAAGAGGTACCTATTAACATCACTCAGCTGCTGTGAAATAGGCTTACAGACAACACGGAGTGTCAATTATCCAATGTTTAAAGTCAGTGATACAGATTGGACTACAATCTCTATGGCTCATAAAGTCTTCTTTAAAGGATTGATAGATGATTTATCTCATATGTAGACAATGATTCTCAGCAGTTAGCTAGCACAACTTGCTAATATCAATTGCTTGAGAAAATCAGATAATTGCTTGAGAAAATTAGGACATTGCTTGAGGATGTTAGGTAATTAAATAAATTACTTTTTTTAAGAATAGTTTAATGTTTTGGCAAGTAGACTTTAAAATAGATTGGTAATATTTTAAAGGCTACTTTTAAAGAAGTAGCAATATAACATGTTTAATTATGAAAAATAATGTTGGAAACAATTCAATTTTCTATCAGATAATTTCACAAATATAGAAATACCATCTCAATAATTAGAAGAAGTAGCAGCAATTTCTGTCATTTTTATGCAAGTTACTCCTAGTCCATTTATCTGGTCTTAAATAGTGTTTTTAAAATTTGTTTTCAAACAAGGCAAATCATAAATAATAGAATATATTTTACAATAATTGAAGTTAACAAAAAATAAGAGCCATTTAAAAAATTGTATTAGATTGTTTAAAAATGTTGTGGGTACATAGTATGTGTATGTATCTGTGGGGTCCCTGAGATGTTTTGATACAGGCATGCAAGGTGAAATAAGCACATCTTGGGGAATGGGGTATCCCTCCCCTCAAGCATTTATCCTTCAAGTTATAAAAAATTCAATTACAGTCTTAGTTATTTCAAAATGTACAACGAAATTATTATTGGATATAGTCACCCTATTGTGCTATAAAATAGTAGGTCTTATTAACTCTCTATTTTTATACCCATTAACCATCCCCACCTTCCCACAAAATCCCCCCCCAACTACCTTTCCCAGCCTCTGATAACCATCCTTATACTCTCTATGTCCATGAGTTTGTTTTGATTTTAGATCCCACAAATAAGTAAGAACATGTAACATTTGTCTTTCTGCGCCTGGCTTATTTCACTTAATATAATGATCCATAATGCTCCATCAGTGTTACTGACAATGACTGGATCTTGTTCTTTGTTACAGCTGAATAGTCCTCCATTGTGTATATGTACCACATTTTCTTTATCCATTCATCTGTTGATGGACACTAAGGTTTCTTCCAAATCTTAGTTTTGTAAACAGTGCTGCAACAAATATGGGAGTGCAGATATGTATTTGACATACTGATTTCCTTTATTTTTGGTATAGACCCAGCAGTAGGATTGCTAGATCATATGCTAGCTCAACTTTTAGTTTATTGAGAAACATCCAAACTGTTCACCTTGGTGGTTTTATTAATTTACATTCCCAGGAGCAATGTACAAGTGTTCCGTTTTCTCTGCTTCCCTGCTAGCATTTGTTACTGCCTGTCTTTTGCATACAAGTCTTATAAACTGTGGTGAGATGATATCTCATTGTAGTTTTGATTTGCATTTCTCTGATGATCAGTGATATTGAGCACCTTTTCTTATACCTGTTTGCCATTTGTAGGTCTTCTTTTGAGAAATATCTATTTGAATCTTTTGCCCCCTTTTTTTTAACCAGGTTATTAGATTGTTTCTTAAAGAGTTGTTTGAGCTTTTTATATATTCTGATTATTAATCCTTTGTTGGATGAGTAGTTTGCAAATATTTTCTCTCATTCTGTGGATTATCTCTTAACTTTGTTGCTTGTATCATTTTCCGTGCAGAAGCTTTTAACTTAATGTGATCCATTTGTCCATTTTTGCTTTGGTTGCCTGTGCTTGTGGGGTATTGCTCAAGATATTTTTGCCCAGACCAATATCCTGGAGATTTCCCCCAAAGTTTTTTTGTACTAGTTTTATAGTTTGAGGTCTTAGCTTTACATCTTTAATCAACTTTGATTTTACTTTTGTATTCAGTGATAGATACTAGTCTGTTTTCATTCTTCTGCATATGGATATCCAGTTTTTTCAACACCATTTCCCACCAGTGTATGTTCTTGGCACCTTTGTCAAAAATGAGTTCACTGTAGGTATGTAGATTTGTTACTGGGTTCTCTATTGTGTTTCATTGATCTATGGGCCTCTTTTTATGTCAGTACCCTACTCTTTTGGTTACTGTAATTCTGTAGTATAATATGAAGTTAGATAATATAATTCCTCCAGTTTTATTTATTTATTTATTTTTGCTTAGGATAGTATTATTTCTTATACTGAAAGCATTCTATGTTATTATTAGTCTAATTTTGCAGTTTTACAATGCTATCCTCTTTTACAAAGCTGTGATCAACTCAAAGTCCAGATCAGGGTCAATTGTAGCTATTTGCAAAAGTAGCAATATTCTGGCCAGGGGTGGTGGCTCATGCCTATAATCCCAGCACTTTGGGAGGCCAAGACAGGCAGGTCACCTGAGGTCAGAGGTTCAAGACCAGCCTGGCCAACATGGTGAAACCCTGTCTCCAATAAAAATACAAAAATTAGCCGGGGATGAAGGCAGATGCCTGTAATCCCAGCTACTCAGGAGGCTGAGGCAGGAAAATCACTTGAACCCGTGAGGTGGAGGTTGCAGTGAGCCCAGAATGCACCATTGCACTTCAGCCTGGGTAACCAAGTGTGACTCCGTCTCAAAAAAAAAAAAAAAAAAAAAGTACTATACTGTGTAATTATTGAGAGCATAATTCACTATTATGTGGATCAGAGAGCAGAGCATTCTGAATGCATGAACATATCTTTAACATTTCAATACATTACTCATAATTACTAATGAACTAAAGAGAAACCAAGAAATTATGGTGATAGTTATATTGACTTGGTGAAATGTAGACACAAAATAACGGTAAGATGAGAAATGTGTTAACACAGGCTATAAGGGCATGCAAGAATAAAAATAGGGGAGAAAACAGGAGAGTTTTTCAAGAGCTTTCTGGTCATGTAAGTCAATTTGTATCGGTTAATTTTTAAAAGGTTTATTTACATGCAATAAACTGCACATACTTCAATTGTACATTTTGATAATTCTTGGCATTTGTAGCTCTACAAAACCAACAACATATGAAAATAGCAAACATATCCATTACCTTTACCACCAAAGTTTCCTTGTGCTTTTTCTACTCACTTTTTCCTGCCTATCCCCATTCCATCCACAGGCAACCACTGATCCACTTCTAGTCACTATCCGTGAGTTTTTATTTCCAAATACATAAAATCATAGGGTATGTATACTTTCTGATCACTCAGCATCACTATTTTTGAGATTTATTCATGTTGCTACATCTATCAATTGTTCTGTTCTTACTAGGGAGTATTATTTCATTATATACAGATACCATAGTAAGTTTATAAGTCACAAATTCACCTGTCCATGGATATTTGGACTATTTTCAGGTTTTGGCTGTTGCAAGTAAAGCTGCTATGAAGATTCACGTAAAATCCTTTGAATGGGCATATGCTCTTAGGTTTTCATCTCTACTGGAATAGATAGCTATATGGCTATCATGTCTGTAATATGCAAACACAAAGCCTGACAAAACTGATTTCTAAAGTGGAAATTCCACTGGAGAACCTTGACTCCAACCTGGCTTTTGAGATTATCTCCTATGTCTGGTGCAATGATTGGTCCTGGGGTAGCCACATGACCCAAGGGGGACCATGTTTAAACTTCTGAGTTTTCACCGAGGTTAACATGCATTTGTTGAAAGAGAAACCCCTTTTCCCCTACTCCCCCAGCTGCAAATGCCTTCAGGGATTATATCATGTTGGAACATTTGGTTACAGTGTTTCCTAAACTTTGGGGGTAAAAATTGTTCAAGTAGGTAAAAATGGAGCACACACAAAGAAAAAAGGAGTCCAGAAATATCAAATAAAGAAAGGGCCTCCATAAAATCATTTGAACTTATGATTAATTCATTAGTCATTAAAATAAGTTTAGTGTACAAAGAATCATCCCTCCAACCACCCTTTATTCCTTCACCAGGTTTAAGTTACATTTTTAAACTTGCAAACAAAAGATTTGTCATTAACTTAGACATCAAAATCCCTTGTCTCCAAGAGCAATCATTCAACTCTGTCCCTCTCATTATTACAATAATATGTTCACTTTATTCTACATACACCTGCTCGTTGCCCTTGTCTCCCTATTCTATTCTGTTAAAGTTATATCCAGACATTTATTTCATTTTATATCAAAGAAACTGTATACACGTTTTTAATCTTAGAAAAATTTCTGAGTAATCTTTTGTCTCATATTCGATTTTAAGCCACCCAAGAAGCATTATTTTTTCATTTAGCATTTTAACTTTTCTAACCCAGGACTTTTATAGTAGATATTATGTCTTTTTCTAAATGTTCTGCTTCAATTTACATTTTAAATCTAATTTTTAAAAAGTGTATGTTTTGAATATTAGCATCATGCATCTCAGGCCTAAATATCCCTTGATAACTAATATTGTCCTTTTTTCTCTACATTTTTCACATATTTCAATAGGGAGCTATATTGCCTGCCACAATAAAAGTTTTTGTCAATATAACATAACACATAGGCAAAATATTGTTTCCAAGTGATTGATGATGTGGTGCCTTCAGTCTAGTCCCAACCCCTCAATGTAATCATCATCCCTAAATCTAATGAAATAGGAAATAAATATTTCATTTTGTTTCTAAAATTCAGCAGAAAAATATACAGCCTGTCACATATAGCCTGTAACACCAACATATAAAAATTAAAGCAGTTCCTTCTCCACTCCCACTGCTTCACTTGACTAGCCTTAAAAAATAATAATAATAATAAATAAAAGCAAAATTGTTCCTTTACTTATCTTTGAAATCTAATGGATATACTATCAGAAAAGCTCTTATGTATATGGAGGGCCTCTATAAAATATAAACTGTTAACTAGAAAAGTAGATTTATATGATAGTTAAATTTAAAACACAATTATATATAGTACCTTCCCAAATGCACCAGTACTTATTTCAGAATGCATGATGTAATTGACTAAACCATTTAGGGCTAGACCTCTGAAATAAAAGGCATTCACACTTTGTGATTCCTGGGGAAATATTCAAAATAGAAACTTGCAGAATCTTTACCTGATCATGATAAAAAAAATGTTCCTACTTGTTAATATGCCACAGCTTTTACAAGGTCAGCAAAAAGAGATTATCCCACAATAAAAGCTGATGGCCAAAATTATCTGCCTTACTTTAGTTACCATAATATCTATTAAGTGTAAATTTCTTCTGAAGGAAAACAGATACACTTTTCTCAGAAATGTCTTTAGATGAAGATCTAGCACATCTGTGTTCCTCACTTTTTAAAATGTTGATTTTATTGATAAATAAATATATATAGGGTACAATGTGGTACGATACATGTAGATATTGTGAAATGGACTAATTAGGCTAAATAACGTATCCTTCACCTCAGATATGTATTACATTATGGTGAAACATTTAAAATGTACTATTTTAGCACTTTTAAGATATGCACTACATTATGAGTAACTGCAGTCACTTTGCTGTGCACCATATCACCAGAATGTCTTTCTCCTAACTGAAGCATTATCCCATTCAATATTTCCCCTTTTTCCACCCCTGCCCCCCACCCTGCTCAGCCTCTGATAAACCACCATTCTATTCTTAACTTCTATGAGTGCACAGTTTTGGATTTCACATATAAGTGATACTATGAGATATTTGTCTTTCTGTGTCTGGCTTATTTTACTTAGCATAATGTCCTCTAAATTCATCCATGTTTTTGCAAATGACAGATTTTCATTCATTTATAAAGATAAGTAGTATTTTTGTATGCATCCTACATATACTTTTAACTTTCCACAGCTTTATTGAGATATAATTTATACATTGTGTAATTCACTCATTTAAAGTACAAACTTCAAATTCTTTTAGTATATTAACTGGATGGACAAATAATCATCATAATATAATTTTAGAACATTTTATTTTCCTTAAAAGAGACTTGCGCCCATTAGCAATCTTTCCCCATTTTCTCCAGTCTTTTTTAAACCCCTCCTAGTCTAGGCAACCACTCGTCTACTTTCTGACTATGAATTTGCCTATTCTGGACATTTCACATAAATGGAATTATAATAACACATAGTCACTTTTTACTCACATCTTTCACCTAACATATTTTTAATGTTCATCCATTTTGGAGCATGCATTAACAGTTTTTTACCTTTTCTTGCTAAATAAGATTCTATTTTATGGACACACCACATTTTATTTATCCACTCCTCAGCTGATGAACATTTCTGTTGTTTTCTACTTTGTGTTGCTATAAACATTTGTGTACTACTGTTTGTGTAGCATTTGTTTTATTTTCTTTTTGGTAAACACATAGGAGTGGAATTGCTGGGTCACGTGATAACTCTATGTTTAACCATTTGAAGAACTGCGAGACTGCTTTACATTTTAAAGTCTCACCAGTGGTGTAGAAGGGTTCCAATTTTTCCACATATTTTTATCTAGTCTTCAGTTGATAAGCACTTAGGTTGTTTCTAATTCATGGGTATTATGAATAATGCTGCAATGAACATGAAATTGCAGATGTCTGTTTTTGACATACTGATTAAAATTCCTTTGGACACGTATCCAGAAGTGGGATTGATGGATCATAGGGTAAATATATTTATAATTTCTTGAGGAAGCTTCATACTGTTTTCCAAGATGGCTGTGCTAATTTCCATTCTTACCAACAGTGCACAGGGTTTCTTTTTCTCCACATCCTCATCAACACTTATCTTCCATCTTTTTTTATAATAGCCCTAGTAAAATGTGTGAGGTGATATCTCATTGTGGCTTTGATTTGCATTTCTCTGATAATTAGAAATGTTCATGATTTTTTCATGTACCTGTTGGCCTTTTGTATGCCTTACGAAATGTCTATTCTGGTTCTTTGCTTATTTTTTTTAATAAGCATAGTTTTATTCTTATGTTTGAGTAGGTTGAGTTACTTATATATTATTATATGAGCCCCTTATCTGATGTATGGTTTAAAAATGTTATCCCATTTGTGGGTTCTCTTCATTCTATTATCACTTCTTTTCCTGTGGAAAAGCTTTTTAGTTTTATGCAATCTCATTCATGTGTTTTTGCTTTTGTTGCCTGTGCTTTTGGAATAATCTACAGAAAATCATAGCTCAGGCCAATGTCATACAGTCTTCTTCTATATTTCCTTGTAGTAGTTTTACATTTAAGTCTTTAATTTTGATTTCATGCTTGTATAAAGAGCAAAAGAAAAGTCAAATTTTATTCTTCTGTATGTGGATAGTCAGTTTTTTCTACACCATTTATTGAAAATAATTTTCTTTCTTCATTGTGTATTTTTAGTTATTTTATCAAAAAGTCAATTGACCACAGACATACGGATTTATTTACGGGTTCTATATCCCTTTGCACTGTTCTACATGTCTGTTTTTATGCCACTGCTATGTTGTTTTAATTACTATAGCTTTGTAATATAGTTTGGAATCGGGTAGTCTGATGCCTCCAGCTTTATTCTTTTTGTTCAAGATTGCTTTGGTTAGTCAGGGTCTTTTGTGGTTTCATACAAATTTTAGCAGTAATTTTTCTATTTCTGGGAATTTGATAGTGGTTGCATTTAATCTGTAGATTGCTTTGGGTAGCATTGACACTTTTACAATACTAATTTTTGAATCAATCAATAAAGGATGTTTCTCCATTTATTTATGCCATTTTAACTTTTTTCATCAATGTGCTATAGTTTTCAGTGTGCAAATCTTTCACATTCTTGATTAAATTTACTCCTAAGTCTTTTACATATTTTTATATCTGTTTTGATTCTATTATAAATTGAATTGCCTTATTAATTTATTTTTCAGGTAATAGTTTGTCATTAATGTATAGAAACAATAATGCTATCTGTATGATTTTGTAACTATTAACTTTATTGAATTTCTTTATCAGCTTTAACCGTTTATTGTGGTGGAGTCTTTAAGATTTTCTCTACCTTGAGTGCGCCAGGCGCGGGGAGCCTAGGACCTGGAGCGAGAGCCGCCTACCTGCAGCCGCCGCCCACGGCACGGCAGCCACCATGGCGCTCCTGCTGCGCTTCGTGCTCCTGTGCAGAGCCGCGGATTTCATCAGAGGTTGGAGTATCACTACTCCTGAGCAGATGATTGAAAAAGCCAAAGGGGAAACTGCCTATCTGCCATGCAAATTTACGCTTAGTCCTGAAGACCAGGGACCACTGGACATCGAGTGGCTGATATCACCAGCTGATAATCAGAAGGTGGATCAAGTGATTATTTTATATTCTGGAGACAAAATTTATGATGACTACTATCCAGATCTGAAAGGCCGAGTACATTTTAAGAGTAATGATCTCAAATCTGGTGATGCATCAATAAATGTAACGAATTTTCAGCTGTCAGATATTGGCACAGATCAGTGCAAAGTGAAAAGAGCTCCTGGTGTTGCAAATAGGAAGATTCAGCTGGTAGTTCTTGGTAAGCCTTCAGGTACAAGATGTTACGTTGATGGATCAGAAGAAATTGAAAGTGACTTTAAATTAAAATGTGAACCAAAAGAAGGTTCACTTCCATTACAGTATGAGTGGCAAAAATTGTCTGACTCACAGAAAATGCCCACTTCATGGTTAGCAGAAATGACTTCATCTGTTATATCTGTAAAAATGTTTCTTCTGAGTACTCTGGGACATACAGCTGTACATCAGAAACAGAGTGGGCTCTGATCAGTGCCTGTTGCGTGTAAACGTTGTCCCTCCTTCAAATAAAGCTGGACTAATTGCAGGAGCCATTATAGGAACTTTGCTTGCTCTAGTGCTCATTGGTCTTATCATCTTTTGCTGTCGTAAAAAGCGCAGAGAAGAAAAATATGAAAAGGAAGTTCATCACGATATCAAGGAAGATGTGCCGCCTCCAAAGAGCCGCACGTCCACTGCCAGAAGCTACATAGGCAGTAATCATTCATCCCTGGGATCCATATCTCCTTCCAACATGGAAGGATATTCCAAGACTCAGTATAAACAAGTACCAAGTGAAGACTTTGAACGCACTCCTCAGAGTCCGACTCTCCCACCTGCTAAGGTAGCTGCCCCTAATCTAAGTCCAATGGGCGCGATTCCTGTGATGATTCCCGCACAGAGCAAGGATGGGTCTATAGTATAGAGCCTCCATACGTCTCATCTGTGCTCTCCGTGTTCCTTTCCTTTTTTTGATATATGAAAACCTATTCTGGTCTAAATTTTGTTACTAGCCTCAGAATGTATCAAAAAATAAGTTAATCAGGAGCTGTAAGGAATATATTTTTAAAAATTTTTGTTTGGTTATATCGAAATAGTTACGGGCATTAAAGTTAGTAAAGACAAGTTTACCATCTGAAAAGGCTGGATTTTCTTTAAGAGGCTGATTATAAAGGTTTCTAAATGTTATCAGTACCTAAGTAAGATGTAGCACTTTGAGTATGAAATCATAGGTGAAGAAATCGGTGAACTTACTTGCATACCAAGTTGATACTTGAGTAACCATCTGAAAGTGGTACTTGATAATTTTTACCATTATTTTTAGGATGTGTATCTCATTTATTTATGGCCCACAAGTCTCCCCCAAATTAGTACAGAAACATCCCTGACAAAATTACTTATGTACGTTTGTACTTGTTTTCACAGCTCCTCGGAAAACTCTGTGTTGGGAATATCTCTAAAAACATAGAAAACACTACAGTGGTTTAGAAATTACTAATTTTACTTCTAAGTCATTCATAAACCTTGCCTATGAAATGACTTCTTAAATATTTAGTTGATAGACTGCTACAGGTAATAGGGACTTAGCAAGCTCTTTTATATGCTAAAGGAGCATCTATCAGATTAAGTTAGAACATTTGCTGTCTGCCACATATTGAGATGGCACTAGGTGCAATAGCAGGGATAGATTTTGTTGGTGAGAGGTCTCATGCCTTGAGATCTGTGGTGGTCTTTAAAATGGTGGCCAGCCAGACCAAGGATGTAGTATCTCATAGTCCCCAACTAAATGCTGGCTTTCCACTTTAGGTGATATTTTTCTAATTAGAAAACTATTATAACTCACTTATTGTTTGACAATTATAGATTGAAATTTCCTAATTCTAAATTTTAAGTGGCTCTTCGGTTTCAGTGCTCTATGTTGTTTGTTGTTGGTTTTGGATGGCATTACATATTATATGTTCTAGAAACATGTAATCCTAAATTTACCCTCTTGAATATGATCCCTGGATGATATTTTTATCATAAATGCAGAATAATCAAATACATTTTAAGCAAGTAAGTGTCCTCCATCAGTTCCGTATTCCAGACTTGGGAGGATGTACAGTTGCTGTTGTGTGATCAAACATGTCTCTGTGTAGTTCCAGCAAATCAAGGTGAGCTTCAAAAAAGTTTGAGTCTCAGTTTTGTGAAAGTGATTTATTCTTAAAAAAAAAAAAAAAAAGAAAGAAAGAAAAAAAGAAAAAGAAAAAAAGATAAGAAAAAGGAATAAAGCAACCACTCCTCCTTGTCAAATGTGCTAAATATCATTTTAGGAGAAGAGAGTGGACTTATTGTATCTCCCTTAAGATTGTGAGGGAGTGTGGATACAGTAGAATGAGCCAATAGTTTCTTTATAATAAATACGGTCTGCAATAAATTATTTCACTAGCTCTAAAACCTTTCCCTAGATTTTAGTGGGGAGTTGGTTTCTGTTAATATCTTTGGGTGCTGTGGTGGTAAATGCTACATTATAAACGGTGGCATGTATTTACAGTTACAGTATTGTGTGTACACTTTTTAATGGTAAACTTAAGCTGAATGTGTAATGGACTTGTGTATAGTTTTACATATTTGGAAGCATTTTAAAAATAGGTTTTAACCTTACATAAAATTACTTTTATACTTGTGTTAACATTTTCTTCTGTGCCTTTTGGGTAATTTAATTTCTGTTATGAATTTCTGGTGCCTATGAGCTAGCTATCACCTACCTGAAAGTTGCTTAGAGGTGAAGGTACTGTTTCTAAAAACACATCACTGTGACATCTTTCTATCCTCATATTTTCAAGCTTGCCTCTTTTCTGTTCTTTGTGGATATAACTTAAGTGATTGTGTTATTCATAAAGATTTAGAAATTTCAATATTCCCAACACTCTGACTATGTTTCTGATTTTATAACAGTAGCCATTTTTGAATGTCAGATGTTTGGCCTGTTTTATATGAAAAAAGTTTATTTATAAAATATTATAAAAATAAGTAAATAGAACATTAATAATAAAAAAAGATTTTCTGTATCTTAAGATTATATTTTCAGAAAACAGAAACAATCTTACCTCTTCCTTCCCTATATGGATTTCTTTTATTTCTTTGTCTTGTGTAATTGATCTGGCTAGGCAATTACACATAATGTTTTCAGCATTTGTAATTTTACATCAAATCCATCCATTGTAGCACATTGACTGCTACTTTTCAACTTGTAAACCTGGACATTTATCACCACTCTTCCTCCAGTACAGGAGTCCATGGCCCGGTGTGGGCCCTACTGTGCCACAGTCCAGGGCACGGCTGGGCGCAGGTTCTCTCGTGCAAGAGTCCGCAGCTCTGCGGAGCAAGAGTTCTCCAGTGCCTTAGACCAGGGTGAGGCAGGGGTGAGGCTCCTTCAGTAGCTCAGTCCAGGACGCAGCCCTGCGAGGGTCCTCCTGTGCAGGAGTACACGATGCTGCGGGGTCCTACTGTGCCTTAGTCCAAGACGCCAGGGGGCTGGGTCCTCTGGTGCCATAGTCCAGGGTGCAGTGGAACAGGAGTCCTGTGGAGCAGCAGTCCAGGGCGCGATGGGGCATGGATTCTCAGGTGCCGCAGTCCAGAACACTGCAGGGCGGGATTCCTGCCTTGCTATATCCAGGGTGCCGCGGGGCGGGGGTTCTCTTGTGCAGGAGTCCAGGACGTGGCGGAGCAGGAGTCCTCCGTGTAGGTGTCCTCCGGTGCTGGAGTCCAGAGCTCAGTGAGGCTGGGTCCTCCCGTGCCATAGTGTAGGGCATGGCGGGACAGGGATCCAGCCCTGCGATAGTCCAGTGCTTGAGTCCGCAGTAAGGCAATGGTCCTCCAGTGCTGGAGTTCACGGTGTGGTGGGGTCGGGGTCCTTCGGTGACTTAGTCCAGGGCGTACCAGGGCAGGGTTCCACAGTTGCCATAGTGAGGATCCTGGAGGAGGGTGGTTCCTGCCTTGCTGTAGTCCGGGGAGCAGGGGGCAGGGGTTCTCTCTTGTCAGAGTCTGTGGCGCGATGGGGGTGGGCTGGGGGTTTTCCTATGTGATAGCCCACTGGGCGGTGAAGCCGGGTCCTCCCGTGCCTTTGTCCAGGGTGCAGGGGGGCGAGGGTCTTCAGTGGTGGAGTCCGTGGAGCAGCAGGGCGGGGGTCCTGCAGTGCCATATTCCAGGCCGCTGCGGAGTGGGGGACCTGTCCTGCAGTGGTCCAGGGCATGCGGGAATGGTGGTCCTCCTGTGCCATAGTCCAACGCGCAGCGGGGCGGGGGGTCACCTCGTCCTGCGGTCCACCAACCACGAGGCCCGGGTGCTGCTGTGCCTCAGTCCAGTGCGCGGTGGGACGGCGGTCCTGCTGTGCTGTAGTGCAGGACGCGGTGGCGCAGGGGTAGTCCAGAGAGCGCCGTGGCAGGGGGTCCTCCAGTGCTGGAATCCAGTGCAAGGCGGGTCAGGGGTCTTACCGTGCCGAAGTCGGTGGCAGGGGTCCTCCCGTGCCATAGTCTAGGGGGCGACGGGGCAGGGTTCTCTAGTGCAGGTGTCCAGGGTGTGGCAGGGCAGGAGTCCTCTGGTGCAGGAGTCCAGAACCTAGCCGAGGAGTCCTCCAATGCCAGAGTCCAGGGCTCTGCGGGGCCGGGTTCCCCCATGCCAGAGTGTAGGGCGTGTTCAGGCGAGGGTCTTGGCGTGCAGTAGTCCAGGGTGCGGTGGGGCAGGGGTAGTCCAGACCTCCATGGCGGGGGTCCCTCTGTGCAGGAGCCCAGTGCCCGGCGGATCGGGGGTCCTTCCGTGCTGTAGTCCGGGGCACGGCAAGGTGTGGGTCCTCTGGTGCCCTAGTTCGGGGGCGGCGAGTCAGAGGTTCTCCCGTGTCTTGGTCTAGGGCGTGGAAGGACTGGGGTCCTGGAGTCCACGCGGTAGCACAAGTTGCCCCAGGACCAGGTCCTCTGGAACCACAGTCCAGGGCGCTGAGGGGCAGGAGTAGTTCAGGGCGAGCCGGGGCCAAGGTCCTCGGGAGCCAGAGTCCAGGGTGTGGAAGGGTGGGGGTTCTGCAGTGCACAGTCCAGGACACCGCGGGGCGGGGCAGGGCGGGGATCCTCCGGTGCCTTAGTCCAGGGCTGAGCCGCGGTAGAGGTCCTTCAGTAGCATAGTCTAGCGCACGGCGTTGCAGGTGTCCTCCAGTGCCTGAGACCACGGCAGGTCGCGGGTCCCACTGTGCTCTAGTTCAGGATGGAGCAGGTCTGAGGTCTTCTGTTGCCTCAGTCTAGGGCGCTGGAGAGCGGGGATCCTCTGGTGCCAGAGTCAATGGATCCACCGGTCGGGGTCCTCCCATGTCTTAGCCCCGGGAGGGGAGAGGCGGGGGTCCTCCTTTGCCCTAGTCCAAGGCATTGTGAGGCCCCGCTCCTGCATTCTTAACTGTCTGTGCCTCTGCCGCCGCGGGGGAAAACTGCACCATCTCAGGCAAGCCTAACAGAGCAGCTGTCCTTAAAAGATTCCCAGTTGAGTGTGGTTCGGAGCAGGCCTGAGAAGTGTGCCCTTAGATGGCTTCAAGGGCTCTGGGCAATGTTTAAGGAATCCAGCTGACCTCAGTTACTCCGAGCCCTTTTCCACTCAGCAGAACTTCTGGCCACCGGGTCCTCTATCTGCGGAGCCCTTCTATCATCCCAGATCCCCACAGGGTGGACTCCGTCTCATCCTCACAATCTCAGCTCAGGCCTTATTCATCACAGCATTCCTGGCACCAGGCCTGGCCCATGAGAAATTGGTCAGATTAAGAGCTAAATGTGTTTCCATGGTCACTTGTTTTCTTCAGGCCTCCTTTCTTTGTGCCAGCATCTTTGGGTTTTGGTTAAAGTTTTCAGCAGCTGCATGAAGTTCCATTTTTCTTACCAGGTAAGAGACATAGCTTCATGAAAACAAAGGCAGAACGCTTGTGACCAGAGAACTCCCAGTCCTCTCCCTGCATAGGAAAACTGGACTTCTCCGGAGGGCTCCAGCTCCTGGGCAAATCTCTAGGGCCACTTAATTGGGCTGTCCCCCACCTTTGTTTCTGGTTTTGAAGGGGCGGAAGTTGGGAATCCTTTCTAAGTCTCTACACATGGAGCCCTTCTTTGGTGGGAAAGTCTTGACATATACCAGGATTGTCATTGACCTTTCAGAGCCTTCAAGAATCCTGAGCTGCTTTGGCTTCTGTTCCTGGAAGAGAGGCCACTGAACTGCTCTGGAGCTGGAGTTCAAGTTCAAATATTCATCACTGTTACTAAGCCTTTACATAGCATGTGATTTCTTTCCGGCAGGCTCATGGTCACTTAGGTTTGCTTGTATGTAGATGGAGTGGTCTGCATCCTCATTCAGGTAACACCCCCAGCCTTTCATGCTGAGATTGGCCATTTTATTTGTAACTCACTGTACAATCCATTTGCTCTTCCAGTGTCCCTTAGAAGGATGCAGAGTGTACTGTAGAATGCCATAGAGACCTGGGTTTAGGGAAAATATTTGACCCAAAGTCCGCCAACTCACATGAGTATCTCCCCACAACTTGTACCGTGCTAGTCTCTGGGTATATAGCAAATGAAACCGTGCCTGAACAGATGTTACAAACACCCTCCCCTGAGAGACTCCAGGGCTGCTTTATTCATGCAAAACGGTGGGCTCTAATAAGCTCAGAGCTGAGAGGAACAAGTTTTCATTCCAGCGTTCTCAAAAACTCCCTTTGTGACTTTAGGCCTAATAATAATAACACTACCTAGGTAGTGAACACCTCTGTGCCAAGAAATATCATGATCATTGCCTGAGTTGTAATTCTCACAGTAGTCCTGCAGGACAGCTGCTATTACTGCTTATTATGCAGATGGGCAACCTGAGGCTCAGATGGAGTTAAGTGGCTTAATTGGTAGCAATAGAGCCAGGATTTGAACCCAGGGCTGCCTGATCACCAAATAAAATTGTACTCAACATGATGCACTTAACTTTTCTGGCCTCATTTCTCTCACCTGTAAAAATGCATATTTCAGATGTTTGTAATATTTTACCTGTGGTTGAAAGAGTTACCAGCCCTTCCTTGATCACCCATGGTAAGACCCATGAGCCTCTGAATATAATTATAGAAAACATTTGGAGAGGGATGGAGAGAAACAAGATCATGCCTCCTTTGATAATGTCAAATTTTCAGTGCACGAAGCCATACATAGTGCAGTTTTCTAGCTTCCCTTTCACACATGGCGTTGAAGAAAGTAAATTAAGCAACTCAGCTAACACTGGGAATGCAGCAGAAGTCATCGAGTTCAGTGCTGGGAGACAGTTGCCATGATATTCCAACATGGACACCAGGATCACAGTCGATGACTATGCCCTCCCTTGAAGATGGTGGCTTGCCTCTCTTTCTGTAAGCACATGTCATGTCATAACAATATTAAACAATTAAAAGTAATGTCCCCATCTTCTTCTACACTGCCTTTGAATTATTATTTTAGATCTGCCAAAATAAATTGCAAACTCATTAACAAGAAATGGGGGTGCCTGCATCCCTGCCTTCCTGAGTAGTCTATTCACCCAAAGACAAAAGGGTGACCAGCCTCCGTCTGGGATATTCAAAGACACAGTCACCCTGCCATGCAGCCTGAGGCTGGCGAAGGTCCAATCCCCTTTTTAAGAAGCTTGTTGGATGAGCTTCATAAACATACAACCACAAAGGAAAGGCACAGCTGATGTGAGCGAGGCTGATAAGATGGGCATTTTGTCTGCTTCAAGGTTAGAATGCAACTTGTCTGTCAAAATGTGGTTATCTGACCTCCACAATGCTGCAGTCCAGCTAAATCCTGCAAATATTCATCCACCATTTACTATGGATAAAACAATAATGTGCTGTGGGGAATCCAATTACACACACACACACACACACACACACACACAAAAGTGCACACACACATGCATGCACACACACTGCTCCTGCTGTCTCAGAGGTTCCATGCTGGCAAGGCAGAAGTGCAAACATTAGCAGGTAAGTCCACTAGCAGGAGGAATGTGATAAGTAGATCCAACAGGGTACAACACAGTATGATAGAAGCAAACAAGGTAGAAATGAGTTCTGACTCCCTTTCACTTATGAAACTGATTATGGAATAGTGTATGAAAGGCTTGCCTGAATGAATCTCATATTTTCCAAGTGTTTTCTATCCCAGTGATTGGAACTTTTATTCATTTATACCATTGTCCAAAAGGAAAATACAGGAGATTTTCCTAAGACCATCCTCTGTCTTATCGCTCATATCATATCCCCAAACATCACCAAGCCCTGCCCACTTTTACCTACTCGGTTTCTCTCCAGTTGCTCTGTTTTCTCCATATGCACTAGTGATACCTTGGCTACATGAAGACCACCAGCAGCAGCCGGGACAACCAGCACCCTGTGGAACTGCATAGAGTGCATAGAATATGTCCTCCCTTCAGTCGGCTTGGGTCAGCTTAGGTCATGGGCCACCTGGACTGACAGCAGTTTCCACAGAAATGCCTCAAGATGATAGAATAATCCAAATCTCTTTGCATGGGGCATGGTGTGGCTATCTGAGAAAATCCTGGCTTTTATAGGAAGGAGAAAGAAGAATGCTTCTTGAGGGGAAGAAACCAACAGGAATGTGCCTCAGGGAAATGTCACCAGAGGAGAGTGAGCTGTAATGAGTATTTTGGCAGATTGCATGTTTCTTGTGGTTCTTGTGTTCCTCGGCCCTGCACAGAGCTACCATTTACTCATTTGACAAATATTTGAGTAGTAGACTCCAGGGTTCAATAGTGAGCAAAAATGCACAGAATTTCTTCTCTAGTGGAGCTGAGAGTCTAACAGAAAGAGGTGATGTTAGTCACAGAATTATGTAACAAGGGAAAGTTCAGCAGACCCAGGGGTGCTGCAAGAGCCTGGGAAGGTGGACTGACCCCAAGAGGGAGGCAGGAAAGGTTGCCCCCAGGAAGCAGCACTTGAGCTAAAATCAGGGAGAAAACTAGGCAAAGACACAGCATTCAGGAGGAGGTAGAAGCTGGCCCATGAGGATGGTGGTGTGGAGAGGTGAACCAATACCCAGGTCTTGGATTTATTGTTGAGCTGCTGAATTAACCAGTGCTGGCTCTCTCCCAACCTCTGCACTTCTTGTTTTGCAAGGTTTTTTTTTTTTTATTTAAAAGCTAGTATGAGTTGGGATCTGTTGCTTTTCTGAGACCCCATCATGTGAGGTAGACAGGGGGCCTCACTGTACTCTGGGGGAGCTAAAGATGGAGAAGAGTTTTAGAGTGCCTGGAGAAGAGGCCCTTTAATAGATCATTTAAGAAGAGGGTGCTACCGCTAGACTGCCCAGATTCACTTTCTGGCTTTGTGACCTTGGGCTCTCTGTGTCTGTTTTCCAATCTGAACAATGGAATAATGATAGTATCTGCCTCTGCCTGCAAGACCCTGTCCTATCAGACCAACTACCTTTTCACTAGAACTCTCTTCCTGCACTGTACCCCAACTGGACCCTCATTAACACTTAAAATGGGCATGTTTCCCTTTTCTAGATTTTGCTCAAGACATTTCCCTCATCAGAATTAACTTTGGTCCATCTCCCTCTATTGGAATTCAACCCATTCTCCAGAAATCAGTTCAAATTTTATCACCAGAATGCCTCTCTCAATTACACCAAGCCTCTTTTATACTTTGTGCCATTTCTGCCATGATTTCTTATGTTTTCCTTTTTCACTACATATTGGTACAGGTACATATGATCTCCACTTCCACTCAAATGTGAGGTTACTGCGGGCAGTCCCTATGGGTATAGTCATATCCCAAGAGTCCTGGGCAGAGGGTCCCCCTCTTGCACCCAGGTTGGAGTGCAGTGGTGCAACCAGAGCTTACTGCAGCCTTGACCTCCTGGGTTCAAATGATCCTCTCACCTTAGCTTTTCCAGTAGGTGGTATAAAAAGGCGAGCACCACCATGCTTGGCTAATTTTCATATTTTTCGTAGAGATAGGGTTCCACCATGTTGCCTTGCTTGGTCTCAAAGTTCTGAGCTCAAGCAATCCACCTGCCTCAGCCTCTCAACATCCTGGAATGACAGCATGAGCTACCACACCTGGCCAAATGCCGAATACTTTAGTCATATATGCCTGACACTTCAGGGCGTGCAGAACTGCCTCGCTTACTTTTCTTTTGACTCAGTTTATAAATTTTCTTAATTTAAATTTTAATTTCAACATGTGTACATCTTTGAAATAAATAAAATAATCTCTTTGAATGTTTGGCATAATGTAGAAGAAATTGACAAATGGATATCTTTACTTCATTTTCCATCTCAAAATGTGGTAGAAATATGCTCCCCTAAAGTGATCCCAATTATTACATAGCCATCTTGCTGTGGTTAATGTAGAATCTTTTTGCAATATCACATGCATGACAGGGCACATCCAAAAAACATTTAAGTGAGGATAATACTAGATTCTTGAAAGTATCTAGACACTTAAGAGCAGGCAGTGATGATGTTAATTAACAGTAACAATGTCGAGGGACTGGCTTTTGCCCTTCCCTAATAAACATAAAGAGCATAGAAACTCAGCAAATTTGCTCTTATTTTCTTCATTATTTGGTTGTTGAATCAGTAAATGCTTTCCACAGGGGTCATCTTGTTAGTCATCTTGTCATTTTGCTGTGTCCCTTCTTCATCCTTGCACTTTTTCCTTTCTCCCATTTTGGAATGTATTGAGAGGAGTGTTATGTTGATGGAATGCCATGTCCTGACTTGCCATTTGATTAGAACTTCCCTCAATTTTTAACATGCTTCTTGATATGGTTTGGATTTGTGCACCCCCGCATCCCCAATCTGATGTGGAATTGTAATTGCCAGTGTTGGAGGAGAGGCTTAGTAGAAGGTGTTTGCATCATGGAGGTGGTTTCTAATGGTTTAGCCTCATCCCCCTAGTGCTGTCTGATGATAAAGTTATCCTAAGATCTGCTTGTTTAAAAAGTTAAAAAGCACCTCCCCTGACTCGTTTCAGCCATGTGAATATGTGCTTGCTTCCTTTTCACCTTCTGCCATGATTGTAAGTTTCCTGAGGCTTCCCTATAAGCATAAGTCTGTACAGCCCACAGAACTGTGAGCCAATTCAATCTCTTTTCTTTTTCAATTACCCATTCTCAGGTATGTCTTTATAGCATGTGAGACAGACTAATACACTCATCCTCAGAAAGCATTCAATTTAGCTGTGTCTAAAGGTATGCCAGCTGTCCTGGGACATTATCTTAGCCAATCATTCTTCCTCTTCAGCAAGATCTATTTGCCTATCACAGCTTGACCACACTTCCTATCATACCTGTCTGTAACAAGTAGCCTATAACATCTGGAGGGATTTCATTGAAATCACAGAGGTTCCTTGGTTCTTTACTTTATTAGCAGGCATTAGGAAAGCACATCAACTTTCTTATTTAATAAAGTGCCTGTTGCTTTGAAAAATTGCCCAAAAGAAGAAAAGAGAGGGTTACTTAAAGGTATCACTATAGGCATGGCATGCTGGTTCACACCTGTAATCCCAGTACTTTGGGAGGCTGAGGAGACAGGATCACCTGAGTCCAGAAGTTCAATACCAGCCTAGGTGACATGGCAAAACCCCATCTCTACAAAACGAAACAAAACAAATAAAACAAAACAAAATAGAAAAAATATTCAGGCATGGTGGCATGTGCTTGTATTCCCAGTTACTCAGGAGACTGAGGTGGGAGAATCACTGAGCCCAGGGAGGTTGAGGCTGCAGTGAGCCATGATCATGCTACTCCACTCCAATCTGAGTGACAGAGCAAGACCCTGTCTCAAAAAAAAAAAAAAAAAAGCTATCACTATACTATCTGTAACTGTTCTTAGGAACAGTTTTTTTCCTAAGATTAGGAATTAGGATAACTAGGTTTTTTCCAACAGTGGAAACTCCAAACAGACTAAATTGTTGTACATCAAGGTGAATTGTCATAGTTAATTCCTTTGCTTGCAACTGCCCAATAAATGGATGAGGACTCACTTCACCAATAAATAAGAAAGGTGAACAGCACATGGGGCCTGTAGATGCCTTTTGCAGGGCCCTCTTTTAATCTTCCTAAAGTTGCAATTTGCATATTTCTGTAGATGGGCACATCATAGAAGCTGTCATCCTAGATCAGAGCCTGGAGAGAGAGATACAAGTGTCATGCTTAAATCTGCAGAGTAGGAACAAGCCCAGAGAAATCAAGATGATTAAGCAGAGAGTTTCCATACTGGAGATAAACCAGCTGTGTAAAAAGTCATGCTTATTGAACAAAAAAGCATTGCACCGCCGAAATAACTGCTTTAACTAAGAAGTAAAGAACTGACACCCCAACAGAGCACAGAGAGCCACATAGACAGGAGCTGCATTTCAAACAAGGTCATTGCTGTTTTCCCCACTCTGAGTTAAGTGTCTCTGCTTCACCCTTCCTTACCAAAGTTCTGCTTGATCATCCTTTTGTTTTGTTTTGTTTTGTTTTGTTTTTTGTACTTCCCTTCTTTGAGAAAATATAAACCAAAATTTTACATAAAACAGGAATTCAGCTTTTGACAATGTTAGCCATTGAAACAACAACAAAAAAGGTTTCTATTATTTCTCATCTCTGTGCTATCCAGTGCAGTAGCCAATAGCCACAGGTGACTATTAAAATTAAAATTAATTCAAATAAAACAAAATTTAACATTAGCTGGTCAGTTGTACTAGCCACATCTCAATTACTCAATAGCCACATGTGGCTAGTGGCTACTGAACTAGGCAGCATGAATGTAGAACATTTTCATCATCATAATTTTCTAGGTCATGGAAAAATTACAGAACTCAATTTCCAGTGTGCACATTTATTTGCATACCTAGGAGCTTTCTGACCCTGTGTTGAGCTGCCTAACCAGCTTCCTGATTGACCTCCTGATATTTCTGCAAATGTGGACTAAGAGGCCAGGATTCCTCAGGGCCCAGGTGACTCAGGTTATTCAGAAACTATGTTTGGACTAGCAGGCCTCTACTTGATTTGGGATGCGAAATGGGACTTCTCTTCCTAATTGCTAAAATAGATTTCAAGGTTCACCTCTCATCGCGGTAAGAGTCTCATTTCCTGAGACTCTTATTTCTTTCCATGACTTATGGTATATTCTGGAGAGAGTGGATTCACACAGAAGAGCTGGCTCTGTGCTGGTTTTCCAGGGGTCAGCCCCCTTGTCAGTGACAAGCCTGCCTATCTACATGATGTACATTATGTCCCACTACTGGTAATAGAAGCTCAGCAATTGATTGACTGTTAGGTTATTTTCAAAGCTCAGTATTCACAATAATCTAACAGACACCCACACAACCACAAGGACAGACAAGGCTCTCATAACCTGCAAAAGACAAGGTGCACATTTCTTCTTTCCATCCCAGCAACAAATTGCCAAACCAGCCAGCACTTAAGTTGGGGTAAAAATTAATTAAAAGAAGAACCTACCAATGTAGATAAAAGAACAGAAAAGCTATTGCAGCTGTCTTCTCCATAACAGAGGCCTGTGATTTGAATTTTAATGTTTCAATCTACTTTCTGCTCTTGTGTTTATTTTATTATTTATTTTTTGTCACTATCTCTTATTTGTAGATACAAATTTTTCATATTTAAAAGCTATTTTAAATATAATCTTTAAAAGGAGAAACATTATTTTTTTAATTGCACAAAATACTGAAGGTGAGATCCACTGATTGGAAAGCAAAATGGGACAATATCTCTGGAAGCAATTTTATCCAGATAAATCAATAGCTTTAAAACAATTCAAAACCTTGGACCTAATACCTCTACTTCTAGGAAGCTAGCCTATGAAGGTTTCTGCTGAAGGATGTTTATCACAGTATTATTAATAATGCGAAAAAGCCAAAGAAGAGACCTGAAATGTTTCAAAGATGAAAATGGTTTGATAAACATTTTTTTTAGATGGGGTCTCACTCTGTTGCTCAGACTGGGGTGCAGTGCCACGATCTCAGCTCACTGCAAAATCCTTCTCCCAGGTTCAAGCAATGCTCCTGTTTCAGCCTCCCAAGTAGCTGGGAATACAGGCACACCAACCACGCCTCACTATTTTTTTGTATTTTAGTAGAGATGGGGTTTCACCGTGTTGCCTAGGCTGGACTCAAACTCCTGAGCTCAGGCAATCCATCTGTCTCGAACTCCCAAAATGCTGGGATTACAGGCATGAGCCACCACACCTGGCAATAAGCAACATATTTAAACACTAGAATATTATGCAAACATCCCAGGCATGCTTTGGAAAAACTATTAATCCCACAAAAGATGCTTATGTTATTATACAGACTAACAGACCAAGATTCTCCAGGACACTTACTATGTTACATGTCTGAAGTACAATATAATGCCATATATAAAATGTAACCTCAACTCAGGCCCCAGTCTTTTCATCTGGAAAATTCTATTAATTATACTGCCCTTCCCCTTTTTAGGTTTTCTGTAGGAGTTAAATACAATACACTTTGTCAATTGCTTAACACCATGCTCAACACTGGTCGGGAAGATATAAATGTCAGCTATTGTACTATGTGCCAAAAAAACAAACAAAAAACCACACAGACAGACACACACACACAAAGACACACACGGAGGGAGAGGAAGTAAAGATTAAGAAGCAGCACATAATGTTACGGTAGGCAATGGGACCACTAGTGATTTTCATATCCTTTTTTATTTTCTTCTTTATACTGCTTACATTTTTCAGTGTATACAATGAGCATGTATTACTTCTGTAACCAGAAGAATGTGGTATAAACCTCACCTTAATATAATAAAACAAAATTACTGGCCAGGAACGGTGTCTCGTGCCTGTAATCCTAGCACTTTGGAAGGCTGAGACTAGTAAATCTCTTGAGCTCAAGAATTTGAAACCAGCCTGAGCAATACAGTGAGACCTTGTCTCTGCAAAAAATACAAAAATTAGCCAACCATAGTGGTATACAACTGTAGTCCTAAGTTACTTAGGAGGCTAAGGTGGGAGGGTGGCTTGAGACCAGGAGGTGGCTACAGTGAGCTGTGATTGCACCACTGCACTCCAGCCTGAGTGAAAAAGCCAGACCCAGTCTTGTACAAAAATAAAAAAAATAAAAAAAATAAAAAGTTATTACTTAGATCCCACATGCTGTCTTGGAGCCATTGTAGTGTTGCGGGATTCAAGAGACTGGAGAGACCAATGGATGAGACAGGAGGATTTTATTAAAGTGGCCACTGGCCTAGTAGATTCGCATCCAAAAGGCTGAGCCTGGAACAAAGATGGGGCCTGGTTTTTAAGCATGCAGCTGCGTGAAACTCACAGGGTGGGCTTAGCAAGCTTACAGAAGCAGAACAAAGGCAGTTAATCAAACAGTGACAGGTGTATGACTCAAACATGCCTGGTGACCTCTGCTGGGCCGTCCAGCAGGCCCTCAGCAGATGGTTACTATTTTAGGCTTGCTCAGACATGTCTTGTGACCTTCTCAGTGTTGCACAGATGGAAAACAGGAACTTACAAAATCCTTACAAACTTACAGAAATAGTTACAAAAATAGTTATGAGAGCAGAGCAAAGACATACTGGCCTAGGAAAGAATCTCAAAGGGGGAAGCTGATAAGAAGAACTTGTTCTTCTCATCCCTGTTCCTGGAGTCCATTCCTTCTGGGCTCTGCTTGGCCTTGTATATAAAGTTAGCTTAATCCTAGCAGGGCCTTGATGTGAGTCAGCCTGGTACAGGCAGGAATTTAGGTTTTTCTCCTTTTAATTTCGGCTTTAGTAGGCTAGGGTTCTGGTTGCCACTGCTGAGAAAGTAAAGTGTGTTCAGGCTGTCCATGGTTCTGGGCTCCCCCGGGTCTCTGAGGAGGGCTGTCCCCTCTATCACAGAGAATATCAGGACACTAGCCTGTTCCTAGTTATACTTACACACTCCTCTCATGTTGTCTATGGAGTGGAGGCTGCAGGGAGGGTGACATCCTAGTTAGTCCCAAGTGCCAGACTGCCTGAAGCTCACTGTTAACAAGTCCTGCCTTGGAGAAGAAGGAAGGTTGTCTCTGTGAATCTCCCACCTGGGCCAAAGGGAGGCCACTCTCTCCTCTGCCTCTCCCCAACCTTGGTCTTCTGCACTCCTAGTGAACCTCTCTCCCCCTGCCTACAGGCCTGGAATCTCAAGACCATGATGACCTAGTCACCCCTGAATCCAGGGCTTTCCCTTTACAAAGGGGAAACTGAGACCTGGAGCAGGGCCGATGTTCAGCCAGCCGATAAGGGAATAGCCGAATTGGTGGTAAAATACTGAAATAGTTCCAGTGTGGATGGAAAGGGGCCACTGCCCTGAACATCTCTACCCCGCCGCCTCAGCCCATACTCCAGGACCCTGGGTCAGCACCAGGAGCATCAAAGTGGCCAGGATTGGCTGAAGCCCATGCTAATGGCTCTGCCAGCCCTTCTCCCCACCAGAGAAGGCAGGGAAATCAGGCTATCTGGGGGTAGCACTGTGACCGTGTATGCAGTAGTCAAACCTTGTGTGCCACCATCCCTGACTTTGTTGATAAGGGCATCAGGCTACATCCCTCTGGTACTCAGTGGTAAGCATCTAAAATCTTAAAGAAAAAATTTAAAAAGCTTTCAAAATATAGGACTTAACATATGAGGCTGCACAAACATCTCTTTAGCAGTTGTCCAACTGGTGCTTCTGGTTCTGCCTCCCCAGAGAGTGGATGACCTGGGCCACCCTCCACCACTGCCCTGTAAGGCCATGGGACACACAGCCCATCAGTTCTCTTCACGTGGTCATCCCCCTTTAGATGGGAGAAAATATACCTGCCTCATTTTTGTACCTTCTGTTTGGACATTCCATGACAGAGCTTCACTAAATGTGTGATGAAGAACTGAATGAATGAATGAATGAATATGAGAGCAAATGAATGAATGGTTTAGATCCTGGGCTGGAAGTCTGTATGAGGATGGTGGGTAGAGGAGAGTGTGTTTTTCTTGCCTTTAAGTCATTACTTGTCATTTTGGGGCAGGAGCACAGGCTTTGAATGCAGACTGACTGGACTTTAATCCTGGCTTTACTAGTTGTGATTGTGTGACCTTGTACATGTTACTTAAACCCTCTGTGCCTGTTTCTTTATCTGTAAAATGGAGATAATAAGATGACAAAGGACTGTGGTAAGAATTAAATGCTTAAAAAAATCACAGTTTGTATTAAGTCCTCAATAGATTGGGTTTAGCATCATGAGTGCATGTGTTTCTGGAACAATGCTCATCTTGGGCTGGATGGTGCCTACACAGAGAAAGACTCTGGCCTCTTCTCACTCACATGTATCTGTCTTATGCCTGGTTCCCATTCCCAGATCCTTGGAAGATCCATATTGCTGAAACGGTGAAGGGTGATGGGCACCTCAGGACAACTAAGTTGCTCCCCAAACATCTTCCCCCGCCCAAACTCTCCTGTGGTCTTTAGCATTTAACAGGAATCTCTGGACACTCCAAGGGGTGATCCTCTCACGGAAGCCCAGTGGGGAGGAGGCTGCGGGAAAGGTCAGGCACTGTGCACTTCCCTGACAGCTGCAAATGGTTCTGTTTCCAAGCCCACGGGTCACTACAAATAAGGCAAGTTATATGACATAATAATGTGATTCTTTGGTGCCTCGGTCCACACTGGCACTTTAATACTCCTAGAGTGGATTGCATGGTGGTCTATCAAAAGATATGTCTACCTGGAACATGTGAATGTACCTTTATTTGGAAAACAATCTGCAGATGTAATTAAATCCAGCACCTCGAGATGAGGGCATCTCATCTTGGATTAGGATGGGCCCTAAATCCAATGACAAGTATCCTTATAAGAAAAGCGGCAGGTAGGGCACAGTGGCTCACACATATAATCCCACCACCACCACTGAGGAAGGTCAAGTTGGGAGGATCGCTTGAACTCCAGGCGTTCAAGACCTGCTGGGCAACATGGTGAGACACTGTCTCTCCAAAATGTATATAAAATATAATAGCCAGACATGATGGCACCCGCCTGCAGTCCCAGCTACCAGCTACTCAGGAGGCTGAGGTGAGACGATAGCTTGAAACTGGGAGGTTGAGGCTTCAGTGAGCTGTGATCATGACACTGCCCTCCAGTCTGGGTGGCCCCTGGCCCCTCCACAACCTGCGCTAGAAGAGCTGGGCCCTGGCTCTGGGCATCATGCAGCCTCTGAGGTGGGGCTGAGTGCCAGTTCCTGCCCTCCTGCAGCTGGGGACCAACACCCTGACTTAGGCGCTGTGGAGGCTTCTGGCCCAAGGGTCCGCACTGCTGGTGGCACTGGCAGGGTCGGAGTTTGCCACAGCTGCTGCTGCGCGCCTTGTGCAGGTTACCACTGCAGCTGAACCTACATCAGAGGCAGGCAGGGCTGGTCCCAGACAGCCTGGGGGTCTCTGAGTGCAGGGCCCTTTCACCCTAGAGTCAGCTCTTTCTTGCTGGAGCCCACAGCGGGGTGTGCAAGCGCTGGGTACAGGGCAGCAGCCAGGAAATGGCTGAGCGGCCGGCTCCCGCCCTCCTGCAGCTGGGGTCTGACCAGCTGAATTAGCCGGTGGGCGGCGTCTGGCCCTGGGATCCGCCTGGCTGGTGTAGGAGCCTGGTCTGGGGTTGCCTCCAAGGCTGCTGCGCGCGCCATGTGCAGCTGGCTGCTGCAGCTGGGCCCATCACCTGACAAGGAGTTTCCCAGACAGCCTCAGGGTCATGGAGTGGACCACTGTCCCAGCCTAGTGTACGCTCTTCTTTTGCCTGCGCCCAGAGTTCCGGGTCGCGGGCACCGGGAACTGTGCAGCCAAGGTGCTTCGGCCGAGGGCAAAGGTTGCTGCCCTGCTGCAGCTGCTGGGCTGAGTGCCTGAATTAGGCGCTGAGGCAGCGTTGTCCCCGGTGTCCTGGCTCTTAGTGGTGCAGGCAAAGTGCCCGGTTGCTCTGCTGCTGCGGCGCCCTTGTACAGGTGGCAGCTGTAGCTGAGTTCTCAGTAGACGCCGGCAGGGTTGGTCCTAGAAAGCGTGAGGATCGCCGAGTGCACCGCCCTCCCAGCCTAGGGTCCACTCTTCCTTGGCCCGAGCCCAGAGCCCGGGGTTTCAGGCGCTGGGCCCTGTGCAGCTGCCCAGAATATGCTGAGCGGCAGGTTCCCGCCCTGGCAAGGGATCCAGCCGTGGTATCCTCACTGCTGTTGGCGGCGGGCAAGGTCAGCGGGGTTTCCACCGCTGCTGCCGGGAGCCACCTGGCGGTGGTAGCTGCAGCTGAGCGCGTGGCAGAGACCGGCAGGGCTGGTCCCAGACACCCTGAGGGTCTCTGGGTGCATCGCCCTACCACCCTAGGGTCTGCTCTTCCTTAGCCTGCTCCCAGGACGCGGTGTACGAGCGCTAGACTCTGAGCAGCCTCCAGGATGGGGCTGAGCGGCGGAGTCCTGCCCTGCTGCAGCTACAGTCTGAATTAGGCGCCACCGCAGTATCTGACCCTGGGGTACGTGCTACTGGTGGCATGGACAGAGATGAGGGCTGCCACAGCTGCTATGGGGCTGAGCAGCCGATTTCCGCCCCGCTGCAGCGGGCGACCGCTGCAATCCCCAGCGCTATGGGACCGACCACCTGACTTAGATGCCTTGGAGGCATCCGGCCCTAGGGTCTTTGCTGCTGGTGTCTGAGGGCAGGGTCAGGGCTGCCACTACTACTGCCGTGCGCCATGCGCAGGTGCCAGCTGCAGCTGAGTCCCAGGCAGATGCTGTCAGGGCTGGTCTGAGGTTGCCTAAGGGTGGCTGAGTGCACCGCCCTTCCACCCCAGGGTCCGTTATTCCTAGGCCGGCGCCCAAATTGCAGGGTCGTGGGCGTTGGACACTGTGCAGCCATGAGGATCTGGTTGGGTGCAGATTCCCGCCCTCCTGCAGCTGAGAGGCCAACCTCCTAACAGGCGCCGCAGTGACCTCTGGCTCGGCGGTCCGCGCTGCTGCTGGAGCTGGCAGAGACCAGAGCTGCCACCGCTGCTGCTTCCAGGAGTGTGCAGCTGGCAGCTGCAGCTGAACCCGCAGCGGAGGCTGGAAGGGCTTATTCCAGAAGCCTTGAGGGTCCCCGAATGCACCGCCCTCCCACCCTAAGGTCCAGTCTTCCTTGCCCGCTCCCAGAGAGTGGGATTGCAGGCGCTGAGCACAGTGCAGGCGCTGGGATGGGCTAAGCTGCAAGTTTCCGCCCTCTGGCTGCTGGGGGGCCGACCGCCTGAGTTATGCGCCGCGGCGGCTTTTGGTCATGGGGTCCGCACTGCCGGTGGCTTGCACAGGGTCGGGGGCTGCCACAGCTGCTATAGTTCACCATGTGCACGTGGCAGTCGCCCCTGAGCCCACCGCTGAGGCTGCAGGGCTGGTCCGGTCTCAGACGGCCTGAGGGTCATTTGCCCGCGCCCAGATCCGGGTGGCTGGCGCTGGGCACTGTGCAGCCTCCAGGAATCCGCTGAAGGGCAGGTTCCCGCTCTCCTACAGCTGTGGGCCGACTGCCTGATTTTGGCCACTAGGTGGAGTCTGTCTCTAGGGTTTCGAGGCCGCTGGTGTCGGCGGGCGGAGTCCGGGTTTGCCACCGCTGCGCGCCATGAGCAGGTAGCAGTTGCAGCGTAGCTTTAGACAGAGGCTGGCAGGGCTGGCCCCAGACGGCCTGAGGGTCAGGGAGTGCAGGGTCCTCCCACCCTAGGTCCGCTCTTCCTTTGCCCTTACCAAGAGCGGGTTGTGCGGGCGCTGGGCTCTGTGCAGCCGCCGAGGTGGGGCTGAGCAGCGGATTTCCGCCCTGCTGCAGCTGGAGGACGATTACCTGAATTAGCCGCTGAGGCGGCATCTGGCCCTGGGTTACTGCTGCTGGTGACGCGGGCAGGGTCAGGGTTGGTTGCAGTTGGCAGCTGCTGCTAAACCCATTGCGAACCTCAGGGTCACCAAGTTCACCGTCCTTTCATCGTAGTGTCTGATCTTTGGCCCGCGCCCAGAGTGAGGACTCGCCTGCGCTGGGGATTGCATAGCTTCTGGGGGGCGGTCAGCGCCCGTTTCACGTCCTCCTGCAGCTGCGTGGCCTAAGGTCTTAGGCGCCGCGGCGCTATCTGGCCCTGCTGTCCGTGCTGCTGGTGGCGGGGACAGGGTCGAGGGTTGCCGCTGCTGCTCCCGTGCACCATCGGCAGGTGGCAGTTGCAGCTGAGCCCACAACTGAGGCTGTTGGGGCTGCTCCCAGGTTGTCAGAGGGTCGCCGAGTTCACCGACATGCCACCCTAGGTTACGCTCTTTCTTGGCCCGCAACCAGAGCGCCGGGTTACGAGTCCTGGGCCCTGTGCAGCCACGGGGATGGTGCTGAGTGCAGGTTCCCGTCTTCCTGATATGCGGGGCGACCACTGGAATTAGCCTCTGTGGTGGTATCTGACCCTAGGGTCCGAGCTGCTGATGGCGTGGGCGGGGTCGAAGTCGCCTCTGTTGCTGTGGCGTGCCATTTGCACTGTCCTCTGGAACAGGCTGGTCTGTGCTGTGTATGGTCAGTGGAGTCTTCTCTGGGCATTCTTCACTGATATCTGCTGACATGGCTCATCTTCTCTTTGATTTTGCATGTATTGGCACTCAGTGATGAAGTTTCTGGTCACCCACTGCCATTTTCCTCTAGCCTCCAAGACCTCACATTCTGAGGCCAGCATGTCCCACCAGGGGCCTCCACTGGTCCTGTCAAACCAGGTGTGAGTCCCCCTTCCACCAAGCTTGGAGAGACTGGCTTTTCAGACAGCACTCACAGGCTGAGAGTAAGGGAACTGATCTCTCAGGCACTTCCCCCTGTCCTGCCACTCTGTCATTCCTGGGACACCCTATGTGCACTAGAGAAGTAAGACACCAGCCTGCATATTTTCTCATCTTTCTTTAACTGTCTATTTTTTCCTATCCATCTGTTTGAGCGAGTCCCAGGAGGATGTTGGGGCTGAATACCTGATCAGAGACACAGGCAGAGCCATAGTCACATCTCCTGGGAACTTTCTTCTTCCTGTGTAGTTAAAAGCTCTTCTCTTCCTCTTCTTCATAGAAATTCCCCTTACACTAAACCTTTGACTAAAGCCATCCCCTCAGTTTGATAAAATTTTAGACAGGATTATTTCTGATTCTTGGCTCCTCACCTCTTTTTTTCTTTAGCATATTTTAGAAATGTTATCATTGTAAATTCTTTCTCTGCCTCTTTGATAAATCTTTCTAAGAGCCCACGTGCCAGTTTTACACTTCAGAAATGTCCATTTCAAGGACCTCAGAGCCATCCCTTTGAAATGTAATTCTCAAAAAAGATAACACCATTATCTCCCAGACTCCATGAGAGAGTAAGAGCCAAATTTTGGTGGGCATATTCCTCTAATTTGTAAAATCACCTTCTGTCATAAAGATGAAAGATAGTTTAATATTCCTTTGGAAAAAGACAACTATCAAAGACAAGTGGTCTATGATCTCCCCCTCATCCTGGCTCTTAAAATCTCTACTGCTGTTTGTTTCAGCGGAGCTGAGTTCAGACTAAGTTCTGGCCTCTTTGCCCTTTTGCAATAGTCTTCAATAACAGCTTTTTTATGTGTTTAACTTTGTCTGGTGCAACTGTTTTCTTTGACACTTTCCACCCTAACTAGAACTTCCATTAAAGTCATAATAGGATTCAAGGCAGCCAAACTTGACTCACATACGTAAAAAAACTTGTTAGGATTTAGAAACCCATATTCTCTTCAATAAATTGTTTCTTCAGACTGTTGCCTTATTAAAAGTTTCTAGTTCTTATTTTGGCATTGAAAAGGAGAATACCAATTTTTAAATAAGTCTCTGCTCACTTTTAATTTCTGCTATCACAATTTTATTGCTTTCCACGGCTGAACAATGAGAAGACCAGAACACAATTTTAAGTTAAATTTTATTTAATTTTTACCATTACAATTTTATTGCTTTCTCTGACTGAAAAGAGAAAACTCAAACAAAGTAGTCTAGTCTATGAAGTGGACTAGAACAAAGAATCATGTCTCATTAATACATTTCAGAAAGTTACCTCCATTTAACATCAATGGTGTCATTTAATATTCTTAACTTTCCTATCAAGTAGATGCTATTATTACCTCTATTTTATAGGATATTAAGTCTTATATATTATACATAACCAGCTGAAGGTCATGTAGCATGTAGATATGATAGGCATACAAAGAAGCAATGACATTAGAAGCAGAGGAGGGAGAAGGATTAAAAGGCTATACCTAGGTCGGTTAAGAGAAAAAGAAAAACTAGGAGGAGACAAATTCTTGTTAGAAAAAAATAATGATCGAGGCAGAGCAAGACAGTGGTGCAGACCTCTCCAGCTATCATACCCCTATAGAAACATCAATATGAACAACTGTCCACATGTGAAATTACCATTACAAGAGCCAACAGAACCTCAATACATGAACAAGGTTATGAAGCACCTTTGGCCTGTGAAGATGGGTAAAACCATGGCTTACAGAGTGAGAGAACCAATACTCTGTGACTGTGATACTCCTCCCTCAGGCCATTATGGTACCATCTGCAGAAACTCCCATAGGGCTTATAGTTTTTACACTGAAAAAAGTCAGCAGGAGGTTGATATTTGTTTTTTCCACTATACTGAGTGCCTTCACAGTAGACTCACTCCTGTATCAGCCCACAAGTGGCACCATGAGTGCCAAAAGGGATGAACCACCTGAGGCATGTTAAGGACGTAAGAGGAGGTGGGGCCAGCAACAGCCACCATGTGAAACATAATACACAGACTACACGCTTGACGGCCTGACTTGTTCTCCCCCATAGCCAGGGGCTCCCTGTGGATCACCCATGGGCCCATCCAGCAAATGTTGCAGCAGTGGTGGAGCCATTGGAAGACTTATGTCTAACGTGGGATTTGGACTCTCTCTAATGCTAAAATGGAATACGATGGTAAGTCCGCTCAACATTTCCTAATAAGCCCACTTAAAAGTAGTCACAAACAAACCCAGACTGAGAAGACACAAATAAATATCTAATTCATCAATGTGTAGACAGAGATGTATATCTACATATAATAATGATAGCTTAGGAAAAGTTGCCTCTCCAAATGGACAAAACAAGGTGTCAGCAACTGAACTTAAAGACATACAGATGAATGATCTGGCAGGCAAAGAATTCAAAATGGCTGTTTTAAGAAGAGCCTGAACACTGAGAAAGCAGAGACATAATTCAGAAATTTACCAGAGAAATTCAACAAAGAAATCAAAATAATGGGAAAAATCACATGTAAATCCTGAAGCAGGAAAGTTCAATTAACACATTGAAAATCCAACGGAAGGCATCAACCGAAGAACTGATCAAGCAGAAGAAAGAAACAGTGAGCTCAAAGACAGGCTCTTTGAAAATACATGGTCAGAGTAGAATGAAAAAAAGAATGAAAAGAAACAAAGAAAGTTTATGAGATTTGTGGGACACCAACAAAAGAGCAAATCTACATATCATTGGTGTTAAAGGGGAACTAAGAATGAAAAGGAGATAGTTTATTCGAAGAAATAACAGAAAACTTTTTAAACCTGGAGAAAGATTAAAATGTTTAGGATGGTCAAAGTGCCCAATCATATTTAATCTGAATAAGACAACCAAAGACATTTTATAATTAAACTCTCAAATGTCAAACACAAAGAGAAGACCCTGAAAGGACTAAGAAAAGGGAAACAACACATAAGAGAATTCCAATATGCCTGGCAGCAGACTTCTCAGCAGAAGCACTACAGGCCAGGAGAGAGTAGGATAATAGATTCAAGTGCTGAATTAAAAAAACTGTCAACCATGAATAAAGTATCCAGCATAGCTATCATTTAGAAATAAAGGAGAGATTGAAACATTCTCAGACAAACAAAAAGCAAAGGAATTCATTGTAATCAAACCAGCCTTACAAGAAACGCTAAATATTGTTCTCCAAACTGAAAGAAAATGGCAGCAATATGTAACACAAAAAATCTGAAGGTATAAACCCACAGGTAGAAGTGAGGGTTCAGACAAATTTGGAATGCTCTAATATGGTAATAATTGGATGTAAAGCACTTATATATCCTTAGTAGGAAGGTTAAAAAACAATACAAATAAAATAATAATAATTACAATAATTTGTTAAGGACTAGCAATATACAAAGATGTAAATTAAGACATCAAAAATGCAAAATGTGAGGGAGTGATGGAGTTAAAGAGTAGAGTGGTTTCTTTTCCCCTCTTTTTGAATCAAAATTAAGTTGCTATCTCTTTAAAATAACTTATTGTAACCATAAAATGTTCTTTGCATGCCTTGTGGTAACCACAAAGCAAAAACTTTTAAAAGATACTCTAAAAATTAAAAAAAAAAAAACCGAAACACACTGATAGAGTAAAGCACTTAATCACAAAGGAAGATAGAGAAATCAATCAATCAAAGTACAAATTAAAAAAAACATGAAAACAAGTAATAATATGGCAGAACCAAGTCCTTGCCTATCAATAATTATCTTGTATGTAAATGGATTATCCCATTTAAGACATATAATGGCTACACTGATTAAAAACAAGACCTAACTATAAACTTTCTACAGGAAATTCACTTCATCTGTAAATACACACATAAATTGAAAGTGATCAGATGGAAAAATATATTTTATAAATATGGAAACCGAAAGAAAGCCAGTATAGATATATTTATATCAGATAACATATACTTCAAACAAAATCCTATAAAAACAGACAAATACAGCCATTATATAATGATAAAGGGATCAATATCACAAGATAATATAATTGTAAATATATATGCCCTCTATATTGAAGGACCTAAATATATAAAACAAACGTTAATAGATCTAACAGGAGAAACAGCAAGCAATAAAATAATAGTAACATTCTACTTTCAGCAATAAACAGATTATCAAGACATAAAATCAACAAAGAAACATCATATTTAAAGTGAACTCTAGACCAAATAACTTAGCAGTCATTTACAGAACATGTTATCCAACAATTGCATAATTCACAGTCTTCTCTACTGCGCATGGAACATTTTCCATGATAGATCATATACTAGGCACAAAATGAGCCTTAGCAAATTCAAAAAAAAATCAAAATTATATCACATCTTTTCTGACAATATAGAATAAAACTAGAAATAAACAACAAGAACTTCAGAAATTGTGCAAATACATACAAATTAAACAACGTGCCCCTAAACAAACAATGGGTTAAAAAATAAATTTTGTTTCATTTTAAAAATTCTTAAGACAAATGAAAATGAAATCAGAACATATAAAAACTTACGAAATACAGCAGAAAAAGTCCTCAGAGGGAAGTTTGTAGAAATAAATTTCTATATGAAAGAAAGAAAACTCTCATTAATAATTTAAGAATGCATTTCAAGGAATTATAGAAACGTGAACAAACTTAGCCCCAAATTGGTAAAAGAATATAGATAATGAAGACCAGAGCACAAATAAACAAAATGGAGACAAAAATATGAAAGATCAATGAAATAAAAAGTTATTTTTTGAAAAGATAAACGCAATTGATATATCTTTAGTCAGATTAAGAAAAAAGAGAGAAGATTCACATAAATAAAATGAGAGATGAAAAAAGACATTAAAATGGTTACTACAGAAATACAAAGAATCATGAGAAAGTACTAAAATTATATGCCAATAAATTAGAAAACGTAGAAGAAATAAATACATTTCTGAACACATATAACCTATCAAAGTTGAAGAATTAAGAAATACAAAATGCGAACAGACCAATAACAAATAAAGAGATTGAAGCATTGTCTCTCAATACAAGAAAATCTGGAGGGCTGGCACAGTGTCTCACACATGTCATCTCACACTTTGGAGGCCAAGGCAGGAGGATTACTTGAAGCCAGAATTTCCAGATTAGCCTGGGGAACATAGTGAGACCCAGTCTTTACAAAAATAAAAATAAAAATTATCCAGGTTTAGTGGTGTGCACTTGCAGTCCTAACAACTTGGGAGGCTGAGGCAGGAGGATCACTTAAGACCAGGAATTTGAGGCTGCAGTGAGCTATGATTGCACCACTGTACTCCAGCCTGAGTGACAAAGAAAGACCATGTCTCTAAACCAAAAATATTTAAGAAGAAGAAGAAAAAGAAAGAAAGAAAGAAAGAAAGAGGAAGAAAAGAGAGACAGCGGGAGGGAGGGAGGGAGGAAGGAAGGAAGGGAGGGAAGGAGAAGAAAATAAAAATCGAGGATCCAATGCTTATACTGCTGAATTCTTCAAAACATTTAAAGAGGAACATATACTAATTATTTACAAACTGTTCCAAAAAAAGTGAAAAGGAGGAAACTCTTCCAAACTCATTCTATGAAGACAGAATTACCTTATTCCAAAATGCAACAAGAACAGTGAAAAACTAAACTACAGGCCAATATCAGTGATGAACATAAATGCAAAAATTCAAAACCAGCAATGCTAGCAATCATAATTTGAAAGCACATTAAAAAGATGATTCACCATAATCAGGCTGTATTTGTTCCAGGGAGGCAAGGAGGGCTTATGATATATAAATCAATAAATGTGATACACCACATTCGATAAGGTAAGATAAAAATCATATAATCATTTAAATAGATACAGAAAAAGCATTTGACAAAATTCAATGTTTTTTGTAAACATAAGATCTCTTAACAAATCAGTTATAAAAAGAGTATAACTCAATAAAATAAAGACCATATGTGATAACCCACAGCCAACATGATACTGAATAAGGAAAAATTGAAAACTGTGTCTCTAAGATCAAGAACAAGACAAGGATGTTCACTTTAATAACTTCTCTTCAACATAGCACTGGAAGTCCTAGCTAGAGCAATTAGAAAAGAGAAAGAAAAGACATCCAAATTGAAAAACAAAAAGAAAGTCAAATTGTCCCTGTTTGCAGATGACATAGATCATGTCATATGTATAAAAGACCCTATACTGAAAAACAGAAACAGTAAATGAATACAGTAAAGTTTTAGAATACAAAATCAGCATAGAAAAATCAGTTGCATTTCTATACCCAACAGCATACTATCTGAAAAAGGAATCCCCATTGAAAATAGCTATAAAAAAAATGCCTGGCAAAATAAAGACGTCTAAAATGAAAACTATAAAACATTGATAAAAATCAATTGAAAAGATACAAGTAAAGACAAGGTTATCCCATTTTTTGAATTAGAAGTGTTAATACTGTTAAAATGACCATCATACTCAAATCAATCTATAGGTCCAATACAATCTCTAACCAATTTCCAATGTAATTCTTCACGTTCTGCGGATGTTAAAAAGATTTTTAAAACCGTTTTTTTGGTTCTGCAGGCGAAGGCTGTGGCCGCGCTCCCGCCGGCCAGTTCCCAGCAGCAGCTCATCGCCCCTGCTCCGCGCCTTCGCTCCAGGCCCGCACGGTCGCAGCCCCGCGAGAATCAGCACTGAGCCGGTCCCGCCGCCGCCGCCCCAGTGTCGGGCTGCTGCTGCGGGAAGCCAATCGCCCACCGCTTGGAGGAGGGCGACGAGGCCTTCCGCGCGAGCAAGTACCAGAAAGCGCCGGGCTCTTCCGCTCCATGCTGGCCCTGCTGGCGCAGCCCGACCGCGGCCGGTGCCTGAGGCTGGGGGACGCGCTGGCCCGCGCCGGCCGCCTCCCGGTGGCCCTGGGCGCGTTCCATGTAGCCGGGAGGTTGGAGGCGCTGAGTCCGGAAGAGCTGGGGGAGCTGGCGGGCGGCCTGGTGTGTCCCGGCCTGCGCGAACGGCCACTGTTGGCGGGGAAGCCTGGCGGCGAGCTCAGGGCTAGGGAGGGCCGGCCCTGGCGCCCGGCGCGCCCCGCGACCTGCTTGGCTGCCCACGGCTGCTGCACAAGCCTGTGACGCTGCCCTGCGGGCTCACGGTCTGTGAGCGCTAAGTGGAGCTGGGGCCCGCGCGGCCACAGGCGCGGGCGCGTGAACGTGGTGCTGAGCCGCCTGCTGGAGAGGTGCTTCCCGGCCGAGTGCCCGCTGTGCAGGCTGGAGGGTCAGGCGCGGATCCTGCAGCGCCAGCAGCAGCCCGAGGCCGCGCTGCTCAGGTGCGACCAGGCCCTGGAGCTGTGACTTGGCTGTGGGGCTGGCCCGCCTCCCTGGCCCCTGTCAAGCCGAGCGGCTGGAGCTAACCCGCGGGCCTGGGCTTTTGAGCGCTTTGTCCAGGCGTAGGGGGTCACTTTGCTTACTAATGATGGGAAGGTGAAAGGTGGGGGAGGCCACTCCCTGCAGTCAGGGTGGCAGGTGTCAGAGGCCACATGCAACCCACTGGTTTTGTCTTTTCTAGGATGCTGATAAGTTTCCCGCGGCCCCCGGAGCAGCTCTGTAAGGCCCTGTAGTTGCCTTTCATTCCCTTCTGCTCTATTGAGGAGTGGGAGGATGACAAAGTGTTTTTGCTCAACCCGAAGGAAAATGCACATGGGAGGACACACCGGGTTACTATTTGAGTAGCCCAGGCAAGAGACCAGCGGCTGCTTCAGCCATGAGACCACCTCAGGCCAAAATAGCCTTGTGGTTGTTTTACTTCTTTTCACCAAATGGGTCTTTTTGGGGTTTGTGGCATGTCCCATGTAATGATGATCTCTTGGTTCCCCTTTCTCATTCACACCCGGGAGCTGAGGTGGGGTGGGGGAGTGGGGGGGGGGAAGGGGAGTGGCCACCTGCGCCAGGTATGAGAGAAGCCACACCTGAGACCAGCCCCTCTGTCCTCCTGCCTCTGCATGCAGCGTCCCTGCAGGAGGCAGAAGGGGTGAAAAGTAGCCTCGATGTGAAAGTCCTTGTGTGTCCCTGAGGGGGGAAGTAAGTCACAGTCGGGACACTGGTTCCTGTCACTGGGTGCAGCACAAAGAAGGACCCCAGGACATGCGGTGCAGACGGGAGCACAGAGAGGGTGAGTGCTACTGGGGTGCACAGGCAGCTTGAGGAGGATGGAGATGGCAAACTTCCCTTTGTCACACCAGGTCCACGTTCAGGGCCGGAGGACCACCAGATCCCCAAAGCCTCCGGTGCTTCCGAGGCAGAGGAGAGGCAAAGCCGGTGGCCCCCGGCGTCCAGGGACCTGGCAGCCACCACTGAGGCCCACCTGCTTGTCCCTCAGCCGGGTGCCCACTGGCAGCCACACTCCAGGTCTCTGGGCTCTGCCCAGGACGTGTGTTTGGGCTTCTCTCCCCAGCAGAAGTCATCAGCGTACCCTCTGCATCCCACGGATTTGCTTTGTTTCTGAGGGAATAATTAAGGAATGTTAGTATGATATCAGAAAATAGCTAATTATGGTGAAGAGCTAACAGGGCAATCTGGGAAGCTGTGGAGCTCTAGTTAGTGATGACAGAAGAGGAACATATTTGACTGTTTTGTGCTACACCCAGGTTCTCAGGAGGTGGCCAGGGAGGAGACTTGGCACTGTGCCATGCTCAGAGCCCCTAGTCCCAGGGACTGTTTCCCTGTGGGAGTTTGGATGAGAGGCAGTTGGCTGGGAAGCTCAGGATGGAGTGAGGAAGGAGAACGACTTGAGGTGCTTGGGTTGGAAAGATCTAGTACCCCAGGAGGGACTGGCTGTGGCCTGCACACACCCCAAACTCACACACTCTGTCATGCTCACACAGACACGCACACACACTCATGGACCCAAGCTCACACACCACACTCACATGGCTTATTCACACACTTACACACATTAACACACATATGCACTCATATTTACACATCCGCACACAGTTATATTCCACATACACACTCATACTGCCAAGTTCAAACACCACTATCACACATTTCTTCACAAACATTCACACAACTCACATACACACTCTCACACACGTACACACTCACCTACCCACTCTCCATTACACACATTTACCTGTCCGTTCTCACACACATGCACAAACACAAAGCCAAATTAGAGCCATTTTCCTGGTCCCACACAAACAAAAATGATACCTCAGTTTCTTGATCTTGACCAGAATTGGGCACATGATTCCATCCAACCACAAGGTGGGGCGGGAATGAAATCCTATCACGTCCTCAGGCCGTGGAGAAAAAAAACTATGTCAGGCCTCTCTAATGCCTCCCACAAATGGGCAGGAGGGATTGAAACAGAAAAGGGGTTCCTCCTGACATGTGGCATTGATGGAGCCCGGTTCTGCCTCATGCCAAGCCCTGCCTTGCCCCTCGATGATGGAAAATGGTTGTGTGTCTTGTTTCCTGGCCTCCATCTCTGTCTTGGTACAGAGTAGAGACTTGAGTCTCAGTTCCAAAGACAGGAGTCCCGCTGAGCTGACCCGCCCACTGACAGATGAAGTCTTGCCATCTGCTGACCAAGTTCCCCAAGGCCCCTTGAGACTCAACTTCTGAAGAGGGTCTGCTCAGAATTCCCCGTCCCCATGATCTGCCCAGCTGTCGGGACACTGGTGAGCCTGCTCAGTGGGGAGTCCCTTTTCAGCTCAGTCAGCAAGTGGCTCTTCTCTATAAAGAGGCAGGGGATGAACCTCCTCTCTAGTTTTAGCAGAAGAGGCCATGAGACCCATGGCAGAGGCCAGAGCTGTGCAGGCTGTAGGAGGTACCACGTCAGGGATTTCAAATGGAGGAAGGTACTTTCCAGAGAGTACTGCAGGGAACCAAGCCATATCCACCGTAGCTGCAATAAAAACTCTGAGGCTCAGCTTAAACTCAATCCTAGAAATGATGTCCCAGCACAAACTTTGCAGGATAAGCAAAATCTAGAGAAGAGAAAATGCAGACCCAGGCAATGATAAACACAAGTCATCGGGACCACCACGGAGCAGATACAGTGCCTTCTCCACGTGCGGTGAATGAGGTTCTCACGTCTGTTAGTGTGTGGAATTGAACATCAATATCAGAATCATTCTGTGTTACCTACAACTGGTTTTATGTTGTTATGCCTGTCTCCTGATGACTGTGTATCTTTAGCCAACCTTTTCACCCCAAAGCTCCTGCCCCAACCCCTCCTCCTGGAAGTGCCCATCTCTGGTCTCGGCAGGAGGCTGTTCTTCCCAGCCTGTGGGGTGGCCACCTTGCAGGCTGTAACCCTCTACAAGAAATAAAGTCTTCTCTCCTTTTCTAAATTTCGATATTTGCTTAATCCTTAGCTTCTATTTTTTCAAGCCTTTAAACTGCTTTTAGGTCATGGCCTCTTCTCTGTAGGGTCTGGAGGCTGAGAGATGTCCAGCAGGAAAGAACTGCTAACTAATTCCAGTAGCACTGCTCTTCTGCCTAACGGAGGTGTTTAAATGTTGATTTTGGCAAAATCTATGAGCAGGTTGCTCCCCCTCTCCCGAGATCTCTCACAATACTTTGTAAAACCCAATTTAGCGCATTGTCTGGGAGGGCAGCTTTTACTGGTTCTGCAGCGATCTTCCTTACTCATAATCTATTGAAATATTGTAAAGCGATGCAGATTTGTGGCATGTGAGGAGAGCATGTAGACACACACTCCGCTGTGATTCAAAGTGCCCTAACACCTTCCTCTCCCCTACAGGCTGTGATAGGAGGGTGCTCTGGGTCACTGAGGAAGGGGAGTCATAAAGGAGCAGAGGCCCCCCGTCGTGAGTGCCATCTCTCCTTGAGTGTGGCCTCTTGTTCTAGCCCACAGGCCCACCATGCCCTGACTAAATGCTCGCACTGCTCATACATCCACTTTTAAAAATTGAGTTGAACATGAGAACATGATCATTCATATTTTATCCATTTGCATGTATTCAATACCATCCTTTCCTCATCTCTGCTTTACCGCCTTTTCCTTTAAAGAATGAATGTTTCCATGTTTTATATCCACAGAATTTCTGGTCTTTCCCTTTGGAGCCCAAGGAGCAAGGGCAGAATGAGGAACATGATGTTCCTTACAGACAGTTACTCATGAGGCCACAGCACAGAAACTGCAAGAAATGTCAGTCATGAAGTGTCCCAGTGCATTTTAAATTGATGGTTATTAAAATCCTTCTTTATCTATAGGGGATCTAAAAAAATTAAACAACTCATAATTTAAACACAGTTGCCAGGTAACCTGAGTCAAAAATCAGGAGAGGCTCCGTGGTCTGAAGTCTCCTAGTGCTCACCTTGGTGACGTTCTAGTTGCCTAACGGGTTGGTGTAATGACGTCATTCAACACAAGCAAAACACAACTCCCTTGGAGTTGTTCAAAAAATCAGGAAATAGAAAAAAAAATAAGGGAGAATAAAATATTGACAGGAGAGAAAAATGAAGAGTTACTTGGAGATTTGAAGGAGGTGAAATGGGCAAAAAGTAAATTTAGCAATTAGAATTTAAAGTCAGTGGATAATTAAGTCGAATAATTTATTCTTATGTCCATGTATTTTGGTTTTAAAGTTTTGATTAATACTCACTCAACACTAATTTCTAACAAATTAGAATATTCCCATATTGACTATTTTTACCAGTGAGCTTGTAATAAAGATCCACCAGTAATTTTAGTACACCATAACCTTTCAAAAGAAGCCCATAGAATAAACTAATTTTTAAAGAGCCACATTTTATTCAATGTCTATTTATACATGTTACTAGCAATAAACTCTTTTATCTTTAATTTTGAGAAGCTTTGCAAATACAGAAAAGTAGAATGACTAATAGAGCCGGTAGCCAGGACTCAGATCGGAAAAATAGGTCTAATCGGTTGTTACACTGTGTTTATGTCATACATTTCACTTATTTTTATCAAATAAAAATTAGAATTTATAAAATGTTGATTAAAAGGAAAACATTCTGACTAAAGTTTAGTCCTGTGTTTCTTCCTCCAAATCTCTTTGTTCTACACTAACAAGTCAGGATAAGTATGGATGGGGAGGCTGGAAAAGGGGCATCCTTCCCCATGAGGTCCCCAGAGCCACCTTCTCCAAGCAGAACTTGGGGAACATCCTTCTCCATCCAGGACCTAGGGGGCATCTTTTCTCCATCCAGGACCTGAGGGGTGTCCTTCTCCACCCAGGACTTGGGAGGTGTCTTATCCACCCAGGACTTGAAGGGGATCCTATTCCATTCAGGAGTGGGGGAAATTCTTCTTCATCTGGACTTTGGAGGCATCCTTCTCCATTTAGGACTTGGGGGGCATCCTTCTCTATCCAGGACTGGGGTTTGTCCTTCTCCATATAGGACTTGGGGGGCATCCTTCTCCATCCAGGACTGGGGTTTGTCCTTCTCCATATAGGACTTGGGGGGCATCCTTCTTCATCCAGGACTGGGGGGTTATCCTTCTCCATTCAGGACTGGGTTTGTCCTTCTCCATGTAGAACTAGGGGGCATCCTTCTCCATTCAGGAATTGGGGAGCATCCTTCTCCATCCAGGACTTGGGGGACATCTTTTTCCATCCAGTAACTAGGGGGCATCCTTCTCCATCCAGGACTGAGGGGGGCATCCTTCTCCATCCAGGACTTGGACGACCATCTTTCTCTATCGAGGACTTGGGGGACCATCCTTCTCCATCCAGGACTCAGGGGACATCATTCTCCATCTAGTAACTAGGGGGCATCCTTCTCCATCAAGGACTAGGGGGCATCCTTTTCCATCCAGGACTGGGGGGCATCCTCCTCCATCCCAGAATTGGAGGGCATCTTTCTCTATCCAGTATTGGGGGTCATCCTCCTCCATCCAGGACCTAAGGGGTGTCCTTTTCTGCGCTTCCATGGATGGCAGCCTTGCCTGTGCAGTCATTCAGAAAGTCAGGCTGACACATGTTGTCGTCTTGAACTCTGGCATCTCATCTCTATTCTAGGTGAATGCCTTCATGTTTATAGTGATTTACCATTAAATCACTGTGCTGTTTTTCCCTAAAATATATGGGGCGTGTTTTTTGTTCTGACTTCTTTTAGTCCTTTGGTCCCTATCTCCGGGTTTTTGTAATTTCTTTTGCAACCTAATATGGGTCCCATTTGGTAAGTATTACATATACTAGAAAGTGATGTACATTCAGCATTTGTTGTGATTTAAAACCTTTTATAAACACATAACATCTTTGTCTATTTCCCATTTAAATTCAGAAGTATGAGTTCCAGTGTCCCTCTCTAGACCTGCTCTATCCTGTTAGTTTCTTTGTATGTCCTGGAGGTGAGGCCAGCATTGGACTTGACGTTGGTTCACCTACCCGGTTCTATGGTCCCTCCATGTGCAGTGTCAATCTTGTTGTTTATTATTTCTTCCTTAAATTTTATTTAAACTAAAATTAATTTTGTGATAGCAGCTTGCTTTCTGTGAATATTTACTTAAAATTTTTATAAACTATTTAATTTTTAATTTCTTTAATTTGAAAGTGCTGCTTAGTTATTGATAATTTTGTATTTTAATATATGAGGTTAATCCCTCTATGTTTGGTAGGAAAAAGTGATATATTTGAACTTATTTCTATCATTTGATTTTTGGATTTTGTATTTGCAAAGCTTTATCCTCAATTCTCTTTTCGTTTTTTCAGATTTCTTTTCTTTTCTTCTTTTTTTTGGGGGACAGAGTTTCGCTCCTGTTGCCAAGGCTGGAGTGCAATGGGGAGATCTTGGCTCACGACAACCTCTGCCTCTCAGGTTCAAGCAATTCTTCTACGACAGCCTCCAAGTAGCTGGGGTTACAGGCATGCACCACCATACCCAGCTAATTTTGTATTTTTAGTACAGACAGAGTTTCTCCATGTTGGTCAGGCTGGTCTCGAACTCCCAACCTCAGGTGATCCACCCATCTTGGCCTCCCAAAGTGCTGGGATTACAGGCATGAGCCACTGCGCCCGGACTTCCAGATTTATTTTAAATCAATGTTTCATTTTCCACTTCCTTCCTATGCTGGCTTGTAGGTTTTCCAGGCTATTTACCTTTATTTGGTGTCAAAAATTCTTTTGGGAACTTTTGAGTTGTCAACCAATAGTTGTAAGCATATTGGATATTGCTGTTTTTCTCCCAGTGCTCTGGTTATAATCTCTCCTATTAATACCTTGTAGTCTTATTGTTGTAGTTTTTTTTCTATTAATTTCTGAGATATAAGAATTAGAATTGTCAAATTGTGGATTTATGCATTTATCATTTTAATTCAATAACTTTTGCTTCATGTATTTTGTTATTTTTCTTAGGTGTATGCATGCTTATGCTTATTAGGTTTTCTAAGCAAATGGACTTATTAGTATAAAACATCCTTCTTTATCCCTGGTGAAGCTTGTCTTTCTTGTAGTCTGTCTTATCTGCCATTAATACACTGGCTGCAGTTTTTGATAACAAAGATTTGCATAGTGTATATTTGTCCATCTTTTCAGTTCAAATCTATTTATATCTTTATCTCATAAGTGTATTTCGTTTTAAAAGTGGTTATTGAGGTTTCCTTTTTACTTATTTTGACAGTCTCTGTTCCGCCTTCCTCATCTTCTTCTGGATTATGGTAGTTTTGGTTTGTTTGTTTGTTTTATGGGGTTTTCTTTTTTTTTTTTTTTAGTATGGATTTTGTACCTTGTTTTTTTTTTAACTATGACTCTTTGTTTCATTTATTTATTTTTGGTGAGTTGTTCAGAAATTAAAATATAAATACTTAATGTATATTAAATATCATAACACTGTATATAAAATATAAAAACCTTACCTTACCATCCTCTCATCTTTTGTGCCATGTTGTCATAGATTTTTCTTTTGTACATGTTGTAATTCCTGGAGGATGTCATTAAAACAGTAATTTCCCCTCCACATATTTACTATTTTTGGCACACTTTCATCTTTTCTGTGAAGTAGAATTTCCAACTGTTATTTTTCTTCATCCTGAACAAGTTTATTTATTGGGGTTTGGGTGTGATGGCAACACGGTCTCTCAGACTTTCTTTAACTGAAAATACTGGGTATATACCCAAAGGACTATAAATCATGCTGCTATAAAGACACATGCACACGTATGTTTATTGCGGCACTATTCACGATAGCAAAGACTTGGAACCAACAATGTCCAACAATGATAGACTGAATTAAGAAAATGTGGCACGTATACACCATGGAATGCTATGCAGCCATAAAAAATGATGAGTTCATGTCCTTTGTAGGGACATGGATGAAATTGGAAATCATCATTCTCAGCAAACTATCGCAAGAACAAAAAATCAAACACCGCATATTCTCACTCATAGGTGGGAATTGAACAATGAGAACACATGGACACAGGAAGGGGAACATCACACTCTGGGGACTGTTGTGGGGTGGGGGGAGGGTGGAGGGTTAGCATTGGGAGATATACCTAATGCTAGATGACCGGTTAGTGGGTGCAGCGCACCAGCATGGCACATGTATACATATGTAACTAACCTGCACATTGTGCACATGTACCCTAAAACTTAAAGTATAATAATAATTAAAAAAAAAAAGAAAATGTACTTTTCTCAACTTCAGTTCTGAAGGCTGCTTCAGCAGGTTCAGAATTCTAGGGACACTTTCGACTTAGAATAGCATGAAGTCTCTGCTTAGCAATGATCTGGGCACCATCGAACATATTACTATATCCAGCTGTGTCAAATCTGTCATCAGCCATAGAACGCTTTGACAGGTGCTTCTTGTTGCTTAAGTTCTAAGTATTTCATAGTCTTCAGAGACATGGAGAAGTAGCAGTGCTAGTAACAGTACCAGTAAAACCAGGTTAAGCCCTAAAATAATTAAGAAGCCATTGCATGCACACACGTGAACGTTTGACTTCAGCTTTCAAATGTACTATTTTAACTTTATACAAGGTCATAACACAAATTAAAATTTTAAAAATACTTTCACTTTACATATGTGAAAACTGCAGCTCAAAGAATTTAAAAGACATGACTGAAATCCCATAACTAGGTAAAGATGGTCTAATCTGGAGCCCGCATGTCTTGGTCCCCCCACGCCCTGTTACAGAGAGTGCAAGGCTTCACCAGGAAGCTGTTTTGGCTCAAGGATTAGTTCTGGGGAGGTGCAGCAGGCAGGCCTGCTTTGCATCCTCTTTACAGCAGAAATCCAATGTTTGTTCATGTTTCTAGTTCTTTTTGTTTTGTTTTGTTTCTTACCAGCATGGCTCTGGGAGTTATTTACACAATTTAATTTTAAAAGAGACAGTCCCCATCATTAGGATTCCTTGGAAACTTATGCAAAAAAAAATAAATAAATACTGATAGATGAGAAACTTCTGCAAAATTGTGATATGTGTAATATATCTAATTGTAGTGAAAGAAACATGTGTATCACAGTAATAATTTAATTTATTACTGTCATTTTCTTGCCAGATTTGAGGGCAATTTTTTTAAGCTCTCCACATGTGGTTTACTGTGGACCAAACACTGGCAGCTTCAGGCTTACAATCTGCTGACAAACCCTTCTCAGTTCCTTCATTTGAAAAATGTGAGCATGCACTGCTCATGTGCCTGGCAAGCACATAACTCACTCAGGAGAAGGACAGTGGCCACTCAGGTCATCAGGTGAACTTGTGACGAGGCCATCAAGAGGCTGCACGTGAGCTCCAGAAAATGAAATTCCCACTATCAACCTATTCCCCATTTCCACCCAATGCCCCCGCCCCTGCTCCAAAGCAAAGTCTCCACCTCTTAGGAATGCTTGATTTTCAGTATTGCTGAACAGGGGTCAAAGAAAACAAACTGAACAAAGACACAAATGAAGCCTTTAACACAGGGAGCAAAGACACAGCACCTCCCGACTCTGCAACAGCTCCAGAGCTGCACAGCTGCTGCCAGAGCCTGAGCACAGGCTGAGCTCTGGCCCGTGGATCTCACCAATGCCTTTCTTCCCTCTGTGTCAAAAAAAGTATCCATAAATAGGATTCATTTACTCGGGACATAAAATAATGTATACATACAGTTTCGTCCCAGAACTGTGTAAACCGGCATGCTGTCTGCCACAATACAGTCCTCACCCTGCATCAGGAGCTCAGATGGGGGAAGCTGGCAGGGCTGGAAGCCTGGGAGTCACAGGTGCTTGGAGGAGACAGAAAAGCACCACAGAGAGCCAGGGCCTGCCTACAAGTCACATGTTTAGGGGTCTGGTTGTCTGGGCAGGCTGGGAGATGCTCTCTAAAGGAAATGCAAGAAATATTGCCCCACATCTCCCACCACCAAACAGGAAGTGCAGGTGGTCAGCCCCAGGGCTCACCTGCTCTTTGCCAGGGTCACGAGTCAGGCCCAGGCTGCGCCCTCCACACAATCCTCAAGGGAACTTCCTGCCAGGCTGGGACAACTGCACGGGGCCCTGAGGCCCTGGGAAGGACAGGGTTGCATTTAACAGAAACAGCTAAACCTGAAGGGATGAGCTTGCCTTTCCCCGGGGCCATGGGATGGTTTATAGAAAGTTCTACCCATCAGGACAAAGACCTCACATGACACCATCAGAGGAAATGATTTCACACCACAGAGGGAGGAAGAGGGCACATGCCATAGGTCTGCTGGTCACAGCACACACACACTCCTGGGAGCTTCAGACCCAGCAGTGGTGGCTCAGGTGCCAGGTCAGGATGTGGGAGGACACAGTGTCTGGGTGAATCTGTCACCTTTGCTAGCTGCCTTGTCCCACCAGGTAGAAGATGTGGCAATGGGAGCACAGCAGTAGGAAGCCCAGTGTCCCCCAACCTTCCACCTCACAGCCAGGACCTCTGAGGGGCATCTATATCCTGCATATCTAGGCTCTGAAAAGCAGGAGGCCCTGGTTTCCACAGTTGTGGGGCTTCTAGCCAGGGCTGGGCCAGGTTCTCTGAAAAAACAAGCTCCGGGTGCTGCTTTGTCCTCAGGCTACTCCTCCATGGGACCTGCAGGCAGAAAAATGGGTACCACCTGGACCGTGGTGTTAGCAGAAGCAGGGCTGTGCTGCCTGGGGAAGGAGGGGCTCCACGCAAGTACCTCCCGGTACACAGCATTTGATGGCATGTGGACAAGTGCGGGAGCCCTAGACCAAGGACTCTGTGGTGAGCAAGGCTCAGGACCCCTTAGGGGTGAGGGCCTGGGTTACACCACCAGGGGGTCACCAGGACCCTCAGCAGAAGGTGGAGGGGGTGGCAATCATTACCTGTGCGACCCTGAGATGGGTGGCAGCCACAGAACCTAGGGTTCATTGAACCCACCTTTTGTAACTAGTGCCCAGGAAAAGGCCTAGAATTTAATAAAGATGAGGCCCCTGTCAGTGGAGTGCTGGATGGGGCGCACCCCCTGGGGTACACCTGAACCTCCCCCAGGGCCTTGGCTGTGAGCTTTGATTGTAGACATACTTATGCCACGGCCCCTTCAGACTGCTCCCTTCACCTCTGAAAAATCAGACAGGATGCTTCTGTTCCTGGAAACATGAATGCCCTTCATGTGTTTTTTACTTTGACTAGAAACTCATCTGCAACCGAAATATATGCAGAGAACTCATGTGCTCCCAAGGTTTCCAGGCATCTCTGAGAGTTTGCTTCTCAGTTCCCAGGTGTGACAGCTCCAAAGCAGGTGCTGCTGGTTTCTCATCTCAGTGTATTTTAGTTCCCTGTGGACAGCATGTTTCTAACCCCTTGCACACGCTTGGCTCAGATTTTTGAAAAAGCCAAGGGTGGGAGGCAGAATGATGTGGAATGGGCAGAAACTATGAGTAAAGGCTGGCCTCACCCCAGGAGGAGACAGAAGGCATTAGCCCAGTGACAGTGCCAGGGAACCCATGCGGCAGCCTAGGGAAGGTCAGGGAATGGAGCTGGGGTTTCGGCTGTCGCCATCCCAGGGTTAGACTCAGCCAGGTAAACGGCTGATTCTCCTTCACAGAACCCTTGGGCTGGCACAAAACATGCGATTCACAGCGAGAGAAAGACCACTCATGTCCACCCCCTGTAGCCTCCACACACCTGAGCCCGTACCTGACATATCCCAGAACAAGACTCCACAGCCATGCATCTGTTCTCTCCAGGGCATTTCATGATGAGAGAGGGATTTACTTAACATGATGAAAATAGAAGAGGAAATGACCTTGATGAGAACATAGTTCCACACCCGCCATCCAGGGCCTAGGAATAGTGCTCAGCCAGGGCCCGGCCCTTCTAGGGCTCTTGGAAGCTGCAGTGGAGGTGGTGTTGGGACAAGCAAGAGTGACCATTTGCAGGCAGTGTGGGCACCAGGCCATCTGCAGGGGAAAAGCCCAGTGGGAGGATGAGAGGACAGCAGAAACCTGGCAGGGGCTATGCACCCCCTTCCCGTGGGAAGGGGATACACTCCCAGGTGGAGCCACTGTTTACATTGAAATCACTCAAGTCCATCACCAGGAAACACAAAGAGGATTGTCTCGCCAGAGATTAGTGACATGGGACTTAAACAAAATGCCAGTCAGCAAATGAGAGGATTCTTACTTCCACAGACCTCATGTCTACAGTTGCAGTAAGCAAGACTGAACTCAGCCATGCTCACCTGCAGACACTGAGATGCTTGCTAGGAGGCTGTGGGGTGGAATACAAGACACGAGGGCTGACAAGGATGGGAAGAGCATCCCTTTCCTTGCTGTGGGGGGCCTTGGCCAGTTCAAAAATAGATAACATGGGTCTCAGAGCTCCTGAGGCAAGAGCTACGTTGGCATTCAGAGATACTTGGATGATGGCATTGTCTTCAGTAGAACCTCGAAAAAGCACCAAGGACTCCCAGGCAACTTAGCTTAAATCTCTCTCGAGTAGAGCTGGTCTTCGGGATCTCCATCAAGTGAGTGATGCCTTTACCACCATGACAGCACATTATAAAGACGGCCTTGCTACCAGCAGGGACAGGCCTGATGATACTGATCCTGAGGAGGAATCTTATAAACCCATATAATTTAATTTTGGGTAGGCTCAAGCTCATCACTGAGATCATCCTTTGTATGACGATCCATGAGGCCACCGTGAAGAGCATGGATGCACCCAGGCCACAGAGGGGCCCTCTTCATCCTGGATGAGGAGCCCACAGTGGCCATTGCCCCTCAGTCAGAATAAAATCAAGACAAAAGCAATCAGAAGACCCATACACTATGAGGCTGAGCCATTTTTCAAAGATGTCAAAATAGGAAAATAAAAAAATGGAAGAAAACCCAGAATTTAATCCCCTGACTTGCTCCAGAGGCCTCCCCAACTCCAGGCCACCAGAAGCGGGGACCCTGCAGAGGAACTCTCCCTGGGTAGAAATTCACTGGTTTTTGCCTTCCACCAGATGTTGGCAACTTCAATTTCATCTTTTTTGACATCATAGCTAATGTTAAAAGGACTCAGATCAAAAAAAAGTGATGTGGCTGCAGCCCTGACAATGCTCCCAGTGAGAATTTGTGCAAAACTCTTCCCTCGACTTGCAAAACCGGGTCCAGGCAGGGTCTTAGGGCCGTGACGACTGCATCTCTGCCTCCTCTTCTCTGCAGTGCGGCCTCTTCACAGGCAGAGCATTCATTCCTCTTTAGCTTCTCACCAGCCCAGGATGCAGGGAAGAAGTAGCTTATCAGCACAGTCTTGGAATATTTTTACTTTACCAGCTGGGCTCCTATGAACAATGTGTCCAGCTATAGGTAAACAATGTGTGCAAATAATGTGAGAGTGACAGCACCGTGTCAGGACCATGCGAGAAGCTGGCCAGAGGCACTAGCAGCAGATGGGATGCCGATGGGGGTGACCAAAATACAATATGGGGCAGTTGCATGCCATGATCAATCCTCAGGGGTAGGGGAAACAATAACCCTGGGCCTGGCTAACATTTGCATGGGGGAACATTGACCCAAGTCCCCAGGAGAACGTTGAAGAGAACCGCGGCTTATTGTCAAAGGGAAAAGTAACCGCAGAGTTTTCTTTCTGCTTCTAAGCAGATGGGAGGGGTATAGCCTGCAGAACCAAGGGTGTGGGGGTCCTAGAATGTTGGTGGTGGTTGTTCAGCAGAGGGCTTCGCTTCTCAGCCTGCAGAACTTTCCGCCTGTGAGTGTGGGTTACATCTATACATACACAGGAAATCATATACTCCCACTCAGCCACCCACATCTAAACATGGTAGTATTAGGAAAAATAGGAAAGCAACATCCTACTAGATTACATTGTTTACAGTGAAACCATTTAAACCCCTGAGCCTCTGTGTCACCAATTAACACTGCGTGTAAGGAGAATGCCTGCCCCGTGGGGGTTTGTAAAGACAAAATGTAAAAATAAAATGTAGGCTGGGCGCGGTGGCTCAAGCCTGTAATCCCAGCACTTTAGGAGGCCGAGGAGCGTGGATCACGAGGTCAGGAGATCGAGACCATCCTGGCTAACTCGGTGAAACCCTGTCTCTACTAAAAAAAATAAACAAATAAATAATAAAATAAAATGTAGAGTGCTTGGTAAACTAAAGTTCTAAATAAATATTAGTTGTTCTATTACTATGTCAGAAGTACAAGTCACAAGACCGGAATACTTCACTTGAATAAGAACTCAGTGCAAAGAAGTTGGATAAATCGGTGAGTTTGAAACTGCAACAGGACTAAAACGATGCCAATTAATTTATTAATGTATTCATATTCATTAACTTATTTATATTCAAATGAATTAAATATTTAGTGCATGCTTGGAGCTGGGAACACACAGCCATCAGGGCCGCACGAACTCCGTCCTCACTGCGGTTGTTTTCAGATGACCTCAGAGGAAAATAAGAGGGAAACACTGGCAATTTCCTCCCGTTGATACCTTAGCTGACTGCATAGCTCGTGTTAGGTCGGTCTTAATGAGGAAATCAGAATATTCGGGGCTTCAGTATTAAAACTACAAATCTCTATGGCAAGCATTCAGAGCTCTTTGGATTAGACATCAGTGGCTGCAGTAACGTTACCTGAGAAACCCGCACGCTTTCTGAACACTGGCATGAGTTTCCTTTCCTTTCGGGCCACTATATGTGGAAAAACACTTTCACCCATGACCCTAAGTGTCCCAAACTGCAGAAGAGGCAGATAGTAGCCAGCTAGTCCCTGTCAAAGGCCCATTGCCCTCTTCTGGGTCAGCCTGGTCCACCCAGCCTGAGGTGCTCTCTGAGACAGCCTAGCCACCACGCCACAAGCCCCTCAGCCTAATCAGAGCATCAGGATGCTGTGCACAGCCATTAGCTGGGGTGACTCAGAATTATCTGCTGTAGAACAGGGCTCCAAGTGAAGGATGTGGTCACTCAGACCACGTAGATGGTTCAAGCTCTTACTCCTCTGTCAGCTCAGTGCCTGCACAGTGGAAAGGAAGTGCATCTATTGATTTCTTGGCCAAAAGAACAAGTTAATACATTTTTTAAAACTTTGACATTTTGTCTTAAAGCAACAGTGGGCCTTGTTTAACTAAAATCTCATTTCTTCAGCCTAATTTTGCTGGAAAGGCCCCCAACCAAGGCAAGCCCCTGGAGGAGAGAGAGCAGCTAGGATGCTGGCACCAGATGGCTTTGTTCCCCAGCCTTCAATATACTCAGTTACAAAATAACCACATCAGAGGTTTGATAAGATTATCCCCCAGGCCATTTTTCAGGTCTAAATGTTACCATATTTTACGAGAATACAGTATTTGAATCAACTCTCAGGGGACCCAGCCTTCAGGAGACACTGAAGGAATACAGCCATTTTTCTAGCCTCAAAAGCATGGTTTGCAAACTGGCTTGTTCTTTGCAGGAGAAAACCACACACGTGGCCATTGATGCCCTTGGTTGACAGAGTTGACGGGATTTTCTCTGGCTCTCACCTTGAGGGCATCATCAGCATCCTGAAGTCACTAGCGGGCCTCTGTGCAGATGTCCTTTCGAGGGGCTTCAGGCTGTGGAAGTGACCAGTGAACACAGGACCTGCCTGGACTCCCAGCCTCACAGCACAGCACCACAGCCTGGACTGCCCCCTGCCTGATACTTGCTTGGTTTGGAACTTTACTCCATCAAAACATCCAAATAAAAATATGTAGACTCCCCACCCTATCCCATCTGCTATAGGGTTCTAATTCCCCCACAGACATCCCCTCACAGTGCTTTCTCCCATGACGGGGGACTCCTGAGCTGGACTCCATCCCTCCCCTACCAGAAAAGCACAGGTGCTGTGGCATGAGTTCAACCGCCTGAAATTCCCTGATCTTCAGAGTAATAATTCTAAAATAGGGCAATAATACCCCTGTCAGTGTTCTTGGAAGAACTTCTCATTACTTGAGGCCCCAGAAATGCAAACACTCCTCCGGTTTTCCAGCGTGCTGTCAACCCTGGCATCAGAGCTCTTCCTGCCGTGGGCACTGGTAATTGACTTACTGGAGAAAGTCAAGCTTTTAAGTCCCAGGAATAAAGGATTCCTATTTCCTTAATCTGTGTTTATTTTTACGCTATTGCTGGTAGAGTCAATGTGTACTGAGTGAAGATGAGGCAAGAGTGTCAAAGAGTGATTTCCAATAAGATGAAAAGTGATCTGCAGTTTCTACTTCCTTAACCAGCAGGAAACGTTTCTCCTGTAGCATCAGACAGTGGAGGCAGTGGCGCTCAGTGTGGGGCCTCCTGGCTGAAGGAGGGGACAACACGGTGTCCCATCTCCCTAGATGCTGTATGCACCTCACCTGGCTGGTGATTTACTTGACAGAAACCCATGTGTGGAGTAGGGAGTGCTGCCTTTGGCATCTACCCAGTTTCTGCTCTGGACTCTGCCTCTTAGCAAGGGTGACTTGTGGGCCCAAATCACCTGGTGGCTGTGAGCCACTCCACTCCAGCCTGGGCAAGAGTGAGACCTTGTGTGAAAATAAAATAAAATATAAAAATAAAAATAAGCCGGGAATGGCGGCTCACAGCTGTAATCCCAGCACTTTGGGAAACCAAGACGGGCGGATCACATGTGGTCGGGAGTTCGAGACTAGCCTGACCAACATGGAGAAACGCTGTCTCTACTAAAAATACAAAAAATTAACCGGCTGTTGTGGCTCATGCCTGTAATCCCAGCTACTCAGGAGGCTGAGGCAGGAGAGTCACTTGAACCCAGGAGGCAGGCGTTGCAGTGAGCCAAGTTCCTGCCATTGCACTCCAGCCTGGGCAACAAGAGCGAAACTCTGTCTCAAAAATAAAATAAAAGTCTTTAAGTCATTCATCAATTTTATGTGTTTACTATTTCTTCTCCCATTCCATAAAGCCTACAGTCATATAACACAAAGGGAAAATCAGGACAGCCACATATAAATAAAGGTGCAAAGTCGAGGCAAGAGTGGACCTTAGGGGCCAAGCAAGGGTCATTGCTGAGCTTCACATTTAGCCCTGGGCTTTCTGGAAGCCAGAGTGAAAAGAGAGACACAACCAGCTGCATAAGAGTTATCAAAAAGCAGGAAGCGCACTGGTTTTTCTGGTAGTAAAGCAAGGGCTTTCCAAGAATTTACCTCTAAAGTAATTTCTTTCATTCTTTCTTTTTTCTCGCTCTGACACCCAGTTGGAGTGCAGTGGCACAATCAGGGCTCACTACAACGTCTGCCTCCCAGGCTCAAGCCATCCTCCTACCTCAGCCTCTCAAATAGCTGGGACTACAGGCACGCACCACCATGCCTGGCCAGTTTTTTGGTATTTTTTGTAAAGGTGGGATTTCACCATGTTGCCTAGGCTGGTCTGGAACTCCTGAGCTCAAGCAATCCACCTGCCTTGGCCTCCTAAAGTGCTGGGATTTCCGGCATGAGACACTGTGCCCGGCCTAAAGTAATTTCTTACTTGAGATTTTATTTCAGGCTATTGTGTCATGCACTGGGCAGTACAGCCTGGTGGGTGAGAGTACAGTGGTTTTTTGTGTGTTTGTGTGTTTGTTTGTTTGTTGTCTGCTGGGTTTGGGTTTGAATTTTGTTTTAATACATGCAATTTATTCTGTGCTTCACTTTCTTCATCTGTAACATGGAGATAACGGCGTCTACCTATTAAAGTTGTGAAGATTCAATTAGATGAGTTGTATGAATAAATGTTAGCCATTTTTTTTTTTTTTTTTTTTTTTTGAGATGGAGTCTCGCTCTGTCACCCAGGCTGGAGTGCAGTGACGCAATCTTGGCTCATGGCAACCTCTGCCTCCCAGGTTCAAGCTATTCTCCTGCCTCAGCCTCCCAATTAGCTGCGATTACAGGCACCCGCCACCATGCACGGCTAATTTTTGCATTTTTAGTAGATCCGCGTTTTCACCATGCTGGCCAGGCTGGTCTCGAACACCTGACCTCAGGTGTTCCACCCGCCTCAGCCTCTCAAAGTGCTGGGATTACAGCCGTGAGCCACCGCGCCCAGCCAGCTATCAAGAAATTCGACTGCCTACTACTTAGCCTGCACAGTTCTAGGTGCTGGGGAAATAGTGATGAACAAGACAAACAAGATCCTTATCTTCAAGTAGCTTTTACCTTCTAAGTGGAGTGAAAAAACAATAAACATTGAAAATAAATTTCAGAAAGTGCTGTGGAAAAACTTTACAACAGACGCAGGAATAGATTTCATTTGACTAGCTCTCCCAGACAGTTTCCAGAAAAGTCAAGGGTAGAATGTTAAAAGGCAACTCAGAGGAGGTGAATCTGTTAGGGCCTGCGGTAATGCAATCCTGGTTTGTGGAATTCTGCAGGCTAATGTGGGTAGGTTACAATTTTGGGGGGAGGGGTTTATTTTGTTTGAAAATTCACTTCTTCCCGCTAAGCTTTTGATTAGGAGCTGAAGTTGAATCAGCTTGAAATTGTATTCTGGACCGGGTGCGGCGGTCCATGCCTTTAATCCCAGCGCTTTGGGAGGCCGAGGTGGGTGGATTGCTTGAGCCCAGGAGTTCGAGACCAGCCTGGACAAAATGGCAGAAACTCCGTGTCTACAAAAAATACAAAAATTGGCGGGGCATGATGTTCTGCGCCTGTAGTCCCAGCTACTCAGGAGGCTGAGGTGGGAGGATCACTTGAGCCCGGGAGGCGGAGTTTGCAGTGAGCTGAGATGTCACTGCATTCCAGCCTGGGCGACAGAAAAAAAAAAAGAAACGAAAAAAAGAAATTGTATCCTGAATACATCTTCTAAAACACTACATTTACTTGCACTATATTAAACTGGTTTTATCCTGACCACAATTGCAGGTGAAAGATAACCACTGTTGTTCTATTTTTCTGGTAAGTAGAGTGAGCCATGTCTTGCCCAGGGAAAGACGCCTCCTAAAAATTTGTAGGACCACCTTTGGTTATCTTCCAGATTTTTTTTTGTCATCGCTTTTCCTGCGCCCAATTCCCATCTGTCTAGCCCTTCTGCCTCCGCTGGTCTTTTTCGCGAGCCTCTCCCCAGCCGCTGGTATTCGTCTGGGCTGCAGCCCCGCCTATCTCCTGGGGCGTGACCACCTGTCCAGGCCCCGCCCCCGTCCAACAGGCGGAGACCCGCCCCCTTTCCCGGAGACCCGCCCCCTTTCCCGGACACCGGCTTCAGCGCCCGAGCGTGCGCGCGCGTCTCCGCTCGTCGCCCGGCTCGGCGTCGGGAGTGCACTCTGTGTGGCCGCTGCTGCAGTGTTGTTGTGGTTGTGAGAAGGCGGCGGCGGCGGCGGAGTAGCAGCCGGACCAGACGCCCTAGTAGCTCAGTCGCTGCCCTGCGCCGGGCCTGGCAGGGAGCCTGGTGAGATGGTGGAGGAGGAGGCTGTGCCGTGGCGGGCCTTGCCATGTCCTGCTGCCTGGTAAGAACCCCATCCCCGTCCCCTGTCTCCTCCCGGGGTGAGGAGGAGCTGGAGGAGGGGCCGGCCTCTGTACGGCCCCGGCCAGGCGGCTGTCACCCTCTGAGGAGGCAGCGCCAGGGGAGGGGCGTCCCGGGCGGCCGCCGCCGCCAGGGGGAGGCGCTGGGAGTGGGAGTGGGAACGGGACCTCAGCGGTCGAGCTCGGCCGGGACCCTAGGTGCGGGGGAGGCGGGGTCCCGGGCTCCGGCTGCCTGCCCAGACCTGGCGGGGATGGGCCCGTGCGGCTCCGGGTGTGGGACGTATCCTGGGAGCGCCCGGGGTTATTCCCACTGACTCCCGGGAGGTGGGTGTGCGCCCTTCGCCCCCTGCCTGGTCTGTGGGGATCCATCGTTGCTGGAGACTGGAGGTCGGGGGCCATGGGAGCCCCGGGGCGAACGGTGCGGGCCTGGGTCTTGTGGAAAGGAGGAGCGACCGCCTGAGCGTGCAGCAGGACATCCTCCTGACCTGGTAATAATTAGGTGGGAAGGATGGTTGGGGGCGGTTGGCGTAACTCAGGGAACACTGGTCAGACTGCTCCCCAAACGATTACAGTGTTATTTCTCCGGTAGAAATTTTCCTTGATGTATGGTATTTCCGGACCCATAAGATGATGTCAGTCGTATTTTGGGCTGGAAAAGTTATGTCAAAATTATGGGGTAGATTTTATGGCCACATTAATAGACTCCCCTGGAGTTTGATAATCTCACTTGTGAGTTTTGGACATGAACTACTATTACATATTGATGTTCAAATGTCGTTTGCAGACCGAGGCCTAAATTCTTACTGTTCTAGTATCTTGATATCCACTTTGTTTTCTGACATCTGTTTTTCCACAACCCAAACAAACAAAACAACATCCCCAAACCATATACTTTTCCAGTTGAGGTTCAACTTTCTCTTATGTGAATGGTAATGCCATGAGAGGCCTGGGTTGAATTACAGGAGATGATTTTTTTTAAATGTTAAATGTTTATGATTTGTCCATGGAGAGGTGGTGGGGGACCATCCCCTTTCAAATTCAGGGCTGTTCAGTAGGACAGGAGACATTGATGGCATGCAGAAAGTCTTCCCTTTATAGGGCCTATGACTTGGGCAGGCTAGAAGAGCTTACAGAATGACACTTTTTTTTTTTTTTTTTTTGAGACGTTATCTCGCTCTGCCGCCCAGGCCGGAGTGCAGTAGTGTGATGTCTGCTCACTGCAACCTCCGCCTCTCGGATTCTAGCAATACTCCCACCTTAGCCTCCCAAGTAGTTGGGATTACAAGTGTGCGCCACCACGGCTGGCTAATTTTTGTATTTTCAGTAGAGACAGGGATTTCTCCGTGTTGGCTAGGCTGGTCTGGAACTCCTGACCTCAAGTGATCCACCTGCCTCGGCCTTCCAAAGTGTTGGGATTACAGGCGTGAGCCACCACCCCCAGCCAGAATGACACTGTTTTGAGTAACCCAGTATAGTATGTGATATTAAACTAAATTTGGAGGATTCTAGAATTCTAGATTGGCTGCCTATGACGACAGACCTCTTTTGGCTCCAATTACTCCCTCATTTTCAGGTGACTCAGAGAACTTCAAGTGACCAGCACAGTGGTACAGCCCCACTTGTCGTTAATGGCCAGCCATAAAAGAACCCAAGTTTCTCAGCTCATAGGCCAGGTTCTTCAGTGGTTGTCTAGTTTAAGGCTGGTCATTAGCAATATTATGGACGACCTAAGTTCCTCGAACTTATGCAGTTTATAGCTTTTTAAGAATTTAAGAAGTGGAGAAGGGGAAGCATGAGAAACTTAAAGGATGCAAATTGAGCATCTCTTAAAATATAATGGATTTGTGTAGGTGAAACAGATTTGTTGCCAAAAGTTAATTTGTGCACAAGTTATCAGGAACACACTTGATAAAATTAGATGCTGATTAATTGGAGATACATTGTATCCAGAGATACACAAGAATCCAGAGGAAATAAACAGAGAAGGAGAGGAAGTAAGTCAGCTTCTGGCTCATAAAGGGGTCCACTGAAGATGCTCCCTAACATGGTTGCTCCTAAACCATCTGACTCAGATTTCTAGTGGAGGGTAGGATGGGTGTGTTAGCAGTCATTTGATATCAGGGTTGTGAACCAGGAAGGGTTACTACAGATTGTGAAAAGTTCTTGAAATTTGCCGCAGGCCGTGAGGAGTGGTAAAGTCAGTTTAAAAATCTGCTGTAGTTCTAGTTAACACGTTCACACCTTCTTTAGTGAAGTAGAATGCTGAGTTACCAAAGGACGTATTCACGTTTTAGAGGGGGTGTGGTGAAGGTTATTATAAGTTTGGAAGAGGTGGAAGAAAATGTTGTTATAGTTGTGTAGAGTAGTGAAGGACTTTGGCAAATATCCTGTCAAATCATGAAGTAGTATTTTTAGAGAGTTGCACCCAGCTGTCCATTAGAAGAGCCAGAGGCCTCGTCTGTTTTGTTCCCTGGTGTCGCCAATACCCAGCACAGTTATCAGCATATTCTATACCCTCAGATTTTTTTTTTAGTAAGTGAATAGTATTGATATGGAAAAAAGAACAGTTATGGTGGTTTATAGCCGTGTTAGTTATTAAAAGCTACTTGATAATTTGCAATGGATTAAAGAGCCAGTTTTTGATCAAGTAGGGCTCTGGATAGGAAAGAAAATAAAAAAAATAAAGAGCCAGCTTTCAGTGCTTGTTGTTTGGAATTTTTGAGATTCCTTTAAGAAATTGTTTTCTGAAGACTGTCGTGAACATTGTTGTGTCCCCTGGTTTTTGAGTCTTAATGTGTCTTAAGTGTTTTAGATGTTAGTGACTTTTTTAAGAGCACATTAAATGCAGAGGTAATATAGAATAATGGGAAGTTCTGGATTGACAGATAGACATATATTCTGATTCCATCTGTGTCATTAATTGCTGTTGGGAATGTCACTTAACTTCTCTGGGCATCAATTTTCTCATCTATACAATTAAGGGCCTATAGTCTTTGACCTCAAGTAGTTTCTCTAGCCTGATTCTGTAAATTTTTAATAAGTTCTAATTATGTTATTTGGTATTCATCTCATATAGGTAGACTAACCTTTGCCATTTAAAAGAAACAAGATTCTGTGTTGGGTTCTGCTTTTAGCTTATGGATTTTAGACATTGTCCAAAAGTGCTTCGGAAATTGAATGTATGTTGCAAGTATTATGTAGTAAGAACATGCTTATGCTGTTGTAATTCGCTTAGTGATGAAATCAAATCAGGTTTTACATTGGGAACTTCATAATTTAGTGTGAAGCCACAAGACTTGAGAATGGTTTGGGGGAGTATGTGCAATTTATATAGCTAGTTGTTTCTTACCACCCAATTCTGTAATTTTCTATGGTGAATATATACATAAATTTATAATCATGTAACATTGATTGAAGATATAAGATGATATCAGATTCATATTGGATTGAACTAGGACTGCCAGTAACTTTAGAGGCCTCCAAAATTATTAACATGTCATTGCTATTTTTAATCTTAATTTTTTGGTATCATCAATATTGATATCATGCTTTCACCTTTGCTTTTGTATCTAGAAACAATATACTTTTTAAGTTCATACTTGTATCAGATATTAAAAATGAAAATTGTAGCATAAAAGTGGATAGATGAGTAAATCTTGGGTTCAAGCCTGCGTTGTATTCTTCATTAGCCGTGTTGTTTCTGGCAAGCCACGTAACCCCTCTGAGCTCCAATTCCTTCATTAGTGAAAGGAAGAAGAGCAGCTTCTCTACTTTTCTAACAGACTGCCAGGGGGAGAATGCAACGGAATAATGTGTATGAAAAGTATTCAAAAAATGTAAGGGTCTGGTATTAGAATCCTATTATATTGGAATCCTGTTTTATTTCTTGGAAGAATTGGCTTGTGGAGCAGTAGTAAACCTGGTCCACATTGTCAAGTGCAGAATTTAGCAATATCACTGATAAGGCAACAGAAAAGGTTTCTGCTTCTGTAGTCTGGCTGGAGAAACCTTTCAGCAAATGTATCCTGTCTGCCAGTTGGAATAATCACAATGTTGCAGGGACTTCAGAGGAACCTGGGGTGTCTCACATTTATGCCAAGGTCTGTACTTAGAATAGACTTGCTAGATTTTACCCATTTTCTGATGTTGGAGTCGTGGGAGAAGGTGGTAGGAGCAAGGAGTTTAGCACACTCTGCATAAAGTTTTAAGGCTACATTTTTAAGTAGCAGGTGGCAGTGTCATAGGGTAATGAAATCAATGTACTTATTTTAAAAAGCATTTTAAAAAAGAATATATCAGTACATTGTGTAAAGTAAAAGTAAATATTGATTTGGGAAACCTTTCTTTTTAAAAGATATGTTTATGTATGTATACTTGGTTGCCGTGTAAAATGTATTTTTTCTTTTTAAAAATTATTATTTTCATTTTTTGTAGAGACAGGGTTTTGCTACATTGCCCAGGCTGGTCTTGAACTCCTGGGCTTGAGTAGTCCTGCCTTGGTCTCCCAAAGTGCTGGGATTATAGACATGAGCCACTGCACCTGGCCTAGAAAGTTATTTTTTCTTTTGGGTCGTGATAAAACTTGGTCGTAGTTGTTTAGGGACATAGTACTTGTGCAATGCCGATAGAATGACTGTCTATAAAATAGTAAGGCATGAAACAAATGAAAACAAAGAGAAAATTGTGAAGATGGGTTACCTTAAAGCTATTCTGTTAGCGGTGAAATACCTCATAGCTTTGTTCTAAATTGTTGAATTAATGAACAAAGCACATAAACTTATGCTATAATAATCTTCTTAAGTACTCTTTTCCCTTAAGATGGAGTGTGGAGTACTTGTTAACCACACAGGTATTGTCTTGATCTGATAACTATAGATATTCAGAATGATTCTGTTGTGACAGATGGTAGCAAGCTTTTCTGATTTCACTTATCTGGGGTCTAAATCTAATTTCTTTAGTAGTTAATACATATATATATATATTTTTTGAGACAGAGTCTTGCTCTGTCACCCAGACTGGAGTGCAATGGCATGATCTCGCCTCACTGCAACCTCCGCCTCCCAGGTTCAAGTGATTCTCCCTGCCTCAGCCTCCCGAAGTAGTTAATACTTTTGTAACTTAGTTGCAGAAGAGAGATAGAAATTTCTGAATAATTTTCAGAATTATTCATAGATTTATAATCTGGCAGAATATAAGGAAGTTATAAGTATATTGATAAATCATGACATAACTGGCAAGAATTGGTATAAAGACAAGATGGTTAACTTGAAACAGGGTTGTTGTTTATTATATGCCTATCATTTTTCCATGAGATAAACCAAATATTAGATTAAGTATTTGGACTGATCCACAAATGACATGGGAAGACAGAGTGTTTACAAAGAGTTTTAGAAGTGATACAGGACAATAATTTGGAGTTTTAACTTAATCTCATTTTAAATTTCAAAGTGAAATTATTTCTGATTATGAAAGCTACAGAACTTTTTTTTAGATGGAGTCTCATTGTGTCACCCAGGCTGGAGTGCAGTGGCGTTTTCTCAGCTCACTGCAACCTCTGCCTCCTGGGTTCCAGCAATTCTGCTGCCTCAGCCTCCCGAGTAGCTGGGATTACAGGTACCCGCCACCATACCTGGCTAATTTTTGTATTTTTAGTAGAGACAGGGTTTCACCATGTTGGCCAGGCTGGTTTCTAACTCCTGACCTCAGGTGATTCACCTGCCTTGGCCTCCTAAAGTGCTAGGATTACAGGCGTGAGCCAATGCATCTGGCCCAGAACAGTTTTAATGTTTTTCTTTTTTAAAAAAAGTAGAGATAACCTGTAATCCCATCTGGATGTGATGTTTGGTGTTTTCATTTTTTTTCTTATGCATACCTATTGAAATACCTTAAAAAAGAACAACTTTCCATGTAAAATTGATATCCCCTTAATGAGTAAATGAGTATTTAGTGTTCTATAATATGGATGCATCATAGTTTATAGCAGTTCTGTGTTGTTAATGGATATTGCCAATTTTTCTCTTAAAGTAGTACTGTGATGAACTTGTTTGGGCATTGAATTGTCCTATTATTTCCTTAGGATAATTTTTTTTTTTTTGAGACAGAGTCACTCTGTCACCCAGGCTGGAGTGCAGTGGTATGATCTTGGCTCACTGCAGCCTCTGCCTCCCAGGTTCAAGTGATTCTCCTGCCTCAGCCTCCTGAGTAGCTGGGAGTACAGCCGTGCACCGCCACGCCCAGCTAATTTTTTGCATTTTCAGTAGAGATGGGGTTTTACCATGTTGGCCAGGCTGGTCTCGATCTCCTGACCTCGTGATCCGGCCGTCTTGGCCTCCCAAAGTGCTAGAATTACAGGCCTGAGCCACCGCGCCTGGCCCAGGATAAATTCTTAAAAGCGGATTTATTAGCCAGGCATGGTGGCTCATGCCTGTAATCCCAGCACTTTGGGAGGCCAAGGCGGGTGGGTGGATCACCTGAGGTCAGCAGTTCAAGACCAGCCTGGCCAAAATGGTGAAACCCCATCTCTACTAAAATACAAAAATTAGTCTGGTGTGGTGGCGAGGGTCTATAATTCCAGCTACTTGGAAGGCTGACGCACAGAGAATCACTTGAACCCGGGAGGCGGAGGCTGCAGTGAGCCGAGATTAAGCTACTGCACTCCAGCCTGGGCGACAGAGTGAGACTCATTCTAAAAAAAAAAAAAAAAAAAAAAAAAAAAAGGGCTTATTAGGTCAAAAGGTATGTGTGTTTTAAATGTGGATATACTCAAGATGCCCTTTAGATAGGATGTCTATTTGAAATTCCCGTCAGCAGCATATTAGTATTCAATTCCATATATTCTTGCTAGTGATTTGTCATCTTTAGCTTGTTGGGAGTTCAAAATAGTTTGAAACAGTTTTTCTTCTGTTTCTTTTTCAGCATCAGGACTTACTTCCATAGATTAACTCTTGGGAGGGAGCTGATAAAAATGAAAGTTCAGTGACAATGAGTCGTGTAGACCAGTGGTCTCCAAACTTTGGTTGCTTACCCCATCACCAAAAACTTTTGAGCATTAAGCAGGTGTGGTACCTGGTCCTGTGGTCCCAGCTACGTAGTTGGCTTAGGCAGGAGGATATTTGAGGTCAGGAGTTCAAGGCTAAAGTTCACTGTGATTGTGCTTATGAATACAGCCACTGTACTCCAGCCTGGGCAACATAGTGAGACCCTGTCTCTTTAAAAAAAAAACAAAAAACTGATGGGATGGGAAGAATGAAGTCAGAAAAAAAAATTGATACAACTTCATGTTGTTGCTTTGAAAAAAGAGAAAAAGAAAAATATTGAGCATCAGTTCTTAATCCTTAGATATTTAATTTACAAGTAATAAACATATAGTAACTGATTATTGTGGACTTTAAAATACAAACAAAAAATTAACAAGGATGATAATTAAAAATAAAGTTCAAATATTTTCCTTTTTTACCCTGGGGCTTCTTGGGTACTCCTGGAGGTGTGTGTGTGTGCACGCATGTGTATATGTATGTGTGTGTGTATATGTATAATATATATGTATATATAATAATATATGATCTATATACATATTTTTGAGACAAGAGTCTTGCTCTGTTACCCAGACTGGTGTGCAGTGGTGTAATCTTGGCTCACTACAACCTCCGCCTCCTGGGTTCAAGTGATTCTTGTGCCTCAGCCACTTGAGCAGTTGGGATTACAGGTGTCTGCCACCATGCCTGGTTAATTTTTGTATTCTCTGGTAGAGATGGGTTTTCACCATGTTGGTCAGGCTGGTCTTGAACTCCTGGGCTCAAGTGATCCGCCAGCCTCAGCCTCCCAAAGTGCTGGGATTCCAGGTGTGAGCCACCATGCCCGATCTCCTGGAGGTATGTTATACTTGCTTTGGATACTACTGCTTTAGACCCTTGAGGTTTAATATTGGGCATTTATAGATGTTTGTTTTTGGGCATTTCACTAGTTTTGCAGGTGGTCCTGTTTAGTTGGATTATGAATGCCTTTAAAATGTCCCATGCTAGGCCGGGCATGGTGGCTCACGCCAGTAATCCCAGCACTTTGGGAGACCGAGGCGGGTGGATCATGAAGTCAGGAGATTGAGACCATCCTGGCTAACACGGTGAAACCCCATCTCTACAAAACTACAAAAAGCTAGCTGGGCGTGGTGGCACACGCCTGTAGTTCCAGCTACGCGGGAGGCTGAGGCAGGATAATCTCTTGAACCCAGGAGGTGGAGGTTGCAGTGAGCCGAGATTGCACCACGGCACTCCAACGTCTGTGACAGAGCGAGACTCCATCTCAAAAAAAAAAAAAAAAAAAAAACTCCCCATGCTCTTTAGAGTCGTATCTGCAATAAGGGCAAAAATAAATTTAAAGCATCAGTTTGATACTTTTTTGCATCGTTGAGGTGGCTGAATTTGAAAAGGATAAATCGTAGGATAAAAAGCAATGTAAATAGTCTATTTCTTTTAGATACAAACAGTTGATACTGTGTAGAGCATATTTTTAAAAATTATGTTTTTTGGAAAGCAATTTGGCTATAATATATATCTCCCTGTTTTTTAAGAGGTTAGGTGTTAGAGACTGAGTGAAGGGAAGAATAATTGCTACTTGCTCTCCTTTGCTTTCAAAGTACCACAATTAACCTGTCACTAACTATTTGGATTAGCCTGAGCCTATAACAAACTTTCCATGGTGATTCTTAGATTAAAAGATAATTTTTTTCTTGAGTTTGAATAAGTTGCTTTTGATCTGTGGCTGCCTGCCCCCTAACCCCTATAAATTATGAAATCAGGAAATAAAGCTTTTTGTATTAGAAAAAAGTGAATCTTTTCTCCCCCATCATGGGAAAATTAATTTCAGTTACTTCATATGGGTCATTGGCAGAGAAAGATAATATCAAAATCTTAGAGACTGTCAAAAGAGATTATATTAAGCAACTTGAGTGATTATTTTTTGCCAGTTAAAAGAAATGAGAGGCCGGGCGCGGTGGCTCACACCTGCCATCCCAGCACTTTGGGAGGCCAAGGTGGGCGGATCACAAGGTCAGGAGATCGAGACCATCCTGGCTAACACAGTTGAAACCCCATCTCTACTAAAAATACAAAAAATTAGCCAGTCGTGGTGGTGGGTGCCTGTAGTCCCAGCTACTTAGGAGGCTGAGGCAGGAGAATGGCCTAAACCCCAGAGGCAGAGGTGGCAGTGAGCCGAGATCACGCCACTGCACTCCAGCCTGGGTGACAGAGCGAGTCTCCATCTCAAAAAATAAATAAATAAATAAAGATAATTTCTATTGAAGATGATTGCTATAAACAGTGCTTTACACAAATGGCTACATATCTCTTTTTACTTTAGGTAACATGATTTATAAGCTACTTTCACATATATCTTCTTAGATCATCACAAGGATTTGAGATCATCATTTAATCAGGACTGTTGTGACTTGCTTGAGGCCACATGCCTAGTGTTTGACATCATACTTCAAGAGACAGATTGAAAGTTCTGCAGAAATAGGGACTGGTGGCTGTTCTCTCCCTTACTCCCTAGCAGTCAATACATTGCCTGGTACAGAGTAAGCTATCAATATTTGTGGACTAACTGTTTAAACTCCTGCATATTTATTTATACGTGTAAATAAGTTATAGCATTATAAAATCAACAGTTACGTTTTCCGTAGTTAGATTGTTCCTTCATCTTATGTGCACAGAAACTATTTTTGTGGAAGAGGTCATGAATTTTAGATCAACCTTTCACATATCCCTTTACTGTCTCTTAAGATACTTTCATGGTGACAAAAAACATACTCTTGTTCTAGATCCCTGAGGAATTACCACACTGACTTCCACAATGGTTGAACTAGTTTACAGTCCCACCACCAGTGTAAAAGTGTTCCTATTTCTCCACATCCTCTCCAGCACCTGTTGTTTCCTGACTTTTTAATGATCGCCATTCTAACTGGTGTGAGATGGTATCTTATTGCGGTTTTGATTTGCATTTCTCTGATGGCCAGTGATGATGAGCATTTTTTCATGTGTCTTTTGGCTGCATAAATGTCTTCTTCTGAAAAGTGTCTGTCCATATCCTTCGCCCACTTTTTGATGGGGTTGTTTGTCTTTTTCTTGTAAATCTGTTTGAGTTCATTGTAGATTCTGGATATTAGCCCTTTGTCAGATGAGTAGATTGCAAAAATTTTCTCCCATTCTATATGTTGCCTGTTCACTCTGATGGTAGTTTCTTTTGCTGTGCAGAAGCTCTTTAGTTTAATTAGATCCCATTTATTTGACCCAGCAATCCCATTACTGGGTATATACCCAAGGGATTATAAATCATGCTGCTATAAAGACACATGCACACGTATGTTTATTGCGGCACTATTCACAATAGCAAAGACTTGGAACCAATCCAAATGTCCAACAATGATAGACTGGATTAAGAAAATGTGGCACATATACACCATGGAATACTATGCAGCCATAAAAAATGATGAGTTCATGTCCTTTGTACGGACATGGATGAGGCCGGAAACCATCATTCTCAGCAAACTATCGCAAGGACAAAAACAAACACCGCATGTTCTCACTCATAGGTGGGAATTGAACAAAGAGAACACATGGACACAGGAAGGAGAACATCACACACACCGGGGCCTGTTGTGGGGTGGGGGGAGCAGGGAGGGATAGTATTAGGAGATATACCTAATGTTAAATGACGAGTTAATGGGTGCAGCACACCAACATGGCACATGTATACATATGTAACTAACCTGCACGTTGTGTACATGTACCCTAAAACTTAAAGTATAATAATTTTAAAAATACTCTTAATGTCATTCCTTTCACTGTGTGTGTAACTCCTGTGGCAAGACTGTATATTCGTATATATGTATGTATGTATTTGTTTATTTAGTAGGCTGCTATTTGTAAAGGAAACATACTCATTAGTTGGTCTTTGCATACATAATGGTTCCCAAAACATGGACTCCATGGTTTGCTGTGAGTGAATGAAGAAAAAGCAGGCATGATTTCCCTCACCTTTGTCATTCTCTCCAGTTTCCTGTACATATGGTTGACTTACTCAGCAGTAAGTGTAACTTCTTTACACTGAAGAAAATTAGTCTTCCAAAGAATTAGTATGCTACTTCCCCCTTGTTCTGCAGTACTTAAAATCCTGTTTGGTAAATGAACTAATACACTTTGATATACAGAAGAGACCCTGGATTGCCATGAATGGAAATATTAGTAGTGATTAATTTCTGTCTCGGTGGGATAATGTGGCTTTTTTGCTTCTTATTCTTCTATAGTTTCCCATTTTTCTACAATGAGCATGTATTACTTTTATAAGTAGGAAAAATTACTATTTTATTTTTATTTTTTAAGACAGAGTCTCACTCTGTCACCCAGGCTGGAGTGAAATGGTGCGATCTCAGCTCACTATAACCTCTGCCTCCCAAGTTCAAGTGATTCTCATGTCTCGACCTCCCAAGCAGATGAGACTACAGGCACAAGCTGGCCACAGCCAGCTAATTTTTGTATTTTTTAGTAGAGATGGGATTTCACCATGTTGGCCAGGCTGGTCTTGAACTCCTGACCTCAGGTGATCTGCCCATGGCCTTCCAAAGTGCTGGGATTACAGGTCTGAGCCACCACGCTCAGCCAAAAACTGCTATTTTAAAGTCTTTATTTTTCACTGGATGTCTTGTGAAGGTTTAGGTCACAGTCACCATTGAGAAAGTGGGTGGTTAACTGGCTCCAGTTCCCAAGACGAGTGGCAGCTGTAGGAAGTAGTATGGGAGGAATGGGGCAGGTAAGCTTATTTGAACTTTATCATTGTGAACTCTACTATGACTGAAGACATTGTGGGATTTGATCACAGTTAAACACAAGAGGACTGAGCCATCTAGTTTTTCTCTTTTTAATAAGCTGATTGAGAATTATGAAAGATACCTTAAGAAAAATTGGTTTCTATGAACTCTGTAAATGCAGAACTCAGCCTGAACTCCCAAGTTCTGTATCCGTGTGTGTGTGTTTGTGTGCTTGTGTGTTGTGGTGTGTTTTAAATATCAAGTGGAGTTGTAGCAACTCAGGTAGGATATGGTTTATATTAATACATCTAATATGAATTGGAAGAGATTTAGGCAAATGATTTTTATTATGACAGTATAGGCTTATTGGAGATTTGGTGTTAATATACAGCTGGGAGTTAAGCCGTTCTACGTTTATATACCCATCTGGTGATATTTTAGGAAGAGCTGTGTCATATATTCTCTAGAGTTTAAGTGATTAGAGCTTGTTGGCTTTTGCTGTTTACTGCACACTTGTAGTGTTTTAAATGCTTCTGTGAATGGAGAACATCATTCAAAAAGGTGAGATTTCTGGGTTAAGACATTCGTTATTGTCTGCCCTTACTTTATTCTTTTAAAGAGTAAGATTAGGCTGAACGCGGTGGCTCATGTCTATAATCCCAGCACTTTGGGAGGCCAAGGTGGACAGATGAGATCAGGAGTTTGAGACCAGCCTGGCCAACATGGCAAAACCCCGTCTCTATTAAAAATACAAAAATTAGCCGGGCGTGGTGGTGGACGTCTGTAATCCCAGCTACTCAGGAGGCTGAGGCAGGAGAATCACTTGACCCCTGGAGGTGGAGGTTGCAGTGAGCCGAGATTTGTGCCACTGCGCTCCAGCCTGGGTGACAGAGGGATACTCTGTCTCAAAAAAAGAAAGTTGAAGAGCAGTTGAGGTAATAAATGTAGGTACTGTTAGGTTGGTACAAAATTAATGGTGGTTTTGGATTGCGAATTTTAAATTATTATAACTAGGCCCAAACACATCTTTATCAAAATAGGAAACATTACAATCAGCACATTTTTTGCCAATGAGAAATAAGTTTGTTTATTCCTGTAGCGTAAAAATCCATGCTTCGGGATTCGATGAACTCTTGGAAAGCATTTTCTGCATCCTGATGGTTGTGGAAGCATTTTCCCTGCAAAAAATTTTCTAGATGCTTGGAAAAGTGGTAGTCGGTTGGTGAGAGGTCAGTTCAATATGGTGGATGAGGCAAAACTTTGTAGCCCAATTCATTCAACTTTTGAAATGTTGGTTGTGCAACATGTTGTCGGGTGTTGTCGTGGAGAAGAACTGGACCCTTTCTGTGGACCAGTGCCAGCTGCAGGCCTTGCAGTTTTCGGTGCATCTCATCGATTTGCTGAGCATACTTCTCAGATGTATTGGTTTTACTATGATTCAGAAAGCTGTAGCGGATCAGACCAGGAGCAGACCACCAAACAGTGACCCTGACCTCTTTTTGATGAAAGTTTGGCTTCAGGAAGTGCTTTGGAGCATCTTCTCGGTCCAACCACTGAGCTGGTCATCACTGTTGTTGTATAAAATACACTTTTTGTCAAACGTCACAATCCAACTAAGAAATGGTTCGTCGTCGTTATGTAGAATAAGAGAAGACAACACTTCAAAACGACGATTTTTAAAATTTTTGGTCAGCTCATGAGGCACCCACTTATCAAGCTTTTTCACCTTTTGGCAGGGCGTGGTGGCTCACGCCTGTAATCCCAGTACTTTCGGAGGCTGAGGCGGGCAGATCACTTGAGGCCAGGAGTTCACGACCAGCCTGGCCAACATGGTGAAACCCCAGCTCTACTAAAAATACAAAAAGTAATCGGGTGTGGTGGTGGGTGCCTGTAATCCCAGCAACTAGGGAGGCTGAGGCACGAGAATCACTTTAACCCGGGAAGTAGAGGTTACAGTGAGCCCAGATGGTGCCACTGCATTCCAGCCTAGGTAATAGAGTGAGACTCCATCTCAAAAAAAAAAAAAAAAGCTTTTGCACCTTTCCAACTTGCTTAAATTGCCAAACAAGCGTAGAATGGTTGACATTGAGTTCTTTGGCAATTTCTCGTGTAGTTGTAAGAGGATCAGCTTCGATGATTGCTCTCAATTGGTCAGTGCCAACTTCTTCTGGCCGGCTACTACACTCCTCATCTTCAAGGCTCTCGTCTCCTTTGCAACACTTCTTGAACCACCATTGCACAGTTCCTGGGCCAAGTGTGTAGTTGATGTTGCGAGTTGTCTCCACTGCTTTGCGACCCATTTTGAACTCAAGAAAATCGCTTGAATTTGCTTTTTTTTATAATATAATTTCCACTGTCTAAAAGAATAAAACAGCAAATAATATGTTATTAGCAAAAAAGGTGAGAAATGTGCATTAAAATGGTATATAAATAACCACATATATTTAAGAATGTATTCCAGTATCAAATAGCAAGTTTCAACAATACGAAAACTGCAACTACATTTGCACCAACCTAATATAATTTTTTTTTAGTTAGAGATTTTATAGTACAGAATAACAGGCTTATCACACACACACACACACATCCTGTACTGAATCTACAAAGCCTGTCTCTGAATTCCAAAATCTCGACTTTTTTAGAGCAAAGTTTAAATATTTCAAAAATTTAGAAAAATATGGAGAATAATTTAACAAACACCAGGTACTAATTCAGTAGATTTTTTTTCTTTTTTCCTTTCCTTTTTTTTTTTTTTTTTTTTTGAGATGGAGTCTCGCTCTGTCGCTCAGGCTGGAGTGCACTGGTGCAATTTCAGCTCACTGCAACCTCTGCCTCCTGGGTTCAAGTGATTCTCCTGTCTCAGCCTCCTGAGTAGCTGGGATTACAGGCACACGCCACCACACCCAGCTAATTTTTGTATTTTTAGTAGAGACTGGGTTTCACCATGTTGGCCAGGATGGTCTCTTATCTCTTCACTTCGTGATCTGCCCACCTTGGCCTCCCAAAGTGTTGGTATTACAGGCGTGAGCCACCGCACCCAGCCCATTCAGTAGATTTCATAGATGCTGACATCTTATCAGATTTGCTTCAAAAGTGTATTTATATATGTTTTTATTTATTATTTTTGAGATGGGGTCTCACTCTGTTGCCCAGCCTGGTGTATAGTGGTAAAATCCCTGCTCACTGCAACCGCCACCTCCCAAGTTCAAGCAATTCTCGTGCCTTGGCCTTTTGAGTAGCTGGGATTATAGGAGCTTGTCACTACTCCCGGCTAATTTTTGTATTTGTAGTAGAGACGGGGTTTCACTATGTTGTCCAGGCTGGTCTCCAACCGACCTCAAGTGATCTGCCCGTCTTGGCCCCCTAAAATACTGGGATTACAGGGGTGAGCCACTGTGCCTGGCCTATATTTGTTTTTAAAAATAAAATATGCATATGGTTGGAGTCCCTTTTGTCATCCTCTTAGATCCTATTTTCTTATGCAGAAGTTATTTATCTTTTTAGCTCATGCACTTATATTCTTCCTACAAATATCTACATATATTTAACATGTAGTACTATTGTGTTTCAAATTTATGTGATATTTTGGTACATACATTCTGTAATTGGAAAGTTACATTTATTTATGCTGATATATGTGTATTATTAGTAGTATTATTATTATGATTATTTTGAAACAGAGTCCTACTCTGTCACCCAGGTTGTAGAGCAGTGGCACAATCTTGGCTCACGGCAACCTCCATCTCCCAGTTTCAAGTGATTCTCGAGCCTCAGCCTCCCGAGTAGCTGGGATTACAAGTGTGAGCCACTGCACCTGCCTTACTTCATTAATTTTAATAGCTGTGTAGTATTCAGTCATATGAATGAATAGTATGCAATTTTAGTTCTTTATTGATAGTTGTTTTCAACAAATATACAAATGTAAAATTTTTCCTCAAATTGGGTCAAGCTATATATATTGTTCTAAATTAGCTCTGTTTCTCGCAATAATAATAGTGTGCAGGTTTGTTACATGGGTATATTGCATGAGGTTTGGGGTACAATTGATCCCATCACCCAGGTAGTAAGCATAGCACCCAGCACGTAGTTTTGTTTAAGTTTTTTGAGACAAGGTAGGTCTCTGTCCCCCAGGCTGGATTGCAATATTGCAATCACTGGTCACTGCAGTTTTGACCTCTTGGGCTCAGCCGATCCTCCCAGCTCAGCCTCCGGGGTAGCTGGGACTACAGTGGTGGGCCACCATACCCTGCTATTTTTTGTATTTTTTTGTAGAGACTGGGTTTCGCCCTGTTACCCAGGCTGGTCTCGAACTCCTGGACTCAAGCAATCCACCCACCTTGGCCTCCCAAAGTGCTGGGATTATAGGCGTGAGCTACTGTACCCAGCCGCCAGTAGGCAGTTTTGAGCTTTCGCCCCTTCCCATCCTCTCCTCTCTGTTAGTTCCCTGTATCTATTGTTCCCATGTTTATGTCCATGTTTACCCAATGTTTAGCTTAGGATGATGATCTCCAGCTGCATCATGTTGCTGCAAAGGATATGATTTTGTTCTTTTTTATGGCTGCAGTGAACCTTTGGGTAAAGAAAATTTACAAAAATATCTCACATCAGTGTTTTTTTAATCAAAGTAAGTAGTAGTAATCCATAGTTCAGATCTACTTTGTAAGTGAGACACAAATAAAGACAGTAGTTACATTACACATTTTATAACATTACCTTGATGTGGCAAATTTTTCTTGTTTTGTTTTTGTTTTACATGAGTTAATTTGGATGAAACTTTCTTGAATTACTTACTTTTATAGCATTTACCTCCAGTGGGGTTGAGATGAGGAGCCTTCAATCCAACAAAGTTGTATACATGCATTCATGGAGATGACACTTAGGTTATTTAATCAGGAAACACTCCTGCTTGTCCACATGTAGATGCTACACGTGGAGTTAGTCCTATTCTTTGGAAGTTTCACTATGTTGCCCACACTGGTCTTGAACTCCTGAGCTCCAGTGATCCTCCCACCTTGGCCTCACAGCGTGCTGGGGTTATAGATGTGAGCCACTGTGCCCAGCCAGAAATGTGATTTTAATTCCATAATATATGTTACTGTGAATACAGTATATGTTTATTCCATAAGTAGCAAATTGACTCCTTTAACAGTTTTAGTAGTTTTCCAGTTGTTTTGTCTTTAGTTTCCCAGGCAAATAATGCTATTGTCTTCAATCACAGTATTAATTAGTTCATCCCATTCTTCATATTGATCATTTTTTTGGATATGAAATAATACTACTGTAATAATAAAAAGATGGAAAGCCTCACCAATTTGCATGTCATCCTTGTGCAGGGACCACGCTAATGTTCTCTGTATTGTTCCAATTTTAGTATATTTGCTGCCGAAGCGAGCACTCCATTTCTGTAAAGCTTAAAAAACAGACAAAACTAACAGATGGGAATGGAATCAGAATAATGGTTATCTTTGGTGATGAGGACAAGGGAGATTGTAGGTGTGCTGGTAATGTTCTCTGTCTTGATCTGGGTCATGATTTCATGGTTGTGTTCAGTTTATGAGAATCATTGAATAGTAGACTTAGGAAGTGTGCACTTCTTTGTACATGTATTATATACCTCAGTTAAAAACTTTTGCCTCTCACAAAATTTTAAAGAACATAATCTGCTTAGTTTGTCACCTTTTAGCTTTTAATGTAACTTTTCCACTACTTCTCTTCATATGTGAATACAAGTGTATGTATTCATATGTGAATACAAGTGAATACTAGTGTATTAGGTAATAAGCCACTTAACCTTTCTATTATGATATAAAACATACAGAAGAGTGCACAAATCAAATGTATAGCTTAATGAAATTTTTAAATTATTAAATTGGAGGTTTTTGGGGGTGCATTATACCCGTATCTTTGTTAGGAGGGAAGGAATTCATGGAGGGCTAAAAATTTTGGAGAGGACAAAGTTTTAAGGAGTCTCAATACCAAATCCTCATCTTGGCTCTGCCTTCAAGTTACTGTTTCTTTGGGTAAGTCATTTAACTTATTTATAGTTCACTTTTTTATATATATAAGAGGTATAATACTTAACCTTTCTTTTGCAAACTGAATTAGGTAGGTGCAATTCAGGTAAAATAATAGGAATATAGAGTAGTATTACTAGATAGGTCTTTATTTATGCCATTGAATTTAGGCCACTTACCTTACAGGGCAGAATTGTGGTATGCAAAGACTACACAGCTGGCGATTATTGGTGTCATTCATTTATGTTAGGTTGGTATTGAGACTTAGTTAACTATGCCAGGCATTACCCTGTGATTTATTATAATACATGTATTAACTCATGTAATAGTCTAGGATTATTCCTAGAGGTAGGTAAAATTATCCCAATTTTACTGATGATACAATCGATGGAAAATTAGGTTAAATAACTTGCCTAGGTGGGTTGAGTTCTTGAGCCTGTGCTTTAAAAAAAAATTTTTTTTTGAGAAAGGGTCCCACTCTATCACCCAGAGTGGAGTGAGTGGCGTGATCTTGGCTCACTGCAGCCTCTGTCTCTAAGGCTCAAGCCATCCTCCTGCCTCATCCCCTGAAGTAGCTGGGACTACAGGTATGGGCCATGTTTTAATGTATTTTATAGAGACGGGGTTTTGCCACATTTCCCAGACTGGTCTCAAACTGCTGGACTCAAGCGATCTGCCTTGGCCTCCCAAAATGCTAGGATTACAGGTGTGAGCCACTGCATCCAGCCTAAGCCTGTGCTCTTTTTTTGTTATACTGCCTAGTTATGTGAAAATACTTAAAGACTTTTAGGCAAATGTTAAGATTTTATAATAATCTGTTAGAGAGTTTTTGAAGTAAAAATTTTGGTATTTTGAACCAAAATTAGGAGAAGAGTCTCATTGTTTTGACCATCATGATTCTGGAAAAGATGGATGTTAATATTTATTACTTGGGCTTTATTCCCTTCTTAACAAAGCTAATTTTCTCCTAAAATGACTTGGTTGCAAGCACTAGGTAGTTTTCTTTAAGAATATATGTATATTTTAATCTTAAAGGATTTTGTGACTAATTTACAAATATTGTTTAATTTTTAGGCAAAATGTTAATGGAAGGGAGTTTTCAAACTTGGAGGCAGATCAGACCAAGGTTTAGTGTTCTTGCCTCAGTGGTTTAAGCAGCATCTATTTGGTCTTAGTATAAGAGTAATAATTATGATTCTATCATATGTATGGTTGAAAATTATCTTTATTAAGGTGTACTTGAATATGGTTCTGTAAGACTGGGAAACACATCTAGTTGTGCAACCACCATGATGATCAAGATATAGAGTTAGTTTCTCAAAAAATTTCCTCATGACCCTTTCCATAGTCAGCCCATTTCCTTACCTCTAGTCTCTGGCCACCACTGATCTGTTTTTTTCTCTGTCTTGTCTTTTTTTTTTTTTTTTTCTTTTCAGAATTCTGTGTAAACAAAATCACGCAGTATTTAGCCTTTTTGTTTTAATTTTTGTTTGTTTAATAGAAATGGGAGGCCTTGTTATATTGCCTATGCTGGCCTCAAGCTCCTGGTCTCAAGGGATCCCCCTGCTTGACTCAGTATGTGGCTTCTTGAGACGGACGTCTTTTATTTAACCTAATGTATTTTGAGATTCATCCATGTTTTTATGTATCAGTAATTACTTTCTGTTGCTTAGTAGCATTGCGTTGTATGGATGTACAACAGGTTCTGTATTCATTCCCCACTTCATTTGGGTTGTTTCCAGTTTTTGGTAATTACGAATAAAACTGCCATAAAAGCATTCATGCATACATACATACACACATGTGCCCTCGTATTTTCTTATGGTTTAAAAAGATATGGTGCCTAGAACTTTTATAACTTTACTACAGAACCTGAAAAAGCTGATGATTTTCACAGAACATTGTAAATTGCTTAGTAAACTTCATCCCCCAAAAAGCCCACTCTGGAATGAGAATAATCTGTTTGTATAAATAATCTTGTGGTATAAACTGTAAGTCATTAGAATTTTTTAAATTAAAGAAGTACATACACGTATTTATTTAATGGGTAAATTTATATATAAAACTCCTTAGTGCATAGTTTTATATTTTATGTTTTTAGTAGCTTTTAAATCGTGAATTATTGACTTTTTTGTTCCTCTAAGTAGTAGAATGGTTATATAATTGGTTATGAAAGTTTTTGTTTTTTTTTTGACAGGGTCTGGCTATGTCATCCAGGCTGGAGTGCAGTGGCGTGATCTCGGCTCACTGTAACCTCTGCCTTCTGGGCTTAAGCTATCCTCAACTTCAGCCTCCTGAGTAGGTGGGACTACAGGCATGTGCCACCACACCTGGCTAATTTTTGTAAACATGGGGTTTTGTCTTGTTGCCCAGGCTGGTCTCAAACTCCTGAGCTCAAATGATCAGCCCACTTCAGTCTCCCAAAAGGCTGGGATTACAGGTGTGAGCCACCATGCCCACCCAAAAACTCTTACTTATAAATTTGAGATGAAAAATACACAGAACATGATTAATAGCAGATTAAACATGGCCAAATACAAGACATAGCAATAAAAACTATCCAAAAGGAAATAGAGTAAAAGGATATTAAGAAACTAAACTGTAGAACACCTTCAAGCAGCCAATAATACATGTAATTTGAGTCCTAGAAGGACTGAAAAGAGGAGGGACAGAAAAAATAATACAAAAAAATGGCCAAAATGTTTTCAAATTTGATATAAACTATAAATCTCTTATCCAAGAAACTCAGTAAAGCCCACCTATAAGAAATATGAAGAACTCCACAAAGGTTCATAGTAATCAAAGTATTGAACCCTAGTGATACAGACATAGAGGGATGGGACACACCATACATAAAGATTAACAAAGGATGCTGCCAGAGTTCTCATCACAGATACCAGAATCTGGGAGGATATAGAAAAAATATTTTAAATTCTAAGAGAGGACATACTGTTAACTCTGAATTCTGTAACCAGTGTAAATAACTTTCCAAAATGAAGGGGAAATAAAGTTATATCCAGGCAGAAAAAAACTGTAAGAATGTATCACCAGCAGACCTGCTGCACAGGAAATAAAATAGGAACTCCTCGGGCAGAAGAAAGATGATATCAGATGGGAATATTGATCTGTAATAAAGGATGAAAAACTCTGGAAAGTAACTGTATAGGAAGATGTATAAGACCCCTCCATTAAAAAATCTTGAAATAATAATTGAATTTTATACAGAAATAACAACAGTGTTTTGTGTAGTTTGTAATTTATGTGTAAGTGAAATGCAGGACAACAATAGCGAAAGGCCAGGAAAGGAAAAATGAAAGCATGTTACTGGAAGGTTCTTACACCACACATGAAGTAAGATAACATGTGAAAGTAGGCTGCAGTAACTTAGAGTTGTAAAGCAACCACTGAAATAACAAAACAAAAAGTTTTGTTATCATATAAGCCAACAAAGAAGATGAGATGGAATAACAACAACAACAACAAAATCCAAAACAGGGCACTAAACAGGAAAGGGGAGCAAAGAACAGATGGATTGAGTAAAAGATGAATAACAAGATCACAGGTGTAACATAACCATTTCAAAAATCTTGTTAAATGTTCTAAGCATCCCAATTAAAAGGTAGAGGTTGTCAGCTTTGATGAAAAGAATGAAGACCCAAGTACATGCTGCCTGTAAGAAAGACATTTTAAATGTAAAGATACAAACATATTAAAAGTAAAAGATTGAAAAAGAGTTACCATGAATCAAATGAAAGCTGGAGTGGCTATATTCATATCAGATAAAGTAGACATCAGATAAGAGAATATTATCAGGGATGAAGAATGTCGTTTTATAAGGAGAACAGGGTCCGCTTCTCAGGAGGACGTGATAATTCTAAGAATAACAAGCACTACGTATGTCATCACAGAGCTTCAACACAAATGAAACAAACACCAATAGAACTCAAAAGAGAAATAGACAATTCCACAATTATAGTTGGGGATTACATTACTCACTATCAATAATTAGTAGAACAAGTAGAAAAAAAATCAGTGAAGATACAGCAGACTTAAAAAAATAAAACTATCAAATAACTTGATTTTATTGATATTTATAAATCAGTCCACCTGACAGTCACATAATATAAACTCTTCTCAAGCAAACACAGAATATTTATCAAGATAGAATACATTCTGTGCCAGAAAGCAAGTCTCAGAATATTTGGAGTGATTTAAGTCATATGAAGTATGTTCTTGGACCACATTGGAAATAAATTAGAAGTTAATAATAATAACTTTTCTGGAATAACGTCAAGTATTAGGATGATGAATTACACATGTCTACATATTGCAAGGGCTAAAGAAGATTTCAAAAGAGAAACCAATGCATTTTCAGCTAAGTGAGAGTGAAAACAATATTTCAAAATGTGTGGAATGCTGATAAGGCAATATTTGTGTGTAAAATTATGGGATTAAACACTATAGTAGAAAAGAGAATAGATTTTAGATTAATTAACTACCCCAGCTTCTGCCTTAATAATTGGAAAAACAAGAGCAAATTAAACACAAAAAACAATTTTGGAAATACTAGAGATCAGAGTGAACATCAATAAAACAAAAAAAAAAAATAGAGAAAAATCTATGAAACCAAATATTTATAAACTTCTAGCAGGCTGATCATCAAAACAAAAAAGAGACAAATTCCTAATATCAGGTATGAAAGAAACTATATCAGCACAGATTTTGTAAAAATTAAAAATGGAGTAAGGGAATACTGTGTACAGCATTACCTAATAAATTTTGTAACTGAGATGAAATGAGAATTTTTTTGAAAGATACAAATTGCTATAGCTCACTCAAGAAGAATCAGATAATTGAATAACTCTATATTTATTGAAGTAATTGAATTTTAATTAAATGCTCATCCTACAAAGGAAACTCTAACCCCAGATTGCTTCTCTGAAGTTTTTTGTTCAAACCTCTAAGGAAGAAATATTACCAATTATACTTAAACTCTTTCAGAAAATTGAAGAGTAGGAACTAGTTACCAACTTATTTTATAAGGCTAGTATCACCTTGATACCAAAGCTAGACTAAGATATTACAAAAAAACTATAAACAAATATTCTTTTTGAATTTAGATATAAAAGTTCTTTACAAAATGTTAGCAAATCAGTTCCAACAATACATAAAAATTATATTGTATCGTGGACAAATATAATGTATCTCAGAAAGGTTGGTTGGTTGAACATCCTCAAATCAATCAATGTATTTGCACCATATTAATAAATGATCATGTCAATAGATGCAGTAAACACATTTGATGAAGTCATATATTTACATTTGGAACATTTAGAAGGGAGCTTCCTCATCCTGATAAAAGGCATCTGTGAAAAATCCTACAGCTAACATCATTGTTAGTAACGAAACACTCAATGCTTTCTTGTTTGTCTTATCAGGAACAAGATGGGATGTTTGCTCTCACCACGCTTACATTTAACATTGTTGTGGAAATCCTAGCCAGACAAGAAGCTGAGATAGAATACGTCCAGGATAGAAAGAAAGAAGCAAAACTGCACACAGACAAAATGAACATCTATGTAGAAAATTCAATATAAAATACAAAAAAAGCTATTAGAACTAATAAATGAGTTTAGCAAGGTTGCAGGATACATGAACAATATACAAAAACCAATTGCATTTTATACTAGCAACAAATAACCAGAAATTGGAATTTTAAAAGCAATGCCATTTAAAGTAGCATCAAAATATATTAAACTCTTAGGAATAAATCTGACAAAAGATGTGCATGACCTGTACACTGAAAACTGTGGAATACTGAGAAACATTAAAGATAACCCAAATACATGGAGAGATACACTGTCTTCATGCCCTGGAAACCAATATTTAGAACATAAATGTTCCCCAAATTGATAGATAGTTTCAACACAATCCTAGTCAAAATTCTAGCAGGATTTTAATATTTTTTGGTAGATATTGACAAGCTGATTCTGAAATTCATAAGAAAATGCAAACGATCTAGAAGAGCCAAAATAACTGAAAAAAGAACAAATTTGATAAATTAACTTTACCTGATTTCAACAATAAAACTATAATATATATGATATGAAATTCAGAACTGTATATACAGATACAAAAATATTTTGTGTATATCCATCTCTATATCTATGTGTCTGTTTATACATTTGCTGATATATATTGCAGGATCCTCTATTCTGTTGCTTTAATATATACAGTATTTCCAACAAGCTGCAAAAGCTGTCAACAAATTGTGCTAGAACCTCAGATAACCATATGCAAAAAAATCAACTTTTGTCTATATTTCTTAGCATATATGAGAGTTAATTCAAAATAGGTCATGTAACTAAATGTAAACCTAAAACTAGGAAGTGCCTAAAAGTAAACAATGAAGAAAATCTTTCTGATTTTGGATAAGGCAAACAATTCTTTGATACAACATCAAAGCACAATGTATAAAACTTTTTAAAATGTGATAAAAGTTTGGGGCCAGCCACGTTGATTCATGCCTGTAATCCCCGCACTTTGGAAGGCAGAAGCAGGTGGATCACAAGGTCAAGAGATTGAGACCATCCTGACCAACATGGTGAAACCCCTTCTCTACTAAAAATACTAAAATTAGCTGGGTGTGCTGGCTATACGAGCTGGGACCTGTAGTCCCAGCTACTCGGGAGGCTGAGGCAGGAGAATCGCTCGAACCTGGGAGGCGGAGGTTTCAGTGAGCCGAGATCGCACCACTGCACTCCAGCCTGGTGACAGAGTGAGACTCTGTCTCAAAATAAAAATAAAAATAAAAAATTGATAAAATTAAAAATTTCTGTTCTTTGAAATTTACTGCTAAGAGAAGTAAACAAGCCACAGATTTGGAGAAAATATTTGCAAATCAGATATGACAAAAAAACCTTGTATCCAGAATGTATGAAGAATTTTAAAAACTCAATAATAAGAAAATAAATAACCCAAATTTTATTTTTTTCAGATGGAGTCTTGCTCTGCTGCCTAGGCTGGTGTGCAACGGCACAATCTCGGCTCACTGTGACCTCAGCTTCCCAGATTCAAGCGATTCTCCCCCCTCAGCCTCCCAATCCCCCACCCCCACCCCTGCGAGTAGCTGGGATTACAGGCACCCGCCATCATGCCTGGCTAATTTTTGTATTTTTGTACAGACGAGGTTTCACCATGTTGGCCAGGCTGGTCTTGAACTGACCTCAGGTGATCCACCCACCTTGGCCTCCCAAGTGGTGAGATAACAGGTGTGAGCCACCGCTCCCCAACTCAACCCAAATTTTTTAAATGGGCAGAGTATTTGAACAGGTTCCTCAACAAAGAAGATACATGTGGCAAATAAGCGCACAAATGAATGCTCCACACCACTAGTAATTAAGGGAATTCAATTACTACTTACTGGAGGCTAAGAGACCAGTTAGGGGGTTACGGGAGAAATTGTGAATTAAAATTATGTATGATAGTAGCGGTGGGGATGGAGAGGAGAGGATATGAGGAATATTGAGGAGATAAAATTGCAAAAGCTTCACACTTGGTTGGAAGTGGAAGCTGACGTGTAAGAGAATCAGCAATGATTCTCAGGTTTCCAACTTGAGCAAAGGGGCGGAGGCCACTGATAGACTCTGAGGTCATAAAACACAAGGTGGAGCAGATCTAGGTGGGTATGGAGGAAGAGATGTGACCATTGAAGTATTTTCTTTGTTGTTGTGTTGTTGGAATATTTCAAGTCAAATCCCTGACATCATGTTGTTCCATCTCTACACACTTGAACATGTATCACTAAAAGTAGGGACACTTTCTCCCATAATCACATTGCTGTGATCGCTCCTGAAGATGTGCTCAATGATTCTGATTATCATCCCATACATAGTCCACAGTCATACATACTTGATTATCACAAGTATTTCTCTTTTTGCAGTCTGTCTATTGGAATCAGAATCCGGACAAGGTCCACCCTGCACACCACTTTCTCACAAAGGTCCTCTCATCCTGAGCAGTCCTCCCTGCCACTGATTTGTTGTCCTTCATAATGTCCCACAATCTGCACCTGTCTTTGTTCTCCCTCATGATACTGCTTCACTTCTATGCCCTGAATTTCCTATAATGGGGAAGGAGCTCTGAAGCCTGGTTGTAGGAACACTTCATGAACAGTACTGTGCATGGCACACAATCTCTAGCCATCCCACTTGTCACGCTAAAATCGATGACTCGCTTCTGGTAGTGTCAGCCTGACTCTTTGGACATGCTGAGTAAGCAGAGCGAGAAAGGAAGAGGGCTTCGACCAGAGGAAGAGGAGCAGAGAAAACAGCGAAGGAGAATTCAGGGAAGTGGGGAAAATCGAGGGAGCAGCAGCGTGGGGGCTGAAGAAAGAAGGGTCAGGTGTCGCTGGGCAGCCAAGAAGAGACAAACAGGTCAGATGGTTTTCACAACTGATGGCTGATAACTTGTATGAGAGCAGCTTTAATGGAGTGATTAAGGTGTAAGTCAGATTGCCCTGGATGGAGGTGTGAATAGGGGTGGGAAGTGGAGGGCAAGGAATATCAATAACATTTTCAGGAATTTGGCTGTAAGACAAGGGAAAAAGATGGGAGACGTGAGCATAGGAAGAGGGATGTTGAAAAAAGAGGTTGTGTTTATTCTGTGGCTCTTTTGATGGGAGACACATTCATGCTGGGAGGTTGAATATTTAGGAACCATAAGGAACTATTATTAACAAAGAAAGTTCCAAAAACATTCCTGGTTGGAAGGTTTCACTATTTTGTTCACTAATTTCATATATTTTTCTAACTCTCTACAATTGCTTTTTGTTGTGAGCTCAACTGGTCTAGGAGACACAGATTTTGAAACGTGATGAAATTATTCAATAAAGCTGGTGTTAGATGCAGGTGTTAGAATGCATTTTTGTCAGACTTGGACCATATGAATTGAAGTTACTCTATCATCTGACTGATGGGCATCACTTGTTTTTGTCTATTTATTTGAACTGTATATATTCCAAAAATTTTTTGATGTAGCTGCTATATGATAAGAATATTGCAATGGGATTCTCCTGGGTTTCTAATCCAAAGTTTGGTTTTTTTAGAAAAATAAATTTGGACTTAGCAGATTAATCATGAATACTATATAACGCCATTTGTTAGACATTTTTGAAATGATAAAATTTTAGAAATGGAGGTTACTGATTGCCAGGGGTTAGGAAAGCGGAAGGAGGTGGGAGGGAGGGGGAGTGATTATAAAAGGGCTCTTGAGGGACCCACTGTGGTGCTGGAGCCATTCAGTATATTGACTAGTGGTGGATACATGAACTCACGCAGGTGGTAGAATTATACAGACATTAATACACACACAGTGAAAGTAAAACTAGGAAAATCTGCCTAAGGTAAGTAGATGGAGTTACTGTCAATGTCCTTGTTTTGCAAAACATCACCATTGTGAAATCCTATTGAGAATCTGAAACACAGCCTTGGTTATATGCTTTTTTCTTTTTTTACCCTGTAAAAATGTTCCTTTTACCCTGTAAAGTGTTCCTTTTTATACTGGTAAGTATAAAAGGAACAAATTATACTGGTAAGTAAAAATTACTGATAAAGTAATTACTGATAAACAAAGTAACTTTAAACTGAATATGGGAAATAACTGCTGTGCTGTATGGTATAAATAAATAATATATTTATCTATAACAATACTACTTTATATAATGGAACTAGATGTCACAAATGGCTCTAGTACTAGTAATGCAATTAATCAATATAATGTTTTGTAGGGTTTTGTTTTTTATACTCTTTGTTAAGCCTCCAAACTAGCAAGTACCCATTACAGTAAATGTACAATGGATTATTTCTGTTTCCGCGTTTCAGTCATTAACTCCTTAGTTGCATAATCTTAAGGTCAAATTACCTTGTTGAAGGGGACAGTCTGGATCCATTCCATGGAGCTCACATCAAAAACGTCTGCTGCATTTTCACTGTGCACTGAGAGGCACGGGGCATTGTAACCTGGGAGGAGCAAAGACGGTAACAGCAAACATGGGCTCCGTGATACCTTTTTCAGTGAATTTTTGATGAGATAATTATAGATTCACATGTAGTTGTAAAAATAATACAGAGAGATCCCTTGTACACTCTGCCCAGATTCAATTCACAACAAAATAAAACTTCAGTGTCTGGATTACAAATAATTTAAAACATAGCTAAAAATGTAAAAGTAAAAACCTGCCGTTTTGCTAAGACCAGACCATCAAATATTTAAGAGCATTTAACTTGCAGGACTTGTGGAGTATGCATGACATGAGCCACCAAAAAGAAGTTTTTAAAGGAAGAGTTAAAATAAGTGAAATTTTTTTCTACCTTCATCAGTATAAGCAGTGGAAAACACTTTTGAAAGGGCTGTCCCACCACATAAAATGTTACATTTGTGCTTTTCCAGCATTCTTTTTTTTGTTTGGTTGTATGTTTTTATTTTTTATTATACTTTAAGTTTTAGGGTACATGTGCACAACGTGCAGGTTTGTTACATGTGTATACATGTGCCATGTTGGTGTGCTCCACCCATTAACTCATCATTTAACATTAGGCATATCTCCTAATGCTATCCCTCCCCCCTCCCCCCACCCCACAACAGGCCCCGGTGTGTGATGTTCCCCTTCCTGTGTCCATGTGTTCTCATTGTTCAGTTCCCACCTATGAGTGAGAACATGCGGTGTTTGGTTTTTTTGTCCTTTCGATAGTTTGCTGAGAATGATGGTTTCCAGCTTCATCCATGTCCCTGCAAGGGACATGAACTCATCATTTTCTATGGCTGCATAGTATTCCATGGTGTATATGTGCCACATTTTCTTAATCCAGTTTATCATTGTTGGACATTTGGGTTAGTTCCAAGTCTTTGCTACTGTGAATAGTGCCGCAATAAACATATGTGTGCATGTGTCTTTATAGCAGCATGATTTATAATCCTTTGTGTACATACCCAGCAATGGGATGACTGGGTCAAATGGTATTTCTAGTTCTAGATCCCTGAGGAATCGCCACACTGACTTCCACAATGGTTGAACTAGTTTACAGTCCCACCAACAGTGTAAAAGTGTTCCTATTTCTCCACATCCTCTCTAGCACTTGTTGTTTCCTGACTTTTTAATGATCACCATTCTAACTGGTGTGAGATGGTATCTCATTGCGGTTTTGATTTGCATTTCTCTGATGGCCAGTGATGATGAGCATTTTTTCATGTGTCTTTTGGCTGCATAAATGTCTTCTTTTGAGAAGTGTCTGTTCATGTCCTTCACCCACTTTTTGATGGGGTTGTTTTTTTCTTGTAAATTTGTTTGAGTTCATTATAGATTCTGGGTATTAGCCCTTTGTCAGATGAGTAGATTGCAAAAATTTTTCTCATTCTGTATGTTGCCTGTTCACTCTGATGGTAGTTTCTTTTGCTGTGCAGAAGCTCTTTAGTTTAATTAGATCCCATTTGTCAATTTTGGCTTTTGTTGCCATTGCTTTTGGTGTTTTAGACATGCAGCCCTTGCCCATGCCTATGTCCTGAATGGTATTGCCTAGGTTTTCTTCTAGGGTTTTTATGGTTTTAGGTCTAACATGTAAGTCTTTAATCCATCTTGAATTAATTTTTGTATAAGGTGTAAGGAAGGGGTCCAGTTTCAGCTTTCTACATATGGCTAGCCAGTTTTCCCAGCACCATTTATTAAATCGGGAATCCTTTCCTCATTTCTTGTTTTTGTCAGGTTTGTCAAAGATCAGATGGTTGTAGATGTGTGGTATTATTTCTGAGGGCTCTGTTCTGTTCCATTGGTCTATATCTCTGTTTTGGTACCAGGCGCCTCCACAACCTCCCAGGAGCTCTGACCAAGGCGCCTCACTGGGGTGGGGACCTTGCCTCACCTGGGGCCATTTCATAATTCTGAATCATGTGTGATAACGGAGAACTGGAAGACAAGCCTCCAGCACCTCCTGTGCGAATGAGCAGGACCATCTTTAGCACTGGAGGCAAAGACCCTTTGTCAGCCAATCACAGTTTGAAACCTTTGCCTTCTGTTCCAGAGGAGAAAAAGCCCAGGCATAAAATCATCCCCATATTCTCAGGCACAGAGAAAGGAAGTAAAAAGAAAGAAAAGGAACGGCCAGAAATTTCTCCTCCATCTGATTTTGAACACACCATCCATGTTGGCTTTGATGCTGTTACTGGAGAATTCACTGGCATGCCAGAACACTGGGCTCGATTACTACAGACCTCAAATATCACCAAACTAGAGCAAAAGAAGAATCCTCAGGCTGTGCTGGATGTCTTAAGGTTCTACGACTCCAACACAGTGAAGCAGAAGTATCTGAGTTTTACTCCTCCTGAGAAAGATGGCTTCCCTTCTGGAACACCAGCACTGAATGCCAAGGGAACAGAAGCACCTGCAGTAGTGACAGAGGAGGAGGACGATGATGAAGAGACTGCCCCTCCCGTTATTGCCCCACCACCGGATCATATGAAATCAATTTACGCACGGTCTGTAATTGACCCTGTTCCTGCACCAGTTGGTGATTCAAATGTTGATGGTGGTGCCAAGTCTTTAGACAAACAGAAAAAGAAGACTAAGATGACAGATGAAGAGATTATGGAGAAACTAAGAACTATTGTGAGCATAGGTGACCCTAAGAAAAAAATATACAAGATATGAAAAAATTGGACAAGGGGCTTCTGGTACAGTTTTCACTGCTACTGACGTTGCACTGGGACAGAAGGTTGCTATCAAACAAATTAATTTACAGAAACAGCCAAAGAAGGAATTGATCATTAATGAGATTCTGGTAATGAAAGAATTAAAAAATCCCAACATAGTTAACTTCTTGGACAGTTACCTGGTAGGAGATGAATTGTTTGTGGTCGTGGAATACCTTGCTAGGGGGTCACTCACTGATGTGGTAACAGAAACCTGCATGGATGAAGCACAGATTGCCGCTGTATGCAGAGAGAGTTTACAGGCATTGGAGTTTTTACATGCTAATCAAGTGATCCACAGAGACATCAAAAGTGACAGTGTACTTTTGGGAATGGAAGGATCAGTTAAGCTCACTGACTTTGGTTTCTGTGCCCAGATCACCCCTGAGCAGAGCAAACGCAGTACCGTGATCAGAACGCCATACTGGATGGCACCAGAAGTGGTTACACGGAAGGCTTATGGCCCTAAAGTCAATGTATGGTCTCTGGGTATCATGGCTACTGAGATGGTAGAAGGAGAGCCTCCATACCTCAATGAAAATCCCTTGAGGGCCTTGTGCCTAATAGCAACTAATGGAATCCCAGAACTTCAGAATCCAGAGACACTTTCCCCAATATTTCGGGATCGATGTTTGGAAACAGATGTGGAAAAAAGGGGTTCAGCCAAAGAATTATTACAGCATCTTTTCCTGAAACTAGCCAAACTGTTATCTAGCTTGACACCACTGATCATGGCAGCTAAAGAAGCAATGAAGAGTAACCGTTAACATCACTGCTGTGGCCTCATATTCTTTTTTCCATTTTCTACAAGAAGCCTTTTAGTATATGAAAATTATTACTCTTTTGGGGGTTTAAAGAAATGATCTGCATAACCTGAATGAAAGAAGCAAATGACTATTCTCTGAAGACAACCAAGAGAAAATTGCAAAAAGAAAAGTATGACTTTTATATGAACCCCTTCTTTAGGGTCCAAAAGGAATTGTGGACTGAATCACTAGCCTTAGGTCTTTCAGCAAACCGCCTATCAGGGCCATTTATCATATGTGAGATTTGCATTTTACTTTGCTGACTTTGTTGTAATAGATCCCATTCATTGTCCCCTTTGGGGTATTTCCAATACTTGAATGGCAGATTGGAGTTTTTCAGAGTATTTGTTTCATCTGCTAGTCTTTCTCTCCTTCATAGCTTTCCTTTTCCTGGACTTGCTCCTTTTGAGTTGCTTTTGAGTTTCTCATGCCTAGGTAGTGTAATAGAAATTATGTAGCTCCTTATGTTGGCAAAGGAGCTCTATATAGTTTCACTTTTTATAAAAGTTAGGACCAGCTGTTGTTACATGTAATATTTTAGTTCAGAACTTGACCTGAAGGAAGGGAAGAAAAGTATTTGATTTTTACCTTTTTTAACAAATGTGAAAAAGTCAGTTTTAGAAATTTTGTGGTAGTAAGTTTGGCATTTGTTACATGTATAGAGAGAAGACTAATAATCTCTATTTATAACTAAATCATTGAGATAGAAAAAGATTCCCATTGACCGTATATTTCTTCCCATTTCGTCTTCCCTTCTGCCTGTTTCCCCTTCAGGCTTGGCTCTAGGAACCAAAGTGATTTGTTCTTGTTCCAACCTGGGCTTTGTGACTTTGGTTAGTGCCACTACCTTCTTCCCTCCTTTCCCCCTTCAATTTGGAAATAAATTTCTGTATATGTTGCAATTTTAGGTTTATTTTTGTTCTTTTTGTTTTTCATTAATCCTCTCTCACCTCACAGATACCCCCCTCCCATGGCAAATAATATAATAACCAGTGAATTTTCGGGAATTTAAAATTAGCTTTTTTCCACTTAAAGGAGAAAAATATTTGGGACTAGCAGGCGCAGAGTGAGAGACGTGAACCTTGGTGATCTCTGATATAGTGAGAAGAGATTATACTCATGAAAGAGAATGTTAGTGTTACAGAGAAGCAGCCGATAGGAAATCAACTGTAGAGACTTGGAGGCGGCGGCATCGCTCCAGGTCATCATCAGTGTGGTGTTATCTATGAGAACTTGAGCGACAGAGTATTTCTTGATGAATTTATAGATCATTTGAGATGTTGAGTTACTTTTGTTTTCAAATAGGTAGAGACTATTAATTTAAAAAAACAAGAAAGGAAAATGAAATGTGCGTGTTGAGAGCAATAATTTGTTTCTTTTAAAGATTCTGAAAGATCTGAGACCTGTAGCATTAATTATTTGAGTGCCCTCCCTTCTCCCCTCCCCTCCCTTTCTCTTCTCTTCTTTCATCTCCTCTCCTTCTCCTTTATTCATTGTTTTGCTTTGGAGTAGGTTGTTCAAGTATTTGGTTTGGTTCTGGCATTTTGTTCCCACCATCCCCTTCCCCCATTAACTTCCCCCCTGCTTGCCATCCTGCAGTAGTATAAATCATGAATAAAAAATAATTTTGCTGTTGTAGTATACATTGGGGAAACTAGCAGGGTTTTATTTCCATTATTTTATTCCCACTATATCTATGATAAGATACAATTATAAGGAGAGAAGTGACTGTTTTTTATTGATAAGGCAAGATTTTCAGAAAAATGAGTAAAATAATTAATGAAACATATTTAGGGCACTTAATGGTCTCTGTTTTCAATATAATTCTTGATTTCATTTTTCTCTGGAATATATTGGCCTTCTACAGCTATTACTGAATTACAGAAACTGGTTTATTTCTGTCAGAAAGCTGCAGTGCCACCTGAGTTCCAAATTTTAACATTCTTTGTAAACGGATGGATTATGATAAAGAAGATGCTACCAATGAAATAGAAAACCAACGAGATGAGAAGACTGTGATCCTCATGCACTCAGAGGCACTTCCCTTCTAAGTCAAAGACCATTCTCACTGACTATGTGCCAAGGCCTCACTTCAGGCTTGTGACTCAACAAAGGGCTTTTCCATTGATAGAAGCAGTTTGGGATTTGTAGCTACAACTTCTTCGATAGTTACCTGCATGTCCATTGCTGGCAGCTGACTTCAGTCATTAAAACCTGGCTCTTTGGTTAAGGGAGCTACACTGTGGTTTATTCTTAAGTTACATGGATAAACTAACCTCTAGCAGAAATATAGTTTGGTTAATTTTGAGATGTGTCATTTTTAAACAAAATCTTAAAAGCAATACAGAATTTTGATTTATTAATTTTAAATTAAAACATTGAGAACTTGTTGAAAGAAAAATTATATCTGAATCAAGATTCATGTTTTTTATTTTTTATTTTTATTTTTATTTTTTTGATACAGAGTCTCACTCTGTCACTTAGGCTGGAGCACAGTGGCATGATCTCAGCTCACTGCAACCTCCGCTTCCTGGGTTCAAGCAATTCTCATGCCTCAGCCTCCTGAGTAGCTGAGACCACAGGTGCGTGCCACCACACCCAGCTAATTTTTTGTATTTTTAGTAGAGACAGAGTCTCACCATGTTGCCCAGGCTTGTCTCCAACTCCTGAGCTCAGGCAATCTGCCCACCTTGGCCTCCCAAAGTGCTACAATTACAGGCACGAGCCACTACACCTGGCCTCATGTTTTTTAAATAATTGCCTTTTATATTTACCCTTTTTGTCATCACTTTAGAATGAAAATTCCCATTTAAATCTAAAAGTTACTTTAATAGTCCTCTTGTGTTATTAGGACAGTATTACTATAGTACTTATTTATTATATTTTAGACTTTTTCTTTTTTCTTCTGCTGCTTTTAGGGACAGTTAAAACTGGGAAACTATGAAACATGGAACATTTTATCCTACCTAGAATAGTAAATGAGTAATTGTGAAGCGTAAGACACCGAGGCTAATACAACTCTGTCTTCATGTGTCGAGTGCCTGGCACATAGTACTAATTCTCTTCCCTTTAACATATAAATGTTAAGCTGCTTAGAGTCTAGTAACCACCAACTGTAAACGAGCCTGTGCCTTTAACAAGAAATTTTAAACTACCTATGAGTATTTCTTTATAGGGCTCACTTAAATAAGTTTGTATATACTGTATTCTAGCCAGAATAATTTTAGATCTGATCAGGTAGTAGCTAAAATTAGAAAAAAACAAAATAGGTGCTTAAAGAATTTGCATCCATTTTTGAGTCTAAATCTTTTTAAATATACTGAGATCCACATCTAGTGAAATGTCAGTGTCAAAATATTATAGATTATAGCTAAAATCCAGATTAATACTCATTTGGGGTTTTTTATAGTGGAACTTCATAATAATACAAGAAGCAGATTGTCTTCCTGTCTCCGCTGCTCCCACAGTAGGTATTGAAACTGGTGAAATCAGTTTTTTGATAGTGTGTGTATATAAGAAAAAATATATACACACATTCTTTTTTCTCAGTCAACACACTGATTGAACACTCTGGCAAAGATGCTGTGGTAGACGAGGTTGGAGTTAGAAAGAAGAAGCAAGCACTGGCCTGGCCTTGAAAGAACGGAAGTCTTTCCCATTCACTTCTCTAGAATGCTGCCAAGACAGAGGCAGAAAGAAATGGATGATAATTCTGTCAAGCACACTTCTATTCTTTATTAAGAGAAACAATTATGTTTGGAATTCAGCATCTTTGGTTGGAACGCATTGGCTTTTTTTTCTTGTTGTGATAGAAATGGAATTAAGTAAAATTATAGTTTGTCTTTTCTGTTGTCTTCAAATTTTATAATGTCTTTTATTTTTAATTTAATCCCATTCAATTATTTAATTGTTATACATTGACATTAACTGCTGTATTTTATGACTTTGTTCAATAATTTTGTTCTTTCAGGGCTAGAAATAAACTTTTTTAAGAAATGTGCATTTTTCCCTTTCCTAAACTTTTATTCTTTCTTTTGATCAGAATAGCATAAAAGAATAGTTAAATGTCTTAATAGGTTTTCAAAGAACATTCTAGTATCTTTAGTGATAAATGTTTTAAACCTTTAAAAAAAATAGAATAGTATAGCACTGGCACATGAATAAGCAAATCTAGAGAATAGAGCACGGAATCTAGAATTACATCCAAGTACACATAAGAGCTTTATATAGACAAAATGAGCTTTTAATTCAGTACATCTCCATTAAAAACCCCATGTAAAAATACAAATTTAGACTATATATTTTTTAAAGTTTAGGTGAATTAAATATTTTTGTTTTGTTTTGTTTTTTGAGACAGAGTCTCACTCTGTTGCCCAGGCTGGAGTGCAGTGGCACGATCTCGGCTCACTGCAACCTCCATCTCTGGGGTTCACGCCATTCTCCTGCCTCAGCCTCTCGAGAAGCTAGGACTACAGGCGCCCGCCACCACGCCTGGCTAATTTTTTGTATTTTTAGTAGAGATGGGTTTTCACCGTGTTAGCCAGGACGGTCTCGATCTCCTGACCTCGTGATCCGCCCGCCTCGGCCTCCCAAAGTGTTGGGATTACAGGTGTGAGCTACTGCGCCCGGCCAATATTTTTAAATAAACCTATAAAAATTCCAGAAGGAAGCCCTTGGTGAAGATCTTCTCACTTAAGAACGACAGAAAACAAACCACCTATTTTATAAAAAACAAGTATATCTCGCTATGTAAACCATAGCAGAAAGACAAACTAAAGACTGGAAAAAATATTTACAGTATATATAATATCTAAAAGTTGATCATATTAAAATGGACATATGCAAAGGCTACGAATTGCCAATTCATAGTAGACGGTATGCAGACCCATCATTTGAAGAGATGCAAGTAGAATTATTTTTTCTTGTTCCAACAAAATCTAGATAATTCAAATTAAACTAAAATGGCATCATTTTTAGCCTTCAGGTGAGCAGCAATAGAAAACAAAATATTAACTCAGTGCTTGCAATTGGCACTGTTACCATTCTAAATCACCACAAATATTTTAGAAATAAATTAGCAATTATCTATTAAAATGAAAACTGCATATACCTTTGACCCAAAAATCCTATTTTCAAAAATGTATCTGACAGAAAAAAAACAAAAGCATCAGCATATAGTGATACTTCTACAATGATGTTTACTGAAATATTATTTATAGTGACAAAAATAAAAACTGAAGACATTCAGATGTCTATTAGCAAGGAAACACATCTGAGTAATGTATATTTTATTTTACTTTTTTCAGGCAAGAAAACTTACATACATTTATTTTTGTTTATATATGTTTGTGTGTACCAAAAAGGATGATAGAAGGATGTTCTGTGCATATTAAATTGGTTACTCAGGAGGGTGAGGGGGTAAGGGGATACTACTAGTTTTTCCTATATTTATCCTGGTAATGTCTCACTTCTTAAAAGGAACATATACTGCAGAATCATGAAAATCATGCCTAGAATAGACTTTAAAGATATCTTGTCCACTCATCTCTTTTGCAAGCCAGTAAACTAAGCCCAATATTAAAATACCCAAGGTTATGCCTCCATGGCTCAAAATTAAGAGTTTTTGACTCCCAGATCAGCATTCTTCCAATTCAAAATATAAAATCAAATTCTGAAAATAAGTAGCAGCTAACTCTATAGTAACCTCCTACTTGAGCCTAATAATTTATGTACTGAATGCTTCTCTTTCAGTCTGTGTGGTTTACATGCACATATATACATATTCTTTCCCTAAGAGTTTTGTCTAGCATATGCTGTGTTTAAATTCAAATGAATTAATTTTTAAAATCAGTACCCCTTTAGGTAAATGAAGCTATCTCTGTTGTCAAAAGATCAAAGACAAGCTACATATTTAAACATTATATATTCAAATTATTTAACAACTGTTATGATACAGGCACCACACAGCCGTCAGACACTGGCGCAATCAAACCGGGCAACAGCCATTCTGGTGTAAACATCTGTGGGAAACAAAAATAGCCCAGGCCGGGCGCAGTGGCTCACGCCTGTCATCCCAGTACTTTGGAAGTCCAAGGCGGGCAGATCACCTGAGATTGGGAGTCTGAGACCAGCCTGACCAACATGGAGAAACCCCATCTCTACTAAAAATACAAAATTAGCCGGGCGTGGTGCCGCATGCCTGTAATCCCAGCTACTCGGGAGGCTGAGTCAGAAGAATTGCTTGATCCCGGGAGGCGGAGGTTGCGGAAAGCCGAGATCGTACCGTTGCCCTCCAGCCTGGGCAACGAGTGAAAATCTGTCTCAAAAAAAAAAAAAAAAAAAAAAAAAAGTCTGCCTTGCCCAAAGCTTAAATATGCTGTCATATCTTCAAAAAGATAAGAATATCTTACCTGAAAATTTCATCTATACTAAACTCAATTTCCTACTAATGAACAGTTTGTCAAATACATTTTTGTTTTTACTATGGGTCTCGTTGTTAATGAATATGACATTATAATAATCTGACATAATACTGACATCATAGTTTAACTGTATGAATAAATGGTGTTTTCACATATAGAACAAGAATATATACATTCACTCCACAAGTATTTACTGAATGCCTTCTACTTCAGGTATTTCCCTAAATGCTGGGAGTGCTTCAAAACAGATTTGATTCTTGCTTTCATGGAGTTCACGATCTATGAGTGAGACAGACATTAATCAAGTAAACAAGTGATAATACAATTATAAATTGTGAACAGAACAAGGTGCTATAAAGTAGAATGACAGGGTGAGGGGTGTTCAGTCTATAAATTAGATGGTCAGAAATGGCCTTTCTGGCGAACATGACATTTTCATTTGATCGGATTAAGAAGTCAACCTTGTGAAAGTAGGGAACAAGTTCTCCAGCCAGAGTGAGCTGTTTCTTACTAATGTGACTGGCTTTGTTTTATCAAAATGAATCATAATGTTTAGTTGGTACTTCATCAGTACTCAATACATATTTACTTATTGAATCTAATGATTAGATTCTGCATGCTCTTCCATCTCTCTTATAAAAGGGCTTCGTGTTGGACTATGGTACAATTAGGCACTTTAAGAAACAACAAAATATTTTGAAGTAAGTTCTACGTATTTATTTGCCACTAACACACTGACTGTAAAAGATATGAAGCATATATACAGAAATTACCATAACCAAATATATATGCAATTAACCTTTTATATAGCTGTGTCTTTATGGTTTCCATCTTTTCTCCCCCCACCTCTGAAAATGTTTACAATTTGTAATCTCCCTCTCAGTACTGCCTGTAATGATATGGAATGATACCCATCCAGAGGAAGGGGTTGTAAGGGGTCACAGAGGTTTGCATTAGAAGGAGTAAAGTTTGAAAACCTTCCCCACACATTCAGTTATGCCCTCTTCTAGGGAATATCCTTCCGCTTTTCACTTAGGAATTATTCTGGTCTTTTTAGATGTCATACTTCCATAAATCTGCACAGTATATTCATTCATCTCCACTAGCGAAAAGTTCCACATTTTATATTAATTTTTTTTTTGGAGACAGGGTCTTGTTTTGTCACCCAGTCTGGAGTGCAGTGGTACAATCACAGCTCACTGTAACCTCAAACTCCTGGGGCCAAAAATGATCCTCCCATCTCAGCCTCCCAAGGAGTTGGGACTACAGGTGCACACTACCATGCCCGGCTAATTTTCTAACTTTTTATAGAGACAGGGTCTTCCTATGTTGCCCAGGCTGGTCTCAAACTTCTCGCCTCGAGGGGTCCTCCCATCTTGGCCTCCCAAAGCACTGGGATTACAGGTGTGAGCCACCACACACAGCTTACGTTAATTTCTTCAAATAAAATATTTTCTCATAGGAAAAAAATTATCGTGGGGTTTTGTTGATATAGGAGTTAAGAAGAAATTAGTTAGGCAGATAGTGAGGGTACAGGAGTCCTTGGTAAGTTTTACCTTTTAATTAAAAGCAGCCCTCAAATCATTTATTTTCCTAACAAAGAGCAGACTGTAAAATGAAGTTGTAGACATAGGCAAGCGAGGTGGAAGCCTGCACAGGCAAATGCGTGAAGTTGTGCCAATAGGAAAATACTACCTGGAACTACATGTTCAAAACGAGAGCTCTATCTTCCCTTCTCTTTGCCAGCCACGTGTACAGTAAAGAGTAGACGAGATGGCGCTGAGCAAGTGGAAAGCCCATTTGCGTAAGATTAGGGTGGGGCAACCAGCCTTCCCAGCGCCGTGTAAACTTCACACCTGATCAAACCCATCTGTGGCCCCCACGTAAATCAGACACCAACTCCTCAAGCCTGCCTCCCTGCTGCTGCCAGCTGTTCCCTTTTGGTCTCTCTCTGTCTCTGACTCTGTCTCTGTGTCTCTCTCCCCTCCCCCCTCACCTTTCTCTTCTGTCTCTCTCTCCTCTCACTTCTCTCTTTCTCCTCTCTCTCACAAGAGAGAGATTGCATTATCATCCAATGTCGTTCAAGAAATAGAACGTTTATTGTGTACGTTTTACAAGTTCAGCACTGTGCTAGCCTCTGTGGGGATTCCCAAAGCAGGAAGTAGACGGGTGCCATAGGATGCGCAGAAGGAAGCGCTGGTGTAGGTGTGGTCCACCGATGATGGGAAAGGAAACGGAGCTTGCCTTGGTGTCATTACCAACAGGTTTGTGATATGTATACATTTCTGGATGCAGTATGGTTAAACAGAGGCATTTAAAAGAGCCCCCACCGCAGAGGGTGAAAATGTAGACCAAAAAAAAAAAGTTCATTAAAAAGCAAATTTTCACTAGTGGCTCTGTAACTATGAATTTAAATTTTAAATTTCCTGATAACTTTTCAACCATGAAGACTGAGAGCCTGGCCGAATTATTTGGTTCTCTGCCCAAAGATTGGTAATAGAGTCGCATAGAATAATTTTTCTCCTCTTTAAAGATGAATCAGAGGATGCTGGGTTTCACTGAACATTTCTGAAGATTTTCCACACCACAAAGCCCTCCAGGCACAGCTCAGCATTTTGTAGACCAGCATTAAATCTTAAAAGAAGTAAAATGCTGCCCTCTCGTGGCCCATGTACAAAACTGATGAAAACAGTATTGTTCCTTCCTGTTATTGAAAAGCAGCCAAGTCCAAAGCAGAGAGCAGCAGTATTTAGATTTTAAATGAGTTTGCAAATAAAAAGACGAGAGTACCTTAATATGACATGAGTAAACCTTTCAGGAAATAAAATTTTGAACCAGATCAGATCAAAGTGTTCCAAAATGGGGCTTAATACTGTAATTACCACCATGACTCTGCATATATGCAGATTTTCCCCCAGGGAGCTCAAACTTTGACTCAAAATCCAGTAATCTTGAATCCTGGTCTAATCCTTACCATCTAAAGAAAGCACACTTATTTAGAGTAATTGTTCAATAGAAAATTTATCAGGTCCTTCCTCATCCTGCCCCCAGCCAGATGTGTTCTCTTCCTGCTCTGAATTCCAATAAGACATAATGCTACATGTATATGGGTCTCTTTTTCTGTCCACAAGTAATAGTTTTAGAACCTTTGTGGCCTCTAAGATGGGCATGACACATGGTACATGCTTAAGAAGTGTTTGAATAAATTAATGAATAAATAAATGGGAATTAAATGATGAATAAATGTATAGCTGTGATAAATATTCCCTATTTCCCTTATTTAAGCAAAAAAAAAAAAAAATACTATTTGTTGTGCAAATACCAATGCCTGCAAGGCTTGTTGCACTGGCTCAGAGGCCATGCGACATATCTTTGAAAACAGTCAGGAAGGCAAGAGTGGCTCCAAATCAAGCCTGGGTGCATTGCTGTACTTTGTGGACATCAGGAATGGGCACTCTGGCTCTGCCTACTCCTGGATAGGCCCTACAAGGATTATACAGGTTCTGACACATAAAAGCAGGGGAGAAGAATACCTGAGAAACAGATTAAGGCAGGGTTCCTCACCCCACTGCCCACAGGAAATTCTCTTCAGTGGGCCACAGAGCTAAATGTACAAGCCAAATGCTTCCTGAAAGGTGGGTGCAGATGTAGTAAACAATAGCCTATGTAAGCACCACTGAACCACATCAGTCTAGAAGTTTCTGTTTCTGATTCAGGCACTGATCCCAGGTCAGGTGCTCTGTGAGTGCTAGCTGGGAGTGGTGGTGATGGTGGTGGTTGAGATATGACAACACATAACAATATTAGATGCCTATTAGGTTCAGGCTGTAAATGACTCCTGCTTGCCCTTGGACAAGCAAGCTGGGAATGTGTGAATGTCAGCAGTGGGTATTTATACTTGGCTCCAGACTTCTCCAGACAAGTTCTTACTTGTTCCCCTCCACCAGTGGTTGCTTGAGCCTTTCTGCTGTTTAGCCTCATTCCTTTAAGCTGTGAACCCAGACTCCTATTTTGAGTCCTTTTATGGATAACTTGATTCAGTCACAATGCAACAGACTCCAGGACAGCTTTTTTTGTCTCTGTCTCTGGCTCCCAGCACCACAGCGTAAATTTAAAAAAAAAAAAAAGACTCCCTGCTGTGCGCTTCTTGGGCACTGTGACAGCTGAAGGACAAGCCTGCCTTTCAGCCAGGATTCCATTTCCCTAGAGAATATTAGGTATTGGACGAGATAGGAGATGAGAGGTAAAAATGAACACTGGCGTGCGCGCGCGCGCACACACACACACACACACACACACACACACTTCTAATTGCCAAACTTCTCTAAAGGATGCTTGAGACCTGTCCCACTTTCTTTAGCATTTACTAATTCCTTGACTTCCTCTGACCACAATACCCAGGCCTCTCTCTTATGGAGTTCTAGTGGCCCCCTTGCTGAACATCATGGTCTTCTCTCAGTTCTTATTCTCTTTGACATCTTGCCAACATCTCACTTTTCTGACAACCTCAATTGCCTGTTCCTGGAACAGTCTTCTAATTTTCCTCCCAAGACTAATCACAAGTTAGTAAGAATCCAAGCAACTTTCATTTCTTTCATTCATTTATTTATTTTTTGAGGCAGAGTCTTGCTCTGTTGCTCAGGCTGCAGTGCAGTGGTGTGATCATGACTCACTGCAGCCTCAAATCCCTGGGCTCCAGCAATCCTCCCATCTCAGCCTCCCAAGTAGCTGGGACTATGGGTATGCGCCACCATACCCAACTTTTTTTTTTTTTTGTAAAGGCAGGGTCTTAATATGTTGCCTAGGCTGGTCTCAAACTCCTGGGCTCAATCAGTCCTCCCACCTCAGCCTCCCAAAGCACTGGGATTACAGGTGTGACCACTACACACAGCCCATTTCTTTTACAGTGTCCCAACATTTCAGTATGTTTTAAATATTTATTGCTTCTAAATTAAACGTTTAATACATATTCACAAAATATAGAGACATGATCTCATTTAGAGATCCAAATGTGAAGCCTGTGTGACTGTGAAGGCCCCCTGTGATGGGGCCGTTGTAATAGGTTTCTCTTACCTCTCTACCTGGCTTTCACATCTCCTTCAGTAACTCTCTTCCTCTTCTTGCTGCAAGACTGGGTCCTCAATCCCCATCTCTCTCCACTTACTTCCCCTTTGCCTACCAATCCTGCCTTCTAGCTCCAGTTGTTTTTTTTTTTTTTTTTTTTTTTGAGATGGTGTTTCACTCTTTTGCCCAGGCTGAAGTGAAGTGGTGCGATCTCAGCTCACTGCAACCTCCACCCCCCGGGTTCAAGCAATTCTCCTGCCTCATTCCCCCGATTAGCTGGGATTACAGGCACCCACCACCAAGCCCAGCTAATTTTTTGTATTTTTAGTAGAGATGGGGTTTCATCATGTTGGCCAGGCTGGTCTCGAACTCCTGACCTCAGGTGATCCACCTGCCTTGGCCTCCCAAAGTGCTAGGATTACAAGCATGAGCCACCGCGCCCGGCCCAGTTGTAATTTTTATACTAATGACTACTCAATTGATGTACCAAACCAAACCTCTCATCCAAGCCTGGATTCCAATACTTCTAGTTGTCTGCAGAACATCTAAATCTTACCATTTGCAAACTGAACACATCATCCTCCCTCTGGTTGGCAAACTAGCTTTTCTCTTTCTCCTATCTCAAATCTTATCTCAGCAGAAGCCAAGGGTTCCATATAGGGCTATCTGTAGAGAAGAGGGTGCTCATCCTATTTCAGCTTTCAGAATTGTGATGGGTTATGGTGGTCTGAGACAGAGAAATCAATTTGAAGGAATTTGACAGAATATTATAGCTAGTTATAATGGGTTGGATAGTAAGCTGTTAGATCTTCCCAGAAAAGAAGTTCTCGAAGTAAAAGGCAGAGTTCTGACCTTTTATATAGAAACCGGTGCAATGGTTATGGGTGGAGGGGCAGCTGTTAAGGATGTCCAGTTTAGACATCTCTTAGCAAACTGGAAAGCTATCTCCTTCATGCCTATACCCAAGACCCATTTGTTAATTACATGCATGTTGTCTTAGTCCATTTGTGCTCCTATAACAAAATACCACAGACTATTTTATAAAGAAAAAAAATTACTTTCTCACAGTTTCAGTGGCTGGAAAATACAAGGTCAAGGCTCTAGGCATTTGATCTAGTGAGGGCCTTCTTGCTGCATCCTCACATGGCATAAGGTGGAAGGGCAACTAGCCAAGCACTGCGGGACGCCTCTTTTGTAAGGGCTTTTTAACTCCATTAGCCAGGAAGAGACTGTAAGGCCTAATCACCTCTTAAAGACCATCTTAATACCTATCTTAATCACTTCTTAATACCATCATATTGGCAATGATTGAACTTTGGAGGGGACACATTCAAATCATAACATATGTTGTAATAAGCTGCAAAATGTAAGTTTTAATAGAATAAACTTTTGTTTACCTCTATCATTCATTCACTCTATGAGATTTTTGTAGTAAAGTTTTATCCCAATATTATAACGATCTCTCAGGAAATCTCTTTATGTTCTGAGATCATCCGACAGCACCATGTACAATCTGTCCTTCTCATAGGAGCAGATGAAATCAACCAGTGGTATTGATGGTTATCTTTTCTTAAGCCGGTTATTGCAGGCATCTGTCTGTCTCTTTGTGGAAGACTCCATGCACACTACCACAGGAAGGAGATCTTGTGATGTAGGCAACTTCCTGGTTAAAGCTCTTGTCAGTTTAAACATGATTACTTACTTTCTGACATTTGCACTAAGTAGAAAAATATGCTCCTTAGAGTCCTAATGAGTATCTACTTTAACCTACCCCAAATGAGGTAAGATCATTGGATATCAGAATTGGAACACAATTTATGTCCTGAAAAAAATAATGAGAAAGATCAAATAAGAGTTATGTAATCTTACTGCAAAAACCTAGCTGTAGGAAATAGATACCTTCTATCATCTGTCCCAAAAGATGGAGTTGTCTGAGCCACTAATCCAATTCTAGGGATCCAGATGATTCAGGTAATTCATGAATCCCATCTTCAGACAGAAGGCAAGAGCAGTGCATGAGATATCTCAGTAGCATGACACTCCATTTTATAGGAGCTAAGGGGAAACTGAAACTCTGTGTAGAGTCTCTGTCTCTTAGTTTACTGAAATTTATCTTTCATTGTAATAAAAAAGATCTGACCCAAAGGAAAAAAAACATTGTCGAAAATTTTGGTATTTCTCAAGGCACCTGAACAAATATACCATAGCCATCTAGGGTTATATTGTCACCACCAGTTGTGTAATTAAAACAAAAAAAAACTTTAAAATTAAGTATCAGCAAGATATAATTAAGAAGAAGAATGTCCTTTTATGTGTGACAAATCATAAATAAATGTATGTAAATACTTAAAGACTAAAGCTAAGTTATTTGTAAACTATTCATTTTTAAATGATTTGTACAAACATTCCTCTAGGATATGACATTTAAAAATAAAATGTGATTCTATTTATAAAGTCTGTATTAAGCAGAATACTGTATTAAATAAATATATCTAATATGAATGGAATTAGAACTAAATTTTAGTTTGCACAATAGATATCTGTCCAAAAAACTTAAGATTACAGAAAAGGCTACAATGGCTGACTTCCTTTGGCAAATGGTGGCATACTGCAAGAAAATTTTATCAGAAAATTTTTGTTTTGTCCTTATTTTAACCTGAGAAAGCTTATAATTCAATTCCCCTTACAAATATATCATAATAAAGATTAGGTGAATTTACCTTGTAAGAGGAAAATTGGAAAAGAGGAAATATCATATAATTTGTAACAACATTTGCAAGGAAAATTCTATAATATGTGTCAAATATATTTAGTGAAACCAGAGTTTATTGTTTACCATGTAGCTAGAAGTCCTAATATATTTCTTTGCTCTTTTTTCCTATTTTTAATATTAATATAATCTGTTCCTAAAAACTGCCCAAGTCTTCACCAGCCAACTTAAGGTGATTTTGTGACACCCCATTAAGTTATCATTTATCCTCATTGATCTCACCACCTGCAAACTTTTCAAAGATACTGATACTCTACCTGTCCTTCCTAAATTACTACAGTTCCCTTCATCCCAGTTTCTACTACTACAAGTCGTTTGAAACCTGCTTATGAAGATTGTCACTAATAACCTAATCCCCAAATCAAACCACCTTTCTCTCTCCCTTTATCTCAGTCAAGTTTAATCAAATTTAGCCCTATTAATGTTCCTCTTTTTCCTTGAAATTTATTCTTTAGGTGTTTTATTCTAGCTTATCCCCCGCATTTCTTTTTGACAGCTCATTTTCAATCTCTACCTCTTCTGCACACTAAGGGCTTTTCTTTGGTTCTGACTTTTCCTCTTATTCACAATTGACGGTTCACATGACCTCGTTCTGTATTTCCTCTCTCTCGTTTTCCCAGGCTTAAACACTTGGAGAGATTTTCTCTTAACACTCCTATAAAAATGTGAGTTTATCTAATGGAGATTTAATAAAGCAAATGCTCTCTCCACAAAGAGATATCGCTGGACCACTAAAAATTCAACAATGTTCTCAACTAAATTTTCTCCATTTGTATTATTAAGGGAGACTAACTAAACCCACAGTTCTCCACAATGACAACTGCCCTTACAGATTCGCTTAAAAAAAGTAGTCCATATATTCGCTAAAATCTAGAGGATATTTAATAATATGAGTGCAACTCTTTTCTCCTTTAGGGTATGGACAGGAACATTCATTCGAAGTCAAGGCAGATGCCTAAAATATTGCAGTAAGACAATCTTCTCATTGTCTGTAGCAGATACAGACACTGGTTACTTCTCCCCCAAATTCACTCATACGATACTGAACTAATGCTATGTTAAAGCAGAAATATGCAAGAATGTACTCAATAAATAAGGTCCCTGCTTAGTTGTGGTGGTAAAATGTGAAGGGAAACTCAGGCAGTAAACAAGATCAGAGAAAAAAAGGAGGCAAGACAATCATAGTTGACAATAGATCTGTTCTTAGTTTCAGTTTTGTCACCAATATCTCAGAAACCCAGAAGCAAAGGATGTATGGCTAATTCTACCTGAGAACTTCAGTGTGACTCCATTTTGATGCAATCAAAACTTGAACTCATCTTCCAAGATTGAAAGCAATGGTCCCCCTACATACTACATACCACTGTCATTATCATTGTCATTTCTCCTTAAAATCATTTCATCCCCCATTGTATGTTCTATTTGTGAATATCTTCCTTGGTCCATGAATCTGCCTTCACTCTCCGTATTCTTCTTCAGACCTAGACAGTATGCTCTTAAGAACTGAGTAACTTCATTCAGGATATGGCCACTACTATGAAGATGACTTTTGGACAAAGGACTGGTTTTAGGAATCCTGAAAGTTTCTGGGAGACTTTACCAGTCTTATTTCTGCAAGTCATGATTACCACACATTTTGTAGCTAAACAATTGCTGTTCCTACACTGTAAGATCATCATCTTGGTAAGTGACATTTTCATCAGTATGGGTTATTCTTTCATTCCATAATATCCTATGACCCAGACTAGGCCTTTGGGTTCTAGTTCACCCTTAGATATTTATGTTTTATGTTCTCCTATGATGGTTAATTTATCTTAAGCATATCTCAGTCCCCAAAAAAATGCTTAATTTTTTTTATATTTTTAAATGACTGTCACAGCAGCATTATTCAGAGTAGTTAAAAAGTAGAAGCAACCCAGGTATCCATCAGCGAATTCAGATTAAAAAATTCTGCAGGCAACCAAACTTTTAGTCAAGTGAGAGGAAATCAGAAAATGCAAGTATCCATTTACCATTCATGGGGGAAATAATTCTTTGATACTTGAGAAAATACCACAGCTGACTAAAAGAATAAATAAAACTGTTACATCTCAAGAGGTAATATGATATTAAAAATTGATTATGTGTACTGCACCCATTAAAATTCACATTAATAAATAATTACTAGTTTTTAACATCAATATGTTACATAATTCTTGTATCAAATATATTTCTTGGGAAAGAAAATAAACAAAATAAAAAATAATATTTTTAATACCAGGAATTTGACCTAAAAAACTAATTAATTAATACATGTTGAGCAGGAGTAGAGAAGAGGAAAGTAAAAGTGTGATAAGTCTCTTATATAGGAGAACCAGTAATAGTCTTCCATTCTTATAATTGGTTGAAAATTACATATATATGCTAATCTCTGTGTATATGTATATTTTTATATACATATAATGTGCATATGTGAATATATATATAACTGTAGAACAAAAATGTGCATTCTACAAATGGGAATATAGAATAAAATTTGTAGAAAAAATAACTAATAGGAAGAAAGAGGAGCTACAATGACATATAATGTATAGGGAAGAAGAAAACAGTAAGTATAAACCACAAAGAATAAAATAAAATGGCAAAATAAGACTATACCTGACTTGGCATAGTGAATATAAATGGCTTAAAAGATAACAATAAAAGGCAAATAAAATCAGATTATATCAAAAGGTAAAAATCTAAATTTACTAATTATAAGAAGCACATGTATAAACAAATTGACAAAGAAATGTTGAAAATAAAGGGATTCAAAAGTTTCCCTGGTCAAAAGGAACATAGAAAAGTTAGAGGAATAGACAGGTAGAAATATTAGAATCAGACACAGCATCATGTATCATGGCAAAAAATATGAAATGGATAAAATGATTATTATACACCTGTAAAAGTTACAATGCACAGTGCAAACATAAGCATCACAAACAATCCATACACTGAGGAAATACATAAAATAAAAACTGTTAGGAAGGAAAGGAAACCTTACATAAAACTTTAACATAACTGTAACATACATCTAGGAGATAAAACAGAATTTCCGGAATGACAAAATATCTTTAATAGGCATGACTAAGCTTTACACTATACAGAGAATATGCCTTTTTCTGTAACATCCACAGAACAAACAGTAAAATTCACTATAATGGTTTTAATAAAGTGTGAGCATTTTGACTCATCCACCCCAAAAGGGCATATTCTTTCTACACTAATTGTATAGCCCAGGATGTTAGGAATTAACCAATATTCTTTAGTCCTTGAAAGATCTTAACCTTGAAAACACTCAGAGACAACATACGAATAAAACCCACACCAGCTTTTCTGTGTGCTTTATCTGACTGTAGTAGGCTGAATAAAGGCCCCCAAAGATGTCCCCATTCTAAGCCCTGGAACCTGTGAATGTTACTTTACATAGCAAAAGGGACTATGCAGATGTGACTAAGAATCTTGAGACAGGGAGATTTTCCTGGGGATTATCCAGGTGGGCCCTAAATGCAATTTCAAGTCTCTTTATAAGAGGGATTGAGAAGGAAACTTCATCAAAGAACAGGAAAAAATCAGTGTGACCATAGAAGCAGAGATTGAAGCGATGTGGTCACAAGGCAAGGAATGCTGGCAGCCACCAGACACCCGGAAGAGGTCAGGAACAGATTCTCCCCCGGAACCTCCAGAGGGGAGACAGCCCTGCTGTCACCTTGATTTTAAGCCAGTGATGTTGATTTCAGACTCTGGCCTCTGGAACTGTGAGTAAATAAATGTGTGTTGTTTTATCCACTAAATGTCTGTTTTAAGCCACCTACCACAGGAAAGTAATACTCTAACCTCCAGCTAGTTTCTCTCTCTGGGACTCTCCCTGTATCAGCAATGGTACTATCACTTTCCTTGTCACCCAATCACCATGAACTTCTCCTCTCTCGCACCCATACCCAAAGTAAGGGGTAGTGGGAATGGGTGGATTTTCATCCCACCTCTTTTTTTAATGAATAAATTAAATAAAAGAGTATCTCCACAAGTTTGCCTACCTATCATTTTAAAGTAAAACCACCGTAAGTTTGATTGTTGACCTTTCTGGTGAAATTGCTAGAAATAAAGAAAGTATCTTACCAACCTAAAGGAAATGGAGATAAAAGAGTTGGAGAAGAAGCAGGATGCCTAAGCCTCGTCTTTAAAAAAGAGGTTTTTTACATATCTTTCTCTTACCAAACTTTAGGTTGCTAATACATTTATCACTATAATTTTATTTTTAATTAACATTCCTGGTGAAAAATGGACACATTTGATAGATTCAGAGGCTGTAATAAAGTCATCTGTCCTAAGAACCAGGAAGCACACAGAGTGATGTAGTTCACTAAAGGTTTCCCCCACCTCGATTTACATGGGCCTTAACTTTCAAGAGATTCAACATGGCAGCTTTAATAATAATAAAAGAGAATCTTGTGTGTCCTTCAATAGTTGACTGAAAGTGTGGCAGGCCAGGTCTCGCTAACAGCTGAATAGGCAGGCCTCCATGACAACTGTTTCAGCACTGACTGAGTGGTTAAGATAAATATTAAAAACTGATGGGGCCAATGTCCTCATACAAAGGCTGGAATGTAACAAAGCCCACCAAGAGCTTTTGCCTAGGTCTTCCCTGGGCCTTGAAGCATGACAAGATAACGAAGGAATTCCTAACAGGACCCATTTAGGATTAAACAAGTTTTATTGGGGGTCTAAAGGAACTCCCTAGACCTCCACAAACAAGCTTTATTGGGGACTAAAGGAACCTCCATGATTTAGCAGGAGACAAGATAAGGGTAATCACCCTGGCACCTGGACCCATTTAGATTAAGAAAATTTACTAAGGCTCCAGAGGAAGGTCTTCAGTACTCAGATTTTAGTTATAGGTTAGAAGTTGATTACTTGGCCGGACGGGGTGGCTCATGCCTATAATCCCAACACTTTGGAAGGCCGAGGCAGGTGGATCACCTGAGGTCGGGAGTTTGAGACCAGCCTGACCAACATGGAGAAACCCCATCTCTACTAAAAATACAAAATTAGCCTGGCATGGTGGTGCACACCTGTAATCCAAGCTACTTGGAAGGCTGAGGCAAGAGAATCACTTGAACCCAGGAGGCAGAGGTTGCAGTGAGCCGAGATCGCGCCATTGCACTCCAGCCTGGGCAACAAGAGCAAAACTCCGTCTCAAGAAAAAAAAAAAAAGTTTATTACTTATGTCTTTAGATGAATGCACACTTACATACTTACACATAGACATATAGCTTAGAAGGTGTATAAGCTCTGGAAAACTTTATAATTTTGAGTTGGTCTGGCAATATTTCCCAGCCTTCTCTCTGTACCTAGTTATATAAATAAACTCCCTTCTATCCAGTTCATCTGCATCTCGTTATTGGGCCATGAGAATAAGCATAAAACAAACCTTCCTTTGATGCTGGTATCTAAGCACCAAAAAATAGATACCAGCATCAAAAGAAGGTTTGGATACAACCTTCTTTCATTTTGTTTGGATACAAGGAGCTAGTTTGGGTCTGCTCCTTTAATGTATCTATGCTCATATTTTCCTTCCTCAATTATAAAATAAATTAGAGGTGAACACTGTGGTTAGCCATAGATTAACCAAGAAAGCAGAAATCATCTCAAATGTTCACAGCAGAAGGAATGGAAAGCAGTGGTGGGTCCATGAAGAGTGGAGAGGCTGAGAATTAAACAGAGGGCTCTAAAATAATCCTGGGAGATTGACGATAGCAGGAAGTCTTTATCATTCTTGGGCTGGAGAGACAAAAGGAAAACATGGAATTACTGGCACCAAGAGGACCACTCTGGGAGACTGGATCTCTGGTGGCCTCGATACAAAGGGGGCTGGAGTCACAGAGAAGATAAAGCCACTGGAGAGGCCACCTTAGGCTGAAAACAGGAGGGAGTGTCTTGATAGCTCCCTCCCCCAAAAACCACTCCTCACTCTGCTCTCTAATTTTCCATGGTTGATATATTCCTGCTGCCCGTTGACTCAGTCCTTTCAGAAATTCTCTGGAGCCTGAAAAAGTCACCCTGCCGAGGATCAACTTCTTCACCCCAGAACAAGGCAGAGCAGAAGGATGGATCTGAGTGCAAACAGGTCCAGGACCAGCACACCATATGGTAAAGTGTTTTTATGGTGTTATATAATAGAATATATCATTGAATTCAACTCCTTCATTTTACAGAGAGGAGCTAGGGTCCAGAGAGATGAAACTGTTTACCTAAATGCACACACACAACAAGCTTTTAGGTCTGAACACACAGCATGCTTTTATTAGGATTGTATTAGTTATGACACTGCTTAAGCCCTATTATAAAGTTGTTGGGAGCTGAGTCATTTCATAGTCATCCCTAGTACCTGATACAGCATCTGGTGCTTAGAAAACTCTCATTAAAACATTTATTGAATTCATACAGATTGAAAGAGAAAACATAGCCTATCAACTGATCTAAGGTAGCTTTAGAAAATTTCCAGTCATATAAGAGTTACTGAGCAAAGACTGTCAAAACAAAGCAAAGTCTTTGTTAAACAAAGACTGTCAAAATTATGCCTCTTAAATGTTTCAAAAGGGAATCATACATTCTCACTGGCCTGTGACGGTTTAAATTTTCTATGATTCAGAACAAGAACAAAGATATGTTTCTTTTAACTCTCATACTAAACTATTATTTGAAATAATAAAAAGGATGTCAGCAATGAAAAGCTGTACAGGTTGTACAGAACAGATTGATACAAATAAAAAGCTAATAAATATTTATGTGGCCGCGTGTGGGAGGTGTTGCCTGGAGTGTTTCCCCCACATCCCTGACTATGGAGTGAAAAAGGAAACTTAGGAAAAAATATACCCAAAGAGGGAGATTTAAATAGCACAGTGGGCAGTGGGGGAAGTGATGACTAATATTGCTGTTAGTAGTGGTTTAGGAACAAAAGAGACAAGTCAGCTGGAAACCTTCTGGTGTCTTCTGCTAGGGCTCCTTGCTAAAGCTGATGCTGGAAAGGAGGAAGGAAGGAAAGAAGGAAGGAAAAGAGGGAGAGAGGGAGCGAGGAAGGAAGGAAGGGAAGTCATTAGAATGTAAGCTGAACACCCATTTGGTGCTTTTGGCCAAACAATAATACACATGTTTAAAAGTTCATTACGGTGGGAACCCAACTTAAGTAGAATTAATGAAATTGATACAGAACTTGAAATTCACTACCTAAAATTATTCATTAAAAATGCAACATGCATTGAATTAATGTAGCAGCACCTGAAGGAAGTCAAAGAAACTCCAGTTTGAATTTTGGGAGAAAAGAAAGTATCATTTAATTTGAAATAAATGAAAAGAACCTAAAAGAGCAAATGGCTAAATAAGTAGAAGAGGTTTTTTGCAACCTATAATTACTGGGGGATTTTTTTCAGGAAGCTTCAGGAAAGAAGCTCCGACCCTCAGATTAGTCATTCGTCACCCAATCACTGGCTGCTAAATTAGAGGCCAGGAAAAAGAGATCAGACATGTGCAAGAAGGAAGAAGAAGAAGGAAGAGGAGAAGGAGGAGGAGGGTGGGGGAGAGGGAAGAGGAAGGGAAGGAAGGGGAAGCAGCTGTCACTTTTTTGTTTCAGTGAAACTATACAGGGCAAAATCCCATTAGAGCTTTCTGAGAAGTTATGTCTGGGACAGATCTGATGGTAGGCTTGAAACTTCGAACAGAGTCCAAGAAAAATCCCCCCCCTTTTTTTTTTTTTTTGGTTTTGTAGAATTTAGAACTATTTTTCTAGGTGTCTGAAATAAAATAAAATTTTAAGTAGTTGAAATGTTAAGTAAATTGTTTTCAACAATTTGCAGATTTATGTCAGAATATATGTTATGGGATTAAGCAGATAAAATAATAATATTAAACATCAAAGTAAGAATAGTGTGAGAGATGAATAATTTAAGGCAATTTCAGTTGCATGAGGTTTTTTTTCTTTTTCTTATGAATAAAAATATAATATAATTTTATTACTCTGTAGAGAGGTTAGTAAACTAGGAGAAACTCAAGAGGGGAAATGCAAAACATAATAAAATAGAATACATTCGATTTTAAAAGAATGTCTGTATTTCATTTGAGTGCTGGCCAAAAGATAATGGCATTTCTTGGAAGAAAAGCAGTTATCAGAATTTAAAATTTCAAAAACCTGTATTAGGAAGACACATCACTTATGTAGTATGTAGTATTCTTGTCAACAATATTTTGTCTAAATCTAATCATGATGAAACAATCAGAAAAATCCAAATTGAGAATAATCTGTAAAAGGAATGGTCTTTGTTTTGTTACATGTATACATATATGTAAATATATATCCCCAAAGCCGACCTTGAGAAGGAAATTCACTGAGCCATTCCTTACGAGTGTTCCCAGGAGAAACAGGAAAGTGAGAAGTCAAGTCGGTCCAAGAAGAATAAAGAGGCCAAGCCCAGTTGCATATCAGCAATCTCACAGAGAGAGCTGCCTCAGTCCCTCGAGGGTAAGTAGATGACCTCAGAGTTGTCCCATCAGTTGCTGCTTCAGAGCCACACTTTCAGCTCATCCTTGCACTTCATGCAATCTGTGAGCCCCACAGGCAGAGCAAGTCCTGGCTGCCTGAGGTTATTCCCTATGAAAGAAGCAGATCTAGGTTCCCACAGCAGTCTCGGCTGTAACTAAACAGAAGGCTTCATTCATGATTGGATTAAGGATGGGGGAAGGGCAGGTGGCTATGAAGGTTATTACTTGGACCACAAGGACAATTTTTAAATGAGCTGTACATTAAATATTTAATTTTATTGTTGTTAAATTTTGAGTGTGATAATTATGTCACGCTTATGTGGAAGAATATCCATGTACTTATAAGATACATACTGAAGTATTTAGGACAAAAATGCTGTGTCTAAATTTATTCTCTAATAGCCTCACAAAAGAAAAGTAATATTGATGTGTATGTGTGAGTATATGAATGTATATACACACATACGTGTATACATATACATTTAGTATGTTTATGTATATGTTTGTAGACAGACTAAAATAGAGGAAAATATGGAAAAATGTAAACAAATGGTGACTCTAAGTAAAAAGATATATAGATATTTATTGTACTATTATTTTAACCTGTAAGTTTAAAATTTTTCAAAACAAATAGTAGGAGAAAAAAATTAGCACTTGTCATGGTAACTTTTTTTCAAGAAAAGTTGTGTTTAAGATCAAACCAGGTGCGGTGGTTCATGCCTGTAATCCCAGTACTTTGGGAGGCCAAGACAGGAGGATCACTTGACCCCAGGAATTTGAGACCAGCCCTGATAACATAGTGAAACCTGTCGCTACAGAAAATTTAAAAATTAGCTTGGCATGGTAAGCTGTAGTCCCAGCTACACAGGAGGCTGAGGTGGGAGGGTCGCTTGAGCCTGAGAGGTCGAGGCTGCAGTGAGCCATGGTCATGCCACTGCACTCCAGCCTCAATGCTTTTATAAGTGTTCTTATATAAGCAATAAGTAAATTGCTTATATAAACTCTTATATAGCTATTTATTTATTTTTTTGAGATAGGGTAGGCAATACTCTGGTAACAAACCATCCACAAATCTCAGTGGATAAAAACATAAAATCATTGCATATTGCATTAAGCTGCATTGAAAACCCAGTAAGAAATTTGGTGTAAATAAAATGAAATAAAAATGGGAAAAATAAAGTCCTTAAGATCATTGTGTTAGGAAAAATTGTCTACTGACTTCTTGACAACAGGACTTATTTATTTATTTTATTTATTTATTTATTTATTTTGAGACAGCGTCTCTTTCTGCAGCCCATGCTGGAGTGCACTGGCGCCATCTTGGCTCACTGCAGCCTTGACCTCTGGAGCTCAAGTGATCCTCTCATTTCGGCCTCCAAGTAGCTGGGACCACAGGTGCGCCACCCAACCTGGTTAATTTTTGTATTTTGTGTAGAGACAGGGTTTTGCCAGGTTGCCGAATCTAGTCTCGAACTCCTGGGCTCAAGCCATCCATCCACCTGGGCCTTACAAAGTGCTGGGATTATAGGTGTGAGCCGCTGCGTCCAGCCAGGACTTCTGATTTCTTTACTGTTTATTAGAGGATGGACCCTATTCCCTCCAATCATAACTCACTTTTTAAAGCAGTGATTCTCAGCCCTTTTGGTTTCAAATTTTTGGTAGCCTATTTAAGGAGGAGGTTAAGATACCCAAAATATCGCCAGTCAAGTCCTGAATCATTACAGTGCATACTTCCACCGTAAAATTCTGTCCCAGAGTGTCTGAAAAGTATCCATAACAACTCGTCAGCTCCATGTAACTAACTGCTTCAGTGAAAATGATTATTGTCTTGACCTCATTCCTTTATACTTAAAAGGACAAATTTCTCATATGTTCCAGAAAGTATGCCATCTTTATTTAGCACTATGCAGCTCATCTCTTACTTGCAGCAAGTTGTACCCAGTCTACATAATTTCTGTAACCTACTACTCCATCCAGCAGTTATTTTTGACCAGCACTGCTGCAATAATACATATACTTGTTTAAGCAGAAGTTAATCTTACACATTGGTTTTGACAATACCACTGTTTCACAGATATTTCCTGTTCTGTCTCCTTACATCCATATGGTAAGATTGTACATGCTGGTCCCCTTGCGGTGGGGTTAGGTGACCAGTTCTAGCACTTGTCACCCGTAAGTGATGAGTAGAAGTGACAATCCACTTCTGGGCCAGAGTACTTAAATGTTGATGGTAAACCCACCACATTTCTCTCTTTTGCTTCCAGCACAGTGACCCATGATATTCAAGGTGGTGGCTCCTTTGTCAGATGAATTCCTGAGTGACCATAAGCAGAGATCTCCTAACGACCCATGATGGGTAGTGTGAGCAAGTATGAACCATCTAGTGGAGCAAGAAATAGTGCCTATATAAGCACCGAGATTTGAGGATGGTTTGTTACCAGAGAATTGCCTACCTTATCCTGACTGATAATCAGATGTAATAATATACCTCTGACTGGTGTTGGCTCCATCATACACCAGGGAAACAGCTGTTGTCTAGTACTTATAACATGTAACTCAAAACCCCTGGTTTAAATGAATTCCTGAGTGCATTATGCATAACATTTGTATAATTGGCTTTTGTAAACAAGACATTGCTATAGTTCTTCACAGAATTATGCTAATATCGATAGATTATTCTTCATTTATCTTTATCTGTTCTGAGCGACTGAAAGAGGAAAGATTTGTTATGAGAACACATAAATACAGTATCATGAAAGGGAAAGAAAAAGTTCTGTTTTGCGGAAGGCATTAGTCCCCTTTGTTAGTCAAATGAAGAGAGACTATTCATTATACTTTAATCTTAAGGAATCCAAGATTGCTAAACTAATGGATGACATGTGACTAAGGAATGAATTAGTTGAACTTTATTCTATGAGTTGCCACCATGAACTGTGCAATTATAGCCAGGTCCTTTAAATGCTTTGAATGTTTTTCATGTGCGGATGAGATTATTTCAGACCTACCAGGCCTTGAAGAAGGATCAAAGTCTTGTCAGAGCTTTTGCCTAAAATTGAAAATATCATGTTACTTGGACTATTTATTTATCCCTGCACCTTGTTGCAAAAAGGATTTTAAGTAGATGGCATATTATTATTTTATTAACACATTAAAAAAAACCCATAAGAGGATTATAGAGTTTTTCCCTATCCTACTTCTCAGAGTGTTTTAAGCACACTGTAGAATTTATTCACTCATGAATTTGATACAAACTAAAGTGAAAATCTCTTCTCTGGAACCTCATAATGCTTAGAAAGCATAGTAACACGTTCAGAGAAAGAGGAAGATCAAATTTAGAGGAAGCTCTTGTTTGAGTTTCTGCCACAATGAGTTTCCCATTCTAGATATTAAAATAATAGTATATACCCCAAATAAAATACTCAAGTTTCTGTAAATTAAGGATTATGACTTGATTATACATATTTTAGATTTAGAGCATGCATAAAAAAATATCTTTTTCACCAACTAGTAGAAAAAAATTCAAAATAATGTGATGATTTTAATCTTCCATGATATGTAATCTAAAATATCAAAACATCACTGACTTTGCATTATAATTAAATATAAAAGGTGACTGACTTAAGCCAAATTTAAAAAAAAAAAATTGAGACAAGGTCTGTGTCATCAGAGGTGGTAAGCAGTAGTGCAAACACAGCTCACTGCAGCATTGACCTCCTGGGCTCAAACTCTCCTCCCATCTCAGCCTCCCAGGCAGCTGAGATCACAGATACACAGCACCACACCCAGATAATTTTTTTTTTAAGTAAGGACAAAATCTCACTATGTTGTCCAGGTTCCAAATAAATTTTAAGAGCCTAATTTTAACTATTCAAAAACTAAGCAAATACCTGAAAATTATTTCTTCTGAAAAACACATACTAAATAAAAATCTATTATACTTATGGATTTTCAGAGGTCTTCATAAGTATTAACTCATAAATTCTTGTGGCTTTCCCAATTGTCACATGTCTCCTTTCATGAAATATTTTGTAAATTTTTACTATGGTATTGGACAGAGCATGAACCTCAGAATTGCCCAAATCTGAGTTCACCGACTTAATCAAGCACATATTAATATATAATCTTGGATAATTTATCAATTTAAACTGAAGAGCTTTATCTTCAACATTTCTAAATTATGCGTGTTATAAACAATAAATCAGGTTATTCCATTACATTTAATAACTAGCAACCCACACTGTGATAAGTGTCAGTAATGCAACAGCATGGTAATATATAGGCAAAGCACCAACCAGAAATTAAGTATCTGTTGAATTTCTCTCTACTCTCCTTTTCCCTCAACCAATTCCTGAATAAATGTAGGGAGAAACAGGAATGTTTTAAGAAATCTTCTTCAACTAATATGAAATAGGATATCTGAAGACTCATCCTTCTGTCTTCCTAGTCTATAGTTTGTTCCACAGCTATTTTTGTGACTAAAGATACTAAAATTAGACATTATTTTTATCTCTAAATTTCAAGGCAGTTGTTAAGAACTATGACTAAACTACCAAAATAAAGAAACATAGAGGAATAATGAACATTGACTACAAACTAAACTGATTGTCACATATTCTATGTGGTGATTTGAGAGACTGCTTCTCATACACTGTAATTCAATGAAAAAATAGCATATACAAAATGATTACTTAGTAAGAAAAATTCAAACTTAAAACGAGTTGTCAATGTGACATGCCATGTTAGAAATGAATAATAAAATGTGTGCCAAGGGCTAAGTAAGGCATTTTTCCCTTTTTTTCTCTTTTAAAAAGGACTACAAAAGAGCAGTTTTTTTGGTTAAAAGAATTAATGAAAATTGCTAAATCAATGACGCTTTCAGAAGTTCCCTGTTTTTGACATCAGAGTCATATTATAATGCTCTATTTCCTGTTTCCTCACCTAAACAGAATTTTGCTTCAGGCAATTTTTTATCTGAACTTCTGTTTGTAGAAACCAGGGACATTTATTGAATTGTTTCTGGCTGGCTATTTGATCGTAACAAAGCATTTAAATGATACTGATGCCCTGGCTTGAGCAACGGAGCATCCCAGACTTTCAGTTAGTTGCACACAGCACACATACAACTCATTTGAGTTACAGCTAAATGCAATTACAGGCCTCAGAGCTAATATATAGATCACTTCTTATTTAAGGCAATTCACCTTTGAATTGGTTAACCTTTAATTGTTCATAAAATAATAAGATGGGAAACAAAGTTGCTACCCAATATGTTAGTTTCCCCAAATAAACACTTATTTAAAGGTTCATTTGTTAATCAAGTATCTGGAAGTTGAAATACATTTTTATGAAAGGAAATAAATTTTAGGTGATGATTAGGTTTTTATCAAGAGCTGAAGTTTTTAATAACGAACAGGGAGAGATACTATGGCAAAACAGTAATTGAATAAAACATAAATTCAATAAAATGATATGAAAAATCAATGTTTGACATTTATTGTGCAGTGCTGGCTGGGTGCAGTGGTATGAGCCATACCACTGTGTACATCCTCATCTGTCTACCAAATATGGCCCCCAGGCAGTTTGCTCAAGGTCACATACTGGTGGAACAATAATTAGAAACATTTTATCATCCTCAATTTAATTCTCTTTATATTTGACTCAGGATAAATGTCAAACATTGATTTTTCATATCATTTTATTGAATTTATGTTTTATTCAATTACTGTTTTGCCATAGTATCTCTCCCTGTTCATTATTGGTATGAGCCATATCACTGCACCCAGCCAGCACTGCACATTTTAAGTGTATGTTCTATGAGTTTTGAGAAAGGTATACATGCATGTAACCACCTTGCTAATCAGGATATAGACTATTTCCATCACCCTCAAGGAGTTCCCTTTTGCATTTTGCAGTCCATCAATCTTCCTCTACCCCTTAGCTCAGACAACCATGAATCTACTTTTTGCCATTATAGATTAGATTTTCCTGTTATAAATTTTTATGCAAATAAAATAATATACAAAATACTTATTTGTGTCTGGCTTCATTAACATAGGATAATGATTTTGAGATTATTGATGTCAATCAGTGTTATCGTTCATTATTTATTTCATTGTTGGATGGTATCCCATTAAATTGATATACCACAATTTGCTCATCAATTTACTTTTCTGTTTTTGAGTTGTTTCCAGTTTTTAGCTATGATGAATAAAGCTACGGTGAACATTCATGTACAAGTCTTTGTGTAGACAATTGTTTTCTCTTGGTAAATACTTAGTGGTATTATTGGGTAGTATAGTAAATATATGTTTAGCTTTACAAAGTGCTGCACCATTTTAATCTCCCACTGGCAATGTATGAGTGTTCCAGCTGCTCCACATTTTTCCCAATATTTAATACTGACAACTTTAAAATATTAGACAATCCAGTGGATATATAGTGATATCTCATTTAGATTTTAATTTGCAATTCACTGATGATATACTATTGAGCATCACATCTTTCATAATGTACTTTATTTTGCGAAGACACATACCCAGCATATGGAAGACCCTCAATAAATATTTGTTGAACTTACACAAATTGAATACAGAAAATGCAGCTCATCAAAGGATTTGAGTTAATTTCCTGGCATTTATGAAATACCGAGCAAGTTATCAAATGATAGCACTTAAGCTAATTCTCAAGTATTTAAAAGAAAGTGTACATCCTCATCTGTCTACCAAATATGGCCCCCAGGCAGTTTGCTCAAGGTCAAATACTGGTGGAACAATGATTAGAAACATTTTATCATCCTCAATTTAATTCTCTTTATATTTGACTCAGGATAAATGTCATTGATTTTTCATATCATTTTATTGAATTTATGTTTTATTCAATTACTGTTTTGCCATAGTATCTCTCCCTGTTCATTATTAAAAACTTCAGCTCTTGATAAAAACCTAATCATCACCTAAAATTTATTTCCTTTCATAAAAATGTATTTCAACTTCCAGATACTTGATTAACAAATGAACCTTTAAATAAGTGTTTATTTGGGGAAACTAACATATTGGGTAGCAACTTTGTTTCCCATCTTATTATTTTATAAACAATTAAAGGTTAACCAATTCAAAGGTGAATTGCCTTAAATAAAAAGTGATCTATATATTAGCTCTGAGGCCTGTAATTGCATTTAGCTGTAACTCAAATGAATTGTATGTGTGCTATGTGCAACTAACTGAAAGTCTGGGATGCTCCGTTGCTCAAGCCAGGGCATCAGTATCATTTAAATGCTTTGTTAAGATCAAATAGCCAGCCAGAAACAATTCAATAAATGTCCCTGGTTTCTACAAACAGAAGTTCAGATAAAAAATTGCCTGAAGCAAAATTCTGTTTAGGTGAGGAAACAGAAAATAGAGCATTATAATATGACTCTGATGTCAAAAACAGGGAACTTCTGAAAGCGTCATTGATTTAGCAATTTTCATTAATTTTTTTTAGTCCTCTACGACGGGCAGCTAGCAACTCGACAGGAAAATACAGGAACCTGAATAAACCTGACCTGTCTTCAGCATCATTTATATACTGCGGTTATGCCCACGGAGGTTCCTGGACTGCATGTTTTGATTGGATGAGAAAAAACCTCCAGGCTTACTCTGATTGGACTTTATTATCATGTTCTGATTGGTTGAGAGCAAGTCTTAACACAACCAATCACAGCATGAAAACAAAGTCCAATCAGAGTAGGCCTAGAGGTTTTTTTCTCTCATCCAATCAGAACATGTAGTCCAGGAAATGCATTTGCATAACCTCGGTATATAAAGCATGCTGAGGTCGTATCAGGTCATTTCAAGCTCTTCTGTGTCTAGAGGAAGAGCTATCCCGTGACCGGCTTAGAGAACTGGAAGAGGCCGCAACCTTTCTCCTGCTTGAAGCTGGAGGATGGATGGAGCCTGGAGCCCTGGAGCGTGGGACACTGTTTCGCTGTGGTTGGTGGTGGCGACAGAGCAGTAGGAGAGCGCCCGGCAGCGGGAGCTTCTCCTGCTGGGCTGGAGGACTAGGAGAAGGAAGAGGCACTGCCACATGCTGGAGGCTGGAGCCTGTGCCACCGTGGCTGGCCTCGCTCTGGTTGGTTCGCCTCGCTGTGGTTGGTGGTGACGTCGGAGACTGCAGCTCGGCCACAGTGGTAGAAATGTGATGGGGTAGGTGAGTTTCCCGGGGCTGCCCTGCACGCCTCTGGGGGCAAGGGTTGGGTGTCCTACTGGGGCTCACTGCTAGAGGCTACCCTGCCTGTGGCAGTGGTCTGGTTGGGGGCACTCTCCGGGGTGGCATTGCTGGTGGTGGGGCAGGTTGGCTGGCTATCTGGGGCTATACTGCCTGCGGTGGCAGGGGTGGTCGGGGAAAGCAGATTGTGTACACTAGCGTATACTGCCGGTGGCTGGGGAAGGATTAGGGGCGCTATCTTCTGCTGCACTGCCAGCGGCAGGGGGTGGGTTGGGTGGAGTTATCCAGGGCTACAATGCTGGCAGTGGGGGGTGGTTTAGGGACGTTGTTGGATGCTGCACTGCCTGGGGCGTTGTTGGGTGCTGACTCGGGGTGGTGCGCCATCAAGAGCTGAACTGTCCGTGGCGGGGTGGGAGGAGGTGGGTTTGGGATGGTATCTAGTGCAGCAACTCCCGTGGCTGGGTCAGATTTGGGGCACTGTTGGGTGGTACACTCCCTGCAGTGTGGGGGGAGTGCTTTGGGGGAGGTATTGGGGTTACATTGCCTGAAACTAGGGTGTGTTGGATGTGCTATCCGGGGGCTACACTGCTAGTGGCAGGGGTCAGATTAGGGGTGCTGTGGGGGCTACACTGCCAGCGGTGTTGGCGAGCTGAGGTGGCGGCAGCGGCAGCGACAGTAGTGGCCGCCTCTTTCCTTCTGGTGGTCTCCAGGTAAGGGATCGTTCTTCTATTCCCGGACTCCAGACTCTAGAAGGCGATCTTCTCCTGCTCGTGCTAGATTGCACGGCAGGGCCCCCACACCCACTGTGGTTTCCCGGCACGCCCTCATGCTCTGTGTTGCGGAGACCACCTGGGACTACTGGGCAGGGAGTAATAGGCACCCACGGGGGAAGCAGGGGACAGGGCACTGTGGGTGGAGGCGTCAGGAATGGGAACCAGCCCTTGGGTGGGGAGGGCTGGCTGGTTCTGAGTTTCTCCTACTCGGGCTCCCTGAGGAGGGCAGCCCTGGTGGGCCCAGCAATTCCTGGTCAGCTGGAGTTGGCCAGGGGCCGGTTTCAGTGAAGGCATTCACTCCCACCCCAGACCCCAGTTCCTGGCCAGCTTTTGCCAGAAGGAGAGGCTGGACTTTGGAGGGTGGATGTGAGTGCCTTCAATGAAACTGATGCCTGCCACCCAGTCACCAGCGTGACAAGATGAGGCTCTAACGGTTCCACTGTCTGAATCCTGATTTGGGCTTTTCTGGCTTTGCCTGCCCAGCTACTCCAAGCCAGGCTGAAGGAGGAGAAGGCGAGGAGTCGCCTGTGGTAGGGTCGAGCCTGCAGATGACGTGGTTCTGCAGCTTGCCTCATGCGGTTGGTGGTGGCGATGGAGACCACACATCGACCGGAGCGGGAGGAGGGCACCCATGGGGGCCAGGTGGTAGGAGCTGGTAGGGTGGGCTGGTACATTGAGGGCGACAGTGGTTGTATTGGCATTGGCGCTAGTGGTGGTAGCAGTAGGAAGTCTGGGGGCCGGGAAGGGGGAATGGGAGCACTGCAGGGCCCATCCCACTCTGGGGTGGGGAGGAACCTGTGGGTGCTGTAACACAGGCTTCGGTGGCAGTGGTGGTGATACACCTAGGGCAAAGAAGAGTTCTCCCCCTTCTCCTGCAATCTCTGGAGGGTGCCCTCCTGCTGGTGCCTGAGCTAGGCGTGAGTGGCAGCATTGTCTCATTCTTAACAAAATTTAGGGGATGACTATTTGTGTATCCTTTTGCTTGTTTTTTGTTGTGATAGTCTTTGAGTTACTCAAATTTTATGAATCGAGAAGGGGATAAAAGGTATTATAGGCCTTCTAATTCCCATACCTGTTCTTTTTCCTTTCTTCCGCTGTGTGTTTTCTTCTCATTTTCTTGTTCCTCTTCATTTTCTTTTGCTACTGCTTCTATTTCATGTTTGTATTCTTGTTTCTTCTCCTGTTTTTGTTTTCTTTCTCCTCACTGTAATCACCATGATTTATAATTCTACACTTGTTTAATTGTGTCATATGTATTTCTTTTATAGCTCATAATTTCTAGGAGAACTAGTCAGCCTTGGGTATCTGCAGTGCCTAGCACAATGTAAATTTTAAATGAATGAACATAAATAAATTGTATTTCCACAATTTTGAATCTTGGTATAGTGGAAAGAATATCACTCTGGAGGTCAAGAGGCTGTAGTTCTTGTCTTCTCCATGAATATTCTTTATGTGCCGCTTCTACCATCTGTGAAATGAGGGATGGGAGGGGGAGCTTGAGGAAGTGGTATTAGATGATCATTAATAGTTCTGTCAGCATATTCTTCTAGGGTTTTATGAATGTTATAATTGCATTTTAGACCGTAATAACCAAACATTACATATTGATATATTTAATTTTTTATGTAAGTGGTACATGATCAGCATTGTCCACATTTACAATCGATGGAGGAACAATGAAATTCAGTGTTACGTTAATGGACAACTGGTATCTTATGGTGATATGGCTTGGCATGTTAACACAAATGATGTAAGTCTATTTTTCTGTCTGTGGTTTAATTTGAGAGTATGAGCTATCATTACAATATGAGTTGAATAATAAAATAGTTTGGTAGAAACTTAAAACTTTGAAAGTTTTTTTTTATTAAACGAATCTTTCATTGTTAAATTTAGTATAAGAAAATTGTTAAAAGACATGATTAGTGATACAAAAACAGGAACATTTGGCCAAAGTTTTAAGTTTTTTAGATTAAAAAAACCGTGAATCCTGTATTCTATTTATTCCAGCATCAAGCACTAAAAAATGTGGTTTACCCCTTATTTAGATACAGAAAGAAGACCCTAAACAGAAGGATAACATATAGTCACTATTATTAATTACATCGTGATAAATGCTATGGAGAAAATAAATTGGGGATACAGAAAGTGTAGTTGTAGGGAAGGGAGGAGCCGGATGGTCCAGAGATGATTTTAGTAGGAAGAGTTGAGCAAGCGAGGTATGTGGGGAACTTCTTCTATTCAGTGGGAACAGTGAGTGCAAAGGCTTTGAGGCGGAATAGGAAAGTTCAAGGAAAAGGCAGTTTGTCTGGAGCAGAGGGAGGTAGAGGCAGAATAATAAGAGATGAGGTTAGGCAGAAATCATTTTGGCCTTCATAAGCAAACGTAAGGCCTGGGCTTTCGCATCTTACTCAGCTTAAAAATCCTTGGAAGGTTTTCAGCAGACAAGTGATGTGTGCTTCTATTTTAAAAACATCAGTCTGCCTGCAGTATTGAGAATATTTTGAAGGGAAATTACAGAAGCAGGAAGATCACTTAAATGGCTTATTGCAATAAAATAAAGAGATTATATGAGTTTCTACCAGTATGTTAGCAGTGGAAGAAGTGACACAGTTGGATTCTAGGTAGAGAACAACTTGAATTAAAACCTCAAGGGTCCTTACGGTTTCTCTACTTGGGGCTTTCCATTGTCTACATTCTGGCCTGTCAGAGTCAAAGTAAAAGGTTTGTTTTAATGCTGAAAGTACTTCCAAGCTCAATAATATACAACCCTTCAAGCATACCTGGTTTTACAAGAACTTACCTCTTAAACACAATTCATTTCTCAGTTTTGTTTGCATCTCTCTCTAGGCTTTAATTTCCCAAAGGGCAGGGATTTGCTTATCGTGTCTTGTATTCGTTTAACTAGCACTGTGTGTATGGTCCACAGTTTGTCCCCTAGATCGGGGCTTGGCAGACTACACCCTATGAGCCAAATCTGACCCTCCCCCTGTTTCTGGTTTTGTGTAAGCTGGGGCCTAAGAATCTTGGCTTTTAATTTTTAAAGGTTTTTTGTTTGTTTGTTTCTTGAGACACAAACAGAATCAAAGAAGAATGGGACAGAAACCAGGTGTGGCAAGCAAAGTTTAAAATATTTTCTGTCTGTCCCTTTATAGAAAAAGTTGCTTTTCCCTGCCGTAGAAACTCATGGTTGTGCCACAACCAATTAATATTTAATAGAATGTTGTTTTCAGAATTAGAATAGACAGATGAAATTCTGCTTTTTATCTTCTCTCCAGAGGAGATCTTCTCTGCAGAGTCTTTTTATTATAGAGTGGAAGAAATCCCAGTGGTCGTCTTGACTCATTCAATGAGAAGACAGTATCTTGGAAAGAAAAGACTTCGTTTTTTGGTTATTTGTAATAGTGCCCTAAGAAGTGGAGAATTCTAGATAATGACACATACTTTATGCAGTTAAAGTTTAAGTTCCTATACTTCTAATTAAAGATTGGGTATTTAATGACGACAGTTCTTTTTGCCTTTGTATGCATTCACAATTCTTTTTGTTACTTTATTGAAGGACCAAAAGTACTTCTTACATATATGATTCTTGCTTATTCATTCTAAGGTGTGAAATAGCCTTTGAGGATAGGGGAAGGGAACTGAGCCATGACTGCTTTCCCTGGTTTGGGTGGGTGGGGTGTAAGATGTAGAGGCTAGAAAGATCTTAAGCTTTTGGCTTCTTCAGTGCTGAATTCCTCAATGTGGAGAGCACTGTACCATCTGCTTTAAGCAGCAGATTATAGTCTTATTGTGTGTTTCGTTCTGTGTAGTTCCTACTCACACACGAGCGGGGATTTATTTTCTTTGTGTGTTTTACTAAATATGGAGGAATAGAGGAATAGATTCATAATTTCAAAAATAAAGTTGAATTTAAAAAATTAGACCCTATGTTTTCATGATTACATTTTGGAATAGTCATTCCCTTGATTCAGATCAATCTCTCTATATATGGATCATTATACATCATGACAGTTTTAAATTATTTTAACGTTTGTAAATAAATAAATATAAGCTCTTTTGCCTTTAACTATAATATTTGAAAAGTAAGTCGGAAGACTGAGTAGGTGGCTATTGTTTTGTTTGCTTAAATGTAAGTGTAAAACATGTAATTGGTCATTTTTCCCAAAAAACTTGACTGGCATTTATTATTTAAATAATAAAGTCTTAATTGATGCTTTCTTCTATTATTATTGTTATATTTTAAAATATTCCTAAAGGCCGATTTAAGGATTTAAACCTTTTCATCATTAAAAATAATGCATTTTTAATGACTTTTAAAAATAGAGCTATGACAAGTGCTTTCGTGGTTCATCAGAAACTGCCGATGCAAATAGCGTATTCTGTGCTAAACCTGTTGCCATTCAGTGAAGCACTCAACCCAGCACAGATATTTGCAATTCATCAGTTAGGACCTAGATATAAGGTAGTAATAACTGTAATTTTATAAATTCTAGAGAGCGTTTTAGATGTAAAATGTGATGTAATATAACTTTTAGTGAAAATCTTTCTTTAATACAGTTTAAGAGTCATTTCTATTTTTTGGAATGTAGTCAGTTTTTATTATATGTTTCTTTTCGGTTCAAAGGTGCTTTTTTCTCAACTTTTTTTATAAACTTTTTTATTCTTCAGAATATTTTCTAATATTGATAGCATGCCTTTTAACAATTCTGAAATAATCTTATAAAACTGTTTTGCTTAATGTAGTATTTAAAATACAAAAATTTGAAATATATATTACATAATGAACATAATAAAGAACTTGTTAATATTACTGGTAACTTGGAAAGAAGAGTTAAAGATTTAGAAGGAATCTAAGATAATATATTTCATGGGCCTGAAATTATTTAATTTTAGTTTATATTTTTGCTTTAATTGCAGTGAGGAAGTAGGTACAGTAGTGAGTAAACTAATTTAGCAAAACTAATTAATGTAATTTATCATTCTTTCTGTTTTTTAAACTTTAAGAACAAAGACTAGGTAAGATATAGCATGCACATATATGAGTTAGTTTTAAATGTGCGGTACACCTGGCTAGGGGAACATATTAGGGTTCTGTTTAAATCACACTGGGAATTGTGAAGTCTCAAACTACTTAGAGCTGAAAGAGAATTACACATTATAGTCAAAGTGTTTATAATTCTGAAGGAGTACTTGTCTTGTACGGAAGTGTGGTTTTTTTATTGAACTCAATTTAATTAATGTGAAGATTGTGTAATGGAAAGGAAAAACATAAAAAAATTCCCTCTTTGGCCTCTGTATTTTTGCATTGGTATTTCTGTTTTTATTTTTGTCATATATATATATATATATATATATATATACACACACACACACACACACACACACGGATATATATATAGAGAGAGCGAGAGAGGAAAGTTTGAATTTACCCATATTAAAAGATCTTTTTTTCTCAGTGACTTTAATAACCATGATAATATTGAAGGATAATAATGCTATTATTTTTATGTCAAGGTAACAATACTTGCTATCATATATTTTCCATATCATTTTTGTTTTTGTCCTACTAGCTCTAGAAATGAATTTGTGCTTGTCCAGCTACTTTTTCTTTCATGGGTCTTTTTGTCGAGTTTGCATCCTGGTTCTGCCATTGCTGATCTTGCATAGGAATATTTTTGTAATTCACATTTTTTATTAATATGCTGCCTGCTTTTCTTTTCTACTTCTTTGAGTTGTTTCATAAAATGCTTGCAGTATCTTTTTAAGCTCTAATAGAATGATATTAAATAGAGTGACAAGCAAACAAATGAAATATAAAAAGGTAGAGTATCAAGAAGATACAAATCCAATATGATTGCTAATGTGAAATCTCAGAATTGATGGGAGCTTCCTGGCAACATCAAGGAAAAGGGCTGAATATAAGCAATTTTGTAATTCTTCTATTCACAGAGAAGCAAACTTTGTCCTGAACAGCTTTGCAATCTCTGTAGTTTGTAGTATTCTTTTCACACGTCTTTCTCGTCATTCTTTTTAACAACAGTGATAATGAGCAGTAACCCCGGTCATCATACGTGCACAGCTCATGTGACGTAGTGTATCCTTAATATCCTAACACACAGTGTAGAGTACCTAAAGTCAGAACTTTTAAGAGAGATACCTGTAAATTTGGGCATTACATCAGAGAGTATTTTTTTAAGTTTTGAAAGTTCTCAGCTCACTGCACCCCTTGTTGTTAGTGGGGGTTGATAAAGCCAAAGGTACATGCATTTCCTCAATTTGTAAATAGTATAAGTACAATTGCACCATGACAGGCATCAGCAAAAATTTTTTATATTAAAAACCTTTTTTTTTTTTTTAGAAATTCAGAGAACATAGAGAAGGAGGAATGCAAATGATCAGATTGTGTTTTGACAGAAGAAAAGCTGAGTAGTTCACACATAGTCAAAATTATCTTGCTAAAGTCACTCTCTGTGAGTGAAGCGGGGTAGAGGGCTACAGCGGAACTTTTAAGGTGTAGAGAATATAATTAACTAATGGACATTTGGATAAATCACAAAATGGAGTTTAAATTACTTAGTGTTGTATAATAACAGTATTTATATTTATTGCCTTCAGTTATATGGAACTTTCATTGTAATGGTCAGACAATATTTATGATTCTGAGCTTAGTGTAGATAGCATGTCAACATATGGGCTTCAAAATTAATAAAATAAGTTAATTCTACCTTCAAATAATGCCATCAAACTATATATTCAATGGAGCCTGTCACAAATGATTTTGACCTGTTGGTCACTGTAGTGCTAGGTAAATTTTTTTCTGTTGATATTTGGTTTTGAGCATTGCAGCTTATCAGTATATATTCTGTACTTGGTTATTTTCTGGAAACAGTAAATAAGTTAGGGTATCACTTATTAACTAAATAAACCGTTCATTTTGGAAAATACAGAAATACAGAAAATATTTAAAATAACAGAAAATCTCACTGTAGATTTGTCTAGTATAGTAAAATTTACTGCCAGGTAAGTTTACAGTGGCTATTTGGGGTTATTTAATGTCTTCAAGATTGTGTATGAGGTGGCCCTTTGACATAAGCTTGCAAATCAGATTTTAACAAAGTTTTTATATTTTATAATTATTACTAGACATTTTCTCATTGTTCTGTTAATCCCGTGTGGCAAGCAGTTAGTCTTCATGGCCAGATATTTGAAAATTTAGCTTTGAGTTCTCTCCTTCATTTATGAATATGATAGTATAATAGTTTTTATAATTTGCTATATCATAAAGAAGTTCTAACTGATAAGAGAAAAAGTATAACACAACCTCCAAAATTAAAGATCACTTCAGAGGATTTCTGATACTTGTATAGAGGGGTGAGCTCCTAACAAACTGATCTTCTCAAAAATAACCATTTGTAAACTCTGCACATAATATAGATAACATCTATCTGAGGATTGTGAAGATTGAATAAAAGCAGGCGAGGGTAGTCAAAATATGGAACAGTCAGTCTGCATGGACTGATATCCCCATTTTTTGCTTTTATAGGAAACTTTCTGGCCAGAAAGTTTCTCTACAGTATTGTACAGAGTAATAGTCACACTATTTAGCATATAATCCAAAAGTACTTATTCTAAAAATGGTCAGGAAAATGTGACTTATTCTCAAGGGAAGAGAAAATCATCATAGACCAACTCTAAGATAACCCACATGTTGGAAATATCACATGAGGTCTATTGTAGCATATGGTTTAGCCCTTTCTAATGTTGAACTGTGAAGGAAATTAACTCTTAGAACTTACTGTGAGTTTTTTTGTGTCACTGAAAATTATCTTGGATGCAAAATTGTTTTGGGTGTGGAATTGAATTGATTAATGTACAGTGAAGTCAATTTCTGCTATGATCACTCTTATTTAGGAAGAGTTTTGTAGTGAGAGAAATACTATAGAAACTATGATATTAAATATTTTACGTAATTTTAATCATCTTTTAAAATATTTCACTGTAATTCAGTCCTAAATTAGGCTTAAGAGATGAAACCTTTTGAAAATGTCAAAAGATTTTTTCCCCCTTACTGATAACCGTAAATCCGATTTGAAACTTAATCTACTTGATTACTTTGCAACATTCTTTTAAAAGTGGAGGAGGTATTGGATTTTAGGGGGGGAATCTTTACTTTTTACGTAAGTTATTTCCAGTCTTCTTAATAAAAAGATCTTTATTTAAAAAGCCAATCTAGCTGTGGTACTTTGCTTTTTCAGTAAAAACCAAATTGAATAGCCAGTTTATGTCTTCAGAGAGCTACCTTTGAACAGAACTTAGGTTTATATATTCACTCTTAATCATTTTAGTTATGAATTAGGTGTATCTTTATGATATATTGAATTCTAAATAATAAAAGTACCTCAAAAATAATAAAACTTCATGGATCACATTACATGAGTTATCTACATTAGTTATTTTAAAAAATTAAATACAAATTGAAATGGATAAAGTTATAGTAAAATAAGTCAAAATCTATATTTAAATTTTAATGGCATATAAATATATGTATATTATAAACAGGTTAGTTATGTTTTTATACATAGTTAATAAATATTCTCAGGTATTTGTGGGCCAAGACTGTTGTGGCATTCTTTATCAATAAAGGCCAAAAAGCTCTGGAGAAATAATAAATATGCTAATTTATAAGAGGTATTATTATGCTATTTCTTTCATTTTTTTCCCATGGTCTAACCCTTTACGATCTGACACTTGAAATAAACATTATTTTCTAACTTAAATTAAGCTTATTAAGAATTACAAGATGGTAATTATTTTTAAGAAAAAACACCCACTAGATTATTAGCATCATTTTCCTTAAAAAGATACAGGATTACAAACTCTCATCCATTCCTGAAGTAGAATTGCTACTTATAGAACATGTGTTATAGTACTGTCTGTTGAAAAGTTGAGCAATTATATATCATGACATAATAATCAGCATACTTTTGGTCTATAAAATAAAATACTCCTCTGAAAATCTTTTCCTAGGTATTGATATAGTTTTCAAGAGAGTGTTCTATGTTGTATTAGTTTTGGCTGACAACGATACTTGCTTTTTGGTTTATCCTAGAGTATATATTTAGATCCTCTGCAGATGAACTGATGCGTTCTAGAGAGGAAGTTGTATGTAGGAGATATAGGAATGGGCTGAAGTATCTTTTATATTTGCCTTTGTATCTAGGGAAGTTGGAAATAGGCAAGAATGGAGAGAAATTTTGTATGGCAGTACACAGAATTTTGCAAGTTTATTGTGAGCCTTGCAACAATCCGATGCATTTTAGTTACTGGTAAGTTTGTTGAATTATGTTTGAAAATGTACCTCTTCAAAGATGGCCATCTATTTACTATTACGTCCACCATGTCAATTATACCTTATTGTAAAGATTTTTTTTTTTTTTGCAAAGATGTGGTATTGCTATTGCATTGGGTTTTAGGTATAAATTGAAACTACCTTTGTTAGTGAATGCATTTGACATTTCAATTGGTGTCCTAGTTAATGTTGAAGTGAAATTAATACTTCATGGATAGCAGAGTCTTGTTAAGATTTTGGAATAATAATATTAATATTTCAGTTTTTATAATAGAGCTCCACTGTGTTTAGAGGTCTGAGTTAACTCATTAGATATTTGAGAATGAGTAGTTATTCTGACATAAAAGAATGAGAAAATCTGTGTCATCCTTGCAATTGTATATGGTTCTATATAGTAGGGTGATTTACTGTAAAATACTTTTTTGCCTTTTTTCATGGATCATAAGGACCACTGTGAGGCATTTCTAGTCTGTCTTTTTGGCAGTGCTCATGTTTAGGAATCCATTTTCCCTCAATCACTAACTTTGGTGTATGTAAGAATTCTATGAACAGATTAGGAAATTGTGTAATCTCTATGCATGGTTTTCTTTATTCTTTTTACACATCTAGGCAGATGTGTTATGTGTAATATAGTACTTAGCAATTATTTGTGAAGTGGCCTTGACTATTCAATTCATTTAAAATGGACTAGATTGCTTAATAGCTGTGCTTCTTTACAGAAACGTTTTTTAAAATCCCAAGAGACTCATTGGTAGTTGTAGTTTTCTTGTAAGTGTCTATCTTTGGCTTAAGGACAAAGTAAAAAAAATCATTGATATGTGATAGTTTACATTTTTTGTGGTTTAAGGATATAGGGTCAGTTAATATAATTGAATTTTAATTTCCTATAATGAAGTGCTTTATTTCTGGATACTATATTTTGTCTAGCTGATATGTAATTCATTAAACTATCAATTTTTATAATAATGACAATGATAATTTTGCTGTTGGTTCTTGTTATGAGAACATTTCTGATTTGAACAAAAGTAGCCACATTATGAGAAAAATACATTATCCCTATTGAAACTGGAAGAGCTAGAATAATTCAAAAATTAGAATAACTTCAGATTCCTTTCGGGCTTTAATAATTTTCAAGTTTTCCTTATTACCAAATTGAATTACTTGTAAGAATGAGTACTTCTGCATTTAAAATATGTTTAGAAATTTGTGGTTTTACCCTTTCTTATGAATATAAATAGGTAATTTAGGGTATATTATAAAACATTGTAAATTGATATTCTTTTAATTGTTGATAAAATCTGGTATATAACAATTTATTACGAGCTACATTAAGCATATACAATGAAGGAATATGTATTTCCATTATTCAGAATACTATATTCATATATCAGTGTTGCTGGTTAAAATCATTATATGTAACTGTGAAGTAATATATTATCAAAGCTTAATTCAATGCAGTCATTTTCTATTTTGTTTCTTCATTCATTCCAAAGACATACCAAGTGCTAAATCTTTGACGCCTCTGTCTGCCTTTATGTATTTGTTTATATACTGTGTAATTGTCACTTTTCATTTCAATATTACATAAATCATTTCTTTGCTCTCATGAGCTTTTCTTAGGGCATACCTGGACATAAGTGACATGTTACATATTCCTCTGGATTTTTTTTAACAAAGTGTTTTTGAAGAATAGTTCTAAATGAAAAGTTTATTTAAAAATAGGGCTTGTTCTTACAAAGCAATATTGCATCTATATTTAAAATTCTCTACAATAGCTTGTTATTCAAAATAATAGTATGATACAGTCTTTATTATGGAAAATGATGTGTGTATGTTTCTTAGGTTTACTTGAAGCCAGACCTATAAATATATGTAGAGATAAACTTTGATGTTTTACTTTGGAATGTAAAAAAACTACACAGTTATGATTCAGTTTATTATATTTAATTTGTAAAGGACAATAGTTTTCTCATGCTTATCAGGAAATATATTCTTTCATAATATAAGGCATAATAGTCATTGTCAATAAAATAGAGATTAGATTTGAATATGGTTATCTCTTGGCATAATAAAATACTGAAATTGGAACACTGTGTTTAGAATAAACGTGATGATTACATAATGATATCTGTACTTTACATGCAGTGCTACTCTTTCGGCATTCCTGGTTGAACTACTTAAAAGTTCAGTAGCCATGCAAGAACAGGTGCTGGGTGGAAAAGGCTTTTTAGTTATTGGCTAATTACTTGAAAAGGTAGGTGATGTGTTGATGGTTTTATTGTGTAGCCTCACAGTTGGACAGCTGACAATCACTAATTATATTTTTTCTATAATTTCACTTTCCATTGACTGTGTAGAGATTATACTATTTGCTAATTCACAAACACCTTAGATTTAAGTGTAGACATGGAATTAACTGGGTATTGGAAGCATAATTAAATTTTGAATTAAAAAACTAAAGAAAAAAATTTCATCTATATCTATTCAAGCAATAAGTATCATTTCTCTTAAGTTTTTCTATAGTAGTACCCCTTTATTTCTACTCTCTCTTTCTAAGGTGTCACTTACCCATGGACAACTGCAGTTCAAAAATATTAAATGGAATAAACAATTTATAACTTTTAAATTGTGTGCTGTTCTGAGTAGAGTGATGAAATCTCGTACTGTCCCTCTTCATCAAGTCCGGACATGAATCCTCCTTTTGCTCAGCTTTTTCATGCAGTATACACTGTCTTCCTATTAGTCATTTAGTAGCTATCTCAGTTCTCAGACTGAAAATCGTATATATCATCCACTAGGGGTCTTGGAAGCATCGCCTCCGGATAAGAAGTGAGTACTGTAGTTGTTTCTTTGCTATCTTTTCACTTAGACTTTTTTTTTATTTTTTATTTTTTTTGAGACAGTGTCTCACTCTGTCTCCCACACTAGAGTGCAGTGGTGCGATCTTGGCTCACTGCAACCCCCACCTCCCGAGTTCAATCAAGCAATTCTCCTGCCTAAGCCTCCCTAGTATCTGGGATCACAGGTGCGTACCACCATGCCTAGCTAAAGTTTTGTATTTTTAGTAGAAACAGGGTTTTCCCCACGTTGGCCAGGCTGGTCTTGAACTCCTGATCTCAAGTGATCTGCCCACCTCGGCCTCCCAAAGTGCTGGGATTACAAGCATGAACCACTGCGCCTGGCCTTAGACTGTTTCTTGAAAGTCTTTTTTATTAAGATAAAAATCTTTATATTTAGTATACATGGATTTACCTGTTAGGTTTTGTGTTATTTTTTAATTATGCGGTCAAAATTTTTATTTTGTAGTAATAGAAACATTATTTTGTGCTCTTTTTCCCTACTCTTAATATATATGACTATTTAAAGTAGTTTTTCTCATCTATACATAGTATAAACAATAAAAATTAGATGGGTTTACATTTTCCTATTTTGTGTCATTTATGTTGTTTTATGACCTCTTTTGCTTTAGTCACAGCTGTGCTTTTATGAGTGCTGAATTTCTGATTATGATCTCACAAGAGTTTAGTTGTATCATGTGATTTCCTTTAAAAATTAGTGAGATTTCATGAATAAGCGTTTTTTTATTTTTTATTTTTTTATTATTTATTTATTTTTTTGAGACAGAGTCTCGCTGTCGCCTGGGCTGGAGTGCAGTGGCGCGATCTCGGCTCACTGCAACCTCCGCCTTCCGGGTTCACGCCATTCTCCTGCCTCAGCCTCCCGAGTAGCTGGGACTACAGGCGCCTGCCACCACGCCCAGCTAATTTTTTTGTGTTTTTAGTAGAAACAGGGTTTCACCGTGTTAGCCAGGATAGTCTCGATCTCCGGACCTCGTGATCCGCCCGCCTCAGCCTCCCAAAGTGCTGGGATTACAGGCGTGAGCCACTGCGTCCAGCCAGCATGTTGCTGTTTTTTTTAATAACAAATACCTGTGCCCTTTATTAGCACTCTCAAACCTCTTATCAGTTAGTTAACTCTATAATATTCAGCTGCTCTGAAAATGAGACTATTTGAAAAGTAATAGAAGTGAGATCTCAACTAAGGGATAAACATACATTTCCTCTGGAAAAAAATTGAGAAGATACTTTGAAGCAGTTTTAATTTTACCTCCAATTGTTTTACATTTGAAATGTTATCAGTTGATTAATGGACAAACAAAATGTAGTATATACATGCAATTGAATATTATTTAGTCACAAAAAGAGTCAAGTTCTAAAATATGCTATATTTTATATATTACATGTCTTTATACATATATATGTTATATATATAAAAAATATGTCTTTGAAACTAGTGCTGACCTTTCCTTAAGGATTAAGCATTGAAGAGTGGTAGATTGTTAAGATTGATCATTGGTAGCATTTCTTTATTGAGATGATTTTTTCCATAACATTATTAAGAACTTAAGGCTCTTTGGTTTATTTTTTAAAATAAGAGAATACTCTTTTTCTGTATCTAGAGTATTAAGAATTGTTTAGAAGATGTATGATAAGCTACATTTAACATGAATTCGATAACATATGAAATGCCTTTGTAAGATTACTGTGTGTGACAGGATTTCTGTGAGGACTTACCCCTTTAAATGTGCTTTCATTTGTTTACTTGAGAATGTATCAGAAAATCCTAAATTAAACATTCTTTTACTTAAAACTTAGCTTATAATTAGAAATATTTGTAAAAGCCTTCAAATAAAAATGTATGTTAATATTTCATATTATAATGTCAATTTAGTGGATGCAAAATATTATTTCATTGTGGTTTTAATTTGCACTTTTCCTAGATTTTGAATAAGATTAGACATTTTCATATATAATTATGGAAAATGAATATTTTATCTTCTTTGTTATTCATTTCCTTTACCAATTTTCCCTATATCTCTTCATGATTCCCACCCCTAGTCAATCCATAATTCACTTTTTGGCTTTATGAATTGCTTATTCTAAATATTTCATGTAAGTGGGATCATACAATATTTGTCTTTTTGTATTTGGTCCATTTTGCTTAGCATAATGTTTTCAGTGTGCATCCATGTTATAGCATATTTTTTTCATTCCTTTTTATTGCTAAGTAATATTCCAACAGTATTTTAATTTGTATAGCTTTTTAGTGCAGCCTGATATTTAAGAGTATGTCATCTAGCTTTACTGTTGTTCTTGACGATTGCCTTGGCCATTTCTGAGTCTTTGCATTTCCATATATGTCAGCTTATCAACTTCCACCAAAAAACATGAGGATTTTTATTGTATTATATTGACATCTTTCCTATATTGAATCTTTCAAGTCATATACTTGGTATATTCTTTTATTAATTTAGATTTTCTTCTGTAGTTTTCTGTATAGAACAGTTTCTGTCTTTTTGATGGATTTATTTGCAGATATTTGATATTATTTGATGCCCTTAAAATTTTAATTCTTTGCACTTGATCTTACCCAAAAGGCCAAGAAGCAATTAAAAGTTTTGATTTTTAATTTGTTACTGGTACATAGAATTATAATTGATATTTATGTTGAACTTTTATATACCAATCTTTCTATTCCTCTATTAAATCTAGTCATTTGTAGATTTTTTCTAAAAAAATTTTGTAGACAATAATAACATCGGAGAATGATAGTTTTGTTTTTTCCTTTCTAATATTTATTTTTTTATTTTTTTCCTTGCCTTGTTATGCCACCTAAAGACTGCCAGTACAGTGTTGAATAAAAGTTGTGATAGTGGCCATCCCTGTCTTATTCCTGATCTCATGGGCAATGCTGTTAATAATTAGCCACTAAGTATGATATTTTTAATAATTAGTTTTTGTAGATTTTTTAGTTAAATTAAGGAATTATCTATTTCTATTTTTCTAAGAGTTTTCTTTATTATAAACAGGATTTTATCAAACATCTTTTCTGCAGTATTTGAGATGAGTATGATGTTTCTCATTTTTCTTAGTGAATTACATTGATTATTTTTCAGATTTTAAACCTTCCTTATATTCCTGGACACTCACTTACTCCTAAATCTATTCCTATTCCAACCTGTCTTTCGTTCTTCCATGTCCTTTAAGATGGCTCATGTCTTTGTCACCAGTGGCCTTCACAGTCTGTCCTGTGTTTATTTCTCAGTCCTTATCTTATTCGACCTGTGAATATTTCGGTTGAACAGTCTTTCCTTCTTGAAATGCTTTCTTGCATTGTGTTTTGCCATGGTTTGCTTTGTTTTTCTCTTACTTATTCTCTCTCATTAGTTCTCCTTCATCTTTATAAACTCTGATGACTCTTCTTTCCCAGTGATTAATCCTGGAAAGCATTTCACTTTTCCATCTACACAGTACCTTACTCTAATTGAGATTATCCACTTCTACAGCTCCCGTGATCCTGTAAATACTAATTACCCTCAATTGTTTCTCCTGTTTTTAGTTCCACTTGGATTTCTAGTAATCTTCTTGACTAAATTATCCAAACTGATTTTTCTCTCAAATTTTTCATCCTTCAGAGTTGTTTGTCTTATTTAGTGGCATTACCATTCAACAAGTAGTTGAAACCAAAAAGTTAATTGTTTTTGACTCTACTTTTGTTGCACTCTAGATCCAAACTCTCAGGAAATTATGTTGTTTTACTCTCAGAACATATCCAGAATCAATTACTACTTCCTCATTATTTCTCAACTCCTTACTATGTCCGTTGATACCATTTTAGTTCAAACCATGATCATCCTTCACCATTGGTTACCTACAGTCCGTTTTTCACTTGCAGTTAGACTAGTTGTCCTAAAATGTGCCAAATCTTATTCAAGTCTTCATCCTTCTCATAATGAAGTCATAAGCCTTACACCTCACATCATCTCTCCCCACTCTCTTGCTTTCTCTGTTTTAGGCAAAGGTCTTTTTGCCTTTCCCTTAAGAACTAAAATGATAAGAATTTACCCAAGGACTTTTGCATTTACTTCCCCCATTGTTTCCATCACTTTTTCTTCAGATACTCACAGAATTTGATTCTATGCTTCATTCAGGATTTTGCTTGTATGATGCCTTATCACAGAAATATTCTCCAATCATTCTAAATAAATTAGTATCCCTTCCATAACCATCAGTGTTTACCTACTCTGCTAATTTTACAGCACCATTCTGGCGTGTTTTATATTTTTTACCAATTTTCTGCCTCCTCCTGCTAGAATGTAGGCTTCATGAAAGCAGGGGCAATATATACATATATATATGTATGTGTGTGTATATATATATATATATATATATATATATATGTATGTGTATATATATATATATATATATATATGTATGTATATTTTTTTTTGTCTCCCCTTATTGTTATATCTTCAGCACCTAGCACAGTGCTGGGCTCAGTAAATAGTTGTTGAATTGAGTATATGAAAAGTCCTTGCATGCTTGTCTGATTACCTAAGAAACAGTAACTTTTTTACCTTTCTCAGAGGAATGCTCATATTGTGTTATTTTTAAATAATCAGTGGCCAGGTTAGTATTAATAGTATAGGTAATAGAAGTTTGATTTTTTAATTTCTTAACTTAATAACAGGTTACTGGTTAACTGCCACTTAGCTTTTATATCTCCTTGTCATAGAAGATATCTTAGGAAGATAGTATATGCGAGGCCTTTTATTAATAACAATTTTACTGTTCCATGAAAAAATTTTAAGGTGTTTTTGTTTTGTTTTGCCAAAATATGATCTTGTGGAAAACTTAGAGGTTATCCAGTATATTCAATAGGATATTTTTGATTGTGGTTGGTAGAAAATTTGATTCAAAGTATCTTAAACATTAAGAAAATATACTAATGTAACAAAGTCTAGTGTTAGATGGCATATCAGTTATATTCTTGGCAGGAAACAGATGGCGTACTCAACCTAGGTTTTTGAGAAGAGTTTAATGCAAGGGTATTCAAAAAGTTGAAAGCAGGGAGCTTGGGAAGATTTGAAGAGATGAGGGGAATAAGTGTTTAGCATAACCCAAAGAGAAAGTTATTGTAGCTATAGAAGAAGGGTGCCTGATGGGACTGTGGTCTTCAAGAAAGGAGTATAGTGTAAGTGTACTGAAGGGGTAAAATCTGGAAAATGTATACCCAACTTCATTTTCTTTCTGTCCCTTAATTTCTTGCTAATGTCTTCAATTAGTCAAACTCAACTGGAAACCAGTAGGCAAGGGAGCGTCTCAAGCATTAAAACAGGACAGGGAGGTTGGAAAGGCAGCAAAAGGTTGGAAAAGCAGCAAACATAAGTTGTGTTTCAGGGCTGGGTTATCTGAGTCTCAATAATGTCATCAGAGACCCAGGTTTTATCTATATCTCTGCTGTACCAGCTACAGTGTTGATTTTATGCTAAAGCTGATACTGTTTGAGGTCACAAGGCTGCCAGAGAGAATTAGTGCTATAGACCTTCACATCCAGGTGAAGAAAGCAAGCTCCTTTCTGTCAATTACTGAGCAAGATTCTTCTCTCCAATTTGATTGGTTAGCTTAGAGCTTGGCTGGCCTTCTTTTGAATCAATTGTTGCTATGCTACACTTTGATACTGAGTCTCTGAACTAATCATTGCCTGCCACCCTCCCCATCACTCCACCAAAACAACAACAAATGATTAATCTGGTTGGATTAGGCTATTTGGAGCACAACCTTGGAGTCCTGGGAGGAGCAGAATGGATAATAGACTATGGTGTACCTCTACAATTAAAATAGTTTTACACAATTTATTGAATATATAATCATACATGTTATGGGTATATGTGTGTGTATGTATAATGCTTTCTACAATAAAAATGAACATTTCTGATAACCTGTTCCATTATAGGCTAATCTAAATGTTGGAACAATCTCTCTTTATTGAACAGAAGTTTCTCTTTGTAACCGCCAGTGCTCCTATTTGGTTTAGTTAATTCTGGATTGGATGCTATAATGCAACTATTTTTATAACTTCTCAGGTATTATTTCCAAATATGGTTAGCCATGTCACATTATAGTACTTCTTAAAAATTATGTATTCTGTCACCACATAAAATTAATATATAGATCAAATTCCAGGGCTTACATTTTCTATGAGATTTAAATTGTTCCATCTAAAGGTTACAGATTTATAACTATAAATTATCCAAGTGTAGATCTGTTTTTAAAGTAGTTTTACTTGAGAAAATGAAAACAAATACCAAAATATAAAAATATTTTGAAACTGTTAATCAAATGAAATACATTTAAAAGCAGAGTTAGAATCTTCTTTCTTCTCTTCCCAGGCTTTGTTTTTTCCTACCTATTCTATTCTTACTCCATTTTTGAATTTGACATTAATTCAGTTAAATGTTCCCTGAGAAATTAGGGTAGGGATCAGGAAGACAAAAGATGAATAAGATAATATTCTTTCTTATATTACGAAAGAGAGATTTTTTTTTTACTAACAATAATACAAGGAAGGAGGAATAAGTACTTCTAAGAGGTAAAGGTAACATGCTGTTGAAGAGAATATTCATTTATACATTTATACACTATTTATAATCCAGAATAGTAGGATTTTGAGGAGATCAATAAAAAGACAATAAAATATTTTCTAAAGAATAATTTTAGAATGAAAATCTGCCACCCAACAGCATTAATTGTTATGTGAAAACAGCAGGCCCCCCCATTTTTTTTTAAGTAATGTGGAAGGCCTTGTGATGCTTTTAGTATACCTTTTAATATCATGGTCCAAGTTCCAAACTTGTTTCTATATTATGAATTCATCAAGTGGATATGTTTATAATGGTCAGCCTGATTTTATAATACAGGTTAATGTTCTTTATAAGGACATGATGAATAATTTTTATGAGCTACAGTCTGGTCACATAGTATGTTTATCTATTAACAGGATCTGACTGTATTTTATTTTAGAGTTTTAAGTGTGAGAGTACAATGTTATCAGATCATGTTCTTGAAATCATTACTACTGAATAAAAATAGAATGTATAAGATAAGCTATGTGAAATTATATTTAGTGAAGGAGCTGGCTGAAGTTTTAAATAACTATTGATCTCTTATTTTAATTTTATTCCTTTACAAATAAAATATTTTTAATTTAAAGTACTATATTATTTTCACTGATACTCCTTTAAATATGAATACTCAATCTTTACTTTTTAAACTCAAATGTTTGTTTTGGTTCCCCTCCTTTATTAACTCAGCTATTTATTTAGATCAATTTCCACCATCTTTCATAAAATTTTCAGTGAAAATTATGTACTAAGGTTTGCTTTGAATTTTGTAGGCTATTGCTTATGTAAGCACCATTGGTAATTTTGTCAGACAAAGAATTCTATTATATTAATACTAAATTATTTGTAACCTTATAATAATTTGAACCAATTAAATGCCCCCTTCTTAGTAAAACCTGTTCACCATTCTTCTACAAATGTTTTATCTGCTCCATAGTTTCTTTCATTGAACTTAGTAACCTCTAACATGTTACATATTGTACATTTTTATTTTATTTACTCTGTGTTCCTGCCTTATCATCTCTTAGAATATGTTCTGTGAGACAGAGTTTTTACTTCAATTTTGTTAGCTGCTTTTTTGACAGTGCCAGGGAGCGTATTTGACTGACAGTGAGCAATCAGCATGTATATTTTCTAAATGACTAAAATAAAAGTCTTGAGCTCTACCTTTAAGGTAAAGGAAATGTATGCAAGGGTGTTACAAACTGGGGGAGCAAGACAGAGAAAGCAGGGGAAGAAAATGTGTCCTGTGGGTGAAACTGGCCCACAGTAATATTCTGTGGGACTCAACAAAAAGGTTTAGTTTTGTTCCTCACCACTCTTTTTTGTCTCCTACACTGGTTTACACATTGTTGTTAGTTATTTGCAATCATTTTAGTTTGTGACCTTTTATGTAGAAGTGTGAAAATTCATGATGTGCTTAAGTCAAATTTATTGAGTTGTCCTTATGATCATGAGAAATGTAGCTAAATCATATGGGAGGTAAAATTGGTAAGACAGTTTCATCCCTTTTAAATTTTGATCATCTTAAACTGATATTCAGACTTCAGTCAGTGAAGAATAGGAAGGAAAGATGTGTTGTGTGATGTGTGCTTTAGGGTTGAGTGGTACATGATTCTTTACCCTATGACTGAAAGGATAGTGATACTACAAAACTGTATCACTAGATGAGGAAGAAAAGATTTGTGTCGGAAGATATATTTTTTGAAGTTTGAGTTTGAATTATCAGCTTTTGTGAAGAGCATTTTTTAATATAGCATTTTTATCTGAAATTGTATTCTAGGATAGCATTGTCCAATTAAAATACAATTCAAACCTCAGGTGCAATTTAATATTTTCCAGTAAAAAATTACAGGTTATATTAATCTTAATAATGTCTTTAGTCTAGTATTTTATTTTGATAATATGCAAAATATTATTTCAACATCTATTCAATAAGAAAATACGATTTTTAAAAATATTCTGAGCTGGAAAAACCCAGTGTTTTCATACTCACAACACATCGCACTTTCAATTGCAACATTCCAGCAGCTCAGTTGCCACATAGGGCTTCTGGCTACTGTATGAGATGGTGCAGCTTTAAGGTTCGGTTTCAATTTTGGAGAGTCTGTTGTTTAAATACCATTGGTAATAGGTATATGGTGATAGCAGTTGAAAATTCTTGAAGTGAGTACTCAGCATAGACATAGTGTTATATGAAGCTGTGAAAGCATAATATATCCAGGGATACGGTATTTATGAAGAGCAGACCAAGGAAATAATATTTTAAGCAATATTTTACATATTTTTAAGCAATATTTTTACATGTTTTAAACAATCTCTATTTTTATGTCTAAGATTTCTTCTTATATGTCAATTTCTACAAAAAATGAAATGAAGCCATTCTTATAACATTTCATTTCTTTAGCTTTAGCTAATAGTGGCATTATTTAACTTGAATTATTTATCTGTAATTGTCTTAGATTAGGCTTCAAATAACAAGCTATCACTCAAAGAAATAGCTAAAATTTTAGATCTCTTAATAAAATTATATTTTAATAGCAAATAATATAAATGTATTTCATATTTATTAGTGATAGCATATGAAAAATTCATGTGTGCTTATGCTAAGTCAGAAATTATACAATTTAATATTCTGGATATTTCAAGCTAGAATTTCTGTTTTCTTTCTTAGTCATCAAGAGTTCATATAACTAGACCTGTCTTGGAGCAATTTTTATCTTTTGCAAAATACCTTGATGGTTTATCTCATGGAGCACCTTTGCTGAAGCAGCTTTGTGATCATATTTTGTTTATTAACCCAGCCATCTGGATACATACACCTGCAAAGGTATGAGTTTTATACTTACTCAGTTTGTTTTAGTGTAATGTTATACATTATAGTTGCTGGATCTAAAGTATCCAGTGGAAAACATTTGAACATTTTAGCTTATTTTATAGTTAATCTGCAGCAATTGTGTTAGGCAGTATCAGGAGATCAAAATATTTATAAGTAGTAAAATAAATGAAACTATAGGTAAAAAAGAATCTTTGTGTAACACTGCATTCTAACATCTTTAGATGTGATACATACTTCTCCAATGAAGAGAATTTGCTATACCAATTTTTGAAAGACTAGGAAAGAGAACAGATAACTAATTGTATTATGACTGTAATCATTTTGCTGGAAAATTGCTTTCATTTTGAAGGCAGAATTTATATCATTACATGTAAATAATACTCACTTAAAAATAAATATATACATGAAATAAATATTTTTCCAGATAATAACAGAAATTTCTTATTATTTTGTATACCAGAATTTAGTCTTAGTGGAAATCAATAATGAGGGATATTTTGATTTTGAGCTATCTTTTACAGTTTAATAATATCTCTCTGAGTTATTAATTATTGCCTAAGCCCAAATCTTAATTTTGAGAACTCTTTTAAGCAAGATGTCCGACATGCCATCTCTGTGCTCACATGGTCAGATTGTGAAATCAAACTATATATATTATGGCCACAGGGGAGGAGAATTTGAAATTGCATGAACTTTTAGGATATATGACAAAAATATATAGGTTTTTAGATAGGCTTTAGCTGACTGATGTTCTGTTGCTATGAAGAAATTTATACACTGAAAGCTACTGAAATATACTTTAAGAGCTTTAGTTGACTTTTAAAATATTTTAATCTTTTTATCAGATTAATTTCAATAAATTAATCATTTTAAAATTATTTAATTGCCACAGCTGTTAGACTACCTTATTATAATAAGTTTATTAGAAAACGTTAATTGCAGATTTTATATATATATATATATATATATATATATATATATTTTTTTTTTTTTTTTTTTTTTTTTTTTTTTTTTTTTTTGAGACGGAGTTTCACTCTCATTGCCCAGGCTGGAGAGCAATGGCGCGATCTCGGCTCACCGCAATCTCCGCCTCCCTGGTTCAGTCCATTCTCCTCCGTCAGCCTCCCGAGTAGCTGGGATTACAGGCATGTGCCACCGTGCCTGGCTAATTTTTTTGTATTTTTAGTAGAGATGGAGTTTCTCCATGTTGGTCAGGCTGCTTTCAAACTCCCGACCTCAGGTGATGCACCCGCCTCAGCCTCCCAAAGTGCTGGGATTACAGGCCTGAGCCACCGCGCCTGGCTATATATTTTTAAAATATAAATAATATTGAAGAAGAAAGTTATTTTTAACCTCTTAATAAATGATCATTTCTTGGCCTTTACTAATTTGCGTTTAAATTAAAACAATGCATATTTATAATATAAGCACTTGAGGCATTTTAAGTTCATTTTAATGATCTGTTAATATTCTGTATTAGGTTCAACTTTCCCTATATACATATTTGTCTGCTGAATTTATTGGAACTGCTACCATCTACACCACCATACGCAGAATAGGAACAGTTATTAAAGATAATGCACACCTTAAAATATTACTACTGGGTTATTAATCCTGCTGACAGTAGTGGCATTACACCTAAAGGATGAGGTATGTATAACACTTCCACTGTATTTACATTTGCCTATGAATATTCTGTATTCTGAGTACTGTTAAAGTGTGAGCCGTGTACATGACTATGAAATCACTGAAATGTTTTCTTTCTTATGTGGCAAACTGACATATTGAGAATTGTTTGTGGTAAAGAAGTTTAGGGCTTTTCAATATTAAATTATTTTGGAATAAAATCAGGTAAAAAGCAACAATAGTCTTTATTTTAGCCTGTATGCCTTTTTCCATTCAGGAAGACACATTTATAATATTAAAAACAGTTAAATGATATTGGTAAGTGTGTTCTAGTACATCAGTTGCTTTCAACATTTTCAGATTGTTACATGTTTTCATATTTTTATTCCAGATTTATCCTTTGTTCTGACTGTAGTGGAAACTAATTTAATTCTTCACTGTGATATCTTTTTTGTTTTGAAAATATAGCCAGTTTTTCTAATTATACAAAAAAAAGAAAATAAATAATACAGAAGAAAATATATATTTATGGCCCAAACCCCAAGAATAATTACTGATACGATTTTGGCATGTTTTCTTCCAGTGTTTCTCATTGCATACATATATAAAAATATTTAAACTTCTTAATTATAAATTGAGATTTTCTCAATTTTTCTATCTTGTCCTTTTCTCAGCTCAATGTAGTAATGTAAGAGGATGTACCATTTACATTGTTTCTAAAGTTTTGATTTTATACATATTAGAGGATTCTCTCATATATATATGTGTTTACCTCCATCTTTGATTTGTTTAAAATTACTGAAAAAGGGGCTAATGACAAATATTTTAAATTTTTTTCAGGAATGTCATATTATTTTAGTTTTACCAGTAGTATGTTAGAGTACTTCCTTTAGCGTGCTCACAATAACATTGAATATTATAGTTTTATAATAATCCCTTTGATAAGGAAAAATAGCATTTTCCAATTTTTTTTTTTTTTTTTTTTTTTTTTTTTGAAATGGAGTCTCCCTCTGTAACCCAGGCTGGAGTGCAGTGGTGCTATCTGGGCTCATTGCAAGCTCTGCCTCCCGGGTTCATGCCATTCTGCTACCTCAGCCTCCCGAGTAGCTGGGACTACAGGCCCCCGCCACCACGCCTGGCTAATTTTTTGTATTTTTAGTAGAGGGGTTTCACCGTATTAGCCAGGATGGTCTCGATCTCCTGACCTCGTGATCTGCCCAACTCGGCCTCCCATTTTACTATTTTAATATTTATACAAGCTTACTTTTATCTCTTTTTATTTTATTAATGGGGCTTTAGAAGTTATTTATATTCAGATCTGTTATTTTGTCCTTCTATGGCTTCTTCCATTGCTTTTAAGTTGGTAATGCCTAAAATGTATTGGATTTTTCTGCCAAGCACTCTACCTGTTAATTTGTTTAGTAATATATATATATAAAAAACATAATATAATTATAGATAAATAGACATATTCATATCCATACATAAGACTGCATCTATATGTAACTTTGTTTTTGATATCCATACATAAGACTGCATCTATATGTAACTTTGTTTTTGATATCATCCTCATTTTAAAGATTAGGAAACTGAAAGTTGGTGCAAACCAACCAGCACCAAAATTTGGATCATATCTATCTGACTCAGAGATCTCATTCTTAAATGCTACTCTATGATAGAGTTTTCTCTAGTCTAAACAAATCATATATTCACACATCATAATTTCTGCCTTAAAATATTAATTTCTAATTTACAGAAGAGTTACAAAGTTGCAAACATTGCACAAAGAATTCTCATATGTCCCTCAGTAGATTCTCAATATTTTACATCTTACCACTTTAGGCTTTACTATTCTCTCATGCTCTTTTTATATATATATAAACACACCTACAGACACATGCCCATATTTTTTTCTGAATCAATTGATAATAAATTGTAGACATGATACCCTCTGACCTCTAAATACTTTATTGTGTATTTCCTGAAAGGTAAAGGCACTTTGTTAAATAACCAGAGGATATCCATTAATATCAGGAAGTTAGCATTAATACAATACTATCATCTAATTCAAAGACCCCCACTCAAATTTCACTAATTACAGTAATAAGGTCCTTTCTAGGAAAAAAATTCTTTTGTCCTAAGTCTGTTGAGGACCATATGTTGTGCTTAGTTGCCTTGTTACTTTTAATGTTCTTCAATGTAGAATAGTTTTTTACTATTTCCTTGTCTTTCAGGACCTTGACATTTTTGAAGAATACAGACCAGTTATTTTTTCGAATACCCTTAAATTTGAATTTTCTATTTGTTCATGATGATGCAGGTTTTTCATTTTTACAAGAAATAACACAGAAGTCATATTGTCTGTCTCCTTGTATCATGTCAAGGAGACACATGATGTTGAGTTGTGCTTTTACAAGTGATGTCAACTTTAAACATTTGATTAAGGTATTATCTTCCAGGTTTCTTCATTATAAAAATCACTTCTTTCTCTTTGGTAGTTAAGAAGTATTTGATGGAGAAATACATTGAAACTATATAAATATCCTGTTCCTCAACAAAGTTTCACCTGCCTGTTTTAGTGTGCTGATGATTCTTACTAAAAATTATCTTTATTATGATGACTGACAAATGATGTTTTCTAAGACATTGATTAAGTTGGCATATCTACTGTAAGGAAGAACTTGTTTTACTACTCCACTCTATCTGTCTATCTATATCTATCTATCGATCTGTCTGTTTATTGATCTATCTGTCTATCATCTTTTATATCAGTATGGACTCATGTATTCAATGTGTTATATCAACAGTTGGCATACTTTCTTTGCAAAGGGCCAGGTAGTGTTTTAGGCTTACGGAGCCATAAGGTCTCTGTTGCACATAGTCAGCTCTGACATTGTATTGCAGAAATAACCACAGACTGTATGTAAATGAATAGGTGTGGCTTGTTCTAGTGAAACGTACAAAAACAAGTGGCCTGATTGGTTTAGTCCTAGGGCTGTGGTTTATCTGTCTCCTGGGTTGTATCATTATTTTGATGCTCGAGATTTGGCCAGTAGGACCCTTCACATGGATTATGGGACAAATGCCCATAAGTTTATAATACTTTCTTACTTTCTGAAACAAGATGTTTTTGACTTTTCTTACACTTTCCTTATCCCAGCCCTGAAATTAGCCATTTTTCCAAGAAGCCCTGGTTTGCTTGGTGGATATGGTTTTTAGAAACCAAGATCTGGATGTGAGGTGTGCTTCTTGGTTTTTGAATGTCATTGCTTCTACATTCTCTTAGTGGACAGATCTAGGAAATGATGTTTGAATCTATGTATATAGGTACATCTCAACTGATTTATCTATATTAAAACCATGAGTTCACAGCAGTACCTTCAATTCCAGTCACATGGCTCGACCTAGCCTCAAACTTCTTAAATGTGTAGCTTTCTTCTTCAATAGTGAGAAGTCTTGCTCCTATTGTCTTTAATATATTTATATGTTTTCTTATTCTACTTTACAAAACCAATATTTTGATACACATGCCATAACCTTCTCAGCTTTAACATTGCTAGTCATCTCTAATCATACCCTCAGATTTGACTCTGAATGGTCCTTGTTGTCTCTTCAGCCCCAGTTGTTTCTTTGGCACTGGCCATCCTCCTGACCTCTACTGTCTCCTTGGCCCTCACCCTGAAAGTCCTTCCAGACTCACTTGCCTCTGGCTCTATAAGATCCTGGGTATCACCAGGGCCTCTGCTCCCTCCATAGAACCCGTGTCCCTGAGGCCTCACTGGCTCTAGCTACATCAAAGAGAGGGAAAGGAAGAGAACCAGTAGTACATATATTTTAAGTGAAAGTGACAGGAAAGTGGAATGAGCACTTATTTTTCTTTATCATTTAAATTATTACTTTAACATTTTAATACTTTGAAATTAATTTTGTTATATAGTAGAATGTAAGGTTCTGACTTGAAGTGTATCATTTTCTAAATGACAGCATTTTTCAATACCATTTTAAACAAATGCTTTCTTTTAAGGACACTCTAAAGATAATGTGCACTACACTAGTTTTCGTAGAACTGTTCATGTGTAGGCACTCACCTTGAGAAGTAGGATTTTTTTTTTACTTAACGCTTTTGTCTCAAATTATTATTATATATAGTTAACTGTAAAAACATTGAGATATATTAAAAATATTATAGGACAGGTAATACATATTCATGGTAGCAAGTGAAATAATACAAAGGTTTATGAATAAAAAGTTACTACTCTCCTAGGTAGCCAATGTTACCAGTCTTGCATATCCTTCTGCTGCTTTTTCTCTGCTCATACAAACATGAACTTACTCATGCATACACATAGGTGTTTCAAAGTTTTATTCTGAATACATCACGAACACAAAGTGGTATAATTACATATATCAATGTAATATATAAACATGTTATAAATATGAATATAAATGTAAAATGAACCCTATTTAAACATCAGTAAGCCTAAGACACAGAACATTACCAATGAGCCTGAATATTCTCATGCGTGGCCACATCTCTTTTCTATTCCCCGTCATAGAAATCACTCCATCCCAAATTTTACGTTATTTCTTTTCTTTACTTGGGTGCTTATTATTTTTTACTATGCTTTACTCTTTTGCTATTTATGTATGTATTATTAATTTATTGTTTAGCTTCTATATTTTACATAAATAGTATTATTTTGGGATTTGTTTTTTCATTGAGTTTCATATTTGTTAGATAAATCGGTTTGTATTTTATTTTGCAGAAATGGATTTATATCATACACAAAGCACACAAATATATATATTTCTTTGCAACATGCTGTTTGTATTGTGCAGTATACAATAAAAGTAATTATTGCTAACATTTGAGTGATTATGATTAAAATGGGCCTGGTACTAGTCTAATTTCTTTACATACGCTGATCCATTTAATCCTCACAAGACATCCTATGACAAGCAGTATTATTATTCTTACCCTAACAATAAAGAAGAAAACAAATCTTAGGTACAGAGATGTTATAAAACTTGTCCAATTTTATTAAGTGGTGGCAGAAATAGTAAGATTAAGGAAATTATTACTAAGACAGAATCTGTCTTTTCTTGGATGGAGTGGGGATGTGATCAGGAACAGGAATGTGGCACAGAGCTGAGGTCTGGAGCATGGTGAGGGCTTTGGCATGCAGGGCAGGATGGGGACACAATCAGTTGTTAGATATTCAGGAATTTTATGAGCTGGTTGTTAAACCATTGGTAACTTGAACTTGAAATCAGATTATTATTAATATGATAGAAATCAGAAATACGTAAATGCTCAAAATCAGGACCTCATCCCTCCACTCTGCAGATAATTCCTTTACCAGCACACCAATAGTTGACAGGTTTCCCTGTCAGGCTACTGTCAGTGTTCAATTTCTTGGTCAAAGAACTGTTTATACAGGTGTTCATTTTATGATAATTCATTAAGTTGATCATGTATGTTTTCTGTACATAGGCAATATTTTACAATGAAAAGTTTTTTTTAAGTAATACCCAGTGTCAGTAGGAGGGGAAGAGTACTCTGTGCATCTTAGTGGGAGTGGGGCAATAAAAGGTGGAGAGCAGTCTGGGAAATAGGGAAAATATTTCTTTTATTATAATAGGCAGGATGGATTTTTTGGATAATAACTTGCTTGCAGATGTAATAATCTTCATGTAAATATTAAGTGAATAAGCAGATGGTATAGATTATACATGAAGGGATTATGCTTTTAAAACTTGTAAAGCAGTAGATAAATACTGGTTGCTACAAGAAAGGCTTAATGTTAAAGGATTTTTATGAATCTAGCTACATTTCTTAAAAGTATACTTTATTGTATATTACGCATATTATATATTATTTTATATTTTCATTTTATTAGTAATTAGATATTTTGAAATTACTTTAAAATTTGTACATTATGATAGAACTGATATGTACATTTGAATATTTTATGCTCATTTTCACTTATTGACACAGCATTTATTAAATGCCCACCATAATATGTATTTTCTTTATACAAGTGCCATAGAAGAAATAGGCTGCAAAACAAATAATTAAAATAAAACAGTGTCACTTTTTCTGAGCTTTATTAAATAATGTGTGGGGTGAAAATGGAGACAGTCCTTAAATGAAGACAAGTTTAATTGAGAATGGAAGACATATTGGGAAACCTATTAATGTAATAAAAACAGAAAAAAGTATTCAAGTATTAATGTAAATACTTGGGGATTATACATTTATAAATGGATACTAATATATTACAACTTTTTTAAAAGTTCTTTTTTCCACAAAATCAGACATTGAGTAAATAATTTGAAATTGCCAAAAATTTGAAAGTTAATTTTTGGATACCCATATATTATTAAAATTTTATAGCATTAATGTAAATATTGTAATTTTAATAAATATAATTATTCAAGAATGCCATAGTATCCCAACATAACTGCATTAAGCTTATTTAATATCTTGTATTTTTTATTTTTACTTTTTTTTCTGTTTTGTTCTTGATGGTCCCCAGCCATCACAAAAAGAAATTATATCACTGAGGGCATTTATGCTACTTTTTCTGAAACAGCTCATACTAAAAGTAAAATAATTTTATATAATTTAGAATTACAGTATATAGGTAGAAAGGAATTTCTGGCATGTTTTAAAATTATTATTGTTAAATTAGTAATAGCTACCTTTAATTAATGAATTGCTTCCAAAATTCTGCACATCTTAATATTAACTTTATTGAACTTAACTAACTTCTGGTTAAATGCTCTCTGAAATCTTCCCTATTAAGGGATGTGACAGAAATGGACAAGGAACATATGAATAAGAATTGAGCCCTTATTCTTATAGTAATTGACCATTATTCTAGAAAATGGTCTGTGTGCCAGTTTAAGAAGGCTTACATAATGTATTTTATTGTAGTAGGATTTTTTAAATGTTAAGATGAAAACAAAGTGAAAATAAATATAAATTTTGAGGTAATACACAAAAATTGATACTGTATAGTCTTGCACTTGTATTCAAGAAAGAATGATTAGAAAATAGTCATAAGAATACTTCGATGGTCAAAATAGGCTAACTTTTTATAGTGAATGTCAATCAAATATTAATGACTTAAAAATTGATAAGATTTTCTAAATATTTACTTAATTAACTTGAAATAATATAGTCTATAAATTGTGAAATGTGTGGGGATTTTAATTCAAATATCACTACATTAAACTTACTCTTATTTTCTTTTAAAATGATTATTTTGATGTCTTTTAAATTAAAATTTTAATTTTAGATGTAAAATAATAAAATATTTTTTAAAAATTAAGATCAAAGGGTCAAAGAAGATGAACTTCAGAGTATATTAAATTACCTTCTTACAATACATGAGGTAGGACATGTTATGGACCTTTTATTTTAATTATTTAAGCCAATCTTTAGAGTAAAATTTAAATCAATATTGGTGATTTATGCAGGATGAAAATATTCATGATGTGCTACAGTTACTGGTGGCTTTAATGTCAGAACACCCAGCCTCAATGATACCAGTATTTAATCAAAGAAATGGAATAAGGTATGATTATAATATTAGTATTACTATTAGACGTCAATGGAGCACAGTTGTTCCTCCTAGAATAATTCCTATTCTATGAATATTTGAATAAATATAGCATCTTACACATAAGAGAGTATAAATGGAGAATGCTGCTGTTGATCCTCCAATACTCAGGAAACTGATGAAGTGTATAAACAGTAGTCTCAGGAATCAAGAAGAGTAAATTGTTTTTGCTATAGTAAGGACATTACAAATTGTGAATAGAGCAATTTTTTTTTCAAGAAGACACGAAAAAGCAAGGTATGTTTTACCAAAAGAGGATACAATGAAATTTTATGATATTAGGCCTGAGACAGAGATTACAGCCAGTTTTGGAAGGTTCATAGGATGGTAGTAACTTTAGTGTTTCGTTTTTTTTCAGTTGGTGATGAAAATTAAAGAATTTTAAATAGGGGAAATGTGCTCAGATTGCTATTTTGTTAGATTTACAATCACCAGTGTGAAACATGAGTTGAAGGACAAACTGATGTAGCAATATCCGTAGGTAGATTATTTTATTCATCAGTATTAAAAATGATGACCTGAGACAGTAGCAGTGCAATGGAAATAATAGAGATGAAAGATGTTCTGGAGTTAAGAGGCCAAAGCCTAAAGAAATTCAAAACCAACTTTTGTTGTGGCAATTGAAAAGTAACTTGGTAGACAGGTGAAATATAATTTCTTAGTTAGTATTTTTATGAACTTAACCCTATAATTTAGCTTCTTAAGGAATTCTTCCTTTTTATTTTTCTGGAGTTTTAATTAGTGGGATGAGCAGGATATCAAGGTTATGCCATGTATAACTCAGTGAATTTCTACAGATTTATTGTGAAAAAGAGTTTGGAAAGAATATATCAGTGACTGTCAAGGGCTTTTTTAAGTGCTTTTTTTACTTGGCCATTTATATCAATGGATAACAACTTTCTAGACTTGAAGAACTCCTTTTCAAATTAGAGAAGCGATCACTATCTCTGTATGCATATCTCCCTTGTGACATCACTATTACCTTTGAGTTTATAATTCAAAGGCCTGCCAATCTATTTGAAAAAGATTATACATTTAGTGATTAAAAACTGTTATAATTTTTTACTCTTGAGTTTGAACTATATGAAACTGTTGATACTTAACTGATTTTACCAAATAATGGCAATTTCATATGGTTTGATCTAATAAGGTAGTACAATTACACTCACTCTTCTGAACTTATATTTAGATTCAATAATTAGTGTCCTTGTCCTGAGATTTTGCTTTGTTTATTATATTATCTGATAAATTTAGTGAACCAGTTGAAGATATCCCCGTTACCCTTGTGGAAGATACTAAACTTAGATTGTCTAATATGATGAAATGCAGAAATATAATTCTATTGTTTTGACACATTGGAAATACGATCCTACATATGAGAGTGCTATTTGGTAAGATCTTTAGGATTGACATAGTGTTTTAAATGTATGGTATGAAAGAATTGATTAAGCACAACAGATTAAAAGGCTTTGTGCTCATGGCTGACCATGAGCAGAACATTTCAGATTGTTGCCACTATGTTAAAAACAATCACAAAGATTAAAAAACGGCCTTTCCTTGACACTTCAGCTTTTCTACTTCAAAAATGGGGAGAAAGCTGGTTCAGAATAGTATAAAAGGTGAAAAAAAAGGCTTATTAGATAGAAAATATTGAAAGTGTCTAAAGCATTTATATGTCTTTATTCTAGAAAATAGCCATTAAAGGCTAACAGTTGTATATGAAGTATTTTGGGAGGAAAATTCTGGTCTGTTCTAATTCATACAATGGAATTCAGTATAACATCTGAACAAAAAGAATGAACTGAGTTTAGTTCTGATGGTATGCTAATTCAGCTTAAGGAAGCCCTTGTGATAACACTGAACTAAGCAGCTAAAAATGTGATATTTTTATATCTTGAAATGTTTAAAGAAAAGAATAGACAACTACCTGTCTTATATAGCTTAGATCATTTGCTGGCTGAATATAGTGAGCTTAAGCAGATGAATTAGGATTATTATTAATTAGTAACAATGTATATTACAAGTAAACATTCATTAACAAATTTCTTATTCATACTGTATCACATCTTTACATATATACATGTATGATGGCCTTAGACATTTTCATGTTTCAACATTAGTCGTAATTTCTCTTGACCCAGGGTGGAGTCTAATAACTTTTTTCCTCCTACTCAAAGTTATTCCTAGGCAGTAGAAACTCTGTGAGAACTTCCAATTCTATATTTGAGTGTAACCACATTTTTAGGCTGTGAGTGTTGTGTTTTGTTTTGTTTTGCTTTGCTTTGTTTTTTTTGAGACAGAGTCTTGCTCTGTTGTCTAGGCTGGAGTGCAGTGGCACCATCTCGGCTCACGGCAGCCTCCACCTCCTGGGCTCAAGCAATTTTCATGCCTTAGCGTCCCCAGTAGCTGGCACTACAGCCATGTGCCACCACACCCGACTAATTTTTTTTGTGTCTAGCAGAGACGGGGTTTCACCCTGTTGCCCAGGCTGCTCTTGAACTTCTGCACTCAGGCAGTCTGCCACCTTGGCCTCCTAAAGTGTTAGGATTACGGGCGTGAGCCACCATGCCTGGCCCAGACTGTGAGTTTTACTTTGGTTCTCAAGACTATTTTTGCTGTTTAATGTTGCTTCTTATGATTTCTTGAATGTATTTTTTTGACATGTCTGACTTTGCTATTCTCAAACTTGTCTTTTTTCATTACTGATCTTGGTTCCTAAAAGTTTTGAAAATGGATTTCAGTGTAAACCTATACATATTTATGAATGTGGGATTTGAAAAAAAAATCTTCCAAAGGAAATAATCACTTTTCTTGTAGTTTATTCTTTAATAGATGAAATGCAAAGCATAAAAGAAAAAAAGAGAAAAAGAAACAGTACCAATAACATCTTTTCTTTTTTAATAGTATAAGCTGTTGGTAAAACTAAAAATAATGACATTATGTTTAAGCTATTTGTGCCCCCTTGTAAGTATCACTGAAATTATGAAAATTATATTGCATCTTTTACTAGATTCTCTTCTTCAGCTGAGTACTTTACCTCAAAATATACCATGGCATTTTATTTTTTAAGAAACAATATTTAATAAAATAAAGCAAACTATAATTTTATAGCCCCTAAAGAACCTTATATTCTAGAATTAGTTGCCAGTGTATATAGTTGTCATTGTCCCTTCTACTTTATGGAAACAAATAATTTTTTTAAATAGAAAAAATATGGAATAAAATTTCTAAACACTTACGAATATTATAATGAATATCGCCCTACTTTTATGTAGTACTTGAAGTGATTGTATAGGTTAGGTTGTATATTAGTGGAGGCTATTTTGCTCCAAGTAACAGAAAACTTCTCAAGCTTTTAAAGTAAAAACTGAATAATATGTTTGTTTAAAAAATCTTAGAGTAGGAACCAGGAATTGTAGGGCTATTAGGAAACAAGTTTGCTTTCTCTGCTGCTTTCTGTAAGCTGTTTAATCCTTCCTTCTGTATGTTGACTAGCCTTTCTGAGCAGAAACAAAACGTTGCTGTTCTAGTTTCTGTTTTAAACAATTTTCGAATCCAAGAGCCCAGCAAAGAGGAGATATTGTTTCTTAGACCTCATTCCAAATTCTCAAAAAAGAGCACTAACTAGGCAGGTGCCTACCTATTATCTAATCAGTCATACCAAGACAAGAGGGTTAGGGTGCAGTGGCGCACGCCTGTAATTCCAGCACTTTGGGAGTCCGAGGTGGTTGGATTGTTTGAACTCAGGAATTCCAGACTAGCCTGGGCAATATGGCAAAACCTCACCTCTATATTAAAATTAAGAACAAAAAATTTAAAAAAAAGAAAGAAAATAGGGTTATCAAGTTTAAATGTTGGGGCCAATTCTTAGAAGAGATGTGGCCTAAACAAGCATGTGTCTTAAAACTGAAAATCGTGTTTAGTATGTTGGGAGGCAGTACTTATGAATACCAGTCACATTGCCCTTTTGAGTATATGGTTGAAGGACATGTTTAAAGAAAAATTATTAAAGCATGCCAGTTTTTAATTTTTCCAAGGAATTATAATCCTGAGAATAAAATCTTCAGAGAAGTTTTATATTTCACATATGTATAATTTATTTGTAAAGTATGTAGTGTATTTTTGTTTTTAATATTAGTAAGTTTTTAAACATTATTTATATATTTTTTAGGGTGATCTACAATTTATTGGCTTCTAAAAGTGAAAGTATTTGGGTTCAAGCTTTGAAGGTTCTGGGATACTTTCTGAAGCATTTAGGTCAGAAGTAAATTGATATTTGTTGTAATGCATTCTAGAAATAACTATTGAGATTATGTTTTTATGAGTTTTATATGTAATGTAACATGAAATTTGACTTGAATAATCTAACACTGGAAAATAATAGCTTTATGTGGTAGAAGTAGTAAGAGTGTTTTATAAAATTTATTAATAGTAGATTATGGAACAAGATTACAATTTAAGTAACAAGGTTTTATTTCTATATGCTTCCTGAAAAGAAAGCATTATCTATAGATGTAATAAAATATTTTGTCAAGATATAATGATGCACATATGACTATGATTTCAAGGAAAGCTTCCTTGACAAGGAAATATCATGTATATGTTGAGGTCTTTCTGAGAGTTGATCTTATGCTTACATGCTGAGTCAGTATTTTGTTATTAGTTTCTAACAGTAGGGCTTATTAATTAATTTTGTGACTTCAAGATGCTAGAATACTTCATTTCTTTCCCAAAATACAGAATCTGAATACTTTCTAAGAACAGTTTTTGTGTAAGAAACTACTGCTGGCTTAGTGATTGCAGTTCGTACTACACTATCCAGTGTATGAATATAGTTTTAAGAGTAGATTTCCTTACAAATGAAGCCAAGGAAGTAGTGCAACTGTAATTTAAATGTTACTAGATGGGGTTCCTTTGAAAACCTCAGTGTTGCCCTTTTTTTTGGTGCTTGCTTAAATTTGCAACGCGCTTATTTGTAATAATCATGAAAACTGCACAAAATTCAGACAAGACATGTCTAACAAGCTGTATAGCCTAGAAGTTTAAATATTTTTAAAATTTTGGTACCAAACAATGATTAAGGGAGACTAGATATACTATGGATATAAGGAATAGTTCAAACAAAGCCAGGATTGTAGAGAAGGATACATTTATATATACATATATATATATATATATATATATATATATATATGGATATATATAAGTTCACTTGGTGATAGAGTACTGGGAGTGAAGAAGCATATGCCCTTTTTATTTTAAGAGATAAAGATCACTTACTTAACTTCAGTTAATTAAAATAAATTGATTGGAGAAAGTTAAAGGATTGTAGCCCAAGATGCAACCTCCTCAAATATCAAGAAAGCACATTAAAAAATGTACAAAAAAAACGAAAACTCAGTTAATACAAAATTAAAAATACATGCAGGCAATTTCCTGTGTAAACATGGTGTTTAAGATGTCCTATTTTCCCCTTTTCCTGTAGAATGTATAAATGATACAACAAGAAGTAAAAAACTGTACTCTCTTATCAAGATAGATGCAAATGTATGAACTCCAGAATATGGGTATCAGCTGCTTAAAGTTGCTAAGGTTGGGTAAAAGCTGTTAAGGCTAAAGAGAAGAGAAAATACAAAGAGCATGGTGAGAGAGTTCAATTATAGCAAATAGGAACTGTCAGTGAAAGTACAGTTTCTGAAGATGAGAGGCCCACCTTAAATTTCAAAAATAGATCATTTCTAAAACAACCCCATCAAAAAGTGGGCGAAGGACATGAACAGACACTTCTCAAAAGAAGACATTTATGCAGCCAAAAAACACATGAAAAAATGCTCACCATCACTGGCCATCAGAGAAATGCAAATCAAAACCACAATGAGATACCATCTCACACCAGTTAGAATGGCGATCATTAAAAAGTCAGGAAACAACAGGTGCTGGAGAGGATGTGGAGAAATAGGAACACTTTTACACAGTTGGTGGGACTGTAAACTAGTTCAACCATTGTGGAAGTCAGTGTGGCGATTCCTCAGGGATCTAGAACTAGAAATACCATTTGACCCAGCCATCCCATTACTGGGTATATACCCAAAGGACTATAAATCATGCTGCTATAAAGACACATGCACACATGTTTATTGCAGCACTATTCACAATAGCAAAGACTTGGAACCAACCCAAATGTCCAACAATGATAGACTGGATTAAGAAAATGCGGCACATATACACCATGGAATACTATGCAGCCATAAAAAATGATGAGTTCATATCCTTTGTAGGGACATGGATGAAATTGGAAATCATCATTCTCAGTAAACTATCGCAAGGACAAAAAACCAAACACCGCATATTCTCACTCATAGGTGGGAATTGAACAATGAGAACACATGGACACAGGAAGGGGAACATCACACTCTGGGGACTGTTGTGGGGTGGGGGTAGGGGGGAGGGATAGCATTGGGAGATATACCTAATGCTAGATGACGAGTTAGTGGGGGCAGCGCACCAGCATGGCACATGTATACATATGTAACTAACTTGCACATTGTGCACATGTACCCTAAAACTTAAAGTATAATAATAAATAAAAAAATAGATCATTTCTTTGAAATAATAGATACACATATATCATGCCTGATAGCAGAGTTTTTTTGAATCAGATTGGTTTCAGAAAAGGAGAAGATATCACAAAGAATTACACAGATGAGCTGTATTTGTGGCAAGCAGTCTATCTCTGTGGCTATAGAGAAAGAGAAAGTTTTTGGATTATGAAAGCAAAAAGGTTACCCTTGTCCCTTTTACACATATGCATGGAAGCATCCTGTAGACTGATGGGCCAGGCAGATTAGACTGTATCAAAGAATTGGCACATCATCAGTGCATGTATCAGATAAAAAACACGGAAAAAAAAAGTTAAGGTAACCAGTACATGAATAGCACTTAGCATAAAAATATTGCTATGGAATATATAGCATTTTGATTTAGAAATTTACTGTCATAAGTTAAAAATAAATAAGTAGCTTCTGAGAAAGAACCACTAAACATAATTTGGAGAAGTAATCCTACTACTCAGGAGGCTTATGCAGGAAGGTTGCTTGAGCCCAGGAGTTTGAATCCAGCCTGGACAATGTAGCAACACCCCCATCTGAAAAAAAAAAGTTGTTAGAAATGTTAACATAGTGAGATGGTTTGGTTGTGTTCCCCCACCTAAAATCTCATCTTGAATTGTAATCCCCACGTGTGAAGGGAGGGACCAGGGGAACATAATTGGATCATGGGGGCAGTTTCTTTTCTGCTGTTCTTGTAACAGTGAGTCGCATGAGATCTGATGGTTTTATAAGCATTTGGCATTTCCCCTCCTTTCCCTTATTCCGTCTTGCCACCCTGTGAAGAAGGTGGCTGCTTCTCCTTGCCTTCCACCATGATTGTAAGTTTCCTGAGGCCTCCCCAGCAATGCAGGACTGTGAGTCAATTAAACCTCTTTCCTTTATAAATTAGCCAATCTTGGGTATTTCTTCATACCAGCGTGAGAACAGACTAAAACAGATAGCATGGAAGTATTTAATTATGAGCTAATAAAACATTGGACAAGTATTGGAGGAAAAGAACTATACACAAAAAAATAAAATTGGAGATTGCTCAAAGGCAAAACCCTGGCTAGTATCATAGTGAAATACACAGAAGATAAAACTGAAAAAAGCAAATCATATGAATAGGTGAAAATGTGAGTTTAGGATTAGAAAGAAAATGAGTGACATGAGAGAAAAACAAATTACAATAATGGCATAAATCGGCTGGGTGAGGTGGCTCACACCTGTAATCCCAGCACTTTGGGAGGCTGAGGCGGGCACATCACGAGGTCAGCAGTTTGAGACCAGCCTGGCCAACATGGTGAAACCCCGTCTCTTAAAAATACAAAAATTAGCCAGGCATGGTGGCGAGCGCCTGTCATCCCAGGTACTCAGGAGGCTGAGGCAAAAGAATTGCTTGAACCCAGGAGGCGGAGGTTGCAGTGAGCTGAGACTGCACCACTGCATTCCAGAGCCTGGGCAGCAGAGGGAGACTGTTTCAAAATTAAATAAATAAATAAATAAATAAATAATGGCATAAATGGAGTTCCCAAATAAAAGCAGAACAATGGAACTAGACAAATATTTAAATCTATAATTTAATGAAGTCTTGATGTTAGATTTTGCCATTCTTATTTAGAGGACATATTGTGTGCTAGGGAAAATTGACCTAGAGTGGCTAGCATCAAGGTGTATTACTGGACTTAAATATAAGAATACTTTGTATAACAGTGCACAAAATAAGGAGAAAAATGAGTCTGGCTTTAGACTCTAAAATAACCTTCAGTACAAAAAACTACCACAATCATCAGATACTTAAATGAAGAAAGTGGGAGCCAAACTATCCTTTAAGTAAAAAAAAAATGCCATCAAATATTTTTTAGCCATACAGCAAATTATTTCTGTGACTAAATCTTGAGGAAATTGCTGGGGATGAAGTCCAACCAACTACGAATGACTGGAGAAACTATTGCTAAGGACAGCTGGTGAGCACTGAATAAATTTAACCATAAGACGAAGAATAAAATACACGTTCATATTACTGTGACAGACCAGAATTTACTTTTTATATATGCTAATAATGTAGAAATGACTCAACTGTAATGAATTGGGAGAGGATTGAGAAAAGAAGGAAAGTAGAGCAAGTGCAAAGAGTCAGAATTTCCATGTAAGCGGAAAGATGAAATATTACAAATGTAGGCCTGTTGACTAAAATTTGATGATGTAGATGAAAGGAAAAAATTAAGAGTAAATATGCTGACATTTACATTTCTCATAGTAAGGAAATACCCTTTTTAAGCCGATGGAAGATTACTTATTCTTTCATAGTTAAAAAGATAAGCAGTTCTATAAAATTATAGAGCTTCCAAAATATTAAAGATCTGTATGGATAAAACTAAGAACAATATATGTAATGGAACCTTAAAAAATCTGTAAAGATCAGTAAGCGTAACATAAAATATGACATATCTTAAGACCAGTCATGCTGTCATAAAAAATAAATGTAGAAGCTTTTATAAATCACCTGTTAAGAAAAATATCACAATTGATCACAGTAATAAAACCCAGTTCTATATGCAAGAAACATACAAAAAAACCAAAGTGGTTTTGAAAGGTTGAAAGTAAAAGGATGAGTAAAGATTTATTATGTAAGTACAAAGAAAGCAAAAAGTAGGAATCATGATCTTAATATTGGACAAATTAGAATACAAGCCAAAAAGCAATAACCGTTAGATAAAGAAGAATTCTTCATAATGATAAAATAGAAACATTCATAAAATAGAAATTACAGGAGAAACGGACAGTCACTTAAAGTTTAAAACTTTAAAACAAACTTTAATTGACCTATTTCAGTCCACAAAAAGCCAAGAAGTATCTGAAATGGTGGGATAAATCTTCTTGTCCTTAAACTTTTGTGGGTCGGTGTGTAGGAAGATTGGAGTGCTACGATGCTGGCTTCAGGGGCTCATGGTGCAGGACTTACAGCTTGCTAAGTTTTATACTACAAGTCAGTAAGTTTAGAGGGTGCTTTGCCTGACACCACCTGTGGGGATCTCATCATTTAAAATTCACAGCCATGAGATTTGACCTTGACTCTGTGGATAGTGAAAAATAGCAACTCATCTAAAGGGGCCTACTAGCCAGAAGCAGGATGAGAGAATCATCAAACTATGTACCCAATGAAGTAGAACTATGGTAGAGGCTATTGTGGAACATTTAAATTTCATTTATACAAAGAGCTTTTGAGATTCAAATAGAGCACGAAAGATAATAATCTACTCTTTTAGCTGATGATTTTTTAACCAGTTCACCCTGATGAGTGGACTGGAAGATCTCAAAGCATGGGTGAAAAATAGAGAGTGAGAGAAAAGATAAAGCCTTACAAAATAAGAGACTTCACATGTGACTATTAAGAGTTCTTAGAAGAGAAAACTGATGGGTGTAAAAACTAGATATCCTGAAACACTTTGAACTACTAAAAACTTACAAATGTTGGATAAAAATATGTCAAAAATCCTATTAAACATATAGGTGTGCACACAAAAGTAAAGGAAATTTTCATATGCCAGAAATGAAAATCAAGCATATTAAAAGAAACAAGATTTTAAAAACAAGGTAATTTTAAAATAAACCATGTAATTTAAAAATCGTAAGTAACTTGTGGAAATGAAAAGGTAATAATTACAATGAACACCTATATGGAAACAGTAAACAGATTCAACAAAGCTTCAGAAAGAATTGGTGAACTGAGAAATAGAACTGAAGAAATTACCTAGAATTCAATGCCAATAAACAAGATTACAAACATGAAATTCAGAGAGATGGAGAAAGAAGGAAAGGAAATATGAATAATAGGAGTTACAGAAAAGAGGAAGAGAGAATGAAGAAGAGGCAATATTCAAAGTAAATTACTGAAGTTTTACAAAATTGATGAAAGAGCTGATTTCTCAGATTTTGGAAGTAAAATCAATCAGGGAAAATTAGCATGGAATCTTATCACAAAGTGAAACTCCAGAACACAAGGTCAAGGGGAACAACAAAGGGAAGTTAGCTGTATAATATTAAAAGAAATATAATATTTAATAAAAACAATATAGTACATATTTGTGAATAAACAGAGCAAAGTGCAGTCCACAGAGTGACCCAAATACTTAGCAGATTTTAGTGCTAATAAAGGTGCCATGTCTGATGAATAGAGTGATGATATACTTAAAAAAAATGCTGTCTGTTAAAGAAATGGAACAAATGATGTATTTTTATTTGCATTTAAAAAGTCAATAGGCAGTTATAACAAATATACTACTATGGTGAGGGATGTTGACAGTGGGGAAACCTGTGTGTATGTAGGGGTAGGGACATATGGGACTCCCTGCTTTCTGCTCAGTTTTACTGTGAACCTAAAACTGCTCTAAAAATGAAGTGCGTTTAAAAGAGAAGGGGAAAGTGGTATGGAAATGAGAAATCATAAAGTGTTCACTTGTATGGGGGAGCTGTGAGTGATGTGTAAATGTAACAGATGAGTTGTAAAATCTCTCTGTGTATCTTTTTATGTCATCATATATTTTTAACTAAGTAAATGTACTACTTATTCTAAAAATTAAATGTTAAAAGCTGGTATTGCATTATTTAAATATATAAAAATTTTAAGGCAAAAAAATTAATGAGGATGAAGGGGGCACCATATTATGAAAAAGGTATAATTCACTAGGAACGTAAAACAGTTTCAAATGCATATACACTTAGTGTAGGTGAGTTATAGAAATCTATTATTGACTAAATTTGGAAGAGTATTTTACACATTTTAACATATTTTTCTCCTTAAAAGATCAGTTACAAAAAATCTCAAAAGTATAATTTGAAAAAAAAAAATCCATTGGCTTGAGTATCATACACATTCTTTTTAAGCACACAGAACTATAGAAATTATTTAAATGAGGCCATAAAGGAGGCTTAATAAATTTAAATAAATTGTCATGCAGATGACTTTCTCTGCAAACAGTGCAATTAAACAAGAAATCAATGACAAAAATTAAAGTTAGAAAATAGAAATATGTGTCTTCTAAATAACTATAACAAGAAGTTATTCATTATGCAAATTATAAAATGCAGTAAAAATGTTAAAAAATATGTATATTTACACTTGTGAGATTAGGTCTAAATGATATTAGAGAAAATTCATAGTTGTAAACATTTATATTGAAAGCAGAAAGGTACTTAGATTTTCATTTTTCTAGGTTCTCAGTTATGCTTACCTCATTAATTGTCAGCCTAAGAAGGCAAAAGAAATAATGAAGGGCAGAAGGGAATGAAACACAAAGCGAGACTATTAAACAGAGTAACGGCAAGGCCAAAAATCTGTATTTTCACTTATAATTTCCCATGCCTAGCTAGATAAAGAAGGAATCAGCCACTGTTTCACCTAATAAAATTAGATGAAATTTTATTCACCAAAATTGGATATGGATTATCCAATTACAAGGGAATTATAAGGGAAATTTATGGTCAATCTCCCCTATGAACATGAGTCTATCGGTTACTTTTTAAAAGTATACAGCTTAACCAAGTTGAGGGTAGTGATAGAATGTAAAGGTGGTTTAACATCAGGACAACATTTCATCTATTTATTAACAGGAGAATGGCTATATAATTATGATGTGTGCAAAAAATTTTTTAAAATTCGGTATCATTCATCATAAAAATTTTTAGCAAACCACAAATAGAAAATAATTTCTTAAATCTGGTAACATACATCTACTGAAAACTTTCCACAGTCCAGTTTAGTAATGAAATGTTAGAAGCATCCCCTTTGAATAACTAACAAATAATGAAAGCCTGGTTTCACCACCCCTGTTCGACATCCTATTGGGCAATATTTTGGCATTTATAAAACACTCCACCTAAAGCTAGCAAAATTGTTTTCAAGTGCACATGCAGCTTTCTCCAAAATGTATTATGAGTTGGGCTATAAAACATAAAACAAGTCTCAGTAAATTTAAAAACTAATAAATCAAAGTATATTACCTGACCACACAATTAAATTTGAATGAAAGAGGTTTGAGAAATTGCAAGGTATTTGGAGGTAAAGAACATAACTAATTCTTGAGTCAAAAAAGAAATAAAGAACATTAGACGTTAGTTAGAACTGAATGGAAACAAAACCACAGCACAGACTACTTATTGAATGCTTATGTATTGCTGATGGAATGCAAAATCCTGCAGCCATGTTCCAAAAGGATTTCCTAATTTCTTAAAAAGTATTACAATACTTAGGAATGTATCCAAAAGAAGTGATAACATGTTCATAGCCAGACTTTGCATGAATATTCTTAGTACTATTATTATTATTATTATTATTATTATTATTATTATTATTATTTTGAGATGGAGTCTCACTCTGTTACCCAGGCTGGAGTATGGTGGTACAATCTCCGCTCACTGAAACCTCCGCCTCCAATGTTCAAGTGATTCTCCTGCCTCAGTCTCCCATGTAGCTGGGACTACAGGTGTGCGCCACCACACTCAGCTAATTTTTTTGTGTATTTAGTAGAGACGGGGTTTCACTATGTTGGTCAGGCTGGTCTCGAACTCCTGACCTCAGATGATCCGCCCACCTCAGCCTCCCACAGTGCTGGGATTACAGGCATGAGCCAGTGTGCCCAGCCAGTACTATTATTAATAATAGCTCCAAACTAGAAACAATCCAAAAGTCAATCAGCTGATGAATGGATAAACCAAATGTTTTATGGCCATACATGGAATACTATTGTGCAATTAAAAGGAAACAAACTGCCGATGCATACTATGGCATAATGAGTCCTAAAACTATTAATGCTAAGTGAAAGAAGCCAGATGCAAAAAAACTGTATACTGTATGCTTCTGTTTATATTAAATGTCCAGAATGCAAATAAGTGGTTAAATGGGGCTAGCAATGGGAGTGGGAATTAACTGCCAGTGGGCACAGGGAACTTTTTAGGATGATAAAAATGATCTACAACTCTATTGTAATGATAGTGGCATGACTCTATGTAATTCTTTAAAGTCAATTGTTCATTTACAAAGTGTGTGAATTTTGCGGTATGTGTAGTATACCTCAGTAAAGCTAGTAAAAATGTGAAAGCAAAATTTAAAACTCTTCGAAAGTGCAGGATAATAGTATTATCACCTTGGATTAAGGAAGGATTTCTAAAACAATAAGTACACATAAATCATACAGGAAAAAGATAAATTTGACCATTAGAATAAAAAGTACTTTAAAAGATACCATAAAAAGTGAAAAGACAAGGCACAAAGTGAAAGAAGATATTTGCAGTTTATCTAGGATACAATGGATTTGTATCCTAAACATATGCAAAATCGTGCAAATAAATTAGAAAAAGAACATCTGTTAGGATCATGAAGAATATAAACAGATGATTCACTGAAGAGGAAACTTGAGTTAGCAGTAAACATATGGGTAATATACTCAACTTCAGTAGTAATCAAGAAAGTGCAAATAAAACATGCATTTAATGCTCATCAGGATGGTAAATTTTAAAACTTGACAGTATCAGGTGTTTGACAAAGAATGTACATCAGTGGAAATTCTCTCCAACCACTGGTGGAATTATATACTGGTACAATCAGATTGAAGAATAATTTACAATTTTTAAAAAGGATAAAGATACTTACACTCTATGACTAAGGAACTCTCTCCTTGACATAGAGAAACTCTCATGTGTATGAACAATGTTCAATATAACATTGTTAATATTAATTAAAAGTTGGAAACAACACAGAACAGGAGAACAGATAAATAAGATATATTCATACAGTTGGATATATTCGGAACTGAAAATGAATGATGTAAACTCCCCTTCCACAAACCAAACATAAAGCAAGTTGCAGAAGGATACATAATATTGATGCAATTTATTTAAATTTCAAAAATATGTAAAGACAAAATTGTAGATTGTGTATGAATATTCATCTAATTAATTTTCATCTTCTGTGAAAATTAACCTCTTTTTGCACTAAAATCCAAGTTTATATTAGTCATGTATCTAGAATGTAGAAATGTGTCTTAAAGTTCCTTTATTTTTTAAAAGTTTATGGGGTTTCCAGAAGATGTGAGAGCCTTCCTTCCTTATAAAATACCTCATTCCACATTGTTCAATAGTTTCCTCTTTGATTTATCTATCTCCTCTCATTATATTAAGCAAGGAGAAATCAAAACACACCATCCACACTTTGCTTAGAAATCCCCTCAGCTAAGTTTTAAGTGTCACCTACTAATTCTAATTTTATCCAATATAACCTAATTAAGATACATTCTATAACCAGGTACACATGTTTTCCAGTATCCAATACAATGTTAGTGACAGAAACAAAGCAGGTGTGCTCTCTGCAATGTGGTCATCTGAGGCCTGAGATGACAGGTCACACAGGTATTTTTCCGGTTTCTAAGGGTGGAGGCAGCAACGGTGGTTAACGATTCTGAACAGCACTGGCTCCTACCTAAAACGTTACAGGTAAAGTTACTGCTGCTATTTTATATTAACACCTTATTAGAATAAAGCTCTGAGGAAGAGACCACATCCTAGGTCACACAGTGTGGAGGAATGGAGCTGTGCTCAGCTCTCCACACTAGCTACAAGATCCCAGGCACAAGCCCATGTCCCACAGATGCATGGCATCCAGAGGGCAGGACTCGGGATGATCTCAGGGCATCTGCTTCCTGGGGTAGAGTACTTGCGACCGTCAATTGTGCACTTGCTGCTCCTGCAGGCTCTGAAGTGAGCACTTGTATTGCCATGAATTATACATGTTCTCTCCCCTAACATGGAAAGAAAACATATTTATTTAATTTTCCATTTTACTGTCTCTGAAGCACGTTGGGTGAGAGAAAGAAAGAAATCACATCCTTTATCCTCCCACACAGCCAAAGATTCCTGAAGACAGAGCTGATGCCATGTACTCAAGTGGGTCTCTGCCTCTCAGAGGTGGCCTTGGTCTTCAAGTTTCAGCAATTCTGGGAAGCCAAGGACACCTCCATCTCCTCCTGCCTGATCTGCAACTCATCTGAGAGCAGCTTTCTCATTGGAATGTCTTGTGTTTAAGGAACAAGAATCCCTGTTTCCGGTTTGGGTGCCCAAGTGCACCTACTGGATCCAACCCAGGATTGGAGATACTTTGCAGAACACAACATCATCTGGCACATGACCAGCCATGGTGTTTCACTTTCACAATTTCAGCTTCCTTCACTGATGGCAGCATAATCGTGGTTCAGCAGCCTCCAAGACCAGGGCTGGTGTGGGCGGCTACAGGGAGAAATTGAAGAGGAAGTTCTTGGTGGTGCCCTCCATGAGTACAAAGAAGCCTCACAGTCCCCAGGACACCCTTCCGTGCATGGTGTCACTGACATCTTTATTTCTTTTGTCACGTTCTGTAAATCACAATGAATGGGGTATTCTTCTTCTATTATATATTTGTTAAGTCTTTTTTGGCATCTTTAAAAAAAAGTGGTAACTTTATCCTATGTAATATCCCTGTTAAGTCCTAAAAGTCTTTTCTGATGTCTATTTTGTCTGAAATTTGCACAGCTACTATAGCTTTATTTCGGTTCATATTTTCATAATCCATGTTTTCTCATCCTTTTATATTTGTGAATGTGTAAAGTAACTTTCTTGTGCATAGCTAAGAGTTTGGTCTTGCTTTTTTAAATCGACTATAAGTTCTATTTTTAAACTAATATTTTCTCTTATTTTTTGTTTAAGATAGCATTTCATAATGATGTTTATTTCTCCATTAACATATTACCTAATTCACTTTTTATAAATATTATATTTGTTACCATAAGGTTTGCAAAAGGAGCGATTCTTCATTTTGGAACCCTTTCTTATTTTCTGGGTACCATGAGAAATTGTAGACTTTACTCCTATATTCTCTTTCCAAGCCCTAGGATTAGCCATTTTTCCAAGAAATGTTGCATACCATTCTGCTATGAAAGGAACCAAAACTCAAATCTTGATTCTGGGTGTATTTTTTGTTAATTTGCTGTCTTTTCTTGTAGAACCTCTCAGGTAATGACTCTAGGAGGTATGTGTTGTGTATTAACCCATATATACACACACATCTAAACTATTTTTATTTAATTTTTATACCTATATTATGCTAAACTTGCAAATATATTGACACATCTGCCCTAAGTTAATACCACATGAATGTTTATTACCTACCTTCTATTCCTGTCCCTAACCTCGCACTCCAACCGTGAGGAACCCCCTCCTGCCACACCCTGTCTATTCCCTTTGTAGTCCAGTTCCAGGATTTCTGTAGAGTGGAACCAGATTGTGTATGTTTTGCTCTTTTGTGGAACATCATCAGCTGGGGTACAGTTCTGACGTGCACTTTCTTTATTCTTTTATTGACTACACTATTTCTGAGGTCACTTGGCACCTCTTCTGATTTCATACATTTGTAATGACATTAGATATTTTCTATATTGTCTGCATTCTATCCTGGAATTCCTAATCTCCTATTTATTTATATTTTTGTGAATTGGAATTAACCCTTTATGCTGTATATTCTGTTGATTTCAACAAATTCATATCACATATTTACCATTATAATATTATACATAATACTTTCATCACCCTTTTAAATCTATTTTTTACCCATTTTCATCATCTCCTTAAATTTCTCGCAAATACAGAATCACTTTGTGTGTTTGGACTTCTCCAGAATATCAAATAAATAACATATTATGTAGCTTTTTCAGACTTGTTTCTTTCACTTAACAATATGCATTTAAAATTCATTTATGTATTTTTATGGTTTGATAGCTCTTGTTTATAATTGCTGAATATTATTCTATGAATTTACCGCCGACTGTTTATCTACTCACCTACAGAACTACTTGAGTGTTCCTAGTTTTGACAAATATGAATGAACTTACTGTGATTATTCATGTGTAGTTTTCTTTGTGGTCATACATTGAAAGTCAGATAGATAAATACCTAGGAGCATGGGTGCTGGATTGCATGCCAAAACTATGTTGAGATTTGACTGAATTTGCCTCCTAGAATTTCTGTGAAGTGGAGGCGCTCAGCTGACCCTGTCTCCTTGCTGGGAGGAAGCTCAGTGCTCAGGGTGGGGCCACCTGGGTGGATCCAGGCTAAGCTCCCTCTCAACAATTAGGGACAGCAGCCTGCCCTGTGGATGCACATCTAGGAAACAGATGCCCCAGACATGCATTGTCCAGGACCACAGAGATGCTTAGGAGTCAGACAGGAAGGGGCACACTGAGGAGCAGGTGCTGGGATAGACCAGGAGGGGAGCTTCTAGCAAAATCCTTGGTTCTCCTTTAGCGAAACTATATCTAACTCCCAGGAAAACTTCCACTCCATCATTTGTAACCCATGCCCTGAAATTTCCATGCTCAAACTCAGTAAACTCAGTGGATTTAGCTGGAAGTGTGAAAAAAAACTAAAATGAAAATGACTCGTTAATTCTGTGATAATTGGTCATTTTCTAGGGAACACCCCAATAATATTGATGATCATAATGTTAATGTCAAAAGCAACATACACCGTCAGCATGATGGCAGTGTGTCTCCTGGTAGAATATATTTATTACTTGAAAATTATGCTCAAAACAGTCTTTTCCCACAGAAAATCCCACTTTCTCTTCTCACACAGTCAATTTCAGTATCCTGATCCTCAGAGTTGGAAGCACCGTGTCCTCAGGAGATAGGAGGGAAAGTCACTAGCATGGCCCTGGAGTCTTGGTGCCAGATTCTTCATCTTTGTGGCAATCAAAAGGCAAATATTCTGTACCTACTTGAAGGACTTCATAAGCAAATTACGATTTAATTTACAAGAACACTATGTCACACGTATACACACAGGTTTTTTATATTTGTTGTCTTTTCCGTGATTATCTCTTACAGTGTTGTATATTTAATATATTCATTTTATTTTAATTTTATGTAGGTTCCTCATTCCTTCATATGTGTATTACATTTCCCTGGAACTATCACGTATTTTATATACTTAGCAATGGAAAGCTCCTGGTTTCAGTTGTCTGTGCAGCAGGCAGGGGGAGGAGAAGAAAATGGGTCACACTCCTGACCCTGCCTGCATAGCCACAGGTTCCCAAAAGCAGAGGTCCCTGCTGTGCACCTTCCCTGGGACAACTTTCTTATTGATGGGTCTTGTGTTTAATTAATGAGAGTTTGTTTTAGGGGTATGGGCCCAGGTGCAGCTACTGAATCCAGTGCAAGAGTGGAAATAAGCTTCCAAAACAGTATCACCTGAGAGAGAACTGAGTCCATCCCTGTAGTACCATCTGAGTTACAGCTTCCTGGGCAAAGGCTCAGAATCATAAAAACTTCACATATGTGTCATGTGCTGTGATTCTTCTGTGTCACTGTATGTTGAGCTATATCTGCGTGGTGCCACTTACACTTAATGAGATGAGATTCCTTCTACTTGTTTCACGTCACTCGTGATCTCTGAAGCTACTTCAGATTTCTGCTTTAATATGTAAAGAGCATGTCAATCATCACCCACATTCTTACCATAATAAAAGTCTGGAAAATTGATTATCAATGATTTCTTGGATCTATTGAAGAAATGAAATTGCAGGGAAAACCAGGACCCAAAAACTAGAAAGACATTAAAATAGAGATCATAACACTGACGGGACAAACTTTCTGTGGCAATAAGATACCCAATTATAAACAAGACCTAAGGCCATGCCAGGCAGGGATTAAGTCACTCACCCCTACACTTAAAAAATAGACTATGTTGTGACTGCCACAGGGCTTTTTGTTTTTCTCTAACAGCTAAACAAGCACTGGTCCTGAGATAAGCAATATTAAAACATTTGCAGTTCATGGAACTTCAGACATGGAGTAATTGTGACCTTGTTTCACAAGCCATAAATAGAGCTTTGATTGGACAAGAGATGGATTTCAGTAACTTTCTCCTGAAAAGAGACCACTGACCATAGACTTGGCCTCACCAATTTCCAGAGGCTGTGCACTGTGTTTTTTTTCCGCCCCTGCACAAAGCCCTTTTGATGTGCAGGGCCCAACTGTAATTCAGTTAGTTCTTAAGTCCTCACCCCAAAGCAAACATGAAGTGCATGTAGCGTGTCTGTCTGATTATTAGACCTGAGAGCATGCCTGCCATGTGAATATCCACAGCTCCTATAGCCTGCTGAGTGTGTATACTTGGCCAACGCATTCACATGAATTCATTTCTCGTCTTTCCCTGTCTTGAAGTACCTGCTCAATGTCTCTGTGGGAGGCTTTGCTTCCCAGCCTGTTAAGATGGCCGTCCTGCAGCTTCAATCCTTTCTCAGAAATAAAGTCCCCTTTCTAAATCAATAAATTGGGTGATTCTTCAGTTGACAGCACAAGCTGGCGGAAACATGGTAATTCCATAAATGTCTGGAGGACAGGTGTGGACAGGGATGGGGTAAGAACTCCTGGGGGGCCACACACCCCACACTATCATGGAATTTCCCTCCAGAAAATTCTGGGTTCTCAAGATGAGAGTCCAAACAGAATCACTCGTAGCTCTGTCGTCAGGAGAACTATTCTGTGATAAATATGCCCAGAACTTTCTCCTAACAGATGCTACAGAGACAAAATACTTTTCAAGATCTTTATTCTATGTGAGAGGAAGGGATTCTTTTCCATCCCAGACAGCTTCATCTTAGCCTTCCCGTGTCATGAAAAGGGGTATAATTAATAAACAACTGGGGTCAGATTCAAGAAAATAATCTGTGGATGCTGCAGCCAGGAGGGGAAGTGGAGGATGGAGGAAAATCCGCTGTACCACTGGAGACTCCTTGTAAAGGGTGCAGCCTAGAGAAAACACAGCAAGAAAACATTGGAAGTCAATTTCCAGAACATATACTGCTCCCCTGTCCACTGCATCACCTCCCCTCCTCACCAATAGGATTAATCTGGATTAAAGAGAAAAGTGTGATAATGCACAGACTCTGTCCAAACACTACAACTTAGGGAAACCAAAGGCAGTGGGAGAGAACAAGTCAAGGACAGTGAAGTGATTCAAAGCCTCTGAGAACAACAGCTTCAGGAACAAGGTCACAGCCTCTCCCTCAATGGCCTTAGATTTACTTCTCATGGGGCATCTGCAGGGTTCCCAGGTGAGAACTGGCAAAGAGAACATGAAGGTACTTTCCAAATCTCCAGTAATACTGAGCTTGCTTTAGCTCTGTCTGGAAAAAATAACAACAACAAACACAAGCAGGACTATGGCCAGTGTTGGAAGCACTTTTCATTGACAAGACACTTGGAAGGAGGGCAAATCTGAGTCTCGTTACTGTGCAAATGTGCCACTGTGAGTGTATGTGTGTGTGTGGGGGGGGTGCTTTGAGACATAGGGTCTTTGTGTAAAGTTACAATCTGATGTGATCGTCAACCACAGAATCCTAAAAAAAAATAGAGGCTGCCCCAAAGTTCCCATCGGTTCCTAGACTTGCCATGTGTCCGGACCCTATCAGTGCACCTAGAACTCCAGGGAAGGGGCTCCCTGGTGGCTTTAGTGATTCCTTGTTGCTGTGCTGAGGTCTCCCGGTAGATTATGTCGGGTGTTCTAAGGCCTATTTGCTACTGTAAGAGATGGTGGGAGAAGCAATTGCTGCCATTGAAAGAGCATTCTGAGTCAGGGCAAGGCCACTTCATACTGTGCTTGAGACGCTGGGAGGAGAATTCTCTATGAGCCCAGACAGGAACTTTCCTGCAGGGCAGGAGCTGAGCTGCAGGGGGCGCTCAGGGCGCACCCAGCACAGGATCCAGCCCTGGAGCAGGTTCACAGGAGGCTGGGGAGGGGTTTTCTCTCAGGAATTGAATGTTCTTTGTTTCAAAGCAATAATAACCTAAAATCTAAATAAGAATGTAGTAAGTACTGATGTGTCTTTAAGTATTCTATTATATATGTAGCCTATACCTAACCAAATAATTGAATGCAAACAGCATTTAAAAGGAGAAATGTCTAGTCTTTTCAAATGTATTTATAGTTAGGAATTGAAGAGTGGTTTTATTAATTCAATGGGTGTTACTGTCGGAAGATACACTCATCCCAGAATTTAGATGTGCAGAGGTCAAGGCCCAGGAAAAGTTCAGGTTGTCAGGGTGCCATATGAACAAGAAATGACATTGAGGACAATGTCCTGGGAGATTCTGGTTTTCTGTAAAACGAGTTCTGTCTTCATGGACTTCTGAGCATAACAGAGGGCAAATATCATTAAACAAAGTTCAGGGCAGGGAGCTCTGCATCCCACTGTGGCGTGGTCCGTGTGTCACCTATCTTCTTCCTCAGGTTGAGGTGCCTTGAGCTATGAAATACCTGCCTCGTGAATATGCAAATGCACTGCTGTCTACCGAGGTACATACAGATCTGTCCTTGCCCAGAGAGCATCACACAACAACCACATCCCTCCCCTACAGAAGCCCCCAGAGCACGGCACCTCACCATGGACTGGACCGGGAGGATCCTCCTCTTGGTGGCAGCAGCCACAGGGAAGAGAATCCTAAGTTCCAGGGCTGATGAGGGGACTGGGTCCAGTTAAGTGGAGTCTCAACCACTTCTCTGTCCTCTCCACAGGTGCCCATTCCCAGGTCCAATCGGTGCAGTCTGGGGCTGAGGTGAGGAAACCTGGGTCCTCAGTGAAGGTGATTCCAGATACACCTTCACCTTCCACTACATACACTGGGGGCGACAGGCCCCTGGAAAAGGGCTTGAGTGGATGGAACGTGTTGATCCTGAAGATGGTGAAACAATATATGCACAGAATTCCAGGGCAGAGTCACCACGACCTGGGACACGTCTACAGACACAGCCTACATGGAGCTGAGCAGCCTGAGATCTGAGGACACAGCCGTATATTAATGTGCAAGACACGCAGTGTGAAAACCCACATCCTGAGAGTGTCAGAAACCTTGAGGAAGGAGGCAGCTGTGCTGGGGGTGAGAAGATGACAGGATTTATGAGGTTTAAACGTGTTTAGAAAATGGGTTAAGTAATTGAGGAAAAGAAGCAATAGAAAGATGTATACACTCTAATTATATAGGAAATAGTCTTTTCAACTTTCACCCTGTAAGTAAAATTCACAGAGTGGGAAAGGCAGCAATCAATCAGGCTGATGCAAACACTCCCATGGAAGCCTTGTGGGGACATAACATTTTAAAATCGAATGGATAAATCATTTGGAGCAGGATTGCTTTATCACGTGGTAAGACTAAACATAATTTCTAAGAAGTGGCCAACATTTCTTCCAAAATGTCTTTGCCACTTTTTTTACATTACATTTATTTTAAAACACTTTTAGGATCACAGCAAATTTGAGTAGAAGAAACAGAGTTCCCATGTATTCCTGCCCAAGATACGCACAGACTTCTCCGTGATCAATACCCTGCACTGAAGTAATAACTTGCAACTGACAAACCCGCATGGACACATTAATTGTTTCCTTTTCTGGCGTCCCCTAGTATAACAAGCCTAAACTATCTTGAAACACCCCGGGTTCCTCAAGCGGATTACTGGGAATGATGCCAGGTAGAGGGAAAGTGGGTGGGGACGTTCCTCTTTGCACTCTTTCCTCAAGAATCCATAAAATGTACATTGATTTGGAGCTCATCTGACTTGTTTTTCTATGCCCCTTCCCAGAGGGTAAGGTCTCCAAGCATTTACAGCAGAGGTCCCCAACCCCTAGGCAGTGAACCAGAACTGGTCAGCAGCCTGTTAGAAACCAGGCAGCACAGCAGGTGAGCGGCGGGTGAGCATCACTGCCTGAGCTCCGCCTCTTGTCAGATCAGCTGTGCACTAGATTCTCCTAGGATCCAAATTCTATTGTGAACTGGGCATGCAAAGGACCTAGTTTGAGTGCTCCCTATGAGAATCTAATGCTTGATGAATGCAGGTGGAGTAAGTTCATCCCATAATCACTCACCGCCATCATCCATGGAAAAATTGTCTGCCACGAAACCGTTCCCTGGTGCCAAAAATGTTGGGGACCACTGGTGTAGAGGAAGGTCTGTGCCTGTGAAAGGCCAGCAGCTTCTGGTGAATCCCATAATCAATGTCCTTTAATGAGAAGTGAAGACTTTGGCCATGAGGGCTTTCATGAATAATGCCCTTCAGTTGAATTCAAAACACTATAAGCTCTTGGGGGGTGTTTCTGGATAAAGGCCTTTGTGAAGAAAATACAAACACATGCATGGGATCCAGGCAGGAAAAAAGCTTCCCTTAGAAAGTGGTTTGGTACCTGGAAGGAGCTCTCAGGGTTGGGCACTGGACCCCTTGCTGGCTGCACTTTAGCCAGAGGCCTGAGCCTGATTGATCTTGCAGCGAGAGAGCCTCACTGGGGTCACAGGTTACCAAAATGCCTGTCATCTTCCAGCTGAGCAAGCCCATCTGCATGCTTGTCACTGTCAACCCCATGAGGGGTGCACTCTGGAAGATGACAAGATGCACACAAACCTCCTCCCCCCACTTATCCACTACCACACAATCGAAACCAATTTATATTCCAGAAAGGGACAGGTGCCTGCAGGGATAAACAGAATGGAAGTATTATCTTACCTGGGAAAGACACTGCCAAATACCACATGTTTCAGGAAGATCAACTCATAAGTGTTCAGGAAGTGACTGAAGGGCAACGGTGGGTGAAGTGACGTGGCAGCCTCAGGGCTGCATGTGAGGAGGGCTCCCTCCCCCATGCAGGCTTTGCCTCCAGGAGCTGCACCAGGAACTCACAGAGGATCAGGAATTATTCTGAGAACATACTTCTGAGTGCTGCCTACAGGGAGAAAATAAATTATAAAAAATAAATCAATTCTAAACAAAATATGACATTTGTTATTAGAAACTATTTCTGGAACCTGTGGGAAACAAACCAACCCTGTGGCTGACAGCAACCACCGGCAGCCACCATCCCCTCCACAGCCCTGTGTTTGGAACATCACCTGAGTGATTGTATAAGGAACTGTCTTTCAGAATCATCTTAAAAACTTATGTGTCCCATTTCACATGGAGAGGTCATCTATCCATTTTGTCTTCATAGAGAAATAGAAGGAGGTGAATACCAAATACACTTCATATCTCCGGATTATTCAAATCTAATTGCCCCTTTATCACCTTCTGATTTCTGGTCTACACAGAACAATCTGCAAATTTTTCTCACTGGTGTTATACTAAAACTTGTGAAGGGCCAGATACTGGAATAATTTCAACTTACATTATTATTCTAATAATTCTAAGAATTTAGAATTAAGATTATCCTCTTTTCATAGATGGACAAACTAACCTAGATATTTGAAAATAAACCCTTAACTGAGACTGAAAAGATCAGCCATAGATTTGGAGAATTTGCTTGCAAATCCAATATTTGGAAAAGGGCTTTTATCACAAATATATAAATTGACTTATAATTGAACAAAAACAAAACCACAAAATTTATTTTTAAAATGGGCAAAGACCTGAAGAGAAACCACATCTAAAAGTAAAGATAAAAAGTGATCAGTTTGATTTTTATTAGGTAAATGTACATTTAATATTCAAAAAATACTGCTAACCTGCTAAAATGGGTAAAATAAACAATATAGACAATACCAAATGGTGAAGAGAAAGCTGAAAATCAGGAACTTTCACTTACTGCTGTTGGGAATGCTAAAATGGTACATAGACAACTACAGTTAATAATTTATTGTATATTTGAAAATAGCTAGAAGAGAAAATTTAGAATGTCCTTAACACAAAGAAATAATCAATGATTGAGATGAAGGATATCCCGGTTATCCAGGTTTGATCACTGCACATATTATTTTATCAAAATATCACATGTACCACATAAAGGTTTTGAACTGTTATGTATCTGTATAAATTCAACATTTAAAAATCAAATGCAGGGGAATCCAGCTAATTGCAGATTCCCATTAGATGGGATGTTCTATGTAATCTGTAAACTAATCAGAATCTGTGGGTTTGTAAAAGGACTTTAGAAATCAACTAGATTACTTGTTTCTAAAGATAAGTCTTGCAAGTTTAATTATTTTCCTAATGGGGGGCAATTTTGAACACAGAAGAAATGTTAACATTTGTTTCTTGTAACTTTTCTTCTAGTATCAGGAGAGAAGGTTTGCAGGGAGGAATCTGGGACCATCTTTCATGTCTCAACTTTAAAGTGATTACCTCAATGAATATTTTCTGATACCCCTGATTAGGATAAGTCTCATATATGTCCTATAAACTAAAAATAGAATTCTAAGCAACCCAACTGGCTGAATGGACCCTTCCTCTTCAAAAAGGAGTTCCAGAGATACTTGAAAAGCTAGTTTAGGCCATGTTAGCAAGAAAGGATCAGAAATGCCTCATTATGCACTCCTGCCTTTGGAATTCAAGCACAACTAACCAGCATTTTCATTCAAACAGATCTTAAGGCTCAGAAAACAGATTCTTTGTAGCAGTAAGATACCAAATTCTAACCTGACTCAAGAATAGCATCACATGACAGCAGGCCTTGAGAGGAATCAAAGTCTTTTGCCCTAAAGTATATTTTTGACATATTTTAAATTGCCCTGCACAGTTATATTTTGTGAGAGAAATTTACATTCTGTAGAGAATCGCTTTACCTTTCCAGGTGTTTTTGTTATATGGAGGAGATTAACTGAGAGTCTAGCATCTTTTAAAGGTCTTAATAGAAAACACTTGCCATCTATTGCCTCTAAGGGTGGCCACATAAGAGACTTCATCTGCATAATAAGAATATTGTTCTCCAAAGCCCGCTCTCTAAATCTAGAAACTTTTTCAACTGATTTCAGGTCTTTAGATAAAACCTTAAGTCTTTTAATCAATTGCCAATAAGAAAAACTTTGAATCCACCTGTAAGCTGTAATCCCCTCCCCACACTGCCTCACTTCTTGCTGTTTTGTCTTTATAGACCAAATCAACACATATCTCACATGTATTGATTGATGTCAAATGTCTCTCTAAGACATTAGATATAAGAGCAATCAAACCACTTTGGGCACATGTTCTCAAGGTCTTCTAAGGTGTGTCACAGGGCATGGTCCTCACATTTGGCTCAGAATAAATCTCTCTAAATATTTTGCAAAGTTACCTTTTTTAATTATACTTTAAGTGATGGGATACATGTGCAGAACGTGCAGGTTTGTTACATAGCTATACATATGCCATGGTGGTTTGCTGCACCCATCAACCCGTCATCTATATTAGGTGTTTCTCCTAATGTTATTCCTCCCCTAGCCCCTCACCCCCCAACAGGCCCTGTTGTGTGATGTTCCCCTCCCTGTGTCCATGTGTTCTCATTGTTCAACTCTCCCTCATGAGGGAGAACATGCAGTGTTTGGTTTTCTGTTCCTGTGTTAGTTTGCTGAGGATGATGGTTTCCAGATTCATCCATGTCCTTGCAAAGAACATGAACTCATTCTTTTTTATGGCTGCATAGTATTCCGTAATGTATATGTGACATATTTTCTTTATCCAGTCTATCACTGATGGGCATTCGGGTTGGTTCCAAGTCTTTGCTATTGTCAACGGTGCTGCAATAAACATACACGTGCATGTGTCTTTATAGTGGATTAATTGTTCATCCTTTGGGTATATACCCAGTAATGGGATTGCTGGGACAAATGGTATCTCTAGGCCTAGATCCTTGAGGAATTGCCACAGTGTCTTCCACAATGGTTGAACTAATTTACCCTCCCACCAATAGTGTAAAAGCATTCCTATTTCTCTACATCCTCTCCAGCATCTGTTGTTTCCTGACTTTTTAATGATTGCCATTCTAACTGGCATGAGATGCTATCTCACTGTGGTTTTGATTTGCATTTCTCTAATGACCAGCGATGATGACCTTTTTTTCATATGTTTGTTGGTCTCATAAATGTTTTCTTTTGAGAAGTGTCTGCTCATATCCTTCACCCACTTTTTGATGGTGTTGTTTGTTTTTTTTCTTTTAAATTTGTCTAAGTTCCTTAGAGATTCTGGATATTAGCTCTTTGTCAGATGGATAGATTGCAAAAATTTTCTCCCATTCTGTAGGTTGCCTGTTCACTCCAATGACAGTTTCTTTTGCTGTGCAGAAGCTCTTTAGTTTAATTAGATCCCATTTGTCAATTTTGGCTTTTGTTGCCATTGCTTTTGGTGTTTTAGTCATGAAGTCCTTGCCCATGCCTATGTCCTGAATGGTATTGCCTAGGTTTTCTTCTAGGGTTTTTATGGTTTTAGGTCTTACATTTAAGTCTTTAATCCATCTTGAGTTAATTTTTGTGTAAAGTGTAAGGAAGGGGTCCAGTTTTAGTTTTCTGCATATGTCTAGCCAGTTTTCCATACACCATTTATTAAATAGCAAATCCTTTCCCCATTGCTTGTTTTTGTCAGGTTTGTCAGAGATCAGATGTTCTAGATGTGTGGCATTATTTCTGAGGCCCCTGTTCTGTTCCATTAGTCTATATATCTGTTTTGGTGTCAGCATCATGCTGTTTTGGTTACTGTAGCCTTATAGTATAGTTTGAAATCAGGTAGCATGATGCCTCCAGCTTTGTTTGTTTGTTTGTTTTTGCTTAGGATTGTCTTCGCTTTACAGTCTCTTTTTTGGTTCCATATGAAATGTAAAGTAGTTTTTTTTCTAATTCTGAGAAGAAAGTCAATGGTAGCTTGATGGGGATAGCATTAAATCCATAAATTACTTTGGGCAGTATGGCTGTTTTTACAATATTGATTCTTCCTTTCCATGTCCATGAAATATTTTTCCATTTGTTTGTGTCCTCTCTTATTTCCTTGGGCAGTGGTTTGTAGTTCTCCTTGAAGAGATCCTTCACATCCCTTGTAAGTTGTATTCCTAGGTATTTTATTCTCTTTGTAGCAATTGTGAATGGGAGTTCACTCATTATTTGGTTCTCTGGTTGTCTATTATTGGTGTATAGGAATTGTTGTGATTTTTGCACATTGATTTTGTATCCTGAGACTTTGCTGAAGTCGCTTATCAGCTTAAGGAGATTTTGGGCTGAGAGGAGGAGGTTTTCTAAATATACAATCATGTCATCTGCAAACAGAGATAATTTGACTTCCTCTCTTTCTATTTGAATACCTTTATTTCTTTCTCTGGCCTGATTGCTCTGGCCAGAGCTTCCAATACTATGTTGAATAGGAGGAGTGGTGAGGGAGGGCATCTTTGTCTTTTGCTGGTTTTCAAAGAGAATGCTTCCAGTTTATGCCCATTCAGTATGATATTGGCCGTGGATTTGTCATGAATAGCCCTTATTATTTTGAAATATGTTCCATCAATACCTAGTTTATTGAAAGTTTTTAGCATGAAGTGGTGTTGAATTTTATTGACGGCCTTTTCTGCTTCTATTGAGATAATTGTGTGTTTTTTTCCATTGGTTCTGTTTATGTGATGGATTATGTTTATTGATTTGTGTATGTTGAACCAGCCTTGCATCCCAGGGATGAAGCCGACTTGATCATGGTGGATCAGCTTCTTTATGTGCTGCTGGATTTGGTTGGCCAGTATTTTATTGAGGATTTTTGCATCAATGTTTATCAGGGATATAGGCTTGAAATTTTTTTGATGTTGTGTCTCTGACAGGTTTTGGTATCAGGATGATGCTGGCTTCATAAAATGAGTTAGGGTGGAGTCCCTCTTTTTCTGTTGTTTGGAATAGTTTCAGAAGGAATGGTACCAGCACCTCTTTGTACCTCTGGAAGAATTCGTCCGTGAATCTGTCTTGACCTGGGCTTTTTTTGGTTGGTAGGCAATTAATTACTGCCTCAATTTCAGAACTTGTTATTGGTCTCTTCAGAGATTCGACCTCTTCCTGGTTTAGTTTTGGGAGGGTGTGTGTGTCCAGGAAGTTATCCATTTCCTCTGATTTTCTAGTTTATTTGTATAGAGGTGCTTATAGTATTCTCTAATGGTAGTTTGTATTTCTGTGGGATGAGTGACGATATGCCTTTCCTCATTTTTTATTGTGTCTATTTGATTCTTCTCTCTTTTCTTCTTTATTAGTCTGGCTAGCAGTCTATCTATTTTGTTAATCTTTTCAAAAAATCACCTACTGGATTCACTGATTTTTTGAAGGGATTTTTGTGTCTCTATCTCTTTCAGTTCTGCTCTGATCTTAGTTATTTCTTGTCTTCTGCTAGCTTTTGAATTAGTTTGCTCTCGCTTCTCTAGTTCTTTAATTGTGATGTTAGTGTGTTGATTTTAGATCTTTCATGCTTCCTCTTGTGGGCATTTAGTGCTATAAATTTCCCTCTAAACACTGCTTTAGCTGGGTCCCAGAGATTCTGGTACATTGTATCTTTGTTCTCATTGGTTTCAAAGAACTTATTTATTTCTGCCTTAATTTCATTATTTACCCAGTAGTCATTCAGGAGCAGCTTGTTCAGTTTTCATGTACTTGAGCAGTTTTGAAGAGTTTCTTAATCCTGAGTTCTAATTTGATTGCACTGTGGTCTGGGAGACTGTTTGTTCTGATTTCCATTCTTTTGTATTTGCTGAAGAGTGTTTTACTTCCAATAATATGGTCAGTTTTAGAATAAGTGTGATGTGGTGCTGAGAAGAATGTATATTCTGTTGATTTGGGGTGGAGATTTATGTAGATGTCCATTAGATCCACTTGGTCCAGAGCTGATTTCAAGTTCTGAATATCCTTGTTAATTTTCTGTCTCATTGATCTGTCAAATATTGACAGTGAGGTGTTAAAGTCTCCAGCTATTATTGTGCGGGAGTCTAAGTCTCTTTGTAGGTCTCTAAGAACTTGCTTTATGAATCTGGGTGCTCCTGTATTGGGTGAATATATATTTAGGATAGTTAGCTCTTCTCGTTGCATTGATACCTTTACCATTAGGTAATCCTCTTCTTTGTCTTTTTTGATGTTTGTTGGTTTAAAGTCTGTTTTATAACACACTAGGGGTGCAACCACTATTTTTTTTTCTTTCCATTTGATTGGTAAATATTCCTGCATCCCTTTATTTTGAGACCTTGGTGAGTCTTTGCACATGAGATGCGTCTCCTGACTACAGCACACCAATGGGTCTTGAGTCTTGATCTAATTTGTCAGTCTCTGTGTTTTAATTGGGGCATTTAGCCTGTTTACATTTAAGGTTAACATTGTTATGTATAAATTTGATCCTGTCATTATGATGTTAGCTGATTGTTGTGCCCATTAGTTGATGTAGTTTCTTCATACTGTTGATGATCTTTACAATTTGGTATGTTTTTGCAGTGGCTGGTACTGGTTTTTCCTTTCCATATTTAGTGCTTCCCTCAGAAGCTCTTGTAAGGCAGGCCTGGTGGTGCAAAAAATCTCAGTATTTGCTTGTCTGTAAAGGTTTTTATTTATCCTTTGCTTATGAAGTTTAGTTTGGCTGGATATGAAATTCTGGGTTGAAAATTCTTTTCTTTAAGAATATTGAATATTGGCCCCCACTCTCTTCTGGCTTGTAGGGTTTCTGCAGAGAGATCTGCTGATAGTCTGATGGGCTTCCCTTTACGGGTAAACCGACCTTTCTCTCTGGCTGCCCTTAACATTTTTTCATTCATTTCAGCCTTGGTGAATCTGAAGATTATGTGTCTTGCAGTTGCTCTTCCCGAGGAGTATCTCTGTATTTCCTGAATTTGAATGTTGGCCTGTCTTGCTAGGTTGGGAAAGTTCTCCTGGATAATATCCTGAAGAGTGTTTTCCAACTTGGTTCCATTCTCCCCATCACTTTCAGGTACACCAGTCAAACGAAGGTTTGGTCTTATCACATACTCCAATATTTCTTGGAGGCTTTGTTCATTCCTTTCATTCTTTTTTCTCTAATCTTGTGTTCACACTTTATTTCATTAAATTGGTCTTGAATCTCTGATATCCTTTCTTCCACTTGTTCAATTCAACTATTGATATTTGTGTATGCGTCACGAAGTTGTTGTGCTGTGTTTTACAGCTCCATCAGGTAATTTATGTTCTTCTTTAAACTGGTTATTCTAGTTAGCAATTCGTCTAACCTTTTTTCAAGGTTCTTAGCTTCCCTGCATTGGGTTAGAACACGCTCCTTTGCCTCAGAGGAGTTTGTTATTACCCACCTTCTGATGCCTCCTTCTGTCAGTTCGTCAAACTCATTTTCCGTCCAGTTTTGTTCCCCTTGCTGATGAGGAGTTGTGATCCTTTAGAGGAGAAGAGGTGTTCTGGTTTTGGGAATTTTAAGCCCTTTTGAACTGGTTTATCCTCATCTTTGTGGATTTATCTACCTTTGGTCTTTGATGTTGGTGACCTTCAGATGGGGTTTCTGTGTGGACGTCCTTTTTGTTGATGTTGATACTATTCCTTTCTGTTTGTTAGTTTTCCTTCTAAAAGTCAGGCCTCTCAGCTGCAGGTCTGCTGAGTTTGCTGGAGATCCACTCTAGATCCTATTTACCTGGGTATCACCAGCAGAGACTGCAGAACAGCAAAGATTGCTGCCTGCTTCTTCTTCTGATTCGTCCTAGAGGGGCACCTGCCAGATGCCTGCTGGAGCACTCCTGTATGAGGAGTCTGTCAACCCCTGTTGGGAGGTGTCTCCCAGTCAGGAGGCATGGGGGCCAGGGACCCACTGGAAGAGGCGGTCTGTCCCTTAGCAGCGTGGAGCGCTGTGTTGGGAGATCTGCTCATCTCTTCAGAGCCAGCAGGCAGGAATGTTTAAGTCTGCTGAAGCTGTGTCCACAGCCACCCCTTCCCCCAGGTGCTCTGTCCCAGGGAGATGGGGGTTTTATCTATAAGCCCCTGACTAGGACAGTTGCCTTTTTTTCCGAGATGCCCTGCATAGCAAGGAGGAATCTAGAAAGGCAGTCTAGCTACAGCAGCTTTGCTGAGCTGTGGTGGGCTCCGGCCAGTTTGAACTTCCAGGTGACTCTGTTTACACTGTGAGGGGAAAACTGCCTTCTCAAGCCTCAGTAATGGCAAACGCCCATCCGCCCACCAAGCTCGAGCATCCCAGGTCAACTTCAGACTGCTGTCCGGGCAGCAAGAATCTCAAGCCAGTGGATTTTAGCTTGCTGGGCTCCGTAGGGGGGGATCCATTGAGCTAGACCACTTGGCTCCCTGCCTTCAGCCCCCTTTCCAGGGGAGTGAAAGGTGCTCTCTCGCTGGCGTTCCAGGTGCCACAGGAGTATAAAAAAAAAAACAACTCTTGCAGCTAGCTGGGTGTCTGCCCAAATGGCCCGGTTTTGTGGTTGAAACCCAGGGTCCTGGTGGTGTAGGAACCCGAGGGAATCTCCTGGTCTGCGGGTTTTGAAGACCGTGGGAAAAGTGTAGTATCTGGGCCAGAGTGCACCTTTCCTCAGGGCACAGTCTCTCACCGGGCACAGTCCCTCACGGCCTCCCTTGGCTAGGGGAGGGAGTTCCCTGACCCACTGGACTTCCTGGGGGAGGTGACACCCCACCCTGCTTCAACTCGCCCTCCGTGGGCTGCACCCACTGTCTAACCAGTCCCAATGAGATGACCCTCAGTTCGAAATGCTGACATCGGCGAACGCAGGAGGCCATGGCCGCCACCGCCACTGCCTCCGAGGCCGGGCGCAGAAGAGCCGCCGCTGTGAGCGGCGCAGTCCCGGCCCCCGCCGCCGCCCGAGGAGAACGGGAGGGTGGGCGAGAGAGCCGGGGAGTTGCGGAGCCCGCCCGCCGCTGGCAGCACCGCTCCCCAGGGAGGGAGTCCACAGCCTGAGGTTATATCTTAAGTGTGGTGCTGCTAACATTGCCCAGGCAACATCTGGTTCAGCTTTATCTATATTTTTTGACTGCTCTGCTTTTCTATACTGGACATCAAATTTCCAGGGACTACGTTCGGAGTGAACTGCAGTTTGCCTGTGAGGGACCAATGTATTTAGAACCTCTCTCTATGAATCGGTTTACCACAGCCTTAATAGGTCAGTTGGTGGTGTGTACTTTATGCTCCTGTGTCATGAAAACAAAGCAGATTTGGCTGTTTTCAGCTCACGTGCTTCCTCTGCTAGCACGACTCTGCCTGGTTCCTTTGGAGACAATTGTTATCATCAATAAATTTGCTATGATTTTTACTGGATTGGAAGTTCTCTATTTTCTTGGGTCTAATCTTTTGCTACCTTATAACCTTGCTAAATCTGCATACAGAGAATTGGTTCAGGTAGTGGAGGTATATGGCCTTCTCACCTTGGGAATGTCCTTGTGGAATCAACTGGTAGTCCCTGTTCTTTTCATGGTTTTCTGGCTCATCTTATTTGCTCTTCAGATTTACTCCTATTTCAGTACTCGAGATCAGCCGGCATCACGTGAGAGGCTTCTTTTCCTTTTTCTGACAAGTATTGCAGAATGCTGCAGCACTCCTTACTCTCTTTTGGGTTTGGTCTTCACGGTTTCTTTTGTTGCCTTGGGTGTTCTCACACTCTGCGAGTTTTACTTGCAGGGTTATCGAGCTTTCAGGAATGATCCTGCCATGAATTGGGGCATGACAGGAGGAGTAACGCTGTTAATCCTGGCAGTGCAGACTGGGCTGATAGAACTGCAGGTTGTTCATCGGGCATTCCTGCTCAGTATTATCCTTTTCATTGTTGCAGCTTCTATCCTACAGTCTATGTTAGAAATTGCAGATCCTATTTTTTTGGCACTGGGAGCATCCAGAGACAAGAGCTTGTGGAAACACTTCCGTGCTGTGCGACTTTGTTTATTTTTATTGGTATTCCCTGCTCATATGGCTTATATGATTTGCCAGTTTTTCCACCTGGATTTTTGGCTTCTTATCATTATTTCCAGCAGCATTCTTACCTCTCTTCAGGTTCTGGGAACACTTTTTATTTATGTCTGATTTACGGTTGAGGAATTCAGAAAAGAGCCGGTGGAAAACATGGATGATGTCATCTACTATGTGAATGGCACTTACCACCTGCTGGAGTTTCTTGCGGCCGTCTGTATGGTGGCCTATTGCGTCTCAGAGACCATCTTTGGAGAATGGACAGTGATGGGCTCAATGATCATCCATTCATTCCTACTATAACGTGTGGCTTCAGGCCCAGCTGGGGTGGAAGAGCTTTCTTCTCCACAGGGATGCTGTGAATAAGATTAAATCGTTACCCATTGCTACGAAAGAGCAGCTTGAGAAACACAATGATATTTGTGCCATCTGTTATCAGGTAACTCCTTCGATAAGAATCTGTTTGGGACATGAAATCTGCTGTGATCACGCCTTGCGTTCATTTTTTCCATGCAGGCTGTCTTAAGAAATGGCTGTATGTCCAGGAGACCTGCCCTCTGTGCCACTACCACCTGAAAAACTCCTCCCAGCTTCCAGGATTAGGAACTGAGCCAGTTCTACAGCCTCATGCTGGAGCTGAGCAAAACATCATGTTTCAGGAAGGAACTGAACCCCCAGGCCAAGAGCATACTCCAGGGACCAGGATACAGGAAGGTTCTAGGGACAATAATGAGCGCATCGCCAGACAACCAGATAGCCAGGAAGGGGCTTTTGACCCCAAAGAATATCTTCACAGTGCAAAAGATGAAGCACATCCTGTTGAATCAGCCTAGAGGAGAAGCAGCAGGAATGATGCTTTCATACTCTGGAGGAGAAGTTAACTCAAGATGGAATTCATGTTCTGATTTGAGGAATGAAAATGAGATGATCAGGCAGGAAACTGACATTCCAAGGATCTAATCCAGGAAGTACTCTCAGTGGGGACCACCTGCTTTCATCCCCTGACATTGTGGGAGAAAGACAAATAGGAAGCTCTTCTATTAGGGCAATGTAGAGCTTGTGCTTTACTTATGTGACAGATATAGATATTTTGAATATTTTAAAATTAGGTATGATATTCTACCAAACACTATATATAGTGTTTATATATATATAACAAAATAAACACTATATATATATTATATATAATAAAATAAACACTATATATACCAAACACTATATATAGTGTTTATATATATAACAAAATAAACACTATATATATTATATATAATAAACACTATATATATACCAAACACTATATATAGTGTTTATATATATATAAAACAAAATAACACTATATAATTCTATTGGTATAATTAATATATATGTAAGACAAAATAAACACTACATATAGAGTATATATATATATATGTAACAAAATTTTGTGATACCTTGAAATTTAAGGTTGAATATTTGTATACATTCCAAGATAAATCTTGGTGAACATCATAAAATTAATTCTAATATTTTTTGTGCAAGATGATCACTTTCAAACTAGGTTTAACAACAGAGACCAGATGTATCTTTCCACCAGAAATACTTGTAAAACATAGTGAAATTTCTTAAATTCAATTTTATGATGTGTGACAACAGGTAACAAGGACAGTAATTGCTGAGAGGTGGGAAATAAACAAAAGGAGTCCTCTGATGAATGCACGCTCAGATGCTTCCTTAAGGGAGTTTCCAGGCACAGTGCTGAAGTGGAACCAGGTAGAACTGAAGTTGAGGAAAAAGAGCTGAGACTGACCATGGACTTGTCCTGGCCAATTTCCGGAGGCTGTGCACTGTGTGTCTTTCTGCCCCTGCACAAAGCCGTTTTCGTGTACAGAGCCAGATTGTAATTCATCTAGTTCTCATGTCCTCACCCAAAAGCAAATATGAAATGCATGTAACGTTTGTGTTTGCTTATTACACATGAGAGCCTGCCTGTCATGTGACTATCAATAGGTCCTTCTATAGCCTGCTGAGTGTGTACGCTTGGCCAATCCATTCGCATGAATTCATTTCTTGTCTTTCCCTCTCTTGAAGTGCCTGCTCACAGTCTCTGTGGGAGGCTTTGCTTTCCAGCCTGTTAAGATGGCCGTCCTGCAGCTCCAACCCTTTTTCAGAAATAAAATCTCCTTTCTAAATTGATAGATTGGGTGATTCTTCCATTGAAAGCACAAGCTGGTGCGAAGAGTTACATGGTAATTCCATAAATGCCTGGAGGAGAAGCAGGGAAAGGGTAGGGTAAGAACTGGGGGCCACACACCTCACACTTTTATGGAATTTCCCTCCAAAAGCTTCTGGGTTCTCAAGACGAGAATTCAAACAGATGCCCTCATGGCTCTGTCATCCGGAGAACTATTTTCTGATAAATATGCCCAGAACTTTCTCCAGACAGACCCTACAAAGAAAAAATACTTTTCAAGATCTTTATTCTATGTGAGAGGAAGGGATTCTTTTCCATCCCAGACAGCTTCATCTTAGCCTTCCCGTGTCATGAAAAGGGTTATAATTAATAAACAACTGGGGTCAGATTCAAGACAATAATCTGTGTATGCTGCAGCCAGGAGGTGGAGTAGAGGACGGAGGAAAATCAGCTGTATGACTGGAGACTCCTTGTAAAGGGTACAGCCTAAAGAAAGCACAGCAAGAAATCATTGAACATATACTGCTCCCCTGCCCACCATATCACCTGCTCACTAGGATTAAGATGGATTAAAGAGAAAAGTTTTGCAAGGCACATGCTCTGTCTAAGGACTAGAACTTAGGGAAACCAAAGGCACTGGGAGAGAACAAGTCAAGTACAGTGAAGTGATTTAAAGCCTCTGAAAGCAACAGCTTCAGGACCAAGATCACGGCCCCTCCCTCAATGACCTTAGATTTTCCTCTCGTGGGGCGTCTGCAGGGCTCTCAGGTGAGAATTGGCAAAGACAATGTGAAGGCACTTTCCAAATCTCCAATAGTACTGAGCTTGCTTTAGCTCTGCTTGGAAAAAACAAACAACAAAACAACAAACATAAGCAGGACTAGGGTCAGAGTCGGAAGCACTTTTCATTGGCAAGACACTAGGAAGGAGGGCAAATTTGAGGTTTGTTACTGTGCAAATATTCCACTGTGAGTGTGGGGGCAGGGGCTTTGAGAAACAGGGTCTGTGCATAAAGTTCTAATCTGATATAATCTTCAACCACAGAATCCTAAAAAAAAGAGGCTGCCCCAAAGTCCCCATCAGTTCCTGCACTTGCCATGTGTCTGGAGGTATCAGTGCATATGGAGCTCCAGGGGAGGGGCCCCCTGGTGGCTTTAGTGATTCCTTGCTTGCTGCGCTGAAGTATCCCAATAGATTGCTGGGTTTTCTAAGGCCTATTCCTATTGTAAGAGGTGGTGTGAGGAGCAATTGCTGTCACTGAGGGAACATTCTGAGCCAGGACACGTCCACTTCATACTGGGCTTGAGATGCTTAGAGAAAAATGCTCTGTGAGCCAGCTGGGATTACAAGTGTGTGGTGTCACACCCGGCTCACTTTGTATTTTTAGTAGAGATGGGGTTTCACCATGCTGGCCAGGCTGGTTTCGAACTCCTGACCTCAGGTGATCCACCCGCCTCTGCATCCCAATGCGCTGGGATTACAGGCGTGAGCCATCAGGCCTGGCCTGGAATAGTTAATATTTGCTATGTAAACCTCCACGTGATGCAAATATGAAACAAATGCCCACGTGCAATGTCTGTCCCATAATCATTCTGTGAACACATGAATAGCACTGAGTATGCACAGGGCTTGATTCCTTCTTGACCCTGGGTCTGGTTTCCTTTAAGGTAACCTTGAGTCAATGAGCCATTAGTAGAGGGTGGTATTCTACAGCCGAGTAGGCAGAAAAATAGACTGATCTTCTTTTGAGTTACAAATAAATACACTTTGAAATAGTAGAAATTCTTATAAATGAGCCGTAATCATATGAAAAAATGATGTGGTAGAACTTCTTTGGTGTCTGTGGCTGTTAAAGACAACGTGATTTTTACTAAAAACCAAGATAATTTTAAAAAATCTGTGAGGGATGAATATTCTTCGCCATTCACCAAGTTTGTAATCGGACGTCTTCCATAAGCTGCCCTTGAAAAAGTCACCAGTACAATTTTGTCTTTGTCAAAGTTGATTGCAGTAGCATGCTATTTGCTTATTCATATCTAGAGTCAAAATAAAGTAGCAATTCCCAAAGTGCAACAGAAGCTCTTCTAATTTCAACATGAAAATTACTGAAGTATTTGTTTAAACTGATGTCTTCTATTGTTTTCCTTTTCCATCTTCAAAGAAGACCCAGGGCTGAAGCCAGCAGCCCTGCCTGTGCCCTGCCTGCACCCTGCCCTTCCTCATGCCCAAGGCTGACAATGCCTTTGTTTCCCAGCATCTATGTTATGTTGAGGTATTTCTATGCATATAATACCTTGTTCAGAAGCTTTTGAATTCTTTTCTATGAAAATTTCCTGGTTTTACCTTAATAATAAAAATAGTAACATGAACACCTCAAGTCTGTTGTAAGCCTCAATTAGGATAAGGTGGTCCTAGGGAAATGGAGGCTTTAGAGAAATGTGCGTATGGGTAATGTAGTCACCATCTGGGACAGTGCTTCTCAAAGTGAGGTCCTTGCATCGACAGCATCTACATCATCTAGAAATAGGTTAGACACAGAAACCAGGAACTCCGGGGGAAGGCTCAGGTGTAGGCAGCTTCACAAGCTCCTTCGGGGATTCTTTGCAGGCTCTAGTTTAAGAACCATTGATCTAAGAAAATGGAGACTGGTTTTGGTGTAATATCAGCCTTACTAGTAATTTAAGCCTTATTTGGGGCAGTGGCTCTCAACTGTGAGCAATTTTGCCCAGTAAGGGTCATGGGCAAGGACTGGAGATGAATTTGTTTGCCACAGTTGGGCAGGTGGGCAGAGGCTCCCCAAACCGAGGAGTCAAAGAATTCTCCAGCCCAAACTGTCAATAATGAGAGGGCTAAGAAACCCTGATCTAGAATAATGTGGGTGTAGGATAATTTAAGCCCCATCAGGTCCTAGGTAGGGTAAATGAGGCCGTAGTTAAGGTAACATAGGCCTCATCTAGTTTGACGTAGATTTCTTCACAGTAACTTGTGCCTTACTGTGTAGGTACTGGGTCTTCCTTCAAAGCTTATCTAGGAAGACCCCTCTTTAGGGAAATTCACAAGGTGAGAGGTTCCTGTCTAGTCTCGGTGCCCTCTGTGAGGCCTCCTCTGCTTCTGGAAGCCTGGCTGCTCCAATCTCTTTCTAGGTGGCTGGGGCAGCCGCTCGACATTCACGCCACCTTGTGGCCACCGGTGCCACAGCGGGTACATCGCCTTCTTTGGGTCCCCTCATCATAATTGTTTATCAATAATGATTGATAAGAGTAACACCCGACCCTTGTAGGATCCATGTGTTTCTTGGCAAGTGTTTTATAGAGAGTGGTTATTTATGAAAGGAAGTCACCGGTAGAATGATTTTGAGACTTTTATAAGTAAATGACCTGCCGTTGCTCCCTTTTTTAAAAATGTATAAATAGAATGATAATAAAACTCATTGCATTATATTTCCACCAGGAATGTGTGATAGTTTCCATTAAATATATGACATCCTTGCTTCTCTCATACAGAAATGTATGCTTGCCAATATTTGGTATTTTTCTGGGTGGTTATTTGGGTAATTTTGGCTATGTTAATGGGTATGTAGTAGTATCTCATTATGATTTTAATTTGCATTTCCAGAGAACTAATTATGCTGAGAATCTTTCATGTGCTTATTGGCCTTTTTTTATCTTCTTTTGTGAAATGTCTGTTCAAAAAGACTATTTTATCTAGTTTTTTACAACTAAAATTGTGTGTATAATTATAGATTCATTTCACATGCAGTTGTAAGAAATTTCCCTTTGTATAAACTTTGGACCCCTATCTCTCTCTACCTCCTTGTAAGGCCAATAACTCTTGGATTTGCCACTTGAAGGGTATTTTCTAGATCTTCTAGGCCTGCTTCATTCTATTTCATTTTTTTCCTTTTGTCTCCTTTGACTAGGAGGTATTTTCAATTAGCCTGTCTTCAAGGTCACTAAATCTTTTTTTTTTTTTTCTAAAGACAAAGTCTTGCTCTGTCACCCAGGCTAGAGAACAGTGGCCCAATCTCAGCTCACTGCAACGTCCGCCATCTGGGTTCAAGTGATTCTCGTGTTTCAGCCTCCCTAGTACCTGGGATTACAGGTGCCCATCACCATACCTGGCTAATTTTTGTATTTGTAGTAGAGATGAGGTTTCACCATGTTGGCCAGGGAAGTCTTGAACTCCTGACCTCAGGTGATCTGCTAGCCTCAGCCTCCCAAAATGCTGGTATTACATGCGTGAGTCACCAGGCCTGGCCCCAAGCTCACTAATTCCTTCTTCTTCATGATCAATTCTGCTATTAAGAGATTCAGATGCATTCTTTAGTATGTCAGTTGCATTTTTTAACTCCAGAATTTCTGCTTGATTTTTAAAAATTATTTCAATCTCTTTGTTAAATGTGTTTGCTAGGATCCTAAATTGCTTCCCTGTGTTATATTGAATTTCATTGAGTTTCCTCAAAACAGCTATTTTGAATTCTCTGAAAGATCACATACCTCTGTCTTTCTGGAATTGGCTCCTGGTGACTTATTTATTTGACGAGGCCATATTTTCCTGGAGAGTCTTGATGCTTGTGGATGTTTGGTAGTGTCTGGGCATTGAAGAGTTAGGCAGTGTCATCTTTGCAGTTGGGCTTGTTTGTACCCATCCTTTCTGGGAAAGCTTTCCAGGTATTCCAAGGGACTTGGGTGTTGCAGTCTAAGCCATATCTGTATTAGGGGGCACCCCAAACCCAGTAACACTGTGATTCTTGCAGACTCAGAGAAGTACTGCCTTGATGGTCTTGGATAAGGGCCAGAAGAATTCTCTGGATTTATATTTTGCAATTTAAACTTATCACCATTTAATTTCATATAATATGATACCCATTCACGTATATTGTAAAAACCTTGCAACAATATATTTCTATCTCCTCCTCCCATCTTTTGTGCTACTGTCATTCTTAGGAAAAACCCGAACTGTTTCTCCTCTGTGTCCACACCAACACAACAGCAATCTACACAGCAGACTTCTGAGACCCTGAGTATGTGGGGGCTTTCTCCTCACCAGCAAGCAGGCAGTCACCTCTGCAGTGGGCACCAGCTGGACGTCCTCCAGTTCAATTCCAACTCTATCTACCCAGAGCTGGCATCAGATCCCACAAAGAGAGGGCCCGTTCTGCAAGGCTGCCACTTCCCCACCCCCAGACACCAGTCATAAGTCCGGGCTTCTGGAATTTCTAATCAACTGGCTTCAAGCTGGGCTTCCCACAATCCCCTCTATGGGTTTGATTAATTTGCTGGAGTGGCTCACAGAACTCAGGGAAATGCTTATGTTGTTTACCAGTTTATTATGAAGGACATTTTAAAGGATACGGATGGACAGCCATATGAAGAGATACACACAGGATGAGGTCTGGAAGATTTTGAAGGGTCCCAGGTGCAGGAGCTTGTGTCCATGTGGATTCAGGGAGCACCACCCTCTCAGCACGTGAATGAGTTCTTCACCTTTTAGTCACCCTTCATGTGTTCAGCTCTCCAGAAGCTTCCAAACCCTGTCCTCTTGGGTCTTTATATGGGGAATTTGTTGGATAGGCCTGATTGAAGCATGGGTGACTGTGGAAATGTGATTGGACAAAATGGGTTCTAAACCCAGCAAGGCCTGTGTGTTCAGATTCTTCTTGGCCTCTCTGTGTAGCCTTCCTTCCTCCAGGTTATGAGACAAAACCCTCTTTGGAATGAGGGTCTCATGACCCACAGAATCCAGCCATGGGCAGGGGAAAGAAGGGCAGGAGAAGGTGTGAGAGAGAGATTCTGTTTACTGTCACAAGGGCTATGAGAGTTATGAACAAGGAACTGTGGATGAAAACATATATGTATATGTTTCAATGACATGCCACAGCCATACTTTCATACAGTTTGTTTCTACATACGTCCTAAACACCATCATGCTTTGTTATTTTTGCTTAAACTGTAAATTATTTCATAAAAAATTATGAAAAGCAAGATAAAAGTATTTTATATTTACCTGTATGTTTACCTTTTCCAGGATTAATTCTTTAGTGTTTGGTAACGTGTTTTCCTTGTCTAGTGATTTACATCGATTTTTGAAGGGATAAGACCAGTTGCCTGGGTAAAAATTTCACTTTCTGGATTTGCTTAATAATTTTGATATTCTTATTCCTCTATTGACTATTCTAGAGCTGGGAGAATACATCAGACATCTGTTGTACATAGAGTCATCATGAAATAGTAATTTATGTGCAAATGCCAGCTTTTCAAAAGTTGATGCCAATTTGTGTAAGTTTATGGTAGAATTTGCTAATCTATTTGTTTCAGAAAGATTTGGGAAATCAGATAGTGATCTCATTAAATCTTAGTATAGCATGACATATATTAGACCCTAAATAAATGCCGCTAAGATCAGTTTTATGATGAGAAGAAACGACGGCTTGGTTGGGCTCCATAAGGAATTTTGATTTTGTTCCCCATCATTGACATTCCCACCTGTAGAATAAGTGCTTAGCTTTCACACCTGTTTCCTTTTAGCATTCTAAATCAGAACCTCAGAAGCAAAATTAGGCTCCAGTTTTGGTTTAGACTTTATCTTAGTAAACACAAAATATTGGTGTCAACATCACCATAAAGGAACATGTTTTAATTGCCATTAACATGAGAGAATAAGATGAATTCAGTTCCTTCTTTGAACAAACTTTCCCCAGGTGTGTGCCTTGCTAGGATCTACCCCAGACAAGGAGGGCACAAAGAAGCCATGATCTCTGCCATTTCTCCTGGACACTCATAGGCCAGTGCAAAGAAAGACACTTGCAAGCAAAAGACTCCAGTATAGTGAGATGAGCTTGATTTTAGAGGTATTACAAAGAATGCTGGCTTCACCAGGAAAATAAGGATTAGCTCTGGCTGTGCCTGAGCAAGGAGGTCACCAGAGAAGAAGAGATGACTGGGTTGACTTTTGAAGCTTTGAAGATGACTGGGTTGAAGTTTCGAAGAGATGACTGGGTAGGAGTTCAGTATGAAGGGAAGGTTATTCCAGGTAAAAGGACCAGCATTTGTAAAAGCAAAGAGCAACTGCTTTCAACTGGGGATGATTTTTCAGGGCACATTTGGTAATGTCCAAAGGTGTTTTGTTATCAAAACTGGGGGGTGGGTATGCTATTGGCACGTGGTGGGTAGAGGCCAGGTTTGCTGCTAACATCCTACAGCACACAGGCCAGGCCCCTACAACACAGCTCTCCAGCCCCGAGCATAAATAATACGGAGATTGAGAGACCCCGATGGGAGGCATGAAGCAGTGTGGCTTGTTCTGAAAACTGTGTTTTGTGTGGTTGGAGTGAAGTGTGCGGTGGATTGGTGAGGAAGGAGAATCCAAGGAAAACTGGAGGACCTGAGACCCAACAAATGGACTGGATGCTGAAGCTGCTGCTCCATGGCTCGAATCTCACCCCGAAGGAGACAGGAGCCACAGCAGTCCTTTTGGAGAACCAATATCAGCAGCACTCACATACGGAAAGATTACCCTGGCAGTAATGCCCAGATGGATGGCAGAGCAGGGAGGCGGCTGCAGTAATTCAGGGCAGAAATGGGGAGGGCTTTAAAGAAGAACAGTGAGACTTAGTGATCCTCTGACTGCAAGGAAGATGAAGGCACAGATGGCCGCTGAGTTCCTCGCGTGATGGCTGGGTGACTGTCCTCACTCACTGAGGCCAGAAACACAGCACAGAGGAGCAGGCTTCTGGAGAAAGGTGCTGAGCTTGAAAGGTGAAAGACATCTTGAGAATGAATAATATATCTAAGATAGCCCATGTGTGGACAACAGGGCCAGGAGGAAAATTCAGGGCTCTGCTGTTCTCTCTGTCGCAGTAAATGACCAGAAACTTCATAACAAAAGATTCACTGGGAAAACCCAGAGGAAGTTAGAGCCAAGCAAAATGCAGCTTGCTTTCGGCTTCCTCATCCCCTTTTCAGAGACTTGCCTGGTGCTCCCAAGTCTCAACAGCGCTAGTGGGAATGCAGCCAAACAATAAGGCTATTTTTTCTATACCATGTTGTTTCATTCTTTGGCTACTGTAATCTATATTATCAATTCTCTGAATTTTTTCCGTGCAAAGGAGAAATAAGTTGTTAATAAGTCAATGGACAACAAAGTTGACATTAACTCTCTGCAAAACTACAAATGTGAGTCCACATACTCATGAGCGTTGTGGGTGGACAGGCTGTGCTGCCTCTACGGGGCCCTCCTGCTTCGGCTCAAGGGCCAAGGAAGAGTACACCCCAGGGAAGACTTCACCTGGCCCAGGGTCCAGGGTTTCAGGCATGTGGATGCGATGTAGGAGCGGTAAGACCATTCAGGTCTCACTCAACTCCACTTCTCCTTCCTCCCCGCTCTGTGACACCTTCCTGTCCTCCTCACTCCTTCCAGAACAACAGAAAATGAGAAGGTTTCAGGTGATCTGTTTAGGAACCAACCACCTTGCTTTACAATGGCTTCTGTAGGGGGGTTCAAGGTCTGTGTGTCTAAATGTAGTCCAATGGTCCAATTAACCAGAGAAAACATAGAACTGATCAATTGCAAGGCAAAGTTGGCATGTAGACATACACAGTTACTCTTGGTACAAAGCTATTTCTGAGCATAATGATAGCCAAGGCCATGAGGGATACTATGTGTTTAAATATGTGCATTGATAAGAAGCATAAACCTAACTGATTCCTCGTGAGAGAAAAAGAAAAGTGAAATCTGAAAAATGTCTTTGTGTAAGTCATGTAGCAACCACCTTGCAGTGACAACCCTGAGCTCACACAGGCTGCTGTCCCTGCTGGCTCTTCAATGGAAGAGGAAGGCAGTGTGGCAAGCCAGAGCTCAGTACTGGCTTCCAGAAGTGGAGGTCGATGTCTTTATGATGTTCTTGCCTCTGGCGGGGATAAAGTCTGGAATACCTGGAGGGAGAATGGATGTCCATTAAGATAGTAATGCTTGTGATCTGCAAGTCTCTTGACAGCTTACGATCCTGCTCTCTGCAAAATGTTTCCACGCTTATCATTCATGTTCCAAATCCCTGTTTGGTGGTGCATTTTCTCTCGTGGAAATTCCATTATCACAAATGGAAACCATTTGCCTATGGCTTCCACCCACCAGTGACTTGACTACAGACAAATACGTTACCCATGTTTTTATTTATTTCTGTGTTCTTGGTGCTCTGGCATCTGGGGCCTCTCTGGCTGGGGAAAGACTGCTCCTCCCAGGGCCAGCTAATTCTTAGAGGTGATAAACACGCCTTTCACAAGCAAATTAACTGCTCCTATAGGCTCCCCCCTCCACTACCTTCTTTATGTGGCTCTTGTCCTGCAGGAATATTGATTCCCTCACCTGGTCACCCCAGGGCCAGGCACCGGACGGCTTGGGGTGGCTCCCACATCACACCCATCCCCCTGCTCCCTGGGGACAATGTCACCCTAACCCACCCTCCCGCCCTCTCAGCTCCTGCCACATCCAGTTGGGCATTGGGTCTTTCTCGTTTTGCTGTTTTTAGGTCAAAACTATCAGTTTTTTATATCCTTTTTTTTTTTTTTTTCTGAGACGGAGTCTTACTCTGTCACCCAGGCTGGAGTGCAGTGGCATGATCTTGGCTCACTGCAACCTCTGCCATCCAAATTCAAGCAATTCTCCCGCCTCAGCCTCCCGAGTAGCTGGGATTACAGGCACCTGCACTGAGTCCGGCTAATTTTTTGTATTTTTAGTAGAGACGGGGTTTCATCATCTCAGCCAGGCTGGTCTGGAACTGCTGACCTCGTGATCCACCCGCCTTGGCCTCCCAAAGTGCTGGGATTATAGGCATGAGCCACCGCACCCGGCCAGTTTTTTATATTCTTAAATATATTTCAAAGTTTTGTTTTCTCTCCTGAACCAGGTCACCTGTCTCTTGCCCTGCTCAGCACATCTTTCGTCTGAACTCAGATAATGCCTCCTCCCTCTGGAAAGTCTGTCACCCCCTCCTTATACCGAAGTGAGTAGCTTCTCAGTACCAAATAGAGGACTTTGGGGACATGACTTCTTCCCATGTCTCCTTTTGAAACTCCTAGTGTTCTTCTATCCAACAAAGATTTCCTTATATCGACATAGTCCTCACTTCGCATAGTAGTCTGTGACTATAAGAACGACCATGCAAGCCAAAACTATAAAGTGATCTTAATAATCAGTGGAGAAAATCATGAGTGTTCTGCAACCTTTGAATTTTTTTATCCACACGTTAACATGTCTCTTACCATTGCATATTGTCTTCATATGAACACATGAAAACGAAACTCAGGAAAACTGATATTTATTTCATATATTGTAATTTAAAATCTTTAGACACACCGATAGTTCAAGCTTATTTCTTTATAAAAATGTATTAAAAGCCAGGCTTGGTGGCCCCTAGCCTGGCTTGGTGCACCTCCTGACCAGTGCAATGTCAGCACCCACAGAGGCAGCACCACAGTGCCCTTTCCTGGAGGTCTGAATGGTACTTCCGAGGCTGTCACTCTTCCTTTCTTTCCTGCACTTTCCTCTTTGTTGGCCAATCCACTCTTCCAGTTTTTATCTTTGTAACATTCCGAGTGGTTTTATTACTAGGAATCTAAGAAGCAAGATGACTACACGTGGTGTTGTCTGTACAGGAACCGAGCTGTGCATGCGGAGGGAAGGGCCCTGCAGATTCTGAAGGGAGTGGTGTGGTTGGTCACCGATCGCCACGTGCTCCTGGTGTTCATGTAGAGGCTGGTGGGCAGAGGTGCTAGGAGCGACGTGTGCACTTTGAAGGCACAGTGATAACTGGAGTTTGAACTGTTATGTAAATAAACTGTGAGCATTCAGTGCAGTGAAATCTCTCTAAGAATCCCCTTCATGTCCAACCAACAGCCCCCGGGCTGCATGCAGCCCAGGACAGCTTTGAATGAGGCCCAACAAACATTTGTAAACTTTCTTAAAACATTATGAGGTATTTTTTGTCATTTTTTTTCTTTAGCTCATCAGCTTTTGTTAGTGTTAATGTATTTTATGTACAGTCCAAGACAGTTCTTCTTCCAGTGTGGCCCAGGAAAGCCAAAAGATTGGACACTCCTGATAAAGTGTTTTGCTGGCATCACTGGGCGCTGTGAGAATCGGAGCCTGCAGAGTGAGGACTGCCCAGGGGTGTGGCATCTGCACAGTTACAGCTGAAAATGCCGTTTCCCACAGTGGGGTTTACTGTCCACTGGGGAAAGTGATGAGAAAAGTTCACCATGTAACTTTATTCTCAGGTGCGACTAAATCCCGGACACATCCTGCTGTTCTGACACAGCTTCACCTCATGCTCTCACTGGGGCTGCATGGACCTTGAACCCTGCCCCATCAGCTTCTCCATTCCTCCTGGTTTGTCATGAGTCAAGTCTGATGGCCTCATCCACAAAACCGATCCTCTTCTCTTTCCACTTGTCCTTCCTCATCTCAGTCCTCAGAGCCCGTGCTGCCCCTGCCTCTGCACTTCGCAGATTAGTGAAAACTGCCATTTCTGGATCTTTCCAGTTAGACATAAAGTTCCACAAGGTCCAGAACTGCCGTAGAATCCTCATTTATAGACTCTGACTTTGCCATCTTTCCCTTAATACTATAGATGGCACCAGCATTGACCCAGCTACTCATTCAGGGAAGCCACTCAAGAAATGGATGACAAATTCCGTTGCGGCTTCTGCCATGGGACTAGTCCCCGATTCCTTTCCCCATTGCTGTTGCTTTAGTGAAGGCGGTCATCTCTTTTTCAGGTCTCTGGTTCTGGCTTCCCCTTCAGCCACCGTCCACTCTTCTGAAGCATTGCTTCTTTGACATAAGTCTGATACAGCACATTCAGGCCTTACATGGATCACTTTACAGACTCCCCAGTAGCCACAGCAGGATCTTCAAGGAGGGTGTGTACAGCCCAGGGAATGCCCAAGATGATCTTTTAAAGTGTGGAAAGGAAATTGTGAAAACTCTAATTACACTGATTTTCACCTAAATAAGAATTTTTTAAAACAATACTAGTGTTAGCTTAGTACATGATAGTATATGTATCTAATGCACGCTCATGTACAAATGAGTTACGATGTTCAAAATATGTTTACTGCTTGAGTTACCCCAAAAGCGTAAGGCAAAACTAGAACTAAAATAGGCATACCTTACAGTAACTTGTTTAGATTTGCAACAATAAACATAGTAGGAATCACATCCCAAATGTGTTTTCCATGTCCCTGTTTCCGTACCCCCAAAGTGCTGAGAAATGCACAATTACAGGTATCAGTGTCATTCAAGGACGTGGCTGGGGGTCCGCCAGGAGGATTGGCAGCGCTTGGGCCCTGTTCAGAGGACCCTGTACCGCGATGTGATGCTGGACAACTGGAGACACCTCATCTCGGCACGAGCGGACTTGACGGCATGCATTTTCTTTTTTTTCGAGACACAGTCTCACTCTGTCACCCAGGCTGGAGTGCAGTGGTGTGATCTCAGCTCACTGCAATCTCTGCCCCCCAGATTGAAGTGATTCTCATGCCTCAGCCTCCCGAATACCTGGGATAACAGGCATGCACCATCACACATGGCTAATTTTTTTGTGTTTTTAGTTGAGACGGGGTTTCTCCGTGTTGGCCAGGCTGGTCTCAAACTCCTGACCTCAGGTGACCCGTCCACCTCGGCCTCCCAAAGTGCTGGGATTACAGGCATGAGCTACCACACCCGGCTGCATTTCCTTTTTAATTGCAATGCATGTAGACCCTCTCCTGAGCTCAGGGCTGTTCAGTCCCGCGGATTCCCCCTGCATGGCCTGGGGTTCTCCTCCTCGGGGTATGAGTCTGTCTATGTGGCTAATAAGCCAGTGCTCATCTCCTCTGTCAAGTGTCGTGCGTGTGTGTGCAGCCATCCCCCTAGGCCTAGGGCAGAAACCCTGCTGACCCAGTGGGGTAAAGGGGAGGCACCTAAAACACTCTTCCCACAGTAGCCACAGTGAGTCTGAAAAACCTCACACCATGCGCTCTCCTGAAAGCCCTCCTGTGGCTGTTCCTCTCACACGGCAGAGACAACTCCCTCGCCCACATCCAGGGGGCTGCACACAGGCTGGCCCTGTTACCCCGACTTCAGCCCTCTCCGCTCACTTTCATTGACACTTGAGCCACAGGTCCTTCCTCCTGGGAAATAGCGGGCCACTCTGCTCTCCAGGCATTTATCCCTGCTGTCACCCCGGCCTGACATTCCCTTTCCACACACAGCCATGCTCTCCAGGCATTTATCCCTGCTGTCACCCCCGCCTGACATTCCCTTTCCACACACAGCCACGTCACCATCCTCACTCCCTTCAGAACCATATCCCAATGTCAGCCTTACATAGCTCTTGCCATCACTTTCTCGAGCCCCTAGCTGGCACTCCATGTCCCTCGTCCTGCCCTTCACCTGCTCCACTTTCCTCCATGGAACTCCCTGATGATGTGCCACGTGCTCTACTCATTCATTTTGCTTTTTTCCTCTGTCTGCCCAGCTGGAGAGAATTTTGTGCTCAGCAAAAATGTTTGTGGCTCGCAAAGGGTGTGGCCGTGTTCTAGCCTCCCTGCCCCACTGGGACCGCGTGTCTCCCTTTGCCCCTCCCCTGTCTGCTGTGGGTGCAGAAGGCTGTCCTTCATGTGTTGACTCAGTCTGCCCTGGGGCTGGGCCCAGAAAGCCCCAAGCCCAGAAGCCATTTTCACTGCCAGTGTGGACTTGGTGGATGAGCTCAGCTACCAGAACCCTGCTGGATCATCTCCAAGAGCCAATCATCTCAGGGACCCTGAAGTCGACTGTGGAACAGCTGCCAACACAGCTTTGAAATGCTCAGCAATATGAAGAGTGCTGACAGCCCCTGCCTGCTGAGGCACACGGGGCTATGGTATTTCACTTCTATTACAGTAACATGACTTTAGTTGAGGATGGGATGAAAGAATAAAGATGCAGCCTGGGCAATATAGTGAGCCCCCATTTCTACAAAGAATAAAAAATTTATCCAGGCAAGGTGCACCTGTAGTCCCAGCAACTCTGGAGACTGATGGAGGATGGCTTGAACTTGGGAGGTCAAGGATGTAGTGAGCTGTGATCATGCCACTGCACTCCAACCTGGGTGCCAGAGAAAGACTGTCTCAAAAAAAAAAAAAAGAGAAAGAGAGAATAAAAAAAGATTAATTCATCATCTTGGACATAAACAATACTTTCTTGAGTGTTACTCAGATGTGTTTTTACTTCCTGCCCTTCCAAGAAAAATACTGGTAATGGCTCTGCCTCTTTCAGCTTGGAGAAGACAGCCAGGCCAGTGAATATGGAACTGTTAGGCCTGAGCAGGCATAAAGGAAATCTCCATTGTGCAGTGTTTTCAGCATAGTTAGTTTGGGATGAGTAAAGGTGTGTGGGGTAATTGCCATGCTTTTTGGCAATCGGGCATGCAAATGGGAAGGTCACAAATCACCCAGTCATACCACTTTGGACAAAGAAATCGGGAGTGTGCATTTCTTTTTCTTCTTATTTTTGCTTTGTTAGAAGTGAGTGTTCACTTTATCTCTGAAGGCATGTGATTGTTATGAAGTCAGCAGTGATGATAGCTCTTTACCCCAAACTGCCAAGGCCAGGGATTACATCAATCATCTATATCCTGAACATGGTGCCTAGCATTCGGCTGGAGCTCAGCGAGTATTTGTTGAATGAATGAATCAATCCCATTTCGCCTTCTTGCCAGCTCTGGTCTGGGTGGTCGGTACTTTCCTTTTTGAGTACTGCACGGACCCAGGTTTCTGGAGTCTGGACTCAATGGCTTATGTGGGAGCAGCCTCTTCCATTCTGCAGTGGGGATTACTATCCAGAGCCAGGTACAGGCCCCAGAGGAGGGTGCACTGGGGCCACAGGCCCAAGGCCATCCAGTTCCCTTTGCCCAGCTGGGGTCTTGTGGAAGAAGAAAGCCAGTGTCCTGAAATTATTCCTTCCTCACTGCCATCTATACTGGAAATAATCCCAAGGGATTTAGAATAAGCAAAATCAAATTCTGTCATTTCTAAATTTTCTAAGATGAACACGTATAGCTTTTATACACAGAAAAACCATATTAAAACACAAACACACGGCCGGGCGTGGTGGCTGATGCCTGTAATCCCAGCACTTTGGGAGGCCGAGGCGGGTGGATCAGGAGGTCAGGAGATCGAGACCATCCTGGCTAACACGGTAAAACCCCGTTTCTACTAAAAAATACAAAAAAGTTAGCCGGGTGTGGTGGCGGGCGCCTGTAGTCCCAGCTACTCGAGAGGCTGAGGCAGGAGAATGGCGTGAACCCAGGAGGCAGAGCTTGCAGTGAGCCGAGATGGCGCCACTGCACTCCAGCCTGGGCGACAGAGCGAGACTCCGTCTCAAAACAAAAACAAAAACAAAAGCAAAACACAAACACACATACAACCTCGCTGGGTCTTGAGAAAGCTTGTCACTGGGGAGGTTAATGGAAATTGTACACTTTTCTCTGTTAGCTAGTTAAAAGTCTTTAAAAATCCTGCCTCAATTTAACCTTGGGAAATGGAACTTTATAGGTGGTTCAGGAATGTGAAGATTCACACATCACAAAATATTTAAATGTATTTGACGTGTGATAAACATGTAAATATCATAGTGCTGTGACTTTGCTTATGAGTTATATATTTCTAATCATTTTAATGTTATCACGATTTTTTAAAAAGTTCTTTTATATGATAGTTATTATTTGGGGTTACTGTGTAAGAAAGCCATTTAGCCACCAGAGGGCGATGTGACACAGCAGAAAGTAGGTCTCCGTTCGGCTGAAACCTTTACTTTTCAAAACGGGAAATCACCAGCCTGGCCAACATGGTGAAACCTAAAAAAAATACAAACATTAGCCGGGCGCGGTGGCAGACGCCTGTAATCCCAGCTACTCAGGAGGCTGAGGCAAGAGAATCGCTTGAACTGGGGAGGCGAAGGTTGCAGTGAGCCGAGATTGTGCCACTGCACTCCAGCCTGGGCGACAGAGCGAGACTCCGTCTCAAAACAAACCAAAACAAAACCAAAACAAAACAAAATAAAACACAACAAAACGAGAACTCAAAATGGAATTCTAAGGAAGTGGTCACTTTTATATATGTCCATGTTAAAGTTCTAGAGCTGTTGATAAATATAAAAACAATAATGGTAAGTTATTCCAGTAGGAGATGTTCATTATTTTCTTTATTAATGCTTAATGTTTTTCAGTTCATATTTCAAATATATGTATTCTATATGAAATTTTCATAAAATGGAGAATGGCATGCTATCTAAAATGTAAAAAACACATATACATGTATATATACCCAGATATCTAGATTTTGCTGTTGCAATTATAGAAGAAAACAATGACCTCTGTGCCATTAAAAAAGCGTTTGATTTTTCCACATTTTTTTCTCTTTTCCTTAGGGACTCAGAGTTGCAATGAAGTGGTTTTTGAAGGTTCTGTCTTGTAATATTGTTCTGCTGTATAGAAACTCAAAAAGACTTTGTAACAATAGACCTTATTAGAATTAACTTACCTGTATTTTTACTTTATTTTTGCGGAAGACCAGAGTTTCATTATTATTCAAATCAGACTTCTTGAGCATTTGTTTTGTTTTGTTTTAAGATGGAGCCTCGCACTATTGCCTGGGCTGGAGTGCAATGGTGTGATCTCAGCTCACTGCAACTTCTGCCTCCAGGGTTCAAGCGATTCTCCTGCCTCAGCCTTCCAAGTAGCTGGGATTACAGGTGCCCGCCACCACGCTTAGCTGTTTTTTTGTATTTTTAGTAGAGACGGTGTTTCATTATGTTGGCCAGGCTGCTCTCCAAATCCTCACCTCGTGATCCGCCCGCCTCGGCCTCCCAAAGTGCTGGAATTACAGGCGTAAGCCACCGTGCTCAGCTTAAGTTTTTAGAGACAATTTGACGGGTAGGGGCTAGAGAAGTGGGGAGTGCTGATTGATCAAGTTGGAGATGGAATCATAGGGGGTCGAAGTGAGGTTTCCTTGCTATCTTCTGTTCCTGGGTAGGATCTCAGAACTGATTGAGCCAGATTACCAGTCTAGGCGGTGTCAGCTGATCCATCGAGTGCAGGGTCTGCAAATTCCTTCCCGAGGTTAGTTCGGCCTATGCCCAGGAATGAACAAGGACAGCTTAAAGGTTAGAAGCAAGATGGAGTCGGTTAGGTCTGATCTCTTTCACTGTCATTATTTTCTCAGTTATAATTTTTGCAAAGGCTGTTTCAATCCCTCCCTTAGGGTTTCATAGCACCTTATTCTTAAGGTGTGGGCTATGAAGATGGGAAAAGGCCGTCGATCACTCTGGATTCTTCCTGCAGACAGGGGGCATAGTGGGGTAGGTGTTGACCCCAAGGTGAGAGGAGTGGAACTGCTTTGCAGCTGTCTGAGCTGTTTGAGTGTACTCACGCAGGCCAGGCTGAGCTTCCAAGGCTTTCATGACAAAGGCATTCGTATTCTCATCTACAGTTTTAGTACGACATTTACACAAACAGTGTACAATAAGGTAAGTAATGAGTTCCGGAACAAGGAGTGCCATTCCCAGTTTTAAAAGTAAAGACTTAAAAGCATTAGTTTGAGCACTTGTAGCCTCCCAAAATTTAGGATTCAGTCTAAATGGCAGAAAAAAACATCCTCAAAAACAACTAACAACAGGTGTACTGTAGTTTTTGAAACAATTTTTTCTCTCTTCAGTTCTTATTTTTATTAAAAACAAATCCTGATAGGACCGATTTTGTTTGTGAAATAAACTTTAATTTTATTATACTTGGCATGATTATTTGCAAAGAGCACAGCAAGAATAATTATTTTTCACATGGGCCTTTTAAGTTGGCTTTGATGGAACTCTGCATAAAGAGTCTTAGATAGACTTTTTTTAAAGCCCATCCCAGCCATGGGTTTGTACCCTCAAATGCCTATGAGTTGGGTACATTCCCCTCTTCTTGAGATCCCAAGATAACTTAAGATTCCGGGGCCTTTTGGAAAGTGACATTCTTTACTTACCATACGTTAGGAACCCTGTACAGGGACTGCGTAGACAAGGTATGAGGCCAGTTTACCCTAGGGGTTTTTATTGGCTTTGTAAATCAAGTTTGATTCCTTAAACAAAAGCATGCCATCCCAGTCAAAACCTTAGTAAAATAAACAGTTTCTCCAATTGTGTCCTGTTGCAAAAGAAAACATTCTTATTGCACTTATGCAAATAATTATGTTGCCATAAATTAAGAATACTTGCAAATAGCTTCCAGATTCTTGAGAAATCAGGTAGAGAGAAACAAACATGCTCCAAATTTTGTTCACAGGAGTATATTTTTCTCAGTTGTTAAAAGCTGTAATCAAAAGAAAAGTTTTCTTGGCTCTCTGAAAAATGAAAAGGAACAGCCACATTTTAAGCAAAAAAAAAAAAAGGAAAAGATTAGTTCAGTTTTCTATTAGTTCATTCCATTCAGTAAACTCTTGTTCTGCTTAATGTTCCTGAACAAGTCAGCTCTCCATGAGAGTCCTGAACGTTTTTTCCTTTATTCTAATGTTGCAATCTCCAAAGCTATCAGAAACTTGCATTCAAGAGCACCCATCCAAGTTTCATAGCTGATTATAAAACAAGAAAATTTTTAACCTCTGTGGCACACAATAATTTAATGTATCAATTATAATTATTACTGATAACATATGCTAAGGCATATCAAACTTATAAGAATCTTATACAGTTTTGAAACACATGCTAATAACGTATTTATATGAATATAACCCAAAGAAAGTTAAACATCATTTTATATTTGGCCATGTTTTCTGCATGATTTTAATACATTAAATAAGCAGATTATATCTTTTTGGACTGTAGGGGACCTATTTTTGTTTAACTTCTAATTTGATCTTGTCAGGTTTGTCAAATATGGTTTAAAACACTGGATGTCACAAAATAGAATGCCAGGTCACCATAAGTCAGTTATTTAGCCAAAATGATAACTCACAAAGTTTTAAAAAGGAAAAAACCTTTAGTTTGATAGAAAAGAGACTCAGCTTCTCAAACTACAAGACCCAGTGAAGCCGTCCCCTGAATTGGTCACTTCTCTCTCCCCTCCCTTAAAAGGCAAACAAAATTTTTTCATTGCTTCTCAATATTACACAAGAATCTTTTTCAAAAGAGAAAACCAAATTTCATGTTTGCATTATTGCACCTTTAATGCTAAAGCTAGTTTTTATTAAAATTTTATAAATCTATCCAGCTTTAATTAGTTTGACCATAAGTTAATGTTCTTATAAACCTTTTATAACCCTTTACAATTTAGTTGTTGTTGTTACAGAGCAGAACCATGTTTTAAGAAAACTCTGTTATGCTTTTATTCCAATGTTCAACTTATGGAAACATTGACTAATACCCCTTTAACTTTAGCCAATATGTTTACACACAGAATCTCTTTTACAATTAATTTTTTATAAACTTTTCACAACTTGCTTAAACCTTTAGGCCGGGCGCGGTGGCTCACGCCTGTAATCCCAGCACTTTGGGAGGCCGAGGCGGGCGGATCACGAGGTCAGGAGATCGAGACCATCCCGGCTAAAATGGTGAAACCCCGTCTCTACTAAAAATACAAAAAATTAGCCAGGCGTAGTGGCGGGCGCCTGTAGTCCCAGCTACTTGGGAGGCTGAGGCAGGAGAATGGCGTGAACCTGGGAGGCGGAGCTTGCAGTGAGCCGAGATTGCGCCACTGCACTCCAGCCTGGGCGACAGAGCGAGACTCCATCTCAAAAAACAAAAAACAAACAAACAAAAAAAAAACCTTTAGACTTTTCCTGTCTCACTTAAAACAATAACCCTCTAAACTTGGGAAAGAAATCCATATTCCCAGGTCTTCTTATAATCTTTTACCAAAAGTACATTCTACTTTTCTTACATGCCTTGAATGTGGAAATGTTTCTTCAGTAGCCTCAATACATGTTACACTGTTAACTCTGTGCAACTTCTATTTTTGGTGAAAAACCTGGTTAGTAGGACATTTTAATTATGTACCAAGTGTGGAGCTTAGGACAGACAAAGGACAGAAGTGCAGATCAAGTCTGACTTTTTCCAGCATAGCTATGGGATGTGGCTATCTCCACATATGCCCAGCACTTACCTAGCAGTAACGCAGGTAAGTGTATAGTTAAGAGTCACAGTGGCGTTTGTGAAGCATTTAGGCAGCCTAATAACCTTTAAATTGTACAACGTTTCTTGCATAAATTCCCTTTCATGAATCCTTTCATGGCTTAGACCATCTATTACATGCTTGGACAATGGTCATTTCAACAACCAGTCATTTCACTTTAGGACAAAAATTTACCATACAAGATCCTTTCTTATACAAAATCTCTTTTCTTTTTAACCTTCTTTGAGCAGCTAGGGGGCTAATTTCACATGTCACCGGGCCTTATCTAGAAAGTAATGACTCCAAGCTAGGTAAATTGAACAATTTTTAAAAGTTAAAGAAGCAGTTTATGATCTTAAAGCATTTAGCAAACCTAACATCAGACCCAATTTAGACCAAATGTCTAAATTTTGAAGACATTTTATTTTACCAATTTTTTTTTTTAGACAAAATCTCACTCTGTCACCCGGGCTGAAGTGCAGTGGCGCAGTCTCAGCTCACTGCAAGCTCCGCCTCCAGGGTTCACGTCATTCTCCTGCCTCAGCCTCCCGAGTAGCTGGGAATACAGGTGCTCACCACCACGCCTGGCTAATTTTTTTGTATTTTTAGTAGATATGGGGTTTCACCGTGTTAGCCAGGATGGCCTTGATCTCCTGACCTCATGATCTGCCCAGCTCAGCCTCCCAAAGTGCTGGGATTACAGGTGTGAGCCACTGTGCCCAGCCTATTTTATCAATAATTTTTAATCTGTCTTTATTACCAAAAGATTACTAAAGTTAGGTGAACTAAAGGGCATTAGTTTTAATTTTACTGACAAAATATTTGACTTAAGTGCCTACTTTTCTTTAAACCAATTAATTAGAGCTTTTATGTAAACATCACACACAAAACATATATAAATACATAGACAGACAGAAGATCCAGTAGTTGTAAGATTTTTCATTTGCCAGTTCTTAAGTTTCCTAGTGGGATTACTAGATTCAGGCTGGAGCCCTTTGAAAAATAGGGCTGGGAAAGCATGCAATTTCTAGGGCCTAATAAGCAGGCACAGCTGGAAGGCAAAAACAGATCCCCCAAATTAAGGGTGCCATTTTATATGGGATCCTGGATTCCCCCCAAAAAGAGGGAAATACTACAGAAGAAGCTAGTGCAGTGCTTCTACCCTGCATTTTATTGCAAGACAATCCAAAGCCAATCAGCCCATTTTGTAATCAGCCCATCCCCCATGGGATTCTCATCTCTCAGTGGGGGATAGGGTTGTTTTCATACCTTCTAGGTGGTCAAGAGTGTGCTTCTCTGATCCAAGCATGCAAGGAGCCAAGTATTCCTCCTAATTGCCATTAGCAGTCCCTTATAGTGTATTTCCTATCTGGTTATTATAAACCATGGCTAAAAGCTCTCCCATAATGTGAAGCAATTTCTGATATACCCAAAAGTAAAAAAAAAAAACAAAAAAAGTCAGGTAACATAATGTAAAATTGAAAATTGAACCGAGACTTAGATTTTGAGGGAGATCTATCAACTTTCAGCTCCTGGGGTTTCATGAGGAAAATGGAGGTTTTTCCCAGAATGGGGTCTGTGATGCCTCCTCTGTTTTTCCCTATGAGTCCCAGGCTGTTAGAATTTATCTAGGTTCTCTCAGGTGTGCTTTAAGCATGGCAAGAAGAAAAAATGGAGAAAATCAATTCAGAAGAAAAGAACTTATTCCAGAAAGACATGAATCTAGAAGAGGAAAAGATAAAGGCCTTTTAAATAGATATAGTTTGAGTACTTTTATTTATTTATTTATTTAATTTTAAGATGTGGTCTATGTTTTCCAGGCTTGTCTCAAACTCCTGCTGAAGCAATCCTCCTGCTTTGGCCTCCTGAAGTACTGGGATTACAGGCATGAAAATAGATATCTAGGGTTACCCCACCCAACCCTGGATGTCTATTTTTAATTAAGCCACTTTTAACCATAGAGCTCTGCTGTTTAAAAAAAAAAAAAAAACTTTCAAAATCCCTTATTACCAGGCTCTAGTGAGGACACCCCACATTTCTGGCTTTTGAATTCTATACCAGGTAACCTCTCACATGAAATTAATAAGTTTTAACTAAGGTTATAACTTAACCATGAACTCATGATGTGTTTCAAAGAGATGGTAAGTAGTTTTTTTTAAACAAGAGTTAGAATTTCCCCAGGGTAGTTCACAGAAAGGAAAATTCAAGACAGGAAATCAGAAATTATCCATAGAAAGGGGGGAATCCCTCAAAAAATGGCAGTTACACAAATAACAAACAAGAAGGGAATCATTCCCAAAGCCAAGAATTGAACCTGGGGCAGCCACTGTCAAAAGACAAAAGCCTTGGTTATTGAGCTACATCATTCAGCAGGTTCTGTTGCTCTTCCCAGAAGGAGCCTAGAGGTGCCAATTTTGACCTTGCAAAAGCTTCTACCTGCTCAAGATAATTTTTAGTGCTATGACATGAATCCCCAAATTCCTGTCCGCTGAATGGCAGACACCAAGAGAAAGTATCCCCACATGGTCACAAGGTTAAGCTCTCAAGGGCATAAAACGAAAAGATGGAAACTTTATATGGCACTGGTCTTGGGGACCCCCAGCAAAGTTTGTAAATGACCAGCTGCCAGGCTGGCTTGAAAGGCAGGCTTATAGGGGTCCTAAGCCCACCTTCTCTCCTGTGATACCTCTCTCTCCATTAAAGAACAAAGCAGAAAGATAAATTCTTAGCACAAAGTGCTCCAGATTTGCTACAGCCTAAGACTAGTCTCACAAATCCTTTTTTCTATTTGTAGAAAAGAGAAAACAGAGGAGAGAAGACAAACAGTGATATTTACCATTTGCATTCACACGCACACACACAAACACACAGAGGGAGAGGGAGGGAGAGAGACAGGGAGAGAGAGAGAAATATGAGAAACTTGGTTGGTAAGAATTTCTTACCCTTTTTTCGCCAGCATACCAGGTTTCTGGGTTCCCTTTCTCTGCAGCTTTCAGAAGAACAGAGCAGCTTTGATGACCTTGCTCAGTGTAACATAGCTATGGGAGCCAAGTTCCATTACAAAATAAAATTATGCTTTTCTGTTTGATGGAACCATAGGCATAAGCTTCCCAATTTTGCAAGATGCTGTTCAACAGGCTGCATGGGGAATCAAATTAATATTTTCCATCCCAGCCAAAGCAAAATACATGTAGCAAAACAGACGCAAGTCACTTTGTTCAGCACCAGTGTTGACCTGGCAAGGCTCAAACTTTCTCCTGTTGGCCCCTGTTATCTTTGATCCACACCAGGTGGGAATGGATGATCTCCAAATGGTAATTCAGTGTGTAACCTCTAGGCAAGACAACAAACCTGACAAAAACAAGCAATGGGGAAAGGATTTCCTATTTAATAAATGGTGTGAAAACTGGCTAGCTATACACAGAAAACTGAAACTGGATCTTTTCCTTACACCCTATACAAAAACTAACTCAAGATAAAGTAAAGTCTTAAATGTAAAAGCCAAAACTATAAAAACCCTAGAAAAAAATGTAGGCAATACCATTCAGGTCATAGTCATGGGCATATATTTTATGTTGAAATCGCCAAAAGCAATTGTAATAAAAGCAAAAATTGACAAATGGGAACTAATTAAACTAAAGAGTTTCACGCAGCAAAGAAACTATCATCAGAGTGAACAGACAACCTACAGAATGGGAGAAAATTTTTGCAATGTATCCATCTGACAAAGGTCCAATATCCAGAATCTACAGGGAATTTAAGGAAATTTACAAGAAGAAAACAAAAGACCCCATTAAAAAGTGGGCAAAGGACATGAACAAACACTTCTCAAAAGAAGACATAGATGCAGCCAACAAACATAAGGAAAAAAGCTCAACATCACTGATTGTTAGACAAATGGAAATCAAAACCACAATGAGATACCATCACATGCCAGTCAAAATGGCAATTATTAAAAAGTCAAGAAACAACTGATGCTGGTGAGGTTGGGGAGAAATAGAAACAATTTTACACTGTTGGCAGGAATGTAAATTAGTTCAACCATTGTGGCAGACATTGTGGCGATTCCTCAAAGATTTAGAATGGGAAATACTATTTGACCCAGCAATCCCATTACTGGGTATGTACCCAAAGAATATAAATTATTCTGTTATAAAGATGAATGCACTTATATATTCATTGCAGCACTATTCACAGAAGCAAAGACATGGAATCAACCCAAATGCCCATCAGTGATAGACTGGATAAAGAAAATGTGGTGCATAGACAACATGGAATATTATGCAGCCATAAAAAAGAATGAGATTATGTCCTTTGCAGGGACATGAATGAAGCTGGAAGCCATTATCCTCAGCAAACTAACACAGGAACAGAAAACCAAACACCACACGTTCTCACTTATAAGTGGGAGCTGACCAAAGGGAACACATGCACACAGGTAGGGGAACAACACACTGTGGGGCCTGTCAGAAGCAGGAGAGAGCATCAGGAAAAATAACTAATGCATACGGGGCTTAATACCTATGTGATGGGTTGATAGGTACAGCAAACCACCATGGCACACATTTACCTATGTAACAAACCTGCACATCCTGCACATGTACCCCGGAAGTTAAAATAAAATAATAAAAAATACACAAAAGATGTGAACAGACATTTCTCAAAAGAAGACATATGAATGGCAAACAGGTATATGAAAAGGTGCTCAACATCAATGATATCAGAGAAAGGTAATCAAAACTACAAGGAGATCTCATCTCGCCCCAGTTAAAATGGCTTTCATCCAAAAGACAGACAATGGCAAATGCTGGCGAGGATGTGAAGGGAACCCTCATACACTGTTGGTGGAAATGTGAGTCAGTACAACTTCTATGGAGAACAGTTAGGAGGTTCCTCAAAAACTAAAACTAGAGCTACCGCATGATCCAGCAATCCCACTGCTGGGTACACACCCAGAAGAAAGGAAATCAGTATATTGAAGGGATACTTGCACTCCCATGTTCCTTCTAGCACTGTTCACAATAGCCAAGATTAGGAATCAACCTAGTGAGTGTCCATCAACAGATGAAAGGATAAAGAAAAGGTGGTACATATAAGCAGTGGAGTGCTCTTCAGCCATAAAAAAACAATGAGAGCCTATCATTTGCAATAGCATGGATAGAACTGGAGGTCATTAAGTGAAATCAGGCAAAGAAAGACTAACAAACATCACATGTTCTCTCTTGTGAGAGCTAAAAATTAAACAGTCAAACTCATGGAGATACAGAGTAGAAGGATGGTTACTAGAGGCTGGGAAGGCACAGGGGGAGAGAGACGGGGATGGTTAATGGATAAAGAAGGTAATTAGAAAGAATGAATAAAACTGGGTATTTGTAGTATTTGACAGCAATAGAATGCCTATAGTCAATAATAATTTAATTGTTCATTTAAAAAATAAGGAGTATAATTGGATGGTTTGTAACACAAAGGAAAAAGGCTTGAGGTGATGGACACCCCATTTACCATGCTGTGATTATTACACACTGCATGCCTGTATGAAAGTATCTCATGTGCCCCATTAACATATACACCTACTGTGTGCCCACAAAAATAAATATTAAACTTTTAAAAAACTATGAAAATTGTAATCAAAATTCACAACGATCAATAAGTACAAAAAATGTAAATTCTATGTCTGAGTTGATGCAGGGCAAGAACATATTAAGGGGGAAAGTTAGAACTGCAAACAAATGAGTTCCTAAGAGCAAGAAACTGGAGAAATAACAGAAACTCCAGGGAGAAGTCTAGATTTAAAGATGCAGGAGATTGAGGGACTGGCACAGAGATCTCCACAAAACCAGGTAACATCTGTGTTCCAGGGAACAGAATAGAAAATGGACCCAGGGCTGTCTCTGACAGGGTGAGCAACTGGAGTGGGAAGGAAAGATCTGGGGGACCCAGGAGGGTGGAGGGACTGGAACTGGGACCTGAAGGAGGGGCTGCGCTTCAGCCTCCTCCTCCCACTGCCCCTCCCCTGCCCCCAGGAGCCCTTGGTGAGGAGGAGGCCCCAGCTCTGTGATGCAGGCCTGGGCTCCAGTCCCTAGTCCCAAAAGCGATGCCCAGGGCTCAGTTGCTTGAGGGCAACATTGCACTTCAGATGGAAAAAATGCTCTTTCCTCTGAAGAGCCCTAGTGCCACGTGGCTGGGCCCCAGCTCCACTCCCTGGATTGTGGATTTCATCCTCACCTCAGTGTGGAGCCTGGGCTTCCTCTTCCTATTAGCCCCCTACCTCCCCAGTGTCCCACCCTCACCCCCGCATGGGAGGAAGAGGAGCAGCAGGAAGGTAAGGAGCCCTCAGCCCAGCCCCACAGAGAAAGATTCTCTCTTCTTTTCCTCCCCTCATTTCCACTTTTCCTAAGTAATGAGAGACTCTCCTGCGATGGGAAATCTCATCATCCCTCTAGGGAAGGGCAGAGCAGGCAGGGGTGGGAGTGGGCAGAGGATTCCATCCTCAGCTCCCAGACTATCTGTGACATGCGCGGGAGGCATCAGGGCAAAACCCAACACTGGACTCAGTGGCGAGGACCAGATCAGGAGAGGGGTGAGGTCTCTGTGGGAGGACAGGCCCCAGCTCTGGCTCATCAGCCCCTTTCCAAGGCAGGTGCCTGGGGGTCCAGGCTCCTCTGTGTGGGGTGATCTGGGAGCTGTGCTGAACCCCTGAGAGCCTCCCGCTAGAGCCTGGATTCACGTCTGGCCTCCTCTGAAGCAGAATCCTACTGGCAGCTCAGAGGTGCCTGTAGGCCTGAGCCTGGGTATGCCTTCAGCGGAGGAGCAGGGACTGGGGATATCCAGGGTGGAGTCACACAGAAAACCCCTGCTTGCATTTCCCTAAGAAGGAAAACAGAAAACATTTCATCAATGGTAAACATGAGTAAAAGAAACGCACGCAGAGCTCCCTGAGCTACAGGCAGAAAGCCGTGTCCTTCAAGAGCACTGCGTGTGTGCAGCTGGTCTGGGAAGAGGAGACTGAGAACTGGTCCCAGCCCCTCACCCTTGCTTGCCTCTCGGCATCAAAGGAAGAGATAGGGGAGGCCCAGGAGCAGGAAGAAGATCCCAGCTCTGAATTGTGAGGCCCTACTAATCCCTGAGACTCCCCAGAGGTGACTGAGCATCGTCTGTCCCTGAGGGAATCATTTGCAGAGGCCTGAGAGGGAAGCTCCTGGGAGGGAAATCAGAACCCGGGGCCTCCTCATATTCCCTGTGGGAATGAAGCCATGGGCCCGGGAACCGGTATTGCCCATAAGGGGGCGCTGTGGGGAAGGGACCAAGGCCTGCCAGGATATGGGGGGAGGTCAGGGAGACCCCAGGTCCATGTGGACAGCTGTTCTCCTCGGCCATGGCTGACTCTTCTTAGAGACCACCCCATCCACTCTCCCCACAAGATGGTTGTGACACCCATGAGGGGTTGTACATGGAAGCACTTTTTGCAAATGACAAAGTTCTGCACAATGCACACCTTGCTGTCACCATTGGGGCCATGTGGCCTTGGACACAGATGCATGGGCTTCAGGGTCTAGTTCCCCATGGTGTCCCCTAAAGAGACATCCACCACTCAGCCTCCCATGAGGTTCGCTGGCACCGCCCTCCCCGCCATAACTCTGTCTCCTTACTTCCAGCTTGCAGAATCCTCCTGAGGGAGCTGGAGGAGACTCAGGACCTGACCAACCTTCTGGAAAGATGAGATTCCCCTTCTCTCCATGTCGTCCTTTCTACCAGGGCCTCTGAGGCAGCCCCAGGGTCCAGTGTTGACCTGGGAGGGGGAGGTCCTGGGAAGAGGCGGGAGTGGACTGAAGCCCTGGGCAGGCACAGACAGAGCTCTGTGAAGCCAGCAGTGGCGGAGGTGGAGGAGCTGTGGGCACCAGGTGCCCAGCCCTCCCGACCTCCCAACCCCACCTGCCCCTGGCTGCAGCTTGTGCCTTGTGCAGCCACCTGAGAAAGCTCACTGGGGAGGGTGGCTCCCATCTGCCCTTAGGTGGAGAGCCCTGGGTGATATGTACAAACCAGCTCCTGCTAAGGCCCACCAGCCGCATAGGAAATGCATGCAAGATCCATCTCCTGACAGCTTGTCCCCAAGGACTCCCCCAGTTCCTCTGGCCTCCAACCTGTCACCAGACACAATGACCTTCTCAGAGCCTTTTGGACCACGCTCAACCCTGAGTGCCTCCAGGCCTCCAGAGCCCTTGCTTCCCCTAAAATGCCCTGCAGTCCGGCCACATATGCTTTTCCTTCTTCACCACAGCCCCATGTTCCCGTGGCCTCCTCTCCACCTCCACCCGAACACAGCCTGGCTGGACTTCAGTGTGGCTCCACAATACGCCCTGTCCCCCAGAGCTCCCCTCTACACAACCAGGGGCCACCTTCTCCAACCAGGGTGATCTCTGGCCTTGGGTGCTCCAGCGGTCCCATCCGGGACCTCTCCCGCTGGAGGGAGGCTGCCACCACCTGGGGCCTCTCCACCTGCTCACAGGGCAAATCCCAGCAACAGCATCTTCCCAACCACCCCCCAGAGGCTTCCTTCTGGGGAGACCCCACACCCAGGCAGATGGAGGCAGGTGGCCGCACATTCTTCCATCCCAACGTGCAGAAGCTGCTGGAGACTCATCTCCAAGAGAGCAGTGATGAAGATGTGGCAGGAGAAAGAATGGGGGTGGGCAGACTACCCGCAGATGACATCACTGGGGAAGGAGTGGGACATCACGACTCTAAATCCCTTCTGGAACGTGGCAAACCTACCACAGAAGCTGCCCCATCCTCAGCAGGTCTCTGACGCCATGGCCATGTGGGACCACTTAGAGCAGAAATGCAGCCATCTCTTCTGGGATCTCCCCTCTTTCAATAGCGAGTCCCTGGTGACCATGGCCTGGGTTTCTAGGAACATTTCCTCACAGAATGAGCACTCTGTACCATCGGATAAAGCCTCCACTTCCCTTCCAGGTGAAACTGAGGTTGAGACACCCTCACAGCTTTCCCAGGCACGGCCCCAGCCCCACCACGTGGCCCAGCCCCAACCTTTCACTCCAACCTGGCCCCAGTCCCAGCCCCCGCCTCTAGCTGGGATCCAGACACAGTGGGGCAAATCTCAACCCCTGTCCCAACCTCTTCTCCACCCCAGATTAGGGTCTGTGGAGCATCTTGCCCTACATCCCAGAAGAGGGCACAGTCTGTCATCCCCACTGGAAAAAAGTATCTTGAGTGGCCCTTGCAGAAATGACCAAAGTGGAAGAGGGTTTTGCCCTCTCTCCTCAAAAAGTCTCAGGCTGTCCTGAGCCAGCCCACTTCCCACCTTCCCCAGGAGAGGCCAGCCTCCCTGAACCCTAAGTCAGCCCCCATCCTTCCCGGGATTGCCACCAGCCCTGAGCTCCCAGAGCACCGGTGGCAAGGAAGGAGTGCCATCCACCAGGAGCAGTCCCGTGGCCTCCCAGCAGATTCAAGGCACCTGGAGACCTGCTGCAGCCTAAGGGGGAATTCCCAGGGAGGCCCCAGAGTCAGGCAGAAGCCACGCAGGGGGCCCTCTTGCCCTCCCGGGATTCTGAATTTGTAGGAAAGGGCACGAAGGATGTGCAGAAAGCAGGGCTCAGGAGCTCTGGAAGGTTCTCTGGGAAGGGGTGCTTAGGGTCCAAACTAGAGCCAGAACCAGGATCAAGGCTCAGGAAGGACTTCAGTGAAGGTTCTGGAGAAAGACAAGGAGGAAGCAGAAGGTGATTTCAGGAGGCCCTGGAAGTACCAATCAGTAAGTTCTGCACCCAGGGACCCAGAAAAGCAGCATCTGGAAAACAAGCCACAGGTCCATCTGGACAGGAAGGTGGGGGAGATCAAGGAGGGCTGGATCCCTGTGTCTGTGCATCGCTCCTAATTCATGGCCAAACATGCCATTCCCAAGTCTGACACCCACAGGAAATCGAGAAAGGTGACATCCTGGAGGGGTGGGAAAGCCCACGTGAACACCTCCCAGGAGCTGTCCTTCCTCCATCCCTGCACCCAGCAGATGCTGGAAGCACATCTTTTCAAGTTCTGTGTGAGGCACAGGTGGGGTCCAGAACTTCAGTCCTTAGAGCCCATAAATGTCTAGTCAGGGGAGGCTCAGCCTCCACCCCTCCCACACTCCACCATTCTCCCCTGGGCCTCCTGGGAATCTCTGGCTGAATCTGTAGCCAAGGTTGCCATTTTGTCGGGAAAACCTCCCCAGAATGGTCCAGGAGACAATAGAACAACAAGCAAGTCAGCCCCCACCATGAGTGGCCCTGTCCCTGCCCCACCAACTGAGCAGGAGGAAGTCCAGAGGGTCCCAAGAGGGTCCCAGTCAGCTGACACCCATGAGCAATCAGAGGCCTCTCTGACTGGACAGGAGGGCAGGGCATCTTCTCAGTCCCCCATATGCAACCTTGTAGGCAGAACCTGGCAGAGAGGGACTGTCCTGGGGTCCGGGAAACCCAGACTCGAGGGGAGTGTGGGTTCAGAAATGGCTGGGAATGAGGCATGGCTTGAGACTGAGAGCATGTCCCCAGGAGACCCCTGTCATAGCAGAGCCCTGCAAGAGCTCAGCATGGGGTCCCAGTGGGCAAGGGCCAGAGATGCCCTGGAGGCACTGGAGGCCAAGGAGGAAAAGCCCCCTGATTGGAAAGTCACCTTGGGAGCCAGTGTGAGGGCAAGATCAGGAAGTGTTCAGGTGGATCTGAGGAGCACAGGGACTCTGGGGACCACTAGTAACCCCTCAGTGTCTACAATCTGTGTTGCTCAGGATCCAGGGCAGCTGTGCCTGAAAGCACAGGTTGTCAGTGAGATTGCGCTCATAGTGCAGGTGGACTCAGAGGAGCAGCTGCCAGGCCGTGTTTCCAGCATCCTCCTCCAGGAGGGCGCCACAGGCCTGTGCCTTCCAGGCCGCCATGTGGACATGCTCCCAGCCACATACAGGCCACCCACTTAGGCCCTTCTGTCCACCTCCCAGAGTGTGCTCAGTAGGAGGAACACGACAGCTTCCCAGGGGCCATGTGCCCTCCTATGGAAGGGAGGGGACAGACTGGGGCAGCAGGAACCTGGGAGCCCAAAAGTGAAGGCCCCACAGAAGAGTCAGAAGATGCTGGGCTCTTTGGACAAGGGCAAGGCCCACAGGAGGCCCAGACCAGGGGAGCAGGGACACAGGTCCAAAGGACCCAGGACCTCCCAAGCCAGTGGGAGGAGCCACCCTGCCCACACGAGGGAAATAGGAGACAAACAAGAAAGGAAATACAATCAGCCTCAGCCAGAGAAGGGACAGGCACCACCAGAAAGCAACTTCCAGAGAAAGATCAGTCACCGTCCACAGGGTCTACATCCCAGGAAGAGGGGCTCAGGGCAGGAAGACGTCCTGCAGAAAGGCAAGCCTGGGCAGATGCTGTCCAGAGCTGGGGGTCTGGCCCAGCAAGGTTGTTTATGGACAGCATGGCTGATGAAGCCCAGACCATCATCAGAGTTATGGGGCAAATCCTGGTGGACAAACTGGGGATTCAGCAGGGACGTGGTCCCTCAGAGGTCAGTCGCCACAAAGGCGACCTCCACGCCCAGGAGAATGTGGCTTCCTGCTGCCACAGGAGTCACTACTACCAGGAACATAGCAGAGAGATGGGGCTGGTCTGCAGCCCCAAAGCCACCCCCAAGGGCCACAAATGTCCTGTCAAAAACAAGGGCATCAGAGACAGAGACAGCAGTTGGGCCCCCACCTCCCAGGGAGCTTGTGTCCCCAGCTGGTCCCCACCACCACAGGCCATGAGTGGCAAGCACCTCGGGCAGCCCCATCCACAGCTGCAGGAACTGAGGTCTACACAGAGGTGTCTTGCCTCCTGAACCAGACCAGGCTTCCCACACCTCTCCTGGAGGAGACAGGGGGTTCTATCCAAATAACACTGGACGCCTACACAACAAACCTGTCCTGCGTGGGTGACAACAGTCCCCATGTGTTCCTGACTTCCACGGAGAAGTTCCCAATATACCTGTTTTCCCTGCAGAGGTGGTGGCTTCTGTCTGTTCCATGCTAGGCTGCAGGCAAGGGCTCAGTGTCAGCTCCTCCTGAGTGCGGCTTCCAGAATGGCTGGGCCTAGAGGAAGCTGACAGGGACCTGGAGGACCCCCTTTTCTCCCTGTCCCCACACTGTGTCTGGTTTCCAAACTGGATCATGACCCAGAGCCTTCAGGATATGTAAGGACAGCAAACCTTACGGAGATCCCACCCGGGCTCTGGCTCACTGCATTCCCTGTTCTAAGGCGACTTCTGTGCTGCTGTAGGGGATGGGTCTACAGGGGCGTCACGGACTGGGGGGTGGTAGGCTCCCCTCAGGCTGGAGGAGTGATGGATCCCAGCAGCCTCCCTGCCTCACAGTAGCCTGGGAATGTAGGGGGTGTCTTGTGCTGGCCCTGGGTCAGAGGGGGGACTGCTCTTTCTGGGATCTCCTGGTGGGGAAGAGATGACACCCTCCCCAGACCCTTTCCTGACTGCTGAGTTCCGGATCTGGGATGGACCTGGGCCCCTCCAGCACTTGGCTCAGGCTTGATAACACCCCTGGGTTCATGTCTGGTGTCCCCTGCCTCACTCTCCAGGGCAGTCTCCCAGCCCACTAGTGTGGGGTGTCTGTTTCAGGAGGCACCTAGGGCTGCTGCCTGCCCCTCTGGAAGGACTCTGTGGTCAGGAATCACAGGAGGAGACCTTGGGGCCCAGGGTGAGAGGTGGGAGAAGAATCAGGGAAGACGAGCATAAGTTTGCAAGTGCAGGATCCACAAGCTGCCCACAGCTGTAACCAGGGTCCTTGCAGTCTGGTGACCATTACAAGCAAAAGTGGTCAGTGCCACTGCCAGGGGAGGGGGACCCAGAAGGCAAGGGCTGGCCTGGGTTACAAAGCACATCTATGGTTCCAGGCCCAGGTGCTGGCAAGGGACACATTGGGGCTCAGAGAATCTGGTCACATGGTTGGCAGGGACAGTCCCCACAGGGCCCAGTCCTGCACTCCCTTCGTCCTGGTACTGGGTCCTTCCTGGCCATCCCCAGGGAAGGCAGGAGCAAGGGCAGGGCAGGCAGGAGCCAGTTCCTCAGAGGGCTCTGCCCAGGGGCCTTCTGCCCAGGGAGAGCTCTGCACCTGCAGGGGCTGCGGAGGCTGAGGACAAGGTGTCAGGTCTGTACCCAGGCCTGGCGGGACCCACACCGGGGACCTGTTTCGAACACGCCCTGGTGTCACTTTGGGTGTCCAGGCTACTGTTGGAGCCAAGTCCTGTCTGGGGTGGTGACCTGGGCAGCTCCAGTGTGGGCCCAACATCTATGGGACCCAGGATCCTGTGACCTGCAGCAGAGGAACCCCACAGGGACCCCCGGTAGACCCCAACACGCAAAGATTCCCACAAAGACCCCACATTCATTGAGATTTCAGAGATTCCCCACAGTGACCCCCAGAGACCCCAACACTGAGACCCCCCCCATGAAGACCCCCCCAGAGGGACCCCCCCACAGAAACCTCTGACAGAGACGCACACGGAGACCCTTCAAAACCAACACAGAGATCCCCACAGAGACACTCACAGTGACTCTAACAGAGACCTGCACAGAGAAAAGATATCAAGGTCACTTTGCCACCCGCTAAAATCCCTAGCACTGCACTTGGTGAAAATGAGCAGCATCTTCCTCATTACCAGCAGCGGCTTTCTCCTGGCGGCCCTCTGCCCTCTTCTAGATAAGATTCCTTGAGATATGAGATGCCGAACAATAGAAAAGCCTCCTCTATCAGACAGCGTCCAACTTAGAGCGACCCCCCGACCCGCTGACAGACCCTTCCCAAGATCACCCAATCACAACTCCCATGCTGATGTCAAACTGTAAGTGTTCATGATAGAAACGGTGACAGTTCCTCTGATGCCGTCCTTCGGAGACCGCGCTCAGCTCCTCAGGCCATGCTCCCCCTCAATGCCAAGGGAATCCACCCGGCTGGTCTAGGTTGGCCTTGCTCACAGGGCTCCTCCTGCAGGCCTTGTGCTGGAGCACATGGAGCGGGAAGGATCTCGGCTTGGACACAGCTTCCTCAGAAAACCTTGTCCGACTCCCCTGTGAGGGCAGGCCCCCTGTGCTGGGTTCCCCACCCTGGCCCTTCCTCCCTTGTGACAATCTCTGCATGCCTGGGTATGTTTCTCCTAGAACCCTGAAATCTTCTGGTGGGCCCAATGAGGAGGGAGGCGTGCCTGACCACCTGACCACACTCCCGGTACTGACTGTGGCCCCTGTTAAAAATTGTTTCATAAAATCTTCTTAGTTAATGGGCACAGGAAGTAAAGCTTCCTAATCTACCTCATATATAAGTTGCATCACTAAAATCATATTTTCATAAAGGGTATTAGCTCTTTCCAGTAGCCAATATAATGTTTCAAGGAAAATTTGTAAAAATAAATGTGGCATTGATACTTCAAATTTAGTGGTATAAAGAAATTTCCAAATTCAAATTATTCCATCTAAGTTACTTATTTTATAGATCAAATATGAATATTCTTGTAAGTTTTGAAATACTTCAGAGTAAAATTCTGAAGTTTAGATAATACAAATTAAAAAGCAATTTTTCTTAAAAACATTCTAATGTGCCACAAATTTATTTTTAAAAACTCTTACCAAAGAAGATGTATTTTTAAGTAATTTAAATATACAACTTGCATCAGACACATATATTGTAAATACACCCTTCCAAAAATGAGGAGCAGCTATGTGTTTACTTTAACATCTAAGATGCTGAAATATCTATATAACAGGTCACGTACTTAAAGCCACATGTAAAACAGGGGATTGAGAAATAATTCAGCATGCATATTTGTTCTGTTTGAAATTTTTTTAATTATTGAAAATAATTGAAAATCTTACAAAACATCATCTGTTTGAAAGATGTTAGAAAAGAGAGGGTAGAAAAATAGGACTGCATTCTTATTGCCTAACAGTTTAACCTCAGTTATAAATACACACATATTACACATATCTATGTGTGTATATGTGCATAGGTCTGTATACACATACAGACATGGGTGTGTTGTAACATCATTTGGTTAGTATCACTTGTCCTATTTTTTTTCTTGAATACTCCGTTTTTATTATTCTACAGAGAAGGGCACAACGCAATTGGTCTCTAGACTTGCCCAAGTAACTTTCTCTCTCCAGCAGTTTCTGTCAGTTCTTGGGTTTGGAAATTTCCTTCCTGCTCACCTCCACTGGCAGCGTGTTCACCTCACGTTAGGCCCTCTGGTTCAATGCTCCAAAAGTGTGATGAGCATAAAGAGAATTTTCCTCTCAGGAAAACAATAATGGCTGGATCACTGATACACTATGGGTTCATAAAGAAAGGTGAGTCTATTTGATTTGTCTATTAACCTGGAAGAGCACATTGAACATTTTTTCTTTTTTAGAATAAGTACACGTACACATTGATCTTTTACTGAAAATAAAAAAAAATTAAAAGATACATGTAAATAAGAACAAAGGACTTTTATCTAGCCCTAGATCCCAATAACTTCTTTAGAACTCTTTTCCTAAAAGGTTTATAGTACAACCTTTTATATTTAAGTTTGCAAACCATTTCTAGTTAATTAGTGTATAAAGTGCAAGGTTTACACTGAGATTTTGAGCCTGTGTTTATTTTCTCCAGTAACATTTGTTAAAAAGACTATTCTTTCTCTTTCAATTACTTTTGTACCATTGTCAAAAATGAGAAATGAGTTGGGCATATTTACTTGTGTCAATTTCTGAGTTCTTCATTCTGTTCTGCTGACCTATGTGTCCATCTCTCCACCAGTATCATGTGCCTTTTCATATAAACTTAAAATAGGTTTATCTATATGCATAAAAATATGTAGCTGGTGTTTTGATATGACTGTCATTAAGTCTACCCATCAATTTGAAGAGAGTTGACATATTTGCTATCGTGAGTCTTCCAAACCATTAATAAGGTATGTTTGAATTTTAGTTCTTCTCTCAATTCATGCACATTTTGTAATTTTTGCCATCTTGATTCTGCATGTCTTGTCAGATTTATGCCTAAGTATTTTCTTTAGAGCAATTGTAAAGGTATATTCAGTTTCCACACATTCATTTTTAGTTCATAGAAATATGATGAATTTTGGAGGATGGATCATTTATCCTGTGAACTTGCTAAATATTATTTCTACAAGACTTTTTTTAGTTTCTCTGAGACTTTACAAAGACAATCGTGTAATCTGCAATAGAGGCCACTTTCCTTCTTTCTCTTTTTTTTCAATCAGTATGCCTTGTTTCTTGCCCAATTGTGCCGACTAGAACTTTCGGTGCTCTGTCAAATAGCATTGTTGAGAGCAGGTGTCTCTGCCTTGTTTCCACCCTGAGGGGAAAACCATTCATTCTTTCATCATTAAGCATGACATAGCTGTTTGTTTTTGATAAATACTCTTGATAAAGTTCAGGAAGTTTCCTTGTATTTCTAGGTTTCTGAAAGTTTTTATCATAAAACTGTGCTATATTTTGGCAAATGCTCTTTCTGCATCAATTGAGATAAGTAACGTACGTATTTTTGTATCGTGTTTCCGTGTTCAGGTTGATATTCCTTGTATTTTAATTGACACATGTACACAATTTATATTTAAGATAACTGTAGGCCGGGCGCAGTGGCTCAGGCCTGTAATCCCAGCACTTTGGGAGGCTGAGGCAGGTGGATCACGAGGTCAGGAGATCGAGACCATCCTGGCTAACACGGTGAAACCCCGTCTCTACTAAAAATACAAAAACATTAGCCGGGTGTGGTGGCGGGCGCCTGTGGTCCCAGATACTCGGGACACTGAGGCAGGAGAATGGCGTGAACCCGGGAGGTGGAACTTGCAGTGAGCTGAGATCGCGCCACTGCACTCCAGGCTGGGCGACAGAGCGAGACTCCGTCTCAAAAAAAAAAAAAAAAAATGGAAATACCAGAATGCCACCTTCTTTTGCAATGTGGGAGACAGAAGATTTATCTCCCTTCTTGGCCCCACTGACACCATCCGGCAAGGGAATCAGAGCACTGCTGATTCCTTCCACTCTGTGTAAGTGAAGTGGATCATCAGCTCCACACTTGATTTCACTGAACTATGGTGTTCGCAGGGGGGGTTTCCATTGATGTTTGGCTACACTCAGGTGGGTATTCCTTGCTAGGCCATTATTTTCCAGGTTCTTTGGCTGAGACAGCTGGGGTTTTATTAGGTTTGGTTTTGTTGGGTGTGGTTTCTGGTTGGAGGCTTCTGCAGCACTCTCTCCAGGGCAGATGAGAAGAACAGGAGACCCAAGGAACATACCACTGTGTCATTCCCCAGGGAGTCTGTCTTCCTTATTATATTTTTCCAACACTTCCCATGCTCCTTTGTTGTTTTATGTGCAGACTTTCATTTAGAACACAAAGGATGTGATAGTAATGAGGCTTCTCCAACTGGGCTGAAAACACATGTGTTTTTGTCTTAAAATCATAAGTATTTTAAAATATACTTGAATAGGTTGGTGAGAATCCTGGGGAGAATTAACACATGATTGGGAAAAAAAAAAGAAACATTCTCAACACTACAAGAAAAAGTCATTTCATAACAGTAAAAACTCTAGCTCACATTATCTGCAACTTACTTACTTATTTTTTCTAGCCTGGTGTCAAAATTATCATTTGCCCCTGTGATAAACAAAATTACCAACCAAAGTGGAGTGTTTCTATGCAGCTTGTTTGGTCTTAACCTTAGAGTATCCAATCAAAATACCATTTTCCAAAGTGTCTTTGATCAGTTTCTTTTTCCTCTTGGAATCCTCTGACTTCCTGGTGGATTTTTTTATTATTATTTTTATTTTGCAAAAAATAAGAAAGAGGTTTTGTAGTGTAGCATTTGGTAGGGTTTGAGAAACCATAGAGACACGTGTCCACCCTCCAGCACTGCACAGAACAGCCGCATCACCCTAAAATTCTGTGCGTGATGCCTTTGTGATCAACCATTCCCTTTCTCCCAATTGTGGGCAAACTCTGATCTGTTTTCTTGACCTATAATTTTGCCTTCTCCGGAATGTTATACGAATGAAATCATACAATATGTAGACATTTGGGGCTGACTTCTTTCACACAGCAAAACACATGTAAGTTCATCTGTACTGTTGTGTAAGTGAATAGTCTGTTCCTTTGTATTGCTGAATAGCAGTTGATGGTATTGATGCAATAGTCTATCTGTTCACCTGTTGTAAGATGTGTTGGTTAGGCTGGGTGCGGTGGCTCATGCCTATAATCCCAGCACTTTGGGAGGCCAAGGCAGGCAGATCATGAGGTCAGGAGTTCGAGACCAGCCTGGCCAACATAGTGAAACCCTGTCTCTATTAAAAATACAAAAAATTAGCCAGGCATGGTGGTGGGTGCCTGTATTCCCAGCTACTTGGGAAGCTGAGGCAGAAGAATTCCTTGAACCTGGGAGGCGGAGGTTGCAGTGAGCCAAGATCGTGACATTGCACTCCAGCCTGGGTGACAGTGCGAGACTCCGTCTCAAAAAAGAAAAAAAAAAAAAGAAAGATGTCTTGGTTGTTTCCAGGTTTTGGAGATTATGAGTAAAGCTGCTAAAACATTTGCCTAGACTACGGGCTTTTATGTGAATTTGTTTTCATTACACATTGATAAATACATAGGAGTGGAATGGCTGAACCTCACACTGGACATATGTTTTACTTTATAAAAAGCTGCCAAATTATCTCCTAAAGTGACCATGTCATTTTACATTCCCAACAGTAATGAAAGAGAATCTTTGTTGCTACACATCTTCAGGAGCATTTGATATTTTAATTTTTTATTTCTATTCTAATGGCATGTAGTAGTATCCCATTGTAGTTATGTTTTGCATTCCCTTATTAATAACAATAAACATGTTTTCATATGCTTATTTGCCATATGTCTGTCTTCTTTTGAGATGTACGTGCTCAAGATTTTTGCTTGTTTTAAATTGGATTGTTTGTTTTGTATTGTTGAGTTTTAAGGGTTCTTTATTCATTTTGGATAAAAGCTTGTATAAGATACGTGACTGATATGGTCTGACTGTGTCCCCACCCAAATCTCATTTTGAATTGTAGTTCTCATAATCCCTATGTGTTGTGGGAGGGACCTGGCAGAAGGTAGTAGAATCATGGAGGCAGGTTACCCCCATGCTGCTGTTCTCAGATAGTGAGTGAGTTCTCATAAAATCTGATGGTTTTATATAGGGCTTTTCTTCCTTTGCTAAGCACTTCTCTCTCCTGCCACCATGTGAAGAACAACATGTTTGTTTGCCTTCTGCCATGATTGTAAGTTTCCTGAGGCTTTGCCAGCCTCATGGAACTGTGAGTCAATTAAACCTCTTTCCTGGTAAATTACCCAGCCTCAGGCAGTTCTTTATAGCAGCAGCAGAACAGACTAATACAGTGACTTAATATTTTTCCCTGATTGTTTTAGCTTTTTGCTCTTGTAATGCTTCTTTCACAGAATGAGCATTTTTAGATATAACAAAGTCTGCTTTTTCATTTTTTCTTTTATGGATCATGTGTATGGTGTTTTATCTAAAAACTCATCAATGACCCCAAAGTCATACCTAATTTCCCCTGTTTTATGATAGTATTTTATTGCTGTATACTTTACACTTTTATATGGTCTATTTCAGTCCACTTTTGTAAAAGGTGTAAAATATGCATTAAGTTTCATTTTTTTTTTACATGGGGAGATCCCATTATTACATCCCCATTTACAGAATAGATTATACTTTCCCCTTTTCCTCTGCATCTTTTTCAAAATGCAGTTGAATATATTTGTGTGGGTCTATTTCTGGGGTCTGTATTCATTCCATTGGTCTACGTATCTAGTGTTTTAACAATATTTTAACAAAACCACAATATTTTGAGAACTGTAGCATAATAGTAAGCCTTGTAATCAGTAGTTTATGTCCTCTAACTTTTTTTCAGAAGTGTTTTGACAATTCTAGTTATTTTGTTTTCCATGTAAATTTTAGAATCTCCTTGGTGATATCTACAAAAAAAAAAAAACTTACAGGAATTTTCATTGTTAATGAAGGAACTCTACAAGCAGAAATGGAAAAGACTGGCATCTTAACTATATTGAGACTCTGAATTCATAAATATTTCATTCCCCTCTTTTTAAATTTTCTATTTATTGCATTTATATTTTGTAGTTTTCAGCATACAGATCCTGCACTTCTATTGTTACATTAATACCTAAGCACTTAATTTTTGCTTCTATTTTAAATAGTAATTTAATTTTTTCAACTGTTAATTACTCACACATAGGAAAATTATTGACATTCTATATTGACCTTTGATAATAAAACACTTAATTTCACGTATTTGTTTTAGAAGCTTTTCATAAATACTGTAGACTGTGTATATAAAGATTAGTTTTATCAGCAAATAGAGGCAGTTTTACTTCTTCCTTTGCAATATGTATGTTATTTATTTCTTATTCCTGTCTTATTGCACTTTGCAAATTTTCTAATACAATATTGAATAGGACCTGTCCCCAGTCTTAAGGAAAAATCATTCAGTCATCACCATATAGTATACAGATATAAACATATATCCTAAGTTCTTTTATTCCTAATTGTATGAGTTTTGGTCAGAAATAGATGTTGGATTTCATCGAATGCTCTTCCTGCATCTCTTGAGAAGAATATTTTAAAAATATTCTATAGCAGATTACTTGGATTGGATTTTAATAGTGAATCAGCCTTGTTTTTATTGGACATAATGAATCATCCTACATGGGGAGATGTTCAATTTGATGTCACAATATTTTGTTGATATTTTTTCATATATGTCCATGACTGATATTTGTCTATAGTCTTCTTTTCTCTCCATATCATTTTTTGGTTTTGGTGTTATTGTAATGCTGGCCTTATAAAATGAGTTGGGAGTGCTCCCATCTCATCTATTTTCTCTAAAAGATTGTGTACAGTCAAAATTATTTATCCTTCAAATATTTGATAGAAATCAGTAGTGAAAGAACATGTGACTAGATTTTTTGGTAGGTTTTATTTACAAATGCAATTTCTTAATTAATACAGGACTATTTGTTACCTGTTTCTTCTTCAGTGAGACTTGGTAGTATGTGTTGTGTCTCTAGAGGAATTTATTTTTTTCATCTCATCTATTAGATTTGTGTGCATAAAATTATTTTTAGCTTTACTTATTTATGGTATAGTGTGTATTGATAGCTTGTCTTTCAGTCCTGCTGTTAGTAATCTGTAGTCTCTCTTCTCTTTCCCTTTTTCTCTCTTTGGTTTTGAATTTCACTTATTTCTGCCCTAATTGTTATTAGCTCCTTTCTTTAGTTCCTTAGATTTAAGTTGTTGTTCTTTCTCTACGTTCCTAAAGAAGAATCTTAGGCTACTGAGGTGAGATTACTCTTTTCAAAGAACCAACTTTTAGCTACGTTTATTTCTTCTACTGCTTTCCAACCTTCTATTTTATTGATTTATGCTCTAATCTTTATTATTTCTTTACTTCTGCTAGCTTCAGATTTAGTTTTCTCTGGTTTTTATACTGCCTTTTAGGTGTAGAGTGAGGTTACTGATTTGAGCTTTTTTTAAATGTAGTTGTTTATGTCCATACATTTTCCTTCAAACTCTACTTTCACTGCAGTCACTAAGTTTTGGTATGTTTTGTTTTTATTTGTCTTAAGATACTTTATAATTTCACTTATGATTTATTCTTTCACTGGTAGTTTAAGAGTGTATTGTTTAATTTCTACATATTTGTGAATTTTTCAGGTTTCATTTTTTATTTATGTTTCCTCCATTGTGGTTGTAAATTATATTTTGTATGATTTAAAACTTTTGTAAATGATTAGGACATATTTTTGTGGACGAAGATATGACCTATCCTAGAGAAAGTTCCATATCCACTTAAAAGGAATGTATATTCTGCTGTTTTTGGGTGGACTGTTCTGTATATGTGTATTAGCTCTAAATGGCTTATACTGTTGTTCAAGTCTTCTATTTCTCATGAAGCTTCTGTCTGGTTTTTCTATCCATTAATTAAAATGAGGTATTGAAGTGTCCAACTACTATTATAGAACTGTGTGCTTATCCTTTCAATCCTGTTCATTTTTTTTCAGCTTTACTGAGGTATATTTGAGAAATAAATATTGTACATATTCAAAGTTTACAATGTGATGTTTCTATCTACATGCGCATTTTGAAATGATTACCAAAATGAAGTCAATTAACATATTAATTACCTCGCATAATAGTTACCTTTTTTGTGTGCATGCATGGGATAAGAATACTTAACCATAACCCTAGTGACTGCAGAGTGGCCATTCCAGCTGCTCCAGGCTCCGGCAGAGGAGGAGCGGGGCGGGTGGCACCACCAGGGGGGCCCTCAGGCCTGGCACGCACGCATTTCGGAGGCTGCCCAGGCCAAGGTGCAGCTGCCCTCTGCCCTGTGTGTGCAGGTAGCAGCCGCCTGTCAACTCCCGAGCCCGGTCGCGCTGCCAGCGTCGCAGAACCGGGGTCAGATGTCCCGGCGGCTGCACAGGAGTGAGAACTGAGAACCTGCCGCTCAAAGCCATCACAGGTGACTGCGGAGTCCCCATGCCAGCAGCTCCTGTCTCCCTGTGGTGGAAGAGCCGGGCGGGATGCGCGGCTTGGGGCTTCTCAGCCTGGGCGCCCTGGCGATCCGCAGGCCTCCCGGGCCAGGCCCCTCCAGCCCGCCTGGGCACCCAAGCTGCAGCCACCCTCTGTGTGCAGGCAGCAGCCTCTGGGGAACCTCTAAGCCCGCCTGCACTCGTAACATCTCAGAACCGGGGACAGATGTCCCGGTGGCTAGAGCCAAGCCAGATGGTCTGCCCGATGGCGGCTACACAGGGCCGAGAACCTGCCACTTAATCCCATCCCCGGTGGCTGCGGAGGGCCCCTGGCCAGCGGTCCTGAGCTCTGGCAGAGGCGGGGGCAGGGCCTGGCGGGCTCTCAGGCTCGGTGTACTCGCGATCCAGAGGCCGCCCAGGCCATGTTCCACTGCCTGGACACCCAAGCTGTAGCCGCCCTCCGCCTGCAAGCAGTAGCTGCCTGGCAACTCCCAAGCTCGCTCGCGCTCCCAGCATCGCAGAACCAGGGCCAAATGTCACCGTGGCTGCGGCCAAGCCAGGCGGTCTGCCCGGCGGCGGCTGCAGAGGGGCGAGAACTGAGAACCTGCCGCTCAACCCCATCTCTGTAGGCTGCGGAGTGGGGTCCGGACTCCCTCGGACGGCCTGGCCAGCAGTTCTGAGGTCCGGCAGAGGAGGAGGGCAGGAGGCACGGCGAAGGGTACGGACTCTCAGGCCGCGCGCGCTCGCAATCCCAAGACTGCCCAGGCCATGCCCCGCTAGCCCTGGGCGCCCAAGCTGCAGCTGCTTTTTTGTTTGTTTTTCTTTTTGCAGGCAGCAGCTGCCAGGCAACCTCCAAGCCCGCCAGCACCCCCAGCCTCGCAGAACTCGGGCCAGTGTCGCCGTGGCTGCAGCCAAGCCCGGCGGTCGGCCTGGCGGCGGCTGCACTAAAAACAAAAACTGGCCTCAGCCCCATCCCCGGTGGCTGCGGAGGGCCCCTGCCAGCGGCCCTATCTTTCTTCAAAGGAGGAGCAGGGCGGCCAGAGCGGCCGGGAGGGCTGCGCGCCTGCGATCCTACGGCGTCCCAGGGGAGCCCAAGAGAACCGGTGAGCCAGCGGCGCCTGCGCCCAAGCTGTAGCCGCCCCTTGCGGACCGCGCCACTTGGGAGAGGCTTCCGGAGTCCCCGCGGGCGCTGAGCTGCAAGCGTGCGCATACAGGCTTCGCTTGGCTTACTCGGTCTGAGAGGTCGGAGGCTGCCAGTGTTGCTGCTGAAGGCTGTTAAAACCAGCTACACAACCATCTGAAAGCCATTTTCCTCCCTCTGGTTAAAAACAGTCATATGTCGCTGGGCGCGGTGGCTCACGCCTGTAATCCCAGCACTCTGGGAGGCCGAGGCAGGCGGATCACGAGGTCAGGAGATCCAGACCATCCTGGCTAATACGGTGAAACTCCGTCTCTGCTAAAAAATACAAAAAATTAGCCGGCCGTGGTGGCGGGCGCCTGTAGTCCCAGCTACTCGGGAGGCTGAGGCAGGAGAATGGCGTGAATCCAGGAGGTGGAGGTTGCAGTGAGCTGAGATCACGCCACTGCACTCCAGCCTGGGCGACAGAGCGAGACTCCGTCTCAAAACAAACAAACAAACAAACAAACAAACAAAAAAAAACCAGTCATGTGTCTACTGATGATGTAGTTAAGGCTGTGTCTAGATCTCTCTCTCAGCAGGGACGTGGTTTCTCAAATGCGAATGTTTGACCGGCAAAAGTTTTGCAGCCAGAGCCTGTGCAAGTATTGGCAGATTGAAAATACAAAATCAAGGCACTTCTCACGCCTAGCTTTTTTTTTTTCTTTTTTGAGACAGAGTCTCACTGTGTTGCCCCAGGCTGCAATGCAATGGTGCGATCTTGGCTCACTGCAACCTCCGCCTCCTGGGTTCAAGCGGTTCTCCTGTCTCAGCCTCCTGAGTAGCTGGGATTACAGGCATGAGCCACCATGCCCAGCTAATTTTTGTATTTTTAGTAGAGATGGGGTTTCACCACGTTGGCCAGGCTGGTCTGGAACTCCTGACCTCAGATGATGCGCCACCTTGGACTCCCAAAGTGTTGAGATTTCAGGCGTGAACCACCGCGCCTGGCTGGAAACTATTTTTGTTTTGTTTTGAGACAAGAACTCACTCTGCCGCCCAGGCTAGAGTGTAGTGGCATGATCAAACTCACTAAAGCCTCGACCTCCTGGGCTCAAATAGTCCTCCCCCACCAGCCCCAGAGTAGCTGGGACTACAGGTGTGTGGTACCATGGCTGGTTAATTTTTTTTTTTTTTTTTAATTTTGAGACAGAGTCTCACTCTGTTGTCCAGGCTGGAGTGGAATGCTGTGATCTCGGCTCACTGCAACCTCCACCTCCTGGGTTCAAGCGATTCTCCTGTCTCAGCCTCCTGAGTAGCTGGGATTACAGGTGTGTGCCACCATGCCCGGCTAATTTTTGTATTTTCAACAGAGACGTGGTTTCACCTCGTTGGCCAGGCTGGTCTTGAACTCCTCGGCTCAAGCGATTCACCTGCCTTGGCCTCCCAAAGTGCTGGGATTACAGGTGTGAGCCACTGAGCATCTGATGTCAAAAAGATTAATAAATGGTGCCTCCTGAGTGGCTGGGATTGCAGGCATGTGCCACCATACCCCATTAGTTGTTTAGTTTTTATTTTTTTTGGTAGAGACAGGGTTTCTCCATGTTGGTCGGGGTGGTCTGGAGCTCCTCCCTCAGGTAATCCGCCGGCCTCGGCCTCCCGGGGTGCTGGGATTGCAGGCGTGAGTCACTGCGCCTGGCCCGAAACCCGGTCCCATAACGGAAAAACAAAACAAAAACCACAAAGATTAGCCGCCCCACAGGTAGTCCCAGCTGCTCCCAAGGCTGACCTAGGAGGATTGCTTGAGCCCGGGGGTGGAGGTGGCAGTGAGCCATGATGGCGCTGCTGCAGTCCAGACAGAGCAACAGAGAGGGACTGTGTCTCAGGAAACGGGAGAGGAAAAAAAAAAGTATACAAAAGTGCTAAATCAAGGAACAGCTTGACAGTATATTATTGAGAGACAAAGAGGCAAAGGTTAGCAGACACCGATGTTCGCTTAGTGGAACTGCAGGTGTCCCCCACAGGAGGGTGCCACTTTTCCAAAAGAAATGTATTATTGACAAAAAAAAAAAAGTTGTAGGTTTGTTACAATATACAAATAGCTAAACTTTATATAGCCACGACCCTCTTCTAGCACTGCTCTAAGCCTTTTCCTGCTCTGGAATAGCTACTATTGTTACCTCCATTGTAGAGAAAACAGATGGGGGAGGTTGTTGTGGAAGGACCAGGGAAACTGACTAGGAAATTGACTTGTAAGTTGAGGACTTAAAGGTTCTTCCTGCTTTGCTCCTTACATTGCCACATTTTAGTTAACATACCTCTTAAAATACTGATCCTTTCTGTATTTGGAGGGACTCCTCTTGCAGTTTGAAGTTTTTTCTTACACTAAGCATCTGGTTAGAAGATCATCTCCATTTTATGTCAGTTTAAGTTTAGACATTGTTCAGTAAGGAATGTAAATATGAGCAAACAGTTATCTGATTGAAATAGATAAACTAGAAAAAAAATCACCTATGAGAAAGTCAACAAAATGTCAACTCTGGATTTGTGGCTATTTTCAGAATATTAATTTTTTGATATTTAATGGCATTGTGAATATATTTATTTTTAAGAATTCCTTGTCTTCTACAGATACATATAAGGTAATTAAAAATGATAGGATGTATAGGTTTTACTTCAAAATAATTCAGAGGAAGAAGGAATGTATATAAATGAAGTGGGAATATAAATGAAACAAAACTGGCTGTGGCCAGGTGTGGTGGCTCACGCCTGTAGTCTCAGCACTTTGGGAGACCGAGGCAGGTGGATCACCTGAGGTCAGGAGTTCAAGACCAGCCTGGCCAACGTGGTGAAACACCATCTCTACTAAAAATACAACAATTAGCCGGATGTGGTGCCGGGTGCCTGTAATCCCAGCTACTCGGGAAGCTGAGGCAGGAGAATCGCTTGAACCTGGGAGGTGGAAGTTGCAGTGAGCCAAGATCATGCCACTGCACTCCAGCCTGGGCAACCACAGCAAAATCCCACCTTTAAAAACAAACAAACAAACAAAAAACAACCAAAAAAAAAAAACTGTCCATACCATGAATGAAAAATTGTTGATGATGTGTATATGTAGGGCAATTATATCATTTATTATATATAATATATATATTATTTTTCTCAACTTTTTTTTACATCTGAAACTTTCTATTGAACACATGGACATGTCCCTTGATAACTGGGGCTGCTTCCCCATTATTCTCTCAGCAGCCCTTCTGATTTTCACTCCATCTTCATTCTTAGAGATTCTGGATTTTATTTTTTTTTTTGGGGAAGTTCAAGTATGTCTTTGCAAGGATTATCCAGCATGTCTACCTACTCAATCATATTATCAGAAACAGAAAAAGTGTCCAGATTCTTGTCTTGTCCTGTTCAGATTTTTTAAATTCCAAGAACAGTCACCTTCTACCAGACACTCTGATGTTGGAAGACAAAGCATATTTGGTAAGTGGCATGATTTCTGGGCTCCGATTTAGAACAGTCACAGCTTTCAACAATCCAAAAATAGCTGACTGTGACTCACCATATTTAGAAAGATGGAGATTATTAAAAAAAGAAAACCTTAATTTATTGTGTGACCGCTAAGTGTCTCGGCTGAAAATTGTAAAGATAGAAAGGTAAATCAAAAGATACAGAGACTGTAATCATGCACTTAATAAAGCGCTAAATCAAAATATATTTGGCATATGTGAAAGAGTTTAATTTTATCCCATTTTCTACTGGCACTATAGGTATTTGTAAGTACATATAAAACTACAGTGTTACATATAAACTACCAAAAAGGAACTTAAGAAACGAGACTAATCTAGCAACTTTATTTAAAAGTTTATCTTAAGGGAATAATTAAGGATGTCCATACAAAAGGATTTAGCCATGACACGAGAATGTTCTTCCTGGCAAATCAATGGAAATTATTAAATGTGCAAAAGGGAACTGTTGGAATAAATTCTAATGCTTTCATATGATCCTATGTCGTAACCTTTTAAAATGATATTAAAGAGTTGCATACATTGACTTAAACAGATATTCATAACACATCACTGAATAGGAGAAATACGGGCCAGCAAAGAACATAGAGTTGGTCCAATTTCTACAAAAAAAAGAAGACTAATAGCAAGACAGCAGGGAAGGGGGAATATGTCAATGTATGTGTGTATATATATGTATGCATAGCAAGTATGAACTTGAAAGGATATATATCAAATTGTTTACACAGATTACCTCAGAGAGGTAAATAACTGGCCTTTGGTGTTCTGTGTTCCATAGATTCTGAATTTTCTTTTTTTATTTAAATAGAGATGGGATCTTAGCCAGGAGCAGTGGCTCACACCTGTAATCCCAGCACTTTGGGAGGCTGAGGAGGGCGGATTGCTTAAGGCCAGGAGTTGAAGACCAATCTGGCCAACATGGCAAAACTCTGTCTCTACTAAAAATCCAAAAATTAGCCAGGCGCAGTGGCTTATGCCTATAACCCCAGGTACTCGGGAGGCTGAGGCATAAGAATTGCTTGAACCAGGAGGCGGAGGTTGCAGTGAGCAGAGATTGCACCACTGCACTCCAGCTTAGGCAACAGACCGAGACTCTGTCAAAAAATAAAAACAAAACAAAACACCACCACCAACAACAAAACAGTAATAAAGAGAAAATCTTATGGACAGGAGCAATGTCTCATGCCTGTAACCCCAGTGCTTTGGGAGGCCAAGATGGGAGAATCGCTTGAGCCCAGGAGTTCAAGACCAGCATGGGCAACATAGCAAGACCTTTTCTCTACAAAAAATTTAAAAATTAGCCAGGCATAGTAGTGCATGCTTATACTCCCAGCTACCTGGGAGGCTGAGGTGGGAGGATCACTTGAGCATGAGAGTTGGAGGTTGCAGTGAACTGTGATCACACCACTGGGAAGCCATGACCCCATCCCTGCCTTCTTCCTCTGTCCTATGCTAGCAATAAGTAAGTTTCCCAGCCACAAATAATTATTAGAACCTCCTCCCCATGTGCCACCTCCAACCACCGCTAGGTATGATACAGGGGTGGCCCTACCCTCTGGAATATACAAAACCTTACACAGACACAATATATACACCGGGGAAGGGGGGCCACCCCAGCAGCCCATGCCTTCACCTGGTCCACAGTTAGCCCCACTGTCCTGCCTCAGCTACCTCTCTGAATAAGAAGATTCGAGCCCCCACTGAGGGAAAAGTTGCTATGGTGAGAGTAAGGAGGCCATGAGGCCTCCTCCAAACAAACCAACTCCACCAGCCTCTGGCTCTTAAATAACAATATCATCCAGAAATTTAAGGACTCAGCTCTGGTCAAGGTGGCAAAGGGTCTGTTTGTCTTTCCTCGTTAGACAGTGGTCTTGTCTTGCTACCCTAATTGTAAAGGGGTGACTGGGAAGGGGAGATAGGGACAGTGTGGTGGTGGAGAGACCCCAGCCCCACTTCTCCAGGCTTTGCTGACAGGGGCCTGCTTTTAATTTTAATTTTTATTTTTATCCCATGCCTTTTTTTTTTAATCCCATAACTTCTTTTTCATAACTTTTTTTGGTAACTTTTCATAAAACTTTCTTCTACTTTTTGGTCACAAGATTTTTTTGCCACAACTTTTTTACATTTTTTATCCCATAACTTTTTCACCCCATAACTTTTGTTAATCCCATAACTTTTTTATTTTGTGTTCTTTTAATAAACCCTTGCATAGTTATATTACAATTTTGTAAAAATGAAACATTATCTCATGCCAAGCATGCTCAGCATTTGCACAGTATCAATACCTTTAATACTATATTTTTCAAGACACACAGAATAAAATTTTAAGGCAAAAACAGCACTTTGCAACAACTTAATAATTTATTACATTACAGTATCATCACACCAGCAGTCAATAATGCCACTTTAGGCAAAAGTCTTTCAGTATTTCCGTTTTACATTCCGCTTACAAGAATTCATAAATTGGTAAAATTCATTCTAAGAAAACTTGGCAAATAAAGCTTTGGACTGGAATTGGCATTTCTTTCTCTACTTTTCCTTCCCACCATTTATTTCCTTTACAGTATTCATATTTTAAAATGTTTTAACTTATTTCAGAACATTAAGATAGCAGTTACATTGTTTAATAGTTATTTTAAAATGACTCTTTCAGATAAAGTTTTAGAGAAACTATAGTATGGATAGGGCTGATTTACATTTTCAAATTTTCTAAAAATCAGCTTTGGTTTTAGAGCTGATTTTTGTTCATTTCTGGAAAACCTATCAGATTTAATCCAATACTTTAAAAATGATTATTATATATTGCACTCTTTAAATCGGTGATTTGATTCTTCCTACAGAAATTCAAATTTATTGAATTGAACTCACATTTTAGAATTCTGTTTCTGATGAACTCTAACCTTCCAATGTTGCCTTCTAAGCAAATTGAAAGCTGCCTTATACCGAATGAGGAAGAATACCAATACTTGGCTGAATGAGGTATCGCAAAAGACTGCATGCACTTTGAAGAAAGACTTAAGTTATAGTCATGCGATTTCCATTCTTTTTAGCTTTTTCTTAAATATACGACAAATATCTACACAAAGAGTGGTATTTCTGTTAATACAGTCAATTTATTTTCCAGATTGACATTCAGCTTAAATATGCCAGTATGTGATTTAATCCATAGGCACCTGATGAACACATTATTGTCAGATTGGTTACAGATGCTCGTAGTTGTCTTTAAACTGAACTCAAAGAATGCAAAAACATCAAGTTCAGAAAATAAAAGGCAAGGACAGGACTTTAAGTGCATTTTAAAGCCACGGGCTAGAAATCGTACCACTGTTAACTAGCCGCATTATTTGGTCTAACATTTTTTCTTTATCATTCTGAAACTGGGTTTATCTAATACATTGATACATTCATACAATTTGGAAGAGTCCGTTGAAGTCACAAGGACCCGATATTTGCACTCTTTCAGTGATTGCCGGCAAATCTGTTATTCCATCGGCAAAATCGTACTGCTGCTCTCCTGTTAATGTCGTATTTATAAAAGTATCATGAGGATGCCAAATGCTAAAAATGGAGATGGTCTAGTAACTAGAAATCCCCACCCCAGGGAGCACACATACATATCTCCCTACATCCTAATAATGTGATGTGTTTTGGAACACAGACATTAGAACTTCATGAAGTTTTAACTGTTGAGTCTTTCCCAAGCATCATCAAGTTATGATTTAGGCAATGTACAACTGAAATTCATTCATTCATCATGCATAGGCACAATCACATAACTACTGCACAAAATATGCCCGTAAGTGAAACCCAGAGGTACAGAAACACATTTCACTCTTCACAAAGAAGTTTGTGAGGAAATATAACTCTGTGATTGTATAGACATGTTTCCTGATAATACACTGACATTCACCAACAGTAGATTGCACTGCAGTTTGTACACATTTTAAGTTGCATAAACTTCTCCTTGATTTTCAAAGATAGTATAATACTGTCTACTAAAACTCCTTTTTGTTTCAACTAAGCACTCTCACATATATTAGTTTATAACAATGTTTATTATTATTTCAAAGTGTTTTCCATTCAAGGAAAAGAAGTCAATTCCTATGTCAAAGTAACCAAGGTGGTTGAAGAATAGGCAGAGTGGTCTAGATGGTAAAATCAATCTTCAAGCCTCAAAGAAGCTCCATGAACAGAGGAATGCCAGGTGTCACACAGCTTTCCTTCACTCTAATTCATTCTTGACTAGAGCCTGTATGCGTGTTCCAGGGACATTTAAACTCTTAAAGGATTTCTTCTGATCTTTACTAAATACATTAAGAAGAATGCCAACCAGTGCCCTTTTGTGTACTGGGACATGCAGTCATGTGATTAAAACAGGTAACATGAACTCTGACTTTAAAATATAGATACAAATGCTCTAAGCTAGGAAAGGTTTTCCACATCCATAGTCAATGATGGGAACCTTTCATTCCTCAGAAATAAGCCCTTTTTAGGTCATCAAAAAAGAGTACAACTGCTGCAGCTCATGATGCAATATCTTCATGAGCCCAGAGCACATACAAATCCTAAAGGAACTACAATAGTACAGCACTAATTCTTGGCAACAGAACAAATGAAACACACTCTATCTTGCACATACCTGCCAGAGCAGGCAACTTTCCTCTTCTGTGAAATTTAAAAAGCTCCCCCAAAATGTTATTACTCCCATCACCAATACACAGAAAATGAGGGAAAGGCTGTTTCCAGTTCTCGGCCTTTAAACAACTCTAAATGTCAGTACTCTTGGTGGCATATTACAAAGTATTAAATAGTGCACACTTGGGGCAAACCACATATTGTGCTAATGAAGAGCTCACTGTGATTAAGATTAGATCAAACAATAGCAGAACATAGGCAAATTTTATCTGAATTCTGTAATGAATATACATGCTGCAATAACATTAAAAACACATGGCAGCCTATTCCAAACCAGCAAGAATAGTTTTGTGCAAATAGTGGGTCTTTGTGTGTTTGAACTCCCACCACGTAAGGGCAAACTCAATATGCATGCTAATGACCTACAATCATGAAATTGAAAAAGAAAATTGCGAAAGTATGCCAGAGTGAACATCAGTGAAAGCCACAGAGACCCACTCTCTTTTAACTATTTACAAATAAACTTAAACTATAAATTAGAAACACAAATAATCATAAGTGGCTATAACATTCAAACGAAGTAAATGAATTGTGTAGGAGATTAACCCCATAACTTTGTTTCTTTTTTAAAAATTTCTTGAGCAGCTCTTTGACGATGGTCATGTTTATCTCCTTCTTCTTGGCGGCCAAGCCCAGCAAAAGAATGGCACACAGCAGTTGCTGCCCAAGCCTGGGTGCTCCTGGTGGTCCTGCACGATCGGCTGTGCAGTAGGCTTGTCGTGGGGAGAACCCTCCCTGGCCTCTCCTTGCACAGGCTCCACGCTGTCAGTGAGGCTCACCTCACAAAGATCTTTGGAGAGAGGGAGGTGGGGATCTGAGCTCAGTGAGAGCCCCCCTGCTCCTGCCTGCCCACCCCGCCTGAGGGCTCTACTCACCACCATGCTTGTGGGCAGCCCCAAGCTCCTGGGGGGCTGGGGCTCCTGGACTGGGCTCATGAGCAGGGTTCTGGGCAGTCACCAAGAATTTGCTGTGTCCCTTGTAGTCGCCACCAGCTGCAACACCATCTCCTGCAGCTCCAGCAGCTTCACCTGGAGGGAGGGGTGCTCAGCTGTCACGCTGCTGCCAGCGCTCACCGTCACAGCCACCCCCACCCCCGCAGAGATGTTGCACACTCTACCTTCATCTCCTCCCTGTCCAGGGCCAGCCTGATGGTGTCCTCCTCCCGGTGCTGCATCTTTGGCACTGCCCCCTGGCTTTGTTATAGGGTGATAAACTTTCCTGCGGGAGGACAGGGCTCAGACGCTGGGGCCCCTCCAACAGCCCTGCAGCTCCCCCTGCCATGCCCTGGCCTCCCACTCACTGATGGCATCTCTCTCTGTAGTACTGGAAGAATCCAAGTTCTTCTTTCTCCACCAGCTCACTCAGGTCTGCCTTCTCCTCCAGGTGGTCCATAAAGCCGCTCTGGAGCCAAAATAATGGGGTCACATCTCGGCAGCGACCTGCCCTCAGGTGGCATTTTCAAGTCATGGAGAAGGCGGAGGTGAGTTCCGGCATGGGCCAGCTTCTCCATGACTTCCTGCAGGGCCCGGTGGGTCTCCCCACTCACAGACTCGCCCCCAGGCCCTGGGGCTGGGACCGCTGCCTCTGGCTCCTTCTGGGCCGAGGCCACCGGGTGAGCCAGGCGCTGGCAGCACACCCTCTGCTCTTTCACCTGCTCTTGTAACTGTGCCTGCTTCTCCTGGGCACTAGCTCCAGCGGACTTGAAAAATGCCACCTGAGGGCAAGATGTGAGCATTCTTCTAGGGGCATACACAGAAGAAATGGGGCAGAGAGGTGGAGCGCAGCCCCTTCCCTTGGGGCCTCAGAGAGTGCACCTGTTGGCCACAGGTGAAATGGTGTCTGACCACTGGCTCTCGGAAGGGGTGAGGGTCCAGAGAAATCAGAAGGCAGGGAAACGAAGAGCATAAAGGGGTCTTGGAGGGACCACAGAGAAAGGTGGCAAAATGGGTGCAGGGGGAGTCAGGCTCACCATGGCCTCCCTGCTCTCCAGGTCCTCTGGGACACTCGGCATGGGCCGAGGTGCCTCCTCCCCCTCACTGTCCAGATGTTCTCCTCCGTGTCCTGTGGGGGGTGGCCAGAGGGGTCTTCAGACAACTCAACAAGGGAAGTATTGTGGGCCCACCTCTGCCTCCACCCTCATTGTGTAACCCTGAGCCAGGCCCTCCCCAGAGAGGAATGAGCTGCTGTTATTTATTTTTACTTTGAAGAACCAAGATCTTGCTATACTGCCCAGGCACATTCCCACTACTGGTCGGTGTGGGAGTTCTGACCTGCTCCCTTTCTGACCTCGGCCAGTTCAGCCATCCTTAGGCAACTTGGTGGCCCCCCGCTCCCAGGAGGTCACCATATTGATGCTGAACTTAGTGCAGGCACCCGGTTAGTATAATGACCAGCTGTTCTAAAGGTCTCTTCCAACTCCTCAATCCTATGCTGCTAGCAGTCCCCCCTTCCTCCTGGGGCTCTCTCCTCTTCCTCTGAGCGGTCTCCCGTACCTTCCCCAGGGAGAGCCATGAGGCTCAACTGGGCCGTTAGCTGCTGTTTCTGCTGGCTGGCAGCTTTCAGGCGCTCCTAAGGGGCCAGGAAAGAGTGAGAAGGCACAGAGTTTGCCAGGTCGTCCCCCTCACGGCCCCATCCTCGGCAGCTCCCTCCCCTGGGCCTCCTGCAACTTTTGGCAGGCCATCTCGGCCACCGCTTTGCCCCAAGCTTCCTGCTGCTGCAGCTGGTTCATTAGCTGGGTCTGCTGCAGTCACTGCCTGTACAGCGCCTCCTTCTCACAGGTCAGCTGCTGATAGGCGGCCACCTGCTGCTGATAGGTGGCCACGTACTGCTGCAGGTGACCCAGGTAATGGTCTGGCTGCTGCTGCAGACTCTGAGCCTCTTGGCTCTTCAGCTCCACCTGCAGGAAGACCCTGGGTGTGAGGGCACGTGGTGGCTGGTTTCCAGATTCTGGGCCCATTAATAGGGTAGCGAGGGCACTGTGGGGCTCTGTCGCCTGCCCAGGCCCCTGGCCCCTTACTCCAGGCCTAAGTGACTGCCTCCCTTTCCTAGAACCCCATGCCTCCTTCCCCAGCCTCAAATCTCATGTCCTCTTCCCACCATTTCAACTGTAGGCCACAGAATGGTAGAAAAGTAGTGGGAGCCAACCACCATCTGCTAAATGTGCTACAGGCCTAATGCTTCCCATGTATTATCTCATTTAATCCTCAGCACCTCTGTAAGGAAAATGCTAACTTCCTTTTGAAGTTAAAGAAACAGAGACTTAGAGATGCGAAGTACTTGAATGGTGACCAGTGGAACTGAGGCTGGAATCCAGTTTTAATCTAAGGAGTCTTTTTGTTTTGTTTTGAGACAGAGTGTCACTCTGTGGCCCAGGCCGGAGTGCAGTGGTGCAATCTCAGCTCACTGCAACCTCCACCTCCTGGGCTCAAGCAATTCTCGTGCCTCAGCCTCCTGAGTAGGTGGGATTACAGGCATGCGCCACCACCATGCCCCACTAATTTTTCTTCCTTTTTTTGTTTTTTGTTTTTGTAATTTTAGTAGAGATGAGGTTTTACCATGTTGGCCAGGCTGATCTCAAACTCCAAACCTCAAGTGATTCTCCTGCCTCAGCCTCCCAAAGTGTTGGCACTATAGGCGTAAGCCACCGCGTCTGGCATAAGAAGACTGTTATACCACTCTGTCTCTTCCCCTGTGATTGGGGGTGCTCCATGTCTCTAGCTGGAATGATGATGTCCAGACCTGGGAGGAGCCCAGGGCTACCCACCTCTAAAATCAGAGGGCAGGAAGCAAGAAACAGCCACAGGACTGCCCTGGAGGGTGCTGGGGTCACCTGCCCCCGGGCTGGAGCTGCCTCTGGCCTGGCACCTCCCCTCCCCAGAGGCTGGTGCCCACCTCCCAGACCTTCTTGGATGGGGTGGAGGTTACCGTCTCCTTCACCTTGCCTAGCTTCTCCTGCAGCTCCTTTACTTGCTGCTCCAACTGTAGTACGCTCTTGTTCTCATTGTTCTGGACAGAGAGAAGCAATCAGCAGCCACCCACTGCAGCTGGAGACCCCAGAACTTGGTGACTGCCTCCCATGGCACCGGGAAGGGTGGAGGCAGGTTAGAAAAATCATCCCCTGTCTCCCACAGCCACCAGAGCAGGGCTCTGGCTCACAGGTGCCTTTAGGAGTAACATTTCACTTGAGGGCTACACTGCCACATTTTATAGGTGGGGAAACAAAGGCCTGGAGGGCTAGGGAGGAGGGCAGGCTCCCCAGCTGGGGCAACGCACCAGCTCCTTGAAGCTGTTCTGTGGCTCGGCCAGCTGCTGAAGCCTCTCCTCCTGCTCCCGAAGCCTCTCCTGCTGCTCCTGAAGCCTCTCCTCCTGCTCCCGAAGTCTCTCCTTTTGCCCCTCATTCAGGAGACTTATGCGCTGATTGTACTCCACCTGGGCCTGGAGCGCTCCTGCCACTCTCTCTAGTTCCTTCCTCAGGTGCTGCAGCTCCACCTCAGAGGGCACTGCTGGGGGCTCCGGGGGCAAGGGTTCAGCTGAGAAAGGAAGCAGATAATAAGGGCCTCTGGATTCTCGGAAAAGAAAAACCCTCCTCTTGGCGCACAGCTCCTCTCAGGCTCCTCAAACTTGGCCTCACTGCTAATGATTCCTCGCACCCAGATGGTAGCCAGTCTTCCAAACCACTTTCAGAGAAAGAGCACTGCGGGTGGCTGACAACGGGCCCTCTTTGCTGATGGGGACACTGAGGCTCATTGAGATGACAAGACTTGCCGTCTCCTGGCACAGACCTCTTTCCCTCTGCCTCAAAGCCCTTCCCATCCACCCACCTCGCTGGGGCACTCCAAGCCACCCTCACAGCCCTCTGATGCCAGTCCTGCTGCCAGGTCACGCCAGCCCCATCTTACCCATCTGGTGTTTGAGTTTGGACAAGCTCCTCTCCAGCGTCTCTACCCGATATTTATCATGCTTCTTCTCCTTCTTCAACGAGCAAACCTGCCCAAAGCACAGGGGGAAAGGGCCCTGGAGAGAGGGGCTGGAGGCTGGACATGCTACCATCTCCCTCTCTGCCCCCACCTCCACAAAGCCCAGTCCCAGGACCACCTCTGGCTCTACTATTCCCATTTTACAGGTGCCCAGAAAGATCCAGTGACCTATCTAATGTGGGGGGGCTGAAGGGTCAGATCTCACCTCCTGCGACATTTTTCTCATCCTCTGCTGCCACCGGGCCCTCTCTCCTTTTAGATGTTCAGCATATTCATCCCTCTCTAGCTGGACTTCTTTAAGTGACTCCTTCAACTGCAAGAATGGGCACAGAAATTAGGAAGGGCTGTCACTGGTCCTCACCTGCTCCTGGTTACCTGGGGTCATCTTCCTTCCACATCCCTCCCTCTGAACACCTCACCTGTGTCAGCTGCGCTTTCAGCAGTGCCTGCTCCCGCATGGACTGCTCTAACTTCCACTCCATACGTGCTTTACTGCGGCTGGAGAACTGCTGAAGAGTGAGAAGTTTCAATCTGGGGAGGCCGGGCCATTCCACACAGTGCCCCTTAAAAGGGCCAGGGCTAGGCCCAATATACAACTCGGTCAGTAAAGATCAAGGCATTTCCAAGCCCGTGGTTTGGTTTTTAAAGAACTCAGTAAAGTTGGAAGGGACAGGGAAAGAGATCGAATTTATAGCTGGCTAACAGAGGCCCAGAGAGATCAGATAATATTGCTATTGTTATTACTGTTATTATTACCACTGTTTGAACTTTTATGGAGTGCTTCACCAGATACCATGCTAGCAATCCCATTTAATCCTCGCAACCACCATGGGAGACAGTTACTATGATGACCTCTATTGTGTAGATGAAAAAACATGGAGTATTTGAGGTTAAGTGCTTGCCTAAGATCACTTAGGCAGAGCTGGGATTTAAACACCCAGATCTATCCAATTCTCTAAGCCCATTTTTCTTGCTGGGGGTGGGGGCACAGCTAGGAAGGGGAAAATTAATCTTTTGTTCACTTTTTGAAAGGATAATACATTCACATAGTCCCAGACTCAGAAGGTACAGAAGGGAAGTATCTCCCAGCCACCCTGTTGCTCTCTCCTGAGTTTTTATGAACACTTGCAAACATATTTTATGTATATTATCATAATATGTACACACACACACACGTTTCCTCTCTCTACAGAAATGGTAACATACTAAAGGTACTCTTCTGTACCTTCACAGTACAAGTACCCAATACCCCACTTAGGACTTGGCCAAGACCACAGCCAGGTAAAGGCATGGCAGGCACTTGGCCTCCAAGCTCTACGTCCTGTGCTCTCTCCCCAGAGTGCCCCCCCACTCACCCACAGCAGCTGACTCAGTCCCAAGCTGCCGCTAACAACCATACAAAAAAGCAGTGAGAAATGGCCATGCTGCCTTCTGGGCAGGACACTCCATCCTGCAGAAGGGACCTTTAGGCTCACTCCTCTGTCTGTGAAGCCAGGCTCCCAGGGGACGGGGCAGGTGGTTGGACTCACCCTCTCCGCCTTCTTCTTCTGTGTGGCGGTGACAGCAGAGAGAGCCCGCTCTAACTCTCCTTTACGCTGCAATGAATGTTGCAGACGGACGGCCAGATCCTTGGACTCTTCTGTAATGAGAGAGTTGAGATGGGGCCCAAAGGACTCCCCCTGAAGACCTGTCAAAGTCCCAGGTTGAAGGATGACAGGGTACCCAGATTCCCACCTTCAAAGTATCTGAGAGAACGTTTCGTGTGGTACAGGTCCGTATTTAGTTTCCCTTTCTGTATGTTCAATCTCTGGATTTGAACCTTTGGGAGAAAAGCCAAGCAAGTGCTGAAAGAGAAGGAAAGAAACATTCTCCGGAGGACAGGAGAAAACTGCACACTGTCCACTCACCTCTAGCCCCCTTTCAGCTTTCTGTTTCTCGTTGTTTGCTTTCTTTTCCTGTAGGAAGAGGAAGACAGAGATCTAACCAGGCGGAGGCAGAGATGGTACTGCAAGAGACATGTCCCCAGAATGCCACCACTGCCCCTGCCCCGGGACAGGCCCACCCATGGGACCGGGTTATCAGGGACCCTGTGGGGGATGGGGTGGACTCTGGGGGGTGAGCCTTCTTCCCCAGGCTGGGAGTGGGTGAGACGAGACTCGGGGCCTCTACATCTGAGTGTCCCCCAAACCGAGCAGTCATGTCGCGAGCAAACAAAGAAATCATGTTACTTCTTCCAGCTGATGTTCCACTTGTTTCTTCTGTTGTTTCTGTGGGGAGAGTCACATTAAGGTGATGGAGGGTGGCCCCCTCAACTCTATTCCCCAGAGCAGGAAGTGGTAGGCAGGGACCAGGAATGGATTTTAAAGGCAAAGTTCTCAGACCCAGTGGGAACACGAACTGGTAAACTCTCCTCAAGCTCCCAAGGACAGAGGATTTGGGTCTTTGTTGGCTTTTGTCCACAGCCACAGAACTCAAGGTCTGAATCTGGAATCTCTTGACAGGACAGTAACATAAACCTCTAGAGATGGAGTTTGAGAAAGGCCCCCCCTTCTGCCAGCTTGTGATTTAGAAAAGTGCATTCATTCAATAAACATTTACTGAGCACGTACGGGCCAAGTACGGTTCTTCACAGCAGATTTAGGGCGGAAAAGGACAGACAGGAGCCTTTGGCCCTGAGGTTTCCATTCTAGGAGGCCTTTAAATCTCAGACTCTCAGAGCTAACAGAGACCTATGATACTCACTACTTCCTCTGGAAACACGAGCCCAAAAAGGAGAGGTGGCTTGTCCAGAATCAAAGAGCAAATTAGGGACTGAGTCATGGCAGAAATACAGGGCCCCTGACAACCAGTCAGGCTAGCACTTCCCCAAGAGGCAACAATCCCAGGGCGTGTGTAGCAAGGACTCGAGCAGGGGCGTCTGGAGAGGGGAGAGTCAGCAAACAGGGCAGCAAAAAAAGAGCCATGCTGCATGCTCCGGGGTCCCTCCAGGTGAGGCCTGGGTGCCCCAGCTCCCTATTTGCCCTTGGCACCAGGGGCCCCTGTCCCCTTTCTTCAGGGCCCCAAGGAGAAACTAGAGCCCAGGATTGGCAGCGTGGAATCAGGGGACCCCAGTGGACTCTTACCAAAGATTTGATGGTGTTCTTCAGTTGACTGACTTTTACGGACCTCGAGTCTGGGACTACTGCTAGTTCTTGGCACGGGCTCTGAGGCGCATGCAGAGAGGAGGAGGTGGAGGAGGAGTGGGGGGAGAGGTAGAGAGAGCAATCATTAGGGCTGGGGTGTGTGTGGACTGTCTCAGCTGGCAGAGGGGCACCCCGTCCCACCTGGAGGAGGAGGTTGGAGGGCTGCCCTGCAGGGTCACTGCACCTCTGCCCAGAGCCTCTTACCTCCAGATCCTTCAGGGTAGCAGATGATGTAGGGCTCTCCCCGTGGATACCTGTTGCTGACTACAAGAGATGAGAGTGCACATGAAGATGTTCTGTCCCACTCAGTATCTAAGCCCTCTGACTTCTTTTCTTCCCCATCAACTGGCACAATTTTCTTTTCTGCCTATCTTGGACCCTTTGTCCCATAACTCCTTTGTGCCAACTTCTCTCATGGTTCTTATCTCCCCACCACAGCACCCTGCGGCCCTTTCAGTGACTCCTGTGCCAAGTGACTGTTCTCATTGTCCTGGCTTCCCCTTGAGACTGGGGATGAGGAAAATCGAACAGCAATGACCATATCCTGGGTGTTCTGGGTGTTTACAGCAGGCCATGTACTAGGGATTAACATAAAAACAACAATAACAGATCTCATTTAAACTTCACAAATGGAAGTGAAACAATACCACCTCTATTATACAGATGTGAAAAGAGAGGCCCGATGAGGTCAAGCAACTTGCCCTAATTCATATCCCTAGCAGACAAAGAGGCAGGATTCAAACCCAGAATTCTTCACAGGTACCCAACAGTCCATCCACAATCTTAACAATTACCCTCTAGTGCCCCTTGGGTCCCCTGTCCCCAGGAACCTAGTCAGCCAAGACTCACATCTCCAGGTGAGTGGCAACCACCAGAAGTGGCTGTCTCATGGATGCTGCCATTTGTTTTCCTGTTCCTCTTGGCTCCTGCTGGAACACCAGGGCTGTTTCTCTGCCAATATTCTTTTAACTGTCAGAAACAAGAGCAGTAATACTCATGAGAACTATCAGCCCCTGCAGCCACATCCTCCTTTACAGTTTTTATAAAATACTCTTATACACCATCTGATTTAATGACACCAACAACTGTACAAGGTGTTGTCACAATCATTTAGTGACTCAAAGAGATTGATATCATGGCTAGAAAAAAAAAGAAGAAAAGAAAAAGGCGACAGACGAACTTTGAAACTCAGTCTTCTGACTCCAAACTCTGGGGTATTACCAAGAATCAGCAGCTGCCAGGGACCAAAACCAGAGGCAGAGGTAGAAAAGTAAACATTAAGTAGGCAGGAACTGTATGCCATGTGGTTTAGAGTCATACATCCTCACACGTCTGTTAGTGTGAAGAAGTGCACCAGTACCTCTCAAACTCTTATATCAATGTATCCTCATGGCAGAAGGCAGCCTTTCTGTTAAATCTGGGAATTTATCAGAAAGAGGACAACCCAAGCCTCATTTCAGAGAGAGGTCTGGTATACTCTTAGAAACCTATGTGACTGTCATCCCTAAGTACATTAATGTTTTTTCTCTTGATCTCAAGAGAATCAATGGAAACTGATGCTTCAGAAAGATGTCCCATATGTATCCTGTGGCACTCAAAGTACCCCAGGTTTACATAATATGAGGAAGATTCAAGCTGTCAAGTTCAGTTTCCCAAGATCTATTCCACAGAAGATGAGCAAATCTCACTTCACAGACCACTGACTGAAGGGCAGTCTGGTCCCAGAACCATGGAGAATTAGAATGTGAGGTGGAGAACTCACAAAAAATTTGTTAAAATCTCTCTGGAAAGTAGAAGCCTGGGAGAAAACCAAACCAAGTCAAACCCATTCTCCAGTTGCCATCCAGAGGTACTGTCAATGTTTTGAGCTCACAGGGGAAGTGTAGGCTTTTCCCGCTGTCAGTGTTTATGTTAAGGGAGTGAGGCAGCCTGAAACCTCTTGCTCCTAGGTCCCAATCTCCATTCCCCTTCCAGCTGGAAATTTGTGCTGTGACAAGAGGAACCAGAAATGGGGTGGCAATGCTTAGGGGACTGGGTCATAAGATCAAAGGCCAGTCTTGCAGTAATGACAGTTACTGGATGGACCGTGACATCACTACATTCCACTCTTCCTGGTGAGGGGGAGGGACCACATCAGCATGATGTCCGAGTCACCGCTCCATGATAGGGGAGGGAAAAACAGAGCTGGGACCCAGGTCCTTGGAGACACCAGTGCACACAGCCTAGGGAGGTCCACCTTGAGGCAGCAGGAGGGAAGGGAAGAGTCAGCAGCAGGGAGCCCCAGGATTCACCAGCCTAAAGTCACCCAGGGATGACTGGTGAGGGTGGGGTCTGGGGCTGTGGGACCCAGGTCCTTGGAGATGTGAGCCCAAAAAGCCCTGGGAGGTCAAGCTTGGGGTGGCAGGAGATGAGGGCCCAGTAAAGGAGCGGGGAGCCCCAGGATTCACCTGCCCAAAGTCACCCTGGGGTGATTGGTGAGGGCAGAGACTGGGCTGCTTGCTGAAGGGGTGGGGCTGACTGGCAAAACTTTGGTGGGGGTAGCCCAGAGGCACCGGTGTGGGGGTCCCAGTCCGGTGAACCTCGGGAGTGGTATGGACTCTGGCAGCAGTCTTGTCGTTGGAGAGGATCTATGGCTGGGTTGGGGGTCCGTGACCTGGTGTGTTTTTACCTTTCTCTTGGCTGCTGCCAATTTACTTTGTCGAGTTTCTTCTGCCATCGCAGGGTGGGGAGGGAGGCGGGCTTGGGTCCACATCAGCAAAATCCCACCAAGCACTGATCAACACCTCCAGTCACCTACCAGGTAGCTGTGCGACTGAGCCAGAGGAGGCGTAACCAGGGATGCAGTAGAAGGCAGAATAGGGGCGTGGCCTTAATGCTCCAAGCCCATTGGTTAATGAGAAAGATGAAAGGGAAAGGGGGCGTGGCCAGGCATCAAGTGTCCAGAGGGACCTTTGGCTCACAAGGAAAGCTGCCCATGCAACCACTGTCCCCACCCACTCTAAGAGAGGGGAGAGGCCGCCAACTCTGGGAGAGGGGCAGGGCCGGCTTTTGCTTTAAAAGCTTTTAAAAAATATATATGTGTATACTTTATATATATGTGTGTCTGTGTGTGTGTACCTGTGTGTTCCTCCAGAGCTGTCTTCATGATCCAGCTTCTATGCAAGGTCTATGATTTTGGCCTATATTTTTCATAGAGTACAAAAATTACCAGTATTACCTTAACCGAGATACAGATCCTATGAAAATGGAAAATCCATAGCATGCTTGATGATTACTGAAGCAGACTATATTATCCAACATTCCAATAAGATAAAATAATCACAATGACTTCTCTTTTTTGGAAAAATGTTTCTCTTATTCTCCTACGTTATTGTGAAGACTTTTTTTCTTAAACAAGAAACATGTGTAATATTTGTAAAAACACAAAGCTTTTGGGCCGGGTGCAGTGGCTTATGCGTATAATTCCAGCACTTTAGGAGCCTGAGGCTGGTGGATCATGAGGTCAGGAGATTGAGACCATCCTGACTAAAAAGGTGAAACCACATCTCTACTAAAAATACAAAAAATTAGCCAGGCGTGGTGGTGGGTGCCTGTAGTCCCAGCTACTTGGGAAGCTGAGGCAGGAGAATGGCGTGAACCCAGGAGGTGGAGCTTGCAGTGAGCTCAGATCGTGCCACTGCACTCGAGCCTGGGCTACAGAGCGAGACTCCTTCTCAAAATAAATAAATAAATAAATAAATAAAACTTCTATTTCTTTCACTTTCTAATATAATTTTAATATCTCCTCCTGGGATTTCACTAAGACACATTTTGGACCTCATTCTGATCTTCCTCTCCCCTCCAAGCCCACCAACTTCTGCCCTATCATCTATCCTCATGTCTCTCTGTGTGACATGCTGACTTACTTTTTGGAGAGAATCGTCTAAACAATTAATTCTTTCTTCTCGTGTCTAATCCATCCACTAGTTTCTTATTTCAACAATTACATTTTTATTTCCTTATTTCATTTTATTCTGAGACTGAGTCTCATTCTGTCACACAGGCTGAATTGCAGTGGTACGAACCTGCAGACTCGGCCTCCTGGGCTCAAGTGATCCTCCCACCTCAGCCCCTTGAGTAGCTGGGACTATAGGCAGGTGCCCCATACCCAGCTAATACCATACCCACACAGCAGAGACATAAAAGATTTCCATCCTCAAAGAAGGTTCCATTGAACAGCACTGCTCTAATTCAATAAAAAATACCACTGAGCACAACATAGTAATAGAAAAGATTGAAGAGGCAGTGCTGATACTTAAAAACCTGGTATTTTCAGCCAGGCATGGTGGCTCATGCCTGTAATCCTGGCACTTTGGGAGGCTGAGGTGGGAAGATCGCTTAAGCCCAGGAGTTCTAGACCAGCCTGGGCAACATGGTGAAACCCTGTCTCTACAAAAAATACAAAAAATTAGCTGGGCATGGTGGCATGTGCCTGTAGTCCCAGCTACTTGGGAGGCTGAGGTGGGAGATCACCCGAGCCTGGGAGGTCAAGGCTGCAATGAGGTGAGATGGCACCACCACACTCCAGCCTGGGTGACAGAGTGAGACCCTGTCTCAAAAACAAAAAACAAAAAACAAAACAAAAACACCTGATATTTATTTTTAAGTACACTATTTTCAAACATTCAGAAGTTATTTCATCCTACCTTCATGGTTTCCATTCTATGCCTGGTTTAGAATTGGGATCTGATAAAATAAACGTGTTCAACAGAACCACTTCTCATGGCTGTATAACAGATGATCAATATGTATTTGCTGAGGAAATCATACAATTTTCTTAAATTTTTTTAACAAAAATTGTGGTTTCAAGGGACCAAACTTGAATACTACACCTTCATGTTCTAAGAATCAGGGGACTTATATAAAACCTCAGTTGCCTGATAAGGACTACATCAAAGTGAAAAGCCATGGGAAAGAACTAGAAAGTATACTTTTGACCCTAGTTCTGTAGTTTCCTTATGCCACAGGTAATACACATCGCAATTCCTGCCAAATTCTTTCCCTCACCTCTGTTTATGGTCTCGATTCCATAAATAGGAGAAGGGCATGAATTTGCTTTAGTTAGATAGACAGATAGATGGATAGATAGATAGATGGATGGATGGATGGATGGATAGATAGATAGACAGAGATAAAGATAGAGACAAAGATGGAGACAGAGATGGACATAGAGACAGATTTGCAGAAGATAAGTTCTAGGTGAACTAGTGTCAACATTAAAGTGGTATGCCTACATCTAACTATTCTGGAGAGAAAAACATACCTCAAAGAAATTGACTTAAATATATACAGAGAAAAAGTTTAAGCTGAAAGCTACTGCCTTTTTATATGAGACACTTTAGGAAATTACTTGGGGGGCAAGAGAGAAAATGGGTGGACATAGCTCAGAGGTTACACAGTAGCAGATATGTAGGATGAACAAGCCTAGAAATATAATGTACAACGCGAGAAATATAGGTAATAAAATTGTACTGTATTGGGATTCACGCTAAATGAGATTTTAAGCTCCTCTTGCCACCAAACAAAAAGAAAACGGGTAACTATCTGAGTTGAAGGATACGTTAATTTGCTTCACTGTAGTAATTTTTTTAACCATCTATATGCATCCCACAAAATCATGTTGTATACCTTAAATACACAGAATACAATTTATTTAACATAAAAAACTACTCCAATATTTTCTGCATTTTTAATATGCTCACCCAAAGAAAGCATTAATTTGCATCTTTGATGTTAAACAGATAGCCTAATGAAGTCACTATCAAGATCAAGACTAAAAGTTACAGCTTTTTTCTTTTGATGCCTTTCAGATATATCTATTTATATATAAAAATATATATACACACACACATACATACACACACACATATATATGTAGTTATGTGTGTGTGTATATATAGTTATAGTTTTGGCCAGGTGCAATGGCTGACACCTGTAATCTCAGCCCTTTGGGAGACCAAGGCTGAAGGCTTGCTTGAGGCCAGGAGTTTGAGACCAGCCTGGGCAACGAAGCAAGACCCTATCTCTACAATTTTTTTTTTTTTAACAAAATTAGCCAGGGATGATGGCATGCACTTGTAGTCCCAGATACTTGGGAGGCTGAGGCGGAGGATCCCTTGAGCCCAGGAGTTCAAAGCTGCAATGGGCTGTTACTGTGCCACTGGATCCCAGTCTGAGCAACAGAGCAAGACTTTGTCTCAAAAACAAAATTTATAATTAAAGATAAATAGTTATAGTTTTATGAACCTTGACTGCAACTGAGGGAAAATCCCGTAATTGGCAAAATGAATTCTGCCTGCTTGCAAAACTTCTGACTAATACGGAATGAATAATAGGAAGCCCATATTAGAGGATCCACATCAGTTAAAAAGTTTCCAAATAAGAGTGACTCTGAGTTCTGCAGAGTGAAAAGATTGGGTTCAAACCAAACACTTGCAAGATCTTGAGTAAGATACTTAATCCCTCTGTGACTCACTGTTCTCAAATGTAAGTGAAGATAATTTGTAACTCAAAAAAAATGAAAAAGTTTTCTCTAAGATTGCAAATCCTAAGGATAATTTCATTTTAATATCAGTTATTTAGTCTGGATACACCATAATGCAGACTAATTTTCCCTCTGCTTAAAGACCACACAAAAACATTACCAATAAAATTTACTTGTGTATCAACTTTTACTCCTGAGACTTCATCGTTTGTTTGGTTAAAAAAAAAAAAAAAAAAAAAAGCGCACTAGACCGGGCACAGTGGCCCATGTCTGTGATCTCACTTGCGGAGGCCAAGGCAGGTGGATGAGTTTGAGAACAACCTGGGCAACATGGAAAAACCCCGTCTCTACAAAAAAAATATATAAAAATTAGTCAGGTGTGGTGGCACATAACTGTGGTCCCAGCTACTCCAGAGAGTGAGGCGGGAGGATTGCTTGAGCCCACGCAGAGGTTGCAGTGAACCAAGATGGCACCACTGCACTCCAGCCTGGGTGACAGAGCAAGACCCTGTCTCAAAAAAAAAAAAAAATCACTATAAAATTGAAATTCACAACAAAATGTGCATACTTAACCTTCTTTTTATTTATTTATTTATTTATTTTTAATATTTTGAGACAACATCTTGCTATGTTGCCTAGGCTAGTCTTGAACTCCTGGGTTCAAACCATCCTCCAGTCTTGACTTCCCAAAGTACTGGGACTACAGGTGTGAGCCACCAGCCCCGCCAGCCCTGTTACACTATTCTTGGTCCCTCAAGTGACTGTATGAATTTTAGGATCAGCCTCTCGAGTTCCACAAAAAAATTCTATTGGGATTTGTGTAGGAATTTCTTGAATTTATAGATTAATTTGTTGAGAAGTAGTATGTTTATAGCATTGAGTCCTAAGATTCATAATATATATGGCATATATTTCAGTTTAGTCAGTTCTTCCTTTAAGTCCCTGGGTAATTTTTATATTTGTCTTAGTCCCTTCATAGTGCCATAACAAAACACCTGAGACTGGGTAATTTACACAGAGCAGAAGTTTATTTTCTCAGTTCTGGAGGTTGGGAAGAACAAGATCAAGACTCCAGCAGACACAGTGTCTAGTGAGGGCCTGGTCTCTGCTTCCAAGATGGTACGTTGAATGCTGCTTCCTCTGGAGCAGGCAAATGCTATGTTCTCATGAGGCAGAAGGGACAGATTTACCACCACCCACAAGCCCTTTTATAAGGAAGGCACTAATCTCATGCATGAGGGCTCACCCTTATGTCTTAATCACTTCTTAAAGGCCCCACTTCTTAGTACTATCATCTTGGGAATTAAGTTTTAATACATGAATTTTGGGAGACACATTCAGGCTATGGCAATACTCTTCATGAAAGGCCTGTGTATACTTTGCTAGATATATTCTCAGGGTTTTGTTGTTATTGTGAATAGAATCTCTTTTTTTTTTTTTTTTTTTGCCACGGAGTCTGGCTCCTTTGCCCAGGCTGGAGTGCAGTGGCGCGATCTCGGCTCACTGCAAGCTCTGCCCCTCCAGGTTTAAGCAGCCTGTTGCCCAGGCTGGAATGCAGTAGCATAGTCATAGTTCAATACAGCCTCAAACTCCTGGGCCCAAATGATTCTCTAAGCTAATATTTTTAATTTTTTAGAGATGGAGTTTCATTCAAGGATCACTAAAGGCCAGTGATCCTCCCGCCTCAGCTTCTGAAATTGCTGGGATTACAGGTGTGATTGAGCCATGGAGCCTGGCCAGACATGGGCTATTGATTCTCGCTGTTACTCTTTTCCCTTTCCTTCTAATCCTTGTATTGGGAAGCAAACAGTATGGAAATTTTATTTCTTCATTTTATTGATATGTAGATCTCTGCTTAGAAGACAATTTTAGTTTTAAATTATAAATGTTTCATTCATTATTCATAGAAAACTAGATTTGCCATGGGATATTTATAAGTGTTGCACGAATGAAGGGTTTTCTAGTCAAATAAGTTGAAACACATTACGTTAAACAAACTTGGACAGTTTTGTTTCTGGTCATTTTTAGAGTTCTAAATTATGATTCTACTCAAGAGGATATTGTATGCGGTATTTTCAAACCAACTCATCCTGCGTCAGGTTGTGGTTACGCTTTGGGAGAGGAAGCTATAATCTTATACTGAGACTGTAATGAATGTATTAAGGTAATTTTCGTAGCTTTCTCTTTTTGGAGTTACCTGAGAAATTATGACACCCTTTTCCAAACAGGCCAACCTGCTTTGCAAACACGATTTCCATAATTTTAACAATGGTGAGGCCAGGCACGGTGGCTCATACCTGTAATTCCTTCCAGCACTTTGGGAAGCCTAGGCAGGAGGATCACTTAAGCCAGGAGTTCAATACCAGCCTGGGCAACATGGCAAAAACTCATCTCTACAAAAAATACACATATTAGCCAGGCGTGGTGGCACACACCTATAGTCTCAGCTACTCAGAGGTTGAGGTGGGAAAATTGCTTCAGCTCAGGAGCTCGAGGCTGCAGTGAACGGTGATCACGCCACTGCACTCCAGCCTGGGTGACAGAGCAAGACCCTGTCTCAAAAACAAACAAAACAAAACACAAACCAAGGGTGAGAGAGATGTTAGATGTTTTTGTCCTTGTTACAGATGTAAATGCTCAGTTGGAAAGAGGGAAGTATTTAGAGTGAAAAAGTTTCAGTGGAACACACACAAAAATAGGAAGATCAGGTATAACTGTTCCAAAAAAAAGAGTATGGCAGTATAGAAGAAAAGGTCTCCATGAAAATGCAGAAGAACAATTTCACAGCTGGTGCTGGCATTTCAGAGACCTTGAGCTGGGAATCAAAAGATGGGAATTTCAGTCTCGGATGTGCCACTCCTTAGAGGTTTAATATCTACTAAACCCGGCGGGCTCCACTTGGTGGTGTTTGCTATTTAAAAAAACAAAAACATGTGGCAATGATCTTCCACGTGATTCTGACTTGAGCCCCACGCGAGTCTGCAGACTTACCCTTCCACTGCTTTGCCCTTCAAGTTTGTGCCCATTAGCAAAGAGAAATTTTCTCTTTGGGATCACTGCTGTGTTGATCTCAGGAATATTTGGCGTTGAATTTAACATATTTTTCATATGTGTGTGCAATAGGGAGGCTGAGAAAGTTGTCTTTTTTTTAAGGTGTTCATTTTTGGGGTACAGGTAGCAGCCTGCTCTACAATCCACACAGAAGCTGGAAATAGCCTCTAGAGAATTTCCACGTTTAGAGAAGATAAATTTATACATTTGTATCTAATCAACATTTTTTAGCTAACATAGTAGTCTAATTATACTATGTATAATTATACTATGTATAATTATGGGTACTGAAATGACACCTGGCATATGCTGTATGCTGTGTTATATATACATATATATTTACACATATACATATATATTACACATATACATATATATTTACACATATATATTTACACATATACATATATATTTACACATATATATTTACACATATACATATATTTACATATTTTACATTTACATTTTACATTTATTTTACATTTTACATTTATTTTACATTTTACATTTACATTTGACATTCTACATTTATTTTACATTTACAAATATTTACATATTTTACATTTATATATACATATATTTACATACATATATTTACGTACATATTTTTACATACATATTTACATACATTCACATACATATTTACATATATATTTACATACATATTTACATAATATTTACATACACATATTACATACATATATGTACACATATACATATATTTACACATATACATATACTATGTATAATTATACTATGTATAATCATGGGTACTGAAATGACACCTGGCATATGCTGTATTTAAAAATGTGAGGTTCAGTGAGAACACATGGACACAGGAAGGGAAACAACACATACTGGGGCCTGTCAGGGCGGGTGGGGGAGGAGCATCAGGAAAAATAGCTAATGCGTGCTGGGCTTAACACTGAGGTGATGAGTTGATAGGTGGACCAAACCACCATGGCACACGTTTCCCTACGTAACACTCCTGCACATGTACCCTAGAACTTAAAACAAAATTTTAAAAATAATAAAAAATAAAAATGTGAAATTCAGCACATAAACTGTTGGTTTTATTATTCATATTTTCTTAATTCAGAAATTATTTTCTGAACTATGGTTTATTAGATAATTTTGACGTAACAATTTTTTAAGAGGAAATTTAAGTTTTACTTTTTAATTGGGGCTCTTGGTTCTTTTTAAGAAAGACAGAGATAAATCATTTATACATTTAATTAGAAGAGACTGGGCTTGAATTTTTAAAAAGTACTAGAAATCGTAGCCACTATATATGTTATCTTTGAAATGTTTTAGACACTAATTACCTAAACAAGGAGCAAATAAGTTAAACCTCTTGGATTTTAATAAGAACTAAAATGTACAGTTGTATTTTCTGGTTTTTTAAATTGTTACAGTCTAAATTTATTCTTCCTAATGAAGAAATGTATGTGCCGTCAATATCAGGTTCTTTGTGGGTACTCACAGTTCCCTTTGCCTTTTACGCAGTGAATGTGGGCAACATGCGTGGAACAGAAATGATGTCGTTTTCTTTCTTTTGAATATCACTATGAATCTAATAATTCAAAGATTCCTAACTTTCTGAATGCCATTATTAATTGGATTCACAATGACTTACCAGGTACAGAGTTGTCCCGTGTGTCTTGGGGTGAACTACTGAGAGTGGTATGAGGGAAGCGATTCTCAGCTAGCGCTGAGTGGGGCCACTTCCAAAGAGGTGATGGGGTAAGAAGCACACACAATGTGGCATTTTCACTGCAAAGGGAGGTTTGTGCTGCCTCTCCTCCTGTGGCAGGTCTGCTCGCAGGGGAGGCTCCAAAGTTTGGCTTTGCTGGGTTTGGCATGTGAGAACTGATGAAATATCTGTATGTAGTATCTTTCAAGGATTTATATCGGTTGGATTTCTGTGTAAATTTGCATATCCCTTTGACTGCTTTACCCCATAGAAGCTTTGTATGCTCAATAAAATCTGTAACTTTTCTGTCACTTTCTCATTTAGCATCTGCCTTTCTGGCTTTTTACTTTATCTTTTTATTATTGTTTTTAGTTTAATGAGATTATGGTTAGAGAGAAAGATGGGTGCATGATTCCGCTTCTTTGGAATTTGTTGAGATTTTCCTTATGGCTCAGTACATATGTACTTGGGGGGGTGAATGCTGTCACTTTGGAGAGATATGTTTTTTCTGTACATTAGGTCAAGCTTGTTAATTTTCTAGAGAGATGTAAATCTTCTATGTCTATGCTGATTGTTTTTGTCTCTTTTATCAGATACTGAGATATGTATTTAAATTGCCCTCTGAGGGTTGCAATTTTGTCATATTTTGCTTTCATGTATTTTGAGTGCTAGTTATTAGATACATTAACATTTTAGATTACCTTCTCCCTTGGTTTATTAGAATTTTTATCATTATATTGTGGCCTTAAAAAATCTCCCATATTGCTTTTTGCCCAAAGCCTATTTTATCTGATAATAATATAGCTTCCAACCCTTCTTTGGGTTAGGTACATATGACAGGTGTATCTTTTTTCAATCTCTCTCAGTCTTTCTGTGACTTTATGTTTTAGATGTCTTTTCATACTGTTTATTTTCTGTTTTTTGTGTTTTTTTGTGTGTTTTTTTTTTTTTTTGATACGGAGTCTTGCTCTGTTGCCCAGGCTGGAGTGTAATGGTGTGATCTCGGCACTGCAACCTCTGCCTCCTGGATTCAAGCGATTCTCCTGCCTCAGCCTCCTGAGTAACTGGGATTACAGATGTTCACCACCACGCCGGCTAATTTTTGTATTAGCAGAGATGGGGTTTCACCATGTTGGTCAGGCTGCTCTCGAACTCCTGACCTTGTGATCCCTCCGCCTGCCTCATCCTCCCAAAGTGCTGGGATTACAGGCATTAGCCACCACGCGTGCCCTAATTCTGTTTTATAGTCATTTTCTCTTAATTATTCAGTCTATTTACATTTATTGTGATTGTTGGCATAGTTTCTTTTATAACTTTCATCGTATTTTGTGCTATTTGTTCCATCTGTTTTTATTTCTTCATGTCTTTTTTGTTTCGTTTTTGCTAATTCCTTTTATATTCATGGTTATTCTGCTCTTGAAATGTATGCTATGTGAATATATTTGTGAGTTGACAATACTTTATTAGCAATTAAATATACTATTTCTCTTTTTTTTAGAACTTGCTCAAATGTTACATAACCTCAATATCCTTAGTATCTAAATTAAACTGACTTTCTGAACAATCATCATTTTAAGGCAGTTACCACGATCTACTAAAAAATAAAAAAAAATTAGCCGGGTGTGGTGGTGGGCGCCTGTAATCCCAGCTACTCAGGAGGCTGAGGCAGGAGAATCCCTTGACCCTGGGAGGCAGAGGCTGCAGTGAGCCGAGATAGCGCCACTGCACTCCAGCCTGGGCGACAGAGAGACTCCGTCTCAAAAAAAAAAAACAATAATAATAATAAAGGAATTTAAAAAAAGACTGGGTTTAACCATGTTGCCCAGGCCGGTCTGGAACTCCTAGGCTCAAGCAATCCCCCACGCTTGGCCAGTCCAAAGTCCTGGAATCAAAAGCGTGAACCACCACGCCAGGCCGATCACGCCTGTCATCCCAGCACTTGGGGAGGCGGAGGTGGGTGGATCACCGGAGGTCAGGAATTTGAGACCAGCCTGGCCAACATGATGAAAACCCGTCTCTACTAAAAATACAAAAAAAAAAAAATTAGCCGGGTGTGGCGGCAGGCGCCTGTAATCCCAGCTACTCAGGAGGCTGAGGCAGGAGAACCACCAAAACCCGGGATGCAGAATTTGCCGCGAGCGGAGACCCAGCCACTGCACTCCAGCCTGGGCAACAAGAGGGAAACTCCGCCTCAAAAAAAAAAAAAAATAATAATAAGAGACAGATTTTCACCATGTTGCCCAGGCAGGTCTGGAACTCTTAGGCTCAAGCAATTCCCCACGCTCGGTTGTCCAAAGTCCTGGGATCAAAAGCGTGAGCCACCACGCCAGGCCGATCTATTTCTTTCTGATTAATAAATTGGGCCGGGAGCGGTGGCTCACGCCTGCAGTCCCAGCACCCCGGGAGGCCGTGGCGGGCGGATCACCTGAGATCGGGAGTTTGAGACCAGCCTGACCAACATGGAGAGACCTGTCTCTACCAGAAAAAAAAAAAAAAAAAAAAAAAAGAGCTGGGCAGGGTGGCTCCCGCCTGCAATCCCAGTCACTCGGAGGCTGAGGCAGGAGAACCACCCAAACCCAGAGGCAGAGGCCGCGGGGAGCCGACACCGCACCACTGCACTCCAGCCCTGCAACAAGAGGGAAACTACGCCTCAAAAAAAAAAAAGAGAGAGAGAGAGAGACCGGTTTTCACCATGTTGCCCAGGCTGGTCTAGAACTCCTAGGATCAAGGGATCCGCCACGCTCGGCCCGTCCAAACTCCTGGGATCAAAAGCGTGAGCCACCACGCCAGGCCGATCCTTCCTGTCATCCCAGCACTTTGGGAGGCCGAGGTGGGTTTACCTGAGGTCCGGAGTTCGAGACCAGCCTGGCCAACATGATGAAAACCCATCTCTACTAAAAATACAAAAAAAAAAAAAAAAAAAAATTAGATGGGTGTGCTAGCGGGTGCCTGTAATCTCAGCTACTCAGGCGGCTGAGGCAGGAGAATCGCTTGAACCTGGGAGGCAGAGGTTGCAGTGAGCCGAGACAGCGCACCACTGCACTCCAGCCTGGGTGACAAAGTGAGACTCCGTCTCAAAAGTATATATATATAAAAATAAAAAATGAAATAAAAATAAATTGGGTGTGTGCGCTGGCTCACGCCTGCAATTCCAGCATCCCCGGAGGCCGAGGTGGGCGGATAACCTGAGGTCTGGAGTTTGAGATCAGCTTGCCCAGCATGGAGAAACCCCGTCTCTACCAAAAACAAATAAAAAAAAATTAGCAGAGCAATGTTGGTCAGGCCTGCAATCCCAGCCACTCCGGAGACTGAGGCAGGAGAACTACTAAAACCCTGGAGGCAGAAGTCGCTGCGAGCGGAGACCCAGCCACTGCACTCCACCCTGGGCAACAAGAGCAAAACTCCGCCTCAAAAAAAAAAGAGAGAGAGAGAGAGAGACCGGGTTTCACCATGTTGCCCAGGCAGGGCTGGAACTCCTAGGCTCAAGGGATACCCCGCGCTGGGCCATCCGAAGTACTGGGATCACAAGCGTGAGCCACCACACCAGGACGATCTATTCCTTTCTGATTAATAAGTTGGGCCGGGAGCGGTGGCTCAAGCCTGCAATCCTAGCACCTCGGGAGGCCTAGGCAGGTGGATCACCTGAGGTCGGGAGTTTGAGACCAGCCTGACCAACAGGGAGAAACCCCATCTGTACCAAAATAAAAATAAAAAAAAAATACAAAATTAGCCGGGCTTGGTGGCTTATGCCTGCAATCCCAGCCACTCTGGAGGCTGATGCAGGACAACGACCGAAACCCGGGAGGCGGAAGTCGCGGCAAGCAGAGACCCAGCCACTGCATTCCAGCCTGGGCAACAAGAGCGAAACTCCGTCTCAAAACAACACAAAACAAAAAGACCAGGTTTCACCATGTTGCCCAGGCCTGTCTGGAACTCCAAGGCACAAGCGATCCACCCTACTTGGCCGTCCAAAGTCCTGGGATCACAAGAGTGAGCCACCACGCCAGGCAGATCAAAGCGTTGAGCTGAATAAAGAGTTATCTTTTAGCATTTTGTGGAGCCCGGGTAGATCTGTGCAGGGGGAAGCATATTACAGAAGCGAGAAACAGAGAGTTATTTAATTGAAGCACGCATTATGTTTTTTTTTTTTTTTACGTTTTTAGGAAAAATATGTTTTGTGACTTGCATTTGTTTGTTTAGTGACCTTGCAGTTGCACAGTTAGGGAATTAGGGTTTTGATAATGCCTGGGAAGGGAGCGATAAGGCTCACTAGCCATAGGAAAACAGGTAGTTTTTTTAAAGGACTAAGGCTCTTTCTCATTCTCAGGGGGAATTGGGTTTTTTTTACATACAGCTGAGTTTTTGCTTACACATTTTTTCATTTCTTTTAATTCCTGTTCCAATGCCAGCATCCTTGCGGTGCGGTTTCCCAGCGGCTCTCTTGCCTTGCAGCTTGTGTCGGGAGTTGCAGACAGCCATGGCCCATGGGCCTGGCGCTGACGGACCCTGGAGCGGTGTCTGAGGGAGGTGGGCAAAGCCACTGGCTGGCCCGAGTGCATCCTCACGTAAGTGCACAGATCCCGGGCTCGGGTGCGACTGCGGTCGCACGTGGACACGGGTTGCAGACCCCTGGCAAATTGTGGAGCTGGGGGAAGGTAAGGGGAAATGTAAATCACTTTTCCCCACATTTCAGAGGACCTAGGCTATCAAAATTTTAAAAATTGTTAAAACTTTTACAGTATGGATCTCTCAGTTGAATGTTATTGAAATCAACCTAACCTCAGTTATTCACGCCTATAAGCTCCCCTTGAGGCTTATTACGGCCCCCATCCCCCTACACACAACTGTGTTGGTTTCTCCTTCCGCCTGTGCTCCTAAAGCACTCAGTGTTTACCTGCCATCATACTTTATTGAAAGCACAAACTTGTCACTTGTCTGTCTACCCCACTAAGCTTCTTGAGAATTAGAACTTTCATGTCTCTTCCCAACACAAACGTTTTATGTGTATTTTGTTGAAGAACTTCAAATATGACCTATAAAATTACGACTCATTTATGTTTCAAACTCCAACCTCTCCCTTGAGTTCCTTGCTCACAAGCAACTCCAGACTGAGCTTAGTTGGAATTCAGTAGCGCACAACTGGGATATCCGCACCGTACGGCTTTTAACAATTTTTTAAATTTTGGTCCTCTCAGCATCACAAATTCACTGTGTCCAAAATACAGTAGAATGTTGTTTCTACCCACCTACACTCTGCCATCCGCTGAAGTCCTTTCCCCTTGCTCCACCACTCAAGCCTTGCCTATCGCAGTAAATGGCAGTTCTGTCTCTCCAGTTGCTCGCACATAAAACTAGGCTGCTATTTTGATGTCTTCACTTTTCTCTATTCTGTATCTAATTCCTTAGCAATCCTGTCAGTTCTACCTCCAAACTGTACTCAGCATATTCACTGCTCTAACTCCAGCTTAAATCACCATCATCCTTTGCCTGGAATGCTGCATCAACCTTCTAATCACTCTACTTTCCTCCTCCTCCTTCCTCCCTTTCTTCTTCCTTCGTATAAATCATCATTTCATCCTTCTGCTTAAAATCTTCTCACATTTTCTTATTACACTTAAAACGGCAAACTCTTACCCTTGAGCCCTGCAGAATTTGGCTCCCATCAGTCTCTCCAACTTCACCTTCTGCCTCCTTCACGCTATAGCCATGCTCACTTTTTTATTCCTCAGGCTTACCAAGCTCAATTGCATCTTAGAGAATTTGTTCTTGCTGTTTCTTCCGCCTGGAATACATGTTTCCCAATCTTTATAAGACTATACTTGTCTGTAAGTTTCATCTCAGATGTCACATCTAGGAGAGGTTTTCCTTGACCACTGTAGCCAAAGCAAATGTTGATCATTGAGTGAATAAGGGAATGAATGAATGGAGTGGTATATAATGTAGCAGAGTAGAAAATTTAAGGCTAATTCTCTATATATCTCCAAGCAAATAGATTTGTAATGCTTTTCCTGCCAACAATCTATACAGCTGATTCACAAATACTTGGTTGACAGGTTTTATATATCATTGTGGCTCATCAGCTTATATGTTGTTGGGGCCAGAATCTATACTTACACTTTATTCAAATTTGATTTTACAGAAGAGTTGAGGTTTTTATTTTTCTTTTAATTAAGAGGGCTGTGAAATTATTATCTATAATTCTAAATCTCATTTAATTCCTCCCAATAGGTTTCAAGATGGATTGGAACCAAAGTTCACTTCTTTAACAAAAGTGCTTTATGACTTTAATAAAACAGTAGAGAATGGTAGAATCCATGGCAGCCCTTTACAAAAACTTGTGATAGAAAGTTTTGATGATGAGCAGACTTTGCAACAACTGGAATTGCAAAATGAAGCAATTTTACAGTGCTTCCAGAATGCGGTTAGTGAAAGAAAGATGAAGATATCAGTCTTCTCCCAGAGAGTGAAGAACAGGAGCATGAAGAGGCTGGTTCAGAAACAGAGGCTGATGGCCAGGAGGACCTAGAAGATTTAGAGGAGGAGGAGGACGTGTCAGATATGGGTGGTGACAATCCTGAAATGGGTGAGAGAGCTAAAAACTCAAGCAAATTCAGGGCCAGGCGCGGTGGCTCACGCCTGTAATCCCAGCACTTTGGGAGGCCGAGGCAGGCGGATCACGAGGTCAGGAGATCGAGACCATCCTGGCTAACAAGGTGAAACCCCATCTCTACTAAACATACAAAAAATTAGCCAGGCGTGGTGGCAGGTGCCTGTAGTCCCAGCTACTCGGGAGGCTGAGGCAGGAGAATGCCATGAACCCGGGAGGTGGAGCTTGCAGTGAGCCTAGATCACGCCACTGCAGTCCAGCTGGGTGGCAGAGTGAGAGACTGCATCTCAAAAACAAAAACAACAATTACTTAACTTTAGGATGCTCCAATAATCAAAATTGATAGTGGCTTGTGAACAGATAGATTACTTGAATAGAATAGAGCCCAGAAATAAACCCAAATGCTTCTGGGGGAGTTTGGTACATTATAAACATGACATTTTAAATCAATGAGGAAAAGAAATCATTTGCAGCTCACCCCACCATACACAGCAGGAATAGGAAGTCATTGGCAGAATAAAAAGATGGTAAGAACAGAACAGAATTGTAGAACAGTACATTTCTTGCTTCCCCACTTTTCAAAGTATTTTTTGCTTTTTCACAAATGTAAGTGTAATTTTATTTTCTAAATGTATACTAATTCTTTTCTTCTCTTTCTTAGATGAATGACAAAAATTACATCTTTAGAAAAAGAGTTGTTAGAAAAAAGCCTTGGCTGCATGTGGGGGAAGTGACAGCACAGAAGAGACCAGAGAAGAGCCTCCTGGAGGAGAGCCTGCACTTTGACCATGCTGTCCGGATGGGTGCAGTGCTCTTTTCTGCAAAGTGTTCACTTCTCTGCTTTTTCTGTGGTCCCATTTCATAGAAAGATTTGGGGTGATGTTTCTTTCCCTCAACTTTTATTTTGAAAACTTGCAAACACAGAAAAGTTGATAAAATCATACAGTGAACATCTGTATGCTATTCAACTGGATTCACTAGTTAATGTTTTGTCACACTTGTTTTCTGTCTTCTGCGTATGGAAGATTGTATATGTGCCCTTTTTCCCTCTGAATCATTTCAAAGTAAGTTGGCAGTATCAGAGCATTTCACTGTTAAGTACTTTCGCAGATATCTTCTAGGAACCAGGACTTCTCCTATATAATCACAATACCATTAATCCACCCCCAAAATTTAACATCAATACACTAATGATACCTACTGTATAGATTATAATCAGCTTCCTTGCAGCAATCTGTTTAGAAGGCTTGCATCCTGTCACTGTCCACTGATTAAATTTTGAACTCTAACTTGAAACCCTGGTCATCTCATTGCCTTCTTTCTTATACCCATTAAGTCAAAAGGAGCTCTCATTTTATTTCAACAGAAAAGAGAATGGAAAAGCGGGGAAGAGTCCCTAGTACCTTGGATAAAGTATGAGCACTTACTACCATATGTATTCTAGTTCTGTAGTTTTCAAACTTCAGGGAGCATCTCAAGGCTTATTAAAGCACAGATAGCTGTCCTTCCCCACTTTCTGATTCAGGAGGTGTGGGGCTGGCCCAGGAATTTGCATGTCTAACAAGTTCCCACGTGTTTCTGATGCTGAGGGTCTAAGGACTACAATGCATGAATCCGTGGTTTAGTGGATATCCACCTAATGAATACATGTTGTATTTCCTTTGGCACCCGTGATTACAGAGGAAACACCTTTCAACTGGAAGGTATCATTAAACAGAGGATAAGAGATCAGGTCAGTAAGAATTAAATTTCACTTAATTGAAATGTCACTCAAATGTTTAGAAATAATATGACAGGCCAGGCACAGTGGCTCATGCCTGTAATCCCAGCACTTTGGGAGGCCAAGGCAGACGGATCACTTGAGGTCAGGAGTTCGAGACCAGCCTGTCTAAGATGGTAAAACTTCCTCTCTACTAAAAATACAAAAATTAGCTGGGCATGGTGGTGCATGCCTATAGTCCCAGGTACTCGGGAGGCTGAGGCAGGGGAATCGCTTGATCTCGGGATATGGAGGTTGCAGTGAGCTGAGATGCGCCACCGCACTCCAGCCTGGGCAACAGAGTGAGACTCCATCTCAACATAAATAAATAAATAAATAAATAAATAAGATAAATAAGATAAAAATAAAAATAAAGGGAAGATGGGGCAGCTTTGTGTATTGCATGTCCTGAAAATGGGCTGATTTCTCTCAAGAGGCAGGGATTTAAGCTCTGTAGCCTATGTGGGATACATACAGGAGAAAAAAGAAGAAAAAGAAAAGAAATGTAAATATAAATAAATGAAAATAACACTTTTCCATGATTATAAAGGAAATCACATTGTTTTTGTAATAATTTGGATGACAAAATGTAAAGAAAAATCTTTAATTTTGCCACTCAAAACATTCCGGTTTGTTGCTTTTCACACTTTTTATGCTGTAAACATTTTAAAAAGTAGAATCACAATACATGGTCTTTTGTCACTTACTATATTTTAAGCATGTTTCTATGGGAGAAATATATCCTGGCATCATCACTTTCAACAGCTGGATGTATGTTAAGTGAATCATTGCCACCCCAGAGGTGGATTTCCTTCTATATATATTTTAATGGACTCGAGTGAGGATTTTTGCACTGAATTCATAGAAGTAGAATTTCTAGAAGAAAATAATATAAAACAGTTTTAGGATTTTTAAAACAAATGTTCAAATCATCCTATAGGAAAATTGGTTGAGTTTACGCTCCCACCAACAGGGACAGAGCTCCAGGTTCCGCCTTCCATTTGTCGTCTTCGCTGGTCTTTAAGCAGAAAATCTCATTGTTTTCATCACCTTTCTTTGATTTCTAGTGCTTTTGAATCTTTTTCATTTGCTCATTGGCCATTTTTATTCTTGTGGGAAGTGCTGGTTTCTCCATTGCCCATTTTCTGCTGCAAATCATTCATTTTTTTTTCTGAGTAATTTTAAAGATTTCTTTATAGGCTAAGGATACAAACCTTTAATCTGTCATTGAGTTTACAAAGATCTTCTCCCAGTAAGTAATTTGTCATTTCACTTTATTTATTTATTTTTTGCTAGCAAAGCACCAAAGTCAAATTTCACTTAATTTTTATCCTGCTGAATGAACACATTTTAAGTTAGTGATTTTAGTGGAAACAGGAGCAGGACAGAATGTAATAATTAGATCTCGCTCTGTCACCCCAACTGGAGTGCAGTGGCATGATCATAGCTACTGCAGCCTCAAACTTCTGGGCTCAAGTGATTTTCCCACCTCAGCCTCCCAAGTAGCTCTAGGACTACAGGTGTGTGCCGCCAAGCCCAGCTAATTTTTAAATTTTCTTTGTAGAGATATGAATTCGCTATGCTGCCCAGGCTGGTCTTTAACTCCTGACTTACCCCACCTTAGCTTGCCAATATGCTGGGAGTACGGGCGTGAACTACTGCTCCCAGCCAAGAGCTTACTTTGGTTTGCTAGCAAGGTTCTTGGTATCTTTTTATATTTGAGGCTTTCGTGCTAGTGCTGAAGTATTACACTCACCATCTGAGGTTTACAGGACTTTTGTTTTAATATTGAACCGAGGGAACTGTTTAGTTTTGCATCTTTGCAGGTATACAAAATGTGCCTACCAGGACTCTGCTTTATATCCATTGAAAAGCAAGAAGTAATACAGTAAAAGTTTGCCTGGCTACAGGCTTTGGAAGAATGGAGTATTCTGGTTTAATTCTATTAACTTGGAAGGATGAAGGTGGAAAAAATTCAAAACTTTAATTTCCTGTTGAATGCAATTTGAAAATATAGCCAATGAGTCCACTTTTCTTCTCTAGTAAGTTTGGACATTCAGATCTACTTGGTCTTTTATCATAGAACTCCTAGTGCGCCTGAGTCTTACGTTGTGAAAATCCTTTTCTAAAACTTTAGATGTAAGAGGATAGAAATGATATTGGATGAGATCAGGCTGGATGAGAACTGATACCTGTAGATATATTTTTTAGATGAAATCTCTGCTTGCCACACGTTTTCTTATTGAACTCATAAAAATAAAACACACTGGCTGGAGGGTGGAAGTAGGAAGGAGATTTATGTCTTTTAATTGCATGTCATTGTTTCATATTGAGACAGAACATATAGTATCCCTGGCTTTGGACCTACAGAAGGAAACACATTTTTCTACCTGCTGTATGGCAGAGGTTCCTGAGCACCTGGAGGGATTATTGCAGCACGGATTGCTGGGCCCTACTGCAGAGTTTCTGATTCATTCATGTCTAGGGTGGGGCCTGAGAATTTACATTTATAAGAAGTTCCCAGGTGCTCCTGGTCCGGAGACTACATGTTTGAGAGCCACCCTTACATACTAACTGTAAATTGTAGAACTCTAGAAAAAAGCGTAGTTTGGACTGGGAGAAGAAGCACACAGGTAATGGAGCAAATCATGAAAAAGTCAACCCTTGATCCCAGGTAACAAGCAATACACAGTGACATAACACAATTCTTGGTTTTCATGATTGCAAGTCATAGCCAAGTATCGAGTGAGAAATTCAGTTTCATTTTCAGGGCTTAGAGGCCAGGTGATTCTAGAAAAATCGGATTTAGTGATTAACTCATGAGAGTAGGAGTTATTTATGTCCTTTTTCTCTCCCCCATCACTTAGCATTTAGCCTTACTTTAGAAGGGTCCTGTATTTGCTTTAACCTTGTAAAGAACTTTGAGTGCTTATTAAATGGAAAGCCTTGTGTGTGTGTGTGTGTGTGTGTGTGTGTCTGTGCGTGTGTGTGTGTGTGTGTCTGTGCGTGTGTGTGTGTGTGTGTGTATTTAGAGACAGAGTCACGTTCTGTAGCAGCCCAGGCTGAAGTGCAGTGGCATGATTTTGGCTCACTGCAACCTCTGCCTCACAGGTTCAAGGGATTCTCCTGCCTCAGCCTCCCAAGTAGCTAGGATTACAGGCACCTGCCACCATGCCCAGCTACTTTTGTATTTTTAGTAGAGACAGGATTTCATCATGTTGGCCAGGCTGGTCTTGAACTCCTGAATTCGGGTGATCCACCCGCCCCAGCCTCCCAAAGTGCTGGGATTACAGGCATGAGCCATCACGCCTGGCTCAAAGCTTTGTATTTTTAAAGATATTAGACATGTTTCTTGTTTGTTTGTTTTTTTTAAAAAAACTAAACGCTAATGTAGGAGAATAAGAGAAAGTTTTTCCAAAAAAGAGAAAACATTGTGATTATCTTATTGGAATGTTGGATAATAAAGTCTGCTTTATCAATCATCAAGCACACTATAAAATTTCCATTTTAATAGGACTTGTACCTCAATTGAGGTAATAAAGTTTTAAAGTTTTTAAAGTGAAAGCCAGCCCCGCCCCTCTCCTGGAGTGGGCGGGGACAGCGGTTGCATAGGCAGCTTTCCTTGTGACAACACAGGTCCTTGATGACACGCTGCTGTCTGGCCACACCTCCTTTTCCTTTCATCTTTCTCATTGACCAATGGGCTTCAAGCATGAAGGCCACACCCCTATTCTGCATTCTAGTGCAGCCCTGGTTACGCCTCCTCTGGCTCAGTCACACAGCGACGTAGAGGTGACTGGAGGTATATACTTGTCCTCACCTGGATCATGCTGATGTGGCCCCAACCCCACCTCCCTACCCATCCCCACCTCCCTACCCATCCCCACCTCCCTACCCATCCCCACCTCCCTACCCATCCCCACCTCCCTACCCATCCTATGATGTCCAAAGAAACCAGACAGAGCAAATTGGCCGAGGCCAAGGAACAGGTAAACGCACCAACACCCCAACCCAACCCGAGGCCCCCTCTGACAGCCGAACTGCTGCCAGAGTCTGTGCCACTCCTGAGGGACACCAGGCTGGGCCCCCCACCCCAGTGCCTCTGGGCTCCCCACACCAAAATCTTGTCAGCCAGCCCAACCCCCTCATAAGTCCTGCCCCTGCTCTGCCCGGCACACCAGGGTGACTTTGAGCAGGTGACTCCTGGGGCTTCCAACTCCATACTCCGCCCTTACCTCCTGCTACCCCAAACCCGACCTCCCTGGGCTCCTTGAGCTCACATCTCCAAGGACCTGGGTGCCCCAGAACCTGCCCTCACCAGTTGCCACAGGGTGACTTTGGGGATGTGACTCCTGGAGCTCCTTGCTCCTTAATTGGCCCTCACCTCCTGCCGCCCCAAGCCTGACCTCCCGGGGCTCTTTGGGGTCACGTCTCCAAGGACCTGGCTCCCAATTTTGTGACCCCCTCCCCAGTCTCAAAGCGGCAACTTGGGCATTGCACTCATGTGTCCCCCCCAACCACTCCACCGAGGAGTAGAATGTAGTGATGTCACAGTCCCGCTACAAACTGTCATTACTACCACAAGACCGGCCTTTGGTCTTAGGACCCAGTCCCCTAAGTGTTCTTGCCCACTTCTGTTTCCTCTGGTTGCAGCACAGGTTTCCAGCTGGAAGGGGAATGGGGACTGTGGGACCTAGAAGAGAGAGGTTTCAGGCTGCCTGACTTCCTTACCACAGACCTTGACAGTGTGAAAAGCCTACACCTCCCCCATGAGCTCAACACGTTGACAGTGTCTCTGGGTGGCAATGGGAGAATGGGTTTGGTTTGGTTTTCTCCCAGGCTTCTACTCTCCAGAGAGACTTTAACATTTTTTCTCAGTTCTGCACCTCAGATTTGAATTCTCCATTGTTCTGGGACCAGAGTGCCCCTCAGTCACTGGTTCTGGAGTGAGATCTGCTTATCTTCTGTGGAACAGATCTTGGGAAACTGAACTTAGCTTGAGTCTTCCTCATCTCATCTCAACCTGGGGTACTTTGAGTGCCACAGGATAAATATGGGGCATCTTTCTGAAGCATCAGTTTCCCTTGATTCTATTGAGAGGCAAAACATTAATGTACTTAGGGATGAAAGTCACATAGATTTATAAGCGTATACAAGACTTCTCTCTGAAATGAGGCTTGGGTTGTCCTCTTTCTGTTAAATTCCCAGATTTAGCAGAAAGGCTGCCTTCTGCCATGAGGAGACATTGATGTAAAGGTTTGAGAGGTACTGGTGTACTTTTTAACACTAACAGACGTGTGAGGGTGAATAACCCTAAACCACATAGTGCACAGTTCCTGCCTACTTAATATTTGCTTTTCTACCTCTGCCTCTGGTTTTGGTCCCTGGCAGCTGCTGATTTAGGGCAAAATCCCAGAGCTCAGAGTCAGAAGACTGAGTTTAAGTTCCATTACTGCCTTTTTTTTCAGCCATGGTATCAATCTCTCTCAGTCACTAAGTGATTGTGACAACATTTCCTACAGTTGGTGGCATTAAATCAGATGGTCTATAAGAGTATTTAGTATAAACTGTAAAGCAGGATGTGACTGTAGGAGCTTGTAGTTCTCATGAGTATCACTGCTCTTCCTTTCCACAGTTGACAGACCATCATCCCCAGACCAACCCTAGTGTTGGTACAGCAGCAAGCGACACCAAAAAGAAGAAAATAAATAATGGCACTAACCCTGAGACAACCACTTCTGGTGGTTGCCACTCGCCTGAGGATGTGAGTCTTGGCTGGCCGGGCTCCTGGGGACAGAGGGCCCAAGGGGTGGTGGAGGGTAATTGTTAAGATTGTGGAAGAACTGCCAGGTACTGGCTAAGAATTCTGGGTTTGAATCCTACCCCTCCATCTGCTAGGGATATGATTTAGCGCAAATTGCTTGAGCTCTTTGGGCCTCTCTTTTCACATCCGTAAAATACGAGTGGTATTATTTTCCTTACGTTTGTGAAGTTTAAATGAGATTTGTCATTGTGTTTTTATGTTAATCCCTCGTCCAGGACCTGCTGTAAACTCTCCTTCTTGGGCTTGCGTTTCCTGAGGTAGAGTTAGAGAGTATCAGAGGTTTCTGTTAGCTCTGAGAGCCCGAGAGTTAAAGGCCCACTAGAATGGAAACCTCGGGGCCAAGGGCTCCTGTCTGCCTTTTCTGACCTCTATTCCCGCTGTGAAGAACCGTCCCTGGCCCGTATGTGCTCAACGTTTGCTGAGTGAATGCACCTTTCTAAATCACAAGCTGGCGGAAGGGTGGGCTTTTCTCGCACTCCACCTCTGAAGGTTTCTGTTACTGTCTTTTCAAGAGAATCTAGTTTCAGACTTTGAGTTCTGTGGCTGTGGGCAAAAACCAAAAAGACCCAAATCCTTCTTCTTTGGGAGTTGAGGAGAGTTGACCAGTTCATGTTCCCATTGGGTCTGAGAACTGTGCCTTTTAAATCCATTCCTGGCCCCTGCCTATCGCTTCCTGGCCTGGGGAATAGAGTCAAGGGGGCCACCCTCAGTCACCTTCCTTTGACTCTCCCCACAGAAACAATAGAACCGAGCTCAGCTGGAAGAAGTAGTGTGATTTCTTTGCTCACGACATGACCGCTGGGTTTGGGGGCACTCAGATGTAGAGGCCCCAGGCTCATCTCACCCACTCCCAGCCTGGGGAAGAAGGCTCACCCCCAAGATTCCACCCCATCCCCACAGGGTCCCTGATAAACTGGTCCCATGGGTGGGCCTGTTCTGGGGCAGTGGTGCCATTCTGGGGGCATGTCTCTTGCTGTGCCATCTCTGCCTCCACCTAGCAAGAGCTCTGTTTTCCTCTTTCTATAGGAACAGAAGGCAAGCCACCAACATCAGGAAGCCCTAAGGAGGGAGCTAGAGGTGAGTGGAGGGTGTGAAGTTCCCTCCTGCCCTCTGGAGAATGTTTCTTTGCTTCTCTTTCAGCATTTGCTTGTCTTTTCTCCCAAAGGCCCAGGTTCATACCATACGAATCCTTACATGTCAGAAAACTGAGCTTCAGATGGCACTCTACTACAGCCAGCATGCTGTCAAGCAGTTGGAAGGTGGGAATCTGGCACCCCATCATCCTTCAACCTGGCACTTTGACAGGCCTTTAGGGGGAGTCCTTTGGGCCACATCTGAATGTCTCTCATTCCAGGAGAGGCCAGGGATCTGATCAGCCGCCTGCATGATTCATGGAAGTTTGCAGGAGAGTTAGAGCAGGCTCTCTCTGCTGTCGCTACACAGAAGAAGAAGGCGGATAGGGTGAGTCCAAACACGGCCCCGTCCCTTGGGAGCCCAGCTTCGCAGATGGAGGAGTGAGCCTAAAGGTCCCTTCTGTAGGATGGAGTGTCCTGCCCAGAAGGCAGCATGGCCATTTCTTGCTGCTTTTGTGTGTGGTTGTTAGAGGCAGACTGGGGCTGAGTCGGCTGTTGTGGGTGAGTTGGGGAGCACTGTGGGGAGCGAGCACTGGACATAGAGCTCAGAGGCCAAGTGCCCGCCCTGCCCATACTTGGCTGTGGCCTTGGCCAAGTCCTAAGTGGCGGTTAGGGTACTTGTACCATAAAGGTACAGAAGAGTATCTTGAGTATGTTATTATTTGTGTGGAGAGAGGGGGCAGGTGTATATGTGTGTGTGTGTACGTATTATGGTAACATACATAAAACACGTTTGTAAGGATTCATTAAAAAACTCAGGATAGAGGCACAGTGTTGGGGGGAGATATTTCCCTTCTGGACTTTCTGAGTTTTGGACTATGCGAACGTATCATCCTTTCAAAAATTCAACAAAGGATTAATTTCCTCCTTCTTAACTGTGCCCCTACCTCCAGCGGAAGAATGGGCTTAGAGAATCAGATATACCTGGGTGTTGAAATCCCAGCTCCAAGTGATCTTAGGCAGCACTTAACCTTTAATACCGCATGTTTTTCATCTACACAATAGAGGTAATAATGGTAACCATCTCCTATGGAGGTTGTGAGGATTAAATGGGATTGTTAGCATAGTGCCTGGTGAAGCACTCAAGAAAGGTTCGAACAGTGGTAGTACTAACAGTAATAGCAATAACAATATTATCTGATCGCTCTGGGCCCCTGTTAGCCAGCTCTAAATTCAATCTCTTTCCCTGTCCCTTCCACATTCACTGAGTTCTTTGAAAAACAAATGAGGGCCAGGTGCTCTCGCTCACGCCTGTAATGCCAGCACTTTGGGAGGCTGAGGTGGGCGGATCACCTGCGGTCAGGAGTTCAAGACTAGACTGACCAACACGAAGAAACCCCGTCTCTACTAAAAATACAAAATTAGCCCGGTGTGGTGGCACATGCCTGTAATCCCAACTACTCGGGAAGCTGAGGCAGGAGAATTGCTTGAACCCAGGAGGTGTAGGTTGTGGTGAGCTGAGATTGTGCCATTGCACTCCAGTGAGGGCAACAAGAATGAAACTCTGCCAAAAAAAAAAATAAAAAGAAAGAAAGAAAGAAAGAAAGAAAGAAAAACAAATGAGACCATGGGCTTGGAAATGCCTTGAGAACACGTCAGGTGTGATTGAGAGTGAGGAAGTGTTACTGTGGAGTAGTCACTGTAGCAGTTGTTCCTGGTCGTCCAGCTACTGCTGTGCCTGCTCTATCCTGACTTAACCTTTCTCTATTTGCAGTACATTGAGGAGTTAACAAAGGAGAGGGACGCCCTGAGTCTGGAACTGTACAGGAACACGTAGGATGGGGGAAGGTGGAATGGGAGGTCTGGGGGCCCTTAGCATGGGTGGTGTGCTGGGAGGTGGGGGGTCCAGGTGAGTGTGGGGAGAGGCTCATACATGTTTTCATGTGTGCACACGGAAGCTCTAGTGCTGGCTGTGCCACTGACTCATGGGGTAGCCTCAGGCAACTCATGTCTTCTCTCTGGCCTGCCACCTGGGACTTTTAATTCCTGGGGTCCCTTCCAGCGCCATGGTTCTGTGGTTGTGGGGCGAGGGTAGGGGGTCAATCACCAAAGTGGTCTTTTATGTTCTTCATTCATTCCTTTCTCTACTGCCTCTGGCCATAGCATAACTGATGAGGAGCTGAAGGAGAAAAATGCCGAACTACAAGAAAAACTTCAACTTGTAGAATCTGAAAAGTCTGAGATCCAGCTCAACGTAAAGGAGCTAAAAAGGAAACTGGAGAGGGCCAAGCTCCTGCTGCCACAGGTGAGCAGCTGCAGCCCCGGGGGTTGTGGGAGACCCATCCAGCTGGGACCATGGTCTAGGGATCATGCAGGGTATGGGGAGGCTCCAGCCAAGAGCTGGAAAATTTGGGTCCTTGTTCTGGTCCCGCCATAGAATCCTCTAGAGTGTACTAAAAATGTACAAATTGGGGCCCTGCCTGGGGAATCAGAATCTCAAGAGTTAGGGCTTAAAAATATTTTTTTAAAGGATCATGGATGAAAACCATTATTTTGTAGATTACATTTATTTATTTATTTATTTATTTATTTGAGAAGTAGTCTCACTCTGTCACCCAGGCCAGAGTGCAGTGGCGCAATCTCGGCTCACTGCAAGCTCCACCCCCCGGCTTCACGCCATTCTCCTGCCTCAGCCTCCCAAGTAGCTGGGACTACAGGTGCCCACCACCACACCCAGCTAATTTTTTGTATTTTTAGTAGAGACGGGGTTTCACTGTGTTAACCAGGATGGTCTCGATCTCCTGACCTCGTGATCCGCCCACCTCGGCCTCCCAAAGTGCTGGGATTACAGGCGTGAGCCACCGCGCCCAGCCTATAGATTACATTTATGTGGCTAGCTCATGATTCTGCTTCCTTCTGAGGTTCAAAAAAACACTTTCACTATTCCAGCAGCAGCTGCAGGCGGAGGCTGACCACCTGGGTAAGGAGCTGCAGAGTGTGTCAGCAAAGCTCCAAGCCCAGGTGGAAGAGAACGAGTTGTGGAACCGCCTGAACCAGCAACAGGAGGAGAAGATGTGGAGGCAGGAGGAGAAGATACAGGAGTGGGAGGAGAAGATACAGGAGCAGGAGGAGAAGATACGGGAGCAGGAGGAGAAGATACGGGAGCAGGAGGAGAAGATGCGGAGGCAGGAGGAGATGATGTGGGAGAAGGAGGAGAAGATGCGGAGGCAGGAGGAGATGATGTGGGAGAAGGAGGAGAAGATGCGGAGGCAGGAGGAGATGATGTGGGAGAAGGAGGAGAAGATGCGGGAGCTGGAAGAGAAGATGCACGAGCAGGAGAAGATACGGGAGCAGGAAGAGAAGAGGCAGGAGGAGGAGAAGATACGCGAGCAGGAGAAGAGGCAGGAGCAGGAGGCGAAGATGTGGAGGCAGGAGGAGAAGATACGGGAGCAGGAAGAGAAGATACGGGAGCAGGAGAAAAAGATGTGGAGGCAGGAGGAGAAGATTCACGAGCAGGAGAAGATACGGGAGGAGGAGAAGAGGCAGGAGCAGGAGGAGATGTGGAGGCAGGAGGAGAAGATAAGGGAGCAGGAGGAGATATGGAGGCAAAAGGAGAAGATGCACTAGCAGGAGGAGAAGATACGGAAGCAGGAGGAGAAGGTGTGGAGGCAGGAGGAGAAGATACGGGAGCAGGAGGAGAAGATACGGGAGCAGGAGGAGAAGATGTGGAGGCAGGAGGAGAAGATACGGGAGCAGGAGGAGATGTGGAGGGAGGAAGAGAAGATGCATGAGCAGGAGAAGATATGGGAGGAGGAGAAGAGGCAGGAGCAGGAGGATAAGATGTGGAGGCAGGAGGAGAAGATACGGGAGCAGGAGGAGAAGGTGTGGAGGCAGGAGGAGAAGATACGGGAGCAGGAGGAAAAGAGGCAGGAGCAGGAGGAGAAGATGTGGAAGCAGGAGGAGAAGATAAGGGAGCAGGAGGAGAAGATACGGGAGCAGGAGGAGAAGATACGGGAGCAGGAGGAGAAGATACGAGAGCAGGAGGAGATGACGCAGGAACAGGAAGAGAAGATGGGGGAGCAGGAGGAGAAGATGTGTGAGCAGGAAGAGAAGATGCAAGAACAGGAGGAGACGATGTGGAGGCAGGAGGAGAAGATAAGGGAGCAGGAGAAGAAGATACGGGAGCAGGAGGAGAAGATACGAGAGCAGGAGGAGATGATGCAGGAACAGGAAGAGAAGATGTGGGAGCAGGAGGAGAAGATGTGTGAGCAGGAAGAGAAGATGCAAGAACAGGAGGAGAAGATGCGGAGGCAGGAGGAGAAGATGTGGGAGCAGGAAGTGAGGCTGCGGCAGCAGGAGGAGAAGATGCAGGAACACTAGGTGAGGCTGCAGGAGCTGGAGGAGAGGCTGGGGAAGCTGGGGCAGAAGGCCGAGCTCTTGGGGGGAGCAGGCGGAGGTGTGTGCAAACCCTGGAGATCATACAGAACGACCTCACCACAACTTAGCAGATGGTGGTTGGCTCCCTCTGCTTTTCCACCAGTCTGTGGCCTACAGTTTAAATGGTGGGAAGAAGGGTGTGAGATTTGAGGCTGGGGAGGGAGGCATGGGCCTCTAGGCAAGGGAGGCAGTCATTTAGGCCTGGAGGAAGGGGCCAGGGCCAGGGGCCTGGGTAGGCGACAGAGCCCCGCAGTGCCCTCACTACCCTGTGTATGGGCCCAGAATCTGGAAGCCAGCCACTACCTACCCTGACGCCTATCCTGCAGGTGGAGCTGAAGAGCCAAGAGGCTGAGTCTGCAGCAGCAGCGAGACCATTACCTGGGTCACCTGCAGCAGTACGTGGCCGCCTATCAGCAGCTGGCCTCTGAGAAGGAGGCACTGCCCAGCTGCAGCAGCAGGAAGCTCAGGGTGAAGCGGTGGCCGAGATGGCCCACCAATAGTTGCAGGAGACCCAGTTGAGGGAGTTGATGAGGGCGGGGCCCCAAGGGGGATGATCTGGCAACCTCCGTGCCTTCTCACTCTCTTTCCTGGCCCCTTAGGAGCACCTGGAAGCTGCCATCTAATGAGCACATGACAAGAAGGCAAAGACAATAAACATGTAAAAGCCGGCAGCAAGGCCTGGAGAAGAGTAAGCCGCCATGTGACTGTTTAGAATATAGTCTGAGCACAAACCTGAAAAAAAAAATTTATTTATTTTAAATTGTGGCAAAATACTGGCCAGGCATGGTAGCTCACGCTTGTAATCCTAGCAATTTGGGAGGCCGAGGTAAATGGATGACCTGAGGTCAAGAGTTCAAGACCAGCCTGGCCAATACAAAAATTAGCCGGGCATGGTGGCGCATGCCTGTAATCCCAGCTACTTGGGAGGCTGAGGCAGGAGAATCGCTTGAACCTGGGAGGCAGAGGTTGCAGTGAGCTGAGATCGTGCCACTGCACTCAAGCCTGGTGACAGAGCGAAACTCCGTCTCAAAAAAAAAAGTTTCTTCCTTACATGTATGTTTCTATTAGTTTTCTTCTTGGTCTTTCTCATTTAGTCTTGTGTTGTCTTTTGACATTCATAGTAAACTTTTATCTGCCTCCAGAGAGTATTGACTTTGAGTTTATGGCACACAATTGGAGTAAGGGCAGATCGCCTTCATCTACTTTGGGACTAAGCTGGTTCAAAGCAGGTTTTAGGTTTTCTGATGGCTGGTCTATGTTTTATTCATTTGGACTCCCAGGGGTGGCCCTTCCAGGGTCCCCACCAAGGTCCCATCTCCTTCCTGGGACCCAAATTCTCATTAGGTCATTTCAGCCCTGTGAGAGTGCCAAACATTCAGCTAGGCTCTCCAGCCTCTTAACTACCACTTCATACTCAGTTTCTTAGCCTCTTAGCCCTCTACTGTTGACCAATCACCAAATGTGGGAAAGCACTACAGACTGTCAGGATCACCTCCTAGGCCTGGTCACTCAAGTCCTTACTGAGGTCTCCAATTACCTTCCAACAATTGTTTTTGATTGGGGGCGGGGCACATTTTTATCCAGTTTTTCTAACTGCTCTTGTGGGGAGGCGAATCCGTAACAAGCTCCTCTGCCTTTACTGAAAGTTGAAAACCTTCATCTGTCCTTTTTTTGTTGTTTTTGAGATGGAGTCTTGCGCTGTTGCCCAGGCTCTAGTGCAATGGCACGATCTCTGCTCACTGTAACCTCTGCCTCCTGGGTTCAAGCAATTCTCCTGCCTCAGCTTCCCGAGTAGCGTGTGCCACCATGCCTGGCTAATTTTTTTTTATACCTTTAATAGAGGCAGGATTTCACCATGTTTTCCAGGCTGGTCTCGAGCTCCTGACTCAGGTGATCTACCTGCCTCAGCCTCCCAAAGTGCTGGGATTACAAGTATGAGCCACTGCATCTGGCCCATCTGTCTTTTAAAACATGTTTTTAATTGGAGGTATAATTTCTATTAGTGAAATGCACAGGTCTGGTTTACATTTTGATGAGTTTTAACTCATTTAACATTACTATGGAACCCACCTCCTTTGAAGATACAGAGTATTTCTATCATCCAGAAAGTTCTCCTGTGCTTTCATGCTGTCCCGCACTCCCCCAGCAGCTGATGAACATGCTGAGGACATTGGTACTGGATTCTGGCCGCCCCAAAAGAGCCGCTTTGACCAGGCTTACCCAGCACTAAATCCCTGCCTGCTCTCTCAAAATTTCCATCTTTAAACTGGTTGTACCTATAACCCTCCCTCATCAAGTCAATAGATAAACAAACCCTGAAAAATAAACAACTCTTCCTGGCCCAGCAGCCCACAGCCTAATATTTACTGTATTCCCAGGCTTTCAGAAATGTAACTCGCCTGCCGGTTCACCCTCACTAGGGCGGCAGCTGCACGGGAGCAGCTGGGCTCACCCATTAAGCAAGAAGCCAATAGCTGGACAGTGACACTCAGACCCCAGCCTGGGCGAGCCTGGCTGAAAGCCCCCTTCTTTCCATCCGACTGCGGAGAAAGGGGGCGGAGCACACACAACTCTACTGCCCTCCACATCCTTCACCTGTGCTTCCTCCTGGGAGAGGGAGCCGCTCATTAATTTGGCCAAAGCCTTCTTGAGGGCTGTAGGTTTCACAGGCTGGGTGTGTGGGGGCCACCGTGCTAGAGACAGAGGCTGGTGTGTCAGAAGGCAGCCACCTGGCCAGAGGGGGGTCAACCCCCTTGGTGACCTCCTTCCCCCGGCTGGACACAGTGCCCTGCACTCTCTACATGTGACTGTTCCCCTCAGAGCTGCTTCCAGGGGAGGGGTTCTAATCCTGTGGGTGGGGACATTGTGTTACTTTACAGTGGGCCATGGCTCCCTCTGACATCTCCAACTCAGAGGCAGTAGAGAGAAGATGAGAAATTCCCTGCCCCTCCTCCCTCAGCACCCCCACCTCTGCACACGTCCACATGTGGAGACCCTGACAATGGGCCCTGGGAGTGCCGCCATCTGTGCCTGCTTTCCATGCCTGCAGCAGCCATGCCCACTCTCCAGACCCTCACCCGCCTGGGTCAGTAGACGCTTCACTGCCTGTGGTCCTGCGCCTACACCTGGGCCTCTGTACCCGTCAGTTCCCCCAGTCTGGTTCTTATTCCCTGCAAAGAGTAGGGAGCCTATAAGGTCACCTGTTGAGCAAGCTGGGGGAGAGAGTAGGGTGGGGCTGGGAGGATGAGGAGGAGAAGCTCATGGTCGTGCTGGAGACTCAGCTGAGCAGAGTCTATGCAGGCCCATTGGCTGCCTAGCCAGTGGTGATCTCGCTCCCACCCTCATTTCTTCTTTGTTAACAAAACCATGACCTCATTAAATACTGGACACCTATAAACCTCATGGACCCTCCTCCAGCCTCCCCACCGTGTACTGGTGAGTCTAAGTCAACTCTAGTCATTTCATTCCTCTGGACATTGACTGCTTAGGGCTTGGGCATGAGCTGCCTCTTCACCTGAGCCTGAGCCACAGGTACCCTCTGCACCTACCACGCTGATGCACTGGGCCAGGGAGAGCGCCGTCTGGATGGAGATGAGCTGTGAGGAGCTGGTGGCTGGGCGGATCAGGTTGTTGTAACAGGTTTTGTTCAGAAGGTCGTCCATCAGTTTCTGCTCGGCATGGGCCATGCGGCAGTCCCCTGGGTAAACACACAGACATGCTGGGCCCTTGTGCAGCTGTCTCCCACTGCAGCTGACAGCTATGAAGCAGGAGCTGAGAGGGCCAGGGAGCACAGACACCCTGAGAGCTGGCTGAAGCAGTGAAGGTGCTGGCCGGCCTGGCTTTCCCTGGGGACTTCAAATGACATTCACGACAGAGCTCAGCTACCTCCTCCCCATGCCATACCTCTTCCTCCTCCTCCTCCCTCCGTCAATGAACAGCATCCCACGCTCTACACATCTGATACAAAACTGGGTGTCTCTTCCTGACTCCTCCCTTGGTTCACCCAAGTGGCCACCAAGTCCTGTCTGTCCTCCCATCTCCACGGCTACAGCCATGTCCCTGCCTCCCCCGCCCTGCCCACCTTCTGTTCTCTCCACCTGCACTCTGCCCCTGCCATCCATGTGCCATACAGTGGCAGACTGATCTTTCTACAGCAAACTGGACGAGGGCCCTTCCCTACCCACAGCTCTCAGAGCTGGAGGTGGAGTTGAAGCTCATGTTTTGGCTTGGCATTCAGAGCTCTTTCCCCCTCAGCACTGGCTTATCCAGAGTGCTCACAGTGCAGGGCAGGAGCCTCGTGACTCAAATGTGGGTTTGGTGCAGAACTGGGTCTGAGGTGGTGCTTTCCCTATGAAGAGACAGGGCCGACATGGGGGAATTTTCTGGGTTCAAAGTTAGACCTAGAGAGTGCAAAGTTTCTCTGAGGCACCAAATGGAGGGGTCCAGCTAGCAGCTGGCCCCTGGTCTGGAGCTTCAAGGAGAGATCTCAGCTCAGAGCCACATTCAATAGCCAGCTTACATGTGGCCTCCTGCAGGGAGCCCCTGGAGCTTCCACAGCCTCCGTTCTGCCCCTCTGCATACCCCAGATCTCCTGCTAAGTGGCGTTTGGGTCTTCATGTCATCTCCCTCCCATGTCTGGGAGTAAAGGTGAGGTGCAGAGACTTGCACTTGTGTACTCTGGTGTCTTAAGGGAGAGTGTGTCAAGTAGAGTGGAGGCGGCTTGGAAAGAGGGAGACTCAGAGGAGAGTGAAGGACACATGACCAGGCGAGCCTGGGAGCAGGAAAAGAGAGTGAGCAGAGGCAACTGCTGGGTCAGGGGAGCGGATGGGAGGATCAGGGAATGCGGGGGGGCTGGAGAGGTAGGGGTGGGGATGTTGGCGAGGGGCTGCCTGGCTCGCCAGGCTCAGGAGTCAGTTACATCCTCCCACAAGGGCCAGCTCACCTGGTCGCCCCAAAGACCTCCCTCTGTGGGTGGGACCAGAGGGCCAAGAGCACAGATAACCCAATTGAGCAGGACTGAGGCGGACTCAGGTGGGTGCTGGGCCGGACTCCTGGCTGTGGGGAGCAGCCACCACCCTGCCTATTGCATCCACTTTCCAACTCGCTGCCTATCTGAGCAGATGCGATATTGGGCACCTTGTGAAACATGCTCCTGGTGCACCTGCTGCCTGCTGCCCCTCCTGCAGAGTGCCCGGGCTCTCCAGAGGGGATTCCTATGGAGGCTTGGCCTAGATTCTGAGTCCTGCCTCTCATACCTGGGGCTGCTACCCCAGAGGCCAGCTGCTTGAGTACCCCGGAAGCCAGTCTGTAGCCCCAGGCTACAGCTGGGTCCATCCCACAGCCCTTCTCTAATGTACCTATTTGGACTGGCTGCTCATTTCATAGAGAGGGGTGTGTCTTGCCCCAGACCATCTGGCATGTCTAAGGCAGCTGTGGGGTCAGAATCTGCAGCTCCCAGCCCTCAGCCCAGCAATAGTAGGAAAGGCTGGACCCCACATCTCTGAAGTCCCACTGGGTTGGTGCGAGCGGGCTCCCGAGTACAGGGCTGCTCTGCAGGCTGTGGGGCTCATGCGCCAGCTCTGAGCCCACCTGATGTGCTCACGTTGCTCACCTTTGGGCCTGTCCGGCCTCTCAGGCATTCGGCTGACCCTGAGGGCCTCTCCCTCATCTTGACCACCAGCTACGGGCTCTGATTTAGAGGTTCCCAGAACCTTAGACCATTTGGCCGGCCCCCCATTTCTCACCTGAGGAAACTGAGACCAGAGAGGGATAGCAACTTTCTCAAGGACCCCCAGCAATTCAGAGGCAGAACCAGGTCTAGGAGCCTCTTCTCAATAGAGGTTCCCCCTGTCCCCTGAGCCTTCGTTAGTGCCTCATTAACTTCCCTGTAAGGAAACTGCCCCGCTGAGGCTGGAAATGGTGCTGTCCAGAGTGGTGTGTGCCAGTGACTGTGCTTGTGTTTGTACTTGTGAGTGTGTATGGGGGTGGGGATGAGGGGTGGGAATAAACGGCAGGGATTCTGGGGGCTGGATGCACTCCACCTCACCCCAAAAAGGGGCGCAGGAGAGCCCAGCCAAGCACAGCACATGCTTCGACTTTCCAATCTGCTGAATGCCTGTGAGGCCGGCTGGGCCCAGAAGACAAGGGACAGGCCTTTCCCCATAGATGGCAGGGGGGGCCCAGGATGGGTGGAAGCTTCTGCCGCAGCTTTGGGGGTCACAACCCAGCCCATGGGCTGACACTTAAGCAGAAAAGCCACCTCTAGGGGTCAGTCATAATCTAGTGATTCTGATGAGGAGGGCCCCACCAACCTCTGTCCAGGGTCTTGTCTGGGAAAAACTGCTCCCTGGCAGAAAGAGGCTAATAATTTGAGAGGAAGCCATAGCTGAAACCCTAAGCTGTGTGAGTGTGTGTCCAGTTTGAGAAAGCATATCCGACTTAAACATTTGTATTGAAAAAATGGAAACATATTCCCCTTGTTTTGGAATACAAACTGCAGAAAGCAGCAGTTAACAGAATCTTATCGGAAAGGTCAGATTCTGCATCTGGAAAGGCACAGTGATTTTCAACTGCGGTGTGTGTCCTTAACTGAGGAAGGGAAGGTGAGATTTATGTTTAGTAAAAGGCAGCTATGAATTTACCTTTTATAAAGAGCTTGCTATATACTATTAGTGCTTTTCAGTCATGTCAGAATCAGCCAGATGCCTGTGGAAATGCAAATTCCCAGGCTTCATTCCCAGAGATTCTGGTCCTGTGAGCCTAGGGTGGGGCCCAGAAATCTCTATGGGGTGGTGCAGCCTGCCCCAGGACCACACCAAGAAACACTGCAACTGGCCCACACACATCCCAGTCCACAAATATGTAGGCAGGCATCTTATCTCCACACAACAGATAGGGAAACTGAGGTCAGAGTGGGGAAAGAAACGTCATGGGGCCACCCAGCAAGTAGTAGCAGAGCCACGATACACCCACTGCCTGCAGACACCATCTCTGATGACAGCTCCACCTCCCCACAGGAATCTTGCCTACCCCCACCCCTACCTCCTGCTGCCCCTATGGTGGGTCTCTGTCCAAGGAAGATGTATCCTAGGTCCTCTAGGCTGACTGCGGCTCAGAGGAAACCTTGGCCCAGAGTGTAGGAGCTAGAGGGGTCCTTGGAATTCATGTGGGGAATTTGAGGCCCAAAGAAGGCAGTCCTCACATTTGAACTCTGTCTGGAGAAGGGCTAGGTCTTCTTCCTGAGTGGTAGTTTTGACTTCACCAGCCTGGCCCTCAGTCAAGCTGGCTGTCCAGGCCCGCCACACCTCGGGGTGGGTGACCAGAGGCGGTGGTGCCATAAAAACACGTTTCCTGGGAGATCCACCCCCAAAGCTCAAAACATTCCAGGGCTGGTGATTTGGGCAAGCCCCCTTCCCTCTCAGCCCAGTTTCCCCATCTCTGCAACAGCCGTGCTGGTGGAGACTTCTGATACTGAGCTGCAGATTTTCTCCTGGGTGCCTACACAGCCCAGGTTGCCGGCTCCTCTGTGCCCACTCTTCAAGAAGGTCAGCTCTTAGGTAAGGAAGGTGCCTTGGCCCTATCAGGAGCAGGAGCCGGTGCACCCCCAGCTTCCCAGACCAGTGGGGATGACCCAGGCTGCCTACAAAGCTGCTGCCCAGCCCAGAGACACCCGCCTGGGAGGGTGGCCCTGGCCCTTGCAGCGGCTCTGAGAAGAGTCGGCCCCCACTCCAAAACTGGCAGAGCCACCCATGCCTTCCCTCAGCCCAAAGAGGCTTTTAGGAACATGAATCGTCTCAAGTTCAAACCCATGGGGTTGCTGAAAGACAAGACAGTGCAGGGTGAGCTGGTGCGAGGGAGCGCTGCTCGGTGCAGACTTTGCAGGGAGGGCACTTAGGAAAAAGGACTGGAGTCTGGGAGGGTTAACTAGCTTAGGGTTAAAGGGAGGGGATGGAGCTGGAGTGAGCTGGCCTCGTCCTCCCCCTTGGGCCTTCCAGCCTGGGCTCAGGTGATTCAAGGGAGCAAGCACCTCCCTCTCCCAGCCAGGGAGTTCTCGCCACATTCTGCAATCAGTACCATTCCCCTGGGGGCTGGGTGACAGCCCCCACCTCTGGACCTGGCTGGAACTGCTGTCTCAATTCTAGATCCAAAAGAATCTCTGGCAGCTTCTCCATCTCCCTCTCAGTCCAGCCTCACCTCTTCGCCCGTGGAGGAGCTCCAACAGCAAATCTGGCAACTGGAGGAACAAGGCAGGAAGGGCAGGGTCTGAGGAAGGAACCACCTTCAAAAGGCAGCTCTGCCACCTTCTCTCCAGGACTCTCAGGCTTGCTTTCCTATTGCTCCCTCGACATCCTTTTGCTATAATCTGCCATGTTGACGTATAGTCTTTAAAAGCAACAATGCTGTTGACGTGGAGCAGACTTCCCATTTGGGATGGTTTGGAGAAGTTAGGTTTGAGGGCATCCTCTCTTCTGCAAACTGCAGCAGTAATAGATGAGATATACAAAGTAAATAAAGGCTGGGTGCGGTGGTCGTGCCTGTAATCCCAGCACTCTGGGAGGCTGAGGCAGGAGGATCACTTGAAGCCAGGAGTTCGAGACCAGCCTGGCCAATATGGCGACACCCTGTCTCTACTAAAAATGTAAAAATTAGCTGGGCATAGTGGTGCACACCTGTAGTCCCAGCTACTCAGGAGGCTGAGGCAGGAGAATCACTTGAACCCGGGAGGCAGAGGCTGCAGTGAAATGAGATCCCGCCACTGCATTCCAGCCTGGGCGACAGAGTGAGACTCCATCTCAAAAAATAAAAATAAAAAATAAAGTAAATAAAAAAGACATGCCCAGGCTGAAAAATAAGTTAATTATCTCCATGAACGAAAAGCAGACAAGAAATGCAAAGTGGTTGGAGGCTGAAGAGCCTGGACCCTCCTGGGCTTTGGGAACCAAAGATGGTGGCAAGTCCTTTGGGATAAAGAGGGACAAAATGACTCCTAGCTAGAAGCTGGGAGCTTGGGTGTACCCCAGTACTTGAAAGGATGCTAGCTGGGCGCGGTGGCTAATGCCTGTAATACCAGCACTTTGGGAGGCCGAGGGAAAGTAACTCTTATGTCAGTGTGAAGCAAATCAGACAGGACAGGGGAACATGGAGGGGAGGAGAGCCAAACCAGGGCCTGGTTCCAGACCCACCACACACGCCCTGTTGAGCCAGGAGCACAGGTGGCTCTCTGCACAACATCAAGAGCGAGGACATGCTTTCAGCTCCACTTTAACTCAGGTTCCTAATGTGACAGCAGGCTTGTCAATCCCACTTGCCCCCGTGGCTCACACCAGAAAACTACCAGCAGTGTGAGTAAGGACAGAAGCAGGAGACAGAGGAGCCAGGGTTGGGGAATCCCATAGCAACCCACAGGCCCTCATCACACACGGCAAGGATGCGCCTTCACTGGGCTCACCACCACCACTAGACATCACCTTCACTACATGATACCCTGCCTGGATAACACCACTGTAACACAAGAAACAGGTCTAGAATCTAACATGTATGCTACACCTGAAGGAGCAAGAGACGGTAATACAATACAATGAAATTTTTAGTTTATTTAATATAAAATTTAGAGCCATAATCAAAATGTGTAATTCTGATGGGATTCACTACTTATAAAAACTTCGCAGCACTCTATTTTCAAATGTAAATGGTATTCTGTGGCTCCTCGCCAGCATGTAAATAACGATCTACTCTGAAATACGTTTCACGGCTTATTTTTGGCAAGCAGCGATTTCTCCAACCCACGTTTTCCAAGGGAAAAAAGGACATGAAATGTCTCCAAAAGTCTCTTACGATCTTTAGATAAACTACTGTTCAACAACTGCATCTGCCAAGTCAACACATCAAGAATCCTTCACTCACAAACACTTAAGGTGAGAAAACAGTGTCTACCCATGCAGGAGAGGGACACATGATCCATGCTTATGAAGACAGCCTGGATATCGGCTACTGGAAAGCTGCGAATGCATTTTTCTTTTTCTACTTTCCAAAAGTTTTGTGAGGTGATACTTATTTCTATGTTTGTGTCTATTCTTTTTATTTTGTATTTTTTAGTAGGTACATCCTTACTATAAATCTGCTGTAGAACCAATGTCCCATACAGGACCCCACGTGCCACAGGAACCAAAAAGTCACACGCAGCGAAGACGAAGACACAGGAGACAACCTGTGTGGACAGCACAGAGCCACCTGCCCAGGACACCAATGGAGCCACAGGTGCAATTCAAAATGTTCTTAGTCGTATTAATAAACATGGCCAGGTGCGGTGGCTCACGCCTGTAATCCCAACACTTTGGGAGGCTGAGGTGGGCAGATTACCTGAGGTTGGGAGTTCAAGACCATCCTGGCCAACATGGTGAAACCCCATCTCTACTAAAAATACAAAAATTAACCAGGTATGGTGGCATGCTTCTGTTAGTCCCAGCCACTCAGGAGGTTGAGGCAGGAGAATCATTTGAACCCAGGAGGCAGAGGCTGCAGTGAGCTGAGATTGTGCTACTGCACTCCAGTCCAGGCAACAGAGTGAGGATCCATCTCCGGGTGGGGAAAAAAAATTGTTCTTAGTCACATTAACAAAAGTAAAAAAAAAAAACAAAAAACACACCAACAAGAAAAACAACAACACATAAAATTAATTGTAATAATGGCTGGTTGCAGTGGCTCATGCCTGTAATCCCAGCACTCTGGGAAGCCAAAGCGGGCAGATTACTTGAGGTCAGGAGTTCGAGACCAGCCTGGCCAACATGGTGAAACTCTGTCTCTACAAAAATACAAAAATCAGCCAGGCGTGGTGGTAGTCCCAGCTGCTCGGGAGTCTGTAGTCCTGTAGTCCCAGCTGCTCAGGAGGCTGAGGCAGGAGAATCACTTGAACACAAGAGGCGGAGGTTGCAGTGAGCCAAGATTGCACCACTGCACTCCGGTCTGGTCAACAGAGTAAGATTCCATCTTAAAAAATAAAAATAATTTTAATAATGTATCATAGTTATTCCAACAGATCAAAAATATGACCATTTCAACATGAAATCAATCTAAGAAAAATTATTGAGATATTTTACATAGGTTATTTCATATTAAGTCCTCAAAAACCATCTGAGTAGCTTACATACGTAACACATTTCAATTTGGACCGTGAAATTTGCATTGAAAACATCTGATCTCCATTTAGACTCATAAAATACACAGTTGACAAAGTAGACTCCCAAGGCCAAGTGATTCTAAACATACTTAAGTGCTTTCTAATAACAGAATCAAATTTTCAAACCTGCATTTTAATGAATAAAAATTAAACAGATAAAATATTCAGTGTCTCAGCTATGACGGACAGACTTCAAGTGCTGATCAGCAAACGGTGTTGAGTGTAGCCAGATGGGCCAGCGCAGGCTACACAGCTGCAGCTCAAACAGCACAGCTGCAGGTCAAACAGGCCAGTCTCTCTGCGCACGGGAACAGTCTGGGCAAGCAGGAGACGGGGAAAACGGGCACTGCCCTCGTGAGAACAAAGGACCCACAACAGGAACCCTGCACTCACCCCCTGCCAAAGACCAACAGCCCCACGAAGCAGCCACTTCAGAAAAGGGAGAGGCATTCAAGAACTTAGAAAAGCACCTCTGGAAAATGCTCACTTTAAAACTTTGCATGTAACTGTACATTTTAATTACAAGGTTTTTAACATCCATTTTCTCATGTATTCTTAATTAACTCTGTGAAAGTAAACACAGCTTTTATTCTTACTCCTATAGTTACTGTGTTGGAAGTCCACCTATATGAACAAACTGTTGTAACTGAAATTTTCTGAGAACAAATCCCAAGCTCTTTCCATCGACACAAACTATATTGTTTAGTTCTCTTTATTTCCATTTGTTAAAGACCAGAATGTGTGAAATATGCATTATCAGATTAGAAAAACAAAACAAACATCAGAAAAAGGTTTTGCAAAATAGCATTTACTAAAATCTATGACAGAAACTAGCTCTAAAACTTCCTGTTTCAAAATTTCACTGTGTGTGCACTAAGTTAGTTTTTCTGGCTGTGGACAGCAGGCCCACCCGATGCCGCGGGCCCACCCCACGCCGCAGGCCCACCCCACGCCACAGGCCCACCCCACGCCACAGCCCACCATGGCCCCATGAACAGGCCAGCTGAGAGCTGCAGCCACTGCCCAGGGCTCCCTGGTCTGTACTCGGCTGCCTGACCCAAGCTGCCAGGGCTCTGCTTTCTCTATGTGTAGAAACAAAAACCAGGAGCATCAGTTGACGAAAAGCAGATTTTTATTGAACAGAGGTATAAATGTGTTTCATTTTCTAATAAATCTCTTTCACAAATCACCTTGCTGTTTCGCTCTTCTTGAATGATCATTTTTACACAACACTGTCTGACTGTTTTGGCTTCTGCCAAGGTTAGCGTCTGTTCACAGGCTGAGTCTGACTTCTTCCTCCCACCTCCTCCTAGTCTGGCCTTCCAAAATAATGCTCACCATTCTATCACATTGACTTCAGTTTTGAAAAGAAAAGTTATCTTACAAAGTAGTATGTATAACTCTGTAATATATAAAGTGAGGCAATGATACAATCAGTTTTAAAAATAACCTTCCATGATGATTTTCATTTGCATCCACCTGCTTATTAGTAAGAATCTTTTTACATGTTTACTGCACGCCCCAATTTCTCTTCAGTGAAAAACTTTTGAGTATCATCACACCCTCCAACTTCTCCTCTCACCTATATTGAAAAGGGTCTGCTCTTTATCCTAACATCTATACTAGGTAATTTTCAGAATATTCCTTCAATCATCAAACAAATTTTTGAGATCCTTGCGCTAGATTTCACTATCTTAATATGAAAACCAATAATCACCTATTAAAATACAATACAGGCCAGGCACAGTGGCTAACACCTGTAATCCCAACATTTTGAGAGGCCAAGGCAGGTGGGTCACCTGACGTCAGGAATTTGAGACCAGCCTGACCAATATGGTAAAACCCCATCTCTACTAAAAATACAAAAATCAGCCAGGTGTGGTTGCAGACGCCTGTAGTCCCAGCTACTCGGGAGGCTGAGGCAGGAGAATAGCTTGAACCCAGGAGGCGGGGGTTGCAGTGAGCCAAGATCGTGACACTGCACTCCAGCCTGGACGATAGAGCAAGACTCCATCTCAAAAAAAAAAAAAAAAAAAAAAACACCATTAATAAGTAAATAAATAGGCCAGGCGTGGTGGCTAATGCCTGTAATCCCAACATTTTGATAGGCCAAAGTGGATGGACCACCTGAGGTCGGGAGTTCAAGACCGGCCTGACCAACATGAAGAAACCCTGTCTCTAATAAAACTACAAAATTAGTGGGGCATGGTGGCGCATACCTGTAATCCCAGCTGCTCGAGAGGCTGAGGCAGAGGAATTACTTGAACCTGGGAGGCGGAGGTTGCAGTGAGTCAAGATCGCACCACTGCACTCGGGCCTGGGCAACAAGAGCGAAACTCTGTCTCAAAAAACAAAAAAGTAAATAAATAAAACACAATACAATACAGCTAATATGATTTACCTAAGAAGCTGTTGTATGAGCTGAACCAGAGGCAAACACTGTTTGCCAGAAGACTCACAGATCCCCGTATTAATAAGGTCTTTATCCAATGGAGTCCTCCTTCTATGAAATGTTGAGGCATTTGCTTCCTGTTCATAAATTTCTTTTTCCTTCCGTGCTTCTTTTTTTGTATCCTGTAATTGATAAACAGAAATTGTTTACAAGTGATCTCATTACCAGGTGTGAAGGCACACAGGCTGGCTGAGCCCTGACCCCAGTGCCAAGCTATCCCAGCCTCTGTGGCTGCCACACCCATCCACCCACAGGCCCCCACCTGCCCTGTTGGAAACCCCAACTCATCTGTGCAGTTTCAAACAGTGTCTTCTTTTTACAGATCCAAGGTCTAGGCTGCCTCTGCTGATGCTCTCCAGCCTCCTTCTGTGAAGTCCCTAAAATCCTTAACCCTGCTAATGGCTCACACAAAACCCAATGTGATCGGCTCCACACACACAGCATCCAGCTGCTCTGTAAGGACAAGAAGGAGCTAGAATTCTCACACACAAAAGTCCTGGTTCAAATGTAAATGGCAAAGCCACTTTGGGAAACTATGAACACACACTAACCCCAGGACCTAACAAATTCCACTCCAAGTGTTTATCCAAAGGGAGAACATATGTTCACTAAAGTACTTGTTCACAGCACAATTGTGGCAGCTCTACACGGCCAAAAACCAGAAAGCCTGGGCGCGGTGGCTCACGCTTGTAATCCCAACACTTTGGGAGGCCAAGGTGGGGGGATCACTGGAGCCCAGGAGTTGAAGACCAGCCTTGCAACACAGTGAAACCTTGTCTCTACAAAAAAATCAAAAAACTAGCCGGGCATGGTGACATGTATGTGGTCCCTGCAACACAGGAGGCTGAGGTGGGAGGATCATTTGAACCTAGGAGTACAAGGCTGCAGTGAGCCAACATCAGGTCACTGTATACAGCCTGGGTGACAGAGCAAGACCCTGTCTCAAAAAAAAAAAAAAAAAAAGAAAACAAAAACCAAAAACAATTACATGTCCTTCAATAGGAGAATGAACTAACAAACAGTACTACACCTATAAAATGGAAAACTTCCCAATAATAAAAACGAAGTCGCAATACACACAACAGTGAGTGAATCTGAAAATCATTCTCCAAGGCAAAGCAGGAAAGAGTGCATACTATACAGTTATATTGCTGCGACACTCAGAGCAGGAAAAATGAATCTAATCTCAGGGCAGGGGAGTATCCTGGCTGCAAGTGCCAAGGAGCACAGGGATCTTTCCGGGTGACGGGAATGGTCTACATGAGGAACAGGTTACCTGTTAACTTCACTGAAACAGACAACATGCAGTATTTTATCACAAATCATCTCAATAATTTTTAAAATTAGCACATAAAAGAATTTTAATTTAAAAAAATACTTGGATATAAGTTTAGTGTTTTACTGTTTTCAGTTATTCTTCACATGTGTGAGTGTGGTATTTCCGATCTCAGCCCACCACCAGGTCACGTGTGCCTCCAAGGCCATACCTGGATCTCTGCAGTAATGGCTGCGTGTAAGGCTGACTCCAACCCTCCATCAGCCATCAAGCTGCCCACCAGAAGATCAATCACCAATCGATGACCTGGACTTATGCTCACTTCATTGCCTGAAACTGAAATAGAAAGTGTGTGCCAATTTGAGTGAAACGCCATCCCCTCCCAGCACCCTGACCCATGCCCTCTCCTGTTCCTTCCCCGAGCCCACCTCCGCAGGACAGGAGAGCAGAGTGCCCGGGCCTGCTTCTCAGCGGTGGGCAACAGCATGGACCAGCCGCTCTGCAGCATGGCCTGGGAGGCCGACTGCACGGTGCTCAGCACGTCTGCGCTGCTTGCCAGGGTCACCACCTTCTGCTTCAGGCTGTTCAGGAAGACGCTGCCCAGACCTAAACCAAGGAATTCCAGGTCAACCTGGTGACTAATGGCAGCATGCAACTGAAAGGAGAAAAACAATTTTCACTTAGAACCCCTAAAAATGAGTGAATTTCAAAGTCTTATTAAACACTGAATAAAAGTCAATTTGAAGTATTATCTAAATAGACAAAATAACTTCTCAGTTTACGTATTTTTAAAAACTGGACTAAAAAAAACTCTTACCCACAATAGTTGAAGTATTTTCTAGAGGAATTTTTTTTAACCCCACTATGAACACATATATGGAAAAGCTCAAGATGAGCAGAAGAGCTAAACAACTAGCAACAGCAACCTCCACCCCGCCCCAACAATCTGCACCAAACACAGAAATAATGGCTACAATGTAACCACAAAAGCTGCCACAGGCGGTGGCTCATGCCTGTAATCCCAGCACTTTGGGAGGCCGACGTGGAAAGCTCACTTGAGATCAGGAGTTCAAGATCAGCCTGGCCAACATGATGAAACCCCATCTCTATAAAAAAATCAGCCGGGTGTGATGGTACACACCTGTAGTCCCAGCTACTTGGGAGGCTGAGGCAGGAGAATCACTTGAACCTGGCAGGCCAAGACTGTACCACTGCATTCCAGCCTGGGTGACAAAGTGACACCCTGTCTAAAAAAAAAAAAGAGCTGCTAAAAATTAGACTGCGGAGCTGAGAGTACACAGGGAAACTCCTCAAGTGCAAAACCAAAATTCACGTGGGCACACACAGCAGGAGTCAAGAGGTTCCGGGCTCTGAAAGCAGAGCCAAGCCGCCAGGCTTCAGCACAACCTCCCACACGGGAATGCACACAAGGACCCACTGAACCCGAGCTTCCTGCAGAAGGCTGGGAGCCACTCAGGATCACCTGCCTGCCAGCCAACCGCAGCCAGGGGGCAACACACTGCCCGTCCCAGGCTCTGGGTAGCAAGAGGCCCCATGAGAAATCAGAGACCCGGCCTTGCCCTGTGAGTAGAAGTGAAATCAAAAGCACACCACTCATCTAGGTATAGATATCACAGGTCAGGAAATGACCACCGAAACTCACCTGGAGTCTGTGAAACCTACAGAACCCTCAGGACCCCGGAGAGGCAAATGCAAAACCATACGCTGGGACACCTCGACAGCCTAAGACATACGCAAGGCCACGCCCCACAGCACTGACCAGAACAGACACATCACCGCAAACCAGGAGGGGCAGCAAACACCTGGGGCGCAACCACGCAAACGCCAGGATGCCACAGATATGGTGATAAATGAGTGCTACAGAGGACTAGAGGAGAAGCATGCTCCAGACCTCTGCTCAGTTCATTACTGCAACTAAACACTACACTCAGTTCTGTACATTCTAGAAGCAGGGCAAAAAGGGGAGGGGCTGGAAGAGGGACATGACGGGTTGTTACAAGAAACCACTGTAATAAAAGGGAAAAATTACTATGTTGAGAAAACCGTGGTTCTTGTCATTAAGTTAGAGGGTTTTATTACAAAGACAAAAGATGATGATCAAACACTTCAGCTTTAGTTTTGCTAGGGAGGAAGGCTTTTGTAGCTTTTATTTTGACCCTAACCACAGCCTTCATGGTGAGGAAAGGAAGGTATTGCTTTGGGAGCCGAGCTTACTGAGTAGATCAAGCTTGTTCAACCCACGGCCCGAGGGCAGCATGTGGCCCAGGGCAGCTTTGAATGTGGCCCAAAGTAAAATTTCTTAAAACATCATGAGATATTTTTGGGATTCTTTTTTTAAGCTCATCAGCTATCATAAGTGTATTTTATGTGTAGCCCAAGACAATTCTTCTTCCAGTGTGGCCCAGGGAAACCAAAAGACTGGACCCTCCTGGAGCAGGGTTTTCACAGGACAGAGGAGAGACAGGCCAGCACTGGTCTCTCAGCTGAGCGCTGTCTCTCTCCATCACCTGTGATCTCACCCAGTCATTTCTCCACACGCAACAACAGTAAAACAGTAAGAATACCAACAAACTAATGATTATAGCAAAAATAACACAATCCATATACACTCTTCCTGCATGCCGAGGCTGACTTCCAGGACAAACATAAAATAAACAGATCAAGTTTTTTAAGCCTTGCGTCCATTATTAGTGCATTACAATCTTACTTTAAAATACTTCCCCCAGCAGGCTAAAACCTATGTCCTTCAAAATACATAAACCTTCTTACAAATCGCTAAGACACTTATAAAAGGAGCAAGAGGAAGGGAAATCACGAATACCTGAAGTCGGGGAAGATTCAGCGTTGCCACGGCCACGCACTCTTTCTCCTGGGGCGGGGGCCAGTCCGTGGAGCCATCCATCCCCTCACTCACCTGCCGAAGCAGGAGATCCAGCTGCTCAAAAGTCACTGAGCAAATATCCACCCCAAAAGGGACATGGAGGCCAATGGACCACTCAGAACACGATGACCAAGCAATGCTCTAAGAGGAAACGCAACAATCGGAAATGAATCTCCAAATGCAGCTCTTGGTCTGTCGCACAGGAGTCACCAGCTTGTGTGATGGAGCTGCCTTATATTATTACCTATCATCCCTCTAACTGCCCAGTGGAAAAGCATTCATGGGTGTCTAGCTCACACACTATCAGCTTCCAATTCTCCCACCCATTTCACTAGCCCCATCTCACTTGGCCATACCTAAAAAAGTAAAAACATTTTAAAAAATCTTTTCACTCTCAAAATGATTAATGCACATTAATGGATGGCAGTGAGGCTCTCCATCCACTTGAAGTGGTATAATAGCAACTCTAACTAGACAATGAATTGTTAGACACATATAACACACACAATATCTTTCATAGTGAGAGAACAAGTAATCGGCAAAAATCTAGGAGAACTGTAGAACACCTTCAATAAACTGGATCTAATTTATAGAACACTTCACCCAACAACAGCAAAATACATATACTTTTTTTTTTTTTTGAGACAGAGTCTCGCTCTGTCGCCCAGGCTAGAGTGCAGTGGCGGGATCTCAGCCCACTGCAAGCTCTGCCTCCTGGGTTCACGCCATTCTCCTACCTCAGCCTCCTGAGTAGCTGGGACTACAGGTGCTCACCACCACGCCTGGCTAATTATTATTATTTTTTTAATTTTTATTTTTAGTAGAGATGGGGTTTCACCATGTCAGCCAGGATGGTCTTGATTTCCTGACCTCGTGATCCACCTGCCTTGGCCTCCCAAAGTGCTGGGATTACAGGCGTGAGCCACCGTGCCCGGCCATACATACACTTTACATATACTTTTTTTAAATTTTATTTTTTTTGAGATGGAGTCTAGCTCTGTCGCCCAGGCTGGAGTGCAGTCGCATGATCTCAGTTCACTGCAAGCTCTGCTTCCCAGGCTCAAGCCAGTCTCCTGCCTCAGCCTCCCAAGTAGCTGGGACTACAGGCGCCCGCCATCATGCCCGGGTAATTTTTTTTGTATTTTTAGTAGAGACGGAGTTTCACCCTGTTAGCCAGGATGGTCTCGATCTCCTGACCTTGTGATCTGCCTGCCTCGGCCTCCCAAAGTGCTGGACCATACATATACTTTTTAAGCACATACAGACCATACATATACTTTTTACACATATATGTATACATGTATGTATATACAGACCATACATATACAGACCATACATATACTTTTTAAGCACATACAGAATGTTCACTGAGAACATAACCTGACACATAAATCTTAACAAATTTAAAAGAAATGAAATCATATGCAGTTTGTTCTCCAATCACAATGGTATTAAACTAGAAATCATTAACAAAACAATCTGCAAACACTTCAAAATAAAACAACATACTTAATAATCCATGGGTCAGGCCGGGCTCACTGGCGCACGCGTGTAATCCCAACACTGTGGGAGGCCAAGTTGGGGGGATCACCTGAGGCCAGGAGTTGAAGATCAGCCTGGCCAACATGGAGAAACCCCATCTCTACTGAAAATACAAAACAATTAGCCGGGCATGGTGGCGGGTGCCCGTAGTCCCAGCTAATCAGGAGGCTGAGGCAGGAGAATCGCTTGAACCCAGGAGACAGAGGTTGCAGTGAGCCGAGATCATGTCATTGCACTCCAGCCTGGGCAACAAGAGTGAAACTCCGTATTGAAGAAAAATAATAATAATAATAATAATCATCATCATCATCCATGGGTCAAAGAACAATTCTCAAAAGAAATTAGAAAATATTTTGAACATAAATGAAAATGCACCAAAATTTGTGGGGTTAATTAAAGCACTGCTTAGAGGAAAATTTATAGCATCAAATCATTATATATTACAAAAAAGATAGGTCTAAATCAGTAATCTAAGTTTCCACCTTAAGAAACCAGAAAAAGAGCAAAGTGAACGCAAAACAAGCCAAAGGAACAAATGCCAAGATAAAAGCAGAAACTAATGAGATTGAAAGCAAAAAAAGAAGGGAAAAATTAATGAAACTTAAAGATCATTCTTTGAAAAGATCAACAAAATTGAAAAACTCTAGGAAAACTGACAAAGAAAAAAACAGAAAAGATACAAATTATCAGTATCAGGAATGAATGAAGGGACATCACTGCAGGCCCCACAGACTTCAGACGGTTAGCAATAGAACACTAAGGAAAACTTGACACTTAAAAATCAGACAACTTAGATGAAATAAAGCAATGTCCGAGTGCCACAAACCAGGAAAATCCTCCTAGAAACAAACAGGTTACCTGAATAGTTCTGTATCTGTTAAATAAATTGAATTTGTAAAAAAATTTTTTTTTTTTTGAGCCGGAGTCTCACTCTGTCACCCAGGCTGGAGTGCATTGGTGCAATCTCAGCTCTCTGCAATCTCTGCCTCCCAGGTTCAAGTGATTCTCCTGCCTTAGCCTCCTGAGTAGCTGGGATTACAGGCGCACGCCACCAAGCTCGACTAATTTTTTGTATTTTTAGTAGAAACGGGGTTTCACCATGTTAGCCAGGCTGGTCTCAAACTCCTGACCTCAGGTGATCCACCTGCCTCGGCCTCCCAACATGCTGGGATTATAGGCACGAGCCACCGTGCCCGGCGTAAAATCTTTTAGAAAGAAATCTCCAGGTTCAGATGGATTCAAAAACATTTAAAGAAGAAATAACACTAATTCTACACAATCCCTTAGAGAAAATGGAAAAGGAGGGAACACATGCCAATACTTTGTATAAGGTCAGCTTTCCCCTGACAGAAAGCCAGACGAGATAGTGTAATACAAAGAAAGAAAACTGCAAACCAACATCCCTGGTGAGCATCAACAGAAAAATCCTCAAAAACGTGTTAGCAAGTCAAATTTAGCAATATAGAAACAGAATAGGGCCGGGCGCAGTGGCTCACGCCTGTAATCATAGGAATATTGGGATGCCAAGGAGGGTGGATCACTTGAGGTCAGGAGTTGGAGACCAGGCTGGCCAACATGGTGAAACCCCATCTCTACTAAAAACAAACAACAAACAAACAAAATTAGCCAGGTGTGGTGGTGCACACCTCTAATCCCAGCTACTCAGGAAGCTGAGGCAGGAGAATTGCTTGAACCCAGGAGGCAGAGGTTGCAGAGAGCTGAGATTGCACCAATGCACTCCAGCCTGGGTGACAGAGTGAGATTCTGTCTCAAAAAAAAAAAAAAAAAAAAAGAGAAAGAGAGTAGTAAATTGTGGCCAAGTGATGCCTATCCCAGTAACACAAGGCTTGGTCAGTATTTAAAAATCAGGCTGGTATAGTGTCTCACACCTGTAATCCCAGCACTTTGGGAGCTCACTGCAACCTCAAACTCTTAAGCTCAAGCAATCCTCCTGCCTCAGCCTCCTGAGTAGCTGAGACTACAGGTGCACACCAGCATGCCACGCTAATTTTTAATTTTTTTGTAGAGATGGGATCTCGCTGTGTTGCCCAAGCTGGTCTCTGACTCCTGGGCTCAAGTGACCCTCTCGCCTATGCCTCCCGAAGTGCTGGTGTGAGCTGTTGCACCCAGCCAAAATACGGCAGATTTGTAGTACCCCAGAAGGCTCCTTCCTGACCTACACTTTCCCACAAAGGAAACTACTCTTCTGACTTCAATCATCGTCAGTTCTGCCTTCCTGCGCTTCATCTAGGTGGGCTGGTACTGTGCACTGTCTCTCATACCTGGCTCCCTCTATTCACCCATGTCGTTGAGTGTTCCTACCACTTCATTTTTCTTTTTTGGCTGTGTAGTATTCCATGATGTGACTGTATCACCATTTATTCACTCTCCTGTTGATGGACATTTAGGTTGTTTTCATTTGGGGCTCTTATGAATAAAAATGGCAGTGAACATTCTTATATAAGTCTTTTTGTGGACATATGCACTCGTTTCTCTTGTGTACATGCTTAGGATGGAATTTCTGAACGTAGGCATAGATATAGCTTTAGTAGAAGCTGCCAAACAGGTTTCCAATGTGCTTATACAATTTTATGCTACTGCCAGCTTGACAGTTCTTGTAGCTCTACATCTTTACCAATACTCTGTATAACACAGCATTTAACTTTAAATAGAGATAAAACGATGGTAAGATCCAAAGAAGTGTGCACGTTCCTGAAGAACATCCAGTAAAGGGCCTATTTTATTCATCTGTTTCGGGCACTGAAAACCACTGCATGGCCGGATGAGGAAGGAGGCCTGGTACAACTCCCAAGAAGGCATGTGTCCCTCGGGTGGGCTTTGTTTCCCAGAAACTCTGGGGAAGGGGTGGAGAGGCACCTTCTGGGCCAGCTGGTCTCCTCTGGCTTTTCTTGTACCCTAGGGCTCCCTCCAAAGAGACAGAGAACAGCCTGGCCGGGGAGCAGTATCTCCTACTGCGCTTGCTGTGAGCCAGCCACTCTGCCTTCTTTCAGGAATTACAAAATCCACAGGTCCCCGGCATCCTTATTTATGTATTTATTCATTTATGAGGCATGGTTTTCCTCAGCTCTGTTGGATGGGTCTCTGTGAAGGGAGCTTGGTGGGGGCGAGTGGCCCCTCCCTGGAGGAGGCAGGCCCCTGGTCAGGATCTTTGGGGCTCCAGGTCTCATAAGTGGGGGGCCAGGCTCCCTAGAGAAACCCTTCTTGGCTAGGGCTGGGGAGCCCACCAGAGTGACCCAATCAGTTCTCAGGGCCTGTGATGGGGCCAAGTGGTTTTGAGAAGCCAGTGTTCAGCTCCATCCTAAAGAGCACTCATGCACGTTGGGGAGGAGGGCCGGGGTGCACAGCTCTGACCTGAGTCAGACCCACCTCAGGACTTAGCCCAGCAGGAGGCCCAGAGTCACTGACCATAAAACGAGCAGATGCCTCCCCCGTGCTGATGGAGATGAGTCTTGGGCATCAACTCTAATAATTTCTAACTGCACCCAGAAATACTGATTCACACAGCAACTAGTGAATAATAGCCTTTTAGAGCTAAAAAAGCCTCATATATTATAAATTAACATATGCATTTTACACAAACTAGAGGCACCGTGGTGGGCCAGCAGCAGCCTGTTCAGGGGCCACAACAAGGGAGATTGGATTTCCTTAAGTGCAATGGGAGTTACTGGCAAGGCTTTAAGGTTTTAGCCACAGGAAAGATGAAAGTATTTTAGAGCAATGTGGGTGGATTCAAAGTGAGGTTTTGAACTAGATCAGTTTTTTTTTTTTTTTTTTTTTTTTTAGACAGAGTCTGACTCTTATTGCCCAGGCTGGAGTGCAGTGGTGCTATCTTGGCTCCCTGCAACCTCTGCCACCCAGGTTCAAGCAATTCTCCTGCCTCAGCCTCCTGAATAGCTGGGATTACAGGCACCTGCCACCAAGCCCGGCAAATTTTTGTATTTTTACGGGGTTTCACCATCTTGGCCAGGCAGTTCTTGAACTCCTGACCTCGTGATCCACCTGCCTTGGCATCCCAAAGCATTAATTTTTTTTTTTTTTTTTTGAGACGAAGTCTTGCTGTGTCGCCCAGGCTGGAGTGCAGTGGCCCGATGTCGGCTCACTGCAAGCTCCGCCTCCCAGGTTCACGCCAGTCTCCTGACTCAGCCTCCCGAGTAGCTGGGACTACAGGCGCCCGCCACGATGCCCAGCTAATTTTTTGTATTTTTTTTAGTAGAGATGGGGTTTCACCGTGTTAGCCAGGGTGGTCTCAATCTCCTGACTTCCTGATCTGTCCGCCTTGGCCTCCCAAAGTGCTGGGATTACAGGGGTAAGCCACCACGCCCCTCCAAGTATTAAATTTTTTATTTAAAAAATCTCCCCTCTCCAAAGATCTCCCAGCATTTCTGCAGAGGTCTCTACCTAGGTAAGGAGAAGAAACTATTCTTGGCCGGGTACAGTGGCTCACGCCTGTAATACCAGCACTTTGGAAAGCCAAGGTTGGAGGATTCCTTGATCCCAGAAGTTCGAGACCAGCCTGGCCAACATGGTGAAACCCCATCTTTACCAAAAATACAAAAATTAGGTGGGTGTGGTGGAGTGTGCCTGTAGTCCCAGCTACTCAGGAGGCTGAGGTAGAAGGATCGCTTGGGCCTGGGAGGTCAAGTCTGCAGTGAACCAAGGTGGTGCCACTGCACTCCAGCCTGGGTAACAGAGTGAGATCCTGTCTCAAAAAAAAAAAAATTATTTGTGAGGGTGAAATTTAAATACCTTTGTGCATAGCTATCAGTTATTCTTTGTTTTAATATTTAGTTTATTGTGAAATATAACACATATAGAAACATACATAAAACAACACACAGGGCCAGGCCCGGTGGGTCACGCCTTGTAATCCCAGCACTTTGGGAGGCCGAGGTGGACGGATTACTTGAGGTGAGGAGTTTGAGACCAGCCTGGCCAACATGGTGAAACCCCATCTCTACTAAAAATACAAAAATTAGTCAGATGTGGTGGTGCATGCCTGTAATCCCAGCTACTTGGGAGGCTGAGGCAGGAGAATCGCTTGAACCTGGGAGGCAGAAGTTACAGTGAACCAAGATCGTGCTACTGCACTCCAGCCTGGGCAACGGAGTCAGACTGTGTCTAAAAAAAAAGAAAAAAAATAAAGGCTGGGTGTGGTGGCTCACGCCTGTAATCCCAGCACTTTGGGAGGCCGAGGCGGGCAGATCCCTTGAGGTCAGGAGTTCGAGACCAGCCTGACCAACATGGAGAAACCCCATCCCTACTAAAAGTACAAAATTAGCCGGGCATGGTGTTGCATGACTGAAATCCCAGCTACTTTGGAGGCTGAGGCAGGAGAATCGCTTGAATCTGGGAGGTAGAGGTTGTTTTGAGCTGAGATCACGCCATTGTACTCCAGCCTGGGCAACAAGAGCGAAACTCCGTCTCAAACAAACAAAAAACAAAACAAAAACAAAAAACACAGTGTAACATGTTATTATAAAGTCACTGCTCAGGGACCAACTTGGCCGCTCCTGTGCCTCTAGAGGGAAGCTCCTTCCCACTGTTCTTTAGAGTTTTATATGTTAAGTACAGGAGTCAACAAACTAGGCCTATGCACCACATCTGGCACCCAGCCTTTATTTATTTTTTGAGATGGCGTCTCACTCTGTCACCCTGGCTGCAGTGTGGTAGCACAATCTCGGCTCACTGCATCCTCCACCTCCCAGATTCAAGCAATTCTCCTGCCTCAGCCTCCTGAGTAGCTGGGATTACAGGTGTGTGCCACCACACCCGGCTAATTTTTATATTTTTGGTAGAGACGGGGTTTCACCATGTTGGTCAGTCTGGTCTCGAACTCCTGACGTCAGGTGATCCGCCTGCGTTGCCCTCTCAAAGTGCTGGGATTACAGGCATGAGGCATGATGCCTGACCCAGCCTTTTTTAAAATGAAGGTTTCGGCTGGCGCGGTGGCTCATGTCTGTAGTCCCAGCATTTTGGGAGGCCAAGGCAGGTGGATCACCTGAGGTCAGTAGTTGGAGACCACCCTGGCCAACATGGTGAAACCCCGTCTGTATCAAAATACAAAAATTAGCTGGGCGTGATGGCAGGCACATGTAATGCCAGCTACTCGGGAGCCTGAGGCACGACAATCACTTGAACCCGGGAGGCGGAGGTTGCAGTGAGCCAAGATCACATGATTGCACTCCAGCCTGGGCAACGAGCAAAACTCCATTTCAAAATACAATAATAAAAAAAAGGATGTCCTTTTTTGTCTCTCAACCCCGTTTTTTATTTTTTTTTATTTTCAGACAGGGTCTCGCTCTGTTGCCCAGGGTGGAGTGCAGGGGCCCGATCTTAGCTCACTGCGGCCTCAACTTCCCCAGCTCACATGATCCTCCCACCTCAGCCTCCCAAATAGCTGGGACCACAGGTGGGTACCACCATGCCCGCCTAATTTTTGTATTTTTTGTAGAGATGGGATTATGCCATGTTGCTCAGGCTGATCTCGAACTTCTGGGCTCAAGTGTCTCTCTGCCTCCACCTCCCAAAGTGCTGGGATTGCAGGCCTGAGCTACCATGCCCAGCCCTGCTTTAATTTAAAGTGTATTACATTTGATATTAGTACAGCCCCTTCAGCTCTTTTTTGGTTACTATTTTAATTGTATCTTTGTATCCCTTTACTTTCAATCTGTTTCTGTATTTAAAATGTTTATCTTGTAGATAGCACATTGGTGGATCATATTTTGTTCTTCAATCCTTTCAGCCAGTCTGCTTTTCTTTCTTTCTTTTTGAGACAGAGTTTTCCTTTTGTCACCCAGGCTGGAGCGCTATGGTGCGATCTCAGCTCACTGCAACCTCTGCCTCCTGGGTTCAAGCGATTCTCCAGCCTCAGCCTCCTGAGTAGCTGGGATTACAGGTGCGTGCCACCAGGCCTGACTAATTTTTGTATTTTTAGTAGAGACAGGGGTTTCTTCATGTCGGTCAGGCTGGTCTTGAACTCCTCACCTCAGGTGATCCACCGCCTCAGCCTCCCAAAGTGCAGGCATTACACGCGTAAACCACTGCGCCCGGCCAAAGTGGTGGATTTTTTTTCTCAGAAAATCTATTCCATTCTTTTTCCAGAAACCAAATTTGTACAAGTTAACTAAAATAAATATTTATACTCTAATTTTTTTGTTCTGAGGTCTGAGTTTTTAGAATTTTATCTTTACATGTTTAGAAAAATTAGAAAATATAGATAGAACATAACCAAGAAAATAATAACAACTTTCCTTCTGTTCAAAGTTCATTACTATTAGCCGAGTGCAGTGACTCACACCTGTAATCCTAGCACTTTGGGAGACTGAGGCGGGCGGATCACTTGAGCCCAGGAGTTCGAGACCAGCCTGGGCAACATGGCAAAATCCCGTCTACAAAAACTACAAAAATTAGCCAGGTGTGGTTCCATGTGCCTGCAGTCCCAGCTAGTGGCAAGGCTGAGGTGGAGAACCACCTGAACCCGGTAAGTCAAGGCTGCAGTGGTGCAGCCTCTGTCCCCCAGGCTGGAGTGCAGTGGTGCAATGTCGGCTCACTGCAACCTCCGCCTCCCGGGTTCAAGCGATTCTCCTGCCTCGGCCTCCCGAGTAGCTGGGATTACAGTCACGTGCCACCACACCTGGCTAATCTTTGTATTTTCAGTAGAGAAGGGGTCTCATCATGTTGGCCAGGCTGGTTTTGAACTCCTGACCTCAAATGATCCACCTGCTCTGGCCTCCCAAAGTGCTGGGATTACAGGCCTGAGCCACCACGCCCGGCCGTTATTTTTCTTTCTTAGAGGCAGGATCTCACTCTGTCGCCCAGGCTGGAGTGTAGTGGCACGATCTAAGCTCACTGTAGCATTGATCTCCCAGGCTCAGGCGATTCTCCTGTCTCAGCCTCCCGAGCAGCTGGGATCACAGGTGTGTGCCACCACACCTGGCTAATTGTTAAATTTTTTTATTTTTATTTTTTAGAGATGGGGTCTTGCTATGTTGCCCAGTCTGGCAACATGGGATCCTCCCGCTTCGGCCTCCCAAAGCGCTGAGAATTACATACGTGAGCCACCACGCCCGGCCTATATTGTTTTATAGTTCTTCAATTTTGTTTTGTGGTCGCTGGAGGTGTTTCCTTCTTCGATTCCCTGCACAGTGCTTCCACAGCTGCTCCATGGAATCTGCCCAAGACTTTTGCTGCGTTCAGTTGAACACACAGGAGGAAGCTCTTCAGGCCCCAGCCAGCCGACCGCACAAAGATGCGTTCTCATACCCAGGGGAGCTGGTCTCGCCACTCGACCGGCGCCCTGGATAGCTATAGTTAGTGTGAGCGCCACCACCCGCCGCGGCGTGATCAAGAGCGCTCCGGGCCAAGCAGTCTCCCGTGGGAGTGCGGGAGTGCGTGCGTGCGGCGGAAATCCCGCCTTCCGGCGCCCGCTGTTGGCCTTGGCCGCAGCCAGGGCGCTCCAAGTAGGAAGATAAGCGGGATTGCTGGAAGCGGGAGAGTCGGGAGGAGCGGCGAAGGGCTCCTCTTCCCCATTGGCTGCGCCCACGGAGCAGCCTCGTTGCGATTGGCCGTACGCGGGGGGCGGCAGTCCCGCGTCGGCCCGCCCCTCGGGCCGCGAGAGGCACCGGGATCGCGGGCGCCGGCTGAGCCAGCGGCTCTTGGGAGGCTGCGTCCGCGCGCCGGCGGGGCGGGGCGGCCGGGCCCTGCGCGTCAGGTCCTGGCCTGGGGCACCTGGGCGGCCGGTGGCGGGGGCGGTACGGGCGCGGGGCTGGCGGGCGGCCGAGCCCGGGAGGCGGGCGTGGGCGCGGCGGCCGCACCGGGGCCTGCGCGGACCACCCGCGGGGCAGCCTCGGGCCTCTCTCCATCTCTTAAGTGGTGGTGGCTGTGGGTTTTTCTGCAGGCGATCCTTTTGAGTAATTTGTTTCACGCACGCGCCCTGCTGTGGGGTAAAGCGGCAGATTCATGCTGCTGTCATTTGTCGTTAAAACGATGGGCTCCCTGTTATGTGTGTGTACTTCTTGGATTTGAGGGCAGGGGGATGACATTGTAACTTGGCTTCCTGTGACCGTCCATTCTCAAGGTCTCGTCAGCGTGGTGCAGAAACTCGGCACACCCTGCCTACCTTGGAAGGAGGCTTTCCCTTCCCCACCTCCCTCTCTCTCCATCTCTTCCCTCTTTCCCTCTCTCCCCTTCTCTCCCCTCCACCAGCTCTTCTCTCCCCCCTTTCTGTTCTCTCTCTCTTTTTTCTTTTCTGCATTGAACCTTTCGGGAGTGTCTTTGTAAACTATTAAAAAGCATTAGGTCTTCAGCGTATGTGTTTACTTGCAGGCCTGAGACCTGGGAGGAAGCTGGAGAAAAGATGCCCTCTGAATCTTTGTGTTTGGCTGCCCAGGCTCGCCTCGACTCCAAATGGTTGAAAACAGATATACAGGTGGGGTTTGACATGTCTTTTTCTTGGTGTGTTTCTGCTTCCATGTTTAAATTTCCCGTGTAAGGCTTTTTTTTAGGGTATGTAAGGGGAAGTCAGTTGTATCTTGCTGAATTAGAGGAGCAGGTTTATTTCCTGTAACTTAAAATGTAACAGTCTTATGGCTGTTTTTGTAGATCGTGCGCGGCTGCCTTTTAATTAGTTTCTTGCAAGTGCACGAAACTTGAGATCTATTAATAGAGAAAATTTTTTTCCTATTTATTATTACTGGTTAAGAAATCTGCCACACTCCTAACCATATCATGGTGACTGTTGTTTGTTACTGATCGTTTTTGAGCTGTTGAGTTAACTGTGGAGGGGAAAATTGGAGAAGTAAGTTGCAGTAATTATGGCCTATAGAAACTCACTCATTTTATGAGGTCTTGTGTTTGTGTTTCTGGAGAGACAAGAGTTAGTTCAGTTGAGCTGTTTGTTTTGTCTTTGTAACTCCTTATTAAGAGGAGTGCTCAGATTTTCACATCAAGAATATGAGGAAACAATGTTGGCCTTAGATCCTAATTTTTTGATTTAATGAGATAATTGCAAGCTTGTCAGGACATTATTAAATAAATAATAACGGTAATATTTCGATAGACAGTTCTTTACACCCAATCTACTTTTATTTGGAAATGGCTTGGAAAAACTACTTTTGGAACTCCTTATCAGCAGCAAAAAGAAGTGTTTGAAATATTTTGTGTGTGTCTGTATTTTCCTACTCCCTAAGGTTAACCATTTTAAGTATTAAGTAATGTGCCTTGACTGTTCATCAAAAGTCGTGTAGGCTGTTAAGCAGTAGTTGATCATGGATACTTACACTGAAGTGTTATTGCCCCTTCCTAATTTTTTTTTTCTTTTTAAACAGGTATTGAGTGTTGGTAGATATGAGAGTCCAGTGTTTAGAGCTGTGTTGTGTGGCTGGGCGCAGTGGCTCACGCCTGTAATCCCGGCAGTTTGGGAGGCCGAGGCGGGTGGATGCCCTGAGGTCAGGAGTTGGAGACCAGCCTGACCAACATGGTGAAACCCCATCTCTACTAAAAATACAAAATGAGCCAGGCGTGGTGGTGTATGCCTGTAATCCCAGCCACTCGGGAGGCTGAGGCAGGAGAATCGCTTGAACCCGGGAGGTGGAGGTTGCAGTGGGTCAAGATTGTGCCGTTGCACTCCAGCCTGGACAATGAGAGCTTTTTTTTCAAAAAAAAAAAAAAAAAAGCTGTTGTGGATGATGGGATTGTTATTCATAGTGTAATGTTACATAAGACAGAGTACAGAGAATTGGGTCAAGAATTGGTGTAGTTACTCTTTGGGTTTGTTTCTCTTTAAACATTTCCTTTGATTTAGCTATAATGATCTGTTTTGTCATTTTAAGTGGATGGGAGACGTGAGAGATGAGTACTTTCATATTTCTGAAATCCTGAGATTCAGGCAAAGTTTTAATAGTTGTTTTTATATTAGTGTTTATGTATTTTGAGAAACTTTTTGGAGTAAAGGACTTTACGTAATGAAGTTTTTTTCTTAATAATTGTAATTTAATAACTGCTAAACATGAGTTCTAGTGTCTTGATCTAAAACCAGTTTAATGCTGAATTGAGTTCCTATGATGGGTTGGGCAGATAAACATACAGTGAAGCACCATTTATATCTTAGAGGGCCTGTTGTTTTGATTTATTAAGTTTAATACACAGTACTTGGTCCTTGTTACACATTTCCAATATGATTAGAAAGTCTTTTTTTTTTTTTTTTTTTTGAGACGCAGTCTTGCTCTGTCGCCCAGGCTGGCGTGCAGTGGTGCAATCTTGGCTCACTGCAACTTCCGCCTCCCGAATGCAAGTGATTCTCCCACCTCAGCCTTCCGAGTAGCTGGGATTACAAGTGTGTGCCACCATGCATGCCCGACTAATTTTTGTATTTTTAGTAGAGATGGGGTTTCACTGTGTTGGCCTGGCTGGTCTCCTGACCTCAAAGCGATCTGCCTGCCTCGGCCTCCCAAATTGCTGGGATTACAGGCGTGAGCCACTGCACCTGGCCAAAAAAAAAGTCATCTAAATTCCTCCTAGGAGTAAGGGAAATGACTAGGTTTTGGATAGTGTGCACCAGAGGAAAAATGTGTTACAGGTCTAAGTAGCATGAAAAAAGTGATTGCTAAGTTTTGTTTTATGTTCCACCAGCATTGGTTGTTAAACACAAGGAATGAATGGTGGTGTTTTACCGTAAGGAATAAGACATGGTTTCCCTCTTTGGGGAGCTTCCCTGCAGACAGGAATTGCAGATGGAAGCCTTGTGCTCACAGGTTTTACCCTTATCTTGTTGAGGATGGCTCTCCCAGCTGGAGTGGGAAGCGCTTCACTGCTTGAGACTTTTGTATTGGAAACAGAATTGACACCTGGGTAATGAATAATACATGGGATAGGAAGATGTTTCTTAGCCATAGGATTTAACCGATCTGTTTTCCACAGCTGTTTTTGTTTGAAATGCCCTTAAAAGTTTTAGTAACTTTAGAAAGGAAGAGTTTTTGGAGTGTGAAAACTTATAATGCTTGTGTGTTATAGAGAGCACTTATTGACTTCTTTATCATAGACATTATTTGGATACGTCAGGCCTAGGACCCTACATCCAGCAACCTCTAATGCAGGGCTCATTTTATGCCAGGCATATATATCTGGTTATTACATATAAACAGTTTAATTGTTCAACACTTTTTTTTTTTTTTTTTGAGACGGAGTCTCACTCTGTCTCCCAGGCTGGAGTGCAGTGGTGCCATCTTGGCTCACTGCAAGCCTCCTGGGTTCATGCCATTCTCCTGCCTCAGCCTCCCGAGTAGCTGGGACTACAGGTGTCCACCACCACGCCTGGCTAATTTTGTGTACTTTTAGTAGAGACAGGGTTCCACCTTGTGGGCCAGGCTGGTTTTGAACTCCTGACCTCAAGTGATCCACCCGCCTCGGCCTCCCAAAGTGCTGGGATTACAGGCGTGAGTCACCGCGCCCGGCCTGTTCAACACTCTTTTCTGCTTGATGTGTGGAGTGATTGAATCACCATGTTTTCCTTCACTGCTCTCGTGAAGAGTAATACATTACAGAGGTAAGAGGTGTCAGTCACATCACTTTTTATTTTTACCGTGAAAGTACTTCTAATCTGATGTGATTGGTAGTTTTTTAGCAAACCAAAAAGTCAGTTAAGCAAAGGAATCATAAAAACCAATATATGAGACCTTAAAAGCTTTTTATTCTTAAAACACATGCCTGTTCGCCAGTTTTGTTGTAAGGTAAAGGTGCATGTCTTTGAGCATAGGTCCAGAATGGAGTTATCCTGCCCCTTCTTGCATAAGCTGCACTCAGATGAATTTCCTACAGTTTCTATTTTTGGGTTCTTTTTTAAGTGGCACATGAAACTAGATATGCATGAAGCAATTTTTAAAAAAACTTTTTATTTTGAAATAATAATAGACTCTCAGGAAGTTGTAAAGAAACTAGAGAGGTCATTGTATATTTGCGCATACTGCCCCAGTGGTTACATTTTATGTAACCATAATAGAGTATAAAAACCCAGAAATTGAAGTTGGTACAATGTGTGTGCGTAGTTCTGTGCCATTCTATCAAGTGTCTGTAAATATAACTACTACTACAATTTCCTATGCAGAACTGTTTCATCACCAGAAAGATCTCTCTCCTGCCTCTCTTCTGCCACCATCTCTAACTCCTGCCAACCACTGATCTGTTCTCCATCTCTATAATTTTGTTACTGTGAGATTACCAAGTGATATGTGACCTTCGGAAATGATTTTCTTTACTCAGCATAATGCCCTCAGGTCCGTCAAGGTTTGTTGAGTATATCAGTAGCTAAACTGGGACCATTTATTTGTCTCTTCATCTAATCATCAATTAAAAATGACCACGCATAAATGTAAGCTTTTACAGTTAAACTTATTGTATATAAATATTGTCACTTCGGCTGGGCGCGGTGGCTCACGCCTGTAATCACAGCACTTTGGGAGGCCGAGGAGGGCGGATCACTTGAGGTCAGGAGTTCAAAACCAACCTGGCCCCCATGGTGAAACCCTGTCTCTACTAAAAATACAAATGAGCCAGGTGTGGTGGTGTGCGCTTGTAATCCCAGCTACTTGGGAGGTTGAGGCAGGAGAACTGCTTGAACCCAGAAGGTGGAGGTTGCAGTGAGCCGAGATCATGCCATTGCACTCCAGCCTGGCCAACACAGCAAGACTCCTTCTCAAAAAAAAAAAAATGTCACTTCATGCTTAGAAATATCAGTAGATGGCCGGGTGTGGTGGCTTAGCCTGTAATCCTAACAGTTTGGGAGGCTGAGGTCAGGAGATCGAGGTCATCCTGGCCAACATGGTGAAACCCCATCTCTACTAAAAATACAAAAATTAGCTGGGTGTGGTGGCACGTGCCTGTAGTCCCAGCTACTTAGGAGGCTGAGGCAGGAGAATCGCTTGAACCCAGGTAGCGGAGGTTGTAGTGAGCTGAGATCGCGCCACTGCACTACAGCCTGGTGAGAGAGCGAGAATCTGTCTCAAAAAAAATAAAAAAGGGCAGTAGATAAAAAAAGTACAAACATGAGTATCTTGATAAATTCTATTCTCAGGCTTTCAGGTTCATAATCCTGTTGATAGATGACATGTAGAAATAGAAGAATTTGTAAATATAGGAATATTCATTGATGTTTTTAGGACTGGATTCTAAGGGTGGTTTTTACCTCTAATATCCAAATACTGCTGCCTCAAGAGAACAATTTTTGTTTTCAAAATTCCATGATAAAAAAGATGCAGTAACCCTGTATGTGGCATTTTGTCAGGTTAATTAAGAGCATTTTGCAGCAAAAAAAAAAGTTTTTTGTAGAGGCAGGGTCTTGCTTTGTTGTCCAGGCTGGTCTAGAACTTCTGCATTCAAGTGATCCTCCTGCCTTGGCCTCCCAAAGTGCTGTGATTAGATGTGTGAGCCACTGTGCCTGGCCTGGTGTTTTAAAGAACTAACTTTTAACTTTGGTTCTTGGAAAAGACTAGCAATACTTGTTATAAAAAAAAGGAAAAGGGTTTAGCCGTAGGACTTTGATGACAATTCCTTTTTTTTTTTTTTTTTTTTTGAGACAGAGTCTCACTCTGTTGCCCAGGTTGGAGTACAGTGGCACTATCTCAGCTCACTGCAACCTCCACCTCCCAGGTTCAAGCCATTCTCGTGCCTCAGCCTCCTAAGTGGCTGGAATTCCAAGTGTGCACCACCACACCCAGATAATTTTTTATATTTTTAGTAGAGATGGGGTTTCACCATGTTGCCCAGGCTGGTCTTGAACTCCTGAGCTCAGGCAGTCCACCTGCCTTGGCCTCCCAGAGTGGTGGGATTACAGCAGTGAGCCACTGAGCCCAGCAGATGACAATTCTTTATGAAGAAGAAATTGAGTATCCTGTTTAAGGCACTCAAGAAAAGAAAATGTGAGTAAAGCATTTTTTGTTCCAGCAAAACCGACTTTTCAGATGAAAAACACACAAACTTCTCAGTGAGCTGTAACTTAGGAAGTATTGTTCTCATGAGCCCTTCCTTAGGAATGGAGTGGAGAAAGATCTTTAGACAACTGGATGACTGTAGATCAACCTGCAACTGATGATGGGCATGAAACAGTTATTTGTTAAACCTAGACTGCATGAGTGTTAAGGGAGAGAGCATGGCATAGCCATGTGCTTAGACATTGTAGATTATGGTTGTAACTGTTATGCAGTTCTGTTAATCTCATCCATCCATTTTGTATTTTCATTTCTAGAGATTCCATTTGAGTCCTTTTTATATCTTCTGTTTCACTTCTTATAACATTCATGCTTTCCTTCTATTAGTATAGGGAGCATTTCTGTAAGAGAGCTTTTAATGTCCTTGTCTGTGAATTCTGTAATCTCTGATCACTTCTAGATCCATCTCTGTTGATTGATTCTGTCATTTCTATTGATTGATTGCCCTAGTTATGGGGGCATGGTTGTATGCCTGCTAATTTTTGATTGAATGCTAGGCATTAATTTTATCTTCTGTGCAGGATTTTGTTTTATTTTTTTAAAGAGCCTTAGTTTTCTTCTGCCATACATGTAAGTTACATGGGGTCAGTTTGATCTTTTCAAAGCTTGATTCTGAGGTTTGTTAGGCTGATCCACACAGGCTTTACTCTTGGGCTCATTTATCCATACAACGAAGGCAATACTGTTCTCAGGACTCCACCTGATGCTTGGTGTATGAGAAGATCTTTCTGTCCTTGTTTGTGGAAACACAGGCTTTTCCCAGACTGTGCATCATGGCAATGCTGCTTATTACTTTCTAGTGCTGCTTTCCCCAGTATTCCATAGTTTTCTTAACCTATGCTCAGAGTAGTACTCAGACAGATACTCAAGGGGCCCCTCCACTCATCTCTGGAGCTTGCTGTATTCTTGTCATTTGGCCTACGTATAGCTGATCTGTCTCCTGAGCTCAGCAAGTTCTTTGGGCTCTATTTGGGTTCCCCTTTCCTGTGCTGCAGCCTGGAAGCTGCTTCTGGGCAGTGTTTCCCTTCTCTCAGGGATCCCAGCTCTGGGCTGTCTGTTGTCCAGTTTTTGGTAACAGCTTTTCGGTATATTCTGTCTGGTTTTCTAGTTGATTATAGCAAGGAAGTGATTTCTACAGAATTCATCCTTTATAGGTGGAGGAAGCACAGGCCTTCCCAATCTGTTTTTAATCAAATCCATTGAGTTTTAAATTTTACTATTATATTTTTCTATTCCAGAATTTCCATTTTTTAAACATATCAACTTTATTGAGGTATAATTATATTAAACACATCCCTTTAAAATGTTTAGTTTGAAATGTTTGACAGTTTCTTTAACTGCCACTTTAGGTACTTTTTTCTAGTTTCAACTTCTGTGTTGAAATTGTTAATGTGATCTTTTTTTTTTTTTTTTTTGACAAGGAGTCTCGCTCTGTCGCTCAGGCTGTAGTGCAGTGGCACAATCTCGGCTCACTGCAACCTCCATCTCCTGGGTTCAAGTGATTCTCCTGCCTCAGCCTCCCGAGTAGCTGGGACTGCAGGTGCCCGCCACCACACCTGGCTAATTTTTGTATTTTTAATAGAGACGGGGTTTCACCAGATTGGCCAGGCTGGTCTTGAACTCGTGACCTCGTGATCCGCCTGCCTTGGCCTCCCAAAGTGCTGGGATTACAAGCATGAACCGTGCCCGGCTGTTAATAGGATCTTTTAATTGCTTGACTCTATTAAAGGTAGTTATTTTAAAAGTGTGTTTATAAACCTTGTCCGACCCCATAGATTCCTTAGCCGCCTCTCTCTGTCCCTCTTGGCTGACTCATGCCTGTGAGCCACCCTTCAGCTCCAGTCTCCGCTGTGATGTCACGCAAGAGAGTTGGAGTATGGCTTCCTGACTGCCTACCAAGGAGCCAGTGACACAGCCTGGAAGGTGTGGCGAGTGTGTGTGGGTGTGAATTCCTTGTGGTATGAACGTTCACCACTTTACAAGGAGAGATGAGGGAACTCAGTGTTTTTATTCCTCCCTTTTTTCTTTCCTCTTTGGACTATTTTATGGTGTAGTTTCTTCTTGCAAACCTTCTGGAAAAGCCACATATGCCTAGTGAATGTGCTGGCTGAACAGTTGGTTGTATTTGCAGCTCATTGAGAAGAGGTGGCACTAACATAGGGGTCAGCACATTTTTTCTGTAAAGCACCAGATAGTAAATGTTTACGTGGGCCGTACGTGCTCTTTTAGAACAGTTCACCTTGGCCATTGTCCTGCGAGAAGCTGCCAAACATGTGTATGGCTATATTCCAGGAAAACTTTGTGGATACCAGAATTTGAATGTCATATAATTTTCATTTGTTGACATATGATTTTTTTTTTTTTTTTTTTTCTGAGAGGGAGTCTTGCTCTGTTGCCCAGGCTGGAGTGCAGTGGCGCGATCTTGGCTCACTGCAACCTCCACCTCCTGGGTTTAAGCAATTGTTCTGCCTCAGACTCTGGAGTAGCTGGGATTACAGGCGTGTACCATCATGCCTCACTAATTTTTTTTTTTGTATTTTTAGTAGAGATGGGGTTTCATCATGTTGGCCAGGCTGGTCGTGAAGTCCTTACCTCGTGATCCGCCCGCCTTGGCCTCCCAAAGTCTGAGATGACAGGTGTGAGCCACTGTGCTTGGCTGACATATGATTCTTTTGATTATGTGGCAACCATTGAAAAATATAAAATCACTCTTTTTTAATATATATTTTTCTTTTTTTAGGAAATTAAAGGAAATAAGAATGGCTCCTACATAGGCAGAGTAGGCTAAAATCACACTTAGCTGACTGTGAAGTCATATACTGCATATCGTTACTTCATTGATCTCCTTGTCTCGCTTTCCCACTTCCCTCACCCCATTGCCCCGAGCTGACATCTGCTGAGCAGAGTGTCAACACTTCAGTTCATTCCTCAGGCTCTTCTTTCATGACAGAAGTCTTTATGTTTCTGTTTTCAGGATCTACTCGGTCTGTTCTAATGACTTCTATTTTTTTTTCATTTTTCAATGATGTGGTCTTGTATCTTTGTCATTATTATATTTGCTTGACTTTCAGATATTGTATATGCAATATTGTAGCAATAAATCGAGGCTCTAGGTAACAATATCTTCCTCCAGAGAGGATGTTCTAGGCAATCCCAGGTCACTGCAGTCCCTTTGGAAATTGAGAGAATGCGAAACTGGGCTGGTTTTCCGTGAAGGCTGGTCTACTTCTAACTCACCTGTATTTCTGGTGTGTGGCCCTTTGAGGTTCCAGCTCAGAGCATGGGATCTGCCAGGCCTCTTTCTCCTGTATGAGGGCCCTGGGAGTCTCTCAGAAGCTCCGTTTTGCTTCTCAGTCTCATCCCTGCGTGCTTAGGTTCTCTGGGCCTCTTTCCTCCTCTCGTGGGTCTTAGACTTTAGGAAGACCTCACTCCCTTGCTGCTTCTAGGATGTCTTCAAATCGACGTACTTAATGTTCCTGTCTGACCTTTCTAATTGTTCTAGGAACCTGTTCTTAACATTTTTTCATATGTTGTCCTACGTTCAGTAGGTGTTTAGTATTTTTCTGTAGGTTTAAGAAAAAAAGCCATATACCTTTACTCATCTGCAAATATTTGAAGATTACTTTTCTGTCAAATTGTAAGGACATGAAAAAGAAACATTTTCTAACCTATACATTAATCAGATATTCATTTGTTATATTATTCAGTTTTGGATTTTATTGCCTGACTCTATAGTTCTGAAGTCACTTTAATAAATGCCTTAACGGGCTGGGTGCGGTGGCTCCCGCCTGTAATCCCAGGCCGAGGCGGGTGGATCACAAGGTCAGGAGATCGAGACCATCCAGGCTAACACGGTGAAACCCTGTCTCTACTAAAAATACACAAAAAATTAGCCGGGCGTGGTGGCGTGCGCCTGTAGTCCCAGCTATTCGGGAGGCTGAGGCAGGAGAATGGCATGAACCCGGGGAGCCAAGATGGCGCCACTGCACTCCAGCCTGGGCGACAGAGCAAGACTCTGTCTCAAAAAAAAAAAAAAAAAAAAAAAAAAATGCCTTAACTGTTTGCTTGCCTAGTCCTGATTGGTATTAAAATATTGGTGGCCTATGTATGGGAGCGTGAAGGCTTGCCCTGGCTGCCGTGCTGCAGGTGTGGGTGCATGTTATGGTGTTGGTGGGAAGCGAATAAGCCTTGGAGTTGGGCCTCTTCCCAAATCCCGCCTCTCACAGCCTCAGTGTTGTGTGGCCTTTGGTCAAGTCATTGGCCTTCTGAGCTTCAGTTTAGTAACTTACAAAAAGTGAGCCTGTTACTGCCTCTTTTGCTGGGGTCTTTTGACGATGAAAGTGCCTTTACTTGCCATGTCATTTCAGAGGTGTAAGATAGGAATGTGAGATTGGAAAAGATTGGAAAAGAGTTCTTAGCCCAAATAACCTAATTAGAAGCTTCTGGGATCTGAACCAAAAAAGTCAAAAGTTGAAAAGCTACTGGGCACGTTTAGGTAAGTCAGCTACTAATAAAAAGCTAATTGGAGACAGTTGTAGAAATAAATACTCTCACTTTACAAATGGAAAGTCCCATTCATTTTTTTCTTTTTCTTTCTTTTTTTTTTTTTTTTTAAATGAATAGGGTCTCTGTCACCCAGGTTGGAATGCTGTGGTGTGATCAGAGCTTACTGTAACCTCAAACTCCTGGGTGCAGGTGACCGTCCTGCTGTAGCCTCCTGAGTAGCTGGGATTACAGGCACGTGCCATGCACTTGGGTAATTTTTACATTTCTGTAGAGACATGGTCTTACCATGTTGCCCAGGCTGATCTTGAACTCTTGGCCTCAAGCAGTTCTTCTGTCTTGGCCTCCCAAAGCTCTGGGATTACGGCGTGGGCCACCACGCCCTGCCTGTAGTCTCCATTCTTCTCAGTGCCACGGCTGTCTTCCAGTTGTTCCCAGGCTGCTGCTTCCTCAGTCAGGATCCTGTACTGTCTGTGATCTGGAGAGCTCTTCTCCTGGGCTTCACTTTTGCTTGTTCACAGTCTAACTCTCTGGAGACCTCCTCCAGTGAGGCTTGCTTTATTGCCTTAGTAATGTTCCACCTTTAAGGTGCCCAAATAGTTTTTTGAATGGTGCTTACCATTTATTTGGGTCATCAGTTCCTAGGAGGCTTCCACAGTGCATGTCCTTCCAGGAGTCCAGTGTCTACCTTCCAAAAAAGAATTCCTTGTTACTCAGAAGGACAAGGTCTGGCCTATCCTCTTCCTTCCCAGTGCTACCCAGGTAATAATCGAAAGGTGGTGGTAATTATTCTTGTTTCCATGTAAACTGGGCTTCCTCCTTGGCTTAGTCTTTAAATGTTCCATCTTTTGGCTTTTTTTTTTTTAAATGGTACCTCTGTAACACTAATGTTTCTCAATCTAGGCTGTACCGCAGAACACTGATGTGTGGAGCCCAGCCAGTCTGGGGCGATCTTAGAGTGCTTTCAGGGCTGGGCAGGGGTCTCCCCTCTCTGCTTGGGTGTTGGCATCTTCTCCAGGACATCACCTACAGTCCATTTGTTGACTACTCCCAGATTTGAGTCTCTAGCCCTGAACACTCTGCTAAGATCTGGATCTATATTTACTGAGGGTTGGTGGAGTGGGGAGGAGCTCCATGTTTATGTTCAGTAGTTAGTGCAAATCTTAGTGGTTAAAACGGAACTAATTCTCATTCCTCTTCTGTTCCCTCCCTTATTTTCCCTTTCACATTTGATTTAACTTACGTGATTTGAAATAGTTTCTTTTTTTGTTTTTTAAGTCAGGGTCTCACTCTGTTGCCCAGGCTGGAATGCAGTGGCACCGTCACGGCTCACTGCAGCCTTAACCTCCCCGGGCTCAGGTGATCCTCCCACCTCAGCCCCCTGAGTAGTGGGACTACAGGTGCGTACCACCACGCCTGGTTAATTTTTGTATTTTTTGTAGAGACCGGGTTTCACCATGTTGCTCTGGCTGGTCTCGAACTCCTGGGCTCAAGCAGTCTGCCCACCTCGGCCTCCCAGACTGCTGGGATTACAAATGTGAGCCACCGTGCCCTGCCTGAAATAATCTTAAAGACTGTACTTCCCTGTGTTGACTTCTGCTGTCATCCTTTCTTTTTTGGACCCTTGGTAATAGCCTTTTTTTTTTTTTTTTTTTTTTTTTGAGATGCAGTCCCACTCTGTCACCCAGGCTGGAGTGCAGTGGTGCGATCTCCACTCACTGCAACGTCCGCCTCCCAGGTTCAAGCAATTCCCTTGCCTCAGCCTCCCGAGTAGCTGGGACTATAGGTGCGTGCCACCACATCTGGCTAATTTTTTGTATTTTTAGTAGAGATGGGTTTTCGCTGTGTTAGCCAGGATGGTCTTTATCTCCTGACTTCATGATCCACCCGCTTCGGCCTCCCAAAGTGCTGGGATTACAGGCGTCAGCCACCGTGCCTGGCCAGTAATAGCTTCTTAGTTCACCTTCTCTGTTTCTGTTTTCTGAAACACTTTAAGACACGGGTCAAATGTCATATTCCCTTGAGTGCCTAAAGATAGTCTGAAACTCCTGGAGCACGGCCCACATGGAGCTGTGAGTTCTGACCACTGTTAGCCTCTTATCATGTGCATTGTGGTAGGGTTTGGACTGAACCCCAGTGCACGTATTCACTGCTCTCCTCTGACTGAAGACTAGAAGAGTCAAAGCTTTCCATTCACTCGTTAAACTTCAGGGGCCCTGAATGTTTTTGGCTCACTTTTTAATTTTATTTTTTATATTATTTTAATTTTTTAAATTTAAATTAAAAATTTTTTTTGACAGGGTCTTGCTCTATTGCCCAGGCTGGAGTACAGTGGAGTGATCTCAACTCACTGCAGCCTCTACCTCCTGGTCTCAAGCAGTTCTCCCACCTCAGCCTCCCAAGTAGCTGGGAGTACAGGCGCGCCACCACCTCTGGCTAATTTTTTGTATTTTTGGTAGAAATGCGGTTTTGCCATGTTGTTCAGGCTGGTCTTGTACTCCTGAGCTCAAACAATTCACCTGCCGTGGCCTCCCAAGTGCTGGGATTACAGGTGTGAGCCACCATGCCCAGCTTTCTGGCTAATTTTACAATTTTTTTGTAGAGACAGGGTCTTGCTATGTTGCTTAGATTGGTTTTGAACTCCTGGGCCCAAGTGATTCTCTTGCCTCAGTCTTCCAAGGTGCTGGGATTAGAGATGTGAGTCACTCTACCTGGCCAGGGCTCACTTTTTAGGAAGGAGTTTACCTCTCCCCCACCAGCTGATATTTTTACCAAAAGTCATATGTTTTGGTTCCAAGTATGTTTATGGCAGTTATCCTGTTAGTGATGTGAACAGAAAAAATAACAGTGCTGAGAGAAAGCTGTTCCTTCTACAAAAACTGAAGGATGCTGGCTTGGTTTCTGTCGCTACAGAACAAGTTACCAAACACAAATTTGGCAGCTTGTAACAACAAGCATTTACACTCTCACAGTTTCTGTGGGTCAGGAGTCTGGCCATAGCTTAGTTCTATCCTCTACTTCAGGTGTCACAGGCTGTAGTCAAGGTGTTGGCTAGGGCACGCTGTCATCTGGAGCTCAGGTCCTCATTGGTAGAATTGAATCCATTGTGGTTGTGGGACTGAAACCCTGGGCTCTTGGAGGCTGCCCCTCCCCACGGGCAGTTCATTGGCTGCTTGCTTCTTCAGATTGGAGACCATCTCTTCAGGACGGTGCAGAGGGATGGAAAAAGGGAGAGGCAAATGGAAATCACAAAAGAGCATAGCGGTTATATCAGACCAAATAGATTTCAAGACCAAAACTATAAAAGGAGACCAAAAAAGTCATTATGTAATGATAAAGGGGCCAATTCAGCAAGAGGCTATAACTATTATAAATATATGTATATATGCACTCAACACTAGAGCACCCAGATACATAAAACAAATATTACAGCTAAAGAGAGAGAGAGGCGTTAATACATTAATAGATGGAGGCTTCAACACTCCACTTCAGCATTGGACAGATCAGATCATCCAGACAAAATTAACGAAGAAACATCAAACTTAATCTGCACTGTAGACCAAATGGATTTAATAGATATTTCTCGAACATTTCATCTGATGGCTGCAGAATTTACATTGTTCTCTTTAGCACATGGATCGTCCTCAAGGTTAGACCATATGTTAGGCCACAAAATAAGTCATTAAAAATTGAAACCTTGATACTAAAAGCAGACAAAGACACGTCAAAGAAAGAATACTACAGGCCAATGTCTCTGATGAATATTGATGCAAATATCCTCAACAAAATACTAGCAAACCAAATTCAGCAATACGTTAGAAAGATCGTTCATTGTGATGAAGTGGGGTTTATCCCTGGGGTACAAGGATGGTTCAACATATGCAAATCAATCGATGTGACACATCATGTCAAGGATAAAAACCATGTGATTATTTCAGTCGATGCTGAAAAGGCATTTGATAAAATTCAACATCCTTTCATGATAAAATCTCTTAAAACTGATTATGGAAGAAACATACCTCAACATAATAAAAGCCGTATATGACAGACCCACAGCTAGTATCATACTGAATGGTGAAAAACTGAAAGTCTTTCCTCTAAGATCTGGAACATGACAAGGATGCTCAGTGTGGCCACCGTTATTCAACATAGTACTGGAAGTTCTTGCTAGAGCAATCAGACAAGAGAAAGAAATAAAAGGCCTCCACATTGGAAAGGAAGAAGTCAAATTATCCTTGTTTGCAGATGATATGATCTTATATGTGGAAAAACCTAAAGACTCCACAAGAAAATGATTAGAGCTGATAAATTCAGTACAGTTGCAGTATACGAAATCAACATACAAAAATCAGTAGCATTTCTGTGTGCCAACAGTAAACAATATGAAAAAAATTAGAAAACTAATCCCATTTATAGTAGCCACACATGAAATTAAGTACCTGGGAAGTAACCAAAGAAGATAATTACAAAGATCTCTGTAATGAAAACTCTAAAACCCTGATGAAAGACATTAAAGAGGACACAAAAGATGGAAAAATATTTCATCTTCATGGATCGGAAGAATCAATATTGTTAAAATGTCCATACTACCCAAAGCAATCTACCGATTGAGTGCAATCCCTAGCAAAATACCAATGACATTCTTCACAGAAACAGAAAAAAAAAAAATCCTAAAATTCATGTTGAACCACAAAAGACCCAGAATAGCCGAAGCTCTCGTAATTGAAAAGAAACAAACTGGAGGAATCAGATTACCTGACTTCAAATTATACTACAGAGCTATAGTAACCAAAACAGCATAGTACTAGCATAAAACAGACACAGACCAACGGAACAGAATAGAGAATCCAGAAACAAATCCGCACATCTACGGTGAACTCATTTTCGACAAAGGTACCAAGAACAAACACTGGGGAAAAGACAATCTCTTCAATAAATGGTGTTGGGAAAACTTGATATTCATATGCAGAAGAATGAAGCTAGATTCCTCTTTTGCCATATTAAAGTTAAAAAAATTATGTTAAGTATCTTCTCTGATCACAATGGACTATAACTAAAAATCAATAACGAGGAATTTTGGAAACTCCACCAACACATGGGAATTAAACAATATGCTCCTGAATGACCAACAGGTCAGTGAAGAAATTAAGAATGAAATTAAACAATTTCTTGAAGCAAATGGCAATGGCAGCACAGCATACGAAACCTGTGGGATATAGTGAAAGCAATACTAAGAGGAAAATCAAAAAAGTAGAAAAACTTCAAATAAATAACCTAATGATACATCTTAAAGAACTAGAAATGAAGGAGCTAACCAAACCCATAATTTTAAGGACAGAAATAATAAAAATTAGAGCAGAAATAAAATGGAGTTGAAATGAAGAAAATAATACAAAAGATCAATGAAATGAAAAGTTGGTTTTTCTAAAAGATAAATTAACAAGCTTTCAGGCAGGCTAAGAGAAAAAGAAGACCCAAATCAGAGGTGAAAAAGTAGGCATTACAACTGATATTGCAGAAATTCAAAGGGTCATTAGAGACTATGAACAGCTATATGTCAATAAATTGGGAAACATGGAAGAAATAGATAAGTTTGCAGGCTGGGCGTGGTGGCTCATACCTGTAATCCCAGCACCTTGGGAGGCTGAGGCGGGTGGATCGCTTGAGGTCAGGAGTTTGAGAGCAGTCTGGCCAACATGGTGAAACTCCATCTCTACTAAAAATACAAAAATTAACCAGGTGTGGTTTTGCGTGCCTGTAATTCCAGCCACTTGGAAGGCTGAGGCACGAGAGTCACTTGAGCCCTGGGAGGGGGAGGTTGCAGTGTGCTGAGATCATGTTACTGCACTCCACCCTGGGTGAAAGAGTGAGACTGTGTCTTCAAAAAAAGAAGGAAAAAGAAATGGATAATTTCACAGGCACATACAGCCTTCCAAGTTTGAACCATGAAGAAATCCAGAACCTGAACATACCAATAACAGGTAATGAGATTGAAACTGTAATAATAAAAAGTCTTCCAGCAAAGAAAAACCCCAGGACCCAGTGACTTCACTGCTGAATTTTACCAAACATTTAAAGAAGAACTATTACCAATCCTAGTGAAACTATTCTGAAAAATAGAGGAGGAGGGAATACTTCCAAACTTATTGTAGAAGGCCAATATTACCCTGATACCAAAACCAGACAAAGACATAATCAAAAAAACAAAACAGGCCAGTATCCCAGATGAACATTGATGCAGAAATACCCAACAAAATACCAGCAAACCGAATTCAACAACACATTAGAAACGTCGTTCATCATGACCAAAGTGGGGTTTATCCCAGGGATGCCAGGATGGTTCACCATATCCAAATCAATCAGTTTGATACATCATATCAATAGAATGAAGGATAAAAAACCATATGATCATTTAAATTCATGCTGAACAGGCATTTGATAAAATTCAACATCCTTTCATGATAAAAACCCCAAAAAACTGGTTATAGAAGGAACACACCTCAACGCAATAAAAGCCATATACAACTGACACACAGCTAGTATCATACTGAAAGGTGAAAAACTGAAAGCCTTTCCTCTAAGATCTGGAACAAGACACGGATGCCCACTGTCACCACTGTTATTCAATATAATAATGGAAGCCCTTGCTAGAGGAGTCAGATAAGAGAGAGAAAGGCCGGGTGCAGTGGCTCACACCTGTAATCCCAGCACTTTGGGAGGCTGAGGTGAGTGGATCACTTGAGGTCAGGAGTTTGAAGCCTGGCCAACATGGTGATACCCTATCTCTACTAAAAATATAAAAATTAGCTAGGCGTGGTGGCGGGTGTCTGTTGTCCCAGCTACTCGGGAGGCTGAGGCAGGGAAATCACTTGAACCCCAGAGGTGGAGATTGCAGTGAGCTGAGATTGTGCCGCTATATTCCAGCCTGGGCTATGGAGCAAGACTCCATCTCAGAAAAAAAAAAAAAGAAGAAGAAATAAAGGGCATCCAAATTGGAAATGAAGATGCCAAGTTACTCTTGTTTGCAGATGATTGTTATATTTGGAAAAACCTAAAAACTCCACCAAAAAATGATTAGAACTGATAAATTCAGTAAAATTGCAGGATACTAAATTAACATACAAAAATCAGTAGCATTTCTCTCTCTCTCTCTTTTTTTTTTTTTTTTTTTTTTTTGAGATGGAGTCTCACTCTGTGGCCCAGGCTGGAAAGCAATGGCACAATCTCGGCTCACTGCAACCTCTGCCTCCTGGGTTCAAGCGATCCGCCTGTGTTAGCCGCCTGAGTAGCTGGGATTACAGGCGCCTGCCACCAGGCCTGGCTAATTTTTGTATTTTTAGTAGAGACAGGGTTTCACCACATTGGCCAGGCTGGTCTCGAACTCCTGACCTCAGGTGATCCGCCTGCCTCGGCCTCCCAAAGTGCTGGGATTACAGGTATGAGCCACTTTGCCCAGCCAAATCAGTAGCATTTCTATATGTCAACAGTGAACAATATGAAAAATAAATCAAGAAAAATAATTCCATTTATAATAGCTACAAATAAAGTAAAATACGTAGGAATAAACCTAACCCAAGAAGTGAAAAGATCTCTACCACGAAAACTGTAAAACATTGATGCAGAAAATTGAAGAAGACACACAGAAAAGGAAAAGATACTCTGTGTTCATGGATTGGAAGAATCAATATTGTTAAAATGTCTGTACTACCCAAAGCAATCTACAGGTTCAATGTAATCCCTATCAAAATACCAATGACATTCTTCACAGAAATAGAAAAAAAAATCCTGAAATTTGTATGGAATCACAAGAGACAGAATAGCCAAAGCCATCCTGAGCAAAAAACAAAACTGGAGAAATTGCATTACCTGACTTAAAATTATACTACAGTCACTTCCTGGTCTTTTTTGGCTTAGATCAAGTGCAAAGTTTACTAGAAAGGTATACCAAAACAGCATGGTACTGGTATAAAAACAGACACCTAGACCAATGGAACAGAATAGAGAACCCAGAAACAGATCTATACATCTACAGTGAACTCACCTTTGACAGAGGTGCCCGGAGGATACATGAGGGAAAGGATAGCCTCATTGATAAATGGTGCTGGGAAAATGGGGCACCCATATGCAGAAAAATGAAACTAGACCACTATCTCTCACCATATACGAAAATCACATCAAAATGGAGTAAAGACTTAAACCTAAGACTTCAGACTATGAAAGTGCTAAAAGAAAACATTGGGGAGACTCTCCAGGACATTGCACTGGGTAATGATTTCTTGAGTAATAGTTCGTAAACACAGGCAACCAAAGCTAAAATGGACAAGTGGGATCACATTGAGTTAAAAAGCTGCACAGCAAAGGAAACAATCAACAAAATGAAGAGACAACCCACAGAATGGGAGAAAATATTTGCAAACTACCCATCTGACAAAGGATTAATAACCAGAATATATAATTAGCTTAAGCAACTCTATAGGAAAAAAATCTAATAATCCAATAAGAATGGGCAAAAGATTTGAATAGACATTTCTCAAAAGAAGATATACAAATGACAAACAGGCAATACGAACAGGTGCTCAACATGGTTGGTCATCAGAGACATGCAAATCAAAACTATAATGAGATATTATCTCACCCTAATTAAAATGGCTTATATCCAAAAGACAAGAACAAATGCTGGCAAGAATATAGAGAAAAGGGAACCCTTGTGCACTGTTGGTGGGAATGTAAATTAGCACAGCCATTATGGAGATTAGCTTGGAGGTTCCTCAAAAAACTAAAAATAGGACTATCATATGATTCAGCAATCCCACTGGTAGGTATATACCCAGAGGAAAGAATATCAGTATGTTGAAGAAATATGTACACTCTCATGTTTATTGCAGCACTATTCTCAATAGCCAAGATTTGGAAGCAACCTAAGTGTTCCCAGCAGATGAATGGATGAAGAAAATGTGGTATATATACTCAACGGAGTACTATTCAACCATGAAAAAGAATGGGATACTGCCGTTTGCAACAACATGGATAGAACTGGAGGTCGTTATGTTAAGTCAGGAACAGAATGTCATGAGCCAGACCCAGAAAATCGAACTTTGCATGTTCTCACTTATTTGTAGGTGCTAAGCAAATGAAAGTAATTGAACTCATGGAGATAGAGTAGAATGATGGTTATCAGAGACTGGGAAGGATAAAGTGGGGGTGAAGTGCGGATGGTTAATGGGTATAAAAATGGAGTTAGATAGGGCTGGGCACAGTGGCTTACGCCTGTAATCCCAGCTCTTTGGGAGGCCAAGGCAGGTGGATCATGAGGTCAAGAGACCCAGACCATCCTGGCCAACACGGTGAAACCCCATCTCTACCAAAAATACAAAAATTAGCTGGGTGTGGTGGTGTGAGCCTGTAGTCCCAGCTACTCGGGAGGCTGAGGCAGGAGAAACCCTTGAACCCAGAAGGCAAAGGTTGCAGTGAGCTGAGATCGCACAACTGCACTCCAGCTTAGTGCCAGAACGAGATCCGTCTCCAAAAAAAAAAAGAGTTAGATAGAATATATAACCCATATATATATACATACAACTAGTGTGTATCCACAGAAGTTAAAAAAAAAAAAGATGGGCAAACATCTGTCTCTTTTAATTAAAAATGGCTTTTGTTTTGCCAGACAAGGGAGCTTCTGTCACATACGCAGTTTTCAGAATGGATGCCTTCCCCCAGTGTCTGAAATGCTCCCTTTTCCTGTTCTGGGAAGCCTTTTCTGACTCACAAATGTTGACAAGCAAAGGCGTTTTTTATTTTGATGCTCACAGTTATTATAATTATTATAAATTTGGCCAGGAGTCCCTATCGTCTTTGAACAGCTGCTTTTTTTTTTTTTTTTTTTTTTTTTTTTTGAGATAAAGTCTTGCTCTGTCACCCAGGCTGGAGTGCAGTGGCACAGTCTTGGCCCACTGTAACCTCCGCCTCCTGGGTTCAGGCTATTCTCCTGCCTCAGCCTCCCAAGTAGCTGGGATTATGGGTGCCTGCCACCATGCCCAGCTAATTTTTGTATTTTTAGAAGAGATGGGGTTTCGGCATGTTGGCTAGGCTGGTCTCGAACTCCTGACCTCAAGTGATCTGCCCGCCTCAGCCTCCCAAAATGCTAGGATTATAGGCGTGAGCCACCGCACCTGGCCATGTTTGAGGAAACAGCTTTTTCTTTGAGGAAACAGGCTCATCTTTGTCTGCCCTGGCCCTTGAATCTACTTATTTTCCCAAGAGCCCTAGCGTCTTTTATCGGGAAATGGTTCTAAGAGACCAAAATCTGGGTGCTGCTGTCAGATTGCCTTTGATTCTAGTCCTTTAAAAAACAGAGTAAGCAAATATATTCAAAAATAAAGTTCATAGATTTCCAATTTAAGTTGTTTTTCAAAATTTCTTTGATTTTTTTTCCTCCTTTCCACTGAAAACCTTAATTTTTTTTTTTTTTTTTTTTTTTTTTTTTTTTTTTTTTTGAGATGGAGTCTCGTTCTGTTTACCCAGGCTGGAGCACAGTGACATAATCTCGGCTCACTGAAACCTCTGCCTCCTGGGTTCATGCTAGTCTTCTGCTTCAGCCTCCCGAGTGACTGGGATTACAGGCATGCACCAGCACACCCGGCTAATTTTTCATATTTTTAGTAGAGATGGGGTTTCACCATGTTGGCCAGGCTGGTCATGAACTCCTGATCTCAAGTGATTTACCTGCCTTGGCCTGCCAAATGCTGGGATTACGGGTGTGAGCCACCATGGCCGGCCTAAAACCTTAATTTCTAAGAACATTTAATACTTTATCATAAACATGTTTTATTGTATTTACACTGCTTTATTGTGCAACATGAAGTAGTTCTAAAATTGTGAGAGTGTTATCAATACCGATAAATATTTTATTTTTCATTATAGTATATTCTATTAATGATATGTAGTTCAAAAGTCCCTTGACATACTTTTCTTTGTATATGCATGGGTTAATTTGCTTGTTGCCAGTTGTAGGTTTTGCTTTTTTATGATTTAATTTTAATTTTTGAGGATGAAAGTCATGTATGTTTCAGAAGTAAAGACATCTAAAGTATACTCACAATGTTGTTGCTTTTTCTGGTCCTGCTGCCTTTGTCCATGTCCCCTCCCCATTTCCCCGTAGGTAGTCATTGGTACTTGCTTTCGGTTTATCTTTTCAGAGCATATGCACGTGTGTGTGTTTGTGTGTGTGTCTTTTTTTTCTTTTTTCTTTTTTTTTTTTTCTTTTTTTTTTTTTTTTAACACCGAGTCTCGCTCTTATCAACTCAGGCTGAGTGCTGTGGCGCGATCTTGGCTCACTGCAACCTCTGCCTCCTGGGTTCAAGCAATTCTCTTGCCTCGGCTTCGTGAGTAGCTGGGATTATAGGCGCCCGCCACCACGCCTGGCTAATTTTTTGTATTTTTAGTTGAGACGGCGTTTCACCGTGTTGGCCAGGCTGGTCTCAAATTCCTGATCCCCCGTGATGTGCCCCGCTCGGCCTCCCAAAGTGCTGGGATGACAAGCATGAGCCACCTCGCCCGACCACGTGTCATTTTTCTTGTATGTTACATAAGAGGTAGAATAGTATTTATACTATTATGCACCTTTTCATTTATATTTCTTGGATGACTTTCATGAAATGTAAAATGATTAAGTCACTAATTCAGTAAATCATTGATTTTATTACCGAATGATCGAATACATAAGGGGGATTGAGATTTTTTCCCATATCATTCTTTAAAAATTGCAGTGTGAGTGTGAGCTTATCTCGTTTATCATTGCCAGCTTGCATTCACAAGAGATGGGCTCTGTGGTCTGTGGAATGAAATGGTTAAAGATGGAGAAATTGTATACACTGGAACAGAATCAACCCAGAACGGATAGCTCCCTCCTGGAAAAGGTAAGGGCCTTTAACTAGTGTTTTTTATTTGGTAAAGACCATTATAAAATGCATTTTATAGAAATTTTGTAATGTGCTATAGGAACAGGAGCTTTGAGCTTAACTCTTTGAAGTTTTGCTTTTTACTTTGGAGATTGTTGTCTAAAATGGTAGTTAATACAAGCTGCCCGGATTTTATTGTTTTACGTGAATTGAAGGCATTTTTATTGCAAAACCGTCTTGCTGCATTTGTGGTGTTCTTTGGGGGTGTATTAAACACTTATTGGAAGCCTTTGGCCTGCAAGGAAATGCCATTGAACAATCTTATTTAGCGTTGTAGTTTTGCATGCTCAATAGGACTATCATTAGGTTGTTCATAACAGTGGCTGTGTTTCAGAGTCCCCATTGAGGTTTAAAAAAATGGATGCTTGTATACACCCTAAACTTGTTGAATCTGAAAAGATCCTTGGTTGAGAACCACTGTTGAAGTTCGTTGGTCCCCCTGCTTGAGAGTCATCAACGTGGATAAAGCTACCACTTTAGAAAGTATTTATTCTAAGTTGAAATAGCTCAGTTGGGAGAGCATTAGTCTGAAGAAAGTATTTCTTCTTCTTTTTTTTTTTTTTGGGAAGGAGTCTTGCTCTGTCGCTGAGGCCGGAGTGCAGTGGCGCGATCTCAGCTCACTGCAAGCTCCACCTCCTGGGTTCATGCCATTCTCCTGCCTCAGCCTCCCAAGTAGCTGGGACTGCAGGTGTCCACCACCACGCCTGGCTAATTTTTTGTATTTTTTAGTAGAGACAGGGTTTCACCGTGTTAGCCAGGATGGTCTCAATCTCCTGACCTCGTGATCCGCCCGCCTCAGCCTCCCAAAGTGCTGGGATTATAGGCGTGAGCCACCGTGCCTGGCAAGTATTTATTCTTCTTTTGTGGAATGAATTGGGATGGTGTCCACTTGAAAATACTTGGGGACCGGGCGCGGTGGATCGTGCCTGTAATTCCAGCACTTTGGGAGGCTGAGGCGGGCAGATCATTTGAGGTTGGGAGTTTGAGACCAGCCTGGCCAACATGGTGAAACCCCGTCTCTACTAAAAAATACAAAAATTAGCCAGGCATAGTGGCGGGCGCCTGTAATCCCAGCTACTTGGGAGGGCACGGCAGGAGAATTGCTTGGAGCCGGGAGGTGGAGGTTGCAGTGAGCAGATATTGTGCTACTGCACTCCAGCCTGAGTGACAGAGTGAGACTCCATCTCAAAAAAAAAAAAAAACAAAAAACACAAAACAAACCATGGGAAAAAGTATTAGTCTCCCTCTTCAGTTTCAGTGTCAAGCAGAGTTACCTGTGTTTTTATTTTAATTTATTTTTTATATTTGTTTGAAAATATTCACACACACACACACACACAATAACTGACAGACGTGTACAGTGAGTGGCTGCAGACCCACCTCCATGTTCTACCACCGTATTTGGCTCCACATCCTGCTGTCTGTCCATCCACCGTTTGTCTCACCTAGCTCCTTAGACACTCATGTATGTAATTGATTCTAGTTCAACTTTGTTTTTGACTTTCAGGTAAAATTTATATATAATGAAATGTATCTATTTTGAGTTTACCATTTCACAAGTTTTGACAAATGTAACCCGTGTAACCCACATCTTTATCATGACTCTTGCTCAGAAAGTTCTCTGGTGTCCTGCCCCTTCTTCCCAGAGGCAATAGCTGGCCTGATGTTTCTCCAGCATTGACAAATTGCGCCTGTTCTAGAACTCCATACATGGAATCATGTAGTCGGGTTCTTCTGTGTCTTGGCTTCTTTCACTCTGTTTAGTGCTTTTGATTTTCATGTTTTTTTTTTTTTAAACAACATAATGGGTTTATATTTAATATAGCACTTCTCATCAGGAGGTGTTACTCAGTTAATATGAAGTTTTTATTAACATTAAATCTCTTTTCCATGTCAATGTCTATAGTGTTTTTTTTTTTCTTTAACATTAAGTCTTTTCTCCATTTCAGTATTAGATACACTGAATACATTTTTCTAAATGATTTTTTTTCTTTCCAGAGATAAAAGTTTCCCTTTTTGGCTGACTATTGGATATCTGAATTTGGGAGATGACAAAAGTCTAATAAAAATACAGAGAACAGACTCAGTGATTTAGGAGGCAGTGATTACGACTGAACAGTGGCGATTTCCTAGGATTCTGGGCAAAATCCATTTATGTACCAATTTGTTCCCATTTCATGGAATCAACTCAGAAAGTAAAACTCTCCTACTTACTAATTCTTGGAAACTTTCAGACACCAAAGCTTACATTTAGTTTCAGTAGCACAAAGGTTTTCAGGGTGAGGTTTCATTCATTAGGCCCTTCAAAGTCACATCTGTTCATTTTTATCTTTCGTGCGTATACCCGCAAGCAAGTACAAACACCTGTAATACTGAGAACCACACCTTTTAACGAGAGAGCAGTTGCATCACTGGCTTCCACTGCCTTGACAGCAGGCAGCACCAAAAGCAGTGACATAAGGACGAAGGACAATTGTGTTGAAACTGAGGTCATGATGTTGGGATTTTGAGGGCTGAATGTTCCAAGTAAGTGGTATATATAGAATTCTCTCTGACTTGAAATTTTCCCTTTCTGGACCTCTGGATGCTGAGGCTAAGAGTGTCCATATGACAGTGTCTTCCAAGACAGGAATCAGCAACCTTTTTTTGTTTTTCTGTATCAGTAATTCATTCTGTATATTTTAAAAAGTTTTAACCTCTTCTTCCTAGCCCTCCAGTATTTGTTTATAAATTAAAACGTTTCCCAAAGTGTTTTCTGTGAAACAATAGTTCTAAAAGGTGCTCTAAGAAAAGCTAAGTACATGGCAAAATCCAAAGTATATGTTTTATTCATTACATTTGATGAATTTTTTTTGTTTTTTCCTCTCGAGAGGGAGTCTTGTTCTGTCGCTCAGGCTGGGGTGCAGCGGCATGATTTTGGCTCACTGCAACCCCTTCCTCTCGGGTTCAAGCAGTTCTCTGCCTCAGCCTCCTGAGTACTCAGCTAGGATTACAGGCGCCCTCCACCATGCCCAGCTAATTGTTGAATTTTTAGTAAAGACGGAGTTTCACCATCTTGGTCAGGCTGGTCTTGAACTCCTGACCTCATAATCTGCCCACCTCGGCCTCCCAAAGTGCTGGGTTTACAGGTGTGAGCCACCATGCCCAGCCCACATTTGATGAATTTTTTTGTCTTTTGTTCTTTTAAAAATCATGGTTGGAAAGCAGAGCATAATTGTTCTTTATGTAGATCCCAACTGATTGGGATTGTTAGGGAGATGTTTTGGCATTCAGTAAATGTTTTTGTTTTCCATTATTAAGACTATGAATATTTTATTTTATTTTCTGAGACAGGGTCTCAGAATTTGTCAAATTTGTAAAATTTATAGCCAGATGTAGGGTAGGGGTGGCCTACTTTCTGTAAAGGGCCAGATAGTAAATATTTTAAGCTCTCAATGGACCCTATGGTCTCTGTCATAGCCATGGGACCTTGCAGCTGTAGTGCCAGAGTAGCCACAGACAATACTACGTCAGCGGGCTGGGGACGTTCATTCTGTAAACTTTATTTATGGACACGAAAAGATGAAGTCCACAGAATGTTTGCAAGTCACAAAATACTGTTTTTCTTTTGATTATTTTTCAATTATTAAAAACTATAAAATACGGTGGCTGGGTGTGGTGGCTCACACCTGTAATCCCAGCACTTTTGGAGGCTGAGGCAGGCGGATCACCTGAGGTCAGGAGTTCGAGACCAGCCTGGCCAACATGGTGAAACCCCATCTCTACTGAAAACAAAAAATTAGCCGGGCATGGTGATGCACCCCTGTAATCCCAGCTCCTCGGAGGTTGAGGCATGAGAATCACTTGAACCTGGGAGAATCGCTTGAGCCTGGGAGGCAGAGGTTGTGGTGAGCCAAGACTCCATCTCAAAAGAACAACAAAACTAAAATACTTTCTCTGTGTTCAGACCATACACAAAAAGGCTGTGGGCTGGGTTTGTCCTGTGGGCTGTGGTTAGTGACCACACACACACACACACACACACACACACACGGCAGAGTCTGGCATTCAGAGCCAGCACCTGTGTTCTCACCTGAGCCGTGTTCCTGGCTGGGTTCTACTCTGTATTCTGTGACTCGAGGTGTCTACCTTGGTAAACTGGAGGCTGTTTTAGTTTGCATTCCCGCTGACAATCTGTCACGTTTCTGTTGCTCTGTGTCTTTGTTAGCACTTGGTGTTATCAGTGATTTTTAGTTGAGCCATTCTAACAAGTCTAGTGGGATCTCATTGTGGTTTTAATTTGCAATTCTGTAATGGCTAACAATGCTGAATATCATGTTCTTTTTTGCCACTCTTGTATCCTCTGTGAGTTTCTGTTCAGATCTTTTGCACAGAAAAAGCTGTATCATGGAACCAGTAAAATAACCAAGGAGAGGTTGATTAAAGTTCTGTTTATAACCCTAGAAGATTCCTGCCCTAGGGATATGGGATGGCTGAACGTAGGACACCGACACTGGACAGATGAAATAGCAGTTTATTAGTCACGCATGCTCACAGCCCTGGGGTGGGGGACACCGCATGCCACACGGGGGCTGCACTTGGGAACAGAGCGAACCACGAGGGGCTGTGGGAGGCACATTTTGTAGTAACAGGAGGGTGAGATGACCTTGCTTCCATGGGAAGATGTGACTGGCTTGTTTGAATAACTCTGGGCCGGCAGGGATGAGCAGGCTGGGGTCGGGTTTCCGCGATAAGGAGGTTGTTTGGCTTTGGGATCTTATCCGTGAGAGCAGAGCTCAGGGGAGACCTTGTGGTTAGGCTATTTGAGGCCTTCTTGATTTTACCAATGTCAAGGCAGCACGTAATATTTAGTCTTAATTTCAGGCCACACGAGAAATTCTTCTGTATCTACTTTCCGTGGCACTTTTCAAAAGGTTTTGTCCTTAGTGTTTAGCAGTTGATTATGATGTGCCTCGTCATGGCTTCCTTTGGATTTATCTTGTGTGGGCTTTGTGCAGATTCTTCAGTCTGCCTGGGTTTATGTCATTTGCTGAACCTAGGAAGTTTTCAGCCATTAGTTCTTTGGATATTTTTTTCAGCATTCACCTTTTCTCTCTTGTTATTAACCTGTGGGGTCTGTGCTAATTCTAGGTAGTTAGTTTCAGAATTGAATTGCACTGTGGGACACAAAGCTGGGTGTCGCAGAGAACTGGAGAATTGCTTGGTGCAAAAGTCCATACATTTGGTGTCAGAAGTGTTGTAAACAGAGGAACTGTTTCCTTCGAGATTTTTAGATAGTCATTATTTGTAATCTGGATGGGATATCATGTCTTTCCCCGATTGAGATACATTTTTCTAATTATGTTGTTAGACATTTAGTCACAGCCTTCTGTGATGGAGTGTGTTTACACTTCAAGGTTAAGGTTAGTTCTCTCTTCTCTTCGCTTACTGTGTAAGGAGTTTTATGACAGTTGTTTTTGACTGAAACTTGACATTGTCAGTGGCCTAAAGTGATTTTTCTCAGCTTTTCCTTTGTGTCCCAGTGCTCTTGAATTATGCCAGCAGTGACAGTGCCCCTGCATAGCAGTGCTTCCCAGTTGGCAGTGGAGTAGGGCCTTGTAAAGAGTTAAAAGATTTTTGAATCATACTCTTGTTCTACACCCTCCCTTTTCCCATGGATACACAAGCACTGAGACTCACTGGATAAAAGCAATTGGTGTGAAATTGAAGTAGGTAAATATGAAAGACTTAAGTTTCTCAGTTAAGAAATGTACTAGGAAGTAGATGGAATATCATTTTGGAAGACATCCTTTAAATAATTTGTTGTATTGGTTTCTTTTTTTTTTTTTTGAGATGGAGTCTCGCTCTGTCACCCAGGCTGGAGTGCAGTGGCATGATCTCAGCACACTGCAAGCTCTGCCTCCCAGGTTCACACCATTCTCCTGCCTCAGCCTCCCGAGTAGCTGGGAATACAGGCGCCTGCCATCATGCTCAGCTAATTTTTTGTATTTTTAGTAGAGACGAGGTTTCACCGTGTTAGCCAGGATGGTGTCGATATCTTGACCTCCTGATCCACCCGCCATGGCTTCCCAAAGTGCTGGGATTACAGGCATGAGCCACCACGCCCGGCCAATATATTGGTTTCTTTATGAAAATTATACTGGATCTGTTACAGGTATGATTGATGTATTTTATTTTTAAGTTGTCAAGCATTCAGTTAATCATGTGTGTTGTAACTTTTCGGGGAGGGACATTTGCAGAGGCTAACGGTATGACATTCTGAAAAGCGGTGACAGATTAAAAAATTTTTAATTCTGCAGATGATAGTGTCGAACCAAGTGGGACAAAGAAAGATCTGAATGACAAAGAGAAAAAAGATGAAGAAGAAACTCCTGCACCTATATATAGGGCCAAGTCAATTCTGGACAGCTGGGTATGGGGCAAGCAACCAGGTGATCTTGCGAATTTTGGCACTTTGGAAAGGTTGATCTGACACTCCCTTTCTAAATAACTTGAATGGATTCTTAGTATTTTTTTGGTAACAATTTTTTAAAAACTAATTAAAAAATTTAAATATTGTGGTAAAATATACATACCATGTAACTTACCGTTTTAACCAGTTTTATGTGTACAGTTCATTGGCATTAAATATATTGACATTGTTGCCCAGCCATCACGCTTGACTAATTAGAGACAGAATCTCACTGTGTTGCCCAGGCCGGTCTTATACTCCTGGCTTCACGGGATCTTCCTGCCTCAGACTCCTGAGTTGCTGAGATTTCAGATGTGAGCCATCGCACCTGGCACTATGTGTAACTTTTTGAGGAAGCAGTAAACTGTTTTCCACAGTGGCTACATTGTTTTACATTCTTGCAGCAGTATACTAAGGTTCCAATTTCTCCACACCCTCACCAACACTTTTTGTTTTCTGATGATAACCATCCTAATTTGTGTGAGTAGGTACAGCATCTCATTGTTTTGATTTGTATTTCCCTGTTGATTAGTCATGCTGAGCATCTTTTTACATGCTTATTGGCCATTTGTATACATTCACTGGAGAAATGTCTATTCAAATCCTTTGCCCGTTTTTTGTTTTTTTTTTTTTTTTTGGGGAGATGGAGTTTGGCTCTTGTTGCCCACGCTGGAGTGCAGTGGTGCAATCTTGGCTCATTGCAACCTCCTCCTCCCAGGTTCAAGTGATTCTCCTGCCTCATCCTCCCGAGTAGCTGGGATTACAGGTGTCCGCCACCGTGCCTGGCTAATTTTTTGTATTTTTAGTAGAGACGAAGTTTCACTATGTTAGCCAGGCTGGTCTTGAACTCCTGACTTCAGGTGATCCACCCACCTTGGCCTCCTAAAGTGCTGTATTACAGGTATGAGCCACTGTGCCTGGCCCTTTTGCCCTTTCTTTTTTTTTTTTTTTTTTTTTTAGAGACAGAGTCTTGTTCTGTCACCCAGGCTGGAGTACAGTGGCATGATCTTGGCTTACTGCAACCTCCACCTTCCGGGTTCACGCCATTCTCCTGCCTCAGCCTCCCGAGTAGCTGGGACTACAGGCGGGCACCACCACACCCAGCTAATTCCATTTTTTAATTGAGTTTTTTGTTTTGGGTTATAGGAGTTCCTTATCATGGATGGACTTTCATAATCTCTTCCCTTTCTCCAACCCAGTAAAACCCATATATTTATTCTTTGCTTACTTTTTTGTGTGTAATTGAATTTTTTAAAATGTCTGATGCATTTTCGTTCCAATTAAAAATATACATCAAATAAATGTTTTCTTATAAAAATGTATCGATTATAAAAGCAGAAATTTCACCTGGCTGCCCACCCCAATTTCAGTTTTCCTCTAAGAGTTAGCCACTATTATCCCTTCAGAGTGGATATTCAGGCTTTTCTTTCCTGGCATGGACATACATATGTAAATGTACATATATAAAAATAATTAGTGACACCATGCATGGTAGCTCACGCCTGTAATCCCAGCACTTTGGGACGCTGAGGTGAGAGAATTGCTTGAGGCCATCAGTTTGAAGCTGCAGTGATCTATGATTGTGCCTCTACACTCCAGCCTGGGTGACAGGGTGAGACCCTGTCTCTTAAAAAAAAATTCGTATTTGGGGTTAGTAGTAGTACCTACCTCATAGGTTATTATGGGATCAGTACAGTAGGCCAGACAAAGTGCGTATGCTATTATTTTGCATGTAGTAAGTACCAGCATATACTACCTGTTATCCAGAAATTTGCTGAAATGTGCCTTGTATTTTCTCTCTTTCGATTTTGATCAGTCTTTCTAGAAGTCATCAGTTTGAGTTTTTTCAAAGAACCAGTTGTTGGTTTTATTGATTTTGTTTGTTTTCTTTTTCATTGATTTCTGCTTTACTCTTTATTATTTCCTTTTTTCTGCTGGCTTTGGGTTCCATTTGTTCTTCTGTCTCTTCTAGTTTCTTAAGGTAAAGGCTTAGATCATTGACTTCAGATTTTTTGTCTTTTCTAACAAGTGTTCAAAACTATAATATAAATTTCCCTCTAAGCATTGTTTAGCCACATTTCACAAATTTGGAAATGTTTATTCATTTTCATCTTCATTCAGTTGAAAATATTTTCTAATTTCCCTTTTAATTTCTTCTTTTACTCACTTATTATTTGGAAATGTGTTATTTCATTTCCAAATATTTGGGGATTTTCAAATATCTCCTGTTAACAATTTCTAAATTAGTTGTAGTCAGAGAACATATTCTGTGATTTCAATGCTGAGGCTTGTCTGAAGCCCCAGAATATGGTGCATTCTGTGGAATGTTTCATGCACATGTAATAAGAATGTGGCTGGGTGCAGTGGCTCCTGCCTGTAATCTCAACACTTTGGGAGGCTGAGGTGGGTGGATTACTTGAGGTCAGGAGTTCGAGACCAGCCTGGCCAACATAGTGAAACCCTGTCTCTACGAAACATACAAAAATTAGCTGGGTGTGGTGGTGGGTGCCTGTAATCTCGATTGCACCCCTGCACTTTAGTCTGGGTGACAAAGCAAGACTACATCTCAAAAAAAAAAAAAAAGTGTATTTTGCTGCTCTGTAAAGCTTAGTGAGATCAAGTTGATAGTGTTCAGGTATCCTTGACTTGAAATAGTTTTCTGCCTGCTTGTTCTAGTCACTGTTAGGAGAGGAGTTGAACTAACACACAAGGTTGGCTTACCACATTAGTTTGACATGAATCTCAGAGATGTTACCCGTAGCTGATTACTTAGTAACTTTAAAGATACAAGTAATATCCTCACTTGTGTGCTCAGGCAAAGTGGGGAGAGATGTGGGAGAGTCTGTGCAACCCCCGCAGGTCCATCCTCTTTGAGCCCGGCCTGCGAGATGAGACCTCTCACTGAGGCGTGTGGTCCTCTCACTGAGGTGTGTCGTCATCTCACTGCACAAGGAGCATTAAGGATGTGCAGTGTTCCCGTTTTGTAGTCAGATAGTTTATACACCTTAGGGAACCTTTTCCAGGGAGCCATGTCCCATAAGTCCATGGATTTTAGGTATGTTTACCAAACACAATCCTAAACTAACCACATCTTGCTAAAAACATTTCATAGATAAGGACACTTCTCCTAGCAAATACCAGTCATTTATTTACAGAGAAGCCAGTCTCAGTGTTCTGGGAGATCAGCCCCAGTGACTGGCTTTATTTCCCAGGAGTATCTCCATTGTGCTGGGGAGGCATGAAGAGCAATTTCACTGCTTAGTTCCTCTTTCTTCTGAGGAGAATTGAAATCTCTCATGCTAATTATGGATTATTTTCTTTCAGCTCTGCAGGTTTTGCTTCATGTATTTGAGAATGTTATAAGGTGCATGCACTTTTAGGATTTTTACGCCATATTCATAAATTTGACCCCCTTAATCTCCGGTGACATTCTTTGTTGTGAAGTCACCTTGGTCTGACTACTCTCCTTTCTTCTGATTTGGTGTTTGCGTGGTGTGTTTGCCAGGTTTAGCTTTTTTCACTTTCAAACTTTGTGTATGTGTAAAGTAGATTTCTTTCAGGTATCATTTAATTAGGTCTTGCTTCTTTATTCACCCTGACAACCTCTGTTTTTTATTTGGAATCTTTAGACTACTTGGGTTTAAATCTATCATCTCTGGCGTTTTCAGTTACATCTTTCACTTGTCACTGCCCACTCTCAAATGGTATTACACTGCCTGAGCCGCGGGGCAGTGCTCTGACTGTAGCTTCCTGCTTCTGACATGTTCTTGGTTGGTAGTGTTGCTGTGTCATGTCCAAGTGAAACATGGTATAAACCCCACAATATGATGTTTTTGTTTTTGCTTTAAATAGGCAATTACATTTTTTCCCCTCAAATTTGAAAAGAGAAAAAAAAGTCTTTTTTTTTTTTGAGACGGAGTTTTGCTGTTGTTGCCCAGACTGGAGTGTAATGGCACAATCTCAGCTCACTGCAACCTCCGCCACCCAGGTTCAAGCGAGTCTCCTGCCTCAGCCTCCCTAGTAGCTGGGATTACAGACACACACCACCGTGCCTGGCTAACGTTTTTGTATTTTTAGTAGAGACAGGGTTTCACTATGTTTGCCAGGTTCGCCTCGAACTCCTGACCTTAGGTGATCCACGTGCCTCAGCCACCCTTAAGTGCTGGGATTATAGGATTATAGGTGTGAGCCACCACACCTGGCCTCTTTTTTTTTTTTTTTTGAGGCGGAGTTTTGGTCTTGTTGCCCAGGCTGCCAGGATGGAGTGCAATGGCATGATCTTGGCTCACTGCAGCCTCTGCCTCCTGGGTTCAAACGATTCTGGCTCAGCCTCCCGAGTAGCTGGGATTACAGGCATACGCCACCACACCTGGCTAATTTTGTATTTTTGAGTAGAGACATGGTTTCGTCATGTTGGTCAGGCTGGTTTCGAACTCCTGACCTCAGGTGATCCACCCACCTCGGCCTCCCAAAGAGCCACCATGGCTGGCCAAAAAAAAGTTTTTTATGTTAACTTTCATTTTACCATTATGGGCCCTTAAGGTTTTGTTTCTGTCCCAGCTACCTTGTGTTATCATGTTCCTTCAGTTTGAAGATCTCCCTTTACCATTTCTAGATTTTCTGACAGAGAAGTTTTTCAGTCTGTCTGGGTATCAATTTTGGCTTTATCTCTGACTCTACACAAATCACTTTGTCTCACCTTGGGCCTCTCATGTATAAAACAGGAATAAGTGGCCGGGTGCAGAGGCTCATGCCTGTAATCTCAGCACTTTGGGAGGCTGAGACGGGCGGATCATGAGGTCAGGAGATCGAGACCAACCTGGCTAACGTGGTGAAACCCTGTCTCTACTAAAGATACAAAAAAATTAGCTGGGCGTGGTGGTGGGCACCTGTAGTCCCAGCTACTCGGGAAGCTCAGGCAGGAGAATGGCATGAACCCAGGAGGTGGAGCTTGCAGTGAGCCAAGATTGCACCACCACTCTAGCCTGGGTGACAGGGTGAGACTCCATCTCAAAACAAAAAAAACAAACAAAAAAAAGGAATAAGTATAATATAATGTAAATAATTAAAATTATATATAAAATAAGTGAAAGTACTTACTCAGAGAGTTGCTGTGCAAATGACATGAAATAATGCATTTGAAGCTCTTAAGTCAGTGCCTGGCACAAATGTTTGATAAAGATTTGTTGTGATTTTAAAAATCTGTTATTTTGCCTTTCTCCATGTTTCCCCTCACCTAGGTATCAAAGTACCTACAGTTATGGGTGGGTAACTAGACTAAAAATGTACCTTTCTTGCTCAGATTAAAGCCCGGCTTATTGACTCAGGGCAGCTTTAATCGGTTTATTTGGAAGCTCTGCTTGTTCACAGGTACAGAGCTTTTGCAGAACCGACTCTGTACCTGGCAGCCTTGAAGGGACTTGGATTCAAAGCATATTCTTGAGCCACGCCATCTTTAATCAAACTGCAGGTGGAATTTGTAGCTGTTAGAATAGCTCCTATTCCTTTCATTTCTTTTTCTGTTTTTTTACTCTTCCATCTCAGCCTAAAAAGAAAAACACGTTAATTTGAGCCATAGGAATTTAGAATTTGTTTTGTCTTTTGCTTAGATATGTTTGACTAAAGCTTCCTTTTTCACAGGTTTATTTTTTCCAACATTTTATTATGAAAAAAATATATACAGAAAAGTTGAAAGAATTTTACAGCGCGCACCCACATATTCACCACCTAAGATTGTGCCGCTGGCATCATCCCACGTGCTTTATCACCGTTCTCTCCACCTTTTCATCCTTCTATTCATCCATCAGTCCCTCACATTTTTTTTGCAATGTTTCCAAGGAGACCTCTGGACACTTGCTTCTCAACATTGCAGCGTGTAGGCCCTCAGCAGGAGTTCAGAAGTGCACATTTCACAGTGAACCTTCTGAGAGTGTTGACAGATCACAGCTTTTCTTTTTGTCTAATGAAAAGGGCTTGCTGGCCATTGGGTGTTGTAATCTCTTAGGAGAGTAAACTCTTAGTAACTATCTAAATCATTCTTAATGATTCTCTCTGCTGTATAAATAGGTCTGGGAGGACCCTTTCTGACATTCTTGTTGGCATAGGTTTTAGCTTAAGGTGTTGTAAATGCTGTTTATCAAGATGATGAAGTTCCCATTTGTTGCTATTTTCTGAGAATTTTTATCATTCACGAGTATTGAATTTTGTCATTTGCTTTTTCTAAATCAATTGATATGTAATTATGTGATTTTTGTTCTTTAGTCTATTAATAGGGTGGGTTACATTGATATTTGACTGTTGAACCAGCTTTGCATTCCTGGAATGAAACTACTTGGCGATGATGTGGAATTCTTTTTATATATTGTTTACTTCTACTTGCTAATAATTCACTGAATATTTTTGTGTCTATATATATATTAAGGTATATTGTTCTGTAGTTTGTACTGTCTTTAGGTACGGTACCTAATATTAGCTTCTTAAAATGCTAATATTAGCTCTAATATTAGCTTCTTAAAATGCTAATATTAGCTCTAATATTAGCTTCTTAATATGAATTGGGAAGTTTTTCCTTTTCTAGTTTCCAGAAGAGATTGTTTTGAGTCTGTGTTAATTCTTTTTTAATGTTTGATGGAATTATCCAGTGAGTTCATTTGGATCTGGTAATTTCTTTTTTTTTTTGGGATTCTTTGAATTATGAATTCAGTTTTCTTGATAGTGGTAGAGCTATTCAAATGATCTATTTTATATTTGGTGAGTTGTGGTAATTTGCATTATTTGAGGAATAAGTCTATTTTGCCCAAGTTGTCAAAGTTATGTGTGTAGAGTTGTTCCTAGTAATTCCTAATTATCTTTTTTCATATCTTTAGAGCCTGTTTCATCACTAATGTTGGGTAATTTATGTCTTTTTTTTTTTTTTCAGTCTTGCTTAGAGAGGTGTGTCAGTTTTATTGATCTTTTCAAAGAACCAGCTTTTTGCTTTACTGTTTATTGTTTTTCTGTTTTCACTTTGTTTCTACTCTTACCTTAATTATTTCTTCCTTTCTGCTTACTTTTGGGTTGATTTTGCTATTTTTAATTTTCTTTTAGGTTGTCAACGTGGGCACTTATATTATTGATTTGTTTCCAAGTTTCTAATGTACCATTCATTTAGTGCTGTAAATTTGTCTCTCGTCACCCACTGTAGCTCTTTCCCATACATTTTGATGTATTGTACTTGCATTTTCTCTCAGTTCACAATATATTTTAAAATTTCCCTTGAGACTTTCTCTTTGATCCATGGGTTATGTAAAAGTTTATTGTTTAGTTTCTGAGAGTTAGGCAATTTTCCTGTAATTGTTCTCTTGTTGACTTCAGATTTGTTCCCATTGTTTGAGGGAACATATGCTGTGTGATTTTAATTTCAAAAAATTTGTTAGGTTTGTTTTATGCCTCAGAATATGTTCTAACTTAGTATTTGTTTTGTGGATACTTGAAAAGATTATGTATTCTGTTATTATTGGCTGGAGTGTTCTATAAATTTTGATTGGCTCTAGTTGATGGATGGTGATGTTGCGTTCTATATCCTGGCAGCTTTTCTGTCTCCTAATTTTATCAGCTGTAGAGAGAGATTTTGAGGTCTCCAACTATAAAAGTATAAATGTCTTTTTCTCCTTTCGGTTCTATTCATTGTTTTTTTGTTTGTTTGGTGTCTGCACGTTTCGAATTGCTGTGTCTTAATGGTGGATTGACCAAGTTCTCATTTTGTAATGTTGCCGTTGGTTCCTGGTAATTATCTTTTTTTTTTTTTTGAGACGGAGTTTCGCTCCTTTTGCCCAGGCAGGAGTGAAGTGGCATGATCTCAGCTCACTGCAACTTCCGACCCTACCAGGTTCAAGTGATTCTCCTGCCTCAGCCTCCTGAGAAGCTGGGATTATAGGCTTCTGCCATCACACCCAGCTAATTTTTGTATTTTTAGTAGAGATGGGGTTTTGCCATATTGGCCAGGCTGGTCTCAAACTCCTGAGATCCACCCACCTTGGCCTCCCAAAGTGCTAGGAGTACAGGCGTGAGCCACTGTGCCCGGCCCTCCTGGTAATTATCTTTGTTCTGAAGTTTACTTTATTTGATATAAATATAGCCAACTCCTGCTGTCCTTTCAGTAATGTTTGCATGATCTTTTTTTTTCTATACTTCTATTTTCAGTTTGCCTGTTTGAAGTCACTTTCTTATGGACAACATATAGTTGGATCATGTTCTCTAGTCTACTCTCCTAGTGTCTTTTAATTGATGTATTTAGATTGTTTACATTTAATTTAATGTCATTGATAAATTGAGGCTTAACACTGCCATTTTGTTTTGCATTTTCTATTTCTTCTGTTTTTCATTTTTTCGGTTTGGTTCTTCCTGGCTCTCTGTGGTTTACTTGACCATTTTTAGCATTCTATTTCATCTGTAGTGTTTTAGAGTGTATCTTTTTGTATAGCTTTTTTAGTGGCTTTTCTAGGTAATATATTACATACAGATTGAGCATCTGTAAACCCAAAATCCAAAATCTGAAATGCCCCAAAATTCGAAACTTTATGGCACTCCAGCATGACGCCCCCAAATTGAAAATTCCATTCATAAGTACTTAGCATGAACTTTGTTTCATGCACAAAATTACTAAGCATGCTATATAAAATTACCTTCAGGCTCTGTGTATAAGTTATATATAAAACATAAATGAATGTATTTAGACTTGGGTCCTATCCCCAAAATATCTCATTATTTATATGCAGATATTCCTAAATCTGATAAAAATCTGAAATTTGGAACACTTGTGCTCCTGAGCATTTTATAAGGGACACTCAGCCTGTGTATGTATGAACACTTATCAGATTTTACCTGATGTTGTCATTTACCAGCTTCAGGGATATAGAAACTACCTCCCTTGATGTTCCTTTATGTTCTTCTGTTCATAATATACTTGCCTTAAATATTTCATTTACTTACATTGATAACCACATATGACAATGTTATAATTTTTGGTTGAACCTTCAGACATAATTTAGCAAAGTCAAGAGGTGAGGGAAAAGTCTATTGTATTTATGCGTTGGTGTGCTTGTCATCTCCTCCTTCCAGAAGTTCCAGGGTTTTCTTCTTTGATGGTTGCCATTCTGCTTAGAGAACTTCCATTAGCCTTTCTTTTGGTGTGGGTCTTCTGGTGACAAATTCTGTTTCACTTCCTCTGAGAATGTTTTGCTTTCCTTTTCATTCCTGAAGGACATTTTTGCTGGATATAAGAATTCTGGGTTAATGGTTCTTTTCATCGCTTGAAAAATATTTTGTACTTTCAGCTGGGCTCCATGGTTTCTGATGAGAAATTCGCTGTCATTTGACTTGTTAATCTACGATAGTTAAGGCACTGTTTTTGTTTAGTGCTTTTGAAATGTTTTGTCTTTTGTTTTTTGGAGTTTGATTATTATATGTCTTAGTTTGGATTTCTTTGGGTTCATCCTGTTTAGGGTTTGCTTACCTTAGATCTGTAGATTTATGTCTCTTGCCAAATTTGGGAACTTGTAAGCCATCACTTCATAGAGTACAGTTTCAGCCCCACCTTCTTTCTCCTGTCCCTTCGTGAGTTCAGTGACCGGAGTTGTTATAGTCCCATAGGTCCCCGAGACTGTTTTTTTGTTTGTTTGTTTGTTTTGCGGGTACATTGCTTTCTTTCTCCCTTCCCGTCCCGTCCTATCCCATCCCGTCCTGTCCTATCCCGTCCCATCCCGTCCCTTCCCGTCTTCGGAGTCTCTGCCTGTTTCCCAGGCTGGAGTGCAGTGCACGTTCTCGGCTCACTGCAACTGCCGCCTCCCTAGTTCGAATGATTCTCCTGTCTGAGCCTCTCGAGTAGCTGGGATTATAGGTACCCGCCACCATGCCCAGCTCAGTTTTATATTTTTAATAGAGATGAGGTTTCACCATGTTGGCCAGGGTGGTCTCAAAGTCCTAACCTTGTGATCTGCCTGCCTCGGCCTCCCAAAGTGCTGGGATTACAGATGTGAGCCACCATGCCCAGCCTATTATTTGGCAGTCTTTAAACTAATGATAATAGGGGTCTTCTGCCTTTAGAAGAATTAGAACTGTGATTTAATTTGCAAATGAAAGTAGGTGTTCTCCAGAGTGGGCAACATTTAGATTAAAATAAAGGTTTTGGTTTTAGATTTCAAGGCCAGCTTGAGATGCTGTGCTGGGTTCCCACAGAGGTGGTTCTGCCTTTCTCCAGGGGTCCTAGGCTTGTAGAGTGGTTTGGTCATGTTAGTAATCTGTGTGGATTCAACTTACCTATGGTATCATAAATGTATACATGCACAGTCAATGTTGTGTACATGTATACAGCAGATTTAGAGATTTATACAGTTTATATGCTGCATAAATATATAGACGTATAGTATAACTGTATCATCAACATTGTCATTTGATGGGTCAAATGAGTCAATACCAAAATATAAAGCGTGGGTAAAAAACTGTGTTACTTTAGTTTTTCCCACCATTTCTGAATTTTTGTTTACTTTTCCTTTCTAGCTTTTGTCTGGTCCTCTGAGCCCCAGTGAGAGTTTCCTGAGGTACCTCACCCTTCCACAAGACAACAGGCTTGCCATTGATCTGCAACAAACGGCGGTTGTTGTCATGGCCCATTTAGACCGTCTGGCTACACCCTGTAGATGCCTCCTCTGTGTAGCTCTCCGACGTCTCATAAGGTGTGTGCAAGAACCGTGTTCTCCATGTGTTTTGTAGCTAGTACCACTTGTAGGTTCTCATCCTGGGCCCGTGTGGAGACTTGTTTTTTCTGGTATTGGTAGGGGGAGCTGGCCTGTGGTTTTTAAACGTGTTTGCAGTTGAAGGTGTTATCCGTGTTGAGAGTGAGTGATGAGCAAGCTGAGGCGCACAGGCCTGGCGACCCAACCTGGGGGCCCGGGTTCCAGGTTCAGGTGGCACAGCCCCAGAGAGCTCCCCTTTATCCACAGCCCCAGGCCCTCCCACCTTCTGCAGGGGGTTCCACAGCCTTCTTCATACTCTGAACGCAGGCTGTCTTAGTATGTCATGCTGGTTATAGTAGTGACAGTATAATTATGTATTATATCTCTTATGTAATAGTAATGGTAGTGATTTGCATGTGTGGAGCACCTGTAGGGTGCAGGCCCGCTGAGGACCTCATGCACGCTGTTGTATCTCATTATGTCAATGAGAAAACTGCCTTTGGGAATGGTAGTGAACTTTGCCAGTGCAGAACAGTAATCCTAGTTTTGAATCCAGATTTTTCTAACATTTTATTTCTAGTATAAAGAGTATTTATTTTGTTTTACAGTCATTAAAAAAAAAAAATACAGTCACATGGTTCAAAAATCAAACCTAGGCAGAGACACACTGTCGCTTCCCCTGCCCACCCCTTCCACCCATTTTCCCACCTGCTCCCTCTGACTTTCCAGTCTCCTCTGTAACCTCCTTGTTCTCTGGCATGAGTACGTTCGTGGTAGCATGCTTCATTACTTGTGTTGCTTGTTTTTTGTTTTTTTTTTTAACTAACCATATATACTGGAGTACCTTATCAGAGTGTCCCTCTTTGTTTTTATAAATCAGCTTAGTCTTCAGTGTGTGGATGTGTCTTTTATCTATCTTTCTTTAGTGAGTCTCTTATTGGTGGACACTTGGGCTTATTGCCACAATGTTGCTATACAAATAGTGCTGAGGGTCGGGTGTAGTGGCTCACGCCTGTAATCCCAGCACTTTGGGAGGTCGAGGTGGGTGGATCACCTGAGGTTGGGAGTTTGAGATCAGCCTGGCCAACTTGGAGAAACCCCGTCTCTACTAAAAAATACAAAAATTAGCGGGGCGTGGTGACGGGTGCCTGTAATCCCAGCTACTTGGGAGGCTGAGGCAGGAGAATCGCTTGAACCTGGGAGGCAGAGGTTGCAGTGAGCCGAGATCGCGCCACTGCACTCCAGGCTGGGCAACAAGAGTGAAACTCCATCTCAAACAACAACAACAGAAAACACAAATAGTACTGCAAGGCCTGGCCTGGAACACGTGTCCTCCATGTGTGCACGCGTGTGTGCCTGTGCACATGCACAGGTGGGGATGGACCTCGTGTGGGCTGGTTGTCACCAGATTGCTCCTGTACATCTTGATTTCTCTCACCACCAATAGGGATGCTGGTCTCCCAGCCTTGTGTGTGGGCTTTTGGGATTTTGCCTGCTAAAGCACAAAGTGGTGACCCCGATATAGTTTGAGCATTTTAAAATATATTAGTATTTAAGGGCCATTTATACTACTTTTTAATGGGCTCTGTTGAAATGCAATGGAAATGGAAAAATAGCCTGTTCAGTTGCTTCATCATACCTGTTAAATGCAGTAATATGGCATGGTACGAGATGGGGTTTCACTGTGTTAGCCAGGATGGTCTCGATCTCCTGACTTCATGATCTGCCCGCCTCGGCCTCCCAAAGTGCTGGGATTATAGGCATGAGCCACCGCGCCCGGCTGATTGGATTATTTTAAAGCATAACTCTGTCTTTAAAACATTTTAAGGTATTTTACCTCTTAATGATAAGGATTTTAAAAAAACCCTACAATATCATTATCCTGTCTATAAGATTAACAGTGATTCCTTAATCTAACATGCAGTCCATGTTACATTTTCCTGGACTATCTCAAAAATGCCTTTTTTAGGTGGTAATTTTGAATTAAGACCTGAGCATGTTCTGCGTATTGGCATTGCTTGACATATGCTTCTAGTCTCTTTCCCCAAACAACATGGCTCCAGGCCCTCTTCTCCCTGTCTCTGATCATACCGTTTTCTTTTTCAAAGAAGCAGGTTGGTTATTTTGGAGAACTTCACATTTTCTGAACTTGGTTGATTGCATTCTCTTATTCTAGACCAACATGTTCTTCTGTTAGTTACATTAATCTGCTGGTTAGATCTAGAGGTTTGGTTGGATTTGAATTCAGTCTCGTTGGGGCGGTGTTATGTCTGGGGTCATGCTGCATGCTTTCTGTTGGCTCAGGAGGCCTGTAATGCTCGGTGGCTCCCCGCTTTAGTTCTGTGAAGCTAGACCAGGGAATTCATGTGTTGCGTATCCTCTATAAAATCCCCTACCAACCTTGCCCTCTGCTGTCTGGTTAGCAGGAGGTACAATTTGTACAGCAAGGACATAATCTAAGCTTGACTTCTTGAACTGCCACCTCCCTTTAACTATTTTTCATAATATTGAGTTGGTATCCTAGCACTTGCATAGGTGACCACCACTCAGGTTTTCTTTTTTTTGAGTATTTTTATGAACTAACAGACTTTTATTGATTTGGTGTTTCTTTTCTTTTTTAGCTTTTTCCCCCTTTAATGTGTAAATATATACATTTAAAGGCATAAATGCCCTCAAGCATGCATTTAGTTGTATGTCACCAATTTCGATCTGCAGTATTTTGATTATTAACTGAACACATTTTCTAATTTTCATAGTCATTTTTTCTTAGAATTTTGGGTTACTTATAAGTGTATCTTGTAATTTTCAAATATGTGGATGAATATTTTTATTTTCTGTGTATACAGAGTCATTTTTATTTTATTTTGAATGAATTTTTGAAAACCTATTTGTAATTTAACTGCATTGTAGTCAGCACACATGCTCTGTAAGTTTATTTCTTTGAAATCTGTTGAGATTTACTCTATGGCCTGGCATGGCCCGATTTGGTATTCATGCTGCCTAGACTTTTTTTTAAAGCATTCTATATTTAACAGAATTTGTATGTGTGGTATTAGTTTCAGAGCTAGGTATGTATTTCTCCCATTGTGATTGTGGATTTGTTTATTTCTGCTTGTAGTTCTTTCACACAGTTTGTTCTTTTCATTTTACCTGTTGATTGATCAATGGACTGATTCTGGTTTCTGTATATACAGAGTCATTTTTTACAGGTCAGAACTGTAGAAATAATGAGAAAGTGACATTTGTACGCATAGCTGATTTGGAGAACCATAATAACGATGGAGGCTTCTGGACTGTGATTGACGGGAAAGTGTATGATATAAAGGACTTCCAGACACAGTCGTTAACAGAAAATAGTATTCTTGGTAAGATTACACTTGTTATTTCCTGGTTAAAAGTTACAGCCTGTATCATTTTAAGCAGAGTATTTGGCTTATAAATGATTCCTTTAGTTTTGTGCCAGCCCCCGCATATTTTAATGTATCTGTGGCTTTGGTGTCTGTCTTATCAACAAATTCAGCACATTCGAAGAATTTCCTTTCATTATGTATCTTTTGTTTTAATACTTGGAACTCATTTCAAGTTCCGAGTTGGCCCAGGCAACCCTGGGAGACAGTGGGAGGTCATTATATTCTGGTAACCCTCACTTTTGAGTTAAGAGCCTAACTTATTTCCTACTCACTATTTCTCCTGTAGCTCTTCAGGCAAGCTGAATTGAACTCATGTTGCTTTTTCCCTTTTTGTTTCAGCTCAGTTTGCAGGGGAAGACCCAGTGGTAGCTTTGGAAGCTGCTTTGCAGTTTGAAGACACCCGGGAATCCATGCACGCATTTTGTGTTGGCCAGTATTTGGAGGTGAGGCTGTATGCCTTGAGTGATGCAGAGGATGGCAGGGGATACCCTCTGTGTGTTTGTGATAGGAATATTTGGATCTAGAAGTACTGATATCTGGGTCTTTTGCGGGGCATTAGGGATAAATATAAAGATCCTTTAGAAGTTTTGTCATAAATGAATTTACATTTATTCATGTTAAGATCTGTGATGTACTGGTCTTGAAAGATTGTTTTTTAAATGATCAATTTGTGAGAAATATAGGCAGTGTTCCACAAGAAAAGAGGTTAAACTTTGGTCTTATGTAGAAATTTGGAATGGCTTATAATCTTGAGGTATGTATTTTTTGGGAAGAACTATGTAGAAGTGTAATTCTTTACAATAGAAATATGTCCTTCCTATGTATTCACGAACACATAGAATTTATATATTGGGATTAGCTTACTAGGTATCGACAAGTAATAAGATGTATTAAATGCCATTAGGGCAGGGCTTAAAACAGTTTATGAAGGGGAGAATTAACTTTGCTGTAAATATCTTCTGTGACTGAAAAAGTTGAACTCTTGCTTTTTTCAGAGTTTGATTTTTGTTAGAATAAATTTCATTTCCTCTACATGTGTGGTCACAGTCCACTAATACTTGTCATCGAATACTTGTCATAGTTTTGTTGCCCAGTGGGTTCTTTATGCATGTAACAATTCATTATACTTTCTGAAGCATGGTGTACAGTCACTTTGGAAACTGATTCCTAAGGAATATTCTAGCCAAATCATGTATCTGTGGTTTAGTTTTTCTACAGTAGGGCTGTGCGGTTGCTGCCTGCTTTATAGGGCATGTGGGTTTATATGGTATCTGCTGTTACTTGGGCACAGCAGCACCAACTCATTACAGGATGGAGGGGCAGAACGCCCAGAGCACCCCTGGGCTCACGTGCGGTACAGCTGCAGGAGAGAGCTGTCCTTTTGGTTTTATGTTTTTAATTAATTCTGTTTCCTCAGATTGATGATTAAATTTATTTTTCCAGCCTGACCAAGAAGGCGTCACCATACCAGATCTGGGGAGTCTCTCCTCACCTCTGATAGACACAGAGAGGAATCTGGGCCTGCTTCTCGGATTACACGCTTCCTATTTAGCAATGAGCACACCGCTGTCTCCTGTCGAGATTGAATGTGCCAGTAAGAAAATCTTTACTTTTTGCTAATTAGCAGATTTTTTTTTTTTTGAACTGTAAGTGCCATTAAGAGTGGGAGAGGGCCAGGCACAGTGGTTCATGCCTGTAATCCCAGCACTTTGGGAGGTTGTGGCACGTGGATTGCTTGAGATCAAGATTTTGAGACCAGCCTGGGCAACATGGCAAAACCCCATCTCTACAAAAAACACAAAAATTAGCCAGGCATGTTGGCACGTATTTGTAGTCCCAGATACTCAGGAGGCTGAGGTAGGAGGATTGCTTGAGCCTGGGAGGTTGAGGCTGCAGTGAGTCATGATCATACCACTGCACTCCAGCCTGGGTGACAGAGCAAGACTCTCTCTTTAAAAAAGCAGGAGATGGCCAGGCAGTGGCTCATGCCTGTAATCCCAGCACTTTGGGAGGCTGAGGCGGGTGGATCACCTGAGGTCAGGAGTTCAAGACCAGCCTGGCCAATGTGGTGAAACCCCATGTCTACTAAAAATGCAAAAATTAGCTGGGTGTGGTGACGGGTGCCTGTAATCCTAGGTACTCGGGAGGCTGAGGTAGGAGAATTGCTTGAACCCAGGAGACGGAGGTTGCAGTGAGCTGAGATCACGCCACTGCACTCCAGCCTGGGTGACAAGAGCGAGACTCGGTCTCAAAAAAAAAAAAGGAGAGGAGGATTCAACACAGTTGATGATGACAAAAAAAAAAATAATAAGGATAGTGAGACTCAATCAGGTAGAAACAGCTGTGAGTGGTTGTCATTTGCCCTCATGGTCTGTTGCTGCAGAGGAAGCTAAAAAGTGTGCAGGAATGTCTACCCGTCTGCCCTTGGTGGTCTCACGTATTGCAGCCTCTGCCTGATGGGCCCAGCATGGCTTTTGTCTCCCTGCATGCCCAGAAATTGCACAGAATGTGGATCAGCTGTCCTCTCAGGGAAGAGCATACTATTTGAGCACTGCGTTTTTACCAGACCAGGCTCAAGTCAGTTATATTTCAGGATGGCAGCCTTTGTAACCACCTAAAATAATAAGCTTCTTTCTGTCTCCTAAGATGTGTTTCCATTTTCCTTCATGTAGTTGTGCATTTCCCATCTGTCTGTCTGTCCATCCATGTGAGCAGCTTCTGTTGAGCATTTGCCTGGTGCCGTTACCATACGAGGTGTTCAGGATACAGTGATAGATAGGACACACCTCTGCTTTCTGGTGCCGTTACCATGCGAGGTGTTCAGGATGCAGTGATGGGTAGGACACGCCTCTGCTTTCAGCTGCTGCTTGTTGATGAGCCACCATTCTAAGCAGGTCACATTACAAGGTGGTGAATGGTGAAATGGAGATGTTCATACATGGTTCTGGGAGAAGAAAGGCTTCACATTGGCAGCAGTCCTGAAATTGCGTGAGAGAGCATTCTGGGCAGAAAACACAGGAGTGTCAAGGGCACTGCTGAGAGGAGCAGGGCTTTCCTGCTGCTTGCAGGAGTGGGTGTGGCAGAGGCTTGCAGGGAAGGAGGATCTTGGTGTCCATACAGCCCCCCGTTGGGCGGACCTTTGTGCAGTGCTAGGTGCTGGGCTGCCTGTGGTGCCCTCTGAGGTGTCTGCTTCCTTCCCTCCTCCTCAAGGCTCATTGCTTGCCAGAAGATGGGCTTTGTTTAAATTGGCAAGGAGGGCAGGGCTGGCGAGCTCCAGGGCAGAGGGTGCCATGGGCCCTGGCAGGTGGGTCCGATCCACAGGAGGATCAGAGGCTTATCTTGGAGCAGTAAGGAGGGGCTGTCCTGTGCTTAAAGAGAGGGGGCCAGAGAGAGTCGGCATTGGATTAGTGTTTCAGAAGAACGAATGTGGTGTGTTGGGGAATGCTCCTGAGTGCTCTAAAATCTAAATGTCCAGTAAAAGAACACTAAGTGCATCCCGCTTTGATTGCTTGGATTTGGAGCAGTATTTGATAACACAGATCGTTAATAGAGATCTGTAGTGGTGCACTCCCTCAAGTTGCCATAAGCAGTTGTAATTAACATTCGCACTGGTTGATCCCATGCCTTGCACCACGCACAGGTCTCCTTTCCAGTCCATCGGCCCTCCCATCTCCAAGGATCTATCCTTCATTACAGATTGTGTGTTTCTTAAATATTTTCTCCTTTTCATTCCTTTATAAGTGCTCTAGGAATACATAGCCTACCCTGAGGATGTAATTCTTTGTAGAAACCCTTCAGATGTGCTGTTCCCTGCCTGGATACTCAGCGTCTGGGTCTTATTCCTCATCTTAGCTCAGTTGTTGCTTCCACAAGTCCCTCACTGACCCTCAGAATAGCGGTGGTCTGTCTTCCAGTCTCCCTGGTACCCCCATAGTCATCTGTTGCACAGTTTCGGACTTGAAATCCTGTGATTAATTGTGTCAGCGGTGCCCTTTGCTGCCTTCCCTGTTAGAATGTGCACCTCAGTCTTCACACGGTACCTGTGGAACCAGGCAGCTGCAGGCAGAGCACAGGTATCCAGAGAATGTTGGACTGGAACTACGATCCTGAGTTCTGATGCCATGCCTGAGGCGTGTGGAATCACCAGAAAGTGTGTTCACGTAGATAGAGGAATTATAAGTCAACCTGTGTAAACATGTTAGGTGGAGCTCTTTCATATGAATGATGCTGAATTTCACCTTCTAAATTGAGTGTTCAGTTGAGCATCTTTTTTTTTTTTTAGTATTTATTTTGAGTTGTGCACTTGAGTTTCTCTTTCATGTTTGCGTGTGCATTTTCTAGAATGGCTTCAGTCATCCATCTTCTCTGGAGGCCTGCAGACCAGCCAGATCCACTACAGCTACAACGAGGAGAAAGACGAGGACCACTGCAGCTCCCCAGGGGGCACACCTGCCAGCAAATCTCGACTCTGCTCCCACAGACGGGCCCTGGGGGACCATTCCCAGGCATTTCTGCAAGCCATTGCAGACAACAACATTCAGGATCACAACGTGAAGGTGAGCTAGGCCTGCCCCCACTGCCACCTCAGTGCTCTGTTTATCTGAGGACTTTGACATAGGAATACTTATGTGCTCTTTGGTTAACACAGCACAGACTTTGTTTCATGTATTATTTGGAGGGTTTTGAGGTGAGAACCTGATTGTGTTAACATGCTAGCGAGGCTTCAGAAGCATTAGTGATTGCAAGTGCGTCAGAAGCTGTGGCATGTTTAAGATTTGTGAAGACTCACTGGGTTTCCCTGAAGTTACTTCCAGCTGTTCCTGTTGCAGGACTTTTTGTGTCAAATAGAAAGGTACTGTAGGCAGTGCCATTTGACCACACCGATCATGTTTCCCCCCGAGCATCCCGTGGAAGAGGTCGGTCGCTTGCTGTTATGTTGCCTCTTAAAACATGAAGATTTAGGTAAGGAGCTCAATATCTTTGTACTTTAGCTACACTGCGATTCCTCGACTAACCTGTGGTACGTATTCATTCCTTCACTGCCCTTCTTTTAAATGTCTTTTTACAGGTCATGTGGCATTATCTTTAGTTCATGCAGGTGCACTTGGTATTGAGCAAGTAAAGCACAGAACGTTGCCTAAGTCAGTGGTGGATGTTTGTAGAGTTGTCTACCAAGCAAAATGTTCGCTCATTAAGGTGATAGATTTTAATTCTTTTTATTCTGTGCTTTGCAGACAGTTGCTGAAATATTTGTTGTTAAAGTTGTCTTTTCCTGGTTAACTTTGCAGACTCATCAAGAACAGGGCCGTTCTTACAAGGAGGTCTGCGCTCCTGTCATCGAACGTTTGAGATTCCTCTTTAATGAATTGAGACCTGCTGTTTGTAATGACCTCTCTATAATGTCTAAGTTTAAATTGTTAAGTTCTTTGCCCCATTGGAGGAGGATAGCTCAGAAGATAATTCGAGAACCAAGGAAAAAGAGAGGTAAGAATGTAAAAGGACAGAAGATACTATTAAAGCTTGTGCTTCACCCTGCCACGTTGGATCTGTGATTTCAGAGTGAAGTTTCTCTACTGTTGATTCCATGTAACATTTCTACCTGCTGCCATCATTTTTATTATAGTTAGGATTAAATACAGACATCTCGCTTATTTTTCCAAATGATCAGACAATGAGGCAGTTTAGGAATTGAGTGTGGTATGATTTGATTACTAGTAAATTGATGTTGAAAACATAAATAATCTTTGCTAAATTGATGGGAACAAGGAAGTACTTTTATTAGTTATCCTGGTAATGAGATATAATGGGAACATTTAAACTTATTGCCATTCTTCTAAAGAAATGTTTTTTGTTTGGAAATATTGAGTATTCTGATACATGAAGAACTATAAAGGGAAGCTAAAAGAGTTACTGACATTTTCCTGGAAGTAGCTGTGTAAGGGTACAGAAAAGTCTTTTTGCATTAAATCCAAATTTGAATAAAAATGCTTAGAAATTATAAAATAGTTTAGAATTTAGTCACTTGTGATTATAAATAAACTACAGAAATTTCTGATTATATCCTTTTTTTTTTTCTTTGAGATGGAGTCTTGGTCTGTTGCCAGGCTGGAGTGCAGTGGTGCGATCTCAGCTCACTGCAACCTCCGCCTCCCAGGTTCAAACGATTCCCCTGCCTCAGCCTTCCAAGTAGCTGGGATTACAGGCACGCGCCACCACTCCTGGCTAATTTTTATATTTTAGTAGAGACGGAGTTTCACCATGTTGGCCAAGATGGTCTTGATCTCCTGACCTCGTGATCTGCCTGCCTCGGCCTCCCAAAGTGCTGGGATTACGGGCGTGAGCCACCGCGCCTGGCCTCTGATCATATTATGACTTATACTGATTTACTCACAAACCTGCTTATTGAACAGTATTGATTACTGACTTTCTGATGGGCATTTTGAACAATAAGCTTATGAAAGACTAAAGTGTGTTAGAAGCCATCCTAATTTGATTGTTCCTGAACAAACCCTACACCATAACAGCCTGTCTGAATGCGAGGGGTGCTCTGGATCAGGAAGTCACAGCAGTCACACTGCTGCGATTCCTTTAACCCAGGCATGCAGGAACTCAGCCTGGGCCCAGGAGACAGGCTGCCTCGGAATGAGGGAGAGAGACTCCACATTTGCCATCTCATATCCGTGGGTTCTGAGCCCACACTGTCACTTTTAGAGTTTCTTGTGGGTTTATAGATTTATCGTGTGGTGTTTCAAGCTGGTTTTCTTTTTTTTTTGGAAATTAAGTAACTTGAAAAGATTAAGTGATTAATATTCCTGTTGCTGTGTCAGGGATCCCCGAGCCTTCTCTCAGGCTTGATGATTCACTAAAAGGACTCAGAAGAGCTGTTATAGTCACAGCTGTGTTTTTACTGCAAAAAGGATACAGATTAAAATTAGCAGAGGGAAGGGTGCATGGAGGGAAGTCCAGAGGAAACTAGGCACACGCTTTGGTGTCTCTCCCCAGTGGCGTCACGTGGATGTGCTTAGCTCTCCCAGCAATAGTGTCACATCATGTGTGAAGAATTGTTAACCAGGCCAGCGCACCTGAGCCTCGAGTCTAGAGATTTTGTTGGGGGCCAGTCACATACGCAGGCAGTGCCCCTGTGACTGACCTCACTCAGGCTCCAGTGCCCCAGTGCAAAAACAAGTGGTCCCTCGCAAGTCCCATCATTAGCATAAACTACCTGGCCAGACCACTGCCACAAGGTCCTGGGTGTCAGGTATACCAAAAAACTTCTCAGGCAGAATGTTCCAAGGGCTCAGAGCTCAGCTCCTAGAAGAAGGACCAATCCTGAAGGGACAGACCTTCCTTGGGAATTTGCAGGGTTTGAGCAACCCCGGCCTGCTATGTTAGCTCTTTACTGCCCAGATGTATTATCATGTTGCTTATTTTTTATATTATATGCTGAGGAGATTTAGACCAAAAATTTTAAAAGAGATAAAGTATAGGGAGGAGATTCCACATATCACAGTGAATTCAGTTGATTCAGTTACACAGTAACAGAACCACTGAACTGGACCAGGGTGGACAAGCCAGGAACTATGGGCCAAATTCTACCTCTTGCTGGCTTTGGGTTGCCCATGGACTAAGACCTTTTTTTTTTTTTCCAGTTTGAAATTGTTATTTAAAAATTAAAAGAAGTATATTATTTTGGCACATGAAAATTACATGAAGCTAAAATTGTAGCACCATAAATAAAGTTTTACAGGAGCACAGCCACACCTGTTGCTTTATCTGTGGTTACTTTTTGTGCTACAGCAGCAGAGTTGAGTATTTGCGACAGACAGCATGGCCTGAAAGACTCAAATGTTCACTCTCTGGCACTTGAGGAAGAGCTTGCTGGCTGCCGGGCTTCCCCTGCTTCGGGGCTTCTCCCCTCGTCGCACTCTCACTTTGTCTTTTTGTTCTGCCAGGGTGATCATTTCACTCTTGTTGTTGAGCATTGCAATTTATAATGTTGTTCAGATGTTTATTTGAATGAAATATTTGTCCTTCATGTAAATCTAAATATGTCTTAATTTAAAATTAATATTTAAGTGTATGATTTTTATAGTGAATGATGTTTTAAAACACAGTTCCTAAGAAGCCAGAATCTACGGATGATGAAGAAAAAATTGGAAACGAAGAGAGTGATTTAGAAGAAGCTTGCATTTTGCCTCATAGTCCAATAAATGTGGACAAGAGACCCATTGCAATTAAATCACCCAAGGTGCGGTATTTTCTGTGATTCTGAGGTTGGCTGAATAGAATCGTAGCATGTAGCACAGGAATCCACAGTCTTGTACCTCTGTACCTGAGCATCTGGAGGGAGGGACGGGCGGTTGTTAGAAATACGGCCCCAGTGATGCTTCATGAACTTGACTTATGATGTCCTGGTCAGAGCTGTAGCTGGAGAAGGGTTTCCTTTTATTTTTGGTATTAGATTGTATCATTAATTATTCACCATTCATTCCTTAAATATATTCTTTGTTCCAGAAACAGTGCTGGGCCCTGTGGCTGTTAATATGAACCATAACTTAACTTAGTATGCCAAGCTAGCCTGTTCCAACATATAGTATAGAGATTATAAATTCACTTATATTTATAGCATAGTTTTAAAAACATGTATTACTAAATTTAACGTATTTTAACCAATTTAAACCCATAAGCATTATTTATATTTTACTTGAATAACTTTTAGAGCACAGTTTATTATTAAATAGGGTAGACTAATGATGAAAATTGTTTTCCTTTGTTAGGACAAATGGCAGCCGCTGTTGAGTACTGTTACAGGTGTTCACAAATACAAGTGGTTGAAGCAGAATGTGCAGGGTCTTTATCCGCAGTCTCCACTCCTCAGTACAATTGCTGAATTTGCCCTTAAAGAAGAGCCAGTGGATGTGGAAAAGAGAAAGTGCCTACTAAAACAGGTAACATTTGATGAGAAATGCTTCTCTGCATTGGGTAATATACATAACACTTAACTGTATGCATTGATATTTTGCAGTTGGAGAGAGCAGAGGTTCGCCTGGAAGGGATAGATACAATTTTAAAATTGTATCTGGTGAGCAAGAATTTCTTACTTCCATCTGTGCCGTATGCGATGTTTTGTGGATGGCAAAGACTTATTCCTGAGGGAATCGATATAGGGTAAAATGTTAGCATATTTTTTTCTTAATTAAGGAAGCTGTGGCAACAGAATGTTTTTCTGTAACAGTTAGAAGTCTGGCAGTGTCCCGAGTCAAATTCTTTATCTTTATTTGAAAGGGAACCTCTTACTGATTGTTTAAAGGATGTTGATTTGATCCCGCCTTTTAATCGGATGCTGCTGGAAGTCACCTTTGGCAAGCTGTACGCTTGGGCTGTTCAGAACATTCGAAATGTTTTGGTGGATGCCAGTGCCAAATTTAAAGAGCTTGGTGAGTCAATAATTGTATCAATGTTATTTTATAGTTTGCCTTTAATTATATGTTGTGGAAACTTGCAAATGCCAATTTTTGCTTTTGAGAAGACTTTAATAAGTTTGTACTTTGTACTTGTATAATCTATGCTGCTGTCAGCTTTCTCAGATTTTAAACAAAACTTTAAAATTTAGCAGGAGACACAATGTTGAAGTACTCTAGTATAACATTTTTACATTTTGACATTTTTATGTGTATCACCACATATCCTAAAGTGTCTGTGTCCTATATTGATATTTATTTCCTGGATAGTTTGAGCATCTACAGAGAGTTGATTGGATTGGTTTTGTGGAGGAAAAGTGAGACATAACTTTTATATTTGAAATGGAAGGAATGGAATAGGGCACCGGTGTATTCAGAGAGCAACATACTAAGTCCTGTAGACAGATGGAACGACCTGTGCATAGAATGCAGGGGGTAGGCCCATCGTGCAGCATGACAGAGCTGCCCACTCTGTGGAAACCACTGAAAAATAGTCAGATGTTTAGAGTAATCGCCCGTGCCTTCTGCATTACGTTTATGCTTGTATCCATGCGAGAGAAATGTCAGTGGGTGTCAAAATAGTCAGATGATTAGAGTAATTGCCCATGCTTTCTGCGTTACGTTTATTCTTGTATCCACGCACAAGAAATGTCAGTGGGTGTCAGTGCTTATTAGTCAGATGTTTAGAGTAATTGCCCGTGCTTTCTGCATTACATTTATTCTTATATCCATTACAAGAAATGTCAGTGGGTGCCAATGCTCACTAGGTATCCAGCCGGTTCCCCTGCAAACCATCACCAATGAGAACCCATCGGGACCGAGCTTGGGGACCATCCCGCAAGCCCACTTCCTCCTGGTGATGCTCAGCATGCTCACCCTGCAGCACAGCGCAAACAACCTTGACCTCCTGCTCAATTCCGGCACGCTGGCCCTCGCTCAGACGGCACTGCGCCTGATTGGTAGGTCTGCACTGGCTTGAGAGCCTTTGGGAAAACGTCAAGATTTTGCTTTGATTTATTTTCTTTCTTTTTTTTTAAAAAAGCTTTTTGTAAATTATGGTAAGACACAAATAGCAGAAAGTGTAGCATTTTAACGTCGCAATTCAGCGGTATTAAATACATTCACAATTTTCTAGAGTCATCACCACTGTCTAGTTGTAGAACTTTTTCATCACTATAAATGCACCCCATTTAGCCATCAGTCCTGACTCCCCTGCTCTCCAGCCCCTGGTAGTCACAAATCTGCTTTCTCTGTCTATGGATTTGCATATCCCGGATATTTCATATAAATGGAATCATACCATTTGTGGCCTTTGTGTCTGGGTTATTTCATTTGGTATATATCAGTACTTTATTTTTATGGCTGAAAAAGATTTCATTGTATGAATATATAACATTTTGTTTACTCATTTATCTGTTGATGGACATTTGGGTTGGTTTTGCCTTTTGACTTTTGTGAATAGTGCTGCTAGGAACATTTATATACAAGTACTTGTTTGAACACTTGTTTCTAGTTCTTTTGATTATACACCTAGGACTGGAATTACAGGGTCATATGGTACAACTATGTGTAACTTACTGAGAAACTACCAAAGTTTTCCACAGTGCCATATCATTTTTACATTCCCATCACCAGTGGGCAGGATTCCAGGGTTCCAGTTTCTCTGCTTCCCTGCCAACGCTATTTTTTGTGGTTTTCTTTTTTTTTTTGGATTAAGGCCATCCTAGTGGGTGTGAAGTGGTATCTCATTGTGATTTTGGTTTGCATTTCACTAATGATGAATGACATTGAGCTTCTTTACATGTTTGTGCTTGTTGGCCATTTGTATATCTTCTTTGGAGAAGTGTCTATTCAAGTCCCTTTCTCTTTATTTTTTATTTTATTTTTTTGAGACGGAGTCTCACTCTGTCGCCCAAGCTGGAGCGCAGTGGCACGATCTCGGCTCACTGCAACCTCCGCCTCCCGGGTTCAAGCACTTCTTGTGCCTCAGCCTCCCAAGTAGCTGGGATTACAGTCACACACCACCACACCTGGCTAACTTTTGTATTTTTAGTAGAGATGGGATTTCGCCATGTTGGCCAGGCTGGTCTGGAACTCCTGACCTCAGGTGATCTGCCTGCCTTGGCCTCCCAGAGTGCTGGGATAACAGGCGTGAGCCACTGCGCCCAGCCCCTTTCTCCTTTTTAAATAGGGTTATTTGTCGTCATCTTGTTGTACCAATAAATGCACTATATAAGTGTATCAAACCTTTAAAGAAGAATTAACACCAGTCCTCAGACTCTTTAAAAAGTTCGTGTATACTAGACCTTCACAGATCTGTAGACCTTTATCAGGTATATCATTTGAGGGTATTTTCTCCTGTTCTCTGGATTGTATTCCCTTAGATAGAGAAGTTTTTTATTTTGATGAAGTTCAATTTATCTGTTTCTCTTTTGTCGTCTATGCTTTTGATATCATATCCAAAAAGCCATTTCCAAACACAAGGTTGATGAAGATTATCCTCATGTTTTCTTCTGTAAGTTTTATCGTTTCAGCTCTTATATTTAGATCTTTGGTCCATTTTTAGGTAATTTCTTTTACACAGTGTGAGGTAAGAGTCCAGCCTTTTTCTTTTGTTGATCTGATTGTTTCAATACCACTTGTTGAGGACTGTTCTTTCCCTGAAGTTCTGGGTACCCTTGGCAAAAATCAGTTGGCTGTGGATATTTAGGTTTATTTCTGGACTCTCAATTACATTATCACATTCTATATGTTGATAATTGTGCAGGTACCGCCCTGTTTTGAACATTGTAGTTTTGTACTGTTTTAAAATTGAGAAGTGTGTTTTCTTTCTCAAGATGATTTTGGCTACTTTGGGTCCCTTGCATTTTCACATGAACTTCAAGGCTGGCTTTTCCATATCTGCAAAAAAAGACCATTGGGATTTTTGCTAGGGATTGAATCTGTAGATTGTTTTGGGGAATAGTGCCATTTTAACAATGTTAACATCCATTCTCTGAATGTGGAATGTCTTTCCATTTATTTCTGTCCTCTTTAATTTCTTTCAGCAATATTTTATTGTTTTACAGTTATCAGGGTAATAATGGCCTCATAGAATGAACTAGGTAGTGTTCCCATATATTCTGTTTTTAGAAGAGTTTGAGGATTGGTGTCAGTTCAGCTTTAAATGTTTGGTAGAGTTGACCACCTAAGCTTTTCTTTGTTGAAAGATTTTTTTTTTTTTTTCTTTGAGACGGAGTCTCACACTGTTGCCCGGGCTGGACTGCAGTGGCGTGATCTCGGCCCACTGCAAGCTCCGCCTCCCGGGTTCACGCCATTCTCCTTCCTTAGCCTCCTGAGTAGCTGGGATTATAGTCGCCAGCCACCACGCCCGGCTAATTTTTTGTATTTTTAGTAGAGACGGGGTTTCACTGTGTTAGCCAGGATGCTCTCGATTTCCTGACCTCGTGATCCACCCGCCTCGGCCTCCCAAAGTGCTGGGATTACAGGCGTGAGCCACGGCGCCTGGCCTGAAAGATTTTTAATTACCGATTCAATCTCTTTACTTGTTATGGCTCTATTCAGATTTTCTATTTCTTCTTGAGTCAGTTTGGGTAATTTATGTTTCTAGGAATGTGTCCATTTTATCTAGGCTATTTTATTTGTTGGCATACAGTTGTTCACAGTGTTCTTTTATAATCTTTTTTATTTTTATGTTGGTAGTACTGTCTCCACTTACATTTCTGATGTTAGTTATTTGCATCTTTTCTCTTTTTTTTCTTTTTTTTTTTTTTTTTTTTTGAGATGGAGTCTCACTCTGTTGCCAGGCCAGAGTGCAGTGACACAGTCTTGGCTCACTGCAACCTCCGCCTCCCGGATTCAAGTGATTCTCCTGCCTCAGCCTCCCAAGTAAGCTGGGACTACAGGCGCCTGCCACCAGGCCTGGCTAATTTTTTTTGTATTTTTAGTGGAGATGGGGTTTCACCATGTTGACCAGGATGATCTAAATCTCTTGACCTTGTGATCCGCCCACCTCAGCTTCCCAAAGTGCTGGGATTAGAGGCGTGAGCCACCTTGACTGGCCTCTTTTTTTCTTAATTTACCAAAAGTTTGTCAGATTTTTTGTTCTTGCCAGAAACCGAACTTTTGGTTTTGTAGATTATTTTTCTATTCTCTATTTAATTTATGGCTGCTCTAATCTCTATCGTTTCCTTCTTTCTGCTTTGTATTTTTTTGTTTTTGTTTTTGTCTTTGTTTTGAGACAGGGTCTTACTTTGTCCCTCAGGCCCAAGTACAGTGGCGCACTCATGGCTCACTGCAGCCTCAACCTCCTGGGCTCAAGTTATCTACCTGCCTCAGCCTCCCAAAGTGCTGGGATTACAGGTGTGAGGCACGACACCTGGCCTAACTTTGGTTTTTATTGTGTTCTTATTTTTTTAGTTCTTCCAGATGTAGAGTTATTGATTTGAGATCATCTTTTGTAAATGCAGACTTTTATAGTATAATTGCCCCTTTTAGCCCTGCTTTTGGCCCAGCACAGAAGTTTTGGTGTGTTGTGTTTTCATTCATCTCATAGTATTTTCTAATTTCCCTTGTGATTTCTTCTTTGACCCACTGATTGTTTACCATGTGTTGTTTAATTTTCATATACTTGTGAATTTTCCACTTTTGTTATTAATTTCTCATCATTTCCTTTTGGTTGGAGAAGGTAACTTGTATGATTTTCGTCTGTTTAAATTTGAGACTTTGTGGCCTAACATATGGTTTGGTCAGTCTAAGAGAGTAGTCCTGTGGTATACTTGAGAAGAACGTGTATTCTGCTCTTTTTGGTGAAATGTTCTGTATATGTCTATTAGATCTGATTGGTTTATGGTGGTGTTCTTTGGCTAAAACTGAGATGCTGCAGGGCCAGTTGTCAAAGTCACAGTGAAAAAGCAAGGTTTTCCCAAGCTCTTATAATCACATCAGTTTTAGAGTTCACATTAATCCATTCAAAAATATGTATCAGGCCAGGCTGTAATCGTAGCACTTTGGGAGGCTCAGGCGGGTGGATTGCTTGAGCTCAGGAGTTTGAGACCAACTTGGGCAACATAGCGAAACCCTCTCTCTACAAAAAATACGAAAACTAGCTGGGCATAGTGGTGTGTGCCTGTGGTCCCAGCTACCTGGGAGGCTGAGGTGGGAGGATTGCTTGAGCCAGGGATGCAGAGGTTGCAGTGAGCGGAGATCAAGCCACTGCACTCCAGCCTGGGCTCCAGCCTGGGTGACAGAGTGAAATCCTGTCTTGGGGGTGGGTGGAATCTTTCTATCTATCTGTCTGTCTGTCTGTCTCTCTCTCTCTCTCTCTATATATATATATATATAATTATTTTTTAATTTATATATTATGTTTATATGTTGTATTATGTTAAATATATATTTTAATATGTGTATTACAGCTGAAAAGAATCATCTAGTAAGGGTTATATCTGATTTCCTGAGGCCTCATTAGCAACCAAAAGTTGCATTTAAAAATTACAAAAGCATATCTCCATCGAGAAATGGCCTTTTTATGTTGTCTACTTTTCCCCCAGAGGTTCCAATAAGTAAAAATCACAGCACAAATCATTAAGTATGGGGACTTGTTCTGTTGATAATATTCATGTGTTTAAATTTCATCTGGCCCACTGGCTGCAAAAAGCAAGGAAGTTGTGTCTCATGAATATCCGTCTATATTTGCAGCTTGCCCTGATCAGGGTATCCTTCTTATCATTTAAGAAATTATAAACATATAATATTTTATACCAGCTTAATGTATACATCCACATGTAACAGCCACAAAACATAAAGCTATGTAAAATAAAAAAAATTCCCCCCGGTTTTGGTTGCAAATTTATTCAAGCCCTTAGCAATAAATTCAGTCTTTACAGAGTTAACAGTATAGCTGCCCAGGGGATCCTGGGAGATCCACCTGGAATGCAACTCCTGTCCCTTCCTTGGGGCCCCTTCCTGGGGGCCCTAAAGTAGCGGCTAGGCTAAAGGAAAGGCTGTTTCTCCTGCTAGTTTATCTAAAGTTTTGCTCCAGCCCTGGGAATTGAATATCCTTTTTTGTTCTCTTGGAAGAGAGAGAAACACAAACTTTTTACATTTTTTGGTCCACCCCAGCCCACCTTTGGGACTGTTTGGATCTTTTTCCCTCCCACCTGGAGGAGAAAACTAAAATCAAGGGAGTTACCAGAACCACACTCCTACCCCCTCTCAGTTTAGCAAGTGGGAAAAGGGGGGTTAAAAATCTAGCCTACTCTCCTAGGGTTAGCGCTCCTATTTTCAGATCCATTGGGAAGTTTTACTTCTCTCAGGTGACAGCAGCTCGGCTTCTGTTTTGTGCTATGGATGACTCTGTAGCCACCCAGGGCACCAATTGTCAGGGGTCTCCAAGACCACCCCCAGGTTTGATGGTTGGCCAGGAGGACTCACAAGACTCAGCATGTAGTTGTACTCAGGGCTATAGTTTATTACAGTGAAGGGACACAGAGCAAAATCATGAAAAAGGACATGGGTAAAGTCCAGAGGAAAGCAGGTACAAGCTTCCACAGGATCCACACAGGACGAGCTTAACTGCCCTGGCACCGAGCCGTGTCAAGTGCTGTCTGCCGGGAAGCTGGGTAGAGACTCCAGGCCCACGGTTTCCATCAGGACTGATCACACGGGCACCCCCTGCCTGGCGTGTACCAAGTTCCAGACTAAGGAAAGCAGGTTTCAGCACAGACCACATTGTTTGTACAGACAGTTCAGGCACAGGGAACCACACCTACCACCTAGGGAATGGGGGAGCCCTCCTGAGATCCAGACTCCAGCTGAGGGCCAGCCTGCAGCAACCCTGTCTGAGGTTGTATCTCGGGCCAGCTGTTAGCTGTCTTCTGCACAGAACCATGATTAAAGTTTGTTAGTTTCCCACTGTTAGATATTTAGGTAGTTATCTTTGTTTTTCTATTAATAAAAAATGTGATGAGGATCTTTCTAACTCAGTTATTTTGCTTTTTTCAGGGGAGTAATTCCTAGAAGTAGAGAAAGTAGCTTTACTGAGCATTTTAATATCTTTTATATCTTCCTAGGATATTTATGTATTTCATCCTTCCGTTTATCTTCTTTTTATCCTATATCAGTAAAATATTCATAATATTATATTGATAAAACATATAGTATGGATTGTTCAAAATTACGATCTTCATTAGTACTTTGTGAATGTTTTGTGTGTATTAAGGGGACACTGTAGCTACTTGTTGGCTCAGCTATTGTTTTTGACGCTCCGTCAGGCCCCAGTTGTGACAGCGTTGAGGAAGATATGAATGCTTCTGCTCAAGGTGCTTCTGCCACAGTTTTGGAAGAAACAAGGAAGGAAACGGCTCCTGTGCAGCTCCCTGTTTCAGGGCCAGAACTGGCTGCCATGATGAAGATTGGAACAAGGGTCATGAGAGGTGTGGACTGGAAATGGGGCGATCAGGTACTCAGAGATTTGATGTGAACACATTAGCCACACATTAGTTATCTTCTGCATAGTTCTGTACGATATTGGTGGGTGGAAATTGGAATAATCCAGGATGTGTCAGTTGATCGATGACACAGGTGTTGGTTCCCGAGCAGCTGAAGGGAGTGAACACAAACAGGGAATCATAAGTAGGGCATCTGAGCAGAATCAAGTCTGGAAAGAGAGGCAGCTCTTTTCAGGAAACTCACTGGCATGAGGCTCAGTTTGATGGGTCACTGGAACAAGAGTGTGAGAGTGAGCAAGAGAGTAAATCTCATTCTGAAAGTTGGTGTAGTGAAGGCTCTGAGGCAGGAAGCCCAGATGCTGCCCCTGTGGGCTGATGGCCATGTGCTGCGAAGTGCCCTGAAGCCAGTAGTTAGGGATCTACTTCATGGGCCTGTGGCCACGTTTCCATCTTCCCTCATCGCAGATCTCTTCTAAATCTCTGCCAGGTGCCCCCAGGTGGAAGTCACTTACCACAGCCCTAGCTAAGTTAGGGCAGTGTTCACCTTCCCATGGTCTGTCTGGCTTTTCTCAGCCACGCTGGTAAGCCCTGGCTTTGTCACAGTCATCTTAGAAATAGCAGTGTCTGGAGACAGCATCCATCCTAGAAACAGCTTTCTCCTGCAGAAGTGAGAGACAGAGCTTCCCCCTGGGGCCCAGGGGAAACTGAAGCAAAGGGAATGTGGAGGTGCTGGTGCTTGTTTCAGGTTTCCGCTCTTGCAAGGCCCGTGAGGGATTGTGGGGACAGGACTTGCTGCAAAGCCCTGTCTCTGCATTGACTCAGAGGATCCTCATTGAGATGAGATTTCCCCGACTTCCTTGGTAAAGCAGCATGAGCACGTTATTTTATGCCATTTAATTTAAAATGATGCAAGCACACATTTTGTAGGAGAGGTGAAATCTGTGTCTGGGGACAGCCCCTGACAGACAGGGTGGCATATGGCGACATCTGTGTGGCAGGTCTGGTGGGAGCCATGGAAGGACCAGGGCAGGGCACGCACCCTCCTAACTGAGGTCTGGTGGGAGCCATGGAAGGACCAGGGCAGGGCACGCACCCTCCTAACTGAGGTCTGGTGGGAGCCATGGAAGGACCAGGTCAGGGCAGGCACCCTCCTAACTGAGGTCTGCTGGGAGCCATGGAAGGACCAGGGCAGGGCACGCACCCTCCTAACTGAGGTCTGGTGGGAGCTATGGAAGGACCAGGGCAGGGCACACACCCTCCTAACTGAGGTCTGCTGGGAGCCATGGAAGGACCAGGGCAGGGCATGCACCCTCCTAACTGAGGTCTGCTGGGAGCCATGGAAGGACCAGGGCAGGGCACACACCCTCCTAACTGAGGTCTGCTGGGAGCCATGGAAGGACCAGGGCAGGTTACGCACCCTCCTAACTGATCTCTACTTTGGCTTTCTCAGGATAGGCCTCCTCCAGGCCTAGGCCGAGTGATTGGTGAGCTGGGAGAGGACGGGTGGATAAGAGTCCAGTGGGACACAGGCAGCACCAACTCCTACAGGATGGGGAAAGAAGGAAATTACGACCTCAAGCTGGCAGAGCTGCCAGCCCCTGCACAGCCCTCAGCAGAGGATTCGGACACAGAGGACGACTCTGGTGGGTGACTCAGGAAGGTGTTTAGTCCAAGGCAGCCTACAAACTGTCCAGTTGCTGGGTGCTGCCACTGCCATCTGGGCCTTAGAATGGGATGTCAGGACACACCTGCAGCTGGCGCTCTGTCCTCGGAACCTGTAATTTAAATAAGCTCCCAGGCACCTCCGATGCAGGTGTGTGGAGTGACTGTGGGATCCGGCGATCTGGCTGGAACTGACTTTCTGCATTTTCCTCTCATGTGTGCACCCGCCCCTCTTTGAGAATGTGGTGGCCAGGTGGGGGCAGCTGCATCACCAGTGAGTCTCATGTGGTTGGTGCTGAGCCTGCATCTGAGCGAGTGAGCCGAGGCCTGGTGGAATTGCCCTGCGGTCTCGGTCCATCGCGTCCTCCTCCAGTGAGAGCCCCTGCCCAAGCACACCCCACCTGCCACCTGCCTTTACCTTTCCTCTGTGGTCCCTGACTCTGAACTCTTCATGTAATGTGGAGTTAGTCAGCACTTTATCGCTTCTAGGGAAGCAGAGGTGAGAATTTAGGGGTGGACCAAGAAAGCTAGATCCTATCTGTGGAGATCCAGGTTGTGGGAGGAGGTTTCATGACATTTCTTAGCTGTTCCTAAAACACGTGAAGCTTCACATGGTTGGGCTTGGTAAGACCATCCAAGAGGCTGGGGCTGCCAATATAATTTGTAATTTTGATTATTTTTTTTAGAAGCCGAACAAACTGAAAGGAACATTCACCCCACTGCAATGATGTTTACCAGCACTATTAACTTACTGCAGACTCTTTGTCTGTCTGCTGGAGTTCATGCTGAGATCATGCAGAGTGAAGCCACCAAGACTTTATGCGGACTGCTGCAAATGTTAGTGGAAAGCGGAATGACGGACAAGACATGTATGGAATGAGAGATCGAGGGCCCAGGGAGTCAGCGCTGGGGGCCGCACACTTGTCGTGTCTGGGTGTGCATGTGGGTGGGTGTGGATGTGTGTGGATTCCTTTCCTGTGGCTGCTGTAACAAAGTATACAAACTTGGGGACTTACACAGTAGAAATTCTCACGGTTCTGGTGGCTGGAAGGCTGAGATCAAGGGTAGTTCCTTCTGGGGCTGTGAGGGAGAAGCTGCTTCAGGGCTCTGCCCCAGCTTCTGGAGTTTACTGGTCTCTTTAGCGTTCCTCGGCTTGTAGAGGTGTCACCCCTATCTCTGCCGTCATCTTCACATGGCATTCTCCCTGTGTGTGAGTCGCCTCCAAATCTCCCCTTTTCATGAGGACATCATTCAACCTCATCAAACTGATTACATCTGCAGCGACCCTATTTCCAAACAAGGTCACCTGCCAAGGTACGGTAGGGGTTAGGGCTTCAACATACGAATTTTGCAATTCTGAATTCAACCCGTAACACTGGCTTCAAACAACAAATTTGTTCTCTCAGAGTTCTGGAGACCAGAAGTCCCAAATCCAGGTGCGGGCAGGGCCATGCTTCTTCCACAGGCTCTAGGGGAAGGTCCTTCCTTACTTTGTCCAGCTTCTGGGAGCTCCAGGCTTCCTTGGTGTTGGGACGCATTGTGCCAGTCTCTGCCTGCGTCTTCACATGGCCCCTGCCCCTGTGTTCTGCATGTCCTTTTCTGTCTCTGAAAGGACTCTTTCATTGAGTTTCTTTGACTCTAATCCAACATGATGTCACCTAAATTCTTACCTTAATGACGTCTACAGAGACCTCATTAAATAAGATCATATTCTGAGGTTCCGAATGTATGTGAAGTTGGAGGACAGGCACAGTTTAATCCATAAAGTGTTTGTGTGTGTGGAGAGTAAGTATGAGAAATGTGAGCTGAGGGAGTGGGGTGAGTGTGCATGTGACTGAGAGTGAGCACATGTGAGTGTGGGTGGGTATGTGGGCGTCCTCCAGTGTGTGTGAGAGCATGCGTGTATTAGTGGTGTGCTGGAGCGTCCGCACATATTGATGAGAGTGAGTGTGTTAGCGGTCGATGGGCAAGTGGCTGAGCGTTTGTGTTGCAAGTGTGATGGTGTGTTTGTAGCATGTGGTTGTGTGGGTGTGTGTATGTCCATGAGAGCATGTGAGTGGGCAGGTGACTACATTCAGGTGAAGTGGGAGTGAAAGCGTCGGTGCATTGAGCCAATGTGTGTGTGTGAGGGTGAGCACGAGAGAGGCATGAGTGTGAGTGTGAGGGGATTACTGGGTGTGCGAATGAGACACCCAGTGTAAGTGTAAGTCAGTGAGGGTTGGTGAGTGTGAGGAAGTATGAGTGGGTGGCAGGCACAAGTGTAAGTGTGCGATTGAGTGTGAGCATTTGTGTAAATGTATGAGTGCCTTGTGTCAGTGTGAGCACGAGTGATGTTATTGTGAATGCGTGTGAGTGAATGTGAGCATTTTGCTTGTGTCAGTGAATGGGAGGTTATAACAGTATAGGTGTGAGTGTAAAGTGAGAAAGTGTGTGGGTAAAGGTGTGAGTGGGTGAGTAATCGGTCATTACTAGTGTTGAGGAGTGTGAGTGCATATGTGAGTTTTTGTATGCATTGGGAGGGGTAAGTGTATGTGAGAGTGCATGGGAGTGTGTGTCAGCTTGCATCTGTGCATACGTGTGACTGGGATTGTGTGTGTGTTAGTGATTGCGACAGTGGTGTGAGTGCACCTGAAAGTGTGAGGGTGGGTGTATGAGTGCCCATGAGTGTGTCTGAATAACTTAGTATCAGTGTGAGTGTGAGGATGCATATGAGGGTGTGAGAGTGAGTGTGTGTGTGTGTGAGCGCATGTGAGTGTGCTGAAGGAAGGCAGGTGTCCTCATAAGCTTGGATAGCTGAGGGCAGGGTGGGGGAGGTGGGAGGGAGAGCAGGTCCTGTGGGGCTGTGGGCGGGGTCCCTCAGGGGGCCCAGCCTCCAAGCCTCAGCTTCCATTCAGGGAGTAGTGGAGTCCTGGAGCCAGGCGGAGCAGAGGTGGGCCCACTGGTGCCAGAATCCAGTGGTGTAAACCTAGTGAAAAACTCATTTTGTTAATGCAGATGCATTAAACTTGGATTGGAAACTGTCTCTACTAAAATTACAAAAAGAGTATTTAAGTGGTGCAGATTAAATATAACCAAGATTGTGGAGATATTTAAAACACGAAATTAAAAATATAATAGATGCACTGTTGCAAATTACTATTTGAATTATAGATCATTTTCCTATTGCCTAGAAACAATACATAGCTAAAATTCCCTAACTACTTTTACGACACATATTTAGAAGGTTTTAAAAATGTCTGTAGTCCCAGCTATTCGGCAGGGCAAGGCAGGAGAATCACTTGAGCCCAGGAGTTTTAGACCAGCCTGGGCAACATAGTGAGGGCCCATCTCTAAAAAAAACAAAAAAAAAGAAAACTTCGGAAATGTTTCTTGAACTAACTTAAAAGCCGCCTTCCACTTCTCACTTTGAATTAGTTTGAATTAATTTACAAACTGCAATATATTTTAAAGGAGCTTATTGTAGAAAATAAGTTGATAAAAAAATAAGGATATATCTTTAGGGATTTGTCTTTAGGGACTTGTTACCAAGCATGTCTATTTTCCCTCCCGCCGCTTCTCCAAACAGGCTGGTGTACAGGGAGCAACACCGGAGCTGGTGCACGCTGGGGTTTGTGCAGAGCATCGCTCTCACGCTGCAGGTGTGCGGCACCCTCAGCTCCCTGCAGTGGATCACGCTGCTCATGAAGGTCGTGGAAGGGCACGCACCCTTCACTGCCACCTCGCTGCAGAGGCAGGTAATGTGCTGCCAGGCAAAACCAGTTCCCTGAGAGAGGCCTCCATGTACTGAAGTTCCCTGCCCTCAGAGTCAGGGGCCTTTATTCCGTAACGAGTGCAGAAAGGGTCTAGAAGTGACAGGGTAGATTTTCTGGAGGCAAGGGGCAGAGGTCCTTGATAATTGGTAAGTTGCTAACCTTCAGTTTACCTGCTTTTCTCTTAAGTGGTAAATCCTGCAACTACTTACTCATCTGCTTCACAGAATTTGTAGTGTAATTGTCTTAAGAATTAAACTAAAAATAATTCTTTTTTAATTAAACACATGCATCTGTAATGTTGCTTTTTTCTAAAGTCCCTGACAATCCTAATCACTAATCAACTTGAGTGTAATTACCTGGCTGTAAAATAATGAATCTCAAAATTTTCACATGATTACTTGCATTATGAGAACAGAAAATAAAGAGAGGCTGGGCGCAGTGGCTCATGCCTGTAATCCCAGCACTTTGGGAGGCAGAGGCAGGTGTATCATGAGGTCAGGAGTTTGAGACCAGCCTGGCCAACATAGTGAAATCCTGTCTCTACTGAAAATCCAAAAAAAATGAGCCGGGCTTGGTGGTGAGTGCCTATAATCCCAGCTACTCAGGAAGCTGAAGCAAGGAGAATCGCTTGAACCTGGGAGGTGGTGGTTGTAGTGAGCCAAGACCGTGCCACTGCACTCCAGCCTGGGCGACAGTGCGAGACTCTGTCTCAAAAAAAAAAAAAAAAAAGAAAATAACAATCTGTAGTTTCCTCATCAGATTTTTTTTAATGCTTGTCATTTTAAATTTTCTTTTATCAGATCTTAGCTGTGCATTTGTTGCAAGCAGTCCTTCCGTCATGGGACAAGACCGAAAGGGCGAGGGACATGAAATGCCTCATGGAGAAGCTGTTTGACTTCTTGGGGAGCTTGCTCACTATGTGCTCCTCTGACGTGCCGTTACTCAGAGGTGGGTGGCCGTCTCCCTTCCCTGTACCCTGGTGAAGAGCGGTGCAGTGCCATCACTCAGAGGTGGGTGGCCATCTCCCTTCCCTGTGTCCTGGTGAAGAGCCGTGTAGTGCCATCACTCAGAGGTGGGTGGCCGTCTCCCTTCCCTGTACCCTGGTGAAGAGCGGTGCAGTGCCGTCACTCAGAGGTGGGTGGCCGTCTCCCTTCCCTGTGTCCTGGTGAAGAGCCGTGTAGTGCCATCACTCAGAGGTGGGTGGCCGTCTCCCTTCCCTGTGTCCTGGTGAAGAGCGGCGCAGTGCCGTCACTCAGAGGTGAGTGGCCGTCTCCCTTCCCTGTGCCCTGGTGAAGAGTGGTGCAGCAGCTTCTCCCCTGGTTTCCTCCTCAGAGTCCACGCTGAGGCGGCGCAGGGTGTGCCCGCAGGCCTCGCTGACTGCCACCCACAGCAGCACACTGGCGGAGGAGGTGGTGGCACTGCTGCACACGCTGCACTCCCTGACTCAGTGGAATGGGCTCATCAACAAGTACATCAACTCCCAGCTCCGCTCCATCACCCACAGCTTTGCGGGAAGGCCTTCCAAAGGGGTGGGTTTGTGTTCTCAGAATTAATTTAGTTGAACAGTAAACCTGTAGGGATTGGGCAGCTCCGTGAGTGTCCCCGGTCGAGCTCGCTGTTTGGTCTGCACTAGGCCCAGTTAGAGGACTACTTCCCTGATTCCGAGAACCCTGAAGTGGGGGGCCTCATGGCGGTCCTGGCTGTGGTTGGAGGCATCGATGGTCGCCTGTGCCTGGGCGGCCAAGTTGTGCACGATGACTTTGGAGAAGTCACCATGACTCGCATCACCCTGAAGGGCAAAATCACCGTGCAGTTCTCTGACATGCGGACGTGTCACGTTTGCCCATTGAATCAGCTGAAACCAGTAGGTGAACTTGTGCTTAGTTACTGCATGATAAGGGAAATTGACTTTACACTAGAACCGAGCACCAACATCAGCACTTGAAAGAACTTGATTCTGGTACTTGAAGTTTGCCTTCCAGGAAGCTGTGTGAGCTTGTGCTTCTGTGGTAAGCAGGGCCTGTCTCACAGGGCACTTAAAGCAGTGGTTCGTGTGTATTTCAGCCTCAGAGACACGAAGAGGGCTTTAGCAACCTAGAAGGTACCGTGCATCTATGAGGTAGTTCTAATTATTTTAAAATGTGAATTTATGAAGTTTACTTTTTATTCAACAACTCAAGTTTTAAAAAAACAAACATGTTTAAACACCTTTAAAAAAACAGCCTTTCTTCATGTAGAAAATGCTTAGTAGTTTTGAGTGACGTGACTTAATGTAGCAGCTACTGTCATCTTAATCTGTGAATCAAGGATGCACAGGGAGAAGGAGCCATTTACATTATTTTCATGTAGCCCAAGTGCAATCTTACTATATATTCTTTTTCTTTTTTATTTTGAGATGGAGTCTTGCTCTTGTCACCCAGGCTGGAGTGCAATGGCACAATGTTGTCGGCCCTCTGCAACCTTTGCCTCCCGGGTTCAAGCGATTCTCCTGCCTCAGCCTCCTGAGTGGCTGGGATTACGGTGTGTGCCACCACGCCTGGCTAATTTTGTATTTTTAGTAGAGATGGGGTTTCACTATGTTGGCCGGGCTGGTCTCAAACTCCTGACCTCAGGTGATCCGCCCGCCTTGGCCTCCCAAAGTGCTGGGATTACAGGCGTGAGCCACCGTGCCCGGCCTGACTATATTTTCTATAAAGTACTCTTTTTTATTATTATAGGAATATATACATGTTGTAGAAAACTTGAAGTATATAGAAAATATCTGAGAAGATAGTAACCACCACACTGATGTAATTATTGTTGACAGGTTTGTAAAGAAAAATTAATATAGATTATACTTATTATATGTGTAAATCTCTATCCTGCCTTTAATGTCATTTTAAAAAATGATTATTCTCAGCTATAAAAAGGCTTACGGGTATGTGTGGCATTTCAGGATTAAGCCCATGGTTTTGATGACTTTCAGAACGTTTCATTTGTTAGTCATATTGGCCACACTCTGACAGCTTCTGTGTCCTCTCCAGCTCCCTGCCGTGGCCTTTAATGTGAACAACCTGCCCTTCACAGAGCCCATGCTGTCTGTCTGGGCTCAGTTGGTGAACCTCGCTGGAAGCAAGTTAGAAAAGCACAAAATAAAGAAATCGACTAAACAGGCCTTTGCAGGTCAGTACATGGCGCTTCTTGATGAAATAGCTGCCGTCTTAAACTCGTGTCGTTTGTACAGTGTTCTTTTATGAGTGAATTCACGGACGTACTAAAGTCCTGGGGTTCACGTGGGCTCACCATTTGTTGAGTTGCGGTTGGGAATGTAACCCTGTGTTCGTGGTAATGAGTATTTTCGAGTCAGCCTTTGTCGCCATGTTCGGAGCCACACTTGAAGAACCCCATGGCTCACACCCTCTTCTCCGTGTCACCCTTTATCCCGGAAGAGAAGTCTGTTCACCTCTTCCCTCCTCCCCTCCATCCCAGGGCCCTGTGGCCCCGTCACCCTGTTGGACCATGGCTCACAGCCTGTTCTCTGCCGGATCCAGGGGCCTCTGTCCCGGAAGCGCCTGGCTTGCCTGTAACATTCAGGATGGCTAAGACTGTGACTGTAGCCTGGCTTGGCTTTGCCTTCCTTCAGGTCTAGAATGCGGCTCTCCTGAGTTTGTTTCCATGTTTCTAGGGAGCTCTTCTCTCTGCTCATTCTTTATGTCCTGGAAGTCTGTGTGGCTTCACCCATAACTATGGCATATTCTGCCCAGTCTTCTTGAGTTTTCTCCCCTCTTGCTCCCACAGACCTACGATTGCTGCTTCAGCATATATGATGTAAGCACTTTCAACTCTGGATCTCCCATTCACATCTCTGGTTGGAGGTGCAGTGCATGCAAATCATCATATGTCCGAAATTCAGCTGGCTGGCTTTCTCTAGTAGCTGCCGTTTCCCATCGTGGTGAATAAAACTGTCTGCCAGTTAGTTGAGCCAGTGTCCGAGCGGCACCTGCGGCCCTCCTTCCTTCCCACCCCATGCTCTCTGTGCTGCTTCTGCGGCCTCTGCTATCAGATAAGCCTTGGGCATTGCTGCGATCTTCATCAGTTAAAGAGCTAGTGGGGCTGACAGATTCTCTCAGAGGAGTCTTAGAAGAAGAGTGGAAGCGGCTGAAACTTCAGCAACTTGGGGAACATTTGATCATATTAATAGTAGCTAACATGGTTCTAACCGTGTTAAACCCATTGAATCCTGCGTCCTATCAAGTTAGGTGCCTGGAGAGCAGGGAAGGAAGACCCAGGAGGCAGAAGATGCTTACCCAGAAGCACCGAGTGTAACTCTGGGAAAGGCAAGCCCTTCGTCACGGACAGTGTGTGCGGTCGGCAGATTCCTGAAGGGCAGAGCGTTACTCGTCGCCATGTGGCGGAGGCTTGCTGCTGGCGAGGAGGGAGTCTGAGCAGGGCACGCCCTTCTCACTGAGTCTTTCCTTCCGCAGGACAAGTGGACCTGGACCTGCTGCGGTGCCAGCAGTTGAAGCTATACATCCTGAAAGCAGGTCGGGCGCTGTTCTCCCACCAGGATAAACTGCGGCAGATCCTGTCTCAGCCAGCTGTTCAGGAGACTGGAACTGTTCACACAGGTGTCTTTTTAAAAAGTTCTTAAATCTTTATAAGAAGGGCAGTAGAAAGTAGACAAAGGAAGTGAATAATCAGTTCATAAAAATGGACATAGGTGGCTTATAAATGTACAAAACAGACACGTGGCCTGCCCAGCAACCACCAACTGTGAATAAAATTGTCATCGTCATCTTATAAGACAAGACTGAGGGCATCTGGTGGGTGGGGAGGGAAAAAGGTATTTTCATGCCTTCCCATTTAAAGTTTGCTGCATGGGTCAGCAAGATTGGTGGCACGCAGGTATGTGTTAGAAATGCAGACTCCCAGGCCGCACCCCAGACCAAAGAAATAGAGCCTGTATTGTAACAAGATGAACCTAAGCTGGTTCTTCAAATGCGCGTAAAGCCGCACTCCATGAACACGCTGCTGCTGGGAATTTCAGTTGGTGTAGCCATCTAATGGGCGTCTGAGGAAATGAGTTGGACTTTGAAATGCATAGATGTATGTATGTATTTATATACTTTGGCCCAGCGAGTCATTCTGTGGGACTTTATCACACGAAAAGGCATGTAAAGATAATGTATTCACCACCTGGGCACAGTGGCTCATGCCTGTAATCCCAGCACTTTGGGAGGCCGAGGCGGGCGGATCACGAGGTCAGGAGATAGAGACCATCCTGGCTAACACGGTGAAACCCCATCTCTGCTAAAAATACAAAACATTAGCTGGGCAAGGTGGCAGACACCTGCAGTTCTAGCTACTTGGGAGGGTGAGGCAGGAGAATGGCATGAATCTGTGAGGCGGAGCTTGCAGTGAGCCGAGATGGCGCCACTGCACTCCAGCCTGGGCAACAGAGCAAGACTCTGTCTCAAAAAAAAAAAAAAAAAAATTGGCGGGGCATAGTGGTGGCTGCATGTAATGCCAGCTACTTGGGAGGCTGAGGCAGGAGAATCACTTGAACCGGGGGGTGCGGAGGTTGCCGTGTGTGCGGATTGCAGGGTGCAGATTGTGCCACTGCACTCCAGCCTGGGTGACAGAGTGAGACTTCGTCTCAAAAAAAATAATAAATAAAAATAATGTATTCAACAGTGTCGTTATGGCCTCCTTTTTGGTATTGTTTTTGTATTGAAAAACTGTAGACACCAAAATACCCATTCTTATGTTGTGTATCCGTACAGTGTGATATCATGGTGCCATTCAAAATGATGGTACATGTATAGTCTTCCCTCAATATCCATGGGGATGAGTTCCAAGACCCCCAGTTATACCAGAATTCACTAATGCTTAAGGCCCTTCTATAAAATGGTGTAGTATTTGCATATAACCTATGCACATCCTCCGAAATACTTTAAAAATATAAATGATATATAGGCTGGGTGCGGTGGCTCACGCCTGTAATCCCAGCACTTTGGGAGGCTGAGGTGGGCAGATCACGAGGTCAGGAGATTGAGACCATCCTGGCTAACACGGTGAAACTCCATCTCTACTAAAAATAGAAAAAATTAGCTGGGCGTGGTGACGGGTGCCAGTAGTCCCAGCTACTTGGGAGGCTGAGGCAGGAGAATGGCATGAACCCAGGAGGCGGAGCTTGCAGTGAGCCAAGATCGTGCCACTGCACTCCAGCCTGGGTGACAGAGCGAGACTCTGTCTCAAAAAAATAAATAAATAAATAAAAATAAAATAAAATAAATGATATGTAAATAGTTGTTATTGCTATTCTTTTTAAAATTATATTTTAAAAAATTGTTTTATTCTGAATATTTTTGATGTGTGGTTTGTTGAATCTTTGGATGCAGAACCCATGGATACGGAGGGCTAGCTGTATATGTTTATTGCTGTGGAAACATGAAAACAATAAGTGAACAGAAAAGCACACTGCTATGTATATCCGTTTATAGATATGCCATAGTTATCTGTTTAGCAAAACAGTGACCCAGTAATCTTTGGTGGAATTTTGGCTGTCTTTATTTTCTTTATATTTCTCTATATTTAGTTTTCTAGAATGAGCTTGTGTTACTTTTAATAGAAAAAAACATTTTTTGATCTCCAACTATTGAAAGACATTATGCTAAGTCTTTTGCGGAGAAGTCCTTTTCTATGATCATTGCTCTCTAGGGTTTGGATGAGGAGAGGAAGTGAATGCAGATGGCTCTCTTTGTTCTCTGGGGCCAGGGGGCGGTGAGGCATGTGAGTGGTTCCACAGGCGTCTGGAGCCAGTGGCAGCTGAGCACTGGACGGGCAGCCTTTGAAGGCTGTGGCAGACAGATGCCAGCAGACAAGCACTCTGCTGGTGGTGGAGGCAGGAGGAGAGGAGTGAACGTGGTGAGTCTTTGGAAGCACGTTGAGCAGCTCTCCTCTTCTTGGAGCTCAGGGTTTTTCAATGAGTGGTGGGGCTGAAGCTAGATGGGCAGCTGACATCCTGTTACAGAGTACCTGGGAGACCAGGGTGAAACTTGAGGCCCACTTGGAAAGCTGTGGTAGGGGCCACATGGTAAGCATTGACCTTCGGGTGATACACCTGCTAGGAAGGTATAGGAGTATCTGAAACAGGAGATGACAGAGATGGAGAATTGCTCCTGCGTCAGGTGATGAGGGGGAAGGCATGAAAAGGGAAAGAAGGTTCTGGTGGAAGGAAGGTGCCATCCACTGTGATGGTGTAGTCTTGTAGATGATAACTTTATGGGGAACCAGCAAAAAGTGGAAGGTGACTGCTGTTTCAAGCTTGAGTTGAGGGAGGAATATTGAGTAGTGTGTTTGAAACAAATAAGTCCAGTAGAATGTGGAGTGTGTGCGTTTGCTTCTTAAGAGGAGAGGATGCTATGAAATTAATTTTAAACCTGCTGAGGATGAAAGAAATCAATTGAAAGTATAGAATCAATTAATAGTAGAGGTCGTAGGGAACATGAAGATTTCCCAGTTGTAGAGATTGGGAGATTGGAGCCTGGGAATTGGATTGGCTGTTCTGTTCTGCACTCAGCCCGATGAGCAATTACAGCAGACCTGAATCAGGATGATCAAGTCTGTGCTTTGGGCCGAGCAGGGACTCCGAACAGAGCTAGATTGACAAAACTGCCGTGCACCTGTTTTTGTAAATTTTTATGGGAACACAGGCACACCACTTGTTTACACATCGTCTCTGGATGCTTTTGCTCTGCAATGGCAGAGCTGAGTAGTTGGGACAGAGACTGTACAGCCCATCAGCCTAAACTATTTACTCTCTGGCCCTTTAAGAGAAAGATTTCCAGCTCCTGGTCTAGTTAGTTGAAATTGTCACTGAAGAAAACCAGCACATGCAAATGCTGTGAGTACCTGGATGAGTACCTAGATGTGTGAAGTGGGCTTGAGCGCAGTGGATCTCCCTGGGGCTGTGTCAAACAGAGTCCTAAAGGCTGCACCTAAAGCTACTCATAACAGACAAAAAGCCATCACCCTGAGCACATGACACATTTGGAATTGGGGTCACTTAATGATCTCAACAAGGCTTAGCTGGAAAAGCTACAGCTAGAAATATGCACGTGGGATGTGTCTGTGTCAGGGGTTACTGAAGCCGTGAGTGAACATGAAAGAGAGTGTGTAGGTCAGGCATGGTGGCTTACGCCTGTAATCCCAACACTTTGGGATGCCGAGGCGGGTGGATCAGGAGTTGGAGACCAGCCTGGCCAACATGGTGAAATCTAATCAACAGCCTGGCCCCATCTATACTAAAAATACAAAAATTAGCTAGGCGTGGTAGCATGTGCCTGTAGTCCCAGCTACAGGGAAGGCTGATGCAGGAGAATCACTTGAGCCAGGAGGCAGAGGTTGCAGTTTGCCAAGATTGTGCCACTGCACTCCAGCCTGGGCAACAGAGTGAGACTCCATCTCAAGAAAAAGAGAAAGAATCAGACCAAGTGCAGAAATCTGGGAAGGAGCATTTGCTGGCTCTAAGAGACAGATGCACTAATGAAGGACAGAGACCAAAAGCAGGCAGTGAAAGTGGTTTAGAGTCTAGTTCCTTTTTTTTTTTTTTTTTGAGATGGAGTCTCGCTCTGTTGCCAGGCTGGAGTGCAGTGGCGTGATCTTGGCTCACTGCAACCTCCAACTCCCTGGTTCAAGCAATTCTCCTGCCTTAGCCTTGCGAGTAGCTGGGATTACAGGCACGCACCACCATGCCCAGCTAATTTTTTTTTTTTTTTTTTTTTTGAGACCGAGTCTTGGTCTGTCGCCCAGGCTGGAGTGCAGTGGCGTGATCTCGGCTCACTGCAAGCTACGCCTCCCAGGTTCATGCCATTCTTCTGTGTCAGCCTCCCAAGTAGCTGGGACTACAGGTGCCCACCACCATGCCCGGCTGATTTTTTTGTGTTTTTAATAAAGATGAGGTTTCACTGTGTTAGCCAGGATGGTCTCGATCTCCTGACCTCGTGATCCACCCGCCTTGGCCTCCCAAAGTGCAGGGATTACACGCGTGAGCCACCGCACCCAACCTAGAGTCTAGTTTTTGTTCGATGTCTGAACCTTGAAGATTTTGGTTTTCTATCACATAATGAGGCAGAAGTCATACCTGATTTAACATGCTTAATGCATTTTCTTTAATAGTAAAGTGGTGTTCGCAGTTGAAAATAGAATCTTACACATATTTTGTTTTTAAATTCAGATGATGGAGCAGTGGTATCACCTGACCTTGGGGACATGTCTCCTGAAGGGCCGCAGCCCCCCATGATCCTCTTGCAGCAGCTGCTGGCCTCGGCCACCCAGCCGTCTCCTGTGAAGGCCATATTTGATAAACAGGAACTTGAGGTACAGCCATGCAGCCTTGACAGTTTTTAATCCACAGCACTAAATTGTGAACACTTTTTTTCTAGATGTATATTTTCTTAAGGATCTATTCTGAATGTTAAATGATAGTGCGCAAATAATTCTAATGATTCATTGGGGTTTAACCATGTTTGTGCATAGTCTGCAGAACATTATAATACTAAAGACTGAGAGGGTTGAAGTTTAACCTTATTTTGGGTTTGTGTAAATTGTGAAAAAATATTAACTAGATGCAGCATGGGTTAAACGCTCACATCTTCATGAAGGGATCTTTTTCCAGGAAGTAGAATTATTCAAAGAGGCTCGTCAGGACTCTGGCAGCCGTTTGTCTGTTTCATTCACTCAGGAGCCTCTTGGGGGTGCTCTGGTGCCGCCAGCCTCTCCGCTCTCTCCATGCTGTGGAGCAGGTGAGGGCAGCAGCGAGGCACAGGGTCAGGGCTACGGGACGTTCGCATAGAGGAGGCGACGTGATTGAGTGTAAGAGGGATGGGAGCTTTCATGGCTGGCAACATAGAGGATTAGAGATGTTCATTCCAAAATCTTTCTTGCTGTGTAATACATTAAAAATCTGGACAAAATATCAGAGACAAAAATAAAACTATCAGTACTCAGTTTGGCAGTCAGAAATTACCCTAACAGAAACCCTCAGATAGCAGGGCCCTTCTGGGAGCAAGGGTCCAGATGAGGCAGCCACTGCCTTGGACAGGTGGGAGGCCTCCCCCAGTCCTAGAACGAGCTGGAAAGATGGTGGGGGTGCAAAGGGAGAAAGCAAGAAACGGGTGTGGGCAGGAAGGGAGGAGGTTGGCCGTGAGCTCTTCTGAACTCCAGCTTCTTCTCAGGTCTGGGAACCTCTGAGGTGAAGGTTCATTTTAAAGGGCCTGGTTGTGTTTCCAGTCTCCCTGGCAGAGATCAAAAGACGCTGAGCAACTTGAGAGCACGTGGGGCGGTGCACGTGCTCCCTGCAGTCATGCTGGGAGATGCCGAGTGTGAACACCTAGAAGGCCGTGTAGAGTTGTTCTTCAGGAACTGAGAAGGACTGTTGTACAAAAAAAGACCTTCCGCTGTTTTGTCTCCATGGATTCCGATGGAGAGTCGTTGTTCTTATCTCTTCTTTTGTATGAAATGTCTGTTTTCTCTGGTTGCTTTTCGTATTTTGTGTTATCTTTGGTTTTCTGCAGTTTCCCTAAGCTGGGCTCATGTATGCAATGGTGGCCCACCCCGCCCACCCCACCATCCTCCTTGAAATTTATTTAAGCTGCTTGCATCTTTGGCTTGATTTTTGTTCCCCTACCAAATTTGGAAACTTTTGACTGCTGTTTTTTTCCCCGTCTTGCTCTTTTTGTTCTTTTCTGGAAATACTATTATACATCTGTTACACGGTTAGTGAGTTTCCTTTTATGACTTTAATAGAAAGTCTTTCTTCTCCTTGTTAGTAGCTTGGTTAGTTTGTCTTGATCTGTTTGAAAGGTCAAGATGCTTTGCTTTGTTGGGCCTAATCTGTTGTTATATCCATCCAAGACATACTTTATTTTATATTTCTCACATCTCTTATTTCCATTTGGCTCTCATTTAATAGTTTTATATCTCTTCTGACAGTTCCTTTCTTCATCCTTTAAGTCTATCTTTTTTTTTTTTTTTTTTTTTTTTGATGGAGTCTTGCTCTGTCACCAGGCTGGAGTGCAGTGGCGTGATCTCAGCTCACTGCAACCTCTGACTCCTGGGTTCAGGTGATTCTCCTGCCTCAGCCTCCCGAGTAGCTAGGACTACAGGTGCCTGCCACCATGCCTGGCTAATTTTTGTATATTTAGTAGAGATGGGGTTTTACCATGTTGGCCAGGCTGGTCTCGAACTCCTGACCTCATGATCTGCCCGCCTCAGCCTCCCAAAGTGCTGGGATTACAGGTGTGAGCCACCGTGCCTGGCCAAATCTATCTTTTGCTGTACATTTTAAAACATATTTCTGATAGTTATGTTGAATTTCTTGTTTTCTAATTCTAACATCTGCCCACCTGTTGGTCTGCTGCTCTTTGCAGTTTTTTTCCCTTGATTATAGTCAGTTATTGGTTGTTGTCCTTCACATATGAGAATTTTTATTTCATTCTGGATTCTTTGGACGTTACATTGTATTGGCTCTGGGTTCTGCCTCCTGTCTATATACTGTCTGACACTGTCTATATACTGTATTCCCCTTGCCCCTGTGGTTTTCCACGTATGAATTGAGTTTACATTGCTTGGACTATAATTGCTCATCCCTACCACAGTTACTTTATTAGTTTAGCTATACTATTGGGAAGATGATTTTTCATCATGGTTATACAAATTTGTTTATAAGCCTATTTAACTCAAATTATGCTGCTGTGGGTAAAAATAGTAACAAGTACTTTTTCATGGATTTCTTCAGAGACTAACTAAAATGATCAATCAGCGTGTCCAAGAAAATATGAGAAAATTTATCTTTCAGAAATGTTTTGTATGAAATTCTCAAATGCTTCAAAGGCTTACAACTTTACATGAAATGATTAAAGACAGATTTAAAAACAAGAACAAAATCCACAATTATTATCCACATTACTTTTGAGTACTGTTAATACAGCCATTACAGAGACCTCCAGATAGAAGGAATGATAGTATCTAAATAATAGAAATAGGATGATTAAGTTGCATTTATTTAAAAACAAGTCTTTTTGGTTGGAAATAGGATGTATAAAAAAGCTCAATACCAAAATTTAGATGAGATGTACATTTATTGGAGAGAATAAAATTGTTGAGATAGTTTTTAACAACAAGAAAAAACCCAGAAAGCATACAAAACAAACAAATAAAAACCTGAATTAGAGCTTTGGACTTCCTCAAATCACATTATTTGTAGTGGATTGGTTGACTCCATTTTAAGATAGAGGAGACGAACAAGATGGCCGACTAGACACAGCCAGGAAGTGCCACTCCTCTCAAGAGAGGCCAAATTATTAGGTAAACCACCATAATTTGAACAGGTATTCAAGGAGAAAATGCTGAAAGTGGATGGAGAGGCAAGGTCGAAGCCAAGACTGAAGAGGCAGGAAGCTGGAAACCCTGAGTTAGCTACCCAAATGCCAGGGCTAATTCCTGGCCCCAAACAATTCCAGTAAAGGACTGAATGAAGGAACTGAGGGATGGTTCACTCTTGCCATGAGCATTTGATTTTCTAGCTACAAGGGACCTTACGCGACCATGGATGTGTGAGCTGGCAGGGGGATCTCCCTGGGGAGCAGGCAGAGACAGACTTTGGACAGCACAGAGCCCAGGAGCTTTTGTGTGCTGGACTGCTGCAGGCAAGAGCAGCCATAGATGCCCATTCCCCAGGGATTTCCATTCTCCTCTGGGAGGCATGGACCCCTACTGACCTCCAAGCCAGGAGAGAGTTGGGCCAGCTTTCCTGCACGACTGGGGTGCATCTACTCTGCAAGCCCTTCTGCCTACCAGCCCTTCCCAGGGTCCATGCCTAGCTGCCCTGTAGGAGCAGGTGCATAGTGCAGCCCTGGAAGGTCAGCCTGAGTGTGTAGTTGCACCCACATATTTTCTTCATGACCCTGGAGCACACTGTATCCCCCAGTGGAGCAAGAACCCAAACCCAAGCCATGGGATATCCCAGTGTCCCCAGGGCTGTAGTGTGCAGCTTGGGAGTATGGAACCAAGATTTGTGGCTGGCACTCAAACAGAGAAAGAGCCCCCAATCTCAGAGCCGTGAGAGGGGTGAGATGCACGGATTCCTGAGCTGGGGTAAGAGTGGAACATGCCTCCCTTCTCAGGTCCAGTCCAAAAAGCATGTGGCATATCTCCCTGCCACAGCTTCTGCCCAAGAAGACCATGTGGCTCAGAAAAACTAACAAAAGAAATGTGGGCACAGCACCAGCTATCAGAGGGAGCTCTCTCAAGTTTTACAAGCAGATCTGTTGAGGGAACCGTATCACTCCATATCACTGCAGAGCATATCTGTGAACTCAAGAAGTACAAAAAAGCCCTGTGACCAGGTATTAACCTAGCTACCAGTCATTACTGTTAAACCTCATTCACTGGATTGCCACCCAAACTACAACACCTAAATTTTATTCTGCTAATATATACAGCTGTGAAACCAAGTCAAAAATTTACCCACACATAAAGATTCTGTAAGAGCCCTGGGCCTCTAAAAGCATTCAGAAATTAAGCCAACTGACTATTCTCAACTTACACCACAGTTAAAGAAATGCCAACCCTCCCAGATGAGAAAGAATTAGCACAAGAACTCTGGCAATCCAAAAAGTCAGAGTGTACCCTCACTTCCAAATGATCCACTAGCTCCCCGTAATGGTTTCTAACCAGTCTGAAATGACTGACATAACAGACACAGAATGCAGAATCTGTGGCCAGGAAACCCATTGAGATTCAGGAGAAAGTGAAATTCAGTGCAAGGAATTCAAATAATTTAGTAAAGCAATCCAAGAGCTGAATGATAAAATAGCCATTTTCAGAAATAACCAAACTTAAATTCTAGAGCTGAAAAACTCACTATCAGAATTTTATCAAATAATCAGTAGTATTAGCAGCAGAATAGACCAAGCTGAGGAAATAATCTCAAAACTTGAAGACTTGTTCTTTAAGTCAACTCAGACAAAAATAAGGAAAAAAATGGGAAAAAAAAGTGAAACCTCCAAGAATATGGGATTTTGTAAAGCGAAAAAATCTATGACTCATTGTCATTCCTGAGAGAGGAGAGAGAATACGCAACTTGGAAAATATATTTGAAGATACAGTTCATGAAAATTCCTCTTATCTCTTTAGGGAGATTTACATACAAATCCAAGAAACACGCAGAACCCCAGATAGATATGACATGAAATGACTACCTCCAAGGCACATAGTACAATATTCATCAAGGTCAACACTAAAGAAAAAAGTCTTAAAGGCAGGGTAAAGTCACATACAAGGAACTTCATCAGGCTAGCAGCAGACCTCTCAGCAGGTATCTTACAAGTCAGAAGAGATTGGTAGCTTATTTTCAGCATCCTTAAAGAAAATAAATTTTAACCAATAATTTCATATCCCACCAAACTAAGCTTAAAAGTGAAGTGAAGCAAATGCTAAGGGAATATGTTTCAACTAGACTAGCCATACAAGAGGTCCTTAAGGGAGTGCTAAACATGGAAAAGAAAGAATGACAGTCATACCACAAAAGCTCATTTAACCACATAGCACACAGGCGCCATAAAGCAACCACATAATCAAGTCTACATAACAATCAGCTAGCAACATGATGACAGAATTAAAATCACAGATACCAATACTAACCTTGAATGTAAATGGGCTAAATGCTCCACTTAAGAGACACAGAGTGGCAGGCTGGATAAATGACCCAACCATCTGTTATCTTCAAGAGACCTATTTCACATTAAGAACAACCACAGGCTCACAGCAAAAGAATGGAGAAAGAGCTACCATGTGAACAGAAAGCAAAAAAGAGCAGAAGTTGCTATTCTTATATAAAATAGACTTTAAACCAATAAAAATTAAGAACAATGAAGGGCATTACATAATGATAAAGGGTACAATCAAACAAGAAACCTTAACTGTACTAAATATATATACACTCAATATTGGAGCACCCAGATTCATAAAACAAGTTCTTCATTGCCCATGAAAACACTTAGACAACCAAACAATAACAGCAGGAGACTTCACCACCCCACTGACAGCACTAAACAGATCATTAAGGAAGAAAACTAACAAACTCTGGACATAAACTCAACACTTTAACAATTGGACCTAATAGACATCTACAAAATACCCCAGGTAATATCCACAGAATATATATTCTTCCCATCTGCACATGGAACATATTCTAAGATCAACCACGTGCTTAATCATAAAGCAAGTCTCAATAAATTCAAAAAATTGAAATTATACCAAGCAAACTCTTGGACCACAGTGAAATAAAAATAGAAATCAAAATCAAGAAGACCTCTCAAAACTACACAAATATAGGGAAATTAAACAACTTACTCCTGAATAACTCTTAGGTGAACATCAAAATACAGGTAGATTTAAGAAAAATTCTTTGAAATATTGAAAACAGGAATATGACTTACCAAAATCTTTGAGATGCAGCCAAAGCAGTGTTAAGAGGAAAGTTTATTTCCCTAAATGCAGTAATCGAGAAGTTAGAAAGATCTCAATTTAGCAATCTAACTTTGCACCTAAAGGAACTAGAAAAGAAAAAGCTAGCAGAAGAAAAAAATAACTAAAATTAGAGAACTTACTGAAATTGAGATAGAAAAATCCATAGAAAAAATAATAAAAAAGCAAGAGTTTGTTCTTTGAAAAGATGAACAAGATGGATAGACTGCTATTTAACAGCTAGATTTACAATGAAAAAAAGAGAAGATAAGTATAGTCAGAAATAACAAAGATAATATAACTGATCCCACAGAATTACAAAAGTTTCCCATAGAATACCATGAACAACTCTATGCATACAAATTAGAAAATCTGTAGATGAAATTGATAAATTCTTAGAAACACACAGTCTCTAATTGAATCAGGAAAAGATTGAAGCATTGAATAGTGAAATATCTCACTCTGAAATTGAATCATATGTAATAAAAAAAAACTACCACCAACCAAAAAAGTCCTAGACCAGATGGATTCACAGTCAAATTCTACCAGATATACAAAGAAAAACTGGTACCAATTCTACTGAAGCTATTACAAAAAAAGGAGGGAATCCTTTCAAACTCAATCTCTGGCAGAAACACAATGAAGAAAGAAAACTTGAGGCCAATGTCCATGATGAACACAGACAAAAAATTCTCAACAAAATATTGATAAACTGAATCCAGCAGCATATAAAACAGTTAATTCACCACGATAAAGTAGGCTTTATTCCTGGGATGCAAGGTTGGATCAACATATGCAAATCAATAAATATGATTCGCCACATAAGCAGATTGAAACACAAAAACTATCTGATCATCTCAAAAAATGCAGAAAAACTTCAATAAAATTCAACATCACTTCATGATAAAAACCCTCAACAAACTAGACATCAAAATAATATGACTCAAAATAATAAGAGTCGTCTATAGCAAACCCAGAGCCAACATTATACTGAATGGGCAAAAGCTGGAAACATTCCCCTGGAGAACTGAAAAAAAGGCAAGCACTCTGACCATTTCATATTCAACGTAGTAGTGGAAGTCAGAGCCAGAGCAATCAAGCAGGAGAAAGGCTACTGGAACTAATAAATGATTTTAGCAAAGTTCCATGATACAAAATCAATGTAGAAAACATCAGTACCATTTATATGTGCCAATAACATCCAGGCTGAGAGTCATATTAAGAACACAATCACATTTACAATAACCACAAAGAAAATGAAACAGCTGAGAGTACAGGTAACCAAGAAGGTGAAAAATCTCTACAAGGAGAACTAGAAAACAATGCTGAAAGAAATCAGGTGACATAAATAAGTGGGAAAACATTCCATACTCATGGAATGTTTTAATGTTTCATAGAAATGAAAAATCAATATCACTGAAATGGCCATACTGCCCAAAGCAATTTACAGATGCAATGCTATTCCTATCAACCTATCATAGAATTAGAAAAACTATTCTAAAATTTATGTGGAACCAAAAAAGAGCCCAAATAGCCAATGCAAACCTAAGCAAAAAGAACAAAGCTGGAGGCCTTACACTATCAACTTCAAACAATAAGGCTACAGTGAAAAAACAGCATAGTACTGATACAAAAACAGACACATAGACTAATGGAACAGAATAGAAAGCTAAAATATAAAGCTGCTCACTTACAACCATCTGATTTTCGACAAGGTCAATGAAAACAAGCAATAGGGAAAGGATTTGCCATTTGATAAATGTTTCAGGTTAACTGGCTTGCCATAAGCAGAAAAATGAAACCAAATTCTTATCTTTCACTAATACAAATATTTACTCAAGATGGATTAAATATTTAAATGTAAGATCTCAAACTATAAAAGCACTAGAGTAAAACCTAGGAAATACTTATGTCAACACTGGCCTTGGCAAATAATTTTTGGCTAAGTCCCCAAGCAATTGCAACAAAAACAAAAATTGACAAGTGATACCTAATTAAACTAAACAGCTTCTGCACAGCAACAGAATAAGCAGACAACCTATGGAATGGGAGAAAATATTCATTAACTATGTATCTGTATTAGTCTGTTTTTACACTGCTTATAAAGCATTACTTGAGACTGAGTAATTTATTTAAAAAAAAAAAAGATGAGGTTTAATTGACTCCCAGTTCCCCATGGCTGGATAGGACTCAGGAAACTTACAGTTATGGCAAAAGGTCAAGGGGAAGAAGGCACTTCTTACCTGGTGGTAGGAGACAGAGAGCAAGAAAACAAGGAAGTGCCACACTTTAAAACCATCAGCTGTTGTGAGAATTCACCCACTGTCATGAGAACATCATGGGGGAAACTGCCCCCATAATCCAATCACCTTCCACCAGGTCCCTCCTGGGACATGTGGGGATTACATTTTGAGATGAGATTTGCGAGTGTCACAGAGCAAAACCATATCAGCATCCAACAAAGGTCTAATATTCATAATCTACTTAAATCAACAGATTAAAAGCAAATAACTCCATTAAAAAATGGACAAAGGACATGGACAGGCACTCCTCAATAGAAGACATATAAATGGTCAACAAGCATGAAAAAAACGCTCATCATCGCTAATCATCAGAGAAATGCAAATCAAAACCACAATGAGGTACCATCTTACACCAGTCAGAATGACTATTATTAAAGAGTCAAAAAACAACAGATGGTAAAGGGAATCCTCATTTGTAGTTTGTAGGAATGTAAATTAGTTCAGCCACTGTAAAAGGCAGTCTGGAGATTTCTCAAAGAACTTAAAACAAGGCTACCATTGAACCCAGTCATCCTATTTCTTGGTATGTACTCAAAGGAACATAGATCATTCTACCAAAAGACACATGCATATAGATGTGCATCACAGCTCTATTCACAATAGCAAAGACATGGATTAACCTAGGTGCCCATCAACAATGAATTGCATAAAGAAAATGTGATACATATACATCATGGAATACCATGCAGCATAAAGTATAATGAAATCATGTCCCATGCAGCAACATAGATGGACCTGGAGGCCATAGTCCTAAGCAAATTAATACAGGAACAAAAAGCAAAACTCCACATATTCCCATGTATATGTTGGAGCTAAACATTAAGCACACATGAAAATTAACATGGGAACAATAGATACTGCACACAACTAGACAGAAAAGGGAGGAAAGTGGCACAGGTTAAAAAACTACCTACTGAGTACTATGCTCACTACTTGGGACCAATATACCCATGTAACAATCCTACACATGTGTCTCCTGTATCTAAAATAAAAGAGTAATTTAAAAAAATAGGCAAATGACTGAAGGAAGTGAGAAGACATATTCTGAAATCCTGAGAGTGAAAGTTGGGGAAAGGGGTGGAGAGAGAAGCGTGATTGATGGTGGTGATGAGGAGAGGATGATAATCAATAGGTTAATGAAGAGCACACATTCTAAAGGAAATCACTCAAGAAACGAAGGAAGATTTCATACAAATACTCCCTTATGATTGAAAACGAATGATATTATTACAACAATTTAAGTTGGAAAAAAAGATATAGGGTTTAAAAAGCCATGCAATTTGAAAAAATAAAAAGTAAATTTGAGAAGCTTACAACAAAAGTAAAATATTATAACCATTACGGAAATTAAAGTCACATGAGTAGGCTGCCTCAGAGCATATAGTACATTCCATTGGAAAGATGGTCCTGCCATAACATATAGCATCAAGTGTGGTAGTAGTTTTCCATTGCTACATAACCCATCACCACATACGTAGTTGCTTAAAACAAGACAACACAAAACAACACGGAAATTACTATTTCTGTGGGTCCAGAGCCCAGCCCTGAGTTATGTAGGTCTTCTGCTAAGGAGCCCATCATTCTGCCATTAAGGCACTGGCTTCCTGTAGTTCTCATCCAGTTGCTGGCAAAGTTCAGTTCATTACAGGTGTAAGACTGAGGTCTCTGTGTTGTTGCAGGCTGTTGGCCACGCCCTGTGACAACATGGCTGCTTACTCAAAACCAGCAGAAGCATCTCTCTCCAGTGGGCTAGGAAGAAGTCTTATGTAGCTTTATATACTCATGAGAGTAACTATCCCTCATAGTCACAGGTCTGCTCATCCTTGATGTTGGAATTACATGGGACATACACACCAGGGGGTGAAACTCTTAGAGGTCATCTTAGAATTCTGCATACACAAATTACAAAATGGAGAGAAATGACAAGAAAAGCAATATGTACTATAAATTTGATGTTTCCGAAGAAAAGAGCAAAACAAATAAAATATGAATTTTTGACTTTAAGGTGATAGAGAACTTTTGACTTCTTTCTCCTTCAAAAAACACACAGAACAAGAAGGAGACACAGTAAAGAATTAGCTGAAGTCTCATTCTCTAACTTGTGAGTGAAAAAGCCTCAAACAATTGCAGAAACTAGTAAGAAACAAGCAATTCAACTTTGCAGAACAAATGAATTTAGGAATGAGCACTAGTACTACTGTAGTTGGTGGTGGCTGGTGTGAAAGTTCACAGAAGAAACAAAGAGCTTCCATTTCCCAATTACATCCCACGGAGTCCAGTACCTGTTCTTTCTAGAATGAGGCATAAGCCTAGATATTTATTCTCTGGAGAAATATGTCAAGAGAAGGGCCAGGTGTAGGGACACAATTCACAAAACAAGAGAATAAGGTCTACCAAACAGAAGGGTAAAATCTCACTGTACTTACATTAATTGTAAATCACTCTCATAACTTCTTCTGTTCAGATCCATACACTGGTAGTAATAAGTATAGAGAAATTCACAAGCAGACATGTAACATCACCCAAATACCATCTCCAATAAGTTTTACAGTTCCTCTATCTTAAAAATGAATAGACAACCGAGATTTGACAGTAACCTCAAACATGAAAGGCAGGGATCAAGGTAAAAATAATAATAATAATAATTACAAGTAAATCTATAATAAAAGATACAATACAGGCCTGGGAAAAAACTTTTAAAAATGATATGCAGTTATGTTCAGAGAGAGAAAATCTATAACACCTATACATCTCAAAGGTAGAGGAAGCTGTAACAAGTAAAAAAATTCAAAAAATAAAATACATAAAAGCTTTTGAAAATTAAGAAATACAATTGCTAAAGGAAAACAAATCAGTAAGAAGAATTGAAGTCCAGTATATTTTTGGAATAAATAGCCAAAACTGATCAAAATGGAGGCCTCTAGGGTGGAAGACTTTCCACAGAAATGCTCCATGCTGGATGGAAGGCAGTGAGGCAGTGACGGCTAAATTCTGACAGAAAGGAAAGTGACCCTAGAATTCTGAAGCCAGTCATGTGTTCTTGCAAGTGTAATGGAAGAAAACACCGAGGAGCTTTACTTCTCACTCTTGACTTGAAAACACGTCAAGCCAGACAGAAATTAAAATAACAGACTCAAGAATGTGAAGATTCAGTGAAATGAATGATGCTGAAAATTACCCTCTATTTAAATATTGAAATTAAATTAGAATGAAACAAAATCTTTGTCAATCATGGTTAAAGGAGAATAACTGTTTAAAGCATTGGCAATGTAAACTTAACAATATAACAAAATAAATCGATCCATATGGAGAATAGAGGTACAAATATTATATCCTCTTCTATTAAATATGAATATGAAGTCACTATTTCAAGTTGAATTGTAGAAAAAATGACACAATACTCTTATTTTTATCTTCTGTTTTTGTTGCTTTTGCTGTTTTTAATTTAGAACTACATTTTAGAATTAAATTTTTTTGTGCCAGAATAATTTTTGCTATAATTTTACTTCTGCTTTATTATATTCATTAAATTAAATATTATAAAAGTAAAAATAACGTAGTGTGGTACAGAATCTCATTTGTGGGATTGTATGAATTGATCTATTACTCTGTTTATTTACATGTCTATTCATATGTCTGTCTCCACAGAGAAATATGAAGAATGCTGTTCACTAAATAATAACAATGTGTGTATTTTGGTTTCATTTCTGAGTAGCAGGATTTTGGTAATTGTTTAGTGGCCTTTTATTACTCTTCTATAGAAAGCTTGCCCTAATGTTGTAACAACAACACGTGACGGGTTTTTTTTTTTTTTTCTTTTTTGAGGCAAGTCTTGCTCTTGTCCCCCAGGCTGGAGTGCGATGGTGCTATCTTGGCTCACTGCACCCTGCGCCTCCCAGGTTCAAGCGATTTTCCTGCCTCAGCCTGGGATTACAGGCACGTGCCACCATGCCCAGCTAATTTTTGTATTTTTAGTGGAGATGGGGTTTCTCCATGTTGGCCAGGCTGGTCACGAACTCCTGACCTCAGGTGATCCGCCCACCTCAGCCTCCCAAAGTGCCGGGATTACAGGCATGAACCACCATGCCAGGCCAAACATGAAATTTTTACTTTTATTTTTGAAAAAGACATGTTGATTGAACTCCTTTACAATCAGTCTTAGCAATTGCAAGAGCTAGCTGATTCAAGAGTAATGAAACAATCAGATTATTTAAATGGGGTGGAAGCATGATGCCCTGGAATATGAGCATTTGCTAATCCTGCCACACTAGTGTTTATCCCAGGTAATCTCTAGAAAGACATTTGTCTATCCTTATGCCCTAAAAATGTTATGAATAGAGAACACATAAAAACTTCGTAGATGTCAAATTTTTAGTGATAATACCATTTTTACAGCCTAACTCATTATGTGGTAGGTGTTCTGGCCCACTTAGGTAGCCTCTGCTTCTCTTTTCGACAGTAATAAACCTGAAGTTGGAAGAGTCTACAGCACTGCAGAGCTGAGTAGAGGAGACTAATTATTTTACCTCCTCTTGGGCCATATTGGACTCTTATCTAGGATTGTATGTATCAATAAGCTTTTCCACTTCTACCACTGTATTCTTTTCTTTAGATGACCTTCATCTTTGTTTTGGTATAAAGTCTCCTCATACTATGCAAGCAGCCACTTTCTGCTGAATGCTCCCCACTTACTCAGTCAACTGCCCCCCTCACTCCCAGTTTGTGTTAGATAGTGCCTTCTCTCATTACACCCTGTGTTTAAGTTGACTACTTCTTATATGAAAATATACATCAGCTGCCTTTTTCATGTCTTTCTGCTCAATTAGATTTTGAAATCCCAGAGAAAAATAAGTCATATTCTCAACTTTTGCCTGTGTTTATTGCCCTAGTCTATACATCTGACTGCTTCATTGTGTGCCCAACACACAATCCAAACTAACCTAATAATAGACGTGGAATTCTACTACACAACCAGTGAGTTTAATGAGCTGCAAATTAAAGGACCATGTTGCTTCTTCCCCCCATTAAATTTCATCCTTTATAGCTGTTTTGGCTATCACTGATTTTCATGTGTTCAAATTCAGATGTTTGCATAGTAAAATGAAAATGTTCCATAAAAGGATTACTTTATTCTTAATTGGTTGTTTCCATTTTAGTCAGCGATGAGTGAAGAGGCAATGCCCACTAAACTTTCTCTGCTACTGAAGAAGACAACTAGGCTGAGGTGGCAGGATTGTTGGGTCCAGAAGTTTGAGGCTGCAGTGAGCCAGATTACACCACTGCACTCCAGCCTAGGAGACAAAGCAAGACCTTGTCTCAAAAAAAAAAAAAAGTCTTTTTATATATCAACATGTATGTTAATTTTTGCAAAAGGTTTATTAAACCACATTATTCTTATTTTATGGATAAGAAAACTGATAGAGAGTTTAGATAACTTCTAAGTATCCTCCCATTCATAGATTGGGACGCTACTATCTGAATTTAGATCTTTTGATACAAAGTTTATTTCTTCAGTCATATTCTGGAATAGTTATTATATAAAAAGTAGACAAAATGGCAGATTTAACTTTCACCTTCAGTAATTTTTGAAAAGATTATGGAAGTGTGAGAGTAGTGGTTCTCCCAGCACGCAGCTGGAGATCTGAGAACAGGCAGACTGCCTCCTCAAGTGGGTCCCTGACCCCCGAGCAGCCTAACTGGGAGGCACCCCCCAGTAGGGGCAGACTGACACCTCACACGGCCAGGTACTCCTCTGAGACAAAACTTCTAGAGGAACGATCAGGCAGCAGCATTCGTGGTTCAAGTAAAACCGCTGTTCTGCAGCCACCACTGCTGATACCCAGGCAAACAGTGTCTGGAGTGGACCTCTAGCAAACTCCAACAGACCTGCAGCTGAGGGTCCTGTCTGTTAGAAGGAAAACTAACAAACAGAAAGGACATCCACACCAAAAACCCATCTGTACATCACCATCATCAAAGACCAAAAGTAGATAAAACCACAAAGATGGGGAAAAAACAGAGCAGAAAAACTGGAAACTCTAAAAAACAGAGCGCCTCTCCTCCTCCAAAGGAACGCAGTTCCTCACCAGCAGTGGAACAAAGCTGGATGGAGAATGACTTTGATGAGTTGAGAGAAGAAGGCTTCAGATGATCAAACTACTCCGAGCTACAGGAGGAAATTCAAGCCAAAGGCAAAGAAGTTAAAAACTTTGAAAAAGAATTAGATGAATGTATAACTAAAATAACCAATACAGAGAAGTGCTTAAAGGAGCTGATGGAGCTGAAAGCCAAGGCTCGAGAACTTCGTGAAGAATGCAGAAGCCTCAGGAGCCGACGCAATCAACTGGAAGAAAGGGTATCAGCAATGGAAGATGAAATGAATGAAATGAAGCGAGAAGGGAAGTTTAGAGAAAAAAGAATAAAAAGAAATGAGCAAAGCCTCCAAGAAATATGGGACTACGTGAAAAGACCAAATCTACATCTGATTGGTGTACCTGAAAGTGATGGGGAGAATGGAACCAAGTTGGAAAACACTCTGCAGGATATTATCCAGGAGAACTTCCCCAATCTAGCAAGGCAGGCCAACATTCAGATTCAGGAAATACAGAGAATGCCACAAAGATACTCCTCGAGAAGAGCAACTCCAAGACACATAATTATCAGATTCACCAAAGTTGAAATGAAGAAAAAAATGTTAAGGGCAGCCAGAGAGAAAGGTCGGGTTACCCACAAAGTGAAGCCCATCAGACTAACAGCGGATCTCTAGGCAGAAACTCTACAAGCCAGAAGAGAGTGGGGGCCAATATTCAACATTCTTAAAGACAAGAATTTTCAACCCAGAATTTCATATCCAGCCAAACTAAGCTTCATAAGTGAAGGAGAAATAAAATCCTTTACAGACAAGCAAATGCTGAGAGATTTTGTCACTACCAGGCCTGCCCTAAAAGAGCTCTTGAAGGAAGCACTAAACGTGGAAAGGAAAAACTGGTACCAGCCACTGTAAAATCATGCCAAATTGTAAAGACCATCGAGGCTAGGAAGAAACTGCATCAACTAACGAGCAAAATAACCAGCTAACATCATAATGACATGATCAAATTCACACATAACAATATTAACTTTAAATGTAAATGGACTAAATGCTCCAATTAAAAGACACAGACTGGCAAATTGGATAAAGAGTCAAGACCCATCAGTGTGCTGTATTCAGGAAACCCATCTCACATGCAGAGACACACATAGGCTCAAAATAAAGGGATGCGGGAAGATCTACCAAGCAAATAGAAAACAAAAAAAGGCAGGAGTTGCAATCCTAGTCTCTGATAAAACAGACTTTAAACCAACAAAGTTCAAAAGAGACAAAGAAGGCCATTACATAATGGTAAAGGGATCAATTCAAAAAGAAGAGCTAAGTATCCTAAATATGTATGCACCCAATACAGGAGCATCCAGATTCATAAAGCAAGTCCTGAGTGACCTACAAAGAGACTTAGACTCCCACACAATAATAATGGGAGACTTTAACACCCCACTGTCAACATTAGACAGATCAACGAGATAGAAAGTTAACAAGGATACCCAGGAACTGAACTCAGCTCTGCACCAAGTGGACCTAATAGACATCTACAGAACTCTCCACCCCAAATCAACAGAATATACATTTTTTTCAGCACCACACCACACCTATTCCAAGATTGACCACATAGTTGGAAGTAAAGCTCTCCTCAACAAATGTAAAAGAACAGAAATTACAACAAACTGTCTCTCAGACCACAGTGCAATCAAACTAGAACTCAGGATTAAGAAACTCACTCAAAACCACTCAACTACATGGAAACAGAACAACCTGCTCCTGAACGACTACTGGGTACATAACGAAATGAAGGTGGAAATAAAGATGTTCTTTGAAACCAACGAGAACAAAGACACAACATACCAGAATCTCTGGGACACATTCAAAGCAGTGTGTAGAGGGAAATTTATAGCACTAAATGCTCACAAGAGAAAGCAGGAAAGATCCAAAATTGACACCCTAACATCACAATTAAAAGAACTAGAAAAGCAAGAGCAAACACATTTAAAACCTAGCAGAAGGCAAGAAATAACTAAAATCAGAGCAGAACTGAAGGAAATAGAGACACAAAAAACCCTTCCAAAAATTAATGAATCCAGGAGCTGGTTTTTTTTGAAAAGATCAACCAAATTGATAGACCGCTAGCAGGACTAATAAAGAAGAAAAGAAGAATCAAATAGATGCAATAAAAAATGATAAAGGGGATATCACCACCGATCCCACAGAAATACAAACTACCATCGGAGAATACTACAAATACCTCTACGCAAATAAACTAGAAAATCTAGAAGAAATGGATAAATTCCTCGACACATACACCCTTCCAAGACTAAACCAGGCAGAAGTTGAATCTCTGAATAGACCAATAACAGGAGCTGAAATTGTGGCAATAATCAATAGCTTACCAACCAAAAAGAGTCCAGGACCAGATGGATTCACAGCCAAATTCTACCAGAGGTACAAGGAGGAACTGGTACTATTCCTTCTGAAACTATTCCAATCTATAGAAAAAGAGGGAATCCTCCCTAACTCATTTTATGAGGCCAGCATCATCCTGATACCAAAGCCAGGCAGAGACACAACCAAAAAAGAGAATTTTAGACCAATATCCTTGATGAACATCGATGCAACAATCCTCAATAAAATACTGGCAAACCGAATCCAGCAGCACATCAAAAAGCTTATCCACCATGATCAAGTGAGCTTCATCCCTGGGATGCAAGGCTGGTTCAACATACACAAATCAATAAATGTAATCCAGCATATAAACAGAACCAAAGACAAAAACCACATGATCATCTAAATAGATGCAGAAAAGGCCTTTGACAAAATTCAACAACCCTTCATGTTAAAAACTCTCAATAAATTAGGTATTGATGGGACGTATCTCAAAATAGTAAGAGCTATCTATGACAAACCCACAGCCAATATCATACTGAATGGGCAAAAACTGGAAGCATTCCCTGTGAAAACTGGCACAAGACAGGGATGCCCTCTCTCACCACTCCTATTCAACATAGTGTTGGAAGTTCTGGCCAGGGCAATTAGGCAGGAGAAGGAAATAAATGGTATTCAACTAGGAAAAGAGGAAGTCAAATTTTCCCTGTTTGCAGATGACATGATTGTATATCTAGAAAACCCCATTGTCTCAGCCCAAAATCTCCTTAAGCTGATAAGCAACTTCAGCAAAGTCTCAGGATACAAAATCAATGTACAAAAATCACAAGCATTGTTATACACCAATAACAGAGAGCCAAATCAGGAGTGAACTCCCATTCACAATTGCTTCAAAGAGAATAAAATACTTAGGAATCCAACTTACAAAGGACATGAAGGACTTCTTCAAGGAGAACTACAAACCACTGCTCAATGAAATAAAAGAGGATACAAACAAATGGAAGAACATTCCATGCTCTTGGGTTGGAAGAATCAATATCATGAAAATGGCCATACTGCCCAAGGTAATTTATAGATTCAATGCCATCCCCATCAAGCTACCAATGACTTTCTTCACAGAATTGGAAAAAACGACTTTAAAGTTCATATGGAACCAAAAAAGAGCCTGCATCGCCAAGTCAATCTTAAGCCAAAAGAACAAATCTGGAGGCATCACGCTACCTGACTTCAAACTATACTACAACGCTACAGTAACCAAAACAGCATGGTACTGGTACCAAAACAGAGATATAGGTCAATGGAACAGAACAGAGCTCTCAGAAATAATGCCGCATATCTACAACTATCTGATCTTTGACAAACCTGACAAAAACAAGAAATGGGGAAACGATTCCCTATTTAATAAATGGCGCTGGGAAAACTGGCTAGCCATATGTAGAAAGCTGAAACTGGATCCCTTCCTTACACCTTATACAAAAATTAATTCAAGATGGATGAAAGACTTACATGTTAGACCTAAAACCATAAAAACCCTAGAAGACAACGTAGGCATTACCATTCAGGACATAGGCATGGGCAAGGACTTCATGTCTAAAACACCAAAAGCAGTGGCAACAAAAGCCAAAATTGACGAACGGGATCTAATTAAACTAAAGAGCTTCTGCACAGCAAAAGAAACTACCATCAGAATGAACAGGCAACCTACAAAATGGGAGAAAATTTTCGCAACCTACTCATCTGACAAAGGGCTAATATCCAGAATCTACAATGAACTCAAACAAATTTACAAGAAAAAAACAAACAACCCCATCAAAAAGTGGGCGAAGGACATGAACAGACACTTCTCAAAAGAAGACATTTGTGCAGCCAAAAAACACATGAAAAAATGCTCGTCATCACTGGCCATCAGAGAAATGCAAATGAAAACCACAATGCGATACCATCTCACACCAGTTAGAATGGCCATCATTAAAAAGTCAGGAAACAACAGGTGCTGGAGAGGATGTGGAGAAATAGGAACACTTTTACACTGCTGGTGGGACTGTAAACTAGTTCAACCATTGTGGAAGTCAGTGTGGCAATTCCTCAGGGATCTAGAACTAGAAATACCATTTGACCCAGCCATCCCATTACTGAGTATATACCCAAAGGACTATAAATCATGCTGCTATAAAGACACATGCACACGTATGTTTATTGTGGTACTATTCACAATAGCAAAGACTTGGAACCAACCCAAATGTCCAACAACGATAGACTGGATTAAGAAAATGTGGCACATATACACCACGGAATACTATGCAGCCATAAAAAATGGTGAGTTCATGTCCTTTGTAGGGACATGGATGAAATTGGAAATCATCATTCTCAGTAAACTATCGCAAGGACAAAAAACCAAACACCACATGTTCTCACTCATAGGTGGGAATTGAACAATGAGAACGCATGGACACAGGAAGGGGAACATCACACTCCGGGGACTGTTGTGGGGTGGGGGGAGGGGGGAGGGACAGCATTAGGAGATACACCTAATGCTAAATGATGAGTTAATGGGTGCAGCACACCAACATGGCACATGGATACATATGTAACAAACCTGCACATTGTGCACATGTACCATAAAACTTAAAGTACAATAAAAAAAAAAAGAAAAGATTATGGAAGTGTCATGGTTACCTATGCGTTTAATGGCTTAAAATTAGAATAATTAGAATCTAGAGAATCAAGTGCGCAATTTATAACATTATTTTAAAGAATGACTTAAGTGCTGAGATGAAAACTTGTTTCAGGGGATTCCTGGAGTCTAGTTTGCTGGTCACTGTTCTCACACTGTTTTTTTTTTGTTTTGTTTTGTTTTTGTTTTTTGTTTTTTTCCTGATGGCATGCTCCTGAAGGTTCTTATGCAGATATGTGGTAGTCTCATTTTCAATAAATACCTAGAAAGTGTAGTTGTGGTCACACCAGAACACGTATCTTAGGCATTCAGATTCAAGAATTAGGCCTTGTCTGATTACATGGCCTTATAAGATATTAACAAATGATGGATGTTCACTTAGAAACACTCAACTGAGTGAATTATCATATATATGAAGAAAAATATAAACCGAAAAGTGTTAAACCTGTCTGCTGATCACACACAAATAGATACATCAGTGAGCAATGCAGTTTAGATTTAAAAGTATAGAATTTAATAGCTTTTCAAAATGTAAATACACCTATAGGTATCAAGTTTTTGTTTTTGTTATTATTGTTATTGGTCTCATATTTTTTTATAAAATTGCCCTCAGTGGATAATGGAGTTAGTGGCTCATTTCAAACAATACTTTTGGAATCTGTAATTATATCTAAAACCTATCAATTTTTTCATTATATTCTATAAAATATTCGTGATCAATTTACTATAAATCTATCTTAATGTCTTAAAATTATACAACTGTTGCTTCATGAAGATGTTGTTGATTTATACTCTTGCTATAAGCAACTAGCACACTTCTCCTCTGAAGATACATGTACTCATTTATCAAAAAACAAAGGAGCAGTACATCTGTTAGCATCCAGGAAAATCCAGAATACCGTCGTGACCAAATGCTGGAGTGGAGCTTTCATTTGTTGCTGGCGGAAATGCAAAATGGTACAGCTTCTTTAGAAGAGAGTTTGGCAGTTTCTTACAAAACTAAACATACTCTTACCATACTAACCAGTAATCACATTCCTTGGTATTTACCCAAAGAAATGGAAAATATTTGTTCACACAAAAGCCTGCGTGTGAATGCTTAAAGCACCTTTATTGCTAATTGCCCAAACTTGGAAAGCAACCAAGATATCCATCCTTCAGAAGGTGAAAGGATAAATAGCCTGCATTACATCCAAACAATAGAATGTTATTCAGCACTAAAAAGAAATGAGCTATCAAGCTATGAAAAAACATGTCAGAATCTTAAGTGCATGTTCCTTAGTCGCAGAAGCCGATCTGTAAATTTCCAATGATACAACATTCCGGAAAAGGCAAAATTATGAAAACAGTAAAAAGATCAGTGGTTGCCAGGAGTTGGGGGTGAAGAGGTTGAATACATAGAGCAGAGACTATTTTTAGAGCAGGGAAAATACTCTGCATGGTACCTTAATGGTGGCACATATCATTATAAATTTTTCCAACTTATGTAATGTACAGCAGTGAGGGTAAACCCTAATGTAAACTATGGAGTTTGGTGATTATGATATGTCAATGTAGGTTCATCATTTGTAACAACTGTCCCATGCTGGTAGGGGATATTGATAATGAAAGGCTCTGCATGTGAGGGGGCAGAGGACTTATGGGAAATCCCTGTTACATCCTTTCAGTTTTGCTATGAACCGAAAACTGCTCTAAAGTAATTAAGTCCTTAAAAATAAACAAACAAATAAGTGAGGGATTAGACCAATGATGATCATGGCAGAGATAATGCAGATAGCCAATCTTAAAATAATCAGAAAGCTGCAGTGCCCACAACCTCTCCTGACTTTAATGAATTAAGTAGATATCCAGGGATTTTCAATGGAGAGTGGAAGATAAAGCTATAGGAAAAAAAAGACAAAGACACAGTGGTTAAATGCTGAACCTTGGCCAAATGCTCTGGTGTGAAAAATAAGACTTTGAAAGACTCTAGAATAAGAGCTAGCTATCCCAAGTGACAGAGCATGAGAGAGGTCATAGGAACCATAGACAGAACACAGAAAAACAGTGTCACTCAGCATAGACCTATCTCTACGGCCACTATGGGTAACAATCATTGTTTATTTCTTAATGTGGAGGAACCAGGAATTGTGATCAGAACTCATTTTGATCACTTAAGTCATTCAATTTATGGAAAGAATATGTATGTATTAAACTATGTATCTCTAGTTCCAGAGAGTGAATTCAGTTATTCCCCAAAATCCTTTTGTTGTTTTAATGACATCCTGAGTCAAAGAGCCCCTGCTGCTCTTTAGTAGACAGATAACTCAGGTTTATGAAGTCTACCTGTGTGGTACCCACAGTAGGCAAATGAGAAAAGTAGCCCAATTCAGAAAACCATCTTAACTGGGGCTTAACTCCGGCTGAGTGTTACATATATCTCATTATTGAGAGATATTTCCCTTTTAGATGACTTTTTCATTTCTTTTTAAAAGAAAGAATGGATCCGTATGTGGTCAATTCACTTTTCAACAATTCTTTCTCTACTGACAGGCTGAAGTGATTTCACATTAAGAGAAAATGAGTTTTGCTGCTTTTCATAAATTGGTAATGAGCTTTTTGAACAATCATAGCCATAACCTGATTCACAAAAGAACCTTCTCAGATTTGCCACTAACATGTCTGTAACAATAAGCTGAGAAAAAAATACCAAATAAGTTGATGCCACTTGCTGAGAACTATTTTCCTGTCTTCATTTCAGCCCTTTAGATTATTTCTCCCTGTGACGCTATCAAGCAGCCTGGGTTCAGTTTGACAGTTAAGCATTGAGATATCTCTATCACTACCCTGTCTCACTTTGCAAAAGGAAGAGAACTTCAATGCTGTGCAGCAGGAAGGATGCCAGGAAAATTAGATTTTATTTTCAGCTCTGCTTCTCACCAGCTTGTGTGATATTGGGAAATTTATTCTTCTGCTCTGGATCAGTTTTCAATATTTCAAATATGCGTGGACCTGTTTCCAAAGAGCTAAAAGACCTCCAGAGGTCCTCTCACTATTAAGATATGATGATGCTAATAAAAGCGTAACATCCGAAATGCTACCTATTACTTCTGTGGAATGATTTCTCCCTGGATGCCTTCTTGTTGCTTACTTTCATTTCCTTCAGAGAAACCAACAACCCATAGAATGTTGCCTTTACAGTACTAGAATGGATTGAGGGCATATCGAGAAAAAAAAATTCCAGCAATTCCTCTTTTAGCTCATCTCACTTCTCACATTCTTTATTGTAGGCAATTAAAGGAACCACTTGGTGCATTCACCACTCTGCCCGGAAATTTTATTAGCCAGATTTGCAAGTTTATTAGCCACATTTGCTATCTTCCACATAAGAAGGTGGCAGCTTCACTGATTTTTGTGCCAATATCATTAAGGTCCATTTGTTTTTTGCTCTTTCTAACAGTTTCCTCAAGGTTTTTAGTCCATAACTTCCACCTGATCATAAAGCCAGTGCTGCATATTTTGATATTTTGTTGCTGAAGCACCCCTCTTCTGGTGTCATTCTATCTTTTGTTAATCTTCTTCCATGGAACAAACTACCTTTAAAATATTGTGGCTTAAAACAGCAATCACTTGTTATTTCTCATGATTCTGAGGGTCAGGATTTTACAGAGGCAGTGGGCTTATCTACGCTCGCTTCAGTGCCTGCTGTCACTGGAAAGGCTGCAACAGCTTCGTTAGCTTTTTGGTGCCTCAGCAAGGGAGATTGGGCGGTGGAGGGCTGGCTAGAAGAGCTAGATTCGAGGAATGTCTGGATTCTTCAGTTCTCAAGGTTCTCTCTCCACATGACCTCTTCATATTTTTTCTTTACACAGTTTCATCTAGAATTCTCATGTGAAACTTTAGGACTTCTAAGAGTTCATAAGTAGAAGTTTTATACTTTGTTAAAGCCTAGGCTAGGATTGCACAGCAATATTTTTGCTATATTCTATTCTAAAGTCTTTGAGTTATAAGCTAAGCTTGGATTCAGGAGGAAATAACTACAAAAAGGCATAAACACTGAAGCATAACCCATGGGGTCCTACTAGTGTTAACTAACTACCACGATGACAGAGGAAAAAGTAACACAAGAAAAGAATTACTTTTTAAAAAGTTAGGAAAATGGACAAACACCCCGGAAGTTGAATTTGCGTACTTTTTAATGTATTTATTTTTATTTATTTTTTCAAGATGGAGTCTCACTTTTTCACCTAGGCTGGGGTGCAGTGGCACGATCTTGGCTCACTGCAACCTCTGCCTCCAGATTCAAGTGATTCTCATGAGTAGCTGGGATTACAGGCATGTGCCACCACTCCCAGAATCCCAGCTTCTTGGGAGGCTGAGGCAGGAGAATTGCTTGAACCTGGGAGGCAGAGGTTCCAGTGAGCTGAGATCATGCCACTGTACTCTAGCTACAGCTTGGGCAACAGAGTGAGTGAGACTCTGCCAAAAAAAAAAAAAAACACACAAACATATGTATAAATGAAATCATAAGATTCATGGGATTTAATTCAAAATAATATGGACAATGCAGTTTCAAAATGGGTGGGAGTATAGATAAAATAACAAGATTGATCATGACTTGATAATTATTATAGTAGATTCCTGGATATATACAAAATTACCATTTTTTTATGTTTGAAAGGACTATAAATCATGCTGCTATAAAGACACATGCACACGTATGTTTATTGCGGCATTATTCACAATAGCAAAGACTTGGAACCAACCCAAATGTCCAACAATGATAGACTGGATTAAGAAAATGTGGCACATATACACCATGGAATACTATGCAGCCATAAAAAATGATGAGTTCATGTCCTTTGTAGTAGGGACATGGATGAAATTGGAAAACATCATTCTCAGTAAACTATCACAAGAACAAAAAACCAAACACCGCATATTCTCACTCATAGGTGGGAACTGAACAATGAGATCACATGGACACAGGAAGGGGAATATCACACTCTGGGGACTGTGGTGGGGTGGGGGGAGGGGGGAGGGATAGCATTGGGAGATATACCTAATGCTAGATGACGAGTTAGTGGGTGCAGGGCACCAGCATGGCACATGTATACATATGTAACTAACCTGCACAATGTGCACATGTACCCTAAAACTTAAAGTATAATAAAAAAAAAAAAGAAAAAGTAAAATCAAATAAAGAAATACATTCTAATATCACTAATGAAAACTGGATAATTACTATAGGTCTTTCTTACAAATTAAAGAGAACAAGATTAAAAATATTTCAGGCCAATATATTTGATACTTTATATGACATATGCATATATCACAAAAGAGAAACTTGTTGAAACAGACTCAAGAAGAAATAGAAAGCCTAAATAGTCCTATATATATGTAAAACAATGAATTCATTAATACCCTCAACACAATTTGAGGTACACAGGATGTGCCCTATGAATTATTTCTAATTTTTAGAAAATAAATAGCACTGATATTACAAAAAGTATTTTAGGGAACATAAAAAGCATGAGAACACTTCACATGTCCTGTTTTAAAGCTATCATATTCTTTATAGTAAACTTTGGCAAGAACATCAGTAGAAAAAAAATCACAGAATAATGTATTACCAACACTGATGAAATCATTTTACAACTGACCCTTGAACAATGTGAAGGTTAGGGATGCTGACCTATCCATGCAATTGAAAATTTGTGCGTAACTTTTGACTCCCCCAAAATGTAACTACTCATAGCATACTGTTGACTAGAAGCCTTACTGATAATATAAACAGTTGATTAACACATATTTTGTATGTTGTATGTATTATATACTGTATTCTTACAATAAATCAAGCTAGAGAAAAGAAAATTTTATTAAAAAAATAAGGAACATAAAATATATTTATTATTCATCAAGTGGAAGTGGAATCGTTTGAAAGGTCTTTATCCTCATTGTCTTCATATTGACTAGGCTGAGGAGGAAAAGGCAGAGGAGGGTTTGGTTTTGCTGTCTCAGGTGTGGCAGTGGCAAAAAGAAAATCTGTATATAAGTGGACCCATGCAGCTCAAACCTATGTTGTTAAAGGGTCAACTGTATTCATATATTTATGAAAACTGATAATATATCACAAAGCCAATTAAGGTTTATTACAGGAATGTGAGAGCAGCTTAATATTTTTCAATCAATGAATAGAATTTATTACATATTAATAAAAAGAAAACATATTATTGATATATTTAGGAAGAATATTTGATAAAATTAAGCAACCATCAATATGTTTCATGATAATATGTAAGTAGATGGAAATTTATACAATATGACGAAGAATATTAACCAAAAACATACTGTAAATTTTATAGTTACAGTGAATTGTTGAATGTATTTCCTTTGGCATCAGAAATGCCATGTGTCCCTGATCTTACAAATTCTATTAATGATATTACAAGTTCTACTTAGTGTAGTAATAAAAGAAAAAGAAATAAAGACCACAAGATTACAAAGGAAGAAATAACTCTCATTATTCAGAGATCATACAATTACATATATAGAAAATCCAAAAGCATCCATTGGCAAACTATAGGAATCAATAAATAAATTTAGCATGTTGGTTGTATAAAAGTCAATATATAGATTAATTTTTCTTATATGCAATAAAAATTAGAAAATAAAAGTTTAAAATATTCATAATAAAATTAAGAATATCAAATAACTGAGAATAATTATAATAAAATATATTTAAATTGACACCAAATGCTGCAAAACTGTGCTGTAAGAAATAGCAGAATATATTTTTGTGTATATACATACACGACATACATATGTACAACAAACCTGTACAAGTACAGGTATACAATGTGATTTTATGAAAATACATAACATTATACAAATCACAATTCTTTCTAAATATTTAGATCCAATGTGATATCGATCAAAACTAGGTACAATTTTCTGTTGTTTTGTTGAGGTTGGCAAATTCTTTCCAATATTAGTTTAGAAATATGAAGGGTCTTACATAGCCAAACAATGTTAAGAGGAAAAAGAAAGCTAAATGACTCATTCCAATTTATATCAAGATTTATTGCAACGCTCTAGTAATTAGCACAGTGTAAAATTGGTAAAAGTATAGACAAGCTGATCAAAAAAATGTAAAAGTGTATTTAAAAGCAGTTGCACATACATACAGTTGCCTGATACATGAAAGTGAAACACTAGAGTACAATAAGAGAAAAATGGCCTTTTCAATAATTGCTGCTGGGCCACTTATATGTTTATTGATATTTTCAAAAAAGAATCTATTAATAGATTCCTATATTATACTATATACAAAATAAATACAAATTGAGTGGAAATATAAATGTACAAATTAACACTGCTAGAAGACAGTACAGAAAAATATCTTTATGAATTTGGGCTAGCAAAAAAATTTAACACCGAAAAGGATTAATCACAATGAAAAGAGATGAAAAATTTTATTATAATACAACTAAGAATTTCAAAAGTCACCATTAAGAGAATAAGAAATTAAGCCACAAAAGCCTCTTATCCAACATATATAAACAAATTAGCATTTCACATTTGAAAAGTGAGACAAATGCTAGAACATGCACTTTATAAAATAGGACATCCAAATGTCCAATAAACATATGAAAGGGTACTGACCTTCACAGTAAATATAATTGTACATTTAAATACAAATTATAACCAAAGTATAAAACCCTTACATAACAGAAAAATAGAAGCACAGAGAACACTACATCTTTATGAGAATGTGGAATAATTGAAACACTCATAATTACCGCTGGCTTCAACAAATGGTGCTACAGTAACTGAATTTCCACATGCAGAAAAAAAAAGTTAAGCTGTATTAAAAAATGAACTCAAAATGGGTCAAGGACTTAAATATAAGAGACAAAATCATAAAATTCTTAAAGGAAATCATGCAGATAAATATTCTTAACCTTAGATTTGTCAAGGAAATCTTAGATATGACACCAAAAGTACAAGAAACAAAAGAATTAACAAATTATTTAACAAAATTAGAATCTTATGTGCAACAAAGGACATTATCAAGAAAGTGAAAAGACTACCTACAAGATGGGAGAAAATATTTGAAAATCATATATCTGATAAATATTCAATATCCAGAATATATAAAGAATTACAATTCAACAACAAAGGGACAATCCAATAAAATTTTTGTAATTGGCTTAAGTTTACATTTCTTCAAATAATATTTATAAATGCACAATAAGCATATGAAAAGATGCTCAACATCATTAATCATTTGGGAAATGGAAATCATAATCAATGAGATATTACTTCATGCCTACTAATATGGTTATAATAAAAAATATTTAATTAATTAAGAAACTAACAAATTTCCAGGATGTGCCGAAATTAGAACACTCATAAATTTCAGATGGAAGTGTAAATAGTGCAGTTGCTGTGAAAAATAGCTTGATGGTGTCTCAAAAAGCTAAATACCTCTACACAATTACCATAGAACTTGGTAATTCCACTTTCAGATATATACCCAGGGACTCAAACAGATACTTTTATACCAATGTTCATTGCAGCATTATTTACAATAGCCAAAAGATTGAAATAACCCAAATGTCCGTCAACAGAAGAATGTATAAAGAAAATGTGGTATATGAATGCAATGGAATATTATTCAGTCCGAGAAAGAAATGATGTTCTGATACATGCTACCGCATGAATGAACCTTGAAAATACTGTGCTAAGTGATGTAAGTTGCCTGGGAAAATATTACATGATACCACTTACATGAATTATCCAGACAAGGCAAATTCATTGAAAAAGAATGTACAAGAGATTACCAGGGGAAAGGCAGAAATGGAAAGATATTGCTTAATGGGTACAGTGTTTCTGTTTAGGTGAGGAAATTTTTGGAAAAAGATAGTAGTAATGGTTGCACAACATTATGTTGTAATTGATGCCAATAAATTGTACACATAAAAATAGTTGAATATAACAAATTTTATATTAAGTATATTTTACCACAATTAAAAAAATTAAATCTGCCGAGAGTTTCATTAAAAAAAAACCACATTGGAACACTTTTTGATAGTATCTATTGAACATATTTATACCATATGTCTCATATTTGCAATCATACCAAACATAAATGTGTACATACCTTCAACAAAGGACATTTTCTAGAATTATCACTTACGCTCTGTATGCAATAAAATGAGTTTATGAATTGTGGTATATTTGTATTCTGTGGAACTGAAAACAAACAAAATACAACTATGCACATAAATTTGTATAAAATTCACAAAGATTTTGATGAAATAAGCCAGAGGCAAAAAACATGCATATCTTATAATTCCAGTAATATAATATCAAGGACAAGCAAAATCTATCTATCGTTTCAGGTAAGAATGTGGTTGTCATCGGAGTTAATTGCCTAAAAGGATCATGGGGTCGGGCAGATTGTGATTTACTGTGATTCTATGTCCTGGTGTTTGAGAATTTTTCCAAATTCTTTTTATGCTTCAATAAAAAAAGTTACAAAGATAAAGAACTAAAAACTAAAAGTACATTGTAAGTGACCAAAACTATTTGTCTCATTCTTTTAAATGTTACACTAGAGAGGCAAATGTGATTACATTGGTAAGTAGCAACTATATAAATTACTGACAGATTCCTTGGTAATATTATAGTCAACTAATTGCAAACCTAGTATAAAGTTTTTTTTTTTTTAAATGCTGACAAGAGAGAAATGGGCTTATGGAGTAACTAGTAAATAGCTGAGCTTATGGGGAGGCTGAAAGGCATGAATGTCTTTGGCTAATAACCGACTGATGGGCACCAGGTCTATGATGAAGCTGCTACCTCCTCAGCACAAAATAATGCACATTTCACAAAACCCTCTCTTGGAGTTTAATCCCCAAGTCATGGACAGTGTAGTATCCTATTCACTGTATAATCATTTACAAAAGATTTTTCTATCTAATAATATCCAGAAGTGCTCTGGGTCTTTAGGAAGGCCCCGTCACAATGTCAAAATTTTAATTCTTCCCATAATAAAAAAACTCATTAATATTAGGGCAGTAAGAATGCCAAGTAGAAATTGTACATCTTTCTGAGCACAGTGGCTTATGCCTGTAATCCCAGCACTTTGTGGGGCCCAGGTGAGCAGATCACTTGAATTGAAGAGTTCAAGACCAGCCTGTACAACATAGCAAGACCCCATCTCTACTGAAAGTACAAAAATTTGCTGGGCATATTACATGTGCCTGTAGCTCCAGCTACTTGGCAGGCTGAGGATCGCTTGAGCCTGACAGGTCGAGGCTGCTGTGAGCCGTGATTGTGCCACTGCACTCAGCCTGGGTGACAGAGTGAGATCCTGTCTTAAGAAAAAAAAAAAAAAATCTTGTTATCATGATGCTAGTTGGTTATTTTGCAGATTTGTTTATGTAGTTGCTTCATAGTGTCACTGGTCTGTGTACTTCAGTGTGTTTTTGTAGTGACTGGTAACAGTTTTTCCTGTCCATATTTAGTGCTTCCTTCAGGAGCTCTGATAAGGCAGGTCTGGTGGTAATAAATTCCTTCAGCATTTGCTTGTCTGAAAAGGATCTTATTTCTCCTTTGCTTGTGAAGCTTAGTTTGGCCATATGTGAAATTCTAGGTTGAAAATTCTTTCTTTAAGAATGTTGAATATTGGCCCCCCTATCTCTTCTAGTTTATAGGGTTTCCCCCGAGAGGTCCTCTGTAGTCTGATGGGTTTTCATTTGTAGGTGACCTGGCCTTTCTCTCTGGCTGCCATTTTTTCTTTCATGTCGACCTTGGAGAATCTGATGATTATGTATCTTGGGGATGATCTTCTCATGGAGCATCTTACTGGGGTTTGTTGCATTTTCTGAAGTTGAATGTTGGCTTGTCTTGCTAGGTGGGGAAGATGTCCTTGATGGTATCCTGAAGTATATTTTCCAAATCGCTTCCATTCTCCCTGTCTCGTTCAAGTACCGCAATTAGTTGTAGATTCCATCTCTTTACATAATCCCATATTTTCCAAACGTTTTGTTCATTCCGTTTTATTCTTATCTCTCTATTCTTGTCTGCCTGTCTTATTTCAGACAGAGAGTCTTCAACCTCTAATATTCTTGGTCTAGTCTGCTATTAATACTGTGATTGCACTATGAAGTTCTTGTAGTGTGTCTTTCAGCTCTATCAGGTTGGTCATGTTCCTCTGTATTGCACCTATTTTGGCTTTCAGTTCCTCCATTGTTTTATCCTGATTCTTAGCTTTTTTGCACTGGGTTACAACAGATACCTTTAGCTCAGCAAAGTTTGTTTTTATCCACATTCTGAAGCCTGCTTCTGTCATTTCAGCCATCTCAGCCTCAGTCCAGTTCTGAGCCCTTGCTGGAAAGGTGTTGTGGTCATTTGGAGGAAAGGAGCCACTCTGGCTTTAAAGGTCAACATTGCTAATCATTAGAGAAATGCATATCAAAACCATAATAAAATACCATCTCATACCAGTCACAATGGCGATTATTGAAAAGTCAAGAAACAACATATGCTGCCGTGGTCTGAAGAAAAAGGAATGCTTTTACACTGTTTATGGGAGTGTAAATTAGTTCAACCATTGTGGAAGACAATATAGTGATTCCTCAAAGACCTAGAAGCAGAAATGCCGTTCAATCAAGCAGTCTCATTACTGGGTATATACCCAAAAGAATATAAGTTATTCTTACATTCTTATTCAAATGCCCATCAATAATAGACTGGATAAAGAAAATATGGTACATATACACCACAGAATACTATGCAGCAATGAAAAGGAATGGGATTGTGTCCTTTGCAGAAACATGGATGGAGCTGGAGGCCATTATCCTTAGCAAACTAATTCAGGAACAGAAAACAAAATAAGTGTTCTCACTTATAAGTGGGAGCTGAATGATGAGAACACATGGACACATGATAAGAAAAAACACAAACTAGGGCTTGTCAGAGGATGGGGCTGGGAGGAGGAGGAGCATCAGGAGGAATAGCTAATGCATGCTGGGCTTAATACCTGGTTGATGGGATGATCTGTGCAGCAAACCACCATGGCACATGTTTATCTATGTAATAAACATGCACATCCTGCACATGTATCCCTGAACTTAAAATAAACATTGGAAAGAAAAAAGAGAAAAAAAAGAGAAATTATACATCTTCATAATTGAGATAGAAAGTAAATTATCATTAATCAATGCACCTTAATACAAAAATACTGAATTATAAATAAGAAAAATATACTTACAAAAATTTGTTATAATAATATAGAAAATGTCTTATTTACAGTATTCACTGTAAATAAAGCTGGAGTTTCTTTCAGATTCAGTACTTAAGCTCCTTGATAACTACTTCATCTGCACCTGCAATTTACTGTAACTAACTTGCCTTGTGATATAAAATATGTTTGCTCTTATTTTATCATATATACATATTTTTTGAGTTGGAGTCTCGCTTTGCTGCCCAGGCTGGAGTGCAGTGGTGAGATCTCGGCTCACTGCAACGTCTGCTTCCTGGGTTCAAGTGATTTTCCTGCCTCAGCCTCCCAAGTAGCTGGAATTACAGCTGCATACCACAACACCTGGCTAATTTTTGTATTTTTTTAAATAGAGATGGGGTTTCACCATGTTGGCCAGGTTAGTCTCAAACTCCAGACCTCAAGTGGTCCACCCGCTTTGGCCTCCCAAAGTGCTGAGAATACAGGCGTGAGCCATTGCACCTGGCCTATTTTACTATAATTGTCCTGCCATTTTAGGAACAACTTTACATTCTGACTTGCCCTTGATTTGTGTGTTTTTCTCTCTAATATATTTCAGCTCAATTAAGAAAGTACCCTCTAAGCTAAATATCAACAGGGCTGTCATTAGAGGTGACTAGAAGAGCAAACAAATTAGGACTCAGAGTTTTTGGACAATAGAGAATAAATGTCCCTTGAGCAAGTAATTCCTTAATACTTAACAAAATTTGTTTACCCTAGAAGACACATAAAAAAAATGACAAGTTGATGACTGAACTAAGTTTCTTGGTCTACGAAAGTGAGTGTTCTAGCTGAGTGGTGAAAGAATTTGTGGAAATATAAAAAGGAGGAAGGAAATTCCAGGGTTGTGGAAACAATTGTCAGGGAAAGTAGAGCGATATCAATCCCTGAAAATAGTAGTGAATATGGATTTCTTATTTTAGTCTGTTGAAAAGTGAATGGGAATTGAATAAGATGATGATAATGTATGTATCATTCCTTCGAGAATCAGCTTCTGATGAAAATAGAAGAGAAGGTATTTAGCATATTAAGGGGTATTTATATTGAGAGACAATAAAGGAAGTAAGGAAAACACTAAATATTCTAGCAGACACATTGGAAAGCACTGTAAAAGGATAAATTGATGGAATAGTCTAAACAATTGTAAATAATAAGACTCAGCTAACTAATTGTTATTTTCAAATAGGAGGTCATTTATAGTTATTTACTACTCAAAAGGGTCTGGACTTTGAAACAAGACTGTTAAGAGCATCTTTTGTACACCTACTATTGTCTCTCTCTGTACCTTTTATTATTCCATAGAGACACATTTATGAACAACTTATTGCACTAAATTTACCATATCTCAGGCTTATTACTGGTAGTGTTGTATGCATATCTCATTATATTATTTCTTGTAACTTAAAAGAATGTAGATTCATGATTCCGTCTGTCTGAGACATTAGATTTTTAATTGAAAATGATCCATCATTATCTTCAGTGCTATATGAAAAAAATGTATTGACAAGAGCTATTTGCATGAGAACATCCTAGGTGCTTGAAAGTAAAAGTCAGTGAGATCACTCTAAGTTAATTTAAATGTTTTCTCATCTCCTTCACACACTGCAAATATCTATATAAATATAATTGCTAACCATTTTTTATATTGAAGTTTGAAAACGTAGAGCAGCATCAGAAAGATGTAGAATAGATGGAACAGGTTTGGTTATCACCTCTGCAGTATATGAGCTCTTTAACTGAGGGAAATGTAACCAACCTTTTTGAGCCTATTTTTTCACATGTAAAATGGGTTTATAAATATTTTCTTGCAAGTATTTTTTGTGAAGTAGAGAGTACATACATGTAATATACACAGTATGTGTGTGTATTTGTGTATATGCATATGTAATGCTTAGCCTGGCAAAAATTGGTGTTCGATAAAGCAGTTCTCATGATTTTTGTTAACCTGAGAAAAGGTAAAAAACAGTATTTCAAATCATAAATGATTCAATGAATTACTCCATCTTTGAGGTAAAATTTGGCAGATGTCTCAATTTGTATTTCAACTTATATGAAATAATATACTTTGAATTCCTAACAAATTATTTTGAAATGCAAATCACAATTGTTAGCTGACTCCAAATCTAATTTTAAATTTATTTTGCTAAGGTAATTCGACTGCAGATCAATTGTTTTCTTCTAAAGATAACCAAAATATGTTTTTCTCAGAAAGTCACAAATGATTCATTTTACTCTTGCATAATTTTTTCAGTTGTAATGATGCTGCTTTATTAATAAGATATGATTATTTGATAGAGTATCAATTTACTATTAAAGCATTGGGAAATTTGACTTAATTTATAGTTTAGTAGCTCTTTGAATGTTGGCTTCCCAGACACTGTCTTCCTAATCATTGTCTTATTTGACTCTTACTCATCTAGTGCTAGACTAACTTTTTCACACTGTAATGTAAGTAGAAAAAGAAACACTTTAGTATTTGTGGCCACTTATGTCCTACCCATATTTTATGTCTAAAAAATATCCATACCTCTTTATTTTCATATTGGGATACAATTATCTCCATATGTCATTTTCTCAAGTAATGGTAGGGATATATTAATATACTTTTAAACTATTAAATGATAAATATTGTATTATTTCTTTAGAAAATAAATATAAAAAGTCATCTGACTTGAAAACACTCATTTAGATCAAGAACACTTTCATCTCTGTACAGGCAATGGCAGAACTGCTATTCCTTACATGCATAAGTTAAACCATAGAGGAGATATAGTCAATACAAATAGGAAAGCAAGATTTGTGTGATCAAGTGGAATTAAGATTGCAGCTAAAGATGGTAAAGTTATGTTTCACGTAGCATCTTCCTCCAAGAACTCATAACTTGAAAAACTAATCTTTGATGGAGAGTGAGAACCAAGAAAGCACACCAGAAGCAATCAACAAAAAAGGCAATCACCTACATAGGCAGAAATATCCAGGTGTTCCCAAGATTTAGATTTTTGCAAACACATGTGGCACTTAGCTAAACCCTGAAGAGAAGTGCTAAAAAGAGGCAAAGGGAGAAAAGAGTGAGTGAGGGCAAGTGGAAGTGATAAAAGTGTTCACAAGTAAAAGACAAGCTCCAACTTAGAAAGAAAATTAAGAGTGGATACAAATGAGTAATGATATCACACTCTGGGGTGTAGAGAAAAAACTTTCCATTCTAGTGAAATTCCCCTCAATAAAAATCTATATAACATCAGATACAGAAATCATTACTGGGGTTAGCTATTTTTGTGAAAATTTGAATTTAGTTTTTGGTTTTCAGTAAGATGACATTTAGCCAAGCAAATACTAAAGAGATAACTTAAAAAGAGAAATATCTATTAGAAAGCAAGCTTCATATAATTTAAAAAAAAAGGAGGACACCAACATAAAAATTTAGCCATGAGTAGTAAATTAATATTGTTTTTTTCTGGTAAACTGAAATAAAATGAACATCATAATGAAAAAGGTATTGTATATGTCTCATAAAGAAGATAGAGTTGAACTACAAAACTATGGGTATAAAAGATTTTTACTTCACATTAAATCTTGGAGGAAAAGGAGAAAAGGAGGAAGAAGAGTTGACTGGTAAAGTTCATTATAGCTAATAGTAGGGAACCGATATACCGTATCCAAATTTGGGGGACAGAGATGAGAACATTACATACAAAAGTAAGTATAAAAATTTGAGCATTTGAACGAAAGTATAAAACTTAAATAATAAAAAGTGATAGAAAAAAATAGAAATGACCACAAGAGAACTGAAGCCAAACGTATTGATAATATTTAAAAAGTTAGAGAGGCTTACTCACCCTATCCAGAACACTCGAGACAAACCTAAAACAATGAAATCCAGAAAGCCTAAACATAAAAACGTGACAATGATGAACTATGGAGAAGTAGGAAGAGAGTGAAGAATAAAATATTAGTGTCTAGCATGATTACTTTCAGAATAAAATCATAATAGATTCTAGTTCACTTTATAATATTAAAAGCTTTAATACTCAAAGAAAACACCAGATATTAATGTCTATAGCCTCAATAATGCAGCAAAAATCTTCATGAGGAAGAAAATACAGAGCTTCAAGAAAAAATAAAAATAAGTTTGTAAGAGAAAATAAAACTAAAAAATGCTTTAGAGAAAAATACACTAAAATGAAGAATCTAAAACACAGATTCTCAATCCAGGACAAATAAAATCAACAAAAATTAGTAAAGATATAGAAAATGAAAAGAGCATGATTAAGAAGGTAATAAACACACACACAGTCTTTTCAAATAAAAATAGAATATTCACAAAATTTGTTGTAGTTGACTACAAGGAAAAACTTGACACATTACAAGAAAATGAATAATACAAATGTATTAATCAGAAATCACATATAAGTAGAAATTAATGACAAAATTTAAAAAATACTTTGCATTTAATAGTATTAAAATATTTTAAATACTGTGATCAAACAGGAAATATAAAAGAAACATATACAATCTCAAAAAATACAATAAAACCTATTGTCTAGATTTATCATATATTGGAGGAATTTTTTATCATTAAAATCAGTATCAACTTCAGCTGATAAACAACTTCAGCAATGTTGCAGGCTATAAAATCAATGTACAAAAAGCACTAGCATTTGTATACACCAACAACAACTAAACTGAGAGCTAAATCAAAAAGGAAATCCCATTCACAATTGCCACACACACACACACACACACACACACACTACCCAGGAATACAGCTAACCAGGAAGGTGAAAGATCTCTACAATGAGAATTACAAAACACTGCTCAAAGAAATCAGAGAAGACACAAACAAATGGAAAAACATCCCATGCTCATTAATAGGAAAAATCAATGTCATTAAAATGGCTATACTGCCCAAAGTGATTTACAGATTCAATGCTATTCCTATCAAACCACCAATGATATTCTTCACAGAACTAGAAAAAATATTTTAAAATTTATATGGAACCAAAAAAGAGCCCAAATACCCATGGCATTGGTTTAGGCAGTGATTTATTCGATATGACCACAAAGGCACAGGCAACAAAAACAAAAATAGACAAATGGGATTACATCAAACTAAACAGCATCAGCACAGCAAAGGAAAAAAATCAGTAGAATGAAGAGACAACCCATAGATTGGGAAAAAAAAATTACATATAACCCATCTCATGAGGAGTTAATATCTAAAATATATAAGAGACTCAAATTACTCAATAACAAGAAAGCAAATAACCCTATTTAAAAATAAACAAAGTACATGAATAGACAGTTCTCAAGAAAAGACATACAAATGGCAAATAGATATATAAAAAATGCTTAAGTACAAAAATTATCAGGGAAATGCAATTTATAAAAACAATAATGACACCTGTTAGAATGCCTATTACCAAAAAGATGAAAGATGGCAAGTGTTGGCAAGGATGTGAAGCAAAGGGAACCCTTGCACTCTGTTGATGAGAATATAAGTCATTACAGCCATTTTGGAAAACATTATGAAGATTTCTCAAACAAATAGAAATGAATTACCATATAATCCAGCAATCCCACTTCTGGGTATATATCCCAACAAAATGAAATCAGTATGCTGAAGAGTTATGTGCACTCCCATGTCCATTGCAGCATTATTCACAATAGCCAAGATACAGAAACAACCTAAGTGTTCAATATGGATGAAGGGGTAAATACACACACACACACACACACACACACAATGGAACATTATTCAGCCCAAAAAGGACAGGAAATTCTGTCATTTGCATCAACATAAATGAATCTAGAGGACATTACACTAAGTAAAATAAGACAGGCACAGGAAGACAAATACCACATGGTCTCACTTGTATCTGGAATATAAAAAAGTTGAACTCATAGAAGTTGAGAGTAGAATGATGGTTACCAGGGGTGGGGGGAGTGGGGTGAAAAGCAAAGGGGAGACATTGGTAAATGGGTGCAAAGTTTTAGTTAGACTGGAGGAATAAGTACTGCTGATCGATTGCACAGCATGGTGACTGTAGTTAATAATAATGTATATTTGAAAATGTGAAGGGAATAGATTTTAAGTTTTCTCACCACAAATGAGTATGTGAGGTGATAGACATGTTAATTAGCTTGATTTGATCATTCCACAATGTACACATGTATATAGACATCACAGTGTATGTGATGTACACAATCATTTTTACTTATTGTCAATTAAATATAAAATTCTAAAAAATGAAATAAATCATATAACCATCTTAAGAAAATCTGAAAAAGCCTTAAACAGACAATTCCTGTAAAAAGCACTTAAATACTTCCTTGACACAGTAGATGTAGACGTAGATGTAGATTAGATAGAGATGTAACCCTCCAGCAAACAAGAGTTCTGATTTAATTGTAACACACCAGCAGCTTCTTTATTACTTTTTCTGTTATTTTCCTTTGTCTGGAACTAGACAAGGAAGGCCACCATCTCTATGACAATTCAACGCCATTGTAGAGAAGTTAGCCAATGTGATTAGGCACCAGAAATGGAGTATAAAAATTGGAAAGGAAGAAGTAATGTCACCTTTGATGTAAATGGTATAAACATGCACATAAATGTGCCAATAAAACTCAACAAAATTGGCAGATTTATGGGAAAAAATAAGGGAATCTAGTAAATTCACTAGAGATGTAAATAATATTCAAAAGATCAGTATCTTTTTATGCACATTCAAAAAATAAATACATAAGGAAAGAAAATGACCCACTTAAGATAGAATAGAGATAAATAAAAGAACCACATATAAATTTAACAAGAAACAGCTTTAACAACCAAAAATCTTAAAAATATTCCTGAAAAAAAGGTGGTCTTGAACAAATGTCAACACATATCAAGAAAAACTCAACATATTAAATGTAATTTTTCCTAAATTAATTTAAAATTGTTAGAATTTCAATTAAAATACCATGCATTTTTATGGAAAAAAAGTAAAACAATGTATAGACAAATTGATTACAGAATACATTTGGAAGTACAAATAAGTGCTTTCTATATTCAATTGAAATTGGAGTGTGTTAATTCTAAGAAGACTATAAAAGTTTAGTTTGTAAATTTTAATCCCCAGGACAACAAATTAGTGTGAAAAGACTAGTGTAAATAAATGAATAAATAATCTTGAAACTAGATAAATTATAGTGAAATGCTTTGTACACATGTTTAAATAACCCAAACAGAAGGCAGAAAAAGGAAGGGAAAAAAGAGAGATAAAAAGCAGAGGGAACTAACAGAAGGTAAATAAGAAAAAATAGACTGAAATCCAAATATATCATTCATTACATTAAATGTAAGTGGTCTTAAAACACTAATGAAAGAGACTAGATTTGGATAATGTATTAAAAGGTAATAAACCAACGCCATCTAAAGTAAACCCACTTTAAGAACAATGATATAGATAGGCTACAGTTAGAAACATGGAAAAAAGTTATACCATGCAAAAACAAATCAGTAGTAAGCTGGAGACAAAACAGAGGTTAGAACAAAGAAAACTAACAAAACAAAAAGAGATAGTATATAAAGATAAAATGATCAATTCACCTAAAAGACACAACAATCTCAAATGGGGATATGTCTAACGAAGTGTTTTATAAATGGAAAAATCTGACAGAAGAGAAAGAAGAAACATACAGATTCACAATAGAGAACTTCAACATTTATCTGTAAATGATAAATGGATAGAAAACCGCAAGAATTTAGAACAACATTATCAAGCAATTGGATCTAATGGATGTTTATAGAACATTCTACTCAAACACATGAATGGCATATTTTTTTCAAGTATATGGGGAACATTCACCAAAACAGACATATTGTAAAGGAAACTTTAACAAATTTGAGTGATTCAAATTAATGTAATATATTATTTATGTACATAGTGTAATTAAACTAGAAATCAAGAGAGACGGGAAATATCCAAATTCTTAGGTATTAAATAGCACATTTCTAAATAATCTAATAAATCCACAATAAAACACAAATACATAGAAAGATACTCAGTATTGTACAGGTGTTCTTGCCATTATTATAAGGCAAATCTATTAATGAAACAATCAATACATCCATCAGAGCAAACATTAATGTCATTCTACCAAGAAAGGAAGATGTAAAACTGTTTTTATTCCCTGAGGACATCATTTTGTAGAATATCCTAACAAATCTGCATTAAAAACTACTAGAACTAATAAAGAAGTTTAGCAAGGTTGTAAGATGTAAGATCAATAAATTGTATTTTTATGTACTAACAACAAATAATTAAATATGAAATTATGAAAATAATTTATTTTATAATAACATAATATAGAATACTTAGGAATACATTTAATAAAATAACTTCAAGACATATTCAACTAAAACTACAAAGTATTGGTGAGATAATTGTTCCAAATAAATGAAGGCCATTCCATTTTCATTGATTGGAAGACTCAATATTATAAAGACGGCAATTCACCCCAAAATTGATCTATAGATTCAATTCAATGTCAAAATCCAAGCAGAATTTTTTTGTTGTTAAATTTCATAAACTCACCTAAAATTTACCTGAAGATGTAAAGGCCTTTAAGTAGCCAGAAAAACTCGGGAAAAAAAGTAATGCTAGAGGACTTACATTACTTGATTTTAAAACTCACTATAAAGTTACAGTAATCAGTAGGGTATGGTATTGGTATAACTATAAGTATCTGGATCAATAGAAAAAATTGAATATCAATCCAGAAATAAACTTTTCCATTTATGATAAATTAATTTTCAAAACAAAGTTAAGATATTTGCTGTGGAAAGGATAATGTTTGCAAAAAATTGTGCAAGGACATTGGATATCAGTTTTAAGTTGAGGTACATTTTTTTATTGTCAACCCAAAACTTCAAAATGGTGTTTTATTAATCTAAAAGGTATAAGAATAGGCATACCTGACTCCCAAACTAGAAATGTGGCTAATCAACCTCACAGGCATGAAATAAAGATGGCTGTGTGAGCACTTGTACTTCATCAATGACAACAGTGTTAATTCCCAGTGCCTTTACTCTTAGAAACATCTGTTAGATTTTGGCCAGTGATACAAACTGACAGAGGAAAATTATGCATAGTACTGTAGCTGGACTCCTGACAAGATCCGGATTAGCAATATGCTGCAACAATTTTTGTAAGTATACATGCAAATACATGTATCCCTCATGCACAAGCACACAGAGACATACATGCAGTAGTTTGAATCAGATAGCTATGTGTATTGATTCAATTTATCTCATTTATTAGCTGTAATTTACAATGAACTGATAGGAAATACAATCCTTCCCATTGTTGTGAATTTTAAATTAGTTGATACATGTCAACCACTTCCCACAATCAACATGTGAACAAGCATGTTTGGATATGCACACTCACACATGCACACAGGCACAATCCTAAACAGCATACCCTTTTCTAGGGAAGAAAAATAAAGTATTTTCCATTTAAAAGGTAAGAGGGGCTATCTGTGTTATATTTCAAGAATTCAAGGTCTATTGTTGGTGTCTGTCATTGACAGGCAATAAATCAGAAAAATAACAACCATGACAACCTCATTTGTAATTAGGACAATCAAATTTTCACTTTCATGAATATGGTTAGAGGCTGATGCACAGTAAGATTAACTCCTCCTTGATGCTTCCCACCCCAAGGAAGTCGGGATAAAACCTCCTTAATCTTGAAATCATGTGTATTTATATGATTCATACTCTGTTCTGGATTTCCAACCCAGAAATGGGTCACCACAGAGTGTGTGAATATAAGATTGTGGCAGTAATTGTCATGATCAGGAAATTCATGCTTCAGTGATACTTTCATATATCATACTCTTAATGAAATTGTAGAAATACATAGGAATTCATTTACACAGTCATTCAGGTTTCATTAAGACTAAAGATATTCAGTTTTAAAGTTGTGTAAAGTTTTTAGGACAAAGGCCTAGAACCCAGACTTTCTAGATAGGAAAACAAATCTAAATAACCAATTGGGATGAAAAAATTACTTACTTGCGATGTTGTGAGGCTCCACAAAAATTATGCTTTCTACAGCCATGTGCAGATTATGTGGTAGAGGATGTTTCAAGTTTATATCTGTTTATTAATCTAATTTGATAACTTCAATTTTCTTAATAGACTTATTTTTAATCTTTTAAAAATAAAACGGTTTAGAAAATTTTGCACAGGAAATACAAAAAAGCTAATTTTGTGTTGGGCCCAAATGAATATCTGGGAGTCATTATACTAGAGAGCAGAGAATGTTGGGTGAAGTAACTGGGAAAATTACATAAAAAAAAATAGCCAACCAACCACTGAAATTCGTATCTGTGGTTAATATTTAAAAAGATCTTACCCTTTGGATATCATAACACATACACATATAATTTTCATAGATTTGACAAGGACTATACTGTAGTATTCCTCAACTAACATTCACAAATCAATGGTTATGCTATGTTACTTTATCATTTTTACAGTGCTTTAACATATCGCACTATGTTTTACACATTTTATCGATATGGTAAGTGAAGTTTGTGGAATTAGGGGAAAGAATTCCATTGCCAGAGCGTAAAGAAGCTTGTCTCAAATCCAGCTTCCCTAATTCTTTTTACTATGCCTATGGTGCTTCATGCAGCTATTAGTATGAAAAGAAGATTTATTGACAAGCATTAAAATTATTAATGGTCATAGAAATAGTACCATCAACATCCTAAAAACAGTAGCGTAAGCCTTGGAATAGCTGTTCTCCTGTTCTCCTGTTAACACTAGCCACATTATCACAAGTGTATTTCTAAATATTATAAATTATGAATTTGTCTACAGCTTCCTTCTGGAGGAAATAACCTCAACATGTGCACTGAGAGGAAACCATAAATCAGTCACTGCAGCAAATGATTGTTTTCTACTTTCTAATCAACACTACCTAAATATCCACCCTCATTTTTCTTATACTATAATTGTACAGAATCATTACTCTTTTTTTAATTCTTAGCCCGTTGAAAGATTTATATTTTCTTGCCATACACCTTGATACTGATATTATTTCCCAGGAAAAATGATATTTTAGCATGGCTATAATGCTCTGCATGGCACTAATATTACAGAGTCTATCTGTAAAATGCCTATGTGATAAACAGGATAATTCCATTTAAATAAGAATAGTGTGGGAGACATAAACCAGGGGATAGATTCGACGAGACATCTTACTCTTCTGCGAGGACTGTAGATAACACCTTATGCCTGGTAACTTATGGAAGAAAAGCACTTAAATATTACTAAGGCTGAGAAATAAGGAAGGGGCTCATTGAACATTGATCATGGACCAGTACCTATCTCATACACTTTGCTTATATGTTATAATGTTTATGAAACTGGCCCAATTGTCCTATAGAACTGATGTTTATGGTTTCTTTTGAAAAAATAAAAATAAAAAGTTGACCCTCCCAGTATTAAAACTGAAGAAACTTACACTTTTCTTATCTGAGTTCCTTTCTCAGGAAACCAACTATCAGCCCTCCAAGATAGTTTCAAGGAACTGCAACTCACCAGATAACTGCACCTGGACAATGAGATGCCAGACCCAGACCCCTTGCCAATTATGGTTGCCTAAGTAACCTGCTGCTGCCTGTTGACCACCTTCTCTTCTTAATCCTCTCCTAATTCCTATTTTTCCATACTTAGTTACATTTCTTCCCTTATTTTTCTACCTCTAATTTTAGTCCATTGAGAAGATGGATTTTTGAGTGATGTCCCATTCTCCTTGGCTGCAGCATCCAAATAAAGCCCCTTTCCCTGGCAATACTCATTGTTTCAGTGACTGGCTTTCTGTGAAGCAAGCAACAGGACCTAGACTGAACTCTTGATGTTTCAGTAACATTTAGTTACACTCCTAGAAAATATGGTATGTAAGTTATATAGATTGTAAAATAGAAAGATAGAATCTGGACTGGGATTTACATAATTATGGTATTATTGTTATTTTACAAAAACCATGTAAAGTAACAGACTAGAATAGAACAAAACCCACAGATTTATCATTTCATAAAGGTAGAACCTGAGACCAAGTGAGTTTGAATGACTTACCCGATGTCATACAAGCAAGCAGAGGAGAAATATAGACTCCTATCCCTGGATGATTTAAATTATGGTCTAGCTGGCTTGATGTAATGGGCTTCAAGTGTTTCATTCATACAGATTACACCCTAGTTTATGCAAAAAATAGGACTGATAAGCTACTTTAGGCTATAGTCTAAACTTTAGACAAGTACATTCAATCAGGAAATATTTAGAGTACCTCTATTGGCAAGACATTGAGTGCTGAGGATAAATAGGTGAATTACAACAGCAAAATCTAATTTCTATCCTCATTGAACTTCAACTCTAGTTGAACTCTCTTGCCCACTCCTGTAAGAGTGCATGAAATTGCTCCATACAAGACATTTTCCGTGGGTTTGAAGAGGCTGCTGCTCAAGCGATCCAGGCTGAAAATATTCCAGAACATCTTCCCCATACTCACTTCTCCACGTGCAGTAAATAACACCAACATTAGCTAATTTTTACTGGACTTGTGTAAGTGCTCTGCTCTTGTGCTTTAGATGTACTGACACATTAAATTGCCAGAGCTTCCTGTTTTTTTTACATTTCAGTAATCAGAGGCACAAAGGGTTTGAATAATGACCCTAAACTGCCAACCTCTGGAAGTTGTGGAACCAGGCAATCCAAAGCCTTCTGGCTCCAGCATCACCCTTGTGGCCACTAAGTGGTGTCACCAGCAGCTGCTCTGGGCTGCTCCTAATGTCTTATCCTGAACACAACTTGAACAGCCTGGAGTGCCCTTTCTGTGCTGTGTCCACATGTGTGAACCTTTCCCTTCATACAAGGCCAATGTCAGCTCTAACACCCCCAAGAAATACCATCACAGTTCTCAACACACATTTGGTGCTTATGCCTTATTACATTCTTCATCAGCATGCAAAATGATTATCTCTGCCATAGTGCATTTATTTCACTTTGACTGTGTACGATGGCCTTTAGCAGATCATTTAGTGTTCATGGTGCCCCTGCAAAGTGTATGTTATGGTCTCCATTAAACAGATAAAAACATTCAGTACAGTTTTGTGATTTGCCCAAGGTCACAAATGTGTTGGGCTAGGAATCAGAGCCATGCAATCTCTAAACTCAATGAATTTTCATTACTAAACTTCCAAGAAGTACATTCAATCAGGAAATATTATGGTTATACTTCTTCTGACATTGAGAGATCCTGCCCATGACTTCACCATTGGCACCAGCAGAAAAGGAGGAAACAAACAAAAAAGCCTATATTACGGTATCTATACTGGTTTTCTATTGCTGCTGTAGCAAATTACCACAAATTTGGGTATAACAACACAAATTGGGCCAGGAGCGGTGGCTCACGCCTGTAATTCCAGCACTTTGGGAGACTGAGGCGGGCGGATTATGAGGTCAGGAGATCAAGACCATCCTGGCCAACATGGTGAAACCCTGTCTCTAGTAAAAATACAAAAATTAGCCTGTAGGCCCAGCTATTTGGGAGACTGAGGCAGGAGAATCAGTTGAACCTGGGAGGTAGAGGTTGCAGTGAGATGAGATCACGGGCCACTGTACTCCAGCCTGGTGACACAGTGAGACTGTCTCAAAAAAATAATTAATTATCTCAACAATTCTAGAGAGCAGAAGCCTGAAACAGATCTCACTGGGCTAAAATCAAGATGTTAGAAGGGCAGCATTGCTTTTGCAAAACAAACAAAATGTTTCCTTGTCTTTTGCAGCTCCTAGAAGGTGCCCTCATTCCTTGGCTCCTGCCCCTCTTCCATTTTCTAAGCCAGTAACAGCCAGTAGGGCCTTTTGCATGCTGCATCATCACACTCTCTTATGTCTTTCTTTTACTTATAAAACCCTTGAGATTACATTGGGTTCATACATAATCAGAGACAATATGGCCATTTCAGGGTCATCTGAAGAGAAACCTTAATTCCACCTGCATTATTATTTCCCCCTTGCCATGCAAACTAGCATGTTTACAGATTCTGGAGATTAGGATATAGACATACTGAGGAGGCATTATTCTGTCTACCACAGTGTTGTAAGCCCAATTCATTCATTTAACATATCAAAATTGCCTACCATATGCCAAGAACTATGCTAGGTATGAAAAATCATCAGATGAAGAACGGAAATATAAAGGGAGGGAATCATGGAAAGATTCCTATAAGATGTGACCTTTGGCTTCAGTTTAAAGAAATAAGCAGTGGTCAGTCAGTATGATATATGGCAGTTGGGTTCTAAGGCAAAACAGAGACAGAGTTGACTAAAAAGAAGAGCATTTCCATTTAATTTGTATGCTTCATTTGCTTACATTCTAGTTGCTATTTGTTATTTGTTGGAAAAATTCAGCTCTGGCGTCCGAGTTTAAAGCAACACCATGTGCTTCCCAGTCTGGGAGATCAAACTATGATATTCAATCCTACTCTTTTTTTTTATTACACTTTAACTTTTAGGGTACATGTGCGCAATGTGCAGGTTAGTTACATATGTATACATGTGCCATGCTGGTGTGCTGCACCCATTAACTCGTCATTTAGCATTAGGTGTATCTCCTAGTGCTATCCCTCCTCCCTCCCCGCACCCCACAACAGTACCCAGAGTGTGATGTTCCCCTTCCTGTGTCCATGTGTTCTCATTGTTCAATTCCCATCTATGAGTGAGAACATGCGGTGTTTGGTTTTTTGTCCTTGCGATAGTTTACTGAGAATGGTGATTTCCGATTTCATCCATGTCCCTACAAAGGACATGAACTCATCCTTTCTTATGGCTGCATAGTATTCCATGGTGTATATGTACCACATTTTCTTAATCCAGTCTATCATTGTTGGACATTTGGGTTGGTTCCAAGTCTTTGCTATTGTGAATAGTGCCGCAATAAACATACGTGTGCATGTGTCTTTATAGCAGCATGATTTATAGTCCTTTGGATATATACCCAGTAATGGGATGGCTGGGTCAAATGGTATTTCTAGTTCTAGATCCTTGAGGAATTGCCACACTGTCTTCCACAATGGTTGAACTAATTTACACTCCCACCAACAGTGTAAAAGCATTCCTATTTCTCCACATCCTCTCCAGTACCTGTTGTTACCTGACTTTTTAATGATCGCCATTCTAACTGGTGTGAGATGGTATCTCATTGTGGTTTTCATTTGCATTTATCTGATGGCCAGTGATGATGAGCATTTTTTCATGTCTGTTGGCTGCATAAATGTCTTCTTTTGAGAAGTGTCTGTTCATATCCTTTGCCCACTTTTTGATGGGATTGTTTGTTTTTTTCTTGTAAATTTGTTTGAGTTCATTGTAGATTCTGGATATTAGCCATTTGTCAGATGAGTAGGTTGCGAAAATTTTCTCCCATTTTGTAGGTTGCCTGTTCACTCTGATGGTAGTTTCTTTTGCTGTGCAGAAGCTCTTTAGTTTAATTAGATCCCATTTGTCAATTTTGGCTTTTGTTGCCATTGCTTTTGGTGTTTTAGACATGAAGTCCTTGCCCATGCCTATGTCCTGACTGGTAATGCCTAGGTTTTCTTCTATGGTTTTTGTGGTTTTATGTCTAACGTTTAAGTCTTTAATCCATCTTGAATTAATATTCAATCCTACTCTTTAATTTTACCTGATTTAAAACATTACATTTTTAGATGAAAAATATTCTCAGGAGAGGTATGCTGTGTATTTTTCAGGAAAGAATGTCCAGATGTTGTTTTTGGAGAAGAAGAACTACAAAGTTAGAGCAAATACTCTTATTTATAAGAAGAATGAACTCAGTGTGTGAGAAGGAGAATACAAATGCAACAGCCTCAAATTAGCAGTGGATGCCTACTGGGCTTCTGCAACCGCTTTCCACGGGTGAGCAAACTCTCAAAGCTTGAGCTGTTGCTCAGGTTTTCCCTAGGGAAGTGTTGATGGTGTCCTGGGGACACTGCACTGCAGTCATGGCCAGCAAGCCTTGTAAATACAAAGCATGGTACAGGATATGCATGATAAAATCACCTTGCTCAAATAAATGCAGCAGGAAAAATGGATTTCATCTTCTGATTCCTTTAGGTTCCACCAGATGGCTAGCTGGTAATGACCCAGACACCTCTGAGTAAACTCCCAGAAAGCCTGACAAATATGTTGCAAACTTAGCCATATGTAGAGTGGCTACACCACATTTGCATCGCTCTCTTAACAGCATGACCTTCTTTAATAGTGATCACTTCCATTTTTAGGCCCTTTATGCATTACTTTTGTCATTTTATATTGCTTCTTTTTTTCTGATCCTTGCAAAAACCCTGCCAAGAAAGCAAGAAAATATGTTTCCCCCTCAGGACCTGGACAACATCAGATAGAATGTGTCACATAAATATGTATTCATAATGAAAGTTTCATAGGTATTAAAAATGAAAGCTCAAAATGGCTAGGTGATATTCCTCAATTCATATGAACATAGATCTCTTACCTTTTTTCTTGATATTATATTGAATATGTAAAGATATTTGAAATAGTTTATATATGAGTAATTAAACCAGCTCATCTTTTTCTCTGTTATCTTCTTTATTGCTTTAAATCTTACAAACCCGTTTACCAACCAAAACTAAAGAACCAACTATATTGCTTTAAATTGTAAAAATATGTAAGTATCCACACATAGACATACAGGAGTTAGAATCCCAAAGGGAAATACTTTTTACCAGACATAGAGGGAACCAGAATAGACATAAAGCCATAAGGACACCCTGAGTGTCAAAAAGAGATCTCAGAGTTCTCTACAGTTTTATTACTGTTTTTAGATTTTCACTCATTCATAAGATTATATTGGTGGCAACCATTTAGTCCATTTAATTATGCCCCCAATCTGTCACAGTTGAGACAAAAGTTGACCAACCTAGTATAATCAGAAAACTTATTCTTGGAGTTTGAAGCAAAAATTAGATTAAAATGTTTTTGGATGTGACTGGATCATGTTAGTGGTTATCTACAGGGCACAAAGTCCAGCCTTCAGAAAGAAAGTATAGAAAAAATAGATAAAACTCTTAGAGGATAGAAGGAGAAAAAAAACAGAGAGAGAATATTGATTAATTTTCTCTTAGTTCGTTCCAGAAATTTTCTCAGACCAAGTTGTACTTCAATCTTTTGGTTCCTTTAGTCACCACCCTCTTCTTTTTTGATTTTTCCAATTTGTGTTAACACTTGCCTGTATTGATCTCTTGCATTTGCAGCCACATGAATGTGAAATCCATAAGGGCAGAGAGTTTTGCTGGTTTTGTTCACTATCATGTCCCTTAACACCTAAAATAATGCTTAGCATGTAGAAATCTCTCAATAAGTAGCTTTTGCATGAATGAATGAATTAAATTAAATGAATGAAAGAACAAAAGAATATTAACTAAATAAAGCCAAGGGTCAGGAATTAAACATATCACAAACATGCTTGGAATCTTTTACTACATAATTGCCTGCAGAATATCATTACTATACAGTAACACCTAGAGAACATCCGTAAATTAAATAGTTTGATTTACTGAAAGGACTAATTTTATATCAGCAAAAATGACTTTAGTAATTTTCAGATAAACATTTGTCAAACGTATAATCTTGAAACTATTTTCTTTATCTCTCCTTTCTATAAATATAATGAACAAGTATTTAATAAAAGACTTCTTGTTTGTGACACAATTTTAAATGTTTTCATCATTCATTAATGTTTTTAAGAATGTCTCCAGCCTGGGCAAAAGAGCGAGACTCTGTCTCAAAAAAAAAAAAAAAAAAAAAAAAAAAAAAAAGAATGTCTCTAAGCACCAATATGTTTCAGAGCCTGTAGTAGTCATGAAGGTAAAATAGTATTTCACATGCTGGCTTTGTCTCTGCTGCACATGGTCTGGCTTATACATCTTCGTTATGCAAAACTCATCTCCTTCACTGACCTTCATAGGAGACAACTGCCCCAAGAATATTGTTATATGTGTAATTTTACTAAATGCTTACAACATAGTTGAGAGGTTTCTTCCTTTCTCTCTCTCATGTACTCTCTCTCTCTCTCTCTCACACACACACACACACACACACACACACACCATATAACATACTCCACCTATGCATATATACACATACACCACAGATAATTCACCACAGTCACACCACTCACACTCATCACACCCACACCACACATCACCTACCACACATTACACTACACACATATGCACACATACCAGACAAACCACACCGCCCCAAGCACACATCTCATATATAAAATCATACCACACACACACACACACACACACACACACACACACACACACACACAAGATAATGCACATTTTTGTTTTTGAGGCTCTCTGCTCAGTGCCCTGCTAGTTTTGTCTCCCCCACAGCAGCCAGCAGTGCACGATGTCTTCCTCTATTCCGGGGCTGGTAAGTACCTGCTCTTTTTTTACAGAGAACATTTTACAAATGTCACATTCTTTAAACATCTATCTATCTCATTTTGGCACTAAACAACAAAATGCTCCCCTCCACACACATGCACCAGTTAAGAGGACTCATGTGTTTCACATTTTGTACAGAGAAATGGGGTAAGACAAAATAACAACAAAAATGTACCCAAAATCACAGGGCACAGTGGCTCACACCTGTAATTCCAGCACTTTGGGGGGCCAAGACAGGTGGATCAGTTGAGGTCAAGAGTAGTCTGAGACCAGCCTGGCCAACATGGCGAAACCTCATCTCTACTAAAAATACAAAAATTAGCTGAGTGTGGTGGCACAGGCCTGTAATCCTAGCTACTCAGGAGGCTGATCCTGGAGAATTGCTTGAACCTGAGAGGTGGAGGTTGCAGTGAGCCGACATCCTGCCACCGCCCTCCAGCCTGGGCAGCAAAGTGAGACTCTGTCCAAAAAAAAAAAAAAAAAAATCTGCCCAAAGTCTTACAGAATGCTTCCCTTTCTTCCGAGGAGTTTTGGAAGACTATGTGTGTGTGTGTATATATATATATATGGAGAGAGAGAGAAAGAGAGAGACTCTAAAATAAAAAGAAGAAAGCATATGATTCTATGAACTTTCAGAAAATGAAATAAGTAACTCTTTAGAATCTGGTCCAATCAGTGAGGTCCTTACAGACCAGCAATCTGGACCAAAGGCTAAAATATGTCATAAAAATAAATAAGGTTGTGAGTCAGTTTGTCCAGATCTTCACAGAAAGAGGAAACAGAACATGAGGATTTCCAGAGGTGCAAAGCATAAGGTAATTTTTAAGGATTCAGACAATATTCAGTATGACTGGCATAAGGTTTGTGTAGGAGTCTAACCAGGGGTGAAGCTAGAGATCTAAGTAGGAGACCACATCATTAAGCATCTTTACAATCATTATAAGGGCATTCTTAATATTCACACAAAGGCAATTGGAACCCACTTAAAATCATGTCACTCCCCTTCCAATTCTTCTGATCCTCCAATATTGTGATTGGTTCTTCATTTTCTGCTCACTTGACCTCTTTCCACCATCTTGCCACCCCTTCCTTTGAATGGCAGATAGGTTAAATAGATAGCTTACATTTTAAATCTTTTGGTGCATTATTTTCTGCATAGTGCTTTGCTGGGGTGATATATTTCCCCCTGTTATTTCAAGATTCAGATTTTAGTCATTTCTGATTTTAAAAAGAATGATATCTCACTCCATAACCTATATTTAAAACTAAAAATAAACGTATTTTTACCATTGTATAAAAACCTTCTAAAAAGAGAAAAAGCATTACTGTTAAAACAACTTGATTTCACAAGCCAAATTAGAGTTTCACAGGGAAACTGAAAAAGGGCAGAGGTAATTTAGCTGAAATTGGCATGGCAGTTATGTACCATGTTGGTCAACCTTTTCAAAGGCATAAATCACAACAGGCTACATCAGATTGGGAACAAAATCATTTTGGTGGACTGAGAACTGTTTTTCATTTCCACAGCTAGACTTGGAATTTTCCAAACAAGCTGGATAAGAGAAAGCCATTTGTGCTGTGCCCTAGAAAACTAAAGACCTCTGCAGGTTCCATAAATACATGAGCTAATTGTTTGCTATATTCCAAATATTTCCAATTTATTTAATGTATCTCCTAATGGGAAAAAAAACAGTAGGAAGTAGCACTGGCCAGTTAGAAGTTAGAGGCAGTAAGGCATAGCAGATAGGAACACGGGCTTTGAAGTCAGATTCCTGTCTTTCCATCAGGAAGAAGAACTTTCCATAATAGGAACTATGTGTTCCTTACAAATTTCTCTACATTTCAAGCCTCCTCATCTTTCATATAGTGCTACTAATTGTGGCTAGCTCAAAGCCTGGCTAAAAAATTGGTGAACTTATACCACAAAATAATTTTTAAAATCTCCTGACCTATAGTGAGCATTCCATATAAGGTTAGCTGTTTGAAGGCTTTTTGACCCTTAGGCCATATGATGGAGATGTCAAGGCCTCTTAGAATTATGTTAGAATTATGAAATCATGAATGAATACCACCCATTTGTATCTTGTGTGTCAGAAAGGGAAAGAGCCACGGCAGAGAAGCATTACCAAAATGGAGTTCTGGCTTTGATGGGATTTTCATGAAGTGGTTTAAGTTTTATAATGTGCATATATGTGATATATATTGTTCAAAATTTATGTAAAAATTAGATAATAAAATATGTAATGCTAATTATGATGATTAATTTTACGTGTTAACTTGACTGGGCCACAGGAGGATGTGCAGATACCTGCTCAAACATTATTCTGGATGTGCCTGTGAGGCTGTTTTGGGATGAGGTTATCATTAGAATCAGAAGAGAAGCAGATTGTCATCTCTGAAGTATGTGGGGATTATCCAATCAGTTAAAGGTCTGACTAGAATAAAAAAACACACCCTCCCATGAGTTGGAGGGAACTCCTACCTGACTGTATGAGCTGGGACATTGGTGTTTTATTGCCTTCAGACTTGAACTGAAACATAGGCTCTTTTTGGGTTTCAAGCTTGCTCTCTTGGACAGGAACTTACACATTTTTTTTCCTGGGTCTCCAGCTTACAGATCTTAGGACTTCTCAGCCTCCATAACTGGATGAGCCAATCCTGTAGGGTAATGTTTGTTCTGTTTCTCTGGAAACCTTGACCAATACATCGATAGAAGGAAGGACAAAGACTGCATACTGGGGTTCCAAACAGGGATCTGAAATCAAGACAAGAATAAGGTGTCCTGTGCTTGGTACCTGTGAGGGAGATTCACGTGCCCTTCACATATAATTAAAGTCAATCCTGATTATTTGTGGATTTCATACTTGCAAGTTTGTCTAATAATACATTTTCTTTATAACCCCCATACTCATGGCACCTTCATAGTTTGTAAAAACGTTCACAGCAGTGAAAAATTTGAGTCGCCGGCATGCACAGCTGAAGTAAAAAAGGTGATAATCTTCCTTATTTTTTCAGCTCTCGTACTATAAACACATGTCTGTTTGTGGTCTATTTAGTACCACGTTTTCTGCTTTGTATTGGTGATTTCATTGTTCAACATGGCCTCAAAGCAGAGTGCTGGAATGTTGTCTAGTGTCCCTGTACACAAGAAAGCTGTAACGTGCCTTAGAGAGAACAGACACTGTGTGTGCTAGATGAGCTTCGTTCAGGCAGATAATGTTGTTGGCTGTCAGTTCAATGTTAAATCAAAAATATATTATAATCAGGTATTTCTAAACAGAAATAACATAAAAGAAAGTTATGTATTGATCAGATGATAAAAATGTTGTGATCAGAGATTCACAGGAACCTAACCCTGTATTTTTCCTAAGGACCATTGCTCTGTTTTCAATGACTCAGTGTTTTTGGTGACTTTGCAGTTGAAACAATAGTTACAAACAAACAAACAAAAACGTCTCACAATTGAGCAAATCGTGGCTTACAAAATGTTTATTTCCTATGAAATGCCGTTTAATTTATGCCTGTGAGTAAGACTTTAATGCCTGTTTTCCAAACTCACGGGTTCAATATGGCTCAAATAAGTAACAAGATTTGCTTAATGATGACTCGGAGTAAATGACAGAGGCAAAATTAGAAAACTCAGAGGCCTGTGATTTTTTTTTTCATGAGATCAGATTTCTCAGAGCCACCAAATGCACCATGCTGGGCTGCTCAGTGGGGCCAACTTGCTGGCAGGGAGTCGGGGAGCCAGAGTGATGGCTAGACACACACACAAGGCCACGGCACTGCAGTCATCAACAGAGCTCTGCCCAGGGATAGAATTGATGGAGAACAAGGTTGTGGTTGAGACCACAGTTCAGGGACACGAATAACAGCAACAAAAAGAAAGAATAAGCATTATTTATTGATGACCTGGAGTATTAAAATATTCTATCCAAACACTTCACAGTTAATGTCATTCCTAAGCATTTTATTATTTTTTATTTACAGTAATTTTTTTTTACATATTAAAGCCATATTATACTCTGTAAACTTATGAATAAAAATGCAAAATATTGTAAATTTATATTGTCCACCAAAACCTTATAACATATTTTATTATGTGCCATGGTAGGCTCTAGAAAAGGGAGGAGATGATAAGAGAGAGAGTCTATAATCTTCCTGGTAGCAGAAGCTACTTTCATCATTGTTTCCTGCAGTAGTCTGCAAATGAGTAACTTTTTTCTTTTTTTAAATTTTACTTTAAGTTCTTGGATATATATGAGGAACGTGCAGGTTTGTTACATAGGTATACATGTGCCATGGTGGTTTGCTGCACCTATCAATCTGTCTTCTAGGTTTTAAGCCCCACATGCATTAGGTATTTGTCCTAATGCTCTCCCTCTCCTTACCCCTCAACCCCCAACAGGCCATGGTGTGTGATGTTCCCTTCCCTGTGTCCATGTGTTCGCATTATTCAACTCCCACTTATGAGTGAGAACATGCAGTGCTTGTTTTTCTGTTCCTGTGTTAGTTTGCTGAGAATGATAGTTTCCAGCTTCATCCACGTCCCTGCAAAGGACATGAACTCATCCTTTTTATGGCTGCATAGTATTTCATGGTGTGTATGTGCCACCTTTTCTTTATCCAGTCTATCATTGATGGGCATTTGGATTGATTCCAAGTCTTTGCTATTGTAAATAGTGCTGCAATAAATATACATGTGGATGTGTCTTTATAGTAGAATAATTTGTAATCCTTGGGGTATATACCCAGTAATGGGATGGCTGGGTCAAATGGCATTTCTAGTTCTAGATCCCTGAGGAATCGCCACACTGTCTTCCACAATGGTTGAACTAATTTACACTCCCACCAACAGTGTAAAAACATTCCTATTTCTCCACATCCTCTCCAGCACCTGTTGTTTCCTGACTTTTTAATGATCGCCATTCTAACTGGTGTGAGATGGTATCTCATTGTGGTTTTCATTTGCATTTATCTGATGGCCAGTGATGGTGAGCATTTTTTCATGTGTCTGTTGGCTGCATAAATGTCTTCTTTTGAGAAGTGTCTATTCATGTCCTTCGCCTACTGGTTGATGGGGGTTGTTTGATTATTTTTTTGTAAATTTCTTTAAGTTCTTTGTAGGTTCTGTATATTAGCCCTTTGTCAGATGGGTAGATTGTAAAAATTGTCTCCCATTTTGTAGGTTGCCTGTTCACTCTGATGGTAGTTTCTTTTGCTGTGCAGAAGCTCTTTAGTTTAATGAGATCCCATTTGTCAAGTTTGCCTTTTGTTGCCATTGCTTTTGGTGTTTTAGACATGAAGTCCCTGCCCATGCCTCTGTTCTGAATGGTATCACCTAAGTTTTCTTCTAGGGTTTTTATGGTTTTAGGTCTAACATTTAAGTCTTTAGTCCATCTTGAATTAATGTTCGTATAAGGTGAAAGGAAGGGATCCAGTTTCAGCTTTCTACATATGGCTAGCCAGTTTTCCCAGCACCATTTATTAAATAGGGAATCCTTTTCCCATTTCTTGTTTTTGTCAGGTTTGTCAAAGATCAGATGGTTGTAGATATGTGGTATTATTTCTGAAGGCTCGGTTTTGTTCCATTGGTCTATATCTCTGTTTTGGTACTAGTACCACGCTGTTTTGGTTACTGTAGCCTTGTAGTACAGTTTGAAGTCAGGTAGTGTGATGCCTCCAGCTTTGTTCTTTTGCCTTCAGATTGTCTTGGCAATGCGGGCTCTTTTTTGGTTCCATATGAACTTTAAAGTAGTTTTTTCCAAATCTGTGAAGAAAGTCATTGGTAGTTTGATGGGGATGACATTGAATCTGTAAATCACCTTGGGCAGTATGGCCATTCAACCTGATACCAAAGCCTGGCAGAGACACAACAAAAAAAAAGACAATTTTAGGCCAATATCCCTGATGAACATTGATGCAAAAATTCTCGATAAAATACTGGTAAACCGAATCCAGCAGAACGTCCAAAACCTTATCCACCACGATCAAGTGGGCTTCATCCCTGGGATGCAAGGCTGGTTCAACATACGCAAATCAGTAAACATAATCCATCATATAAATAGAACCAAAGACAAAAACCACCTGATTATCTCAATAGATGCAGAAAAGGCCTTTGACAAAATTCAACAGCCCTTCATGCTAAAAACTCTCAATAAACTAGGTATTGATGGGACATATCTCAAAATCATAAGAGCTATTTATGACAAACCCACAGCCAGTATCATACTGAATGGGCAAAACTGGAAGCATTCCCTTTGAAAACTGGCACAAGACAGGGATGCCCTCTGTCACCACTCCTATGCAACATAGTGTTGGAAGTTATGGCCAGGGCAATTAGGCAGGAGAAAGAAATAAAGGGTATTCAATTAGGAAAAGAGGAAGTCAAATTGTCCCTGTTTGCAGACGACGTGATTGTATATTTAGAAAACCCCATGGTCCCAGCCCAAAATCTCCTTAAGCTGATAAGCAACTTCAGCAAACTCTCAGGATACAAAATCAATGTGCAAAAATCACAAGCATTCCTATACACCAATAACAGACAAACAGAGAGCCAAATCATGAGTGAACCTCCCATTCACAATTGCTTCCAAGAGAATGGAATACCTAGGAATGTGGAAACACATTGTGAGGGTGGAATACTTTGTAGTATGAAGGGGAGGTCTCTAAGTCATCTTGATGCAAAGGAGGCACCCCTTAACAGGAATGTGTTGGTCATATCTGCGGACGATGTTGAAATATAAGGGATATGAGTTTACAATATTTTTAGATGTAATAATCCAGATGCTCTTACTCCATGAGAGTTTCATTCTTTCCTGGCCTGAGTTTTTAATGTGGTTATAGCAGACCTGCTTAGTTTGAGAGTTTTTTTACAGCTCTCTTCTACTCTTATGATTGAGACTTTGGTTTGGTCCTCAACATTCTTTGCCTCTAGCTGCAGTAAATGAGATCCTCTTTACATGCTACTTGCTTTCATGCACTGGCATTCACGCTTAGCTTTTAATTTCAGATTAATGAATCATATTTTTATCTTTTTCTTCAAGGCATACTTCAAGTTTAGCAAAGCTACTCAATTCCACTCTCCTTATAACTACTACGTCTCCAATATTTCTCAAATATTTAACACATCACACCACATCATCTAGTGCATTCTCTTCTACTGAGTGTATACCATTCTCTTCTACTGAGTGCATACCATTCTCTTCTACTGAGTGCATACCATCCCTCCGCCAATGAAGATTTTAAAAATGGCACTGTTCCCTTGTGCCAGGGGCTGCCTTTACTTATTTATCACTATTGATGGTGTCCTTGCTTCCTTTTTTTTTTTTTTTTCGCTCTGTCATCCAGGCTGGAGTGCAGTGGTGTGATGTCGGCTCACTGCAAGCTCCACCTCCTGGGTTCACGCCATTCTCCTGCCTCAGCCTCCCGATTAGCTGGGACTACAGGCGCCCACCACCAAGCCAGGCTGATTTTTTGTATTTAGTATTTGTATTTGTATTTAGTAGAGACGGGGTTTCACCGTGTTAGCCAGGATGGTCTTGATCTCCTGACCTTGTGATCCGCCCTGCTCGGCCTCCCAAAGTCCTGGGATTACAGGCATGAGCCACTGCGCCCAGCCAGTGTCCTCATTTTCAACAGGGCAGTGGATAATCCAACTGCAAAATCTCATTTTAGCATCTGCTTTCTGAGACCAGTTCAGATACCAGCCCTTTTTGGTCAGGTTCCAGAAGAAGAAGGGCCTGATATGGGAATTAGCATGCAAAAGATTTATTGGGAGACTGTTTTTGAGAATAATCCCCTAATAAATGAAAACTGCTTCCTCTGCCCAATCTTGCTTCCTGTCCTTCCTGTAAAAGACAAGGAAAGGGAAGAAAAGAAAACAAGATTGGGCCAAGGGAGCAGTTTTCATTCTTAATGAATTCTTTTCTCAGCTGATGGTGTCTGTATCTGGAGGGCCCCTCAGATCTATAAGGGGCCACAGAAAGGACCTGAGTCTTCATAAACCTGCATGAATCAGTTATTCATGTACATGCTGTCTCTTAGGAATTCATGAGATGACAATTACCTCATCCAACATCACTTTGCCCTCTCAGGGCAAAATTGTGCAGCACAGTTCTCTGTTGTGCTGTCTAATGCATTGCAGATGTTTACAAGCATCCCTGGCCTCTACTCACTAGATGTCAGTAGCACCCTCCCCTAGTTCAAGAATTACACTGTTACTTGTGTCAGGGGCTGCCTGTACTATACATCAGCAGTGATGGCATCCTTCTTTCCATCTGGGTAGTCAGTAATCCAATTATATTAATTCAATGATTAGACTAAGTATATAATGTATATTTTCCCTCAAGTGATATCAAGAAGAAATGGAATGCTAAATTTAGCTAATTGGTAAATTTCACATATTTTATACCATTTGGACATGGGAGATTGGGAGTTAAATAAAGTTTGAAAGAATAATTTAGGCTAACATCCAGGGTGATCCCCCTGTCACCAAGGACCCTTTAGGACAAAGAGAAGATTAGAACTGCTGTCCTAAGCGTTTAAGATGACAACGGCAAGCTGTTGTAGTGTATATATCAGTGCGTGTGTTATGCATTAGAAAAAGGCTTTGCAAACTACCACATGCTCATAATAAAAACGTAGTGGAAAGATGATAGAAACACAAGTTTGAAGTACTACTGAGCTGCTGACTAGCTCAGTGACCTTGGTCATTTCACTCACTCACTGAGCTTTTCCTCACTCTTACTTGAAGATGATTCAAACCTTACAGTGTTAATATTTTTGTGCATATGTGAGTGCATTCATAAATGTCTGAAATTTAAAAGAAATTTAACTTATATATGTATATAAAATATGTACATATATATAAAAATATCTAGCATTATGCCTGGCCTGTAGTGGTTACTCAAATGCCAGATGAATTTTAATGACTAGCACTCAGCCTTACCTAAAAAGACAAGAACATCTTGCAAGTAATTGCTTCTGTCTTCTAAGATAACTGCTGCTGTTTGGCAACACAGTAGGGACTCCCAGTAGAAGCAACCTTGCTCTCATTGCATCTGCTCCAGAGAAATCAAGAAATAATTACCTTTTTATTTGGAGACTTGATTGATGCATCAGCCTTCCCCGTGGCTGTAGAGAGATAAACTGGGCCAAAGAGAATAACCTGGATTTTATTCTGCCTTGATTACTCCTGTTGCAGGGATAATTTGAGTTCAGGGCGGGAAGTACCACAGCTGATTAAAGAGAGGACCTTGGGCACATCAACTCTCAAATATCTTGATTACAGAAATTGGAGGCTCCCATTCCATGTTCATGAATACTGTGAAAATGTGACATCCTGCATTGCCAAGGTAGCTGTCTGAATTATATGAATACAAGGAGATACAGGGTTTAATGATCAGCGGCAATGTCAAGGACTGGAATCATGACAGGAACAAGTACTGCTTCCTAAAACACAGTGTAAATGATTTATAGTTGAAAATGGCAATCACTTCAATTTATATTGATGAAAATAGAATTCTTTTAGAAAGTCTCTATTTAAAAAAAAATATGCCTCTTTCAGTGATGATAGCTACATGACTACCCCATATTACCAGTTGAAAATTAACATTAAAATACCTTTCACCTACATAATCTTTGGAATGGATGTGGAAAATATTCAGATTACCAAAGGTTGTAAACACTTCAATCGTAATGCTTTTTTTTAACTTGGCTAGTTTCTTATACTTAAAAAAATAAAAATAACTAAAAATACACTTAAAACTGTCTATATTTTATAAACATTAATTAGGTAAATAGGGGAGGCATAAGAATAGTGGAAGGCTTTGTACAGAAAGATTCAGTGCTCTTAGTAAATGTCAGTAAGGTATAATGAGAGGAGAGCAGTGTTACAATTGAGAGCAGCTAGATTCAAATCTTCATCACCATACACTAGCTGTGTGGAATTACGCAAATCATTGTATCCCTTTGAATTTTACTGTCCTACTCAAAAAGTTGAGATGACAAATAGAACTATTGGTTAAAAGTTTCTAGAAGTTTTCATGTCATTGTAAATGTAATATGCTACGTAGATTATTTTAAAGCACTGCGAAACTGTTCAACATTTTCATTAACAATATTAGCTAAAATGTAATTAATTTATCAAGGAATAAATAAAATATGTTAAACCCAGTGTGAAGTCCACAGTAGGTCTTCGATAATGGTGATAAATGAAAGTTGTATTGAATATGTTATTTATTGTCTTTATTTTTCATTAAAAAATCTGCTAAATGTTGAATGATGAGTACTTCAATTCATGTAAACAAAGTTAACTGGTCAAATAAACATTAAAAATATTAAGTGATATTGATGCTAGTAATATTTGTTCAATGTTGTAGTGGTAATGTATAAGTTGTAGTAATAATAAAAATTTATATTAATGCCTTCTTATGAGAACTCAATTCAACATTTAGAAAGAGTCAATCAAAAAATAACCTGGGATTTTATCTATCATGGTTTATCAGATATTGTTTGTTTTATACAGGAATATATATGTGTGTATATATATATAAAATTCTGGGAAAGAGAAGAATCTTGATTTTGTTCTCTTTGATTTCCCCTGCTGCAAAGATAATGTGAGTTTAGGGTACTGTGTATATATTTTATTATAAATTACAGAGTCATAAGCTATGTATAAAATTTTTGAGAAAGGAAAAAGTGATTAATGCATAGCATAAAATGTACATATACAATTATTTTATATGTAATTTATAGTTACATATAATTGCTAATACATATACAGTTGAAGCCATTTCATAGTCTAGCTCTGTTGTTAGTAGAAAAGTGATAGGTGATCATGGCTACAAATATGTCCATAATTTTCACAAATAATAAAGGGGGAAATTGAGAATTTTTATTGCAATCTCATGATGAAACATTGGGACTAAACGAAGACAGAAGGAAAGATATAAACTATGCAGAGAAGTGCTTTTGGGCATAAAAAGGTACTATGCAGAGAAGTACTTTTATGCATAAAGTGCTTTTATGCACTGTGTCATCAGTTCTTAAAACAGGGCCTTGTACGTAGGTGCTTACTGAGTGGTTCTTTAATGAATAACCAATGCAAGATCCAGTGCGGCCATTAAGAGTGAATAACAGTTTCACTTACATACATTATCTCATTTAAGTCTCTCAAAATCTTGTCACATAAGCAAGTGTGATTTTATAATTTAAAAGGAGAAGGTGTGAGGAATAATATTATGTAGATTTGATCTGTTTTTTGTACTGTAATGTTAATTATTCCACAAGTATCAAATGGCACTTACCACTCATAAATGATGTATTTGTAATTTTTGTTACTCCTGGGGATTAAGACTAACTACATAGATTCTTCTTTAATGTTTGCTAAATTTAAGTTGTTGTGTATTCATACTTTGAGACGTGAAACAAATATAACCCACCCCAGAGAGCCTCATTTTCTGATTTGTTTTTCTCTTCTGGGTTTATATCTATATTAGCCCTTTTTATATTGTGGTGCAATCAAATATTCAAATATCTTCAGCCCTAATTTGAGTCAGAGCAACATGAGATGGCAGGAAAAAAAGAATCTGTTAAACAATTGTTGATTCTACCCAAAAAAGCATAAATGTTTCTCTTATTAAAAATAAAATAAATTAAAATTGATTAATTTTTAAAAATATTTTTAAAAAATGTTTTAATTTGTTAAGAGTAAATGAATATATTTATTGGCATTTTATGTCTAAGAAGTTTGTTTTTGGTTATCTAGCATGTAAGTGTGGTATCTTCTAATATTTTATATCTTCTGTTTTATTTGTGGCTTTGTAGATTTCATTAATCTGAATTAAATTGATCATTTGAGCAAGTGCTTCACCAGTGACTTCTTTCACACTTCTAGAAGGGTTTTAATTAGAGTAACCTTTCATAGCATTTTTAGTCTAGTAACTTCAAGCCTCATAATATATTCACTCCACATAAAAACACTTATCAATAGAGTCCACAGGATGATTTAACATGCCACACACACCTCTTGTTCTTCACATTGATATGTATGTAATACAGTCAGACCCACCTCTTCATTACTTCCAAAGAGCCAACTTTGTCCGGTCTAAAAAATAATAGCTCTTTCTGATATTTTTTTTCAAGGGAAAACCTATTCTTGGGACTTTTTTTCCACTTTTCTTTCAGTTTTTCTTTGAATTTTCTCTTCTGTCACATTTTCAAAATGCCATTATTCATGATTTATCGCTGTCTTTAAGTGTCTTTATAGGAATTAAATATCTTTTTACTTTTATAGTTTCAAGTCTTTTGTTGAACTTATTCAACTAGCACTAAATATTTTTATTCATTTTAAAGAAAATTATTTCAGAGAATTATCTACATTAATAGTCTAAATGGTTTTATCATGGTGAAATATATATATATAAAACATAAAATTTGTCATTTTAATCATTTTAAAATATTCAGCTCAGTGGCATTTTATATTCATATTGCTGTGCAACCATCATCACTATCTATTCTAAAACTTTTTTATCACTTCCAACAGAAACTCTGCACCCATTAAGTAATAACTTCTGTTTCCCTCTCCCCCAGCCCCTGGGAACTTCTCTCTGAATTTTCTTATTGTAAATATTTCAAGTAAATGGAATGTTACATCATTTATTCTTATGTGTCTCATTTCTTTTAGTTAGTATAATTTATCCAAGGTTGAGCCATATTGTAGCATATATCAGAACTTTTTTGGGATTGAATCATATTACTTTATGTCTATTTAACACATTTAGTGTATCCATTCATCTGTTGATGGATATTGGTTGTCTCCAATTATTTCTGTTTTATTTTTATTTTAAGTTCTGGGGTACGTGTGCAGGATGTGCAGATTTGTTACATAGGTAAACATGTGCCATAGTGGTTTGCTGGACCTATCAACCCATGGCCTATGTATTAAGCCCAGCATGCATTACCTATTTTTTCTAATGATCTCTCTACCCCCACTCCCTGCCACCAACACTCTGAATCTTTTTGAATGCTTTACATAAAGCTTTTGTTTCCAATACCTCAAGGAAATTAATGTTATCAAGGTCCTCAGTGATCTTCATATATTTAAATTGAATGGTTGATTATCAATCCAAGTATTGTTTGATATATAAATGGCATTTTACAGGACTGAGTACATGTACCTACATGAAATGTCTTCACTAGATTACCAGAAACTGCTGAAGAGATTTAGAAGGTAGGATGGCCCTTTTGCAGATTCTGTGTAGAAACTGAGACCCTCCCCCTTGAAAATACCAGAGAGGATTTCCACAGAAGCTGTAATCAACTATTTATATTGTTTTATTGTTCTGGGTTAGATGACATGCCATTCTTGATTCAAATACAGAAAGGGAAGATATAATCATTCTAATTTTCTCCAACTATTCTCTGGAGCCGAGATTAGACTCAGTAGCTGCTGAATAAGATGCACAGACTTGTGAAAATGGTGAATATTCAAAGACCTTTCTGTTTGAAAAGAGAAAGGGATTCTGTTTGGAAGGAGAAAAACAAGAATGATACTGGATTGGCAGTTAACAATATCCACTGTATGCCTGAAAGCATATCCGTAGAATATTTTTTTAAAAATATCATTTCTACCTCAAGTACTAGTATTGGACTCTAAGAAATGTACTTATGTGCTTATTTAAACATTAAACCAGCATAAAATTAGAATAGTTTCTAAATTTTCTCCATGAAGGTTCATATTGAATAGAAAAAGCTATTGTTTTCTTCTTTTCCATTACAGAGCATGACCCTTTAAATGTTTGAACTTTTTCCTTGAAATGCACTTTAAAACAGAAGTGATATGCATTTAGCTTCATGATGGTTTTAGGTGAGATTTAATAGCTAGCCATACAAATAAACCCTGCAGGTGGTAAGCGACGGTCCATGCATGAAACAAGCATCCCAGCTTCCAAAAGGCTATCAATTAAATGAAAATGACTATTGAACTGATCTTCTGCTACCAAAATGCTAATTAAAATTTCATTACTCTTCATCAGCCACTCATACTGTAGCTCTGGGATAATGGTGATGCAGCGTCTCAGTATATTATAATCTTAGTGATATATTTTTATATCATCACCATAAGAAACATTGTGTTACTCCAGAATATTTGAGATTTCTCACTGCCTGAGGCATGTATTTATTTCATATCTTTTTATTTTAGTTTATTCTGTTCAATCCTCTACTTAATCCATCTACCTGTACCTGATGCGTGGGTCTCTGATACTAGGCCACAGACAAATACTCACCCAGGATTGACCTTGAAAATAAAACATGATGTTTGTGTCATAATCATAGTTCACATCTGACTTCATACTTAGTACAGCTAATTTTACTCCTTTTTCCTTGTGAAAATGCCAGATCCTGATGAGTTTTAAATTTAAAAAATCCTCTTTCCTATGTAATTATAAATTATTTCGTTGTTTAAACCTTATAGTATCATGAATTTAGTACTTTTTTTTCTGGAAATATTTGGCATATGAACCTCTCTCACTTATGAGCAGCATATTTGTTAATTGAGATTATTGTAGATTCACACGTGGTAGAAGGAACGATACAGAGAGATCCCTTGTATACTTCATCCAGTTTCCCCTAATGGTGACATTTTGCGTAACCATAGCATAATAGCATAACCAGGATATTAATATCAATAAAATCCATTGATCTAATTCAGACTTACCCAGTTTTACTTACACACATATATGTGTGTATTAAATCTGATACAATTTTAAGATGAGTAGGTGTGTTTATCCACAAATAGGAGTAAAAATGCTAAACACTAACAACGTCAGGATCCTTTCTATTCTTTGATAACCATACACACCTCCCACCATTTCTCCCACTCATTTTAAATGTTGCCACTAAACTTATCCTCTATTTCTAAAATTTCATCATGAATAGAACAATACAGAATATAAACTTTGGGGTTAGTATTTTTTTACTTTGTGTGATTCTCTGGAGACTTGCCTAAGTTGATATGTACATAAATGATCTATTCCTTTTAATTGTTAAGTAGTATTCCATGGTGCATAGGTACTGCCATTTGTTTGACCATTCACCTACTGAAGTACATCTTGATTGAGCAAAGGTTTTGGCTATTATGAATACATCTGCTATAAATATTTGTTGAATAGGCTTTTGTGAACAGAGCTTTCTCCCCACTCTTGGAGAAATTCACAAGAGTACAATTTGCTAGGTTGAATAATAGTTGTATACCTTTTTTATTACCAAGCTCCAAGCTGTTTTCTATAGCGGCTGTATCATTTTACATTTTCACAGGAAATATATGAGTGATTTAGTTTTTCTACAGAAATGGCAATATTTGCTGCTGTCACTTTTTTGTTAATTTTTGCCATTGTAATAGATTTGTAGTATTAGGTAATAATATATCACTGTGGTTTTAATTTGCAATTTTCTGGTGATGAATGATGTTGATATGATGCTTGTTTTCCATCTGCATATCCTATTCACTGAAATGTCTCTTTATGTCTTTTGCCCATATTCTAATTGGTTTTTCGAGTTCATTTTTACAAGACCTTTTGCAATCTGTATAGTTTTGTTTTGTTGAGGTTAGAGAGGTCTTTTTTATGTTCTAAATACTAGTCCTTCCTCAGATATATAATTTTAAATGTTTTCTCCAAATACGTACCTTGGTCTGTTTATCCTTTGCACACCGGTTTTCACTAAGAGAAAGTTTATAGTTTATAATTTTTTTATTTTATGTATTGTGCTTTTGATGTCAAGTCTGAGAAATTGTAGCTTTCCTGTAGATCCTGAAGATTTGTTTTCTTTTAGTTTAAACATGTTTTTTAGCTATATATTTACATTTAAGGATATAATTTATTTTGACTTAATTTTTGTATGTTATATGAAATGTAGGCTGAGATTATTTTTCTTTTGTTTTTTTTTTCCTTTTGGTCTATGCATATACAATTGCCGCAGGACCATTTCCTGAAAAGAACATTTTTCAGTTTAGTTCTTGCATCTTGCTCAAAAGTGTGTTAGGTATATTTTATGGGTCTGTTTCTAGGCCCTCTACCTTGTTCCATTGGCTTATGTGTCAGTACCACATAATATTAATTAATGTATGTAGATAATAAGTCTTGAAATCAGATACAATAATTCATTCCTTTTTATTTTTCCTTTTTGAAATTGTTTTAGCTAGTTTAGTTCCCTGGGCATTGCATGTAAATTTTACAGTGATAATTCTATATTTATACAAAAGTGGGCTATTTTGGATAAGAATTACATTGAACCTGTGCATTGATTTAGAAAAAATTAGCATCATTACTATACTGTTTCTTCCAATCCATGAACACAATGTCTTTCCACTTATTTAGGATTTTTAATTTATTTCATCATTGTTGTATATTTTTCAGCATAAAAGTCTTGCACAGTTTTGTTAGATTTATAGTTAAATAATTCATTTTTGAGTGTTGTGAATGGCATTGTGTTTTTAATTTCAGTGTTCATGGGCACATTCTGGTATCTAGAATGAAAAATTGATTGTGTTATGCTTATCTTGTATCTTGTGACCTTGTTGGCATCATTTATATTAGCTCTGTTTTTTGATAGATCCTTTAGGATTTTCAACACAGACAATCATGTTATCAGCAAATAGAAAAAAATTTTACTTTTTCCTTTCTTGTCTGTATACCTTTTGTTTCCTTTCTTTTCATTATTGTGCTAGTTGAGGACTTCCAGAACTATGTTGAGAAGAGAAGTAAGAGTAGTCATCTTTACCTTGTGTGCTAAGCTGTTCTTATGTTGCTACAAAGAAATACTCGAGAATGAGTAATTTATAAAGAAAAGAGGTTTAATTGGCTCACGGTTCTTCAGGCTGTACAGGAAACACGGCACTGGCATCTGCTCAGCTTTGGGGGTCTCTCAGGGAGATTTTACTCCCTGAGAAGCGGGAGGAGGTATGTCACATGGCCAAAGCAGAATCACATGGCCATGGTCATGTGGCCAAAGAGAGAGTGGAAGGAGGTGCCACAAACTTTAAAACAACCAGATCTCATGAGAACTCACCTACTAACCTGAGGACAGCACCAAGACATCAGGGATCTGCTCCCATGACCCCGATACCTCTCACCAGGCCCCACCTCCAACACTGGGGATTACATTTCAACATGAGATTTGGCAGGGACATATATCCAAACTATAGCACCTTATTCCTGATTTTAGGAAGGATTTTAGGATGTTTTTCATCATCAAGTATAATCTTAGCTGTAGGGTTTTTACCTGTTCTTTAAAATTTGGAGAAGGTCTTCCTCTATTCCTAATTTTCTAAGAGTTTTTTATTATATATATTTATTTTTTGCTGAATTAATTTTATGCATCAATTGATATGATCATCTGATTTTTCTTCTTTAGCCTGTTGATATTGTTCATTGCAATGACTGATTTTGTAATGTTGAACCATCCTTGTATTGCTGGAATAAACACACTTGGTCATGTGTGTAGTTATTTTTATATATTATTGAGTTTTATTTCATAATATTTTGTTAATGATTTTTATATCTATATTTGCGAGGAATACTAATCAATTATTTTCTTTTTTGTACACTGGCTTGGGTATTGGTGTAATACTTCATAAGAATAGTTAGGAAATTTTCAATTCATTTCTATTTTCTGGTAAAGCTTGTATAAATTTAGTAATAATTACTTCTTAAATGTTTATTACTATTCTCCGGTGAAACTATTTCAGCCAGGAATTTTATTTTTCAGGACCTTTTAATTAATAATTGATTTGATTGAAATAGAGCTATTTTAGATTGTTAATTTTATCTTGGTAATTTTTGATAGTTTGTGTTTTCAAAAAATTAGTCCGTTTAAGTTGGTGAAACTATAAGCATGAAGTTGTTCGTATTATTCTCTTTATCTTTTTAAAAGCTACAGAATCAAGAGCGTTATTTCTTACTTTAATTTTGACATGAGCAATAGCTGTCTTTTTGTTACTTTTGTTGAGTATTTTTGGAGTTTTATTAATTTTATTGATAAACATATTTGAAAGATATTTGGTTATATTAATTTTCTTTATTGCTTTTCTGTTTTCAATTTTATTGATTTCTGCTTTGATTTTTTATTATTTTTTCTTTTTGTTTTGAGCTTATTTTGCTCTTCTGTTTCTACTTTTGTTAATAGAAATGTAGATTATCAACTTGAGACCTCTCATTTTTAATGTAAGCCTGCACTGCTATCAGTTTTTCTCTAATCGCTTCTTTAGTTCTATCTGACATAATATTTTGTATCTTTTAAATCATTCACATCTATGTATTTGTTTTTAAATTATTTGAGACTTCCTTTTTGACCCATGGATCATTTAAAAATACGTTATTTCCCACATGTTCTCAGATTCCTCTTGTTTTGTTATTTATTTCTAGTTTGGTATCACAAAAAATACATAACACAATTTAAACTATTTTTTTAAGTTTGTTGAGGCTTGATTAATGTCTACTTATGTCTATGATCTATCTTGATGAGTATTCCATGAAGGTCTGAAAAAAATTGTGTGTTCTGCTGTAATTGAGCGGAGTGTTTTTATGTGGCAGTTAGATCTTCTTAGCTGAATGTGCATATATTCTAGATATTGCAGGTCATTGCTGATTTTCTAATAATTCTATCATTATTATCAGTGTTGGAGTCTGCAATTACAGTAGTGAATCTCTGCTTTCAACTCTTTATCAGTTTTTGTTTCATGTTATTTTGCAAATACGCTCTCGTGGTCGGTACATATTTAGAATTTTTATGTCTAGTTGATTGATTCTTTTATCATCATTAGTATAAAAGACACAAGGATCAAAAACATCTAAATGAAACGTGGTTCGGACAAGAAGGCATAGACCCATTTCTTCTTGCTGTCTCTCACGAGACACAACCTTAAGCATTAGAAGTAGTGAAAAGACAAATATAGAGGAGAACCCTGAAGGTAGTAAAAATAAGAGAGCTTTCTTTGTACTATCCTTGAGTGTTTCACTACGTATTAAATTTCCACAATGCATCACTAGAGCCTATATTGTATCTGTGGACACTCTTTAAATGTGGACATTTAAGCAAAAGTCGAAAGAATAAATCTAGAAATAAAAATGAATGTGAAATTTGATGAGAAGGATTGGCTCCTGCTGCAAATAAATTTCTGTTCATTATACATTACAGTCAGTGGTATTCTATTATAGCAGCATGAAATGGTCTAATACATCTGATCAAGAATGGAGAATCTCAGTCCTATGAGGACAAAGAGGCTTCCATGACCTACTAAGTTGCCTGGTATTGTTCAGTCTCTCCTGCAGGCTCTTTGTCTTGTAGCCTAAGTATCTCTTGGTAGAAAAAAGAAGTCTCAGGACAGGTGGGTGAGGAGATGCACTCTCATGTCTTAAGTTCAGCTGGTGCTATGCTGGGGGCTACTGTTTGATCTGGAGAAACAATGGGCCTATCTGGGCTGCCTTCTGCTACTATGTCATGGGGGAAAGAAGTACTGGATATGGATGGCCTTCCTCTCAGGTGGGAGGACACAAGGCATCTTGATGTTGTGTTGTTGCTCAAATCCTGGGTCCCCACACCAGCTCTTCTATTTTTACCACCTGCAGAGTTCTCCTTTATTTGCTTTTTGTACCATTTGCAGTGCTTAAGGTTGTGCCTAGTGAGAGGGAGCAAGAAGAAATGGGTCTATGCCTTCTTATTTGAGCTACAGCTTACTTAGATGTTTTTGATCCTTGTTTCTCCAATATTAATGATTAATTTTTAAAACTTTACCCTAAATTAATCTGTATTACCTTTTTTCCATAAACTCCATAAAGACAGAATGTGTTTCATTTTTATATAATTAAACACCCTGCCTGCAATTTACAAACAAATGATATGTCATTTAAGTTTCATAAATGGGAAAAAGATTAATCACAGACAGTTTATTTCTTTAAAAAATAACACAAATTTCTTATTTCTGTATTTGTCATAAGTTCAACCTTTTTGCATTATCTTGATCAGTGTAAAATGCTTGGATGGTCAGTGTTGTTTGACTTGTGTCTGTATTTGGTTAGGATCCATTTAAACTCTCTAGGATAATGTCAAAATCAATTTCTTCCTTTATACTTTCTTATTTTCAAAGAAATGGTACTAAATATTTCTATGAATATATGGAAATATCTATGCGAATATGTATCTGACTAAAAATGTTGCAGGCATCTTTTCTGTTTTTTTAACCCTTTGTAATATTTTTATTTTGTTTATTTAGTGATATAAGGGAAAATTGTGAGCATTTAACTACATAATCTTTATGTTTCCACCAAACTCAATTTTTTAGTTCTTAGTATATGGCCTATAATCTAACTTTAATTTATCCCTTTTATATTAGCTTATTTTCTTGTTAACAACAAGGATATCTCTTCTGGAGTATCTCAAGTCAAGGTAGAAAAAGTAGTCAACAGGAAAATGAACAGAACAGTTTTGGATATGTATGAGAATTTAAAGCAAATGTTTCTAAATGAGAAATTGTAACTCAGGAAATATTTGGCACATTCTATCAAAATTTTGTGAATTTTGATAATAAAACATTCACAATTCAATTAGGAGTAAAGGAAGAAAATATAAGCTATATCTATCAATAAAAGATTTTTTTCCATTTTTGTTTCATCTAGCAATATTCTTTTCCCTCCATAAGGAATCTGTTAAAAACTCTCTTCTTACTATCCTTCAGTCTTTTAAAATGTGTTAAATTCCCACAGTGCATTATTAGAGCCTATATCTGTGGACACTCTTTATGTGTTGGTATTTGAGCAAAAGTAGAAAGAATAAATCCAGAAATAAAAATGAATGGGAAATTTGACAGGAGAGATTGCTTTCTACTGCCAAATATATAACTATACTTCATCTAGTCTATCACTCAAGGAGGTTTCAGAATGAAGAATCATTTCCAAAATGCCATCCTACTTTCATCTTTTCCCAAGGAGGTTCAGAATAACCTGCAAGTGGATCACTGAACAAAGAAAGTACAAAACCACAAATAGTCCCTCTAAGGTCCTTTAAAACACAAACTTGGAACATTTTTATGACATTTCAAAATGACTTGTGATCCTGATACTACTATTTAAAGATATAGCTTGAATCAAATAAAATAAATTATAGGTCATCTGTCTAAGGATGGAACATTTTGTTTTGTTTTTTTCCCCATTTGACTTCTTAAAATTAATTATAGTTTCTTTAATATATATTGCAGAGATTATATATTTTTAAATCCAGGTTATAGAATAAAAATACTTTGCTTATCATCATTTGATATAAGTTCTATAAGTAAAAACTCAGTTCTACTTATATATTTCTACATAGAAGCACCACTTATAGTTTGTTGGCTTTTTAAAAAGAAGAAGGTAAAATTATACTAACGGATTTTGCTATGAGATGGATCAACCTAGATTTTATGAATAGAATAATTAACTTAAGTGCTTCAAATAGGTTTAGTGTTTTATGGTCTGAGACACTGCTTCCATCTAAAGAAACACCAATTTAGGAGAAACTAGAAAAAGAATTGGGAAAGAAGAAGAAAGTGTTTTTTGGAAATACACCAACCATAAAAGAGCGAAGCTCACTCTGCTCCTCTTAAAGTTTACTGCATTGTAATTGGGAATGTGTTATTTCCATGGTTCCTTTGAGTAACATAGACATAAGCAAAGAGAGTATTTATGTTCTGCACGAGTCCATCCATGTCTCTATTGGTGTGATTACCCTCCCCACCCATGCACCTTCCGTCCAAGCAGGAGTGCAGCCTGCTTGGGCTCAATGTCCCCTCTTCTGAGAAGCAGCCCGGCCCAATCCTGAGCGCCCCTGGTGCCGCAATCCCTCCTCACGCGTATGGGGCTGGCCGTTGATGTCGCCTGGGCTGGGGGTGCACCTGCAGCACAAACACGTGACTGAGCATCTTCTTGTCCCGGACCCTCTCGGCGTTGGACCCCAGGAAGCCCCTCCAGGGGGCTTCAGTCGCCCACCCACCTACAAAGCCCCTCATCTGCAGCGGCGGCTTCGTTCCCGGGACGCGCCCCAGGCTCTGCTCAGGCATGGCCCGCAGACCCTCAGGAGCCCCCGAAACATGATGACCTCCAGCCACGTGCCAGCTGCCAGGAGGGGGCTTCAAGACCCCAGATGAGCACCCGGCTGGCCGTGCCCCAGGGACAGAGGACCCAGTGTGACAGAATCCGGCCTGGGCCGCAGCCACCCACGCAGCCCATCCCAGTTCAGCCCGAGGTGGACAAGAAAAGTCCCACCAGGGACTGGAGCAGATGGGACGGGCTCCGGACCCCTGCCTGGCCCACCATCTGTCCTGCTAGTCGGTCCGTCTCCCCAGGCAACCCCTCCTCCCGGCCCACCATCTGCCCGGCCCTGCTAGGCCCTCCTCCTAGCTCCTCCAGGGCCCTCGGGAGGGGACAGAGCTGGAGCCAGGGCCCAGACCTCTGCTGCTTTGGGCCCGCCCCATCTGGCACCTCCAGGAGAAGGGGGCAGCAAGAGCTTGGCCAGGGCAGGGGCACTCCAGGGCAGCCGAAGGGCCTCGCCAGCTGTCTCATGATGAGATGAGCAGAGGGAGAGGGAGGAGAGGAAGGGAGAGGAAGGGAGAGGCTCTGGGAGGACAAGGGCCCCTCCCCTCCTCCTCCCCTCTTCCTCCCCTGCCCATGTGGCCTGGGCGGGAGGGACACGCGGATGGGAACATCCCAGCTGGTCCAGGCCTCTGCTCCCCCCAGCTCCTCCTCCTTGGCTGGCAGCTCTTCTGGGCTCCTGAGGTGCTGCGCAGCCCCTTCCCTGGCCCTGGGACACCCAGTGCCTGAGATGAAAGAGGAGTTGCTTCCATGGAGGGTCCCAGTGCAGGCCGGGGGGCGCTGGCCCTCAGGACACCAGGCCCCCAAGACATAGGGACACCAGAAGCCCCCGATCTGCCTCCAAGGTCCAGCAGCCCCAAAGCCCCTGCTCAGAAGCCAGCGATGGGAGGGCAGGGCCTGCCTGTGGGACCCACCATGGGCGCAGCAATCGCCAGGCCCTGGGCAGACAGCAGCGCAGCCTGAGTCCAGGTCTGGGGCAAGTCGGCAAGTGCACCCCCAGAGGTGGAATGACAGGAGCTCCTGTGGAGGACGCAGGCGGCCCCCGCCCCTCACTCCACTGTGAGGCCTGAGGATGCACACGGGCAGCTCTCACCGGCTTATGAAATGCCCCCACCCCGCTGCCTCTCTGGGTCCTCCTCATCCTGTGGCCTGCAGGGTCAGGAGCGTGACTTTGGTGTCAGGAGAGAGGCTGGCTCCTCCCTGTGGTGGGTGTTGGGGGGAGGAGTGAGGTTCATTATAAATTACACTCCCCTCGAACCTGGCTCTTAGGCGAGGGCAGGGCTGGGGTTCACCCTGCTCTCTGCAGGGGAGGGTCAGCCCCCAGGTATGCCTGGGTGGGTCTCCACGGCAGGCCAAGAGGGCAGGCCCTGGGCACGTCCACCCCTTCTCTCTGGTCCCACAGCTCCCCTACTCGCCACCTGCCCTGAGCAGCCCCCAGGAGAGCACACGCAGGGAGGATGCTGAGGGGCTGGAGGGCAGGAGTCCCGGCTGAGGCTGTGACCCCAGCTGTGCTCCCCGTTCCCTCTTAGGACCAGCCAAGACCCAAGGACAGGCGGCCAATCAGGGCCTGGCGTTTACCCCTCCTCCCCCACCCCCATCACGGGCCTCCCGTGGGACCCCCAGGAAGAGCAGCTTCCATTGACCGAGGTCAGGGGACACCCTCCCGCTGACACTCACTCTCCACGGATCCTGGAGCCCATGAGTCGCCTCCCCACCTCCACTGCACTGGACCCCCCGCAGGCCCTGGTGGGGGTGGCCACGGATAACCACACAAACATGCATTTTCCTTGTAGGAGCAGGCAGGTGACAACCAGTGTCCTACTTTCTTGCATTAAAACACCCAAATCAACAGGGCGAAGGCCCGGAGGAGGGGTCCTGAGGGAGCCAGCCGGGCGCTCAGCCTGCTTCGCTGGGATGCTTGTCGAGGTCGGGACCGCACTACCAAACTCACCTCTGTGCACCCTGCGGGGCCCAGGAAACTCGGTCCTCCCTGGGCTCCCCCAGGCCTGGGGTGGACGTTGGAATAAAGTGGGGACAACACGATGAGACCCCAGCCCTGGAGGTGCCCTCGGCAGAAGCCCGAGATCAAACCTGGGAGATTTGTGGCTGGACAGCACCACCTGGTGGACACATTGGAGATTACCAAAGCCGAACAGTCGATTCGTTCTTGGTTCTGGGATTTTCTTAATTGGGTCTTAGCTGGGGCTTCCTTTCCCTTTCCCCAGTAGCAGGGGCTTTGTGACTATCAGAAACACCTGCCAGGCCTGTGCAACATGGGGAGACCTCATCTCTGCAAAACACACACATACACACACACACGCACACACACACACACATATTAGTGAGGTGCGGTCGTCCCAGATATTCAGGACGCTGAGATGGGAGGATCGCTTGAACCCAGGAGGTCGAGGCTGCAGTGAGTCGTGATCATGCCACCGCACTCCAGTTAGGGTGACAGAGAGAGACCCTGTCTCTAAAGAAAGAAAAGAAAAGGCCGGGCACAGTAGCTCACGCCTGTAATCCTGACACTTTGGGAGGCTGAGGCAGGCGGATTACCTGAGGTCGGGAGTTCCAGACCAGCCTGACCAACATGGAGAAACCCCGTCTCTACTAAAAAATACAAAAGTTAGCCAGGTGTGGTGGCGGGCGCCTGTAATCCCAGGTACTTAGGAGGCTGAGGCAGGAGAACCGCTTGAACCGGGGAGGCAGAAGTTGCAGTGAGCCGAGATCACGCCATTGCACTCCAGCCTGGGCAACAAGAGTGAAACTCTGTCTCAAAAAAAAAAGAAAGAAAGAAAGAAAGAAAAGAGAAGAAGCCCTTGTCTTCTAATAAGATGGTGTTGGTTTTCAGAGAGCCCAATCCAGGCACTTCAAACAAGGCAGGGAAATCAATGGCCCTGAAGAAAGAGTTTCTCTTCAACAAGCCCCTCCGTCCCTGACACTGGCACCAAGGCATTCACCCACCAGCCCCTCTGTCCCTGACACTGGCACCCTGGCATTCACCCACCAGCCCCTCCGTCCCTGACACTGGCATTCTGGCATTCACCCACCAGCCCCTCCCCTCCCTGACACTGGCACCCCGGCATTCACCCACTGTCCGGGGCAACCAACCTTTCCTCCCACCACTGATGGGACAGCACCCTGGCCTACCACTTTTGAGGTGAAAAAAATTAGAAATCCCTGGCTAAAGAGGGGACAAATCGAGCCTAAAATCAAGCCTTGGTATCTCGCTTTTTAAATCTGCCTATACCTTTTGTGTATTGGTTGTGTAATTTTTTGTGTATTCATTGTGTGTAATTGCTGAATACACAATGAATACACAAAAGCTATAAATAGATTTAAAGAGAGAAACCAAACCAAAACCCATCGGTAGTCCACTGGAAAAACAAGGCTCCAACTCTCTATTCGGAACATTGTCAATTAAAAGAAAAGAATTAAGAATTTCCCTTTTAAACTATATTTCAGGGTAACTCAATAACTCTAGTGGACAACAGCAAGTTTTTTTGGGTTTTGTTTGGTTGGTTTCTTTTTTTTGAGACGGAGTCTTGCTCTGTTGCCCAGGCTGGAGTGCAATGGCCCAACCTCGGCTCACTGCAGCCTCTGCCTCGTGGGTTCAAGTGATTCTCCTGCCTCAGACTCCTGAGTAGCTGAGATTACAGGCGCCCACAACCAGGCCCTGCTAATTTTTTGTATTTTTAGTAGAGATGGGGTTTCACCATGTTGGCCAGGCTGGTCTCAAACTCCTGACCTCAGGTGATCCACCCACCTCGGCCTCTCAAAGTGGTGGGATTACAGGTGTAAGCCACCACACCCAGCCTGTTTGTTTTATTTAAGAGACAGGGTCTCGCTGCATCACCCAGGCTGAAGTGCAGTGGTGTAATCACAGCCCACTGCAGCCTTAACTTCTTGGGCTCAAAGGATCCTTCTGCCTTAGCCCCTGAGTAGCTAAGACTACAGGCACGCACCACCATACCTGGCTAATGTTTTATGTTTTTGTAGAGATGGGGTCTTGTTGCCCAGGCTGGATTCAAGCTCCTGGCCTCTCTCACCTTGGCCCACAAAAGCTCTGGGATTACAAGTGTGAGCCACCGTGCCCAGCCATTTTTGTTGTTGTTGTTTTTGATAGAAGAATTTCAGCTACTCATTGTGAAGAGATGAGATCATGAGAGAAACCACGATTTTGCCACCTCTCATGACATAATTATTTCTCGCAAGGGTCATGGATGAGATCAGTAATGACAAAACAAGGGCATCACAGGGTGGGTTCAGGCTATGACCACCTGGACCTACTGGCCACACTTAGCATCACAGGGTGGGTTCGGGCTGTGGCCACTTGGACCCACGGGGCACACTTAGCATTACAGGGTAGGTCAGGGCTATGGCCACCTGGACCCACTGGGCACACTTTGCATCACAGGGTGGGTTCGGGCTCTGGCCACCTGGACCCACGGGGCACACTTAGCATCACAGGTGCTTCCATGTGGCTCTCACAGCTCTGCCCACGAAGGCTTCTGGCAAAGAAAGATGAGCCTGAATCTAAGGGCATTTCTGCAGCACAGCTTCCATTTGCAGGAGACATGGGGCGAGGCGACACCACAGAGAGGCAAACAGCTGCGTGATAGGCGACACATTTGCAGGACAGCTGATCTGGTTTCTGCAACAAATCACAAGTGGTGGGAGGAGCAGTGGGGGTCGGGGCGGCGCCTGATCTAGAGTAAGAGAGGTTCAAGAGGCGCCACCACAAAACTTAAACTGTGGGCCTTGTTAGGAACCTATGTGTTCCATCTGATGGATGTAAGCAAACAATCAGGGGAATGTGATTCCGGATGGGGCCTGAGCAGGTGCCAAGGAATGACTGTTAATTTGAACATTGCCCTAAGGGAGCCGCAAGTGTGTTCCAGAGTTTCCCGTACTTGGCGCCTTGCAACCTGAAGTTCATAGGAACAAAATTTCAGAACATTTGCTACAGGATGGAAGATGCTTCAGCCAAAGGGGAAAAGGAAAGAGAAAGACAACAGCAATGCATGAAACAAGTGTGGCAATTATCGATAAAGCATGTGTGGTGATCACTGATCACATGTGTGAGTTTATTTGAAAAGTTACATTAAAAAATTTTGAGGCTAGGCACGGTGACTCACGCCTGTAATCCCAGCACTTTCGGAGGCCGAGGCGAGCAGATCACCTGAGGTCAGGAGTTCAAGATCTGCCTGGCCAACGTCGTAAAACCACATCTCTACTAAAAATAAAAATAAGTGCAAAATAAGCCGGATGTGGTGGCAGGCGCTATAATCCCAGCTACTCAGGAGGCTGAAGCAGGAGAATTGCTTGAACCTGGAAGGCGGAGGTTTCAGTGAGTCAAGACGGCACCATTGCACTCCAGCCTGGGCAAAAAGAGTGAAACTGTGACTCAAAAAAAAAAATTTTTTTTTTTGAAAAGAGACTAGGCATGCTGGCTCATGCCTGTAATCCCAGAACTTTGGGATATCAAGGCAGGAGGATTGCCTGAGGCCAGGAGTTCGAGACCAGCCTGGGCAACATGGTGAGACCCTCGTCTCTTAAAAAAAAAAAAAAATTGCCTCCCAAGACACATGCCTGTAGTCCCAGCTACTTGGGAGGCCTAGGAGAGAGGATTGCTTGAGGCTGGAACGTTGAGGCTGCAGTGGGCTATGATCAACCCACTGCACTCCAGCCCGGGTGACAGAGCAAGACTCTGTCTCAAAAAATAAATAAACAAAAATAAAGAAAGACATAGCCTTTCTCTTACAGACATGGTCAGGCATCATGGAAATCTTATTGCAGAAGTTGCTCGCCCTTCACCCCTAAGCCTCACCTCTCTGTTTCAGGGGATCCGAGTTTGGGGAAGGAAAGTCTATGGGGCCATCATTTCTCCCTTGTGGCTCCTGCGCCCACAGCCATGGGCCCCTCACACTGGGGCTGGGTGCCTGAGCAGAGTCCCTGTCCAGCCCCCACCAAGCTCCAGCATCCTGGACACCTCATGCCATCCCTCCTGGACTTTGTGCTGGGGATGAGGTCAATTTGAGAGCCTCCCTGAGGTCTGGTCACTCCTGCACACCCTCCACGGTGGGCAGAATGGTGCCCCCCAAAAGGCCCACATCCTAATCCCGGGACTGTGAATGGGCTACTTTTCATGGCAAAAGGGACATTGCCAGTGTGACCGAGGGTCCTGCGATGGGAGGCTCCCCGGCATCATGCAGGTGAACCCAGTGGCATGACAAGGGCCCCTGTGAGCGAGAGGCGGGGGTGAGAGCAGACCTGGTGCAAAAGCAGTGGGTGTGGTGATGCCCCAGCCTGGGACTGAGGCCCAGAACGTGGTGGCCTTCAGAAGCCGGGAAAGGCCAGGAGATGCATCTGCCCCCAGCCTCCAGAAGGAGCCAGCCCTGCTGACACCGTGGCTTTAGCCCAGTGCGGCCCCGTGGGACTTCTGACCCCCCGAACTCTAAAATAATAAATTGGCATTGTTTTGATCCTTCTGTGGCTGATATGTGTGATGAGGGGGTTTTCACACTCTTGCGTGGGACGTGCAACGTCTTTAGAACAGTGGCACATTACCTGTCCTACATGGGGGAAAAAAGAGGAAAAAATAAATACATTTGCATTGTTTTAGACCACTAAGTTTGTGGTCACGTGTAACAGCAGGAACAGCAAACAGATGTGCCCTCCGAGGCTCCCCTACATGCCTGCGAAGCTTGGGGACGCTGGGGAGGGTCACCTTGGCCATCTGGGGGCAGGTGGTACATCAAGACCCTCCCTCCCTCATCACCACCCTTCCTCCCCCATCACCATCCTCAATGGCACGGGGGCAACCCATGGTGAAGCAGCCGGACAGGCAGACTGTGCTAATTCCCTGCAAGGCAGAGCTGTTCCTCCAGCTTTGGAATGCAGCCAGCCCCTGCATGGCAGCCTCAAGGGGACAGGACCCCCCCCCCCATGCTCTCTCTTTCCCCTGGCCCCGACCCTGCCCCTCTGCTCCCTGCCCCCCAGCCCCACTGCCTTGGGCCTCCCTTGAGCTCCCAGGACAGGTCAGCAAATTGCTATGTGTGCATGTTTTCTAGGGAGAGTCCACAACCATGGTCAGAGTCCCTCGAGTCCAAAAAGAGACAGAGCCACAGCCTCAAGCGGCTCCTTGGGCCCCGGGTTCTGAGCTGGAATTGGATTCCCTGAGCCAGCTCTTAGTCCATGGTGACAGGCATCTGCTGATGTAGCCTCCTCTTATCTTCCCCAGAAACCAGATTAGATGCGGCCAGCAAAAAGAATATTCTCAGCTGGCAAAACGCTTTCACCGGCCACCAAAGGCCCCCTGTCCCTCCAGCCCACGGAGGGCACGGCGCCTCCTCATCCAAATGGGCTCTGGGCCCTGTGCCCCACATTCCTGGAGTGAGCCTAGACCTTGCGCTGCGTCCATCGTCTGGGAGCGTTGTGGGGTGTGGGTTTCCCCCCACATCCAGACCCTTGAGTCCTCAGGAGCAAGGACTGGCCTCTCTGGTTTCCCTTCACACAGCAGGTGCTGAATCAATGCCCGGGAACCGAGGCGTCCTGTGAGGCGACAGAGGCTGAGCTGGAGAAGGCTCACCTGAGACCTGCACAGATTCAGGCGTTATCGCTGCCAAGGCCCAGCAAAGGAAGCGAGGCTGCCGTGGACACAACTCATGGCTCAAACTGGGGCGGCCTGAATGTTCCTTTGTGGGTCCCCAGGGCTGGTGGAGGGGGGTCTATTCTCTTCCCCCTGATCTTTCAGCAGGTCCTGGCTCACCAGGGCTCAGCCCCACCCTCCAACGCACCAGGTGTCACTGGGCACCTGCTCAGTGGAGCCTGTTGCTGTTCAGAGACTGAAAGTGGTGATGGTGAGGCCAACACCGATGGCCATGGGACCAACATCAAGGTGAGGAAACCATCAAGGACTGCACCAGAGGGATACCCCTCCTTGACACACACACACACACACACACACACACACACACACACACACGAGATCCTGTCCCCTGATGGGGTAAGTAAGGGGGAGCAGGCCCTGCAGTGACCTGTTGGCCATCTCTTATCCACCCGACATGGCCAAAGGTAGCCACGTTATCTCCCATTGCATGTCCTCTCCTCTGTATCAGGACACAGTAGACATCCAGGTGCCTATAAAATAGACGTTTTTGGAGATAAGAGGCCCTTTGCAGCCTCTCTGGAAAGACTCTGTGAGAACAGTCCTGGTGAATGGAGAAGCCCTTAGCCACATGGTGTCAGGGGCCCCACCGCACCTCTGGCCTTTGGACAAAGTCAGCACCAGCCACTCCCACCCCACCCACCACTTTCATGCGTTCTGCAGCTGCCACTCCCTGCCCGCCAGGGTGACCAGATGCTGGCCGGAGCCAGGGCAGGGGCGGGCACTCTTCAGCATTTCCACAGGAAACCCCAGACCCTGTTCCCGCAGCCTGGCCCTCAGACAACTGCTCCCACTCTCCCCCTGCCCATGGGAGCTCAGCCTCTGGGGCAAGAGGGGACCCTGTTTACACCAATGCACCTAGGAAAAACCTTGGGGAAAATTCCAGGCCTGAGTCCTGAGTGTCCCCAGAGTCCACAGCTGGTGGCAGAGGGCCAAGAAGATAGTGACAATGAGGATTTATACCCCAGCAATGAGGGGACAGTGACAAGGCAGCTTCTCTGCAGGTCCACACAGGAAAAGAAACCCACAGCACGGCTCCGTGCAGCAGGGGCTCTGAGTGACACTCGCAAGGCCGTGGCATCAGGCAGGGGACCCCCCCACCGCGGAGGGCATGGCTCAGCAGAAGCCAGGAGAGGGTGGGTCCTGGGATCCCAACCCAAAGCAGGCAGTCAGGAACTGAGTGACCACGGGTACCCTGGGGGTACAGGTAGGAGGGAGGAGAGTGTCTCCGAGGCCCCCTTGCCAACCCTCAATGCCAAGTCCAGCAAAGGTGGTTTTCTGGCACCAACTAGCAGGCACTGATCCCCCTCATATCCCCAACTCATGACCCAGCCACCTTTCCCAGGGGCTGAGTGGCTCTGAACAGGGGTGGAGCCGTGGGGCAGTCTGGGGCTGACACCCAGGAGGCGTTGGGGGAGGCGCCCACTCAGGCCCTCGCTGCCCCGGGGAAAGGCCACTGCAGGCAAAGCACGCTGACACCAGAGCCTTCGGCAGAGGAGGGGGAAATTGTTTATGTCTTGCGCTCCTTCTTACCGTGGGCCTCCTGGGGGCTCCTGGCCCTGGGTGAGCAGGACGGACCCGGACCCGAGATGCCTCAGAGGGAAGCTTCTTGGGCAGGAGGACAGCACAGGCCATGGAGTCCCAGGGGGAGGGGGAGGGCTGTCCCACTGGGCCCCAGTGGGTCCTCTGCAGCAGGACAGTCTAGCCTGCCCCTGGCCATGCTGAGCCACATGGCTCTCCTCTCCGAGACCCTGTGGTGACAGGCAAGGGCACAGGGGTGGTGGGGCAGAGGCACTGTTGAAAAACCTGCCCAAGGGCCTGCCCTTGGCATCTCCTGGACCCACCCTCATCTTCCCTGAGGCTGTCCGAGTGCTTTCCCGGGTAGTCTGTCCTCAGTGGGAATGCCGCAAGCCTCCTCCTTGTGCCTGGCACAGCCCTACATGCTGGGGGAGGGGACACTAATGATCATCCCCAGCTCACAGGCACAGGAGGGAGGCCTGGGGCAGGGGTAGCCCAGGGTCGTGGCTGAGCCACTGAGAAAAGCTCAGATCCCCAACCCCCTCAGCTCTTCCTCCCCCAGGTTCCTAACCACGGCCCGACCTCCCTGGTCCAGTGAACGTCCCACTCCGCATTGTGTGCTACCCACTGGGTTCCTCCAAGGTTCTCAGAGTCCAAGCCTGGTGATCACCAACAAAAATCTCTGCAAACAGCAGATTCCTACACAGATGGCCCTGCCTTATTAGGGTGGCTCCACCGACGGGCCCCGACTCCACGATGGTAAGAATGTGGCCAGAACTCAGTAGCAACGGCACTTAAGTCCCACACAACCATGTTCACTTTCAGTACAGTATTCGACAAATTGCACAAGAAAATCAACACCTGATTAGAAAACTAGCTTCATGAGCTGGGGACAGTGGTTCACGCCTGTAATCCCAGCATTTTAGGAGACCAAAGCAGGAGGATGGCTTGAGCCCAGGAGTTCAAGACCAGCCTTGGCAACATGGCGAGACCCCATTTCTACAAAACATAACAAACCTTTTTTTAAATTAGCCAGGCGTGGTGGCACATACCTGTTGTCCCAGCTTCTTGGGTTGCTGAGGTAGGAGGATCATTTAAGCCCAGGGGTTTGAAGCTGCAGTGAGCTATAATCACACCACTGCACTCTAGCCTGGGCAGCAGAGTGAGAGTCTGCCTGAAAAAAAAAAAAAAAAAAAAAAAGCTTTGTGTGAGCTGATTTTGCCTACCTAGAGGCTAATGGGAGTGTCTTGAGCACATCTGAGGTCAGCTGGGCTGAGCTGGCAGGGCGGTTAGGCATACTAAATGCCTTTTTTTTTTTTTTTTTTTGTGATACAGTCTCACTATGTTGCCCAGGCTGGAGTGCAGTGGTGCCATCTCGGCTCACTGCAACCTCCGCCTCCTGGGTTCAAGTGATTCTTCTGCCTCAGCCTCACGAGTAGCTGGGACTACAGGCGCCTGCCATCATGCCCAGCTAATTTTTGTATTTTTAGTAGAGACAGGGTTTCACCATATTGGTCAGGCTGGTCTCGAACTCCTGGCCTCAGGTGATCCACCCTCCTCAGCCTCCCAAAATGCTGGGATTACAGGCATGAGCCACCACGCCTGGCCTGTTGCCACATTTTTGCTTTTGTGAATAAGCTGCTATGAACACCTGTGTGCAAGTATCTCTTTGAGACCCTGCTTCCAGTTCTCTTGGGCGTATACCCAGGAGTGGTATACATGAACAAATAAACAAGGGACACGCCAGGCATGCCTGTAATCCCAACATTTTGAGAGGCTGAGGCAGGAGGATCCCTTGAACCTAGGAGTACAAGACCAGCCTGAGCAACATAGGGAGACCCTGTCTCTACGAATACATTTTAAAAATTAGCTGGGCGTGGTGGTACACACCTGTGGTCTCAGCTACTCAGGAGGCTGAGATGGGAGGATGGCTTGAGCCCAGGAGGTCGAGGCTACACAGTGAGCCACGATCTCACCACTGTACTCCAGCCTGGGTGACAGAGTGAGATCCTGTCTCAAAAAATAAATGTAAAAAAAACACAGGACAGGCCGGGCATGGTGGCTCATGCCTGTAATCCCAGCAATTTGGGAGGCCGAGGCGGGTGGATCATGAGATCAGGAGATTGTGACCATCGGCTAACACGGTGAAGCCCCATCTCTACTAAAAATACAAAAAATTAGCCGAGTGTGGTGGCAGGCATCTGTAGTGCCAGCTGCTCAGGAGGCTGAGGCAGGAGAATGGTGTGAACCCGGGAGGTGGAGCTGGCAGTGAGCCAAGATCATGCCACTGCACTCTAGCCTGGGCGACTGAGTGAGACTCCATCTCAAGAAACAAAAACAAACAACCAGGACACAGGATGGTCACAGAGGGGCATAGACTCACACCCGGAATTTCTAGGTGTGAGCACAGAGGCTCCTAGAGAGGAGGAAGGTGGGTCGTCAAGCATATGGGTATTTTATGGGTTGAAGCGTGGTCCCCCCAAAAGATATGACCCTGTCCTAATTCCCAGAATGTGTGAATACGGCCTTTTTTGGATGGAGGGCCTTTGCAGATGGAATTAAGTGAAGGATGAGGAGATGAGGTCATTCTGGGTTATTCAGGCAGGCCCTACATCCAAGGGCTGGTGTCCTTATAGGAGTCATAGGGACAGACACAGAGAAGGCCTCTTGAGAATGGTGGCTGAGCAGGAGGGATGCAGCCACAAGCCAAGGATGCCCAGGCCACCAGAATGCATGACTGCTGCTTGAAGCCACTCAGTTTGTGGTCATTCATTACATCAGCTAAGCCAGGTCTGCACATACCTGCAGAGCAGGAACTCTGGAGGAGAAGCCAGACCCGAAAAGGGACAGTTTCCCCTCTGGCCAGGACCTCACCCCATCAACCCAGCTGCCCACGAGGCTGCTGGGCCAACATCCCAGGCCTACAGCTGCCAGCCTGCCCTGGGCTCAGCCAAGGGAAGAGGAAGCTGTGAACAAGTCAGCCCTGGGCCCCTTCAGGGAGCCAATGACCTCCTCCCTTCCTCCCTCATGCATTCATCCCTTCATTTGTTCATTCAGCCATCCATTCATCACTCCTTCCATAAACAGGCTTGGCACCTCCCACACGCCTAGATATGAATGCAGTATCAATGTGTCCCTTTCAGGGGCCCACAGCAGGCAGGTAAGCACACCCACAAATTCATAACTCCAGAGGGGACAGGAGGCCCAACAGAAGAATCACAAGAGAAGCCACAAGGGCCTCAGCTCTGCCTGGGGCAACAGGGAGAAGCCCCCTAGACTGGTGTCTGGAGGCCCACCCTGGACTGACACAGAGGCTTTCCTGATGGGCAAAGAAGGAGGCCTCCCTCTGGTTTGTGAAGGAGATGGTGGCATGGAGAGCTGGAGGTGGGATCCTGGGTTTTGTCCTCCAGGCGATAGACACAGGAGGGGTGAGAACAGGCTCACCTTTATCAAACTTTGGTGGAAAATTGAAATTGTGTTCCAGAAGGACCAAGAAAGTCTGATGCTGGCCATGTTCAGGCTGTGCTGCTCTGAGATACCGGGGCAGGTGGGCTTGGCAAGGTGGCCCCCATCCTCTCTCTCCCCATGTCCCCCTGATCCTGCTCCTGCTCCTGCTCCATCTCTCCCCACTCCCAGCTGCTCAGTGGCCAAGTCTGGTGTCCTTCAAGAAGTGGCTGAAACCTCTAAAGGAACTTCACCCTGCAGGGCAGGCCCTGCCCAAGGACATCACCACCCAGAGTCCAGGTCTGGCCCTCGCCACCCCACCCCCATCCCAGAGTCTGGAATGATGCAGCCCCCAGCTCCTGGGGCCCCCACATGTAGCCCCTGCTCCCAGCAAACCAGCAAGGGGGGCCTGGGGAGAGGGAGGGGCTAAGAGGGAGGGGAGCGCCTGGCCGTCCCCAGAGAGTACAGCTAACCCACAGCACATAATCCTGTTAAAAAATTAATCCTCATTTAGCCAGGAGGTAAGGCGGCCGCTGAGATAAAGCCCCTGAGAAGTAATAAAAGGCAACAGCAATTGATAAAGTGGTGAGGCCACTCATAAAACCCTGCTGCAGTCAAGGTCAGGCAGGTCCCAGGAATCGGAGAGCAAGCACCGCCAGGTGGGGGTGGGGGGCGTTGCCTTACAAGCCCCAGCCCCTGCAGAGGGCGACCACCTTGGGCAACAGAGCTGATGCTGATGGTGGAGAGAGGCAGAAAGGAGGGAGGCTGCCTTTCTCAGCTCCTCCCTGCTCGGCCTTACTGGATGGCTGTGGCCCTTTGGGAAGGAATCACCATCCTTGGTCCTTGTCTCTCTCCTAACATCATGGCCGTGAAAGATCACAGCCCCCCTGGGGCCCAGCCGGTCCCAGAGTAGACCTGGTGAGGCTGGGCCCATCTAGCGTGGCTCCTGGTGGCCCCCGCTGTCCCCCACACACTTGTCCCAGGGATAGGAGGATGGAGAGCCCACCCCAGTCCCCACACCAGGGACTCACCTGGAATCCTCCCAGATGACAGGTGTGGTCACCACTGCATCTGGCATCTGCCTGCTGGGGAAGACTCATTGCCATGTCGTCATGGGGACGTTCCACTCCAGCCAAATTGCATAATCAGGCCATTCCTCCTTCAGGGTCCCCAAAAGCCAATAATGGTCCCCAAAAAAGGGCACTGGACTGGAGGCAGGAGAGACCCATTGAGACCCAATATTGTCACCACTAGTCATGCTGGAAAATCGGGAGGGGGCTCGATGCCTCCGCTACTCCAACAGTGGCAACAACCCACAGCTGTAAGTGCCCAGCTTCCAAGCCCACACCCCTCACCAAGGCATCAAGGGCTCCCTGGAAGCACCAGTCTGGGGCTGCACCTGGCCAGAGAAGGAAGAGTGTGGTGATTCCCATTACTGTATCACTCCAACTGCTGCCTGGAGACTAAGGAGAAGCAAGGAGACCAGTCAGAAGGCAGTTGCAATGGTCCTGACCATGCTAACTTCACCCATGTTTTCTTTCACTTATGCACTGAAGAATCATTTATTAAACACCTACTGTGTGTCAGGCATCAGACCAGGAGCTCGGGATACTGTGTTGCTCACAGCCTTCTCCGAGAGACACATAAACAATTGCAATAGAATTCCTTGCATCAGGTTATTAACGAGAACAGGAAGTTAGCGGCAAAGCTGACCTTGTGGAGGACAATGCCTGCCTTATGGCTCTCGGCCACCAGCTGAGACACCAGCAGGCCTGGGCAGGCCAACCCCTGGCCCAGAGGCTGGGTCCCTAGGGCCCGAGCCCCCTACATGGCTCATCTGCATGGGGCAATCTCTACCTGTGCAAGCGTCAAATCCACCCGGTCCCCAGGCCAAGGACGCCTCTGGATCTGGCTGGCTGGCTTGGCTGGCTTGGCTGGCTGGCTGACTGGGTGGCTTGGTTGGCTTGGCTGGCTGGGTGGCTTGGTGGGCTTGGCTGGCTGGCTGGCTGGGTGGCTTGGCTGGCTTGGCTGGCTGGCTGGCTTGGCTGGTTGGCTCCCTGGGTGGCTTGGCTGGCTTGGCTGGCTTGGCTGGCTGGCTGGCTTCTGTGGTTTAGCCAAATGGCTGGCTTGGCCGGCTGGCTGGCTTGGCTGGCTTGGCTAGCTGGGTGGCTGGCTGCCTTGGCTGGCTGCGTGGCTTGGCTAGCTTGGCTGGCTGGGTGGCTTGGCTGGCTTGGCTGGCTGGGTGGCTTGGCTGGCTGGGTGGCTTGGCTGGCTTGGCTGGCTGGCTGGCTTGGGTGGCTTGGCTGGCTGGCTGGCTTGGGTGGCTTGGCTGGCTGGCTGGCTGGCTTGGGTGGCTTGGCTGGCTGGCTGGCTTGGGTGGCTTGGTTGGCTGGCTGGCTGGCTGGCTTGGCTGGCTTGGCTGGCTGGCTGGCTTGGCTGGCTTGGCTGGCTGGCTTCGCTGGCTGGCTTGCTGGCTGGCTGGCTGGCTTGGCTTGCCGGCTGGCTTGGCTGGCTTGGTTGGCTGGCTGGCTGGGCTGGCTTGTCTTGCTGGCTGGCTGGGCTGGCTTGGCTGGCTGGCTGGCTTGCCTGGCTTGGCTGGCTGCCTGTCTTTGCTGGCTCGGCTGGATGGCTGGCTGGCTGGCTTGGCTGGCTTAGGTGGCTGGCAGGCTTGGCTGGCTTGGGTGGCTGGCTTTCTTGGCTGGCTTGGCTGGCTTGGCTGGCTGGCTTGGGAGGCTGGCTGGCTTGGCTGGCTTCGCTGGCTGGCTGGCTTGGCTGGCTGGCTTCCTTGGCTGGCTTGGCTGGCTTGGCTGGCTTGGCTGGCTGGCTGGCTTGGCTGGCTTGGCTGGCTTGGCTGGCTGGCTGGCTGGGTGGCTTGGCTGGCTTGGCTGACTGGCTCCGTGGCTTGGCTGGCTTGGCTGGCTGGCTGGCTTGGTTGGTTGGGTGGCTGGGTGGCTTGGCTGGCTTGGCTGGCTGGCTGGCTTGGTTGGTTGGGTGCCTGGGTGGCTTGGCTTGCTTGGCTGGCTGGGTGGCTTGGCAGGCTTGGCTGGCTGGGTGGCTTGGCTGGCTGGCTGGCTTGGGTGGCTTGGCTGGCTGGCTGGCTGGGCTGGTTGACTGGCTAGGTGTCTTGGCTGGCTTGGCTGGCTGGGTGGCTTGGCTGGCTTGGCTGGCAGGGTGGCTTGGCTGGCTGGCTGGTTTGGCTTGGTGGCTGGCTTGGTTGCCTTTGGCTGGCTGGCTGGGTGGCTTGGCTGGCTTGGCTGGCTTGTCTGGCTGGCTGGGTGACTTGGCTGGCTTGGCTTGCTGGCTGGTTTGGCTGGCTTCGCTGGCTGGCTGGCTGGGTGGCCTGGCTGGCTTGGCTGGCTTGGCTGGCTTGGCTGGCTTGCTGGCTTGGCTGGCTGGGTGGCTTGGCTGGCTTGGGTGGCTGGCTGGATTGGCTGGCTGGCTGGCTGGCTGGCTTGGCTGGCTTGGCTGGCTGGCTGACTTGGCTGGCTTGGCTGGCATGACTGGCTGGCTTGCTTGGCTGTCTAGGCTGGATTGGCTGGCTCTCTGGGTTGGCTGGCTTGGCTGGGTGGCTTGCTTGGCTGGCTTGGTTGGCTGGCTGGCTTGGCTGGCTTGGCTTGCTGGCTGGCGTGGTTGGCTTGGCTGGCTGTGTGGCTTGGCTGGCTTGGCCGGCTGGGTGGCTTGGCTGGCTTGGCTGGCTTGGCTGGCTGGCTCACTTGGCTGGCTGCCTGGCTTCGCTGGCTTGGCTGTCTGGCTGGCTTGTCTGGCTTGGCTGGCTGGCCGGCCGGTTGGCTTGGCTGGCTTGGCCGGCCGGGTGGCTTGGCTGGCTTGCTGGCTTGGCTGGCTTGGCTTGTTGGCTGGCTTGGCTGGCTTAGGTGGCTGGTGGGCTTGGCTGACTTGGGTGACTGGCTGGTTTGGCTGGCTTGGGTGACTGGCTTGCTGGCTTGGCTGGCGTGGCTCGCTGGCTTCTTTGTCTGGCTTGGCTGGGTTGGCTGTCTGGCTGGCTGGGTGGCTTGGTTGGCTTGCCTGGATGGGTGGCTTGGTTGGCTTGGCTGGCCGGCTGGCTGGCTGGATGGGTGGCTTGTCTGGCTTGGCTGGCTGGGTGGCTTGGCTGGCTGGCTGGCTGGGTGGCTTGTCTGGCTTGGCTGGCTGGGTGGCTTGGCTGGCTTTGCTTGCTGGCTGGCTGGCTGGCTGGGTGGCTTGTCTGGCTTGTCTGGCTGGCTGGCTGGGTGGCTTGGCTGGCTTGGGTGGCTGTCTGGCTAGGTGGCTTGGCTGGCTTGCCTGGCTGGGTGGCTTGGCTGGCTTGGCTTGCTGGCTGGCTTGGCTGGCTTTTCTTGCTTGGCTGTCTTGGCTGGATTGGCTGGCTGTCTGGCTTGGCCGGCTTGGCTGGCTGGCTTGCTTGGCTGGCTTGGTTGGCTGGCTGGCTTGGCTGGCTTGGCTTGCTGGCTGGCTTGGCTGGCTTGGCTGGCAGGCTTTCTCGGCTGGCTTGGCTGGAAGGGTGGCTTGGCTGGCTGGGTGGCTGGGCTGGCTTGGCTGGCTGAGTGGCTTGGCTGGCTGGGTGGCTGGGCTGGCTGGGCTGGCTTGGCTGGCTGAGTGGCTTGGCTGTCTTGGCTGGCTGGCTCACGTGGCTGGCTGCCTGGCTTGGCTGGCTTGGCTGTCTGGCTGGCTTGGCTGGCTTGGCTGGCTGGCTTGGCTGGCTGGGTTGGCTGGCTGGCTGGCTGGCTGGCTTGGCCGGCTGGCTGGCTTGGCCGGCTGGCTGTCTTGGCTGGCTTGGCCGGCTGGCTGGCTTGGCTGGCTGGCTGTCTTGGCTGGCTGGCTGTCTTGGCTGGCTTGGCTGGCTTGGCTGGCTTGGCTGGCTTCGCTGGCTGGCTGGCTTGGCTGGCTTGGCTGTCTGGCTGGCTGGCTGGCCTGGCTGGCTGGGTGGCTGGCTGGCTTGGTTGGCTGGGTGGCTTTGCTGGCTTGGCTGTTTGGGCAGCTTGGCTGCCTTGGGTGGCTGGGTGGCTTGGCTGGCTTGGCTGGCTGGCTGGCTTGGCTGCCTTGCCTGGCTGCCTGGCTTGACAGGCTTGGCTGGATGGCTGGCTGGCTTGCTTGTCTGGCTGGCTGGCTTGGCTGGCTTAGGTGGCTGGCTGGCTTGGCTGGCTTGGCTGGCTTGGGTGGCTTGCTGGCTTGGCTGGATTGGGAGGCCGGCTGGCTTGACTGGCTTCGCTGGCTGGCTGGCTTGGCTGGCTTGGCTGGCTTGGCTGGCTGGGTGGCTTGGCGGGCTTGGCTGGCTGGCTGGCTCGGTGGCTTGGCTGGCTTGGCTGGCTGGCTGGCTTGGCTGGCTGGCTTAGCTCGTTGGCTGGCTGGGTGGCTTGGCTGGCTTGGACGGCTGGGTGGCTTGGCTGGCTTGGCTGGCTGGCTGTCTTGGGTGGCTTGGCTGGCTGGCTGGCTTGGCTGTTGGCTGGCTGGGTGGCTTGGCTGGCTTGGCTGGCTGGGTGGCTTGGCTGGCTTGGCTGGCTGGGTGTCTTGCCTAGCTTGGGTGGCTGGCTGACTTGGCTGCCTTGGCTGTCTGGCCACTTGGCTGGTTGGTAGGCCGGCTGGCTTGGCTGGCTGGCTGGCTTGGCTGGCTTGCCTGGCTTGGCTGGCTGGCTGGCTTGGCTGGCTTGGCCGGCTGGCTGGCTGGCCTAGCTGGCTGGCTTGGCTGGCTTGGCTGGCTGCTGGCTGGGTGGCCTGGCTGGCTTGGCTGGCTTGGCTGGCTGGCCTGGCCGGCGGGGTGGCCGGCTGGCTTGGCTGGATGCCTGGCTTGGCTGGCTTGGCTGGCTTGGCTGGCTGGCTGGCTTGGCTGGCTTGGCTGGCTTGGCTTGCTGGGTGGCTTGGCTGGCTTCGCTGGTGGGGTTGCTTGGTTGGCTTGGCTGGCCGGGTGGCTTGGCTGGCTGGCTGGCTTGGCTGGCTGGCTGGCTGGCTGGCTGGCTGGCTTGGCTGTCTTGGCTGGCTGGCTGGCCTGGCTGGCTTGGCTGTCTTGGCTGGCTGGCTGGCTGGGTGGCCTGGCTGGCATGGCTGGCTTGGCTGGCTGGCTGGGTGGCTTGGCTGTCTTGGCTGGCTGGGTTGCTTGGCTGGCTTGGCTGGCTGGCTGGCTTTTGTGGCTTGGCTGGCTGGCTGGCTTGGGTGGCTTTTCTGGCTGGCTGGCTTGGCTGGCTTGGCTGGCTGGGTGACTGGCTAGCTGTCTTGGCTGGCTTGGCTCGCTGGCTTCCTTGGCTGGCTTGGCTGGCTTGGCTGGCTTGACTGGGTTGGCTTTCTGGCTGGCTGGGTGGCTTGGCCGGCCTGACTGGCTGGGTGGCCTGGCTGACTTGGCTGGCTGGCTGGCTTGGCTGGCTTGGCTGGCTGGGTGGCTTGGCTGGCTGGCTGGCTTGGCTGGTTGGCTGGCTGGGTGGCTTGTCTGGCTTAGATGGCTGGCTGGCTTGGCCGGCTTGGGTGACAGGCTGGCGTGGCCGGCTTGGTGACTGCCTCGCTGGCTTGGCTGGCTTGGCTCGCTGGCTTCCTTGCCTGGCTTGGATGGCTTGGCTGGGTTGGCTGTCTGGCTGGCTGGGTGGCTTGGCTTGCTGGCTGGCTTGGCCGTCTTGGCTGGCTTGGCTGGCTTGGCTGGCTGGCTGGCTTGGCTGGCTTGGCTGGCAGGCTTTCTCGGCTGGCTTGGCTGGAAGGGTGGCTTGGCTGGCTGGGTGGCTGGGCTGGCTTGGCTGGCTGAGTGGCTTGGCTGGCTGGGTGGCTGGGCTGGCTGGGCTGGCTTGGCCGGCTGAGTGGCTTGGCTGTCTTGGCCAGCTGGCTGGCTTGGCTGGCTGGCTCACGTGGCTGGCTGCCTGGCTTGGCTGGCTTGGCTGTCTGGCTGGCTTGGCTGGCTTGGCTGGCTGGCTTGGCTGGCTGGGTTGGCCGGCTGGCTGGCTGGCTGGCTTGGCCGGCTGGCTGGCTTGGCCGGCTGGCTGTCTTGGCTGGCTTGGCCGGCTGGCTGGCTTGGCTGGCTGGCTGTCTTGGCTGGCTGGCTGTCTTGGCTGGCTTGGCTGGCTTGGCTGGCTGGCTGTCTTGGCTGGCTTGGCTGGCTTGGCTGGCTGGCTGGCTTGGCTGGCTTGGCTGGCTTCGCTGGCTGGCTGGCTTGGCTGGCTTGGCTGTCTGGCTGGCTGGCTGGCCTGGCTGGCTGGGTGGCTGGCTGGCTTGGTTGGCTGGGTGGCTTTGCTGGCTTGGCTGTTTGGGCAGCTTGGCTGCCTTGGGTGGCTGGGTGGCTTGGCTGGCTTGGCTGGCTGGCTGGCTTGGCTGCCTTGCCTGGCTGCCTGGCTTGACAGGCTTGGCTGGATGGCTGGCTGGCTTGCTTGTCTGGCTGGCTGGCTTGGCTGGCTTAGGTGGCTGGCTGGCTTGGCTGGCTTGGCTGGCTTGGGTGGCTTGCTGGCTTGGCTGGATTGGGAGGCCGGCTGGCTTGACTGGCTTCGCTGGCTGGCTGGCTTGGCTGGCTTGGCTGGCTTGGCTGGCTGGGTGGCTTGGCGGGCTTGGCTGGCTGGCTGGCTCGGTGGCTTGGCTGGCTTGGCTGGCTGGCTGGCTTGGCTGGCTGGCTTAGCTCGTTGGCTGGCTGGGTGGCTTGGCTGGCTTGGATGGCTGGGTGGCTTGGCTGGCTTGGCTGGCTGGCTGTCTTGGGTGGCTTGGCTGGCTGGCTGGCTTGGCTGTTGGCTGGCTGGGTGGCTTGGCTGGCTTGGCTGGCTGGGTGGCTTGGCTGGCTTGGCTGGCTGGGTGTCTTGCCTAGCTTGGGTGGCTGGCTGACTTGGCTGCCTTGGCTGTCTGGCCACTTGGCTGGTTGGTAGGCCGGCTGGCTTGGCTGGCTGGCTGGCTTGGCTGGCTTGCCTGGCTTGGCTGGCTGGCTGGCTTGGCTGGCTTGGCCGGCTGGCTGGCTGGCCTAGCTGGCTGGCTTGGCTGGCTTGGCTGGCTGCTGGCTGGGTGGCCTGGCTGGCTTGGCTGGCTTGGCTGGCTGGCCTGGCCGGCGGGGTGGCCGGCTGGCTTGGCTGGATGCCTGGCTTGGCTGGCTTGGCTGGCTTGGCTGGCTTGGCTGGCTGGCTGGCTTGGCTGGCTTGGCTGGCTTGGCTTGCTGGGTGGCTTGGCTGGCTTCGCTGGCGGGGTTGCTTGGTTGGCTTGGCTGGCCGGGTGGCTTGGCTGGCTGGCTGGCTTGGCTGGCTTGGCTGGCTGGCTGGCTGGCTGGCTGGCTTGGCTGTCTTGGCTGGCTGGCTGGCCTGGCTGGCTTGGCTGGCTGGGTTGGCCGGCTGGCTGGCTGGCTGGCTTGGCCGGCTGGCTGGCTTGGCCGGCTGGCTGTCTTGGCTGGCTTGGCCGGCTGGCTGGCTTGGCTGGCTGGCTGTCTTGGCTGGCTGGCTGTCTTGGCTGGCTTGGCTGGCTTGGCTGGCTGGCTGTCTTGGCTGGCTTGGCTGGCTTGGCTGGCTGGCTGGCTTGGCTGGCTTGGCTGGCTTCGCTGGCTGGCTGGCTTGGCTGGCTTGGCTGTCTGGCTGGCTGGCTGGCCTGGCTGGCTGGGTGGCTGGCTGGCTTGGTTGGCTGGGTGGCTTTGCTGGCTTGGCTGTTTGGGCAGCTTGGCTGCCTTGGGTGGCTGGGTGGCTTGGCTGGCTTGGCTGGCTGGCTGGCTTGGCTGCCTTGCCTGGCTGCCTGGCTTGACAGGCTTGGCTGGATGGCTGGCTGGCTTGCTTGTCTGGCTGGCTGGCTTGGCTGGCTTAGGTGGCTGGCTGGCTTGGCTGGCTTGGCTGGCTTGGGTGGCTTGCTGGCTTGGCTGGATTGGGAGGCCGGCTGGCTTGACTGGCTTCGCTGGCTGGCTGGCTTGGCTGGCTTGGCTGGCTTGGCTGGCTGGGTGGCTTGGCGGGCTTGGCTGGCTGGCTGGCTCGGTGGCTTGGCTGGCTTGGCTGGCTGGCTGGCTTGGCTGGCTGGCTTAGCTCGTTGGCTGGCTGGGTGGCTTGGCTGGCTTGGATGGCTGGGTGGCTTGGCTGGCTTGGCTGGCTGGCTGTCTTGGGTGGCTTGGCTGGCTGGCTGGCTTGGCTGTTGGCTGGCTGGGTGGCTTGGCTGGCTTGGCTGGCTGGGTGGCTTGGCTGGCTTGGCTGGCTGGGTGTCTTGCCTAGCTTGGGTGGCTGGCTGACTTGGCTGCCTTGGCTGTCTGGCCACTTGGCTGGTTGGTAGGCCGGCTGGCTTGGCTGGCTGGCTGGCTTGGCTGGCTTGCCTGGCTTGGCTGGCTGGCTGGCTTGGCTGGCTTGGCCGGCTGGCTGGCTGGCCTAGCTGGCTGGCTTGGCTGGCTTGGCTGGCTGCTGGCTGGGTGGCCTGGCTGGCTTGGCTGGCTTGGCTGGCTGGCCTGGCCGGCGGGGTGGCCGGCTGGCTTGGCTGGATGCCTGGCTTGGCTGGCTTGGCTGGCTTGGCTGGCTTGGCTGGCTGGCTGGCTTGGCTGGCTTGGCTGGCTTGGCTTGCTGGGTGGCTTGGCTGGCTTCGCTGGCGGGGTTGCTTGGTTGGCTTGGCTGGCCGGGTGGCTTGGCTGGCTGGCTGGCTTGGCTGGCTTGGCTGGCTGGCTGGCTGGCTGGCTGGCTTGGCTGTCTTGGCTGGCTGGCTGGCCTGGCTGGCTTGGCTGGCTTGGCTGGCTGGCCTGGCCGGCGGGGTGGCCGGCTGGCTTGGCTGGATGCCTGGCTTGGCTGGCTTGGCTGGCTTGGCTGGCTGGCTGGCTTGGCTGGCTTGGCTGGCTTGGCTTGCTGGGTGGCTTGGCTGGCTTCGCTGGTGGGGTTGCTTGGTTGGCTTGGCTGGCCGGGTGGCTTGGCTGGCTGGCTGGCTTGGCTGGCTGGCTGGCTGGCTGGCTGGCTTGGCTGTCTTGGCTGGCTGGCTGGCCTGGCTGGCTTGGCTGTCTTGGCTGGCTGGCTGGCTGGGTGGCCTGGCTGGCATGGCTGGCTTGGCTGGCTGGCTGGGTGGCTTGGCTGTCTTGGCTGGCTGGGTTGCTTGGCTGGCTTGGCTGGCTGGCTGGCTTTTGTGGCTTGGCTGGCTGGCTGGCTTGGGTGGCTTTTCTGGCTGGCTGGCTTGGCTGGCTTGGCTGGCTGGGTGACTGGCTAGCTGTCTTGGCTGGCTTGGCTCGCTGGCTTCCTTGGCTGGCTTGGCTGGCTTGGCTGGCTTGACTGGGTTGGCTTTCTGGCTGGCTGGGTGGCTTGGCCGGCCTGACTGGCTGGGTGGCCTGGCTGACTTGGCTGGCTGGCTGGCTTGGCTGGCTTGGCTGGCTGGGTGGCTTGGCTGGCTGGCTGGCTTGGCTGGTTGGCTGGCTGGGTGGCTTGTCTGGCTTAGATGGCTGGCTGGCTTGGCCGGCTTGGGTGACAGGCTGGCGTGGCCGGCTTGGTGACTGCCTCGCTGGCTTGGCTGGCTTGGCTCGCTGGCTTCCTTGCCTGGCTTGGATGGCTTGGCTGGGTTGGCTGTCTGGCTGGCTGGGTGGCTTGGCTTGCTGGCTGGCTTGGCCGTCTTGGCTGGCTTGGCTGGCTTGGCTGGCTGGCTGGCTTGGCTGGCTTGGCTGGCAGGCTTTCTCGGCTGGCTTGGCTGGAAGGGTGGCTTGGCTGGCTGGGCTGGCTGGGCTGGCTTGGCTGGCTGAGTGGCTTGGCTGGCTGGGTGGCTGGGCTGGCTGGGCTGGCTTGGCTGGCTGAGTGGCTTGGCTGTCTTGGCCAGCTGGCTGGCTTGGCTGGCTGGCTCACGTGGCTGGCTGCCTGGCTTGGCTGGCTTGGCTGTCTGGCTGGCTTGGCTGGCTTGGCTGGCTGGCTTGGCTGGCTGGGTTGGCTGGCTGGCTGGCTGGCTTGGCCGGCTGGCTGTCTTGGCTGGCTTGGCCGGCTGGCTGGCTTGGCCGGCTGGCTGTCTTGGCTGGCTGGCTGTCTTGGCTGGCTTGGCTGGCTTGGCTGGCTGGCTGTCTTGGCTGGCTTGGCTGGCTTGGCTGGCTGGCTGGCTTGACTGGCTTGGCTGGCTTCGCTGGCTGGCTGGCTTGGCTGGCTTGGCTGTCTGGCTGGCTGGCTGGCCTGGCTGGCTGGGTGGCTGGCTGGCTTGGTTGGCTGGGTGGCTTTGCTGGCTTGGCTGTTTGGGCAGCTTGGCTGCCTTGGGTGGCTGGGTGGCTTGGCTGGCTTGGCTGGCTGGCTGGCTTGGCTGCCTTGCCTGGCTGCCTGGCTTGACAGGCTTGGCTGGATGGCTGGCTGGCTTGCTTGTCTGGCTGGCTGGCTTGGCTGGCTTAGGTGGCTGGCTGGCTTGGCTGGCTTGGCTGGCTTGGGTGGCTTGCTGGCTTGGCTGGATTGGGAGGCCGGCTGGCTTGACTGGCTTCGCTGGCTGGCTGGCTTGGCTGGCTTGGCTGGCTTGGCTGGCTGGGTGGCTTGGCGGGCTTGGCTGGCTGGCTGGCTCGGTGGCTTGGCTGGCTTGGCTGGCTGGCTGGCTTGGCTGGCTGGCTTAGCTCGTTGGCTGGCTGGGTGGCTTGGCTGGCTTGGACGGCTGGGTGGCTTGGCTGGCTTGGCTGGCTGGCTGTCTTGGGTGGCTTGGCTGGCTGGCTGGCTTGGCTGTTGGCTGGCTGGGTGGCTTGGCTGGCTTGGCTGGCTGGGTGGCTTGGCTGGCTTGGCTGGCTGGGTGTCTTGCCTAGCTTGGGTGGCTGGCTGACTTGGCTGCCTTGGCTGTCTGGCCACTTGGCTGGCTGGTAGGCCGGATGGCTTGGCTGGCTGGCTGGCTTGGCTGGCTTGCCTGGCTTGGCTGGCTGGCTGGCTTGGCTGGCTTGGCCGGCTGGCTGGCTGGCCTAGCTGGCTGGCTTGGCTGGCTTGGCTGGCTGGCTGGCTGGGTGGCCTGGCTGGCTTGGCTGGCTTGGCTGGCTGGCCTGGCCGGCGGGGTGGCCGGCTGGCTTGGCTGGATGTCTGGCTTGGCTGGCTTTGCTGGCTGGCTGGCTTGGCTGGTTTGGCTGGCTGGCTGGCTTGGCTGGCTTGGCTGGCTTGGCTGGCTGGCTGGCTTGGCTGGCTTGGCTGGCTTCGCTGGCTGGCTGGCTTGGCTGGCTTGGCTGTCTGGCTGGCTGGCTGGCCTGGCTGGCTGGGTGGCTGGCTGGCTTGGTTGGCTGGGTGGCTTTGCTGGCTTGGCTGTTTGGGCAGCTTGGCTGCCTTGGGTGGCTGGGTGGCTTGGCTGGCTTGGCTGGCTGGCTGGCTTGGCTGGCTGGCTGGCTTGGCTGGTTGGCTGGCTGGGTGGCTTGTCTGGCTTAGATGGCTGGCTGGCTTTGCCGGCTTGGGTGACAGGCTGGCGTGGCCGGCTTGGTGACTGCCTCGCTGGCTTGGCTGGCTTGGCTCGCTGGCTTCCTTGCCTGGCTTGGATGGCTTGGCTGGGTTGGCTGTCTGGCTGGCTGGGTGGCTTGGCTTGCTGGCTGGCTTGGCCGTCTTGGCTGGCTTGGCTGGCTTGGCTGGCTGGCTGGCTTGGCTGGCTTGGCTGGCAGGCTTTCTCGGCTGGCTTGGCTGGAAGGGTGGCTTGGCTGGCTGGGTGGCTGGGCTGGCTTGGCTGGCTGAGTGGCTTGGCTGGCTGGGTGGCTGGGCTGGCTGGGCTGGCTTGGCTGGCTGAGTGGCTTGGCTGTCTTGGTCAGCTGGCTGGCTTGGCTGGCTGGCTCACGTGGCTGGCTGCCTGGCTTGGCTGGCTTGGCTGTCTGGCTGGCTTGGCTGGCTTGGCTGGCTGGCTTGGCTGGCTGGGTTGGCTGGCTGGCTGGCTGGCTGGCTTGGCCGGCTGGCTGGCTTGGCCGGCTGGCTGTCTTGGCTGGCTTGGCCGGCTGGCTGGCTTGGCTGGCTGGCTGTCTTGGCTGGCTTGGCTGGCTTGGCTGGCTGGCTGGCTTGGCTGGCTTCGCTGGCTGGCTGGCTTGGCTGGCTTGGCTGTCTGGCTGGCTGGCTGGCCTGGCTGGCTGGGTGGCTGGCTGGCTTGGTTGGCTGGGTGGCTTTGCTGGCTTGGCTGTTTGGGCAGCTTGGCTGCCTTGGGTGGCTGGGTGGCTTGGCTGGCTTGGCTGGCTGGCTGGCTTGGCTGCCTTGCCTGGCTGCCTGGCTTGACAGGCTTGGCTGGATGGCTGGCTGGCTTGCTTGTCTGGCTGGCTGGCTTGGCTGGCTTAGGTGGCTGGCTGGCTTGGCTGGCTTGGCTGGCTTGGGTGGCTTGCTGGCTTGGCTGGATTGGGAGGCCGGCTGGCTTGACTGGCTTCGCTGGCTGGCTGGCTTGGCTGGCTTGGCTGGCTTGGCTGGCTGGGTGGCTTGGCGGGCTTGGCTGGCTGGCTGGCTCGGTGGCTTGGCGGGCTTGGCTGGCTGGCTGGCTCGGTGGCTTGGCTGGCTTGGCTGGCTGGCTGGCTTGGCTGGCTGGCTTAGCTCGTTGGCTGGCTGGGTGACTTGGCTGGCTTGGACGGCTGGGTGGCTTGGCTAGCTTGGCTGGCTGGCTGTCTTGGGTGGCTTGGCTGGCTGGCTGGCTTGGCTGTTGGCTGGCTGGGTGGCTTGGCTGGCTTGGCTGGCTGGGTGTCTTGCCTAGCTTGGGTGGCTGGCTGACTTGGCTGCCTTGGCTGTCTGGCCACTTGGCTGGCTGGTAGGCCGGCTGGCTTGGCTGGCTGGCTGCTGGCTGGCTGGCTGGCTGGCTGGCTGGCTTGGCTGCTGGCTGGCTGGCTGGCTTGGCTGGCTTGGCTGTCTTGGCGGCTGGGCTGGCTGGGGTGGCCTGGCTGGCATGGCTGGCTTGGCTGGCTGGCTGGGTGGCTTGGCTGTCTTGGCTGGCTGGGTTGCTTGGCTGGCTTGGCTGGCTGGCTGGCTTTTGTGGCTTGGCTGGCTGGCTGGCTTGGGTGGCTTTTCTGGCTGGCTGGCTTGGCTGGCTTGGCTGGCTGGGTGACTGGCTAGCTGTCTTGGCTGGCTTGGCTCGCTGGCTTCCTTGGCTGGCTTGGCTGGCTTGGCTGGCTTGACTGGGTTGGCTTTCTGGCTGGCTGGGTGGCTTGGCCGGCCTGACTGGCTGGGTGGCCTGGCTGACTTGGCTGGCTGGCTGGCTTGGCTGGCTTGGCTGGCTGGGTGGCTTGGCTGGCTGGCTGGCTTGGCTGGTTGGCTGGCTGGGTGGCTTGTCTGGCTTAGATGGCTGGCTGGCTTGGCCGGCTTGGGTGACAGGCTGGCGTGGCCGGCTTGGTGACTGCCTCGCTGGCTTGGCTGGCTTGGCTCGCTGGCTTCCTTGCCTGGCTTGGATGGCTTGGCTGGGTTGGCTGTCTGGCTGGCTGGGTGGCTTGGCTTGCTGGCTGGCTTGGCCGTCTTGGCTGGCTTGGCTGGCTTGGCTGGCTGGCTGGCTTGGCTGGCTTGGCTGGCAGGCTTTCTCGGCTGGCTTGGCTGGAAGGGTGGCTTGGCTGGCTGGGTGGCTGGGCTGGCTTGGCTGGCTGAGTGGCTTGGCTGGCTGGGTGGCTGGGCTGGCTGGGCTGGCTTGGCTGGCTGAGTGGCTTGGCTGTCTTGGCCAGCTGGCTGGCTTGGCTGGCTGGCTCACGTGGCTGGCTGCCTGGCTTGGCTGGCTTGGCTGTCTGGCTGGCTTGGCTGGCTTGGCTGGCTGGCTTGGCTGGCTGGGTTGGCTGGCTGGCTGGCTGGCTGGCTTGGCCGGCTGGCTGGCTTGGCTGGCTGGCTGTCTTGGCTGGCTTGGCTGTCTTGGCTGGCTGGCTGTCTTGGCTGGCTGAGTGTCTTGGTTGGCTTGGCTGGCTTGGCTGGCTGGCTGTCTTGGCTGTCTTGGCTGGCTTGGCTGTCTTGGCTGGCTGGCTGGCTTGGGCTGGCTTGGCTGGCTGGCTGGCTGGCTTGGCTGGCTGGCTGGCTGGGTGGCCTGGCTGCTGGCTGGCTGGCTGGGCTGGCTGGCTGGCTGGCCTGGCTGGCTGGGTGGCTGGCTGGCTTGGTTGGCTGGGTGGCTTTGCTGGCTTGGCTGTTTGGGCAGCTTGGCTGCCTTGGGTGGCTGGGTGGCTTGGCTGGCTGGCTGGCTGGCTGGCTGGCTTGGCTGCCTTGCCTGGCTGCCTGGCTTGACAGGCTTGGCTGGGATGGCTGGCTGGCTTGCTTGTCTGGCTGGCTGGCTTGGCTGGCTTAGGTGGCTGGCTGGCTTGGCTGGCTTGGCTGGCTTGGGTGGCTTGCTGGCTTGGCTGGATTGGGGGCCGGCTGGCTTGACTGGGCTTCGCTGGCTGGCTTGGTGGCTGGCTTGGCTGGCTTGGCTGGCTTGGCTGGCTGGCTGGCTTGGCTGGCTTGGGCTGGCTGGCTTGGCTGGCTGGCTTGGCTGGCTGGCTGCGTCTGGCTGGCTGGGTGGCTTGGCTGGCTTGGGACTGGCTGGGTGGCTTGGCTGGCTGGCTGGCTGGCTGCTGGCTGGCTTGGCTGGCTGGCTGGCTTGGCTGGCTGGTGGCTGGCTGGCTTGGCTGCTGCTGGCTTGGCTGTGGCTGGCTGTGGCTGGCTGCTGGCTTGGCTGGCTTGGCTGGCTGGCTGGCTGGCTGGCTGGCTTGGCTGCTGGCTTGGCTGGCTGGGCTGGCTCGGCTGGCTGGCTTGGCTGGCTTGGCCGGCTGGCTGGCTTGGCTGGCTGGCTGTCTTGGCTGGCTTGGCTGGCTTGGCTGGCTGGCTGGCTGGCTGGCTTGGCTGGCTTGGCTGGCTGGCTGGCTTGGCTGGCTTGGCTGGCTTCGCTGGCTGGGCTGGCTTGGCTGGCTTGGCTGTCTGGCTGGCTGGCTGGCCTGGCTGGCTGGGTGGCTGGCTGGCTTGGTTGGCTGGGTGGCTTTGCTGGCTTGGCTGTTTGGGCAGCTTGGCTGCCTTGGGTGGCTGGGTGGCTTGGCTGGCTTGGCTGGCTGGCTGGCTTGGCTGCCTTGCCTGGCTGCCTGGCTTGACAGGCCTTGGCTGGATGGCTGGCTGGCTTGCTTGTCTGGCTGGCTGGCTTGGCTGGCTTAGGTGGCTGGCTGGCTTGGCTGGCTTGGCTGGCTTGGGTGGCTTGCTGGCTTGGCTGGATTGGGAGGCCGGCTGGCTTGACTGGCTTCGCTGGCTGGCTGGCTTGGCTGGCTTGGCTGGCTTGGCTGGCTGGGTGGCTTGGCGGGCTTGGCTGGCTGGCTGGCTCGGTGGCTTGGCGGGCTTGGCTGGCTGGCTGGCTCGGTGGCTTGGCTGGCTTGGCTGGCTGGCTGGCTTGGCTGGCTGGCTTAGCTCGTTGGCTGGCTGGGTGACTTGGCTGGCTTGGACGGCTGGGTGGCTTGGCTAGCTTGGCTGGCTGGCTGTCTTGGGTGGCTTGGCTGGCTGGCTGGCTTGGCTGTTGGCTGGCTGGGTGGCTTGGCTGGCTTGGCTGGCTGGGTGTCTTGCCTAGCTTGGGTGGCTGGCTGACTTGGCTGCCTTGGCTGTCTGGCCACTTGGCTGGCTGGTAGGCCGGCTGGCTTGGCTGGCTGGCTGGCTTGGCTGGCTGGCTGGCTGGCTGGCTGGCTTGGCTGTCTTGGCTGGCTGGCTGGCTTGGCTGGCTTGGCTGTCTTGGCTGGCTGGCTGGCTGGGTGGCCTGGCTGGCATGGCTGGCTTGGCTGGCTGGCTGGGTGGCTTGGCTGTCTTGGCTGGCTGGGTTGCTTGGCTGGCTTGGCTGGCTGGCTGGCTTTTGTGGCTTGGCTGGCTGGCTGGCTTGGGTGGCTTTTCTGGCTGGCTGGCTTGGCTGGCTTGGCTGGCTGGGTGACTGGCTAGCTGTCTTGGCTGGCTTGGCTCGCTGGCTTCCTTGGCTGGCTTGGCTGGCTTGGCTGGCTTGACTGGGTTGGCTTTCTGGCTGGCTGGGTGGCTTGGCCGGCCTGACTGGCTGGGTGGCCTGGCTGACTTGGCTGGCTGGCTGGCTTGGCTGGCTTGGCTGGCTGGGTGGCTTGGCTGGCTGGCTGGCTTGGCTGGTTGGCTGGCTGGGTGGCTTGTCTGGCTTAGATGGCTGGCTGGCTTGGCCGGCTTGGGTGACAGGCTGGCGTGGCCGGCTTGGTGACTGCCTCGCTGGCTTGGCTGGCTTGGCTCGCTGGCTTCCTTGCCTGGCTTGGATGGCTTGGCTGGGTTGGCTGTCTGGCTGGCTGGGTGGCTTGGCTTGCTGGCTGGCTTGGCCGTCTTGGCTGGCTTGGCTGGCTTGGCTGGCTGGCTGGCTTGGCTGGCTTGGCTGGCAGGCTTTCTCGGCTGGCTTGGCTGGAAGGGTGGCTTGGCTGGCTGGGTGGCTGGGCTGGCTTGGCTGGCTGAGTGGCTTGGCTGGCTGGGTGGCTGGGCTGGCTGGGCTGGCTTGGCTGGCTGAGTGGCTTGGCTGTCTTGGCCAGCTGGCTGGCTTGGCTGGCTGGCTCACGTGGCTGGCTGCCTGGCTTGGCTGGCTTGGCTGTCTGGCTGGCTTGGCTGGCTTGGCTGGCTGGCTTGGCTGGCTGGGTTGGCTGGCTGGCTGGCTGGCTGGCTTGGCCGGCTGGCTGGCTTGGCTGGCTGGCTGTCTTGGCTGGCTTGGCTGTCTTGGCTGGCTGGCTGTCTTGGCTGGCTGAGTGTCTTGGTTGGCTTGGCTGGCTTGGCTGGCTGGCTGTCTTGGCTGTCTTGGCTGGCTTGGCTGTCTTGGCTGGCTGGCTGGCTTGGCTGGCTTGGCTGGCTTCGCCGGCTGGCTGGCTTGGCTGGCTTGGCTGTCTGGCTGGCTGGGTGGCCTGGCTTGCTTGGCTGGCTTGGCTGGCTGGCTGGCTGGCTGGCTGGCCTGGCTGGCTGGGTGGCTGGCTGGCTTGGTTGGCTGGGTGGCTTTGCTGGCTTGGCTGTTTGGGCAGCTTGGCTGCCTTGGGTGGCTGGGTGGCTTGGCTGGCTTGGCTGGCTGGCTGGCTTGGCTGCCTTGCCTGGCTGCCTGGCTTGACAGGCTTGGCTGGATGGCTGGCTGGCTTGCTTGTCTGGCTGGCTGGCTTGGCTGGCTTAGGTGGCTGGCTGGCTTGGCTGGCTTGGCTGGCTTGGGTGGCTTGCTGGCTTGGCTGGATTGGGAGGCCGGCTGGCTTGACTGGCTTCGCTGGCTGGCTGGCTTGGCTGGCTTGGCTGGCTTGGCTGGCTGGGTGGCTTGGCGGGCTTGGCTGGCTGGCTGGCTCGGTGGCTTGGCTGGCTTGGCTGGCTGGCTGGCTTGGCTGGCTGGCTTAGCTCGTTGGCTGGCTGGGTGGCTTGGCTGGCTTGGACGGCTGGGTGGCTTGGCTGGCTTGGCTGGCTGGCTGTCTTGGGTGGCTTGGCTGGCTGGCTGGCTTGGCTGTTGGCTGGCTGGGTGGCTTGGCTGGCTTGGCTGGCTGGGTGGCTTGGCTGGCTTGGCTGGCTGGGTGTCTTGCCTAGCTTGGGTGGCTGGCTGACTTGGCTGCCTTGGCTGTCTGGCCACTTGGCTGGCTGGTAGGCCGGCTGGCTTGGCTGGCTGGCTGGCTTGGCTGGCTTGCCTGGCTTGGCTGGCTGGCTGGCTTGGCTGTCTTGGCTGGCTGGCTGGCTTGGCTGGCTTGGCTGGCTTGGCTGGCTGGCTGGCTGGGTGGCCTGGCTGGCATGGCTGGCTTGGCTGGCTGGCTGGGTGGCTTGGCTGTCTTGGCTGGCTGGGTTGCTTGGCTGGCTTGGCTGGCTGGCTGGCTTTTGTGGCTTGGCTGGCTGGCTGGCTTGGGTGGCTTTTCTGGCTGGCTGGCTTGGCTGGCTTGGCTGGCTGGGTGACTGGCTAGCTGTCTTGGCTGGCTTGGCTCGCTGGCTTCCTTGGCTGGCTTGGCTGGCTTGGCTGGCTTGACTGGGTTGGCTTTCTGGCTGGCTGGGTGGCTTGGCCGGCCTGACTGGCTGGGTGGCCTGGCTGACTTGGCTGGCTGGCTGGCTTGGCTGGCTTGGCTGGCTGGGTGGCTTGGCTGGCTGGCTGGCTTGGCTGGTTGGCTGGCTGGGTGGCTTGTCTGGCTTAGATGGCTGGCTGGCTTGGCCGGCTTGGGTGACAGGCTGGCGTGGCCGGCTTGGTGACTGCCTCGCTGGCTTGGCTGGCTTGGCTCGCTGGCTTCCTTGCCTGGCTTGGATGGCTTGGCTGGGTTGGCTGTCTGGCTGGCTGGGTGGCTTGGCTTGCTGGCTGGCTTGGCCGTCTTGGCTGGCTTGGCTGGCTTGGCTGGCTGGCTGGCTTGGCTGGCTTGGCTGGCAGGCTTTCTCGGCTGGCTTGGCTGGAAGGGTGGCTTGGCTGGCTGGGTGGCTGGGCTGGCTTGGCTGGCTGAGTGGCTTGGCTGGCTGGGTGGCTGGGCTGGCTGGGCTGGCTTGGCCGGCTGAGTGGCTTGGCTGTCTTGGCCAGCTGGCTGGCTTGGCTGGCTGGCTCACGTGGCTGGCTGCCTGGCTTGGCTGGCTTGGCTGTCTGGCTGGCTTGGCTGGCTTGGCTGGCTGGCTTGGCTGGCTGGGTTGGCTGGCTGGCTGGCTGGCTGGCTTGGCCGGCTGGCTGGCTTGGCTGGCTGGCTGTCTTGGCTGGCTTGGCTGTCTTGGCTGGCTGGCTGTCTTGGCTGGCTGAGTGTCTTGGTTGGCTTGGCTGGCTTGGCTGGCTGGCTGTCTTGGCTGTCTTGGCTGGCTTGGCTGTCTTGGCTGGCTGGCTGGCTTGGCTGGCTTGGCTGGCTTCGCCGGCTGGCTGGCTTGGCTGGCTTGGCTGTCTGGCTGGCTGGGTGGCCTGGCTGGCTTGGCTGGCTTGGCTGGCTGGCTGGCTGGCTGGCTGGCCTGGCTGGCTGGGTGGCTGGCTGGCTTGGTTGGCTGGGTGGCTTTGCTGGCTTGGCTGTTTGGGCAGCTTGGCTGCCTTGGGTGGCTGGGTGGCTTGGCTGGCTTGGCTGGCTGGCTGGCTTGGCTGCCTTGCCTGGCTGCCTGGCTTGACAGGCTTGGCTGGATGGCTGGCTGGCTTGCTTGTCTGGCTGGCTGGCTTGGCTGGCTTAGGTGGCTGGCTGGCTTGGCTGGCTTGGCTGGCTTGGGTGGCTTGCTGGCTTGGCTGGATTGGGAGGCCGGCTGGCTTGACTGGCTTCGCTGGCTGGCTGGCTTGGCTGGCTTGGCTGGCTTGGCTGGCTGGGTGGCTTGGCGGGCTTGGCTGGCTGGCTGGCTCGGTGGCTTGGCTGGCTTGGCTGGCTGGCTGGCTTGGCTGGCTGGCTTAGCTCGTTGGCTGGCTGGGTGGCTTGGCTGGCTTGGACGGCTGGGTGGCTTGGCTGGCTTGGCTGGCTGGCTGTCTTGGGTGGCTTGGCTGGCTGGCTGGCTTGGCTGTTGGCTGGCTGGGTGGCTTGGCTGGCTTGGCTGGCTGGGTGGCTTGGCTGGCTTGGCTGGCTGGGTGTCTTGCCTAGCTTGGGTGGCTGGCTGACTTGGCTGCCTTGGCTGTCTGGCCACTTGGCTGGCTGGTAGGCCGGCTGGCTTGGCTGGCTGGCTGGCTTGGCTGGCTTGCCTGGCTTGGCTGGCTGGCTGGCTTGGCTGGCTTGGCCGGCTGGCTGGCTGGCCTAGCTGGCTGGCTTGGCTGGCTTGGCTGGCTGGCTGGCTGGGTGGCCTGGCTGGCTTGGCCGGCTTGGCTGGCTGGCCTGGCCGGCGGGGTGGCCGGCTGGCTTGGCTGGATGCCTGGCTTGGCTGGCTTTGCTGGCTGGCTGGCTTGGCTGGCTTGGCTGGCTGGCTGGCTTGGCTGGCTTGGCTGGCTTGGCTTGCTGGGTGGCTTGGCTGGCTTCGCTGGCGGGGTTGCTTGGTTGGCTTGGCTGGCCGGGTGGCTTGGCTGGCTGGCTGGCTTGGCTGGCTGGCTTGGCTGTGTTGGCTGGCTGGCTGGCTTGGCTGGCTTGGCTGTCTTGGCTGGCTGGCTGGCTTGGCTGGCTTGGCTGTCTTGGCTGGCTGGCTGGCTGGGTGGCCTGGCTGGCATGGCTGGCTTGGCTGGCTGGCTGGGTGGCTTGGCTGTCTTGGCTGGCTGGGTTGCTTGGCTGGCTTGGCTGGCTGGCTGGCTTTTGTGGCTTGGCTGGCTGGCTGGCTTGGGTGGCTTTTCTGGCTGGCTGGCTTGGCTGGCTTGGCTGGCTGGGTGACTGGCTAGCTGTCTTGGCTGGCTTGGCTCGCTGGCTTCCTTGGCTGGCTTGGCTGGCTTGGCTGGCTTGACTGGGTTGGCTTTCTCGCTGGCTGGGTGGGTTGGCCGGCCTGACTGGCTGGGTGGCCTGGCTGACTTGGCTGGCTGGCTGGCTTGGCTGGCTTGGCTGGCTGGGTGGCTTGGCTGGCTGGCTGGCTTGGCTGGTTGGCTGGCTGGGTGGCTTGTCTGGCTTAGATGGCTGGCTGGCTTGGCCGGCTTGGGTGACAGGCTGGCGTGGCCGGCTTGGTGACTGCCTCGCTGGCTTGGCTGGCTTGGCTCGCTGGCTTCCTTGCCTGGCTTGGATGGCTTGGCTGGGTTGGCTGTCTGGCTGGCTGGGTGGCTTGGCTTGCTGGCTGGCTTGGCCGTCTTGGCTGGCTTCGCTGGCTTGGCTGGCTGGCTGGCTTGGCTGGCTGGCTGGCTCTCCCAGGCTGCAATGCAACGGTATGATCTTGGCTCACTGCAACCTCTGCCTCCCAGGTTCAAGCAATTCTCCTGCCTCAGCCTCCCGAGTAGCTGGGATTACAGGCCTGAGCCACAACACCCGGCTGATTTTTGTACTTTTAGTAGAGATGGGGTTTCATCATGTTTCGTACTCCAGTATGGGTGACAGAGCAAGACTGTCTCAAAAAAACAAAAAAGAATTTATACATTGGCATACAGATTCACACACATACACTCATATTCACAAACACACAAATACAATAAATGCAGGGGCACACACAAACACCATCACAAAAACACACTTCCATAAAACACAGGAATGCACGCTCACACAGAAACACACATGGAAACACACGTCTTACAGACTCACAGACACACTCATCATCACATAAACAGGCACACACAGCCACACAAGCACACACCCACACCCACATCAACACACACACTCCCACATGGCACCCACGCACTCACGCACACAGGCAGAACAGGCCTGCATTACCTGATAACGCAGTTGAATCAGACGTGATGCTGCCTGCCGAGGAGACCTGGAGGCTTCCCATGCATGAGCTTTCAGATGAGAGGTCTCTGGGTGCATCTGGTGACACCCCAGGCAGTGGGGGAGACGTCCAGGCCGGAAGGCCAGCCACAGCCAGCTCTGCCCAAGGATGCCACGTCCATTTGCTTCAGTAGGATCTGCATCCTGTAAACCCTGGTTCCTGCCTTTCCACGACACCCCACTGAGGTCAGCACACTCCCCAGGTTTAGAAGGGGTCTCTCGGTGAAATCTGGTGACACCCCAGGCAGAAGGGGGGACACCACAGCCAGCTCTGCCCGCGGATGCGACGTCCATTTGCTTCAGTAGGATCTGCACCTTGGAAACCCAGGTTCCTGCCTCTCCAGGACACCCCACTGACGTTAGCACACCCTCCAGGTTTACAAGCGGTCTCTGGATACATTTGGTGACACCACAGGCAGATGGGGGATGCTACAGCCAGCTCTGCCCATGGATGCCACTTCCATTTGCTTCAGTAGGATCTGCACCCTGTAAACCCTGGTTCCTGCGTCTCCAGGACACCCCACTGAGGTCAGCACCCCCCACCCACCACCCCCATGTTTGTCCATCTTCGCTGTCTGGGGAGATACACAGAAAGACCACATTCGGTGGAATTCTGGCTATAACATTTTGTGGCCGGCAAGAAGGATCACCAAGCTGTCCTGTTACCTTGCTGGAGCGATCACTGGTTTCACGCTTGGCCCCCGTGCAGTGAGTGCCTGGGCCAGGCTCGATTCCTGGAGCTCCGGTGAAATTTGGGCTTGGAGCTCACGCCTGCACCATCCAGAAAGCAGAAGGCAGCCGGCCTGGGCTGTACGGTTCGTAGAATCAGAGAGAACACTGCTTGCCTTCATGTCTGTACCACAATAAATCTGCCAACTGCGGTCAAAGTCTCTGGATTCCTGCCCCCTCATTTTATTTAGTCTATTACGGAGCGGAAGGAGTGAGAAAGATTTTGCTTCCTATTTTGTTTTGCAAAGCGTTTCTAAGAAAAACAACCCGTGTTCTGAAAACGAGATTCTGAGTGTCCCCTGGGCGTGATGAAAACAAACTTTGGGAATCCAAGGGCCTGAGAGGCAGAGTGAATGTCATTCGCATTTCCCTGCGAATGACAAAGTCACTTTTTATTTATTTTTATTATTTTTATTATTATTATTATTATTATTATTATTATAGATTCAGGGGATCCACGGGCAGCTTTGTGACCTGAGGATATTGTACGTTGCTGAGGTTTGGGGTATGAATCATCCCGTCACCCAGGCACTGAGCATTGTACATTCCTGAGGTATATAATGTGTACTAAAAATAAAATGTATATTTATATATGCACTAATGATTCAACTTGATTCCTTGTAATTAAGAAAAACAAACCCCAAATTCTAGAGGAGTTCTAGAAATATGTAAGAAGAGAGGCCAGGCGCAGTGGCTCATGCCTGTAATCCCAGCACTTTGGGAGGCCGAGGCAGGTGGATCTCCTAAGGTCAGGAGTTCGAGACCAGCCTGGCCAACATGGTGAAAGCCCGTCTCTGCTAAAAATACAAAAATTAGCCAGGTGTGGTGGCGGGTGCCTGTAGTCCCAGCTACTTGGGAGGCTGAGGTAGAAGAATTGCTTGAATCCAGGAGGCAGAAGTTGCAGGGAGCCGAGATTGCACCACTGCACTCCAGCCTGGGTCACAGAGCGAGACTCCATCTCAAAAAAAAAAAAAAAAAAAAGAGAGAGAGAGAAAACAAACAAGCAAGAAAATGCAACAGAAAAATCCGTGACCCAAAGCTCTCTCCAGTTGCTGCTTTCTGCCTGAAATTCAAAGAATCTCAGGGTAGTTTTTCAACCCTTGTACCCCCGCCCCTGCTTCCTGCTCTATTAGTACTGAGGGTCTGTGGTGCCCCTTCATTGTGTCCAGGTGCAGGCAATGTTTAGCTCCCACCTATAAGCGAGAACATGTGGTATTTGATTTTCTGTTCCTGGCGTTAATTCACTAAGCATAGTGCCCTTCAGCTTCATCCACGTGACTACAAAGGGCATGATTTTATTCTTGTTCATGGCTGTGTAGTATTCCATGATGCGGAAGGACCACATTTGCTTTATCTAATTGAGAACATGTGGTATTTGATTTTCTGTGTCTGGCATTAATTCACTAAGCATAATGCCCTTCAGCTTCATCCATGTTGCTGCAAAGGGCATGATTTTATTCTTGTTTATGGCTGTGTAGTATTCCATGATGCGGAAGGACCACATTTGCTTTATCTAGTGCACAACATGTGGTATTTGATTTTCTGTTCCTCATATTGATTCACTAAGCATAATGCCCTCCGGCTGCATCCATGTGGCTGCAAAGACATGATTTTATTTTTTTCATCACTGTGTAGTATTCCGTGGTGTAGAAGGGCCACATTTGCTTTATCCAGTTGAGGACATGTAGTATTTCATTTTCTGTTCCTGGCATTAATTCACTAAGCATAATGTCCTTCAGCTGCATCCATGTGGCTGCAAAGGACATGATATTATTCTTTTTCATGGCTGCATAGTATTCCATGATGCAGAAAGACCACATTTGCTTTATCTAGTGGAGAACATGTGGTATTCGATTTTCTTTTCCTGGTGTTAATTCACTAAGCATAATTCCCTTCAGCTGCATCCATGTGGCTGCAAAGACATGATTTTATTCTTTTTCATGGTTGTGCAGTATTCCATGGCGTAGAAGGGCCACAATTGCTTTATCCAGTCAAGAACATGTGGTATTTGATTTTCTGTTCTTGTGTTAATTCATTAAGCGTAATGCCCTCCAGCTACATCCATGTGGCTGCAAAGGACGTGATTTTATTCTTTTTCATGGCTGTGTAGTATTTGATGCTGTAGAAGAACCACTTTTGCTTTATCTGGTACCCCACTGATGGGCAACTAGGTTGATTCCATGACTTTCCTATTGTAAGTCGTGCTGTGATGAACCTTACAGGGCCGGGCACTGTAATCCCAGCACTCTGGAGGGCCGAGGTGGGCAGATCACCTGAGGTCAGGAGTTCGAGACCAGCCTGGTCAACATGGTGAAACCCTATCTCTACTAAAAATACAAAAACTAGCCAGGCATGGTGGCGCATGCCTGTAATCCCAGCTGCTCAGGAGGCTGAGGCAGGAGAATCACTTGAACCCGGGAGGCGGAGGTTTCAGTGAGCCGAGATTGCTACTGCACTCCAGCATGGGCAATAGAGTGAGACTCCATCTCAAAAAACAACAAAACAAAAAAAACAAGGAACTTTACCGTGCATGTGTCTTTTTGGTAGAAAGACTTCTTTTCCTTTGGGTAGATGCCCAGTCTTGGAATTGCTGGTGCAAATGGTGGAGCAGTTTGGATTCAGGAGGTACATGTACAGGTTTCTTACATGGGGACGATGTGTGATGCTGAGGTCTGGGGTATGAGTGATCCCATCACCCAGGTAGTGAGCATAATACCCCACAGTTGGTTTTTTTCAACTCTTGTCCTTCTACCTTCCTCTCTCCCCCTAACTAGAACCCAGTATCTGTTCCCTTCTCTGTGTCTACCTATACACAACATTTAGCTCCCACTTATAAGTGAGAACACGCAGCATTCTGTTAATTTACTTAAGATAATGGCCTCCACACTGTTCACAATAGCAAAGATGTGGAACCAACCCAAATGCTCATCAGTGATAGACTGGATAAACAAAATGCAGCACATAGACACTGTGGAATACTATGCAGCCATGAAAAAGGATGAGTTCATGTCCTTTGCAGGGACATGGATGAAGCTGGAAACTCTCATGTTCAGCAAAGTGAAACAGGAACAGAAAACCAAACAGTGCATGTTCTCACTCATAAGTGGGAAGTGAACAATGAGAACACATCGACCCAGAGAGGGGAACATCACACACTGGGGCCTGTTGCAGGGGTGGGGGGACTGGGGGAGGGACAGCATTATGAGAAATATCTAATGTAGATGATGGGTTGATGGGTGCAGCAAACCGCTATGGCACATATATATCTATGTAACAATCCTGCACATTCTGCACATATACCCCAGAACTTAAAGTAGAATAGAAAAAATAAAAAATAATAAAAATAATTAAAAAAGATAATGGCCTCCAGCTACATCTGTGTTGCTGCAAAAACAAACAAAAAATAAAAATAAAAAAATGATTTTGTTCCTTTTCAGGGTTGCGTAGTATTCCATGGTGTAGATATACCGAATTTTCTTTGAGGATGGAGGGTGGGAGGAAGGAGAAGATCAGCAAAAATAACCTGTGGCTGGGTGTGGCAGCTCACACCTGTATTCTCAGCACTTTGGGAGGCTGAGGTGGGTGGTCACCTGAGGTCAGGAGTTTGAGATCAGCCTGGCCAACATGGCAAAACCCTATCTCTACTAAAAGTACAAAAATTAGCCGGGCATGGTGGTGCACGCCTGTAATCCCGGCTCTTCTGTAGGTTGAGGCAGGAGAATCTCTTGAACCCAGGAGGCAGACATTGCAGTGAGCCGAGATCGTGCCACTGCCCTCCAGCCTGGGCCACAGAGTGGGACTCCATCTCAAAAAATAATCATAAAAATAATAATAATAACCTGCTAGGCTTAGGACCTAGGTTGATTCCATTACAAAAAAAAAAGAAAAAACTAACTTTTTAAAAGAAGGATCTCTCTGTTCAAAAACAAAACCAATGCCCTGTCAGGAAAGATGTTCTGTGTTTCTGGTAAAGCTGGAAGGAACCTACAGGAAGGAGTCACCCCATAAAACTAGTGGAGCAGCATTGCCTTTTGGGGTGAGGGCTACTTCTGTTAGGCCACCAGGGTGAGTGTCTTCCTGGGGAGTGTGGTTCATCATATACCATCCAGGAAGCAATTCCTGCCCCCAAATCACTTGCCAGCTTCTGCCCTGTAAGTAAAATCCCCAGCAAGCGGGCAGCAAGGAGCTGCTTGCCTTGGAAGGCAGCTGAAGTCTCTGCCCACCACCCAGACTGTGTCCTCTGGGAAAGGCCAGGTCTTCCAGTTGGATGGTTTTCACATTAGCGGCTGCTGTTTAGAATCATCAACATTGGCCAGGCACGGTGGCTCACGCCTGTCATCTCAGCACTTTGGGAAGCTGAGGCGGGCGGATCACAAGGTCAGGGACCAGCCTGGCCAACATGGTGAAACCCTGTCTCAACTAAAAAAAAAATACAAAAATTAGCTTGGTGTGGCTGGGCATGGTGGCTCATCCCTGTAATCCCAGCACTGTGGGAGGCTGAGGCGGGCGGATCATGAGGTCAGGAGATCAAGACCATCCTGGCTAACACGCTGAAACCCTGTCTCTACTAAAAATACAAAAAATTAGCCAGGCACGGTGGCAGGCACCTGTAATCCCAGCTACTCATGAGGCTGAGGCAGGAGAATGGCGTGAACCTGAGAGGCGGGGTTTCCAGTGAGCCCAGATTGCGCCACTGCACTCCAGCCTGGGCGATATAGAGTGAGACTCTGTCTCAAAAAAAATAAAATAATAAAAAATTAGCCTGGTGTGGCGGTGGGCACCTGTAATCCCAGCTACTCAGGAGGCTGAGGCAGGAGAATTGCTTGCACCCCGGAGGCAGAGGTTGCAGTGAGCCGAGATTGCACCATTGCACTCCAGCCTAGACAACAGAGCGAGACTCTGTTGCAAAAAAAAAAAAAAAAAAGAATCATCAACATTGCCTTGGCCCAATCTCTTCCCAGACTTGTCAAATATTTACCACTGGACCTCCATGTTCTAGTTTCAAAGCTCTGCTGGCCACAGTGGCTCATGTCTGTCATCCCAGCACTTTGGGAGGCTGAGGTAGGAGGACTGCTTGAACCCAGAAGCATGAATCCATCCTAGGCAGCATAGTGATAATAGTGTCAAATGAGAGCCAGTGTCCAGTAATTCCCCAAATATCTGAGAATTTTCTTTTCTTTAAGTCACAGTCATCCTGGCAGAAGGCTGTAGGTCCCTTTGGGGAAGACTGGGAAAAAGATTAACAATGTAAATTTTTGGCAATGTAGCAGCGTACTTCCCCAAGATCACCCAGCCTCCCCTTCACTTAAGGGGTTGTGGGCCTGTGAACTGGCTCAAGTCTGGGAATTGATTGAGGGTTTTAGATCTGTGTTTCATTAATTTGAGTTAATCTTTTATTCAGTTGACCTAGAATTCTTCATTTTTTAAACAACAACTAAGACTTTGGTACAGCCCATTAGCTCTCCCTGTGGATACCATGGACTACACAATGCCATGGGTGTCTGTGAGTCAAACCATTCTGACTGCTGCTTTGACACTGCTTTCCACTGTGGTGACCACACCCACCTCATCTTTGGTGATTAAGGACAGCCCATGTTCCCTGCCACCCCAGGATTCAATTATCCTCATTTTACTTAAAGATCCCAGTCCAGTGGCTGCAGTTCCTGCTGTAACATTTTGCCTACTGAGAGCACAAGCTCAAAGCTCTTCCAGGATACTGGGCTCCTCTCACAATATTCTTTCTCATGATCGTTGTGAGGAGTATGTTCTGTAGACCCTTCAGTGTGAGTGAGCAGGTCTGACATAATAAATCCAGTCTCCCTGAGTTTTTGCATACCTTTCTGTACACATAAACCAAGGAAGTTGTGGCATCTCAACTTTATGTACCTTAGGTAAACTCTGATTCTGTTTCAGCCAACCAACCAAGTCACCAAACAAATAAGCAAACAGCCAACCAATCAACCAACAAGCAAGCAAGCAACAAACCAACCAAACAACCAAGCAAGGAAGCAAGCACCACCAACCAAGCAAGCAACCAACCAAGTAACCGATCAAACCAACCCATGGAGCCCTTTCTAAAGCTTTGACCTACAACTCTGAGTCCAGAATCTCTGTTTAGTGGGCCAACATTAATAAATTTAGCCTAATCCAACTTTATGTTACTTTCACCATGGTGCCACACACTTAATATCCATTCCCACATATATTCTCCAGATTTCCTTCTGTATAAATTGCGTGTGTGTGTGTGTGTGTAGAAAGAGAGCATCAACTGAAAAATCACACAATTTTATAAATTTAGAAAAGAGAGCTTTATTTCTTATAAAGGTTTGCAGTCTGCAAGGTGGCCATTATGACAGGCTGGGAAGTGTGGCCTACAGCCAAGGCCAGAGGCAGGCATTTCCAGGGAGGGAAGGAGAGGACAGGAATTTGAGCCAAATGAGTTGGCTACATATACATACGCAATAAGATATCAGAGGAGCTATATCATTTTATGAGAATACTCATAAAAGAGGTCCTAACACATGCATATTCAATAAACATGCATGTTCATCCTGGGGTGGAGACTTGACATTTAAATGTATTATAATTAGGCCCTACACATCAAAAAGTGAAGCAGGGACATGAAAGTACTCAGCCTCTGTAAAGCCACAGCCTCTAAAACTGGCCAGAACCAGTCCATGGAGGATGGTCTCTTATCAGGAGAAAGTTACTGAAATCAGTCCCTTGTCCAGAGAAAGCTGTCGTTAAGGTTAGTGGGGCAGGAGATCAGTTACTCAGCGTCTGTGAACTGGGTGAGTTGTAATTGTTTTAATCTTCTCTCACAGCCATCTCTCACAGCCAGTGCTTGCTTGGCTGCTAGAGAAAAATAAAACCCATGTGGTAGCTAGAATCTAGTTAATTCTTTAAGAGTAGGGTACAAGACTTAACCCTTGCCTGGCATGGCCCTAGGTCCTGTTTATAATTTGAGGTCTTATTGCCACAAAGAGTCTGTTCTGTCAGTCTCATGATCTCTATTTTAACATTAATGCTGTTCAGTTGTTGGGTCTAAACCATAAGAGGGAGGGAGGTACAGGGAGGTATGTCTGACTTCCTGTCCTGTCATGGCCAAGAACTGAATTTTAAGATTTATTTGAGGTTCCGTTGGCCAACAGGGGGTCTGTTAAGTTGGGTGGGGGGCTTAGGATTTTAGTTTTAGTTCTCAAGGGAGATAAAATAATTTAATCAATTGGCCCCTGCGACTGTGGGACTAACATGGCAATGATCTGTCGGACAGACTTCAGGCTGGTACCCAGGCAAAATTCTGTGCTGTAGTAAATGCATCATGCACATTTGTAACAATATGTACATAACAATGTCACAAAATACTTTCACGGTGACACCTAGATTAGTATTTTATTGAATAGCTGATGATATAAACTGGCTCATTTGATGACAAGACTGACCATTACCACCATACCAAGGTCATCACTGATCAGAGGCCTAACCCAAGGAGGGGGTCATGTGCAGACCCAGCAGTGGGGAGGAAAGATGCTGCAGAGGAGACGGATGCCCACAGAGGCCCCTGAGCAGATACAATGCTCACTAAGTGGTAAGTATAGACTCAACGTAGGCCGTAAGGTCTCCCCCTGTGCAAATGGGACCCCATCCACTTGAGAGTCAAGGGTCTGTTTGGGTGGCAGGGATAGCCACTTCTGAAGGTAGAAAGGAAAATAAGCCACCAAATTGGTATCTTTCTGTGAAATGGACATCGTGCTTAGAATCAACATTTTCCCCACAACCTGGAGGAATAAGTACTGTCATGTGCATTTTGTAGCTGAGGAATCTGACTCAACAAAATTAAATTACTTGCCTAAGCAATTAGCAATTAACCAAGTCTTTCTGACTCAGAAACCCAGCTGTTGCCTGTTCATATCCAGCCCCTGTATTGGGGTCAAGATCTGGCCTGTTCTCAATGCAGCAAGATCCAGGCAGATCACACTGGACTCCCAGCACTGAATCTGGCTCAAGGGGACATCAAATTTGACTGGGTCGTGGGGCTCAGGAGCATCACTCTCAAAAATAGCAGTACAGGAAGAGGCGATGGCCCTAAACAGCATTTGCAGGCAGATCCCATGTTAATCATAAGGGTCAGGACTCTCTCACTTTTCTGTCTCTCTCTCTGTCTCTCCTCTAGGGCTGACCCCACATTGGACACCACTGCATCCATGTCCATCACACACCACAGCTGCCTTTTCTTCTGCCTGCTTATGGGAAAGTCCCCTCCTCTCCTCTGTTTTCTTCTCTTCCTGCCCTATCACACCGTGCACTTCTCCCTTTCCTTAAAGAACCACCATCAACTTTAGGAGGAGGGAAAGGGGTGGCTCTGGCAGGAAAAGCCAGAATCCCCTCTAGCCAGCAGAGAGAGAGGAATGGCTGCATGTTTTCTCCCCCATTCCAAGGCACTAGGTTTTGGCTAGGTTGCAGGTTCCAAGCTGCTCTCCTGCTGTGTCGGTGAGTTCTGGTTAACCTGCAACCTCCTGATGTGGCCACTGCAGTTCATCGAGTCTTCAGGGACTCCCCATGGCCTGGAGTACTTTGCCTTGCTTACACGGGAGAGGAGAATGGATTTATAGAGAACATCATCTAAATCCAACTTGACCATTGTGTGGCCACACTTGCTAGATTGCTTTAGTCTAAATCTAGCATTGTAGAAAGACGGGGGAGCTTGGAGCTGCACAAACCCCGGTCTGGAACTGGCTCCTTACCTTGAAAGGTGAATAATCCTGGCAGGACTCTTAGCCTTCCTGGGCCTCAGTTTCTTTATCTGTTTCTTGGGAAGGAGGATCTCTGCTGGTTGGTTGGGTGATGTGGGGGCTGTGTGAAAACAACTTGTCAATACAAGCCGAAATAGGAATATTTCTCCACAGAGTATGAAGGTCAAATGAGAGAATACATTTAAATTAAATGGAAAATTAAAATGGCAAAAAAGGCAAAGCTGTATTGAAAGTTCTGAGCTTCTCTATAAGGAGCTTTTTGACTATGTAAGAATCCTATACTCGTTCCCCCTAAATATAAAAAAAAAGTTGAAGGAGGCAGAAGGGAGAGTGATGCACGATGGGCGAGGACTTCACCTGCTGTTGCTGGCTTTGAGGATGGAGGAAGGAGGCCACAAACCTAGAAGCTGGAGCCCCTAGAAGCTAGAAAAGGCAGGGACCCAATTCATCCGTTGAGCCTCCAGAAGGGACATAGCCCCGCCAGCACCTTGACTTTAGCCCAGTGAGATCCTCTTAGGACTTTTGGCAACCAGAACTATAAGACAGAAATGGAAGCCACTGAGTCTGTAGCTGTTTGTTGCAGCAGCAATAGAAAACTAATGCAGAGCCCAAGAAATCACTGATGATGAGATGGGGAAGTGGGCTCAGGAGGTCTGGATCTATGATGAGATGGGGAAAGTGGGGGAGGTCTGGATCTGTGACGAGATGGGGTAAGTGGGCTCAGGAGGTCTGGATCTGTGATGAGATGGGGGAAGTGGGCTCAGGAGGTCTGGATCTGAGTTGGGGATCTGGAGTGGAAGGGGAATTCATTTGTTCATCGTCTATCCTTTTGCATTGATTGAATTTTTTTCTATATATATATGTGAATTTTCACAATAAAAGTTTTTTCCAAAATAAAATAAAAGAAACAAAAGGGGCTTTTTGCAACCCAATTCCTATCTATGTCTGAGTCCACTTGTATTGAATGAGTCTTTCTGCTAACGTCCTTATATTTGGGTGACAATCTGAATGTCAGTGACCAATCAGAGCAGAGGCAGACCTTGGAGTCGGCAGGGCATCCTGAGGGCCATGATTCCTGCCATGAGGCATAACCCTTTAGGTGCCAGACCATGGGGAGGTCCAGGGGTTGCAGGGGAGGGCTGTGCATCTGCAATGACTCTCAGGGGGCTCCCGGTGGTGGCAATTGGTGAATCTGCACGGCGGTGTTTCAATATTGTCACAACCCTGCTGTCTCTCATGCTCTCAAAAAGCATTTCTCTTACCTGTGACAGACTTCCTATACCTAACAGCTTGCAAAAATGTTCCAGGTTAATGAGAATAATCTCTCGGAGCCATACCTCCCTGCTTGGGGTCTCAGTTTCCCCAACTGTCTCCAGACAAGTTAGGCTAGAAGGCCCCTGAGCCTCAGCCCCTCTATACCCCTCCTGTCACCCAGACCTGATCTGGGGCTTGCACCCTGGGTGCAGCATGACAGGGGTGGGCAGGGGCTGGCTCTGGGCCAGAGGACCCTTTCTGATGGACTTCAGCTGTTGGCCTTCCAGGGGAGACTGATCAACCTCACAAGAGTCATACGGTGAGTAGCGGTGGGCAAATCCATCCCCTTCGTCTTAGATTTATGGGGAGACAGAGAGAAAGAGGAGACACTCCAGGAAGACCTGCAGGTGGGAGTACCAGGTTGAAACCAAGGACACCTTCCTGGAGGAGCTGCTGTTTGAGCCAGCTCTGAGAACAGGTGGGGACAGGACTGGAGAGGAGGAGGTGGTCCCCTATGAGCAAAGACTGGCCATCACCCGACCTAACACCCCCACAGGGCCCCTGTGGCATCCCTGTCCAGTCCCTGTCACCACCCAGTTTTCCCCTCTGGACCCAGGAATTCAAAGTAAGCAAGGAGGTCTGCTGCTCCAGTTGGCTGCAAATAATTACAACCTTGAGCCCAAGCAGCACTTTGGGTCCTGGTTTGGGACCATGAAGCGGCTCGGTGAGACTGAGAGGTAAGGCCAGGACAGGAATTGGGATAGTAGGATTGAACTCTCCCTGGGGGCCAGCCTCAGAAAGCCTGTGGCCATGGCCTCTTGGTCAACATCAGATCCTGTGGTCTGGCAATGCCTGGGGTACCCAGACCTCACTCTGGACAGGCCCTGGGAGGGGGCCCTGGTGAGATTCCTGGCAGCCTCACAGCCACTCTTCTGTCCATAGCTACAACATGTCATGCCAGCTGGAGGCTCCATCCCAGTTGGCTGGGAGCACAAAGGCCAGGAAGATAGACATCACCCACCACAGGGGCCAGTCGGGTCCTGAACCAGGGTGGGCAGAGGTTGGCTGCCTTGGGATATGGGTGGGCTCAGGGAGTCAGACAGCAAGGGACTAGCCTCCCATCCTACTGCTGACCAGCCCTGTGACTGGGGAGAGTCACCTTACTTCTCTGGGCCTCAGATTCCCCCTCTGTGGGGTGACACTAAATGATCTCTCTGGAGACTGGGATCAATAGGGCACTGGTGATTGACCAGGCACTCAGCACATGCCTGGAGCACACGGTGCAGGGCTGTGGTGGGGAGGTGGCCTGAGTTCCTGGGGAGTCACCCATGTGTGCCTGCCATTCTGACCAGCCACCAGGCCCTCAGGGCAGAGCCCACTACCAGCAGCAGCTCACACCCCGAGACCAGCTCAGAGGCAGCCCCTACCTCAGCAGCAGGGATATCATGGACACTTTCAGCTGCTACTAGGGTGGCTTCTCCAGCTCCCACGTGGAGAGGGGTCCCAGCTGAGTCCCACTCATGTAGAGTCTCATGCCCATGAAAGTGCCATTCATCACTGGCCAGGCTCATGAGGCCGCATGAAAGGGGGGTCACATGGGAAGGAGATATCAGGGGAACAGAGAGGGTGGTTGAATTTTTGTATAATAGGCAGTGCAAGTGTTTACCGTTTGGGAGGGGAAAGGTTTGTTATTATTAGCAATGCTACACTTGAATATTATACTAAAATCCAGTTTCTCTATAACCTGGGAGTTGCTCTTTTGTTCTTTCTTTTCCCATCTTAATTAAAATGAGATGCAGACTCTCACGGTCCACAGTCGATTAAGAAATCTTGCACGGCCATCAGGTTATGTCTTGGAGAGCAGAGTTTCAGTACCATCTGCCTGGCAAGGAGCCGAGTCTGCTCCTCAGAGCTCCCGGGACTGCGAGAATTGGCATGTTCACAGGGCACTGTCACAGCCTCTGAAACACGCTGTCTTTAAAGACGTTTGCAGGCTGGATGCGGTGGCTCACTCCTGTAATCCCAGCCCTTTGGGAGGCAGAAGCAGGTGGCTCACTTGAGGTCAGGAGTTCGAGACCAACATGGCCAACATGGCAAAACCCCATCTCTACTAAAAATACAAAAAATTAGCCAGGTGTGGTGGCAGGTGCCTGTAATTCCAGCTATTCGGAAGGCTGAGGTAGGAGAACTGCTTGAACCCAGGAGGTGGAGGTTGCAATGAGCAGAGATGACACCACTGCACTCCAGTCGGGGCAACAAGAGCAAAACTTCATCTCAAAAAAAAACAAACAAACAGAAAAGCACAAAGACATTTGCAAGGACCATGTCCTCACCCAGAATGGTGCCTGCCTTTCTACAGTTTTTCAGGAAGAGGAAACATTTTCTGCTTCTCTCGCTGAGGTTTTTTTTAACCACCCATTAGGAACCTATAGATTTCAGGATCGAACACTGGGATTCCCTCAGCACTAAAGGAGGAAAATTGCAAACAGAGCTGAAAGTGCAATGTGCAAAGGTCAGGCTGAGGAAGGTTCTTAGCCAGTAGACCAATGGCAGGAAGGACACTGCCTCCTCAGTCTCCCACTAGGGAACTTGTGATTCTTGTCCCCTGACCTCAGAATTCCTTGTCATGTTTGTTTTGTCTCCAAGGGAAAGGTCTGAATTACAGAATTTAAGGCTAGAGTGGGCCTCGTGCAGTTAACATTAACCCTCTCTCTCCTTCACTGGCTGAGGTGATGTCCGGGAACATGTAGTTCTGACGTCCACTCTCTCGGGGGATCACCAGTTCACCCATCTCACCTGGCAAGCTGGGCCCTAGTTTGGCGACAGGCATCTTCCACCCACCTGGGAGGCAGGGTTCAACACTCTGCCTCTGCCCTTGTTTCCTTCTTCTGCTACCTGCTTAGGCAGCCAGAAGGGGTTGTCCAGCCAGCACCTGGGCTTTGGCGCTCCTCAAGCAGGTGGAGGAAGTTTCAGGCACCTGACTCCTCAGGTGTCTGCCATCCACGTGTTCTTCAGGCCTGCCCAGCAGAGCTCTCTTGATCCAGCTAGAACTGGCCAGAACTGACTCACTCAGGAATGTGTAGACTTTGGCATCAGGGGCTGCTTTAATTTGCACAATTTCCAAATACCTCTTTTTTCTTCTTTTTCTGATGAATCATCTCCCTAGACTTGCATTTTAAAGAGATAGATAGTTATCAGGTTCCAGAGAAGACATGGTAGAACATTTATATCTCAAAGACACAGAGCTGAGACTTCAGTTTTAGATACTATAATTTGCCTAAACCAAAAAGGAAGGTGTAGGTAAAGTTCTAGTCAAGACAGGATGGCCAGGAAAAACACCTTAAACCAAGGGATGGCTTGCTTTGCTGATTTAAGCCAATGGCTTCTTTATTATAAGACTTCCCAGTGATTTAGTCCTCCCTCTCTTCCAGTGCACAGAGACATACCCCTCCTTACAAATAAAAATGTTCTTTATAGATGTAAATTTATTTTACAAAAATGTTTCAAAATAACCAGATGAAAATCATCCTTATGCCAGAAAGACTTGTTTTTTTTTTTTATTACTAGAAATGAAACAGTAAGTATTTGTTCTATTGACATACTTAGGCTTAGACCTATGTTTAACAAGAAAGCCTAATAATAGCACTGTGGTTAGACTGTAGCCTATTTTTCCAAACCATCATTTTGTTATTAAGGAAACAGATCAAATACCTTTCATTCATCTGATATGATCCTTTAAAACACATTCCACTAATAAGTCCCATTTGGAACAGCTGAAAATCTTTTAATAAAACTTTTTAAAGATGAGCTCATGGCTTGGTGTAAATTTCACAAGCTTAATTAGGTCAAATGGAAGGAACTCAGATGAGTAGGTGCCCAATCAGAGCCCATTATTTGTAAGTCATCAGACCCCTCCATGACCTTAAAACTCCACTCTGACCTAATTATTGCAAACCTACATACAACAAAGTGAAAGGATTAATTTTCATTCATCAACCTCTCAATCCCAGATTTTCAAAGAAAAAAACCTATGTAAGGAATACTTACCAAAACCGGACAGGAAAATTAGAGCCTGCATACTTTAGAGTCAAATTTGTTCCACTACAGCCAGATCGCATACAATTACATCATTTGGTTCTTCATACACTCTAGAACTGACTAGGACAGAGTTTAGCATAGAAAAACTGTAAGAAATAGGTTCTGAAACATAGAAATTGCAAATTCAAAAGGCTATGAAAAAAACTAATGTAAATGAGAGACTCCCCTCCCTTTGTTTTAAAGAAATAGACCCATCAGAGAAATGTAAATCAAAACCACAATGAGATACCATCTCACACCAGTTAGAATGGCGATCATTAAAAAGTCAGGAAACAACAGGTGCTGGAGAGGATGTGGAGAAATAGGAACACTTTCACACTGTTGGTGGGACTGTAAACTAGTTCAACCACTGTGGAAGACAGTGTGGCCATTCCTCAGGGATCTAGAACTAGAAATACCATTTGACCCAGCCATCCCACTACTGGGTATATACCCAAAGGATTATAAATCGTGCTGCTATAAAGACACATGCACACGTATGTTTATTGCGGCACTATTCACAATAGCAAAGACTTGGAACCAACCCAAATGTTCAACAATGATAGACTGGATGAAGAAAATGTGGCACATATACACCATGGAATACTATGCAGCCATAAAAAATGATGAGTTCATGTCCTTTGTAGGGACATGGATGAAATTGGAAATCATCCTTCTCAGTAAACTATCGCAAGAACAAAAAACCAAACACCGCATGTTCTCACTCATAGGTGGGAATTGAACAATGAGAACACTTGGACACAGGAAGGGGAACATCACACACCAGGGCCTGTTGTGGGGTGGGGGGAGGGGGGAGGGGGGAGGGGGGAGGGATAGCATTAGGAGATATGCCTAATATAAATGAGTTAATGGGTGCAGCACACCAACATGGCACATATATACATATGTAACAAACCTGCACATTGTGCATGTGTACCCTAGAATTTAAAGTATAATAAAAAAATACAAGAAAATAAAAAAAGAAAGAAATAGATGTTCTGTAAAAATATACACAATTTTTACAGACAAATACATTTATAAGTTGTTTTTATCTTAAAATTGGGGCTATTTCATATTTATAACTAATTATTGAACCTTAAGTTTTCTTGGCCATTTCTAGGCTAATAAACTAAGAATCATGTAAACTAAGCCAAAGTAGAATAGTCATAAAAGTCCTGAACACTTCAACTTCCTATCCTTCAAAAAGTATACCTCGCAAAGCTCATTTGAGAGAGGAAAATCTTTCCTCCACCCTCTGTTTTACAGCGCTGAGGCTTCTCATCACATTTCTATGACTTGTAGCTTAAATCCATGTTACATGTTCACTGGCATTGTTAGTGCTTCTCTTTTAACACTGTAGGAGTTAATCAATTTGGTGGCATATTTAATTAATTCTATCACTAGTGGATTGTAAAATTACATATATTAATACCTCACTTTAGAGGCCACTTAATTTTTTTCCAAGGGGATATTTGACTATATTTCACTTGTGTCTTATTTAATGATTTTATAATTTAAACCCTAAATTATAAATCTAGAATTTAGAAAGTATATTTCCCCACTGGATTACATTTTTGGAAATATTATTTTATATGTGCACAAATATTACAAAATCACTGTAGACACCTGAAAACTATATTATCTTTTAAAGGCAATATTTACATTAAACTGGTATAACAAAATTGTTTGGTGCATTTTTTCCAGTACATTTTGTATATATTAAATGTTTAACCTTTTTTTATTCAGCAAATAATTTTTGAGTATCTACTAAGTGCTAGGTTCTGCATTACTAACTGAATTTAAAGAGTGAAATAACAGACATGGTCTCAGACAATAAAAATTAACATTAGGTCCCCTATTTATATATTTTAAAATGGTAATTATGAAAACTTTTTGAGATTTTTAACTAGATAACATTATAATAATACACTTGATGTTGTTAATATTTGCCAGTGAGCAAAAAAGAAAATAAAAAGATGGTTTTATTCAATATACACTTTAAAATTGCAGAAAATAGTCAAGTTTCTCTGCTTTGCAGTTGAATGTCTATGTGTTTTTCTCCGCAACTTGGCTTTTATGGAGTGAAACAATTATTCTTCCAGCCCAATAAAGTCAGAAGAATAACAATAAATCTAATATTTTAAATGCTTATCAAAAGATAGTAAACATATTATTTCAGAATACTGAGTTCAATAAGTTGACCTACAAAAAAAGCCAAACTGACAGTATTACTGAATAAAGAAAGGCCCAAAGAGACGAAATACTTTTCATTTTGTAACCTCGGTATGACACAACTTACCCTAACTATAAAGACCCTAAATTACCAAGATGGGTGCTTATAATATGGACAGTAAAAAAAGTCATTTCACTTTTAGCTTTTTTATTTCTCTCAGAATAAAAAGCGCATAAGGAGTTGATAAAGAAGTTGATACTATAAGTTAGTACTACAATGACAGCACTTTTCAAGAAAAGACTTTTTTCTGTCTTACAAATATCATGTTAGCAGTATTTGTTTCCTCCAGAAATAATGAGGAAATAAAAACATAAGTATGTGGGTAATTAGTGTAGTTTCTTAAAGAAATGAGTTAGGCAACAGGCTAATAATGTATACTTCACTGGCTTTTGAATGCCAACAATCATATTCTTTATAAGGCACAGACAAGATTTTTCTAAAGAATAAGTATGTGAACCTGAAAAGTAATCACCACTTGGTAGTGATAATATGGATAGGGTGAAGGGCATCATCAAGAAGCAATGAAAAGATACATTTGCAGTTAAATTTGAAAACCATGATGTTTAATACATATAGTAATAAAGAATACTTTCTCCTGTTTCAAAATCATTTTAGAATTTAAGATAGAAGCTAAAATACCTAGGGATAATGATATGACTATCAAAAATTAAAAATTAAAGGACATTTTGAGTATTATAAGAATGAGAACTTATTACCCAATGAACAGGGGATAATTCATTATGCTCCATATCCATTGAATTAAAAGACAGGCCCATTACCTGGAAAATTTGAAAGTTTAATTTTATTTAAAAGTCTTGTTTCATTCATCAAGATAAAGGATTAGCTCCCAGAAATATTCTAGGATTGCATATCCCCAACTCTGTAGGAAGTATAGAAAGAATGTTAATAAGGGCCACCATCTAAACATTATTATGTAAATAATTTAGTACCATCCCATTTGCCTTTGTAGATTTAAAAATGTAAATGGCTTTCTCATATTCGGAAACATCATTTTTCAAAACCCAGATAAACATAGTATATTGCAAGAGAATATTATTTTCTTTATTAAAAAAGAAATACTGGATGCTAAGTCCAAAAGACATAAATTATTTTATACTAATAACTACTAACATTTTATTCATGAAAATATAAAGGTCAAAGATTTTAAAATGATCTTTAAATGATTAATAACATGTTGATCTTTTTCTTCTTTCTGTAAAACTTTTTGAGTCTTAAAAATACTAAACTATACAAGCAATATTAAATAGTATATAAACTCGGATTAAAATATTCAAATTTACTAGAAGGTAGACATTGGAAAGAATGAAAATAAACAGAAGCATAAAGCAGCAGATATAAAATTAAGAAAGGAACTAAGAGTGTTTAAAGTACATATTCATCTGTAGTCTAATGTCTACCATAAACAATGAGTCTTCTCAGTAAAACACAAATTGTTCATGAAGGGAAAAAGCAAGTTGTAGTAGAGAATACTCAACATATTTTTTTTAGTACTAACTTGTGCTTGGAGTATTATTGGTTTTTCTATTATGCACTTATGCACTTGATAATTTTTTTCATCAAAATTGTATGTACAACTCCACTCAAAAGCAGTTTTTGGTGGTTTTTTTTTTTTTTTTTTTTTTTTGAGAAAGAGTTTTGCTCTTTTCACCCAGGCTGGAGTGCAATGGTGCGAACTTGGCTCACAGCAACCTAGCAACTTTTGCCTCCCAGGTTCAGGTGATTCTCTTGCCTCAGCCTCTCGAGAGGTTAGGACTACAAGCATGCACCACCATGCCTGGCTAATTTTGTGTTTTTAGTAGAGACATGGTTTTGCCATGTTGATCAGGCTGGTCTTGAACTCCTGACCTGAGGTAATCCGCCCACCTTGGCCTCCCAAAGTGCTAGGTATGGGCAAGAGCCACCATACCTGGCCTCAAAAGCAGTTTTTAAAAGCAAACACAATATAACACCAAAGTTGAAAAATCTATGCTCACCCAAGGATGCCAGGTTTAATAAATTATTTATAGAATACTGCATCAAAAATAAGACAATAACCCAAGATATACCATTAAAGATGTATCCACTCCTACAACTAGAGATAATTAATCTATCTGGTAGCAAATTATACTTCAATCAGTTTCAGCATGTCTGAAATCTTTAAGGACAAAAGTGATAAAACATGACTTCATTCTTCATTAGACTCTTAGAACACTTGAAGGAAAATAATTTCTGAAGCACAAAGAGGTAAAGAGGTGTAATCTTTCAAAAAGATATTCAGTGTTCAAAATCCAAGAGTGCAATATCAGGCTGGGTGCGGTGGCTTATGCCTGTAATCCCAGCACTTTGGGAGGCCATGGTGGGTGGATCACCTGAGGTCAGGAGTTTGAGACCAGCCTGGACAACAGGGTGAAACTCTGACTGTACTAAAAATACAAAAATTAGCCAGGCATGGTGGTGTGCACCTGTAGTCCTAGCTACCCGTGGGGCTGAGACAGGAGAATCGCTTGAACCTGGGAGGTGGAGGTTGCAGTGAACCGAGATCATGCCACCTCACTCCAGCATCAGTAACAGAATGAGATTCCATCTCAAAAAAAAAAAGTGTAATATCATATCGGTATACACAGATAATATACTGAATGAAATAAATAGAATAATTTGAAGAGGTATCTTGATGAACAAGGAGTCATTAGAAAGGTTGTATTCATGTCTTTGAAGGAAATTGCAATGTGAGAAATTAATACTTTGACTGCTATACTAAAAGTTTATTGCTAACATGTATTGAGTTATTAACGTGTGTTAGGCAGAGTACCATATAATTTACAGGTGTTATCTCAATTATTGTAGGTAAAACGTAATTTCGAACTCTGGGAGTATAAATGAATTAGATAGAATAAAATTCTATTTAAATGGCCATCAGTAAATCGGTATCTAGGAACAGGGTGATACAGTGCCCAAGTTTTCCATTCTTACTAAATGTTGTGTTTCATTTTCAATGTTTTCTTGGATATTGCTCTTTTTTGGTCATTTTGATTTTTTTTTATTTTAGAAAACTAATAAATTGACTCTTCTTGGTACTGACTCGGGTTTTATAGAAGAAAAAGTAATTAAATTCTGTACATTTACCTTTACCTCATTTTTTGTCTTTTAAATTTATTTTAATTGACATATAATAAATGTACATGTTATGGGGTACAGAGTGATATTTTGATATATTTATGCAATGCGTAAAGATCAAGTCAGAGTCATTATCATATCCATTACCTAAATCATGTATTATTTCTTTGCAGTGAGAATATTCAAAATCTTTTATTTTAGTTATTTGAAAACACACAATAAATTCCCATTAACTACAGTCACCCAACAGTGCTGTAGAGAATTAGAACTTCTTCCTTCTCTCCAGCTGTAATTTTGTATGTATTAACCACAGTTTTCTTATACTCTTCTTTCTCCTACTCTTTCCAGGATATGGTAACCAAAACTCTACTATCTACTTCTATGAGATTAAAAATTTTAGCTTCCATACATAAGTGAGTACACGTAGTTATGTGGTGTTTATGTTTCTATGCCAGGCTTATTTCACCTAACATAATGCCCTCCACTTGCATTCTTGTTGCCACAAATAACAGGATTTTCTTCTTTATTATGACTAAATAATATTCCATTATATATGTATGTCACATTTCTTTATCCATTCATCTGTTGATGGACACTTTTGTCGATTCCATATCTTGGCTATTGTGAATAGTGCTGTAATAAACATGGGGGTGCAGCTAACTCTTTGATATACTGATTTTCTTTTCTTTGGATATATACTGAAAACCATATGATTAAATTAATAAACACAATAAAAGCATTTGGCAAAATTAAATATTCTTGAATGACAAAAAACCTCTCAACAATTTAGTATAGAAAATATATGCCTTAACACAGAAGGACATAAAGGACAAATCTACAACTAAGATCATACTGAGTGTGGAAAAGGTGAAAGATTTTACTGTGAACAAGAAAAAGATTTTACTAGAACAAGAAAAGGATGCCTATTCTCACCAATCATATTTCACATAGTGAAAGTCTTAACCAGGACAATTAGGTGAGAGAAAGAAATAAAGGACATCTGAATTGGAAAGGAGACAGTCAAATTGTCCCTGTTTAAATCAGTAGCATTTCTATATATTGATAGTAAACTAGCTGAAACAAGAAATTAAGAAAGCAAATCCTTTTACAATAGCTACAAAAATGTACTTATAAATTTAACCAAGGAAGTAAAAGATTTTGACAACAAAAATGACAAATATTAATGAAAGAAATTAAAGAAAACACAAAAAAGGAAAGACATCCAAGTTTATAGATTGAAATAACTAATATTCTTAAAATGACCCACTATCCTATGTGATTTACAAATTTAGTACAATCACTAGCTTGTATTTTTAAAAGCACCTTTGCTGCATATTCTTAAGATATTCAATGACAATGCCTAGATTGAAGTTTGAGGTATTATTATATCTATTTTATATTGGGCACAATATAATGTTATCAGAGATAACAGTTTTGATTGGTCCTAGGTCATACAGTAATATATACATTGTGATTTATAGACATGCTATCTTTTCATACTCAGGCATTTAGAAAGTTCATTTAGACAAAGTTATAAAAACTTGCCTTCCTTTCTGCCTATATCACCTAAAAATCCTAATTTAAGAGGTAATAACATTTTTTATTTGATATACAATTTATCAACACAATAAAAATCTAACAATTATCATGTGCAGAGTGTGAAAATCTCATCAGATTAAGGAACACAAAGACATCTTTTTCATATTTCGAATGTAAAACTGTTTTGGAAACTTATTTTTAGAAACAGTTAAAAACATTTTTTCATTAGTTTTTCACGTAAAATTGTGACAACCAGCATGAAATAACTGTCATCACAGAAGCATGGTATATTCTATTCCAAAACATATTCTTTATAAGTTTTAATATATTTATGTATTATTTATACTTAGATTGTAACCCATAATGTAGATAATATTTTTCCTTCAACTCTTAAGAGTATTGTTAAATAAAATTAAAATTAATGAATTATAATTTTTGTTGGTTGGGAAAAAGAATAGACACACACGTGACAGTGCATCACTTCACCTCATCATTTCATCTCATCATCTCATCATTTCATCTCATCATTTTATCTCATCCCATCCCATCTCATCATATCATCTCATCATTTCATCAAATCTCATCTCCATTTCATTTTCATCATTTCATCATTTCATCATTTCATTTCACTATTTCATTTCATCTAATCTATTTCATTATGTCATTTCATATCATCTCATTTCATTTCATCTCATATTTTCATCTCATAATTTTTCATCTCATCATTTCATCTCATCATTTCATCTCATCTCATCATTTCTTCCTTTCATTTCAACATTTCATCTCGTCATTTCTTCTCATCTCATTTCAATTTCATATCATTATTTCGTTTCATCTCATTTCATTATTTCACCTAGTTTCATTATTTCATATCATCTCAATTCGTCTCATCGCATTTAATCTCAACATTTTTCTTTTTTCTTTTTTTTATTATACTTAAATTTTAGGGTACATGTGCACATTGTGCAGGTTAGTTACATATGTATACATGTGCCATGCTGGTGCGCTGCGCCCACTAACTCGTCATCTAGCATTAGATATATCTCCCGATGCTATCCCTCCCCCCTCCCCCCACCCCACCACAGTCCCCAGAGTGTGATATTCCCCTTCCTGTGTCCATGTGATGTCATTGTTCAATTCCCACCTATGAGTGAGAATATGTGGTGTTTGGTTTTTTGTTCTTGCGATAGTTTACTGAGAATGATGATTTCCAATTTCATCCATGTCCCTACAAAGGACATGAACTCATCATTTTTTATGGCTGCATAGTATTCCATGGTGTATATGTGCCACATTTTCTTAATCCAGTCTATCATTGTTGGACATTTGGGTTGGTTCCAAGTCTTTGCTATTGTGAATAATGCCGCAATAAACATACGTGTGCATGTGTCTTTATAGCAGCATGATTTATAGTCCTTTGGGTATATACCCAGTAATGGGATGGCTGGGTCAATTGGTATTTCCAGTTCTAGATCCTTGAGGAATCGCCACACTGACTTCCACAATGGTTGAACTAGTTTACAGTCCCACCAACAGTGTAAAAGTGTTCCTATTTCTCCACATCCTCTCCAGCACCTGTTGTTTCCTGACTTTTTAATGATTGCCATTCTAACTGGTGTGAGATGGTATCGCATTGTGGTTTTCATTTGCATTTCTCTGATGGCCAGTGATGATGAGCATTTTTTCATGTGTTTTTTGGCTGCATAAATGTCTTCTTTTGAGAAGTGTCTGTTCATGTCCTTCGCCCACTTTTTGATGGGGTTGTTTGTTTTTTTCTTGTAAATTTGTTTGACTTCATTGTAGATTCTGGATATCAAGCCCTTTGTCAGATGAGTAGGTTGCAAAAATTTTCTCCCATTTTGTAGGTTGCCTGTTCACTCTGATGGTAATCTCTTTTGCTGTGCAGAAGCTCTTTAGTTTAATTAGATCCCATTTGTCAATTTTGGCTTTTGTTGCCATTGCTTTTGGTGTTTTAGACATGAAGTCCTTGCCCATGCCTATGTCCTGAATGGTAATGCCTAGGTTTTCTTCTAGGGTTTTTATGGTTTTAGGTCTAACGTTTAAGTCTTTAATCCATCTTGAATTGATTTTTGTATAAGGTGTAAGGAAGGGATCCAGTTTCAGCTTTCTACATATGGCTAGCCAGTTTTCCCAGCACCATTTATTAAATAGGGAATCGTTTCCCCATTGCTTGTTTTTCTCAGGTTTGTCAAAGATCAGATAGTTGTAGATATGCGGCGTTATTTCTGAGGGCTCTGTTCTGTTCCATTGATCTGTATCTCTGTTTTGGTACCAGTACCATGCTGTTTTGGTTACTGTAGCCTTGTAGTATAGTTTGAAGTCAGGTAGTGTGATGCCTCCAGCTTTGTTCTTTTGGCTTAGGATTGACTTGGTGATGCGGGCTCTTTTTTGGTTCCATATGAACTTTAAAGTCGTTTTTTCCAATTCTGTGAAGAAAGTCATTGGTAGCTTGATGGGGATGGCATTGAATCTGTAAATTACCTTGGGCAGTATGGCCATTTTCACGATATTGATTCTTCCTACCCATGAGCATGGAATGTTCTTCCCTTTGTTTGTATCCTCTTTTATTTCCTTGAGCAGTGGATTGTAGTTCTCCTTGAAGAGGTCCCTCACATCCCTTGTAAGTTGGATTCCTAGGTATTTTATTCTCTTTGAAGCAATTGTGAATGGGAGTTCACCCATGATTTGGCTCTCTGTTTGTCTGTTACTGGTGTATAAGAATGCTTGTGATTTTTGTACATTGATTTTGTATCCTGAGACTTTGCTGAAGTTGCTTATCAGCTTAAGGAGATTTTGGGCTGAGACAATGGGCTTTTCTAGATATACAATCATGTCGTCTGCAAACAGGGACAATTTGACTTCCTCTTTTCCTAATTGAATACCCTTTATTTCCTTCTCCTGCCTGATTGCCCTGGCCAGAACTTCCAACACTATGTTGAATAGGAGTGGTGAGAGAAGGCATCCCTGTCTTGTGCCAGTTTTCAAAGGGAATGCTTCCAGTTTTTGCCCATTCAGTATGATATTGGCTGTGGGTTTGTCATAGATAGCTCTTATTATTTTGAAATACATCCCATCAATACCTAATTTATTGAGAGTTTTTAGCATGAAGGGTTGTTGAATTTTGTCAAAGGCTTTTTCTGCATCTATTGAGATAATCATGTGGTTTTTGTCTTTGGCTCTGTTTATATGCTGGATTACATTTATTGATTTGCGTATATTGAACCAGCCTTGCATCCCAGGGATGAAGCCCACTTGATCATGGTGGATAAGCTTTTTGATGTGCTGCTGGATTCGTTTTGCCAGTATTTTATTTAGGATTTTTGCATCAATGTTCATCAAGGATATTGGTCTAAAATTCTCTTTTTTGGTTGTGTCTCTGCCTGGCTTTGGTATCAGAATGATGCTGGCCTCATAAAATGAGTTAGGGAGGATTCCCTCTTTTTCTATTGATTGGAATAGTTTCAGAAGGAATGGTACCAGTTCCTCCTTGTACCTCTGGTAGAATTCGGCTGTGAATCCATCTGGTCCTGGACTCTTTTTGGTTGGTAAACTATTGATTATTGCCACAATTTCAGCTCCTGTTATTGGTCTATTCAGAGATTCAACTTCTTCCTGGTTTAGTCTTGGGAGAGTGTATGTGTTGAGGAATTTATCCATTTCTTCTAGATTTTCTAGTTTATTTGCGTAGAGGTGTTTGTAGTATTCTCTGATGGTAGTTTGTATTTCTGTGGGATCGGTGGTGACATCCCCTTTATCATTTTTTATTGCGTCTATTTGATTCTTCTTTTTTTCTTTATTAGTCTTGCTAGCGGTCTATCAATTTTGTTGATCCTTTCAAAAAACCACCTCCTGGATTCATTAATTTTTTGAAGGGTTTTTTGTGTCTCTATTTCCTTCAGTTCTGCTCTGATTTTAGTTATTTCTTGCCTTGTGCTAGCTTTTGAATGTGGTTGCTCTTGCTTTTCTAGTTCTTTTAATTGTGATGTTAGGGTGTCAATTTTGGATCTTTCCTGCTTTCTCTTGTGGGCATTTAGTGCTATAAATTTCCCTCTACACACTGCTTTGAATGCGTCCCAGAGATTCTGGTATGTTGTGTCTTTGTTCTCGTTGGTTTCAAAGAACATCTTTATTTCTGCCTTCATTTCGTTATGTACCCAGTAGTCATTCAGGAGCAAGTTGTTCAGTTTCCATGTAGTTGAGCGGTTTTGAGTGAGATTCTTAATCCTGAGTTCTAGTTTGATTGTACTGTGGTCTGAGAGATAGTTTGTTATAATTTCTGTTCTTTTACATTTGCTGAGGAGAGCTTTACTTCCCAGTATGTGGTCAATTTTGGAATGGGTGTGGTGTGGTGCTGAAAAAAATGTATATTCTGTTGATTTGGGGTGGAGAGTTCTGTAGATGTCTATTAGGTCTGCTTGGTGCAGAGCTGAGTTCAATTCCTGGGTATCCTTGTTGACTTTCTGTCTCGATCTCTCTAATATTGACAGTGGGGTGTTAAAGTCTCCCATTATTAATGTGTGGGAGTCTAAGTCTCTTTGTAGGTCACTCAGGACTTGCTTTATGAATCTTGGTGCTCCTGTATGGGGTGTATATATATTTAGGATAGTTAGCTCTTCTTGTTGAATTGATCCCTTTACCATTATGTAACGGCCTTCTTTGTCTCTTTTGATCTTTGTTGGTTTAAAGTCTGTTTTATCAGAGACTAGGATTGCAACCCCTGCCTTTTTTTTTCTTTTCCATTGGCTTGTTAGATCTTCCTCCATCCTTTTATTTTGAGCCTGTGTGTCTCTGCATGTGAGATGGGTTTCCTGAATACAGCACACTGATGGGTTTTGACTCTTTATCCAATTTGCCAGTCTGTGTCTTTTAATTGGAGCATTTAGTCCATTTACATTTAAAGTTAATATTGTTATGTGTGAATTTGATCCTGTCATTATGATGTTAGCTGGTTATTTTGCTCATTAGTTGATGCAGTTTCTTCCTAGTCTCGATGGTCTTTACATTTTGGCATGATTTTGCAGTGACTGGTACCGGTTGTTCCTTTCCATGTTTAGTGCTTCCTTCAGGAGCTCTTGTAAGGCAGGCCTGGTGGTGACAAAATCTCTCAGCATTTGCTTGTCTGTAAAGTATTTTATTTCTCCTTCACTTATGAAGCTTAGTTTGGCTGGATATGAAATTCTGGGTTGAAAATTCTTTTCTTTAAGAATGTTGAATATTGGCCCCCACTCTCTTCTGGCTTGTAGAGTTTCTGCTGAGAGATCCACTGTTAGTCTGATGGGCTTCCCTTTGAGGGTAACCCGACCTTTCTCTCTGGCTGCCCTTAACATTTTTTTCTTCATTTCAACTTTGGTGAATCTGACAATTATGTGTCTGGAAGTTGCTCTTCTCAAGGATTATCTTTGTGGAGTTCTCTGTATTTCCTGAATCTGAATGTTGGCCTGCCTTGCTAGATTGGGGAAGTTCTCCTGGATAATATCCTGCGGAGTGTTTTCCAACTTGGTTCCATTCTCCCCATCACTTTCAGGTACACCAATCAGACGTAGATTTGGTCTTTTCACATAGTCCCATATTTCTTGGAGGCTTTGCTCATTTCTTTTTATTCTTTTTTCTCTAAACTTCCCTTCTCGCTTCATTTCATTCATTTCATCTTCCATCGCTGATACCCTTTCTTCCAGTTGATCGCATCGGCTCCTGAGGCTTCTGCATTCTTCTCGTAGTTCTCGAGCCTTGGTTTTCAGCTCCATCAGTTCCTTTAAGCACTTCTCTGTATTGGTTATTCTAGTTATACATTCTTCTAAATTTTTTTCAAAGTTTTCAACTTCTTTGCCTTTGGTTTGAATGTCCTCCCGTAGCTCAGAGTAATTTGATCGTCTGAAGCCTTCTTCTCTCAGCTCGTCAAAGTCATTCTCCATCCAGCTTTGTTCCGTTGCTGGTGAGGAACTGCGTCCCTTTGGAGGAGATGTGCTCTGCTTTTTAGAGTTTCCAGTTTTTCTGTTCTGTTTTTTCCCCATCTTTGTGGTTTTATCTACTTTTGGTCTTTGATGATGGTGATGTACAGATGGGTTTTTGGTGTGGATGTCCTTTCTGTTCGTTTTCCTTCTAACAGAGAGGACCCTCAGCTGCAGGTCTGTTGGAGTACCCTGCTGTGTGAGGTGTCAGTGTGCCCCTGCTGGGGGGTGCCTCCCAGTTAGGCTGCTTGGGGGTCAGGGGTCAGGGACCCACTTGAGGAGGCAGTCGGCCCGTTCTCAGACCTCCAGCTGTGTGCTGGGAGAACCACTGCTCTCTTCAAAGCTGTCAGACAGGGACATTTAAGTCTGCAAAGGTTACTGCTGTCTTTTTGTTTGTCTGTACCCTGCCCCAAGAGGTGGATCCTACAGAGGCAGGCATGCCTCCTTGAGCTGTGGTGGGCTCCACCCAGTTCGGGCTTTCCGGCTGCTTTACCTAAGCAAGCCTGGGCAACGGCAGGCGCCCCTACCCCAGCCTCACTGCCGCCTTGCAGTTTGATCTCAGACTGCTGTGCTAGCAATCAGCGAGACTCCGTGGGCGTAGGACCCTCTGAGCCAGGTGCGGGATATAATCTCGTGGTGCGCCGTTTTTTAAGCCCGTTGGAAAAGTGCAGTATTCGGGTGGGAGTGACCCAATTTTCCAGGTGCCATCCATCACCCCTTTCTTTGACTCAGAAAGGGAACTCCCTGACCCCTTGCGCTTCCCAAGTGAGGGAATGCCTCGCCCTGCTTTGGCACGTGCACGGTGCGCGCACCCACTGACCTGCACCCACTGTCTGGCACTCCCTAGTGAGATGAACCTGGTACCTCAGATGGAAATGCAGAAATCACCCGTCTTCTGCGTCGCTCACGCTGGGAGTTGTAGACCGGAGCTGTTCCTATTTGGCCATCTTGGCTCCTCCCTATCTCATCATTTTTCATCTCATTTAATCTCATTTCATTTCATCTCATCATTTCAGCTCATCATTTCATCTCACCACATCTCTTCATTTCATCATTTCATTTCAACATTTCATATTTCATCTCATCTTTCAATTTCATTTCAATACCATCATTTCATCATTTCATTTCATCTCATTTCATTATTTCATTTCATCTCATTTCAATTCATCTCATCATTTTATCTCATCATTTTTCATCTCATCATTTAATCTCATCATCTCATCTCATCATTTCATCTCATTTCATCATTTCATTTCATCATTTTATCTCATTTCATCTCATCTCATTTCAATTTCATTATTTCATTTCATTTCACTTCATTTCATCTCATCTCATCATTTCATCTCATCTCATTTCATCTCATTTCTTCTCATCTCATCTCATCATTTCATCATTTCATCTCATTTCATCTCATCTCACCTCATCTCATCATTTCATCTCATCATTTCACCTCATCCTTTCAGCTCATCATTTCATCTCATTTCATCTCATCTCACCTCAGCATTTCGTCATTTCATCTCATCATTTATTTCATCTCATTTTATCTCATCATTTCATCTCATCTCATCTCAATTCAATTTCCTTTAATTATTTCATTTCATCTCATTCATTTCATCTCATTTCATTACATCTCATCATTTCCTCTCATCATTACATCTCATCTCATTTCATCTCATCATTTCATCTCATTTCATCACATTATTCATCTCATCATTTCATCTCATCTCATCATTTCCATTTCATTTCCATTTCATTATTTCATTTCATCATTTAATTTCATCATCTCATTTAATTTCACCTCATTTCATTATTTCATTTCATTTTTTCATTTCATTATGTCATTTCATTTCATCTCATTACATTTCATCTAATTTCATTTCATATCATTTCATCTCATCTTTTCATCTCATTTCATCTCATCATCTCATCAACTCATTTCATCTTATCTCATCATTTCATCAACTCATTTCATCTCATCATTTCATCATTTCATCTCATCATCTCATCAACTCATTTCATCTTATCTCATCATTTCATCATTTCATCTCATCATTTCATCTCATCTCGTATCTTCTCATCTCATTTCAATTTCATTTCATTATTTCATGTCATCTCATCATTTCATCTCATCACATCTCATCATTTCATCATTATATTTCATAATTTCATCTTATCATTTCATCTCATTTCATCTCATCTCAATTTTATTTCAATTTCATTTCATTATTTCATTTCATCTTATTATTTCATTTCATTTCATCAGTTCATCTCATCATTTCATCTCATCATCTCATCTCATCTCAAATTTATTTCAATTTCATTTCATTATTTCATCTCATTATTTCATTTCATCAGTTCATCTCATCATCTCATCTCATCTCATCATTTCATCTCATTTCATATCATTTTATCTCACCATTTCATCTCATCTCATCATTTCGTCTCATCTCATTTTATGTCATCATTTCGTGTCATCATTTCATCACATCTCATCTCATCTCATCTTTTCATCTCATCATTTCATCATTTCATCTCATCATTTCAACTCATTGCATCTCATCATTTCCATTTCATTATTCCATTTCATCATTTCATTTATTTCATTTCATTGTCATTTCATCTCGTCACATTTCATCTCATCTCATCATTTCATCTCATTTCATCTCATTATTTCATCTGATTTCATGTTATCATATCATGTCATCATTTCATCTCACTTCATCACATCTCATCTCATCATTTAATCTCATCATTTAATCTCATTTCATCTCATCATTTCATCTCATCTCATCATTTCATCATTTCATCTCATCATTTCTGCTCATCTCATCATTTCCATTTCATTTCCATTTATTTCATCATTTTATTTCATCATTTCATTATTTCATTTCATCTCATTTCATTATTGCATTTCATTATGTCATTTCATTTCATCTCATTTCATTACATCTCATTTCATCTCATTTCATCTCATCATTTCATCTCATTTCATCTCATCATTTCATCTCATCTCATCTCATCATCTCATTTCATCTCATCATTTCATCTCATTTCATCTCATCTCACTTCATCATTTCATCTCATCTCATTTCAATTTCATCATTACATTTCATAATTTCATTATTTCATTGCATCTCATTTCATTATTTCATCTCATTTCATCTCATTTTTCATCTCATCATTTTTCATCTCATTTCATCTCATCATTTCATTTTATCATCTCATCATTTCATCTCATCATTCATCTCATTTCATCTCATCATTTTATCTCATTATATCATCTCCTCATCTCATTTCAATTTCATTATTTCATATCATTTCATTTTTTCATTTCATTTCATCTCATCATTTCTTCTCATCATTTCATCTCGTTTCATCTCATCATTTCATCCATCATCTCATCATTTCATCTCATTTCATCTCATCTCCTTTCAATTTCTTTTCAATTTTGTCATTTTGTCTCATCATTTAATCTCATCATTTCTACTCACCATTTCATCTCATCATTTCATCTCATCTCATCATTTAGTCATTTCATCTCATCTCAAGTCATATTATCATTTCATCTAAGTGAAATGATGTAATGGAATCATGAAATGAAATGGATAGGATGCCCTCAGTGATGTTAAATTTAAAAATTGTTTTCATGTATTCATTTGTATATTTACATGTATTTATATTTATATTTACTTATATTTCTTTTTACTTATTTTTATTTATGTTTTTACTTATTTCTTTATTTATAGACAAGGTCCTGTTCTGTGGCCTAGGCTGCAATGCAGTGGTGCATTCACAGTTCACTGCAGCCTTGAGCAAACCTCCCACCTTAGCCTCCCGGGTAGCCGGGACCCCAGGTGCGCACCACCACACCTGGTTAATATTTTATTATTTGTAGAGATGGAGTCTTGCTATTCTGCCCAGGCTGGTCTCAAACTCCTGGGCTCAAGCAATCCTCCTGCCTTTGCAACCCAAAATGCTGGGATTACAGATATGAGCCACAGTGCCCAACCTATTTATTTATTTATTTAATAAAGAAAAGGTCTCAATATGTGGCCCAGGCTGGTCAACTCCTGGACTCAAATGATTCTCCCAACTTGGCCTCTCAAAATGTTGGGATTACAGGTATGAGCCACCATGCCTGGCCTAAAAATAATATTATATTTTTGTATTATATAATTTTCAATTAGGTAATATGAATACTCTGTACAGGAAATACGCCCTTAATTACATAGGAATAAACATTTGTTACACTGAGAAAAATCTAATAGAGCTAAAAATAAAAATTAATTTGGAAAGTTCATTAGATACTCATACATTCTTACGTTTATACATTCTTTCATATATTCATATACTCTTTTAACAGTATCAATGGTTTGGAGTTATGTGTACAAAACCATGACCTATATGTAATACAACTAATAACAAGCACTTACAATTCAAGGCATATTATATACAAAGCTTTAACTTCTCATCATCAGATTTTTTTTTCTTTCTGTTTTGGCAGATACTATGAACACAACATTCAACTCACAGACACCATGGAGCCCTTACTAAGCATAAAGTACTGTGAAAGGCCAGGGCTAGGACAGAACTGAGACAGGGCCAGGGATAGGACAGAACCGGGGCAGGGTCATGGACAGAGAAAAACCAGGGGCAGGGTCATAGCCAGGGACATGAGAGGACCAAGGCCAGGGCCAGAAGTAGGGCAGAACCAGGGCCAGGGCAGGGACATGGCAGGGCCAGGGCCATGGCAGGATCAGGGTCAGCAGAAGGCCAGGGCAGGGCTAGGGTAGCACAGGGCCAAGGCAGGGCAGGGTCAGTGTAGAGCAAGAATGGGCCAGAGTATGGCAGGGCAGGGACAGGGAGGTCCAGGGCCAGAGTCAGGTCCAGGACATGGGCAGGGCAGGGCCAGAAACATGGCAGGACCAGAAAGGGGACAGGGCAAGGGCAAGGCCAGAGAAGGACCATGGAAAAAACATGGCCAGGGAGGGTCCAGGGCAAGGGCAACGCCAGGGCAGAACCAGAGCCAGGGCAGGCCAAAGGCAGGGCCAGGCCAGGGCAAGGTCAGGGTAGGGCAGGGCCAGTGTAGGGTGAGGGTAGGGCCAGGGCGAGTTCAGGGCCAGGGTAGGACTAAGATAGCACAGGGCCAGTGCAGGGCCAAAGGAGGGGCCAGGGCCAAGCATGGCCAGTGTGGGGCCTGGGGATTGTCAGGGCCAGGGCCAGGGCCAGGGCCAGGGTCAAGACTGGGCCAGGGGCAGGGCCAGGGAGAAGGCAAAACCAGAGAGGATCCAGAGCAAGAGCAGGGCCAGGGCAGAACCAGGACCAGGATAAGGCAAAGCCAAGGCTAGGGCAGGGCAAGGCCAGGGCAGGGCAAGACCAGGGAAGGGCAAGGCCAGGGTAGAAAAGGCTAGTGTAGGGCCAGGCCAGGGTAGGAGAAGGCCACGGTAAGGCCAAGGCAGGGCAGGGCTAGGGTAGCACAGGGCATGGCCAAAAACAGGGCAGGGCCATAGCAGTGGCAGGACTAGCAACAGGGCCAGGGTAAGTGCTGGACCAGAGCATGGTGGGGACAATACAGGGACAGGACAGACGATGGCAAGGCAAGTCCAGGGCCATTTCATGGACTCGGTAGGCCTGGGGTCAGGCCAGGGCAGGGCAAGAGCAAGGCCAGGGAGAAGGCAGGGCCGGGGCCAAGGCAGTGCCAGGGCAGGGCAGGACCAGTGCAGGGCCAATGAAGGGTGAGGGCAAGGCCAGGGCATGGAAGGGCAGGGCAGGACCAAGGAAGGGCCAGGAGAGGGCCACGGCAGGGTCAAGGCCAGAACAAGGGTACGGCTGGGGTCAGGAATATGGTAGGACAAGGGCTGGGCCCAGGCTGGGACATGCAGGGCAGAGCATGGCCTGTGCAAGGCACAGCCAGAGCCAGGCCATAGAGATGGGAGGGCAACACCAAGGCAGAGTCAGGGTAGATCCAGGGCTGAGCAGAGTCAGGGCAGGTCCAGAGTCGAGGCAGAGCTAGGGCCCAAGCAGGGCCATGGCAGCGCCAGGGCAGAGGAGGGCAGGGCAACGCAGGACTGGGCCATGGTAGTGCCTGGTCAACTCCGGGGCAGGGCCAGAAGCAGGACAGGGACAGGGCCAATGCTCAGGCCAGGGACAGGGCATGACAGGAAGTGCCAGAGCAGGGCTGGGCCAACGTTGGGGCAGGGCAAATCAGACCAGGACACCTCCAAGTCCAGCTCTGGCCCTGCCTTGGCCCTGGCCCCTTCCTGGCCTGACCTTGTCCCTGGCCCTGCCCTATCCATGCCCTGTGTGTTTGAGCAGTGTTTTATAACCAGAATCCTACAAGAAACTTAAATCAGCTCTTTTTGTGCATTTTTAGTAGAGATGGGGTTTCACAATGTTGCCCAGGCTGGTTCCAAACTCCTGAGCTCAAGCCATCTGCCTGCCTTGGCCTCCCAAAGTGCTGGGATTACAGGAGTAATCTGGCCAAGTATTTAACTTCTTTATGCCCGTTTCCTACATTTGGAAAATGGGGATGCTTTAAGTACCTAGCATGTAGAATTATTGTGAGAATCAATGCCTCACATATTTACATATTGATAAAATTATACTCATAGAATACTACTGGAAGCAAAGATAGTATTAGTTAAAATTTAGTGATTATTTACTGCAAATATTATTACTATTACAAACAACATAGTATAGACATTATTACTACTACTGTAGTTATCTTAAAAATCTAAAATAAAAATTTTACATAACAGCCTAACGTAATCTCTCCTGCTCTGCCCCGGCTCAGCCCTAGTACCGGCTCTTCCCCTAGTCCTACCACATTCCTGGCCCTGACCCTTCCCTGGTCCTGCCGCTGCCTTGGCCCTTCCCATCTTCAGGCCTTACCATGGCCCTACCCTGGTCCTGACCCTGGCCCTACCCCAGAGAAGGGGTATGGCAGAGCCAGGGAAGCGCCGGGGAAATAAGGGACAGGACACATCCAAATCCAGAAAAGGGCCAGGGCCATGACAGAGCCAGGGCGAGTCCTTGGCAGGGCCAGGTTCCAGGCCAGGGCCAGGAAAGGGTCATGGCAGGGTCACTGTATGGCCAAGGTCCAGGCCAAAGCCAAGGCACAGGCAGGGTCAGGCCTGCATAAGGGCAGGACGAGAGCCAGGCCATAGAGTAGGGCAAATGCCAAGCCAAGGCCAGGGTAGTGCCAGGGCTAAGGCAAGGTCAGGGAAGGTCCAGGGCTGCGTCAAGGCTAGAACCAAGACGGGGCAAAGGCCGGGGCAGATCTAGAGCACAAGCAGGGCAGGCTAAGGCAGGGCAATGGCAAGACCAGGCCATGGCAGGGCCAGCCCAGGATAGAACAGGGCACAGGCAGGGCAGGGCCAGGACCATGGCTGGGGCAGGACAAGGACCAGGACCGGGGTCCAGGCCAGGGCAAGGGTATGGCCAGGGCAGAGGTAGGGCCAGAGCCAGGGTCTGGGCAGGACCAAGGCAGGTCTATTGCAGGGCCAGGGTTCAGACCAGGGCCAGAGCAGGGCTGGGACAGGGCCAGGGCCAGAACCAGGAAAGGGCAATGTCAGAACAAGGGCCATGGCAGGACCAGCAACGGGGCTGGGGCCAGGACAGGGACAGGGACCGGGTCAGGGCCTGGGCCAGAATAGCATGCCAGGGTAGAGCCAGGACAAATTAGGGCCAGGACAGGGTCAGGACCAGGGCTGGGCCAGGGTATGGCCTTAAGTAGTGAACGGCCAGGGCCAGGGTCCATGCCAGTGCCAGCGCCGGTCCAGGGCAGAGGCAGGGCCATCGCCAGGTCAAGGACAAGGCTGGGGCAGGGCCAAGGTCTGGGTCAGGGTCAGCACAAGACCAGGACAGAGCCAGGGGAGGGACAGGGCCATGATAAGACCAGGTTAAATCATGGACAAGACACCTGCAAATCCACTTCAGGGCCAGGGTCAGGGCAGGGCCAGTTCAGGGCCAGGGCCAGGGCTGTCAGGGTCATTGGCAGGGCAAGGGCCATGGCAGGGCCAGGGTCAGGAGCAGGGGTCAATGCCAGGCTAAGGCCACAGACAGGACCAGGTCTGTGCTAGGGCCAGTGTGAGGGCCAAGGCAGGGTCATGGCAGGGCCAAAGGGAGGGCAGGGCCAGGGCAGGGTGGAGCAGGCCCAGGGTAGCACAGGGTTAAGGTAGGGCATGACCAACCAGGGCAGGTCTATGGCTGGGGCCGGGGCAGGGCCAGGGCCAGGGCAGGGCCAGAGCCAGGGCAGGGCCAAGACAGTGGCAGCTCCAGGGCAGGGCCAGGGTTAGGACCACGGACATGTCCAAGGCCAGTGCCAGGGCAAGGGCAAGGGCAGGTGCAGGGCCAGGTTCATCTAAGAACCAGGGACAAAGCCAGGCCCAGAGCTGGGCCAGGACAGGTACCTGGCAGGGCTAGGGTCTGGGACAGGGCCATGGCAGGGCCAGGGCCACAACCAGGTCTGTGCTATGGCCAGGTCCAACAGAGTGGCCAGGTAAGGCTAGGGTGAAGGCCAAGGTAGGGCCAGGGCAGGGTCAAAGCCAGGCTAGGGCCAACGCAGGGCCAGGACAGGCAAGACAGGGCCAGGAAAGCATAGGGCCAAGGCAGGGCAGGGCCAGGGAACAGCCAGGGCAGGGCCAGGGCCAGGGCCATGGCCATGGCCTGGGCAGGACCAGGTTCGGGGCAGGAGCAAAACAAGGACACGGTCAGTGCAGGATCTTGGCACAGCCAGGGTCCAGGACAGTGTCAGGGAAGGGCCAAGGCAGGGTCTGGGCCATGGTAAGACCAGCAACAGGGCTGGGGCTAGGCCAGTGACAGGACCAGAGTCAGGGCAAGGGCCAGAGCAGTGCAAGGCCAGGGTAGGGCCAGGCATTTCAGGGTCAGGGCCAGGGGAGAACCAGGGCAAGGTCTCAAGCAGGGAAGGGCCAGGGCCAGGACAGGTCCAGGGCAGGGCCATGACAGGGCCAGGGGCTGCGTTAGGGCAAGGGCAGGGCCAGGGCAAGGTAAGGGTCAGGGCCAAGGCCAGGGTAGGGACAGGGCAAGAAATATGGCAGGACCAGGGGCAATGCCAAGGCCAAGGCTGGGCCAGGGCTGAGCCAGGGCTGAGTCGGGCAGGGCAGGGCAGGGCATGGTATGGCCAGTGCAGGACAGGACAAGAGCCGGTCCACACAGAGAGCAGAGCTGATGCCAAAGAAGAGCCAGGCTAGTGCCGAGGCTGAGGCAGTGTCAGAGCATGTCCAGGGCAGGGCCGGGGCCAGGGCCAGAACCGAGCCAGGGCACAGCCAAGGCAGGGTAGGGCAGGGAAATAGCATGGCCAGGTCAGTACTGGGACAGGGCAGAGCAGGGCAAGGCGATGGTAGCGGCAGGGCAGGGACATGCCAATGCAGAGCTATGTTACGCCGGGGCCAGGACACCTCGAAGTTCACTTCAGGGCCAGGGCTATGGCAGGACAAAGACCAGGGCCAGGGTCAGGGCCAGGTCTGTGCTAGGGCCAGCTCCAGAGCAGGGCCTAGCGAAGACTAGGGTGAGGGCCAAGGTAAGGCCAGGGCAGGGTCAAAGGCAGAGTAGGGCCAGGTCAGGGTGATGACACATCCAGAGCACAGCAGGGCAGGGTGATGGCAAGACCAGGGGCAGACCACTGCCAGCTCAGGACCACGGAAAGGCCAGTGCAGAGCCAGGAAAGGGTCTGGGTCTGGGTCAGGGCCAGGAACAAGGCAGAGCAGGGCCAGGGCCATGGCAGAGTCAGGGCAGGTCCTTGACAGGACCAGGTTCTAGGCCAGGGCCAGGGCAGCAGCAGGGGCAGGGCCTGGATAAGGGCAGGGCCAGGGATATGGCAGGACCAGGGCTAGGGTCAGGGCCAGGCCATAGTGAGGGCAGGGCAAAAGCCAAGGCAGGGTCAGGGCAGGTCCAGGGAGCGGCCAGCACCAAGCGGGGCCAAGGCACAACCAGCGCAGGGTAAGGCAGGGCAATGGCACCACTAGGCCATGACAGGGCAAGGTCAGTGCCAGGAGAGGGTAGAACAGGCAGGCCTATGGTGGGGCCAGGGCAGGGATGGGCCAAAGCAGGGCCAGGACATGTCCAAGGCCAGGTCAGGGCCAGAACAGGAGCAGGACCATGACCATTGGCAGGGCCAGTGCCATGACAGCACCAGGGTCAGGACAAGGGGCAGGGCCAGAGCCAGGGCCGGAGCCAAGGTCAGGCCAGGGCAGGTTCAGGGCAGGGCCAGTGCCAGGGCAAGACCAGGGCAAGGACAGGGTAGCACAGGGCCAAGACAGGGTCAGGATGGGACCAGAGCAGGACAGGGCCGAGACAGTCCAGGTAACAGTAGGGCAGGTACAGGGCAAGGCAGGGCAGTACAAGGTCAGATCCACGGCATGGGCAGGGCAAAGCCATTGCCAATGCGCCAGCCCTCCCTACAAGGCTCCTACCACCTGGCCACTGCTGCAGCCCGTCCATTGCTGTAAGCCTGACCCCCAACCCTGGCTGCAGCCACCTGCCCTCCTAGTGCGGCCGCTCTCCTACCACTCTGGTGCACTGCAGTCTCCGTTGATGCCACCCTCCCGCAGCGAGGCGAGCCGTGGTGTCGCAGGCTCTAGGTGTCTCCTCCTCCTCCTGGCATGGAGCAGCTGGGCGGGCAAAGCCAGAAAAGCCTAGAGGAAGATGTGAGGGGTGGAAGGGTTAGAGCCTCACCCTGTCATGCCGGCCACTGGGTGGCAGGGGCCAGTTTCAGCAAAGGCACTCACACCCACCCTCCAAAGTCCAGCCTCTCCCTTTGGCCCAAGCTGGCCAGGAACTGGGGTCTGGGGTGGGTGCTGGAGACACCACAGCACCCAGCTCCCCACTCCACAGGAACCATTGGGCCCACCAGGGCTGCACTCCTCAGGGAGTAGGAGAAGCAGAAAAATTCAGACCCAGACAGCCCTCCGCACCCAGGTGCCAATTCCTGTTCCGGACGCCTCCACACACAGGGCCCTGTCCCCCGTGGTGTCCCCAGGGGTGCCTGGCAGCCTCTGAGGCACAGACCCAGAGTGCACAGGCCCAGGAACCACGGTGGGTGTGGGGGCTCTGCCATGCTCAGGATTCCCACGCAAACGCTGTGCGCCTGCCGCACCCCAGTATGACCAAGAGTGGGTCGCTCTCTGGAGTGTGGAGTCAGGGAGAGGAGAACCACTCCTTCCTTGGATGCCAACTCTGCTGACCGCCGCCAGCAGTGCAGCCCCTGATAGCACTGAACTCACCCCTCTCCACGGCTAGTCCTGCCCTCAATAGCTCCCCCCACCTCCATCCCCCAATGCCACCAGTAGCGTATACCTGATAGTGCCCTAACCTGTCCTTCTCCATGGGCATTGCAGTCCCAGAAAGCGCCCATAACCCACCCTCCCTGCCATGTGCAGTGCAGCCCTGTACAGTGCTACCAACCAGTACCCCTAATGCAGGCAATGACACCCTGGATAGCGCCCCCAACCCACCCCACACTGCGAAAGGTGCAGCCCTGGATAGCCCCTGTCCTACCACTTTGGTCGTGCTGCAGTCTCTGTCACTGCCACCACCAACCACAGTGAGGCAAGCCAGTGGGCCACAGGCTGTAGCACCCAGCAGCCAGGCATGGAGCAGCTCTCGCTGATGGCCGGCTCCTACCACTCTGACCACGCTGCTGTCTCCGTGGCCATCTTCTTTGACTACAAAGGAATAAAACTAGGTATCAATAAGAAGAGTAATTTTGGAAACAATACAATCACATGGAAGTTAAACACTACCCTCCTGAATAAATGACTAGCGGGTCAATGAAGATACTAAGACAGAAATTCAAAAATTTCATGAAACAAAGGGTAATGAAAACACAGTATACCAAAACTTGTTATGCAGAAAGCAGTACAAAGGCAGAGATTTACAGCTATAAGTGCCTACCATCCAAACAAAAGAAAAACTTTAAATAAACAATACATCTTAAAGAACTATTAAAGTAAAAACAAACTAAACCGAAAATAAGAAAATAAATAAGATCATAGCAGAAATAAAATTGAAATAAAAAACACACATGATTAAATGAAAAGTTGGTTTTCTGGAAAGCTAAACAAAATTGACAAACTTTTAACCAGGCTAACTAAGAAAAAAGAGAAAAGATTCAAATAAATAAAATCAACAGATTAAAAAAAAGGAGACATTACAACTAATACTTCAGAAATTCAAAGGATCATAACTGGCTATTATATGCCAATAAATTGGAAAGCCTAGTAGAAATTGGCAAATTCCTAGATGTATACATCTAGGAATACACCTACTTAGGTTGTATACACCTACTTAGGTTGAATAATGAAAACATCCAAGACCAAAACAGATTGGTAACAAGAAATGAGATTGAAGCCATCAGAAAAAGTCTCCCAATAAAGAAAAGCCCAGGAACTGATGTCTTCACTGCTGATGGCTTCACAACAAACAATTTAAAGACCTAGTACGAATCCTACTCAAACTATTTTGAAAAACAGGAGGGAATACTTCCAAACTTATTCTATGAGACCATTATTACTGTGATACCAAAATCAGACAAAGGCATCAAAGAAGGAAACTACAGGCCAGTATTTCAAATATTGATGCAAAAATCCTCAACAAAATATCAGTGAATCAAATTCAGTAATACATTAAAAAGATAATTCATCATGATCAAGTGCGATGTATCCCTGGGATGCAAGGGTCACTCAACATACAATGTGATACATCATATCAATCAAATAAATGACAAAAACAGTATGATCATGTCAACTGAAACTGAAAAAGCATTTGGTGAAATTCAACATCCTTCATGCTATTAATCCTCAAAGAAACGGGTACAGAAGAAACATACCACAACATAATAAAAACTACAGGAAAGACACCCACAGCTAGAATCATATGGAGGGAGGTCCAGGCTGCAGTGAGCTGTGATCCCACCACTGCACTCCAGCCTGGGCAACAGAGTGAAACCCTGTCTCAAAAAAAATATGTAAAAAGAGGTATGAGCCTCTTTTATAGGTGCAGTGACTCACATCTGTAATCCCAACACTTTCTGGGAGGCTGAGGTGAGAGGATCTCTTGAGGCCAGGAGTTCAAGATCAGCCTGGGCAACACAGCGAGACCCTTTATCTACAAAAAATTTTTAAACATTTGCCAGGTGTGGTGGCACGTGCCTGTAGTCTTAAACAATTATCATATGACCCAGATAGTCTATTCCTTAGGGATATACCCAAGGGAAATGAAAATATACATCCACACTAAAATTTGTACACAAATGTTCATAGCAGCATTGTTCATAATAGCCAAAAATTGGAAAAAAAACTCAAGTGCCTATCAACAGAGGAACTAATAAAATATGGTATATCCATTCAAAAGATTACTCAGCATTAAAAAAGAATGAAGTGCTGATATACGCTACAGCATGGATAAACCTTGAAAACACTGTGCCAAGTGAAATAAGTCAATCACAAAAGACCATATGTAGTAAGATTTCATTCTGTGAAACCTCCAGAAGAGCTAAACTCAGAGACAGAAAGTAGGCTAGTTATTGCCAGGGACTAGGGGAAAAGGGAATAAGGATGACTGCTAATGGGTATGGGATTTCTTGTGGACTGATGAAAATGGTCTGAAAGTATCTAGATACCTGTCTTGTTTGTGCGATTCTGTGAATATATTATAAACCACAAAATTCTGCACTCAAGGGGTTGATTTCATGGTAGGTGAATTTATCTCATTTATCTTTATCTCAATAAAGCTTTTTAAAGACACTTTAAAAAGACATATCTGTATAAGCTACAAAAATAACATACTGAGAGACTAAAATGCCTAATTTTTCCATTTTTCTTCTTCAGCGCAATCTCAAGTCCAAAAGTCTTTCCTTCCTATATATGCGTATTTTGTCCAGTGAAACAAGACACTCTATTAATTTTTTATTAGAAATAAAAAAAAGCCAGGTGTGGTGGCTCACAGCTGTGCTTCCAGCTACTCAGAAGGCTGAGGCAGAAGGATCACTTGAGGCCAAGACTGGGAGTTCAAGACCAGCTGAGGCAACACAGCTAGATCCTGTCTTTAAAAATATTTTTTAGGCCAGGCACAGTGGTTCACGCCTGTAATCCCAGCACTTTGGGAGGCCAAGGAGGGCAGATCATTTGAGATCAGGAGTTCAAAACCAGCCTGGACAACATGGTGAAACCCCATCTCTACTAAAAATATAAAAATTAGCTGGGTGTGGTGGCAGGCACCTGTAGTCCCAGCTACTCGGGAAGCTAAGGCAGAAGAATTGCTTGAGCTGGGAGGGTGGAGGCTGCAGTGAGGCCAAGATCATGCCATTGCACTCCAGCCTGGGTGACAGAGCAAGACTCCGTCTCAGGGAAAAAAAAAAAAAAAAATATATATATATATATATATATATATATATATATATATATATATATATATATTTATACACACACACACACACACATATATTTATATATTTTTTAAGTTAAAACCCTACTGAAATGAAACTAATAAAATAAAATTCAACTTAATTAAAAAACAGTTCCTGAAATATTAATTTTCAAACAATTCTATTTTAGCTTTGACTCTGAACAAAATATAAACCTCAATTTCAAAATGTCACAAAGATTGGCTGGGAGCAGTAGCTCATGCCTGTAATTCCAGCACTTTGGGAGGACGAGGCAGGTGGATCACTAGAGGCCAGGAGTTCCAGAGCAGCCTGGCCAACATAGGGAAACCCAGTCCCTACTAAAAAAATACAACAAAAATTAGCCGGGTCTAGTAACCCCAGCTACTCAGGAAGCTGAGGCATTAGAATCACTGGAATCTGGGAGGTGGAGGGTGCAGTGAGTGGAGATCATGCCACAGCACTCCAACCTGGGTGGCAGCCTGAGATTCTGTCTCAAAAAAATAAAAATAAGGCCAGGTGCCATGGCTCATGCCTGTAATCCCAGCACTTTGGGAGGCCATGGTGGGCAGATCACTTGAGGTCAAGGAGTTTGGGACCAGCCTGGGCAACATAGTGAAACCTTCTCTCTACTAAAAATACATAAATTCGCTGGGCATGGTGGCACACACTTGTAATGCCAGCTACACCAGAGGCTGAGGCAGGGGAATCGCTTGAATTCGGGAGGTGGAGGTTGTAGTGACCTGAGATTGTGCTACTGCACTCCAGCCTGGACGACAGAGTGAGACTCCATCTCAAAAAAAAAGAAAAAAAAAAAGAAAATTTACATTTAAAATTTAAAAAAATCACAGACTACAAATACTCAGGTTTAAGCAAATTCCCACCTTTCTTGAATTAACAGTAATTCATATTTGCTTTGTCAAAAATGTAGATATTTACCTGCCCCAACGGAATGAAATCCTAAAAGCCTAGTGTTCTCAAATGATGAAGAGAAAGAAATATGCATATTTTAATTTAGAATTTTGATTTAGAATTAATTTTAACCTAGCTGGAGTATACATAATCATTTATGTATTTATTTATTTATTTAAGAGACTGGGTTTCGCTGTATTATCCAGACTGGAATGCAGTGGCACAACCTTGGCTCACTGCAACTTGTACTTCCTGAGCTCAAGCGATCCTCCCACCTCAGCCTCCAGGGTAGCTGGGACTGCAAGTGCACGCTACCACACCCAGCTAATTTTTGCGGAGACGAGTCTCGCTATGTTTCCCACACCGGTCTCTAACTCCTTGGCTCACTACAGCCTCAAGCCTCTGGGCTCAAGCAATCTGCCTCCCAAAGTGCTGAGATTACAGGAGTGAGCCACCGCACCCGGCCTAGTGGATAGTGTATACTAAGCAACATATACCCTGCTTTTGCCTAGAACATACTGAAAACATGGCATTAAAAACAATCACAAAAGTTGGGAGCTGAGAAAAATCATATACTGTAAAACAAATCTGACAGATATTAATCTCAAGAAGCTCCTGAAAATGTCTCAAGAACTCCTATGTTGCACTCTCCCTAATAATTTAGACTTTCTACAGATATTTTCTGATCATCTACCGTGTGCCAGGCACCATGCCAGGTACCAAGATGCCATGGTGAGGTATACACAAAAACAGCTCCTGCTTGCAGGAAGCCTACTCTCTAAAACAGTGCTTGCCAAGCTCGACTGATCACAACTTGGGAGCTTGTTTAAGTTCCAAATCGGCTTCCCTGCTTTGGTGAGCCACAATCCGTGGCATTTTTATCAGGTGCTCCCAATGATTCCTACACTCTAACGGGTTTAGGAGACAAGGGTGGGGGTAAGCTCAAGAGCCCAGAGCCATCCCGTCCAGCGGGAGCCCCACCTCTAAAGTCCATGTCGCTCAGCATCCTTCCCCCTGACTAGTGGCCCAAACACAGCACGAAGCTGAGGTGGGTGGAACGCTTTCCAAAACAGTGCTCTGTGATGAGCCACCGACAGACTTGCTCGCCACTGGGGACGAAGAGCTCACTCCTCACAAACCCCACCCGGGAGAGGTAGCACCTGATCCTCCCGGGCTGCGCCGACACCTGTCTCCCCGCGGGTGCCGCCTACTGCTCTGGTGGACTCCAGTCCCCAGCTTCCGCCCCACGGGGACTGGGGGGAGGGGGGAGGCACCGCGCGCATTAGGCGCCGACTGTATACCGACCCCCCCACCCCCGGTGTGTGCAGGCCAACACCCATACACACCCACACACACCCACACACACTCTCGCGGAAACTGAGGCAGGCAGGCGGCCGACCAGGTCCTGTCGCCTGACGGCTCGCGGCTGGGATCGAACCCGGACTGCGAGACACCCTCCGCCTCGCAGGCGCTCCTCAGTCGCTGAGGCCCGGCCCGGCTCCCACCGCCGGAGTTTGACAAAGAAAGTCTCCCGGCCCGAGCCCCTCACGCACTCACCGGCGCCGACGCTGGCGGCGACTCGGTCTCCCGCCGCCTTCAGCTCCTTGCGGGGGTCGGCCCTTGGGCCGGCTCGGGCGCCGGCGGCGGCCACTGCTCCATATCCACGGGGTCCGGGCCGCGTCCGCCTCGAGCTAACGGTCCCACCAGCTAGGCGCGTGCGCCGGTTCCGCGCGCCATGTTCCCGCCGTGCTGCGCGCCGCCGCGGCGACCCTCACTGCCCCCCAACCGCGCACGCCCCCGCAGGCCCACACACGAACCGCGCACGCGCGCGTTCGACGCGCCCCGCTCCCCGCGCGCCCGGCCTCGGGCCCTCTGCAGCTGGCCGCTGTTCCCAGTGTCTCACCCACCCCCGCCGGAACCGTCCGACTGGGCGGGTGAGCGCGCGGTTCCCGACTCAGCACCGCCGCCTGCCTCTCTGCAGACCACCCCTGACCCGACCTCTCGGCCATTTCCCCACACTGCCCCTTTCACTTCCCCCATGGCGCGGGGCCTAGGACGAGGGTCTGGGCCAAGAAGAACTTCCCCGCAAGAAGTGCCGAGCTAAGGACGCTACTAAGGGGGTGGGATCGCCACCGTGGAGGTGTGCAAGCACGTGCCTGCGTCCCGGTGACAGCCAGACTCAACGGAGAAGCTGAGTTCAAGTCCCACATCTCCACTAACCCTTGCGTGTTAGGGTCAGGGCTTCGGGACTTGTTTCTCCTAAATCTTTTTTTTTTTTTTTTTTGAGACAGTCTCGCTCTGTCACCCAGGCTGGAGTGCTGTGGCGTGATCTCGGCTCACTGCAAGCTCCGCCTCCCGGGTTCACGCCATTCTCCTGCCTCAGTCTCCCGAGCAGCTGAGACTACAGGCGCCCACCACCACGCCTGCTAATTTTTGTATTTTTAGTAGAGATGGGGTTTCACAGTGTTAGCCAGGATGGTCTCCATCTCCTGACCTCATGATCCTCCTGCCTCGGCCTCCCAAAGTGCTGAGATTACAGGCGTGAGTCAGCGCGCTCGGCCTGTTTCTCCTAAATCTAAAGACTCAATATAATAATCAAGAGAACGCCTCAGCACCGCGCCTAGCACTTAGTAGGTAGTGATCGAGAGAGAAGACCTCTTAAGTGGTTTTAATGGTTAAGGACCACAGGTTCTCAAGAAAGGGAAATCTCAATTCGAGTCCCACCTCCATCTCTTGAAAACTGAGAAACCTGGAACAAGTCACTCAGAGGAGCCAAAGATCCTTGATTTCTACATGTGCAAAAGGGGAGTGTGGCAGTAGCACTGCACAGGGCTGACTGAGCTTTCAGGGAGATGATGACTGTACGATCATGCCTCTCTTAATCACGGGATGGTTCTGAGAAATGCCTCCTTAGGTGATTGCATCATTGTGCAAACAGCAAAGTGCATTTACACAAACCTTGTATAGCCTTGTACAGTCTACTACACACCTAGGCTGTATGGTGTAGCCTATTGCTCCTAGGCTACACACCTGTACAGCCTGATACTTTACTGAATATACTATAAGCAGTTGTAACACAATGTAAGTACTTGTGTACCTGAACATAGAGAAGGTACAGTAAGAATAGAGTATAAGAGATTTTAAAATGGTACTCCTGTATAGGGCACTTACCATGAAAGGAGTTTGCAGGACTGGAAGATGCTGTGGTGAGTCAGTGAGTGTGAAGGCATAGGACCTTACTGTACACTACTGTAGACTTTATAAACACCATATGCTTAGGCTACACCAAAATTTTTTAAAGCTTTTCTTCAATAAATTAACCTTAGCTTACTGAAATGTATCTTAAAAAATTTTGCCGGTCGTGGTGTCTCACACCTGTAATCCCAGCACTTTGGGAGGCTGAGGCAGGCAGATCATTTGAGGTCAGGAGTTCGAGACCATCCTGGCCAACGTGGTGAAACCCTCATCTCTAATAAAAATACAAAAGTTAGCCAGGCATGGTGGTGTGCACCTGTAGTCCCAGCTACTCAGGAGACTGAGGCAGGAGAATCGCTTGAACCCAGGAGGCGGAGGTTGCAGTGAGCCGAGATCGCACCATTGCACTCCAGCCTGGGCAACAAGCATACGACTTCATCTCGATTAAAAAAAAAGAAAAAAGAAACAGAGAAAAGGTGGCTAACTCTCCACAGCGGGAAAAATGTCCCAGGAAACCACAGCCTCCACATTAAATATTCAAATGAGCTAAAACCCATCTAGGACAATCTCAGCCTTATTCCTTTAAACATGCAAACCAACTAAATTCCCAACAAACCCCCTACACCAGGCCAGCCAAGTCTCAGAATGCTTATATACCCTTTAATAGAAATTTCCAACCACATCCCCATTTCCTAAGGAAATGGCTGTGTGCCCTTGATTCTGCCCTGACTGAATCGCCAGTGGCCATTGAACCACGGCACTCAATTCATGGCATGGCCAGCGAGCTACAAAGTGTCCTAGCATCAACCAAGCAAAGTTATAAAAGCAGATTCAGTGGACAATAAGGAACATTAGAGTCAAAAAGACCTGGGTTGGGTCCCAGCTCTGCCATTTACCAGCTGTGCGACATCAGAAAAGTTACCTTCGTCCTCTAACTTTGGTTTCCTCACCTGTGACATGACAGTGGCTAGAGGACCTCACTCATAAAATCACTGTGAGGACAAGAGCAGCCAAGGGTAAGTCTTTGCACAGGGCTTCCCTGGTCATTATTGGGTCAACAAGACAGAACCATGCCTTATCTCCACTTCCAAAACCCAAACAGCTCTCAAAAACGAGTCATTGTAGCTCATTTGGAAGAAAAGACTGATATGAATCAATATGCAACTACCTATAATCTTTCTCTATCCCTCTTGCTGTGAATATTTGCTGTGGAAATATTAACATGTTTGGTCTCCACTTGGGTAGGACTCCACATGTGTAGGACTCCGCTGAGGTGCTACACATACACATAGTAGATATGCCTTACCACCTTCCTAAAATTGGGTAATTAAATTTCACAACTTATCTAGCCCAAAGGTTTCAGAGACTGTAGACCTGTATCTTTATGAGGGCAAGGATGAGAATATAACCTGGCCTGTTATTATGCACCAAGGTACCTGCTGTTCTCATGAAGATGTCAGCAGCCAGCCAGCCAGTCTCTACAAACTCCACCCCCAACCTTGCTATGCTCCTTTCCCTGGAACTTTCCAAGGGGCCCTTAGAATTTGTATTCAGCTCTCACAGGCTGAGACCAGGGTGACATCCTGGGAAACCTGCCTAGTGATAGCCAAGGTGTAGCTCCAGATGAAAGGCACACAACAACTTTAAATATAAAAAAGCCATTCAGGCTAGGCGCAGTGGCTCACGTGTGTAATCCCAGCACTTTGAGAGACCGAGGCAGGTGGATCACCTGAGATCAGAAGTTCAAGACCAGGCTGGCCAACATGGCAAAACCCTGTCTCTACAAAAAAATATAAAAATTAGCTGGGCATGGTGGTGCATACCTGTAATCCCAGCTACTCGGGAGGCTGAGGCACAAGAATCGCTTGAACCTGGGAAGCAGAGGTTGCAGTGAGCCAAGCTTGCACCACTACACTTCAGGGTGGGCAACAGAGTGAGACTCCGTCTCAAATAAATAAATAACAAAGCCATTCAACTAAAGAACCGATTATCAAGCAGAAGCACAAAGCCCAGGTTCCATCAGGTTTTTAATTGTACATCAGTGACTGTGAAAAAGCAATTATTTCCATAATTAAAATACACACTATAAAAAACAGACTCAAAGAAAAGAAAGATGACAGAGTGAAAGAAGGTACATTTCTTTCATGTTCAAACCACGGAGTTCACAACACAGCAGCACACACAGCCGGGCGCTTTGTGGTCTCGGCACCCTCGGCTTCCCCTTCATGAGGCCACTTTCGACTAGTAGAAGGCTGAAAATAAAGGAAAATGGAGAAATGTTCAAAAGAAAATCACTGGCTTCTTTAAGATTATCAAAGTTCCTCAATATACTTCCAGTAAAGTGGGGGCATTTGATGTGAAATTCTAGTACCAAAAATTACTGGTCGTCATCATTGACAACTGAGTCCTCACCACAGCCCGCAACTCAGACATGCTTATCTAATAGATATTTCTCTCCCTATGGCTTCTGACCTCTGAACGATGTATACTGAAAGCAAGTAGCATAACCAACTTCCTCTTGATCGTCCTCTTCTAAATATCAAGTTTAAAAGGACTATAATACCTCTCAGTTGAAGCCCCAAGTCTTGGTCTTTTGCGGGAAGACAACCTTTGTGCCTTAGTTGTTTTCCCATATATAAAATTGGGAGGAAGGCTGGGTGCGGTGACTCACGCCTGTAATCCCAGCACTTTGGGAAGCCGAGGTGGGCAGGTCGCTTCAGGTCAAAAGTTCGAGACAAGCCTGACCAACATGGCAAAACCCCATCTCACCTAAAAATACAAAAATTAGCTGGGCGCAGTGGTGGACACCTGTAGTCCCAGACACTCGGGAGACTGAGGCAGGAGAACTGCTTGAACCCAGGAGGCAGAGGTTGCAGTGAGCTGAGATTGCACCACTGCACTCTGGCCCGAGTGACAGACTAAGACTCTGTCTCAAGAAAATAAAAATCGGGGCAGCGGGGAGGAAACAGTGGGAAAAAGGACAGCTACCATTCAACAACAACAACAACAACAAAGTAGGACTGGAATTAACTTATACTCACAAAGAACTTTAAAGAATAAACTTGTAATCAAGGAATCAACTACTGACCCAAATTTTAATTTTTCCAACAAATTTATATTTGAGCCCCTAATAGAGTCTTTCGAAATTGCCTTGCAGGTGACCTTTTGGATGACAATCCCTAGCTGTGCTTATCTGTCTATTAGGTGTTAGATATTAAACATATCCTGCGTTTTTAAATCTAAGGGTGCTGGAGTGAATCAAGTTCAAACAGAGTTTCTACTACATTATAACTGAAACAATGTTAAGCAATTGCTACTCAGGAAAATCTTGAATTTCATCATCTTTGCTTATCATCTCCTTAAGCCCAGACTACATTTAGTGATCATCAGGAATATGAATACCTGGGCTAGAACCTGGAGTAGAGCTGTGGATTCATTTTCCTCACACAGAAGATCTTGAAACTTTCTCTTCATGTCTTCATCCTGTGAGGGAATTAAAAACATAAGTAGCTGTGTCTGAAGGATAATAAACTCCTAGAATGACAGGGCTAGCATGCCTCTGTGGAAAGAGGGAGGAAAAAATGTCCGTCCAAGAATCATCCCCTTGATGAAGCTCCCACAGTGAAGGCATTATGTGTTGCCCCCCTCTACCTTCCCACAGGAGTCCAATCAGCAGTCAATGCTCCATCGATCCTGGCTGAGTCACATCCACATGCCTAAAAGCTCTCAGTGGGTCAATCACAGCCTCCAGCAGTCAAGAGTTTCTGAATTAGCATCCCAGATCCTGAGAAAGGTGACAATCAGGGGGCCAGGGGCTGGGTCTCACTCCGTGCAGCTCCTCAAATCCTTCCAGGACCGCTCTCCACCTGCTGCCCCTGCCATGAATGAGGCCAGTCACCCAGGCTGTCTTAACAACCAGCCCAGCACCCTAGGAAAATTCACCCAGCAGATGCCATAGAAATTTTCAGAAGTACTTAAGCCCACAGTATCCCAGAGTTCAGGTCTAATGAGAAAGGGAGACAATAAACAGAACAAAGCATTACAGGTGTTTCATGCTGCAGGAGCGGGAGATGAGCAGGGCACAGACAGTGTGTATACGGGTAGCTCCCACCTCTCTGGATGCTCACTTCTGCAGGGTTCAAGGATTTGCATTAGGAAACCCTGAGAGGTGGTCCGGTGCAGCTCTCCCCATCTTCAGCAAGGTGAAAGGAACATCTATATCTAGTAATGTGGCCTTTGAGTGCTGGCCAGAAGCCCAGCTCAGCCACTCACAGGTGGCATGTGCGGAATACAGACCCAGAGTTATCTGATTCCAGTGCCTCATGTACTTTCCCACCCAACTCCAGCCCCTCCTCCCACTGAGCCAAGCATACCACAGTGGGGAAAGGGAGAGGATACAGCAAAGTCCTCCACCATTTGGCAACTTGATGGATATGGAAATTTTACAACACTAGGTTGGGCATGGTGGCTCATGCCTATAATCCCAGCACTTTGGGAGGCCAAGGTGGGATAATTGCTTGAGGCCAGGAATTTGAGACCAGCCTGGGCCACATACTGGGACTTTGTCACTACAAAAAAATTTAAAAATTAGGCCAGGCATGGAGGCTCACGCCTGTAATCCCAGCACTTTGGGAGGCCAAGGTGGGTGAATCACCTGAGGTCGGAAGTTTAAGATCAGCCTGGCTAACATGGTTAAACCCCATCTCTACTAAAAATACAAAATTAGCCAGGCGTGGTAGTGCATGCCTGTAATCCCAGCTACTCAGGAGGCTGAGGCAGGAGAATCACTTGAACTCGAGAGGCGGAGGTTGCAGTAAGACAGGATCACACCACTGCACTCCAGCCTGGGCAAAAGAGTACGACTCTGTCTCCAAAAAAAAAAAAAAAAAAATTAAATTAGCCAGACATGGTGGCATGCACCTGTAGTCTCAGCTACTTGGGAGGCTGGGGCAGGAGGATCACTTGAGCCTGAAAGTCATGGTGCAGTGATCATGCCACTGCACTCCAGCCTAGGTGAGACAGCAAGACCCTGAGGAAGGAAGGAAGGAAAGAAGCAAGGGAGGAAAAAGGGAGGGGGGATGAAAGAGGGGAGGAAAAAGGAATGGAGGAGAGGGGAGGGGGAAGGAAGGAGGAAGAAAGAGAAAGAAAGAAGGACCAGGCACAGTGGCTCACACCTGTAATCCCAGCACTTTGGGAGGCCAAGGCAGGGCAGAACACTTGAGTTCACCATGTTTTGAGTTTCTCAGTGTAGCTCCCCATTGCCATTTGACAGCAGCAAGCTCATCTGGATTCCTCTCCCCACCCTCTCACGGCTTTACTTAGGATCTCAATTATCTTGCAGTGTCACTCTCAAAAGTCCATCTCTTGGCAGCCCTTCAGTGAAGCCAAACAGAGTAGTCACAAGCCTAATCAGGCCTATATTTAAAACAAGTCATCAGGTCAGGCACAGTGGCTCATGCCTGGAATCCCAGCACTGTGGGAGGCCAAGGTGGGTGGATCACCTGAGGTCAGGAGTTCGAGACTAGTCTGACCAACATGGTGAAACCCCATCTCTACTAAAAATACAAAAATGATCTGGGCATGGTGGCAGGCACCTGTAATCCCAGCTACTTGGGAGGCTGATGCAGGAGAATCACTTGAACCCAGAGATGGAGGTCGCAGTGAGCTGAGATCACACCATTGCACTCCAGCCTGGTAGACAAAAGCGAGACTCCATCTCAAAAAAGGAAATAAATAAATAAACATTGATTTTCTTCATGATGTCTACAATTATTCCAAAATATTAAATTAGCTAGGAACAGTGGCTCATGCCTATTATCCAAGCACTTTATGAGGCTGAGGCGGGAGGATCCCTTAAGGCCAGGAGGTCGAGGCTGCAGTGAGCTATAATTGCACCAGTGCACTCCAGTTTAGGGAACAGAAGAAGACCTTGTCTCCAACAATAAATAAAATAAAAATTAAATTATAATATCCCTTGAAAGCAAACAGAAGAAATCCTCTATTTCAGGCAGTAAATATGAAGCAGAGAGTAGATGTAAGGGATGCTCCCAAAACTGGCCACTCTGTTAATGACAAAACAGAGACCAGAATCCACATTCCCAACACTCAGTCCAGCGCCAGACCCACAAAACCATTTGGTTTTTGCAAAAACACTGAATTTTCCCAAAATAAAACCCAAACTATCACTAACAGATGTTTTAGATGGTCAGTCTTCATCCTTGTCTTCATTCAATGCTCATTCCTCCTTTTACTGCAAAAACAAAAGGTGGCTAAAAGAGTATTCCAGGGAGATCCTGCAATGGAGTTGAACTTCACCTTCTCCTTGGTTGTTAATAAGTTTTCTTTGAGACAAAGAAGTACAAGAAAAATAGGCTACGCTTGCTCATAAATTTCAGGCAGATGCAAACCCTGTTCCCAGGCTCAACAGGCCAGCTCTATTTTTTTGCTAGAGATGAACACAGCTCCTGTACCTCTACATTTAGACCCAAGAGTTTCCCTATTAGGACACATGAAAAGAGCCAAAAGACATGTTTCTCTTTCTCATCAAAATTAAAATCCCCACATGCAAAGGCACCCTTTGTTTCCAAACCCCTTTCCTCCAGGGTCCCGCTGTTTCAAATCTCTGTGGTCTATTAAATGCTAAATCATCTGACAGATTTCTTCTGGGGAGACTATAGTTTCCAGGGCAACATCCAAAACACATATATATATATATCTGTCTTTTTTTTTAAGTTTTTGTTGTTCTCAACCTGAGCTGGCCTGAGCAAAACTGTTAGGTGTAGAGGATTAGAACAGAGAATGGGGACAGTCTTCCCAGAGTTCCAGAAGTACGGGGCTGAGGCTGGATTGCCCAAGGAGTTCCTGGACCAGTAATCCCCAGAGAAACAGCATTTAGCTCAAGTAACAGCCTCTAGCTCAAGCTACCAGTTCTGTCCCCCATCTCCACAGAAAACGGATTGATACAGTTTGGCTTTGTGTCCCTACCCAAATCTCATCTCAAATTGTAATCTCCAGGTGTTGAGAAGGGGACCTGTTGAGAGGTGATTGGCTCATGGGGGCAGTTTCCCCCAGGCTATTCTCATGATAGTGAGTTCTCATGAGATCTGACAGTTTCATAAGAGGCTCTTCGCCCTTCACTTCCTTCACAAGCTCTCTCACCTGCTGCCATTAAGACATGCCTTCTACCCCTTCCACCATGATTGTAAGTTTCCTGAGGCCTCCCCAGCCATGTGGAGCTGTGAGTCAAGTAAACCTCTTTTCTTTATAAATTACCAAGTCTTGGGCAGTTCTTTATAGCAGTGTGAGAACAGACTAATACACAGACCAAAAGAAAATTAATAGAAAGGGGCATGGCTGTACTGAATGGAACTGCTCATTACAGAAGACCAGACATCTATCAGAAAAACCTGCCCAATGCCGTAGCTAATTCCAAAACTAAAGATTAACCCAGCAAAGCCACAACGTACTTCCAACTCTTGGCAGTTCCAAATGAGGTCAGCATTTAATAATGGCAGCCCCAACCCCTAGCAGGAGTACAGCAGTAACACAGATGAAAGGTGCAGGTGACAGCCTTCACTAAGGACACATTTACTCACCTGAATGAACAAGCAGTGGGACCCTTTATACCGAGTCACTTGGGCTTGAGAAATAGCTGGATTCTCCCCAGGGAGGCTGCCCTCCTCCCCCTCCCCCACTTCCCTGATTTAAGGTTGAAGATGGCTAGAATGCACCCCACCTATGAAGAGCAGTGGACATGGCTGGGAGTAGAGCCAGAACAAGCCCTCAAAAGAACACAGGCCAAACTGGAGACTCGGGGCAGCCAAGTGGAACCAGAACAGGACATAAAGTGAGCTTGTACATCCAACAGCCATGAGTAATATCAAAAAGGTTGTAGCCTGGCCAACACAGCGAAACCCCATCTCTACAAAAAATACAAAAAGTAGCTGGGCGTGGTAGCATGCACCTTTAATCCCAGCTACTTGGGAGGCTGAGGCAGGAGAATCACTTGAACCCAGGGTGCAGAGGTTGCAGTGAGCTGAGATTGTGCCACTGCACTCCAGCCAGGGTGACAGAATGATAACCTGTCTCAAAAAAAAAAAAAAAAAAAACAGGTTGTAACCTGTCCAAGATACCCCCCATACATCTAAAACAATTAAACACATTCAACAAAGTAAACATGTTTCTGTCCTCTGTCTCATGTCTCTCAGGCAGCAGGGCTTCCCATGTATTTTATGCTAGCAGGCACTGTCCCACACCCACCTGAAGCCACAGTGTCTTAAGGCTTCTTCTGTTGTAAAACATGCCTTTGGATCCACTACCAACAACTTCTTGACAAGGTCCAGAGCTAAAGCAACAATTGGGCAAATCACAGTGAAAAGGATAAATATATTATCAGTAACAGTATGCCAGAATTAACAGGCCACCATCCAGAAAGAGCAGAGAGGGTCTGAGATCGTCAGGGAGTCAGCAGACAGGGCCCCCTAATCTTCCTCACTCTCTGTATTCAGAGTACTGTGAGAAGACCAGGAATGATAATGACACTCCCTGTCTCCTGTTGCTGGGACATCAGTCACGACCTCTTCGCTGCCTGTTCCCTCTCTTGTTGCTAGACTCAAGGTCAAACTAATTAAAGCTAAACTTCTACCCAATTCTAAGATAATTGGGATGCACAGCAAACTCTCCCTGACATCTACAGATGGATGGGTGACAGTTACTCAGCCAGGGAGAGGCTCCCTGGAACTGCAGACTTGTCAGAAATAAAACTTGACTACTCCAGCAAGCAACAAATGCATGCTGGCCTGTATATCACAACATTATTATTCCTGAAATATTCTGACATTTAACACAATTACCTATGTTACGTTATTTGACATTTAATTTTCTATTTTCTCTTCAGGGAACTAAAGTTGCCAGGACAAATTATAAAATACAAGGTAACTAAAGACATATAGTTTTTACACGCTTGCTTACTCAAAGGAAACCTTGTAACTAAAAAGTTACAAATGCATTTATTTTGCTCAGTAAAATAGGTACAAGGCACTTGTTTACATTATACCTAACCCTCAAAAAACCTTTTAAGGTAGGGATTATTGAGGGTCCCTTTACACAGAAAGAAATTGGAGACGGAGGTTAAATAACTTGCCTAAGGCCACACAGCTAAGTAGTAGCAGACCCAGGACCTGAGTGCATGCTCTTAATAATTTCCAGTGCCTCTCAAATGGTGTGAAACTAACGATAGAAAATAAGAACAGAATTGACAGGAGAAAACACCATGGAATTTGGAAAGAAACTCCCACCACAGGACACACACATTTTAGCATACCACAAATTCTTAACCCTTTCATATTCATACCTTTCTCTGAGACTTCTGCCCAGACTTTAGGAATGAAGTTGTGTTTTCCACTGGTGATCTGGTCCTTCAGTGACACTTGAGTCCTGTGCTCAGAGAAAGGTGGATACCCACTAAGGCTTAATATTGGTAGAGAGAGAAAGGAAAAGAAATCAAGTGGCATTCTCAGTGGCATTCAGATATAAAGATTTCTTTTTCAGCATAATGAAAAGTCAGATTTTTCTTTAAATCAATGGTCAAAAAGTGAGCTAGGCTGGGCACAATGGCTCATGCTTGTAATCCCAGCACTTTGGGAGGCCGAGGCAGGAGGATCACTTGAGCCCAGGAGTTCAAGACCAGTGTGGGCAACATGGCAAAACCCCATCACTACAAAAAATAGAAAAATTAGCTGGGCATGGTGGTGTGCGCATGTAGTCCCAGCTACTCAGGAGGCTGAGATGGGAGGATCACTTGACCCAGAAGGCAGAGGCTACAGTTAGCCAAGATCAAGCCACTGCATGCCAGCCTGGACAACAGAGCAAGACACATTTGTGACTTCATCTAATCACCTCCTACCAGTCTGTGAAGCAATGAAAATATTTCTTACCAGATAAAAAGAATAACTCCTAAACTCCAGCAGTCCACAGCACGGTTATACCCAGCAGTCCCAACAGAAACAAGAACTTCAGGAGCCAAGCAGGTGGGGGTTCCACATAAAGTTCTCATGAGAGAGGTCTCTCCCAAAATCTTGGAGTGCCCAAAATCAGTAATCTAAAATTCAGTACAAAAGGGAATAATGTTGAACTTGTCATAAAATAAAAAGATTAACATAGTCTGCCAGTCCAAGAAGACATGTAGGCTAGATCAGTTTCTATTGTACAATTCACACCTGCCATTAATCTGGAATCTACAGATTCATGTCTTTGCAAGTTAAGACATTTAACTTTGGTTAAATTAAAATTCCTGAGCCTAGGAATCTCAACACTCAGGCTTTCCAACTTAATCTATGTCCTCTGTAATCTTACAAAAAGCTTATTACCTTTATCACAGACACTTCAGGATTCTCATTAGTTCTACATGGTTCTTAGACCCCACTGTCTCAAACTTGGCTGTGCTATGGAATACCTGGGGAGCTTGGAAACACGTGCTTATACCTGAGTGCCACTCTCAGGTTCTGAGGTAAAGCCTAGGTGTCATAAATTCTAACAAGAGATTCTAAAGTGATGCCAGGCTTGATAAACAGGGAAAGGGAGGGCATGTGATTACACTCATTCATTCATTCATTCATTCACCTATTCTGCCCAAAGCGATGCAGTGTTCCCAAGGTCTGTGCTGAGGAGAACGCTGCTCTGCCTTCGCTGTGTCCCCCGGGTCTGTGCTGAGCAGAACGCAGCTCCGCCCTTGCGGTGCCCCCGGCCCACCCGTCCGCCCGGGTCTGTGCTGAGGAGAACACTGCTCCGCCTTCGCTGTATCTCTGAAGTCTGTGCAGAGGAGAACTCAGCTCGCCCTCACGATGCAATCCGGGTCTGTGTTGAGGAGAACGCAGCTCCGCCCTCGCAAAGGCGCACAGCACCGGCGCAGGCGCAGAGAGGCGCACATTTTATGAATAGAAAATCAGTTTCTCCCTGTTCCTCCTACGTCGAGGCCGGACACACGTTTACAGGGGATCAGTGTGAAGGGAAGCTGGTGAGGCTGCCTGGGAAGCCCCCTGCCTGCATCTCCCAGTGGACTCCTTGGGAGCGCCCCCTCCCCACCTCTGCCCATCAGCGCCTGAACCGTGGCCACTTGCACTCCTGTTGCCTCCCCAGTGGCTTGAACTCCAGAACTTGCCACCCTTCAGTGGAATTCCTGGAGGAGTGAGGAGCTCTGTGCTATGCTTGGCCACCGAACATGGGCCATCTCTCCTATTATGGTTTGAAATGTACCATAGTGTCTTGTTTGGTAATTGTATAAAAATATGGGGAGACTGTGCGGGTGTCTGCTAGCTTGTCTGCTGGTTCTTACTCATGGTGCCTTCTTCCCTTTCAGACTTGGATATCTTTGTGTGCTTCTTGGGGCCCTTGGAAGGGTGTCTGTGGGGTTTCCGTGAGGCCAAAGACAGAGGTTCCTTCTCACAAGGATGGTGTTTGCTTTCACATGGACAGCCCAGACCACCTGGAACCAAGTGCACAGAAGCCCCACCATCCCTGGGCCTCCCAGGTGTGATGGGTGAGGGGTCCAAGTCCGCCGGAGATCCAAGGCTCTTTGTGGTTGAATCTGTGAGTTTCCTTTCCTTTTTTCCTCCCACTCCTTTTAATGCTAATGAATTCCTTGTTTTGGGGCAGGGACCAGGGTTATCTCTGCTTCTGTCTTCACCCAGGTGAGGCCTTTCAGGCTCCCAGCTTGATATGGGGGTGAATCCCCTATCAGCCTCCTCATACCTTGACCTCTGTCTACCCCCCTACTCCCTCCAAGGTCGAAGCCCAACTTGTCAGGTTGGCAAATGCTCACAAGCAACAGTGGCCCCAGCGCTCCTCTCTAGGTTCTTGGTTTTCCCCTGAAACTTGGCCTGGAGGTTTCCCACTAGCTTAGCAGCCCTTTGATGCTTTTAACGTAATTTTGTTATTGTCTTATCCAAAATTCTTGCTTGTTTTCAGAGGGAAAGCGGGTCTGCCATTACTGCACAGAGAATCTGGGACAGTTATTATAACCATAGAAATTTATTTTCCATGTGCTGTCCCATCTTCTTGATGAGACAGATGTTTAACAACTGGAGAACTGGACCCCATCTTTGTCCCCATCTTGCCTAGCAACAGAAGGTGGTCACTAACCAGGGATTTTCGAGCCCATTGCTTAAGGCCGTTGTTGACCCAAAGGATAGTGGGTCCCTGCTCCTCTTCCTACGGAGAGGCCCAGGTGCCCAGAGGGCCCTCCTGGCTCGGCTGCCTACTTGAGTGGCTGATGAAGTGTCTGCTGTGCGCACAGGGCACCCAGCCCCGCTCCTCCCCAGGCAGCCCCTCGAACAGCTGTTCCTCTACTGCTTCAGCTGTGGACCTGAGGCTGAGAGTCTGAGCCATCGACCTGAGCCACATGCGGGGGAGTGGCAGGCCTGGACCCGGTGCCCAGACCTGGCTCACGTGACCTTACTTTTTCCACTGTGCCTGCTGCTCCCTCCCGGGCTCTGTGACCTTGGGCAGCCATGGCCATTGTGCACCCATTCCCAGCTGTAAAATGAGAGGCTGGGCTGGCTGATCTCAAATGTCCCCTGCCAGCCTGAGATTCTGCGTTGTGTCCTGGGGTGTGACCGTGACATGCCTCCAAAGGCAGCTGCCAGTGCTCACGAGGGAGGCCTTTTTCCTGAGTTAAGGCAGGTAGGGGGACTGGGGGTGAGTTGAGGGACTGGGAGGTGGGGGAAGCACACAGACAGTCCTCCCCAGCTGAACCCTCATGGTGAATTACCTTCAGTCCCAGGCTCAGTGCTTTGGAAATGCTCTCAGGCCCAGCACCCAGACCTGGAACCAGCCTCCAGGCCCCTGGCCCTCCCTTTCTCTACTGGAATCTTCCAGACCGAGGCAGGTCAGCTGAAAGTCACTGACTCTGCCTTCCACAAACTCATAGCTGACAGACCATTCCATGTCCCCTCCCAGCCCCGTCCCAGGAGGGGAACTCACTTCGCCTTCCCACCCTCCAGGCCGACTCACTGTCCGTCACTCTCTGGGTCCCACCCACTGTCCCACCGACTTCATTGGTCTAAAAATATGCTCTGGCGTCTTGTTGGAAAGCAGAAGGAATCATGGGCCCTGCTGATAAGGTGAAGAAAGTGACCCGAGGGGGCAAACTTACAGACGGGACATGCTTTAGCAAAATAACAAAACAGCGGGACCTGAAGGCTGGCTTCCCAAGCCTCCTCAAGGCCTTGTGCCAGGAAGAGGACCCTCGGGCTTAGGGAAGTGAAAACCAGGCTCGGGTCCCTCACCCAGACCCTTCTGCCCACTTTGGGAGGGAGCCCAAGAAGTCAGCTAGGGAGGGACCTCCCGGTGGGACCTGAGTCCTGATTGGAACTTTCTGGGGGCTTTCTTGGCATTTTACGTGTGTTGTCACAACTCCTTGATGGGGGAGTTAAGCATGGTCTGTGGGATTCCACTGGGAGAGGACCCCTAGAAGCCTGGGCCGGGCCTCCTCCCAATTTCACCCCATATGCCTTTCCCTTTGCTCATTATGCTTTGTGTCTTTTGCTGTAGTAAACCACAGCCATGACTTTTGCAAGCCCTCCTAGATTAACACTGAACTTGGGGGTGGTTTTAGGGACCCTGACATACCTATGGATGTCTGCCTGCTTTAGCGCTATTTGTTGAAACAATAATCTTTTCCACATTGAATTGATTTGGCACTTGTGTTCAAATCAGTTGTAAAGATTTGCTACATAAATGTAAACATTTATTCCTGGACTCTTTTTTTTTTTTTTTTTTCCTGAGACGGAGTCTCGCTGTCACCCAGGCTGGAGTGCAGTGGTGCGATCTCAGCTCACTGCAAGCTCCGCCTCCTAGGTTCACGCCATTCTTGTGCCTCAGCCTCTTGAGTAGCTGAGACTACAGGTGCTCAGCACCATGCCCGCCACCACGCTCTACTAAAAATACAAATTTTTTTTGTATTTTTAGTAGAGACGGGGTTTCACCGTGTCAGCCAGGATGGTCTCGATCTCCTGACTTCATGATCCGTCTGTCTTGGCCTCCCAAAGTGCTGGGATTACAGGTGTGAGCTACCACACCCAACCTATTCCTGGACTCTTACTCTGTTTCATTGCCTATCTTTATGTCAGTACCATGCTATCTTGATGACTATGGCTTCTTAGTAAGTTTATTTTTTATTTTTTATTATTTTTTTGGGATGGAGTTTTGCTCTTGTTGCCCATGCTGGTGTGCAATGGTACAATCTTGGCTCATTGCAGCCTCTGCCTTCCGGGTTCAAGTGATTCTCCTGCATCAGGCTCGCGAGTAGCTGGGATTATAGGCATCTACCATCATGCCTGGCTCATTTTTTGTATTTTTAGTAGAGATGGGGTTTCACTGTGTTGACCAGGCTGGTCTCAAACTACTGACCTCAGGTGATCTACCCACCTCAGCCTCCCAAAGTGCTAGGATTACAGACATGAGCCACCATGCCCAGCCCAGCTTCTTAGTAAATTTTAAAATCAATATGTCTTCCAACTCTGTTATTTTTCAAAATTATTTTGCCTACTGTAGGTTTTTTTTTTTTTTGCATTTCCATATGAATTTTAAGATCAGCTTGCTGATTTTTATTAAAAAGGTTAGTGGGATTTTGATTGAGGTTGCATTGAATGAATGTACCAACTAAGGAGGCTTGACATCTTGACAATAATGAGCCTTCCCATCCGTAAACATGGAATAGCTCTTCTTTTAATATATCTCAGCATTGTTTTGTAGTTTTCAGTTTACATGTCTTGTGATTCTTTTGTTTATTCCTGAGTATTTTATTCTTTTTGATGCTATTGTGAATGGAATGGTTTTCTCAATTTCAAGATTGTTCATTGCTAGTATATAGAAATCGAATTGGCCAGGCACAGTGGCTCATGCCTGTAATCTCAGCACTTTGGGAGGCTGAGGCAGGAAGATTGCTTGAGCCCAGGATTTCTGGGCCAGCCTGGGCAACATAGTGAGAGTCCATCTCTACAAAAAAATACAAAAATCAGCCAGTGTGGTGGTGTGCACCTGTAGTCCCAGCTCCTTGGGAGGCTGAGGCTGCAGGATGGCTTCAGCCTGGGAGGTTGAGGCTGTAGTAAGCCATAATGGTGACATTGCACTCCAGCCTGGCTGACAGAGTGATACCCTGTCTAGAGAAAAAAAAAAAAAAGAATTGATTTTTGTATATTGATTATACCCTGTGACCTTGCTAAATTTATTAGTACTAATATTTGTTTTATGGATGCCTTAGGATTTTCTATATATAAGATAATGCCATCTGTAAATAAAGACAGTTTTATTTCTTCCTTTCTAATCTGGATGCATTTAATTTCTTTATTTGCCTCATTGATTAGAAATAGCAAAAGTGGGCATCTTTGCCTTGTTCGTGGTGAGAAGAGGAAAGCAGTCATTCACCACTAAGTGTGATGTTAACTGTGGGTTTTTGTAGGTGTCTTTTATCAGATTTCATAAATTCTCTTTTATTCCTACTTTGTTGAGAATTTTTATTATGAATCTGTGATGGATTTTGTCACATAGTTTTTTCAATATCTGTTGAAGTCACCATGTGTTTTTTGTCCTTTATTCTGTTAATATAATATATTATATTATATTGATTTTCAGATGTTAAACCAACCTTGCATTTCTGGGATAAATCCCACTTTGTTATGGTGTATAATCCTATTTATATGTTGCTAGGCTTGGGTTGCTAATACTAGTCTTACAGAATGAATTGGGAAGCATTACCTCTGCCTTCATTTTCTCATTCATTTATTTTATTTTACTTTTTATCATATATATATATATATATATATTTATATTTTATTTCATTTTATCTTATTTTAGTTTTTAGAGACAGTGTCTTGCCCTGTCACCCAGGCTGGATTGCGGTGGTGTGATCATAGCTCACTGCAGTATCAACCTCCTGGACTCAAGCGATCCTCCTGCCTGGGACTATAGCCATGCATCACCATGCCCAGCTAACCATCCATTTCTTTCTTTTTTTAAAACAAATTTTATGTTTATTTATTTATTTATTTGGATTTCTCCTACCGAAAGGAATTATTCATTTCTTTTTTTTTTTTTTTTTTTTTTGAGAGGGAGCCTTGCTCTGTTGCCCAGGCTGGAGTGCAGTGGCACAATCTCAGCTCACTGCAACCCCTATCTCCCAGGTTCAAGCCTCAGCCTTCTGCATAGCTGGGACTACAGGTGTGCACCACCACACCCAGCTAGTTTTTGTATTTTTCAGTAGAGACAGAGTTTCACTATATGTTGGCCAGGCTGGTCTCGAACTCCTGACTTCAGCTGATCCACCTGCCTCGGCCTCCCAAAGTGCTGGGATTACAGACGTGGGCCACCACGCCCAACCAGAATCATTCATTTCTTTTCAAGTGGATATCTTATGGTATTTTAGGGCATGGCTGGGAGCAGTTTTGTTTTCTGTTCTCAAGGTGGAGTTTTTGCAGGATGTCATAGAGTTCATGTCTGCAGCTCACAGTGTCATTGCCTGTGTCCGCAGCTCCACGTACTGGCAGGTGTACTGCAAGCTGGGCAGGTGCTCCGTGTCCCTGGGATACCTTACCCAACACTCCTGGCCCTCCTCTGCAAGCCGTGCCCTGATCCTCCCTGCAGGGACTGGGGATTGGTTCTGCTCACCCAGAAGCCGGGATACCTGGCTGAGGGCACTTCTCTCCCTCTTCTCTTTGAACAGAGTGGCTGCGAACCCAAAGGTGCGGGAACAAGTGCGGCTGGAGCTGAGCTTGGTCAACTCAGACCTGCAGATGCTCAAGGAAGAGCTGGAGGGGCTGAACATCTCAGTGGGCATCTATCAGAACACAGAGTAAGTGGGAGCAGCACACCTTCCAGAAGCCTCTGAGCCAGAGATCCTTCATATATCCAGGGTATGAAGAGGTACCTGGGTACGAACCCTATCTGCACAAACAGGGCAGATAGGGTTCTAGACTGGGGTGTGGCAGCCCCAGCTTTGGGAAGTGAGAGAACCATCAGGTTTGGGGTTGAGTGAGGTGCTAGACTGGAAGGGATGAGCCCATTTGTTGGGAAATATCTGCAGTGTTGGGAAATATCTGTAGTGTTGGGAAATATCTGCAGTGACAAAAAGGCATTTGTGAGGCCAGGCACAGTGGCTCACTCCTGTAATCCCAACACTTTGGGAGGCTGAGGCGGGTGGATCACCTGAGGTCAGGAGTTCGAGACCAGTCTGGCCAACATGATGAAACCCCGTCTCTACTAAAAATAAAAATAGCCAGACGTGGTGGTGCACACTTGTAATCCTGGCTTCTCAGAGGCTGAGGCAGAATTGCTTGAACCCGGGAGTTGGACGTTTCAGTGAGCCGAGATCACACTACTGTACTCCAGCCCGGCTGACAGAGCAAGACTCTGTCTCAAAACAAACAGACAAAAAAAAACAAATGAAGACAGTATAAAATCTAGTGTAAATATACGTGATGAACCAAGATAAGTTTAAAAGTTAGATGCCTTGGATTTTATAGTTAAGTTTCAGTAATTCCGCGTAGTCACATTTCATAGACATGCAAACATTAGCAAGATATGTTATTAAATTCAACTGAACAGACATTGAGCAAGGATATTTTAGTGGGTCATCATAATTTTCCTAAGAAACATTAAAGGGACATTGTTAGGACAATACCTTTCCAATGTTGGCTAATTATTTTCTCATTTATTTGCCAAGGAACAGAAAGCATACACAAATACTTCGGGATTAAGGCCAAAGGCCAAAATTGACCCTGTAAGGGGAGGCCACTATGCACACACAGAGATTCTGTGCACTGTACTTAGATGCTGGACTGCAGTCTGTTTCCTAGCTGGAGGTGACAAACTGAAACAGAAAAATCCAAATTAAAACAAAGTAACACACCAGTCTCCTTTTAAGGTTGTATTTCCTGTTTTTTTTTTTTGACACAGAGTCTCCCTCTCTCACCCAGGTGGGAGTGCAGTGGCGAGATCTCAGCTCACTGCAATCTCCACCTTCTGGGTTCAAGCGATTCTTGTGCCTCAGCCACCTGAGTAGCTGGGATTACAGGCGTGCACCATCACACCTGGCTAATTTTTTTTTTTTTTTTTTTTTTTTTAGTAGAGACAGGGTTTCATCATGTTGGCCAGGCTGGTCTTGAACTCCTGGTCTCAAGTAATCTGCCCGCCTTGGCCTCCCAAAGTGCTGGGATTACAGATGTGAGCCACTGTGCCTGGCTCCTAGGTCAGTTTTGAAGGCACTCTATCGTATCATTCTCCATAACTCAATTTTGGAATTGATTTCTGCAAGATGAAAGCCAACAACACCATCCCTCAGAATTGCAATACATCTCCAAAAATGGAGATCTAACTATGAAAGAAATGCCCCTCTTGCCTCATGTCTGTAATCCAGCTCTTCAGGAGGCTGAGATGGGGGATCGCTTGAGCCCAGGAGTTCAAGGCCAGCCTGGGCAACATAGTGAAACCCCATCTCTACAAAAAATAGGAAAATTAGCCGGGCATGGTGGTGTACACCTGTAGTCCCAGCTACTCAGAAGGCTGAGGTGGGAAGATCACTTGAGCCAGGGAGGTCGAGACTGCAGTAATGGCAACAGAAAGAAGTCCTGTCTCAAAAAACACAAAAACAAAACAAAACCCTAAGTGAAATGCTTCTTTTTAAGGAGAAATAACTTTGAGACAGTTCAAAGAAGGGTTTACGTGCTTTTTTAGTAGGGGCATGAGACTTCTCAAAAAGTAGGTGGGCCCCAGGGGAAACTCAGTCGGAAAATAGCTCCCTGGATTTGGGAACCTTAAGTCACCTATGGAATGTGTGTTTCCTGGTGCTGGTCCTCCACAGGGCACCAGGGTGGTTTCAGAGCTGGAGGGGAAGTGTCAGTGTGTGAAAGCTCGCTGGCTCTTCCCTTTGTGATACCCCGTGCCTGGCTTACCTGTGGGCTCCTGTACGGTTTTTATTGTTTGTTTGTTTGTTTGTTTTTTGAGATGGAGTCTCTCTCTGTTACCCAGGCTGGAGTACAGTGGCATGATCTCGGCTCACCACAACCTCCGCCTCCCAGGTTCAAGCAATCCTCCTGCCTCAGCCTCCTGAGTAGCTGGGACTACAGGCGCATGCCACCATGCCCAGCTAATTTTTTGTATTTTTAGTAGAGATGGGGTTTCACCATGTTGGCCAGGCTGGTCTCGAGCTCCTGACCTTGTGATCTGCCGGCCTCAGCCTCCCAAAGTGCTAGGTTTACAGGCGTGAGCCACCACACCCGGCCTACTGTGCAGTTTTGAACACCCAGTCAGTGTGACAGCTAATGGAAGGTTCTCCCAGCCTATGCTCTGGTGTTCAATTACAGTGTTTGTCCAAAAGGTTCAAGTTCTGGAGGAGGCGAGATGGGGCCAAGGTTTGGTAATAAATGTCGGCTGTCCCACACTCTCATTTGCTGTGCCGAAGAGTGGGGATGTGCAACACAGGGCTTCCCACAGAGTGAACCGAAGATCTCTGGAGTGGTCCCTGGGCTCTAGAGTGGCCAGTCACTGCCCTGTGTCACTGGGAAGAGGGAGAGCTGTGCAGATTCAACACGGCACCATGCATTTGGGTCCTGCGCTTTTCTGTTTTCTTTTTTTTTCTTTTTCTTTTTTTTTGAGACGGAGTCTTGCTCTGTCGCCCAGGCTGGAGTGCAGTGGCGTGATCTCGGCTCACTGCAAGCTCCGCCTACCGGGTTCACACCATCCTCCTGCCTCAGCCTCCCGAGTAGCTGGGACTAAAGGCGCCCGCCACCTTGCCCGGCTAATTTTTTGTATTTTTAGTAGAGACGGGGTTTCACCATTAGCCAGGATGGTCTCAATCTCCTGACCTCGTGATCCGCCTGCCTCGGCCTCCCAAAGTGCTGGGATTATGGGCGTGAGCCACCATGCCCGGCCCTGTTTTCAAAGTAGATTGTTTCTTTCTTAGTATGGTTGATCTTTTTTTTTTTTTTTTTTTTTTTTTCTGAGACGGAGTCTTGCTCTGTCACCCAGGCGTGGAGTGCAGTGGCGTAATCTTGGCTCACTGCTACCTCCACCTCCTGGTTGAAGTGATTCTCTTGCCTCAGCCTCCTGAGTAGCTGGGATTACAGGCGCACACCACCATGCCCAGGTAGTTTTTGTATTTTTAGTAGAGACGGGGTTTTACCATGTTGGCCAGGTTGGTCTTGAACTCCTGACCTCACGTGATCTGCCTGTTTCAGCCACCTAAAGTGATGGGATTATAGGCGTGAGCCACTGCGCCTGGCCTGCACTATTCTTTTTTCAAGGTAGACTGTTTCTTTCTTAGCATGGTTGATCTTTACAGTCTTCTAGGAGGTAGGCGGGAAAGAAATAACCTCATGGTGCATGAGGTTATTTCCCTCCCTCATGGGAAAACTCAGGGAAGCCGGAGGGCACCTAGAGGGTGCTGTCAGTGCCACACTGGGGCTGGGGTGCCCTGGAGTTGGGACTCAGGACAGTCGCTCCTCCTCTTGTTGTTGCCTGGACAGCCACAAACCTGGCTTCCCACCCTGCGTAGCCTGGAGGAGCCTTCAGCAGAATTCGGCTTTCCATGCCCCCAGGATGGGTCTCACCTGGCCGTAGCATGGCTGTGCTGCAGAGCCAGGTTCAGCTTACAGCTGCATTGTCCCCTCGCCCTGCCCAGCCTTCCTGGCCTTCTTGTGGGGCTGGGCTGAGCAGCCCAAGGAGGTCTCCTGTTACAGGTCAGGGAGCTGAATCCCTGTTTGCAAAACACAGCCTGAGCTCCGTTCACTTCCTGCTGTCCCTGCCCCTAGGAATGTAGGCTCAGGGAGCACTCCCCAGGCGACCTGTGGTTACAGAGTGGTCAGCTGGGGGAGAGGAGGTGGAGGGTGTCTGACCCTGGGCTGGGAGGCAGGTGCACTTCGGTGTCGGATGGGGCTCCTGCCCTGATGGCATCTTCTGTGCTGGTGGTGGGACGCCTAGACACTTCCCAAAGAAGAGGCCCCTATGAACCCAGAGTTGTGAATGTGAGGGTGTTGGAGAGCTGCCACAGCTGTGGGGCCCGCTGAGGAGCAGAGGAGGAGGGGGTGAGGAGCTGACAAAGGAGGCGCAGGGCAGCAGGGTGGTGCACCCAGGTGGGAGCAGCAAGTGCACCATGCACAGGCCCTGGCACACAATAGACTCTCAGCACAGCTGCCAAAAGAAGCATTGAGATTGAGCTGGGCACAGAGGCTTGTATCCATCATCCCAGCACATTGGGAAGCCAAGGTGGACGAATCACTTGAGGTCAGAAGACCAGCCTGGCCAACGTGGTCAACATGGTGAAACCCCATTGCTACTAAAAAAATATACAAAAATTAGCCGGGTGTGGTGTCCTGTGCCTGTAATCCCAGTTACTCAGGGGGCTGAGGCAGGAGAATTGCTTGAACCTGAGAGGCGGAGGCTACAGTGAGCTGAGATTGCGCCATTGCACTCCAGCCTGGGCGACAGAACAAGAGTCTCTCAAAAAAAAATAAAATAAGAAAGGAACCATTTAGGCATTGAAACCGGGAGATAAATCAGTGTCAAGATGCCAGGGGCCTGATGTGTTAGGCAGGGTGGTCCAGCAGTCTTAGGGAGCAGGGTCAGTTTTAGAGCAGAGGGTGGGGCATGACTAGAGTCATCCTTATGGAAAATGAGCCTGTCAGCCAGGTGAGTACTGGATGGGGCAAGGAGGGGGCACACACCTGAGCTGGGCTGCTGAGGGCAAGGCTGTGGCATGCACAAGGGTCCGGTTGGGGGTGTTCATACATACCTTGTTGTGTTCCTCATAGGGAGGCATTTACGGTTCCCCTGATTCCTCTTGGCCTGAAGGAAACGAAAGACATCGACTTTTCAGTCATCCTCAAGGTAAATCTCAAAGCCGTGGGCACTGGACTCAGTGTTTAAAATGGAAATAGGCCATTTGCAGTGGCGCATGCCTGTAGTCCCAGTTACTTGGGAGGCTGAGGCAAGAGGATCGCTTGAGCCCAGGAATTGGAGGCTGCAGTGAGTTGTGATCATACAACTGCACTCCAGCCTGGGCAACAGAATGAGACCCTGTCTCCAAAAAAAAAAGCAAAAAAATGGATATAGAGAAAATATGTATCCCTTGCAATGGCCTTAGGCTCAACAGGCAGAGTCAGTTGATATCTACAGAGTGACCCTGAGGCCCTTCTCAGCCAGCTACATGCATAATTGATATGTTTATTCCTGCCATATTTTTGTTGTTGCCTTTGATGGCTTCTGAAGCTCCTCCTGGGTCTTGGACAAGGCAGGTTGGAAACCCAGGAGGGCCTTCCCTGAGAGGCCAAGTCAAAGGGTCTGTAGTGGATATGCTTTCAAATTTAAAACTTACATCCTCTTTTATTAATAGTGTATTTGTTTCTCAAGTCATGTATCCAGTTTAGGTTATGTCTTTGGAAGAATAGCTAAAGTTTTTTCTCTAACATTTGATTATGAAAATTTCCAAACTTTTCAAAAAATTTTAAGAATTTTATAGCAAACCCCTGTGTACTCACTTCTTCCGAGAACATACTGCCAGCATTGCTTCCTGACATATTTGTCCATCTGTGCATTCTTGTGTCTGTTAGGTTGGTTTGAAGGTAATTGCAGTTTTTGCCATTGAAAGTAATGGCTAAAGGCTGGGCACAGTGGCTCACGCCTGTAATCCCAGCACTTTGGGAGGCTGAAGCAGGCGGCTCACTTGAGCTCAGGAGTTGAAGACCAGCCTGGCTAAAATGGTAAAACCCCTGTCTCTACCAAACGTACAGAAATTAGCTGGACGTGGTGGTGCACACCTGTAATCCCAGTTACTTCAGAGGCTGAGGCAGGTGAATCGTTCAAACCCGGGAGGTAGAGGTGGAGGTTGCAGGGAGCCGAGATCACGCCACTGCCCTCCAGCCTGGGCGACAGAGTGAGATCCCATCTAAAAAAAAAAAAATTAGCTGGGCATAGTGGCATATGACTGTAATCCCAGTTACTCGAGAGGCTGAGGCACGAGAGAGGCGCTTGAACCCAGGAGGCAGAGGATGCAGTGAGCTGAGATTGTGCCACTGCACTCCAGCCTGGGCAACAGTGAAACTGTCTCAAAAAAAAAAAAAAAAAAAAGAGAACGAAAGTAATGGCTAATATCAATCTGTCTTATTTGTGATGCAATTTCAAAGGAAATCAAAGATGTCAATTCACTCCCCTTAAATATTTGAATAACCAGAGTCTTTGCTTGTGTGTCCCCCTGCCACATTCCTGGGTATCTGGACTCCTCTCCCATTTGGCAGATCCTCATAAGCCCACCTGTGCCTGGCACTGTGCTGGGTGCCAGAGGTGCCACAAGCACTGCCTGCGGGGCCCTTGGGTCAGTGGGGGATTCAAGTGGGAAGTGGAAGGGGTGCTTCAATGGAGAACACAGGAGATACCGTGCCCGGAGGCTGGGGCCGGGAGACCGTCCTGTGCCTGGAATACCCTCCTCTTCCTTCCCTCTTCAACTCCATCAATTTGAGTTTTTAACCAGTCACCTCCAAATTCCATCAAGGAGGGGAAAGGGGATGAGGTGCAGGGTGGCCCAAGATTGCATCATGCAGCCCAGGCATTGGTTATAGGAATTAATCCTAGCATTGCGAAAATTGCTTCGAAGAAATATTTTGTGTTCTTTTTTTTCCTTTTTCTTTATTATTTTGAGACCGAGTCTCACTGTTTCACCCAGGCTGGCATGCAGTGGCATGATCTTGGCTCACTGCAACCCCTGCCTCCTGGGCTCAGTTGATGCTCCCACTTCAGCCTCCTGAGTAGCTGGTACTACAGGCGTGTGCCACCGTGCCTGGCTAATTGTTGCATTTTTCTTTCTTTTTTATTGAGATGGAGTTTAGCTCTTGTTGCCCAGGCTGGAGTGCAATGGCATGATCTCGGCTCACCGCAACCTCCACCTCCCGGGTTCAAGCGATTCTCCTGCCTCAGCCTTCCGAGTAGCTGGGATTACAGGCATGTGCCACCATGCCTGGCTAATTATGTATTTTTAATAGAGACGGGGTTTCTCCATGTTGGTCAGGTGGGTCTCGAACTCCTGACCACAGGTGATCCACCTGCCTTGGCCTTCCAAAGTGCTGGGATTATAGGCGTGAGCCACCATGCCCGGCCAATTTTTGTATTTTTCATAGAGACAGAGTTTCCCACTGTTGCCCAGGCTGGTCTCAAACTCCTGGGTTCAAGCAGTCCTCCTGCCTCAGCCTTCCAAAATGCTGGGATTATAGGCATGAGCCACTGTGCCTGGCTTATTTTACTTTCCATGATAATCCTCTTAGTTGGCTCATCTTGGACTACTTTTAGTTTAGAAAAGAAAACATCTTATGACATTTTGACTGTTACTTTTTTTTTTCTTTCTTTCTTTCTTTTTTTTTTTTTTTGAGCTGGAGTTTCGCTCTTGTTGCCCAGGCTGGAGGGCAGTGATGGCCATCTCAGCTCACTGAAACCTCCACCTCCCAGGTTCAAGTGATTCTCCTGCCTCAGCCTCCTGAGTAGGTGGGATTACAGGCACCTGCCATCATGCCTGGCTAATTTGTGTTTTTAGTAGAGATGGGGTTTCACTATGTTGGCCAGGCTGGTCTCGAACTCGATCCACCCGCCTTGGCCTCCCAAAGTGCTGGGATTACAGGTGTGAGCCACCGCTCCCAGCCAACTACTACTTTTAAAAGCAATTGGTTAATACTTTGGAAGCACTTGACCTTCATTCTCAGAGACGGTGAGTTGTTTGACATAAATAGAGGCCTTTTTTACTGCTGCCTTGTTTAAATCCTGTGAGTTTGGGGTTTATTTTGGAACTGGAGAAGGGAAGTTGGTATTCTGAGTGTTTCAGGACTCAAGTTTACCGGAAAGTTTATGTTCTGGGTAGAAAGCAATGAAAACAATCCAGGAATTGCAGCTTTATGCCACACTGCCACAGCCTGCCTGAACTTTTACGTGAGACTTATGCCCAGATGCAATGGCTCACGCCTATAATCTTAGCACTTTGGGAGGCTGAGGCAAGAGGACAGCTTGAGGCCAGGAGTTGGAGACCAGCCTGGGCAACAGAATGAGGCCTTCCCTCTCTCTCTCTCTCTTTTTTTTTTTTTTTTTTTGAGACACAGTCTCACTGTGTTGCCCAGGCTGGAGTGCAATGGTGCGATCTCAGCTCACTGTAACCTCCACCTTCTGGGTTCAAGTGATTCTCCTTCCTCAGCCTCCTGAGCAGCTGGGACTACAGGCATGCACCACCATGGCCAACTAATTTTTGTGTGTATATATGTATATTTTTTGAGATGAAGCCTCGCTCTGTCGCCCAGGCTGGAGTACAGTGGCGTGATCTCGGCTCACTGCAAACTCCACCTCCCAGGTTCAAGCAATTCTCTGCCTCAGCCTCCTGAGTAGCTGGGGTTTCAGGCACCCACCACCATGCTGGCTAATTTTGGTATTTTTAGTAGAGACAGGGTTTCACCATCCTGGCCAGGCTGGTCTTGAACTCCTGACCTCATGATCCACCTGCCTCGGCCTCTCAGAGTGCTGGGATTAGAGGTGTGAGCCACTGCGCCAGGCTAATTTTTGTATTTTTAGTAGAGACAGATTTTCACCATCCTGGCCAGGCTGGTCTTGAACTCCTGACCTCAGGTGATCTGCCCACCTTGGCCTTCCAAAGTACTGGGATTACAGGTGTCAACCACCACGCAGTCATCTCTTTCTCTCTCTCTCTTTTTTTTTTCTTTTTTAAGAGATGGGGTCTCCTCACTATGATGCCCAGGCTGGTCTTGAACTCCTGGCCATAAGCGATCTTCCTGCTTCCACCTCCAGCAAAAGTGCTGAGATCATAGATGTGAGCCACCACACCCAGCCCCATCTCTATTTTTATTTAAAATATATGTGTGTATATATAAATGCAAAAATAGATGTGACTTGCCACTGGTCTGTGGGACTCAAAACAATCCACGTGTCTGGAAATGTCTGTTGCTATTGTAGAAGTTTCTTTACGATTTAATTTGTCTGTTGCATGGTGCTGGGCTACAAGAATGTAAGCATTTTTTTTTTTTGAGATGGAGTTTCACTCTTGTTACCCAGGCTGGAGTCCAATGGCATGATCTCAGCTCACTGCAACCTCTGCCTCCTGGGTTCAAGTGATTCTCCTGCTTCAGTTTCACAAGTAGCTGGGATTACAGGCATGTGTCACCACACCCAGCTAATTTTTATTAGCAGAGACAGGGTTTCACCATGTTGGCCAGGCTGGTCTTGAAGTCCTGACCTCAGATGATCCGCCTGCCTCAACCTCCCAAAGTGCTGGGATTACAGGTGTGAGCCACTGCGTCCGGCCAAGAATGCAAGCATTTTAAAGGAAGAGTCTCTTGGAGAAACTTAGGAATTTTATAGGCATTTTTAAGGATTCAACTGGGTCATGTTCTGAATTCCACATTAAAGCAAATGAAAATATTCACATGTTGTGGACATGGCCAACTGCCATTCGGCACAGGCTTCCAACCATGTCATTTTAGCCTAAAAGAGACGCTACAAATGTCAGTCATATGAAAATGAGAACGTTTGAGGGGCTTTCTGTTGTATTTTTTCCCTTCCATATTTGAGAGAAACACAGGTACTGCAGAAGTGGTTCAGCAGACTGAATTAGGGCAATTCCATTTCAAATCTGACTTGTGTGTCCATGTGATATTTTTAATAATCAGTGAAGCTTCACAGTGTGATTTTGTTTTATTTTATTTTATGTATTTATTTATTTAGAGAGGGAGTCTCGCTCTGAAGCCCAGGCCGGAGTGCAGTGGCACAGTCTTGGCTCACTGCAACCTCCGTCTCCCAGGTTCAAGCGATTCTCTTGCTTCAGCCTCCTGAGTACCTGGGATTACAGGCATCCGCCACCACACCCAGCTAATTTTTATATTTTTAGTAGAGACAGGGTTTCACCATGTTGACCAGGCTGTTCTCGAACTCCTGACCTCAAGTGATCCACCCGCCTCAGCTTCCCAAAGTGTTGGGATTACAGGCGTGAGCCACTGCAGCTGGCTGATTTTGTTTTATTTTGAGGAAATAGGGCCAGGCACAGTGGCTCACACCTTTAGTCCCAGCTACTTAGGAGGCTGAGGTGGCTTGCTTGAGCCCAAGAGGTCGAGGCTGCAGTCAGCTGTGATTGAGCCCCTGCAGTCCATCCTGGAAAACAGAATGATACCTTGTCTCATTAAAAAAAAAAAAAAAAATCGAATCAATGAAAGAAAATGAAATCACATCTGTTCTTCAGTAAAGTTTAATAGTTTTCTGCTTAATTATATTAATTTTATCCCTAGAAATGTATTTTTGTTGCTATTTTGAAAGGTATTGTTTCTCTGTTAGGTTTTGTTTGTTTGTTTGTTTGTTTTTGAGACAGAGTCTCACTGTGTCGCCCAGGCTGGAGTACAGTGGTGCAGTCTTGGCTCACTGCAACCTCTGCCCCCCAGGTCCAAGTGATTCTCCTGCCTCAGCCTCCTGGGTAGCTGGGATTAGAGGCACCTGCCACCATACCCACCTAATTTTTTGTATTTTTAGTAGAGACAGGGTTTCACCTTGCTGGTCAGGCTGGTCGCAAACTCCTGACCTCAAATGATCTGCCTACCTCAGCCTTGAAAACTGCTGGGATTACAGATGTGACGAGCCACCACACCTGGCTGTCTGTTAAGTTTGTCTAATTGGTTATTGCTTGTATAAGAAAGGAAGAATATTGACTTTTCTTTTTTACTATTGACTTTCATGTGCTAACTTCTTTGCCACTTTATTGAATTCTTATTAATTTAGTAATGTTTCAGTTGATGCTATTGGGTTTTATAAACATGCTGTTGTGTTGCAAAAAATTATTTTGATTGTTTCTTTCCAGTATTTTATGTCTCTTATTTTTCTTAATATGTGGGCTAGAGAATGTTTGGAATTAGGCTAAGTAATAACAGTGATGGTAGAAATTCTCTTTTTGTCCCTAATGTTTACAGTGGGTTTCAGTTAGGATTTTTTTTTTTTTAGACGAAGTCTTGCTCTGTCATCCAAGCTGGAGTGCAATGGCTCAATCTCAGCTCACTGCAACCTCCGCCTCCTGGGCTCAAGCTATTCTCCTGCCTCAGCCTCCTGAGTAGCTGGGATTACAGGCACCTGCCATCATGCCTGGCTAATTTTTGTATTTTTAGTAGAGATGGGGTTTCACCACGTTGGCCAGGCTGGTCTCGAACTCCTGGCCTCAAATGATCCACCTGCCTCGGCCTCCCAAAGTGCTGAGATTACAGGGGTGAGCCACTGTGCCTGGCCAGTTAGATAATTTTTTTTATCCCACTAAGTACGTTAATCTACCCTAGTTTACTAAGTTTCAAATTCAGGATCACATATATAATTTAATCAAAATCCTCTTTGACTTTTATGAGGTGAACATAAGATTGGAGTGCAGTGACGTGATCATGGCTCACTGCAGCCTCAACTTCCTGGGCTCAAGTGATCCTCCTCCTGCCTCAGCACGCCTGGCTAATTTTTTATTATTTGTAGAGATGGGGTTTCACTATGTTGTCCATGCTGGTCTCAAACTCCTGGTCTCAAGTGATTCTCCCACCTTGGCCTCCCAAAGTGCTGGGATCACAGGCATGAGTCACTACACCTGACCCCTTTTAACCACCATGCCCAGCTATTTTATTTTTTATTTTTTAAATTTTTAATGGAGACAGGGTTTCACCATGTTGGCCAGGCTGGTCTGGAACACCTGACCTCAAGTGATCTACCTACCTCAGCCTCCCAAAGCGCTGGGATTACAGGTGTGAACCACCATACCCAGCCCATGGCCAAGTTTAAAGAAAAGAGGCATAGTCAGCTGAGCGCAGTTGCTCATACCTGTAATTCCAACACTCTGGGAAGCTGAGGTGGGAGGATCACCTGAGGCCAGGAGTCCGAGACCAGCCTAGGCAACATAGGAAGACTCTGTCTTTACGAAAAATAACAATATTAGCTGAGTGTGATGGTGCACACCTATAGTCCCCTCTACTGGAGAAGCTGAAGTGGGAGGATGACTTGAGCCCGGGAGTTCAAGGCTGCAGTGAGCTATGATTGCACCATTGCACTCCATCCTGGATGACAGAGCGAGACCCTCATCTCTTAGAAAAAGAAGGCACAGCAAAGTTGTATATTTAGTACAAATCCATTTTTGTAAGACAAGTGTTTGTGTGTGTGTACGTTGAACACACAAAAACAGGAGGAGCTTTAATGTAGAAGTTGTGTAAAGAGGTTACACAGTCACTTGGGAAGACATAATTGAGCCATCTATGTGATCACCTTTCTTGCAGCTTGGGGGAGCCAGCACTTGTAGGGGCGGGGGTGGGGCAACAGGGCAAAACCCCATCTCTATTAAAAAATACAAAAATGAAATTAGCCTGTGGCACGTGCCTGTGGTCCCAGCTACTTGGGAGGCTGAAGTAGGAGGATTACTTGAGACCAGAGAAGTCGAGGCTGTGGTGAGCCGCGATCGCACCACTGCACTCCAGCCTAGGCAACCAAGTGAGACCCTGCCTCAAAGATAAAATAAAATAAAATGCCTTTATAACATGGTTAAGGGTCTTCTTGGCAAAGGAAACCTGTATCTGGGGACTGTTATGACAGTCCTACCCTCAGGGTCTGTGCTGGGAAACTTGTCTGGGTCCTGAGGGAGGCCCAGAATTGCAAGTCTGAGCCCCTGAATATCTGCAGTGTTTGCAGTATAGTTGAATGTATAGGCCATAAACTAGTCTCAAACTCCTGGGCTCAAGTGATTTACCTGCCCTGTCTTCACAAAGTGCTGGGATTACAGATGTGAGCCATGATGCGCAGACACAAAGACATTTTTAAGCAAAAAATTAACTTCAACTCTCACTTTTACTGAAGCAACACAGCATTTAAAAACATAGGCATGGGGTGCAGTGGCTCACACCTGTAATCCCAGCACTTTGGGAGGCTGAGGCAGATGGATTGCTTGAGCCCAGGAGTTTGAGACCAGCCTGGGCAATGCGGTGAAACTCCATCTCTACTAAAAATACAAAAATTAGCTGGGCATGGTGGCACATGCCTGTAATCCCAGCTACTTGGGAGGCTGAGGCATGAGAATCACTTGAGCCTGGGAGGTGGAGGTTGCAGTGACCCGAGATCGCAACATTGCATTCTAGCCTGGACAATGGGAGTGAAACCCTGTTTTAAAAAAAAAAAAAAAAATTCTATGGCCGGACACTGTGGCTGACATCTGTAATCCCAGCACTTTGGGAGGGTGAGGTGGGTGGATCACCTGAGGTCAGAAGTACAACAATTAGCCAGACGTTGTGGTGGGCACCTGTAACCCCAGCTCCTTGAGAGGCTGAGGAAGGAGAATTGCATGAACCTGGGAGGCAGAGGTTGCAGTGAGCCGAGATTGTGCCACTGCACTCCAGCCTGGGCTACAGAGCAAGACTCCATATAAAAAAAACTACATAAATTAAGAAAATAAATTCCCCCACTTTGAAAATCACTGTAAGTTTTTCTTTATTCTGCCTTTTTAGAAACAGGTCACAAATGACATATTACTGTTATGCACATACATGGTTTTCAATCACATTTTATAGTATCTAACCTTATTTTTCTTTAAGGATTTTATCCTGGAACATTACAGTGAAGATGGCTATTTATATGAAGATGAAATCACAGATCTTATGGATCCGAGACAAGTAAGTTTTTGTGTGCAGCAGAGAGGGGAGGGTAGTTTTTCCAAGTCTTCGGGGAACCCCATTATTGCATGCTTGTGGTCTTAACAGAATCGTGGGTAGATTGAGGTGATGGTTGGGGGGTGCTGGAATCATCCATTCCATTTGCTGCATAAGAAAACTGTAGAAGGAGGCCGGGCATGGTGGTTCACGCCTATGTAATCCCAGCACTTTGGGAGGCGGAGGCAGGAGAATCACCTGAGATCAGGAGTTCCAGACCATCCTGGCCAACATGGTGAAACCCCGTCTCTACTAAAAATTCAAAAATTAGCTGGGCGTGGTGGTGCATGCTGGTAATTCCAGCACTTTGGGAGGCTGAAGCGGGTGGATCACCTGAGGTCAGAAGTTTGAGACCAGACTGGCTAACATCGCAAAACCCCGTTTCTACTAAAAATACAAAAACAAGCCGGGCATGGTGCTACACGCCTGTAATCCCAGCTACTCGGGAGGCTGAGGCAGGAGAATCACTTGAACCTGGTAGGTGGAAGTTACAGTGAGCCAAGATCGCACCACTGCACTCCAGCTTGGGTGACAGAGCAAGAGTCCGTCTCAAAAAAAAAAAAGGAAAACCATAGAAGGGGAGAGACCTGCCTCCTGGCAGGGCTGGGACTGGATTCCAGGATTTCTGACTTCCTGCCAGGTTCTTTCCACCCCTCCTAGAGTTTATGATGCCAGCAGTGAGGTCGTCATACTGCAGAAATAGTTACAGGCACCTGCTGGTATGTGCAGGGCACCTTCCGGGAAGGGCTGTCAGCTGTGTCCTCCTCTGCTCATGCCCTCTGGGGTTCTTTTCCTCGCAGGCTTGTCGGACGCCCAGCCGGGATGAGGCCAGGGTGGAACTGCTGATGACATACTTCATCCAGCTGGGCTTTGTTGAGAATTGATTCTTCCCACCCACGCGGCAGATGGGACTCCTGTTCACCTGGTAGGTGCTTGAGGTCTGCGCTGGTGCTTCACGTGTTATGGCAGCCACAGTTTCGGAGCCTCAGCATCACAGACGCCCCTCTGCGGGCACCTCAGCCCCTTTTCCTATCTTGCATTTATCCGGGGTGCACCCCTGTGCACCTCAGCCCCCTTTCCTATCTTGCATTTATCCAGGGAAGTCTAGAAAGATATCAATACATTGGTATTTATTTATGAAGGTGATCCGAGGGAGATGGCCCCAACAGACTGTGGCCTCTTGCTTCTCAGAACAGGTGAGCCAAGGAGAGGAGACATTTTTCTTGCTTGTTGTATCACTGGGGAAGCACAGGGCTCTGAAATGGAATTAGTCAGAAGCAAGATTCTTGTCTCAGATTGGACTGGGGCATGCATGTGTATGTGTGAGTGAGTGAGAGAGAGAGAGAGAAAATCAGGTCTTGTCCAGTGAGACAAAAGCACCAAACAGAAATAGATCAGGTTTCTTTTGAAATGGGGTCTCACTGTGTTGCCCAGGCTAGTCTTGAATTCCTGGGCTCAGGTGATATTTCTGCCTCAGCCTCCTGAGTAGCTGGGACTATAGGCATGAGCTACACACTCAGCTTAGATCAGATTTAAAAAATGGAAGTAGAGGATTTGATTCTTCTCCACAATTGTTATTTTCAGACAAGATCAGGCACGTCAGGGTGGTATGGCCGTAGACCCAATTGGTGTTTTCAAAGATTAGTATACTTTAAATACTTGGGAGCCCGGGTACAGTGGTTTTCACACCTATAATGCCAACACTTTGGGAGGCTGAGGCAAGCAGATCACTTGACCCCAGGAGTTTGAGACCAGCCTGGGCAATGTGGCAAAACCCCATATCTACAAACAATACAAAAATTTGCTGGGTACGATGGTATGCACCTGTAGTCCCAGGTACTCGTGAGGCTGAGGCAAGAGAATCACTTGAGCCTGGGAGGCAGAGGTTGCAGTGAGCCTAGATCACACCACCGCACTGCAGCCTGGGTGATAGGAGTGAAACCCTGTTTCAAAAAAGAAAAAAAAAGGCTGAGTGTGGTGGTTCACACCTGTAATCCCAGCACTTTGAGAGGCCGAGGCAGGTGGATCACGAGGTCAGGAGTTCGAGGCCAGCCTGTCCAATATGGTGAAACCCTGCTTCTACTAAAAAATACAAAAATTAGCTGGGCATGGTTGTGCGTGCCTGTAGTCCCAGCTACTTGGGAGGCTGAGGCAGGAGAATCACTTGAACCTGGGAGGCAGAGGTTGCAGTGAGCCAAGATTGCACCACTGAACTCCAGCCTGGGCAACAGAGTGAGAGTCTGTATTAAAAAAAAAAAAAAACACCAACAACCTAAAAAAAAAGTACTTTGGAGATGCTGCACCCCTTCTCTGAGTGTTTTTAGGAGTGTCAGTGAAAAGAGAGTACATCCTAGAAGGTCGGGGCATATCAGAATTGAATGTTTCTATAGCCGATGGTTGGCTACTGATGCCTTCCTCATTGAAAGCAAAGGAAAGGGGGATGACTTTTCCTAACAATGCACCAGGCTGTCTGCATGGTGAAAGGTGGTTTCTCCTTAGTCATGAATTAGGGAGAAGCTGTCTGCACACCCCTTGGTTCATGAGTAAACTTTAAAACAAGTCCTAGGGCCAGGTGCGGTGGCTCACACCTGTAATCCTAGCACTTTGGGAGGCCGAGGTGGGTGGATCACCTGAGGTCGGGAGTTCGAGACCAGCCTGACAAACATGTCTCTGCTAAAAATACAAAAATTAGCCGGGTGTGGTGGTGGGCGCCTGTAATCCCAGCCACTCAGGAGGCTGAGGCAGGACCATTGCTTGAACCCGGGAAGCAGAAACTGCAGTGAGCTGAGATGGCGCCACTGCACTCCAGCCTGGGTGAAAGAGCAAAACTTTGTCTCAAAAAATAAAAATTAAAAAAAAAATAAATAAATAATACAAGTCCTAGGCTGGGTGTGGTGGTTCACATCTGGAATCCCAGCATGTTGGGAGGCCGAGGTTGGTGGATCACTTGAGCCCAGGAGTTTGAGACCAGTCTAGGCAACACAGTGAGACCCCATCTCTACAAAACAATTAGAGAAAATGTGCCAGGCATGGGTGGCACATGCCTGTAGTCCCATCTCCTTGGGAGGCTCAGATGAGAGGATCGCTTAAGCCCAGGAGGTTGAGGCTGCAGTGAGTCATGATCATGCCACTGCACTCCAGCCTAGGCAACAGAGTGAGACTTGGTCTGAAAAAATAAAAAAGTAAAACAAATCTGAGGTTTTAGATTTCAGAAAGAATTATGAGGGGTTAGTAATTGCCATATTTTATTTAGGAGAAGCTATATATATATACACACACACTTTTCTTTTGTTTTTTTTTTTTGAGACGGAGTCTCACTCTGTCGCCCAGGCTGGAGTGTGGTGGTGTGATCTCAGCTCACTTCAACTTCTGCCTCCCAGTATCAAGCCATCTTCCCACCTCAGCCTCCCAAGTAGCTGGGCTTAAAGGCACATGCCACCACCATGTATTTTTGGTAGAGAGGGGTTTCACTATGTTGCCCAGGCTGGTCTCAAACTCCTGAGCTCAAGCCATCCACCTGCCTTGGCCTCTAAAGTGCTGGGATTACAAGTGTAAGCCACTGCACCTGGCCCTTTTTTTTTTTTTTTTTTTTTTTGAGACGGAGTCTTGCTCTGTTGCCTAGGCTGGAGGACAGTGGCGTGATCTCGGCTCACTGCAACCTCCGCCTCCTGGGTTCAAGTGATTCTTCTGCCTCAGCCTCCTGAGTAGCTGGGACTACAGGTGTGCCCCACCACGCCTGGCTAATTTTTGTATTTTTAGTAGAGATGGGGTTTCACCACGTTGGCCAGGCTGGTCTCAATCCCTGGCCTTGTGATCTGCCTGCCTCGGGCTCCCAAAGTGCTGGGATTACAGGCATGAGCCATCGCACCTGGCGCATTTTTTTTTTTTTTTATAATTGAGGAACTTACCTGACACATCATTATCACCCAGAGTCCATAGTTCCCATTAGGGTTCATTCTTGCACTTGTGTATTCTGCAGCTTTTGGCCAACATAGAGTGACAGTGATCCATCTTTGCAGTGTCGTACAGAAGAGTTTCACTGCTGGAAAAATCCTCCGTGTGCTCTGCCGTTCCTCCCTCCCTCCCCCTAAGTCCTGGCAACCCCTGATCTTTCTTCTGTCTCCCGGGTTTTTGGCTTTTCAGAATGTTGGACTCACACAGCGTGCTATACAGTAGGTAGCAACGTTCAGGTTGGCTCTTAGTAATGTTTCCTCTGCATCTTTTCAAGGCTTGCTTGAAAAGGCTCCATTTTTAGTACTGAGTAATAGTCCATTGTCTGGATGTCCCATGCTGTGTTTATAAAGTTACCCCATCAGATATTTGTGTGTGTGGCTGTGGCGGTCAGTGCGATTAGTCCTGTCATCTTGCTTGGAAACAAAAGCCTCAGTGCATGTGCATTCTTGAATTTTATTGAAGAAATGAGTTTGTTGTTGTTGTTATTGTCACCCAGGCTGGAGCACAGCGGTGCAATCTCATCTCACTGTAACCTCCGCCTCTCGGGTTCAAGCAATTCTCCCGCCTCAGCCTCCTGAGTAGCTGGGATTACAGGTGCCCGCCACCATGCCTGGCTAATTTTTGTATTTTTAGTGGAGACTGGGTTTCACCATCTTGGCCAGGCTGGTCTCGAACTCCTGACTTCAGGTGATCCACCCGCCTTAGCCTCCCAAAGTGCTGGGATTACAGGTGTGAGCCACCACACCCAGCCAACCCAGGAGTTTAACAGCAGTTTGGGTAACATAGTGAGACCCCATCTCTACAAAAATTAAAAAAAAAAATTAGGCAGGTATGGTGGCATGCACCTGTAATCCCAGCTATTCTCATGAGGCTGAGGTGGGAGGATCAATTGAGCCCTAAAGTTGGAGGCTGCAGTAAGCTATGATCACACCACTGCACTCCAGCCTGGGCAACAGAGTGAGATCCTGACTCTTAAAAAAATAATAATAGAGCCAGGCACAGTGGCTCACGCCTGTAATCCCAGCACTTTGGGAGGCTGAGGTGGGCGGATCATGAGGTCAGGAGATCGAGACCATCCTGGCTAAAACGGTGAAACCCTGTCGCTACTAAAAATACAAAAAATTAGCTGGGCGTGGTGGCGGGTGCCTATAGTCCCAGCTACTTGGGAGGCTGAGGCAGGAGAATGGCGTGAACCTGGGAGGCAGAGCTTGCAGTGAGCCGAGATCACGCCACTGCACTCCAGCCTGGGCGACAGAGTGAGACTCTGTCTCAAAAAAAATAAATAAATAAAATAATAATAATAATTTTTTCCACTTGCATCCAAAAGTAGCATTAACTAGCCAAGTAATCTGTACTCCCTGAATGCATTTCTTTCACATAGGTATGACTCCCTCACTGGGGTTCTGGTCAGCCAGCAGAACCTGCTGCTGGAGAAGGCCAGTGTCCTGTTCAACACTGGGGCCCTCTACACCCAGATTGGGACGTGGCGCTATTGGCAGATGCAGGCTGGGCTGCAGAGTGCCATAGATGCCTTTCAGAGAGCTGCAGGTATGTCTCCTCCAGGGCTGACTGGACAGAGCCTTGGCCCCGCCTGGTGGCACCAGGGGACCCCCCACTGAAGAGGGTCTACAGGTCGTCCCCTGCAAGGGCCAGACCAGTCTTCAGCTCTGGTGTAACTTCCCATTAAGAAACTTGCTCTGGCCGGGCGCGGTGGCTCATGCCTGTAATCCCAGCACTTTGGGAGGCTGAGGCAGGTGGATCACGAAGGTCAGGAGATCGAGACCATCCTGGCTAACATGGTGAAACCCCATCTCTACTAAAAATTCACAAAATTAGCTGGGCCTGGTGGCGGGCACCTGTATTCCCAGCTACTCGGGAGGCTGAGGCAGGAGAATGGCATGAACCCGGGAGGCGGAGCTTGCAGTGAGCCGAGATCGCGCCACTGCACTCCAGCCTGGGCGACAGAGCCAGACTCCATCTCAAAAAAAAAAAAAAAAGAAACTTGCTTGGTGGTTCAGACCTCAGTCTGGGATGGCTGATGTACATGGTGAATCCTGTGGCTGATGATTGATCTTTTCCAGACAAGTGGCCCTGGGATGGCAGTGCATAACTGTTTCTTTCAACACTGTCATGAAGAGCAGAATAACTTTTCCCAAATAGTGAAACTGTAGGCTTCTTTTTCTTGTATTAGGTGTACCCTATCTGTGCATATTACTCTCCGTGCCTTTATTTATTTATTTATTTATTTATTTATTTATTTATTTATTTATGAGATGGAGTTTTGCCCTTGTCGCCCAGGCTGGAGTGCAGTGGCGCAATGTTGGCTCACTGCTTGAAACCTCCCAGTTTCAAGCGATTCTCCTGCCTCAGCCTCCTGAGTAGCTGGGATTACAGGCACTCGCTACCACGCCCGGCTAATTTTTGTATTTTTAGTGGAGATGGGGTCTCACCATCCTGGCCAGGCTGGTCTCGAATTCCTGACCTCAGGTGTTCCGCCTGCCTCAGCCTCCCAAAATGCTGGGATTACAGGGTGAGCCACCGCACCCTGCCCCTCCATGCCTTTATGTCACCTGCATTCTGCCAACTTCTCCAGCATGAGGTGGGTGTTCTCAACCCTTGGTCAAGTGATGCATTCAAAGGATATCTCATAGCTCAGTTCCCTTCTTCTGGGAACTGTCTTTTGTTATTTTATTTTATTTATTTGTTTATTTTCAGATAGAGTCTTGCTCTTGTCACCCAGACTGGAGTGCAGTGGCACAATCTCTGCTCACTACGACCTCTGCCTGCTGGGTTCAAGCAACTCTTCTGCCTCAGCCTCCCAAGTAGCTGGGATTACAGGCGTCTGCCACCATGCCCGGCTAATTTTTGTATTTTTAGTAGAGATGAGGTTTTGCCCTGTTGGCCAGGCTGGTCTCAAACTCCTGACCTTAGGTAATCCTAGTATGAGAACGAGGTGCGGGGTCGAGGAGAAAAGCAACCTACTGCTTACACCTGTAGAGGACTGGGGTCACCAGACCCAGTGCTGTGGGTGAGCCTGGCACGGCTCACCCTTGCCTACGGGTTCTGCCTTGCTCCCCCATAGCAGGGCCTGTGTCTGGGTCAGACTCCCCATGGGGATGGATGCAAGAGCAGGGCACAGTGTAGACCACAGTGTGTTCTCCACACTAGCTCTATAGTGTGTTGCCTTCTAGGTTGATCATCGACATTCTGCTTTGGGGTGTGATCCCCTTCCACCCATGTGGATCATTGTTTGATATCACTTTGCCCTGCAAGCTTGTGAAGAACCAGAGCTTTGCCACTTCAACTCATTGTGAAATTTCTGATGTTACAATGATTGGTCCTACCAGCCTGGGCCACACAGGAAGACCCTGTCTCTACAACATATTTAAAATTAGCCAGGCGTGGTGGTGTACGCCCATAGTTCTAGCTACTCCAGAGGCTAAGACAGGAGGATCACTTAAGCCCAGGAGTTTGAGGCTGCAGTGAGCTATGATTGTCAAAAAGAATTTTTTTTTTTTAATTCAAGAAATAGGCCAGGCATGGTGGCTCATGCCTGTAATCCCAGCACTTTAGGAGGCTGAGGTGGGTGGATTGCTGGAGCTCAGGAATTTGAGATCAGCCTGGGCAACAAGGCAAAACTCCATCTCTACAAAAAGTACAAAAATTAGCTGGGCCTGGTGGTGCATGCCTGTAGTCTCAGCTACTTGGGAGGCTGAGATGGAAGGATCAGCCAAGGTTGTGGTAAGCCAAGATCGTGCCATTGCACTCCAGCCTGGGTGACAGAGCAAGAACCTGTCTCAAAAAATAATTAATTAATTAAAAAAATGAAAGATTGGTCTCTTGGGATGAAGCGATATGCTAAGATTCCAAGTATGAGTTGATTTCTTTTGTTGTAAATCTTTTTTCTGGACTCATCTTTCTGGGGAATCTTAGGCAGGCACTCTGTGTCCTGTCTCTGAGATTATAGCAGTGGAGACAAATTATAGATGAAATGAAGCAAGTGGGAGAACAGTGGGGAGGGTGAGGGAACCCCCACGGAGCTCACAGCTCAAAACAGCAGGTGCCATCCCTCCACAGGGCGGGGATTTTTTTTTTTTTTTTTTTTTTTTTTCTCAGCAACAAAACCAGAGGACCCAGTTGGATGGGATTCATATGAGAGACTCTATTTCAGTTCCAGATTGATTGTCAGTTAGCGCTTTGGACAGTTAATTTTCTAAACTATAAAGAAGTCAGTGGAAGGCTGCAGCATGAAAATTTCCATTGGAGCAGACGGATTGAGTTGTTTTTTTTTTTTTTTTTTGAGACGGAATCTCACTCTGTCACCCAGGTTGGAGTGCAGTGGTGAGATCTTGGCTCATTGCAGCCTCCGCTTCCCGGGTTCAAGTGATTCTCCTACCTCAGCCTCCTGAGTAGTTGGGATTATAGGTGTGTACCATCATGCCTGGCTAATTTTTATAATTTTAGTAGAGGCAGGGTTTTGCCATGTTGGCCAGGCTGGTCTTGAACCTGACCTCAGGTGATCCACCCGCCTCGGCCTCCCAAAGTGCTGGGATTAGAGGCATGAGCCACCGCACCTGGCCAGAATAGATCTTTCTTGAGGTCCAGGGGAAAAGCCCTGGACTGCTGAATGACTCAGATCTTATGTGTGAGCCTGGCCGCCTGTGAGCCCCTCAGTCCTTCTGCCTGCTGTCTGCTTGCATCTCCATACCTGTCATGGTGGAATTTTGTCCCAGGTGACACAGGAGTTGTGGGGAGCAGGCTGGTTTCTCTACTCAATAGAGATGTAAGTGTTTTGGAAGATAATCCAATTTTAAAAAATTGGGTTAAAAGGCTGGGTGGGGTGGCTCACACCTGTTATCCCAGCACTTTGGGTGGCTGAGGCAGGCAGATCACCTGAGGTCAGGAGTTCAAGACCAGTCTGGCCAACATGGTGAAACCCCGTCTGTACTAAAAATACAAAAATTAGCTAGGTGTGGTGGTGGGCACCTGTAATCCCTGCTACTTGGGGGGCTGAGGCAGGGGGATCGCTTGAACCTGGGAGGCAGAGGTTTCGGTGAGCTGAAATCATGCCACTGCACTCCAGCCTGGGCGTTTATTTATAAATAAATAAATAAATAGTGTTAAAATATACATATATAACTTAAAATGGACTATTTTAACCAGTTTTTTTATTATAGTAAAATAACACAGAACATAAAATTACCATTTTAATGATTATCTTAAATTTTTAAAATTTTAAAATTATCTGCCAACCAGAAGCACATTTTAACCATTTTGAAGTGTGCAGTTCAATGACATTAAGTGCATTTGTACATTCATAGTGTTGTGCAGCCATTACCACTAAACATCTCCAGAAGCTAAAATTTTTTTTTGTTGGTTAGGCAAGGTGGCTCACACCTGTAATCTCAGTACTTTAGGATGCTGAGTCAGGAGGATCACTTGAATCCAAGAGTTGGAGACCAGTCTGGGCAACATAGGCACACCCCATCTGTACAAAAAATTTTAAAATTAGCTGGGTGTGGGGTGGTGCATGGCTGTAGTCCCAGCTCTTCAGGAGACTGAGGTGGGAGGACCGCTTGAGCCCAGGAGTTTGAGGCTGCAGTGAGTCATGATCGTGCCACTGCACTCCAGTCTGGGCAACAGAGTGTGATCTTGTCTCAAAAATAAATAAAATAAATACATTTTTTAAAAGTATATATTTTTTTAAGAGACAGGGGTCTCAGTATGTTGCCCAGGCTGGTCTTGAACTCTTAATGTCAAGCAACCCTCCCACCTCAGCCTCCCTTGTAGCTGGGATTATAGGCAGCAGCCCCTGTGACCAGCTATCTCCGGAACTTTTCCATCTGGATGATGGATAAGCAAATCTCTGTACTTACTCAGTTAAGCAATAACTTCCCATTGCCCCCTTTCCCAGCCCCAGCTAACCTCTATTCTCCTTTCTGTTTCTGTGAATTTGACTATTCCGGGTACCTTATCTAAATGGAATCCTACAATATTGGTCCTTTTGTGACTGGCTTGTTTCACTTAGCATAATGCCCTTATTTACACTGTACCATATGTCAGAATTTCATTCCTTTTTAAGGCTGAAAAATATTCCATTGTATGGATAGGCCACATTGTGTTTAATCATTCATCTGCTCATGGATGTCTGGGTGGTTTCCACTTTTCAGCTCTTGTGAATAATGTTGCTATTAACACGGGTGTTCAAGTATCATTTAAGCCCCCACTTTCAACTGTTTGGGGATATATATCATAAGAGTGGAATTGCTAGACCATATAATTGAGAATCAAACTTTTTAATATGTTGTAGGACACTGGTTCTTTTTTTTTTCTCCTATCTTTCCTTTTTTTTTTTTTTTTTTTTTTTTTGAGATGGAGTCTTGCTCTGTCACCCAGGCTGGAGTGCAGTGGTGAGATCTCAGCTCACTGCAACCTCTGTCTCCTGGGCTCAAGCAATCCTCCTGCCTCAGCCTCCAGAGGAGCTGAGACTATAGGTGCATGCCATCACACCCAGCTAATTTTTGTATTTTTTGTAGAGACAGGGTTTCACCATGTTGCCCACACTGGTCTTAAATTCCTGATGCAAGTGATCTGCTCACTTTGGCCTCCCAAAGTGTTGGGATTATGGGCATGAGCCACCGCACCTGGCCTCCTATCTTTCTCTACAGCAACGTGATGAAGTAAATGTAAACCCGAACTAATGGGCAAAACATTTTCCACTTTTAGGGGTTTTAAACTACCTGAAAGAGACATTTACCCATACTCCAAGTTACGACATGAGCCCTGCCATTCTCAGCGTGCTTGTCAAAATGATGCTTGCACAAGCCCAAGAAAGCGTGTTTGAGAAAATCAGCCTTCCTGGGATCCGGAATGAATTCTTCATGCTGGTGAAGGTGGCTCAGGAGGCTGCCAAGGTAAGACTCCCTGGTTCCTGTGACTTTGGGGAGTGGGCAGGAAATGCTGGCACAGGAGCACTGGAAGTAGCGGGGCCTTCCCACGGGAGCTTGCCTGTGACCTGGGCATTGTGCCAGCTCCGGCCAGTACTGCTGGCTTGAGTTTTCTTGGCAAGTGTTGGTGTTTCAGATACGGATCACTGATTCCATGTGTAGCTTAACCTAAAAACCAGCATAATGACAGCAGCCTGATCCCCCTGTTAACTGTGACAGTGACAGAACGAGGGGTTGCTTGGAGTTGCTCCCAGATTCTGGAGCAGCCCCTGGCAGGGGCTGTTGCATGAGAAGAAGAAAGGGCTCTTTCTCTGCAAATGGGTTCATGAGGGCCTTTGTGCCGGGCTGCCCCTTCCCAATGCCTCTTCTATTTCAGGTGGGAGAGGTCTACCAACAGCTGCACGCAGCCATGAGCCAGGCGCCGGTGAAAGAGAACATCCCCTACTCCTGGGCCAGCTTGGCCTGCGTGAAGGCCCACCACTACATGGCCCTGGCCCTCTACTTCACTGCCATCCTCCTCATCGACCACCAGGGTAAGGCCTGTGGGGTTCAGGGGTTTGGCCAGGGCTGTGGTCCAGCTGCCCCAGGGGTGATTCTGAGCTGAGCGAGAGCTAACTGCCTTCCCTGGAGATGCTCACAGGCTGAGGGCAGAGGATGAGAATGACCCATGACTGAGGCAGCTGCTGCACAGGCCATGGTGGGGTTAGGGGTTATAAGCTTCTTTAGAGGGAGGAAGAGGAGGCACCTTTAATTCTGCCTGTGTGCAAGAGGATGAATTTTCACCTGGAATCTAGAATCTAAGGGAATGCCAAAAATGCTGGCATCAAGATAGGTAACACTTTAAGGTAATATTTTAAAAGAATCCAAATTAATGCAGGCCGGGTACAGTGGCTCACGCCTGTAATCCCAGCACTTTGGAAGGCCAAGGCAGGCAGATCATTTGAGGTCAGGAGTTCGAGACCAGCCTGGCCAACAAGGTGAAACTCTGTCTCTACTGAAAATACAAAAATTAGCCGAGCATGGCGCGTGCCTCTAATCCCAGCTACTCTGGTGACTGAGGCAGGAGAATGGCTTGGGCCGGGGAGGTGGAGGTTGCAGTGAGCTGAGATTGTGCCACCGCACTCCAGCCTGGACAGCAGAGCAAGACTCCATCTCAAAAAAACTAATAATAATAAAATAAAAATTAATGCAAAAAAAATCTGTGATGATCAGAATTTAATTTAATTTAATTTATTTTTAGAGATGGGGCTGGAGTACAGTGGTATGATCATGGCTCACTGCCTTCTTGAACTCCTGGGCTCAAGCGATCCTCCTACTTCAGCCTCCTGAATACCTGGGACTACAGGCACATGCCACTACACCAGTTAATTGAAAAAAAATTTTTTTTGTAGAGATGGAGTCTCACTATGTTGCCTAGGTTGGTTTCAAACTCCTGGCCTCAAGCAATTGTCCTGCCTTGGCCTCCCCAAAGTGTTGGCATTACAGGCATGAGCCACGGTGCCTGGCCAGGGATTTTTGATCTAATGAGTACTAATCCAGGCAGCCTCCTGAGGAATTAAAAAGACAGCCTCTGGAGCCAGACTTCCTGGGTTCATATCTCAGCTCTGCCATGAATGAGCTGTATTACCTTGGGCAAGTTACTTAGCTGTCCTCTGCCTCGATTTTCTCATCTGTAAAATGGGTATATGGAGAGAATCTACCTCACAGGCTGTCATGAAAATGAAGGGCCTGTATGCAAAGCTCAATAATGCTTTATATGCTGTAGGTTCTCTGAAAGTGTGAGCCACCACTCCTAGTACTATATAGTCTATTAGGTGAGACAAGATGTGGAAACAAATAGAAATACCATGTAGTGCCTTGGTGATTGCTGCAGAGACACAAATGCAGCAGCAGGTGGACTCCATGGTGCAGTCATTGATGGCTTCTCAGAGGCGGTGACATTTGAGTTCAACTTTTCCATCTGCACAGGAGGGCAGGGTCAGCCTAGAGGGAGTAAAGTGTCTGAGCACAGGAATAGAGGCCGAGGGTGCTGGGTAAGTGGAGAGTGGTTTTGTGAGGTTTGAGAGCAGGATACGCACCAGGGAGGGTGTGGTTGAAGCAGGAAGGGGCTGTGCTGCAGGTGTGCAGGCCTGCAGAGGGGTGCAGGCCAGGCATGACAGGGTCTGGGCTATGCTAGGAGGTTCTGTGTGGTGGGTGAGTCAGAGGAGGTAGCGTGTGGGGGCTCAGGGTCAAATTATGAACCTCACCGGGTGTGGTGGTTCACACCTACAATCCCAGCACTTTGGGAGGCCGAGCTGGGTGGATCATGAGGTCAGGAGTTCGAGACCAGCCTGGCCAAGATGCTGAAACCCCGTCTCTACTAAAAATAGAAAAATTAGCTGGGCATAGTGGCACGTGCCTGTAATCCCAGCTACTCGGGAGGCTGAGGCAGGAGAATCACTTGAACCCGGGAGGTGGAGGTTGCAGTGAGCCAAGATCACACCACTGCACCCAAGCCTGGGCGACAGAGCAAAACTCCATCTCAAAAAAAAAAAAAATTCTGAACCTCTGGAGCATGACTGGTTCCAATGAGCAAGAGCTTCGGGGTAGCCAGGCATGGTGGCTCACACATTTGATCCCAGCAATTTGGGAGGCTAAGGCAGGAGGATCGTTTGAACCCAGAGGTTTGAGACCAGCCTGGGCAATGTAGCAAGACCTCATCTTTACAAAAAAATTTAAAAATTGGCCTGGCATGTGGTGGTGCATGTCTGTAGTCCTAACTACTCAGGAGGCTGAGGTGGGAGGATCACTTGAGCCCAGGAGTTCAAGGCTGCAGTGAACTATGATTGTGCCATTGCACTCCAGCCTGCTGACAGAGTGAGACCACACTCCAACCTGAGTGACAGAGTGAGACCATCTCAAAGAGAAAAAAAGCTTGAGGGTCAGACTGCCTGGGGTGTGTCCAGGGGCAGAAAGGAGAGCGATGATCCCAAATGCCTTGTGAAACTGCAGAAGAAAGGAAACTAGAGACATGGTAGAAAGAGAAATCTCTATGTGGGTCTGTGGCCAGATCCATGAGAGGGGATTTAACCTGTGGTTCTCTTTGCAGTGAAGCCAGGCACGGATCTGGACCACCAGGAGAAGTGCCTGTCCCGGCTCTACGACCACATGCCAGAGGGGCTGACACCCTTGGCCACACTGAAGAATGATCAGCAGCGCCGACAGCTGGGTGCGTGTCCCTCTGCACCCAGATGTGGGTCCCACTTGGTGCCCAGTTGATCCTGCTCACAGACAGCCACAGAGAGGTCCCTGAAGAGGGCCCGGGAGAGGGGGGTGTTCCAAGTCATCGTGGCCACTTTGGGTTCAGAAGTCATGAGGTGCAGTCCTGAGCCTCAGAGGGCTTCCCAGGCTGTGTTCTCATGGGTTCCATAGCACCCAGGCCTCCCCCTGTGGAGCCAGGACTTTAACCATCTCCCTTGGGGTCCATAGGGTGGCCTGTATCATGCTAACAGGGAAGGAAACGTTTGTTGATTTCTTTATGCATGGCTGAATTACCAAGAACACCTAATGACTGGTAATGAAGTGTCCTGGTTTGGTCTCTGCCATGTCTCAGTGTGACTATCTCTTCCCATGTGCAGACCTCACCTCCACCACCCTAATCTGCCCCCACGCACACATACGCAGCTTCCCCGTCTCAGTGATGGCAACTCCCACCCCTCTAGGTGCTCAGGCCAGAAACCTTGGACTCACTCTCCACTCTTCTTTTCTTTCCTCCTCTTTCCCCTCCTCTCCCCTCTGCTCCCCTCTCCTCTCTTCCCCTCTGCTCCCCTCCCCTCCTGTCCTGTTCTCTCCCCTCCTCTTCCCTCCCCTCTGTTACCCTCCCCTCCCCTCCTCTCCCCTTCTCTCCCCTCTCTTCTCCCCTCCCCTGCTCTCCTCTCTCCGCCGTCCTCCCTCTCCTCTCCTCCTCCCTCTCCTCCCCCTCTCCTCCCCTCCCCTCCTCCCTCCCCTCCTCCCTCCCCTCCCCTCCTCCCTCTCCTCCCTTCCCCTCCTCCCTCTCCTCCCTTCCCCTCCTCCCTCTCCCTTCCCTTTCTCCCCTCCCCTCCCTTCCCATCCTTCCCCTCCTCTCCTCTCCTCCCCTCTCCCACCTCCCCTTCACTCCCCTTTCTCCTCCTCTCCCCTCCCCTCTCCTCTCATCCTTCCTCCTCTCCCCTCACCCTTCCCCTCTCCCCTCATTCCCTCCCCTCTCCCCTCATCCCCTCCCCTCTCCCCTCATCCCCTCCCCTCTCCTCCCCTTTTCTTGTTCCTTGTTGCTTTCCTTTTCTTTCCCTTTCCTTTCCTCTCCTTTATTCTTTCTTTCTTTCTCTCTTTCTTTCTCTCCTCCCCATCTACCCTTCCTCCCTCCTTTCCTCTTTCCTTTTCTTTCATTTGCTTTCTTTGACAGCGTCTTGCTGTCCCCCAGGCTGCAGTGCAGTAGTGCAATCACAGCTCAGTGCAGCCTCGAACTCCTGGCTTCAAGTGATCCTCCTGCCTCAGCCTGCTGAGTAGATGTGACTATAGGCATGTACCACCATGCCCGGCTAATATTGTAAAAAGGTTTTTGTAGAGATGCGGTCTCACTATGTTGCCCGGGCTGGTTTTGAACTCCTGGCTTCAAGTGATCCTCCTGCCTCAGCCTGCTGAGTAGCTGGGACTATAGGCATGCACCACCATGCCCGGCTAATATTGTAAAAAGGTTTTTGTAGAGTTGCCGTCTCACTGTGTTGCCCAGGCTGGTTTTGAACTCCTGGCCTCCAGCGATCCTCCTGACTCTGTCTCCCAAAGAGCTGGGTTTACAGGCACGAGCCGCCACACCTAACCTCTTGTCTTACTTTCTCACCCTACATTTGATTAGCAAATCCCTTTGGCTGTACCTAGAAGACACACTCAAATCTGGCCACTTTAACCCTGCTGCCCTGGTGGAAGCCACATGTGTACAGTGCTTATGTAAGAAACATTTACTCACTAAACCCCACGCAACACTATGAGGTGGGTCTCATGGCATCCCCATTTTACAGCTGAGGAAACTGAGACCCAGGGCAGTCACATGGCTTGCCCTGCTCATAGCTGGTTTTCTTGCTGCCCCTTCAGAGTCTGGTCATGCAGGCCAGATCACATCAGTCCCCTGCTCACACCCCAGTGGGCTCCCATCTCAAGCAGAACAGGAGTGAGAGCCCTCATCTTGCACGCGTGAGATCTGCCATGATCTGGCCTTGCTCCTTCCCTGCAGTCATTCTGTCCCACCCTCCCTGCCTCCAGGCACGCCTTAGCTTCTCCTTGCCCTTGAACACCTGTGCGTGCCCCTGCTCCAGGGCCCTCGCACCTGCTGCTCTTTCACATCCATCAGGGCTCTGCTCAAAAAGGACCATATCACAAAGCCTTCCTTGGCTGGGTGTGGTGGCTCATGCCTGCAATCCCAGCACTTTGGGAGGCTGAGGTGGGAGGATAGCTTGAAGTCAGGAGTTTGAGACCAGCCTGGGCGACATGGAGAAACCCCGTCTCTACCAAAAATACACTTAGCCAGATGTGGTGGTGTGTGCCTGTAATCCCAGCTACTTGGGAGGCTGAGGTGGGAGAATCGCTTGAACCTGGGAGGCGGAGGTTGCAGTGAGCCGAGATCGTGCCACTGCATTCCAGCCTGGGTGACAGAGTGAGACTCCGTCTCAAGAAAAAAAAAAAAAAAAAAAAAGCCTTTCTTGGTCACCCATCATAAGACAACCCCATTCCCAGTCTTCTCCTACCATCTCCGCTTACCCTGCTTTATTTTTCTCTATAACCTCATCACCACCCCATCCATTACATATTTCTTGTCTTGTTAGTTATCTGTCTTCAGTCACTACATGTAAACTCCATGAATGTGGGGGCAGTTTGTTTACTCGTTGCTTTATCTCTAGTGCCTAGCACATTTGGTAAATATTTGTTGAGTGAACATCTTATGGACACAAGTGAGCTTATTACATATGCATTTAAGGGAGGCTTGGGCTGGGCGTGGTGACTCACGTCTGTCATCCCAGCACTCTGGGAGGCTAAGGCAGGTGGATTGCTTGAGGCCAGGAGTTTGAGACCAGCCTGGGCAACATAGCAATGATAATGAAATGATAATGATAATGAAAACATTATCCAAGTGTGGTGGTGCATGCCTGTGGTCCCAGCTACTCAAGAGTCAGAAGTGGGAATTTCAGTTGAGCCCAGGAGTTTGAGGCTGTGGTAAGCCATGATTGCACCACTGTACTCCAGCATGCGAAACAAAGTGAGACCCTGTCTCTAAATATAAAATATAAAATGAAATAAAATAATATTTTAATAAAAGGCTTGTTGTAACCAAGCGAGTTGTAGAGAAACGCCACACTTTGAGACTAATTCAGGAGTCATTTATTAGCCGGCAACTGAGAGACGGCTAATGCTCGAAATTCTCTCGGGCCTGAAGAAGGGGCTAGATTTTCTTTTATACTATGGTCTAAATAGGGGAGGGGGGTTTAACTGAAGCAATTTTACAGAAGCAGAATAGGCAAGAAGTTAAAAAAAGTAATTGGTTATAGAAGCAGTTACAAAAAATAAACAGTTCCAGGTGCAGGGGCTTAAACTATCACTGAGAGATAAATGCAGGGGCTTTAGGTACCTGCCACTGAGCACATCCCCAGGAGCTGCTGGTACAGCCTGCCTCAGTATCTTATCAGCAGTTTGCGTTCCTGGATGTGCTTGGAGTCAGCTTACACTAGTTGTTCCCTTAAGGGGGATAAAGGGGGCTGCAAGTGAAGAAACTAAAATGGAGTCTGTCCGGCTCTCTCTGCTAGGAGAGAGTCACTCAGGTTAAAACAAGGTAGGGTATCACGGGCTCTAGCTATCCAGGCAGATTCTTTAGAAAAGAGAACGTCCAACCTCTTGGGCTGCCCCTTGGGCCCTTATGCTCTGCTTGGTGGATCTGCAGGTCACGTGGGTGCTGGCTTCCATCTGCGGGGAAGTCCCACCTGCACAGAGCCATGGCTCATCACGAGGAGTCAGTGCGGGAGGCCAGCCTCTGCAAGAAGCTGCGGAGCATTGAGGTGCTACAGAAGGTGCTGTGTGCCGCACAGGAACGCTCCCGGCTCACGTACGCCCAGCACCAGGAGGATGATGACCTGCTGAACCTGATCCACGCCCCCAGTGTTGTTGGTGAGTAACCTAGACTGTGTTCCCTCTGTGGGGGTGCCTGTGCCGCGGAAAGAGTACGCCTGGCCTGTGGGGGTTGAGCGAGCCCTCGCTGTGTGCTTGGCACAGGGAGGGCTGCACAGGGCAGGGACCGAGGTGCTTATTTCGCCCTGGAGTTCTCTTTTCTTTTTGAGATGGAGTCTCGCTCTGTTGCCCAGGCTGGAGTGCAGTGGCATGATCTCGGCTCACTGCAACCTCTGCTTCCCGGGTTCAAGTGATTCTTCTGCCTCAGCCTCCCGAGGAGCTGGGATTACAAGCGCCCACCACCACGCCCAACTAATTTTTGGATTTTTAGTAAAGATGGGGTTTCACCATGTTGGCCAGGCTGGTCTCGAACTCCTGACCTCAAGTGATCCGCCTGCCTTGGCCTCCCAAAGTGCTGGGATTACCAGAGTAAGCCACCACACCTGGCCTAGATACACTTTTTATGCTATTTGTTCTCGTGTAGAATCAGCCTGCCCTGGGATCCTTTGTTAGAAATTGACCAGCCTTATGTTAAGGGTAGTCCGAGCCTGCTGTGAAGATGCTGGTGGGGGTATGTAGCTGTCAATGGTTATGATTTGCCAAACCTCCTTTTCACTGGGAAATCCTCATACCACATTAATAATGAAAAGGTCAAGCACGGTGGCTCAAACCTCTAATCTCAGCACTTTGGGAGGCCGAGGCAGGAGGATTACTTGAGCTCAGGAGTTTGAGACCAGCCTGGGCAACATAGTGAGACCCCATCTCTACAAAAAATTTAAAAAAAATTCATCAGGTGTGGTGGTGCATACCTATAGTTCCAGCTACTCGGGAGGCTGAGGCAGGAGAATCATTTGAGTCCAGGAGGTCAAGCTGCAAGAGAGCTGTGATCGCACCACTGCACTCCAGCTTGCGCGACAGAGCGACACCCTGTCTCAAAATAGTAATAATGTTGAAAACAGAAAGCTCAATATCCCAGGACTGTGTCCAGTGAGGCATGGAACTTCCATAACAATAATACTTGAAACATAGATGACTTCTCAATAGGTTTTTTGTTTGTTTGTTTGTTTTTGAGAGGTCGTTTTGCTCTTGTCACCCAGGCTGGAGTGCAGTGGTGTGATCTCAGCTCACTGCAACCTCTGCCTCCCTGGTTCAAGCCTCAGCCTCCCAAGTAGCTGGTACTACAGGTGCGTGCCACCACGCCTGGCTAATTTTTTGTATTTTTAGTAGAGATGGGGTTTCATCATGTTGGCCAGGCTGGTCTTGAACTCTTGACCTCAGATGATCCTCCCACCGCGGCCTCCCAAAGTGCTGGGATTACAAGCATTAGCCCCCGTGCCCAGCCTCCTCATTAGGGTTTTATGAGTGCCAGAGAAGCCCACTAAGCCCCTTAAATATCAGGAAACCCCATGGGAATGTGTCTGGTTATCACTCCTTGGTCCCAGCTCAGGAATGAGTTATACCTCCTATGGCTCACAGGAGGTACCCAAATGGAAGGTAGAGTTCAACCTAGGTCGGGGGTTGAGCTGTGTTCCATCTTCTTGTACTACTTGTCTAAACCGAGGGGAAGGGTGTGTGACTAAGAGAAAGTTCTGTACTGTCTCCTTCCCAAGGATCACTTTCTTTTTTCCCCCCCTGGAGTCTTACTCTGTCACCAGGCTGGAGTGCAGTGGCAAGACTTCAACTCACTGCAACCTCTGCCTCCTGGGTTCAAGTGATTCTCCTGCCTCAGCCTCCCAAGTAACTCGGATTACAGTCGCCTGCCACCATACCTGGCTAATTTTTGTATTTTTAATAGAGACGGGGTTTCACCATGCTGGCCAGACTGGTCTTGAACTTCTGGCCTCATTGATCCACCTGCCTCGGCCTCCCAAAGTGCTGGGATTACAGGCGTGAGCCACAACACCGGGCTATAAGGATCACTTTCAATTACAGAAACATTTATCCTCCCATTTCTAATCCTCTATTCTAGCTAAAACTGAGCAAGAGGTTGACATTATATTACCCCAGTTCTCCAAGCTGACAGTCACGGACTTCTTCTAGAAGCTGGTATGTTGAAAGCTCTCTACATAAATGACCTAAGGGGACAGCTCTTCACTTTGGTGAGTATGGTGTCTTAGTCCATGTGGGCTGCTATAACAAAATGCCTCAAACTGGGTGGCTTATGAACAGTAGAAATATATTTCTCAGTTCTGGAGGCTGGGAAGTCCAAGACCAAGGTATTGGCAGATTTGGTATCTGCTGAAGGCCCATGTTCTGGTTTATAGGTGGGGCCTTCTACCTGTGTCCTCATGGCAGAAAAGGTGATGAGCTCCCTTGGGCCTGTTTTAAAAGCATGTATCCCATTCTTGAGGGCTCCACCCCAAGACTGAATCACCTCTCAAGAGGCCCCACTTCCTAATAATTACATTGATGATTTTAATATACATTTTAAATTTTAATAAATATTAATAAAATTTTAATGTTTTAATATACAAACTTTGGGAGGGTACAAACATTCAGACCATAGCATATTTTATTTTATTCATTTATTTTTATTTATTTGTTTTTTGAGACAGAGTCTCACTCTGTTGCCCAGGCTGGAGTGCAGTGGTGCGATCTCGGCTCAGTGCAGCCTCCACCTCCCAGGTTCAAGTGATTCTCCAGCTTCAGCCTCCCGAGTAGTCGAGATTACAGGCCTGTGCCACTATGCTCAGCTAATTTTGTATTTTTAGTAGAGACAGGGTTTCACCATGTTGGCCAGGCTGATCTTGAACTCCTGGGCTCCAGTGATCCACTCACCTCGGCCTCTCAAAGTGCTGGGATTATAGGCCTGAGCCACTGTGCCCGGCCCCATAGCATATTTTAAAAGTAGTTTTTAGGTATTGTCTATTTGAAATTTTTTAAAATATTTTTTAATTTTTTTTAGAGATGTGGTCTCACTGTGTCACCTAGGCTGGATTACAGTGGCATGGTCATAGCTCACTGCAGCCTGAACCTTCTGGGCTCAAGCGATCCTCCTACCTTAGCTACCCTAGTAGATGGGACTACAGGCAAACACCACCACGTCCAACTAATTTTTATTTCTTGTAGAGATGGGGTCTTGCTATGTTGCCTAGGCTGGTCTCAAACTCCTGGGCTCCAACCATCCTCCTGCCTAGGCATCCCAGAGTGCTGGGATTACAGGTATGAGCCACTATGCCTGACCTGAGATTTTTTTCCTTTTTTTTTTTTTTTTTTTAGACAGGGTCTAACTCTGTTTTCACCCAGGCTGGAGTGCAGTGGCACAATCAGTTCACTGAAGCCTCGAACTGCTGGGCTCAAGAAGTCCTCCTGCCTCAGCAGCCTGAGTAGATGGAACCATAGGCGTGCACCACCATGCCTGGCTAATTCTTTTATGTTTTTAGTAGAGAATGGTTCCCGCTATGTTGCCCAAGCTGGTCTCAAACCTCTGGCCTCAAGCAATCCTTCTGCCTTGGTCACACAAAGTGCTTAGGATTACAGGCATGACATGCCTGGTCTTAAATTGTTTATATTAGAGATTTTATTTAAGATAATTTTGGCTGGGTGCAGTGGCTCACGTCTTTAATCCCAGCACTTTGGGAGGCTGAGGCGGGCGGATCACCTGAGGTCAGGAGTTTGAGACCAGCCTGGCCAACATGGTGAAACCCCATCTCTGCTAAAAATACAAAAATTAGCCAGGCATGGTGGTTCGCACCTGTAATTCCAGCTACTCAGGAGAATTACTTGAACCCGGGAGGCAGAGGCTGCAGTGAACCGAGATCACACCACCACACTCTAGCCTGGGTGATAGAGTGAGACAATGTCTCAAAAAAAAAGAAAAGAAAAAGATAATTAATACAATGTCTAAAAGATAATTTTATTGAAAATATATTGGGTATGTTTGAGAAGATGGCTTTCCAGCTTCTTGCATGACTGCTGTAGCATGTATGCCCCCAGATGTGTCATTTGTCCCTGAACAAGGCCAAGTGAGATCTTCAAGGACAGCAGGCAAAATTCCCTTTAGCTTTCAAGCGTCTGATCTAGCCTTCAAATCCTACACCTAACGATGCTCTCTTCCAAAGGGCCCCTTATCTGTGTTTTTGGCTAACAAGCAGTGGATGCCTCCTCGAAGCAACCGCTTCACCGCAGAAGAAGGGGACTTGGGGTTCACCTTAAGAGGGAACGCCCCCGTTGAGGTTCACTTCCTGGATCCTTACTGCTCTGCCTTGGTAAGCACATGCTTTTCTTGGTTGGCAGCAAATACAGATATCTGGGTGATTGAATTTAGGGCGGGTTCACCCACGTCAAAGGCCTGACTTGATGTGAAAGGCCTCATGGGTGCTACATTCCCTAAAAGAAAAGGATTAATTTTTACTGTCTTTATTTTGTTTTTAGTATTTTTTTAGACGTTGGGAGGTGGAGGCTGCAGTGAGTCGTCATCATGCAGTGGCGCGATCTCAGGGCTCACTGCAGCTTCTGCTTCCTGGGTTCAAGTGATTCTCCTGTCTCAGCTTCCTGAGTAGCTGGGATTACAGGCACGTGCCACCAGACTCAGCTAATTTTAGTTTTTGTTTTTGTTTTTTGAGACACAGTCTCGCTCTGTCGCCCAGGCTAGAGTGCAGTGGCGCGATCTTGGTTCACTGCAACCTCCACCTCCTGGGTTCAAGTAATTCTCCTGCCTCCACCTGCTGAGTAGCTGGGATTACAGGTGCGTGCCACCATGCCCGGCTAATTTTTTGTGTGTTTTTAGTAGAGACGGGGTTTCACCGTGTTAGCCAGGATGGTCTTGATCTCCTGATCTTGTGATCTGCCCACCTCAGCCTCCCAAAGTGCTGGGATTACAAGTGTGAGCCACCTGGCCCGGCCTAATTTTTGTATTTTTAGTAGAAACGGGGTTTTGCCATGTTGGCCAGGCTAGTCTCAAACTCCTGGCCTCAAGTATTCTGTCTGCCTTGGCCTCCCAGAGTGCTAGGATTATAGGCGTGAGCCACTGTGCCTGGCCAATTTTGACTTTTTTTTTTTTAATTGCACCCAGGCTGGAGGGCAGTGGCACGATTTCGGCTTACTGCAATGTCTGCCTCCCGGGTTCAAGCAATTCTCCTGCCTCAGCGTCCCAGGTAGCTAGGACTACAGGTGCCCACCACCACACCTGGCAGATTTTTGTATTTTTAGTAGAGATGGGTTTCACCGTGTTGTTCAGGCTGGTCTTGAACTACTGACCTCAAGTGATCTACCCGTCTCAGCCACCCAAAGTGAATTTTTGCTTTCTTGATGCGAACTTACGCAAATACCTATTTTGTTAATGGGGACTGATTCAAGGATTTGAGTGAACAAAACGTTGACTTATTTTCAACAATACTTTTTCAGGTGGCAGGAGCCCGGGGAGGAGATTATATTGTCTCCATTCAGCTTGTGGATTGTAAGTGGCTGACGGTGAGTGAGGTTATGAAGCTGCTGAAGAGCTTTGGTGAGGACGAGATCGAGATGAAAGTTGTGAGCCTCCTGGACTCCACATCATCCATGGTGAGCACTGACACCTCCCTGGGCAGTCAGTAGTGGTGTGGAGTGAAATCTGCATGAGTTCAGCCCCAGAGGTGTTTATCAGACCCTCTGTCTCCTGCCTGTGTAACATGGTACAAATGACTGGACTCCCAGGCTTGTAATCACTGTAATGTGCTCACCTTGGGTCAAAGAGAAAATTGGCAAACTTTTTCTTTTTAAAGACAGGCTGGTTTGCAGTGGTATGATCATGGCTTACTGCAGCCTCTATCTCCTGGGTTTAAGTGATCCTCCCACCTCAGCCACATGAGCACCTGGAGTTATAGGCACCCACTACCACCCCTGGCTCATTATTTATTTATTTATTCATTTTTTTTTTTATTATTTTTTTTGAGATGGAGTCTCGCTCTGTCACCCAGGCTGGAGTGCAGTTGTGCAATCTCGGCTCACTGCAAGCTCTGCCTCCCAGGTTCACGCCATTCTCCTGCCTCAGCCTCCCAAGTAGCTGGGACTACAGGCGCCTGCCAATGTGCCTGGCTAATTTTTTGTATTTTTAGTAGAGATGGGGTCTCACCATGTTAGCCAGGATGGTCTCGATCTCCTGACCTCGTGATCCACCTGCCTCGGCCTCCCAGAGTGCTGGGATTACAGGTGTGAGCCACCATGCCCAGCCCATTCTTTATTTTTTGTAGAGACAGGTTCTCGCTGTGTTGCCAAGACTGATCTTGAACTCCTGGGCTCAAGCCATCCTCTCACCTTGGCCTCCCAAAGTGCTGGGATTACAGGCATGAGCCACTGCACCCTGCTAGCAAACTTTTAAAAATATCCTGTAGATAAAATAATCAACTGATCTATTTTTCTGATCAAATTGTTTAATTACAAAAGTAATACATACTCATAGTGAAAAAAACAAAAAACAAAAAAAAAATTCTAATGGTACAGAAGAGCTTAAGATGACCTGTGAAAGTTAAGACAATCCCTCTGTACACCCTAGAGGCAATGTCAGCCATGTTCTGGGAGATTTGGGAAGCATTTGAGTCTCTCAAGTTCACCTGCACAGTTACCACCTTTAATTTTCCCCAGGTGAGGCTGGGCACGGTGCTCATGTTTGTAATCTGAGTACTTTTGGAGGCTGAGGTGTGTGGATTGCTTGAAGTCAGGAGTTCAAGACCAGCCTGACCAACAAGGCAAACCCTGTCTCTACTGAAAATATAAAAATTAGCTGGACATGGTGGTGTGCGCCTGTAACCCCAGCTACTCAGGAGGCTGAGGCAGGAGAATAATTTGGGAGGTGGAGGTTGCAGTGAGTGGAGATCACGCCATTGCACTCCAGCCTGGGCAACAGAGTGAGACTCTGTCTGCAAAAAAACCCTAAAATTTTCCCCAAGTGCTAGCGTTCATGCCACACTCAATGACGTTCTCCTCTGCACTTTGCCACACTTAATGACGTACCCTCGACCTTCCCTCTGTAACAACAGTCATTTATTCATTCAACAAATATTGATTGAGGATCAATTGGGTGCCAGACACTCTCTTAGGTGTCAGAGCTCCAGTTTACATTACACAGGTAAGGTCCCTGCCGCCCCCCACGAAGCTGGCACTAAGTCAGCAAATAAATGGTCAGGATTTTGATAAGTGTTGTAAAGGAAAAAAGACCTGTAATGGGGTGGAATGACTGGGGAGGAGGTGAGACTCTATCTAGGCAGGGCTGGAACAGACATGAGAGTGACCAGGAGGTTCGAGCCAGTGGCAGAGAGACAAGAAAGGCCTTCTGGGCAGGGGCACCTACAGGTACAGGGCCCCTGCAGCAGAATAAGCTTCTCCTACCAGAGAGGCCAAAGAAAGGCCTTTTGGCAAGAGCACCAGGACAAGGAAGGGAGCCGTGGGAAGTGAGGTAGGAAGGAGGCCTCGGTGGCAGTGGTGGGAGCTTGGAAGCCACTGGGCCTTTTCAGAAGGGGAGCGGCATGGTGTGATGTTTGTTTTAGAAGTGCGTCTGCTGCCGGAGACTGGCCATGGCAGTTGTCCAGGCTGGTGACGTTAGTGGCTGAGGTGATGGGGGTGGCTGTAGAGTTGGAGAGACGTGAGTGTCCCTGGGACATAGTTTGGAGGTAGAGCTGATGGGGGATTTGTGGATGATTTGTGTAAAGGAGACAGTGAACAGGGAGGTGAGGCCTCAGTTTTTGGCTTGATCAATCTCATGGGTAGTGGTTATTTTTCTACCTTTAATTTCCTTTTTCTCTTGTTTTTTTTTTTTTTTGTTTGTTTGTTTTTGTTTTTTTTTTTTTTTTTTGAGACAGGGTCTCACTCTGTTGCTTGGCTGGAATGCAGTGGTGCAATCATAGCTCACTAGAGCCTTGACTTCCTGGGCTGAGGCAATCCTTTTGCCTCAGCCTCCCGAGTAGCTGGAACTACAGGTGTGTACCACTATGCCTGGCTAATTTGTTTATTTACCTATTGTAAATTTTTTTTGGTAGAGATGGGTCCTTGACATATTGCCAAGGTTGGCCTCAAACTCCTGGCCTTAAGCGATCCTTCCACCTCCACCTCCCAAAGTGTTGGGATTACAGGCATTAGCCACCATGCCCGGCCTGGTTATTTTTCATAATGATGGGTAATGGGTGTGAGGGAGGTGAAGGAGAGAAATCAAGAGTCATGTTTTGAATGTTTCAGAAGCTATTAGCAGTCAGACGTAAGCATAAAGGAGGAGATTGGATGTGAAGTCTTCAGTTCGAGGAAGAAATCAGAGCTAGAAATAAATATTTGAGAATCATTGCACAGGGATGATATTTGAGGCTGTGAGACAAAATGCAGCTCCCTGCAAGGGGGCTAGGGCTGAGGTCTAAACATTTAGAGATCAGTTGGAAGAGAAGCAAGTGCAAAGAAAATGCAGGAGAGTTCAGAGATGTCGGAGGAAAGGAACTTCTCAAATTAAGAGGAGAAAGCTTTGCAGTGAGAGAGTGATGGGTTGCATTGAATGCAGTTGAGAGGTGGAGAATGAGGTTGGCTTAGCTGTGCCTATTGTATTTGGCAGCAGGATGAAAAGACACTTTGGTGGAGAGGTGGCAACAGAAGTCAGTTGAGAGAGGGCCAGAGAGCCAATGGATTTTGAGTCCGTGGATATGAAATGCTCAGCATAGGCAAATCCAGAGACAGAAAGTAGATGGTGCTGGGGCTGGGCAATGGGAGTGGGGAGGGACTGCTGAAGGGTCATAAGGTAGAAGGTTTCTTTTTGGGGGGATGGAAATGTTCTGAAATTAGGTAGTAGTGATGGTCACCTAACTTTGTGAATATACTAAAAAATCACTGGTGTTTTGGCATGCTGGCTCACACCTGTAATTCCAGCACTTTGAGAGGCTGAGGCAGTATGTTCGCTTGAGCCCAGGAGTTCGAGACCAGCCTGGGCAACATGGCGAGACCTTGTCTCTACAAAAAATAAAAAAAATTAGCGAGGCATGGTGGCACACACCTGTAGTCCCAGCTGCTTGGGAGGCTGAGGCCGGAGGATCACTTGAGCCCAGGGAGGTTGGGGCTGCAGGGAGCTATGATTGTACCACTGCACTCCAGCCTGGGTGTCAGAGCAAGACCCTGTCTCAAAAATAATAAATAAAAGCCACAGAAGGGTATTAAAATGGTGAATTTTATGCATGTATGTGAATTATATCTCAAAAAAAATTTTTTTTTTTTGAGACGGAGTCTCACACTATCGCCCAGGCTGGAGTGCAGTGGCGTGATCTTGGCTCACTGCAACCTCTGCCTCCAGGATTCAAGTGATTCTCCTGCCTCAGTTTCCTGAGTGGCTGGGATTATAGGCGGGCACCGCTCTGCCTGGCTAATTTTTGTTTTAGTGGAGACAGGGTTTCACTACGTTGCTCAGGCTGGTCTCGAACTCCTGACCTCATGATCCATCCACCTCGGCCTCCCGAAGTACTGGGATTACAGGCGTGAGCCACCGCACCTGATATACTTCAAATTTTAAAAGAAGATAAAGTCAAGGGACTCAGAGCATCTTGGGAGAAGGGATCATAAGAAATTATATTTTTAGGGACAAAATGCATGGAGTTTATGGACAAGTGATTAAGGTCCCCAGCAGAAACAGAAAAGAAGTTTGTCCAAAAGGAGGTTAGAGAAAAGAGCCGAACCATACACTGAAGGTTGGAGTAGGGACCCCATCAGCAGAGGCCTGAGTTTATGGGGCATGCCCTGCCCCCTGTGAGAGGTGCAAAGGCTTGACTTTCAAGCCTGTGACATCTTTACACCAGGCCAAGGAAGGGGCTGCTGTAATAGCTAAAAGCAAGGGTTCTGCACTCAGACAGTCTAGATGTGTATCCTGGCTTTCCACCACCATTGTGTGGCCTTCAGCAAGTCAGGGAATAGCTGTGAGCCTCAGGATAAACTGAGTTTACATAAAGCCCTTCCAAGAGGGCCAAACATGAGCTACATTTCAATTCACAATAGACATTATAATGATGATAACCATGATCATGATGTTTATTCTTTTCACCCAGCAGGATGTCTTTAATTTTTTTAAAAATAATGTTTTTAGGCCGGGCACAGTGGCTCACGCCTGTAATCCCAGCACTTTGGGAGGCTGAGACGGGTGGATCACGAGGTCAGGAGATCGAAACCATCCTGGCTAACATGGTGAAACCCCATCTCTACTAAAAATACAAAAAATTAGCTGGGCGTGGTGGCTGGTGCCTGTAGTCCCAGCTCCTTGGGAGACTGAGGCAGGAGAATGGCGTGAACCCAGGAGGTGGAGCTTGCAGTGAGCTGAGATCGTGCCACTGCCCTCCAGCCTGGGTGACAGAGCGAGACTCTGTCTCAAAAAAAAAAAATGTTTTTAGTCTGGGCACAGTGGTTCACTCCTATAATCCTAGCACTTTGGGAGGCCGAGGCAGGTGGATCACTTGAAGCCAGGAGTTGGAGACCATCCTGGCCAACATGGCAAAACCCTATCTCTACTAAAAATACAATAATTAACAGGATGTGGTGGTGTATACCTGCAATCCCAGCTACGTGGGAGGCTGAGGCATAAGAATCGCTTGAGCCTGGGAGGCAGAGGTTGCAGTGAGCCGAGATCGTGCCACTGTACTCCAGCCGGGGCAACAGAGTAAGACCCTGTCTAGAAAAAAAAAAGTTTGTTTTTTGTTTTGAGACACAGTCTCGCTCTCATTGCCCTGGCGCGATCTTGGCTCACTGTGGCCTTTACTCTTGGGCTTAAGTGATCCCCCCACCTCTGCTTCCTGAGTAGCTAGGACTACAGGCATGCAACACCATACTCAGCTAATTTTTCATATTTTTTGTAGAGATGGGGCTTCACCGTGTTGCCCTAGCTGTTCTCTAACTTCTAAGCTCAAGCAATCCGCCTACCTTGCCTCCCAAAGTGCTGGGATTACAGGCATGAGCCAGCATGCCCGGCCAAATAATTTCTTTTGTTGTTGTTTTTTGTTTTGTCTTGTTTGTTTTGAGACAGGGTCTCACTCAGTTGCCCAGACTGGAGTGCAATAGTGCAATCATAGTTCACTATAGCCTCGAGTTCTAGGGCTCAAAAGATCCTCCCTTCTCATCATCTGAGGTCAGGAATTCTAGACCAGCCTGGTCAACATGGTGAAACCTGGGTGTGGTGGTGGTGGGTGCCTGTAATCCCAGCTACTTGGGCAGCCAAGGCAGGAGAATTGCTTGAACCCAGGAGGCAGAGGTTGCAGTGAGCCGAGATCATGCCACTGCACTCCAGCCTGGGCAAGAGAGGGAGACTCCATCTCAAAAAAAAAAAAAAAAATCCTCCCAAGTTGCTGGGACTACAGGTGTGCACCACTATACCCAGCTAATTTTTAATTTTTTTTTGTAGTGACAGTCTCATTTTGTTGCCCAGCCTGGTCCCAAACTCCTGGGCTTAAGCAATCTTCCTGCCTCCGCCTCCCAAAGTGTTAGTTTTACAGGAATGAGCCAGTGCACCAGGCCAAAAGTAATTTCCTTTCATCTTTTATTTAACTAATTTTGTAGTGACGGGGTCTAACTAAGTTATCCAAGCTGATCTTGAATTCCTAGCCTCAAGAGACCCTCTTGAATCAGCCTCCCGAATAGTTGGGATTACAGGTGTGAGACACTGTACCTGGCTCTTTTTTTTTTTTTTGGAGATAGAGTCTTGTTCTTGTCATCCAGGCTGGAGTGCAGTGCTACAATCTTGGCTCACTGCAACCTCCGCTTCCCGGGTTCAAGCAATTCTCCTGCCTCAGCCTCCCGAGTAGCTGGGATTACAGGCACCCACCATGATGCCTGGCTAATTTTTGTATTTTTAGTAGAGATGGGGTTTCACCACATTGGCCAGGCTGATCTTGAACTCCTGGCTTCCGGTGATTGGCCTGCCTTGGCCTCCCAAAAGTGCTGGAATTACAGGAGTGAGCCACCATTCCCAGCCCCTGGTTTTTTAAAAATAATTTTTAAAAAATAATTTATTTTTGTCTATTAATTTTTATGATAAGGATTTTAGATAATGACAGCCAAGCACTGTTTTTAGCGACTGAACCTTTCAAACAAAATCAAATAAAGAGAGCATTTAGCCTAGCACTCTGGCTGAACCGATGACCTGCTGCCCTTGGCTACCCTCTTGACTACAGTGGGGATCCCTAACTGAACAAATCTAAGCTTGGAATCAAGCTCTGGAATTACGCCCTGACTGCCGTTCACAAGCTGTGTAACCTTCAGCACGTTCATACCCTCCCTGGGCCTCAGTTTTCTCATCCAGAGGATGGAAGAGTTAGGCCTACACAGTGGTTTTAAACTGTGCTCTGTAAAGTCCTAAGAGTTCTACAGGGGTACCCTGGTGGATTTGAGCGAGGAGTGGGTGGCAGGGAAAGAAATAGTAAATGGAGCTGGGCACAGTGGCTCAAGCCTGTAATCCCAGCACTTTGGGAAGCTGAGGCAGGTGGATCACTTGAGGCCAGAAGTTCAAGACCAACCTGGCCAACATGGTGAAACCCTGACTCTACTAAAAATACAAAAATTATCTGGGCATGGTGGCATGTGCCTGTAATCCCAGCTACTTGGGAGGCTGAGGCAGGAGAATCACTTGAACCTGGAAGTGGAGGTTGCAGTGAGCCAAGATTGGGCCACTGCACTCCAGCCTGGTGACAGCAAGACTCTGTCTCAAAAGAAAAAAAAAAGGCTTTTCAAAGAAAGTAGTGGTACACATTGCAGGAGTGAGAGAGAGTGTATGTGGGTATGATACTGGGGTGGACCTGGAGGGGAATAGGGTCAAGAAAGGCTTTACTTTTTTTTTTTTCTTTTTGAGACAGAGTCTCGCTCTGTCGCCCAGGCTGGAATGCAGTGAGTGGCGCTATCTCAGCTCACTGCAAGCTCCACCTCCTGGTTCATGCCATTCTCCTGCCTCAGCCTCCCGAGTAGCTGGGACTACAGGTGCCCGCCACCATGCCCGGCTAATTTTTTGTATTTTTAGTAGAGGCAGGTTTCACCGTGTTAGCCAGGATGGTCTCAATCTCCTGACCTTGTGATCCGCCCGCCTTGGCTTCCCAAAGTGCTGGGATTACAGGCGTGAGCCACTGTGCCTGGCCAAGAAAGGCTTTTCAAAGAATGTGATGGTATGCATTGCAGGAGTGTGTGTGTGTGTGTAGAGAGAGGGGTGTGTGTATGTGTGTAGAGAGGGGTGTGTGTGTGTGTGTAGAGAGGGGTGTGTGTGTGTGTGTAGAGAGAGGAGTGTGTGTGTGTGTAGAGAGAGAGGGGTGTGTGCGTGTGTGTGTGTAGAGATCTGGGAGGCAAGGGTTCCTGGAGGAGAGAGGGAATGGGATCCAGGCACACAGAAGGGCTTGGTCTTGGGGGATGGATGCCATGAAGTATACGGCAGGGATTTCAGGAGGGTGTGTGAGTGGCTTCAGGAGGAGAGCGAAGATAAGAAACAAGTATACAGGAGAAAAGGAAACGAAATTACTAGGGACACACAAGAGTGCCAGGAAATGGGTGCCTATTAGAGGTTTGGGGTCAGGTTAGAATTCCAAGGGAAGCCTTGGTGAGTGTCCTCCAGCAATGCACAACCTTTCAGATACAGGCCCTAGGGGAGGCAGAGGGCGGAGATGAGCAAGTTAGCATTGCTGGGGGCAGATGGAAGAGAACTGAGGGTATTTATAAGGCAGTGGTTTTGATACACAATGGACTTTGAGCAGCTGAGGGTTGGGAAATGCTTTCAGGCCTCACATCTGTCTCCAGGATTATTCGTTTTATTATTGTTTTAAATGACATTGTATGTGCTCCGTAAAACATGGTGGAGTTAGTGGTCAGTTTTCCAGAAAAGGAAGAGGCATCTCCATCCTTAGGGGCTCAAAGTACCCCCTACTTTATTGCTGCATAACTCAGATTCCTGAGGGTTTATTTTATTTATTTATTTATTATTTATTTATTTTTTGTGATAGAGTCTTACTCCATCACCCAGGCTGGAGTGCAGTGACGTGATCTTGGCTCACTGCAACCTCCACCTCCTGGGTTCAAGTGATTCTTCTGCCTCAGCTCCTGAGTAGCTGGGATTGCAGGTGTGTGCCACCACACCTGGCTAATTTTTGTATTTTTAGTAGAGATGGAGTTTCACCATGTTGGCCACCATGGTCTTGAACCCCTGGCCTCAAGTGATCTGCCCACCTCAGCCTCCCAAAGTGTTGGGATTACAGGTGTAAGACACTGTGCCCGGCCCCTCTTAGGGTTTATATTAGGAACAATGTCCTCAACTATTGCAGCGATATATTGTATGCCTAATGTTAGTGCCAGAACATAGTAGACCATCAATAAACATGTGGCGAACTAAACAATCTCAATGTTAGGCAAACCTTAGAAGCTGGTGATAGCCCATGTGGAAGTCTTCAGAAAGCAAGCTTCCTTAGATTTCCAGTTTGAATCCTACATGATTCTTGGAAAGTTAACAGTAGAGAGTGTTTAATGGTACAAAGTTTCAGCTGAGGAAGATGAAAAAGTTTTAGAGATGGATGGTGGCAGTGGAGCATAATGATGTGAATGTAGTTAATGCCACTGAACTCTACACTTGAAAATGATGAAAATGGCACTCCAGCCTGGGCGACAGAGCGAGACTCCATCTTAAAAAAAAAAAAAAAAGAAAAAGAAAAAAAAAGAAAAAAGAAAATCAGGTGTAGAATAGTGCAGTATATTCCTTTTAAGAAAATGAATGGTAATATACTTATGTACATACAGAAATACCTGTACATGCACATCATCTCTAGAAGTATAACATGGAGGGCCTAGAAGCCCAGGTGACAGGGAGACCTATTGCTCACTGCATATTCTTTTTTTTTTCCTTCCCTTTCCCTCTTCCCTTCTCTTCTCCTCTTCCCTTTCCTTTCCCCTCTTCCCTTCCCCCCCGCCCTTTTTTTGAGACAGAGGTGTCACTCTGTTGCCCAGGCTGGAGTGCAGTGGCACAATCACAGCTCACTATATAGCCTCAACCTCCTGGGCTCAAGCATTCCTCCCCTCTAAGCCTCTCAGGTAGCTGGGACTGTAGTCGTGAGCCACCACGCCCCATCCTATACTTTCATATTCGTGACCATTAGTATTATTACTTTCTCAAATAGAAGAAGAACCTTAAAATGTGAGTTGTGGCTCCTAAGCTTAAATTGTTACTATTGAGTACATTCCTTAAAAGTTATCCTTGTTGGGCTGGGCGCGGTGGCTCATGCTTGTAATTCTAGCACTTTGGGAGGCTGAGGCAGGTGGATCACGAGGTCAGGAGATCGAGACCCTGGTGAAACCCCGTCTCTACTAAAAATACAAAAAATTAGCCAGGTGTGGTGGTGGGCATCTGTAGTCCCAGCTACTCAGAGAGGCTGAGGCAGGAGAATGGCATTAACCCGGGAGGTGGAGCTTGCAGTGAGCCGAGATCGTGCCACTGCACTCCAGCCTGGGCGACAGAGTGAGACTCCGTCTTAAAAAAAAAAAAAACAAAAACAAAAAACAAACAAACAAAAATTATCCTTGTTGCACCTGGTGGCACACACCTAGAGCCCCAGCTACTCAGGAGGCCAAGGCAGGAAGATCACTTGATCCCAGGAGTTCAAGACCAGCCTGGGCAACATAGCAAGACCCTGTCTCAAAAAAGAAAAACAGTTTGTCCTTGTTTTAAGAACCTAATTCTATATAAGCATTGGTCACCTGAGTTTCCGAATTATGTCTGTTTAATTTATTTTTTGGAGACAGAGTCCTGCTCTGTCACCCAGGTTGGAGTGCAGTGGTGCAATCTCAGCTCACTGCAACCTCCACCTCCTGGGTTCAAGTGATTCTCGTGCCCAGCCTTGCAAGCAGCTGGGACTACAGACATCCACCACCACACCTGGTTAATTTTTGTATTTTAGTAGAGATGGGGTTTCACCATGTTGGCCATGCTGGTCTTGGACTCCTGACCTCAAGTGATCCACCTTCCTCGGACTCCCAAAGTGTTGGGATTACAGGCGTGAGCCACTGCGCCTGGCCAAACTTCGTAGTTTTTATCATCTATCTTGATGATGTCTGACGCCCTTTTTCTTTTCTATGTGCAGCATAATAAGAGTGCCACATACTCCGTGGGAATGCAGAAAACGTACTCCATGATCTGCTTAGCCATTGATGATGACAACAAAACTGATAAAACCCAGAAAATCTCCAAGAAGCTTTCCTTCCTGAGTTGGGGCACCAACAAGAACAGACAGAAGTCAGCCAGCACCTTGTGCCTCCCATCGGTCGGGGCTGCACGGCCTCAGGTCAAGAAGAAGCTGCCCTCCCCTTTCAGCCTTCTCAACTCAGACAGTTCTTCATACTAATGTGAGGAAACAAACACGTTCAGGCCCCGAACATTTCTGGTGCTGACTCGGCCTTAAACATTTGTGCCATAATGGAAAATATCTATCTATTTTCAAATCCTGTTTTTCTCATAGCGTAAACTCACATTTGATGTGTTTTTATGAAGGAAAGTAACCAAGAAACCTCTAGGAATTAGTGAAAAAAGAACTTTTTTGAGGCGTGTTACTATACTGCTGTAAGTTATTTATTATATAAAGTATTGTAAATAGAATAGTTTTGAAGATATGAAATATGGCTATTTTTAATGGTGACAGTTATGACTTTTAGTCACTATTAAATTGGGGTTACCTATAATAATACAATTTGTAGTTGTTTCCAGGTTTGGCTAATAATCATTCCTTAACCTAGAATTCAGATGATCCTGGAATTAAGGCAGGTCAGAGGACTATAATGATAGAATTAAATTAGTGTCACTAAAAACTGTCCCAAAGTGCTGCTTCCTAATAGGAATTCATTAACCTAAAACAAGATGTTACTATTATATCGATATACTATGAATGCTATTTCTAGAAAAAGTCTAGTGCCAAATTTGTCTTATTAAATAAAAACAACGTAGGAGCAGCTTTTCTTCTAGTTTGATGTCATTTAAGAATTGCTAACACAGTGGCAGTGTTAGATGAAGATGCTGTCTACAAGGTAGATAATATACTGTTTGATACTCAAAACATTTTTCATTTTGTTTAAAGTAGAAGTTACATAATTCTATATTTTAAGTCTTGGGTAAAAAAGTAGTTTTACATTTTATGAAGTAAAGATGTAAATGATTCAGGTTTAAAGCTCTATTTGACTTTGTTGTTGTTGTTGTTTGAGATAGAGTCTTGCTAGTGTCAATAGCAAAAGCCTTCTAGCTATCTGCCTTTCAGCTACATGGTGGGGCATACTTAACTGTTTTCTTTGATGTTGGGCATAGCATGGACCTACTTGGTTCACTATCTGACACTATCTGCATTTATTAACACTATCTGTGTTGATTTGTGCTATTTCCTGTGTGTGATTTGTACATCTGCCATTGCTTTTTGTCTCTAGTTACTGCTTTCTTTTCCTGTTTGCCTTGTTCTTGTAGAACCCTTTCTGACTCTCTCAAGAGGGACCTTTTCAACCCCAACTCCCACTGGTCTAATCCTAACCAGCACCAGCTGGTTGGGAAGTAGAGCAGGAACTCTGGCTGCCCTAATCTACATGGTGCTCTCTGCTCCTGGGCAGGGATGTGGGTGTTTTTATATACTATTCTCTTGAGTATGAAATGCCTGAACAAAGCAGTGATTTGGCAAGCCTGAAGTCACACACTGGGGCTCATAGTAACTTGCTTCTGCTAGCAACGTGAGCATTAGAAACATTTCCTGGCCAAGTAGCCTTGAATCAGCTAGGAGTGGGGGTGCAATGAGTCTGGGTTCACTTTGCTCAGGGTGACAAGGCTTTAGAGTATTGGTTAATTGTCAAACTCTTTTGTTTAAGAGACAAGGTAAACATACATACATGCATACATAGAGAAGCTTTCTAGGGTTACTTAGGCTTTATGTGATTACTAGCAGAAATGTTTGTATTTGCAAGCAAAGCTTATAAATCACCTCTTAGATATCTTTGCAAAATGAAGCTAAAACGTGGTTTAAAGAATCAAAAATATAAGATATTTACAATGATTTATAATTGAATCAGGAATGCATTTGGTATTTTTTAAAAGGAATAATTGGCTAAGATTTAAATTAATTTGCTTTCCTTAAAAACTCAGAGCCTAAACAATAGAAAGAAATAGGAACAGTTACACTGGGTGTGTGAGGGGTGGAGGGGGGGACCCAACTGGGACTGAAATTTCTTGGAGAAAATCTACAAAATCGGCCAAGCACACATGGATTGTGTGACTTCATTTAGTTGGAGGAGAACTGAGCAACCCGCTGATCTCAAATGCCTTTCCCCAGGAGAAATAATCTCTCTTGTCTTGGAATGGCTGTAGCACTGCAAGTCTATTCCACCCTTGGCACTTACCTTAATCTATGCTGTAATATTATCTCTTTTAGAAATGTTTTTATCTCTTCATTATAACAATTATCTTTTTATGTGACTGACTTACCTAGGATGCTCATTCATTCCAGGTAGCCTGGAACAGTTCTGATTTGCGCCCGTTGCCATGGTTTAATTAATAGTGCCCCCTTTCACTCTCAGAAGTGTCCTGGTTTGGATGATAAATTATAAGGTTCCCATAGTCTTATCCCAACTAAATGGAAAGTTCCTGTGTTAGTCAGGATCCCAGCAAGAAACAGAATATTCTGTGGGGATTTTTGAAGAGATAAAAGTCCCTTTAATAAAGGGACTATTTACAGAAGTGTGGGCAGAGTTAAGAGCATCAAAAAAGGATGTTGAGGCACCAGGCCTGAAAAGGTAAAGGGAAGAAATGATGCCATTGGAGCTTATCTGGGGGGCACAGCTTTTGAAGAGGGGCTGCCCTAGAGAAGCCATAGTCCTGGAAGGGCTCAAACACTACAGAATGGGCCAAGCAAGGGAAGACATTCCCTACCACTGTCCTCCCACCCATCTATTACCTATCTGTGCCTTCTATTGGTTGAACACAAATGCAAGCCAGAAGGCAAAGGAGCCCTGGTGATAAAGTTGGAAGGTGTTCATTTCCTTGGGAAGAAGAGCAGGGAAAGGCAGAGAATGAATTGAGGGGGATCAGGGTATCTTGGGTCCTAGGGAAGTGGCAAACAGAAAATAAAGCTTCCTAAGGGGAGTCTCTTTGTCTTCAAGTGAATTAAAAACACATGTGTGCACACACATGCAAAACACTACAGGAAAGGCCATGATTGGCAAGACTTGGCAGCTATTTAAGGGAGATATTCTCTACAATGGGGAACAAGAAATAAACTTAAGGAAGTTAAATTGCAGACTGAAGGTAAATAGCAGACTACAACAATATTAAGCAGTATATGGTGATTGTCAGATTAATGGTGTAGGCCCTAGATGTTAAAGGAGTTTGAAGGATGAAAGATCACAATGGGCTGGAGCAATCTGAAAAAATAATTTATGGAAGAGGAGAGGTTTTCAGCAGCATTGAAATTAGAGCCAACTTATATGGGCAAGAAGGAGAGGTTGGTCTTCTTTGGGGCAATGGCATCAACAATAGCACAGGTGTTAGCCTGAAACACATCTTCCCATGGGTGGAGGGCTGGTGTTGTTTCTGAGATTTTCAAAAATCTTACAAACATTCCAGGCAAATACCTATGGAAGGGGCTAAAGGGCATTAAATGGGCTGTAAGAGGTATAGGTTGTGGGTGGCCATTGATTCATTCCTTCAATAAACATTTATTGAATGCTTGGTATTGGTCAAGCCACTGTTCTGAGAGCTGCTGATGCCAAGTAAAATAAGACATGGTTCTTTCCCTTGAAGAAAGGGAATGGGAAAGGTAACCAAGGGAGAAAATAGTTATTTTGCCTTGTGTCCAGATGAGGTTTTTCACATTCTCGGCTGGTCTTTTCACTCACTGCTGAAAGTCTTTGGAGAGCCTTTACTCCCTTCAGGGGAAAGGATCGAGGCCCTTCCGATGTGGCCTTTTCTTGAGTCTCCAGCCCCATCTCTTACCACTCCTCTCAACACAGAGGTATGCACAGACGATATGCAAGCACACAGGAGATCATCTAAATGAGACTCGAGCAGAGAGTGATTAAGGAAGACTTCCTGGAGGAGGTAATGCAATCTGAATTCTGAAGTGTGAGCAGGGGCTTTGTAATGGTGTTTCCATTTATTTGTGTCTATCCTGATGCATTCTAAAAAGGAAGTAAGATGGTTGGCTTAAGAAATACACAGACAGGATAAAAAGAAAATTAGGTAAAACATAGAGTGAGCTTATTTGCCTTTTATGTACATTGCTGCATTTGATTTCAGAAAAGCTTTATAAAGTTGCAGTTTTATTTTCATTTTCCAGATGAGGAAGCCAAGACCCAGTGGTTGAAGTACCTTGCCCAGAGCACACAGTCTTGACAGGCAGTGGAAGCAGAACAGAACCAAGCTGGTTTGGTACCAGTCTGTGAGTTTTCAGCTGTGTGCACTAGTATAAAAGATGTGCTTGTGACTTCTGTGGCTTACCTCCCTGCATAGAGCTCAAGGCCTGAAGGTGCTGCACGGGGCAGTAAAGGATGGCTGTGCACTTTGAAGACTGAAAAGTGAGTGAAGGGGGTGTTTTAGTCCATTCTCACACTGCTAATAAAGACATACCCGAGACTGGGTAATTTATAAAGGAAAGAAGTTAATTGACTCACAGTTCAGCATGGCTGAGGAGGCTTCAGGAAACTTACAATCATGGTGGAAGGGGAAGAAAACCTGTCCTTCACATGGCAGCAGCAAGGAGAAGTGCTGAGCAAAAGGGAGAGAAGCCCCTTATAAAACCATAAGATCTTGTGAGAACTCACATTCACTACCATGAGAATGGCAGCATGAGGGTAATCACCCCCATGACTCAATTACCTCCTACCAGGTCCCTCCCACAACATGTGGGGATTATGGGAACTACAATTCAAGATGAGATTTGGGTGGGGACACAGCCAAACCATATCAGAAGGGAACTGGGAAAGGTATTTCAGGCAGAAGAGTCAGTGTGTTCAAAGCAAGAGGGGTGTGAAAGAGCATGGCGTGTTGGAAGGATAGTAATTAGCTCATGATGGTTGGGAGTGTTAAGAGCACTGCTGAGAGATGGGGCTGGAGATGCAAGCAATGGCCACATCTGAAGGGCTTCATATAGCCCTTGGCCTGAAGGGAGTAAAAACTCTTGAGGAGTTTAAGCAGTGAGTGACAAGACTGAGAATGTCAAAAACCTCACTTGTACAGCAATGTAAGCAAGTCTAGGTCGGGAGAAGCCTGGAGGCAGAGAGGCCAGTTACAGGGCTTGCTGCAGTCATAGAGCAACAAGATGGTAGAAATGATAAGGAGGGTGTTAGAGTTTGGGAGCTATTATGGAGAAACATTAGACAGAGGTGGGCCCCTGGATTGGGGATGAGTAAAGGTAACAGATTCTCACTTGGGCAGCCAGTGAGGTGATGCCATTCATGAGGCAGGGATGGTGGGGAAGAACCAGCTTGGTGCTTGAAGGTGATGAGTAGAGATGATGATGGTCATAAACAACTAATAAAGAAAATGAGCTTCACTTTTTTACCTTCTGTTCTGTCTAGTTGTTTAGTTTATTGAGGCCTTAGAAAAAAATATGACAGCCCCAGAGAAAATATTGTCAATAAAAGTTAAATGTATTTATTTTGATAAGACATTGTTTTTATTGCAAAAGTAATATATACACAGACAATTTAGAAATTACAGACAAGCCAAAGAAAATGTTGTTACACAAATGCAATGTTACAATGACTTGTAACACTTTGGTGTGTATCCTTTTTTCTCTAAGCACATATGTGTAAATATATGCATTTTTAAAGGATTTCAGTAATGTTCTCATGATTAAATATATCATGCACATCCTTCTTTCTTTTCTTTCTTGCTTTTTTTTTTTTTTTTTTTTTTTTGAGACATGGTCTAGCTCTGTCACCCGGGCTTGAATGTAGTGCAATTCTGGCTCACTTCAACCCCCATCTCTTGAGTTCAAGTGATCCTTCTGCCTCAGCCTCCCAAGTAGCTGGCACTGCAGGTGTGCACCACCATGCCCAGCTAATTTTTGTATTTTTTGTTGGGACAGGGTTTTGCCATGTTGCCTAGGCTTGTCTCAAACTCCTAGGCTCAAGTGATCCACCCACCTTGGCCTCCCAAAGTGTTGGGATTACAGGCATGAGCCACCATGCCTGGCACATGCACATCTTTCAATAACATTGGTAATTCTATAAGATCATTTTGGAGATTGCATGGTATTCCATTTATGAATGCACCGTCTCCTATTCAACTATGTTTCTGCTGAGACATTTAGGTTGTTTCCATTTTTGTTTTTACTATTACAAACAACTCTGCAATAAAATAATGAAAATTTAAATTTTCCAATTAACCTTTGGTTTTTAGTAGTGCAATTAAGTTTATGATATTAAGTTTGGGCATGGTTTGTTTTTTTAAGTGGTTGTAGAAAGAAACAGATTTTTTTTTTTTTTTGAGACGGAGTCTCACTCTGTCGCCCAGGCTGGAATGCAGTGGTGTAATCTCGGCTCACTGCAACCTCTGCTTCCCGGGTTCAAGCAATTCTCTGCCTCAGTCTCCCGAGTAGCTGAGATTACAGGCACCTGCCACCACACCCGGTTAATTTTTGTATTTTTAGTAGAGACGGGGTTTCACCATCTTGGCCACGCTGGTCTTGAACTCCTGATCTCGTTATCCACCTGCCTCAGCCTCCAAAAGTGCTGGGATTACAGGCATGAGCCACTGCGCTTGGCGAAACAGTTGTTTTTAAATTGCTCTGAAAAAATATGTGGTCTCTAATTCTCATGTATGAGAGCAAACTGATATAAGGTATGGCTATTAAAAAGGAAGTATGGAAACTATCTGTCAGTTGAGTCATTCTTTAACTTTCAGTGAGGGCAGAGACCATGTTTGCTAATGAGATTCCTTTGCTTTAATGACTTTTTCAGTGTCTCCCCAAGGAGCATACAAAATTTTGTCAATTCTTCAAAATGATCTACAAATTGATAAACCTCATGAATAATTGCGGTTGTAGTTAGATTCAACTTCCTTTTGATTGTGTACAATAAATTTTTTGCATACATCTTTAAAATTTTTTCCCTTAATTTAGCAGCAGGCTTTGAGGATAGGAAACATATTATAGCTGACCTTTTTTAACTGATCATTGCCCTTTTCCTCAGAGTTCCTACTGACTAAACTCTGTGCTAGGTGTCTGCTCTCTCTGCCCTTGTCAAGCCTCTAATAGTCAAACATCTGAAATTCCTCTTTTCCAGTGAAGATGCTGCAGAGTACTTGGAAGAGAAAACGAGATATTTCTGGCTTGTCTGGACAAGGTTAGACCCCCGATAGCAGCAGAAAAGGGATACAGGATGTCAGTGATAAATGGGTTGTCTCTGTTCAAACAATAGAATGCATGCATTCTCCCAAAGTGCTTGGAAAATCCCCAGTAGCTGTGTACTCCAAGCCATCCTGGTTGGATGTAGATACATTTCACCAGTCTCAATACCCTTTTTCTTTCATAAATATCTTCTATTCTAAAAGAAGGTGAATAGAAAGTACAAGCTAATCTCACACATAACCTAAGCATAACATAAAGGAGAAATTTTAAAAATTTAATTTATAGTAAACATACATTATAGCCAGATGCTTGTACTTATACCTAGAATCGTTGTGAATGTGACACCTACAAATGCAGACTGGTACTGGAGTGATACATCGATGACTCAAATACCACAGGGGGCATCACCATTGGTATTGTAATTTTCCAGAATGATGAACTACAGTGGGTTAAGTTATGCGTGAAGCAACATCCAGTTTTCCTTGCCTTTATAAAGTGCATTCCTAAAAATTCAGTGAGGCAACGTCCAATTTTCTTTGCATTTATAAATTGTATTCCTAGAAAATTCAGTGCATTTAAAACTACTCAAAAGTATTTTGTGTTTTATGTGTAAATTAAAGTTAGGTTTTAGGCTCACATCATTGTAAATAGGTTTTTCCTCTACTTGAAAGACATTCAAAGCTCATGTCTGACATGAGACAGCTTCTTTTTGCACGACTGACCCACATATTATTGGGCATCTCTAATCCCAGGACCCCAGCCAGTTGTACCTCATTCATTGTTAGAGCCAAAATACAAACAAACTAGGCCCGGCATGGTGACTTAATGCCTGTAATCCCAGCACTTTGGGAAGCTGAGGCGGGCAGACCTGAGGTCAGGAATTTGAGACCAGCCTGGCCAACATAGTGAAACCCTGTCTCTACTAAAAATACAAAAATCAGCTGGGCGTGGTGGCATGTGCCTGTAATCCTAGCTACTTGGGAGGCTGAGGCACGAGAACTGCTTGAACTTAGGAGGCAGAGGTTGCAGTGAGCCGAGATAACACCACTGCACTCAAGCCTGGGTGACAGAGTGAGACTCTGTCTCAAAAAAGAAAAATAAACCAAAACCCCCAAATACTGACAAACTTACAAATTGTCCCTTTAGGTGGGTAAAATTCCCCTGCCTTCACCTCAATCACTGGTTAAGCAGCTCCTGACTGTTTTTCTTTTTTGGACCTGGGAGGATTTTCCTCTGAGGTACAGAGAATTAGGTCAACTTGAGTCTGATTTAAAAAAATTATTTATGTTAAAAATGGTGCACATATACACAATTATATATAACACAATATATAATGTTAAAAATATACATATAATAAAAGTTACCATTTAAACCATTTTAAATGTATAGTTCAGTGACATTAAACATTCACATTATTGTACAACCAATACCATTATCCATCTCCAGAACAGTTTTATCTTCTCCTCCTGGTTTTTTAAAGAAATCACGGACAGTAGTCTGTTTTGTCTCTCGTTTTCTTTTTTCTTTTTTTGAGACGGAGTCTCACTCTGTCTCCAGGCTAGAGTGCAGTGGTGTGATCTCAGCTCACTGCAACCTCCGCCTCCTGGGTTCAAGCGATTCTTGTTCCTCAGCCTCCCGAGTAGCTGAGATTAGAGGCGCCCGCCACCACACCCAGCTAATTTTTGTATTTTTAGTAGAGACGGGGTTTCACCATGTTGGCCAGGATGGCCTCAGTCTCCTGACCTCATGATCCACCTGCCTCGGCCTCCCAAAGTGTTGGGTTTATAGGCGTGAGCCACCGCACCTGGCCTGTCTCTTGTTTTCTTAGGTCTTCTCATTGGCACTCATTCTGAGAATTGGTCTGTTTCTTTTTTCTTTTTCTTTTTCTTTTTTTTTTTTTGAGATGGAGTCTAGCTCTCTCGCCCAGGCTGGAGTTCGGTGGCACGATCTCGGCTCACAGCAACCTCTGTCTCCCTAGTTCAAGTGATTCTCCTGCCTCAGCCTCCCAAGTAGCTGGGATTACAGGCAGCCGTCACCACGCCCAGCTAATTTTTGTATTTTTAGTAGAGACAGGGTTTCATTGTATTGCCAGGCTGGTCTTGAACTCCTGACCTTGTGATCCACCCACCTCAGCCTCCCAAGTGCTGGGATTACAAGCATGAGCTACTGCTCCCGGCCTGCTCTGTTTCTTGATTCTGATTAGGCCAGGTTTGTGACTCAACTTTTTGTCTCTGGTGAGGCTGTCATGCTCTGAGCTCTGCCTGTGCTGCTGACCATGCCTCTGCCCCCAGCCATATGGTAACCACACATGGCATCACCTCTCCGGCAGACCCGGGCCTCCCCAGCTCTGTGGCAGTGTCGGGGACTGAGTTACCCTATGACTCCTCTTCACTCTCCCTTCTGGAAAATTCATCTTTTCCTTGGCAGGTTATATCATAATTTCATATTCATTTGATCACTTTAGACATCCTATATTCCACCGTACAGTCCTGTTTTGTCTACACTTGTCTATCTGAAATCCTATGTTATTAGGCTGTCTGTTAGAAGAGGCAACTTGGCAGTGTGGAAAGAGCATTAGAACTGGAATCAGAGGACAGTGAGTAAAAAGTGAGAGGGCTGATCACTAGATAATCTGCAGCTTCAAAGAAAAAGTTAATACATTAATTTCTATAAAATATCTACCTACCTCATAGAACCTTCATAAGCATTGAATGCAAGTGAAAAATCGTAAAAGCATAAGGCATTATTATATAGCCCTTACTGTAATAAAAGATGCATAATACATGCTTTTTAAATGACAAAAGATATAATGACATACACTACTAATTGGTAAAGAACATAAGGCTGGATAATAGAATCTGCAAACGCAGATATAGGCTGTTTTATTTAGTAGGGATGTAGTCTTCAATAAATGTTAAATGAACATATGTGCTCCAGAAAGGTTATTCAAAACCTTCATTTGGGGGTATTTAAAAGACAGTAACTCTCAGATATTTAGTGCTTGGAAGTCCACATAGATGTTCTGGAGCATCAGCAGATGTGTGAGGTTGATTTCTGCCTGTTGTCATGAGAACACAGCTTGTCTTTATTGGCCTTTAGGAACATGACCCTAAAAGTCAGCCTGACAGTGATATTCTTCTATGAAAAGAGAGACTACTACCCAAAGGAGCTGTGATAGGAGACCTGAGGAGTCAGATATGATCAGATGTTCTGTTTCCATTTACAGAGTCCTGAAAATCTTTGAGGCTGGTAGCTGCAAGTCATAGTTCCAGCCAGTGCTGTGCTGAGCCATGTTGCAAAAGGAAGGATGTGTACTACATACTATATAACTGGATACATGATTTTACGTATTTTTAAAACCAGTTATTGGCGGCCAGGCGCGGTGGCTCATACCTGTAATCCCAGCACTTTGGGAGGCTGAGGCAGGTGGATCACCTGAGGTCAGGAGTTCATGACCAGCCTGGCTAACATGATGAAACCCCATCTCTACTAAAAATACAAAAAAATTAGCTGGACATGGTGGCGGGCACCTGTAATCCCAGCTACTCGGGAGGCTGAGGCTGGAGAATCGCTTGAGGTTGCAGTGAGCCGAGATGGCGCCATGGCACTCCAGCCTGGGCAATAAGAGTGAAACTGTCTTGGAAAAAAAAAAAAAGGCTATTGACTTAGATAAAAATACCACCTATGAATTTGCTTCCATTAAAACCAGCAAAATAAATTTATAATAAATTCTGATCAAATACTTAAAATGTGAGTTTTATTTAATTGAAAAGTAGATATCTACTTTTCAATTGTTTCAATATTTTAAAACTAGTGCTCTGAAAAAAATTCATATCTGCTTAAGGTATTATTTTTATTTTATTTTTTTTGAGATGGAGTCTCACTCTGTCGCCCAGGCTGGAGTGCAGTGGCACAAACTTGCAAGCTCCGCCTCCCAGGTTCACGCCATTTTCCTGCCTCAGCCTCCTGAGTAGCTGGGACTACAGGCGCCTGCCACTGCGCCCGGCTAATTTTTTTGGTATTTTTAGTAGAGACGGGTTTCACCGTGTTAGCCAGAATGTTCTCGATCTCCTGACCTCATGATCCACCTGCCTCGGCCTCCCAAAGTGCTGGGATTACAGGCGTGAGCCACTGTGCCTGGCCAAGGTATTATTACATAGCATTTATCATAATTAAACATCAAAAATACATTAAAAACATGTGAATAGGGTTGTATGTTTTTCTGTTGTAGGCTCCAATATGGCTTAACATGGAACTATCAGTTCTTGTTTTCATTTAAAATGTTATTTTGTTCTTTATGGATTTTTGCATTAATTTAGATTTAAAAAAATATTATATTAAAATATTATTTATCTTGACGACTGAGTTTTTTGTGCCCCGCCCCTTATATTTTCTGCCTGAGGTTAGTGTTTCGCTTGCCTTAACCTATTCCTGGCCCTGGTCCCAACCCTCTATCCCAACAAACTATAATACAAAAACTGCTACAGGAATGAAAACTATGCTGACTACGCTAGAGGAGACATTCAAATCCAACTAATTTCTCCACAATCCAAGTGAGTCCAGGAAGCAACATGTCAAGTGGGGCAGGGAATGTGAGCTTTAGGGCTAGACAGATCTGGAATTAAATCCTGCCTTGCCTCCTTATCAGTCTGAGTAATTACTTACCCAGTCTGAGCCTGTTGTCTTATTTTTAAAAGGATCAGTCATTTTTTAGTGAGAGTTAAACGAGATCACTTGTGTAAAGCCTCTGTATTCAATGAATGTTCACCTGTGTCCTTCCCTACTTTAGAAATAGTAGATTGACTCACAAACACTGAGTTGCCCAAAGACTTGCTCCCAGAAGTGCTGGCATTGAAATTTGAACCCAGGTGTAGAGAAAGTCCTGTGCTCTTCTCACTAAATTGCACTAATTCTAGCTGCTGCAGGGTTGCGTCTTTCTAGGGACATAATTCCTAGGTATACCAGCTACATCCCAGAGAACTTGGATAAGCAGCTCTGGAGCAGAGGTGGAATATGTAGCCCTTTGACCCGGCCATATAGCACCAAAATATAAACATCAATGCAGAAATTAATGCCATCTCCTCTTTCTGACTCTACAAATATTTATTAGCAAGGGATAAGATTTCCAAAAGATCTGAAGAGAGTCAAGAAACTTTTTTCCCCCCTTTTCTTTAGAGGCAAGATCTCACCACGTTTTCTGGGCTAGTCTCAAACTCCTGGCTTTGTTACTGCGGCAAATCCCACAGGTCTGCAGCAACCTCAATTCTCGTTTCCTCAGAAGAAAGAATTCGACTGAGGGGCAGAAGGCAGAAGGAGATACTGAGGCAAGTTTTAGAGCAGAAGTGAAAGTTTATTAAAAAACTTTAGAGCAGGAATGAAAGGGAGGAAAATATACTTGGAAGAGGCCCAAGTGGGTGACCTGAAAGACAAATGTGTGGTTTGACCTTTTGATTTGGGGTTTTATACATCGGCATACTTCCAGGATCTTGGGTTACTTCTCCCCACTCCTGAAAGCTTATCCAGAAGTTGATCAGTTTCAGGTGTTTTCTATTTATTGTGAGCCTGCCTTTCCCTAGCACCGGCTGGGACCAATTATTACTTTAGAGAGACAGTTAACAACCCCCTCGCCTGCCCAAGACTCCTGGGCTGGGGATGGGGGAACCCTCTCCTGCCCATTCCTTCCCTCTCCTGCCCACTCCTCCCCTCTCCTGCCCTGCCCTGCTCCACCTATGTCTGACTAGCTACTTACTGTAACAGCCTCAAGCGATCCTCCCACGTTGGTCTCCCACAGTTCTGGCATTCTAGGTGTGAGCCACTGTGCCTGCCCTCAAGGAACTTGAACACTGTGCTTTTCAATATATGAGACAATTTGTAATTAGGAATTAGATATCTTTGTTAATTGTATGTATGCATTTTGGTATATTTCTTGTGATGATTGATATTTTATCTCATTTTAGAGGCAGATTGTATAGAATAAATTGAAATTTGCTTAGTGATGGCAGAAAGCTTTGCATCTCTTTTAGGGGTGATTAGCTATGCTTACAATAAAACTGTGCATATATATATATTTGGAACATCCTTATAATAAAAAAATAAGCAACCTACATGTCCAACAATAAAATAGTGTTTATATGAATTATGGCATACCATAGAATATTATGCTGTGATTAAACATGGTATTTCCAAAATATAAAATGAAAAAATGAGGACATAAGACTGTTTAATATGTATCTGGCTGGGTGCAGCGGCTCATGCCTGTAATCCCAGCAATTTGGGAGGCTAGGCAGGAGGATTACTTGAGCCCAAAAGTTGGAGACCAGCCTGGGCAACATGGCAGAACCTTACCAAAATAATACAAAAATTAGCCGGGTGTGATGGCTCATGCCTGTGGTCCCAGTTACTCTAGAGGCTGAGGTGGAAGGATCCCTTGAGCCCAGGAGGCAGAGGTGCAGTGAGAGCCATGTTCATGCCACTGCACTCCAGCCTGGGTGACAGAGTGAGACCCTGTCTCAAAAAAACAAAAAACAAAAACTGTATAATATAAATCTAACTCTGTAAAGTTTTTAAAAATGTACTTATGTAAATAGAGAAAACAACTAAGTAAAGATATTGAAATGTTAACGGTAATTAGTGATGGGATTATAGGTGACTTTTATTTTTTAAACAGTCTTTCATAGATTTTTCCAAAATGTCTATAAATTAACAAATATTATTTTTCTATAATTAAAAAATACTTTAAAATAGTTTCTTTAATGGTGGAGTTTAAATGGTATCCAAAATAGACCTGCCCAGTTTTATTTTGGAGCAAATAAATTTGACAATTAGAACAATTGCAATGTATGTTTTTATTTTAATTTTATTTTTACTTTTATATTTTCTAAAGACAAGGTCTTGCTCTGTCACTCAGGCTGCATAATCATAGCTCACTGCAGCCTCAAACTCCTGGGCTCAAGCGATCCTGCTGCCTTAACCTCCCAAGCAGCTAGGACTACAGGCACATGCCACCAGGCCCAGCTAATTTTAAAAATTTTTGTAGAGACAGGATTTTGCTATGTTGCCCAGGCTGGTCATGAACTTTTGGCCTCAAGCAATCCTCACTGCCCCACCTCCCAAAATGCTGGGATTACAGATGTGAGCCACCACACTTGGCTTCAATGTATGTCTAAATAGTCATGCAAACCTTTAAGTAAAGGAAATTTTTTTAACTTTTTTTTTTTTTTTTTTTTTTTTTTTTTTTAAAGACAGGGCCTTGCTTTGTTGCCTAGGAGCACAGTGGCTCTTCACAGGTGTGATCACAGTGCACTCTGGCCTAGAACTCCTGGCTTCAAGCCATCCTCTCCTCTTGCCCCAGCCTCCTGAGTAGCTGAGAATACAGGCCGTTGCTACCATACCCAGCTTAAGTTAAGGAAATTTTGAGTCACCTTTGTCCTGGTTTAGCCATAGTTCATAATGTTAAAAAGGAACTTAATTTCTGGTGCCAAAATATCACCACAGTTTTTACTGATTTGTTCTTATATGCTTTCACCTCCAGAATATAAAATAAGTTAGGAGCAAAATATATGTAATGGAATGCTGTATGTAGGGAGAAAATTGGGTTGACCATAACCCCTGAAAAAGAAAAATAATGCATCTCTCATTTGTGGCAGCAGTAAATTGAACAAACGCTTTGCTTTGTTTCCCACTTACAGTATTAAAGAAGACATTTGATATGTCATGGCACACACTCCTTTCCTGATCTATTTCCTAACACTCCTCTCCTTGTGAATGTTTACCTGTCACTCTGCTGAGTGTCTGTATCTTTTTTTTACCCTCTAACATTAACCCATCTCCTTGTCACTAGAAGGGAAGCAGATGTGAGCATAGCTGTTCCATAGTACCACTTTCCCCATCTATATGACTACCACAGAAACAATCATGTTCTTATAGAACTCTGCTGCCCCCATCTCTGTTGTTTGGCCCAGGGGTTGGGGACACCACATAAACCAGGTCAAGGACTTCTAGACTTTTCCTCTGGTAGGGGAGACTTTAGATGCAAATATTGGAAACTGTTATTATTCGTTGTTGTAGTTGAATTATGTCTCCTGAAAAAAGGTATGTTGTTGAAGTCCTAGCCCCCAGTACCTCAGAATGTGACCTTATTTGGAAATAGGGTGTTTATACCTGTAATCAAGTTACAATGAGGTCATTAGAGTAGGCCCTAATCAATAGGACTGGTGTCCTTACATAATAAAAAAGGGAAATTTAGACTCAGAGACAGACACACACAGAAGGAAGACCATGCGAAGAGACACAGGGAGGAGATGGTTATGTGACTGGAGTGACGCATCTAAAAGCCACTGGCTGTCAAGGATTGCCCGCAAACATGGGAAGCTGGGAGAGGCCAGAAAGGATTCTCCCCGAGTCCTCTGAGTGGGCGTGCCCTGCCAACTCCTTGAGCTTGGACTTCTAACCTCCAGAATTGTAAGACAATAGATTTCTGTTGTTTTAAGACAACTCATTTTTAGTGTGTTATTATAGCAGCCCTAGAAAATAATACTGTGTTGTGTTTTTTTTTTTTCTCATCATATGGAGTGGAGAGAACTAGTGAGAGTATGCAGGTTTTTTTTTTTTTTTTTTTTTTTTGAGAGAAGCGTCACAGTGAGTCTGATAGCTTTTGAATCTTGGTTTTGAGTCCTTTCTGAGACCTAAATGCATGACTGTCCTTTCTGTGTATTGGTTATTCAATCTTTTCTTGGATTACATGAACCGATTATCAGTTTTTGTGAGGGTGGAGTGTCTAAGTTGATTGAGTTGTATTTCTGGCACTTTTCTGGCACTTCCAATGAGAAATAGCTAATGAATCCTGAGTATCTAAGCAGCCTAGGAACGTGACATTTTCTAATACAAATGACATAAAACTTTTTTAGGTGTTGTATTACCTGAAGGCCAAAGTTCTCCTTTTCTAACACTATGACATATTGATATATTTAATTCCTCACATAAAACAGGAAAAAATTACTTGGAGAAAATACAGCTTTTATTATAAGGATGCAGGCAGGTCTCATGCATCTGAGCTTTTTATTTATTTGTTAATGCTCATTCATGTTGTCTTTTTTTCAATTGGAACCACCAAAACTTAAGAAAAAATTATGGGAGAAATAAATTTTAGTTTAATGATTGAACATCTGCTATGTGCAGGCACTGATCTAGGTGTTATGTTACAACTGTGAGCAGGACTAAATCCTTGCCTTGGAGGAGTTTATAACCTGGTAGGGGAAAAAGAGAAGTAAACAGAGTGCCAGGTGTTGTGGTGTGAGCCTGTAGTCCTTGGAGCTGAGGTGGGAGGATGGCTTTAGCCCAGGAATTTGAGGCCATGGTGCACTATGATCAGGATTGAGAACAGTCACTGCACTCCAGCCTGGGTAACATAGCAAGACACTGTCTCTGAAAAAAAAAAACCACAAAAAACAAAATTAAAACAAAACAGGTAATCGAAATACTGTGACTAGGTTGTAGCATGACTAGATTATGGAGTGCAAGGGATGAGATTTTCAAGATAAAGGAGATAGATCAAGAAATGCCTTTCATGCCACATAAAAGAGTTTTGTTTAGACAAATGGCAGTGGGAGTAGGTTTTGAGCAGGAGGGTGAGAAAGGTAGGACTGAGCCTTTGAAAGTTCTAGTGCTTTAGAAGAGGCTCAGCATTTCAGTTAGGAAGACTGTGTGTAACATAGGTTTGAGATGGTAGTGGTCTCCTCCCCCAGGATGGTGGTGATAGAGATGGAGGGGAGTGGACTGGTTCAGGGGAAATTATTAATAGGAGGTGAAATTGACAGGCTTGGTCATGGGTGGTTGTGAGGGAGAGAAAGTCAGGTGTCTGGCTGAGGAGCTTTGCTGGATGGAAGTGGTATTTGCTTAGGCAACAGACAGGAAGGAGAGTGGTTTGGGAAAGAGGGGGGGATGATGCAAGCATTGCTGAATGTGATGGGCTGTAGGACCAGCAGTGGGGATGTCCACAAGAGTTGGCTATATATCATTGGTGCTCAGTGGAGGGGCCAGAGGATTTGAATATAGTTAATAATTAAAAATGCAGATGTGATTACCAAGGGAGTACATATTATGTAAGAAAATCAAACAATGAGGACGTATCTCTGAGAAACTCCAACCACTCTGAAAAACTCCAAAAGACCATTCTTGGTAACTGTGCCAAGTGAATGGCCTGGTCTCTGAAACTCTACACTCAGACACAGGTCATCCTGGAGAGTGGTGTCCTTCTGGATTGTCACATACCCTGTGAATGAAGCATGTGTTACAACAATAATGGAAAATATGCAAATGAGAAAAAAAGTTTCTCAGTGCCCCACCAACCTAAATTCTGGCTCCACCCCTATTTGTTTTCTCATATTTGTCTGAATTTCTCCAAGGAGCCCATAATCAATGCTGGGTCATTCCTGGAGTCTTGACGGTCACCAGGATTCACCTTTGGCTTTTGTTTCAGTCCAAAAGTAAGAGTTAGTGTCATGTGTGAGGCAAACACATGCTGCGACTTGTTTGAGGGAACACTGAGATTTCAAGTTGAGGAAAAGCCTTCTGGTACATGAGGTCGATTGTAGAATGAAAATGAATATGAATATTGAACTTTCCTGCCAGCAGTCTGCAGGCTTCTGATTTCAGGCCCCTGCAAACTGTTATTTCCTGGGCTTGTTTTTAAAAGCAGAGCCCAAACTTATTTCTGAGAAAGGACAGAATTAAAATTCAGCAGATAGTTGTTCATGCTGTATAAATAAATTCCTCTTCAGAGAGTGAAGGAATCCTTTTTCTCAGGGACCACAGGACTGCTTATAATGACTGTTTTCCTCACATCAAGAGCTCAGTCTTTGTGGCACCTTGACTTTTTTTGGAGGGGGCAACCAGTAGCTGTTGTCTAAATGTATGTCATGTACATTAATTTTTACCATGAAATCTGAATGTTTGGGGATATACAAGTAAATGTTTCTTGACATATGATTTCCCCAAAGTGAATATAAAAATGCCCTGATCTTGAATTGAAAAACAGAACATGTGGTTAAACTAGCAAAGACAGAAAACACTATAGTAAATATTGTCGTTCAATGATCAGCTAAACTAAAGCTGATTATTGAAGGTTTCTCCTTATTTTGTGCTTACTTCCTATCTCTCCCCGTTTCTTGTAGTTTTAGAATTCCAGATTCTCTTATGTGTTATCATGTTGGGGGTCTACTTTGATCAAGAATAGCATTTTTTAATATACTATTCCTCTGAACAATATAAGCAGCCCCTATGTTGTATTGATCTATTACTCTGACACTACTTTAAACAGACAAATAAGCAAACATTCTGATTCCTTTATGGGCCTTTTATCAGATTTTGGTGGGACTCTTTCAACAAATAGCTGATGTAACTCAGTTAGTTTTGACACTGCTAAACTTGTGGAAATACCTCTGAGGCTAGCAGGCTTCTGGCCACCATGTACTTTTAGAAACTAAGTTGTAACACTCAGTGACAGTGTTTATTCCCATGGAAAAATGTAATAATTAAAGACTGAATTCCTTGGACAGGGATATTTGGCCGGATACTTAATGATGTCATTAAAGAAAAAACACAACAGCACAAGTTTCCAAACCAATAAAAAAATAGTAAAACTGTTTTCTAGCTTCTTTAAAATGGGCTTACTATATTGTTACTTTGATTTTAGCAGGGACCCTAATGATTGACAAAATGTACTCGTAGTACATGAAAATACAACTCCACTGTGGTGTAAATTTTCTCTAAAACTAATATGCTGGTGATAATAAACATTACGCATTTAACTAACAACAATTTTGCTTCGTTTGCAGAATTTAGAAAAGCTTTTTGGTAGCATTTTGGAAGGCTCAGATTTCTTTAAGACATCTGTCTAGGGAAATTTGAACTAATTTCTCTTTTATTTCCCTCTTGTAAAAATTCCCATTAGCAAGCAAATGCATTCAAAACCATTCCATTGATCTTATAACTGTGTTTTATAACAATAGCCATGAGCTTTTCCTTTCTATCCTGTGGGCTGAAAGCACTGCAGTGGGGTGTCTGAATGGCACACAGGAACCAGGGGAACTGGGAAGTGAGGGGCAGCCAGCTTTGAGAGGGACCCCGGTCTGTCTTTCTAGCACAGCAAATGTCAGGGGAAAGGGATTTGGCTTCACCCTTTTTGTTTTCTGACCCTGTTTCCAGGAAGACTTTGTAAAAGTTGAAGACTGCCAGGAACTTATTTAAAACTATAATGGAAGTTTAAAAATGATCATAAAATGCCAGTTTCATGACAGCTTCATGACAAAATCACAGTTTGGCCTTCTTCTCCAAAAACCAAAGAATTCCTACGAAGCAAAGCACCCACCCCAAATTCAGTCACATCCCATCTTTACATTTCTCCCAGTACCTTCTGGTCCTATCAGTTCAATGTCATGCTGAGGATATAAAGGCCCAGGAACAAATGTGGCAGGGGATGGGTTCAATTTATCTGATGCAACCCTGCTGAAATTGTCTTTTTCTACAGACATTTTATCAAGTCATAGGAGAGTTTAACTTTCTCTCTTTTCTAATTAGTTCTATGAACTTATCTATTTTCCTCATATTTTCTAACCCAGTCCTAGAGAGAAATTTGACCTTTATAATGACTACAATATATCAAGTACTGATATGCCAGGTAAAATGCTAAATATTACATGTATTATTATAATTATTTGAGACAGGCTCTCACTCCTGTCTCCCAGACTGGAGTGTAGTGGTGCCATCTTGGCTCACAGCAGCCTCAAATTTCAAAGTTCAGGTGATCCTCCCACCTCAGCCCCCTGAGTAGCTGGGACTACAGGCAAGTGCCACCATGCCTGGCTGGTGTGTGTGTGTGTGTGTGTGTGTGTGTGTGTGTGTGTGTAGTTTTGGTAGAGATGGGGTTTCACCATGTTGCTAGGGTGGTCAAACTCCTGGACTCAAGCGGTCCACTCACCTCAGCCTCCCAAAGTGCTGGGATTACAGGCGTGAGCCACTGTGCCTGGTCTGTGATACATATTATTGCATTGAATCCCCAAGTAAGTTAGAGATTCTTAGTCTCTCTACAGTTAAGGAAACCAAGGCTCAGCAGGATCATACAGCAAGATTTCCCCTGATTGCATGGCTAGTAAGTGTTGAGGCTGAGATTCTAACTGAGGTCTATCTCATGGAAAACCCATGCTCACAGCCACTGTGCTGTGTGCTCTTCCTGTCTGGATGTGGTCCTTGTCTGGGTACCTCAGTGTTCTCATGAGGCACCTCTGGCTTCTGAGATGTAGACAGAAACTAGGTATTAGGTTGGTGCAAAAGTAATTGCAGTTTTTGCCATAAAAGTATGTTTTAGAATTAACATCCCAAATGAAAGGTACTTGAAGTTTAAGCCACTCTGAATACTAATAAGATACATAGTGTAATAGTAACATATGCCTGAGACCCAGCCTAATATTCTTCTTTGAATTCACACTTAACACTCACTCACGCAACCAATTTTATTGAAGCGCTCTTTGTGCAAGAAAGTCCACTTTGAAACTAGAGTTCTCCAGGGAAACAAAAGCCTCCTTAGAAACAATGTTGGAATCTGGATTGCTGTGGAAGAAACTTAAAAAGCTTGAGTCCCTTCCACTTCTATTCTTGGATGGGTTTTGGCCCCTAGCTGGTTCAGAAATTCTTTATCCTCATTTAGATTCTCTAAAGGAGTGGCTCATTCCAGCCCAGCACAGCCTCATTCTGCCCATAGCAGGTTTCCACCCTGGCTCTGCTCCCCCGCAGCGCGAGCACCAGGAGGGGACAGTGCTGGGCCCACTTTGCATAGGGGCATGTATGACCCAGGCAGGGCGGACTCTCTGTGGAAAAACCTCAGGGCTGCTTTCTGGCTTTAGTCATATTCGTTAGATGAAACTTGTAGGTGTTACTAAGACATTCTGCGCCCTGAAATTGGGAGTGGTTTTGAAAACTGGTCTCAACTATTAGATTCCGAACAACTAAGCTTCCACATTCATTGACAGTTACGTGCAGCAAAGAAGTCTTTCTCATTGCCTGTTTTTCCATCCTTCTATGTGCAAACACTATGTATCTTATTAGTATTTAGAGTGGCTTAAACTTCTAGTACCTTTCATTAGGGATGTTAATTCTTAAATACACTTTTAATGGCAAAAACCGCAATTACTTTTGCACCAACCTAAAACCTAGATGTTTCTGTCTACATAGTCAGATAGTGAGTGGAGGCAGTGCAAGAGATGTCAGTTTTGCAGCTTGCTTTTCTTCAGTTCCTCGCATCAGATTCTGATTCTCTTTTCAGACACCTGTTTCTCCTCGTTTTCTAGTTTCTGGTAGTATTACCTCAGAATCTAGAGCTAACCCCCGAGTGCTCCTTGGCTGAGAGCACTTTAATACCTAATGGATGATAACAGGATCTAACATGGAGTTGTGGAGAAATCATGGACACAGGATTTATTTATTTAATAAATATATTTATTGTCACTACATGGAGAGTACACCATACTCACCTCTGGATGAGTGGGGAAACTGCTGATATGAGGTCATTTCCCCAAAATGACGCTTTTGTTATCATGTCAGGGTGGCTTTACTTCCACCATTAGTTGCTTCCTTTTTTTTTTTTTTTTTTTTTTGAGATGGAGTCTCACTCTGTTGCCCAGACTGGAGTGCAGTTGCATGATCTCGGCTCACTGCAACCTCTGCCTCCTGGGTTCAAGTGATTCTCGTGCCTCAGCCTCCCAAATAGCTGGGACTACAGGCATGCACCACCACGCCCGGCTAATTTTTGTATTTTTAGTAGAGACAGGGTTTCACCATGTTGGCCAGGCTGGCTCGTACTCCTGACCTTAAGGGATCTGCCTACCCTGGCTTCCCAAAGTGCTGGGATTACAGGCGTGAGCCACCATGTTCAGCCTGCTTCCTTTTTTAAAACCAATTTTTTCCTATGCTGATATTCTAGGAAATGTTAGTAAGCATACAGTAAAATGTGCTCAAAGTGCACATAAACCTGGGACATGTTGGAGTTAAACAAAACTAAATAGTTTTCTTAGCTGCAGGGTGCCCAGAGCCTGCAACGTACGAATGTGTGTCATAATTGTTCACAAAGGGCTCCATCATGTTAAGCATTTCCTAGTTATTTGACCATAGAACTTCTTTTTTCATGGCAAGTCTATTAATAGCTCCTAGAACAGAGTTCCAGTGATCATTGTGTGATGAACACTGAAGGTCTTTTTCAAAAGCTTTGAAGGTTCTTGTCAAAAGTACATGCATTATCCAGGAGAGGAAATGCAATTGACCACCACTATCCCAGAATAAGCTGGCTGAAATTAGCTAGCTAATCTCACTTGGCAAGGCCTGAACAACAGCTTCCTCTCTCTTGAGTTTGAATCCCTGTCTGTCATTTCTGCATGATCTATGCTAATTTTTGACCCCACTGGTCCTCTTTCTTGCCCCACAATTTATCCTCCCTAACTGACACAGATATAGTGGGCATCAGAGATAATGTTTTCCAGGCTCCAGCAAGAGCCACCCTTTCAACCCCCAGTCCCAACAACGAAACACTGTAAGAAGCTTTGTCTATGTCAGGCATTCTCTGGCTTACAAGGAGGAAAGATTTTCCTTCCTAACCTAACTGAACTTAATCCTGAACTTAATCCTGAAATCTTCTCATCGCTTTTTCACCTCTGAAAAATGTGACCTTAATCAAACATGACTGCTAAATATTGGACAGGGTGAGAGCCACAGAGAATCAAAAGGAAACATGCTGAAAGGTAGTGTGTATGTGTATTAAACTTTCCTGAGCAATTTCAAAGAGGTAGTAGTTGTGTGAAGGGTAGAATATTTGTACCATGATTTGGATTTGGTAGAAATCTTTTCAGTCAGCAGTGAAGGCAAACTGGTCATAGAAGTCCTACCCACCCTTCTATCTCAACCAACTTCTAAGGCATGGAGACAGGTAATTAAGACATCACCTGGGGCTCTACTTGTCAGATCCCCAAAAGAACTTTCACAATTAAGTTCTTTAAGATCATTTGGGTGTTATGCCTTATGTTTATTTAGCTCTTTAGAGTTTGTCAAATACTTTCACATATCTTATCCAAACTGATTTAAAAAATTATTTGTATTTTACTTTTTAAATTAAATTAATTCATTTTGGCCTGGTAATGTCACAAAAAATTATTTTTAGAACGGTTTTAGGTTTACATAAAAATTGGCCTGAAAGTGAAGAGGATTCCCACTTACCTACATTTTCTTCTCCCTGAAGTTTCTTTTACTATTAATATCTGGCATTACTGAGGTATATTTGTTACAATTCATCAATCAGTATGGATACATTATTATTAAATGAAGTCCACAGTTTACATCAGGGCTCATCTTTGTGTTGTGCAGTCTGTGGGCCTTGAAAGACGTAAAATGTCATGTATCCACCATTAGAATATCATAGAGAATAGTTTCACTGCCCTAAAAATATGATGTGTTCCACCTGTTCATCCTCGAGTCCCTGGCAATCATTGGTCTATTTCCTGTCTGTATAGTTTGCCTTTTCCAAATGTCATGTAGTTGGCCAAATTGACTTTAATCTTCATGACAACTCTGTAGCTAGGCAAGTTTTATTATCTCATCTTAGATGAAAGAAGTTCAGTGAGATGAAGTGACTTATCTGAGGACTCACGCTCAAGGGTACCCAAGCCAGGACTAGGACCAGCTAAAAGCATGAACACCAGCCAATCTCAGAAAGGGGTTAATTGCTGAAGACATAGACTATTAGCTTACAGGAGCCCTCTCAGCCCAAGCACTTTAATTTCTTAGTAGCTACAAGGAGGAAGATTGCACATCTTCAAAGGAAACTAGATGCATGATATTGGTGAGATGAGACTTGGAGGTGACTTCACAGATGACGGGTTTAATGCCCCATAATTATGAAGGAAGGCCAGTCTCTGCCAGTCTGACTCAGAGGGCTTACTGAGTCATCCTATTTGTCCTCTGCTGCTATTTATGGGCTTCCCAGTTGCTGATATTTGCCGGGCTGGTCTCCAGCTCCTAACCACGAGTGATCTGCCAGCCTCGGCCTCCCGAGGTGCCGGGATTGCAGACGGAGTCTTGTTCACTCAGTGCTCAATGTTGCCCAGGCTGGAGTGCAGTGGCGTGATCTCGGCTAGCTACAACCTCCACCTCCCAGCCACCTGCCTTGGCCTCCCAAAGTGCCGAGATTGCAGCCTCTGCCCAGCCGCCACCCCATCTGGGAAGTGAGGAGCATCTCTGCCTGGCCGCCCATTGTCTGGGATGTGAGGAGCCCCTCTGCCCGGCTGCCCAGTCTGGGAAGTGAGGAGCGCCTCTTCCCAGCTGCCATCCTGTCTAGGAAGTGAGGAGCATCTCTGCCCGGCTGCCCATCGTCTGAGATGTGGGGAGCGCCTCTGCCCCGCCGCCCCGTCTGGGATGTGAGGAGCGCCTCTGCCCGGCCGCGACCCCGTCTGGGAGGTGAGGAGCGTCTCTGCCCGGCCGCCCTGTCTGAGAAGTGAGGAGCCCGTCCGCCCGGCAGCTGCCCCGTCTGAGAAGTGAGGAGCCCCTCCGCCCAGCAGCCGCCCCGTCTGAGAAGTGAGGAGCCCCTCCGCCCGGCAGCCACCCCATCTGGGAGGTGGGGGGCAGCCCCCGCCCGGCCAGCCACCCCGCCCGGGAGGGAGGTAGGGGGCAGCCCCCACCCGGCCAGCCGCCCCGTCCGGGAGGGAGGTGGGGGGGCGCCTCTGCCCGGCCGCCCCTTCTGGAAGGTGAGGAGCCCCTCTGCCCAGCTGCCGCCCTGTCTGGGAGGTGTGCCCAGTGGCTCATTGAGAGCGGGCCATGATGATGATGGCGGTTCTGTCAAATGGAGAGGGGGGAAATGTGGGGAAAGGATGGAGAAATCAGATTGTTGCTGTGTCTGTGTAGAGGGAAGTGGACATGGGAGACTCCATTTTGTTCTGTACTGGGAAAGGTTCTTCTGCCTTGGGATGCTGTTGATCTGTGACCTTACCCCCAACCCAGTGGTCTCTGAAACATGTGCTGTGTCCACTCAGGGTTAAATGGATTAAGGGTGGTGCAAGATGTGCTTTGTTAAACAGATGCTTGAAGGCAGCATGCTCGTTAAGAGTCATCACCACTCCCTAATCTCAAGTACCCAGGGACACAAACACTGCGGTAGGCCGCAGGGTCCACTGCCTAGGAAAACCAGAGACCTTTGTTCACTTGTTTATCTGTTGACCTTCCCTCCACTATTGTCCTATGACCCTGCCAAATCCCCCTATGTGAGAAACACCCAAGAATGATCAATAAAAAAAAAAAGAACTAAGATTAGATGAGAATTATAAAAGCATATTGTATGCAAGGATTATATATGCATTAACATTGTTGATACAGTGCAATTGTGCTATACATCTATTTTTTAAAAGTGGGGAAGATGAAGAAAGTATATACAAAAATGATTTAGCTGTTTTCAGTAATTACATGAGCGGTGGTGGTATTGGCATTATTGTTCTGAGACTGTTGTATGTATAATGTGGAATAAAACAAATGTGTAATTATGAAAAAAAAGAGAATAAACAGGGTGACAGGTGTGGGATAGTCATTTTAAAGAAAATTTAGTAGCTGATTCTTTTTTAAAGCTCTCCATGCTTAAAATATAAATATTCTGAAAGAAAACAAAAGCCAAGACCCTTTTTGTAGAGAGTTGGAGAATGCTAGGACTTTCTGGGAGTGCTGGCTTTTGCACAGGCATGGGTAAACATTAGTGAAGTTATTGCTGAGAACAGCTCGGGACAGGAGGGGAATGAAAAGAGAAGACAGTATGGAGACAATGAGAGAAAAGGACTGAAATGTAGTCACCTGAGCAACTTAAGATCCGTTTGTCATTAGAAAGAGACTAGAACAGCAACATCACCCTCATAAAGTGTAGTCATCTGGGCTGGGCACTGTGGCTCATATCTGTAATCCCAGCACTTTGGGGGGCCAAGGTGGGCAGATCATTAGGTCCGGAGTTTGAGACCAGCCTGGCCAACATGGTGAAACCCCGTCTCTACTAAAAATACAAAAATTAGCCGGGTGTGGTAGCACTCGCCTATAATCCCAGCTACTTGGGAGGCTGAGGCAGGAGAATTGCTTGAACCCAGGAGTCAGAGGCTGCAGTGAGCCGAGATCACACCACTGCACTCCAGCCTGGGTGACAGAGCAAGACTGTCTCAAAAAATAAAAATAAAAATAGCGTAGTCATCTGAGTCCATGTAGTAGACTAATTGCTTACTCCAAAGGAGTGATTGAAGAAAGATTAATGAAGGGGCTATTTACAAAGGTGCAAGCAGGATTAGGGGGGCATTCTGGAGCCAGTAGCTGCAGAGAGCTATGACCATCCTTAGGCCTAAGGAGGCAAGGGAAGGGAGCACTTACTGGACCCTAGAGAGACTTGTAGTTTAGCAGAGGCTGTCTGACTTAACTGGGCCCTTTGGTAGAGGAAAGCAGCCACTGCCAATCTACAGGGGGTGAGCTGGAGAATAAATAACACACTCTTTTCTTTCATCCTCTTAATTTCTGCTGATACTTTCCATTGGCCAAACCCTAAAATGAAACAGAGACCAAGGAAACCCATATGATACAATAATCCATGAAGGTCAGCCTCCCAGGCCACTGGGTCAGCAGAGCAGAGGAGGGTGGAGAGGGCTCTGGAGGGCCACACACCAAAAACCTTCAGCTCCAAGGAAGAGGGTCATGTTAATGCCCTAGGGATAGACAGTACCAGAAGATTGTGTTGAAATCTGCTTTAAGTCTTTATTCATATTAAAGTCACTATTAATTAATTAAAATATTATAATGACATATATTGAGTGTGCAGCTTCAACTTTATATATCCCTTGGTGCTTGAAAATTCTGAAATGCCTGTTTTGGAAGGGTCCATCTCCCTCAAGTCCCTATGGAAAATCACTCCTAAGAGGCAAGACAAGGGTAGTTGTGTTAAAGTTGAATGTGTATGGAAAGCTTAGTTAAAAAGCCATTGCATAGTTATAATAATAAAGAGGGGGTCACAGTTTGCACCTACACATATTAATATTTTCCCACTTTATACTTAGATTTAGCTTAAGTTTATCCATTTATTCATTCAACAAACACATACTATGCTCCTGCTTTGTGATTGTAAAAGGATCTACAAAATCTGTCTCTAATAACCCTCCCTGACTCCTGGCCCCTGGCCCCCAGCCACCACTGGCAGGACTGATGGTAGGTGGTGAGGCAAAGGAAAAGCTTCTTTGAGGCAGTGACATTTGAGCAGAGGAGGAAGGAGTCAGCCCTGCAGATCTTGGGGACGGGCTGAGGAAATAGCTTGCTCAAGGATCTGAGCTTTGCGTGAAGGTGGAAGGTGCTAGGGGAGGCAATGATACGGCGGTCCGAGGCCTGTTCATGGAGGGCCTTCCAGGCCACAGTAAGACATTTGGATTTTATTCTGAGGGTGATGTATAGTAAATAGAAAGTTCTGAGCAGGAAAGTGAGATGACAGAATTTATCTTTCTAAAAGATCACTCCAGCTACTATGTGGAGATTGATTCCAGGGAAATGGAAGCAAGGGAACTGATTAGGAGGCGATTTCAGTGTCTGTGACAAGGGATGACAGTGGTCAGTAGAGGTGCTGAAAAGTGGTTGGGCGTGGATACACTCTATGTGGATATTCATATTGTCATTTTAGTTAAAGATGACAATTTTCTAAAGGAAGATTTTCTTTTGTGGATGGGGTTGAGGGAACTCAAACCAGTTAAAATGAATTGAATTGCTGTTGTCTAACTTAGCCTGCCTCAAATTCACTCAGGAGACTTATTTAAAAAGGAAGATTTCCCAGAGAGATTTATTTAAGGGAAAGCAGAATTGGCATTCTTCTTTGGACTTAGAGCACCTTGGCAAGCTGTTGCCAGGACACGCAAGTGGGATGGTGTCTCTTGTGCAACTGATAAGAGGAAGTGACCCTTGGATTGAAGGAAGTAGAAAGATTAAATCAGAAAGAATCAAGTTTCAGAGTCTGCAAAGCCACAAGCCCTCTGTATGGGCCAGCAAGCCCCTGGGCCTGAGAGGCATCAGTAATTGTCACCCGAGTTGGATTGAACTGAAATAAAGAAGTAAAGATCCTATATCATCTATTGAAATCTTTAAAAGGGTTGCAAGATATGCATTACTAATCTATATATTATCTTAAAAACAAACAATACTTGACTCTGAAGAGAGTGCTAGATCTCCCAGCACAATGTTTGAGCTCTGCCAATGATCAGACTGCCTCCTCAAGTGTGTCCCTGACCCCCATGTCTCCAGACTGGGAGACACTTCCCAGCAGGGGCCAACAGACACCTCATACAGGAAAGCTCTGGCTGGCATCTGGTGGGTGCCCCTCTGGGATGAAGCTTCCAGAGGAAGGAACAGGCAGCAATCTTTGCTGCTCTGTAGCCTCCACTGGTGATACCCAGGCAAACAGGGTCTGGAGTGGAACTCCTGCAAACTCCAGCAGACCTGCAGCAGAGGGGCCTGACTGTTAGAAGGAAAACTAACAAACAGGAAGGAATAGTATCAACATCAACAAAAAGAATGTCCACTCAGAAACCCCATCTGAGGGTCACCAACATCAAACACCAAAGGGAGATAAATCCATGAAGATGGGGTGAAACCAGCGTAAAAAGGCTGAAAATTCCAAAAACCAGAATGCCTCTTCTCCTCCAAAGGATCACAACTCCTCACCAGCAAGGGAACAAAACTGTACAGAGAATGAGTTTGACAAATTGACAGAAGTAGGCTTCAGAAGGTGGGTAATAACAAACTCCTCTGAGCTAAAGGAGCATGTTCTAACCCAAGGCAAGGAAGCTAAGAACCTTGAAAAAATGATAGATGAATTGCTAACTAGAATAACCACTTTAGAGAAGAACATAAATGACCTGATGGAGCTGAAAAACACAGCACGAGAACTTTGTGAAGCATATACAAGTATCAATAGCCAAATCAATCAAGCGGAAAAAAGGAAATCAGAGATTGAAGATCAAATTAATGAAATAAAGTGTGAAGACAAGATTAGAGAAAAAGAATGAAAAGGAATGAATGAAGCCTCCAAGAAATATGGGACTATGTGAAAAGACCAAACCTGTGTTTGATTAGTGTATCTGAAAGTGATGGGGAGAATGGAACCAAGTTGGAAAACACTCTGCAGGGTATGATCCAGGAGAACTTCCCTAGCCTAGCAAGGCAGGCCAACATTCAAATTCAGGAAATACAGAGAACACCACAAAGATATTCATTGAGAAGAGCAACCCCAAGACACATAATCGTCAGGTTCACCAAGGTTGAAATGAAGGAAAAAATGTTAAGGGCAGCCAGAGAGAAAGGTCACGTTACCCACAAAGGGAAGCCCATCAGACTAACAGCAGATCTCTCTGCAGAAACCCTACAAGCCAGAAGAGAATGAGGGCCAATATTCAACATTCTTAAAGAAAAGAATTTTGAACTCAGAATTTCATATCCAGCCAAACTAAGCTTCATAAGTGAAGGAGAAATAAAATCCTTTACAGACAAGCAAATGCTGAGAGGTTTTGTCACCACCAGGCCTGCCTTACAAGAGCACCTGAAGGAAGCACTAAACATGGAAAGGAACAACCAGTACCAGCCACTGCAAAAACATGCCAAATTATAAAGACCATCAACGCTATGAAGAAACTGCATCAACTAACGGGCAAAATAACCAGCTAACATCATAATGACAGGATCAAATTCACACATAACAATATTAACCTTAAATGTAAATGGGCTAAATGCCCCAATTGAAAGATACAGACTGGCAAATGGGATAAATAGTCAAGACCCATTGGTGTGCTGTATTCAGGAGACCCACCTCACTTGCAAAGATACACATAGGCTCAAAATAAAGGGGTGGAGGAATATTCACCAAGCAAATGGAAAGCAAAAAAAGCAGAGGTTGCCATCCTAGTCTCTGATAAAACAGACTTTAAACCAGTAAAGATAAAAAGAGACACAGAAGGGCATTACATAATGGTAAAGAGATCAATGCAACAAGAAGAGCTGCCTATCCTAAATATATATGCACCCAATACAGGAGCACACAGACTCATAAAGCAAGTTCTTGGAGACCTACAAAGAGACTTAGACTCCCACACAATAATAGTGGGAGACTTTAACACCCCACTGTCAACATTAGACAGGTCAATGAGACAGAAAATTAACAAGGATATTCAGGATTTGAACTCAGCTCTGGACCAAGCAGACCTAATAGACATCTACAGAACTCTCCACCCCAAATTGATAGAATACACATTCTTCTCAGCACCTCATCACACTTATTCTAAAATTGACCACATAATTGGAAGTAAAACACTTCTCAGCAAATGGAAAAGAACGGAAATCATAACAAACAGTCTCTCAGATCACAGTGCAATCAAATTAGAACTCAGGATTAAGAAACTCACTCAAAACCGCACAACTACATGGAAACTGAACAACCTGCTACTGAATGACTACTGGGTAAATAACAAAATGAAGGCAGAAATAAATAAGTTCTTTGAAACCAATGAGAACAAAGACACAATGTACCAGAATCTCTGGGACACAGCTGAAACCATGTTTAGAGGGAAATTTATAGCACTAAAAAAGGAGGAAAGATCTAAAATTGACACCTTAACATCACAATGGAGAGAACTAGCAGAACTGAAGGAGATAGAGACACAAAAAACCCTTCAAAAAATCAGTGAATCCAGGAGCTGGTTTTTTGAAAAGATCAACAAAATTGATGGACCATTAGCCAGACTAATAAAGAAGAAAAGAGAGAAGAATCAAATAGATGCAATAAAAATGATAAAGGGGATATCACCACTGATCCCACAGAAATACAAACTACCATCAGAGAATACTCTAAACACCTCTATGCAAAGAAACTAGAAAATCTAGAAGAAATGGATAAATTCCTGGATACATACACCCTCCCAAGTCTAAACCAGGAAGAAGTCAAATCCATGAATAGACCAATAACAAGTTCTGAAATTGAGGCAGTAATTAATCATCTACCAACCAAAAAAAGTCCAGGACCAGACGGATTCACAGCTGAATTCTACCAGAGGTACAAGGAGGAGCTGGTACCATTCCTTCTGAAACTATTCCAAACAATAGAAAAAGAGGGAATCCTCCTTAACTCATTTTATGAGGCCAGCATCATCCTGATACCAACACCTGGCAGAGACAAAACAACAGCAAAAAATTTCAAACCAATATCCCTGATGAACATTGATATAAAAATCCTCAATAAAATAGTGGTAAACCAAATCCAGCAGCACGTCAAAAAGCTTATCCACCACGATCAATTTGGCTTCATCTCTGGGATGCAAGGCTAGTTCAACATATGCAAATTAATAAACATAATCCATCACATAAACAGAACCAATGAAAAAAACCACATGATTATCTCAATAGATGCAGAAAAGTCCTTTGATAAAATTCAGCACCCCTTAAAAATCTCTTTAAACTAGGTATTGATGGAACGTATCTCAAAATAATAAGAGCTGTTTATGACAAACTCATAGCCAATATCATACTGAATGGGCAAAACTGGAAGCATTCCCTTTGAAAACTGGCACAAGACAAGGATGCCCTCTCTCACCACTCCCATTCAACATAGTATTGGAAGTTCTGGCCAGGGCAATCAGGCAAGAGAAAGAAATAAAGGGTATTCAAATAGGAAGAAAGGAAGTCAAATTGTCTCTGTTTGCAGATGACATGATTGTATATTTAGAAAACCCCATCGTCTCAGCCCAAAATCTCCTTAAGCAACTTCAGCAAGTCTCAGGATACAAAATCAATATGGAAAAATCACAAGCTTTCCTATACACCAATAATAGACAAACAGAGAGCCAAATCATGAGTAAACTCCCATTCACAACTGCCACAAAGAGAATAAAATACTTAGGAATCCAACTCACAAGGGATGTGAAGTACTTCTTCAAGTAGAACTACAAATCACTGCTCAAGGAAATAAGAGAGGACACAAACAAATGGTAAAACATTCCATGCTCATGGATAGGAAGAATCAATATTATGAAAATGGCCATACTGCCCAAAGTAATTTATAGATTCAATGCTATCTCCATCAAGCTACCATTGACTTTCTTCACAGAATTGGAAAAAAACTACTTTAAATTTCATATGGAACCAAAAAAGAGCCCGCATAGCCAAGACAATCCTAAGCAAAAAGAACAAAGCTGGAGGCATCATGCTACTTGACTTCAAACTATACTACAAGGCTACGGTAACCAAAACAGCATGATACTGGTACCAAAACAGAGATGTAGACCAATGGAACAGAACAGAGCCCTCAGAAATAACACCACACATCTACAACCATCGGATCTTTGACAAACCTGACAGAAACAAGAAATGGGGAAAGGACTCCCTATTTAATAAATGGTGTTGGGAAAACTGGCTAGCCATATGCAGAAAACTGAAACTGGACCCCTTCCTCACATCTTATACAAAAATTAACTCAAGATGGATTAAAGACTTAAACATAAGACCTAAAACCATAAAAACCCTGGAAGAAAACCTAGGCAATACCATTCAGGACATAGGCATGGGCAAGGACTTCATGACTAAAACACCAAAAGCAATGGCAACAAAAGCCAAAATTGACAAATGGGATCTAATTAAACTAAAGAGCTCCTGCACAGCCAAAGAAACTATCATCAGACTGATCAGGCAACCTACAGAGTGGGAGAAAACTTTTGTAATCTATCCATGTGACAAAGGGCTAAGATCCAGAATCTACAAAGAACTTAAACAAATTTACATGAAAAAAAAACCCCATCAAAAAGTGGGCCAAGGATATGAACAGACACTTCTCAAAAGAAGACATTTATGCAGCCAACAAACATATGAAAAAAAACTCATCATCACTCATCATTAGAGAAATATAAATCAAAACCACAATGAGATACCATCTCATGCCAGTTAGAATGGAAATTATTAAAAAGTCAGGAAACAACAGATGCTGGAGAGGTGGAGAAATAGGAATGCTTTTACACTGTTGGTGGGAGTGTAAATTAGTTCAATCATTGTGGAAGACAGTATGGTGATTCCTCAAGGATCTAGAACCAGAAATACCATTTGACCCAGCATTCCAATTCTGGGTATATACCCAAAGGACTATAAATCATTCTACTATAAAGACACATGCACACATATGTTAATTACAGCACTGTTCACAATAGCAAAGACTTGGAACCAACCCAAATGCCCATCAGTGATAGACTGGATAAAGAAAGTGTGGCACATATACACCATGGAATACCACACAGCTATAAAAAAGGATAAGTTCATGTCCTTTGCAGGGACATGGATGAAGCTGGCAACCATCATTCTCAGCAAACACAAGAACAGAAAATCAAACACCACATGTTCTCACTCATAAGTGGGAGTTGAACAATGAGAACACATGGACATAGGGAGGGGAACATCACACACTGGGGCCTGTTGTGGGGTGGGGAGCTAGGGGAGGGATAGCATTAGGAGAAATACCTAATGTAGATGACGGGTTGATGGGTGCAGCAAACCACCAAGGCATGTGTATGCCTATGTAACAAGCCTGCACGTTCTGCACATGTACCCCAGAACTTAAAGTATAATAATAAAAAAGGGGAAGATTTCCTAATCTCTTACTCAGAAGATCCTGATTCTCCAAGACCTAGACATCTGCATTTTTGAACTCAGACTGAGAATTACCATTTAAGTATTTAGCACCACCCCCTAGTGGTGGTTACTTGAAATTGCAGATGTAACAAATTTAAAATACAATTCTTTGAATTCTTCCTGTGTATTTGTTGCACGCAAAGTAACAATCTTTCGCATCTATTTTAGAGCTAGTTAAATATAGCTAGTTTTAGAGGAATAGCCACATGGGGGTAAAAACTCCTTATTCTCCAGTGATTATCTGGAAAGAACTCTCAGAAGTATTAAGATAAAAAAACAGAAAGTTCATAAGTAGCAATTAATTAGCTACTACTTATTGTCAGAGAGCAGTTAAAGCTTCCAACTCATAGCCAGGCTGATTATTAAAGAGCTATATGATTAGAGTAATTGAAACTGTGCAGGTGAAATGGAAAGTTAGTGGCCTCCAAAAGTCATGAAAAACCAACACTGAACTTACACTAACTATGGAAGAATAGCAGTACGATCCCAAGGGGTGTGTATTTCTTTGAACCATTGTTTTAACTGGCTAGAGGAATTTTGTGTTTAGAATTTTATTATCTTATCATTTTGGGTTGGAAATTTTTGTTCTATAGCCGCAATGCAGACCAGCCTGCAATGCCACCACTGTTTCTATCCTTGCTTGTCTGCTTTGGTACCTTTTTCCCTTGGACTTTCCAGAGGGTAGAACAGAGGGCAGCCCGGTGTTAGAGCCCTGATAATGGGAGGGAAAATGTTCCAAATATTCTAAATGGGGCAACTGTTTCTACACTTGGGTCAGCTGGAAGACTCTTCCAGCTTCATAGTGTATTTGTTGGCTTGCTTGCTTTCTGTTTGTCATTCTCAGATTCTCCACAAATATTCATCCTGCGTTTCCAACCCCCATGTTTTCTCTCGCTCAACACAGGCTCATATTTGAACCAGAAGGTCATCTAGTACAAATTTCTCACATGCTTGATGAGGAGCCTGAGGTGTGAGTAGGGTGGCGGCTCTCAGGTTACAGAAAGGGGTGGCTGTCCAGTGGAGCTGTGTCCCAGCACTGCTCATGGTGGCCCAGTAATACTTGCAAGCCAGTGTTCTGTGACCATCCAACTCCCAACATCTGCTTTTCATTTCCTTCCTCCATCCCTATAAACATCCCCTACACCCAGAAATGCACCCCGCTATGTGCGCGCACACACATACACACTCACACTCTCTCTCTCTGTTTTCTTCTTTCTGCAAATCCCCTTCCCTTCCCATCTTGGCAAGCTGCCAAAAGTATGAAAAATTAGGCAAGTTGAACCTTTAAAAAATCCTTTATTTTAGAATAAACCCAAAGGAAACCTCAGCTGTCCAACTTTCACTAACTAAATTATGCAGTGTTTCCTTCTGTTCCTTCATCTTGATTTATTTTTGTGGGTTAAGCCTTTGACCGGGGGGGAAACAGGTTTGTTTGTTACACTCCAGAGGAGAAAGAACTTGAAGGAGGAAAGAGAAAACAAAAGGAAAGGTGAGCCGAAGGATTAAATAACGAATCAAGGGAACACGAAATACAAATCTGGACATGCCCACATGTACTTTTCCATTTAGAAACAGACCCAATAAACAAGTGGTGCGTTTACCCATTTTTTCGAGACTAAAGCCCTTGCTTAGTAGTCCCCGAAGTTAGCGTTAGCCTGCCCTCTAGTGGTGCCTGAAAACGTGTGCTAGACTGTGGTGCCCAATGCAGAGCTTTGCTTGTCCCAGAGATAGACGCTTGAAAACCTCAAGATTAGAAGGAACGCTTCAGCAGCTTTCCAGTAAATACAGTAGGTGGAGACAAACACTGGAAAACTGCAACCTAGGCAACATTGCTTTCGTTTGACTCTTAGAAGATTGCTAGGCACCCAGAGTTATTGAAACTTGGGTTGACCATAATTTGTCATGCTTAATATTTCCTGCTTTTAAAAAATTGTTAAAAATGTTAATATATGGAGATTTTAAACACATTCAGTTTATAAATCCGTTGGCGCTTCATGCCATTAATTATCTTAAATACCCACCAAAAGCAGAAATTTGGGTGGTGGTATGGAGGTGCAAAGGTTAATAAGACACAGACCCTGTCCTTAAAACTTACTCTCTGTTTGGAAGAGAAGATCTATTTGAATGTAATTACAATACATGGCAGTGGTATAACAAAGAGACAGTTTAAATATATATATATGTTTAAATATATATATATATATATATATATATGTACACACACACACACATACACACACACACACAAAACTGTGCTAGGTATGCCCACATCTTACTTAATATTTACCACAACTATATCTTTTTACATAAGAAGAAAGGGAGGTTCAAAAAGATTAAGTAATGTATCTTAGTTCAGATAGCAAAGAAATAGCAAAATTAGAATTCAGGTATTTTGATTTTACTTTCATTTCAATTAACTTCAACAGAGCTTTATTGAGAATCTACCATGTACCAGGCACTATGCTACATGCTGAACATGCAAATATAGGAAATACCACTGGCCTCACGGTTATAGTCTTGTAGGGGACTGGGCTATGCAGAAACAAGCTGTATTGTGATATATGCAATAATGCAAGTTTGTACATATTACCTTCTGAGCAAAGCAGCAAAGACTGTTCTTTTTCCATAAGTTGTTGACTTTCTGTCATGTGACCCTGGTAAGTAACCATGATCGAACTGATCAAGAATCTGTAACTTGGTCAAAGGTAACCACAAAATTGTGCAAAACTACAGGATACATAAATATTTTTGGGGTTTCATTATTACAGATGACGTTGAGGAGAGAAAAGTTTTACATTTTTACAATCTTAGGTTTACCAATGGGCCCTGGGAGGTCTAATAGCAGAATTCTGCCCAATAGTGGAGGCAACTCACTGACCCAACCAGTGAGAGCACAGGTAGTTTCCACTGTGAGAAACTCAACTACAGAACCAGAGTAGAATTAGAAAGAAACAAAAGTGGAGGTAACAGCTGAACTAGTGAGAAGCGGAAGCACAGAGAGGTGAAGGAGAGAAGTGGAATTGTGAGTACGGCACCGTCAGGAGTCAGGGGCCAAAGGTCCCTCTTCTCAAGGGGGCATTACCATTACTGACTCAAAGGGGAGCCCTTACTGACATCCCAGGGCTCTGGGAGGCTGGACTACAACCTGCCTAGTGTCATACCTGTGCTTCCTTATTGCCTTAAGTATCTTTCCAATCACCCACAACACCAGAGGTCACCCGAGAATACTTGATCTTTGCAACAGAAAGTGTAACTCCTGCAGCACCAAAGTGGTGCGGAGGAGAGTGAGGAAGTGTGGTTGGAAGGGTGGATGCAGCAGGGGCTTTACCAGGAGGCAATGCCAAAGCAGAGTTCTGAGCTATAATGAGGGGTTCGCAAGGAAGACAGAGGGGTTTGCAAGGAAGGAGCTGCAACGAGGAGTTTGCAAAGAAGACAGAGGAAGGTACCTCAATAATTCTGTGTTTATTCCAGTACTGGACATAACCCATGGCAAACCTTAATTTCCAGGATCTCCTTTGTGTAATGACACCAGAAATCCTTTCTTCAGGAACCCTGGCTTTGAGAGAGTGGCATGAGAAAGGAGAATTTTCTCTTTTATGGAGGGTGTAAGTCCTGAAGCTTGATGTGCTGACCTTATTGTGTGTCCTTAAATATTGGCATATTCTTCTCAATTGGGATATGGGGATGCAGCACTGGGGCCAGGGGATTGTGCAAAACTAAGGATACATAGAGAAAAATCTTTATGGGGTGTCATCATTACAGGTGATGTGAAGAGAGAAAAGTTTTAACTTTTTACAATCTTGAAAGGTGTTGTCCTGTATGATCAGTATAAACCTACTTTTTTGTGTTGGGTTAATTTTTTTCCCACTCATTTGCATAAAATCCAGGGTTCTCTATGATCCCAGCATAAAATCACATTTAAAGAAACACACTCTTTTGTTTATCCATTCATCTTTTAATGAGCATTTGGGTTGGTTTCAGCTCTTGGCTATTGTGAATAGTGCTGCTATGAACACACATGTACCAATATCTCTTCAAGATACTGCTTTCAATTCTTTTTTGGATATATGCCCAGAAATGGGATTGCTGGATGTATTAGTCCATTCTCACAATCCTATAAAGAACTACCTGAGACTGGGTAATTTATGAAGAAAAGTGGTTTAATTGACTCACAGTTTCTGCAGGCTGTACAGGAAACATGACTGGGAGGCCTCAGGAAACTTACAATCACAGCAGAAGGTGAAGGGGAAGCAGGCATATCTTCACATGGTGGCAGGAGAGAGAGACAGAGTGGAGGAGGATGTGCTACACACTTTTAAAAACCAGATCTCATGAGAACTCTGTCATGAGACAATACTAGAGGGATGATGCAAAACCATTAGAAACCACCCCCGTGATCCAATCACCTCCTGCCAGGCCCCACTTTCAACACGTGGGGATTACAATTCCACATGAGATTTGGGTGGGGACACAGAGCCAAACCATATCACTAGATTATACAGTAATCCTAGCTTTAATTTTTTGAGGAACCTCCATATTGTTTTCCATAATGGCAGGATCATTTTACATTCCACCAACAGTGCACAAGGGCTCTAATTTCTCCACCTTGGTGCTAACCCTTGCTATTTTCTGTTTTCTTTTTAAATAGTGGCCATCATAATGGGTGTGAGGTGACATGTAGATTGACTTTAAAGTACAAACCCCCTTTGAAATGGTAAGGGGATCTCTGAACTTTCATGCCTTCTGGTAAACTTTGATTTTATCAACCAGCTGAAATCATTCACTGAAGTACATGTTATTTTGATCTAGACAAGTTGTTAGGATCCTGGAAAGAGATCTTAGATTTCTTTAAACTTGGTAAATGTAAAACTGGAAGCCCCAAGAGTGGGGGCTACCTGAGAAGTCCCATATCAGGTACTTCTCTCTCAGTTGTTTTGACCCTGAGGACATTTTTTATTGAATGAAAACAAACATTTTCATCAGAATTATTCCAACATTTCTGGAAATATTATCAAGAAATTATTTTCTAGAAGCAACTGTCTTGAATTAATGTAATTCTTTGATCAAATTTCTTCCTGTGCCATTAAATAATTTTCAGTATTTTTATTTTACTGAAATAATTTAGACTTTATTCAGTGATCCCATTTTATGTCCGTATTAAATCTTTCCAACTTTTCCAATCAGCAATTTTGAGGTTTCTTTTGTAGTCATTTTCTACCAAACCTAATTTTCCTGGGCTAGATTTTGCAGGTATAATTTTTGACAAGAAGATTTGATTCTTTTGTCAATCTTTAACGTCAATTACAAATTTTTCTGTGTAAAGCTTTCACCTTTGTCAGTTTTATTTTGTGTTATTTGCATAAAGTGCAATTTTAAGAGTTCACTTTTGTAGTTTTGAGACTTACCAACACAATGAGATTCTTCAGTCAGTTTTTTGTCAATATCAAAGTTAACATATATCATTTTAGTTATTATCAGTTTGATCCTGTGTAGATTCTTTTTACATCTACTTTTTTTTTCTAGTGACCCGTTGAAAATATACTTGATATAAAAATATCAAGGCCATAACATCATGTTTTCATCCAAAGCTACTCTGTTTAAAAATATTTAAAAAGTAGAATCGACCTTTTTAGAGGCATGGGCTTCACAGGTAAATCCTTAATCTAGAAGTGACAAGTTCTGGGTGTTTGTCTTTGTTCTGCGCTCATCACCCCTGTGTCTACAGTCTGGTAGTCCTCATCTAAAAGTGAAGTGATTGAAGTGTGTGATTTCTAAATCCCCTTGCAACTCTGACTTAAATTTCTATCTGTAGGAATCTATTCCTATCTGCAGATTGAGCTAATTGATCATTGCTTTGCTTCATATTTGATTCACTCCTCCCTAACCCTAACCCTAATCCTCCTGACAACCAGCCTGTCTGCACTTGCTCAGACCTGGGTAGGAGCCTCTGATGTTCCCTACACAGATTTGCATGTTGTTCTTAGAGTCTTGGCTTCTGATCTGCTCCAGAGCGCCACTGCTCTCAGGCTTTCTGAGCTCAACCCATATCCTTTCTGATTGAGCACCGACCAGCTGGGCTCAGAGCAGCCTGCCTCCACCCTGCCTTCATCTGCCTGGAAGCTACGAGGTTATCAGGGACCATGCTGAGCCTTGTCTTTCCCCAACCCCACTCCTCAGCCTAACTCCTATCACCTCTCTTTGTGGGTTAGGCATGAAGGGACAATCGTGGGGTTATGTGGATGTAGTTTAGGGTAGACCAATCTTAAAGGCAGCAGAGTTAGGACAGATCCCAAGGCCATTGTAGGCAGGAAGGGGAGATAGGATAGACCACATCATTTAAGGAATCATTTCAGGATCCCAGGAGGAATGTGTTGGGCCATTTGCACTAGAACAATTGGAGGGAGGTTTAGTGAAGGGACTGTTTACAAATGATGAGCAGTGTTTATGGAGTCCAAAAAGGACAGTGTAGCACCACTGAGTTCAGATATGACTCCTCACCAGAAATGATATGAGGAGGGATCAGTTACTGGAACCTGGGTGGAGAGAATCACATAGAGATGACTGCAAGACAATACTTCAGGGATCAAGCCAGAGGCATAAATACCCCAGCCTCCACTCCTTCTCCCTCCCTCTTATCTCCTATTAAGGACCTCTAATTGGCAGAACCCAACTGGAGGTCAAAGGGCAAGGGAGTCCATTGATGAAACTCATACAGTTCAGTGTCCCCAGCAAGAGAGTAGGATGAGAAGGGTGGAGAGTGACCTCAGCAGTGGGGAGGAGAGGGTAACAGGCACAGGCTGCTCCTCTAGCTTGTTCATGTACATCCCAGTAAAATCAAGTGGAGAAGATCATCCAGAGAAGACTGGGAGGAAAAGGGTTAGCATGCTTGCATCACCTTGGGTGAGGAATGAGTTAAATGCAGTGACCTTTGTGAATTTCAGCTGATGTCATTGTATAAGTCATGTATTTCCCTGGCAGCTGCTGTCTAAGGCATGGCCTTCATCTTGAATTGGTTCTGGGTCAACAGAAGCCTAGGCTGGGTTGATTAGCTCACTTCACTCTTCCCTGAGAGGCCTCGGAGGAGCTGGCCACAGTGGGAGCTTTGGGAGGGTAGGATCAATGCCTTTGGATATCTGGGTGGGGTAGAGGGAGCTTTAAGTATAGAGAAAGGGGGAGGGGAGAGAGTGTTGAAAGGGTGCTGATGGCACATCTGGACAAGGGGCAGACCTGGGCCTACTTAAGATGGCATTGCATTGGGCTCAGGGTTTATAGAGCATAGAATATGCTTTACATGGAATGATGCCACCTCCAATGCCTGAGATGCACTGTATAGACTGAGATGCTGCTGGAACTGTGGTGGGGGTGGGCAAGAGGGGTGGTTGGGGAGGCAGTGGGCATAATCTCCCTTCAGAGTCCTGTAGCACAGAGTTCTGCCACAGAACACCACTGTTCTGCTTTAAACACCATTGCAAATGGTTAGCATTCACCTTAGCTGAATTTGTAGAGAGGGAGAGGAAAGAGGGAAAAGAGGAGAAAAAGAGAGAATGTATTTGTCCAGCTCAATGCATATGGATGAGTTGGTTCTGGTGCTCCTATTTAATCAAACGATTCATATTTGTGGATGGGTGGGGCAGCAGGAGCAGAGTAGGCTGTGGGCTGAGCAAATACTTAGAAGCATGTCTGTTACAATCATGCTTTGCTTCTGGTCAGTGGCACAATATATATATTTAACACATTCTCTTGGGAATATTAAAATCCAATATAATATAAGCCAGTGGCAAGTAGTCTTTCTTTTATTATATCCATTGGGCAACGGGTTGGTCAGCAGAGGGAAGAGAGATCAGAAAGCAGAAAGCTGGATGGAGGAATGACCTCCTCTCACTAACTCCAAAGTGTTGCATCTACCTTGACCAGAATCCATGGCTTCTAAAAGAATTCATTGGAAGAAAGAAATAGGGAGGTGAAAAGAAAGGAGAGAATGGAGACGAGAGAAATATAAGCAAGAAAAGTGAGTTTTTCTAGAAAGAATTTTATTGTCAAATAATTCTGCAAGGGAACAAAGTCTTCTGAGAAGCATGAAGCATAATCTTTCTCCTTTCTGTTTTTTTCTATTCCCTATAGAAAAAACCTGTTAATTTTGTATTAAAAACAAAATACATTTCTTTTTTTTTGAGTGCTCTATAATTGTATAGGAATGTGTATCACTTCCTCCCCATAATTTTGAGAATATTTCTGAAGACAGTGACATATTCTGACTCTTTAAGAACAAAACAATTCAATTTTAAAATCACTGAGTGACAGCAATCAAAGTTCTGAAGTGATGCAGTTCGCCTCAACACTTGTTCGAAATGTCATTAGAAAACCAACATATAGCGGGTTGTTATGGCAACTGGAATACCAGAGTTTATAACATCACTGTAATTAATGTTATCCAAATGTTATTAATCTTTCAACATCACTCACATTCTCTGAAGGAACGGCAGTTCTGGTTGTCTTAGGATTTTTCAATAGTGTAATCCATTGCAGCTTTTCTTCACGTTTTATTTTTAAATAGATCTTACTCTGACTTTGCTTTAGTGAAATTAGTTATTGTTTCTCCGTCTTTACTTGTTCTATTTTGGCTGCTATTTTTTTTTTGATAAAACTTGAAGTAAAATGGAAAAAAAGGGATTACAGCTAAAAAAAGAATAAAGTCTAGAGATGGAAAGATTTATATATTTAAGTATGGAGAACCTCAGAAAAATATTAAAATATTTTGCATACAGCTTTGTAGTATTAACTCACATTTGCATAGCACTTTATAATTTAAGAAGCAGTTTTACATATGTTATTAACATAACATTATTTAACATAACAACCCTAAGAAGACAAGTAATAATTTTTGAGTGCCTACTACGTGACAGGTAATATGATTTGCATACATAAATCTTTTAGTTCTCACCGCAATCTGCAAGATAGCTGTTGTGGTTTAAAAATATGTCTCCATGGTTCAACAACAAATCAACAAATTACCTGATTTAAAAACAGGCAAATGTGGCCAATGAGCATATGAAAAGACACTAAATATCACTAATTATTAGATAAATGCAAATCAAAACCACAATGAGATATCACCTGAAAACAATTTAGTGGCTACTACGAAGAAACAGAAAATAATAAATAGTGGCAAGGATGAAATGTTAAAATGCCAGATACACCAAATCATGCAAACACAACATCAAAACACAGCTTGGTGGAGATGGAGGGACAGATGGGGAGGGGAAGAGTGTGGAAAGGCTGGAAAACAGTCCCAAACAGACACACGTCTCCATGTGACACTTTTTTTCTTTTTTTAGGCAGGGTCTTGCTCTGTTGCCCAGGCTGGAGTGCAGTGGTGTAATCTCGGCTCACTGCAACATCCACCTCCCGGGTTCAAGCGATTCTCCTGCCTCAGCCTCCCGAGTAGCTGGGACTACAGGCATGTGCCCCCATGCCAGGCTAATTTTTGTATTTTTAGTAGACATGGGGTTTCCCCATGTTGGTCAGTCTGGTCTCGAACTCCTAGCCTCAAGTGATCCGCCCGCCTCTGCCTTCCAAAGTGCTGGGATTACAGGCGCCCGCCACCACGCCCAGCTAAGTTTTGTATTTTTAGCAGAGACGGGGTTTTACCAGGTTGGCCAGGCTGGTCTCAGACTCCTGACCTCAAGCGATCCACCCGCCTGAGCCTCTCAAAATGCTGGGATTACAGTGTGAGCCAGGGCTCCCGGCCAGAACACATTTCCTTTTAATGGAAACAGTAATTCTCTGTGGCCGCCCAGCCAGCCCACATTCCTCCACCAGGCCACCACCGCCTCTGAGGAAGCTGGACTGTGCGGCACACGCGGAGGTCATTGCTTACTTAGATGGCAGTGAACCATCCACGCTGGGGAAGCATCACTCCTCCCTAGACCTGGCAGCATCCTCCCCGGTTCCTTTTTCTTGCTGAAATATTTCTCCAAGAGTGTTTCTGGGGTTGACTCTCAAGGGGGCTGATAGGACTGAGGATGGCTTCCTGCGTGCCCATATTTCATGGCGGTGAGCAGGACACAGCCCTGGGTTCCAGGGTCCTTTCCTCTCGCGTCTGAAGCTGTCACTCCCTTTCTTCTTGCATCCGTTGTCTGTGCCGCGATTCTAATGTCAGCACCACTCCTGTTCCTGTGCGGGTTACCTGCTTTTTCTCTTTGGAAGTTTTTAGCAATTTTGACTCAAAATGTAGATGCTTTTCTTTGAAAGTACACATAAGATTTTAACTTTAAAATGTAATTAACACTCTGCAGGCCCTTTTAGTTTGAGGATGTGCATCTTTTCTTAATTGGGGAAATTTCCTAATCATTTTTCAGATACTTCCTCTTATCTATTCATTTTTCCTCTTTTAAGCACTGAATATTTTTCCTCCCTCACCTCTGCCTCCTCAACCCCTTCAGCTCCTTCTAGAAGAGCTCAGAGCCTGACCTGCCTCACTCATTCATTTTCTGGTCTCCAACCTTCCCACCAAGTTCATCACTTAAGCGCCCGCATGTTCCAGTCCAGTATTCCCGGCTGCATCTTCTGCATAACTGCCAATTCCAGCCGCGCTCTCCCTGCGTCCTGAGGGTATGTGACGGATTTACCGGTCTTATCCGCTCATCTGCTCCCTCCTCCAAGGAAAAACCTTGGGGTTTTTCCCTCCCGGAGTTCACTCCCCTCGCTGTCTCGTTTCCTCAGGCCGCTCTCTGTTCCCTGGGTATGGTCAACTGCCTTCGTCTTAGGCCCCAGTTGACACCTTCCTTGTGGGCTTCAGGGAGGCAGGCAGGGGCTCCTGGGGGCAGAGCCTCTGGCAGGATGACTGGGGCCCTCTTTGCTCATCCCCGGGGGCTGCTCTGGTCTGCAGGGAACGCCCCTGTCCTTCTAGCTGGTGCTGTCTGTCCAGGGCTGCCCTGTGCTGTAATTGGCTGTCCTTGGGCTGGGGAGGAAGGCTGCCCAGGGGCCACCAGCCAGCCTGCCCAGGTGTCGTGGCCCTCACTCCAGGAGGCTCCTGAGGTGCTCTGGCCTTGCCTAGATTCCTGGGGCTGGTACGGGTGGGATCTTCTACAGGAAAGCAGGGCTGGCAGATGACAGCCCCAGGTGGGCCCCGGAGCAGAGAGCTGCAGTCTGGCCCCGGTTGTGCTGTGTGGCCTCCTCCACTCAGACTGTGATTCCCCTCCTGTCCCAGACTCCACCACGTTTGCCCAGCCTCCGCAAGGCTCTCAGGGGTCCTCTTAGGTTCTGGGCTCCATCAACTGTCATCCCTTTGATGGCATCTCCAAGGTTTGGATTCGTGGGAAGGAGCCAGCAGCCTGTATTAATTAATCCCCTCATAAAGGAACCAAAAGCCAAATTTACAAACAAAAATCATAACATTAGATGCTGTCAGGGGCAGAGGAAATGGAGACGTGGAAAGCTGCTGGTGGGCGTGTGAACTGTCACACCCTCCCGAGGACCTCGTGGCAACTCGTTCCAAATGCCTGGAGAGTGGACCCCGGCATTCTATGACGAGGTGGCATCTGCCCTCTAAATACAACTAGACACCCTGGAAAAAATTTAACAGACATAAGAGGACTATAGGAAGTGTAGAGGAAGAAAGGCTGTCCAGGAACCTCGGGACTTTGGGGGTGACGCTGTACAAGGCCCTGAGTTTTCTTTTTCTCTCATCTCCTGGATGGGCCCAGAGAACCCTGCAACCTGTAACTGCCAAAACCTGCAGGGACAAAAAAGAAAAGAAAACGAGCCTATTTTCTCTGGTGAAAGGACTGAGAAGGGTATCTCACTGAAGACCCAGTGAGGAGATTCCTACTGATCCATGCCACAGCAGCTCCGCTCAAGCCTGGCCCTCAGCATCACACCCAGGCCACAAAGGCTCTGCTGACCACGGCGCAGAGACCACACCCAGCACCCGGCGTTTCCTTAACCTACCCCCGCCGCACAGGGCAACCCCAGCAACATGCACAGGGATTGAACCAGAGCCCCAGCAGATCCAGAAGAACAAACGAGACCAGAATAGCACTGGGAGGGCTTTGAAAACTAAATTGTCATTGACTCTACATTTCCCCTAAAGCAGGCTGGGGCCTATATGGTAAACTGGAATGTTCAAATAGGATAAAAAGTTTCCTTACATAATAACCGAAATCTCCAGAACATATTTGAAATTATTTGTCATATCAGGAAACATAAAAAGCAACTTGAAGCCTGGTGAGGGGGCTCCCACCTGTAATCCCAGCACTTTGGAAGGTCAATCAGGAGGATGGCTTGAGCCCGGGAGTTTGAGATCTGCCTGGGCAACACAGCATGACCCTGTCTCTACAAACAATTTAAAAATTAGCCAGCTGTGGTGGCACACACCTGTGGTGCCAGCTACTTAGGAGGCTGAAGCAGGAGGACTGCTTGAGCCCGGCAGTTTGAGGCTGCAGTGAGCCGAGATCATGCTACTGCACACCAGTCTGAGCATCAGAGTAAGATTCTGTCTCAAAAACATAACAGAGCAAAACAAAAAACAACTTAAATAGCAAAATAAGATTAACCAAGATAAATCAGATGTTAGAACTTTAAAGCAGCCATCATAAAAGTGCTTCAGAAAACAATGGTGAATTTTCTTGAAACAAGAACAAAATGAAAATCATACAACTGAAAAATACAATAACTAAATGAAAAAATGTGCAGTTGGGTACAATAGCAGAGTGGAGACGACAGAGAACAGAGTCTCTTGATTCAAGGACAATTAATAGAGCTGGCCCATAGGAACGATGGAGAGATAGGAGACTGAGAAATGAACGCCTCCTCGGGGATGGGTGGGACAGTGACAAAAGGCCCAGCGTTCCTGTCACCAGAGTCCCAGGAGGAGAGGAAGGAATGTGTGGTGAAAAAGTATTCAAAGGCACAGTGGTTGAAGATGTCCCAAATTTGGTGAAAGAAGTAAACCTGCAGATTCAAGAATCTGAGCAAACCCCAAATAGGATAAACACATCATAACGGAACTTCAGGAAAGGAAAGATGAAGAAAAAAATCTTTTAAACCACCAGAGAAAAACGATGCATTAAGGGACGCTGGTTCTGAGGATGGTGGGCTTCTCTAAAACCACGAGGCAGAGGGGGCGACACACCATCACCAGGTGCTGAGAAAAACTGTCTGCCCAGAACCCTATTCAGTGAACGTATCCTTCAGGGATGAGGGGGAAATAAAGATATTCTAAGAGGAAGGACAACTAGGATAGTTTGTTACCAGAAAACCTACCCTTAATACATGGCTGAAGGAAGCTCTACTAACGAAAAGGAAATAAGGAAATCAGAAATAGCAACAACAGAAGGGGTAATCATATGGTAAGTATAATAGACTATGATGAGTTTCTTAAATTGTATTTTATGGTTGAAGCAAAAAATATTAACATCATCTGCTACGGTGCTCTACATCTGAACAGGAAATATTTATGATAATTACATGTTTAAGTGGGGGAGGAAAAGGGGAAGTAAATAAAAGTAAGCTTTTGATATTTCTCATGAAGTGGTGAAACATTGATGCCAGCAGGCTGTGATAAGTTACATGGGTATATTATAATCAATCCTAGAGCAGCCACTTAGAAAACGATACAAAGCAATTCACCCAAAAGTATAAATAATTCAAAATGAAATGCTAAAAACTGTTTAAGTAATCCATGACAAGTGAAACAAAACAGAATAAAGGAAACATAAGAAACATGCAGAAAGCAAATAAAAATGGCACATTTGAATCCTAAATATGATTTCTGTGTGGTAAAGAATTTGGCCTAGCCCAAAGAAGAGGTCTAGCCTTTGTCCTGGCTCCTGGCAAGTAGTCCTGAAGACCATGTGACAGGAGGGTCTTTGCTATTCATGGTGGGTCCCTCAGACTATACCTGAAGTTTATGCTACCAGCTGGCTCATGGTGGGCCCTCCCAGGAATGTGCTGTCAGCCCCAGATTCCGGGAAAGGGAGAGATGAAGACAGAGTTCCAACCAGTCTCCAACAGATCAGTCAATTATGGCTGCACAATGCAGTTCCAGGAAACACTCCGGACACCAAGGCTTGGGTGAGGTTCCTAGGTTGGCAGTGCTTCATGGTATTGTCACACGTGGATGCTGGGAGAGTAATGCACCTGAGGACAACAGAGGCTTCACAGACCCTCCTAGCCCTGCCCTCTGTGCTGGTTCTGATTTGTATCCTTTCCCTGCAGTAAACAGTAACCATGTGTACAGCAGTTTTCAATGACTTCTGTGAGTTCTTCCAGCAAATGATTGAAACTTAGGGTGCTTTGGAAACCTCTAAAACTTGCTGTTGGTGTCAGGAATGAGGGAAATTTTAGGAACCATGCCCTCAGACTTTGCAGTTTGGTTAAATCTGGGAAAAACACAGAAATAGCAGAGTAAATGCAAAAATATGACCCATTATATGATGTCCATAAGATATTCAGTTCTAATACCATGGCATAGGTATTTAACAGATTCGAAGTGAAAGAACAGAAAAAAGGCCGGGCGCGGTGGCTCACGCCTGTAATCCCAGCACTTTGGGAGGCCGAGGTGGGCGGATCACGAGGTCAGGAGATCGAGACCATCCTGGCTAACACGGTGAAACCCCGTCTCTACTAAAAATACAAAAAACTAGCCGGGCGTGGTAGCGGGCGCCTGTAGTCCCAGCTACTCGGGAGGCTGAGGCAGGAGAATGGCGTGAACCCGGGAGGCGGAGCTTGCAGTGAGCCGAGATCGCGCCACTGCACTCCAGCCTGGGCGACAGAGCAAGACTCCGTCTCAAAAAAAAAAAAAAAAAAAAAAAAAAAAAAAAAAAAAAAAAAAAAAAAAAACAGAAAAAAAAATTTCATGCAAACAAACAGGAACTTTTAAAAAAGCAGGAGTTGCTATAATAATATCAGATAGAGTTCATGGCAAAAAGAATTTCTAGAACAAAAGAGAAATATTACATAATAACAAAAGAGCAAGAGTATATCTTGATCCTAAATATATGTGCACCAAACAACACAGCTTCAAAACACATGAAGCAAAACCTGATAGAGCTTAAAAAAGAAATAGAAAAATCCATAATTATAGTTGGGATATGTCGACATCTCACTTTCAGAATTTGTAAAATTACTAGAAAAAAAATCAGCAAGAATATAGGATAACTAAACAATATTATTAGCCAATAGGGTAAAATTAACATTTATGGAAAACTCTATCCATCAACAGCAAACTATGCATTATTTTCAAGCTCTTATAGAACAGACTCTAGATCTTAAAACAAACCTTAACAAATTTTTAAAAACTGAAATCATACAAAGAGTGTCCTCTGACCAAAATGGAATCAAACTGGAAATAAATTGCAGAAAGACAAGAGAAAAATCTGCAAACACTTGGAAATTAAGCAGTAAACATTTATATACAATGTGGACAAGAAGAAGTCTCAAAGGGAATTTTTAAAAAGCAAGTAACAATGAAAATATGGCATATCAAAATTTGTGGATGAGGCTGGGTGCAATGGCTTACTCCTGTAATCCCAGCACTTTGGGAGGCTGTGGCAGGTGGATCGCTTTTTGAGCCCAGGAGTTCAAGACTAGCCTGGGCAACATGGTGAAATCCCTATCTCTGCAAAAAATTATCCAGGTGTGGTGGCATGCACCTGTAGTCCCAGTTACTTGGGAGGCTGAGATAGGGAGGATTGCTTGAGCCCAGAAGGTTGAGGCTGCAACGAGTGGAGATTGTGCTACTGCACTCCAGCTTCGGTGACAGAATGAGACCCTGTCTTAAAAAACAATTGAGGGATTCAGCTATAGCAGAGCTGAGAGAGAAATTTATAGCACTAAATCCTTATATTAGTAATATGGAAAGTTCTCAAACCAGTAGTCAAAAAACTAAAAGAGGAATAGTAAAATAAAGTTAAGGCAAATAGGACGGAAAGCGAAGAGCAGAAATTGATGAAATTAAAAACAGGAAAGCAATGCAGAACATTAAGGAAATAAAAAACAGGTTCTTCAAAAAATTAATAAAACTGATAATCCTCTAGCATGATCAACAAAGATAAAAGGAGATAACACACAAATCAGCAATATCAGGAATGAAACAAGAAATATCACAAAAGAGGCTGCATCTATGAAAAATGCTATAAAAATTTTATGCTCATACATTTGACAGCCTAGGAAAAAATGGATCAATTCCTTGAAAACCACAAATTACCACAACTCAGAAAAGATGAAATATATAAAAGCCTGAATAGTCCTATAATCATTATATAAATTGGATTTGTAACTAAAAAGCTCCTGAACACAATATATCCAGACCCAGTGGTTTCACTGGAGAATTTACCAAATATTTAAAGAAGAATCAACACCAGTTTTACACAGTCTCTTCCAGAAAATAGAAGAGAAAGGACTATGATATCATTATTTTGATATCAAAACAAAACAAAGACAGCACAAAGGAAGGAAGGAAGGGAGGGAGGAAGGAGGCAGGGACAGAGGAAAGAACCTTGCAGGCTGATTTTGCTCATAAGCTTAGATGGAAAAATCCTCAAGACAGTGTCAGCAAATCAAATTTAGTGATGCATAAAAAGAGTAGTAGACCACAATCAAGAGGAATTTCACTCAAGTTATGCAAGACTGTTTTAATATTTGAAAAGCCAATCCACATATTCTGTTTTGTAAACTGAAGAAAAATCATAATGATCTTATCAATTGACATAGGAAAAGGTTTTGACAAAATTCAAAACCTATTCATGATATAAACTCTTAGCAAACTTGGAATAGAGGGTAATTTCCTCCAACTTCATAAAGAGCATTTACAAAAATCTACAGTTAACATCACACTTAATGGTGAAAGAATGAATGCTTTCCCCTTAAGAGCAGGAACAAGGCAAGAATGTTCCCTTTCACCATTTTAATTCAAGATAGTACTAGAAGTTCTAACCAGTGTAATAAGACCAGAAAAAGAAATAAAAAGTATGCAGATTGAAAAGAAAGAAAGAAAACTATCACTGCTTGCATGTGGCATAATCATCTACATAAACAGTCCCATGGAACAAAAGAAAAATCCTTGATATAAAGAGTGAGAATATCAAGGCTGCAATACACAAGAATAACACAGATACACAAATTACATCTCTCTATGGTAACAATAAACAAGTGGAAACCAAAATAAAAACTGCAATACCATTTACAACTGCTCAAAATACATGAAGTATTAATATGTAGGAATAAATCTAATAAAACATATACAGGAGAATATATGCAAATTACAAAATTCTGCTGAAAGAAATCAAACATCTACATAAATGGAGAGTCATGCCATATTCAGGGATGGGAATTCTCAACATAGATGTCAGCTTCCTTCAAATTGCAGGTTTAATAGAATTCTAAATCTTGGCATTGTTTTTTGTATACATATGCAAACTTATTGTAAACTTTATATTAAAAGGAAGTGGACCTAGTTTAGCTGAAACAATTCTGAAAAAGAATAATTAAATAGAAGAAATCACTGTACCAATTATTAAAGCTTACTCTACAACTACAGTAATCAACTCAGTATGGTGCTGGTGGAGGGAGAGACACATTAATTACTGGTGCAAGATAGAGATCCCACCCCAGAAATATGCTTAATTAATTTTTGAGAAAGATGCAACAGCAGTTTAGTAGAGGACTGATAGCCCTTTCAACAAGTGCTGCAGGAACAATCAGACATCCATAGGCAAGGAGATGAGGCTTGGCCTGACCTTCACATTTTATACAAAACATAACACAAGGATCATGGGCTTAAATGTCAAACTGTAATATTTTCAGGAAAAAAAAAAGAAGAAAATCTTCAGGATCAGGGACTAGGCAGAGCCCTTAGACTTGACATCAAAATACAATTTATAAAAGAAAAAATTGATAAATTGGACCTCATCAAAATTAAATTTTTTTTTGCTCTGCAAAAGACGCAATTGGGATGATGGAAAGATAAGTTACAGAATGAGAGAAAATATTTGCAAATCACATATCTGACAAAGAACTTGTGTCAAGAATAAAGAACTCTCAGAACTCAACATAAAATAAATAAGTAATCAAATTAAAAATGCGCAAATGACATGAACAGATATTTGACCAAAGCAAATATTCTTTGTACATGAAAGGATGGTCAGCAACATTAGCCATTAGGAAAGTTGAAATTAAAACCACAATGAGACATCACTACATATTAGAATGGCTTTTTAAAAAGTGATTAGCACTAGGCTGGGTGCAGTAGCTCACGCTCGTAATCCCAGAATTTTGGGAGGCCGAGGCGAGTGGATCATTTGAGATCAGGAGTTTGAGACCAGCCTGGCCAACAGGGTGAAACCCCATCACCCCTAGTGACCCACTAGCAAAAGTTTTGCTCCTTGTCCCCACCACCTTATGCTCTGCTGGCCTAGAGGTCTTAGTTCCAGAGGGAGGAATGCTGCCGCCAAAAGACAGAGGGATGATCCATTGCGCTGGAAGTTTAGGCTGCCATCTGGTGGCACCAAGCTCCTCATGCCTCTGGATCAACAGGTAAAGAAGGAGTTAACTACGCTGGTGGGGGTGGCTGGTCCAGATCACCAAGGAGAAACTGCCCTGCTGCTTCACAATGGACTGAGGAAGAGCATGTCTGGGGTACAGGAGGGCCCTCGTGGCATGCGCTGTGATTAAGATCAATGGAAAAGCACAACAGCCCAATCTAGGCAGGATTAATAATGGTCCAGAACCTTCAGGAATGAAGGTTCCCCCACCAGGTTAAAAACCACAACCAGTGGAGGCTTCCTGAAGGCAAAGGGAATACAGACTGGGGAGTGCAAGAAGGTAGTTATAGGACCATGTGACCAGCTACAGAAACCAGGACTGCAATTGTCATGAAACTTTCCTCCTTATTTGCTGAGAGAGATAGAGAGAGAGAGTGTTTAAAGTTTTGGAAGAAAACATAGGAAGAAATCTTCATTAATTGAGGTTAGGGAAATTGTTCTTAGACATGATGCCAAATGCATGTAAAAGCAAAAATCCGTCAATTAGACTTGATCAAAATAAAAAATATAGCTTTGCAAAAGACACTATTAAAAGACACTGAAAAGACAGCTATAGGCTGGGAGAGAATATCTACAAACCACATATCCAACGAAGAAAGTAGTCTGACATATATAAAGAACTCTTAAAATCAAGTTAGAAAACCATCCAAACAAAAGTGGGTAAAAGACTTGGACCCTCACTGAAGAGGACGCTCTATGTGGAAGACAGAAAGCCTATGAGAGACCATCGACACTAATCACTAGGGAAATGCAAATCAAAACCATAGTGAGGTGCCACTGGAAAGCAGTTTGACAGTTCTGTTAAACCACATGGCCCAGCAGTCCCATAACGAATTTTCCTGGAGTAAGGAAAATTTGTGTTCACATGAAAACCTCTGCAGAAATGTTTATGGCAACTCTATGCATAATCGCCTAAATCTGGACACAACCACACGTCCTCCCATGGCTGAAGAGGTAACCACCTGTGTCTCCCTGTGTAGGCTAACACCATTCCACAATTGAAAGGAACATGTCACTGACACACAGAGCATTGGGGTGGATCTCAAAAACATGATGCTTAGCGAAAGCAGCCAGTTACAAAGAGCCCATGCTGCATATCTCCACTCACATGACCTTCCTGAGACAATGGCGTGACAGGGATAGAAGGCAAATCAGCAGTCAGCAGGGTTGGGTGGGGAGGGCTGGACTCCAGCAAGAGGGGTGCCATTCCTCGGCATCCTGACTGTGGAACCTTGTACGTGTGAAAATTCTCAGACCTAAACACCTCTTTTAAATGGGACCAGATGGGGAAATAAAACTATCATTTTTTGGTCATCTGTTTCGTATCAGTCACCACAGGTACAGTTGTGACCCTTGAACAACACAAGTCTGAACTACATGGGTCCACCTACATACAGATTTTTTCTTAAAAAAATTTTTTTTTAAATTAAATCTTCTTAAATAGACATGGGGTTGGCCAGGCGTAATGGCTCATGCCTGTAATCCCAGCACTTTGGGAGGCCAAGATGGGCAGATCACGAGGTCAGGAGATTGAGAACATCTTGGCCAACATAGGGAAACCTCATCTCTACTAAAAATACAAAAAAAAAAAAAATCTGGGTGTGGTGGCATGCACCTGTGGTCCCAGCTACTCAGAAGGCTGAGGCAGGAGAATCACTTGAACCCAGGAGGTGGAGGTTGCAGTGAGCCGAGATCATGCCACTGTACTCCAGTCTGAGCAACAAGAGCGAAATTCCGTCTCAAAAAAAAAAAAAAAAAAAAAACAACACACACGGGGTCTTGCTATGTTGCTCAGACTGGTCTTGAACTCCAGGACTCAAGTAACCCTCCCAACCTTGGCCTCCCAAATTGCTGGGATCACAGGCATGAACCACCACACCTGGTCCACTTTTTTTTTCAATAAATATATTGGAAAAATGTATTGGAAAATTTCACATCAGCCATGCCAGCAGATGTGAAACCTTGCTCTTTTGGCCAAATGCCTTTTTACCTGGTCTTGGAAATGCAGCTTTTGGACAGATGTAGTAGCTCATGCTTGTAATCCCAGCACTTTGGGAGGCTGAGGCAGGAGGATCACTGGAGCCTAGGAGATGGAGGTTGCAGTAAGCATTGCAACCATTTGAAGAAACTTGCAGATGAACCTTGTAGCCTAGAAATATTGAAAAAGTTAAGAAAAAGGTATGTCATGAATGCATAAAATACTAGCATATTTTTATCATTTACCACCATAAAACATACATATATCATTTATAAACATACATATATCAATTATAAACAGTTAAAATTTATCAAAAGTTATGCACACAAACACAGTACATGGTGCCAGTCAAGAGAAATGTAAACAAATGTAAAGATGCAGTATTAAGTCATAATTGCATAAATTAATGGGAGCCCACTGTACTACTGTAATAATTCTGTCACCCCTCCTGCTACTATTGCAGTGAGCTCAGGTGTCCAGTGTCCACTTAAAATGCCATGTGACACTAGCCATCTCCACGTGAGCACTTGTCTCTCCTGTAGATTGTGTATCACAGTGAAAAGTAATCTCTTGTGGTTCTCATGTATTTTTCATGTTTAGTGCAATACAATAAACCTGAAGAAGACATGTACGAAATGCCACTAGTGATGCTGGAAGTGCTGCCAAGAAGCAGAGAAAAGACAGTACAAGAAAAAGATGGATTGATTGATATGTACTGTAGACTGAGGTCTGCAGCTGTGGTTGCCCACCATTTCAAGATAAATTAATCCAGCCTAAGAACCGCTGTAAAATAAGAAAAGGAAATTCGCAGTGTCATCACTGCAGCCATGCTAGCAGACATGAAACTTTGCTCTTTTTGCCAAATACCTTTTTATCTAGTCTTGAAAATGTAGCTTTTGGCTGGATGTAGTAGCTCATGCCTTTAATCCCAGTACTTTGGGAGACCGAGGCAGGAGGATCACTTGAGCCCAAGAGGTGGAGGCTGCAGTAAGCCAAGATCACACAACTGCACTCCAGCCTGGAAGCGAGGCTCTGTCAGGGTGAAAAAAAAAAAGATGAAAGAAGGAAGGAAGGACAGAGAAATAGAGAAAACGCAGCTTTTATCTGGGTGAAGGATATCTACAAGAAAAGCGTATCTATAGACTCTAATATGATTCAAGAAAAACTGATGTCATTATATGACAACCTAAAATGAGACTGGTGGAGGTTGGTGACTTAAAATTATGAGATCTACAAATTTGGAGAGGCTAAAGTACAGTGGCACAATCATGACTAACTGCAGCCTCAACCTCCTGGGCTCAGGCAATCTCCCACCTCAGCCTCCCAAGTAGCTGGAACTACAGGTGTGTGCCACCATGCCTGGCTAATTTTCAAACTTGTTTTTGTAGAGACAGGGGTCCCACTATCTTGCCCAGCTGGTCTCGAACTCTTGAACTCAAGCAATCCTCCCACCTCGACCTTCTAAAGTGCTGAGATTACAGGCATGAGCCACTGTGCCAGGCCAAGAGCCTTATTTTCTTTCTTTTTTTTTTTTGTCTGACAGAGTCTAGCTCTATCATCCAGGCTGGAGTGCAGTGGTGCGATCTCAGTTCACTGCAACCTTTGCCTCTCAGGTTCAAGCAATTCTCCTGCCTCAGCCACCCGATTAGCTGGGAAGACAGGCACATGCCACTACATCTGGTTAATTTTTGTATTTTTTTCTAGGTAGAGATGGGGTTTCGCCATGTTGGCCAGGCTGGGCTCAAACTCCTGGTCTCAAGTGATCCACCCAACTCAGCCTCTCAAAGTGCTGGGATTACAGGCGTGAGCCACTGGGCCAGCCCAAAAGCTTTATTTCTTAGAAAGGTTGCAGCCTGCAGGCTGGCCATCTTGACAGGCTGGGAAGTGTAGCCTCCAGCAAAGACCAAAAGCAGGCACTTCCAGGGAAAGATGAGACAGGAAGTTATGCTGAAAGGGTTGGCTAAACGTACATATTCAACAGATTATAGAAGGCTCTATTAATATTCATGAAGGGGGTGAGACACACCTATTTCACACATTACATACGTCCCATATTCATTTTGGAGTGGAGGCAACATTTAAATGCATTAAAATTGGGCCCTATATGTCAAAAGGTGAAGCAGAAGGTTCGAAGGCTCTCAGTGCCCAGCCTTCCTACTGGAGAAAACTGGTCCCGATTTACAACAGGGCCAATCAAGGAAATCATGAAAGAGAGTGTGCCTGTGGCAAAAAAGGTGGGGAATGTAGGCTTTCAGGATATGGATCTTGGAGAAATTCAAGAGTGAAGAGACATCACACCAGAGGAATTAACAGAAGACCACTTGATGGAGATGAGTGTTTTCGAATCAGTGCCAGATGATGAGGAAGAGGATGTAGATGCAGTGCCAGAAAATAAGTTGACATTTGACAATCTGGCAGAGGAGTTCTGATTATTCAAGACTACTTGTGACTTCTACCACATGGACCTTTCTATGGTACGGACACCAAAACTAAAGCAAATGGTGGAAGAAAGATTGGTAACATAAAGAAACATATTTAGAGAAATGAAAAAGCAAAAATGTCAGACAGAAATAACGATGAATTTCTCAGTGTGTGTGCATCTCCTGACTTCCTTCCCATCTCCCTGACCTTTTCTGCCTCTGCCATCCCTGAGATGACAGGACCAACCTCTTCTCTTCTTCAGCCTACTCAATGTGAAGACGATATGGATGAAAACCTTTATGATGATCCACTTCCATTTAGTGATAGTGAATACATTCTCTTCCTTATGATTTTATTAGTACTTTTTCTTTTCTGTAGCTTACTTCATTGTAAGAATACAGTATACAATACAAATCACATGCAAAATATGTGTTGAGTGTTTATGTTATTGGTAAGGCTTCTGGCCAATAGTAGGCTATTAACAAAAGTTGTGGTGAGTTGAAAGTTATATGTGGATTTTTTTTTTTTTTGAGACAGAGTCTTGCTCTGTCCTGCAGGCTGGAGTGCAGTGGTGAGATCTCAGCTCACTGCAACCTCCACCTCCTGGGTCCAAGCAATTCTCCTGCCTCAGCCTCCTGAGTAGCTGGGATTACAGGTGCGCACCACCACACCTAATTTTTGTATTTTTAGTAGAGCCGGGGTTTCACCATGTTGATCAGGCTGGTCTCAAACTCCTGACCTCATGATCTACCCACCTCAGCTTCCCCAAGTGCTGGGATTACAAGCGTGAGCCACCACACCTGGCCTATATGTGGATTTTTGACTGTGTGGGAAGGTTGGCACCCCATCCCCTTCATGGGAACTGTAGTCTCATTAAATCCTCACATGCTGCAAGATTGGTTTATTATCCCCATCTTACAGATAAGAAACTTAAAACCCAAGAGATTTTGTACATTGCCCAGAGTCACATCACTGGTGAGTGGCAGAAACTGGAGCCCCCACCCAGACTATCCCTGACCTGAGCACAGGTTGCCAAGTGTGCGTGCAGCAGTCAGAGACACTGGGAGATGGAGACTGCCCTCCGTATTGAGGCCACTTATATATCTGGCTTCTGTGAAACAGCCTTGCTTAGCTCCACCACTCGGTTTTGGTCAAATGAACCACAGCAGGATCATGTGGACTTCCTGAGCACTGGTTTGCATGTATGAGTTGGACTTGGTGATCTCTTTGAGGTGTGTGGAGATACTAAGCTAGTGGAAAAAGTGCTGAACAGACTGGGACCGGTGGCTCACGCCTGTAATCCCAGCCCTTTGGGAGGCCAAGGCAGGAGGAACTCTTGAGGCCAGCCTGGGCAACATAGTGAGACCTTGTCTCTACAAAAAAAAATTAAAAATTTTTAAAATGCTGAACAAAAACCCACCTGTGTTCAATCTTGGCTCCTCCCTGGATAATGTACCCACTCCCAAGTGTAGGTGTTGGTAACGCTTGGGAGTACATCTTAAGCCCAGGTAGCACATCAACCGGAGTTCCATACAGTTCCCCAGCTTCCGCCTCAGATGTCTCTACCTGGCTGTCCCACAGGTGCCCATCACTCCACCTGGCATCCCAGCCAGACACCTGGGGGCCCTGGGGTACTCCCCGAAAACCCCTTGTTCCTCACAACCCCCAGACCCACTACCCCTCCAATGTTACCTCTCAGAGCTCTAGCACCCACCACTTCTCCCTCTCTGTGCCTCCTCCCCCTGAACTCCCTGCAAACTATCTCCACCCAGTAGCAAAGGGGCTTTTTGAAAAATGAAAATCTGACCATGCTGTCCCGGTTAAATGTTCTCTCAGGGCTTCCTGGTGTCTTGGGATGAAGATAGCATCTTAAGGCGGCCTCATCCCCTGCCTCTCTATTTTCCTCCCCAGCTCCTAGGACTCTGCCGCTGTCCTGGCTCCAGCTACGCTGGCTTGCAGGCGTCATGATGCCCTGTGTCACAGGCCTTTCCACATAACATTCCTGTGCTTGACACACTCTTCTGCTTCCCCAACTCCCAGCCTTTGCCAAGTTAACCAACTTCTGGTCATGGCTCAACCATCACTTGCTTCCCTAAGGAAGCCTTCTCCAACTTCCTACACCATGTCTAGAGCTGTGCCGTCCTCTACGGGACCACTGCCACATGGGGCAATTGAGCCCTTGAAATGTGCAACTGCTGCCAAGAACTGGAAATTTTTAATTTCAATTAATTTGAATTTCAAACAAGGGACTAGGTTCAGTTACATTTGAAACAAGGGGATATACATCTATTTTTTCAACTGTGAATACTGTGAAACCTAAATATAGATTATTTCCCACAAAATTTAGACCTGAATTGAGAGGTGTTATAAGAGTACACACCGGGCCGGGCACAGTGGCTCATGCCTGTGGTCCTAGCACTTTGGGAGGTTGAGGTAGGCGGAACACCTGAGGTCAGGGGTTCGAGACCAGCCTGGCCAACATGACGAAACCCTGTCTCTACTAAAAATACAAAAAAATTAGCCGGGCGTGGTGGCGGGCACCTGTAATCCCAGCTACTCCAGAGGCTGAGGCAGGAGAATCGCTTGAACCTGGGAGGCTGAGGTTTCAGTGAGCTGAGATCATTCCATTGCACTCCAGCCCGGGCAACAAGAGCGAAACTCTGTCTCAAAAGAGAAAAGAAAACAAAACACTACACCAAATTTCAAAGACTTAGCACAAAACAGGAATGTCAAGTAGTTCAATAATCATTTTTATACTGATTCCATGTTATGATGGTATTTTAGGTACACTGGCTTTATTTATTAGTAAACAGGGTCTCGCTCTGTCACCCAGGCTGGAGACCTACTGAATTCAGGTCATCCTCCCGCCTCAGCCTCCCGAGTTGCTGGGACCACAGGTGCGCACCACCACGCCCGGCTTTTTTTTTTTTTTTTTTTTTGTAGAGATAGGGTCTTGCCATGTTGCCCAGGGTGCTCTGGAACTCCTGGGCTCAATCGGATCTTCCTGCCTGGGCCTCCCAAGTAGCTGGGATTACAGGTGTAAGCCACCGCGCCCAGCCGGTATACTGGCTTTAAATGATAAAAATGTTCTGAACATTCACCTTCCGGTGTTGGCGCACGGGGCGTGGCGCGGAGTGACCAGCCCTGCCTGGCTCCTTTCAGCAGCAGGCGAAGCGGCTGCAGCGCGTTCTTTAACTTTCCCAGAAAGAACAACAGTTTGTAAAGCGCGCGATCTCATGCATGTCCCGGCCAGCCCAGCAGCTGGGGGTGCAGGGCCACGTCCAGTCTGGGACGCTGCAGGGGCTTCGCTCCTGGATCCCACCTCCTGTGCGTCCCCAGGCGCGGCGCGACAGTCCGGGGTCCTGCACGCTGTGGGGAGCCGCGCTGGGGGCGCCTCGGAAGGACGCGGTTCTCCAGCCCTTTCCGTGCCTAAACAGGACCGAGGCTGAGTTTCTTCGCGTGGGTGGAAACTAAAGCGGGGTTGGGGACAGGGTGCTGGCCATGGGTGCGGTTCCAGGAGCGGGCGCGGGTCCCCGGGCGGGATGGGGGGGCGCTCAGGCACAGCGGTGGGGCGAGGGCACAGCGCCGGGAGCGCAGATCCCAGGGGCCCTCACCGCAGTAGGTGATGGAGGTGTGCAGCAGCACCACGAAGCATTCCACAGGGCACACATACAGCAAAGCAGCACGCTGTTAGCAGTAAAGATAGGCAAGTTTGTCAATTAAACTTTCATAAAGCTGGGGGAAACAGAAGAAAACGAACCATAACAACAAAAAATAAAGCCGAGAAACATTTAAGAGATTTATTAGTTTGTTTTAAAATAACAGAAGCAAGCCCATTACATGGTAACATAAGTTGCATATTTTGTGAGAAATGTTTTCCAAAGCAAAAAAAAAAAAAAAAACCGTGGGAAAGTGGCGGTGCTTCAGTTGTGCGAGCTGTCACGTCCTAACACAGCTGCATCCTCAGCCCGCTGTCCCCCCGCAAGACGCTCCCACTTCCAGTGAAAAGAGATCAATAACATCTCCTTATTGTCACGAAACATTCTTGACTCAACCTCACTCAGCCACTGACAGGGTCGTGAAAATCCCAGGGGTCCCTGGACGGCACAATTGAGTGCCACTGGTTTTTTGGAGAAAAGTGTGGAGGAGTACTGGGGAGTTTGGAGAGGGTCCAGGGAAGGCCGCACCGACCAGTGGTCTCAGGACCAGCGTCCGAAGGAGCAGCGAGGAGGTGGAGGCCGGGAGGGGGACGTAGGAGCTGCCGCATTCCCGGCAGAGGGAACTGCAAGTGTTGAGGACCCCAGGCAAGTGCACTGAGGAATGAAAGGCCACTGTGGCCAGAGCTGGAGGCAGCAGAAGAGAGGCCCTAGAGGAGGGCAGGGGCCAGAGCAGCAGCGAGGCCAGACAAGGGCTGCGGCCTAGAAGCAAAGGGATGCCATGGAAGGAGCCTCGGAAAGTGACATCAAATTTGCATGTTTAAAAGCCGCGCTCAAGAAGTGCCGTCAATCATTAGAGACAGGTATCGGCCAAATAACCACATAAATACTTTTAAAAAACTAAACAATAATTTGGTAATTTCTTGGCTATGACACTAAAAGCACAGGCAACAAAGGAAAAAATAAATTGGACTTCACCAAAATTAAAATACCTTTGCGCATCAAAGGACACTATCAGAGTGAAAAGACACCCCGAAGAACGAGAGAAAATATGTGTGAATGGTTTACCTGATAAGGGTTTAATATCCAGAATATAAAAAGGACTTCTACAATTCAACAACAACAAAAAATCTGATTCAAAGGACTTGAATAGACATTTCTCCAAAGAAGGTCTATAGATGGCCAATATAGAGGAACAGAGAGCTTATACTTACAACTCTCTCCCCGAAACCCACTGTGCCTATTTCTGTGGTATGGAACTATGAGGTCTCAACAGAACAGATGAATAGATCCCAGTTTCTTTTCATGGAAATTTCAGGCCTTGTCTTTGGGCCACTAAGGTGCTTATTTCCCAGACTAACAAAAATAATCTAGCTTTTTGTCTTGACTACCAAACACTCTGGATTTTTTTTTTTTTTTTTTTTTTTTTGAGATGGAGTCTCACCCTGTCACCCAGGCTAGAGTGCAGTGGCGCGATCTTGGCTCACACAACCTCCACCTCCCAGGTTCAAGCAATTCTCCTGTCTCAGCCTCCCAAGTATCTGGGACTACAGGCACACACCACCACGCCCGGCTAATTTTTGTATTTTCAGTAGAGATGGGGTTTCACCATGTTGGTCATGCTGGTCTTGAACTCCTGACCTCAGGTGATCCACCTGCCTTGGCCTCCCAAAGTGCTAGGATTACAGGCATGAGCCACCATGCCCGGCCCACTCTGGATTTAAGGACAGTTCTTCCTTCAATCAGCAGCCAAAGAGTCCTGATTCCTGATTCTAATTAAGAAGTTTAACTTGGTATTCTATTTCTGATGGAAGGATGGCTAAAAGAAGGGAGACTCAAACAACAGATGAAGGCAAAATACTCTGTACTGAATTTTCAACGTAATCTTAAATTCTATGTTTAATTGAGATGACCCAAATTCTTTTTTTTTTTTTTTTTTTGATACGGGGTCTCGCTCTGTCGCCCAGGCTAAAGTGCAGTGGCATGATCTCGGCTCACTGCAACCTCCGCCTCCCGGGTTCACACCATTCTCCTGCCTCAGCCTCCCAAGTAGCCCAGGCGCCCACCACCACACCTGGCTAACTTTTTGTATTTTTAGTGGAGACGGAGATGACCCAAATTCTTAACTGCCTCATAAATACTGTTAATATATTGAAAGTTTTGCCCTAGGCTTTTATTAAAGTCAACTATATAGAAAAGGTTTCTCCTATCTTGAAATGTATTATTAAAGACATCATCCCCAATAATATTCCATATTCTCTGTTTAGGAACCCCAGTTGTTTTCAAATTCAAGAATGCAGAGAAATCTACTTGTTACAAAAGAGTAGAATGGATAATGGGCACCACATCCTGAAGTGTATTTTAATAAAAATTCATGTAAGATGGTTCAAAATTTCACTAACTACTTTAAAAAGAAATGCCTGGGAGACTTCTATTTCCAGCAGAGTGGCAGACTGATGCCTTGAACAACCCTCTTATTACAAAACTGAATACTCCACATGAAAACAAATCTATTCAAATGCATTGTTAAGCTGTGAAGAGAATAACGAAAGTTCTAAGAAACCAAAATCTAAATGAAAACAGAAGTCCAGGCAGGCACTGAAAACCTAAAAAAAAACAAAAACAAAAACTGAAGAGGCCAATTGTTGGCAAGCATGTGGAACAGCAGGAACTCTTTAAGCTGCTGCTGGTGGTGGAGGCCAAGACACTGTGCTCCCAGAACACGACACAGAAGCCTCCACACTGAAGCAGAGCACAGGTGCCCTGGAGTCTCCACCCCACCCAGGGATCCTCCAGCAGAAGCACGTTTGCCCCTGCATACCTGCAAGTCCCATATCCAGACCTAGTGTTCAGGGCCGTGGGATAACAGCCAAAAATAGGAAATCATTTTACTCATCAATGGAAAAATGGTGACACAGTCATATAATGGAACTCAACAATGACGATAAATCAATGTCTACCACAGACAAGAACATGGATGTGTTCTGTAATACTGAACCAAATAAGCCAGGCTAAATAGAATGTGCTGTATTTTATAGAAATCAAAACCAGGCAGAACAAATCTACATCAGGAACTGGGAAAGTAGCTATTTTGTGTGTTGGGGCAGCAGTGCCTGGGAGAGGCCACAGGTCAAGGCTACTGCTTGGTCCAGGGCGTGGCAGCCTGGTGTGCTACAGTCCATCTAGATGCACACTTATGATTCGGGCACTCTTCTGTATGTACATTAACATTTCAATAAAAAGCTTATTAAAACATTAAAACTTTCAGAAAAATCCACATTGCTTCAGTAGAAATTAGCACATTAACGTTTAAAAAATACATGGATACGGTGGGGGAAAAATAGTTCAAAAGAGTACCCAGTGAAAAGTTTAAGAGGGAGTGACGCCAGCAAGGGGCTGATCAATAGCCCCTTGCACTCATCCCCTGACAAAGACACCCAAAGCAGCAAACAACTATATTTTGATGAAAGTCACTAAAAGAGAGCCCCAGAGTGCATCAAGGAGTAGCAGAAATCCAGTAGAGCACAGAAAACCAAGACAGTCACATAAAGGAGGGAAGGAAACATCTGGCCCCCACCACCCACTCCCCCAGAGGGATCAGCCTGAAGCAGAGGGGATATCTCCCTGCAGGGAAAAGGAAGCAAGAGGGGCCCAGTAGCCCCAGCACTCCCCTCAGAGAAGGAACTGACATTGTGCCCCACCCCCATGGACCAGCTGCTGCTGCAACGTGCCCTCCTGGACCTGGACCACTTCGGGAGCATGTCCCACCCAGGGGGAGCAGCCACCGCACCCTTCTTCCAACCTCAGGCTCTGTTGCTGTATATCACACCCACCTAGTGGCCCACCACCCCCGAGCCGCTGTTACACTGTCTTAGGCCATTTAGTGTGGCTGTAACAGAATACTTGAGACTCGGGGTAACTTATTTTATAAAAAAGGTTTATTTGGCTCACCCTGCTTGTGTCTGAAAAGTCCGAGATCGGGCAGCACAAGTGGCGAGGGTCTTGGGCTGCTTCATCTCATGGGGAAAGTGGAAGGCGAAACAGGTGTACGCAAGGGGCTCACATGGCAAGAGAGGAAACACGAGAGTCTAGGAAGCTGAACTCACTCTGATAACAATCCACTCCTGGTAACTAATCCAGTCCCATGAAAAGGCATTAATCTATTCATAAAGGATCTGCCCTGTGACCCAAATACCTCCCACTAGGCCCCACCTCCCACACCACCACATTTGGAATCAAATTTCAAATGGATGAAATTTCAAATGGCTGGTGGGAACAAATGATGTCCACATCACAGCATACACCCCACCTGTGGGGCTACGCTGCTGTGCCCCTCCCCTCCCAGCTGCCATTGTGCCCTGCCCCTTGGAGCCTGAGCTGACTTGGTGCCCTGCTTTCCAGGGAATCAGTGCCTTGGCCAGTCTGAGCAGTCACACCCCCCACTGCACGAGAGCTGAAGCGCTGCCCTGCTTCACAGGGAATCAGTGTCTTGGCTGAGCTGAGCAGCCACACCTGCCAGGGATGAGCCAACATGGCACCCCCATATCCTAGGAAAATGGCATTGGCTGAACTGGGGTACCTTGCCCTTCAGGACAAACAACTGTAGAACCCTGCTTCCTTGGAACTGGACTAGCTCTGGAGAATCTGAGTTGCCCAGGCACCTGCCTCCCCAGGGAGAGAAGTAGTTGCTGCACTGGTCCCTGCCCCTAAGGGCCCAAGCCACAGTAGGGCTCCACCATTCTGGGGTCCTTGCTGATGCTGCATCTGGCCTCACAGAGACTGAGATGCTGCTGTGTCCCACCACGGCAGGTTCCAGAGTCACTATCATGTCACTCCCATGTCCAGAGTCACTCCCATCCCCTGGGAGTTTACTTCTTAAACTCTTCGCAAAAACAGAGCGAGAGGAAATAATTCCAAACACATTTTACCAGGCCAGTATCACCTTAATACCTAAGCCAAACCAAAACACACACACACACACACACACACACACACACACACACACACCCCAAACAAAGAAAAACTACAGGTCAACTTCTCCAATAAATTAAAAACTGATGCAAATATCCTAAAAAAATTTTAGCAAATAGAATTCAACAACACATCAAAAACATTATACATCGTGTTTCAGTGGGATTTATCCCTGGCATGCAAGACTGGTTTAAAATATGTAAATCAATCAATGTGATATATCACATTAACACAATGAAAGATAAAACGACATGGTCATCTCAATTGATGCAGTAAAAGCATTTAACAAAGTTTAGCAACCTTTCTTGATAAAACCTCTTAATAGTTTATGTATAGAAGGAAAGTTCCTCAACATAATAAAGACCATTTATGAAAAACCCACAGTCTAATCATAGTTAGTGGGGAACAACTAAAGCTTTTCCACTAAGATTGAGTACAAGATAGGGATGGCCAGCCTCATCACTTTTATTCAATAGAGTACTTGCAAGAGCAATCAGATGAGAAAAAAAGGCAACTAAATTAAAGAAGTAAAATTATCTCTATTTGCAGATGACAAGATCCTTTATGTAAAAAACTCCAAAGATTCCACAAAAAACTGTGAGAACTACTAAATCAATTCAGTTAAGCTGCAAGGTATAAACTCAACATATAAAAATCAGTTGCATTTCTATATACAAATAACCTAGCTGACGAAGCAATCAAGAAAATAATCTCATTTACGATAGCATCAAAGAAAAACAAAAACTTAGGAATAAATTTAACCAAGAAGGTGAGAGATGTGTACACTTGAAAACCATAAAACATTGATGAAAGAAATTTAGACATGAACAAATGAAAAGACATCCTATGTTTATGGATCAGAAGACTTAATATTGTTAAAATGTTCACACTACCCAAAGCAAATATACAGATTTAACACAATCCTCATCAAAGTTCTGATGGCATTCTTCACAGAACAGAATAAAACAATCCTGGCCAGGCACAGTGGCTCATGCCTGTAATTCCAGCACTTTGGGAGACCGCAGCGGGCGGATCACGAGGTCAGGAGTTGGAGACCAGCCCGGCCAACATAGTGAAACCCTGTCTCTACTAAAACTACAAAAACTGGCCAGGCATAGTGGCATGTGCCTGTAGTCCCAGCTACCTGGGAGGCTGAGGCAGAAGAATTGCTTGAATCCAGGAGGCAGAGGTTTCAGTGAGCCGAGATTATGCCACTGCACTCCAGCTTGGGCGACAGAGTGAGACTTTGCCTCAAAAAAAAAAAAAAAAAAGAAAAGAAAAAACAATCCTGAAACTCATATGGAACCACAAAAAACCCCAAACAGCCAACAGATTACTGTGAAAGAAAAAGTTGGAGGCATCACACCTCTTGATTTAAAATTGTATTACAAAGCTACAGTAATCAAAACAGTATGGTGCTGGCACAAAAACAAAAAAATAGACCAATGGAACAGAACAGAGACCTTTGAAATAAATCCAAACATATACTGTCAACTAATTTTTGACAAGGGCAAACAAGACAACACAATGGTAAAAAAGATAGTCTCTTCAATAATAGGATTTTCACATGCAAAAGAATAAAACTGGACCCTGATCATACACCATACACAAAAATCAACTCAAAACAGATACAAGACCAAAGACCCAAATAAGACCTGAAACCATAAAACTCCTAGAAGAAAACATAGGGGGAAAGCCTCTTGACATTGGCCTTAGCAATAATTTTTTGGATATCGCACCACAAGCCAGGCTACAAATGTAAACATAAACAAGGAGGACTGCATCAAACTAAAAAGCTTCTGCACAGCAAAGGAACAACCAACAAAATGAAAGGGGAACCTACAGACTGGAAGAAATATTTGCAAACCACATATCTGATAAAGTGTTAATATCCAAAAATCAGTAAAGAACTCTTACAACTTAATAGCAGAAAAACAACCCAGTTGAAAAATGGGCCAAATAGGAAATGACCAATAGGAAATGGGGAGATGTACATTAAAATAATACAAAGTAGCAGACATGTAGGATGAACAAGTTAGAGATCTAGTGTACATCATGAGGGCTATAGTTAATAAAAATATATTGTCTTTGGGATTTTTGTTAAATAAGTAGATTTTAGCTGTTCCTGTCACACAAACAAAAATCTAACTATGTGAGATGGTAGCTATGTTAATTTGCTTCACTATAGTAACCAGTTTACTATCTATATGTATCCTTTAAGATCATATTGTCAACCTCAAATACATAAAATAAAATTTATTTTAAAAAGGAAAAGTTTGTCTTCAATCCAGAAAGAACCACTATTACCATTTTTTGGTGTTCCATTCCAAAATATCCCAAAAATATACAATTGTTCAATCAAATTTAACGTTAGACTTTATACTTGAACATTCAAAGTACGTAAGAAATTATAGAAAAGTGTCTGTGTGACTCCCTGTCTGTAGAGCACAGGCTTCATCTCTACTAACACACACACGACCAGTACCTTATACAGAGAGTCCTTGTTTGCCTTTAGTCTGACACCATGGGCGAGCCTGAGTTGGCCCGTGGTCCGCATTCCTGACCAGGTGTCTTTCTCACCCACTGGTTTCAACAAAGATGCTACTGGGTTATAGAAGGCTGGGATGGAAACAGGATACCAAGTTCGCATGAAGACAATATCTGAAAAGAGGTAATTTACTTTAACATTTTCAAAAGAAGATTCATATCCATATTGCGAAGAAACAAAGAACAAAACCTTCACTCCAAACTTCTCTACCTGGCTGCAAAGTATTTGAAGGGAAAGGTCGCTAAGGGAACTATTCTCATAGATCACAGAACTGTTACTGGGTGTGGCCAGGGGGCTGAAGACACAAGCGAATGGGCACACCGCATAACACTGGGAGATCTAAGGCTGGAGCTGCTCAACTCTCTGGAGACCTGACTCCAGCCTCTCATCACACTGGCTAGAAGTCAAGCATGAATGGTAACACCCTGCCCTGAATACTACTTAAGACATTCACCGCTCATCAGCAGCTTATCCTCAAAGCTGGCCCAGAAAGCTCCTTCTGGAGCTCAGAGTGCTTTCTTGATCTGCCCCCTTATCCCAATGACAGTTCAAATCACAGCACCTTCAAATTTGGCCACGTCCAAGGCAGAATTAAACATTCCCTACAGGTGTAGCAAGATAAAAAAACACACACACACAAAATCATATACTTTATGCTTTACTTCTTACTTCAAACATACATCCTTGATTAAAGAACAAAAACAACTCACTGAAGGGTGATAAAATAATCAAAATGTATTTGCCCCTGAAAGTGGAATTACTACCTCAAAAAGAATACAACTCTTTCATTTTCCCCAAAATAATCATGTGAGTTCATGGGCATGCTCATCACTGCTGTCTGTGTGGAAGAGAAGATCGAAGAGGGATTTACTGGACTGAATTGGCCTAGGAAGCCTTTGCTGGCATCTCTCAGACTGGACTGCAGCCCAGATCCTTTTACTCAGATGCATGCACTTAGAACATGAAAACAGTAAGATAAATGCTGGTGGTATTATTACCTTATATTGCAAGAACATTTTATGACTTCCTAACTCTGTGTTTTCAATAGAAACATCCCCACTAATGAAATTGTCAATAAATGCTGCTCAAACCACCCTCCCCAAATACTGAAAAACAGTACGTCCGTTTCTCTGTACCCTTGCCAAGTTGTCTGCAAATGCTTTGTCGATTTTTCTACCGAGTTAGACAAACTTGTGATTTTTTTCCCTTTCTTAACACAAATTTAAAAAGTAGGAAACAAAACCTAGTGGATAAAATGACATATTTTCAATATGAGTTCTGTGGCAGTCTCACATGGAAGTCAGGAGTAACAGCCTCAATTCCTAAATAGCTGTTTACCACTGCTTTTTTGAGCATATTTAAGTAATACAGAATATAAAGGAGCAAACAAAATATGAAGTTTATAAAAGATTTCAAACACTTTTCTAAAAATGAGGCCCATATTTTAGAGGTATTTCATTCCTTTTCTCAAACAATATGGAGATTTATAAATATGAGAATATATAGATATACAGACCTTAATAAATGAAGTGGAAAACCAGTTAGCTTTAATTTCTTCACAATTTTTATGGATTTATCCAGATCAAGGACAACTCCTGTGGCAGCTATCCGAAAATCAGGCTAACAGGAACCCCAAAATTTGAAAATAGGAATAATATTAGCAAAAGAAAAACTTCAATTCTATGTGACACAATAAATTACCAAAGTGAATTTTACTGACAATTAGCTAAGAAAAACAAGAGAGACCATCTGAACTTGCAACCCAGTGGTTTGACAAAAGCAATCCAAAACTTTAAAGTTGGTAAGCCAAACTAACAAGGGTGACTTGAGGCTGGGCACAGTGGCTCATATCTATAATCCCAGCTACTTGGGAGGCTGAGGCAGGAGAACCGCTTAAACCCAGGAGGCAGAGGTTGCAGCGAGCCAAGATCGTGCCACTGCACTCCAGCCTGGATGACAGAGTGCGACTCTGTCTCAAAAAAAAAAAAAAAAAAGAAAGAAAAAAAAAGGCTACTTGAGTACTTTCCTGAGAGTGATTTCAGAGGAATGTAATTTTACTATAATGATTTATTTGGAACGAAATGGAAAAGAAAAATACAGTTGCAATGTTTAGGAAATTAAAATTTGGACCTCCAGGGAAGATTCCATCTGCTCATTATTCTGCTTTCTTCTCTGTTAAATGGGACCAGTAAACCCTGCCCTGCGTGACTGGTCAAATGAAAATGGAGTGAACAGACTGCTACCCCAGCACAGCTGCAGGGAGTCTTGTGTCTGGGTGGTCTCTGATGGCTCCTCATAACCTCATATAGTGCTTAGCACATGGTGAGCACTGCTTAAATACTTGCTTAGATAAATAAATGCAAAAGATGCACAAAAATAGGAAATGTACCATTATAATTCTTCCACCTCCCCTCCTCTAATCCCACACCCTACTGAAAAGGATGTACGAAGATTAAAAGCAAAGGGAAATTTACTTTATATTAATAAAAATGAGTAATTTTCAATTTAAAGTCTCATGTACATAATAACCCACATTCAGGATATATTTCTCAAACCAATCTGTAAAAGAAATCATCCAAGATAGTTACCATTATGCCACTGACAGACTGTATTGCCAAGAAACCAGTTCCCTGTGGAGTGATAGGGTCTTAAAGGAAAAGGAAAAAAAGAAATATAGCAAACCACAAATTTTAGATTCTAGTTTAACATACTGGATATGGACATTTAGATTTGGATATAGATTTACATATATACTCCAAACCACCTCCCCGCTCCCAGAAAAGAGAAAAATCTTAGGAGTGGAATTTTATGAAAGGAAAAGCACAAAGCTAAAATAACGCAGCCTGTAAGGTTTAATCTCGGCAATAGGCAAGTTATTGTAATCATATTTTACCCCAAAAGGCTGCTCCACAATGCATGTGCTGTGGGGTATACTTTAGAAGCCTTTGTCTTCCATTGTGGTCTTCGATATAATAGAGCGGGATGGTCTGAAACCTCCTCCACCCTACAGAAAATATGATTGGATCTCGGGACTTGAGGATTTTCTTATACCAGCGATGTTTCTTCAGACGCATCTGAAGGGGATGAGAGGGTAAGATGATTGATGGAGGGGAAATCCACAGAGCCTCAGGCACCAAATATGCAGCAAAAGGACCCACCTGCACGTATCCAACATTTCCCTCGCTGTTGCCCAAGCCACCCAGGATAATGGGGTAATGGGGGTCAATGTTCTGCACAAATTCACAGGGAACATTTTCAATCTCAACGCGGACGTACATCCCAGGTCGAAAACCCTCATACTGAACTCTGGCTTCATCATCTTGATCTTCAAATTCTGCATGATTCAACTGTACATGACGGGGCGGGGGGCGGGGAACCTGTATGCTGTTATCTGTAATAAACATAGGATTAACATGAACAAATGAGCAATTTCTAAGTAAAGGAACTGTGGACAAAATTATGTAGGCTTTATCCTATTAAAAATACTACACATTTGGCCGGGTACAGTGGCTCATGCCTGTAATCCCAGCACTTTGGGAGGCCGAGGCGGGCAGATCACATGAGGTCAGGAGTTTAAAACCAGCCTCGCCAACATGGTGAAACCCCGTCTCTACTAAAAATACCAAAATCAGCTGGGTGTGGTGGTGCCTGCCTATAGTCCCAACTACTCAGGAGGCAGAGGTGAGAGAATCGCTTGAACCTGGGAGACGGAGGTTGCAGTGAGTCAAGATCGTGCCACTGCACTCCAGCCTGGGCAATAGAGCGAGATTCCATCTCAAAAAACAAAAAAACAAAAAAAACCTACACATTTTACCTCTACAGTCTGCTCAGAATATGTCCCAACCGTTTTCTTCTCTCCTGCTCCAAGGGACAGCAAATGTAGATAACTGTGGAGCCCTGCGTGCTCAAACATTGGAAACATCCCCAGTCCACACCTTCTTTCCTTCCTCTCCAAACAATTCTTTCACACTTTTCTCTTGTCTTCAAACACCCACCACCACCCTCACCTTCACTCAGCTGATGGCTGTTTCCTGATTCACTCCAAAACCAAAAGAACCTCTATGGTCAACCCTCTACCAGGGTTTCCTCCCATATCCAGCCTTATCAGAGCTCTGACCTGGCCCATAGAGGAGCTATGTGTGGCTATTTAAATTAAAATTAATTACAATTACATAATATTAAAAATGCAGTTCCTCAATCACACTAGTCACACTGGAAGTGGTCCATATCAACCTGCGGCCAGTGTCACAATACTGGGAAGCACAGACGTGCATCTCCATGATCACAGAAAGTTCTACGGGCAGCTCAGGCACAGATGATTTGTCCATGCCTTTACTCCGGGCCACACATCACTTGCTCACTAGACACCATCCACTCTTCCTGGATTTTATTCCAACAGCTCTTCCCTCTGTTCTCTCTCTTATCTCAAAACCTTTTGATTCCACTTCTTCCACCAAAAACTGCTTCATTTCTCTGCTTCTCTCTGCAGCAAAACCCCACAAAAGTTTTCTGCAGTTGCAGCCTCCAGTTCCTCTGCTCCCATTCTCCTACATCCATGAAAATTGGTGCTTGCCAAGATTGCTGAAGGCCTCCACGCTGAAGGACTCCTCCAGTGGTCAACTCTGCCTTTACCGTAGTTAACACTGCAGCGGGATCTGAACAGTGCTTCGCCTCCATGTACAACTGGACTCCTGCGTGCCTGCATGCTCACACTGCTTCTCCCTCTCCCTCCTCGGCACTGCTCAGGCCTCACAGCCGCAATCGCCCCATCTCGCCCATGCCAGTCTTGCTCCTCCCAGTCACTCTGCACTCACTCCCTGGCTACCTCACAGAGTTAAGTGGCATCTACATGCTGACGGCTGTACATCTAAGTCCCTGGCCAGACCTGTCTCTCCAGACTTGACGCTCCGCTTGTCTGCATGATACCCAGCCAAACCAAACATCATCTTCCCAAAACTGCATCTGCAGACAGTTTCCTATCTAACCTGCAACAACCCATCCTTCCAGGAATTTCCAGCCGCCATCCTCATTTCCTCTCACACATCCCACATTCAGTCCACCAGGAAATCCTACTGACCCAGCTTCCAAATAAACTCTATCCAGGTTTGACTCTTTGTCTCATCTCCACTGCCAGCCCTCTGGTTTGTGCCACCGGACTGATCTCTACCAGACTGATCTCTTGGCAGAGTGATCTGATTACCTGAATGTCTCTCCTCTGCTCAAAACCCTCCAAGGACTCCCATTTCAGAGTGAAACATTCAGTCTTTTCCAATGGCACACAAGGCTCTAGGTAATTTTAAATTGTAAATGGTGTGAAGCAAAAACTTCAGAGTTAGCCTAGTCATGCCTTTCAAAGGTCAACACAGACTAGCAACCACTAAGCTAATGCCTAATCAGGAAACAGTCCTTTGACTAGATGAAGACCTAGGATGAAACTCCGTTTCACAAATCATACACCTAATCTGTTCCAGCTTACACAGGCACTCCTGGCCTCACTAACAAGACGCAACTCAGATGCTCACCATCAACTGTACACACGTTTCTGTGTCTGTCTCCTTCAGAGTGAGATCACCGCCTCCAGCAACCTGCTCAGCACCCCCAGGCAGGAGGGCCACACCATCTCCCTTATCTCCGCATCTGACCTTATACTCCACATGTCCTTCTGAACTCTGACCAGGATGTTTTGAGAGCACTTCCCCTGGGAGCTCTTGTGTGTCCATAAGCCACACAGGCCACTGATCACCTGCCATTCAAATCAGGGAGCAGCGATCAGAATAGGCAGCATTGGCTTGCACTGAAATGAACACACTGTCTTAGATCACTACATTGTAAAAGTCTCAAAAGTAGAGACCATGTCTCAGTCATTTCGGTTTCCTAATTCTTGTTACAAAATAGGTATGGATCTTTTTCTGGTGACCTTCTGACTGTAGAAACAATGAGCTCACTGCATGAATAAACACACTCACATGCATCTACCCAGGAGTCCAACTGAAAGGCACAGAAGCAGGATAGGAAGCAGGGACCCAAAGAAAGTCAGGGATTCCTGCACTATGTGATAGTCTTGACAAGGGGCTAAGAGGAACTGAGGTTTCTCACCTGTGCTTGTTTCTGCATTTCTCCTTTAAGATCATCAAAATATGTGCTTTCTCCTTCATCATATTCCACATCAAACATCTCCTTCAATTTTCTCTTCTTATCCAAATGCTTTTTCTTGGCACTTTCTTCTTCATCAGGGTCAATTTCTTTCTTGTTTCTCTATATCTTCATTCTTAAATTTCCAGGAGAAAAAATTTTGTGTATGTTTATGAAGGTCTTTTCTTTAAACGTTAGATTTTTTAAAGTTCTATTTAAACAAAAATCTTAGCAAAAATCTGTTATCGTTATCAATAAAACAAAACAAAACACAACATAACCTTGGTCTCTGAATAACATGGTACTGCTACATGAAATTGTTACATCTGCATTACAATTAGCTGCTATTCCTTAAGCTGGCTGGGAACACAAACTAGAATAAAAATAACAGATATGTCCCTCACCCAGATGCTCCCAGACCCTGTTCTAAAGAAATATTAGGGAGAACAGGGACTTCATTCTTTTAAATGACACTTAAATTTAAAAAGAGGAGAATGATGGCAATGGTTGAATGTAAGTCTGAGAAGCTAAGACTTCTGTGAGTGAAAAATCACAGTGGACTTGGCAAATGACTACGGCAAGAAACGGTAGTAACTGTCGTCCAAAACTTAACAAGTAAACAAGAAAGCTTCTCTTTGGTCTCCACATCCCCACCCTTTAGGAAGGAATCTATCCATCCCATCTGCAATCTTCACACATCACAAGTAAGATTTGCATTTCTCAATATGGGCCTCTCTCAGAACACAATGACCAAGAACAGCCAGCTACAACAAAGACATACCTGAGTATCGGGGCCCGATTTTCCCTTGTGCACGTCCCCTGTTTCCAAGTCTTCAAAGTCACCATAGAGCTCCTCTGGGAAAAGAACACCCAAAGGCTGCTCTGTGAGCCCGGCATGCATGTGCTGCTGGCCCCACCCACGACAGGCCCACAATGCGCTCTGTGTTCCAAGCCTCATTCTCACTGCTCCCGTCACTAGACACACAGGCAAAACTTTGCACTAGGGAATGCTTCATAAAACGGTTAGTATTTCATCATCTGTTTAGGTAAACTAAATGGACCCAATCCACATTTCCGCACTTCATGTCAAAATCCCAATCTCAATTTTTCCAGTATAGATAATGGACACTCTTTTGTTTCTTTTTTTCTTTTTTTCTGGAGACGGAGTCTCACTATGTCACTCAAGCTGGAGTGCAGTGGCACAATCTCAGCTCACTGCAACCTCTGCCTCCCAGGTTCAAGCAATTCTACTGCCTCAGTCTCCCGAGTAGCTGGGATTATAGGCACCTGCCACCAGGCCTGGCTCATTTTTGTATTTTTTTTTTTTTTTTTTTTTTTGAGACGGAGTCTCGCTCTGTCGCCCAGGCTGGAGTGCAGTGGCGCGATCTCGGCTCACTGCAAGCTCCGCCTCCCGGGTTCACGCCATTCTCCTGCCTCAGCCTCCCGAGTAGCTGGGACTACAGGCGCCCGCTACCACGCCCGGCTAATTTTTTGTATTTTTAGTAGAGACGGGGTTTCACCGTGTTAGCCAGGATGGTCTCGATCTCCTGACCTCGTGATCCGCCCGCCTCGGCCTCCCAACATTTTTGTATTTTTAGTAGAGATGGGATTTCACCATATTGGCCAGGCTGGTCTCGAACTCCTGACCTCGTGATGTGCCCTCCTCAGCCGCCCAAAGTGCTGGGATTACAGGCATGAGCCACTGCAACCGGCCAATGGACACTCTTTATGAAAGACACAGAGGTCTATCTGTGTCCCCCAAACGAATAATTCAAAGAGTGAATGGAAAAGTCCCACGCTGATAACCAGTACATGTGAAAAGGAGTCTCAATGTAAGTTCAACACAACACAATCATGTAACACACCTAGGGGAAATTTTAGATTATATAAAACATAGCATTTAGATTAAGAGTAGAGCCCCAAACCACACCAAACCCATGGGAAGAGCTTATTCACTTATTCATTCCTTCATTTGTTTTTGGAGCTCTGGGCTCAATTATAGTTCCCACTCTTAAAAGAAATAGACAAGTAAGGCTGGGTGCAGTGGCTCACACTGTAAACCCAGCACTTTGGGGGCCCGGGAGGCAGAGGTTGCAGTGAGCCATAATTGCATCACTGAACTCCAGCCTGGGTGACAGAGTGAGACCCTGTCTCAAAAAAAGGATAACAAAAGAAAGAGGCAAGTTAAAACTCATTTGGGAGAGCAATATTTAGAAGGCTATTAAAACATTTTCACATAAGGGCCAAAGAACCAGGTAGACATTATAAAAGATAGGAAGCTCCTATTTGTAATAAAAGCAAAAAAGGATAAAATAGGAATAAACCTAACAAGAAGTGCACCGGAACTTTATTTTTTAAAAAAGAAGAAAAGCTTTAATAGGCTACCAAAGGACAAAAGGAATAGCATCACTACCAACACTCGTAAGTGCTCTCCACACCAGGCACTGCGTTAAGTACTTTCCTTGCCTTAACCACATTCTTCAACCCAAGGAAGTAGGTGTTGTAAATATTATATACTGAATAATGATACGTCCTCATTTGAAAAGAAAGATTCGACATCACAAATATGCCAATTCTCCCTTTAGCACAGTTACAACCCGAAACCACCACTAAGGATTTCTGGTCTAGAGAAGATAACACATTATACCCTCCTAAGAAATGTAACCCAAATTGTAGAAATAATAGACAGGAGAGGATCAATGGAGAATTCCAAAAGGTGGACAGAAAAAGGCTGCTGAGGGACTCTAGGACTAGGGAATGCATAGTAGCCAGGTGTCTCCCTGGACCTCATCCAATAGGAAGGTGACCCAGGCCCAGAGTTTCCCAACTCCCAACGTAGCAATAGAAGGCAACCCAGGCAGACTCAGTCCCTGCAGATCAAAGGAGATCTTCCCCACAACAAGAAAACCAGCTCCACACACCAAGACCACCACCATTCCCCACCCACCTAGCTGCAGCAGGTGGCCCAGCCTGGGGCAGCTCCCCTGTTCCCTCAGGTGGGCAACAGAAGGGACTGGTGGGAGAATCCCAGTGATACATATAAGCCAAACAGACCAAAATAACACCATGAAAGCTCTGAAATTAAATTGCCATTGCAATCACAGCCCACAAAGTAGACCAAGACCTACAGACTAAACCTAAACAGGAGGACTGCCTGCAAAAATAAAAAAAATTACATAGGCAGATGTTGGAACCATCTGACTCATCACTTGTAACAGCCAGTATAAAAATGCTTCAACAAGCAACTACAAATCCTATGGCAACAATCAAAGAACTGAAAACGTCAGCAAAGAAACTGAAGAAGAATCAAATGGAAATTACAGAAATATAAAATACAGTAAAAGAAATTTTAAAAAAATCTAACTGGATGGGCTCTATTGAGTAAAAGTGGAGACGACAGAGGAGAGAATCAGAGAAGCTGAAACCTGATCAACAGAATTCACCCGGTCTAAACAATAGAGAGAAAATAACCTGAAAACAAATGAACAGAGTTGCACGGACCTGTGGGACGATAACAAAAGACCACGCATTTATGTTATCTGAGTCCCACAGGAGACCAGAGCTGTGAAAGCATGCAAATAACTAATTCCTGAGGCTTCCCACATTTGGTGAAAGATATAAACTTACAGATTCAAGAAGCTGAGCAAACCTCAAAGTATACCAAAAGAAAGCAACACTGATTAAACTTTCAAAACTAAAAACAAAGACCAAAAATGGCAGAATGCCTGTAGGGACACGCCAATTCAAATGCCATGGAGGCCAGAAGGAAGTGGCACAACATTTTCAAGTGCTTAAAAAAAACCAACCAAACAAAAAAACCAACCAAACAAAAAACTGTTCGCTGCAAATTCTATATCCCATGAAACTACCCTTCAGAAATGAAGAGAGAAATAAAGACATTCTCCGAGGAAGAGAATATAGGAATTTGTCACTGGTCAATTTAGACATGCTAAAAAGTGGCTACAGAAATATGTTCTGTCATTTCCACAATACAAAAAATTAAAACAAAAAAATCAAAATAAAAAATGGCTATAGAAAGTTCTTATGCAGAAGGGATGAATATGGGACTACGGGAGGAGGGACAAAGGAAAGACCAGAAATGTGGATACATACGCGAGACAATCCACAGTTCTTAAAATCACATTTGACGACTGAAACAAAAACTATACCACCACCTAATACTCAAGCCAGTGATTTATACAAGTGGAAAAGGTAAAGAGACATAAATGCAAGGCAGGTTTCCACACTTTGAAGTGGTAAATACTGGTACCAGTAGACTACTATATTACAATACACATATTGTAACATCCAGAGCAAACACTTTAAGACTATACAAAGAGATACACGCAACAACATTATACAGAAATAGATCAAGATGGAGGGAAAGAAAAAGGAAACAAAAAAGCAAATAATAAAAACATCAGACATAAGCAATTATGTAACAATAAGCACCTTAAATGTAAATGGTCTAAATAAACCAAAAGACAGATTGATGGAGAGCCTATAATAAACACATGGCCCAACTAAATACTGTTCATAAGAAACTTCAAACTCACTTAAGGACCTAAGTAGGTTGAAAGTAAAAGAATGGAGAAAGATATCCTGTGAAATCATTAATTTTTTAAGGAAGCAGGAGTGAATATATTAATATCTCATGAAGTAGACTTCAAGCAAAATAATTTACCAGAGCTGGAGAGGGTCTTCGTTGAATTTTAAGATCTAAAATTTCCTATGCTGCCTTGACATCTTTGAGCCTCACAGGGCCCCAAAGGCCTAGCCGTGGGTTTTCCTGTTTCTACCAGACACCCCCTACCCTGCCACCCAACAGGAAAGGCTCCCCACCTGGCTAGTTCTTTTATCAGCCAGAACAGTTGCACCTCAGCCTAAGAAGTTTCACTTCACCTGTCTGCCAGCCCATGAATTTATTCAAACAAGCCAATTGCATTCCCCCTCGGGAACCATTGGTCATTGTGTGCTCTTGTTACTATCAAGCCTGCCTGCTTCCTCAGCCTGCAGCCCTCACTCCGCTACAGAGTGCGGTGCCCATCTGACCCTGTGTGGCATGCAGTGTCCTCCTCTGAGCTGTGGGTATATGTGACTAAAACACTGCTGTCAATCTCATCCATCCACGCCAGGTGTCGTGTTCAGCCATCTCCTACACTTTAGGGCAGGGACCCCTCCTTCACCAATGGGGTGAAAAGGAAGTGACCATAACAACTGCTTAATGACAAAAGGATTGACCCACCAAGAAGACATCTACTTCAACATCCTCCTCTTAGCAACTGTTAAAACTAGGCAGAGGCCGGGCACAGTGGCTCATGCCTGTAATCCCAGAACTCTGGGAGGCAAAGACAAAGGATAGCTTGAGGCCAGGAGTTCGAGCCTGGGCAACATAGCAAGGCCTCATCTCTCCAAAAAATTTTAAATTTAGTCAGGTGTGGCGGCACACACCTATAGTACCAGCTAGTCAGGAGGTTAAGCCAGGGGAAGTACTTGACCCTAGGAAGTCAAGGCTGCAGTGAGTCATGTTCGTGCCACCGCACTCTAGTGTAAGTGACAGAGTGAAACTAGGCAGAAAAGGAGCAAGGATTTACAAAAGATCTGAACAGTCAACCAGCAAAATCTGACATCCGTATAATACCCCACTCCCCAACAGCAAAACACACACATTTTTAAAGCCAATAGAAATCTACCAAGATGAAGTACATTTGGGGCAATAAAAGAAATCACAGCAAATCTCACTGTGCGCCCCTCTGCGTCGGCGCCGGCGCCGTGCCCCTCTCTGCGCCTTCTTTTTTCACCATGGGGAAGCGTTTGGGGGCCTCTTGAGGGACCCCCTAGATGCTTCCACTCAGAGCCCCCAAAGCCGGGGAGCCTCCACTCCTCTGTCTGCAGTCTCCCCTGTCGGTTCTCGCTACCCAGGGTTCAGTGGCCTGGGGGCTGACGGAGGGGGTCGCCTCTGCCAAGGCCCCTCCCGGCGCCTCCCTGGCTCATCCAGCCCACCTTCCTCCCACGCTGGCTCACGCAAAGTGCTCTGGTCACCAGGAGCCCTTCCTGACCAGCCCCAGCCCCTTCTTGGCCTTCGCCCACCTGGCCTCCCCTGGAGCCCTGACCTGGGTGCCAGGCCTGCTGGGTCCAGAGCCCACCCCGCCCTGAACAACCCCGAGTCTCAGCCACCCTCAGTTCTTACCCTTTCACAGCTGGGGAGTGGAGCCTGGGCCTGCGCCTCTCCGCGCCAGCGCCGGCACTGTGCGCCTCTCCGCCGCTGTCCGCCTCTCCGCCGCGCCGCCGCTGTCCGCCTCTCCGCCGCTGTCCGCCTCTCCGCCGCGCCGCCGCTGTCCGCCCCTCCGCCGCTGTCCGCCCCTCCGCCGTGCCGCCGCTGTCCGCCTCTGCGCCGCTGTCCGCCTCTCCGTCGCTGTCCGCCTCTCCGCCGCTGTCCGCCTCTCCGCCGCGCCGCCGCTGTCCGCCTCTCCGCCGCTGTCCGCCTCTCCGCCGCGCCGCCGCTGTCCGCCTCTCCGCCGCTGTCCGCCCCTCCGCCGTGCCGCCGCTGTCCGCCTCTGCGCCGCTGTCCGCCTCTCCGTCGCTGTCCGCCTCTCCGCCGCTGTCCGCCTCTCCGCCGCGCCGCCGCTGTCCGCCCCTCCGCCGCTGTCCGCCCCTCCGCCGTGCCGCCGCTGTCCGCCTCTGCGCCGCTGTCCGCCTCTCCGTCGCTGTCCGCCTCTCCGCCGCTGTCCGCCTCTCCGCCGCGCCGCCGCTGTCCGCCTCTCCGCCGCTGTCCGCCTCTCCGCCGCGCCGCCGCTGTCCGCCTCTCCGCCGCTGTCCGCCCCTCCGCCGTGCCGCCGCTGTCCGCCTCTGCGCCGCTGTCCGCCTCTCCGTCGCTGTCTGCCTCTCCGCCGTGCCGCTGCTGTCCGCCTCTCCGCCACGCCCGCGCCGGCGCTGTGTGCCTTTGCGAGGGCGGAGCTGCGTTCTCCTCAGCACAGACTTCGGAGATACAGCGAAGGCGGAGCAGTGTTCACCTCAGCACAGACCCGGGCGGGCGGGCGGGCCGGTGGCACCGCGAGGGCGGAGCTGCGTTCTGCTCTGCACAGACCTTGGGGCACTGCCTCGCTTTGGGACAACTCGGGGCCGCATCGACGGTGAATAAAATACTTCCTGTTTGCAGCCCTGTTTGTGGTTGGTGGCAGCGATGGACACTGCAGCCAGCCAGAGCGTAGAAAGGCATCGGGGTAAGTGCACTATCCAGGCTGCACTGCGGGTGGCCTGGGACGGGTTGGGAGCCCTATCTCAGGCGTCACTGCCCGTCTTGGGTGGCTGGTTGGGTGTGCTATCTGGGGCTGTGCTGCCTGCACCGGGGGGTGGTTTGGGGGCCCAAACCGGGGCTGCACTGCCTTTGGCGGGGAGCCGGTTGGGGGCACTATCCCAGACTGTATTGCTGGCAACAGTGAGGTGGGCTAAGTGTGCTATCCAGGGCTGCACTGTGCGGCTGTGGGGGGTGGTGTGGCGGTTTCGGGTTGAGGGCGCTATGGGGTGCTGTAATGCCCATGGTGCAGGGAGGCGGGGCGGTTTGCCTACGTTGGGTGTGCTATTGGGGGGGGGCGACACTGCTGGTGGTAGGGGGCAGGGTGGGTTGGGGGCCATATCAGGGGCTGCACTGATTGCTTTAGCTAGGATTTCTGGTACTATGTTAAACAACAGTGGTGACAGGGGGCATCCTTATCATGTTCCAGATCTTAGAGGAAAAGCTTTCCATTTTTCCCCATTCCATATGATTCTAGCTGTGGGTGTCTTTCCTGTAGTTTTTATTATGTTGCGGTATGTTTCTTCTGTGCCCGTTTCTTTGAGGATTTATAGCATGAAGGGATGTTGAATTTCATCAAATGCTTTTTCGGTTTCAGTTGACGTGATGATACTGTTTTTGTCGTTTATTTGGTTGATATGATGTATCACATTGTATGTTGAGTGACCCTTGATCCCAGGGATACATTGCACTTGATCATGATGAATTATCTTTTTAATGTATTACTGAATTTGATTCAGTGGTATTTTGTTGAGGATTTTTGCATCAATATTAGAGATCCTGGCCTGTAGTTTCCTTCTTTGATGCTTTTGTCTGATTTTGGTATCACAGTAATAATGGTCTCATAGAATAAGTTTGGAAGTATTCCCTCCTGTTTTTCAAAATAGTTTGAGCAGGATTTGTACTAGGTCTTTAAATTGTTTGGTGTGAAGCCATCAGCAGTGAAGACATCAGTTCCTGGGCTTTTCTTTACTGGGAGACTTTTTCTGATGGCTTCAATCTCATTACTTGTTACCAATCTGTTCTGGTCTTGGATGTTTTCGTTGTTTAACCTAAGTAGGTTGTATGCATCTAGGAATTTGCCAATTTCTACTAGGCTTTCCAATTTATTGGCATATAATAGCCAGTTATGATCCTTTGAATTTCTGAAGTATTAGTTGTAATGTCTCCTTTTTTTAATCTGTTGATTTTATTTATTTGAATCTTGTCTCTTTACTTAGCCTGGTTAAAAGTTTGTCAATTTTGTTTAGCTTTCCAGAAAACCAACTTTTCGTTTAATCTTGTGAGGTTTTTATTTCAATTTTGTTTCTGCTACGATCTTATTTATTTTCTTATTTTCGGTTTAGTTTGTTCTTTACTAGTTCTTTAAGATGTATTGTTTACTTGAAGTTTTTCTTTTGTTTGGATGGTAGGCACTTATAGCTGTAAATCTCTGCCTTTGTACTGCTTTCTGCATAACAAGTTTTGGTATACTGTGTGTTCATTACCCTTTGTTTCATGAAATTTTTGAATTTCTGTCTTAGTATCTTCATTGACCCGCTAGTCATTTATTCAGGAGGGTAGTGTTTAACTTCCATGTGATTGTATTATTTCCAAAATTACTTTTCTTATTGATACCTATTTTTATTCCTTTGTAGTGAAAGAAGATGGCCACAGAGACAGACAGCAGCGTGGTCAGAGTGGTAGGAGCCGGCCATCAGCGAGAGCTGCTCCATGCCTGGCTGCTGGGTGCTAGAGTCTGCGGCCCACTGGCTTGCCTCACTGTGGTTGGTGGTGGCGGTGACAGAGACTGCAGCATGACCAGAGTGGTAGGACAGGGGCTATCCAGGGCTGCACCTTTCGCAGTGTGGGGTGGGTTGGGGGCGCTATCCAGGGTGTCATTGCCTGCATTAGGGGTACTAGTTGGTAGCACTGTACAGGGCTGCACTGCCCACGGCAGGGAAGGTGGGTTATGGGTGCTTTCTGGGGCTGCAATGCCCATGGAGGAGAACAGGTTAGGGCACTATCAGGTATACGCTACTGGCGGCATTGGGGGACAGAGGTGGGGGGTGCTATTGAGGGCAGGACTAGCCGTGGAGTGGGGGACGAGTTCGGTGCTATCAGGCTGCACTGCTGGTGGCGGTCAACAGAGTTGGCATCCAAGGAAGGAGTGGTTCTCCTCTCCCTGACTCCACACTCCAGAGGGCGACCCACTCTTGGTCATACTGGAATGCGGCAGGGCACGCAGCGTTTGCATGGGAATCCTGAGCATGGCAGAGCCCCCACACCCACCGTGGTTCCTGGGCCTGTGCACTCTGGGTCTGTGCCTCAGAGGCTGCCAGGCACCCCTGGGGACACCACGGGGGACAGGGCCCTGTGCGTGGAAGCGTCCAGAACAGGAATTGGCACCTGGGTGCAGAGGGCTGGCTGGGTCTGAATTTTTCTGCTTCTCCTGCTCCCCAAGGAGTGCAGCCCCAGTGGGCCCAATGGTTCCTGTGGAGTGGGGAGCTGGGTGCTGTGGTGTCTCCAGCACCCACCCCAGACCTCAGTTCCCGGCCAGCTTGGGCCAAAAGGAGAGGCTGGACTTTGGAGGGTGGGTGTGAGTGCCTTTGCTGAAACTGGCCCCTGCCACCCAGTGGCCGGCATGACAAGGTGAGGCTCTAACCCTTCCACCCCTCACATCTTCCTCTAGGCTTTTCTGGCTTTGCCCGCCCAGCTGCTCCATGCCAGGAGGAGGAGGAGACACCTAGAGCCTGCAACACCACGGCTCGCCTCGCTACAGGTGGGTGGCAGTGACGGAGACTGCAGTGCACCAGAGCGGTAGGAGAGCGGCCACGCTAGGAGGGCAGGCGGCTGCAGCCAGGGTCAGGCTTACAGCAATGGACGGGCTGCAGCAGTGACCAGGTGGTAGGAGCCTTGTAGGGAGGGCTGGTGCATTGGCAATGGGCCTGGCTTTGCCCTGCGCCTGCCGTGGATCTGGCCCTGTACTGCCCTGCCTTGCCCTGTACCTGCCCTACTGTTACCTGGACTCTCGGCCCTGTCCTGCTCTGGTCCCATCCTGACCCTGTCTTGGCCCTGTGCTACCCTGTCCCTTCCCTGGTCTTGCCCTGGCACTGGCCCTGCCCTGAACCTGCACTGGCCTGACCTTGGCTCTGGCCCTGCCCCTTGTCCTGACCCTGGTCCTGTCATGGCACTGGCCCTGCCAATGGTCATGGTCCTGCTCTTGTTCTGGCCCTGACCTGGCCTTGGATATGTCCTGGCCCTGCTTTGGCCCATCCCTGCCCTGGCCCCACCATGGGCCTGCCTGTTCTGCCCTCTCCTGGCACTGACCTTGCCCTGTCATGGCCCAGTGGTGCCATTGCCCTGCCTTACCCTGAGCTGGTTGTGCCTTGGCCCTGCTTGGTGCTGGCCGCTCCCTGGACCTGCCCTGGACCTGCCTTGACCCTGCCTTGGCTTTTGCCGTGCCCTCACTATGGCCTGGCCCTGGCCCTAGCCCTGGTCCTGCCATATCCCTGGCCCTGCCCTTATCCAGGCCCTGCCCCTGCTGCTGCCCTGGCCCTGGCCTGGAACCTGGTCCTGTCAAGGACCTGCCCTGACTCTGCCATGGCCCTGGCCCTGCTCTGCCTTGTTCCTGGCCCTGACCCAGACCCAGACCCTTTCCTGGCTCTGCACTGGCCTTTCCCTGGCCCTGAGCTGGCAGTGGTCTGCCCCTGGTCTTGCCATTACCCTGCCCTGCTGTGCTCTGGATGTGTCATCACCCTGCCCTGGCCCTACTCTGCCTTTGACCCTGCCCTGGCCTTACCTTGGCCCTCACCCTAGTCTTCGCTAGACCCTGCTCTGGAGCTGGCCCTAGCACAGACCTGGCCCTGATCCTGGCCCTGGTCTTTGTCCTGCCATAGCCCTGGCCCTGAAGTGAACTTGGAGGTGTTCTGGCCCCGGCGTAACATGGCTCTGCATTGGCCTGTCCCTGCCCTGCCACTACCATCGCCTTGCCCTGCTCTGCCCTGTCCCAGTACTGACCTGGCCATGCTATTTCCCTGCCCTACCCTGCCTTGGCTGTGCCCTGGCTCGGTTCTGGCCCTGGCCCTGGCCCTGCCCTGGACATGCTCTGACACTGCCTCAGCCTCGGCACTAGCCTGGCTCTTCTTTGGCATCAGCTCTGCTCTCTGTGTGGACCAGCTCTTGTCCTGTCCTGTACTGGCCATACCATGCCCTGCCCTGCCCTGCCCTGACTCAGCCCTGGCTCAGCCCTGGCCCAGCCTTGGCCTTGGCATTGCCCCTGGTCCTGCCATATTTCTTGCCCTGTCCCTACCCTGGCCTTGGCCCTGACCCTTACCTTGCCCTGGCCCTGCCCTTGCCCTAACGCAGCCCCTGGCCCTGTCATGGCCCTGCCCTGGACCTGTCCTGGCCCTGGCCCTGCCCAGGTCTTGGCACTGGCCTGGCCCTGCCCTGCCTTGGCCCTATGCTTTCCTGGCCCTGCCTTGCCGGCCCTGGCCCTGCCTTGGCCCTAGCCTAGCTTTGACCCTGCCCTGGCCCTACCTTGGCGTTCACCCTAGCCTTACCTGGGCACTGTGTTGGACCTGGCCATAGCACAGACCTGGTTGTGGCCCTGGCCCTGCCATGGCCCTGTCCCAGACCCTAGCCCTGCCAGGTACCTGTCCTGGCCCAGCTCTGGGCCTGGCTTTGTCCCTGGTTCTTAGATGAACCTGGCCCTGCCCCTGCCCTTGCCCTTGCCCTGGCACTGGCCTTGGACATGTCCGTGGTCCTAACCCTGGCCCTGCCCTGGAGCTGCCACTCTCTTGGCCCTGCCCTGGCTCTGGCCCTGCCCCGGCCCCAGCCATAGACCTGCCCTGGTTGGTCATGCCCTACCTTAACCCTGTGCAACCCTGGGCCTGCTCCACCCTGCCCTGGCCCTGCCCTCCCTTTGTCCCTGCCCTGACCCTGCCTTGGCCCTCACACTGGCCCTAGCACAGACCTGGTCCTTTGTGTGGCCTTGGCCTGGCATTGACCCCTGCTCCTGACCCTGGTCCTGCCATGGCCCTGGCCCTGCCAATGACCCTGGCAGCCGTGACCCTGGCCCTGTCTTGGCCCTGGCCCTGAACTGGCCCTGCCCTGACCTGGCCCTGAAGTGGATTTGCAGGTGTCTTGTCCCTGATTTAACCTGGCCCTACCATGGCCCTGTCCCTCCCCTGGCTCTGTCCTGGTCTTGTGCTTACCCTGACCCAGACCTTGGCCCTGCCCCAGCCTTGTCCTTGACCTGGCCATGGCCCTGCCTCTGCCCTGGACCGGCGCTGGCACTGGCATGGACCCTGGCCCTGGCCGTTCGCTACTTAAGGCCATACCCTGGTCCAGCCCTGGTCCTGACCCTGTCCTGGCCCTAATTTGGCCTGGCTCTACCTTGGCATGCTATTCTGGCCCTATCCCTGACCCTGTCCCTGTCCCTGTCCTGGCCCCAGCCCCATTGCTGGTCCTGCCATGGCCCTTGTTCTGACATTGCCCTTTCCTGGTTCTGGCCCTGGCCCTGTCCCAGCCCTGCTCTGGCCCTGGTCTGAACCCTGGCCCTGCAATAGACCTGCCTTGGTCCTGCCCAGACCCTGGCTCTGGCCCTACCTCTGCCCTGGCCATACCCTTGCCCTGGCCTGGACCCCGGTCCTGGTCCTTGTCCTGCCCCAGCCATGGCCCTGGCCCTGCCCTGCCTGTGCCCTGTTCTATCCTGGGCTGGCCCTGCCATGACCTGGTCTTGCCATTGCCCTGCCCTAGCCTGCCATGCTTGTGCCCTAGATCTGCCCCGCTTGTGCCCTAGATCTGCCTCGGCCTTTGCCCCGTCTTGGTTCTAGCCTTGACTCAGCCCTGGACCTTCCCTGACCTCGCCTCAGACCTGGCACTACCCTGGCCTTGCCTTGGCATTTGCCCTACTCTCTCTATGGCCTGGCTCTGGTCCTGCCCTGCTCTGCTCTTGTTCTGTCCTGGCACAGCCCTGGCCCTGGCCCTGCCATATCACTTGCTCTCGTCCTGCCCTTATGCAGACCTGACCCTGCCACTGCCTTGGCTTTGGCCTGGACCTTGGCCATACAGTGACCCTGTCATGACCCTTTCCTGGCCCTGGCCTGGAACCTGGCCCTGCCAAGGACTCGCCCTGGCTCTGTCATGGCCCTGGCCCTTTCCTGGATTTGGATGTGTCCTGTCCCTTATTTGCCCCGGCCCTTCCCTGGCTCTGCCATACCCCTTCTCTGGGGTAGGGCCAGGGTCAGGACCAGACCAGGGCAGGGTCAGGACCAGGGTAGGGCCATGGTAAGGCCTGAAGATGGGAAGGGCCAGGGCAGCGGCTGGACCAGGGAAGGATCAGGGCCAGGGATGTAGTAGGACTAGCGGCAGAGCCGGCACTAGGGCTGAACCAGGGCAGAGCAGGAGAGATTACATTAGGCTATTACATAAAATTTTTATTTTAGATTTTTAAGATAACTATATTAGTAGTAATGTCTATACTATATTGTTTGTAATAGTAATAATATTTGCAGTAATCACTAAATTTTAACTAATACTATCTTTGCTTCCAGTAGTGTTCTATGAATATAATATAATTTTATCAATATGTAAATATGTGAGGCATTGATTCTCACAATAATTCTATGTGCTAGGTACTTAAAGCATCCCCATTTTCCAAATATAGGAAACAGGCATAAAGAAGTTAAATACTTGGCCAGATTACTCCTGTAATCCCAACACTTTGGGAGGCCAAGGCAGGCAGATGGCTTGAGCTCAGGAGTTTGGAACCAGCCTGGGCAACATTGTGAAACCCCATCTCTACTAAAAATGCACAAAAAGAACTAATTTAAGTTTCTTGTAGGATTCTGGTTATAAAACACTGGTCAAACACACAGGGCATGGATAGGGCAGGGCCAGGGACAAGGTCAGGCCAGGAAGGGGCCAGGGCCAAGGCAGGGCCAGAGCTGGACTTGGAGGTGTCCTGGTCTGATTTGCCCTGCCCCAACGTTGGCCCAGCCCTGCTCTGGCACTTCCTGTCATGCCCTGTCCCTGGCCTGAGCATTGGCCCTGTCCCTGTCCTGCTTCTGGCCCTGCCCCGGAGTTGACCAGGCACTGCCATGGCACAGTCCTCCATTGCCCTGCCCTCGTCTGCCCTGGTGCTACCATGGCCCTGCTTGGGCCCTAGCTCTGCCTCGACTCTGGACCTGCCCTGACTCTGCTCAGCCCTGGATCTACCCTGACTCTGCCTTGGTGTTGCCCTCCCATATCTATGGCCTGGCTCTGGCCATGCCTTGCACAGGCCATGCTCTGCCCTGCATGTCCCAGCCTGGGCCCAGCCCTCATCCTACCATATTCCTGACCCCAGCCATACCCTTGTTCTGGCCGTGACCCTGCCGTGGCCCTCTCCTGGCCCTTCCTTGGTCCTGCCCTGCCCTTCCATGCCCTGGCCTTGCCCTCACCCTGCATTGGCCCTGCACTGGTCCTGCCCTGCCCTGGTACTGCCTTGCCCCGGCCCTGCCTTCTCCCTGGCCTTGCCCTGCCCTGGCCTTGGCTTTGCCTTATCCTGGTCCTGGTTCTGCCCTGACCCTGGCCTTGCTCTGGATCCTCTCTGGTTCTGCCTTCTCCCTGGCCCTGTCCTTGCTCTGGCCCTGTCCCTGGCCCAGCCTTGACCCTGACCCTGGCCCTGACAATCCCCAGGTCTGACACTGGCTATGCTTGGCCCTGGCCCCTCCTTTTGGCCCTGCCCTGGCCCTGCCTTGGCCCTGTGCTATCTTAGTCCTGCCCTGGCCCTGAACTCGCCCTGGCCCTACCCTCACCCTACACTGGCCCTGGCCTACCCTGGCTTTGCCCTGCCCTGGCCCTGCCTTTGGCCTGCTCTGGCTCTGGTTCTGCCCTGGCCTTGCCCTTACCCTGGACCCTCCCTGGCCGTGTTTTTTCCATGGTCCTTCTCTGGCCTTGCCCTTGCCCTGTCCCCTTTCTTGTCCTGCCATGTTTCTGGCCCTGCCCTGTCCATGTCCTGGACCTGACTCTGGCCCTGGACCTCCCTGTCCCTGCCCTGCCATACTCTGGCCCATTCTTGCTCTACACTGACCCTGTCCTGCCTTGGCCCTGTGCTACCCTAGCCCTGCCCTGGCCTTCTGCTGACCCTGATCCTGCCATGGCCCTGGCCCTGCCATGTCCCTGCCCTGGCCCTGGTTCTGCCCTGCTTCTGGCCCTGGCCTTGGTCCTCTCATGTCCCTGGCTATGACCCTGCCCCTGGTTTTTCTCTGGCCATGACCCTGCCCCAGTTCTGTCCTATCCCTGGCCCTGTCTCAGTTCTCTCCTAGCCCTGGCCTTTCACAGTACTTTATGCTTAGTAAGGGCTCCATAGTGTCTGTGAGTTGAATGTTGTGTTCATAGTATCTGCCAAAACAGAAAGAAAAAAACCAAAATATTTTGATAGGAAGTTAAAGCTTTGTATATAATATGCCTTGAATTGTAAGTGCTTGTTATTAGTTGTATTACATATAGGTCATGGTTTTGTACACATAACTCCAAACCATTGATACTGTTAAAAGAATATATGAATATATGAAAGAATGTATAAACGTAAGAATGTATGAGTATCTAATGACCTTTCCAAATTAATTTTTATTTTTAGCTCTATTAGATTTTTCTCAGTGTAACAAATGTTTATTCCTATGTAATTAAGGGCGTATTTCCTGTACAGAATATTCATATTACCTAATTGAAAATTATATGATACAAAAATATAATACTATTTTTAGGCCAGGCATGGTGGCTCATACCTGTAATCCCAACATTTTGAGAGGCCAAGTTTGGAGAATCATTTGAGTCCAGGAGTTGACCAGCCTGGGCAACATAGTGAGAACTTGTCCTCATTAAATAAATAAATAAATAAATAAATAAATAGGTTGGGCACTGTGGCTCACATCTGTCATCCCAGCATTTTGGGTTGCCAATGCAGGAGGATTGCTTGAGCCCAGGAGTTTGAGACCAGCCTGGGCAGAATAGCAAGACTCCATCTCTACAAATAATAAAATATTAACCAGGTGTGGTGGTGCCCACCTGGGGTCCCAGCTACCTGGGAGGCTAAGGTGGGAGGTTTGCTTGAGGCTGCAGTGAACTGTGAATGCACCACTGCATTCCAGCCTAGGCCACAGAACAGGACCTTGTCTATAAATAAAGAAATAAGTAAAAACATAAATAAAAATAAGTAAAAAGAAATATAAGTAAATATAAATATAAATACATATAAATATAAAAATGCATACATGAAAAGAAACAATTTTTAAATTTAACATCACTGAGGGCATCCTATCCATTTCATTTCATGATTCCATCATTTCACTTAGATGAAATGATAAGATGACTTGAGATGAGATGAAATGACAAAGTGATGAGATGAGATGAGATGATGAGATGAAATTTTGAGATGAAATGGTGAGTAGAAATGATGAGATGAAATGATGAGACGAAATGACAAAGTTGAAAAGAAATTGAAAGGAGATGAGATGAGATGAAATGAGATGAAATGATGAGATGATAGATGAAATGATGAGATGAAATGAGATGAAATGATGAGATGAAATGAAATGAAATAATGAAATGATATGAAATAATGAAATTGAAATGAGATGAGATGAGATGAAATAATGAGATAAAATGATGAGATGAAATGAGATGAATGATGAGATGAAATGAGATGAAAAATGATGAGATGAAAAATGAGATGAAATGAAATGAAATAATGAAATGAAATAATGAAATGAGATGAAATGAAATAATGAAAGGAAATTATGAAATGTAATGAAATTGAAATAAGATGAGTTGAAATGATGAGATGTAATGATGAAATGAAATGATGAAATGAGATGAGATGAAATGAGATGAAATAATGAGATGAAATGAGATGATGAGATAAGATGAAATCATGAGATGAAATGATGAAATGAAATGAAATGATGGATGAAATGATGAGATGAAATGAGATGAAATGTAATGACATAATGAAACGAAATAATGAAATGAGATGAAATGAAATAATGAAACGATGAAATAATGAAAATGAAATGGAAATGATGAGATGAGAAGAAATGATGAGATGAAATGATGAGATGAGATAAAATGAGATGAAATGATGAGATGAAATGAAATGATGAGATGAGATGAAATGAGATGAAATATGATGAGATGAAATGACATAATTAAATGAAATGATGAAATGGAATAATGAAATGGAAATGATGAGATGAGATGCAATGAGTTGAAATGAGATGAAATGATGAAATGATGAGATGAGATGTGATGAAATGATGACATGAAATGATGACATAAAATGAGATGAAATGAGATGTAATGATGAAATGAGATGAGATGAAATGAGATGAAATGATGAGATGAGATAAAATATGAAATGATGAGATGAATGATGAGATGAAATGATGAGATGAGATGAGATGATGAGATGAAATGATGAGATGAACTGATGAGATGAAATGAAATGAAATAATGAAATGAAATTGAAATAAATAAATAAAATTGAAATGAGATGAGATGAAATGATAAGATGAGATGATGAAATAAAATGATAAAATGATGAGATGTGATGAGATGAAATGATGAGATGAGATGACATGCAATAATGAAATGAAATAATGAAATGAAATTGAAATGAGATGAGAAGATACGAGATGAGATGAAATGATGAGATGAAATGATGAAATGATGAGATAAGATGAAAATAGTTGATGAGATGATGAGATGAAATGATGAGATGAAAAGATGAGATGAAATGATGAGATGAAATGAAATGATGAGATGAAATGAGATGAAATGAAATTAGATGAAATGTAATGAGATGAAATGAAATGACATAATGAAATGAAAAAATGAAATGAAATGAGGTGAAATTAAATGAGATGATGAAATTAAATGATGAAATAATGAAATGGAAATGATGAGATGAGATGAAATGATGAGATGAATGATGAGATGAAATGAGATGAAATGATGAGATGCAATGATGAGATGAAATGATGAAATGATGAGATGAGATGAGATGTAATGATGAGAGGAAATGATGAGATGTAATGAAATGAGATGAATGAGATGAAATAATGAAAGGAAATTGAATTGAGATATGAGATGAAATGAGATAAAATGAGATGAAATAAGAAATGATGAGATGAAATGATGAAATGCTGAGGTGAGATGAGATGAAATGAGATGAAACGATGAGATGAAATGAAAGGATGAGATGAAATGATGAGATGAGATGAGATGAGATGAAATGAGATGAAACGAGATGAAATGATGAAATGATGAGATGAGACGAGAAGAAATGATGAGATGAAATGAGATGAGATAAAATGATGAGATGAAATGTAGTGAAATGAAATGAAATAATGAAATTGAAATGAGATGAGATGAAATGAGATAAAATGATGAGATGAAATGAGAAGAAATGAGATGAAATGATGAGATGAGATGATGAGATGAAAAATGATGAGATGAAAAATGATGAGATGAAATGATGAGATGAAAAATGATGAGATGAGATGAAATGATGAGATGAATTTGAAATGAAATGAAATAATGAAATAATGAAATGAGATGAAATGAAATGATGAAATGATGATATTGAAATGAAATTGAAAGATGAGATGAAATGATGAGATGAAATGTTGAAATGAAATGATGAAATGAATAGATGTGACATGAAATGATGAGCTGAAATGATGAAATGAAATGAAATGAGATTCAATGATGAGATGAAAAATGATGAGATGAGAAATGATGAGATGAAATGATGAGATGAAATGAGATGAGATGAATTGAGATGAGATGAGATGAAATAATGAAATTAGGTGAAATAATGAAATGAGATGAAATAATGAAATGAAATTGAAATGAGATGAGAAGAAATGAGATGAAATGTAATGAAAGGAGGAAATGATGAGATGAGGAGATGAAATGATGAGATGAAATGAATTGAGATGAAATGATGAGATGAAAAATGATATGAAAAATGATATCAAAAATATGAGATGAAACGAAATGAGATTATATGAAATGACAAAATGAAATAAATGAAATTAGATGAAATGAAATAGTGAAATGAAATAATGAAAATGAAATGGAAATGAGATGAGATGAGATTTGATGAAATGGTGAGATGAAATGATGAGATGATATAAAATGATGAGGTGAGATGGAATGAGATGAAATGATGGGATAAAATGATGAGATGAAATGAGATGAAATGATGAGATGAAATGATGGGGTGAAGTGATGCACTGTCACGTGTGTGTCTACTCTTTTTCCCAAGCAACAAAAATTATAATTCATTAATTTTAATTTTATTATTTAAGAATATTCTTAAGAGTTGAAGGAAAAATAATATTGTAACATAAATTGTAACATTATGGGTTACAATCTAAGTATAAATAATACATAAATATATTAAAACTTACAAAGAATATGTTTTGGAATCGAATATACCATGCTTCTGTGATGACAGTTATTTCATGCTGGTTGTCATAATTTTACATGAAAAACTAATGAAAAAATGTTTTTAACTGTTTCTAAAAATAACAGTTTCCAAAACAGTTTTACATTCGAAATATGAAAAAGATGTCTTTGTGTTCCTTAATCTGATGAGATTTTCACACTCTGCACATGATAATTGTTAGATTTTTATTGTGTTGATAAATTGTATATCAAATAAAAAATGTTATTACCTCTTAAATTAGGATTTTTAGGTGATATAGTCAGAAAGGAAGGCAAGTTTTTATAACTTTTTCTAAATGAACTTTCTAAATGCCTGAGTATTAAAAGACAGCATGTCTATAAATCACAATGTATATATTACTGTATGACCTAGGACCAATCAAAACCGTTACCTCTGATAACATTATATTGTGCCCAGTATAAAATAGATATAATAATACCTCAAACTTAAATCCAGGCATTGTTGAATGTCTTAAGAATATGCAGCAAAGGTGCTTTTAAAAATACAAGCTAGTGATTGTACCAAATTTGTAAATCACATAGGATAGTGGGTCATTTTAAGAATATTAGTTATTTCAATCTGTAAACATGGATGTCTTTCCTTTTTTGTGTTTTCTTTAATTTCTTTCATTAATACCTGTCATTTTTGTTGTCAAAATCTTTTACTTCCTTGGTTAAATTTATTTCTAAGTACATTTTTGTAGCTATTGTAAAAGGAATTGCTTTCTTAATTTCTTGTTTCAGCTAGTTTACTATCAATATATAGAAATGCTACTGATTTTTGTATGTTGATTTATATCCTGCAACTTTATTAATTTCATGTATCACCCTAAGAAGCTTTTGGTAGAGTCTTATTTTTTTCCGTGTATAAGATCACATTGTCTTTAAACAGGGACAATTTGACTGTCTCCTTTCCAATTCAGATGTCCTTTATTTCTTTCTCTCACCTAATTGTCCTGGTTAAGACTTTCACTATGTGAAATATGATTGGTGAGAATAGGCATCCTTTTCTTGTTCCAGTAAAATCTTTTTCTTGTTCACAGTAAAATCTTTCACCTTTTCCACACTCAGTATGATCTTAGTTGTAGATTTGTCCTTTATGTTCTTCTGTGTTAAGGCATATATTTTCTATACTAAATTGTTGAGAGGTTTTTTGTCATGTAAGAATATTTAATTTTGCCAAACGCTTTTATTGTGTTTATTAATTTAATCATATGGTTTTCAGTATATATCCAAAGGAAAGAAAATCAGTATATCAAAGAGTTACCTGCACCCCCATGTTTATTACAGCACTATTCACAATAGCCAAGATATGGAATCAACAAAAGTGTCCATCAACAGATGAATGGATAAAGAAATGTGACATACATATATAATGGAATATTATTTAGTCATAATAAAGAACAAAATCCTGTTATTTGTGGCAACAAGAATGCAAGTGGAGGGCATTATGTTAGGTGAAATAAGCCTGGCATAGAAACATAAACACCACATAACTACATGTTCTCACTTATGTATGGAAGCTAAAATTTTTAATCTCATAGAAGTAGATAGTAGAGTTTTGGTTACCATATCCTGGAAAGAGTAGGAGAAAGAAGAGTATAAGAAAACTGTGGTTAATACATACAAAATTACAGCTAGAGAGAAGGAAGAAGTTCTAGTTCTCTACAGCACTGTTGGGTGACTGTAGTTAACGGGAATTTATTGTGTGTTTTCAAATAACTAAAATAAAAGATTTTGAATATTCTCACTGCAAAGAAATAATACATGATTTAGGTAATGGATATGATAATGACTCTGACTTGATCTTTACACATTGCATAAATATATCAAAATATCACTCTGTACCCCATAACATGTACATTTATTATATGTCAATTAAAATAAATTTAAAAGACAAAAAATGAGGTAAAGGTAAATGTACAGAATTTAATTACTTCTTCTTCTATAAAACCCGAGTCAGTACCAAGAAGAGTCAATTTATTAGTTTTCTAAAATAAAAAAAATCAAAATCACCAAAAAAGAGCAATATCCAAGAAAACATTGAAAATGAAACACAACATTTAGTAAGAATAGAAAACTTGGGCACTGTATCACCCTGTTCCTAGATACCGATTTACTGATGGCCATTTAAATAGAATTTTATTCTATCTAATTCATTTATACTCCCAGAGTTCAAAATTACATTTTACCTACAATAAATGAGATAACACTTGTAAATTATATGGTACTCTGCCTAACACACGTTAATAACTCAATACATGTTAGCAATAAACTTTTAGTATAGTAGTCAAAGTATTAATTTCTCACATTGCAATTTCCTTCAAAGACATGAATACAACCTTTCTAATGACTCCTTGTTCATCAAGATACCTCTTCAAATTATTCTATTTGTTTCATTCAGTATATTACCTGTGTATACCGATATTACACTCTTTTCTTTTTTTGAGATGGAATCTCATTCTGTTACTGATGCTGGAGTGAGGTGGCATGATCTCGGTTCACTGCGACCTCCACCTCCCAGGTTCAAGCGATTCTCCTGTCTCAGCCCTCCAGGTAGCTAGGACTACAGGTGCATACCACCATGCCTGGCTAATTTTTGTATTTTTAGTACAGTCAGAGTTGTACATACAATTTTTATGAAAAAAATTATCAAGTGCATAAGTTCATAATAGAAAAACCAATAATACTCCAGGCACAAGTTAGTACTAAAGAAATTATGTTGAATATTCTCTAATACAACATGCTTTTTCCCTTCATGAACAATTTGTGTTTTACTGAGAAGAGTCATTTTTTATGGTAGACATTAGACTACAGATGAATATGTACTTTAAACACTCTTAGTTGCTTTCTTAATTTTATAGCTGCTGCTTTATGCTTCTGTTTATTTTCATTCTTTCCAATGTCTACATTCTAGTAAATTTGAATATTTTAATCCAAGTTTATATACCATTTAATATTGCTTGTATAGTTTAGTATTTTTAAGACTCAAAAAGGTTTACAGAAAGAAGAAAAAGATCAACATGTTATTAATCATTTAAAGATCATTTTAAAATCTTTGACCTTTATATTTTCATGAATAAAATGTTAGTAGTTATTAGTATAAAATAATTTATGTCTTTTGGACTTAGCATCCAGTATTTCTTTTTTAATAAAGAAAATAATTATTCTCTTGCAATGTACTATGTTTATCTGGGTTTTGAAAAGTGATGTTTCCTAATATGAGAAAGCCATTTACATTTTTAAATCTACAAAGGCAAATGGAATGGTACTAAATTATTTACATAATAATGTTTAGATGGTGGCCCTTATAACATTCTTTCTATACTTCCTACAGAGTTGGGGATATGCAATCCTAGAATATTTCTGGGAGCTAATCATTTTGCTTGATGAATGAAACAAGACTTTTAAATAAAATTAAACTTTCAAATTATCCACGTAATGGGCCTGTCTTTTAATTCAATGGATATGGAGCATAATGAATTATCCCCTGTTCATTGGGTAATAAGTTCTCATTCTTAACTTATAATACTCAAAATGTCCTTTAATTTTTAATTTTTGATAGTCATATCATTATCCCTAGGTATTTTAGCTTCTATCTTAAATTCTAAAATGATTTTGAAACAGGAGAAAGTATTCTTTATTACTATATGTATTAAACATCATGGTTTTCAAATTTAACTGCAAATGTATCTTTTCATTGCTTCTTGATGACACCCTTCACCCTATCCATATTGTCACTACCAAGTGGTGATTACTTTTCAGGTTCACATACTTATTCTTTAGAAAAATCTTCTCTGTGCTTTATAAAGAATATGATTGTTGGCATTCAAAAGCCAGTGAAGTATACATTATTAGCCTGTTGCCTAACTCATTTCTTTAAGAAACTAACTAATTACCCACATACTTATGTTTTTATTTCCTCATTATTTCTGGAGAAAACAAATACTGCTAACATGATATTTGTAAGAGAGAAAAAAGTCTTTTCTTGAAAAGTGCTGTCATTGTAGTACTAACTTATAGTATCAACTTCTTTATCAACTCCTTATACACTTTTTATTCTGAGAGAAATAAAAAAGCTAAAAGTGAAATGACTTTTTTACTCTCCATATTATAAGCACCCATCTTGGTCATTTAGGGTCTTTATAGTTAGGGTAAGTTGTGTCATACCGAGGTTACAAAATAAAAAATATTTTGTCTCTTTGGGCCTTTCCTTATTCAGTAATACTGTCAGTTTGGCTTTTTTTGTAGGTCAACTTATTGAACTCAGTATTCTGAAATAATATGTCTACTATCTTTTGATAAGCATTTAAAATATCAGATTTATTGTTACTCTTCTGCTTTTATTGGGCTGGAAGAATAATTGTTTCACTCCACAAAAGCCAAGTTGCAGAGAAAAACACATAGACATTCAACTGCAAAGCAGAGAAACTTGACTATTTTCTGCAATTTTAAAGTGTATATTGAATAAAACCATCTTTTTATTTTCTTTTTTGCTCACTGGCAAATATTAACAACATCAAGTGTATTATTATAATGTTATCTAGTTAAAAATCTCAAAAAGTTTTCATAATTACCATTTAAAAATATATAAATAGGTGACCTAATGTTAATTTTTATTGTCTGAGACCATGTCTGTTATTTCACTCTTTAAATTCAGTTAGTAATGCAGAACCTAGCACTTAGTAGATACTCAAAAATTATTTGCTGAATAAAAAAAGGTTAAACATAATATATACAAAATGTACTGGAAAAAATGCACCAAACAATTTTGTTATACCAGTTTAATGTAAATATTGCCTTTAAAAGATAATATAGTTTTCAGGTGTCTACAGTGATTTTGTAATATTTGTGCACATATAAAATAATATTTCCAAAAATGTAATCCAGTGGGGAAATATACTTTCTAAATTCTAGATTTATAATTTAGGGTTTAAATTATAAAATCATTAAATAAGACACAAGTGAAATATAGTCAAATATCCCCTTGGAAAAAAATTAAGTGGCCTCTAAAGTGAGGTATTAATATATGTAATTTTACAATCCTCTAGTGATAGAATTAAATACACCACCAAATTGATTATCTCCTACAGTGTTAAAAGAGAAGCACTAACAATGCCAGTGACCATGTAACATGGATTTAAGCTACAAGTCATAGAAATGTGATGAGAAGCCTCAGCGCTGTAAAACAGAGGGTGGAGGAAAGATTTTCCTCTCTCAAATGAGCTTTGCGAGGTATACTTCTTGAAGGATAGAAGTTGAAGTGTTCAGGACTTTTATGTCTATTCTACTTTGGCTTAGTTTACATGATTCTTAGTTTATTAGCCTAGAAATGGCCAAGAAAACTTAAGGTTCAATAATTAGTTATAAATATGAAATATCCCCAATTTTTAAGACAAAAACAACTTATAAATGTATTTGTCTGTAAAAATTGTGTATATTTTTACAGAACATCTATTTCTTTCTTTTTTTATTTTTTAATTATACTTTAAATTCTAGGGTACACATGCACAATGTGCAGGTTTGTTGCATATGTATACATGTGCCATGTTGGTGTGCTGCACCCATTAACTCATCATTTATATTAGGCATATCTCCTAATGCTATCCCTCCCCCCTCCCCCCACCCCACAACAGGCCCTGGTGTGTGATGTTCCCCTTCCTGTGTCCAAGTGTTCTCATTGTTCAATTCCCACCTATGAGTGAGAACATGCGGTGTTTGGTTTTTTGTCCTTGCGATAGTTTGCTGAGAATGATGGTTTCCAGCTTCATCTGTGTCCCTACAAAGGACATGAACTCATCATTTTTTATGGATGCATAGTATTCCATGGTGTATATGTGCCACATTTTCTTCATCCAGTCTATCATTGTTGGACATTTGGGTTGGTTCCAAGTCTTTGCTATTGTGAATAGTGCCGCAATAAACATACGTGTGCATGTGTCTTTATAGCAGCACAATTTATAATCCTTTGGGTATATACCCAGTAGTGGGATGGCTGGGTCAAATGGTATTTCTAGTTCTAGATCCCTGAGGAATGGCCACACTGTCTTCCACAGTGGTTGAACTAGTTTACAGTCCCACCAACAGTGTGAAAGTGTTCCTATTTCTCCACATCCTCTCCAGCACCTGTTGTTTCCTGACTTTTTAATGATCACCACTCTAACTGGTGTGAGATGGTATCTCATTGTGGTTTTGATTTGCATTTCTCTGATGGGTCTATTTCTTTAAAACAAAAGGAGGGGAGTCTCTCATTTACATTAGTTTTTTTCATAGCCTTTTGAACTTTGCAATTTCTATGTTTCAGAACCAATTTCTTACAGTTTTTCTATGCTAAACTCTGTCCTAGTCAGTTCTAGAGTGTATGAAGAACCAAATGATGTAATTGTATGCGACCTGGCTGTAGTGGAACAAATTTGACTCTAAAGTATGCAGGCTCTAATTTTCCTGTCTGGTTTTGGTAAGTATTCCTTACATAGGTTTTTTCTTTGAAAATCTGGGATTGAGAGGTTGATGAATGAAAATTAATCCTTTCACTTTGTTGTATATAGGTTTGCAATAATTAAGTCAGAGTGGAGTTTTAAGGTCATGGAGGGGTCTGATGACTTACAAATGGGCTCTGATTGGGCAACTACTCATCTGAGTTCCTTCCATTTGACCTAATTAAGCTTGTGAAATTTACACTAAGCCATGAGCTCATCTTTAAAAAGTTTTATTAAAAGATTTTCAGCTGTTCCAAATGGGACTTATTAGTGGAATGTGTTTTAAAGGATCATATCAGATGAATGAAAGGTATTTGATCCTTCGTTTCCTTAATAATAAAATGATGGTTTGGAAAAATAGGCTGCAGTCTAACCACAGTGCTATTATTAGGCTTTCATGTTAAACATAGGTCTAAGCCTAAGTATGTCAATACAACAAATACTTACTGTTTCATTTCTAGTAATGAAAAAAAAAAAAACAAGTCTTTCTGGCATAAGGATGATTTTCATCTGGTCATTTTGAAACATTTTTGTAAAATAAATTTACATCTATAAAGAACATTTTTATTTGTAAGGAGGGGTATGTCTCTGTGCACTGGAAGAGAGGGAGGACTAAATCACTGGGAAGTCTTATGATAAAGAAGCCATTGGCTTAAATCAGCAAAGCAAGCCGTCCCTTGGTTTAAGGTGTTTTTCCTGGCCATCCTGTCTTGACTAGAACTTTACCTACACCTTCCTTTTTGGTTTAGGCAAATTATAGTATCTAAAACTGAAGTCTCAGCTCTGTGTCTTTGAGATATAAATGTTCTACCATGTCTTCTCTGGAACCTGATAACTATCTATCTCTTTAAAATGCAAGTCTAGGGAGATGACTCATCAGAAAAAGAAGAAAAAAGAGGTATTTGGAAATTGTGCAAATTAAAGCAGCCCCTGATGCCAAAGTCTACACATTCCTGAGTGAGTCAGTTCTGGCCAGTTCTAGCTGGATCAAGAGAGCTCTGCTGGGCAGGCCTGAAGAGCACCTGGATGGCAGACACCTGAGGAGCCAGGTGCCTGAAACTTCCTCCACCTACTTGAGGAGTGCCAAAGCCCAGGTGCTGGCTGGACAACCCCTTCTGGCTGCCTAAGCAGATGGCAGAAGAAGGAAACAAGGTCAGAGGCAGAGTGTTGAACCCTGCCTCCCAGGTGGGTGGAAGATGCCTGTCGCCAAACTAGGGCCCAGCTTGCCAGGTGAGATGGGTGAACTGGTGATCCCCCGAGAGAGTGGACGTCAGAACTACATGTTCCCGGACTTCACCTCGGCCAGCGAAGGAGAGAGAGGGTTAATGTTAACTGCACGAGGCTCACTCTAGCCTTAAATTCTGTAATTCAAACCCTTCCCTTGGAGACAAAACAAACATGACAAGGAATTCTGAGGTCAGGGGAGACGAATCACAAGTTCCCTAGTGGGAGACTGAGGAGGCAGTGTCCTTCCTGCCCTTGGTCTACTGGCTAAGAACCTTCCTTAGCCTCACCTTTGCACATTGCACTTTCAGCTCTGTTTGCAATTTTCCTCCTTTAGTGCTGAGGGAATCCCAGTGTTCGATCCTGAAATCTATAGGTTCCTAATGGGTGGTTAAAAAAAACCTCAGCGAGAGAAGCAGAAAATGTTTCCTCTTCCTGAAAAACTGTAGAAAGGCAGGCACCATTCTGGGTGAGGACATGGTCCTTGCAAATGTCTTTGTGTTTTTTTTTTTTTTTTTTTTTTTTTTTGAGATGAAGTTTTGCTCTTGTTGCCCAGACTGGAGTGCAGTGGTGTGATCTCTGCTCATTGCAACCTCCGCCTCCTGGGTTCAAGCAGTTCTCCTACCTCAGCCTCCCAAGTAGCTGGAATTACAGGCACCTGCCACCACACCTGGCTAATTTTTTGTATTTTTAGTAGAGATGGGGTTTTGCCATGTTGGCCATGTTGGTCTCGAACTCCTGACCTCAAGTGAGCCCCCCGCTTCTGCCTCCCAAAGTGCTGGGATTACAGGAGTGAGCCACCGCATGCAGCCTGCAAACGTCTTTAAAGACAGCATGTTTCAGAGGCTGTGACAGTGCCCTGTGAACATGCCAATTCTCGCAGTCCCGGCAGCTCTGAGGAGCAGGCTCGGCTCCTTGCCAGGCTGATGGTACTGAAACTCTGCTCTCCAAGACATAACCTGATGGCCGTGCAAGATTTCTTAATCGACTGTGGACCGTGAGAGTCTGCATCTCATTTTAATTAAGATGGGAAAAGAAAGAACAAAAGAGCAACTCCCAGGTTATAGAGAAACTGGATTTTAGTATAATATTCAAGTGTAACATTGCTAATAATAACAAACCTTTCCCCTCCCAAACGGTAAACACTTGCACTGCCTATTATACAAAAATTCAACCACCCTCTCTGTTCCCCCGATATCTCCTGCCCAGTGACCCCCGTTTCATGCGGCCTCATGAGCCTGGCCAGTGGTGAATGGCAGTTTCATGGGCATGAGACTCCACGTGAGTGGGACTCAGCTGGGACCCCTCTCCACGTGGGAGCTGGAGAAGCCACCCTAGTAGCAGCTTAAAGTGTCCGTGATGTCCCTGCTGCTGAGCTAGGGGCCGCCTCTGAGCTGGTATCGGGGTGTGAGCTGCTGCTGGTAGTGGGCTCTGCCCTGAGTGCCTGGTGGCTGGTCAGAACGGCAGGCACACATGGGTGACTCCCCAGGAACTCAGGCCACCTCCCCACCACAGCCCTGCACCGTGTGCTCCAGGCATGTGCTGAGTGCCTGGTCAATCACCAGTGCCCTATTGATCCCAGTCTCCAGAGAGATCATTTAGTGTCACTCCACAGAGGGGGAAACTGAGGCCCAGAGAAGTAAGGTGACTCTCCCCAGTCACAGGGCTGGTCAGCAGTAGGATGGGAGGCTAGTCCCTTGCTGTCTGACTCCCTGAGCCCACCCATATCCCAAGGCAGCCAACCTCTGCCCGCCCTGGTTCAGGACCCGACTGGCTCCTGTGGTGGGTGATGTCTATCTTCCTGGCCTTTGTGCTCCCAGCCAACTGGGATGGAGCCTCCAGCTGGCATGACATGTTGTAGCTATGGACAGAAGAGTGGCTGTGAGGCTGCCAGGAATCTCACCAGGGCCCCCTCCCAGGGCCTGTCCAGAGTGAGGTCTGGGTACCCCAGGCATTGCCAGACCACAGGATCTGATGTTGACCAAGAGGCCATGGCCACAGGCTTTCTGAGGCTGGCCCCCAGGGAGAGTTCAATCCCACTATCCCAATTCCTGCCCTGGCCTTACCTCTCAGTCTCACCGAGCCGCTTCATGGTCCCAAACCAGGACCCAAAGTGCTGCTTGGGCTCAAGGTTGTAATTATATGCAGCCAACTGGAGCAGCGGACCTCCTTGCTTACTTTGAATTCCTGGGTCCAGAGGGAAAAACTGGGTGGTGACAGGGACTGGACAGGGATGCCACAGGGGCCCTGTGGGGGTGTTAGATTGGGTGGTGGCCAGTCTTTGCTCATAGGGGACACCCTTCTCCTCTCCAGTCCTGTCCCCACCTGTTCTCAGAGCTGGCTCAAACAGCAGCTCCTCCAGGAAGGTGTCCTTGGTTTCAACCTGGTACTCCCACCTGCAGGTCTTCCTGGAGTGTCTCCTCTTTCTCTCTGTCTCCCCATATATCTAAGATGAGGGGGATGGATTTGCCCACCGCTACTCACCGTATGACTCTTGTGAGGTTGATCAGTCTCCCCTGGAAGGCCAACAGCTGAAGTCCATCAGAAAGGGTCCTCTGGCCCAGAGCCAGACCCTGCCCACCCCTGTCATGCTGCACCCAGGGTGCAAGCCCCAGATCAGGTCTGGGTGACAGGAGGGGTATAGAGGGGCTGAGGCTCAGGGGCCTTCTAGCCTAACTTGTCTGGAGACAGTTGGGGAAACTGAGACCCCAAGCAGGGAGGTATGGCTCCGAGAGATTATTCTCGTTAACCTGGAACATTTTTGCAAGCTGTTAGGTATAGGAAGTCTGTCACAGGTAAGAGAAATGCTTTTTGAGAGCATGAGAGACAGCAGGGCTGTGACAATATTGAAACACTGCCGTGCAGATTCACCAATTGCCACCACCGGGAGCCCCCTGAGAGTCATTGCAGATGCACAGCCCTCCCCTGCAACCCCTGGACCTCCCCATGGTCTGGCATCTAAAGGGTTATGCCTCATGGCAGGAATCAGGGCCCTCAGGATGCCCTGCCCACTCCAAGGTCTGCCTCTGCTCTGATTGGTCACTGACATTCAGATTGTCACCCAAATATAAGGACGTTAGCAGAAAGACTCATTCAATACAAGTGGACTCAGACATAGATAGGAATTGAGTTGCAAAAAGCCCCTTTTGTTTCTTTTATTTTGGAAAAAACTTTTATTGTGAAATTCACATATATATATATGGAAAAAAAACTGAATCAATGCAAAAGGATAGACAATGAACAAATGAATTCCCCTTCCACTCCAGATCCCCAACTCAGATCCAGACCTCCTGAGCCCACTTCCCCCATCTCATCACAGATCCAGACCTCCTGAGCCCACTTTCCCCATCTCATCACAGATCCAGACCTCCTGAGCCCACTTTCCCCATCTCATCACAGATCCAGACCTCCCCCACTTTCCCCATCTCATCACAGATCCAGACCTCCTGAGCCCACTTCCCCATCTCATCACCAGTGATTTCTTGGGCTCTGCATTAGTTTTCTATTGCTGCTGCAGCAAACAGCTACAGACTCAGTGGCTTCCATTTCCGTCTTATAGTTCTGGTTGCCAAAAGTCCTAAGAGGATCTCACTGGGCTAAAGTCAAGGTGCTGGTGGGGCTATGTCCCTTCTGGAGGCTCAAGGGATGAATCAGGTCCCTGCGTTTTCTAGCTTCTAGGGGCTCCAGCTTCTGGGTTTGTGGCCTCCTTCCTCCATCCTCAAAGCCAGCAACAGCAGGTGAAGTCCTCGCCCATCGTGCATCACTCTCCCTTCTGCCTCCTTCAACTTTTTTTTTTATATTTAGGGGGAACGAGTATAGGATTCTTACATAGTCAAAAAGCTCCTTATAGAGAAGCTCAGAACTTTCAATACAGCTTTGCCTTTTTTGCCATTTAAATTTTCCATTTAATTTAAATGTATTCTCTCATTTGACCTTCATACTCTGTGGAGAAATATTCCTGTTTTGGCTTGTATTGACAAGTTGTTTTCACACAGCCCCCACATCACCCAACCAACCAGCAGAGATCCTCCTTCCCAAGAAACAGATAAAGAAACTGAGGCCCAGGAAGGCTAAGAGTCCTGCCAGGATTATTCACCTTTCAAGGTAAGGAGCCAGTTCCAGACCGGGGTTTGTGCAGCTCCAAGCTCCCCCGTCTTTCTACAATGCTAGATTTAGACTAAAGCAATCTAGCAAGTGTGGCCACACAATGGTCAAGTTGGATTTAGATGATGTTCTTTATAAATCCATTCTCCTCTCCCGTGTAAGCAAGGCAAAGTACTCCAGGCCATGGGGAGTCCCTGAAGACTCGATGAACTGCAGTGGCCACATCAGGAGGTTGCAGGTTAACCAGAACTCACCGACACAGCAGGAGAGCAGCTTGGAACCTGCAACCTAGCCAAAACCTAGTGCCTTGGATTGGGGGAGAAAACATGCAGCCATTCCTCTCTCTCTGCTGGCTAGAGGGGATTCTGGCTTTTCCTGCCAGAGCCACCCCTTTCCCTCCTCCTAAAGTTGATGGTGGTTCTTTAAGGAAAGGGAGAAGTGCACGGTGTGATAGGGCAGGAAGAGAAGAAAACGGAGGAGAGGAGGGGACTTTCCCATAAGCAGGCAGAAGAAAAGGCAGCTGTGGTGTGTGATGGACATGGATGCAGTGGTGTCCAATGTGGGGTCAGCCCTAGAGGAGAGACAGAGAGAGAGACAGAAAAGTGAGAGAGTCCTGACCCTTATGATTAACATGGGATCTGCCTGCAAATGCTGTTTAGGGTCATCGCCTCTTCCTGTACCACTATTTTTGAGAGTGATGCTCCTGAGCCCCACGACCCAGTCAAATTTGATGTCCCCTTGAGCCAGATTCAGTGCTGGGAGTCCAGTGTGATCTGCCTGGATCTTGCTGCATTGAGAACAGGCCAGATCTTGACCCCAATACAGGGGCTGGATATGAACAGGCAACAGCTGAGTTTCTGAGTCAGAAAGACTTGGTTAATTGCTAATTGCTTAGGCAAGTAATTTAATTTTGTTGCATCAGATTCCTCAGCTACAAAATGCACATGACAGTACTTATTCCTCCAGGTTGTGGGGAAAATGGAGATTCTAAGCACGATGTCCATTTCACAGAAAGATACCAATTTGGTGGCTTATTTCCTTTCTACCTTCAGAAGTGGCTATCCCTGCCACCCAAACAGACCCTTGACTCTCAAGTGGATGTCCCATTTGCACAGGGGGAGACCTTACAGCCTACGTTGAGTCTATACTTACCACTTAGTGAGCATGGTATCTGCTCAGGGGCCTCTGTGGGCATCTGTCTCCTCTGCAGCATCTTTCCTCCCCACTGCTGGGTCTGCACATGACCCCCTCCTTGGGTTAGGCCTCTGATCAGTGATGACCTTGGTATGGTGGTAATGGTCAGTCTTGGCATCAAATGAGCCAGTTTATATCATCAGCTATTCAATAAAATACTAATCTAGGTGTCACCGTGAAAGTATTTTGTGACATTGTTATGTACATATTGTTACAAATGTGCATGATGCATTTACTACAGCATAGAATTTTGCCTGGGTGCCACCCTGAAGTCTGTCCGACAGATCATAGCCATGTTAGTCCCACAGTCGCAGGGGCCAATTGATTAAATTATTTTATCTCCCTTGAGAACTAAAACTAAAATCCTAAGCCCCCCACCCAACTTAACAGACCCCCTGTTGGCCAACGGAACCTCAAATAAATCTTAAAATTCAGTTCTTGGCCATGACAGGACAGGAAGTCAGACATACCTCCCTGTACCTCCCTCCCTCTTATGGTTTAGACCCAACAACTGAACAGCATTGATGTTAAAATAGAGATCATGAGACTGACAGAACAGACTCTTTGTGGCAATAAGACCTCAAATTATAAACAGGACCTAGGGCCATGCCAGGCGAGGGTTAAGTCTTGTACCCTACTCTTAAAGAATTAACTAGATTCTAGCTACCACATGGGTTTTATTTTTCTCTAGCAGCCAAGCAAGCACTGGCTGTGAGAGATGGCTGTGAGAGAAGATTAAAACAATTACAACTCACCCAGTTCACAGATGCTGAGTAACTGATCTCCTGCCCCACTAACCTTAACGACAGCTTTCTCTGGACAAGGGACTGATTTCAGTAACTTTCTCCTGATAAGAGACCATCCTCCATGGACTGGTTCTGGCCAGTTTTAGAGGCTGTGCCTTTACGAGGCTGAGTACCTTCATGTCCCTGCTTCACTTTTTGATGTGTAGGGCCTAATTATAATACATTTAAATGTCAAGTCTCCACCCCAGAATGAACATGCATGTTTATTGAATATGCATGTGTTAGGACCTCTTTTATGAGTATTCTCATAAAATGATATAGCTCCTCTGATATCCTATTGAGTATGTATATGTAGCCAACTCATTTGGCTCAAATTCCTGTCCTCTCCCTCCCTCCCTGGAAATGCCTGCCTCTGGCCTTGGCTGTAGGCCACACTTCCCAGCCTGTCATAATGGCCACCTTGCAGACTGCAAACCTTTATAAGAAATAAAGCTCTCTTTTCTAAATTTATAAAATTGTGTGATTTTTCAGTTGATCCTCTCTTTCTACACACACACACACACACACACACACACACATGCAATTTATACAGAAGGAAATCTGGAGAATATATGTGGGAATGGATATTAAGTGTGTGGCACCATGGTGAAAGTAACATAAAGTTGGATTAGGCTAAATTTATTAATGTTGGCCCACTAAACAGAGATTCTGGACTCAGAGTTGTAGGTCAAAGCTTTAGAAAGGGCTCCAAGGGTTGGTTTGATCGGTTACTTGGTTGGTTGCTTGCTTGGTTGGTGGTGCTTGCTTCCTTGCTTGGTTGTTTGGTTGGTTTGTTGCTTGCTTGCTTGCTTGTTGGTTGATTGGTTGGCTGTTTGCTTATTTGTTTGGTGACTTGGTTGGTTGGCTGAAACAGAATCAGAGTTTACCTAAGGTACATAAAGTTGAGATGCCACAACTTCCTTGGTTTATATGTACAGAAAGGTATGCAAAAACTCAGGGAGACTGGATTTATTATGTCAGACCTGCTCACTCACACTGAAGGGTCTACAGAACATACTCCTCACAACGATCATGAGAAAGAATATTGTGAGATGAGCCCAGTATCCTGGAAGAGCTTTGAGCTTGTGCTCTCAGTAGGCAAAATGTTACAGCAGGAACTGCAGCCACTGGACTGGGATCTTTAAGTAAAATGAGGATAATTGAATCCTGGGGTGGCAGGGAACATGGGCTGTCCTTAATCACCAAAGATGAGGTGGGTGTGGTCACCACAGTGGAAAGCAGTGTCAAAGCAGCAGTCAGAATGGTTTGACTCACAGACACCCATGGCATTGTGTAGTCCATGGTATCCACAGGGAGAGCTAATGGGCTGTACCAAAGTCTTAGTTGTTGTTTAAAAAATGAAGAATTCTAGGTCAACTGAATAAAAGACTAACTCAAATTAATGAAACACAGATCTAAAACCCTCAATCAATTCCCAGACTTGAGCCAGTTCACAGGCCCACAACCCCTTAAGTGAAGGGGAGGCTGGGTGATCTTGGGGAAGTACGCTGCTACATTGCCAAAAATTTACATTGTTAATCTTTTTCCCAGTCTTCCCCAAAGGGACCTACAGCCTTCTGCCAGGATGACTGTGACTTAAAGAAAAGAAAATTCTCAGATATTTGGGGAATTACTGGACACTGGCTCTCATTTGACACTATTATCACTATGTTGCCTAGGATGGATTCATGCTTCTGGGTTCGAGCAGTCCTCCTACCTCAGCCTCCCAAAGTGCTGGGATGACAGACATGAGCCACTGTGGCCAGCAGAGCTTTGAAACTAGAACATGGAGGTCCAGTGGTAAATATTTGACAAGTCTGGGAAGAGATTGGGCCAAGGCAATGTTGATGATTCCTTTTTTTTTTTTTTTTTTTTTTTTTTTTGCAACAGATTCTCACTCTGTTGTCTAGGCTGGAGTGCAATGGTGCAATCTCGGCTCACTGCAACCTCTGCCTCTGGGGTGCAAGCAATTCTCCTGCCTCAGCCTCCTGAGTAGCTGGGATTACAGGTGCCCACCGCCACACCAGGCTAATTTTTTATTATTTTAATTTTTTTGAGACAGAGTCTCACTCTATATCGCCCAGGCTGGAGTGCAGTGGCGCAATCTGGGCTCACTGCAAACCCCACCTCTCAGGTTCACGCCATTCTCCTGCCTCAGTCTCACGAGTAGCTGGGACTACAGGTGCCTGCCACCGTGCCTGGCTAATTTTTTGTATTTTTAGTAGAGACAGGGTTTCACCATGTTAGCCAGGATGGTCTTGATCTCCTGACCTCATGATCCGCCCGCCTCAGCCTCCCACAGTGCTGGGATTACAGGGATGAGCCACCATGCCCAGCCATACCAAGCTAATTTTTGTATTTTTTTTTAGTTGAGACAGGGTTTCACCATGTTGGCCAGGCTGGTCCCTGACCTTGTGATCCGCCCGCCTCAGCTTCCCAAAGTGCTGAGATGACAGACATGAGCCACCGTGCCTGGCCAATGTTGATGATTCTAAGCAGCCGCTAATGTGAAAACCATCCAACTGGAAGACCTGGCCTTTCCCAGAGGACACAGTCTGGGTGGTGGGCAGAGACTTCAGCTGACTTCCAAGGCAAGCAGCTCCTTGCTGCCCGCTTGCTGGGGATTTTACTTACGGGGCAGAAGCTGGCAAGTGATTTGGGGGCAGGAATTGCTTCCTGGATGGTATAGGATGAACCACACTCCCCAGGAAGGCACTCATCCTGGTGGCCTAACAGAAGTAGCCCTCACCTCAAAAGGTAATGCTGCTCCACTAGTTTTATGGGGTGACTCCTTCCTGTAGGTTCCTTCCAGCTTTACCAGAAACACAGAACATCTTTCCTGACAGGGCATTGGTTTTGTTTTTGAACAGAGAGATCCTTCTTTTAAAAAGTTAGTTTTTTCTTTTTTTTTTTTTGTAATGGAATCAACCTAGGTCCTAAGCCTAGCAGGTTATTATTATTATTTTTATGATTATTTTTTGAGATGGAGTCCCACTCTGTGGCCCAGGCTGGAGGGCAGTGGCACGATCTCGGCTCACTGCAATGTCTGCCTCCTGGGTTCAAGAGATTCTCCTGCCTCAACCTACAGAGGAGCCGGGATTACAGGCGTGCACCACCATGCCCGGCTAATTTTTGTACTTTTAGTAGAGATAGGGTTTTGCCATGTTGGCCAGGCTGATCTCAAACTCCTGACCTCAGGTGATCCACCCACCTCAGCCTCCCAAACTGCTGAGAATACAGGTGTGAGCTGCCACACCCAGCCACAGGTTATTTTTGCTGATCTTCTCCCTCCTCCCACCCTCTACCCTCAAAGAAAATGTGGTACATCTACACCATGGAATACTACGCAACCCTGAAAAGGAACAAAATCATTTTTTTGTTTTTTTTGTTTGTTTGTTTTTGCAGCAACATGGATGTAGCTGGAGGCCATTATCTTTTTAAATTATTTTTATTATTTTTTATTTTTTCTATTTTACTTTAAGTTCTGGGGTATATGTGCAGAATGTGCAGGATTGTTACATAGATATATATGTGCCATAGCGGTTTGCTGCACCCATCAACCCATCATCTACACTAGATATTTCTCATAATGCTGTCCCTCCCCCAGTCCCCCACCCCTGCAACAGGCCCCAGTGTGTGATGTTCCCCTCTCTGGGTCGATGTGTTCTCATTGTTCACTTCCCTCTTATGGTGAGAACATGCACTGTTTGGTTTTCTGTTCCTGTTTCACTTTGCTGAACATGAGGGTTTCCAGCTTCATCCATGTCCCTGCAAAGGACATGAACTCATCCTTTTTCATGGCTGCATAGTATTCCACAGTGTCTATGTGCTACATTTTCTTTATCCAGTCTATCACTGATGAGCATTTGGGTTGGTTCCACATCTTTGCTATTGTGAACAGTGTGGAGGCCATTATCTTAAGTAAATTAACAGAATGCTGCATGTTCTCACTATAAGTGGGAGCTAAATGTTGTGTATAGGTAGACACAGAGAAGGGAACAGATACTGGGTTCTAGTTAGGGGGAGAGAGGAAGGTAGAAGGACAAGAGTTGAAAAAACCAACTGTGGGGTATTATGCTCACTATCTGGGTGATGGGATCACTCATACCCCAGACCTCAGCATCACACATCGTCCACATGTAAGAAACCTGTACATGTACCTCCTGAATCCAAACTGCTCCACCATTTGCACCAGCAATTCCAAGACTGGGCATCTACCCAAAGGAAAAGAAGTCATTCTACCAAAAAGATACATGCATGGTAAAGTTCCTTTTTTTTTGTTTGTTTTTTGAGATGGAGTCTCGCTCTATTGCCCATGCTGGAGTGCAGTAGCAATCTTGGCTCACTGCAACCTCTGCCTCCTGGGTTAAAGTGATTCTCCTGCCTCAGCCTCCTGAGCAGCTGGGATTACAGGCATGCGCCACCATGCCTGGCTAGTTTTTGTATTTTTAGTAGAGATAGGGTTTCACCATGTTGACCAGGCTGGTCTTGAACTCCTGACCTCAGGTGATCTGCCCACCTTGGCCCTCCAGAGTGCTGGGATTATAGTGCCCAGCCCTGTAAGGTTTGTCACAGCATGACTTACAATAGGAAAGTCATGGAATCAACCTAGTTGCCCATCAGTAGGGTACCGGATAAAGCAAAAGTGGTTCTTCTACAGCATCGAATACTACACAGCCATGAAAAAGAATAAAATCACATCCTTTGCAGCCACATGGATGTAGCTGGAGGGCATTATGCTTAATGAATTAAGAACAGAAAATCAAATACCACATGTTCTTGACTGGATAAAGCAATTGTGGCCCTTCTACGCCATGGAATACTGCACAGCCATGAAAAAGAATAAAATCATGTCTTTGCAGCCACATGGATGCAGCTGAAGGGAATTATGCTTAGTGAATTAATGCCAGGAAAAGAAAATCGAATACCACATGTTCTCCACTAGATAAAGCAAATGTGGTCTTTCTGCATCATGGAATACTACGCAGCCATGAAAAAGAATAATATCATGTCCTTTGCAGCCACATGGACACAGCTGAAGGACATTATGCTTAGTGAATTAATGCCAGGAACAGAAAATGAAATACTACATGTCCTCAACTGGATAAAGCAAATGTGGCCCTTCTACACCACGGAATACTACACAGTGATGAAAAAAATAAAATCTTGTCTTTGCAGCCACATGGATGCAGCCAGAGGCCATTATGCTTAGTGAATCAATATGAGGAACAGAAAATCAAAGACCACATGTTCTTCACTAGATAAAGCAAATGTGGTCCTTCTGCATCATGGAATACTACACAGCCATGAACAAGAATAAAATCATGCCCTTTGCAGCAACATGGATGAAGCTGAAGGGCATTATGCTTAGTGAATTAATGCCAGAAACAAAATCAAATACCACATGTTCTCAATTAGATAAAGCAAATGTGGTCCTTCCGCATCATGGAATACTACACAGCCATGAACAAGAATAAAATCATGCCCTTTGTAGTCACGTGGATGAAGCTGAAGGGCACTATGCTTAGTGAATTAACGCCAGGAACAGAAAATCAAATACCACATGTTCTCGCTTATAGGTGGGAGCTAAACATTGCCTGCACCTGGATACAATGAAGGGGCACCACAGACCCTCAGTACTAATAGAGCAGGAAGCAGGGGCGGGGGTACAAGGGTTGAAAAACTACCCTGAGATTCTTTGAATTTCAGGCAGAAAGCAGCAACTGGAGAGAGCTTTGGGTCACGGATTTTTCTGTTGCATTTTCTTGCTTGTTTGTTTTCTCTCTCGCTCTCTTTTTTTTTTTTTTTTTTTGAGATGGAGTCTCGCTCTGTGACCCAGGCTGGAGTGCAGTGGTGCAATCTCGGCTCCCTGCAACTTCTGCCTCCTGGATTCAAGCAATTCTTCTACCTCAGCCTCCCAAGTAGCTGGGATTACAGGCACCCGCCACCACACCTGGTTAATTTTTGTATTTTTAGCAGAGACGGGCTTTCACCATGTTGGCCAGGCTGGTCTCGAACTCCTGACCTCAGGTGATCTGCCTGCCTCGGCCTCCCAAAGTGCTGGGATTACAGGCATGAGCCACTGCACCTGGACCTCTTCTTATATATTCTAGAACTCCTCTAGAATTTGGGGTTTGTTTTTCTTAATTACAAGGAATCAAGTTGAATCATTAGTGCATATATAAATATGCATTTTATTTTTAGTACACATTATATACCTCAGGAATGTACAATGCTCAGTGCCTGGGTGACGGGATGATTCATACCCCAAACCTCAGCAACGTACAATATCCTCAGGTCACAAAGCTGCCCGTGGATCCCCTGAATCTATAATAATAATAATAAATAAAAAGTGACTTTGTCATTCGCAGGGAAATGCAAATGACATTCACTCTGCCTCTCAGGCCCTTGGATTCCCAAAATTTGTTTTCATCACGCCCAGGGGACACTCAGAATCTCATTTTCAGAACATGGGTTGTTTTTCTTAGAAACACTTTGCAAAACAAAATAGGAAGCAAAATCTTTCTCACTCCTTCCACTCCGTAATAGACAAAATAAAATGAGGGGTCAGGAATCCAGAGACTTTGACTGCAGTTGGCAGATTTATTGTGGTACAGACATGAAGGCAAACAGTGTTCTCTCTGATTCTACAAACCGTACAGCCCGGGCCGGCTGCCTTCTGCTTTCTGGATGGTGCAGGCGTGAGCTCCAAGCCCAAATTTCACCGGAGCTCCAGAAATCGAGCCTGGCCCAGGCACTCACTGCACGGGGGCCAAGCGTGAAACCAGTGATCACTCCAGCAAGGTAACAGGACAGCTTGGTGATCCTTCTTGCCGGCCACAAAAGGTTATAGCCAGAATTCCACCGAATGTGGTCTTTCTGTGTCTCTCCCCAGACAGCGAAGCTGGACAAACCTGGGGGTGGGGGGTGGGGGGTGCTGACCTCAGTGGGGTGTCCTGGAGGGGCAGGAACCAGGGTTTACAGGGTGCAGATCCTACTGAAGCAAATGGACGTGGCATCCGCGGGCAGAGCTGGCTGTGGCGTCTCCCCTCTGCCTGCGGTGTCACCAAATGTACCCAGAGACCGCTTGTAAACCTGGAGGGTGTGCTAACGTCAGTGGGGTGTCCTGGAGAGGCAGGAACCTGGGAATCCAAGGTACAGATTCTACTAAAGCAAATGGACGTGGCATCCGCGGGCAGAGCTGGCTGTGGCGTCCCCCCTTCTGCCTGGGGTGTCACCACATTTCACCAAGAGACCCCTTCTAAACCTGGGCAGTGTGCTGACCTCAGTGGGGTGTCCTGGAGAGGCAGGAACCAGGGTTTACAGGATGCAGATCCTACTGAAGCAAATGGACATGGCATCTGCGGGCAGAGCTGGGTGTGGCTGGCCTTCCAGCCTGGATGTCCCCCCCCGCCTGGGGTGTCACCAAATGCACCCAGAGACCCCTTCTAAACCTGGGGGGATGTGCTGACCTCAGTGGGGTTTCCTGGAGAGGCAGGAACCTGGGTTACCAGGGTGCATATCCTACTGAAGCAAATGGACGTGGCATCCTTGAGCAGAGCTGGCTGTGGCTGGCCTTCCAGCCTGGACGTCTCCCCCACTGCCTGGGGTGTCACCAAATGCACCCAGAGACCTCTCTTCTGAAAGCCCATTCATGGGAAGCCTCCAGGTCTCCTCGGTAGGCAGCATCACGTCTGATTTAACTGCGTTATCAGGTAATGCAGGCCTGTTCTACCTGTGTGAGTGAGCGCGTGGGTGCCGTGTGGGAGTGTGTGTGTTGATGTGGGTGTGGGTGTGTGCTTGTGTGGCTGTGTGTGCCTGTTTATGTGATGATGAGTGTTTCTGTGAGTCTGTAAGACAACGTGTGTTTCCATGCATGTTTCTGTGTGAGCGTGCATTCCTGTGTTTTATGGAAGTGTGTTTTTGTGATGGTGTTTGTGTGTGCCCCTGTGTTTATCGTATTTGTGTGTTTGTGAATATGAATGTATGTGTGTGAATCTGTATGGCAATGTATAAATTCTTTTTTTTTTTTTTTGAGACGGAGTCTCGCTCTGTCACCCATACTGGAGTGCAAAGGCACAATCTCAGCTCACAGCAACCTCCGCCTCCCGGGTTCAAATGATTCTTCTGCCTCAGCCTCCTGAGTACCTGGGATTACAGGCACCCACCACCACATCTGGCTAATTTTTCTTTTTTGATACAGAGTCTCGTTCTGTTGCCCAGGCTGGAGTGCAGTGGCGTAATCTTGGCTCACTGCAACCTCTGCCTCCCGGGTTCAAATGATTCTCCTGCCTCAGCCTCCTGAGTAGCTGGGATTACAGGCATACGCCACCACATCTGGCTAATTTTTGTATTTTTGAGTAGAGACGGGGTCTCACCATGTTGGCCAGGCTGGTCTGGAACTCCCGACCTCAAGTTATCTGCCCGCCTCAGCCTCCCAAAGTTCTGGGAGTACAGGCGTGAGCCACCTTGCCCGGCCCCGGTGTGTGAATTTTTATGTTTGTGTGTCCACATGATTATGTGAGTCTTTTTGTGACTGTGTTTGCATGAGTGTGTGACTGTATTTATGTGTTTGTGTGTGCTTGTGTGATTCTGAGTGTGTGTATGAGTGTGTATGACATATGTGAGCGTCTTTGTGGGTGAGTAGCCATCCACGTGTTTATATGAGAGTGTTTTCATGATTCTGTTTATGAGTGTCTTTGTATGTATACATGTTTGTGTGCTTTGTGAGAATGTCAATGTGCATGTGCACCCACGTGTGCAAAAAAACACACATTTTTGTAATTGTGTTTGTGTGTGTGTCCCTGCGTTTGTGTGAGTGTGCATGTCTTTGTGTGTCCATGTGTTTCTATGAGTGTGTTTTGTGATTCTGTCTTCGTGTTGATGTGTGTTTGTGTAAGTGTGTGGTTGCATTTGTGTCAGTGATTCTGGAGCAGGTGAGTTGATCACAAGCCTGAGCTGAGAATCCATGGAGCTCATTTACAACAGAAGCCAGGACCCTGTGCAAATCCTTCTGAAATATCCCCGGTTTACAGAGCTCCTAGGGGTGGGGAAGAAAAATTCCCTGACTTTTCGGCCTCAGGGAAAGAGAGAGACACCCCACTGGCCATACGCCTCTGCTGTTTCTCAGAAAACGGATGGGGCATCACTCTTTCCCAAATGACGGTGATTTTGAGAACGGTTCACCTTTTGAAGAGACGTTTCTGCCCTGGCGATCCATACATATTGAACCAAAATGAATATTTTTTAATTAAAAATTTTTATATAAATATACATTGTGTATACTTTATATTAATATATTGATATAAATAAATATATTTTATTAATATAAACATATGATTTTTATAGTTCATATAAATAATAAAGTTATATATAGTGTATATGTAAAATATACTTTTATTTGTAATACATAATTTTATAGATTAAATTTTATATACTAAGCAAAGTTATATGTGATATATACATGCCATATAACATCATTTATATCATATATACCTTTATGTAAATAAGTATATAATAAAATTGATCTTATATTTGTTAATACATAATTATGTATATATACTATGTAAAAATAAAATTATATGTTGTATGTGCATAATTATATTTCCATAAATACATGCTTAGGTGTGTATTTATACATGAATGCCTGTGTTTGTGTGAGTACATCAGTGAGTGCGTGAATGTGTGTGTGCGCATGTGTGCCTGTGTTTGTGTGAGTGTAAGAGTGTTGTACATTTATACACACACATTTTGTTTTCTGGTTAATAACAAGATCTATCTTTGATTTAGGATATGAAGAATTCTTATAAGCAACCCCCCCACACACACAATTTGTATTTATCTTAAAATATTCTTAAAATATGGGTTCTTTTATTTTTGCACAAACAGACAAGAGTGTTTTTTCTTTCCAAAACTTTTATTTCAAATTCTGACCCTGAGGAGGAGAAAAAGAAGAAAACATTGTGTAACCTTATATACATTAGAAACATAGGTAGTTACTAAATGCAATACAGATTTTGACAACATGCATTTAGGAAAAATGAGGAATTCAAACTCGTAGCTGCCTCAATATTGAACTTTCTAATGTTTAATTTTTTTTAATTAAAAAGTATTCGTTTGGATTCAATATGTATGGATCTCCAGGGCAGAAATGTCTCTCCAAAAAGTGAACCACTCTGAAAATCACCGTCATTTGGGAAAGGGTGATGCCCCAGGTGTCTTCTGAAAAATAGCAGAGGCTTCCGGCCAGTGGGATGTCTCTCTCTTTCCCTGAGGCCGAAATGTCAGGGAATTTTTCTTCCCCACCCCTAGGAGCCCAGTAAACGGGGGATATTTCAGAAGGATTTGCACAGGGTCCTGGCTTCTGCTATTTATGAGCTCCATGGATTCTTGGCTCAGGCTTGTGATCAGCTCACCTGCTCCAGAATCACTTCCCGTCTTAGCTTCTGGGCTAAGACACCTCAAAACCAGCAAAGGAAAGTCCTCACTGGTCAACGTGTCCATCCCAACTCCCCCATCTCCCCTTAGGGTGGGTTTGGGGTTCGGGACTGCTTTACTGTTCCTTTCAAAGCAGACTGGGAGGTAAGATTTTATTCTGCTTCCAGAGGTTCAGGATTTCTGCAGACGGTCAGCAACTCTTTGCATCCTACTGGTAAAAGTTTTATATACTTTGTATTTATATAAATATGCATTGTGTATATTTTATATGAATAGATTGATATAAATATATTTTATTAACTTAACCATGTGACTTTTATATTTTTATATAAATAAAGTTATATGTAGTGTATATGTAAAATACACTTTTATTTGTAATACATAATTTTATAGATTAAATTTAATATATTAAGCAAAAATATATGTAATATATATAACATATAACATCATTTATATAATATGTAACTTAATGTAAATAAGTATATAAAATTATTATTATATTTGTTAATACATAATTATGCATATATACTATGTAAAAATAAAATTACATATTGTATATGCATAATTATATTTCTATAAATACAATTATATACTATATATAATTATGTACAAAATAATTGTATAATAAAATTATATAATAAATTTTGAAACGTTATAAATTATTATACATAGTATTTTATTGTATTAAATTTAGAAATGTGTTATATGTTTTATTATAATAAATGTAGATTATATAAAATTTTATTTATAATAAATTATCTTATGTATAATTATAATATGAGAAAATAATTATATATCATTGTATTATAATAAATTTAGAAATGTTATACATTATTATATATAAAATTTCATTATATTAAATTTAGAAATATATGCAATAAAATGGTATTAAAATTTTTATGTAACATTTTATACATGTATAATTTTATAAAATGTTTTATAATATATAGAATATAAGTACACAGCATATAAGTACAAAAATATTTATATACAGCTACACGTAATATAAATACATCAGTGTAAGATGTTTTGTGTGTGTGAGATGGAGTCTCGCTCTGTTGCCCAGGCTGGAGTGCAGCGACACGATCTCGGCTCACTGCAACCTCTGCCTCCTGGGTTCAAGCGATTCTCCTGCCTCAGCCTCCCGAGTAGCTGGGATTACAGGCATGCACCACCACACCCAATCAATTTTTGTATTTTTAGTAGAGATGGGGTTTCACTGTGTTAGCCAGGATGGTCTCAAACTCCTGACCTCAGGTGATCCACCCGCCTTGGCCTCCCAAAGTGCTGGGATTACAGGCATGAGCCACAGTGTAAGATACTGGCTATTAAAAAATAAATAAATATATATATTGCAACAGCTGATTTGTCTGGAAGAGTCTGGTCAGAAGACAGTGTATTAAGAAGACTGTGAGTCCCCAGAGGAATATAAGAATATACATCATGTTGATATATTATATATAACATAAATAGCTAACTACATCTGTGTATATAGTATAAACAAAAGTACAAAAATATTTGTATATAACTATATGTAATATAAATATATCAGTGTAAGATATTAGCTATTAAAAAATATATATATAGAGAGAGAGAGAGCAACCAGTGATTTGTCTGGAATATTCTAGTCAGAAGACAGTGTATTAAGAAGACAGTGAGTCCCCAGAAGAATATAAGAATATACATCATGTTAATATATTATATATAACATAAATACCTAACGACATCTGTATATATAGTATAAACATAAACTACAAAAATATTAGTATGTAACTATATGTAATATAAATATATCAGTGTAAGATATTAGCTATTAAAATATACATATGTGCGTATGTATGTGTATATGTGTATATAAATATTATATATATATATATAGTAACAGCTGATTTGTGTGGAAGACTTTGGTCAGAAGACAGTGTATTAAGAAGACAGTGGGTCCTCACAGGAAAATAAGAATATACATCATGTTTATATTACATATAACATAAACAACTAATTACATCTGTATATACAGCATAAACATAAAGTACAAAAATATTTGTATATAATCATATGTAATATAAATATACCAGTGTAAGATATTAGCTATTAAAATATACATGTGTGTATGTATGTGTATATGTGTATATATAATATATATATACATATATAACATATATAATATATAAGATATAGCATAATAATATAATATATTATATATAATATGTAATGTATATTATATAATTAATATATAATATATAATATATTCTATGCTATATAATATATTATATATTCTATGCAGTAAAATATATAGCATATATATATATATATATATATATATATATATATATATATATAGCAACAGCTGATTTGTCTGGAAGAATTTGGTCAGAAGACAGTTTATTAAGACAGTGAGTCCCCAGAGAAATATAAGAATATACATCATGTTTATATTATATATAACATAAATAGCTAACTACATCTGTATATATAGCATAAACATAAAGTACAAAAATATTTATATATAATATAAATATATCAGTGTAAGATATTAGCTATTAAAAAAAATATATATATATATAGCAACCGGTGATTTGTCTGGAAGACTGGTCAGAAGACAGTGTATTAGGAAGACAGGCAGTCCCCGCAGGAAGCATGGTGCAGGTGGGATCTGGAGGTGACTCTGGGCTGCCAGAAGACGCCCTACTGCTTTGCGGCAGACACAGGTGGAGAGGTCCTCTCTGTAGCTTCAGCGTGGACACTGTGTGTGTCTTGTTGTGGGAACACTTCTTTCTGCTTCCCTCTCCACTGTGACCATCACACTCACTGACCTGCCCTCCTCCTTCCTCTCGCTCTCTGGGGCCCCTGTGGAAAGAGGGTCTTCCCTCCATGCAGCAGGAACCCCCAGGACCCTCCCCATTCTCCTGGGTTCTGAACTTCAGGGACATGTGATCCTACCTGACCGGGCACAGGCTCTGTTCACCCTCAGGAACCCCTGTCCTCCCAGGACACCGTGGACTGGAGAACTGGCCTCCTGAAAATCCAGAGAGAACTTAGCACTCACAACTTCTTTTTTTCTTTTTTCTTTGAGACGGGATCTTGCTCTGTCCCCCAGGCTGGAGTGCAATGGCATGATCTCAGCTCACTGCAACCTCCTCCTCCCAGGTTCAAGCAGTTCGTCCTGCCTCTGTCTCCCGAGTTTCTGGGATCATAGGCATCCACCCCTGCAGCCAACTAATTTCTGTATTTTTAGTAGAGACGGTGTTTCACCATGTTGGCCAGGCTGGTCTCGAACTCTTGACCTCAAGTGATCCACCCACCTCGGCCTCCCAAAGTACTGGGATGACATATATTAGCATGATGTATATTATTCTATTCCTCCGGGGACTCACTGTCTTCTTGGGCAGTAAACCACTGTGCCCGGACTTCTCTGTCCACATCTACACACGTCTAAACCTCTGTAGATTCTGAATTGTTTTTCCTTTGCACAGAATGAGAGGAACTGAAGTCGGGAGGCCCAGCCCCAACATGGTCCCTCTGGCTCTGTGCTCAGGCGGTTTATGGCTGACAAGGACTTGGGGGGTTGAGGGCTTCCTATCAGCCCAGGAGACATTACCCGGGTCTGGGAAGCCTGCTCTGCACTTGTGGGTCTCGAATTGTCTGTTGCATTTACCTGCCTCATTATTTTTTCTCCCTGTCTCTCTTCTTACATATTTCTTTCGAATTTGGAGCTTGTTTTTCTTAACTACAATCAACCTGAATCATTACTGCATATATAAATATAAATTTTATATTGAGTAGACATTATATACTCAATCTATTACACATTCCAACACGGGCCATATCTAAGATGAATATATTTAATGTTTAAAATATGTTTACATTTCATATGGAAAAATATATTTATATTTAATATATATGTGTATATTTAATACAGGAAATACATATTTATATTTAATATATAAAATATATATTTATATTTGACATAAAAATATATGTTTATATTTAATATGGGAAATATATGTTTATGTTTAATATACAAAATACATGTTAATATTTAATATAGACAATGTATAGTTATATTTACTATCCAAAATACATGTTTATATTTAATATAGAAAATGTTTATATTTAATGTACAGAATACATATTTATATTTAATATAGAAAATACATATTTATATTTAACATATACAGTATTTATATTTAATGTATAAAATATGTTTACATTTAATGTGCTGAATATATGCTTATATTTAATGTCTAAAATGTCTATATTTAATGTATTGTATACATTAAATGTACCAAATGTATTCTTATATTTAATGTATACAAGATGTTTATATTTAATGTATATGTTTACATTTAATGTATAAAATGTTTATGTTTGATGTATAAAAGATGTTTATATTTAATGTATACAATGTTTATATTTAATGTACCAAATATATTATATTTAATGTCCAAGCCAGCCAAGCAAGCCAAGCCAGCCAAGCAACCCAGCCAAGCCAACCAGCCAGCCAAGCAAGCCAAGCCAGCCAGCCATCCAAGCCAGTCAAGCCAGCCAAGCCAGCCAAGCCAGCCACCCAGCCAAGCCAGCCAAGCCAGCCAGCCACCCAGCCAGCAAAGCCAGCCAAGCCAGCCAGCCCCCCAAGCCAGCCAAGCCAGCCAGCCACCCTAGCCAGCCAAGCCACCAAAGCCAGCCAAGCCAGCCAAGCCACCCAGCCACCCAGCCTAGCCAGCCAAGCCAGCCAAGCCAGCCAGCCCCCCAAGCCAGCCAAGCCAGCCAGCCACCCTAGCCAGCCAAGCCACCCAAGCCAGCCAAGCCAGCCAAGCCACCCAGCCAGCCAAGCCAGACAGCCACCCAGCCTAGCCAGCCAAGCCACCCAAGCCAGCCAAGCCAGCCAAGCCACCCAGCCAGCAAAGCCAGACAGCCACCCAGCCAGCCAAGCCAGTCAAGCCACCCAGCCAGCCAAGCCAGCCAAGGCAGCCAGCCAGCCAAGCCAGCCAAGCCACCCAGACAGCCAAGCCAGCCAAGCCACCTAGCCAGCCAAGCCAGCGAAGCCACCCAGCCAGCCAAGCCAGCCAAGCCACCCAGCCAGCCAAGCCAGCCAGCCACCCAGCCAGCCAAGCCTGCCAAGCCACGCAGCCAGCCAAGCCACCCAGCCAGCCAAGCCAGCCAGCCACCCAGCCAGCCAAGCCAGCCAAACCACCCAGACAGCCAAGCCCGCCAGCCACCCAGTCAGCCAAGCCAGCCATGCCAGCCAGCCACACAAGACAGCCAGCCAGCCAAGCCAGCCAAGCCAGCCAGCCGTGTAAGCCAGCCCAGCCGGCCAGCCAATCCAGCCAAGCCACCCAGCCACCCAAGCCAGCCAAGCCAGCCAAGCCACCCAGCCAGCCAAGCCAGCCAGGCACCCAGTCAGCCAAGCCAGCCATGCCAGCTAGAAAGCCAAGACAGCCAGCCAGCCAAGGCAGCCAACCCACCCAGCCAGCCAAGCAACCCAGCCAAGCCAACCAGCCAGCCAAGCAAGCCAAGCCCCCCAAGCCACCCAGCCAGCCACCCTAGCCAGCCAAGCCACCCAAGCCAGCCAAGCCAGACAAGCCACCCAGCCAGCCACCCTAGCCAGCCAAGCCACCTAAACCAGCCAAGCCAGCCAAGCCACCCAGCCACCCAGCCTAGCCAGCCAAGCCACCCAAGCCAGCCAAGCCAGCCAAGCCACCCAGCCACCCAGCCTAGCCAGCCAAGCCAGCCAAGCCAGCCAGCCCCCCAAGCCAGCCAAGCCAGCCAGCCACCCTAGCCAGCCAAGCCACCCAAGCCAGCCAAGCCAGCCAAGCCACCCAGCCACCCAGCCTAGCCAGCCAAGCCAGCCAAGCCAGCCAGCCCCCCAAGCCAGCCAAGCCAGCCAGCCACCCTAGCGAGCCAAGCCACCCAAGCCAGCCAAGCCAGCCAAGCCACCCAGCCAGCCAAGCCAGACAGCCACCCAGCCTAGCCAGCCAAGCCACCCAAGCCAGCCAAGCCAGCCAAGCCACCCAGCCAGCCAAGCCAGACAGCCACCCAGCCAGCCAAGCCAGCCAAGCCACCCAGCCAGCCAAGCCAGCCAAGGAAGCCAGCCAGCCAAGCCAGCCAAGCCACCCAGACAGCCAAGCCAGCCAAGCCACCCAGACAGCCAAGCCAGCGAAGCCAGGCAAGCCAGCCAAGCCACCCAAGCCAGCCAAGCCAGCCAAGCCACCTAGCCAGCCAAGCCAGCGAAGCCACCCAGCCAGCCAAGCCAGCCAAGGCACCCAGACAGCCAAGCCAGCCAAGCCACCTAGCCAGCCAAGCCAGCGAAGCCACCCAGCCAGCCAAGCCAGCCAAGCCACCCAGCCAGCCAAGCCAGCCAGCCACCCAGCCAGCAAAGACTGCCAAGCCACGCAGCCAGCCAAGCCACCCAGCCAGCCAAGCCAGCCAGCCACCCAGCCAGCCAAGCCAGCCAAACCACCCAGACAGCCAAGCCCGCCAGCCACCCAGTCAGCCAAGCCAGCCATGCCAGCCAGCCACACAAGACAGCCAGCCAGCCAAGCCAGCCAAGCCAGCCAGCCGTGTAAACCAGCCCAGCCGGCCAGCCAATCCAGCCAAGCCACCCAGCCACCCAAGCCAGCCAAGCCAGCCAAGCCACCCAGCCAGCCAAGCCAGCCAGGCACCCAGTCAGCCAAGCCAGCCATGCCAGCTAGAAAGCCAAGACAGCCAGCCAGCCAAGGCAGCCAACCCACTCAGCCAACCAAGCCAGCCAGCCAAGCTAGGCAAACCAGCCAGCCAGCCAAGCCACCCAGCCAGCCAAGCCAGCCAAGCCAGCCCAGCCAGCCAGCCAGCAAAGCCAGCCAAGCCAGCCAGCCAGCCAAGCCAGCCAAGGCAGCCAAGCCAGCCCAGCCAGCCAGCCAGCCAAGCCGGGCAAGCCAGCCAGCGAGCCCAGCCAGCCCAGCCAGCCCAGCCGGGCAAGCCAGCCAGCCAAGCCACCCAGCCACCCAAGCCAGCCAAGCCAGCCAAGCCACCCAGCCAGCCAAGCCAGCCAGGCACCCAGTCAGCCAAGCCAGCCATGCCAGCTAGAAAGCCAAGACAGCCAGCCAGCCAAGGCAGCCAACCCACCCAGCCAGCCAAGCCAGCCAGCCAAGCTAGGCAAACCAGCCAGCCAGCCAAGCCACCCAGCCAGCCAAGCCAGCCAAGCCAGCCCAGCCAGCCAGCCAGCAAAGCCGGGCAAGCCAGCCAGCGAGCCCAGCCAGCCCAGCCAGCCAAGCCGGGCAAGCCAGCCAGCGAGCCCAGCCAGCCCAGCCAGTCAGCCAGCCAAACCAGACCACCAGCCAAGCCAGCCAGCCACCCAGCAAAGCCAGCCACCCAGCCAAGCCAGCCAAGAGAGCAAAGCCAGCCAAGCCGGTCAGTCAAGCCAGCCAAGCCAGCCAAGCCAGCCAACCAGCCAGACAGCCCAGCCAGCCAGCCAGCACAGGCAGCTAAGCCAGACAAGCCAGCCAACCAGCCAGACAGCCCAGCCAGCCAGCCAGCACAGGCAGCCAAGCAAGCCAAGCCGGCCAAGACAGCCAGCCAGCCAACCCAGCCAAGCCAGCCAAGCCTGCCAGCCAGCCAAGCCACCCAAGCCAGCCAGCCAAGCCGACCAAGCCAGCCAAGCCAGTAAGCCAGAAAAGCCAGGCAAGCCTGCCAGCCGGCCAAGCCAGCCAAGCCAGCCAAGCCAGCCAAGCCAGCCAGCCAAGCCAGACAAGCCAGCCAGCCAGCCAAGCCAGCCAAGCCAGCCAAGCCAGCCAGCCACCAAGCCAGCCAAGCCACCCAGCCAGGCAAGCCAGCCAAGCCACCCAGCCAGCCAAGCCACCCAGCTGGCCAAGCCAGCCAGCCACCCAGCCAGCCAAACCAGCCAAGCGACCCAGCCAGCCAAGCCACCCAGCCAGCCAAGCCAGCCAGCCAGCCAGCCAAGCCAGCCAAGCCAATCAAGCAAGCCAAGCCAGCCAGCCAGCCAGGCCAGCCAAGCCACCTAGCCAGCCAAGCCAGCCAAGCCACCCAGCCAGCCAAGCCAGCCAAGCCACACAGCCAGCCAAGACACCCAGCCAGCCAAGCCCGCCAGCCACCCAGTCAGCCAAGCCAGCCATGCCAGCCAGCCAGCCAAGACAGCCAGCCAGCCAAGCCAACCAAGCCACCCAGCCAGCCAAGCCAGCCAGCCAGCCAGCCAGCCAGCCAGTCAGGCAGCCAAGCCAGTGGGCCGCCCAGCCAGCCAAGCCAGCCAAGCCACCCAGCCAGCAAAGCCAGCCAAGCCACTCAGCCAGCCAAGCTGGCCAAGCCACCCAAACAGTCAAGCCAGCGAAGCCAACCATGCCAGTCAGCCAGCCAAGCCAGCCAGCCAGCCCAGCCGGCCAAGCCAGCCAGCCAAGCCACCCAGCCACCCAAGCCAGCCAAGCCAGCCAAGCCACCCAGCCAGCCAAGCCAGCCAGGCACCCAGTCAGCCAAGCCAGCCATGCCAGCTAGAAAGCCAAGACAGCCAGCCAGCCAAGGCAGCCAACCCACCCAGCCAGCCAAGCCAGCCAGCCAAGCTAGGCAAACCAGCCAGCCAGCCAAGCCACCCAGCCAGCCAAGCCAGCCAAGCCAGCCCAGCCAGCCAGCCAGCAAAGCCGGGCAAGCCAGCCAGCGAGCCCAGCCAGCCCAGCCAGCCAAGCCGGGCAAGCCAGCCAGCGAGCCCAGCCAGCCCAGCCAGTCAGCCAGCCAAACCAGACCACCAGCCAAGCCAGCCAGCCACCCAGCAAAGCCAGCCACCCAGCCAAGCCAGCCAAGAGAGCAAAGCCAGCCAAGCCGGTCAGTCAAGCCAGCCAAGCCAGCCAAGCCAGCCAACCAGCCAGACAGCCCAGCCAGCCAGCCAGCACAGGCAGCTAAGCCAGACAAGCCAGCCAACCAGCCAGACAGCCCAGCCAGCCAGCCAGCACAGGCAGCCAAGCAAGCCAAGCCGGCCAAGACAGCCAGCCAGCCAACCCAGCCAAGCCAGCCAAGCCTGCAGCCAGCCAAGCCAGCCAAGCCACCCAAGCCAGCCAGCCAAGCCGACCAAGCCAGCCAAGCCAGTAAGCCAGAAAAGCCAGGCAAGCCTGCCAGCCGGCCAAGCCAGCCAAGCCTGCCAAGCCAGCCAAGCCAGCCAGCCAAGCCAGACAAGCCAGCCAGCCAGCCAAGCCAGCCAAGCCAGCCAAGCCAGCCAGCCAGCCAAGCCAGCCAAGCCACCCAGCCAGGCAAGCCAGCCAAGCCACCCAGCCAGCCAAGCCACCCAGCTGGCCAAGCCAGCCAGCCACCCAGCCAGCCAAACCAGCCAAGCGACCCAGCCAGCCAAGCCACCCAGCCAGCCAAACCAGCCAGCCAGCCAGCCAAGCCAGCCAAGCCAATCAAGCAAGCCAAGCCAGCCAGCCAGCCAGGCCAGCCAAGCCACCTAGCCAGCCAAGCCAGCCAAGCCACCCAGCCAGCCAAGCCAGCCAAGCCACACAGCCAGCCAAGACACCCAGCCAGCCAAGCCCGCCAGCCACCCAGTCAGCCAAGCCAGCCATGCCAGCCAGCCAGCCAAGACAGCCAGCCAGCCAAGCCAACCAAGCCACCCAGCCAGCCAAGCCAGCCAGCCAGCCAGCCAGCCAGCCAGTCAGGCAGCCAAGCCAGTGGGCCGCCCAGCCAGCCAAGCCAGCCAAGCCACCCAGCCAGCAAAGCCAGCCAAGCCACTCAGCCAGCCAAGCTGGCCAAGCCACCCAAACAGTCAAGCCAGCGAAGCCAACCATGCCAGTCAGCCAGCCAAGCCAGCCAGCCAGCCAAGCCAGCCAAGCAACCCAGCCAAGCCAACCAGCCAGCCAAGCAAGCCAAGCCCCCCAAGCCACCCAGCCAGCCACCCTAGCCAGCCAAGCCACCCAAGCCAGCCAAGCCAGACAAGCCACCCAGCCAGCCACCCTAGCCAGCCAAGCCACCTAAACCAGCCAAGCCAGCCAAGCCACCCAGCCACCCAGCCTAGCCAGCCAAGCCACCCAAGCCAGCCAAGCCAGCCAAGCCACCCAGCCACCCAGCCTAGCCAGCCAAGCCAGCCAAGCCAGCCAGCCCCCCAAGCCAGCCAAGCCAGCCAGCCACCCTAGCCAGCCAAGCCACCCAAGCCAGCCAAGCCAGCCAAGCCACCCAGCCACCCAGCCTAGCCAGCCAAGCCAGCCAAGCCAGCCAAGCCAGCCAGCCCACCAACCCAGCCAAGCCACCCATCCAGCCAAGCCAGCTAGCCAGCCAAGCCACCCAAACCAGCCAAGCCAGCCAGCCATCCAAGCCAGCCAAGCCAGCCAGCCAGCCTAGCCAGCCAAGACACCCAAGCCAGCCAAGCCAGCCAAGACACCCAGCTGGCCAAGCCAGCCAGCCACCCAGCCAGCCAAGCCAGCCAAGCCAGCCAAGCCAGGCAAGCTAGCCAAGCCAGCCAAGCCAGCCAGCCAGCCAAGCCAGCCTAGCCACCCATCCTGCCAAGCCAGCCAAGCCACCCAGCCAGCCAAGCCACCCAAGCCACCCAGCCAGCCAAGCCAGTCAAGCCACCCAGCCGGACAAGCCGGCCAAGCCAGCCAGCCAGCCAAGCCGGCCAAGCCTGCCAGCCAGCCAAGCCGGCCAAACCAGGCAAGCCAGCCAATCCAGCCAAGCCTGCCAGAGAGCCAATCCAGCCAAGCCTGCCAGAGAGCCAAGCCAGCCAAGCCAGCCAAGCCACCCAGCCAGCCAAGTCAGCCAGCCACCCAGCCAGCCAAGCCAGCCAGCCACCCAGGCCGGCCAAGCCAGCCAGCCAGCCAAGCCGGCCAAGCCACCCAGCCAGCCAAGCCGGTCAAGCCACCTAGTCAGCCAAGCCAGCCATGCCAGCCAGCCAGCCAAGACAGCCAGCCAGCCAAGCCACCCAAGCCACCCAGCCAGCCAAGCGAGCCAGCCATGCTAGCCAAGCCAGCCAGCCAGCCAAGCCATCCAGGCCAGCCAATCCAGCCAAGCCTGCCAGCCAGCCAAGGTAGCCAAGCCAGCCATTCCAGCCAAGCCTGCCAGCCAGCCAAGCCAGCCAAGCCAGCCAGCCAGCCAGCCAAGCCAGCCAAGCCACCCAGCCAGCCAATCCAGCCAAGCCTGCCAGCCAGCCAAGGTAGCCAAGCCGGCCAGCCAGCCAAGCCAGCCAAGCCACCCAGCCAGCCAAGCCAGCCAAGCCAGCCAGCCAACCAAGCCAGCCAAGCCAGCCATTCCAGTCAAGCCTGCCAGCCAGCCAAGCCAGCCAAGCCAGCCATTCCAGCCAAGCCTGCCAGCCAGCCAAGCCAGCCAATCCAGTCATTCCAGCCAAGCCTGCCAGCCAGCCAAGCCAGCCAAGCCAGCCAGCCAGCCAGCCAAGCCAGCCAAGCCACCCAGCCACCGAAGCCAGCCAGCCAGCCAGCCAAGCCACCCAGCCAAGCCAGCCAGCCAGCCCAGCCACCCAAGCCACCCAGCCACACTCCATCTGAAAAAAAGAAGCACTCCATCCAGCCTGGGCAGTAGAGCGAGAGTCCATCTCCAAAAAAAAAAAAACAAAACAAAACACCAGCCTGGCCAATATAGTGGAACCCCGTCTCTAATAAATATACAAAAAAATCAGCTGGGCGTGGTGGCACACGCCTGTAATCCCAGCTACTTGGGAGGCCCAGGCAGGAAGATCTGTTGAACCCGGGAGGTGGAGGTTGCAGCGAACCAAGATTGCACCACTGCACTCCAGCCTGGGCAACAGGGCGAGACTCCCTCTCAGAAAAAAAAAAAAAAAAAAAAAAAAAAAAGACCAGCCTGGCCAACTTGGTGAAACCTCGTCTCTACTAAATATACAAAGAAATTAGCTGGGCGTGGTGGCACACACCTGTAATCCCAGCTACTCAGGAGGCCCAGGCAGGAGGATCGCTTGAACCCGGGAAGTGGAGGCTGCAGCAAGCCAAGATTGCACAACTGTACTCCAGCCTCGGCAACAGAGTGAGACTCCATCTGAAAAAAAAGAAGCACTCCATCCAGCCTGGGCAGTAAAGCGAGATTCCATCTCCAAAAAAAAAAAAAAACCAAAAAAAAAAAAAAAAAACACACCAGCCTGGCCAACATGGTGAAACCCCGTCTCTACTAAATATACAAAAAAATTAGCTGGGCGTGGTGGCACAGGCCTGTAATCCCAGCTACTCGGGAGGCCCAGGCAGGAGGATCACTTGAACCCAGGAGGTGGAGGCTGCAGCGAGCCAAGATTGCGCCACTGTACTCCAGCCTGGGCAACAGAGTGAGACTCCATTTCAAAAAAAAGAAGCACTCCAGCCTGGGCAACAGAGTGAGACTCCATCTGAAAAAAAGAAGCACTCCAGCCTCGGCAATAGAGCAAGACTCCATCTCAAAAAAATAAGAGAAACACCAGCCTGGCCAACATAGCGGAACCCTGTCTCTAATAAATATACAAAAAAATTAGCTGGGCGTGGTGGCACATGCCTGTAATCCCAGCTACTCAGGAGGCCCAAGCAGGAGGATCGCTTGAACCCTGGAGGTGGAGGTTGCAGTGCACCAAGATTGCACAACTGCACTCCAGCCTGGACAACAGAGCCAGACTCCATCTCAGAAAAAAAAGAAAAAAGAAAAAAAGACCAGCCTGGCCAACATGGTGAAACCCCGTCTCTACTAAATATACAACAAAATTAGCTGGGCGTGCTGGCACACGCCTGTAACCCCAGGTACTCAGGAGGCCCAGGCAGGAGGATCGCTTGAACCCGGGAGGTGGAGGTTTCAGCGAACCAAGATTGCACCTCTGCACTCCAGCCTGGGCAACAGAGCAAGATTCCATCTCAGAAAAACAAAACAAACAAACAAACAAAAAAAAGACCAGCCAGGTCAACATGGTGAAACCCCGTCTCTACTAAATATACAAGAAAATTAGCTGGGCGTGCTGGCACACGCCTGTAACCCCAGCTACTCGGGAGGCCCAGGGAGGAGAATTGCTTGAACCCGGGAGTTGGAGGTTGCAGCGAACGAAGATTGCACCACTGCACTCCAGCCTGGGCAACAGAGCAAGATTCCATCTGAGAAAAAAAAAAAAAAGACCAGGTTGGCCAACATGGTGAAAACCCGTCTCTACTAAATATACAAGAAAATTAGCTGGGCTAATTTTAGTTATCACATCTGTAAAATGGCACTAAGTTACAGGGATATTGTCCAGATGAATGTGTCTGGTACATAGTAGCAATAAAAAAGACGTTAGCTGGCCAGGCATGGTGGCTCACGCCTGTTATCCTAACAATTTGGGAGGCCAAGGAGGGTGGATCACTTGAGGCCAGGAGTAGGAGACCAGCCTGGCCAACACAGTGAAACACTGTCTCTACTAAAAATACAAAAATTAGCTGGCGAAGTGGCTTGTGCCTGTAATCCCAGCTACATGGGAGGCTGAGGCAGGAGAATTGCTTGAATCTGGGAAGTGGAGGTTGAAGTGAGCTGAGATTGGGCCATGGCACTCCAGCCTGGGCGACAGAGCGAGATTCTGTCTCAAAAAAAGGGAAACATTAGCTAACATTACCCTCAGCATGGATATTCCTACCAGTCTGATGTTCTGTTTTAGGTACTTAGTACCATAATAGCCTCATTGTTGGAGCACTGACTATGTTCCAGGTACTACGCTAAGTGCTTCACAAGCATTGTTTCATTTCATCCTCCCAACATCTCTCAAATAGGTACTAGCACTGTCCTCACTATTCAGGGGAGAAGTCTGCAGTTCAGAGGGGTGAAGTGATTCCTCTAAGACTGCATAACTTGTAAGTGGCAGAGCTAGGACCTGTCAGACTCTAAGAGCTTCATACCACACCTACAGGAAATATCTAGCAGCCAGTTCCATGCTCAGTTTCTTGAAGCATGAGATTCCAGGCCCCTAATATGGCACATAACTGTGGGCAGTAGAGGCCTCAATTCTCCCATCTGAACCATGAGGAAGGTCCCCCCGCCCTGAATCCCCTACAGGGCTGAGAGGAGGGCTCTGGAAACCTTGAAAAGGACTTTGTAGACTCTGAGCTGGGCACCCTCAAAGGCTTGGTTAGGAAGGAGACAAGAGAAAGAATTAATCCACTTCCTGCCAAGGAAGCCAAGAGCTGAAGGAGAAATGGTCCGTGTCCTCCTCCAGGGCCTGCCCCTTAGCATGGTTCCTCCCTGTTAGGAGGGTTAAGAACTTGGCCAAGTCTCAGCTCCACTCATCTCTGGCTGTATGTTCTTTGTACTTCCCCTCTCTGAGTGTCGGGCTTCTCAACTGTGAAATGGGGGTGATAATGATAACAGCCTTACCAGGACTGTAGTAAGGACAAGCCTTGGCCCATCGGTTCATTGTCTTAGTCTGCTCCTGTTGTTATAACAAAATACCTCAGACTCAGTAATATATAAACAACAGAAATATGTTGCTCATAGTTCTAGAGGCCGAGAAATCCACGAACAAGGCGTCAGTAGATTGGGTGTCAATGAGGGCCTGTTCCTCATAGAGGACGTCTTCTATGTGTCCTTACATGGTAGAAGGGGTGAACAAACTCCCTCAGGCTTCTTTTATAAGGGCACTAATCCCATTTATAAGGATGGAGCTTCATGAAGTGATCGCCCCCAAAAGTCCCACCTCTTAATACTACCACATTGCAGATTATGTTTCAATATATAAATTGGAGGAGACACATTGAGACACATGGATATTGGTTGAATAATTATCTTTTTTTTAATTTTTTTATTATTTTTTGAGACAGAGTCTTACTCTGTTGCCTAGACTGGAGTGCAATGGCACGATCTTGGCTCACTGCAACCTCTACCTCCTGGATTCAAGTGATTCTTCTGTCTCAGCCTCCCAAGTGTCTGGTATTACAGATGCATGCCACCACGCCTGGCTGATTTTTGCATTATTAGTAGAGGCAGGGTTTCACCATGTTGGCCAGGCTGGTCTCAAACTCCTGACTTCAAGTGATCCACCCACCTCGGCCTCCCAAAGTGCTGGGATTACAGGCATGAGCCACCATGCCTGCCCTGAATAATTATCTTTTGACACCTGGTCTGCAATTCTCATGGAGTTTCCGGTCTGGAAGAAGAGTCTGTATGTAATGTGTTTGGCACAGGTAGGTGCCCAATGGGTGGGTAGATGGATGGATGGATGGATGGATGGGTGGATGGATGAGATGAGTGACTTACTGCAGGTCTCACAGTTATAAAGTAACTCTTCCTGATAGCTCACACTGGCCACCAAAGACACATTAAACACTGATTTGAGAGGTACTCCGTGGACCAAATTACATGAGCAAAGTCTTAGAATTAGGAATTATTGCAGCATGGATGAGAGGCACTCATTTTATGTTCTCTTTCAGTATTTTTCCCAACAAGATCCTGAGAAGGAGGATCTGGATGGAGGTTCTGCCAGAGCCTCCTGGAGCAGAGCCAGGAGGTTGAGTAGGGAGTTGCGCCCCACAGCCCATATGAGCAGGCAGGAGCAGGCCAAGCCTGAGGGTTGGGCCTCAGAGGCCTGGTCTGGCCGTATTTGGTTTTCAAGGAACTGGAAGGCTTCTCACCTCCTCTGCTGTCCAGGCACAGAAGCAAGGCCACCCACAGTTGCTGAGTCAGGGAGGCCCCTAGGGCAGGAACAGAGGCCCCACAACGGGGTAACTTGAACACAGTGGTTCAGAGCCTGGTCTCTTAGTGTCAAGAAGATATGGTGCCGGGAACAGTGGTGTGTCCCTGTGGTTCCTGCTCCTCAGAAGGCTGAGGCAGGAGGATAAGCCTAGGGATTCTTGAGCCCAAGAGTTCTAGGCTGTAGTGTGCTATATTGATCGAGTGTCTGTGCTAAGTTCAGCTTCAATATGGTGACCTCCTGTAAGCAAGGGTGTCTAAGGAGGGGTGAACAGGCCCAGGATGAAAATGGAGCAGGTCAAAACTGTGCTGATCAGTGGAGGGATTGTGACTGTGAATAGCCACTGCATTCCACCCTAGACAACATAGTGAGACTCCGTCTCTAAAAGCAAATAAATAGGCTGGGTGCAGTGGGCTCACGCCTGTAATCCCAGCACTTCAGGAGGCCAAGGTGGGCGGATCACTTGAGGTCAGGAGTTCAAGACCAGCCTGGCCAATATGGCGAAACCCTGTCTTTACTAAAAATATAAAAATTAGCTGGTCATGATTTCATGTGCCTGTGGTCCCAGCTACTCAGGAGGCTAAGGCAGGAGAATCACTTGAACCTGGGAGGCAGAGGTTGCAGTGAGCCGAGATCACATCACTGCACTGCAGCCTGGGCAATGAGTGAGAACCTATCTCAAAAAAAAAAAAAATTAAATTAAATTTAAAAATGTAAGTAAATAAGTAAATAAATAAATAAATAAATAAATAAATAAATAAAAGCTGTGGGTTCAAATCCTGCTCAACAACCAATAGCTGTGTGCCTGGCCTACATATCACCTATCAGAGCCTTTGTTTTTTTAATCTGTAAAAACAACAAAAATAGCAGTAAAAACAAGCACCATTACTGAGTTCATTATGTACAAGCCTCTGCTAAGCACCTTACCTGCATTATCTTATTTAATTGTCATCACAGTAAACAAGTTTTATTATTGTCCTCGTGAAACAAAATACATGAGAACAGTGTCTCTCATCCATGCTGCCATAATTTCTAACCCAAGCCGTTGCTCATGCAGTCCCATCTACCTGGAGTGTATCTCTCTTTTTTTTTTTTGGAGACGGAGTCTTGCTCTGTCTCCAGCTGGAGTGCAGTGGCACAATCTTTGCTCACTGCAGCCTCTGCCTCCCGGGTTCCAGAGATTCTCCTGCCTCAGCCTCCCGAGTAGCTGGGATTACAGGCAAGTGCCACCACACCTGGCTAATTTTTGTATTTTTAATAGAGTCGGGGTTTCACCATGTTGGCCAGGCTGGTCTCAAACTCCTGTCTTCAGATGAGCCACCTACCTCGGCCTCCCAAAGTGCTAGGATTACAGGCATGAGCCACTGCGCCCAGCATGTAACCAACTCTTATGCAACCTTCAGTGTTCAGTGTAAGGTAACCAAAAAGTTACTTCCTGACTCTGAGACCTGGATTTCCAAATGAGGAAGCTGAGGCACACAGGGTGAGATCACATTCAAGTAAGAGACAGAGCTAGAGGCTGGGTGCAGTGGCTCACACCTGTAATCACAGCACTTTGGGAGGCTGAGGCGGGTGGATCACCTGAGGTCGGGAGTTTGAGACCAGCCTGATCAACATGGAGAAACCCTGTCTCTACTAAAAATACAAAATTAGCTGGGCATGGTGGCGCATGCCTGTAATCCCAGCTACTCGGGAGGCCGAGGCAGGAGAATCGCTTGAACCCGGGAGGTGGATCCCAGCTAGTCAGGAGGCTGAGGCAGGAGAATCGCTTGAACCCGGGAGGTGGAGGTTGCCGTGAGCCGAGATCACGCCATTGCACTTTACCCTGGGCAACAAGAGTGAAACTCCGTCTCAAAAAAAAAAAAAAAGACAGAGCTAGGAAGTGCTTACAACTTCCTCATGCTTACCTACATTTCAATTTCTGTTATTGAATCTTTTCCCCCTCAAATATACCCTATCAGCTTCTATTTTATTTTTATTTTTTGTGATGGAGTCTTGCTCTGTTGCTCAGGCTGGAGTGCAGTGGTGCGATCTTGGCTCACTGCAACCTCCACCTCCCACGTTCAAGCGATTCTTCTGCCTCAGCCTCCTGAGTAGCTGGAATTACAGGCACATGCAATGACACTGGGCTAATTTTTGTATTTTTAGTAGAGATGTGGTTTCACCATGTTGGCCAGGCTGGTCTCAAACTCCTGACCTCAGGTGATTCACCCACCTCAGCCTCCCAAAGTGCTGGGATTACAGACGTGAGCCACCGCGCCTGGCCTACATTTTTTTTTAAGTGCTGTCAAATGCATACCTTCTACTTTTCTTCAATAAATGTCAACTCTTTACCCATTATGTGCCAGTCCCTGTGGGGTGTGCCAAGCAGAAAAAGCACTGATCTAAGATGTGTGGCTCAGTTATGTGTAGATCCATGACCTTGCTGGGCTTTAGGATCCTTATCTATAAAATGGATATCATTATATCTTACCAGTAAGAACTGCTGAGGATAAAGGCAGACCGTACTTGTGAAAGTGTTCTGTAATACAAACTAGGGTTGTTCATTTTCCTTCTGCAGTGCTCAGCTCTGGCCTCACCTCTCCTGTTTGCATTTTCCGTTTCCTTCCTGCCTGTGTTCAGGCCTGCAGACTTCTGTCTGTCCTCCCTGGTCTAACTCCCTTATCCTACTTGCCAAGCCTTACTGTGATGTCATTTAATAAATTCTGGAGACACAAGGAGTGCCTCGTAGAGATGGACAATTTCCTTCAGTAGTCTCCTGCTGTTTTTAGAGTTGCCTCCAGGTGCCTGGGCCTGTGGGTGTTGGGCAGGAGAACCCTCCTCCCATGGCAGAAATAAGTGGGAGAAGTAGGGATTGCCTTCCTCCAATAATAATGCTTTGGCCCTAAAAACGAAACTCTTGAACCCCATAGAATATTTTATTTTATTTTTTTGAGACAGAGTCTCACTCTGTCACCCAGACTGGAGTACAGTTGCACGATCTTGGTTCACACAATCTCTACCTCCCAGATTCAAGCAATTCTCATGCCTCAGCCTCCCAAGCAGCTGGGACTACAGTGATGCACCACCACGCCTGGCTAATTTTTGTATTTTTAGTAGAGATGGGGTTTCACCGTGTTACCATGCTGGTGTCGAACTCCTGGCTTCAAGTGATCCGCCCTCCTTGGCCTCCCAAAGTGCTGGGATTACAGGTATGAGCCACCATGCCCGGCCAAACCCCATAGAATATTGAAGAAGCCCAAATGGATACTTGTGTCTTACTGAGTGGACAAACTTTAAAGTTACTTCAAAACATGAAAGGATGACTTGCTCCATATCAAACCTCCTAATTAATCCAACAGCAATTTTATTTTATTTTGTTTTATTTTATTTTTTGAGACAGGGTCTTGCTCTGTTGCCCAGGCTGGAGTGCAGTGGCACAATCACAGCTCACTGCAGCCTCAACCTCTTAGGCTGAAGTGATCCTCCCAGCTCAGTTTCCTGAGTAGCTGGGACTACAGGTGTATGCCACCATGCCTGGCTAATTTTTGTATTTTTTTGTAAAGACAGAGTTTTGCCATGTTGCCGAGGCCGCTCTTGAACTCCTAAGCTCAAGCAATCCACCGACCTCGTCCTGCCAAAGTGCTGGGATTACAGGTGTGAGCCACCACACCTGGTCTGCAATTTTTATCTAAGGCAGGATTTACTGATTTATTTAGAGACAGAGTCTGTCTCTGTTGCCCAGGCTGGAGTGCAGTGGTGTGATCATGACTCAGTGCAAGCTTAAACTCCTGGACTCAAACAATCTTCCTACTTCAGCCTCTTGAGTAGCTGGGACTACAGGCACACACCACCATGCCCAGAAAGGTTGTTTTTTTTTTTTGACATGGAGTCTTGCTCTGTCATCAGGCTGGAGTGCAGTGGCATGATCTTAGCTCGCTGCAATCTCCACCTCCCAGGTTCAAGCAATTCTCCTGCCTCAGCCTCCTGAGTAGCTGGGACTACAGGTGAGTGCCACCACACCGAGCTAATTTTTGTATTTTTAGTGGAGATGGGGTTTCACCATGTCGGCCAGGATGATCTTGATCTCTTGACCTCGTGATCCTCCCCCTTAGGCCTCCCAAAGTGCTGGGATTACAGGCATGAGACACCAAGCCCGGCACACCTGCTTCTTCTTTTTTTTTTTTTTTGAGACAAGTCTTGCTCTGTTGCCCAGGCTGGAGTGCAGTGGCACGATCTTGGCTCACTGCAAGCTCTGCCTCCTGGGTTCATGCCATCCTCCTGCCTCAGCCTCCTGAGTAGCTGGGACTACAGGCGCCGGCCACCATGCCCGGTGAATTTTTTTTTGTATTTTTAGTAGAGACAGGGTTTCACCGTGTTAGCCAGAATGGTTTCGATCTCCTGACCTTGTGATCCGCCTGCCTCAGCCTCCCAAAGTGCTGGGATTACAGGCGTGAACCACCGCACCCGGCCCACACCTGCTTCTTAAAGGACCAAGTCCTGGCTGGGCTCAGTGGCTCATGCCTATAATCCCAGCACTTTGGGAGGCCGAGGTGGGCAGATCTCTTGAGTCCAAGAGTTTAAGACCAGCCTGGGCATAGTGAAATCTCATCTCTACAAACCATTAAAAAATGTTTTGGCCAGGCATGGTGGCTCACATTTGTAATCCCAGCACTTTGGGAGGCCGAGGCATGTGGATCACCTGAGGTCAGGAGTTTGAGACCAATAGGCCAATATGGTGAAACCCCATCTCTATTAAAAATACAAAATTTAGCTGGGTGTGGTGGTGGACGCCTGTAATCCCAGCTACTCGGGAGGCTGAGGCAGGAGAATCACTTGAACCTGGGAGGTGGAGGTTGCAGTGAGCCAAGACCGTGCCATTGCACTCTAGCCTGGGTGACAAAAGTGAAACTCCATCTCAAAAAAAAAAATGTTTTAAAGGGACCAAGTCCTTTTAGGGGGGCTTCTGATCATTTAAATCTCCAATAACAGAAGAGGTTTTCAAATGTTACCCCGGGGATTCCTCATTGCCCGCTCCCAGTATTTTCCAAGAAAGACCTGAGGCTCCTTTCTGAGCTTCATTCCCTTGTTCTCCTCCCAGCCCCTCAGCTGTCTTTTGTACCAATTGGGTAGTTATTAATTGCTCCCTAATTGCAAATTGGCTGCCTCCTTACTGGCTCCCACCCATGCTGGCTGGCTGACCCAGGGGTCACATGCATCCTTCAGGGAAAGCTGTTTTGTGAATCCAGTGGTTCAGTTGTTCCACACATGTGTGTTGAGCCCCTTCGTTGATGCCAGATCCTTTCTAGGTCCTGGGGACCCTGTTGAGCGAGACAAACCCAAGTCCCTGGCTTCTCAGAGCTCACAGTCTAGCAGGAGACAACAAAAAAATTAATCATTTCCGATCGTCAGTGCTGTGATGGGGAGTAATTACAGTACAGAGTAATTTTGGGGAGCTTCAGATACGTGCTCTGGGAAGACCTTTCTAAGGAGGTGACGTGTGAGTTAAGATCTGAATGGTAATCCGGAGCCAGCCAGAGTGAAGATGAGGTCGAAGAGCACAGTCCCGGGGGAGAAGAAAGCAAAGGCAGAGGCCAGGTGAGAGGAAGCAGCATGGCCTCTCTCAGGGGCATTCATTTCATCTATGAAGCCCTAAGGGATTCTGAAGTCAAACATCAGGTTGGGGCTAGTTGTAAGGTTTAGGGCAAAACACCCCTCCTACTCCCTGTTGTTAGAGACCAGAGGCGGCGTTTGCCCCCACCTGGCCCCGCTCCAGAAGGAGGGGTTATTATACGTCTGATTGAATCAGCTTCCAGCATCCTTATTGGTCCTTGGAGGTAATTAGGGCACTGTCGCTTCAAAGTCCCAAATTCAGGCGCCCCACTGGGGACTACAGTGACCGCTCCCCACCCCACCCACCGCAAGCTCAGAGGTTGGAGAGAACTGCCTCCCCGAAGGAACCCAGACCCAGGCTTGAGACTTTGCAAAGAGACACAAGATGCGGGTTGCCATGTGAAGTTTCCGGATTTTTTAAAATGTTAGAACGATGAATTGGAAAAGCTTTAAAACACTGCACAGGCCAAACAACATGTCTATGGGCAGGACCTGGCCAGCTGGCCTGGGTGCGGTGGGGCTTGGTGAATGCCTAGAGGTAGGGATGAGGGAGAGAAGGAGTCAGGAAGGATGCTAACTGCATCCTGGACTCTGGGACACCCATGCCCTGGCAGAGATGTGCCCTAAGAGGAACGAACTCACGGCCACAGGCACAGATTGAGCATCTACTGTGTGCATGGCTCTGTGCTAGGATGGGGGATACAAAACACTTCAGAGGACTGCACCTTCGCTCAGGGCTGGATGGGCCGACCTCAGGAAACCTGGGTTCCAGCCTTGACTTGCTCTCCTATAATTGCTGTGTGAACTTGGGTTGAGTCATCATCTCTCTGGGATTCAGCACACAGCCTTTGTTGACATTAGATTAACTAAATCCAGTAAGGGAAGATTTTGAAGGGCCTCTGGGTGTCTGGATAGGGAATCTGGGCTGGGTCTAATAGGAAGTAGGAACCACCCCAGGTTCTTGAGCAGGGGAGTGACATGTTTAAGAGGAAAGTGAAGCAGGCCACCTGTGCAGAGACACACATCATCCAGGTGTGGGGTAGTGACGACAGCAACTAAAGCGTATGCAAATCAGATCTCATCACCTCTAGCTCAAAAACCTTCCATGGGTCCCTGCAGCCCTCACATGAAAGTCCTTTCCTCTTACTATGGTCCATGAGCAGGGCCAGCTTCATGCAATGAAGGGTCAGTGTAATGCTCTGCTGTCACTATCTTGAAATACTTAATAATTTTTGAACAAGGAGCTCCTTTTTCTCATTTTGCACCAGGTCCTGCAAATTATGAAGGTTCCCACAGGGGCCTTTCAGTCTGGGCCTTTTCCCCTCTCCCCATCCAAACCCCACTTCTCCCTTACCCTTCATACTTCACTCACGTTGGTCTTCCATCAGTTTCTGGAGATTGTTCCTGCCTTGGGACATTTGCGTAGTCTGTTCCCCTTGCCTGGAACACCCCCACCCCCACGTCGAGACCAACTTAGTTTTTTGTTCAACAATTTCTTATCTTCCAGACTTGAGCATAATTATCTCCTGAGAGATAACTCCTCTGGCCTCCCAGAACTACCTGTTCAAAACAAAACTTTAAAAATTATTTAAGCCAGCCAGGCACGATGGCTCATGCCTGTAATCCCAGCACTTTGGGAGGCCCAGGTGGGCGGATCACTTGAGGTCAGGGGTTCAAGACCAGCCTGGCCAACATCATGAAACCCCGTCTCTACTAAAAATACAAAAATTAACCGGGTGTGGTGGAATGCACCTGTAGTCCCAGCTACTTGGGAGGCTGAGGCAGGAGGATTGCTTGAACCCGGGAAGCAGAGGTTGCAGGGAGCTGAGATCACGCCACTGCACTCCAGCCTGGGCGACAGAGTAAAACTCTGTCTCAAAAAAAAAAAAAAAAGAAAAAAAGATTTAAGCCTGAGTGCAGTGGGTCACTCCTGTAATCCCAATACTTTGGGAGGCAAGGCAGGAGTATTGCTGAGGCCAGGAGTTCCAGACCAGTCTGGGCAACACAGCAAGATCTCATCTGTACAAAAAATAAGAAAATTAGCCAGACATGGTGGTGTGTGCCTGTAGTCCCAGCTACTTCGGTGGCTGAGGCAGGAGGATTGCTTGCACCCAGGAGTTCAAGGCTTCAGTGAGCCATGATTGCGCCACTGCACTCCTACCTGTGCAACAGAGCTAGACCCTGTCTCAAAAAAAAATGCAGTAATGGAGGCATTTCAGACATCTGTCAGCAGCCATAGGTGTTCAGGGGCTTTGTGCTTATAAAGGTTTATTCAGTAACAAATATTCAGCTGGAGCGGGCATCATGGCTCACACCTGTAATCCTAGCACTTTGGGAGGCTGAGGCAGGAGGATTGCTTGAGCCCAGGAGTTTGAGACCAGCTGGGCAACAAAGTGAGACCTGATCTCTACCAAAAACAAAATACATAAAATTAGCTGGGCATAGTGGCATGCACCGGCTGAGGTGGGAGTATCGCTTGAGCCCAGGAGGTCGAGGCTGCAGTGAGCTGTGATCACACCATTGCACTCCAGCCTGAGAGACAGAGTGAGACCCTGTCTCAAAAAATTAAAAACTTAATTAATTAAAAAAAATTCAACTGGGGAAATAGTTCTAGCTCTCTCTTTCTCTCTCTCTCTTTTTTTTTTTTTGGAGGCAGAGTTTCACTCCGATACCCAATCTGGAGTGCAGTGGCATGATCTCAGCTCACTGCAACCTCCACCTTCCAGGCTCAAGGGATTCTCCCACCTCAGCCTCCCAAGTGGCTGGGACTATAGGTGGGTGCCACCACACCCAGCTCATTTTTGTACTTTTTGTAGAGATGGGGTTTTGCCATGTTGCCCAGGCTGGTCTTGAACTCCTGGACTCAAGCGATCCTCCCACCTCAGCCCCCCAAAGTGCTGGGATTACAGGCATGAGCCACCACACTTAGCCAAATTGCCATCTCTTAATGAAGTAAATAAAACCATTTACACCACAAGAGACAGAGGGAAGGGATAGGATTTATCGAAAACATAATAAATCCCCTTGGCCAAATTCATGGACCCTGGCAGGGTAAGATCAGAGATAGCATCATTTCTGCCTATGTGGCTGACATTCATTATGTAAGGCCCATGTACCAGGATCCCCATCCCATGCAAGCTCTGTGAATGATCACTCCCAACCTTATAAGGTTGGAAGTATTAGCTCCCCACTTTGTGGATGAGGAAACTGAGGCCTAGAGAAATTAAGTAACTTGCCAAATGTCACACAGTGAAGAATTGACAGAGTTGGGATTTGTACCTAGATCTGTCCAACTCCAGATCTCCCTGAGCCCTTCACTACCGCAAAATAGCTACTCAACTGGCTTGCTGTATGATTTGGGGCAAGTTCCTCAACCTTTCTGAGTCTCAGATTCTTTTTTTCTTTTTCTTTTTTTGAGATGGAATTTCCCTCTTTTCACCCAGGCTGGAGCGCAATGGCATGATCTCAGTTCACTGCAACCTCCGCCTTCCAGGTTCAAACCATTTTCCTGCCTCAGCCTCCCAAGTAGCTGGGATTACAGGTGCCCACCACCACGCCTGGCTAATTTTTGTATTTTTAGTACAGACCGGGTTTCACCATCTTGGCCAGGCTTGTCTCGAACTCCTGACCTCTGGTGATCTGCCCGCCTCAGCCCCCCAGAGTGCTGGGATTACAGGCATGAGCCACTGTGCCCAGCCTCTTTCTTTTTTTTAAGACAAGGTCTTATTCTGCCACCCAGGCTGGAATGCAGTGGGCAATCTCTGCTTACTGCAGCCTCAACCTCCTAGGGTCAAGTGATCCTCCCACTTCAGCCTCCCAAGTAGCTGGGACTACAGGCATGCGGCACCAGGCCCAGTTAAGCTGAGCCTCAAATTCTTTACCTATAACTTGTCCCTTATTTAAGCTAACACATGGTAGGTGCTGAAGTTGATTCTCTCTCTCTCTCTCTCTTTTTTTTTTTTTCTTGAGACACGGTCTTGCTCTGTCACCCAGGCTGGAGTGCAATGGCATGATCTCAGTTCAGTGCAGCCTCAACCTCCTGAGCTCAAGCAATCCTCCTGCCTCAGCTCCCCAGAGTAGTGGGATTACAGGCATGCACCACTGTTGATTCTTTATAGATGTTAATTCTCTACTTAACACACACGCCCCTCCAACTCCCACCACACATACAGACACAGACACACACACACACACACACACACACGCATGCATGCACGCACACCAGCCCCACAACAGGAGGAATGTAACAGAAGCAATGCTTTGTGTTCTGTAACCTGTTTCCTTTTCCTGGACACACAGGAAGGTCATGTTCTCATTTTTCCTGCAGTTAGTAGAGTCATGTGACTACATAAAGGCCAATGAAATTATACGTGACCCCTGCGCAAAGGCAGTTAAGTGTGGATGTGCCTCCTTTGATTTTCTGATTCCCTTTCCACATGCAGAGGATTCAGGAATAGATTCCATGGAGAGCCTGGGGTGGAGGCAGGATTGGGGGGCAAGGTCACTGCTTGGAAAAGAGCTCCCTGGGAGAGCCCCAACCTATATCAGACTTTGCAGGAGTGAGAAATAAACTCTGATTGGGTTAAACCACTGAGATATTTTGTTTGTTACAGCAGCCAGCATTAATTACACTGAATAAAACTGTGTATCAGTTATCAATTGCCACAACAATGCTACATAACAAACCACCCCAAAACTTAGTGCCTTAAAACAGCAACCATTTTTTTAGCTCAAGATTTCATGGACTGGCACTTTAGCCTGGGCTCAGCTAAAGATTTTTCTGGTCTCAGTTGGGCTTACTCATGTATCTGTGGTCAGCTATTGGATTAGATGGTGACTGACTAGGACAGCTTCAGCTAGGATAACTAGTCCCTGTTCCAGTGGTCTCTTAGGCAGGATAGCCCAGGCTTGTTCACATAACAGCTGCGAGAGTTCCAAGAGAATGAGTGGAATCTCTTAAGGCCCAATCTCTTAACACCCAGGCTTCGAACTGGCAATGCCACTTCCATATATTCTATTGGCCAAAAATAGTCACATGCCTGGCTGGGAATGGTGGCTCACACCTGTGTAATTCCAGCACTTTGGGAGGCTGAGGTGGACGGATTACTTGAAACTAGGAGTTTGAGACCAGCCTGGACAACATGGGGAAACTCCATCTCTATAAAAATTTGTCAGGTGTGGTGGTGAGTGCCTGTAGTCCCAGCTACTTGGGAGGCTGAGGTGAGAGGATCACCTGAGCCCAGACAGGTCAAGGCTGTAGTGTGCCATGATCACACCACTGCACTCCAGCTTGGGTGACAGAGATCCTGTCTTAAAAAATAAAAAAGAGCTCAGCCTCTAGAACCACAGCCCTGGGCTTAAGTCCTGACTCACTTGCTATTGATTTTGGGCAAGTGCCGCTCCTCTCTGAGACTCACATTTCCCTTCTATAAAACAGGTGCTGGGGCCGGGCATGGTGGCTCTCACCTGTAATCCCAGCACTTTGGGAGGCCAAGGCAGGCGAATCACCTGAGTTCAGGAGTTCAAGACTAGCCTGGACAACATGGTGAAATCCCGTCTCTACTAAAAATATAAAACTTAGCCAGGCGTGGTGGCGCACGCCAGTAATCCTAGCTACTCACTACTCAGGAGGCTGAGGCAGGAGAATCGCTTGAACCCAGGAAGCGGAGGTTGCAGTGAGCTGAGATTGTGCCATTGCACTCCAGCCTGGGCAACAAGAGTGAAACTGTCTAAAAAAAAAAACAAACAAAAAAACACAACAACCAAAAAACACAGGTGCTGGAAGAGAGGAGTCCTAACATTGGGGGCTATTGTGAGAATTGACTGAGGGAATGCACCATGGAAATGTGTGCTGTAAATTACCTATTTTATTACACCCAACGTGGGCTTAATAGCTGTCAGGGAGTGTTAGTATTATCTCCCCCAAACCCTCAATTTACAGAGGAGAAAACAGAGGCTCAGGCAGGTGATGTGACTTGCCAAGGCTGCATAGCTAAGGAGCAGTGATGAACCCACCGTACTTAAGTTTGTCTGTTTCCAGAATCTAAGGTCTTAGCCTCGCTACAGTTAGAAAGTCCTAGGTTTGAGTCTCGACTCTGTCCATTATAGCTGTGTGACCTTGGGCAAGTCACTTTTCTCTCTGGGCCTCATTTTTTTCTTCGTCTAAAGAAATTAGCATCTGTCTCATAATGCCATGGGGAATCAATGGGAAAATACAAAGAAAGTGCTTAGCAGAGTGCCAAGGAGGGACAGTATGCATGCTCAGCAATTGAAGGCTGCCAAGTTCCTGTTATCATCAGGGGCAGTGTTCCATCCATCAAAAGGGCTAAGAATAGTCTTAGCCTGGCCAGGCACAGTGGCTCATGCCTGTAATCCCAGCATTTTGGGAGGCCGAGGCAGATGGATCACCTCAGTTCAGGAGTTCAAGACCAGCCTGGCCAACATGTCGAAACCCCGTCTCTACTGAAAATACAAAAATTAGCCAGGCGTGGTGACGGGCCCCTGTAATCCCAGCTAATTGGGAGGCTGAGGCAGGAGAATCACTTGAAGCCAGGAGGCAGGGGTTTCAGTGAGCCGAGATTGCGCCACTGCACTCTAGCCTGGGTGACAGAGTGAGACTCTGTCTTAAAAAAAAAAAAAAAAGAAATAGTCTTAGCCAGTGGGGGTAGGGTGAGGAATAAGTAAGTTACTGTGGGCTATGCTTTAGCACAGTGCCCAGCACATATTATAAACTTCATAAGCAGTTGCTATTTTAAAGGGTTTTTGTTTTGTTTTGTTTTTGTTTTTGAGACAAGACCTCACTCTGTCGCCCAGGCTGGAGTGCAGTACTTTTAAAGTTCTGAACCCTGTTGGAGGCCAACATGAGACCATGGGGGACCCCAGGCTCCAACTGGCAGTGGCTCCAGGCACTGCCTCTGCTGCCGTTTGGCTATTATTAGGCCCGGCGTCCTCATCTCAAATCCAGGTGGGGAGCGAGAAGGGTGGTAGGGCAGGGCCTGGCTGGCGGAAGGCTGGGAACACGGCTTGGAGGCTGGGTTAGGGTTTGGGCCCCACCCTGCCTGCCTTCCCTTGTTTGCAGCTGGTCCAGCCACCATGTCTACACTTGGCTCTGAGGTTGGTGCAGAGCACTGCCTCCCACCATGGCCGCCTCCTCTGGGAAGATTCAGAGCCCTTCTGCAGCCTCAGCACTTTTCTGCCTGCCCCAGAGAGGCCAGGCCTGCGTGGAAACTCTGAATTGGACACTGCGCGCCTTCAGAACCAGCAAAGGAGCCATCCACCCTGCTGTCTACAGGTCTTCATGCCTCCAGTGAGGCTTACTGGATCTGCTGAGGGGGAAGGGCCTATATACCTGGGTTCAAATCCCTTCCCTACCACCAACATGCAGTGTCAACTTGGACAAATGACTTCCCCTCTCTGAGCCTCAGTTTCTTTGCCCATAAAAGGGACAGACTATTAGCATCTGCTTTATAGGGCTGTGGTGATGGTTACATGAGTGCATGGTATGCCATAGGCACTCAATATGTGTCAGTTATTTCATGCTTAAGTGTGCCAGGACCTGAGGAGGAAACAAAGTTTTGGGAGGTTGAGAATCTGGGATGCAGAATGGCTCTGCTCCTGATTTGCTACACTACCTGAAGCCTGTCCCTTGTCCTCTCTGGGACTCAGTTACCTATTTGAACCATAAGGTGGGTATCCAGGACTCTGTGATGCCAAGATTCAGGTGCTATGTTCAGAAGTAGAGAGAAGGGTTTGCTGGGATCCCACACTGACAGGTTGGTAAAATATTCATTCTCGGACTGGACTCTGGAGCCAAAATACCCTCGGCCCCTGAGCTGCTCCAGATACTCCCTACTCTGCCAGTCCAGGGCTGAACCTGGAAGAATCTAGACCCTTCTTGTTACAGTTTTTTGCCCTAGGAGGGCCTGAAGGAAGCCAGTCAAACCCCCTCATTTTACAGATGGGCAGACTGAGGCCCAGGTCTCCCCAGTGCTCAGGCTTCATCCAAGCGGAGCTTCCAAATGGTGGATGGTAGAATATGGTGATTAAGAACAAATGTTCTGGCCAGGCGCAGTGGCTCACGCCTGTAATCTTAGCACTTCAGAAGGTCAAGGCAGGAGGATTGCTTGAACCCAGGAGTTCAAGACTAGCCCTGGCAACACAGGGAGACCCTTGTCTCTACAAAAAATAAAAAAAATTAGCCGGGCATGGTGGCATGTGTCTGTAGTCCCACTGTGAGCCTGGGAGGTCAAGGCTGCAGTAAGCCATGGTTGTGCCACTCCACTCTCCAGCCTGGGCGACAGAGTGAGACTCTGTCTCAAAGACAAAACAAAACAAAAAAAAACAACAAAAGAACGAGGGTTCTGAGTCTGTCTCCTTATCTGTATAATGGTGGTCCTACCTCACAGGACTCAAGCTGTGAAGGTCATAGTGGTAACAAAATTGCCACACATGTAGTATAAGCATGATCAGGAGCCAGTGTCCAACCCATCAGGTAGCAATTACATAGTGTCCCACCATGAGCCTAGACCCCCACTCCCTGCGCCCAGGCATCAGGGACTCCCAGAAGTCTAAAGAGGTCCAGGCTGGCACATCCAGAACTCTCTCCTTCCTGTTCCAGCCCCTTGCCTCTCCTTTGTCTGTGAGGCTGGGTCTCCTGGAATTCATTGCTGCCCAGTGGGCATCTGAGGCCCTTTCTCCTCCTGCAGGGCCAGAAGTTTGCCTGGCACTATTGCCCAGAGAACACAGTGGCTGGATGACATCATGGAGATGATGGCCTTGCCAAACTGGTTTCCCAACAGGTCCTCAGTCCCACTCCGAGGGCTGCTGGCCATGACCTAGGGCTCACCCAGTTCTGCACATAAGGAGGAAGGTCATACCCCTTGGATCCAGCCAACCCCAACAAGAACCATCCACTTCTAGGGACTCCATTCTCCAGCCTCACCTGCCTGTCTGTTGCCCAACAAGGTCCTCACAATCCTACTTCCGTTCCTTTGCTAATGCTGTTCCCATCTCCAGAATGACAGTGCTGTCCTGGGGAGAGAGGCTTAGAGAGCCCAAGGCACAGCTCCTCCATTGTGCATATGAGCAAGTTGAGGCTCCAAGAGGGCCAACCCTTACCTAGGGTGGAGCCAGGGGTAAGACACCCATCACCCTTCTTGCCTCCTGACCCAAGGCCTGGGTTTTCCCTGCAGGACCCTGACTGGGTGGAGGGTTAGCCAGGGTGACTTAGGGATGCAATGCAGACAGCTTGGTAAAATAGTCATTCTCAGACTTGGGCTCTGGAGCAAAATATTACCCCTAGCCTCTGAGCTGCTCCAGCCACTTCCCATTCTGCCTTTCTGGGGTTGAACCTGGAAGAACCTAGAGTAGACCCTTTCTGTGACAGCCCCTTGCCCTAGGAAGGCCTGAAGCAGACCAGTCTAATCACCTCATTTTACAGGGGCAGGCTGAGGCCCAGGCCTCTCTGGCGCCCACAAGATACATTCGTCCTGCTCACCTGGCATTCAGAATCCTTTGCCAAGAGAAGCACCCACATTTCCTGCTCCACCCACAGCCTATCCTCCTCCTTTTCCCAGACTATTGGTCTTTGCTCACACTGTTCCTCTGCCACAAATGCCCTTTCATGCCTTTCCCCCTCTTCTACGTGGGATGAATTTTAAAAATTAGTTGGGCGTGGTGGTGTTTGCCTGTAGTCCTAGCCTCTTGGGAGGCTGAGATGGGAGGATTGCTTGAGCCAGGAGTTTGAGGCCATGGTAAGCTGTGATCATGCGACTGCACTCCAGCCTGTGGGACACAGCAAGACCCTGTCTCCAAAAAAAAAAAAAAAAACAACAACAAGTATGACACACAGTTTATATGCCACTTCCCTAAGAAGTCTTCCAGAGCTTCCCCCATCCGAGTGGCAGCAAAGTAGAGGGAAGGGGCTGGAGTGCAGTGGCACCATCATGGCGTGAACCTTGAGAACCTCATGCTTTTTGTCACAATAAGAAAAAAAAACTTTAAAATTACTAAGTTCTCTCTCTCTCTCTTTTTTTTTGAGACCGAGTTTTGCTCTGTCACCCAGGCTGGAGTGCAGTGGCACGATCTCGGCTCACTGAAAGCTCCGCTTCCTGGGTTCACGCCACATTCTCCTGCCTCAGCCTCCCGAGTAGCTGGGACTACAGGTGCCCGCCACCACACCCGGCTAATTTTTTTTTGTAGTTTTAGTAGAGACAGGTTTTCACCATGTTAGCCAGGACAGTCTCGATCTCCTGACCTCGTGATCTGCCCACCTGGGCCTCCCAAAGTGCTGGGATTACAGGCGTGAGCCACTGCGCCCAGCCTTTTTTTTTTTTTTTTTTTTTGACATGGCGTCTTGCTCTGTCATCAGGCTGGAGTGCAGTGGTGTGACCTCGGCTCACTGAAACCTCTGACTCCCTGGTTCAAGTGATTCTCCTGCATCAGCCTGGCAAGTAGCTGGGATTACAGGCATGTGCCACCACGCACAGTTAATTTTTGTATTTTTAGTAGAGATGGGGTTTTACTATGTTGACCAGGATTGTCTCAGTCTCCTCAGCTGAGGTCAGGAGTTCGAGACCAGCCTGGCCAATATGGTGAAACCCTGTCTCTACCAAAAATACAAAAATTAGCTGGGTGTGGTGGCGCATGCCTGTAATCCCAGCTACTGAGGAGACTGAGGCAGGAGAATTGATTGAACCCAACTGGCAGAGGTTGCAGTGAGCCAAGATTGCACCACTGCACTCCAACCTGAGCAACAGAGCAAGACTCCGTCTTAAAAAAATAGGTCAGGTGCAGTGGCTCATGCCTGTAATCCCAGCACTTTGGGAGGCTGAGGTGGGCAGATCACAATGTCAGGAGTTCGAGACCAGCCTGGCCAACTTGGTGAAACCCCATCTCTACTAAAATACAAAAACTAGCCAGGTGTGGTGGCGGGTGCCTGTAGTCCCAGCTACTCGGGAGGCTGAGGTAAAAGAATGGCATGAACCTGGGAAGCGGAGCTTGTGGTGAGCCGAAATTGCGTCACTGCACTCCAGCCTGGGCGAAAGAGCAAAACTCCATCTCAAAAATAAAATAAAATAATGTAAAATAAAATAAAATAAAATATACAAAAACTAGCCAGGCTTGTGGTACATGCCTGTAATCATAGCTACTCGGGGGGCTGAAGCAGGAGAATCACTTGAACCAGGAGGTGGAGGTCACAGTGAACTGAGATCGTGCCACTGCACTCCAGGCTGGGTGAGGGAGTGAGACTCTGTCTCAAAAAAAAAAAAAAAAAAAAAAAAAAGAAAGAAACAAAAATTAGCTGTGCATGGTGGTGTGTGGCTGTAGTCCCAGATGCTTGGGAGGCTGAGGCAGGAGAATCACTTGAACTAGGAGGCGGAGGTTGCAGTGAGCAGAGATTGCGCCACTGCACTCCAGCCTGGGAGGCAGAGTGAGACACTGTCTAAAAAAAAGAAAAGTTTCCTGTCCTCTCCAAGCCCTGACCTTACCTATCACCCCAAATCCCCCAAATGAATCTTCAGGCCTCCTTCTAATGCCTTCCTTCCTCTTATACTACAAACATGCATTCCTTCCTCTTATACTACAGAGTCTCCCTCTGTCACCCAGGCTGCAGTGCAATGGCTCAATCTTGGCTCACTGCAACCTCTCCCGGAATCAGGCGATTTTCCTGCCTCAGCCTCCCAAGTATCTGGGAATACAGGTGCGCACAACCAAGTCTGGCTAATTTTTTTTGTATTTTTAATAGAGACGGGGTTTCACCATGTTGGCCAGGCTGGTCTCGGAACACCTGACCTTATTATCCACCCACCTCAGTCCCCCAAAGTGCTGGGATTATGGGTGTGACCCACTGTGCCCGGCTGACACTTTCAAACTCATTCATTGAGGCCAATATTTTCCTGGTACCAAAACCAAAGGCATCATGAGAAAAGAAAAATAATAACCAATATTTCTCATAAAGACCAAAAAAAAAAAAAACTGCAACAAAATACTAGCAAGCCAAGTCCAGTAATACATAAAAAGATTCTATAACATGACCAAGTAGGATTCATGCCTGCTTGGAGTAACACCCAAAAATCAACTGATATAATGCACCATAAAAGTAGAATAAAAAGCAAAAACCACATGATCTTCTCAATAAACACAAAAATTTTCTGACAAAATCCAACACCCTTTCATGATAGAAACAGTCCACAAACTAGGAATAGAAAGAAACTTTCTTTACTTGCTAAAGGCATCTATGAAAAACCCACAGCTAACAATGTATTAAATGGGGAAAACAAAGCTTTCCCCCTAAGATCAGGAACTAGGCAAGTACATCTACTCTTGTCACTTATAATCTACATTATATTGAAAGTTCCAGTCCGGGCACGGTGGCTCATGCCTATAATCCCAGCACTTTGGGAGGCCAAGGTGGGTGGATCACCTGAGGTCAGTGGTTCGAGACCTGCCTGACTAACATGGTGAAACCCAGTCTCTACTAAAAATACAAAAATTAGCCAGATGTGATGGTGCATGCCTATAATCCCAGCTACTCGGGAGGCTGAGGCAGGAGAGTCACTTGAACTTGGGAGGTGGACGTTGCAGTGAGCCAAGATCATGCCACTGCACCTCAGAGCCTGGGCAACAAGAGCAAAACTCGGTCTCAAAAAAAAAGAGGAAGTTCCAGCCAGGACAATTAGGCACACAAAAAAAATAAAATAAATGGCATCTATATTAGAAATGAAAAAGTAAAACTATATTTCCAGACGATGTGATCTTTTTATTTGTTTATTTACTTTTGAGACGGAGTTTTGCTCTTGTTGCCCAGGCCGGAGTGTGGTGGCGCGATCTTGCCTCACTGCAACCTCTGCCTCCTGGATTCAAGTGATTCTCCTGCCTCAGCTTCCTGAGTAGCTGGGATACAGGCACCCACCATTATGCCCAGCCAATTGTATTTTTTTTAGTAGAGACAGGGTTTCATCATGTTGGCCAGGCTGGTCTCGAACTCCTGACTTCAGGTGACCCATCCACCTCGGCCTCCCAAAGTGCTGAGATTACAGGCGTGAGCCACTGTGCCCGGCAGATGTGATCTTGTATATAGAAAGCCTAAGAAAGTTTCCCCCACCCACACACACACTAGAGACAGAGAGAGAAAGAGAAAACACATGCTAATAAACAAGTTCAGCAAGGTCAAAGGCACAAGATCCATACACAAAGATCAATTATATTTCATACACTAGTAATGAACTATCCAAAAATGAAATTAAGAAATTCCATTTGTAATAACATCTGAAAGAATAAAACACATAGGAAATAATTCAAAAAAAGAGGTCTGAGACTCATATACTGAAAACTCTGAAACATTGTTGAAAAAAATTAAAGAACACCTGACCAGGCCCAGTGGCTCATGCTTTTAAGCTCAGCACTTTGGGAGGCTGAGGCGGGTGGATTGCTTTGAGATCAGGAGCTCAAGACCATCCTGGGCAACATGGTAAAACCTCATCCCTACAAAAAATACAAAAATTAGCCAGGTGGGGTGGTGCATGACTGTAGTCCCAGCTACTAAGGAGGCTGAGGTAGGAGGATGGCTTGAGCCCAGGAGGCAGAGGTTGCAGTGAGCTGAGATCATGCACTTCAGCCTGGGTAACAGAGGGAGACCTCATCTCACCACCACCAACAAAAAAAAAAATTAAAGAAGACCTAAATCAAGACATCTCATATTCATGGATTGGAAGACTAAACATGGTTATAACAACAATAATCCCCAAACTAATCTACAGATTCAATGCAACCTCTATCAAAATCCCAGCTGCCTTTCTGGCAGAAATGGAGAAGCTGATCCTAAAATTCATATAGCAATGCAAAGAACCCAGATTAGACAAAACAATCTTGAAAGAGGAGAACAAAGTTGGAGAATTTATACTTTCCAATCTTAAAACCTACTAAGCTACAATAATCAAGACTGTGATGTGACTTCAGTTTACCAGTAAGAAGAAAGGAAAAAAAAGGCTCTGGTACTGGCCTATAGGTAGAGGTACAGTCCAGTGTAACAGAAATGAGAGTCCGGATATAAATCAAAATATCTACGATTAATTGATTTTTGACAAGAACAGAGACCCGGTGCAGTGGCTCACGCCTGTAATCCCAGCACAGGATCACTTGAGGCCAGGAGTTCAAGACAAGCCCAGTCAACATGCCAAAACCCTGTCTCTACCAAAAATACCTAAATTAACCAGGCGTGGTGGCACCCGCCTGTAGTCCCAGCTCCTTGGGAGGCTGAGGCAGGAGAATTGCTTGAACCCGGGAGGCGGAGGTTGTAGTGAGCCAAGATGGTGCTATTGCACTCCAACCTGGGCAACAGAGCAAGACTCCATCTCTCTCTCTCTCTCACACACACACACACACACACACACACACACACAAATTATTTCTTTTAAAAAATAATTTTTAAATTTTTATGTTTTAAAAAAATTACCTATTCTGGGTGAATATGCCATACAAATGGCCAAAAAAGCATATGAAAAGATGGTCACCATCACTAATCAGAGAAATAAACCACAGTGAGCTATCACCTCATACCCATTAGGTTGGCTACCATCAAAAACAATAAGTGGACCAGGCATAGTGACTCACACCTGTAATCCCAGCCCTCCCCGCTTTCCCCACCCGTGAGACAGAGTCTTGCTATGTCACCCAGGCTGGAGTGCAATGGTGCAATCTCAGCTCTCTGCAACCTCTGCCTCCCAGGTTCAAGTAATTCTCCTGCCTCACCCTCCCAAGTAGCTGGGATTACAGGCACGCTCTACCATGCCTGGCTAATTTTTGTATTTTTAGTAGAGACGGGGCTTCAACATATTGTCCAGGCTGGTCTCAAACTCCTGACTTCGGGATCTGCCCGACTCAGCCTCCCAAAGTGCTGGGATTACAGGTATGAGCCACCACACCCGGCCAATCCCAGCACTTTGAGCAGCCCAGGCAAGAGGATCACTTGAAGCTACGTGTTTGGGGCCAGCCTGGGCAACATAATGAAATACTGTCTCTACAAAAGAATTTAAAATTAGCCTCATTTGGCTCGTCATGGTGGTTCACGCCTGTAATCCCAGCACATTGGGAGGCTGAGGCAGGTGGATCATCTGAGGCCAAGAGTTGGAGACCAACCTGGGCAACATGGCAAAACCCTGTTGCTACCAAAAATACAAAAATTAGCTGGGTGTGGTGGTGCATGCCTGTAGTCCAGCTACTCAGGAGGCTGAAGCAGGTGGATCCCTTGAGCCCAGGAGCTCCAGGCTGCAATAAACTATGATCATGTCACTGTGCTCCAGCCTGGGCATCAGGATAAGCCTCTGTCTCAAAAAAAAAAAAAAGAAAAAGAAAAAAACACAAACAAGCATTTTTGAGGATGTAGAGAAACCAGAAGCTTTGTGTGCCGTTAGTGGGATTGTAAAATGATGCAGCTATTATGGTTATGGGAAACAGTACGGAGGGTCCTCAAAAAATGAAACATAGAACTACCATATGATCTAGCAATCCCACTTCTGGATATATAATCAAAGAATTAAAAGCAGGGTCTCAAAGAGATTGTTTGCACATCCACGTTCACAGCACCATTGTTCACAATCACAAGAGATAGAAGCAACCCAAAGGCCATGAATGGATGAATGGATACACAAAATGTGATTTATACATACAATGGAGTAGTATTCAGCCTTAAAAAGGAAGAAAATCTTGTCACGTGCTGTAACATACGTAAGCCTTGACGACATTATGTTAAGGGAAATAAGCCAGTCACAAACAATAAATACTGCATGATTCCACTATATAAGGTATCTAAAGTAGTCAAATTCATAGAAACAGAAAGTGGAATGATAGTTACCAGTGGCTGGGAGAAGGGGAACTGGGGAATCGCTGTTTAATGGGTACAGGGATTCCGTTTCACAAGATGAAAAGGTCCCGGAGATGTTTCACAGCAATGTCAATATACATAATTCTACTGAATAGTACATTTACAAATGGTTAAGACAGTTAATCTTATATGCTTTTTGTCACAATAAGAAAAAAAAACTTAAGGGACCGGCTGTGGATGGCCGAGGCGGCAGCTGCGCGGCGGCACCGGGGCGGCTGCGGCGCGCTCGGAGCCCCGAGGGCACGCGGCCCGGGCAGCTCGGTGTGCGCCCCCACGGGAGCCGGGGCCCCAGGCCCGCCGGACACCATGAACCACCTGAATGTGCTGGCCAAAGCCCTCTATGTCAATGTGGCCGAGTCCCCGGATGAGCTCTCCTTCCGCAAGGGCGACATCATGACGGTGCTGGAGCAGGACACGCAGGGCCTGGATGGCTGGTGGCTCTGCTCGCTGCACGGGCGCCAGGGCATCGTGCCTGGGAACCACCTCAAGATCTTGGTGGGTATGTATGATAAGAAGCCAGCAGGGCCTGGCCCCGGCCCTCCCGCCACCCCGGCCCAGCCTCAGCCTGGCCTCCATGCCCCAGTGCCTCCGGCCTCCCAGTACACGCCCATGCTCCCCAACACCTACCAGCCCCAGCCCGACAGCGTCTACCTGGTGCCCACTCCCAGCAAGGCTCAGCAAGGCCTCTACCAAGTCCCGGGTCCCAGCCCTCAGTTCCAGTCGCCCCCAGCCAAGCAGACATCCACCTTCTCGAAGCAGACGCCCCATCACCCGTTTCCCAGCCCGGCCACAGACCTGTACCAGGTGTCCCCAGGGCCTGGAGGCCCTGCCCAGGATATTTACCAGGTGCCACCTTCTGCCGGGATGGGGCATGACATCTACCAGGTCCCCTCGTCCATGGACACACGCAGCTGGGAGGGCACGAAGCCCCCAGCAAAGGTAAGGCTGTCCTGGCACAGTCGTGCAGCCCCACAGGTATAGCCCAGGCCCTGCTTTGTGGGCACAGAAGGGCCCAGCCACCCTCAGTCACCGGCACTCCAGGAGTGGCTGTGTGTTTGGTCTGGGGTCAAAGTGGCAAGTGAGTGTTTGGGGAGTGTTCATTTGTCCAGGGAAGATGGATGTGAATGGACCTAGAGGGGAGATGCTCCGCTGGCCTCAGCCAAGCCGACCCGAGTGGTGGTGTCACCACAGGGAGCAGTCTGTTGAGGCTTTCCAGCGGGCAGGCGGGGCTTGGCACATGGAGTCAGCAGTTGCTGGGCCCCCGCGAGGGAGAGGCCAGCCACTTCATGCTCAGGCTCCCCTGTGCCATTTGGGTTTAGGTGTCAGCCTGTAGATGGGGTTCCGGCACATATTCTGGCCACCCCTGCCTCCACAGGCCAACCCCTCTCCACTTATGGGACATGCTAGGGGCCAGCAGGTACGTATGGTGATCTGGATGTGACTCCTGGGAGGACGCTGCCCCTGAGATTGCTAGAGGAGTGCTGCCCTGAGAGCCTCCTGGGCTCTTGCTGATGGGATGCCGGGCCTGGGGACAAGGCCTCTGGCCTCCAGACCCTGAGCCCGCTCCCCAAGTCCACAGGGTCCCTGCCTCCCAAGCTCACCTGCCTGTAGGAAGGACTCAGCACTGGACACTCAGCCCAGGGCTGAGGTGGAGACCTCATTGGTGCCAGCTGAGCAGTGAGTCAGCAGGGAGTTACCCCCACCCCCACCCATGGGTGGCCTGGTACCCAGGAGACATGGCTGGAGGTCATTGGCAGGTGGGGGACTCCATGGACATGGGCCACCAAGCCTGGCCACCAGGGGAACCTGGGTCACTGGCTCACACTTCCTGCTCTACCTGCTCCTTCAGCCATCTGGTCAGAGGCGAGCCTGGTTGGCTTGGGGCTGCCTGGGTGGGGCTGCTCCCAAACTGGCTTTAGCAAGAGGAGCAGGGTCCTGTTAGCCCCTGGGGAGGCGGCAGGGAGCAGTGTCCTGTGGGGGAGCCTCAGGCCACGGTCCACGTATACCCACACCCCACACAGATGAACACACGTGCATGATACCTGTACCCCACAGATACGAACACCCATGCACTCACCATATGCTGTAACACACACATGCGCTACATGAATGTGCATGAATACATGCACATATCTGCATCCCATACCCCATAAATGGACACATGTATATGCCCACACATGCGCACATCATATGTATGAACACGTGCACACCCAAACCCCATATGTGTAAACACACGTGCATACACACCCCACACACAGACACATGTACGTCCACACATACAAAGCTTGTGCACCCACCAGTATCCCACAAACGTACAAATGTATGTGCATATGCACACGCACACACAGTCCACACTGCACACGCCCCAAGGTAAGGCACATCCCCTCCCCTCCTCTCCCGCCTTTGCAGTGAAGCTTGTCCTGGTGCGGCTGGAAGCCCTGTGGGCTGGGGAGCAGCAGCGAGACCCCCAGACAGAGCCTGGCCTCAAGGCTGTGTTTTGGCAGCTGTTCTGTCTCCCTCTCCGGCAAGGGGCCTGCCCTCAATTGCATCAGGGGCTCAACCAGCTGGGTCCTTCTCTGCCCATGCCCACTGGTAGAGCTGCCCAGACCTGTGCCTCAAGGGCCCTGACCTGGCTGATGTCCCAGGAAGGAGAGCCCTGCATCCTGGGCCTGGCTGCTCTCCCCCAGGAAACCTCCCCCAGTCTTGATTGTGTCTGCTTGTATTTTATGATCACAAAAGCAATGCTTGTTTGCTGTAGAAAATGCATAATGTATGGAAAAGTCTGGAGATGAAATTTTCCAATAGAGGTAATCACTGGGAAATTCTGGCATATTTTGTCTAGCATCTGCCCTGTGTTTCACAGATTTGTACATGTAGTTTTGCATTTCAAAGTTGTAAATCCAACATTAGATATCAAAAGAAAGGAAAAAAACCTTTAAAATCACTAAGTTCTCTCTCTCTCTTTTTTTTTTGAGACCGAGTTTCGCTCTGTCACCCAGGCTGGAGTGCAGTGGCATGATCTCGGCTCACTGAAAGCTCCGCCTCCTGGGTTCATGCCACATTCTCCTGCCTCAGCCTCCCGAGTAGCTGGGACTACAGGTGCCCGCCACCACACCCGGCTAATTTTTTTTTGTAGTTTTAGTAGAGACAGGTTTTCACCATGTTAGCCAGGACAGTCTCGATCTCCTGACCTCGTGATCTGCCCACCTCAGCCTCCCAAAGTGCTGGGATTACAGGCGTGAGCCACCGCGCCCAGCCCTTTTTTTTTTTTTTTTTTTTTTTTTTTTTTTTTTTTTTTGACACGGAGTCTTGCTCTGTCATCAGGCTGGAGTGCAGTGGTGTGACCTTGGCTCACTGAAACCTCTGACTCCCTGGTTCAAGTGATTCTCCTGCATCAGCCTGGCAAGTAGCTGGGATTACAGGCATGTGCCACCACGCACAGTTAATTTTTGTATTTTTAGTAGAGATGGGGTTTTACTATATTGACCAGGATTGTCTCAGTCTCCTCAGCTGAGGTCAGGAGTTCGAGACCAGCCTGGCCAATATGGTGAAACCCTGTCTCTACCAAAAATACAAAAATTAGCTGGGTGTGGTGGCGCATGCCTGTAATCCCAGCTACTGAGGAGACTGAGGCAGGAGAATTGATTGAACCCAAGTGGCAGAGGTTGCAGTGAGCCGAGATTGCACCACTGCACTCCAACCTGAGCAACAGAGCAAGATTCTGTCTTAAAAAAATAGGTCAGGTGCAGTGGCTCATGCCTGTAATCCCAGCACTTTGGGAGGCTGAGGTGGGCAGATCACGATGTCAGGAGTTCAAGACCAGCCTGGCCAACTTGGTGAAACCCTGTCTCTACTAAAATACAAAAACTAGCCAGGTGTGGTGGCGGGTGCCTGTAGTCTCAGCTACTCAGGAGGCTGAGGCAGGAGAATTGCTTGAACCTGGGAGACGGAGGTTGCAGTGAGCTGAGATCATGCCATTGCCTCCAGCCTGGGCAATAGAGTGAGACTCCATCTCCAAATAAATAAATAAATAAATGAATAAATGAATGAATGAATAAGTAAATGGAAAAAGAGTGGCCAGTAGGGGAAGGCAAAAGGAAAAACAAGCGGGAAGGGAGAGCATATTGAAAAGCCAAGCATTTGTGTTCCTTTTAGTCTTTGATCAGCATTCATGGAACCCACATTTTACATGCGGAAAGAAAAGGGTGGAGGAATAGTCAATTATGTATTCATCTTGCACTCAGTGAATCTGCATTTTTACAGAAGAAAAATACACATAGACTACAGGAAACAGTCAGATATGCTTTTGTCTCCAGTGTGCAGATGGATGACTTTTAAATCTGTCCTTTGTCCCTTACCTGTGAAGACAAGTTTTTCATTTATGTTGTCAGGGTGAGATTCAACATAACTGTTTTGGCTGGGTATGGTGGCTCATGCCTGTAATCCCAGTTCTTTAGGAGGCTGAGGTAGGTGAATTGCATGAGGCTAGGAGTTGGAGACCAGCCTGGCCAATATGGTGAAACCCTGTCTCTACTACAAATACAAAAATTACCCGAGTATGGTGGTGCATGCCTGTAATACTAGCTACTGAGGAGGCTGAGGCAGGAGAATTGCTTGAACCAGGAGGCAGAGGTTGCAGTGAGCCAAGATCACACCATTGCACTCTAGCCTGGGCAATAGAGCAAGACTCTGTCTCAAAAACTAAACAAAACAAAACCCAGAACTGTTTTAGATGAAATTCAAAAAATTCAACAGAGCTGTTTGTTTTCCTTTCACACATTCAATGTCAGTAACTCATCTTTCTGGGTTTGAGATACTGAATGAGCAATGTATGGTCTCATCCAAACCCTGGTAGATTTCTCGCCTAAGAAATTTTGAGTATCAAGACCATACCCTCTTCCCTGAATAATGACTGCTAAAGGCAAAGAAATCTCAGGACCACCAACTCACTAAGCCAAAAGCAAAAGTCAAGCTGGAAACTGGATCATGCAAACCTGCCTCCCCCATTTTGTTCCTAAATAGATACCTACAAAGATTTTTTTAAAAAGCTACATACTTCCCTCACAATTTGCCCATGAAGAAATTCCTCGTGGGCCTCAAGATTTTGACCTTAGAACAGTTCTGTTGAATTTCCCTGACAATGTAAATTGATAGCTTATCCTTGCAGGACAAAGGACAGAACTCAAGGTCATCCCTCTGCTCACCTGGGACAAATGCATATCTGACTGCTTCCTCTGCCCCATGTTTACTTTATCTTTTTTTTTAATTAAAAAAAAATAGAGACAGAATCTCACTATGTTGCCTAAGCTGGTCTCAAACTCCTGACCTCAAGTGATCTGCCTGCCTTGGCCTCCCAAAGTGCAGGGATTACAGGCATGAGCCACTACGCCCGGCCGCTGTCCTGAGTTTCATGACTTCATGACATAGGCATGATTTGGTTTTTAGTTTGTTTTTTGTTTCGTTTCATTTTGTTTTGTTTTTGAGACGGGGTCTAGCTCTGTCACCCAAGCTGGCATGCAGTGCTGCAATCATAGCTGGCTGCAGCCTTGATCTCCTGGACTCAATTGATCATCCCACCTCTGCCTCCTGAGTAGCTGGACCACAGGCATGCACTACCATGCCTGGCTATTTTTTTTTTATTTGTAGAGATGAATTCTCAGTATGTTGCCCAGGCTGGTCTCAAACTCCTGGCCTCAAGTGATCTTCCCGCCTTGGCCTCCCAAAATGCTGGGATTTCAGACATGAGCCACCCACGATGGCCACATAAGCACGACTGATTAAATCATTGACCACTGGTGATCAACTCAACCTTCAGCTCCTCCCCATCCCTGGAAATCAGGGGATAGGGGGCTGAAAAGTTTAACCCCGTAATCACGAGGTTGGTTCCCCTGGCCACCAGTCCTTTGGGAGTCCCCAGAAATCAGTCGTCTCATTAGCATCCATAAAGACACATCACTTGGGAGATTCCAAGGGTTTCAGGAGCTGTGCACCAGGAGACAGGGACAGAGACCATATATGTGTGTTTGTGTGTATGTGTGTGTGTGCGAGTGTGTGTATTCTTTTTCTGTGTTATTTTCTTTTACACTGTAGCTCTCAGATCTTACAAATATACATTTCTTATTATTTCATGTTTATATTATAAAAGAAAAATAAAATCTTGGGATCTCAGACTCACTACGCTACAGGGAAAAGGCTAGCTGGGAACTGTGTCACACAAACCTGTCTCTCATTTTTTTTTTTTCCTAAATACATAACTATAAAGATAAAAGGCTACATACCTCCCACAGAATTTGCTCAAAGGAAATTCCTTGTGGGTCTCAAGATATTGACCCTAAAAGAGTTGTGTTGAGGCTGGTGCAGTGGCTAGCACCTACAATCCCAGCACTTTGGGAGGCTGAGACAGGTGGATCACCTGAGGTCAGGAGTTCGAGACCAGCCTGACCACCATGGTGAACGGTGAAACCCCATCTCTACTAAAAATACAAAAAAATTAGCCAGGCGTGGTGGCAGGTGCCTGTAATTCCAGGTACTCAGGAGGCTGAGGCAGGAGAATGGCTTGAACCTGGGAAGCAGGTGCTTACACCCACCTGCTAACACAGGGAGAGTCATCATCATAGTCAAGTCTTTCAGTGGTCAGTGTGAGCATTCCGTGAGCATAGCTCATTTCTCAGAGCTGAGAGGGTGGTCCTGACTGGCTTGCTCCCTCCCAGTGCGCCTCTGTCTCCTCTCCACGCTGCCTGCCTCCCCGGGGCCTGGGCAGCCCCTCCTTCCTGCTGATTTACCTCAGCCCAGCTCCTGCTCGGGGGGAGCCCTGCAGAGCCCTCACTGGGCACCTCTCTCAGAGGCACTGGGCCCCACAGGTAACTGAGCAGGTGCAGCCATCGCTCAGTACAGCTCCTGGGGACAGGTCAGGTGGGTTAGGCTGGGGCTCTGGTGAGGTCAGGCCACACCAACCAGGGGAGACAAGAGCTGAGACACCTCACTTCCCATGTCTCTCTTTTCACGTCTCTTAGGGCCGTCTTCCCCCAGCTGTGTAGCTCAGGAAGAACTCTCAGGATTCATGTGGAGAAAGAGGCTGTGACCACCCCAGAGGCCTCTTCTCCAGTGAGAAGCAGGGGGACACCCCGGAGTAGCAGGCATTCTAAAGCTGCCCATGAGCCCTGCGACTGGCTCTGTTCCCAGCAGGGAGGTGGAGAGGATGCCACTCAGAAATCACCTCGGAGCCCCGAGAAGAGGGAGGTCTAGAAGTTGATTTCTTGGGAAAGGGCTGTGAGCTCAAAGATGGGCTTAGGAATATGGAACACAGAAAAAAATTTGATGTGCAAAAATGAAAAAAATATGACTTTTATTAAATCATAAAACTATGATGAAACAGGTGACATCAGTGGAGCAGCCTGCACCTTTTCCATCCAGGCATCGTTGAGTCTAGACACGTGTCCCAATTATAGACCATTCAGGCATCTTTGAGTCTAGACACGGTTCCCAATTATAGGCCATCCAGGCATCTTTGAGTCTAGACACATGTCCCAAATTATAGACCATCCAGGCATCTTTGAGTCTAGACACGTGTCCCAATTATAGACCATCCAGCCATCTTTGAGTCTAGACACATGTCCCAATTATAGACCATCCAGGCATCTTTGAGTCTAGACACGTGTCCCAATTATAGACCATTCCCACACAGGTGCAAATAATCCATAATGTCTGTGTGCCAACTGGGGCATATCAGACAATGCTTGGCCAGTGTAAGGACAAGACATCAGATCCTTCTAGCAGATGAAGGTCTAAGGAACTCCATCTTTGTGGAAAGCAGAGAGTGGGGTTTCAGTGCAGGGCACGTGTCTCTGACAAGTGATGCAGTCATGAGAATGCTCAGGCAAAATAACAATAGTAACAGCAAGAAATGAATCCTGTGGATATGAAAGCTGTTTGGAAACTGGGATGCTAACAGCCTGCAGGAGCTCCCCTGTGCAGCTGTGTGAGCAGGAGGGAAGGGAGCAGGTCTTGTCCAGCCCCTCAGGCAGCTCTGGGAAAGGCTGGGGACACACACGTGGTGGCTGGCTCAGGCTATGGACTGGAAACTCCAGTTCTCCTCCTTGATTTTGGGAAAAGGGAAAGAATTTGGGGATAGAGGGACCACGGGACATGGAATCGTTTGCTGTAATTTCCTATGTGCTGGAGGCAGATGTTTGCATTCTCATTTCTTGGACATCAACTGGGTCTTTCACAGCTGTGCTGGGCACAGCCGGTGGAGTCCAGGGTTCCTCACAGGATTTCTCCCTGGTGTGACTCTTCCCAGCACAGTGCAGCCACGAAGGCATCCCTCATGATGGTTACCATATTTTAGAAATTTCCTGCACAGCACACAGTGCCAGTAGGATGACAGTTCTCTTCACAGTTTCAGTGAAATCCGAGAGATGAGGAAAAAGAACTGTGATGTCACATATGCTCATACAGAATCTTAAACATCTCCATTGTGCTTGCATCTCAGGTGCCTCAGGCCACTCCGTAGCCCAGATATAAAGCAGAGGTTCCATGGCTCAGATGCTGTTCATTAAGGAAAGGAAACCCTGGGTGATGATTCCCTCCCCATATGCCCTCCTTGGTTGCATATGCCCTGAGGCTGGGCCCTGGGGGCCCCTGCCATCCAGGTCCCAGGCACCCCTGCAGTGAGGTTTGTGTCTGGGCCCACACTGGGATCTCCTCTCTGTGTCTCTTACACAGTCATACAGGGCTGTGTCCTCAGTAGTCACAAAACTCAGCTGCAAGGAGAACCGGATGTATCCTGAATGCATCTCTGGAGATGGATACTCAACTTTGATGGTAGGGATAAACTATATGCTCCCTCCATAACAGAGGTGAGCAATCCATTGCATTCCAACCTTTCCCTGCAGGTCGGGGGATCCACCCCCCCTGAGTAACCCCTGGTAACAGAGCAGCGGGAAGCAGCATGGGACACGGAGATTGCCTGCGAGGGCTTTGCCCCTCCTACGGCTGCACCTGGGACAGGACACCTGGGAACAGAGAGGATTGCAGGGAGCTGTGTGCTCAGATGCAGCACCCCCATATCGTCACGTCTGACTCTTTGAGGCTTTCCCATCTGGAAGCTGCCACAGATCCAACGTGCAACATGAGGAAGTTAATAAGGGTGCATTGCATCCAGGACTTTGCTAACTGAGGTTATAGCTGTTCTTGCCAAATGGGGGAGGTGGGTAACTCTGTAAGTTGAGGGCTGCATTAATTTATTTCACTATAGTCATCATTTTACTGTATATATTTATTCCATATCATGTTGTATGTCTTAGATATACATAATACAATTTATTTTTTGAAAAAGAAAATGTAATTGTCAATCTCTACAATGAAATAACAGAATGTCACAAAAATAAAATGTCATCTTAAAAAGTATTCTTGTTTTCAGCCATTGCTTACAAATCCCAAAATAATAAAAATAACCATTCCCCATATATTTGGATTCATCTCAGGCAAAACATTAGAAAACAGCCAGATTCATCCATGTAATCTTATCCTTCCTACCACGGATGTGTGTCTCTCTGAAGATGTGACACAGCTCTAGTCATGAGGACAGGAGAGTTGGTCGATTGAGGCATTTCTGATCCTTCCGAAGAGCATTTCAGAGGGAATGCCCTCTCTTCATCCAGCCCATCACTATGTCGGAATGTGACTTTTAAAACTGCTGTCATCATGCCCATAAATAAAGCCTCATAAATAAAGGCAATAAAAGTTGCCTTTCCTTCAATTTGTACTGAAATAGCCACATATAATAATGGAAATAATCTTGAAGTAAAAATTAAATTAAACCAAACAGATTGAAACATTAACCTGAACTTCATGTGAGTTCAAATTTAGTGTGTAGTGAGTAGTGAGACAGGCAGGAGGCGTGGCAGAATATCAAGCTGTGCTCACCCCGTCTCATCTTAGTGAGGAAACTGCCTGCATATTGCTTAGGTGTATTACAGACTCCCATTGGTAATGTGAGCCTCACAATATGTGCTGATGGATCACATCTCAAAACTGAAACTGCATGTTATGGAGAAGGAGGTACCATCACCATCAGCTGAAGTAAACCCACGCTGAATAGTAGAATTTAAGCCAGTGACTAGAAGGTGTAAGCTAGCCAAGTCTCAAAAATAGACAAAGAGACTGATATCTAGAAGGTAAGTGTTGAAATAGTGCATGATTTGGGGATGTTTTCAGGGAAAAAGAAGACTTGATGAAACATACCCCAATACTGGACAAGAAGGAAGGAGATCGACTGTCATTTACAACAACATGGATAGATCCAGAGGACGTAGTGCTAAGTGAAATGAGCCAGACACAAGATAAAAATACAGCAAGTTCTCACTTACATGTAAAATCTTTAAAAATATCAAATCCATAGAAACAGAGAGTGAAATGATGGCTACCAGGGGTGTGGAGAGGTAGGAAATGGGGAGAAATAGGTGAAAGTTAACACATTTGCAGTCACGCAGAAGCTACAGAAGTTAGAGTTTGCAGTTATGCAGACGCTACACAAGAAAGAGCTTGCAGTTATAAAATCAAGAGCTCTTGTGTGCAGCAGGTAGGCTGTAGTTATATTTTATTGTATACTGAACATTTGCTAAAAGAGTAGAATTTAGTTTCTCCTGCTACAAAACGGTAACCATAAAAGGAAATTGATTGGTTAATTTGCTGCTAGGTTGTGGTAACCTTTTTACTATGCATGTGTATATCTAAACACCATGTTGTACACTCTTAATGTACACAGCAGAAAACATTGAAAACAAGTAGAACATAATCATCACCAAAAAAGATGGACAATGTTAAGGAACCTTTAAATACACACCTCCTTTCCCTGTGCTGGCTGATGTGAAGATTGGCACCCACACAAATTAGGTAGTAAGGAAGTGAAAGAGCATACTCCAGCAGATTATTATTCAAAACTAGTCGCTGTAACCTAGGTTATAATCCTATTTAAACATTCAAGTGATCAAGCTCTGGAGGCATTCAGAAAGCCATTACAGAATATGAATGTTTAACTCCTGATTTTAAATTTAAAATAATAGAAAAATCTGGTTGTGTAACTAACTCTGATAATTTCTTTGTTTTTCTTTTTTCTTTTATTTTTATTATACTTTAAGTTCTAGGGTATATGTGCACAATGTGCAGGTTTGTTACATATGTATACATGTGCCACATTGGTGTGCTGCACCCATTAACTCGTCATTTACATTAGGTATATCTCCTAGTGCTATCCCTCCCCCTCCCCCCACACCACGACAGGCCCCAGTGTGTGACGTTCCCCTTCCTGTGTCCAAGTGGTCTCTTTGTTCAATTCCCACCTCTGAGCGAGAACACGTGGTGTTTGATTTTTTGTCCTTGCGATAGTTTGCTGAGAATGTTGGTTTCCAGTCTCGTCCATGTCCCTACAAAGGACATGAACTCATCCTTTTTTATGGCTGCATAGTATTCCATGGTGTATATGTGCCACATTTTCTTAATCCAGTCTATCATTGCTGGACATTTAGGTTGGTTCCAAGTCTTTGCTATTGTGAACAGTGCCACAATAAACATACGTGTGCATGTGTCTTTATAGCAGCATGATTTATAGTCCTTTGGGTATATACCCAGTAATGGGATGGCTGGGCCAAATGGTATTTCTAGTCCTAGATCCCTAAGGAATCGCCACACTGACTTCCACAATGGTTGAACTAGTTTACAGTCCCACCAGCAGTGTAAAAGTGTTCCTATTTCTCCACATCCTCTCCAACACCTGTTGTTTCCTGACTTTTTAATGATCGCCATTCTAACTGGTGTGAGATGGTATCTCATTGTGGTTTTGATCTGCATTTCTCTGATGGCTAGTGATGAGGAGCATTTTTTCATGTGTCTTTTGGCTGCATAAATGTCTTCTTTTGAGAAGTGTCTATTCATATCCTTCGCCCACTTTTTGATGGCGTTGTTTTTTTCTTGTAAATTTGTTTGCTAACTCTGGTAATTTATGAAGCTCTCAAGATACATGCTTGGTGGTACCAGATGAGCTCAAGTAGATGTTATCTTGATTTCTCCATGAAACCATGATTTCTCCACGAATCTTGAGGTGTATGGTAATTGGTTATTGTCTCCAATCAACATCTGATGGTAAAATTTAAAGTCACAGCTGTGGTTGTCGTTGCATCAGTTGTGACCAGTCAACAACATCGTGCTGGTAAAAGAGTGATGGTAACCCTGGGGAGAAACCAAAGCTCAAAAATACTTTGAACACAGTTAAAACGATTTAACCCAAGAATCATCCACTTGGAGTTTGGGTATGTGTTATTTATGGTGTGACTACATTCAGAATGGCTTGAAGCATCTCCTTGCCAAAAGGCTACAGGTTTTTGTTTGTTTGTTTGTTTGTTTGTTTGTTTTTGAGATGGAGTTGCCCAGGCTGGAGTGCAATGGCAAGATCTCTGCTCACTGCAACCTCAGCCTCCCTGGTTCAAGCTGTTCTCCTGCCTTAGCCCTCCAAGTAGCTGTGATTACAGGCATGCACCACCACACTCTGCCAATGTTGTATTTTTAGTAGAGACAGGGTTTCTCCATGTTGGTCAGGCTGGTCTCGAACTCCCGACTTCAGGTGATCCGCCCACGCTGGCCTCCCAAAGTGCTGGGATTACAGGTTTGAGCCACTGTGCCAGGCCAGGCTACAGCTCTTAGAGTTACTACAAAGATGTTTGATTTTGTGTTTCAAACAGGAACATCTCAGAGATGTATCCCACTTTATCATGCATTTCTGGTGGTGGGATAGGTTCCTTTTATTGTGCTGTTGAATTTGATTTGCTGGGTTTTGTTGAATTTTGTACCTATACAAATTAGGGATATGAACTGTAGTTCTCTTTTCTTAAATGGCCTTTGCCTGTCTTTGGTATCAGACTGAGAGTGCTCACATAAAAATATTTTGAAAGTGTTCCTTTAACTTTCTAGGAGAGTTTAGAGTTATTAGTTTTAGTTCTTCTTTAAACATTTGGTAGAATTCACTGGAGAAACCACTTGAACTTGATTTTCAAATCTTCTTGATTGGGAGATTTTTGATTGCTGTTTCAATCTCCTTGTTCATTTTTGGTCTCTTCAGGTTTTCTATTTCTTTATGATTCAGTCTTGGTAGAATGTATGTTTTGAGGAATTTACCCATTTCTTCTAGGTTATCCAATGTGTTGGTGTTTATTCAATAATGATTTATAGTCGTCTCCATGTATGAGTCTGTTTTTGCCCTACTATAAATACCTGAGTCAGGGTAATTTATGAAAAAAAAAAAGAAGTTCTGCAGGCTGTACAGAAAGCATGGCAAGATCTGCATCTGGGGAGGCCTCAGGAAACTCAGTCACGGTGGAAGGTAAAGGAGAACCTCTTCCATGGCTGAAGCAGGAGCAAGAGAGAGAACCGGAGGTGCTGCATGCTTTATTTATTTATTTATTTTTTCTATTATTTAATTAATTATTTATTTTTTCTATTATTTATTTATTTATTTTATTTTTTTCTATTATTTATTTATTTATTTTTTAGACACAGTCTCACTCTGTGGCCCAGGCTGGAGTGCAGTGGCACGATTTCAGCTCACTGCAAACTCCGCCTACCGGCTTCACGCCATTCTCCTGCCTCAGCCTCCTGACTAGCTGGGACTACAGGCACTCCCCACCACGCCTGGCTAATTTTTTGTATTTCTTCGTGGAGACAGGGTTTCACCGTGTTAGCCAGGATGGTCTCCTCCTGACCTCGCGATCCGCCCACCACGGCCTCCCAGAGTGCTGGGATTACAGGCGTGAACCACCGCATCCGGCCACGCTACATGCTTTTAAACAACCAGATCTCAGGAGAACTCACTATCGGACGACAGCACCAAGGGGCATGGTGTTAAACCATGAGAAACCAACCTTCTCCCATGATCCAATCACCTCCCGCTGAGCCCCAACCTCCAACACTGAGGATTACAACTGAACATGACATTTGGTTGGGGACACAGATCCAGATCATATCACATCATGATCATTTTTATTTCTGTAGCATCAGTTGTAATGTCTCCTTGATCAGTTCTGATGCTATTTATTTGAGTATTCTTTTTTTGTAGTCTAGCTAAAGTTTTGTCAATTTTGTCTTTTTTTTCAAAAGCCCTTAGTTTGTTGATTTTTCCTATTATTTTTCTGTTTTGTATTTCATTAATTTCTACTCTAATCTTTATTATTTCATTCTAACTTAGGACTTACTTATTCTTTCTCTAAATCCGGAGGTGTAAGATTAATAAGATTAATTTAGGTTCTTTCTCTTCTTTTTTTTTATTTTTCTATTATTTTTTTCAAACTCTTTTTTTTATACTTTAAGTTCTAGGGTACATGTGCACAACGTGCAGGTTTGTTACAAATGTATACATGCACCATGTTGGTGTGCTGCACCCATTAACTCGTCATTTACATTAGGTATATCTCCTAAGGCTATCCCTCCCCCCTCCCCCCACCCCATGACAGGCCCTGGTGTGTGATGTTCCCCACCCTATGTCCAAGTGTTCTCATTGTTCAATTCCCACCCATGAGTGAGAACATGCGGTTTTTGGTTTTTTATCCTTGTGATAGTTTGCTGAGAATGATGGTTTCCAGCTTCATCCATGTCCCTACAAAGGACATGAACTCATCCTTTTCTATGGCTGCATAGTATTCCATGGTGTATATGTGCCACATTTTCTTAAGCCAGTCTATCATTGTTGGACATTTGGGTTGGTTCCAAGTCTTTGCTGTTGTGAATAGTGCCGCAATAAACATCGAGTGCAGTGGTGCAATGTCGGCTCACCACAACCTCCACCTCCTGAGTAGTTTGGATTATAGGCATGAGTCACCACACCCAGGTAATTTTTGTATTTTTGTATTTTTAGTAGAGACAGGGCTTCACCATGTTGGCCAGGCTGGTCTTGAGCTCCTGACCTCAAATTATCCACCAACCTCAGCCTCTCAAAGTGCTAGGATTACAGGTGAGAGCCACCATGTCCAGCCCCTTTCTTCTCTTTTAATGTAGGTGGGCATCATTATGAATTTCCCTCTTAGTACTGCTTTTGCAGTATCCCATGTTTCAATGTAGTGCGTTTTCACTGTCATTTATTTCAAAATATTTTCTACATTATCTTTTAAGTTTGCTTAGCTTATACTTCTTTGTAAATTTTCAACTTTTTCCCTATTAGTGATTTCTAGTTTCAATCCATTGTCAGAAATGATACTTGATGCGATTCAGTCTTCTTAATTTTGTTGAGTCTTCTTTGTGACCTAACATGTGAGGTAATCATTCCTCAGCCTTTTGGCTAAGGTCATGTGTAGTACCTAGCACGTGATCTATCCTGAAGAATGTTCCCTGTGCATTTGGGGAGAATGCATGCTCTGCTGGACTTGAATTGAATGTTCTGTATCTATCTGTTAGGTCAATTTGGTCTCTAGTGCTATTCAGGTCTGCTGTTTCCCTACTGATTTTCTGTCTGTATGTTCTATCTATTGATGAACGTGGGGTGTTGAAATCTCCTAATTGTATTGTATTGCTTTCTGTGTCTCCTCTCTGATCTGTAAATGATAGTTTTATATGTCTAGGTACTTTGATGTTGGATGCATGTGTGTGTGTGCATAACTGTATCTTTCTGATAAGTGAAACTTTGTATCACATATAATAATTATATAAGACAAAGATCTTTGTCTTTTGTGAGAGCTTTTTACTTAAAATCTATTTTTTTCTGATATATATGTAGATACTCCCACCTCACTCTCTTTTGGTTAACATTTACGTGAAATGTCTTCTTTCATTCCTTCTTTTCAGTTTCAGTGTATGTGTGTCCTTTAGTCTGACAGTCTTGAGTGATCATCCAGGAGCAAGATGGCGGAATAGGACTCTCCAGTGATGGTTCCCTGCCGGAACATTAATCTGAACAACTATCCACGTCCAAAAATCCTTCACAAGAGCTAAGGAAGCCAAGTGAGAGATCCCCATACCTGGTTACAGCCTAAAAGTAAGAAACGACACATTGAAGAGAATAAGAACAACAGTTCAGCATGACCTGTGTCACTCCTGTCCCAACGCCAGGTAGCATAGTGTGAGGAGCGATGCCGTCTAGTTGGGGGAAAAGAGAAGGAAGGAGCAACCACTGCCATTTTGTTGCCCATTTTCTGGCAGTTTTGAGACTCCTGTCTCCCTTCCTTCCTTCCTTCCTTCCTTCCTTCTTCCCTCCCTCCCTCTTTCTTTCTTTCTTTCTTTCTTTCTTTCTTTCTTTCTTTCTTTCTTTCTTTCTTTCTTTCTTCCTTCCTTCCTTCCTTCCTTCCTTCCTCCTTCCTTCCTTCCTTCCTTCCTTCCTTCCTTCCTTCCTTCTTTCTTTCTTTCTTTCTTTTTCTTGTTTTTGTGGTTCAGTGATTTTCTTCAGTAGAATTTGTTGCTTCTGATTTTTAGTGAATCAGTTATAGGTTTTTGTGCTGTGGTCATCATGAGTCTTAAAAGAAACACCTTATAGATATGAGAAGTTATTTAAAGGAGATGACAACTCAAATGAAAGAACAGAAACAAGCAAAGGCAAAAAAGACACAGAAAAATTCTACATTTTGACTCCATCCCCTGGGTTTCTCCATGTACCTAATTTTACCAGTGGGTTTTATATTTATAAAAGTTTTGTTTTATTCTTTAGCATTTTTTTCTTTGAGATTTAAGAACTCCCTTTAGCATTTCTTGTAAGATGGGCCTGAGGGTGGTGAATCCTCTCATCTTTTTTCTGTTTAGGAAAGTCTTTATCTCTCCTTTCAATTGGAGGGGTAATTTGCTGAAGAATATATTCTTGGATGGCAGGTTTTTTTTTCTTTTGAGCACTTAAAAAATGTCAATCCATTCCCTCCTGGCCTGTGTAATTTGCATTGAGAAGCCTGTTGCCAGAGGAATTGGAATGCCTTCATATGTTATTTGTTTCTTTCCTCTTGCTGGTTTTAGGATCCATTTTTTGTCCTTGTCTTTGAAAGTGTGATTAGTATATGTCTTGTAGTAGTCTTATTTTTGTTGATTCTGTTTGGTGTTGTCATGCCTTCCTGTACCTGGATATTTATATCTTTCTCAAGTTTTGGAAATTTATCTGTTATTATTTCTTTAAGTAAGCTTTCTACACCTTACTCTTGCTCAGCTCCCTGTTAAACAGCAAGAATTCTTTTGAGTTCTTCCTTGTCTGATGGAGAATAGTACTGATTTTTTCCAGCTGGATTACACACTTGTGCCACCCACTCCAGTCTGCTGGACACAGCTCAAGCTATTGTTAGCGAAGGTGAAACCAGAGTCTTTGCAGAAGGCTCAGAGAATGCCCAGGGCAGCCTCATGTGTCCTCGACCTCCCCAAGCTGAAGTTCACAAGGGAGTCCTGGAAGCACAGAGAAAACACACTGAGAGCAGCCCTGTGTGGGGCAGCCACAAGTGAGCCTGCTGCAGGAGGGATGCTCCCTCAACAGTGATGAGCAGGCACAGGCTCCATGGTGGGGATGCTGAGGAGGGACCCAAACATGGGCTGGCTCCTCACCAGGGCCTGCAGGACAGCGGATGAGCTGCTTCTCATGAGCGGGAGCAGAGCTGCATTTCTGTGACATTCTCTCTGCGGACATGTGTGCACTGCTCAGCAGGGCTCCTCCCTTCCCTGCCTCTGGATGTTTGGAAGGGCAGCTGGCAAAGGTACCCTGGGACTGGATGCTCAGGGCGTCTCTGCCCATCAGCCTTTGTTTTCCTTTCATGTGGACACTGTCTTGGAATCTGTCTGGATGAACGCTTACTACCATTGAAATCCAGTAAAGTCACAGAAAGGAAACTTGCACAAAGAAAGTGGCTATTCGACTCTAGTCAGCTCTAGCACACTGTGGAGGGCTGTAGAACACTGTCCTCAACCAGAAGGCAAAGTGCCTGAGTAAAAGGAAAAGAATTGCAGGTCTGTATATAGCCAAGACTGGAGCATGTAATTCCAGGAGTCATGAGCTCAGGCTGTCTCCTTTTCCATAACATCCCAGGGTCAGGTCAATGCAAGATGCCTCTTTGTACACCCCCTGTGGAGTGTGGGAAGAGGGTGACAAGGTTCACTGCGTCTGGGAGAAGAATATGGGGACTCCTGGTGACAATGCTGTGACCTACCCTTGGTGCTGCTACTGTGGTTTCTCCTTCTGTGGGGACAAGTGGTCCTAGGGATAGAGTCCCCATGTGCCCTGGACAGATCACTTGGAATGACCACCACAGATGAAAGAATCACTGCTCAATCTTATTTGAGTGTATGGTGAAAATAACACTCAGACACTACCAGGAGGGCTCAGGATGCAGAAGGGGGGGGTCAAAACCAGGGGGCTCAGACACCACCAAAGGGGCTCAGGACCCACCAGTAGGGCTCAGACACTAATAGAGGGGCTCAGGACATCACAAGCGGGGTTCAGACACCACCAGGGTGGCTCAGACCACGAGGGGGAGCTGAGGGCAGGCAGAGGGGCTCAGACACCAGTAGAGTGGCTCAGACACCACCAGGGAAGCTGAGGGAACCAGAGGGGATCAGACACCAGGGGACGATCAGCGCCAGCAGGGGGTGCTCAGGACCTGGCTCGGGAGCAGATGCAAGGTGAAGCTGACATTTCCTTTTTCTCCTTGGTAATTCCTTGGCCTGCCCTGCAAAAATCTTGCTCAGCAGATATTATTGTTTCTTCCCTGTAACTTCTTAGTTCCTCTCATCTGAAAAGGACTAACTTGGAACAGAAATCCCATTTAACTTTTCATACTTCATTTTCAGTCTCCTTCTAGCAATATTTCACTAAAATGTTAATAAGAAACAATGAAGCCACAGTCCAAATGTTAGCACCGTGCAAAGATTTGTATGTTTTCTCCACTTTGTCGATTACGACTTAGGAAACTCTTCCCTCAATCCACTGTCTGGTATACACTATGGCGTTGTGTTTCGCTTTCTTTCATTGGTTTTGCAAGGAGATGAAGCACCATTTAATGGGATGTGTCCTCTTTTTCTGGTTGGCTCCCCGTGGTGTCCACCTCAGATGGTTTTGCCACCACGATTAATCCGTTAATGCCTTCAGTCACCCTCACTATCCATGTAATGAAGCAATGAGTCCCTTTACTTCATCTACTTGTGTCTCCATGAGTCAGTTCACTCCTCTCCATTCTCACAAAGGACAGTCACCCTCAGGCCACTGCTTCACAGCCTCATGTAGCCTTGGGTGGTAAACCTATTAAAAAGCTCTGGCTATTTAGAAAGAATGTATATTGGAAACTTAATCCCAAATTCCATAGTGTCCAGAGGTAAGAACTTTCAGGAATGATTAGGTCATGAGGGCTCTGCCCTCATGAAGCAATTAATGCCATTATTGGCAGAGTGGGTTACTCATAGAGGGAGTAGATTAGTTACTACAGGCCTGGGGTCCTCATTAGAAGATGAATTTAGCCCCATTTCTCTCCTTCGCACATGCTTTCCTGCCTCCCACATAGGTGTCACAGCAAGAAGGCCCCTGCAAGATGCTAGCACCTTGATATTGGACTTCCCAGGCTCTAGAACTGTGAGAACACAAATTTCTTTTACTTATACTTAGTCAGTCTGTGGTATTGCCTCATTGCACCACAAAGTGGACTAAGACAAAAAAATCAGTATCAAGAGGTGGGGCTTTTGTGATTACAAATACTCCAAAATGTAGAAGTGGATGTAGTAATGCACAAAGTCTGGAATAATTTGGAGGATCAGACTATAAAAAGTCTAGATTGCCCTGAATAGAACACTAGAGGTGATTCTTTTGAGGACTCAGAAGAAGAGAGTTGTGAGGAAATTCTGAAACTTCTTAGAGATTATTCAAGTGATGACCATTAGAATGTTGGTAGAACCATGGACAATAAAGGCCGTTCTGATGACGTCTCAGGAGAAAAAGAAGAATAGCTCATCAGAAAATGGAGCAAAGGCCATCCTTGCCATAAAGTGGCAAAGAATGTGGCTGAATTGTGCTCATCCCTAGGTCTTTCTGTAAAGTGGAAGTTCAGAGCCATAAACGAGGATATATGATGGAAGAAATTTGAAGCAAATCTATGGCCTCACTTCTAGCAGGCACTTTAGGACTCCGTTCCCTGTGTCCAGGCACAGCACTCCTTGGCTGCCCATGCTGTGGCTCAGGAGGACCTAGGTGTGGCTCAAGCCATCACTTCAATGGTACAAGTCATCAACTTCCATGGCATCCATGTGTTGTTAATTCTGCAGGTGTGCAGAATAGAAGAACCACGAGGGCATGGCTTTCTCCACGTAGATTTCAAAGAATGCTGTGGACAGCCTAAGGTCTCGGGCAGTGAGTTGTTGCAGAGACAGAGTCACCACACTGAGCCCTCAGCACAATGCCAAGCAGAAATATGGGTTTGGAGGCACCACAAAGGGTATCCAGTCCACCTAGGAGAGCTAGAGGCTTGACAGTCCCACCTGTGAGAGAGGCTGAGTGGACTGAACCCAGAAAATCCATAGAGGCAAGACTGCTGGAGGCCTTGGGGGCCCATCCCCCTCCCCAGTGTGCACAGGATGCAGTCAAGGAGGATTTTTTCCAGGTTTAAGGCTTAATGTTGTTTCCCATGTTGGGTTTTGGACTATGCACCCCTTCTCCTTGCCTCTCTCTGAGCTTTGAAATGGGAATTTCTATCCCATACCTGCCTCATCATTCACTGTATTTGAAAGTAGATAACTTATTTTGATTTTATAGGCTCACAGATGGAAACAATTTATATCAGACTAAATTGTGCCTTCAGTGTCACTCATATCTGATTTAGATGAGACTTTGGACTTCATACTTTTGCATTGATGCTGGATGAGTTAAGACTTTGAAGACAGTTGGGATGGAATGTATGTAGTTTACATTGTAATTGGGACATACATTTTAGTATTAGGAATGGAATGCTATGGTTTAAATGTGTCACCCAAAGTTTATGATTTGGAAAAAATCTTTAATGCAACAGTGTTGAGAGGTGGGACTTTATTATGTGATCAGGTCATGAAGTCTCTGTCCTCATGAATGGATTACTGTCACTATCATGGGAGTGGGCTAGTTATTACAGGAGCGAGTTTCTAATAAAAGATGGCCTCTTTTTTTCTCACAGACAAGTGGTCTCTTGCTCATCCTCCTCTGCTGTTAGATGATGCAGTGAGAAGGCCTTTTTCAGATGCCAGCCCCTTGATATTGGGCTTCTCTGACTCAAGTACCATTAAGTATAAATTCCTTTTCTTTAAAAATTGCCCAGTCTCCATGTTGTGGGTGCCTGTAGTCCCAGCTACTCGGGAGGCTGAGGCAGGAGAATGGGGTGAACCCGGGAGACGGAGCTGGCAGTGAACGGAGATCATGCCACTGCCCTTCAGCCTGGGAAACAGAGCGAGGCTCTGTCTCAAAAAAAAGAAATGCCCAGTCTCTGGTATTCTGTTATAGCAACACAAAAACAGACTCAGACTAAGCCATTGTAAGATGTGTGAGGTGATATCTCATCCCAGTTTTAATTTGCATTTCCCTGATGATTAGTGAGTGATGTTGAGCATTTAAATGTCTTTATGTTGAGTGAAATAAGCCTGGTATAAAAATTACTCCATGATCTCACTTACACATGCAATCTAAAAATGTTGAACTCAGAGAAGTAGAGAGTAGAATGTTGCCTACCAGGAGCTGGCGTTAGGAGGATGTAAAAGCTGAGGCCCTGGTGAAAGGGTACAGAGTTTTGGTTAGACAGAAGGAATTCGTTTGAAGATCTATTGCACACCATGGTCAGACCTCAGTGATACTAATGTACTATATATACTTGAAAACTGATAAGAGAGTAGATTTTACACATTTACACCATAAAAAAAGCAGTATGTGAGGTGACAGACATGTTTATTTACTTGATTTAATAATTTCACAATGCACGCATATATCAAAACATCACGTTGTATGCCCATAATATATGAAATACAATATATTTTTCTAGTAAGTGTGATGCCTCTGTTTCTTCAACAACAGTTTCTGGAGATTGTTTTTTCCTTGGTGTGGACAATGTTTCCTCTCTGCTGTCTTTATACAGTTTTCCTTTCCCATGGGTTGATTTAAGACAGTGACAATTTATTTATTCTATATCTGGTAATTTCACTGAGAAACCTAATGAATAGCCACTTGAAACCATCTGGTGCCACCGAGAAACCATCTGAAGGACACAGATTTTCTGAGTGTAGGCCACAACCATATTTTAACACTTTTTAAATTCAAAATCAGGGTTTAAATTTTGATATTTTACAATGGCTTCTTTGATTTCCTCCCAAGATCCAACCGTTGAGCGTGTGAAAAGGGCTGGAACCCAGGTTACGGCTGTGCTTGGCATGATGATGTCCTGCAGAAATTCCTTTGGCTTTCTACATGTAGCTCAGCCTCCATATCAGCCAGCTCACTTGGAGGTCAGAGTACTTCTCAAAGATCCTCAGTGTGTTGTTTCATTTTGAGAGGTTTCCAGCCCTTGTGAGACACCCCTTGGTTTTACAATCACCACGAAGTTGTTTATGATTCCAAAAACATACCTGCCATCTGTCCATATGTTTGTTCTGCAGCTTTTGATTTCCTAAAATGCTGTAGTAACTGCAATAAGTTCTACCATCTGGATTAATTTTCACCTCAGTTGGAAGAGTGTATTTTAAGATAAAGATAAAATAGTAATAGTATATCCTCCTTGGTAATATCCAGTTCTATACTTTGGGCTATGGTCTGTCAATAAATAATGTTATGTCAGGGTCCTCAATGGAGTGCCTGAACATCTAAGGAAGGTACAGAAGTTTCCCTAACTAAGATAGAAACCACGGTGAGCACAAGTTTGCTATGCACCCATGTCTCCGGTCTGTCTCACTATGCACCTGACACTCATTTTAACCTCACCAGGAAGTCAGTTAACTTCCAAATCAGTTTATTGTAATGCTTCTAGGTAATTATATGTGGCAATTTCTGGCAGAGATGAATAAAAATATTCACCAGAGAATCTAATACAGAAGAAAGCAAGAGGCCCTGGGCTTGTTTTCATAAAAGCATCATACACCAGGCAGTTGATTCTTTCGGCTGTCGGCACTGGCACACCCAGCATTCCGGCTTCATCCCTTAAGTAAGCTTCATCGTGCATGGATAGGCTGGAACCTTTCCCGAGGCCATATGCCAATGGATATGCAGCACTGTACCACATGTCCACAGAGATACAAAATCCCCTATGGGAAGAACGAGGCTGGATCAACGGGACTGGCAGTTTCTCACTGAGAAAATGTGAGGTCAGCTTCTATGGCGGGCAATTCAGGAAATTACGCAGCAGTTTTGTAATTGATGGTTATGGAAAAATGAACCATTGAGATGACTAATGACTTACATTCCATTATTCCAAGTAAGAAATGGACATCACAGTTCGCCGCAACTAAATTTTCATAACCTAAATGGATTACTTTAAACTTCTTCCTACATCTTCTCTTAATAATTTTTAATAACGAATGTGTCTTACCTATATTCCCAATATTTAAAACTGGGCTGCCAAGAGAGTCTAGAGAATTTGAGAACTAAGAACAGTGAAACTTCTGTATGTTCAGCAGCTGCCAAAGCAACACAATATTCCCCAGGAACACTGTTCTGTGCTTCAGCACAAATCATGCTTGTGTATTTCCTAATGGCTCCAATAGTGACCCTCCATTCCCATCAAACATTTGGCCTCCCCTTTCTCCACGTCCCCTCCATTCACACATTATACTCTCAGCTCTGTCTAGGTATCGTAAAAGCCAGCAAATGGACCCTCCTGATCTCCTGAACATGAAACCCAACACTATCATGTGATCAGCTTTCTTGGCATGGTGACTTTCAAAGGCATCTCATTTAAATAATCACCATTTTTTTCCTTCTGTAACAAACTGTTTCTTTCCATTGTGCCTTCCCATAAGCATTTTAACATAATTTACTGTCCGACCGCAGTTATTAATACACACAAATGCCACAACCTCTTTCTAGCCCAAGAGACCTGATTAATTTTTCTTTGGGGATGAGCACACCCTAGAAACACATCCCATTCACATAAACACGGGCACACCGATGACTTGTTCTTTTGTGTAAGCAAGAGTTTACACCATTCTCTGTCCAACTCCATGAGCCCCTGAAGACCAAGACACACTCTTTCACACCAGTGCAAGCTCCGGCCCAGGGACAGCCTGCTGAGGAATGGGCTCAGCTGGGTCTGGGTGCTGGGTTCATCTCTTCCCCTCTCCTGTCCCATAGCAGGTCCATCACCCTGCTCAGGTCTGAACAGGAGTGTCTAGGTTTGTCTGGCCATCCGACTTTTTCAATTTTTAGAAGATCTCCTATTACCTACTGTATTCATTTTATAGGGCTTTTATAATGAAATACCACAGATTGGATGGCTTACAATACAAAACCAATTTCCTCACACTTATGGAGGATGAAAGCCTAAGATCAAGCTGCCAGCTGGGTGGGTTTCCTCTGAAGTCTCACTCCCTGGTGTGCAGATGGCGCCTTCTCGCTGTTCTGTGGTAACATGGCCGTCCCTCAGGGCGTGTGCACCCTCCCTCCTGCTTCCCCTTCTTATAACAACAGTCAGATTGCATTAGGGCCCCACTCCAGGAATCTCACTTTAACTTATTCACCTCTTTAAAAGACACTGATCCAAGTATGATTTCATTCTGAAGGACCAAGGGTTGGGACTTCAGCACAAAAATTTAGGAGGGACACAGTCTACCCTAGCAGCCTCCTTCAGGGATGTCAAATATTTTCCTTCTGCTCCCTGTGAAAACCCTAAAGGGGTAGGGAAAGGGCGTCCAACCTGCACGCTCGTAGAGGGGAAACCAGCTTCATTAGTAATCGTACATTTGTGGTAAAAAGGCAGGATTTGAAGCGGTGGAAGATGGGAGTACGGGGCATTGGAACACAAAGTGCCACACAACGCAGCCTTCGAAACACACTATGGTCATGTTAAGTTTAAATGGAGTGACCACATTCGCCAGGAAAGGGAAATATTTACACTTTTGAGGAAACAGTAATTTGTGTTTCTGATTATGATCTGGCATTGGATTTTCCCTCCCCTCATAAGCAATGACAGAATCAGCAGAAATATGTGAAACGTTAGTTCTCAGACATGAGACACCCGGAGAGGGCCCCCTCTGTCCTTCCCTGAGAGCTGATCAGCTCCTGCATCTGAAGAAATGACCAAAGACCAGGAGAGAACCACACAGAAGCATCGGAGGGACAGCACCTGGGGCTCTCATGGGGTCAGGAATAGTGTCTGCTCCCAATAGATGGACTAAGTAAAAAGTATCATAATTCACAAGGGTTTTACATAGCACAGAAGAAAAAGTTACCCTATATCAACTGTTGATCTTGTGAATCCAGGAACTGTGGATTCAAGGTGGTCGGGCACATCTTGATTTAGGCATTTCAGGGACACATGAGACATCAATCAATATAAGTAAGAAGGACACTAGTTCCATCCAGAAAGGCTGAGACAACTCAAAGCAAGTCCTCCCCACTTAGGGCTTCCAGGTCACAGGTAGGTGAGAGACAGATGGTTGCATTCTTTTGAGTTTCTGATAAGTGTTCGCAAAGGAGGTCATGAGAATATTCATCTGTCTCTGTGAGCAGAGGGACAACTTTAAATAGACTGGGAGGCAGATTTGCCCTGAGTGGTTCTCAGCTTGATGGGGCCCAAGATATTTTCCTTTCACAATCTGGTAACTTCAAACAAAACTTCAAAGCCACAACAAAACAATACAACAACAAAAAGAATAAGACATGGGTACTTATTAAGAGTAGAAAAACATTCAGTCCCCAAGGAAAATATTGGCAGTGCCCACCTCCACATGACAAAGGAGTAAGCAGTGTAAGCCACAGAAAGGAGCATATTAACCCACAGAGTGACCGAGAATAACACGGGTGATGCGAGGGCATTGAACACACATCATTGCATTTTGTAGATTCAGAAAGCAACAGAAAAGATTGACGGTGGTAAAAGAGACAGCCCTGCTTCCCTCTCCCTTTTCCCTTCCCAATGAGCCCTCACAGCCGTGACCCTCAGCCTCATCCCGCAGTGCAGCAGCTGCCGTCCTGTCCAGACCCACCTCCTGCCCCTCCCTGGGACTGTTACCTCATTCCCTCCCAGAGTCCAGGTGCCCCGCGGTGTGGTGCGGGAGCCTGGGGAGGCCCTTTGTTCTCTGTCAGGGTCTCCCTGGGAGGGACGCAGCCACCGCAGCTGGTTGGGGCCTGGCTTCACCGAGGACAGTCCTTTCCTTTCCCATTGTCGTTGGGTAATTATTGCTGGGCTGGGACATGAGGCAGGCAGAGGTGCGGGTCACCCTTAGGGCCCCCCTCTTGCTGCTGGGGCTCTGGGCGCTCCTGGCTCCAGTCCGGTGTTCTCAAGGCCGTCCCTTGTGGCACTACGCCTCCTCCGAGGTGGTGATTCCCAGGAAGGAGACGCACCACGGCAAAGGCCTTCAGTTTCCCGGCTGGCTGTCCCACAGCCTGCGTTTTGGGGGTCAAAGACACGTCATTCACATGCGGAGGAAACACCTTCTTTGGCCCAGACATCTGCTGGTGACAACTCAGGATGACCAAGGAGCCTTGCCGATGGATGGCCCCTACATTCCACCAGACTGCTACTACCTCGGCTACCTGGAGGAGGTGCCTCAGTCCATGGTCACCATCGACACGTGCTATGGGGGCCTCAGAGGCATCATGAAGCTGGACGACCTTGCCTACGAAATCAAACCCCTCCAGGATTCCCGCAGGTTTGAACATGTTGTTTCTCAGATAGTGGCTGAGCCCAATGCAACGGTGCCCACATTTAGAGATGGTGACAATGAGGAGACAGACCCCCTGTTCTCTGAAGCAAATAACAGCATGAATCCCAGGATATCTAATTCGCTGTATAGTTCTCATAGAGGCAATATAAAAGGCCACGTTCAATGTTCCAATTCATATTATCATATATATGGCAATATTACCACCTGTTCCAAAGAGGTGGTCCAGATGTTCAGTCTCATTGACAGCATTGTTCAAAATATTGATCTGTGGTACTACATTTATCTTTTGACCATATATAATAATCGTGACCCAGCCCCTGTGAATCAATATCGAATTCAGAGTGCAATGTTTACCTATTTTAAAACAACCTTTTCTGATACTTTTCATGTTCATTCATCCACACTACTTATTAAAGACGCACCACATGAATCCAACTATGAACCTGAAAGGTATAGCTTCTGTACACATTTAGGCCTATTACACATTGGTACTCTAGGCAGACATTATTTATTGGTAGCCATCATAATAACCCAGACACAGATGAGAAGTATTGGTCTGGAGTATGATGATAACTACTGCACATGTTAAAGAAGGGCCTCCTGCATTATGCAGAGATTTCCTGGGATGACAGATGCATTCAGTAACTGTTCTTATGGACATGCACGAAATTGTTTTATACGTCCAGGCCGGTGTGTTTTCAAAACACTTTCTCCTGTGTATAACGAAACCATGACAATGGTTCGCTGTGGAAACCTCATAGTGGAGGGGAGGGAGGAATGTGACTGTGGCTCCTTCAAGCAGTGTTATGCCAGTTATTGCTGCCAAAGTGACTGTCACTTAACACCGGGGAGCACCTGTCATATAGGAGAGTGCTGTACAAACTTCAGCTTCTCCCCACCAGGGACTCTCTGCAGACCTATCCAAAATATATGTGACCTTCCAGAGTACTGTCACGGGACCACCGTGACATGCCCAGCAAACTTTTATATGCAAGATGGAACCCTGTGCATGGAAGAAGGCTACTGTTATCATGGGAACTGCACTGACCGCAATGTGCTCTGCAAGGCGATGTTTGGTGTCAGTGCTGAGGATGCTCCTGAGGTCTGCTATGACATAAATCTTGAAAGCTACCGATTTGGACATTGTATTAGACAACAAACATATCTCAGCTACCAGGCTTGTACAGGAATAGATAAGTTTTGTGGAGGACTGCAGTGTACCAATGTGACCCATCTTCCCCAGCTGCAGGAACATGTTTCATTCCATCACTCAGTGAGAGGAGGGTTTCAGTGTTTTAGACTGGATGAACACCATGCAACAGACATGACTGAGGTTGGGCGTGTGATAGATGGCACTCCTTGTGTTCATGGAAACTTCTGTAATAACACCCGGTGCAATGCAACTATCACTTCACTGGGCTACGACTGTCGCCTTGAGAAGTGCAGTCATAGAGGGGTCTGCAACAACAGAAGGAACTGCCATTGCCATATAGGCTGGGATCCTCCACTGTGCCTAAGAAGAGGTGCTGGTGGGAGTGTCGACAGCGGGCCACCTCCAAAAAGAACATGTTCTCTCAGACAAAGCCAACAATCAGAGATGTATCTGAGAGTGGTCTTTGGTCGTATTTACACCTTCATAATTGCACTGCTCTTTGGGACAGCCACAAATGTGCAAACTTATCAGGACCACCACCGGTTAGGAAGAGACAGTTACTAACCCTGAATAAGACTAATTCAGCCTCCCGATCCCTGTAAAGATACAGAGAATATAACAGCAAAATCTATGAAATAGGATCAGGCGAAGGGATGGCAAAGCTCAAGTCCACATTTCTTGAAGTCAACAGGAGGCACATGGTCCTGTCTCACGTCACAGGGAAAGGGGAGGCATTGGCTTCTATCCCAGGTTCTTGTAGGTCGCTGATGTTCACTCTGAAATAAATCTTCAAAAACACACATTGGTGCCTTCCACATTTTCTTAGACTCCTCTGGGAGCCCAAACTTGGCCAGAACCTCTGGCCTGGAGAGACATGAATGAGCATCTGGCTCTTGACCTGAGGTCGCTGGTCCCGGAATTAACGGAAGTTGCCACCAGCTCCTTACAGGGCACGTTCATGACATTTCTCCAGAAGAGAGCTCCAGAGCAATAAGCTTCCTCATTCCCCAGGTAATCAGTCCTTCTCTAAACCCGAAGTCAGTTTAGGGTGATCCAGGGCTACTCCCTGTTCCCTGTCTGTTCCTTACAGGGGTGCTGTGGGCTTTGCAGTGAGAGGGACTTGGGTTCAAATCCCCCACCAAGCAAATCCCCCTACCTGGGGCCGAGCTTCCCGTATGTGGGAAAATGAATCCCTCAGGTTGATTGCTGCAAGCAATGAAATTCAACTAGAAAAATAGGTAGACGTGAGGGCAAGCTGTCTGTCATTTAGTGTGAGCTCTGTGAGTGGCAGCTGCCCCCTTTCTTCTTGCCCCCACATTTTCTTGAACTGAAACAGGAAGGGAAGCTGAGTAAGTCATGATGAGGAAGAGAAACCAGGCTTGTAGCAGCACAGGCTGGTCTGGGTGGAAAACAGGGCTAGGTGTGTCGCTAAGTTGTTGTAAAGGAAAATGGAAGTTAAATGTATAAATAACTGAATGAGATAACATTTTATTTTAACTTACAATTCACAATAATATTGACGTTTAAAATGCAGTGTAGATATGTCACAGAGAATGTCAAAGGCAAAGCCCACCAACGGAAGATATCACCCTTCCCATACCATCAACAGAAAACTGCTGGTATTCTAGAGTAGTACTGAGATCTAGCATTTTTCTGAATACATCTGTGGTTCTAGATGTCCTGCTTCCACAGATATTGTTTAGAATTCCCACCCCTTTCTCCAAACACAGCTTGATATCCTTTCTCTGAACCTGCTTAGAAATTTCCTCCATTCAGCTGTCATAAAAATGCGAGTAATGCATTCCTGTGCCTCTCTCAGGGTGTTCTATTATTTTGTGGGTGAACGCTAATGGACAGTGAAGTGTGAGGTCAGTGAATACAATGCCCTCGCCCTGTGTGTCCTTCGGGTGTGAGGGGTTTTGCTGATAGAACAGCAGGCCCCGTCCCACCCTTTATGCATCTCCACCCTCCACCTCATGCACCCAGCTGACCTCTTCCCTGTGGCCTGGGGGGTTCCCTGGGGGAATGACCTCCCCTCTCTCCAGGGCCCACCCACTCAGTGCCCGTGCAAGACCACCAAGCTTGGCACAGCCCCACATTGTGTCAGGGCCTGTGTCCCCTTCCTCACCCCCTAAACAGATGGACCCACTGGGACACTGCTCAGCGCAGGGGGCGGTGGTATGTGCAGAAGGAAGGCAAATGTGCACTCTGTTGGAGAAATATTATAGGTAGTTTGAGCAAAAAATCTAATGCCATGTGAACTTTTAGAATGATACATATTTTAACAAAGAACATGACCAATAGAGTTTGTATTGAAGCCAGGTAAACACTATTTAGAGCAACAACAATATCAAAAACAAGCCAACAGTTCACCAAGAAAAACCACAATTAACCCCATGGAAATGGTCTTCCAAGAGCATCAGCACTTAAATCCTCGAAATCTGCCTGCCTCAGCACCTGTTGTCCTGACCTGCCCTCCTGTGTGTCCTAATCACTCCTATACACGGGGCCTGCACTGTGGGAGATTCGAGCTGTGCCAGGTGGAGGGAGCAGGACAACTGCTACCGGGTTGTTGGTGTGGATGCCGAGGCTACCCAAGCAGGTGTAAACTCCCACCTGTGGGCCAGGGAAGAGTACACAGGAGACATGTCCTGGGAATAGGGTGAGGGAGAGCTGTGGGGGCTCTGGGTTCTGAAGAGGGTTCTGGCCTGGCAGGGATAAGACCAACCAGCATGTGAGGCCAGGCTGGAGTCTGGACTTCTGAAGCTGCAAGGGTCGTGGGTTGCTTGGCCCAAGGGGCTGTCCTGGTTCTCTATGGAGCACTTTCAAACATTCCTTCTTCCTCCCACCCCCTCCTTCTCTCTTTCTGGGGTGGGTCCTCTGCCAGAGCCTGCAACTCCCAAATCCTCTTTGCCGGGTCCTCGGCTTCACTCTGCATCCGTCCTGAGCATCGATCTTCCAATTCCATCCTCTTCTCTTCTGCTGTGTCTAAGCTGCTGTGAAGCCACCTGCTGTAATTTACTGTTTTATATTTAATATTGTACCGTACATCTGTTCTGTTTCCTTCATCATAAACGCTTCATTTCACACTCAGCATCTGGGAACACAAGGCCTTGTCAGCTGTCACCTCCTTCCATTCTCTGTTTCCTTCCTCCTCTCCCCATGTTTGCTCATCATGTCCAGTCTCCTGCCATCCTGAATGCTTCTGATGGAAGGTCCAAGATGTCTCATGAGCATTGTGAAGATTCTTTGTAATGCGACCTTGTTCCAGGCAGGAATTCTCCCTCACCCACCCCTGGAAGCCAAGTATAGGGAGATTGCCATGTTTAATCAAAGACTGAGCTAACTTAACACTGGCTTTGGTTTTAAGGTTTCTCCAATCCCCAGGGCACAGGATTTCAGGGAGTTCAGGTGACAGTCTGGGTGTTACCCTTCAGGAGGTTGTAAAGTCCATTTCACATAGTTTACACCACAGACTATGGAAACTATATATATATATATATCTAGTGCTGTCCCTCTAGAGAACCCTAGTATGTATATATATAATATATAATATGTATTATATATTATATATATGTAGGAGTTTATTGAGGAGTATTAAACTCACACAACTGCAAGGTCCCACAGTAGGCCACCTGCAAGCTGAGGAGCAAGGAAGCCAGTCCGAATCCCAAAGCTGAAGAATTTGAAGTCTGATGTTCGAGGGCAGGAAGCATCCAGCACAGGAGAAAGATGTAGGCTGGGAGGCTAAGCCAGTCTAGTCTTTTCATGTTTTCTGCCTGCTTTATACCCTGGCCACACTGGCAGCTGATTAGATGGTGCCCACCAAGATTAAGGGTAGGTCTGCCTTTCCCAGCTCACTGGCTCAAATGTTAATCTCCTTTGGCAACACCCTCACAGACACACCCAGGATCAATACTTTGCATGCTTCAATCCAATCAAGTTGACACTCAGTATTAACCATCACAAGTCCAACCCTTGTCAACTTGAACCCATACGAATCTCCTGAGATCATACATAATCTTCAAATAAAGACAATAATAAGGTCATAATTACACCTAATGTAATACAACTATCTTTTGTACAACCAGAAATGCACCAATCCCCAACCCAAGTGCTATTATGTAAAGTTAAGAACACTTAAATGCTGATATGAAGTCAATAAATTTTATGTCACATGATAAAGGAAAAAAGAAATAAAATGAAGGAATTTTCTTAGTACAAGTGTGTACATGCACAAACATGTTTTTAACAAAAGAAGAAGGAAATACTGATGACAATTACAGTCCTCATTTCTGCAACAGATCACGTGGTTGTAGCTGGTATTGATGACTACTTCTTCTACTACCCATTCTGTATTCCCTTTGCCTTCAGCAAGCATCACAGCAGGTAGAGTTTTTTCTCCTAGTGGAGTGATGCAAACCTTCATTCCTGAAGGGTCTGGGCCATTTGTAGTCCTGCCTGGATTGGGCTGTTGTAGTTTCCCATTGACCTTAATGACAGGGCAGGGTAATGTTAAGAGATGCCCTAATGGATCTCCTGTATTCCATACATATTCTTCCTTACCTCCATTGTGGAGTAATAGACTGATTGCATCTTGATAGTTCAGGTCAATCAGCCCAGTCAACACTGTAACTCCCTTCTTAGCCTGTGGACTTGAAGGTAGGAGTGGCCCAAAGTGGCCAGGTGGAAATCTTAACTTCCAGTTTAATGGAATTGTTGTTGTTTCTCCTGATGGCAGCATTATTCCCACTGGAATTAAGACCTCTAGGCCAACAGAATGTAATATCATGGGACCAGGAAGCAAAAATTTTGCTAGGGGATCACTAGGGGTGATGGTGAATGGTGCCATTTCCACTCCCACCCCTTGATTCCTGGATCCATGAATTATGGCTATGGGAGAAACAGTACCATATGTTGGATGCTAATTTGGAGCATACATGGCCTTTTGGATAGCTTTGCCCCAGCTCTGCAAAGTATTGGAGCCTAGTTGGCATTGTAATTGTGATTTTGAAAGGCCATTCCATTCTTCTATCAATCCAGCTGCTTCAGGATGATGGGGAACATGGTAAGACAAGTGAATCCCATGAGCATGAGCCCACTGCCACACTTCTTTAGCCGTAAAGGGAGTGCCTTGGTCAGAGGCAATGCTATATGGAATACTGTGACAGTGGATAAGGCATTCCATGACTCCACAGATGGTAGTCTTGGCAGAAGCATTGCATGCATATCTGCAGTAAGTGTCTATTTCAGTGAGGACAAACCTCTGCCCTTTCCAGGATGGAAGAGGTCCAATATAATCCAACCTGCCATCAGGTAGCTCGCTGATCACCCTGAGGAATGGTGTCATTTGGGTAGAGACCCACAGCCAAACCAGATCACGCCACCCCAACCCCTCCCAAATCTCATGTCCTCTTTGCATTTCAAAACCAATCGTGCCTTCCCAACAGTCCCCCAACATCTTAACTCATTTCAGCATTAACTCAAAAGTCCAAATCCAAAGTCACATTGGAGACAAGGCAAGTCCCTTTCATCTATGAACCTGTAAAATGAAAAACAAGTCAGTTATTTCCAAGACAAAATGGGGGTACAGGCATTAGATACATGCTCCCATTTCAGTTGGGAGAAATGGGCCAGAATAAAGGGGCTACAGGTCACATGCAAGCCCAAACTCCAGTGGGGCAGTCATGAAATCTTAAAGCTTCAAAATAATCTCCTTTGACTCCATTCCTCACATTCAGGGCATGCTTATGCAAAGTGGGGGCTCCCACAACCTTGGGAAGCTCTCACCCTGTGGCTTTGCAGCTCTGATCCCATGGCTGCTCTCATGGGCTTTGCAGAGTTCAGCCCTCCTGGCTGCTCTCATTGAGTGCCTGCAGCTTTTCCAGGTGCACAGTGCAAGCTGTTAATAGATCTACCATTCTGGGGTCTGAAGGATGGTGGCCCTCTTCTCACAGCCCCATTAGTCACTGTCTCCGGTGGGGACTCTGTGTGGGGGTTCCAACCCCACATTTCCCTTCTGCACTGCCCTAGCAGAGGCTCTCCATGAGGGCTTTGCCCCTGGCACAGACTTCTGGCTGGACATCCAGTCATTTCTATAAATCCTCTGAGATCTAGGCAGAGGATCACAAAGCTGAACTCTTCTCTTCTGCACACCCATAGGCCCAACATCATGTAGAAGCCACCAATGATTGGGGCTTTCTGAAGCAATGGCCTGAGCTGTACATTGGACTTTTTTAGCCACAGCTAGACCTGGAGCAGCTGGGACACAGGGCACCAAGTCCCAAGGCTCCAAAGAGCAGCTGGGCCCTGGACCCAGCCCATGAAACCATTTTTCCCTGATAGGCCTCCAGGCCTGTGATTGGAAGGGCTGCTGCAAAGATCTCTGACATGGCCTGGAAACATTTTCCCCATTGTCTTGGTTATTAATATTCATCTCTTCATTATTTATGCAAATTTCTGCAGCCAACTTGAATTTCTCCCTAGCAAATGTGTTTTTCTTTACTACCACATGGCCAGGCTGCAAACTTTCCAAACTTTTATGCTCTGTTTCCCTTTTAAACATAAGTTCCTATTTCAGATCATCTCTCTCAAGGGCAAAGTTCCACAGATTTCTAGGGCAGGGAAAAATTCCATCAAGCTTGGTTTTATACAGGCATGAGACATCAATCAAATACATTTAAGAGATACATTGGTTTGGTCCAGAAAGGTGGAACAACTCAAAGCGAGGGCTTCCAGGCTATTGGTGAATTTAAACATTTTCTGGTTGACAATTGGTTGAGTTTGTCTAAAGACCTGGGATAGATAGAAAGGTAATGTTCAGGTTAAGATAAAGATTCTAGAGTCCAAAGTTCTTTTGAAGTCTTATAGTGGCTGCCCTTAGAGATAATAGGTGACAAATGTTTCCTATTCAGATCTTAGTTCAACTCTTTAGGATTGGGAGGTTCTAGAAGAAAAAGATCTAGCCATGTTAATAGAGATTCTTTACAGATGCAAATTTTCCCCCACAAAGAACAGCTTTGCAGGGCCCTTTCTTTCCTTCCTTCCTTCCTTCCTTCCTTCCTTCCTTCCTTCCTTCTTTCTTTCTTTCTTTTTAGACGGAGTTTTGCTCTTGTTGCCCAGGCTGGAGTACAATGGCACGATCTTGTCTCACCACAACCTCCACTGCCTGGGTTCAAGCAATTCTCCTGCCTCAGTCTCCTGAGTAGCTACGATTACAGGCATGCACCACCACACCCGGCTAATTCTGTATTTTTAGTAGACACAGGGTTTCTCCATGTTGGTGAGGCTGGTCTCGAACTCCCAACCTCAGGTGATCCGCCCACCTCAGCCTCTCAAAGTGCTGGGATTACAGGCATGAGCCACCATGCCCAGCCTGCAGGGCCATCTCAGAGTATGGCAAAGAAACATGTTTTGGGGTAAAATATTTTGATTTTCTTATTTGTCTCATAATGTTATGCCAGAGTCAGTTTGGAAAGTAAATCATGATATATAGGTTTAAATAAAACCTATCTGATGAGAATTTATGATTTGTAGAGCATGCCTCCCCAGACTCTTTAGATAGGAATTTGGGCAAGATAAAAAAAAAATCAGAGTTTAGTCCTCACCATCTAAGACCAGCTCAGCTTGGACTTCGCTGTTCATGTCACTATCAGCATTTTAGTCAAAACCACTCAATAAGTCTCTAGGAAGTTCCAAACTTTCCCACATCTTCCCCTCTTCTTTCAAGTTCTCCAAACTGTTCCAACCTCTGTCAGGAGGTACCCAGTTCCAAAGTTGCTTCCAGATTTTCAGTTATCTTTATAACAGTTCCCCACTCCTGGTACCAATTTACTATATTAGTCTGTTTTCACAGTGCTATAAAGAACTGCCCAAAAGTGGGTAATTTGTAAAGAAAAGAGGTTTAATTGACTCACAGTTCTGTGTGGTTAGGGTTGGGGGCTCAGGAAACTTGCAATCATGGTGGAAGTGGAAGCAGGCATGTGACACATGGCAGCAGGTGAGAGACAGAGAGAGAGAGAGAAAGAGAGAGAGAGGGAATGAAGGAGGAACCACCATACATTGATAAAACCATCAGATCACATGAGCACTCACTCACTATCAGGAGACCATGAGGACAGCATGGGGGAAATCACCCCCATGACCAAGTCACCTCCCACCAGGTCCATCCCTTGACACATGAGGATTACTATTTTTTTTTTTTTTTTTTTTTTTTTTGAGATGGAGTCTCACTCTGTCACCCAGGCTGGAGTGCAGTGGTGGGATCTCGGCTCACTGCAAGCTCCGCCTCCCGGGTTCACGCCATTCTCCTGCCTCAGCCTCCCAAGTAGCTGGGACTACAGGCGCCCGCCAGTACGCCCGGCTAATTTTTTGTATTTTTAGTAGAGACGGGGTTTCACCATTTTAGCTGGGATGGTCTCGATCTCCTGACCTCGTGATCCGCCCGCCTCGGCCTCCCAAAGTGCCGGGATTACAGGCGTGAGCCACCGCGCCCGGCCGAGGATTACTATTTGAGATGAGATTTGTTTAATGACACAGAGCAAAACCACATCAGCATGTGACAAAGGTCTAATATCAAGAATCTATGAGGGGGCAGTTCCAAGATGGCTGAATAGGAACAGCTCCAGTCTGCAGCTCCCAGCATGAGCTATGCAGAAGACGGGTGATTTCTGCATTTCCAACTGAGGTTCTGGGTTCATCTCATGGGGGCTTGTTGGACAGTGGGGGCAGGACAGTGTGTGCAGACCACCAAGAGTGAGCTGAAGCAGGGTGAGGCATTGCCTAACCCAGGAAGTGCAAGGGGTCAGGGAATTCCCGTTCCTAGCCAAGGGAAGTGGTGATGGATGGCACCTGGAAAATCCAGTCACTCCCACCCTAATACTGCACTTTTCCAATGGTCTTAGCAAACGGCACACCAGGAGATTATATGCCATGCCTGTCTTGGAGGGTCCCACACCCACAGAGCCTCGCTCATTGCTAGCACAGCAGTCTGAGATCAAACTGCAAGGTGGCAGCGAGGCTGGGGGAGGGGTGCCCATCATTGCTGAGGCTTGAGTAGGTAAACAAAGTGGCCCAGAAGCTCAAACTGGGTGGAGTCCACTGCAGCTCAAGGAGGCCTGTCTGCCTCTGTAGACTCCACCTCTGGGGGCAGGGCATAGCTGAACAAAAGGCAGCAGAAACCTCTGCAGACTTAAAGGTCCCTGTCTGACAGCTTTGAAGAGAGTAGTGGTTCTCCCACATGGACTTTGAGATCTGAGAATGGACAGACTGTCTCCTCAAGTGGGTCCCTGACACCCAAGTAGCCTAACTGGGAGGCACCCTCCAGTAGGGGCAGACTGACACCTCACACGGCCGGGTGCCTCTCTGAGATGAAGCTTCCAGAGGAATTATCAGGCAGCAACATTTGCTGTTCAGCAATACTCGCTGTTCTGCAGCCTCTGCTGCTGATACCCAGCAAAATAGGGTCTGCAGTAGACCTCCAGCAAACTCCAACAGACCTGCAGCTGAGGGTCCTGACTGTTAGAAGGAAAACTAACAAACAGAAAGGACATCCACATGAAAACCCCATCTGTACGTCACCATCATCAAAGACCAAAGGTAGATAAAACCACAAAGATGGGGGAAAAACAGAGCAGAAAAGCTGAAAATTCTAAAAATCAAAGTGCCTTTCCCCCTCCAAAGGAACGCAGCTCCTCGCCAGCAATGGAACAAAGCTGGATGGAGAAAGACTTTGACGAGTTGAGAGAAGAAGGCTTCAGATGATCAAACTACTCCGAGCTAAAGGAGGAAGTTGGAACCCATTGCAAAGAAGCTAAAAACCTTGAAAAAAGATCAGATGAATAGCTAACTAGAATAACCAGTGTAGAGAAGTCCTTAAATGACCTGATGGAGCTGAAAACCATGGCACGAGAACTACGTGATGAATGCACAAGCTTCAGTAGCTGATTCGATCAACTGGAAGAAAGGGTATCAGTGATTGAAGATCAAATGAAAGAAATGAAGGGAGAAGAGAAGTTTAGAGAAAAAAGAGTAAAAAGAAAGAAACAAACCCTCCAAGAAATATCAGACTATGTGAAAAGACCAAATCTATGTCTGATTGGTGTACCTGAAAGTGACAGGGAGAATGGAACCAATTTGGAAAACACTCTGCAGGATATTATCCAGGAGAACTTCCCCAACCTAGCAAGACAGGCCAACATTCAAATTCAGGAAATACAGAGAATGTCACAAAGATACTCCTCGAGAAGAGCAACTCCAAGACACATAATTGTCAGATTCACCAAAGTTGAAATGAAAAAAAAATATTAAGGGCAGCCAGAGAGAAAGGTTGGGTTACCCACAAAGGGAGGCCCATCAGACTAATAGCTGATCTCTCAGCAGAAACTCTACAAGCCAGAAGAGAATGGGGGCCAATATCCAACATTCTTAAAGAAAAGAAATTTCAACCCAGAATTTCATATCCAGCCAAACTAAGCTTCATAAGTGAAGGAGAAATAAAATCCTTTACAGACAAACAAATGCTGATACACTTTGTCATCACCAGGCCTGCCCTACAGGAGCTCCTGAAGGAAGCACTAAAAGTGGAAAGGAACAACTTGTACCAGCCACTGCAAAAACATGCCAAATTGTAAAGACCACCAAGGCTAGGAAGAAACTGCATCAACTAATGAGCCAAATGACCAACTAACATCATAATGACAGGATCAAATTCACACATAACAATATTAACGTTAAATGTAAATGGGCTAAATGCTCCAATTAAAAGACACAGACTGGCAAATTGGATAAAGAGTCAAGACCCATCAGCGTGCTGTTTTCAGGAGACCGATCTCACATGCAGAGACACACATAGGCTCAAAATAAAGGGATGGAGGAAGATCTACCAAGCAAATGGAAAACAAAAATAGGCAGGAGATGCAATCCTAGTCTCTGATAAAACAGACTTCAAACCAACAAAGATCAAAAGAGACAAGGAAGACCATTACATAATGGTAAAGGGATAAATTCAACAAGAAGAGCTAACTATCCTAAATATATATGCACCCAATACAGGAGCGCCCAGATTCATAAAGCAAGTCCTTAGAGATCTACAAAGAGACTTAGACTCCCACACAATAATCATAGGAGACTTTAACACCCCACTGTCAACATTAGACAGATCAACGAGACAGAAAGTTAACAAGGATATCCAGGAACTGAACTCGGCTCTGCACCAAGCAGACCTAATAGACATCTACAGAACTCTCCACGCCAAATCAACAGAATATACATTCTTTTCAGCACCACACCACACCTATTCCAAAATTGACCACATAGTTGGAAGTAAAGCACTCCTCAGCAAATGTAAAAGAATAGAAATTATAACAAACTGTCTCTCAGACCACAGTGCAATCAAACTAGAACTCAGGATTAAGAAACTCACTCAAAACGGCTCAACTACATGGAAACTGAACAACCTGCTCCTGAATGACTACTGGGTACACAACGAAATGAAGGCAGAAATAAAGATGTTCTTTGAAACCAATGAGAACAAAGACACAACATACTAGAATATCTGGGACACATTCAAAGCAGTGTGTAGAGGGAAATTTATAGCACTAAATGCCCACAAGAGAAAGCAGGAAAGATCTAAAATTGACACCCTAACATCACAATTAAAAGAGCTACAGAAGCAAGAGCAAACACATTCAAAAGCCCGAAGAAGGCAAGAAATAACTAAGATCAGAGCAGAACTGAAAGAAACAGAGACACAAAACACCCTTCAAAAAATCAATGAATCCAGGAGTTGGTTTTCTTTAAAAGATCAACAAAATTGATAGACCACTAGCAAGACTAATAAAGAAGAAAAGAGAGAAGAATTAAATAGATGCAATAAAAAATGATAAAGGGGATATCACCACTGATCCCACAGAAATACAAACTACCATCAGAGAATACTATAAACACCTCTATGCAAATAAACTAGAAAATATGGAAGAAATGGATAAATTCCTCGACACATTCACCATCCCAAGACTAAACCAGGAAGAAGTTGAATCTCTGAATAGACCAATAACAGGCTCTGAAATTGAGGCAGTAATTAATAGCTTACCAACCAAAAAAAGTCCAGGACCAGATGGATTCACAGCCGAATTCTACCAGAGGTACAAGGAGGAGCTGGTACCACTCCTTCTGAAACTATTCCAATCAATAGAAAAAGAGGGAATCCTCCCTAACTCATTTTATGAGGCCAGCATCATCCTGATACCAAAGCCTGGCAGAGACACAACAAAAAAAAGAGAATTTTAGACGAATAACCCTGATGAACATAGATGCAAAAATCCTCAATAAAATACTGGCAAACTGAATCCAGCAGCACATCAAAAAGCTTATCCACCATGATCAAGTGGGCTTCATCCCTGGGATGCAAGGCTGGTTCAACATACACAAATCAATAAACGTAATCCAGCGTATAAACAGAACCAACAACAAAAAACACATGATATCTCAATAGATGCAGAAAAGGCCTTTGACAAAATTCAACAACGCTTCATGCTAAAAACTCTCAATAAATTAGGTGTTGATGGGATGTATCTCAAAATAATAACAGCTATCTATGACAAACCCACAGCCAATATCATACTGAATGGGCAAAAACTACAAGCATTCCCTTTGAAAGCTGGCACAACACAGCGACACCCTCTCTCACCACTCCTATTCAACATAGTGTTGGAAGTTCTGGCCAGGGCAATGAAACAGGAGAAGGAAATAAAGGGTATTCAATTAGGAAAAGAGGAAGTCAAATTGTCGCTGTTTGCAGATGACATGATTGTATATCTAGAAAACCCCATCGTCTCAGCCCAAAATCTCCTTAAGCTGATAAGCAACTTCAGCAAAGTCTCAGGATACAAAATCAATGTGCAAAAATCACAAGCATTTCTATAACCCAATAACAGAAAAACAGAAAGCCAAATCAGGAGTGAACTCCCATTCACAATTGCTTCAAAGAGAATAAAATACCTTGGAATCCAACTTACAAGGGACGTGAAGGACCTCTTCAAGGAGAACTACAAACCACTGCTCAATGAAATAAGAGGATACAAACAAATGGAAAAACATTCCATGATTATGGGTAGGAAGGATCAATATCCTGAAAATGGCCATACTGCCCAATGTAATTTATAGATTCATTGCCATCCCCATCAAGCTACCAATGACTTTCTTCACAGAATTGGAAAAAATTATTTTAAAGTTCATATGGAGCCCAAAAAGAGCCCGCATTGCCAAGTCAATCCTAAGCCAAAAGAACAAAGCTGGAGGCATCAAGCTACCTGACTTCAAACTATACTACAAAGCTACAGTAACCAAAACAGCATGGTACTGGTACCAAAACAGAGATATAGACCAATGGAACAGAACAGAGCCCTCAGAAATAATGCCGCATATCTACAACTATCTGATTTTTGACAAACCTGACAAAAATAAGAAATGGGGAAATGATTAGCTATTTAATAAATGGTGCTGGGAAAACAGGCTAGCCATATGTAGAAAGCTGAAACTGGATCCCTTCCTTACACCTTATACAAAAATTAATTCAAGATGGATTAAAGACTTAAATGTTAGGCCTAAAACCATGAAAACCCTAGAAGAAAACCTAGGCATTATCATTCAGGACATAGGCATGGGCAAGGACTTCATGTCTAAAACACCAAAAGCAATGACAACCAAAGCCAAAATTGACAAATGGGATCTAATTAAACTAAAGAGCTTCTGCACAGCAAAAGAAACTACCATCAGAGTAAACAGGCAACCTACAGAATGGGAGAAAATTTTTGCAATCTACTCATCTGACAAAGGGCTAATATCCAGAATCTACAATGAACTCAAACAAATTTACAAGAAAAACGAACAACCCCATTAAAAGTGGGCAAAGGATATGAATAGACACTTCTCAAAAGAAGACATTTATGCAGCCAAAAGACACATGAAAAAATGCTCATCATCACTAGCCATCAGAGAAATGCAAATCAAAACCGCAATGAGATACCATCTCACACCAGTTAGAATGGCAATCATTTAAAAGTCAGGAAACAACAGGTGCTGGAGAAGATGTGTAGAAATAGGAACACTTTTACACTGTTGGTGGGACTGTAAACTAGTTCAACCATTGTGGAAGTCAGTGTGGCGATTCCTCAGGGATCTAGAACTAGAAATACCATTTGACCCAGCCATCCCATTACTGGGTATATACCCAAAGGATTATAAAACATGCTGCTATAAAGACACATGCACACATATGTTTATTGCGGCACTATTCACAATAGCAAAGACTTGGAACCAACCCATATGTCCAACAATGATAGACTGGATTAAGAAACTGTGGCACATATACACCATGGAATACTACACAGCCATAAAAAAGGATGAGTTCATGTCCTTTGTAGGGACATGGATGAAGCTGGAAACCATCATTCTCACCAAACTATCGCAAGGACAAAAAGCAAACACCACATGTTCTCACTCATTGGTGGGAATTGAATAATGAGAACACTTGGACACAGGAAGGGGAACATCATACACCGGGGCCTGTTGTGGGGTGGGGGGAGGGGGGAGGGATAGCATTAGGAGATATACCTAATGTTAAATGATGAGTTAATGGGTGTAGCACACAAACATGGCACATATATACATATGTAACAAACCTGCACGTTGTGCACATGTACCCTAAAACTTAAAGTATAATAAAAAAATTAAAAAAAAAGAAACACCTGCTTTTTCCTGTTTTCCATTTGCTTTGTTGATTTTTCTCCATCCTTTTACTTTGAGCCTGTGGATGTCACTGCATGTGAGATGGGTCTCTTGAAGACAGCATACATTTGGGTCTTGCTTCTTTATCCAACTTGGCAATTCTGTGCCCTTTAATTGGGGCATTTAGTCCATTTACATTCAAGATTAATATTGATATGTGCATATTTCATCCTGTTATCATGTTGTTAGCTGCTCAATATGCAGATTTGATTGTATAGTTGATTTATAGTGGCAATCGTTATGTACTTAAGTGTGTTTTTGTGGTGGTCAGTAACATTCTTCCATTATCATATTTAGCAATCCCTTAAGGACCTCTTGTAAGGGAAATATAGTGGTGATGAATACCCTTAGCATTTGCTTGTCTGAAAAGGATCTTATTTCTCCTTCACTTGTGAAGCTTAGTTTGGCTAGATATGAAATTCTTGCTTGGAATTTCTTTTCTTTAAGAATGCTGAATATAGGCCCCTAATCTCTTCTGGATTGTACAGTTTCTGGTGAAACATCCACTGTTAGCCTCATTGGGTTCCCTTTGTATGCGACCTGAACCTTCTTTCTAGCTGCCTCTAACATTTTTTTTTTCCTTTCAACCTTTAAGAGTCTGATGGCTATATGTCTTAGGGATGGTTGTCATGTATAATATCTTGCAGAGGTTCTTTGCATTTCTTGAATTTGAATGTTGGCCTCTCTGGTGAGGTTGGAGAAATTTTCATGGAGGATAGCCTGAAATGTTTTTCAAGTTGCTTTGTTTCTCTTTCTCTTTTTAAGGGATACCAATGTGTCATAGGTCTGATCTTTTTACATAATCACCCATTTCTCTGAGGTTTTATGCCTTCTTTTTTGTTCTCTTTTCCTTTATTTTTGTCTGACTGAGTTAATTCAGAGAATCAGTTTTTAAGCTCTGTGATTCTTTCCTCAGCTTGGTCTATTCTGCGGTTAATACTTGTAGTTGTATTCTGAAATTCTTGAAGTGAGTTTTTTAGCTCTATCAAATCATTTTGATTCTTTCTTAAAATGGCCACTTCATCTTTCAGCTTCTGTATCATTTTACTTTATTTCTTAGCTCCCTTGGATTGGGTTTCAACATTCTCCTGAATCTCAGTTATCTTCTTTCCTATCCATATTCTGAATTCTATGTCTGTCATTTCAGCCATTTCAGTCAGGTTAAGAACCATTGCTGGGAAACCAGTGTGGTCGTTTGGAGGTAAGAAGACACTCTGGATTTTAGAGTTGCAGAGTTTCTTGCATTAATTCTTTCTCATCTTTGTGGGCTGTTTCTTTAATCTTTGAAGTGGCTGTCCTTTGGATGTTTTTTTCTTTTTTGTTGTTTTTTGGTGTGTGTTTTTGTTTGTTTGTTCATTTGTTTGTTTTTTGCTCTTATCTTCTTTGATACTCTTGCAGGTTTGATTGTGGTATAAAGTGGGTTCAGTTAGCTGTGTTTCTTGAAAATCTTAGGGGGTCCAGGCTGACCTCAGCACTCTTGTGGTGTGTTCTCTGCTCTGGGACTGGGCCCCTGGCTTTATTCTCTGGCCCCTTGAGTTTAGAAACTTGCTGCATTGGAGGGGCTGAGTTTTTCCCAGTCCACTGGCCACAACACTATAGTAGGTGGTGCCGGCCAAAGCACTTCATTAGAGTGGTGGCAGTGGGATCCATTCTCACTCATAGGTGCCAGCAGTTGTGGTGTCATGGCAGGGTGCACATGCCTCTGCTGGGGTGGGGGTACTGGCAGGAGCAGGGTGGCAGCATCCCTACATAGGTTCCTGCTGGCAGTCACAGGACAGTGAGGTGCCTGTGTGTTGGCAGGGACAGGGTGGCGGGGTGCACATGCACATGCTTGCTGGTGGTAGAGGGAGTTGTGATCCGCTGTGCACTCATGCCAGCAAAGCAGTTGGGAGGTGCTATGGGTGGACTGGTGCACATCAGCAGAGGCTGGCTTGCTGGAGGTCCCCAATGGTTAGGCATGGTCTGCTGGCAAAGGAGCTATGATGAGGGCCCCCAGGAAACACCCTGGTTGGGCTTCCAAGGCTGTACTGCAAGCAGGCACAGCCAGCCTGGGGCCCCAGGAGAGGCCAGAAGGCAAGGAAATGCTCATTTCAGATGGACCCTGTCCCATGGACAAGACCACCCTGCTATATTCAGCTCCAATAGTCACTCTAAGGTTAAAATCTCCTAGAGGAGGTTGGTGAGCCTTGGGGGATGGGTGTCACCTGGCTGTGCTCCACTACAGCCATTCTCATGTCAAACACTCTGGGCTTTACACAGACTGGAGTCCTACCCTTGGTATCCCTCTAAGCAGCTGTCCCTGCCAGCACAAGTGTCCATGGGGGTCATGGGGTCTCCTGCTGCTAGGATTCTGGAGGCCCATGGCAACAGCAGGCCACTCCTCACCTGTTCAACTCAACCTTTCCCCAGGAGTTGCTGGGAGCCAGGAATGAGTCCTGGTGCTCGGCATCCCCATGCAGGGTTCCCATCTTCCTCCACCTTCAGCCCGGCATCTCTCAGTCCACTCTCAATGCCTTCCCTTTAAAGATCTGCTTGGAAAGCACCAGTCTTCCTGATGTCTCACTCCCTCCATGGCAGATGTTCCTCCTGGCTGCATCTAGTCAGCCATCTTGACTCACCTCCAAAGTCTTTTTAATTACCACTTTGGTTAAATTAGTAACTATCATTTTACAATGGCCTGTGATTCTGTTTTGATCAAATATTTTGAGCCTTTTAGCATCTATAACAAATGTTCTCAAAAATCTAAATTCTAAATCAAGTCTCTGAGACCCTTGAAAGGGTGTGAGAGACAACATGGTTTCACCTGCCTTCATGTGTCCCAACCCATCCCTGTGGATGCCTCTGTCCACCTCAGCTTGCCCACTGTCTTTCCTTCCGAAATGTATGCCCTGCTGACTTCTGGCCTCAGTGACAGATGCAAAGACAAGGCGACAGCCCCACATAGACCATTTAACCAGCCCCACATTTGCATAGGCTAAATGGTCATGTCACAGTCTGTTGCTCAGACTGGTCTCAAATCCTGGGCTCAAGTGATCCACCCACCTTGACCCCCAAGGTGCTGGGATTACAGGCTTGAGCCACAGTGCCCAGCCAAGAACCCGTTTTTGACTGGGCACCTTGGCACACACCTGTAAATGCAACACTTTGGGAGGCCAAGGTGGGAGGGTGGCTTGAGGCCAGGAGGTTGAGGTTGCACTGAGCTATGATGGCACCACCTCACTTCAGTGTGGGTGGCAGGCAGAGTGAGATCCTTTCGAAAAAAAAAAAAACAAAACTTGTTTTCTCTGCAGCCGGGCTCCATAAGCAAACACAAACACAAACTTCCTCTCCAGAGGGTCCAGGAGTTGCTGGGCTGCAGGAGGTGCTTAGGGCCTCTTAGGGAATGGTAAGTGACCACCCAACGCAGGAACTCAGCCCCAGGGGCATATGCAAAGAAAGGCTGGGAGGACACTTTCAGTGACTGGGGTTACAAACCCCAACCATAAGCCATTGCTGGCTCTGTGAGCTGAAACCTCCAGAAATCTCCCACTTAGTTCTTAGCACTAATCCACTCTTCCTTTTTCCTACTCTCAATCCCTAGAGGATGCCCTCCTTTCTCAGGCCCAGACCAAGCTACCAGCTCCACTCTAGACCTGAACACATAACTCCTCCCTCTGTCTCCACCTGGAAATCTCATCAGTGCCTCACATTTACACTCCTGAAAATCAGGTCCTGCCCACCCACCCTCTTGCTCCACCTGATTCCTGCCCTGTTTCACCCAGAGGCCTTGCAGTCTCCTTTAACTCTCAAACCCACCCATGTCATGTGAGCATACTGACTGTGTTCTATGTAAGAAAGAGCAGTTTCTTGGTTGTCCTGCGGTTTTATTAGTCTATAGGCAAAGTGTTGGCAGAGCTGGTTCCTTCTGAACCCTGGGAGGGAGATTCTGTTTTCATGCCTTTTCCAGATTCTAGAACCCATATTCCTTGCTCTGTGTCCCCTTCTTCCATCTTCAAAGGCCATCCTCTCATTTCTGTGTCCATCATCACATCACCCTTCCCCTGACTCTGGCTCTCCTGCTTCCACTTATAAGCACCCTTGTGATTATGTCATACCCACCCAGAAAATGCAGGGTCATATTCTCCCCTCTCGAGATTAATTTAATCACATCTACAAAGTTCCTCGTGCCATATGAGGTCACAAATCCACATGTTCTGGGAGTTTGAATGTAAACATTTGGGGGATGCATTATTCAGCCACCCACAAGCACTGCTCCCCACTGGCCACACACTATGCACAGCTGAGATCGTGCAAGTGAAGCACATTCATCAACAGCAGCTTCAGCAAGAAACTGTATGCTCCACTTTCCTGCCATTTGTATCTGGATTTTTTTTTGCTATCATTGTAGAAAGAGTGGTATTGTAAAATTAAAGATGGATTATTTTCTTCCTAGAGCACTTTGGCAATCTGTCCAACATTATTTATCCCCTTCTGAGTGTCAAGTGTGAGGTCATTCTTTCATTGAGAGCTCAATGCCTACAATTATGATAATGCATATTGGGTACTTTCACACATCAGAAAGTTCTTCTTTCTTAAAATCTGTTCTTGAATTATTCATTCTTCTCTAGCTTTTTGTTGATCTATTTTATAATTTTAGAAAAATCAGAAAGTAACTTGAAGTATCTGTCATCTCTAGAGGTTTACCTCCCTCTTTGTGGCCTTCAGAATGCCATAACAGGCTTTTCCCATGCTCATCACATGGTTTCTATGTATGAGACCTCACCACAGGAGCTGTGGTCCGCCGGGAGCAGGCATCTGTGGATGGCGCCTTATTCCGGGCTGCTGGGACCTGTGCGCTGCCAGTGGCACTCCACGGCGGTGATTTCCTAGCTCAGTGTTGCAGCTCCAGATGGTGGGTGAGACACTAGGACCACTTTGTGAACAGCGAGGGCTTGGGGTTTGCTTTTCTACCATGTCCAGGGCTGCTCTTCATGGGGAATGTTTCTCACCTGACGTCATGGCTGAAGCCAACTTAGAACCTCTCTAGCCGTATGGGGAGTATGTGAGTGATACAGATGTTAATTAGCTCAGTGGAGCCACTCCCCTATGTAGACATGTTACAAAACATTATGCTGTACAGAATAAATATAGGTCATTTTTATGTGTCAATCAAAAGAGAAACTAATTATTAAAAAAAAAACCTCTCTACTAAAGCAGAAACCTCAGCTCCAGTCCCAGAAGTCACACAAGGCTGCTCCTGTCCTGTGTATGTTAAACCTACCTCAGAAATGCAAGGGGCATTCAGGTTTCATTCTCAATTCAAATGCCCTTTTTAATTTTGTCTATTCCTAGCACCTGGCAACATCCAGCTCTTTTTTTGGGGCTCATTCATTATTTAAACCATGTATAATTTTTCACCCAACATTCTAACACATGTAGTACTGTAGAGAATCCTTCCCTAGGAGGATCTGCAGCATTAGAAAAGAATTAAGAAGTCCAACATTTACAAGAAGGAAAAAGCAAAGAAGAGATCAAAAAATGGGCAACTTCTAGAAATAGAAAACCCTCATGAGTATGATGATAAATCGCTGGCACACATGTGAATAGTTACTTGATGCTTATAGTGATGTCTGGGAAAATGACATGAAATACTTATAATCTGTTTCTCACACATGTAATTCAAAAGAATAAAGAGAAGATGATTTGAAATATTCTTGAGTTTGCAGGAAAAAAGCTACTTCCATATGCATAATTGCATGTATTTTGATACTGCCATTATTAATAACTATCTAAGAGGGTCCATTAAAAATAAAATTTCTTGGCTGGGTATGATGGCTCATGCCTGTATCCCGGCACTTTGGAAGGCTGAGGCAGGTGGATCACCTGAGGTCAGAAGTTCAAAACCAGCCTGGCCAACATGGTGAAACCCTGTCTCTACCAAAAATACAAAAATTAGCTGGGCATGGTGGCGTGCACCTGTAGTCCGAGCTACTTGGGGGGCTGAGGCAGGATAATCGTTTGAACCCAAGAGGTGTAGGTTGCAGTGAGCTAAGATCACATCACCGCACTCCAGCCTGAGAGACAAAGTAAGACTCTGTCTCAAAAATATTAAAATAAAATTTCTCATTCCTATTACAGAGTAATTTAATTCATTAATGCCCTGCCCTGTTACAAAACTCATTTGTAAAATACTAATTGTAATTGTGAAAAAATGGCAATTGATACTAATTTTAAATTCTAAAAACAGGGCACCCATATTAAAGATTATTCTGCAGTAAGAGAATTAGCTATAACATTTTGTAATAAGGTGGAGAAAACATTCTCCAACTTACAATGGTTGGTGAGAAGAAAGTTTCCAGCACAGTAGATGGACCCTAAGAGACTTTGTTGAAATAATAAGACAAAAAGATATACAGAGAGATGGGCCAGATGAAGGGAGACAGAGAGAGAGAGAGAGAGGCAGAAATGAGAGATACAAAGTGAAAGAGGGCAACCTGTGGGGTCATCAGGGATTTGTTTTCTGTTTTGTTTATTCTAACATAAAGGCAATGGTGAGTCATCAATGTATTTAGAGTTTGCACAATCACTGTGGAACACAGACAGACACGGGGGAAGAGGAGAAACACAGGGCGGTAGCTTGCCCTTGGACTGTTCTAAGTTCCTCAAAACATAGCAGTTTTGCCCAACCTAAGGGAACTTTCAGCAGCTGCTCTTCTGCCATAGGCCTCTTTCCTGCCTTGTTTTCATGTGGCTGTTTCTGTTCCTGCAGGTCTTAGCTCATCAGACAGGCATTTATTACCTCTGTGTCAACAGTGGGAGCTTCCATTACTCTCTAGCATTACACTCCCCTTCCTCTTTCAGGAAACTTAACATGGAAGTGAGTTTGCCATCGGCCTTCTCCCCACAGTGTTAATAGTGGTGAGGAAGCCAGCCTGTTCCACCTTGCCCCTCCCATGATTCCAACACTGAGTTCAGACTTGTCACATGGAACTTATCCTTGCATGTTTGCCGCACAGACAGATGGACCCAACCATGGATTAGTGGATGGATGGATGGATGGATGGATGGATGGATGAATGGCTGAGTAGGTGTGTGGATGGAAGAGTGGAAAGATAGATGGATGCATGTATGGGTGGATGGGTAGGTTGATGGATGCATGGGTGGGTGGATGAATGAGTGGGTAGGTGGGTGGCTACATGCATGGATGAGTACTTGGATAGATAAGTGAGTGGATGGTTGGATGGATGGATGGATGGATGAATGGGTATGTGAAGGGATGGATGTATTAGAGTGGGTAGTTAGGCAGGCATGAGCTGATAGTCAAGTGATTGTTAAACTGCCTCTCTAAAATAATAATTGGTCTCGGCTGGACATGGTGGCTCACGCCTGTAATACCAACACTTTGGGAGGCTGAGGCGGGTGGATCACAAGGTCAAGAGATCGAAACCATCCTGGCCAACATGGCGAAACCCTGTCTTTACTAAAAATACAAAAATTAGCTGGGCGTGGTGGCGTGCATCTATAGTTCCAGCTACTCGGGAGGCTGAGGCAGGAGAATTGCTTGAACCTGGGAGGCAGAGGCTGCAGTGAGCTGAGATTGCGCCACCACACTCCAGCCTGGTGGTAGAGCAAAGCCCTGTCTCAAATAATAATAATAATAATAAATAATAATAATTGATCTCAGCGGGCACCAAGAAAAGGCAGTCTCCCAATAGATAGAAAACACCCGAAACTGGTCATCAGCAGCTTCCCGATAAGATCTCAGGAGTTGGATGAGTGGGCTCAAGCATATGCACTAAGAGGCAAAGTGGCAGAGTTTAACTGGCACATAATCTTCCTCTAGGAACACTCTAAAAGTAAGAGAAAAACACCTCAAATGAGCATGTGCACATTTCATTAAACCCATTGTGTACGCGGCCCCTCCGAAGCACTGGCAGGCCACTGTACATGTGGACATCCCACCCCAAGGGAAAAATCAAGGGAGAAGAAATACAAATCCCAGAACCATGCCAATGTATAAAACCCCAAGTCAAGGGCCAGGCAGAGCACTTAGATCTCTCAAGTCACCCACTTAGCCATCTTCCAAGTGTACTTTACTTCCTTTCGTTCCCACTCTAAAACTTTAATAAACATTTACTCCTGCTCTAAAACTTGCTTGGGTCTCTCACTCTTCTGCATGCCCCTTGGCCAAATTCTTTCCTCCAAGGAGGCAAGAATCAAGTTGCTGCAGACCTGTATGGATTCGCTCCTGCTAACAGATGGCTGGATGGGTGGACAGATGCATGAATTAGTGGATGGATGTTTGGATGTGTGGGTGGGTGGGTGGATTGTGGGATGGCTGGATGAATGCATGGCTGGGTGGGTGGATGGATGCATGGATAAGTGATGGATGGATGGATGGGTGAGTGGATGGGTGGATGTGTGTGTGGATGGGTGGATGGGAAAACCCTTTAATTGATTACAGGGTTCAGTGTGTGCTTCAACATCATGATGGCATCATCACATTGGTCTCTGTATGAAGCAGTGGGGGAGGAGAGTGTACCAGGGGAGCAGGAATGACTTTTCTCCAGAATCAACCTCTCCCACCCTGCAGCCTGGGCTGTGCAGGCCACATTGGAGAAGGTGGGCTCGACTACTCCTAAATGTTGTTGTGTTCAATGGCTTGTTGACGTTGATGTAGGAATGAGCCTACACCTCCACCATAGATGGAACTGTTTGGGTCCCCAAAGCAGAAAGCCTCTTCTGTTGCAGGTGCTGAAGTTTCCATCTTCTTCTGCTTATACGGAAGCTCACGCATCCCTTGGGTGGCAGGCGTCAGGTTCCTGTGCGCACTGAGCTCCTCCCTTACGTGCTTTGGACAGAAGTGTGAGGCATGCAAGATTGCTGCAGGAAGTCCACCTGTGGGGATGCTGTGACTTCTCCAGCAAGAACACAAGTCTGCTCATTGACCGTCACCACACATAACAAATTAAGTATCCCTTTTTTGATAACATGTCATTGTTTCACAGAGTATTCTTTTAAAGTGTATAAGTTGACTGCAGTTATTATTTTTTGCTTCTGTTACTAATTTACACATGATTAGGCACAATTTACACTTAAGAAATTTCTTAATAGTTTTTTCCTCCTTAAGGTGAGCTATAGTCAGATAACATACTTATCAATTGTCTCTAGCTCTTGTCAGAAAAAAATATAGGGGTGTGTGTGTGTGTGTGTGTTTTGGCCTTTCCAATGATGAATTAAGATGTGCATTGAGAAGGCGTTCACTTTATTTGACGTTAAGGAAGTACCAAGAAGACGCTCTCCACAGGCCCTGGGAAAGCCAGCAGCTGCACCCCGAGGCTGTGCCAAGCAGGGAACAAGGAGGCAGCACCACCTGCTGGGCAGGGAAAAAGCCCTCCCAGTCCCTGCCGCTTCTCTGCAGAGGCACAAAGAGCTGACCCTTCTCCTGGGCCTTCTCCTGGGCTGATGAGATTGCTCCCTGATATGCCAAATTAGGGTTGTGCATCTGAGGCTCTCTCTAGACTCTCAGCTCCTTCCTACTCCTGCGAAGTGAAGAAAACAATGCCAAGGGTTCCTGGAGGCGTCTCTTCCCCTGGAGAGTTTTGACTCCTTTCAATAGTCTCCACTACCCAGCCGTCACTCCATGTCCTCCGTTTCTCCCGAAAGCGGTGCCCAGTCTGATTCCACCGTGGCAGGGATAACAAGGGGCCAGGACATCAGGGGAGAGAAGTTTCTACCTGAGTCACAGCAGCGGCTGCCCTGCAGACTCCTGAAGACACAAGACACATTTCCATCCCAGAGACTCGGCGAAATGCAACCTCAGGCTAGAGAGAGCCAGTTATTTTTTCTTGTTCTGTCCTGGAGAGGCCACTGGGAAAGTCGTGCCCCTTGTTGAGGAAAACATGAGATCTCTCTGCGTCGTCCTCTGCCTGATGGCTATACTTCCATGTGAGTGTCTCAGAGATTTCAGAACTGGGGCTGTGGGCTGTGGTGTCCGTTTGCGACTCATGTCTTTGCTTCTTGGCCCTGAGTGTCCTGCATCAAGTGCAGCTACTAGAGTCATGCCCAGGGCTGGTGAGGTCCTCACAGACCTCTGGGCCTGGACCCAGCAGCACTCTGGGAAGGCACTGGGGCACCTCAGCTCCAGGGGCAGCACACACTTCAGCCCACCCTTCTGGGCCAACTGTCCATCTGCAGAGACACATCCAAGGCCCAGTTATCCCTGCAGCTGAGCTCCGTGATGGCCAAGGGCAGGGCCACACATTCCCGTGGGAGACAGAATGGGTACCTCAGTGTGAGCCCAGACACAAACCTCCCTGCAGGGAAGCACAAGACCACCAGGCGGCGCTCCAGACCACAGAGAAGAAAATCTGTGTCTATATATAGACAGCCTAGGATGCATGAGGCCTCTCACCCCTGGGAACGCTGAGCAGCCACCAGGAGCCCACACTTTGAGGTACAGCAGGAGCCATGCACTCTCACTCTTGCTCACTCACGCTCCTGCACACAGCCACTGACACATGCCCTCATGCACGTTGCAGATTAACTCCACTGGCCTTGCACTTGCAACGCTGGAGGCTGAGAGGTATCCACAGGTTCTTTTCTCATGAGAGGGGCGGGCTGACTTTCACTTGTGGAGAGGCAGCTCCACGAACACTGGCTGTCCTGAGTGGATGCACCTGGCTCTGGAATTCCTGTCATTTTTTTTGGATCCAGGAGCCCCTGCCTCATGTAGCTACTTAACAGAAAGGAGGAATCCACCCAGGACATGCCCAGACAGGAGCCTCACAGGACGGACAGTGGTGTCTGGGGTCACGGGCAGCCCTGACCCAGCAGCACCAGCACCAGCACACCCAGTGGGGAAGGCAGGGAGGCCGAAATGCCACCCACGGTTTGTTATTTCACTGGGTGGGACCTGGCACCCCTGCCTTCCTGACACCCTGGAATCCCTGCCTCCTCCTAGAGCCTCCAAGCCCGTCTCCCTCAGAGCCTCCAGAGACAGACCTGGGGAGCCATTTCCTCAGGCCCTGGACAAGGAAACGGAATTCCAGGTTATGGGTGCCTGGGGCAGGTCTCAGGCAGGTGCTGGGAACCAGAGACAGCAGTCACCGCGAGGCCTTAGGCCTGGCACCAGCACTTTGAGCCTCAGTTTACCAGCCCACAAGGTGCTGAGTCTGGACTGGATGACCTTCCCACCCCCAGTGACCTCTGACCTTTCCCGAGCATGTCAGCTCTGCACCAGCATCCTGGTGTGAGCCCAATGCCACTTTTTTTTCTCAACAAATAAGAAAGGAGGAAGGTGCCCCCAGGGCCCTGTGCCCTGAGGATGCCTGTGTGGAGGGGTCCATTTCATCACTGGTGTCACTCACAGGAAGGGACGAAGCCACCTGCCTTGACGGAGCTTACTCCACCTCCGCGGAAGGCCGGGGAGGTCCCTCACAGCGAACCTGAGGCCCAGCAGGCTGCAGAGGTGCTGACAGGGAATGACTGCTCAGATGCCGGGGGCCGGCAGAGAGGACGGATATGGGGATGCACACTGAGGAGCCTCTCCTTGGAGATGGAGACACGTGGACCACATGGACCAGGACACACTCCATGAAGCCTCACACTCCCCTGAGCTGCAGCTCAAGGGCCTCTCTCTGAGCCCACGGTCCCACCCCTGGGAGGCAGCTGCCCCAGCTCTGAGGGAGGAGGGCATCCACCAGACCCTCCATCTCCTGGGGGCACCAGCCCAGCCCAGCGGCTCTGCAGGACTCTGCACCCCCAATTCATGGCCAGGACTTTCTGGATGTATCTTAAGGACTGAGGACTCCACATCAGGGACCACACAAGACCGGGGTCCCGGACATGGGGGTTGGGGGTGAGCATGTCACCGGGATGGGCTGTGTCATCACTCTGGTGCTTCATCCGGACAGCCAGGGACCAAAGCCACGCCCTCAGCCCCACCCCACCCCTGCCTCACATGGCAACCCAGGGTCTGCAGATGCAGGAGAATGAGAAGCATGGTAGCCAGGCAGACTAGAGGACCCGAGCTGGGGTTGAGCACCTCCCTGTCTACCCAGGGCATGGCCTGTGAGGCTGCAGGTGGCCTAGTGTGTGCTGCAGGCTCAAGGTCCTGCCCCAGGGAGCATGACATTCAGGCCAAGAAATTGCATCATGCTGCACACGGCCCAAGGGGATAACCCTGTGATGTTCAGGTCACCAGCAGGCTTGGGGTCAAGACCGAACTGCAGAGGACAGGTTTCTGGAAGGCACAACATCATGGGTGGAGGGACTTGGAGCAAGGTCCTTAGCCCCGGGACCAGTGAATGTGTGCCCTTATAGGGAAAGGGGGTCTTTGCAGAAGGAAGTTAGCTGAAAATCATGAAGTGGAGAGGTGCTCCTGGATTAAAGAGGTGAGCCCTAATATAATCACAGGTGTCCTTCTAGGAGGATGGCAGAGGGAGACTGACATAGACAGAAGCCAGATGAGGTCGGAAGCAGAGGCAGAGGCTGAGAGAGCAGATGCTACGCCCTGGCCCTGAAGACGGAGGAGGAGCCGAGAGCTCAGGGATGCAGAGACTAGAAGAGGCAGGGAAGTTCTCCCCGCAAGCCTGGAGGGAGCATGGCCTCCAGCACACCTAGACCTTGGCCCTGTAGGATTCATCTGGACCTGTGGTATAAATGTGTGGTGTTTAAGCCACTGGGCTGTGCAAATTGTCATAGCAGCCATGGCGCATTCCTAGAGGGAGCCCTGGTGGGGACCCAGCAGGCAGCGACGGGGCCCTCACAAGCCTGTGAGCCACTCAGAGCGGTGAGAGTGGCTAGGCTTGGTGAGGTGCAGGCCACGCACAACTCCACTAAGGCAGCCTTAGAGCCCACACCTCCTCTCTCTCTCTCTCTCTCTCTGTCTCTTTCCCTCCCTCCTTCCCTCCCTCCCTCTCTCTCAGTTGGACAGCTCTCCATCATGCCCCGGGACATGACCGCCTCCCAAGGCCAAGCTGGGGCACTTTGCTCGAGGTGAGCACTGACATCCTGGGGGTGTGAGGGGCACCTACCCAGCAGCCCTGTGTGAAGGATGGGCGGTGGGCCCTAGCTGGCACTGGGCATGTGGCCCGGCTGGTGCCCGCAGGCTGCAGCCTTTCTGGGTGGCCAGGATCAGTGAAGGCCTGCAGAGTCTGGGCCTGGGATCCCTGCAGCACTGGCTGAGGACAGGCAGGGTTGGGCAGTGAGGGCACTGGGTCACTGTCACCACCCACGGTTTGTTACTTCACTGGGTTCCCTGCAGTGCTGGCTGGGGACAGGCAGGGCTGGGCAGCGAGGGCGCTGGGTCACTGTCACCACCCACGGCTTGTTACTTCACTGGGTGGGACCTTGCACCCCTGCCTTCCTAACACCCTGGAATCCCTGCCTCCTCCTAGAGCCCCCAAGCCCATCTCCCTCAGAGCCTCCAGAGACAGACCTGGGGAGGCATTTCTTCTGTCCCCAGCAGAAGCCCAGGAGGCCCGGAAGGCACAGTGGGTCTAAAGGAGAGGATCCTGCCACTGCCTGAGGGGTGACTCTGACAAGACAAGCATGGAGCCCACTAGAAGTGGGGTGGGAGCCCCACCAGGGATGGGCTAGTTCCTCATGAAGGACCAGGGCCCAGGAAGGACAAGGGGGCCTGCTGGGGCAGGGTCTGCTATGGCGGAGTCCCTGTGAGCCTGGCCCAGACCTGCGTCTCTCTTTCCTCATTGGTCCCCACAGGTCCTTGGCGGTTGCCGTATTGGGAGGCCCCGTGGTGGCAGGGGTGGGACACCCGGTATACATTGCCAGGTGTGTCCGATAGGCTCATGCTCACACCTTCGCCTGGCACCTGGGCAGAGCTGGAGCACCCGGGCACTGAAGTGAGGGCAAGGTCTCGGGGCCCCACAGGGTGGCTGAGGAGACAGCTGCAGGGTACCTGGGACCCCTGGACTCAGGAAGTAGAAGGATACAGCCCAAAAATGCACACCACAGGCTCACCAGCCGGTGCAGGCCCACAGAACTCGAGGAGGCAGCCCTGAGCCTCCCAGGGAGAGATGCTCTGTGCACGCCAGCACAGGCCCTGGGTTACAAACCCTAGGCACAGCCCCGGAGAGGCCCAGGCCCCAGGCCAGCAAGGGGTTGCAGGAAGCAAGAGGCCCCAGCCACAGCATGAGATGAGCCCATCAAGCCAGGGCCAGGTGGGCAATGGGAGGCAGGCAGGGCTTGGGGGTGGGTCCCTGCTGCAGCACCTTCCACTGTCGACCGGAGGAGTTTCTTCACTGTGCGGAGTCCACGAGCCTCCTGTGAGTGTGTGCATGGGCCCAAGTGTGTGTGTGCCTCTGCTGTGTGTCTGTACACAAGTATGTTTTGGGGTTTTTTTGTGTCTCAGACCACAGAGTCTGCCCCTCTCACCAAAGCCCAGGCAGAAGGATGAACTCACGCCCCTGGGGCCCAGGCCTCAGCAGCCTCTGTGGGATCATTGTTCCCGGTTGTCACTTGCCTTTGGCACAGCCCTATTTCTCCACAATTCCTTAAAGTCCTCAACATGCTTTAAGGCACAAAGGTGAAAGTACCCAGAAACATCTGACTCTGCCGTGGAACCCAGGAGTAAGCTGGGTTAGCTAAGGAGCGGGGCCGTTGGCAGAGGCTGGGGTCCAGGCTGAACTTTGGAGGAGGCATGTCCCAGCATGGGCTCCTGACTATGTCCTCCTGGGACAAACCCAAACCCACTCTTTGAATATGGGAGGGACTTTGCTGGCCCTGGCCCTGACCGCAGCACTTGGAAACTAAGGAGTGGTCGCCTCCCCCGTGTCACAGCTGCCCGTTCACCATCATAGAAGCAACTCTGTCACCTCCATGGGCCCCTCTGTGGCTGCTGCCTGGGTCCAAGCTGAGCCCAGCTGCCCAGGCCCAGAAGGAAAGCCCAGGCCAGGCGCCCAGCACAGAGGCAGTCACGTACCCCAGGGAGAGCCACAGCAAGCAGCCAATGTTGCCCAGGAGAGGAGTAGCTGACAAGGCAGAACGTGAGCTGCCATCGGCTTGAGAGGCTTTGCTGGTCCTCCTGGGCTGTGGACATGACCTGGAGGAGCGAGGGAAGAAGTCGTATGGTGGTCCCATCCCAGGGCCTGATGGCAGCTGGCCACCCGTCCCAGAGTGGCAGCCAGATGCCAGCGCCATTCCCACAGTCACATCATTGGTCACAGACTGCAGGACATAGAGCGTCTTCTTTCCATCACAGTGCTGTCCAAACCCATAGCCTAGGGTAGACCTGGAAGATTCAATGTCCACACCAGGGGCTGGAGCACAGCCATGAGCCAGGCCCACTGCCCGTGCATGGAAAGCCAGCCCAAGCCCTGCTCCATCCCTAGCCAATGTCAGTGTCCTTTCCCCTTCTCCCAAGTGAGCTCTAGCCACTTGCCTACCCTGCCATCTGAGGATGACAACCTTCATTCCATTGGAATCTGGCTCTGCCACCAGCAGGCTTGCAGTCTTGGGCAGACTCCGTCACCTCTCTATGCCTCAGCTTTTCCATCTGCACAGGAGGATGATGATGATGGTGGTGATGAAGATGGCAATGGCTTCCTTTTGCATTTGAGGCAAGGACTAATTGAGATGATACACATCAGGCACTGGGTATGATGCTGGTCCTTCCTGAGCACTCAATCTATGTGAGCTGTCCTTGTGAAATGGATGTCACCACATTTCCCCATGCAGAACATCCTTTGTTTGCCATACTTGAAACGTCTGCCCCAATACTAACAGCTCCTCGTGGAAGATGTGCACAAACCCACCCGCCCTCATACTCCCAAAGGTACCCATGCCTTATCAAGCCAAAGTCCAGCCAGGAACTTTATAGCAGCATCCCTTTCCCTCTCCATGCACCAAGGAGCAAGGCAAAGCACTGCATCTTCTATCTGGAGGCAATACCACCCTCTTCTCCCATTTTCACTGCCATTCCTAAGAGGCAGTGCTTCCCCCGCAAGGTTCCATGGTGGCCTGCCTACAGCAACTCTGTTCACATGAGTTTCAGCATCCTTGCAGTGGCTCCCCTGCCATGCTCTGGCTCTTCATTCACCCTCATCTCCTGCTCCCCGTGACAGGCATAGATTCTGAGTGATCTGGATACATTGCTTTGTTTAATAACATTACAGCTTCTGTGCTGGGGAAGACACAGCAGATACAGAAGGCAATTGTTGAACACAAAATAGTGACGGCAGAGATGACGGCAAGTTGGCATTTTTCTTTTCTAGCAATAAAACTTAAAACTGACTCAAGAAGAAATGGAAATCGTAGTTGGAACAATAATCCTCAAGAAAGCATTAAGATTATTAAATAATTGCCCTCACAGATGACTTCAGGCCAAGATGGCTTTATGGGTGAAGTTTAGACTTTCACAAAACTAATCAGTTCCCATAAGAACTGCTCCAGGATTTGGAGAAACATGGAAAAGTCTATGAACGGGATCACACTCCACAGTCCCCAGAGTAAAACATGGGTTACTTGCATTTTGGCAAAGAGCCAAATGTTATAAATGACATCCTAGAAGGCCAAATTCTGTCCATCTCATTGAACAAGGACTTACACCGGGAATTAAGAACTATTTATAGCTCATCCCACCACTCAGGCCAATGATGACCCATGATCATCTCACCAGAAATGGAAAGACTCACTTGATTAATAGAGTCTCAATTCCTCTGAGACATCTAAGAGCCCAGCCCAAGCCCAGACCCAGGAGGGCACCCAGGCCTGGAGAGAGAACACTATCACACCAGCCCTCCAGAGGGAAGCAGAGACTCCTTCAAGCTCTGGAAACACAGGCCCAGACAGCTGCCCAAAGTTGGGCAGGCTTCACCGCATACCCAAATCATGAAGCTAGGTAACACCTTTACAGATTCTTTACATTTAAAAATCATCAAAACTTAACAGTAAATAATAAACTCAAATAATATTAATCTAATATGTAAAGGTCTTGTACCATTATTAGGCAAACAACATACATAAGCTAATAAGAAAAAGAACAAATCCCTTAAGAAATCAGCAAAGGATATAACACAATTTCCAAAAGAAAACAAGTGGCTAGCACACATGAGGAAAACACTTTGTGAACAGACATTCTTCAGACCATTATTTATAATTATAAAATAGTTGAAAGCAAGATAGTGCCTGAAGAAATTATGGTGCATACATTAATGGGACTATTCTGCAAACATTCCCAATTATACTTGTCACATATCTGTGATAACGTGACAGCCAGCATTCATGGGGTGACCTCATTTGATAAAAGGGTGCAAAGCTCAACACACACTGTGAGATGACTGTGGTGTAAATACAAAGACCAAACCGTGAAAAGGAGTCCATCAATTAACTGATGCTTACCTTCAGTTTTGGGCTGATTTTTAAAGTATGCTATAAGCATATGCTCCTGTTATAACAGAATGGAGGGATTATGAGAGATGATGTAGGTGTGTCCTGGGCCTCCCCGGCCCACTGGGCCCTACAGATGCCTTCCCAGGCACTGCTGTCAGGGCTTCCCTCAGAGGGAGTCCTGTATTGACCTCACCACTAAGATCTGGAGCAGGGGATCCTTAGATATGGGTAGGGGTTATCTCACCTTAGGTCTGAATACGGGGTTGTCTTAGACTGTTTTGTGATGTTGTAATAGAACACCCAAGACTGGGAAGTTTATACTGAACGGAAATTTATTTCTCACAGTTCTAGAGGCTGTGAAGTCCAAGAGCAAGGTGCCAGAGCAAGTCCAAGAGCAAGGGAAAGTCCAAAGCAAGTCCAGGAGCATCTGGCAAGGACCTTCTTGCTGTGTCATCATATGGCAGAAGGCAAGAAAGAGAGCAAGAGGGGGCCGAACTCACCCTTTTATAACAGCGCCAATCCCACCCATGAGGTGGGGACCTTATGACCTAATCACTCTTCATACTGTTACAATGGCAATGAAATTTCAACATGAGTTTTGGAGGAGAGAAGCATTCAAACCACAGCAAGCGTGCTCCTACCTCCTCTCTCAGGGCATCTGCAGAAAGAGCTGCAACTGCACGTCCTTCCTCCGTCCATCCTCCGTCCCTTCCCGATGTCTGTGCATTTCCTGTGACCCAGGAGGTCTGGTGTAGGGGGTGCTCCTGCCTTAGGTCTGAGGCCCTGTCTGAAGAGGGGTAGGTGAGGAGGCCACCTGATTGTCTGGGCCAAGACAGTCACAGGATGAATCATTCATCATCAAGGAGGCTGAGGGTTGAGTCTCCAGGTCCAGGGAACTCCCCACAAAGTGCGAACCCTGCCCAGCTCCACACAGCCTCTGCTGGGGGACCCTGCTCTGGCACAGAGCCTGGGAACAGGTCTTGAGCTCAGCCAGAGTCTGCCTCCCTGTCATTTAGGAACTAAACCTAGCGGCAGGATGCTGGAGCCCAGCCCCCATCTGACCTTACAGGGCCAAGCCTGGGGCCCTGGGTTCCCCTCAAGGCGCAGCAGGACTGAAGCCCCAGGCAGTGCAGGAGTGGCCAAAGCTGGGGCTTCCTCCAGAGCCACCAAGCATCACGGCATCAGGAAGGGTAGGACCCTGGCCTCAGAAATTGGCACCAAAGCCCCAGAAGCTACCCTGGACACCATGGAGAGAGGCCTGGAGGGGAAGCACCAGGCACTGCCCCCCCTTCTGATCCCACCTGAGGTGGCTGCCAAGCCCAGAGAGCAGCTCTGATGTCCCCCAGCCCTGCAGCCCAGGGACACCTGTACTGTGCCCCTGTGGGACCCCTGGCCAGTCTGTGCAAAGAAGTCACCACCCTATACTCAGAGACAGTGGGGGTCCTCTTCCCACATCCTCAGAGCATGGCCCGGCTGCTGCAGGGATGGTCTCCTGGAGGCCCCCCAGTGCTCTATTGTCAGGGCTCCCTCCACCCCCCTGCACCAAGAGAGAGCCAGACCCCAGCAAGGCTTCCAGTGGCTTCAGGTCACACCCCTAGGCTGACCCCAGCCCCATCAACACCTGCCTGAGAAAGCTCAATGCACCAGAACTGACCGTTTGCTCCAACTCTTGACCTCCCATTCTCAGAGCATCTGCTGAAAAGGCTGCAACTGCACATCCTTCCTCTGTCCCTTCCTGATGTCTGTGTGTCTCCTGTGGCCAGGAAGGTCTTTCTCGGGACCTGAGAGCCACTCCCTGAAGTGTCCCCATTGGGAAGGATGGGGCCTGTGTCTCCAGGCTCTGGGAGGACAGAATCCTGACCTCAACAGTGGCCAGCACGGACACAGCGGGCCCCATCCCAGGGACGCTGACCAGCACTGGGCAAATTTTCCCTTCCCCGACGACTGAGCCCCGAGCACCCTCCCTGCTCCCTCTACCCCCTCCCTTTTCAAGGCTGTGGCCTCTGCACAGACGACAATGGAGCTTGGCTCATTCCCCTAGAGTCGGTAGAGAGTTAATGACAAAACTGTTTCCTCCACCTGAACTCAGGTCTGCCTGTGTTTACCTGATCACAGCTGGTGGACAGTTTGGACAAACTTGCACACTCAGAGACACAGACCCTTCTAGAAATCATTATCTCCCCGCCCCTGGGACCCCTCTCCCGTGGAAGTCTGCTAGGCACTGGCCTGGGCCCTCCTGCTGTCCTAGGAGGCTGCTGACCTCCTGCCTGGCTCCTGTCCCCAGGTCCAGAGTCAGAGCAGACTCCAGGGATGCTGAAGGCTAGGAAGCCGCCCCTCCAGGCCAGGGTCTAGTGCAGGTGCCCAGGACAAGAAAGATTGTGAATGCAGGAATGACTGGGCCACACCCCTCCCATGCATGCCCCCTCCTGCCCTGCACCCCACAGCCCAGCCCCCCATGCTAGATGCCCCCCACAGCAGAGGTGCTGTTCTGTGATCCCCTGGGAAAGACGCCCTCAACCTCCACCCTGTCCCATGGCCCAAGGAAGACAAGACACAGGCCCTCTCCTCACAGTCTCCCCACCTGGCTCCTGTTGGGATCTTCAAGGTGTGAACAGGGAGGATGGTTGTCTGCGTGGCCCCTAGGAGCCCAGATCTTTGCTCCACAGACCCCAACCCAAGCACCCCCTTCTGCAGGGCCCAGCTCATCTGCCTCTTCCTCCCTTTGCTCTCCTCTCTTCGCCTCTGTGGGAAATCCGGGACTCAGCAGTAACCCTCAGGAAGCAGGGCCGAGGTGCCATTTAATAGGAGGCTTCGTCACAATGAAACTCTTAGAAAGACTTGACTATGATGATGACCGTGGCGTGGCTGTGAACACTGTCAGCTCCCACAGTTGCCGCAGCAAAAAATGTCCATAGACAGGGTGGGGGCCCGGGGTCATCTGCTGTCCTGCTCAGCCCACAGCATGCATGGAAAATCTGAGGTGCCACACCTGACACCCAGACCAGAACATGCCTCCCTCCAGGGTGACCTGCCATGTCCTGCATTGCTGGAGGGACAGGGGCAGCCTGTGAGGATCTGGGGCCAGGAGATGAATCCCATTAACCCAGAGGAAAACAAGCAGGACCTGAGCACCCTCCCCATTGAAGCTGACCTGCGCAGAGGGGCCTGGGCCCACCCCACACACTGGGGCGGAATGTGTGCAGGCCCCAGTCTCTGTGGGTGTTCTGCTAGCTGGGGCTTCCAGTGCCCACCCCACAACCAAAGTGAGCCACAGCCTCCAGAGCCCCCAAAGGAGATCCTGCCCACAAGCCCAGCCCCCACCCAGGAGGCCCCAGAGCTCAGGGCACCTGGGCAGATTCTGAACAGCCCCGAGTCACAGTGGGTATAACTGGAACAACCACTGTGAGAAAAGCTTTGTCCAAAACCGTCTCCTGGCCACTGCCGGAGGCCATGCCAGAGAGGGGAACAGCCGCCCCGAACCTAGGTCCTGCTCAGCTCACATGACCCCCAGCAGCCAGAGCACAACGGAGTCCCCACTGAATGGTGAGGATGGGGACCAGGGCTCCAGGGGGTCATGGAAGGGGCTGGACCCCATCCTACTGCTATGGCCCCGTGCCCCTGGCCAGAACTGACCCTACCACCGACAAGAGTCCCTCAGGGAAACGGGTCACTGGCACCCCCCAACATCAACCCCAGGCAGCACAGGCATAAACCCCACATCCAGAGCAGACTCCAGGAGCACATTCACCCCAATACCCTGGGGGACACCGACCCTGATGACTCCCCACTGGAGTCCACCCCAGAGTCCACCAGGATCAGAAACCCCTCCCCGTCTCTGTCCCTCACTCAGGACCTGCTGCGGGGCGGGCCCTGAGAGCAGACTGGGGCTTAGGGAACACCACTGTGGCCCCAACCTCGACCAGGACACAGGCCCTTCCTTCCTGCCCTGTGGCGGCACAGACTTTGGGGTCTGCGCAGGGAGGAAGCACAGAAGCCCCAGGCTGAGGTGGTGGGGGTGGAAGACCCCCAGGAGGTGGCCCACTTCCCTTCCTCCCAGCTGGAACACACCATGTCCTTCTTAAAATAGGGGTGTCATCCGAGGCAGGTCCTCCATGGAGCTCCCTTCAGGCTCCTCCTGGTACTCACTAGGCCTCAGTCCCAGATATGGGAATGCAGCCACCACAGGCACACCAGGCAGCCCAGACCCAGCCAGCCTGCAGTCCCCAAGCCCACATTCTGGAGCAGAGCAGGCTGTGTCTGGGAGAGTCTGGGCTCCCCACTCCCCACCTGCACACAGCCACCCACCCCTGTCCAGGCCCTATGCAGGAGGGTCAGAGCCCCCCATAGGGTACGGACTTAGGGTCACACTCACGTGCCTCCCCTCCTGGGTGAAGGGGTCTCATGACCAGATCCCCGCAGCAGCACTGGTCAAAGGTGGAGGCAGTGTCCCCAGGGCTACCCTGACCTGGCCCCTCAGGCTCCTCTAGCCCTGGCTGCCCTGCTATCCCTGGGAGGCCTGGACTCCACCAGACCACAGGTCCAGGGCACCACCCATAGGTGCCGCCCACACTCAGTTCACAGGAAGAAGATAAGCTCCAGACCCCCAAGACCAGGACTTGCCTTCCTGCCACCGCTTGTAGCTCCAGACCTCCATGTCTCCCCTGACCACTTACACATGGGCCAGGGAGCTATTCCACACAGATCAACCCCAAACCGGGACCGCCTGGCATGCGGGTCGCTGCCACTTCCCTCTCCATTTGCTCCCAGCACCTCTGTGCTCCTTCCCTCCTCCCTCCTTCAGGGGGACAGCCTGTGCAGCCCCTCCCTGCACCCCACACCCTGGGGACGCCCAACCCTGCCTCCAGCCCTTTCTACCCCGCTGCTCTTCCTGCCCATCCAGACAACCCTGGGGTCCCATCCCTGCAGCCCACACCCTGAGAAGACTGGACCCTGCCTTGGGCCCTTTCTGCCCTGCTGCTCTTGCCGCCCACCCAGACAATCCTGGGGTCCTGTCCCTGCAGTCACCACCCTGGTCTCCACCCAGACCCCTGTCTCTCCCTCCAGACACCCCTCCCAGGCCAACCCTGCACATGCAGGCCCTCCCCTCTTCTGCTGCCAGAGCCTCAGTTTCTCCCCCCTGTGCCTACCCACTGCCTCCTCCTGCCCACAACTTGAGCTCTTCCTCTCCTGGGGCCTCTGAGCCATGGCACTGACCGTGCACTCCCACCCACACACTGCCTTCACCTTCCTCCTGGACACTTTGGCTCCACTCCCCTCTTGGACATGGCCCTGGTATTTCCAGGACGAAGGCTCACCCAAGTCTTCCCCACACAGACCCTTGCCCTCACTCCCCATTTACAGGGAAATCTCCTGTGCACAGAAGCAGGGAGCTCAGCTCTTCCACAGGCAGAAGGCAATGAAAGAAATCGGCCTCCAGCGCCCTGATGCACATCCGCCTGTGTCTCTCACTGCCCACACCTGCAGGGAGGCTCGGCACTCCCTTTAAAGATGAGGGATCCAGGCAGCAACATCACGGGAGAATGCAGGGCTCCCAGACATCCCAACCCTCTTGCAGGCCTCTCCTGGGAAGAGACCTGCAGCCACCACCAAACAGCCATGGAGCCCGCTGCATAGTAACTGAGTCAGTGACTGACCTGGAGGGCAGGGGAGCAGTGAGCCGGAGCCCAGACCATAGGGACCGAGACCAGCCGCTGACATCCCGAGCCCCTCACTGGTGGCCCCAGAAAACTCATGGAAACAGGACGGACCCACATTCCCAGCTGGACCAGGGCAGAGACTGCTGAGCCCCGAGCACCAGCCCCAAGAAACACCAGGCAAAATCATCAGAGGAGGCTCCTGAGAAAGAGAGGAGGGGAGGTCTACCTCACCAGCAAATGCTTCCCTTAACCAAACACAGGGTCCACGCAACTCCCCCAGGACAAAGGAGGAGCCCCCTGTACAGCACTGGGCTCAGAGTCCTCTCCAAGACACCCTGAGTTTCAGACAAAAACCCCCTGGAAATCACAGTATCAGCAGGAGAACTGGCCAGAGACAGCAAGGGGGGACTCCGTGACACCCATGGGGACAGGAGGATTTTGTGGGGGCTTGTGTCACTGTGAGAATATTGTAATAGTACTACTTTCTATGCCCACAGTGACACAGCCCCAGTCCCAAAGCCCTGCTGTAAATGCTTCCACTTCTGGAGCTGAGGGGGAGCGTCTGGGAAGTAGGGCCTAGGGGTGTCCACCAATGCCAAAACACACCAGACTTCCCCCCAGACATCACCCCCACCAGCCAGCGAGCAGAGTAAACAGAAAATGAGAAGCAAGCTGGGGAAGCTGGCAGAGGCCCCAAGGAAAGAGCTTTGGTGGGTGTGCAAGAGAAGATGCAGGCAGAGCCTGAGCAGGGCCTTTTACTGTTTCTGCTTTCCTGGGCAGAGAATTCCATAAACTGGTGTTCGAGATAAATGGCTGGGAGTGAGCCCAGGAGGACAGTGTGGGAAGGGCACAGGGAAGGAGGAGCAGCCTCTATCCCACACTGTCATCTTTCGAAAGTTTGCCCTGTGCCCACACTGCTGCATCATGGGATGCTTAACAGCTGATGTAGACACAGCTAAAGAGAGAATCAGTGAGAAGGATTTGCAGCACAGATCTGAATAAATTCTCCAGAATGTGGAGCCACACAGAAGCAAGCAAACAGAAAGTGCCTGATGCAAGGGCAAAGTACAGTGTGTACCTTCAGGCATTGCTGCTGGGCACAGACACTCTGAAAAGCCCTGGCAGGAACTCCCTGCAACAAAGCAGAGCCCTGCAGGCAATGCCAGCCCCAGAGCCCTCCCTGAGAACCTCATGGGCAAAGATGTGCAGAACATATGTTTGTCATAGCCCTAAACTGAGAATGAAGCAAACATCCATCTGAAGGAAAACAGGCAAATAAACGATGGCAGGTTCATGAAATGCAAACCCAGACAGCCACGAGGACAACAGTACAGGGTTACCAGGGTTACGGGCAACTCTGTGGTTGAGTTCATGACAATGCTGAGTAATTGGAGTAACAAAGGAAACTCCAAAAAATACTTTCAATATGATTTCTTCTAAATAAAATTTACACCTGGCAAAATGAACTATCTTCTTAAGGGATAAACTTTCCACTAGAAAAACTATAAGGAAAATCAAGAAAACGATGATCACATAAACACAGTTGTGGTTACTTCTACTGGGGAAGGAAGAGGGTGTGAACAGAGACACACAGGTTTGGCAAGTCTCCTAACAAGAACAGAACAAATACATTACAGTACCTTGAAAACAGCAGTTAAACTTCTAAATCGCAAGAAGAGGAAAATGTACACAGCTGTGTTTAGAAAATTCTCACTCCGGCACTGTTCATAATAGCAAAGACATTAACCCAGGTTGGATAAATAAACGATGACACAGGCAATTGCACAGTGATACAGACATACATTCAGTATATGAGACATCGATGATGTATCCCCAAAGAAATGACTTTAAAGAGAAAAGGCCTGATGTGTGGTAGCACTCATCTCCCTGGGCATCCCCGGACAGGCTGCAGGCTCACTGTGTGGCAGGGCAGGCCGGTACCTGCTGGCAGCTCCTGGGGCCAGATGTGGAGCAGGCACAGAGCCGTATCCCCCCGAGGACATATACCCCCAAGGATGGCACAGTCGGCACATTCCAGAGAGAAGCAACTGAGCCACACTCCCAGGCCAGAGCCTGAGAGGGACGCCCATGCACAGGGAAGCAGAGCCCAGCTCCTCCACAGCCAGCACCACCTGTGCAGGGGCTGCCATCTGGCAGGCACAGAGCGTGGGCTGGGAGGAGGGGCAGGGACACCAGGCAGGGTTGGCACCGACTGAAAATTACAGAAGTCTCATACATCTACCTCAGCCTTGCCTGACCTGGGCCACACCTGACCTGGACCTCACTTGGCCTGGACCTCACCTGGCCTAAGCCTCACCTGGCCTGGACCTCACCTCTGGGCTTCACCTGACCTCGGCCTCACCTGACTTGGACCTTGCCTGTCCCGAGCTCACATGATCTGGGCCTCACCTGACCTGGGTTTCACCTGACCTGGGCTTCACCTGACCTGGGCCTCATCTGACCTGGGCATCACTGGCCTGGATCTCACCTGGCCTGGGCTTCACCTGGCCTCGGGCCTCACCTGCACCTGCTCCAGGTGTTGCTGGAACCTCAGTAGCACTGAGGCTGCAAGGGCTCATCCAGGGTTGCAGAATGACTCTGGAACTCTCCCACATCTCACCTTTCTGGGTGGAGGCACCTGGTGGCCCAGGGAATATAAAAAGCCTGAGTGATGCCTGCGTGATTTGGGGGCAATTTATAAACCCAAAAGGACATGGCTATGGAATGGGTAGGGACAGTACAGACAGATATCAGCCTGAAATGGAGCCTCAGGACACAGGTGGGCACAGACACTGTCCACCTAAGCGAGGGGCAGACCCGAGTGTCCCCGCAGCAGACCTGAGAGCGCTGGGCCCACAGCCTCCCCTCGGTGCCCTGCTACCTCCTCAGGTCAGCCCTGGACATCCCGAGTTTCCCCGGACCTGGCAGTAGGTTTGGGGTGAGGTCTGTGTCACTGTGGTATTATGATTTTTGGACTGGTTATTATACCCACAGTGTCACAGAGTCCATCAAAAACCCATCCCTGGGAGCCTTCTGCCATAGCCCTCCCCACAGTGGACCACCACATGCCGCGTTAGGATTTTGATCGAGGCCACAGCACCATGGGTGTAGTGGCTACCACAGCAGTGCAACCTGTGTCCCAAACACACAGGGCAGCAGGCACAATGGACAAGCCCAAGAGTGACCACCCTGAGCTCCTGCCCGCCAGCCCCGGAGACCATGAAACAGATGGCCAGGATTATCCCATAGGTCAGCCAGACCTGAGTCCAACAGGTCTGCATCGCTGCTGCCCTCCAGTACCAGTCCAGATGGGGACAGGCACCCAGCAGTCCCGGAAGCCCCTCCCTCAAGGCTGAGCCACATGTGTGGACCCTGAGAACCCCCCAGGTCCGAGTAGGGGCAGGAGGGCGGGGCTGGTCCTGTGCGCTGTCCCTGCCCCTGTGGTCCCTGGCCTGCCTGGCTCTGACACCTGAGCCTCTCCTGGGTCATTTCCAAGACAGAAGGCATTCCCGGGACAGCCGGAGCTGGGAGTCGCTCATCCTGCCTGGCCGTCCTGAGTCCTGCTCCTTTCCAAACCTCACCCGGGAAGCCAACAGAGGACTCACCTCTCACAGTCAGAGACAAAGAACCTTCCAGAAATCCCTGTCTCTCTCCCCAGTGGGCACCCTCTTCCAGGACAGTCCTCAGTGATATCACATCGGGAACCCACATCTGGATCAGGACGGCACCCAGAACACAAGATGGCCCATGGGGACAGCCCCACAGCCCAGCCCTTCCCAGACCCCTAAAAGGTGTCCCACCCCCTGCACCTACCCCAGGACTAAAAATCCAGGAGGCCTGACTCCTGCACATGCTCTGACCGGATGTCACCTCGGCCCCTCCTGGAGGGGACAGGAGCCCTGGAGGGTGAGTCAGACCCTCCTGCCCTCGACGGCAGGCGGGGAAGATTCAGACCGGTCTGAGATCCCCAGGATGCAGCACCACTGTCAATGGGGGCCCCAGACGCCTGGACCAGCACCTGCGTGGGAAATGCCTCTGGGCTCACTGAGGGGCTTTTTGTGAAGGCCCTCCTGCTATGTGACTATGGTGCTAACTACCACAGTGATGAACCCAGCAGCAAAAACTGACCGGACTCCCAGGGTTTATGCACACTTCTCGGCTCAGAGTTCTCCAGGATAAGAAGAGCCAGGCCCAAGGATTTCTGCCCAGACCCTCGGCCTCTAGGGACACCTTGGCCATGAAAGCCCATGGGCTGGTGCCCCACACTTCATCTGCCTTCAAACAAGGGCTTCAGAGGGCTCTGAGGTGACCTCACTCATGACCACAGGTGCCTGCCAGCTGCACCGAACCCTGTCCCAACAGCTGCCACAGTTCCAACAGCCAATTCCTAGGGCCGGGAATTGCTGTAGACACCAGCCTTGTTCCAGCAGCTCCTGCCAATTGCCTGGATTCCCATCCTGGCTGGAATCAAGAGGGCAGCATCCGCCAGGCTCCCAATAGGCAGGACTCCCACACACCCTCCTCTGAGAGGCCACTATGTTTCGTAGGGCCAGGCCCTGGACAGTCTCCCTCACCTGCCACTAGAGAAACACCTGCCTTTGACGTCCCCATATGGCAAAGACCACTCATGGAGCCCCCAGCCCCAGGTACAGCTGTAGAGACAGTCCCCGAGGGATCTAAGAAGGAGCCATGCCCAGTTCTGCCCAGACCCTCGGCCAGGCTGACAGGAGCGGACGCTGGAGCTGGGCCTGCACTGGGCCACATAGGAGCTCACCAGTGAGGGCAGGAGAGCACATGTCAGGAAGCACCCAGCCTCCTGCTGACTGGAGGCCCGTCCCAGAGCCCAGGAGGCTGCAGAGGCCTCTCCAGGGGGACACTGTGCATGTCTGGTCCCTGAGCAGCCCCCCACGTCCCCAGTCCTGGGGGCCCCTGGCACAGCTGTCTGGACCCTCCTTGCTCCCTGGGAAGCTCCTCCTGACAGCCCCGCCTCCAGTTCCAGGTGTGGTTATTGTCAGGGGGTGTCAGACTGTGGTGGATATAGTGTCTACGATTACCACAGTGGGGCCACCCATAGCAGCAACCACGCCAAGTAGATGAGCCACTGCCATGCAGCCCCAGGCCTCCAGCTCACCTGCTTCTCCTGGGGCTCTCAAGGTCACTGTTGTCTGCACTCTGCCCTCTGTGGGGAGGGTTCCCTCAGTGGGAGGTCTGTTCTCAGCTTCCCAGGGCCTCATGACTGCATGGAAGGTCAAGGGCTGGGCCTGCCAGGGGCACGGCACCCTCACATGCCACACCTAAGATAGGGTGGGCAGTCTGGTGGGGACAGGACATACTGCTGGGGTGTCTGTCACTGTGCCTAGTGGGGCACTGGCTCCCAAACAATTCGGTCCTTGCCAAAATCCCCACTGCCTCCCCTGCTAGGGGCTGGCCTGGTCCCCTGCTGTCCTAGGCAGCTGCTGACCTCCAGAATGGCTCCATCCCCAGTTCCAGGGCCAGAGCAGATCCCAGGCAGGCTGCTGTCTGGGAGGCCACCCCCTCCTTGCCAGGGTTCACTGCAGGTGACCAGGGCAGGAAATGGCCTGAACACAGGGATGACTGCACCATCCCCCAACAGAATCTGCCCCCTCCTGCTCTGCACCCCGCACCCCCCAGGCCAGTCCACGAAAACCAGGCCCCACATCAGAGTCACTGCCTGGCCCTGCCCTGGGGTGGACCCCTCAGTCCCCACCCTGTCTAGAGGACTGGGGAGGACAGGACACAAGCCCTCTCCTTATGGTTCCCCACCTGGCTCCGGCTGGGACCCTCGGGGTGTGGACAGAAAAGACGCCTGCCTGATTGGCCCCCAGGAACCCAGAACTTCTCTCCAGGGACCCCAGCCCGAGCACCGCCTTACCCAGGACCCAACCCTGCCCCTCCTCCCCTCTGCTCTCCTCTCATCACCCCATGGGAATCCAGAATCCAGATTCCTCACGAATGGCTTAGTGCCATCCACTTGGTAATGAGTGAGTTCTCACATAGTTAGATCACTCAGGATCTGATTTTTTAAGAGAGACTTGGATCTCCCCCTTTCCTTCTTCCCCCTGCTCACCATGTGACACTCCTTCTTCCCCTGTGCCTTTTACCATAAATATAAGGTTTTTGAAGCCCTCACCAGAAGCAGATAGCAGAACCACACTTCCTGTACAGCCTTCAAAACCGTCAGCCAAATTAGAATTTATTTTTTATAAATTACTCATCCCCAGGAATACTTTTATAGCAATTAAGGAATTTCTTTTTTTTTATTTTATGAATGTTTCATTGCCACTTAAAAAAGAATGAGTTGTTATGTTCAGACATACACACACATATTTCTACCTTATCAATTACGATATTTAGGTATTTTTTAGTCTTGCTTAATTTTGGTCCTCTTGATGTTTAATGAACTAAAACACATGAATTAAATAATTAAGATGCTGTGTTTTCTATATTTTTTCTTGTTTCCCCTATAGCTCTTCTCTGTGAATGCTGATGCTCTGTTACCTGGTGCACAGTTATTCATAACTTTTTTTTTTGAGACAGACTCTTGCTCTGTCACCCTGGCTGGAGTGCAGCGGCACAATTTCGGCTCACCACAGCCTCTGCCTCCCAGGTTCAAGTGATTCTCATACCTCGGCCTCTCTACATATAGGTAGTTATGTATCTATTCTATTATCAAGGTTTACAACTCCAACATTTAATTTTCAAATCAAAATCCCTATATTAGTCTTGGCCTCCTATAGGTAATTAGATTCAATGCTTACTGCCATTTTTGGTTGTTTTTCTCATTAATCTCCTAGTTATCTGAGTTTATCTTCTAACAGTATTCAGAAGTAATCACTATGCTAACTTTTGACACTGGTCTTGATTGCTGTTTTTGAAATTTTGAAATGGAATGTACAACCTCTGCCTTGAGTCTTTCATTCAACATTGTTTGTGAGATTCATATAGGTAATACATGTCAGTGGTTAATTGATTTTCATTACTGAAAATCAGTAATATGTTTAGATAATTAGTAATATGTTTAGATATTTTTCTAGTCTTTATTCTGTTCAGTTGTTCTGCCTATATCTTTATATTAATATTAAACTACTGTAGCTGTAGAGCAGGGTGTCCAATCTTTTGGCTTCCCTGGGCTACATTGAAAGAACAATTGACTTGGGCCACACATAAAATACACTAACACTGAAAATAGCTGATGAGCTAAAAAATAATAATAATAAAAATCACAAAGGAAGTTTGCAAATTTCTGTCGGGCTGCTTTCTATAAGAAAGAAAGTACTGAATTTTAAAGGAGATGATGAGGGTGAAACATCAGAATGAAATTACTGACCTCATAAGTAAAGACACCAGACAGCCTCTCTCTCTCTCTATTTCTCTCTCTCTCTCTCTCTCACACACACATGCACACACACACACATGCCCTACAATGAAATGATCATATGAAAAAGTAACAATATGATGGCTGCTCTGAGCCAAAAGTGGAAGCCTCAAAATAAAACCTATCTTGTCAGCATCTTGATCTTGGAGTTCACAGCACTGATAAATGAAATAAAATTAATGTTGCATGAGTCACCAAATATGATAGTTTGTAATGGCATCTTAAACTGACAAAAGAAAATTTGGGGTTAGGAAGTGGAAATCTGATGTTACAATTATTTGAAAATTGTGAAAGTAGCTTGGAATTGGGTTATGTGTAAAAGGATGGGTACCTTTGACATATATGAAGAAATTTGTATGTTGAGGGTCATGCTGATAGACAGAAATGAGTAGAGTGGTTTTGGAAAATGGAGCAATAGTCATCCTTATCATAAAGTTTTTAAAAAAATCTTGGCTGGACAGTGATATAATATTTAGTGAAAGAGAAGTTGCGAGTAGTGAGAACTTGTGAGTAGCTGAGAATAGTTCTAAGTAAAGTGTTGAAGATATTTTGCTTGGTTCCTCCTGAGTGCTTATAACAAGTGAGGTAGATAAATTAAAATCAGAAAAAAATATAAACGAAAAAGAATAAAAAACCTGAGCACTTAGAAAATTCTCAACCTATCCATATTGCCAAAATCAGAAACTGTATTCTACAAAGAACACTGAGTATATGACTGAAATATCACTCAGTAAGAAGCCTAAGATACTCTATGAAAAGAAATATTTCAGGTTTTAAAGAATGAGAATTGACCTGAGACAAATCTGATGAAAACTGTTAGATTTTTCAGATTTAATGGCCTGGAATAATAGAGCTACTTGGCAGCAAATGTACATGATTCTTCTGGAAGGGAGAAAAAATAAGCTTTAAATTTATTTAGAAACTATCAGACCACTGCCTTTATTTCAACAGACCAGAAAGCCTGTTTCTAAAATCTTGAGGAAGAAACCACCCAACAGAGGCTTGGGCTTGGGAGCAACCAGCCAGCCCTGTGTGTAGGGCTGCATGAGGCCTTTGACATGGGAGCTGGGCCTAGCAGTGCTTCAGGAGCGGTGCCTCTGCCTGCAGCCTTGGAGCTGACTCTGCCACCCAAATAAGCTGAGAAGGAAAAAGATTGTTTCAGAGATGATTGCAGCGGAGCCTTAAAGCATATGGCAATTTGTTTTCCTATGCATTGTATTTGCTGGAGACATACCACCCATTTTACCCCCTACTTTTTTTCTTTGGCAATGAAGCTGTCTATTCTATGCCTAACTCAACAGGACACAGCCGAGGCTGTATCCAGTTTGACAAGATTCAGCACGAAAGGTTCCTATTACCTGAGCCAGATGCATCACTGATATGCGGCCACCAGTTCCTTAGGTTCATATCACTTTAAGGGACCAAATACAAATGTCAGTAGCGTATGTCATTCTTAAGCTGCAGATATGGTGTCAAAGAAGAATGTGGAGATAAGAGAGCAGGAGGAATTATGAAAATCCAGACAGCATCTTCTCTTCTAGAGTGGAAGGTACACTAGTAATTTTATGAAACAATAACATAAATGAAATGTGTCATCATCATGGAGTGTCTCACAGTGGCAGTGCACAAATAAATTTCTAAAAATTCCATAAGGTAGGTGTGATGGATGCGGCTTATTTCCACCCAGGGAGCCCATAAATACCCAGATAGGTAAAAAATCCAACACCTGGAAAGAAAAACACCTCATCTTGACATCACAAACACATCTCAGTAAGTCCAAGGAGTAATGTGGAAATGAAATGGAAAATTCACAGACACATTTATTGTGAAATTTTTAGCACATGCTTGAACATCAAAACAGAATTGTCCACAATTTTAGGAAAACCACCCCATGACCACGAATCACTACACTCATAGAAACACCACTGAGTCAACAGAGTTCTAACTGTGAGCAGGTCACTACTGAGGCCTCAGGAGAATCAAGGCTCTAGGGTACATTTTACAGAACCCAGAATTGAGCCACACAATCTATAGCCAAATGACCTTTGACAAACTTAACAAAAACATACACCAGAAAAAGGACACCCCATTCAATAAATGGTGCTGGGGAAATTGGAAATGAACATGCAGAAGAACAAAACTAGACCCCTACCCTCAACACATACATACTCAACACAAAATGAATTAAAGACTTAGATATGAGACCTCAAACTATAAATGTACTCAAATAAAATACGAGGACAACTCTTCTGGGCACTGGGCGAGGTGAAGAATTTATGACTAACACCACAAAACACACCCAAGAAAAAAATAGACAAGTGAGAATTAAACTATAGAGGTATTTCACAGCAACAGACTGAACAGGCAAGTTGCAGAATGACAGAAAATTTTCACACACCTTGCCTGTGACAAGGAACTAACATGAAGAATTTACAAGGAATTAGACTATACAACAACAGGAAGAAGAACCAAATAACCCTATTAAAATGAGCAAAGGACGTGAGTAGACATTTCCAAAGAACACATACAAATGGATAATAAATATATAAACAATGCTCAACATCACTAACCATCAGGGAAATGCAAATTAAAACTACAGTAAGGTATTATCTTACAAAAGCCACAGTGACTATTATTAAAAACTCAAAAGTATCAGATGTTGGTGAGGATGGAAAGTAACAGGAACTCATCGACACTGTAGATGAGGATGTGGACGAGGACAACCTCTATGGAAAATGGTATGGAGTCTTCCCAAAACACTGGAAATAGAACTGCCATTTGATCCAGCAATCTGACTACGGGGTAACTACCCAAAGGAAAATAAATCATTACTTCAAAAAGATATCCATGCTTCTATGTTTACCACAAAACTATTCTTAATAACACACATGTCAACCTGAGTGTCCACCAACAGATGATTTTATAAAAGAACACAGCACATATGCACAATTCAATACTAGTCAACCACAATAAGAAATGAAACTGTGTCTTTTGCAGCAAGATGCCTAGAACTGGGGACAATATAATTAGTGAACTAACTCACAAACAGAAAGTCATATGCCACACGTTATTATTTGTAAGTGGGAGGTAACAATGTGTCCACAAGGATATGGAGAGAGAAATGATGGACACCGGAGACTTAGAAGGATGGGAGGTGGAAGGTGGGAGCATGAGGAGACATTACCTAGTGGGTACAATGTACATTATTTGGGTGATATTACACTAAAAGCCAAGACCACTATGGAATATATCCATGTGCAAAAGTTGCACTCATAGCCCTTAAATTTATACAAATAAATGTACACACAAAAAAGTTAAAAATATAAAATAATTAACAGTTGACCAATGATCTTAAAATTAAAATTTAGACCGGGCATAGTGTCTCACGCTTGTAATCCCAGCACTTTGGGAGGTCGAAGCAGGTGGATCATGAGGTCAGGAGTTTGAGACCAGCCTGGCCAACATGGTGAAACCCCATCTACTAAAAATACAAAAATTAACCAGATGTGGTGGCAGGCACCTGTAATCCCAGCTACTCGGGAGGCTGAGGCAGGAGAATTGCTTGAACCCAGGAGGCAGAGTTTGCAATGAGCCAAGATCGTGCCACTGCACTCTAGTCTGGGTGACACAGCAAGACGCCATCTCAAATAAAATAAAATAAAATAAAATAAAATAATATGTAAAAAATGATCAATAAATGAAATTACTATCAGTTGAAACTCATTAAATTTAAAGACGTTTTCTACTCAAGTAACTATAAGAACATGAATGTCAAGTTTCAGATGGGAAACTATTTTCAAATCACATAACCACCAATTTAATTAGAATAAGAACTCTCAGGACTCAACTGTGAAAAAGAAATAAGAAAGAAACAACCCATGGATAAAATAGGCAAAGGTTTGTGCAGACATTTCATCAAATGAGATGTGCAGATGACACATAAGCATATAAACAGGCTGTTAACAGGATTTTCCATTAAAGGAATTCAAATCAAGCCCACAATGAGACACCACTATACACTTTTTAGAATGGCTGAAATTAAGAAGAAATACAGGTAATACCAATGCTGATGAGCATACCAAGTTCCTAGTGTCTACGACATTGTTAATGGGAATGCAAAATGAAACAGCTACTCGGGAAAATAATTTTTAGTTTTTTCTGCAATCAAACATGCCCTTAACACATGACCTAAATATCCCACTCTTGAATTTTGCTTCAGAGAAATACAATCTTATTTTCACACAAAACCTCTGTTCAAATATTCAAGATATTACATGTGTGTGTGTGTTAGAAATGAAAAATAACATAAATGTCTCAAAATTTGAGTAGGTGAAAAAACTAGGAAGCATCTATAAATTGAATCCATCAGCAATAAAAAATATCAAATGATCGATTCACAAACCATTACAGTTGAACTCCAGGCATTATGCTAAGTGAGAGAAACCAGTCTCAAAGATCAAAGGAACACATCTGTAAGCAGCACTGTCAACCCCAGGTGTCAGTGGTTTGGGCTGGGCTCTCTCTGTCTCTCTCCTGACCAGACCCAGATGTTGAGCTCTGCCACTTGCAGATGGAAAATTGTACTATTTTCAATCATGCACTGAGGTTTGAATTACTTCACAGACTGAACCAAACAAACATGGGCTCCATTGAAGAGTGTCTGGCATTTATTTCAACCACAAGAGAACTTTCCCCAGCTCTCCCTCGTCCTCGGTTCTCTCCTGCAAGCCAGCAGCCCTGCAGTGTAGCCTGCATCTCTCATGCATCCACCCGTCTCCTTCCAAGGGCTTTCCACCACACCATCCACTGTTTTTGAGAGCACTGGCAGGCTTTCAATTTGTCCACATTCTGTTGTTACTGAAGTTAGGATTTTTAGGACTAATTAAGGATCATATTTTATGACTGAATTCCATTGCCCCCTCTCTCCTGGGACAGAGCTCCTAAACAAGGTTCTGCAGGTGTAGACAAAGTTGAGCTGTTTTATTCCTCAGCCTAGGAGCTGAGCTCTCAGTGGAGGGTCGGGCAGGAGCTTCCCACCTTCTCAGCACTTCGGTTATTGTGGGATGGAACCTCTGCCATAGGACAGAGCTAGAAACCAGAGACCCAGTGTTCCCAGTGGCACTGGACCCGGGGCAGAGCCTCCATCCATGAGTGGGGCTCCATGGAAGAAGTGAGTCTCTGGCTCTCAGTAGCTCTTGTTCAGCACTGAACCTCAGCATCATGTGCTGTGTGCAGGGTCAGAGGGCCAACGTACTGGGTCCTGGGGAAGAGTTTCCTCTGGTGGGAGTTGGTAGAAGGTGACCTGTCTTCTTGGCTGCATCTGTCCGCAGTGGAGTTTACATCATGCTGAGCTGGGATGTGGAAGGAAGGAAGAGCATCTTAGATCAAGTATGATGACTGGCCTTACTGAGTTTTCTAGATTTTCTTGAATAAATATTTCTTCACTTGCTTTATGTTGTTAGAGCCTTTCCAAACCCTGTAATTTTTCAAAATAATTTTCACTGGTCTCATGAGGGCCTGGATTCACTGAAACCCTCATGCTGTCAAAGAGAAATAGAATTTTTTTTCACTTTTTAGAGAACACCCATGCGTTATAAAATAATGGGTTGACTTTTCATCCAACACTTTACAGATACCATCAACTTTCCTCTTGCTTGTAAGGTTTTAACCAGAAGAATGCTGTCATCATCTTTTCTGTTCTTTTGGAAGGAATGCCCCCTCTGCTCACCTCCACTTGCCTGCGTATATTTCTATTTGTCTTTCCTTTTCAGCAGTTTTAATAAGATTTACCTAAATGTGTGTGGGGGGATCAGTGGGTGTAATTCTGCTGTTCTCTGTTCTCTGAGATGCATGGATTCACGGTTTACTCTGTCTCCATTTTGGGGAACACAATTAGAAAAAATGTCAGTATGAGCCCAGAAACAAGCCTCCCTGAAGAGGGAACAGGACCAGCTGGGGGCACTCAGGACCCACTGAGCACAAAAGCCAGCCTCAGGGCAGGTGCAGAGGGAGGTTAAGGTCTGGTTTCCTGTCAGCCCTGTGGCTTCCTCTCCATGAAACAGTTTCCTCTGGGGCACTTCTCTGGATTCCTTATCCTGTTCTTCCTGAAGAAGAAACATTTGTGGTGACAAGAGAAAAATTTTCTCACATGCACCAAAGGCAGAGTCACCTACAATCACTCCTGTTTCTCAATGTGAATAAATTATCAATGCTTCTGAATTCAATCAGCTAAATCTATAAAAGGTGTGGTGTTTAACTCAACACTGCAGCCCAGCTCAACAGAACTCCAAGGGTCAGTGAGCAGCAGGCAGGATAAAGTGCATGCTGGGCACTGGGGCAGAGGGAGTTAGCATCCAGTGCAAAAGAAGAAAGGCCCTGTGGTGGTCACTGTCAGGACTCCAAACCCATAGTTCCAATTGTAGGTGACCCCATGCAAAAGAAGAGAGAGCCCACCAATTGTTAGTGTGGATGTCAGGTCTGATAGTGCCACACTCACACCTCAGGTGGTTATGAAAAGATTTACCAACTCTATTATTGTCTGCTGAGAGCAGCACAGGCCTCTCAGGAAATTCCAAACTGGAATTTCTTCAATGGAAGAGGAAAGGAGGCTGGCTCAGGGCTTTATAATGATTTGGTGGTGGGGTTGGGGGTAGGGGCACGTTTCTACTCAGGAGAAGGAGCTTGTGTGATTTAAACCTCACACTGGCATCAGATAAGGGAGCTTCTACGATTTCTTACTAGATTTCCCATATGTGGGGGACAAGGACGAAGAAGAATAAACCTTAATTCATCAGCAGTGAGCACCAAAATAGGACCTGACACTTTATTCTCCCTAGCAGTTTAAGAAAATGAGTGAAAAAGAGAGATGAGTCCACTATGTGTGAAAAGCAAACAGATCTAAAGACAATAAAAATTTTTATTATGGTAAGCACATAATAAAAAGAAAGAGAAGAAGGAATGAGACAGGCAGGGGTGCTCAATCAATGTCCTGGGTGGGGCCTTTTCATTATCCACAGTGATCAGTTTATTCTGAAGGTCTCAGGTCAGCTTCCTGCTTCAAAATATCACAGGCCCTTATAGGGTATATAAAAATTATTATAGGATATCCACAGTTTGTCATACTTTACTAAAGTAGTCTAATAATTAGATGAAGTTCTGAATTTAATATTCAGTTGTATTAAATATTTAAAAATACCACAATCTACAAATTAGGAAACTGAGACTATATTTTTATCAAGGGTTACAGCCATCCTATACACTGGAAAGCATGGATTTGGTAAAAATGAGAGACAGGCACTCCCAAGAAGAAGGGGTTGGGCAGAAGCTTTATGCTGAACTGTTTGGCTAAACAGACTTAATCAACAGGTTACAGGAGGGGCTATGGATGTTCATGGAGGTTGTCCTGACACACGCATACTGAACAAACACACATGAAGCTTATGAGCCCTGTTCACTCACCAGTGGTGACTTAGCATTTAAATCCATTACAGTCAGGCCCTATGTGCAAATAGCAGAAGCAGAGACACAAAGGCACTCAGGGTGCACATTCTGTAAACGGCCAGAGCCAGGCCATGGTCAGTGGCCTCTGATCAGGAAAAAGATCCTGATAGCAAATGTTCAATCAAAGCTGGGGTTATGGCTTGTGGAACAGGGGGTCAGTTCATCAGGGGATGGGCTGCAATTGTCTTCATAGTGCTTGTCTCAGTGCCAGTGCTTACTGAGCCACTAGAGAAAAGGAATAACCTATTGGCAGTTAAAACATAGTTTATCTTTTAAGTGTAGAAGTGAGTGGCAAAATCCTTGCCTGGCAAGGCCTTAGGTCTTGTTTATAATTTGACATCTTACTGCCACTCTTCTGTCAGTCTTAAGATCTCTATTTTAACATGAGTGTTGGTCACTGCTGTGACTAAACCACAAAGGGGAGTAGGTATAACGAGGCGTGTCTGATCTCTTGTTTAGTCATGGTTGGAAAAAGTTTTTAGATTTTTAGGGGGTTCCCTAGGCCAAGAGATGGACTATTTAATCAGTGGTGGGTTTTAGGGATTTATTTTTAGGTTACAGTTTATAAATATGAACCCAACTATTGACTTTCTGCAATTTCACTGCTGTGTTGTGGTTAAAAGTACCTGGTAAAATTCCTTCCAAAGTGGTTCAAGAGCAATATTCTACCCTGATGTTTCTTACAATAGATATAATTCCCCTCTTTAATCTTATTAGAGGTTACTGAAAAGATGTAGGGAAATGATGGTTTAATCTGTTGATGAATAGTGTGGGTAAATGTATGGGCCTTCCAGCTACCAAATAATAGGCTAACAACTGATGTCTCCCTGAGGGTGTTAACTATAAGGCTGTCTTGCTAGGGAGAGAACCTTTGGCCAAGGAAGTTCAAGATTTTCTTAAGGTTTGGACAATTTTAGTTTAAGGATGACAATTTTCTTCAACATTTTCAGAAAATTGTGGATGGGACGGATGCTGTGTTGTATACATAATGCTAATGCCTTCCATATTTAGATAATATTATAAACTCCTGACTGATAAGACTGCTTACTTGGTGTGATAACCCACTACAATATGTATACTTTTAGTTGGTATGCTATGTCATTTTCCTTTCAGTTTTTACTTTCCAAGTTATATTAGTCAGGTCTCTAAAATGTAGGAGTGCATCTAAAATGTGTTATTTTGTTGTGCATTTTTACATGTTCCAGAAGATGTGAGAAATTTCTTTGCATGAAGAGCATCACAAAGTCAGGTACTCCTCTAGAACATGTGTTTAATCCTTGTCTTTGGCTTATTGATGAGCTCTGTTGACTGCAATAAATTCTGCCATCCGGGCTGACTTTACATCACGTAGAGGAACAAACGCTGAATGAAAGTTTGCACTACTCAATTGAGTGCATAACCTCATTTCATTACCGATGTATAATGCATCAGAGATGATATTAGATCAAGGATTTCAATGGGAATCTAATCTAACAGATGTAAACAAATTTTCATAATTTAGATAAAATTACTGTGAGCACACTGCTACTATTCAGCCATGTCTCCTGTCTATCACACTGAATCCACAATAACTTTGACCTAAAAGTTAGCATTTGTTCTAATGTTCAGATGTGTTATTTTTATTGTAATGTCTCTCGATGATTATGTGTGGCTATCTTGGCCAAGAGTGAAGGAAAGCAATTTTAACTGAAAAAAAAAATGAGAGAAAGCACAACCTAATGAAATGGAAGTCAGGACATGAGTGTCTCCAGGCTTTTGTATTTCAAGTGTTCATGCACCCGGGGATTTCTTTTCTTAATTGTACACAGAGCAACACCCAAAATGTTCATTTCCTCTCCCATTGACTCTTATCATCTGTTTCTATGTCAGTTAGCTTCGAATTTTTGACCCCAGCTGCATCCAAGTAGCTGCAAATAAGCATGATTTCATTCTTTTTTATAGCTGCATAGTATTCCACTGTGTATAAGAACCATGATTTCTTTATCCAGTCTATAACTGATGGACATTTAGGTTGATTCCATGTCTATGGTACTGTGAATTGCACAGTGATACACACATGAGGGGATGTGTTTTCTTTGTTACAATAATTTGTTTTCTTTGGGGCATATACCCAGGAATTGGATTGCTGAGGGGAATTGTAGGTCTGTTTTAAGTTATTTGAGAAATCTCTAGATTGATTTCCACAGTGCTTTGGCCAAGTTACATTTTCACCAAACATATGTAAGTGGCGCTTTTCTCTATAGCCTTGTCTGCATCTGTTAATTTTTGATCTTTTAGTGATAGCAGTTCTGACATGTGTTAGATAGTATCTCATTTGGTTTTGATTTGCACTTATTTGATTATTGAGGATGCTGAGCATTTTTGTATGTTAGTTGGCCACTTCTGTGTCTGTATTTGAGAAGTTTCTGTGCACGTCCCTTCCGCATTTTTAATGGGGTTATTTGATTTATGCTGCTAATTTAAGTTCCATATAGATTACTGCCTTGCACACACTGAGAAAACAAGTATTCAAAACTAAATAGAAAAAACATAATCACTTGTAGGTAAAAACATACTGAATTTAGAATGGCTGTGGATTGCCAGTTGGTACTGAAATGGGACAGCAACTTTGGAAAATGGTCTTCACTGAAAACCTCATATACAAGTGTACCTAGTGTCACCACTCACAGTAGTCGAATGGAGAATACAACTCAAGTGCCCATCGACTGCCATAAGGATGAAGATGCTGCAGTGCGTCTGTGGGTCTGTAACTCACAGGGTTGAAGACACCGTGGTGTGTCTGTGTGTCTGTAACCCACAGGGATGAAGATGCCGCGGTGTGTCTGTGTGTCTGTAACCCACTGGGATGAAGATGTCATGGTGTGTCTGAGTGTCGGTAACCCACAGGGATGAAGAGGCTGCGGTGTGTCTGTGTGTCTCTAACCCAGCTTTAAAGAGGAGTGAAGCACTGACATAGGCTGCAACTTGGATGAGCCTTGAAAACATTGGGTGAGTGAACTGAGGGAGACACAGAAGTCCACACCCTGAATTGTCCCATTGACGTGAAGTATGCAGAGGAGGAAAATCCCTAGAGACAGATCCCAGGAGGTGAGTGGAGGGGAAATGGAGAGTAATGCTTAATGGAGCTGCAGTTTTCTTTGAGGAGATGAAAATGTTCCCAAACCAAACAGTGGTGATGGTTGCACAGCATTGCGAATGTGTAAAGTATCACTGACCAATACACTTAATGAGGGCTAAAATGGTAAATTTTATGTTTTGTGTATCTCAACTCAATAAAAACGAGTGCCACATTTTGTTTAGTGAATCAACAACAATAACATTTAGGTTTAAATGCTGGATTCCCCAACAGAACCAGTGCTTCCTGCTGGAGCTTCATCCATCAGCCCCAAGGAAGGGAGTGGAGTGGGTCAGGTGCACAGGTCATGAAGGGAGCACAAATTCCAACCCACTCCTCAAGAGTCTGGTCACCACCTCCAGATCTACGTCCAAAAAACAGTTTTTCCTACAGCTGAGCTACAAGTGCACAACCATGTATGTATGTACGTATCTATTTTTGAGAAGGAGTTTCACTTTTGTTGCTCAGGCTGGAGAGCAATGGCACAATCTCTGCTCACTGCAACTCCCGCCTCCTGGGTTCAAGCGATTCTCCTGTCTCAGCCTCTGAGTAGCTGGGATTACAGGTGCCCGCCACTATGCCTGGCTAATTTTTGGTATTTTTAGTAGAGACAGGGTTTCATTATGTTGCGCAGGCTGGTCTCAAACTCCTGACCTCAGATGATCCGCCTGCCTTGGCCTCCCAAATTGCTGGGATTATAGGCGTGAACCACCTCACCTGGCCACAACCATGTATTTTTGTTTGTTTGTTTGTTTGATGTGGAGTCTCGCTCTGTCGCCCAGGCTGGAGTGCAGTGGCGCGATCTCAGCTCACTGCAAGCTCTGCCTCCCGGGTTCACGCCATTCTCCTGCCTCAGCCTCCCGAGTACCTGGGGACTACAGGCACCTGCCACCACACCCGGCTAATTTTTTGTATTTTTAGTAGAGCTGGTGTTTCACCGTGTTAGCCAGGATGGTCTCGATCTCCTGACCTCCTGATCCGCCCGCCTTGGCCTCCCAAAGTGCTGGGATTACAGACGTGAGCCACTGCACATGTATTTTTAAGCAAAAAACAGTGAGGGGACATCAGTGTGAGCCCACACACAAACCTCCCTGTGGGGGTTCACAGGACAGCTGAGGGTGCTGAGGACAGAAGCAAGTACTCAGGAACCAGCAGGGAGAACCAGGGGGCACTTGGCACCGCATGGGGGCTCAGGAGCATTGTGGGGCTCAGTGGTCAGGCAGGCTCAAGGCTCAGCATCAGGGCAGGTACAGCAGGTGGGGAAAGGCCCTGGAGATGGGGTTTTGTGCCACATTCTCATTGCACCACTAGACACCCTCCACTATATCTAGTCTCATGTGTATGAGTGTTTATATGTTTAGAGAATAATATTTATATTATAAATATATAGCCATATGTTAGACTCTTCAGCTTCAACTTATGTGGACCCCATTCATTAGGAATAAGTCCTTGTATTTGAAGACTTCATAAATTAAAATTTTTGTGGAATCACTTTCTTTTTCAGTCTCCTTTCCTCCCTTTTTCTTTCTTTCTCTCACATACACTGACAAACACACGGGGTGCTATAACTTTAATTACCTGATACATTAAAGCAAATTGATTCATTTGCAACTTGACCAGTTTAGCAGTTGTTCATGTTGTTGTAAGATTAAGAACATGTTTCTCAGCTGTGTACTTCTCTGAGCTGAGCAGCAGCTTTATTTGAAATACACAGAAACTGAAAATTCAAATATTAATCAGCAGCTTTATCAATAAACAAATTGTGGAAAAGTCATTTATTGGAATAGTACCCATTACTACAATCAATTAATGTTGGATATGATCAACAGTGTGGTTCAATTCACAAGTACACATGATAAGTATAATGAGTCAAAGCACATACATATGACTCCAGTTTATAAAATGTACAAAGCGAATACTCATTGCAAGTTACATAATGAAGATACCTAACTGACTTCTACATGGTAAGAGGAGGAAAGGTGTAGAAAGGGAAATTTCAGGAGAAAAAGAGAAAATTGTGAGGCTAATTGATTTGTTTTATCTGTGAGTGGTGATGATTATGTCAATATTTGTCAAACTGAGAAGATATTAGGTGAAGACTACAATTTTTCAGTATTATCTCATAAAAAATAAAAGTGTATAATTTGGTAGAAAAAGATAAAGAGAGAGATAAAAATAGTACAAGAAAAGCCTTAGACTTCTGAATACACATGCGAATGAATCCTCAGTTTTTCTATATTATTTAGAAAAACACTAAGATACAGCCAAATAATATGATATCATTATATTAAGAGGATTTTGTAAACCTCACTCAGAATTTCTTGCTCTGTCCTAGAGTTAATTTAGGAAGCAGTTGGATCCAGTCCTGAGAAACACAGGCCAGACAGTGAGACTGGCTCTTACCAGATGTGAGCTCGTAGACACGTCACATGGCCCCTCCATGCTTGGGAGTTTATGTTCACATTTGTAAATGAAGGAAAACTTGACTCTCACGGAGCATAATTCATGTGCATCTAAAAGTAGACATGCTAATGATAATTAATTATTTATGACATATAATCGCTCATATCCACTCTGGGACACAGCCCACTCTGAGGCATCCCTTCCAGAACTCGCTATATAGTAGGAGACATGCAAATGGGCCCCTTCCATTGCTGATGAAAACCAGCCCAGCCCTGACCCTGCAGCTCTGGGAGAGGAGCCCCAGCCATGAGATTCCCAGGTGTTTCCATTCAGAGATCAGCACTGAACACAGAGGGCTCACCATGGAGTTTGGGCTGAGCTGGGTTTTCCTTGTTGCTATTTTAAAAGGTGATTCATGGAGAAATAGAGAGATTGAGTGTGAGGGGACATGAGTGAGAGAAACAGTGGATTTCTGTGGCAGTTTCTGACCAGGGTGTCTCTGTGTTTGCAGGTGTCCAGTGTGAGGTGCAGCTGGTGGAGTCTGGGGGAGGCTTGGTCCAGCCTGGGGGTTCTCTGAGACTCTCATGTGCAGCCTCTGGATTCACCTTCAGTGACCACTACATGAGCTGGGTCCGCCAGGCTCAAGGGAAAGGGCTAGAGTTGGTAGGTTTAATAAGAAACAAAGCTAACAGTTACACGACAGAATATGCTGCGTCTGTGAAAGGCAGACTTACCATCTCAAGAGAGGATTCAAAGAACACGCTGTATCTGCAAATGAGCAGCCTGAAAACCGAGGACTTGGCCGTGTATTACTGTGCTAGAGACACAGTGAGGGGAGGTCAGCGTGAGCCCAGACACAAACCTCCCTGCAGGGGCGTGCGGGGCCACCAGGGAGCGCTCGGGACCACTGAGATAGGGACAGGTCCCAGGAGCAGGGGCAGGGGGCGGTTTCCTTTCTCAGATGCAGGAGGCAGGTTTGTTTTTGCAGGACTCTGGAGTTTTATGAGTTAGCGATATGTTATTATTTTTATTTATGATGTATTTTTATTGATATTTGTGTTATTGTAATTTTAAAATTTATATGTAGGGATATTTTTTAAAGATACATAACTTCAAGAAATAATTCTTCCTAATTATTTACTCTTATTCTTCTAGAGTTTTATTAACGTCTGTTGATATCAGCTACTCCACAGCTATAGAGACATTAATTTACATCCTAGACATACGATTAAATACACAAACCTATGCATACATGTATAGTCTTTTATATTTAACATTATAACAGAACAATTCTAAAATATGTCCTAAAGAATCAAACTTAATGAAAAACAAATATAAATTATTAAAGTAATCTATAATTGATTTCAATGATTCTCTATGATTCACATAAATCGATGTCTATTTGTAAGCTTAAACATAGTGTATTGGTCATTTTAAAATAGCCAAGAAATAATTTCAAATATTCTTGTCACAAAAAGTGATAGGGATTTGTGGATTTGAGGTAATATATATGTCGATTAGCTTGATTCAATTATTCCATATTGTATTCACAAATCATAACATAGCTTTGCAGGCCATAAATATATACAACAAAAATTTCTCAATTTTCAATGAAAATTTAATTATATTTGTTAATCTACCCTAGGCCATGAATTTTTCCCCCCTGTCCAGATCTGATTGAATCGTCCTGAGGAACTCATCCATTCTCATGTCTCCCGAAGTCTTCAGTAGCTCTTAGATGGGTAGAATCAGGCAAACCATGTGTGTCCACAGGTCCAGGAGCATCTCTCTCCTTGGATTAGGCCTCCTCCTCAGGATTACAGGTCTCTTCAGTTTTCTCAACATGCTGTTGTTGTACCAAATAAACACAAAAACACTTCCTTTTATTATGCTTTGGTTTAATTTTTCAAAACAACATAAAGATGATAATTTTAACAATAAACATATTACAACCTACCATACACGAGACTCTTCCTATGATTCAAGGTTTCCTATCAGGACTTTATATGTATTACATATTTTCAATTTCTTTCTGATACGGAATGCTGATGTCTCTTTATTAAAGATTATTCTTTTATGTATTTTTTTATTGTTATACTTTAAATTCTGGGATACATGTGCAGAACGTGCAGGTTTGTTACATAGGTATACATGTGCCATGGCAGTTTGCTGCACCCATCATCCCATCAACTACATGAGGTATTTCTCCTAATGCCATCCCTCCTCTTGCCCCCCACCCCCAACAGGCTCTGGTGTCTGATGTTCCCCTCCCTGTGCCCATATGTTCTCAGTGTTCAACTCCCACTTATGAGTGAGAACATGTGGTGTTTAGTTTTCTGTTTCTATGATAGTTTGCTGAGGATGATGGTTTCCAGCTTCATCTGTGTCCCTGCAAAGGACATTAACTCATTGTTTTTTTATGGCTGTATAGGATTCCATGGCGTATATGTGCCACATTTTCTTTACCCAGTCTAACATTGATGGGCATTTGTGTTGGTTCCAAGTCTTTGCTAATGTGTATAGTGCTGGAATAAATATACGTGTGCATGTGTCTTTACAGTAGAGTGATTTATAATCATTTGAGTATATACCCAGTAATGGGATGGCTGGATCAAATGGTATTTCTGGTTCCAGATCCTTGAGGAATTGTCACACTGTCTCCCACAATGGTTGAACTAATTTACACTCCCACAAACAGTGTAAAAGTGTTCCTATTTCTCCACATCCTCTCCAGCATCTGTTGTTTCCTGACTTTTTAATGTTCGCCATTCTAACTGGTGTGAGATGATATCTGATTGTGGTTTTGATTTGCATTAGTTTATCTCTTAAAATTAATTTTCAAAAGACCCACTGAAAACCCGGGTATTATTAGAACTTTTAGGTGTAATCATTGTACCAACATTGAGAATAAATTCAATTTATTTCACATGTTCTAAAATATCCTTTTCTCTTTAAAAGTTGTTCATAGTTGTAATATCAAACAGAATATTAGTAATTTATACTTATGACAGATTAAAATATTGTGTAAATAATTTAAAGACATTTGATTAGAAAAAAGAATACATGTTCCACATATGTCCTATTTTTGTCTTCTCTATGAAATGTGTGCTTTTTATTTTTTATGTTACAGATGTTACCCTTATCTTTTTGGATTCAGGAATTTAATTTGCTAGGTATACTTGAGTGTACTTTATTAATTCATTTAATAATGTTCATATTTTATATAAGGGTTTAATATTATTTTTATTATTTGCTGAATTTTAAAGTATTTTATACATTTTTATTTCTTGTTTTATGAGATAAAATTTACATATAAGAAGAAATGCATAGATCTAAAATGTATCACTAGAGAGTTTCTGGCAAAGGTGAATACCCTTGTCCCCAACACCTAAGGTAGCTGAAGAGCAAGTCCACCCCCAACATAGGTCTTCCTCTGTGCCTGCAGTCAACTCCTGCATGGGGAAATGTTTTGATTTCTGACACCATAGATCCATGTTTTTCTGCTTTGAACTTCACATAAATGAAATCTAACATTATAGACTTTTTTTGGTAATGGCTACTTTTGCTATATTTGAGGTGTATTCATGCTATTTAATGTATAAAATTAGATCAACATATTGTCATTTATTCAATTAATGAACTGACTCTGACATGAAACCTCAAAGTTTTCATGTATATATGGAGACAGAGAGAGAGAAAGGACAGAGATTTTATGTCTGAGTCAGCCCATTAAGTAAATAAATGACAATATATTGATCTATTTTTCTGTTGATGGACTTTAAATTTGTTTCCAGTTTATAAATATTGTAAGCAAAGCTGTTGCAAATATCTTAACATAAGTTTTTCTATGTTCTCTCATTTTTATTGAGAAAATATGAAGTATGCATTTCTTTATTATAAGAGTAAGTTTAATTTTTTTCATTTTTATTGAGGTATAATAGAAAATTTTTAAAAAGTATATATTTAAAGTGCTCCACTTGATGTTTTTATGTTTTATTGGTCTGTTCTCACAGTGCTAAAAAGAAATGCCTGAGACTCAGAAATTTTAAGAAAAGGATATTTAATTGGCTCACAGTTCTGCAGGCTGTACAGGAAATGCAGTGGCTTCTCCTTGTGGGGAGACTCAGCAAAGTTAGAATCATGGCAGAAGACAAAGGGGAGCAGGCACATCACATGGCCAGAGCAGGAGCCACAGGAAGTGGCGGGGGAGGTCTACACACTGTTAGACAACCAGATCTTGTAAGAACCCATGCACTGTAGTGAGAACAGCACCAGGAGTTGTTGCTGAACCATTCATGAAAGACCCACCCCATGACCCAGTTGTCTCCCACCAAATCCCACATTCAGGATTGAGGATTATAATACATGAGATTTGGTCCAGGACACAGATCCAAACCAAATCAGATATACATTGTAAAATGCTCATCATGGTAGGGTAATTTGTAGATCTATCATCTCACAGAGCTACCATTTTTATTTTTACTGCGTGTGTGTCTGTGTGTGCGTGTGTGTGTGTGTCCCATGAGAACACCTAAGATCTACCTTTTTAGCAAATATCATTTTTACAATACAGTATTAACTATAGGAACATTGCCATATATTAGACCTCCAGGACTCAATCACCCTGCACAACTGAAACTCTGTACCCTTTGGCCAACGTCACCCAATTTCCCTCTCCTCTCAGGTCCTGAGACCCACTATCCTACTCTCTGCTTTCAAGAGCTGGGATAGTTTAGATCCTACACGTAAATGAGATCATGCAGCATTTGTCTTTCTGCATCTGGCTTATTCCACTTAGCATCACGTCCTCCAGGCCCATCCGTGTTGTTGCAAATGTCAGAATTTCCTTCTTTTCAAAGCCAAATAAAATTCAGTTTTGTGTATACACATTTTCTTTATACATTCATCCACTTACAGTCATTAAGTTATTTTACAAATCTATACAATTATTTATAATCTGGCAATGAACATGTCTTTGGCAAAATAATTTTATTTCCATTAGATGTATAACAAGAAGTGGGATCACCAGATTATATGATAGCTTTATTTTCAACTTATGGAGTAACCAATCCCACCACAAAATATTCCCTTTTCCACACATTCTTGCCAACATTTGTCATCTTTTACCTTTCTGATGATAGCCATATTAACTTGTGTGAGGTGATATCGCATTGTGCTTTTGATTTGAATTCCCCTGATAATGAGGAATGTTGAGAACATTTGCATTTTCTGTTAGCCATGTGTTTGTCTTCTGAAAAAAAAATCTATCCAGGATTTTGCCCTTTTTTTAATCAGTTCATTTGTTATTTGCTATTGAGGTATATGGGTTATTTATACATTTGGATAGAACTTCTTGTCAGATACATAATTGCGCATAGTTTTTCCTGTGCTTTGGTATTAAATTCAAAGAAATCAGTTCTGAATCAATGGTAGGAAGATTTTTTTCCTCCATGTCATTTATGAGTTTATGGTTTCAGGTATTATACCCATTATTAGTTGATTTTTATATGGAGTTAGAGAAGGCCTAATTTTATTTCTTTTGCATATGGATGCCTGGTTGTTACACCATTATTGAAAAGACTGTACTTTCTCTACTGTGTGTTCTTGGCACACACAATCAGGAAGAGACATAATGACAAAAGAAAATATCAGATGAATATTCCTGATGAACATAGACCTGAAAGTCCTCAACAAAATACTAGCAAATAGAATCCAGAAGCACTTCAAAATGTGATACATCATGGTTAAGTGGGCATTGCCCCTGGGACGCAAGGCTCATTCAATATCCACAGTAACTGTGATTCACAATGTAAACAGAATAAATGCAAAAACCATATGATTATGTCAATAGATGCTGAGAAAGCTTCTGATAGGATCCAACATCCACTCATGACAAAAACCCTAAACAGACTAGACATCAAAGAATCATACCTCAGAATAATAAGAGCTATCTATGACAAACCCCCAGTCAACATCATATTAAATGAGCCAATTAAAACACTTGTCTTTATAAATTACCCAGTCTCAGTTGTTTCTTTACAGTGTGAGAATGGACTAAGACAGCATCTAAATAGGAAAGGAAGTCCATCCATCCGTCTTCACTGATGATACAATTTTATAGCTAGAAAATCCTAAAAACTCTGCCAAAATAATTGTAGAATAAATAACGTTAGTAAAGTGTTAGGATACAAAATCGATAGACAAAAATTACCAGCATTTCTATACCCCAACCACATCCAAGCTGAGAGTATAATCAAGAACACAATCCTTTCCAACTTACAATATCCACAAAGAAAATGAAATGCCTGGGAACACAGATAACAAACAAGGTGAAAAATCCCTACAAAGAGAACTACAAAACACAGCAGAAATAAATCATAAATGACAAAAATAAATGGGAAAACATTTCATGCTCATGGATTGGAAGAACCAATATTGTAAAAATTGTCATACTGCCCAAAGGAATTCACAGATTCAATGCTATTTACATAAAACTATCATCATCATTATTCACAGAATTAGAAAAAAAAACATTCTAAAATTTATATGGAACCAAAAAAGACCCTGAATAGTCAAAGCAATCCTAAGCATAAAGAACAATGCTAGAGGCATCATGATACTGACCTTAAACTACACCATAAAGTCTTGCTAACAAACACATCTTGGCACTGGTATGAGAGCAGACACGCAAAAAAAATAGATCAAAATAGAAAACAGAAATAAAGTTGCACACCTGCAACCAGTTGATCTTTGACAAGGCTGACAAAAACAAGCAATGGGGAAAAAACTCTGTATTCAGTAAATGGTGCTGGGATAACTGGATTCTGGCAGATATGCAGAATGCAAGAGTGAAGGAGCCTGTGCAACTTCTACCTAGATTTCAGATGTGTAGAGAGCCCTGCATGCCCAGGAAGAAGCCTGGTGCAGGAGTGGAGCCACCACTGACAGCCTCTACTAGGGCAGCACCAAAGATGGGGAGAGATGGAGTTGGAGCCCCCATTCAGAGTCCCCACTAGGGTGCTTCATAGTAAAGTTGTGGGAATGTGACCACAACCCTCAAGACCCCAGAATGGTAGGGCCATGGGCAACTTGCACCCTCAGCCTAGAAAAGCTTCCAGCACTTGACTCTCACTTGTGAAGGCAGCCCCATGGTCTGTGCCTAGCAAACTATAGGGATTGTCTGCCTGCGGTTTTGGGGACCCAATCCTTGTTCCAGTGTGCCCTGGTTGAAGTACATAAAGTCAAGAGAGATTATTTTGTAGCATTAGGATTTAATATCTGCAGTGCTGGGTTTTATATGCATGTGGGGCCTGTTGGTTGTTCCTCTGGCCAATTTATCCCTTTGGGGTTGGAATTATTTACCCAATGCCTGCACCATCATTGCACCTTGGAAGTAAACAACTTTCATTTTTTAAACTTGCAAGCTCACAGCTGGAGGGAAATTGCCTTAAGACTCAGATGAGACTTTGGACATTTGAGTTGGAGGTTGATCAAGTTAACATTTTGGGAACTATTGAAAAAAAGGTGATTATATTTTGCAATGTAAGAAGAATATGAGAACTTTGGGTCCGAGAGTGCAATGATATCATTTAAGGGTTTTACCCTCCAAATGTCATGGTGAAATGTGACCCACAATGTTGGAGGTGGGGCCAACTGGATGGTTTTGGGTCATGAGGAGATTTTTCAGGACTGGGTTGGCATCCACCCCATGGTAATTAGTGAATTCTTGCTGTATTAGCTACTGTGAGATTTGATTGTTCAAAAGAGTCTGGCAACCCTCCTACCCTCTCATGTCCCCCCTCCTCACCATATGACACAGCCTCCTCCCCCTTTGCATTCCACCATGACTGTAAGCTTCCTGAGGCCCTCACAAGAAGCGGATGCTGGTGCCATGCTTCTCACACAACCTGCAGATCTGTAAGCCAAATAATCCTCTTGTCTTTGTAAATCACTTGGCCTCAGGTATTAATCTATACCAATGTAAAATAGACTAATACACTGCTCAAAGCAATATACAGAGTCCATGCAATTTATATCAAGTAACTAATATAATTGATTACATATTTTTAAAAATCCTAAAATTCATATAGAACCAAAAAAGAGTCTGAATAGCAAAAGCAATCTTAAGCAAAAAGAACAAAGCTGGAAGTACCACATTCCCTGACTTCAAACTACACAACACAAATATAATAAGAAAGGCAGCATGGTAGTGGTAGAAAAAAATCAAGAGCCCAGACATATAGCCAAATATCTACAACCAACAGTTCTTTGACAAAACTGACAAAAATATACACTGGAGAAACAACTCTCTGTTCAATAAGTAGTGCTGGGAGAATTGGATAGCCTTATGTAGACGAATAAAATGAGACTTCTATATCATCACAGACACAAATTAACTGAATTGGATTCAATGTTTAAATTTATAAACTCATAAAAATGCTTGAAGAAAATCTAAAAAAAATCCTCTAGACATTCGCCTAAGCAAATAAAATATGACTAAGACTGACTTCAAAAGCAAATGCAATGAAAACAAAATTAGACAAACAGGATTAATTGAAACAAAGATTGTCTGCACAGCAAAAGAAATAACCAACATAGTGAAAAGACAACCTGTGAACAGTAAAAAAAAAAATTTGCAATCTATTCATCAAAGGGCTAATACATAGAATCTACAAGGAACTCAAATCAGTCAACAAGAAATAACAATTTCATTAAAGAGTGAGCAAAAACCAGACATTTCTCAAAAGAAGACACAGACATGGCCAAAACAAATAAGAAAACATACTCAGCATCACCAATCATCTGATAAATGTAAATTACAAACAACATGATATAGCATCTTCCACCAGTCACAATGGCTGTTATTACAAATAAAAAACAGCAGGTGTTTGCAGAGAAGCATAGGAAAAATAATGCTTTTTATATGCTTGGTGAAAATATAAATTAGTACAACCTCTATGAAAAACAATACAGAAGTTTCTCAAAGAACTAATATTAGAATTACCATTTGACCCAGTAATCCCTCCCAGTGGGTATATTCCTCCCAAAAGGAAATTTTACATCAGAAAAAGTCACCTGCATTCCTATATTTACTGCAACACTATTTTCAATAGAAAAGTCAAGTAATCTAAGTGCCAATCAGTGGATGATTAGATAGATAAAATATGATAGATGTAAATTGTGGAATACTATGCAGCCATAAAAATTGAAATTGTGTCTTTCACAGCAACATGAAGAGTTGTAGGACATTAGCCTAAATAAAATAACTCAAAAAGATCTTCTCTTTTATAATCGGAAAGTAAATAATGGGTACACATATACATAGATAAAAAACAATAGGCACTGGGAACTGCAAAAGAGGGCAAGGTGAGAGGAATGTGAGGGTTAAAAAATCACCTACTGGCTCCAATGTTCACTAGTGGGCGATAGTTACACCAGAAGCCCAAACCTCACCTTTATGAAATATATTCATGTTACAAAATTGCACATGTACACCCTGATTCTACGGAAAAAAAACAGAAATAAAACATGAACAGAACTGTTACACTGTTAGCTAGATTTATCAACAAACAAGAAAAATGCAAAAGGAGCAATTATCTGTTTTGAGACCCTTTCTCATTTTCTGGTACGATTAGAAATTGTAGACTAATCCCTATATTCTCTTCCAAAGCCCTAGCATTAGCCATTTCTCAAAGACATGCTGGTTCCTTTTTTTTTTTTTTTTTTTTTTGAGACAGGGTCCAGGCTCACTGCAACCTCCACCTCCTGGGTTCAAGCGATTCTCCTGTCTCAGCCTCCCAAGTAGCTGGGATTACAGGCATGCGCCACTATGCCTGGCTACTTTTTGTATTTTTAGTAGAGACGGGGTTTCGCTATGTGGGCCAGGCCGGTCTCAAACTCCTGACCTCAAATGATCTGCCCACCTCAGCCTCCTAAATTGCTGGAATTACAGGTGTTAGCCACTGCCCCCTGTCACTGGTTTCTTTTATAGAAGAATAGTATTAAAAACTCAAATCTTGATTCTGGGTGTATTTTTTGTTAATGTGCACTCATTTCTTGTAGAAATTCTCAGGTAAAAAAATCTAGGAAGTGTGTGTTGTGTATTAACCCATATATGCACACACATCTAAACTATTTTTATCTAATATATGTACCTATATTATGCTAAACTTGCAAATAAAATGACATGTCCACTCTAAGTTAATACCACATGAATGTTTATCACATTCCTTCTATGCCTGTCACTAACCTTGCACTCCAACCATGAGGAACCCCATTTCCCCACACACCGTCCATTCTCTTTGTAGTCCAATTCCAAGATTCCTGTGGAGTGTAACCAGATGTGTAAGTTGTGCTCTTTTGTGGAACATCATCAATTGGGGTACAATGCTGATGTGCAGTTTCTTTTTTCTTTAATCTTATTGCCTACACCATTTCTGAATCTACTTAGTACCTCTTTTGAATTCATACATTTGTAATGGAATTAGACATTTTCTATATTATCTGCATTCCATCCTGGAATTCCTAATCACCTATTTTTAAAAAAATTTCTTTTCAAGTAAGATTGTATTAGTCAGGGTTCCCTAGAGGGGCAGAACAAACAGGATATATATACACACACGATACACACACACACACACACACACACACACACACACGGAGTTTATTAAGGAGTATTAACTCATATGATCACAAGGTCCCACAATAGGCCATCTGCAAGCTGAGGAGCATGGAAGGCAGTCCGAGTCCCAAAGCTGAAGAACTTAGCCAGTCTAATCTTTTCATGTTCTTCTGTTTTTCTTTTTTTTTTTTTCCTCTGGCCACACTGGCAGCTAATTAGATTGCACCACCCAGATTAAGAGTGTGTCTCCCTTTTTCAGCCCACTGGCTCAAAGGTTAATCTCTTTTGGCAACACCCTCACAGACCCACCCGGGATCAATACTTTGCACCCTGCAATCTAATCAATGCTAATCAGTATTTAGCATTACGAGTCCACCCTGTCAACTTGAAACCATACACATCTCCTGAGATTATATATAATCTTCAAATAAAGACAATAATAAAGTCATAATTACACCTAATATAATACAACTTTATTCGTACAACTGGAAATGCACCAATCCCCAATCCAAATGCTATTACATATGGTCCACTCCCTCAAGGACACAGCCAGGATCATTCTATGACTTGGTGTCTAGAAGACTCATGCACTTTTAATTTTGCCTCCAATATTAGACTCCACTTTATCACATGCAGACACCGCAGAATATTTTAAGACATCGATGTCTTATGCTGAAAAATTCAACAGTACGTAAAATTGCCTTCCCACCACAGCCAGTGGTTACTACTGAATAAGGATCTGCCATCCCCTAGGGAGTGCTATAGTGGATGGTGTGCACTGTTAGTAGCTATGGAAATTGATCCGTTGTGGCAAATGGCAGCATCTTTCTTTTATAACATTAAACCGTATTATATTGTATACACATACCACATTGTCTTTATTCATTTGTCTATGTGCTGACCATCAGATAGTTTCCATATCTTGGCTGTTATTAATAGTGTTTCAATAAACATAGGATGCAGATATCTTTACAAGGTGGTAATTTCATCTACTTGGGTATGCTCCCAGAAACAGGATTTCTGGTCATATAAAATCTCCAGTTTTAATTCATTTAGGAGGCTTTATGTTGCTTTCCATAATTGTGGAAATGTAGAATGGTATAGCCATTATGAAAAACAGTTTTGGTTTTGAGTTATGATCCATAAACAGCATTTGCTTATGGCTCTCAATGAGAGTTTCTACTAAATATGATGGAAGGCCAGGAAGGATTCTCACCTTAAAGCTTGGATGGATTATGAATTTACCTCTTATTTCCTAAAAGCAAAACATTGGAAGCATACATGATGGAGGCTGTTGGCAGGTTTCAGGATGATCTCATAAGAGGAGAATCTGTTGCATAAAAATGTTGGGTTTTCAGTCATAGACCCACCTACACTCAATATGAAATGATGAAGTCAAGTGAGGATCTAGAACATGTTCACTTGAAGCAACAGCATATTCTCAAAGGAACTTATTGCTGCCTCACAAGGGTGATGAACTTCTGAAACCAGTAAAGTGTGAGTGCACAGTAAGTGATAAAGTTATCATGTCTACATGAAGTTTGTTTAATGTGCCAAGGGCTGGTACAGATTAATCTTATACAAATATATGCAATATATTTTTGCATACATAGATATCTAGAGGATAATCCTTTTAGCAAAACTTCTTCAGGTTACAGAAATCTGTGTAAGTTGTAGATCTCATGGGGAACTCTTTCTTTATAAATACTGGTCTGTTTTTCACATCAGGAAAAATTATCTCTGTTGGAGTAGGCTTCCAATTGTGTAGACTTCTGAATTGCTTCTTGAGTTGTAACAAATGAACCAAAAAATTTGACTAACTGGAGTTTCATGGCTGTGTTAATAAAAATTTCTTATAAGCTTTCTTTCAATTATTTGAGACCAGTTTTCCTGATTTTATTTTTCTCCAATAGATAAATTTTCACAATTTATCTATTGTGAAACTAAACTCTCTGGCACTTTAGTTTAAAAGACTGGCTTCCTAGGAAAAGGCTTCTTTCTAACAATGATGAGCTCATTTCTTCTGCAAACCATCAAGTTTGAGCCTCATTGTCAAGAATCATGAAAATTTTAACTCTGATATACTGAAAGTCATGACTCTTGAATTTATTATTTATTGGCATTGACAAAAGTGATTCATTCTTGGATGTATCCTATGTTGCTGGCCAAACATATCAGTGAACTGAGTATCCTCCCTTAGCTCTCTCTGTCTGTAGCACTGAGTCTACAATCTTCAGAGTCATCCATGAAGGGGAGTCCTGAGGTTCATGGGATTCTTGTAAACATTCAGGTGAACAGAAGAAAGAAACAGGATTGAGGGCTGCCAGCTATTTCCATGCCATTAGGAATAATTACCATCTAAGTATAAAGGTCTACATTGTACAGAATACCCTACAGGATAGGCTGATGCAAAAAATTCCAAACCCACAGAGGCTCCACAGCAACCCTTACAGTTCTTTCAGGGAAGAAATAATCTCCAAATTAAGTGAGTCAGGAAAGCTGCTCTGAGCTATAGGAAAAATTGGATTTGGCCCAGGTTTGTCTGAGTTCAACGTAATTATTATACTCAGCTCCTGCTCCAATATGGACTGAGTATGGGGAATTTAAATGAGCCTGGCTGTGTGGTTTGTTATATGAAAATCTGAACTAAATAAACATAAAAGGCATGTCTGGACTAGCATGAGGGTGAGAGATCTTGGGAACCCCACCCCCATACTCTTATCGCCCTTTCCTCCAGGAACCTCCAAGTTCTCAGGGTGAGAATCCACATAGATCCCTTCATGGCTCTATTTCCAGGAAACCAAATCTCTAATAAATACACCCAGACTTTCTTCAGACCCACAAACCATGGGAAAGGCATTTTTAGATCCTCATCTATGTGGGGAAAGGTAATCCATCCCCATTACAAGCCCATACTAGCAGCCTTCCTTTATCATGAAAATGGGTAAAATTAGCCAATAGATGTAAATTTAAGGAAAATTTCCTGTGATGTTCCAGCCAGAAAAGAGCAAAAATCAGCTTCACCTCTGGAGACTTCCTGTATAGGGCACAGCCCAGAGGAAGAAGACCACCACAGCATTAAGATTCAACTGTAAGAACATGTAATGCTTCCGTGTTCCACACATTACGTCTCACCAGTTTAGTCAACATGGATTAAATACGAGAGTGTGGCAATGCACAAACTCTGAGGAGGAAATAGGAGAAATATGTTAAGGAAAATAGAAGAATTCGAAGCCTCTGATACCAGGAACTTCAGCACAAAGGAAATGATTTCACCCTCATTGGCCTCAAATTTACTTTTCCTGTGGCATCTGCATGGTTCCAAAGTGAAAAAAATTAATTCAATGCGCATGTACTTCCGAAGTGTCCACTTGCATTCTGATATCTTTACTTCTATTTGCAGAAAGTAGACACATATGCAGCCTTAGTGCCAGTGTAGGGAGTGCTTTCCTTAACACGGATACCAGAAAAATAGGGTAAACATAGGGCCCATTAATGTGAAAATTAGCCATTGTGTGTGTGTGTGTGTGTGTGCGCGCGTGTGAGTTGAATAGTAGAGTTGGAGTGGGCTTCTATCAACCTGCACCTGCCAGTGTTCTCAGGTGCAATAATCAACTTCAGGACCCTAAAGGAAATAAGAGCCCCCCCAAACCCCTGAAGACTTTTTGGATTCACCGTGTGTCCAATGATTCAGTGCCTCTTGAGCTCCAGGAAAGGTCTCCCTGGTGATGCATGAGATCTTACTTGGGGTCTCTCTGCAAAGTTCTCTGGGTTTCCTAAGGCCAATTCACTATTTCAAAAAATGGTGTGAGAAGCACAGGCTGTCACTAAAGGAGAATTCTGAGCCAGGGCACAGCCACTTTATACTTGGCTGGAGACACTGGTAGGAATATACTCTGTGAGCTCAGACAGGAACCTCCCTGCAGGGGCGGGGCGGGGCTGCAGGGGGCGCTCAGGACACACCGAGCACAGGCTTCCGCCCCAGAGCAGGAGCGCAGGAGGCTGGGGAGAGGTTCCTCTTAGGGCCTGGGACTTCCTTTAAAAAATCTAAAATAAGTATTTCAGAAAGACTGCTGATGTTCACATAAATACCCTATTTAATTGTCAGCATTTATGAAACTCGATGTTGTAATGAGAACCACTTTTACAATGAGGATTTCAAACTCCCCTAGACATCTTAATAGTAAGCAGCTGGAGGTCTGGAGGAGATCCTTTCTTATAAATAAGTGCAATTTTTGGAGAAACACACTCATTCCCAAAATAGCACATTCACATATTAAGGTCTAGAAATGATTCAAGTTGCCCATGAGACAGTCAAATGTGGGTTCAAAGTGAGGTGCGTGTCCTGGGGGAGCTTGTTCTCCAGTGGGGGAAGCTCTGTCAACACAGAGTTCAGGGATGTGTAGGGGTCGCATCGCCTCTAACAGGATTACGGCTTGAACCCTCAGCTTCTACAATTGTGTCGTCCATGTGTCATGTATTTGCTCTTTCTCATCCTGGGGCAGGAATTGGGCTATTAAATAGCATCCTTCATGAATATGCAAATAACTGAGGTGAATATAGATATCTCTGTGCCCTGAGAGCATCACACAACAACCACACCCCTCCTTGGGAGAATCCCCTAGATCACAGCTCCTCACCATGGACTGGACCTGGAGCATCCTTTTCTTGGTGGCAGCAGCAACAGGTAAGGGACTCCCCAGTCCCAGGGCTGAGGGAGAAACCAGGCCAGTCATGTGAGACTTCACCCACTCCTGTGTCTTCTCCACAGGTGCCCACTCCCAGGTGCAGCTGGTGCAGTCTGGAGCTGAGGTGAAGAAGCCTAGAGCCTCAGTGAAGGTCTCCTGCAAGGCTTCTGGTTACACCTTTACCAGCTACTATATGCACTGGGTGTGACAGGCCCCTGAACAAGGGCTTGAGTGGATGGGATGGATCAACACTTACAATGGTAACACAAACTACCCACAGAAGCTCCAGGGCAGAGTCACCATGACCAGAGACACATCCACGAGCACAGCCTACATGGAGCTGAGCAGCCTGAGATCTGACGACATGGCCGTGTATTACTGTGCGAGAGACACAGTGTGAAAACCCACATCCTGAGGGTGTCAGAAACCCCAGGGAGGAGGCAGCTGCAGTGAATTTGAGGAGATTACAGGGCTTACAATGTTTAAAGTTGTTTAGAAAATGAGCTGAGCAACTGAGGAATGTAATAGAAACATGGATGCACTCTATATAGGAAATGTTTCTTTCAGCTGTCACCCTATATGCAAAATTCAGAGTGGTAAAGACAGCAATCAGTGAGGCTGATGCAAAGAATCCCATGGAGGCCTTGTGCAGACATAGGTTTTAAAATCAGATAGATAAATAATTTGGAACAAGATTGCTGGTAACATGGCTAAGACTAAATATGATTCCTAAAAACTGGCCAAAATGCACTCCAAATTGTCTCTGCCACTCCTTTTACATAAAATGTATTAAAAAGTAGTTTTAAGACCACAGCAAAATTGAACAGAAGGTGCAGAGAGTTCTCATGTGCCCCTGCTTCACCATGCACAGCCTTCCCCACTGTCACCATCCTGCCCCAGAGTCATCAATAAGTTACAATGGATGAACTTACATGGGCAGATTTGTTCTTTCCTCTTCTGGTGGTCTCTTGGCATACCAAGCCCAAATTATCTTGAAGCACCATAGGTTCTGCTGTAATGCCTAACCTTGTTTTTTACTCTAGCTTGCTACTTTAAGTTTTCCCTTCTTTTGTCTCCTTAATTGCCAGCCACGTTTCCCATATGAATAGACTCTCCCTGGCTGGGAAAGCCGGACAAACTCCATTTGATCTTTTGATTTACAAGACATTAAGGCTCCTTATCCAACCCCCTTCTTCAAGGAGTTAACCTATGTAAACAGATCCTCAGCATTTCAAAGGAGCCCAATTAACTGATAAGGTACTGGAACAAACAATGTATGAAGTTACCAGGATTTTTCTCAAAGAGATAACAACATAAAGCCTTGAGTTCGTGCCCAGCATAGCATCTATATATAACTCAAATCAAGGATTTAGAGCCCTGCACCTGGTACTGTTGCTTTTTGTAACCATTTGTCTTTTAAATTGTTTATCACTCTGTAACCATTTGCTTCTTTTGATTCTTGCATGTTTTTACTTCTATAGAATTATTGTATTTGAGTTCCCCTCCCCTTCCTAAACCAAGATATAAAAGTTAATCAAGCCCCTTCCTCAGGGCCGAGAGAATTCTGAGCGTTAGCTGTCTCTTTGGCTGCCAGCTTAAATAAAGGACTCTTAATTCGTCTCAAAGTGTTGCATTTTCTCTAACTCGTTTGGGTATAACACTACAAGTGGGTTCCTGGGAATGATGCCAGTTCAGAGGAAAAGTGGGTGGGGCTATTCATATTTGGGCTGTTTTTTAGAGGATTCATAAAACGGATATTTTCCTATACATTCTGTGACTCCTGATTTACTATGTCCCTTCCCAGAGGGTAAGGTCCCTAAGTGTTTAGCAGTATATCCATGTCTATGGAAAGAAAGCAAGTTCTGGTGAATCCCATAAGGAATGTCCTTTGATGAGAAGTGGAGACCTTGGTCATGATGCACATCATGTATGTTTTTCTATAATTCCATTAGATTCACTGTAATTTTGGGGGGTGTCCTGTGGAATGGGTCTTCTGTGTCCCTGCATGTTCAGCTATATCTGTGTGGTGCCACTTACACTTAATGAGATGAGATTCCTGCTGCTTGTGTCAGGTCACTGGTGATCTCTGAAGCTGCTTCTGGTTTCTGCTTCAATATGTAAAAAGCATGTCAAACATCACCCACTTTCTTACAATAATAAAAGCCTGGAAAATTGATTATCAATAATTTCTTGAATCTGTTGAAGAAATGAAATTGCAGGGAAAACCAGGACCCCCAAAACTAGAAAGACATTAAAATAGAGATAATCAGACTGATGGATCAAAGTTCTGTGGCAATAAGATACCAAATTATAAACAAGGCCTAAAGTCATGGATTAAGTCACTCACCCCTACACTTAAAAAAATGACTATATTGTAACTTCCACAGGGCTTTTTTGTTTTCTGTAGCACCTAAACAAGCACTGGTTCTGAGGTAAGCATATTAAAACATTTGCAGCTCATGGAACTCCAAACATGTGGTAACTGTGACCCTGTTCCACAAGCCATAAATAGAGCTTTGATTGGACAAGAGACAGATTTCAGTAACTGTCTTCTGAGAAGAGACCACTGACCATGAACTTGTCTTGGCAATTTACAGAGACTGTGCAGTGTGTATCTTTCAGCCCCTGCACAAAGCCCTTTTGATGAACAGGGCCCAATTTTCATTCATTTAGTTCTTAAGTCCTCACCCCCAAAGCAAACACTAAGTGCATGTAACGTGTGTTTGCTTATTAGACATGAGAGCCTGCCCACTATGTGAATATCAATAGATCCTCCTATAGTCTGCTGAATGTGTACACTTGGCTTATCCATTTGCATGAATTCATTTATCCTCTTTCCCTCTCTTGAAGTGCCTGCTCACTGTCTCTGTGGGAGGCTTTGCTTCCCAGCCTGTTAAGATGGCTGTCCTGCAGCTTCAATCATTTATCGGAAGTAAAATCTCCTTTCTAAATTTATAAATTGTGTGACTCTTCCGTTGAAAGTGCAAGCTGGTGGGAACAGTTACATGGTAATTCAGTAAATTTCTGGTGGACAGGTGTGGACAGGGATAGGGTAAGAACTCCTGGGGGCTGCACACCCCACACTTTGATGGAATTTCCCTCCAGAAACTTCTGGGTTCTCAGGATGATAATCCAAACATTCCCTCATGGCTCTGTCATCAGGAGAGCTATTCTCTGATAAATATGCTCAGAACTTCCTCCAGACAGATCCTATAAAGAAAAAATGCTTTTCAAGATCTCTATTCTATGTGAGGGGAAGGTATTCTTTTCCATCCCAGGCAGTTTCATCTTAGTCTTCCTGTGTCATAAAAAGGGGCAAAATTAATAAAACAACTGGGGGTCAAGTTCAAGACAATAATATGTGGATGCTGCAGCCAGGAGGGGGGAGTAGAATGATGGAGGAAAATCAGCTGTACCACTAGAGACTCCTTGTAAAGGGCACAGTCTAGAGAAAAAACATCAAGAAAACATTGAAATTCAATTTCCAGTACATATACTGCTCCCCTGCCCATGACATTACCTCTTCACCAGTATGATCAATCTGGATTAAAGAGAAAAGTGTGGCAATGCACAGACTCTGTCCAAGGACTAGAACTTAGGAAAACCAAAGGCAGAGGGAGAGGATAAGTTAAGGACAGTGAAGCGGTTTAAAGCTTCTGAGACCAACAGCTTCAGGACCAAGGCCATGGCCCCTCTGTCAATGGCCTTAGATTTACCTCTCATGGGGCATCCACAGGGTTCCCAGGTGAGAACGGGCAAAAACAAGGTGAAGACACTTTCCAAATCTCCAGGAGTACTGAGCTTGCTTTAGCTCTGTTTGAAAAAACAAAACAACAACAACAAACAACAACAACCGCAAATATAACCAGGATTAAGGTCAGTGTTGGAAGCATTTTTATTAATTTTTTTAAATTTTTTATTTCTTAGATGGAGTCTCGCTCTGTCTCCCAGGCTGGAGTGCAGTGGTGCGGTCTTGGCTCTGCAATATCCACCTCCTGTGTTCAAGCAATTCTCCACCCTAGCCTCCCAAGTAGCTGGGATTACAGGTGCATGCCACGGCACCCAGTTAATTTTTGTATTTTTTAGTAGAGACGGTGTTTTGCCATGTTGGTCAGGCTGGTGTCAAACTCCTGACCTCAGGTGATCTGCCCAAGTTGGCCTCCCAGACTCCTGGGATTACAAGTTAATTGAGTTAATAAAGCTGTTCTGAACTATGAAAAACATTAGTTTGCTCCCAGATTTGCTTGATTTCAATTTGATTATTATATTCAGCTGTTGCCCTAATATGTTTGAGCATGTTACTATTTAAATGACCCTGGCTGTTTGATTTGTTATATATAAATCTAAACTAAAATAACTTAAAGGACAGGTTTGTACTATTATTAGGATGAGATATTCTGGGTGCCCCTCATTTGCTCCATGAACCTCCACATTTTTAATTTAGAATTCACATAAATTCCTTGTGAGTTGGGTCAGTCATTGAGAGACCTAATCTCTAACACCTTTACCCAGAACCTTCTCCAGATAGACCACCCACGGGAAGAACATTTATAATAATTTATCTACATGGTGAAAGGTACTTCACTGCCATTGTAGAACCCTCTTCCCAGCCTTCCTTTATTAGGCAAGTGATTGCCAGTATGGTAAGATTGAACAAAAGGATGTGCCAGTAGGGTAAGATTGAGCAAAAATAGTCCTGAGATGCTGCAGACAGGGAAGGACATAATAGACAAATATCAGCTTTATTAGAGGAAACTCCTTGTAAAGGTCACAGCCAAGAAACAGAAGATAACAAAATCACTGAGATGAAATTCTAAGAAACTTGGTCCAGTTCAATCAAGCCATCAACAGCCAGGTGGCTTTAGTGGCCACTATGCATATTACCCCATGCCTAAAGGTTCTGGTACAAGAGCTTCTCTATAAGTTGCACATTGCCATAGTGGAAGACGGCATGGGAGATTTGGTGGCAAACACTTACGGTGCAATAATAGCTGTTTTTCCTATATCATGACAATATGTGGCACACTTCTAGACTCATTTCATGCCAAAGAAGTTCCTCAGAAGGGTAAGGAAATGGAGAATCTTACATGGTCCAATGCAGTCCCCAAGAAGTAATTTTGAATGGACAGTTACACTGGTTACTACAATGCTGTCTCTGACCTTCTCAGGATCGAAGATAATCATGAGTATCAAGGTGGAGATGGGTCTAGGCGAGAGAAAAGGAAGTAGTGGTTCTTGAGAAGAATTGTATGGCCAAGATAAGCTTGAACTATCTCTCCTCTTCCAGTTCCTGCAACTTCTTATTGCCTGATTGAGGTCATTACCCTATGGTGGTAATGACATCAGCAATGTAATAAATTCTCTCGTGGCTTTGTATCTGGTTTATAACATGGGAAATGTTTCCTCAAGAGTGGTGATGCCAGTATGGCTTCTGCTCTCTGGTGGTGTTGGAATCTGCATTAGTCTGTGGGTTTGGAGGAGAGTGATTCAGGCCATGGGGAAGAATCTGACACTGTAACACCCTCTCGTGCCTTCGGTACTGGACTGGCTCCTGCCCCCTCACTATGGTGATTGCATCAAATATCGGCCTCCCCATCAGTACAACACGTTGTAACATGGGCTCCTTTGTACCTGGCTTTAATCCAAGAAAGTTGTTGACTTGACTCTTTCGTGATATTGTATAGCCTGGTTTGTCACAGTCTTTATTTCTGGAATTGTCAGTGCTGCCATCTTGGCTGTCTTCAAGTATGTCATCCTCACAGTGTGAAGCTGTTTGACATTAACATTTTTGTCAATGTTTGGGACTACCTTACATATTCCGGCCCTCTCAAAGAATGATTACAGTGTTAGGGAAGGCTGACACGAGTCTACTTAAATTTGGGAGCCAGAGAAGGAAAGTGTTATTGTGCTACAGTTGTTTGGTGATAAATATGGTTAGGTTCAAAACGAGCTATGTAATGTAGCCAGGTTTCCACTGAGTTCCACTTTGCTTCTTGGCTGTCTATTCCTGTGCATGTTTCTATACATTTTGTATCAGGCTTCAATTCCATTATGTTTAAAATGTTGTCTCTAAAGATAACCAAAGATTTTTTTAAAACAGCCAAACATGCAGTCATTTGACAGAGTGTGCTCTGCATTGTTAGTCTCACCATCTTCTGCCCTAACAAGCACTGAATCTGACAACGCAAATATCACTGAAGCTTTCCTTGGAGTAGCTCCTGTAATTAGAATAATTGGTACTCTGCCCTCCTGTCAGTGGTGGAACGTTCTATTGGCATATGTGGAAGCCTCTTAGAGGGACGAGTTTCTTTGAACACAATAAAATTTTAAGTTAGGAATAACTTATTTGAAAGCAATTCATTGAAGGTTATTGCTAAGAAGTTAGAAGCAAAGTCTTTTGGCAGTCATTTCTTCAAGATGTATGGCAGTGTGGGAGGGATATATAAAGTGGAATAGGAACTTGGGCTAGTTAAATGGAATAGTCTCCAATGTTAATCTGTTTACCTCTTAACTGAATGAAAAAGCCTATAGTTGTAAGAAAAGAAAAAAAATACAATCCTCACACATTACCTTCTCATCAGCATAATTAATCTATATTGAAGATGAGTGTGGCAATGCAGAGACTCTATATAGGGAAATGTAAAGACAATGGGAGAAAAAATTCAAGGACAGTAGAGCAACTGGAAGCTTCTGACACCAACAGCTTGATGAACGGGGTCACTCAACCCTTGGTGGACACAGAGTCACTTCTCTTAGGGAAATTGCAGTATTCTCAGGTGACAATATGCAAACATGATGAATGTACACTTGCTACGTCTCCAATTCTGTACTGTTTTCCTTACTTCTGTTTGGAGAAGGAAGTCATATACTCAGGTCTAGTATCCATGTAGGGGGTGCTCCCCATTTGCAAGATACTAGAAAAAATGGCAAGTTAGAGGCCCACTGTTGTAAAAATCAACTAGTTCTGTGTGTGTTTGTATGTGTGTGTGTGTGTGTGTGTGTGTGTGTGTGTGTGTTATTGAAAAAGAAGACATGGAGTGGGCATTCATCCACAAGTATATATACCTACAGGTATTCTTAGATGTAATATTCAATTGCAGGAGACCAAACAAGATAAAGCATCCCCGAAAACCCTTCAAAATTTTTGTGCTTACAATGTGTCCACTGATTAAATGCATCCTGAGCTCCAGGGAGGGGCTCCCTGATGGTTTCTTAGAGTTCACTGGGTCTCCTAAGGTCAATGTTTTCAAAAGATGGTGTCAGTAACATATGGTGTCACTGAAGGAGCATTTTAAACTAGGGCATGACCTCTTCCTATAGCCCTAGAAACACTGAGAGATAAATCCTCTGTGAGCCCAGATGGAAACCTCCATGCAGGGCAGAGGCAGTGCTGCAGGGGGCACCCAGGACCCACCCAGAGCAGGCTCCAGCCCCAGAGCTGGTGCACATGAGGCTGCAGAGGGGATTTCTCTGAGAACTGAGTGTTGTTTTATTGAAAATCAAAAAATTATAACATGTTAAAATTAGAATTTTGCAAAGACTATTTCTATTATCTCTATACATTTAGAAATAAATAAATCAACAATTCAGTGAGAACCACATTTAAAAGGCAAAATTATTACAGGTTTGAGATATTTTCCTAGTAAAAAGATGAAGAACAGGGATGATTTTATTAAATCAAAATGTACACATTTCAGAAGACACATAGATCCCAAGAGTAAGACTGCAGACAGCAAAACCTAGAAAGAGTGGAGGCTGTCCATGTGCTATGTCCTGTGTGAGTCACCTTCTTAGTGGAGAAGTTCTCCCTTCACAAAGTTCTGGGCATATAAAGGGAAACACGACATTAAATAAGAATGAGGACTTGCACCTCAGCATCCCACAGTTGTGTGGCTCATGTGAGATCTATTTTCTCTTTCTCATGCTGGATCAAGTGTAAGGCTATGAAGTAGTAGTTCTTGTGAATATGCAAATCACCTGAGGTGAACACTACAGATATGTCTGCGCCCTGAGAGCATCACCCAATAACCACACACGTCCTCTAGAGAAGCCCCTGAGAGCACAGCTCCTCACCATGGGCTGGACTTGGAGGATCCTGTTTTTGGTGGTCATAGCTGCAGGTAGGATAATTCTCAGTCCCCAGGACTAAGGTGACTGGGTCCAGTCAAAGGGGGTTTTATCCACTCCTGTGTCCTCTCCACAGGTGCCCAGTCCCAGGTACAGCTGATGCAGTCTGGGGCTGAGGTGAAGAAGCCTGGGGCCTCAGTGAGGATCTCCTGCAAGGCTTCTGGATACACCTTCACCAGCTACTGTATGCACTGGGTGTGCCAGGCCCATGCACAAGGGCTTGAGTGGATGGGATTGGTGTGCCCTAGTGATGGCAGCACAAGCTATGCACAGAAGTTCCAGGGCAGAGTCACCATAACCAGGGACACATCCATGGGCACAGCCTACATGGAGCTAAGCAGCCTGAGATCTGAGGACACGGCCATGTATTACTGTGTGAGAGACACAATGTGAAAACCCACATCCTGAGAGTGTCAGAAATTGCAGGGAGGAGGCAGCTGTGTTCCTGCAGAGGAGATGACAGGGAAGATGAGGTTTAAAGTTGTTTAGAAAATGGGTCAAGTAACTGAGGACAAGGATCAATAGAAACAAGGACACACTCTAATTTTATAATAAATATTTTATTCAAGAGTCACCGTATACAGAAAATTCAAAGATTAGGAAAGGCCCTGTATTAGTCCATTATCATGCTGCTAATAAAGACATACCTGAGACCAAATAATTTATAAAGAAAAGTGGTTTAATGGAATCATAGTTCCACATGGCTGAGGTGGTCTCATAATCATGGAAGAAGATGAAGGAAGAGTAAACTGATGTCTTACACGGCAGCAGGCAAGAGACACCTTGTGCCAGGGGAACTCCTGTTTATAAAACTGTCAGATCTCATGAGACATATTCACTACCACGAGAACAGTATGGGGGAAATCGCCCCCATGATTCAATTACGTCCACCTGACCCCACCCTTGACACATGGGAATTATTAAAACTCAAGATGAGATTTGGGTGGGGATACAGTCAAACCATATCAATAAAGCTGATACAAACATTCCCATGAATATATTATTGTGAACAAGTTTTCAAATTAGATGGATGAATAATTTGAGCAAGATTATTTGATCACATGGTAAGACTAAGTATGATTCTGAAAAATGTCCAAAATGTCTTCCAAGAATGTCTCTGCTACTGTTGTTGCATAAAATTTATTTTAGAGTGGTTTTAGGATAACAGTGAACTTGAACAGAAAGTACCAGAGCTCCCAGGAATCCCCATCCAACACAGGCACAGCCTTCTCCACTATCTGCATCCTGCACCAGAGTCATATCAGCAAGTTACAAATGATGAACCTACATGGACACTTTGGTTCTTTCTTTTCCTGGTGATCCCGTGGTGTAACAAACATAAATTATCTTGGAGCACCAGAGGTATTTTCAGAGGGTTTCTAGGAATGATATTAGAGGGAAAGTGGGTAAGGGTATTCCTATCCATGCCTCTAAAAGTCCAGCAAGTTCTAGTGAATTCTACAATGAATGTTCTTTAATAAGAAGTGGAGACCTTGACCATGAGAGATGTCATGTATGAGGCCCTGTAGATGGATTACCTACACTGTAGGCTCATGGGGCATGTTTATGGATGAATCCCTTTTTGCAGCAAATGCAAGCACATGCATGGGATCCAGGCAGGGACAAAAGCTCCCCCTTAGGAAGGAGGTGGGCACCTGGAAGGCCCCTCACTGAGGTGGACACTGGTGTCCTGTGCTGGCTGCACGTTGTCAAGAGGCATGAGCCTGATTGGGCTTGTAGAGGGAGAGCCTCATTGGGGTCACAGGTTATAATAATGTCTGCCATTCTCCAGCTGAGCAAGCCCATCTGCTTGCTTGCCAGTGTCAATGCCATGTTGGGGTGCACTCTGGAAGATGACAAGATGCACACAAACCTCCTCCCACTAATTATCCACTACTAATCATTCAAAAACAACCTGAGCTCCAAAAATGGATATGCGCCTGCAGGGATAAACAGAACTTAAGTATTTTCTTATCTGGGAAAGACACTGCCAAATACTACACATTTCAGGAAAATTAGTTTGGAATGTTTAAAAAGTGACTGAAGGGCAATGGTGGGTGAGGTGATGGGACAGCCTCAGGGCTGCACATGAGGAGGGCTCCCTCCCCGATGCAGGCTTTTCCTCCAGGAACTGCACCAGGAACTGAGGAAGGATTAGGGAGAATCATGGAAACATCCTTCTGCGGTGCTTGCTAAGGAGAGGAAATAAATTATGAGTAAAAAATTCCCTCCGAATAAAGTATGGGCATTTGTTCATACAAATCTGTATTTCTCAAAGCTTGTGGAGGTCCTGACATAGCCACCATTAGCTGAGAACAAACATTTCACCCCTCCGTGCATGGGGAGGTCAAGCAGGCTGGAGGGTGTCCCTTTGCGGATGATATTTCCCAGCCCCTTCGTCTTCCCTGCTCATCCCTGGGCCTCTGTGTGACGAGTGCTCATCAGTGGAATGTAGTTGATGTAGTGTGGTCTTCAGTTTTCTCATCTTCTTTGTTCTCATGTTCCTCTCATGGTGTGAGGTTAAGAAACTCATCTGCAACATAGCACATGACAGTGTAATCTCTCTTGTGGACAAAAAATTGGCAAAGGAGACCGCCAAGTTGACCATCCCGTATAGCTGACAGTGACCACCACAGGTCAACGTCCCCTCCACAATCCTGTGTCGGAACATCATCTGAGTCACTTTATTAGCAATTTTTCTCGAGAATTATCTTAAAAACTACTTGTCTCATTTTCCATGCAGTTATAACCTATTTTTCCTAGAGGACAGAGAGAGCTGAATACTGAATATATTGCATGTCTCCTGGTGTTGCAAGTTTGTGACTTTATCACTTTCTAATTTCTTATCTGCGCAGACCACTCTACAGATTTTTTCACTGTTGTGACCAGCATTCTGAATATCAAGTATATTTGACGTTCTTCATATATCATTCAGCACCAGCTTCTCATCATTTCAGTCCTCACTGACCACTCTAACTTACACAATGTGTTTCTTTATTTGTTTAATTCTGGCATCTCTCCTTAAATTTCACCATGCCCATTTTATGTTATTTCTACAGGTGATTGATTGTTAATTTTAAATTTTACTTGTGCTTACTTTAATCAGGCAATAACCTAAGATAAAAAAACATTGTAAATAAAAGTAAATGCAGTAATATTTAAGGTAAGTAAGCCAACAGCTGAAGAAAAGGGAAATCCATTATCCTGGGTAAGTGAGTATGGGGAACTCATAGTATGATTATCTTCTTCAGTTTAATTAATACTGCTACGCAAGTTATAGTCTCCTCTCTCTTTATATCAAAACTTTCCCTAACATGTACAATGAAGACTCAGCACAGATACCTTCCACCAGACTAACCTAGCACCTCTCAGCGAGTGCCTGAGCTGATAGTGATAGATATCACATTTGTCTAACAAAAAATGACACCCTTTAAGGATATCCACCAGCCATATGGGGACAATTTGAATAATTTAGATAAAGCCCAAACTTGATAGGTAGTAATTTATAATGAGAAACTGACTCCTATCTTCACATGGGATGTTTTTAGGTTTTGTGGTTTCTTTTTTTTCCATAGAGAACCTGCTAACGCCACTGTCCAAGTTCTGGATATCTTATTTCCCAGTATGAGAGACTGCATATTATGATCTGACACAAAGGAATGTAGCTGTTGTTAGGGATAGGAGACGTGATCGTAAGAACATGAGCAGGGATCCAGCAGTGCTTTGTCTTTTCACAGTTGCCCAGACAGAGACCCAGGAGAACAATGGGAGAATTGACTTCAGTCTCTCCAGTCCCATATGAGTATTATACCAGATGTTTTATGCCACTGTTTCATAGTAGAAAAATTAGTCTCTAAAGAAAGTCAGTTTTGAGGACAATACTATTTTCCAGTATCCTTCAAATGCCCCAAATCAGAGAGCACCACAGTGCCCCATGGCCAGGAGCTACAAGACCTGGGCCTAGAAAACAAATGACAGAAATATCAGTTTATCTTACCGCATCTGTCATAAAAATTTGAAGACTGTTTCCTTCCATCTGGATAATCATAGGTTGTGATAGACTGGAGCTGCTGGTCTATAAAAATAAACTGGTCTGCAGTGGGTACAGAATTAGACCCATAATATAATTGTTCTCCTGAGGTCCTTATGCTGTTAGACCAGCTGACCAAGAAAGTGTTTTAAGAGCTGCAGTGTTTATTGGATCCTGTCATATTTGGGGCTACATTTGCAGCTACCAAGAGAAACAGAAAGAAGTCCATTTGGCCCAGGTAGAGTCAATTAATTTCTTTTATTTTATTCAAATGAGGTAAAAAAATGCATCAACCAAAATGCAGATGATGATCAAGTGATCAAGGACAACAGCCACTCAGTGTTTCAGGTGTGTTTTAGCCCAAAAGCCACACAACATGTGAGAACCTGAACTCTGGAGTCCTGGCCATCTCTGAGGAGAATCTAGATGGTGGAAGGGAAGACACAATCATTAACATCTAGGGAAATTTCAGGGCTACCTGCTGTAGTAGAAAGCAAACCTTGAGCCTCTGAGACAGTGTGATGTCCATGGAGACTGAGACAGCTACTGTCTCAAGCCCCTGGTCATGGAATAGTCTCAATGTTTGTCTGTGTGTCACTGTAGAACATTGTGTGTAAGTGGGATGATGCATACAACTGTGTCTGTGTGTTTGTGAATGTGTGTGTGTGAGGGTGTGAGCTTGTGTGTGCCTGTGTTTTATATTAAAATGAGTTACTTAGTTTGTGATTGTTACACTATATCTTCGACCAAGTGTGTGGGAGAACTTGTTTGTGTGTTTCTGTTAGTTTGTAAAAGCGTATGCTATTTTGAGTGTGTGTGAGTGCGTTCTTCAATATTTGAGCCTATCAATTTGCATGAATGTTAATTTTCCTGAGTATGTGTGAGTTGCATACTTGACTGGGTGAATACAAAGTATCTGAGATAGGTGTCAGGCAATTTAGGAAGTTTGTTTTGCCAAAGTTAAGGACACACACCTGTGACACAGCCTCGGGAGGTTCTGATGACATGAGCCCAAGGTGGTCAGGACACAGCTTGGTTTTATACATTTTAGGAAGACATGAGACATCAAACAATATGTGTAAGATGTACATTGGTTGGCCTGGTGCAGTGGCTCATGCCTGTAATCCCAGCACTTTGGGAGGCCGAGGTGGGCAGATCATTTGATGTCAGGAATTCCACACCAGCCTGGTCAACATGGTGAAACCCCATCTCTACTGAAAATACAGAAATTAGCTGGGTGTGGTGATGCACGCCTGCAGTCCCAGCTACTTGGGAGGCTGAGGCAGGAGAATTGCTTGAACCTGGGAGGTGGAGATTGCAGTGAGCCGAGATCGTGCCACTGCACTCCAGACTGGGTGACAGAGCAAGACTCTGTCTTAAGAAAAAAAATACATTGATTCATTCCAGAAAGGTGTGAAAACTTGAAGGGGGTTTCCATATGTAGGTGAGAGACAAAGGGTTGCATTCTTTTGAGTTTCTGATTAGCTTTTCCAAAAGACTCAATCAGATATGCTTTTATCTCTGTGAGCAGATGGATGACTTTGAATAGAGTAGTAGACAAGTTTGCCCTAGTAGTTTCTAACTTGACTTTTCTCTTCAGCTGTGTGATCTTAGGGTCCCAAGATTTACTTACCTTTCAGAAGTGAATATAGTTGATTTGATGCTAGTGTGACCAGGAATATTTGAGTGTGTGTGTGCTCTTTGCATTACTTGGTGAGTGTGTGCCCCGTGTGTGTGTGTGTGGGTCATTACCTGTGACTCTACATATGAGGGTGTTGACAGTGTGTGTGAGTCTGTGAGCATGTTTATATGCATGTGGATTGTTAGTATGCATGCTTTTAGAGACTTTTTTTTTTTGAGGCGGAGTTTCACTCTTGTTACCCAGGCTGGAGTGCAGTGTCATGATCTCAGCTCACTGCAACCTCTGCCTCTCTGGTTCAAGTTATTCTCCCACCTCAGGCTCCTGAGTAGCTGGGATTACAGGCATGTTCCACCATGCCTAGCTAATTTTTGTACTTTTATTAGAGATGGGGTTTCACCATGCTGGCCAGGATGGTCTCTCTTGACCTCAGGTGATCCTCCCGCCTTGGCCTACCAAAGTACTGGGATTACAGGCATGAACCACTGTGCCCAGGCTCTTTTGTTTATTTATTTATTTTTAAATGGAGTCTTGCTCTGTCGCCAGGCTGGAGTGCAGTGGCGTGATCTCAGCTCACTGCAACCTCTGCCTCCGGGGTTCAAGCGATTCTCCTGCCTCAGCCTCCTGAGTAGCTGGGACTACAGGTGTGTGCCACCATGCCCAGCTAATTTTTGTATTTTTAGTAGAGATGGGATTTCACCATGTTGGCCAGGATGGTCTTGATCTCTTGACCTTGTAATCTGCCCGCCTTGGCCTCCCAGAGTGCTGGGATTACAGGCATGAGCCACCGCACCTAGCCAGAGATTCATCTCTTGACCTCAGTGTCACATGTCTGAAAATACCAAGTATGTTTGAGTGTCAGAACCTGAGAAAGAAGCGTTGCCTATAATAAAACCTTCATAAAATAAACAACTGATTTCTCACCAAATTCATGAAGACAAAAACTCATTGAGGTGGCATATCAAAAGGCTGAAATACACTGTCAATCAAGAATTATACACTTTCTAAGAAACCTTCAAAAGTGAAGGAGAAATTAAGGTGAATATAAATAAACAAACGCTGATGGAGTTCATGAAACCTAGACAGTCCTTATGAGAAATGCTAAATGGAGTCCCACAGACAGAACTGAAAGGAGAGTGGAGAGGAGCAGAAAATCTTACACCTAAAAAGAACAACAGCAACAAGGAAGGTGTCCCAGAAATGTCATTACATTTGTGTATGTGAGCGCCAATAGCGTTTTATTCTGCCCTGAGTCTCATGTTTCATTCCTCCATTATTTTGAAAATCAAGTACTATAATATTAATTATACATGTGAATAATATACATATAATTTGTAAAATACTAATATATAGTAATAACACAGTAAGGGAAAATGGATAGAGCTGTAGAGACACAGATTTGTATGCACTATTGATGCTAAGGTAATCATAATTCAATCTATTTTGTTATAAATTTGAATTACCAATTTTAGTGTCCATGTTAGCTATAAATATGTAAGTAAAAGTTAAAAAAAAAATCAGCATGACAGCTGAATAGATGTGCCTGACATTTGTCAATCCCATATGACAGAATGACAGAATTGAATAAACAGCTAAGACTAGACTGGGCTGATGAAAGGGAGATGTAGAGGATAGCAGGGGAGAGGAGAGGTCCCTGTGGTTATTAGAAGCCCAGTAGTGCTGTGTGAAAGCACCCTGTGTCTGCAGCTTCATACTCGAGATTCACATGGAATTATCCCTGGTGAGGAAAGTTAAGTAGAAGAAGCACATCAGGCCCTACTGCAATCACACATATCAACAATCCTTACTACAAAATAAATTCACAGGGCTTGCAAACCCTGAGCTCAACTTGGAGAGCTGGAAGGAATTCATGCATCTGTACTGCACAAGATTCGGAGCAAAATCTGTACTCCTTGCCCACCACCCATCCCATTAGCCAAAATGCTATAGCCTGTCACAACTTTGAGACCAGAGACACTTCTGGAGGGTGCCCTTCTTTGGGGCAGTAGTCATTGCATGTCTCCACACTGGGCCTCTGTTTCCATTCCATCAAACACACAAGTGGGTAAAGGCCACAATACTGGCTGCACAAAGCCTAGACCCAAGATCCCCTTTGGCTCTGGTGTTGCCCAGCAGGAAACTAACCCCTGAACAGGGCAATAACAAGTCACAAAATTGAAGCATTAATAAAAGGTCTTCCAGGAAAGAAAAAAAACCCAGGACTCAATGGCTTCATTGCACAATTGTGACAAACATTTAAAGAAGAAACAATATCTATCCTCCTCAAAATATTAAAAAGTAGGTAGAGAAGGAGGGAGTACTTTCAAACCTGCTCTATGAGACCAGTATTACCCTGAAATGAAAACCAAATAAAAACATAAAAAACACTACAGGCCAATATCTCTGATGAATACAGATGCAAAAATCCTCAAGGAAAACTTAGCAAACACAATTCAACAACACATTAAAAAAATCATGCATCATGACCAAGTTCAGTTTATCCCAGTGATTCAAGGATGGTCCAACATATGGAAATCAATCAATGTGACACATCACATCAACAGAAAGGACAAAGGCCATAAGATCAGGCTGCACCTTGTCCTTCTCATTCAAAGTCTACCATCAGAGCTTTGGTCCTCTTGCCCAGTCCTGCTGTACTTGGTCTCCTGTGATTCCTCTCCCAGATCCTGAAACCTTCGGCTTCTGTGCACCTGCAGTCTCTCACCTCCCTGGACATGGAGATTCTGTATTCTCAGAGACAGATGATGCCTCATTGTGGCTCCTATGGCCCATGCAAATGATTTCCCCAACACAGCCATGAGTTTTCCTGTATGAAATTGAAAGGGGATGTGGGAAACTGGTGTGCGTGTGTGTGTGTGTGTGTGTGTGTGTGTGTTCACAGTGGTACAAAAGGAGTCCTCAGGCCTGCTAAGGTGTTGTGAACTAGGGTGATGTTGTCACTCAAGACTACAATGGGGGCTCCATGAAGAGAAATCTAGAAAAGGATGAGCATATGAGCAAAGAAGCAAAACCTGGGGAGTAGCAGGGAGGGGACCAGGAGCGGTGACTCAACCGGGCAGGGAAAACACCATGTACAACAGAGGGTGAGAATTCTGTGCTCAGCAAAGAGGAGAACTCACTCAGCATTTCTCTCAATTTTCCCTCAAGAACTTTCCTGTGCCAGGAAAGTTCACAATGGAGAATCTCCAGCTCCAGGTGGGACCCCAAAAGAAGCAGGGGGACTTTAGGCCATAGGTCTTTGGCACAAGGTTTTTCCCCAGTTCCTACCCCTTTCCTTTCCTCTCTGTCCAGCAAACCTGCTTGTTTCTGTCACCTGCCTTCCTGCCCTTGGGGTAAGAATGGATGCCTTGACACTCAGCAGAGGGCTGCTCTTTCAGAGGAGGAATGAGTTTGTGTCATCTGACCCCTGAGCAGGAAAATCATCCCTGGGAAGAGGTTCCAAGACAGAGGTCGGCCGTGTGCGGGGCTCCTGGCACATGCACAGTTCTCCTCAAACTCTGTTTATACCCCAGCAACAATGCTGGGTGTTGTCAGCCTCTCTCCTCCCCAGATATCGCTCTGTCATCAGCCAAGGAACAAATTCCCCATGAAAGGCATTATTCTTTCTCTCAAGAAGATCAACTACTTATATTTCTTCCTTTGCTGACAGCTTTGCAGGGTGAACATCTAGAATTTAAAAAAGGGTTGATGGGGACAAGTGAGCTCTCTGTGTGACTCACCAGGATGTTCCCTCTTATTGCAGGTGTCCTGTCCCATGTGCAGGTGCAGGAGTCAGGTCCAGGACCCATGAGGCCCTCAGACACTGCCCTCCACCTGTGCTGTGTCTGGATTCTTTTTTACCATGGATACTATTTGAGCTGAATCCACCATCCCCTGGGCAACAGGCTGGAATGGCTGGGGCACAGTTACTAGAGTCGATCACCAAGGAATACACATCATGCTCCCTCCACCCAGGTCCATGTCCCCATCAACAATGACTCAACCAAGAGCCAGTTCTCTGTGAAGCTCAGCTCCACGGCTGCCCAGGACACAGCTGAGTATTACTGTGAAAGACTCAATGAGGAGGTGTCCTTGTGAGCCCTGACACAAACCTTGCTGGCAGGGCACTCAGGACCGCCAGGAAGACTCAGGACCACAGGGGGGACTCAAGACCACCAGGGAAGAGCAGGTTGCAGGAAGCACAGGGCCACCCCCAGAGCAGGTGGGGGTAGAGATGAGAGGTTGGTTTACTGCCAGGGTCTGGGGTTGCCTCACCATCTTCATGTTTCCTCCAGGGACCCTCTCTTATTTCATGATGCTGTGTCTAGCTCTACATCTCTAAAATACCACAGTTTTGTTGTACCAGGAGGAAACCTTCTCACACGCCCTAAATGTAGAGCAATCTCTCTGCCAGTGGTCACTAGGATCACAGCCCTGAGGAAGCTGAGGGTAACCTGGTGAATCTTCTCCAGTCACATTCGGGACAGGAACCTTAGTGGGGTTCCCTGAGGAGAACAGTCTCAGGAATCCTAACCTCAGCCAAGACAGAGGCTGGGCCAGATCAATGTCAGATAGAACCTCACAAGTTTTATGTCTGACCCTTCTCCACCAACAATAAAGCATGACAATCAGTATCAAAGCTGAGTTGTGTTCATGAGGAAGATGGCACTATTGTGTCTTCTCCTGCATTGCCCCATCACACAGGTGAGGAATTTTTGAAACCAGTGAAGTGTGAGTGCACAGTAAATGATGAAGTTATCATATATCCATGAACTTTCATTAATAGGCCAAGGCCTTCTACAGATCACTCATGCACAAATATCCAAAATGGGTTTTTGCATTTTTGGATGTCTAGAGAAAAATATCTGTTGAGGAAACTTCCTCAGCTTACAGAGATCTGCTTAAGTTTGAGATCCCATAGGAGAGTGTCTTTGAGTGAATTCCAGTCTATTAATTAAATAGGTCCAAATTCTCTCTGTTGGAGTAGCCTTCCAATTGTGCTGATTGCTTTTTTCTTTTTTTAATTATACTTTAAGTTTTAGGGTACATGTACACAACGTGCAGGTTTGTTACATATGCATACATGTGCCATGTTGGTGTGTTGCACCCATTAACTCATCATTTACATTAGGTATATCTCCTAATGCTATCCCTCCCCCCCACACCCCCTCACCCCACAACAGGCCCTGGTGTGTGATGTTCCCCTTCCTGTGTCCATGTGTTCTCATTGTTCAATTCCCACCTATGAGTGAGAACATGCGGTGTTTGGTTTTTTGTTCTGGTGATAGTTTGCTGAGAATGATGGTTCCCAGCTTCATCCATGTCCCTACAAAGGACATGAACTCATTCATTTTTTATGGCTGCATAGTATTCCATGGTGTATATGTGCTACATTTTCTTAATCCAGTCTATCATTGTTGGACATTTGGGTTGGTTCCAAGTCTTTGCTACAGTGAATAGTGCCACAATAAACATACATGTGCATGTGTCTTTATAGCAGCAAGATTTAAAATCCTTTGGGTATATACACAGTAATGAGATGGCTGGGTCAAATGGTATTTCTAGTTCTAGATCCCTAAGGAATTGCCACACTGACTTCCACAATGGTTGAACTAGTTTACAGTCCCACCAACAGTGTGAAAGTATTCCTATTTCTCCACATCCTCTCCAGCACCTGTTGTTTCCTGACTTTTTAATGATCGTCATTCTAACTGGTGTGAGATGGTATCTCATCGTGGTTTTGATTTGCATTTCTCTGATGGCCAGTGAAGATGAGCATTTTTTCATGTGTCTTTTGGCTGCACAAATGTTTTCTTTTGAGAAGTGTCTGTTCATATCCTTCACCCACTTGTTGATGGGGTTGTTTGTTTTTTTCTTGTAAATTTGTTTGGGTTCTTTGTAGATTCTGGATATTAGCCCTTTGTCAGATGAGTAGATTGCAAAAATTTTCTCCCATTCTGTAGGTTGCCTGTTCACTCTGATGGTAGTTTCTTTTGCTGTGCAGAAGCTCTTTAGTTTAATTAGATCCCATTTGTCAATTTTGGCTTTTGTTGCCATTGCTTCTTGTGTTTTCGACATGAAGTCCTTGCCCAAGCCTATGTCCTGAATGGTATTGCCTAGGTTTTCTTCTAGGGTTTTTATGGTTTTAGATCTAACGTTTAAGTCTTTGATCCATCTTAATTTAATTTTTTTATAAGGTGTAAGGAAGGGATCCAGTTTCAGCTTTCTACATATGGCTAGCCAGTTTTCCCAGCACCGTTTATTAAATAGGGAATCTTTTCCCCATATTTTGTTTTGGTCAGGTTTGTCAAAGATCAGATAGTTGTAGATATGTGGCAATATTTCTGAGGGCTCTGTTCTGTTCCATTAGTCTATATCTCTGTTTAGGTACCAGTACCATACTGTTTTGGTTGCTGTAGCCTTGTAGTATAGTTTGAAGTCAGGTAGTGTGATGGCTCCAGTTTTGTTCTTTTGGCTTAGGATTGACTTGGCAATGCGGGGTCCTTTTTGATTCCATATGAACTTTAAAGTAGTTTTTTCCAATTCTGTGAAGAAAGTCATTGGTAGCTTGATGGGGATGGCATTGAATCTATAAATTACCTTGGGCAGTATGGCCATTTTCACGATATTGATTCTTCCTACCCATGAGCATGGAATGTTCTTCCATTTGTTTATATCATCTTCTTTTGTTTCATTGAGCAGTGGTTTGTAGTTCTCCTTGAATAGGTCCTTCACCTCCCTTGTAAGTTGGATTCCTAGGTATTTTATTCTCTTTGAAGCAATTGTGAATGGGAGTTCACTCATGATTTGGCTCTCTGTCTGTTATTGGTGTATAAGAATGCTTGTGATTTCTGCACATTGATTTTGTATCGTGAGACTTTGCTGAAGTTGCTTATCAGCTTAAGGAGATTTTGGGCTGAGACAATGGGGTTTTCTAGATATACAATCATGTCATCTGCAAACAGGGACAATTTGACTTCCTCTTTTCTTCATTGAATACCCTTTATTTCCTTCTCCTGCCTGATTGCCCTGGCCAAAACTTCCAACACTATGTTGAATAGGAGTGATGAGAGAGGGCATCCCTGTCTTGTACCAGTTTTCAAAGGGAATGCTTCCAGTTTTTGCCCATTCAGTATGATATTGGCTGTGGGTTTGTCATAGATAGCTCTTATTATTTTGAAATACGTCCCATCAATACCTAACTTATTGAGAGTTTTTAGCATGAAGGGTTGTTGAATTTTGTCAAAGGCCTTTTCGTCATCTATTGAGATAATCATGTGGTTTTTGTCATTGGTTCTATTTATATGCTGGATTGCATTTATTGATTTGCGTATGTTGAACCAGCCTTGCATCCCAGGGATGAAGCCCACTTGATCACGGTGGATAAGCTTTTTGATGTGCTGCTGGATTCAGTTGGCCAGTATTTTATTGAGGATTTTTGCATCTATGTTCATCAGGGTTATTCGTCTAAAATTCTCTTTTTTTTTTTGTTGTGTCTCTGCCAGGCTTTGGTATCAGGATGATGCTGGCCTCATAAAATGAGTTAGGGAGGATTCCCTCTTTTTCTATAGATTGGAATAGTTTCAGGAGGAATGGTACCAGCTCCTCCTTGGACCTCTGGTAAAATTCGGCTGTGAATCCGTCTGGTCCTGGACATTTTTTAGTTGGTAGGCTATTAATTATTGCCTCAATTTCAGAGCCTGTTATTGGTCTATTCAAGGACTCAGCTTCTTCCTGGTTTAGTCTTGGGAGGGTGTATGTGACGAGGAATTTATCCATTTCTTCTAGATTTTCTAGTTTATTTGCGCAGAGGTGTTTATACTATTCTGTGATGGTAGTTTGTATTTCTGTGGGATCGGTGGTGATATCTCCTTTATCATTTTTTATTGCATCTATTTGATTCTTCTCTCTTTTCTTCTTTATTACTCTGGTTAGCGGTCTATCGATTTTGTTGATCTTTTCAAAAAACCATCTCCTGGATTCATTGATTTTTTGAAGGGCTTTTTGTGTGTCTATCTCCTTCAGTTCTGATCTGATCTTAGTTATTTCTTGCCTTCTGCTAGCTTTTGAATGTGTTTGCTCTTGCTTCTCTAGTTCATTTAATTGTGATGTTAGGGTGTCAATTTTAGATCTTTCCCTTTCTCTTGTGGGCATTTAGTGCTATAAATTTCCCTCTACACACTGCTTTAAATGTGTCCCAGAGATTCTGGTATGTTGTATCTTTGTTCTCGTTGGTTTCAAAGAACATCTTTATTTCCACCTTCATTTCATTATGTACCCAGTAGTCATTCAGGAGCAGTTTGTTCAGTTTCCATGTAGTTGAACGGTTTTGAGTGAGTTTCTTAATCCTGAGTTCTAGTTTGATTTCACTGTGGTCTGAGAGACAGTTTGTTATAATTTCTGTTCTTTTACATTTGCTGAGGAGAGCTTTACTTCCAACTATGTGGTCAGTTTTGGAGTAAGTGCGGTGTGGTGCTGAAAGAATGTATATTCTGTTGATTTGGCATAGAGAGTTCTGTAGATGTCTATTATGTCTGCTTGGTGCAGAGCTGAGTTCAATTCCTGGATATCCTTGTTAACTTTCTGTCTCGTTGATCTGTCTAATGTTGACAGTGGGGTGTTAAAGTCTCCCACTATTATTGTGTGGGAGTCTAAGTCTCTTTGTAGGTCTCTAAGGACTTGCTTTATGAATCTGGGTGCTCCTGTATTTGGTGCATATATATTTAGGATAGTTAACTCTTCTTGTTGAATTGATCCCTTTACCATTCTGTAATGGCCTTCTTTGTCTCTTCTGATCTTTGTTGGTTTAAAGTCTGTTTTATCGGAGACTAGGATTGCAACCCCTAACTTTTTTTGTTTTCCATTTGCTTGGTAGATCTTCCCCCATCCCTTTATTTTGAGCCTGTGTGTGTCTCTGCATGTGAGATGGGTTTCCTGAATACAGCACACTGATGGGTCTTGACTCTTTATCCAATTTCCCAGTCTGTGTCTTTAATTGGTGTACTGAGCCCATTTTCATTTAAGGTTAATGTTGTTATGTGTGAATTTGATCCTGTAATTGTGATGTTAGCTGGTTATTTGGCTCATTAGTTGATGCAGTTTCTTCCTAGCTTTGGTGGTCTTTACAATTTGGCATGTTTTTGCAGTGGCTGTTACCGATTGTTCCTTTCCATGTTTAGTGCTTCCTTCAGGAGCTCTTTTAGGGCAGGCCTGGTGGTGACAAAATCTCTCATCATTTGCTTATCTGTAAAGGATTGTATTTCTCCCTCACTTAGGAAGCTTAGTTTGGCTGGATATGAAATTCTGGGTTGAAAATTCTTTTCTTTAAGAATGTTGAATATTGGCCCCCACTCTCTTCTGGCTTGTAGAGTTTCTGATGAGAGATCCACTGTTAGTCCGATGGGCTTCCCTTTGTGGGTAACCCAACCTTTCTCTCTGGCTTCCCTTAACATTTTTTCCTTCATTTCAACTTTGGGGAATCTGACAATTATGTGTCTTGGAGTTGCTGTTCTCGAGGATTATCTTTGTGACATTCTCTGTATTTCCTGAATTGGAATGTTGGCCTGCCTTTCTAGATTGGGGAAGTTCTCCTGGATAATATCCTGCAGAGTGTTTTGCAACTTGGTTCCATTCTCCCTGTCACTTTCAGGTACACCAATCAGACGTAGATTTGGTCTTTTCACATAGTCCCATATTTCTTGGAGGATTTGTTCTTTTTATTCCTTTTTCTCTAAACTTCTTTTCTCACTTCATTTCATTCATTTGATCTTTCATCACGGATAACCTTTCTTCCAGTTGATCGAATCGGCTTCTGAAGCTTGTGCATTCATCACGTAGTTCTTGTGCCATGGTTTTCAGCTCCTTCAGATCCTTTAAGGACTTCTCTGCATTGGTTATTCTAGTTAGTTATTCGTCTAATCTTTTTTCAAGGTTTTTAACTTGTTTGCCATGGGTTTGAGCTTCCTCCTTTAGCTTGGAGAAGTTTGATAGTCTGAAGCCTTCTTCTCTCAACTCATCAAAGTCATTCTCCATCCAGCTTTGTTCCATTGCTGGTGAGGAGCTGCATTCCTTTGGAGAAGGAGAGGCACTCTGATTTTTAGAATTTTCAGTTTTTCTGCTCTGTTTTTTCCCCATCTTTGTGGTTTTATCTACCTTTGGTCTTTGATGATGGTGACGTACAGATGGGGTTTTGGTGTGGATGTCCTTTCTGTTTGTTAGTTTTCCTTCTAACAGTCAGGACCTTCAGTTGCAGGTCTGTTGGAGTTTGCCTGAGGTCCACTCCAGACCCTGTTTGCCTGGGTATCAGCAGTGGAGGCTGCAGAACAGTGAATACTGGTGAACAGCAAATGTTGCTGCCTGATCCTTCCTCTGGAGGTTTTGTCTCAGAGGAGTACCCAGCCATGTGAGATGTCAGTCTACCCCTACTGGGGAGTGCCTCCCAGTTAGGCTACCTGGGGGTCAGGGACCCACTTGAGGAGGCAGTCTGTCCATTCTCAGATCTCAGGCTGCATGCTGGGAGAACCACTACTGTCTTCAAAGCTGTCAAACAGGGACATTTAAGTCTGCAGAGGTTTCTGCTGCCTTTTATTTGGCTATGCCCTGCCCCCAGAGGTGGAGTCTACAGAGGCAGGCAGGCCTCCTTGAGCTGCGGTGGGCTCCACCCAGTTCGAGCTTCCTGGCCGCTTTGTTTATTTACTGAAGCCTTGGCAATGGTGGGCCCCCCTTCCCCAGCCTCGCTGTTGCCTTGCAGTTTGATCTCAGACTGCTGTGCTAGCAATGAGTGAGGCTCTGTGGGCGTAGGACCCTCCAAGATATGCACAGGATATAATCTCCTGGTGTGCTATTTGCTAAGATCGTCAGAAAAGCACAGTATTAGTGTGGGAGTGACCCGATTTTCCGGGTGCTGTCTGTCACCCCTTTCCTTGGCTAGGAAAGGGAATTCCCTGACCCCTTGCACTTCCCGGGTGAGGCAATTCCTCGCCCTGCTTCGGCTCATGCTCAGTGCGCTGCACCCACTGTCCTGCACCCACTGTCCGAAAGTCCCCGGTGAGATGAACCCAGTACCTCAGTTGGAAATGCAGAAATCATTCATCTTCTGTGTCGCTCACACTGTGAGCTGTAGACTGGAGTTGTTCCTATTCGGCCATTTTGGAACCGCCCCTGAGTTTTGGTTTCTTGATAGAACCTGGACAGGTGGGCTGAGGTGCTGTGGGACATAAGTGGGGAAGAGCTGGACCCAATATCCAGAACCAAGTGAGCTTTTACTCACCATGTGGTTTGGTTTCTGAGTTTATAGTTTGACCAGATGCAGAAGAGTTTGTCCAGGACTTCTGAGGGGTGAAGAACTTGAAGGGAGAATAATATAACTTATTAGTCAAATAAATGAAAATATCATAACTGTGCATATGTTCTTGTGAGTGGGGGTAGCTCAGCAGTGTGTGTTCATCCCCAGAAAAGAGAAAATCATGTCTGCTGTGGAAAGAAGACATAGCTTTTGACATATGTGGTTATTATTAATGACAGCTGAGCCTGGATACTAGATCATGTTATAATGCTAAAGGGAAGATTCAATAGAAGAAAGAATGTCATAGTAAAAACAAAAAAATTAAGCATCAAAGATTTAAATGAAATGACTTTGAATATTACTAGTAATGAACATGCCAAGAAAAATCAATTACTATAACCAGAAGAATAATTCATGACTGCCCATGGGATTCATGCTGAGAAGATATACAATTTCCATTTAATTTCCATTTACTGAAAATTAAATTAAATTTAGTGAGGGCTCATCACTACCCTCATAAAATGGTTCAGAGAGCAAGCGAAGAACAGAGTGTGAGCTTACAGCAAGTGGAGACCATCTCTTCTCCAATGTCCCACAGCTCCACAGCCCACCTGTCCAGGTTCTATCAAGGAATTTTAGCTCCTGCCCAGTAAAGGAAACAGTTGAGTGAGGAGAGAACCTGCAGATGATAGACAATATCTGAAAACTGTTCATTTGACAAGGGATTACTATAAAGCATATAAAATTAACTGAACTGCAATTAATAATGTGAATAATAATGGGCAAATAACATGAATGAACATCTGTCAAAAGAAGACGTGGAAAGGATCAATAGATAGATGATAAGTATATATGCACACATATGTTGCTAGACAGCACTAATATTCAGGAACATGCAAATTCACAATGAGATATCTTTTCATCCTTCATCTTTGCTGGAAAGTCTGTTAACAGAAAGCCAAAATAAGGAAAACAAAAGCTAGCAAGGCTGCATAGAAGGGGACACTCTTATTGACCACTGGTGGAAATGTAAATTAGTATAGCCATCATGGGAAAAAAATAGAACTGCCATATAATTCAGCAATCCAACTGCTGAGTATTTATCTATTTAAATAATTAAAAGAAAAAACTAAAATTGAAGAGATACCTGTACACCCATGTTTACTGCAGCACTAATTGCAATAGCTAAGCTATGAAATCAACATATGTGTCCATGAACAGATGAACGGATAAATAAAATGAGGTAAATTTACACAATGAAATATTATTCAGCCTTAAAAATGAAATTCTGCCATTTGAAGCAACATGGTTGGAACTGGACACCCTTATGTTGAATGAAAGCAGACAGACATAGAAAAATAAATACCACATTTTCTCAATTTAATGTGGAAGTTTAAGAAAGTTGATTTTCTAGAAGTAAATAGTAGAGTAGTGGTTATGAGATGCTCCAAATGGGAGGAGACTGAGAGACAAGAAGAGGCTTGTTAACAAATGCACAATTACAGGTAGACAGGAGGGATATGCTCTAGTGTTCTACAGCGCAGTACGGTGACTACAGCTAACAATATATTGTACGTTTACAAGTAGCCAAAAGAGAACATTTTGTATGCTACCAACACAAATAAATGTTAATGTCTGAGCTGATGAATTTTCTCATTGTTCTGATTTGGTCAAACCACATGGCAGAGATGTATTGAAATATCACACTGTACCCCATAAACACAAACAATCATTATCTGCCTACCTAAAAAATCCTTTAATTAAAAAGGATTGTATTGCCATACATTACAAGTGATTCAACACAGAGCCTGGAAAAAACACCATTTTTATTTGAAATAGTGAAATTCCTAACAACATAGTTACACTCATTTGCACCAAGCTGTGTATTTGATCATGGTAAGCATAGACAGACTTATGCATAGAATAATATATTTTAATTACAGACTTCTACTTAATACTATAAATGCCAATAAATTTAAAACAACTAAGCAAAAGGAATAAGGTTGATGAAATGTGTGTGGTGTGTGATGTGAGCGCTTTTTCTTTAACCACGCTGTCCATGTTGGATGTGCGGTGTGTGTCTGTGTCTGTGTTTACTCTGCTTGAGGTTCTCTGTGATTCTGGGATCTGTAGTTCAGTGTGTTTCACAAAATTGGGAACATTCTTAACCATTATTTTTTCAAATACTTTCTCTGTATCTATAATTTCTACTTTTCAGAATTAAAGTATACATTTACTACACTTTTGATATTGTTTAGTTTCTTCACTCTTTTCCTTTGCAATTTACTTGTTAAATTTCTAGTGACATTTTAAGTGCATGGTTTCATTTAAAAGCTGAGCCAGCTCTAATGAGGGGTGTGCCCAAAGATTGCTCAATGTTTATACTGCATTGCTTTTGATTTCTCATGCATTTCCATTTGATTACTTCTTAGTATTTTCATCTCTCAGTTCCCTATCTAGTCCTGCATTATGTCCACAGTTTCTTCAAGAGATTTTTACATATGAATTATAGTTACATTATATATCTTATTTAATTAGTTATAATACCTGTATCTTTTATAAATCCCTTTCTGATTATTTCTTTATTGTGACTTTGGCATTTCTCATTAATATATATAATAATCGTTGTTGATAACCAGACATGTTGGGTTTGACAGTTAATACTGGCTTATTTCATTTTATCCATTTTCTGCCTGTATTTGACCACACTTTATCTTCGCCAGGCAATTATTGTGGAAATGTCCGTGAATCTTCTCACAGCTACATTTGACATTTACTTTTGCAGTGGACATCAGAGTTGAAGTCTGTTCTGTGTCCACCAGAGACTTCAGATCCTCCAGTGATACCTTGTTTTTCTTTCCTGCTTGGCTTTGTCTCATCACCTGTTCCCTCCTCCAGAGAATCTCTTTCAGCTCCTTCAGGTGGGTTAAAATGTTATATTTAACTGACAATAGTGAAATTGGTTGAAGGCAATAGAATAAAGGGAGATTTTGCGACTTTTCCTGGGTCCATATTGTGATTCTGAGTCTGGGTGTGAGCTTTCCAGTGTTTCTGAACTTCCTCCAGATGAGATGTTGGTCTGCGTGTTCTTGCTCTTTTCCTGGGTAGAGTCCTCTTGTTTTCCCCAGTTGTTCCCTCCCTCAGCTCCAGTGTTCTCTTTTGGTGTTATCACCTTCCAGATTTGATGACCTGACGTTCAAATTAAGGCTCTGATTAAATAAGGAGGCAGCAAACGCCTGGGCAAAAAGCCGCGGCAACAAAAAGCCTCGCTGACGGGGGGAAAACAGCCGCAACGGCGGGGGCAAAAACCTGCAAAAAGCCGCGGCGGCGGAGCCAAAAAGCCGCGGCGGCAAAAAGCCACCGTGGCGGGCGCAAACAGCCGCAAAAAGCCGCGGTGGTGGGGGCAAAATCAGCGGGAGCTGGGGCAAAAAACCACAAAAAGCCGCGGCGGCGGGGGGAAAAAGACGCGACGCCAAAAAGCCTTAGCGGCGGGGGCAAAAAGCCGCGGCGGGGGGGCAAAAAGCCGCAGTGGCAGGGGGTCAAAAAGCTGCGACGGGCAAAAACCCGCGGCGGCAGGGGGGGCAAAAAGCCGGGGCGGGGAACAACCCGCGGTGGCGGGGGGACAAAAAGCCGGGGCGGGCAAAAATCCGGGGCGATGGGAGGCAAAAAGCCACGGCGGGGATAAAGCGGCGGTGGCGGAGGGGGCAAAAAGCCGCGGCGGCGGGGAGGCAAAAAGACGAGGCGGGCAAAAAGCCGCGGCGGCGGGGAGCAAAAAGCCACGGGGGTAAAAAGCTGAGTCGGGGTGGGGGTAAAAAGCCGCGGCGGCGGGGTGGCAAAAACCCAGAGCGGGCCAAAATCCGCGACTGCAAAGCCGCGGCGGGCAAAAAGCCGGGGCGGCAAAAAGCCGGAGCGGGCAAAAAGCCGCGGCCGGCAAGCCAGGGCGGCGGGGTCAAAAAGCCGCGGCTGGTAAAAAGTCGCGACGGCGGGGGGCAAAAAGCCGCGGCGACGGGGGCTGGGCAGAAAGCCGCGGCGGGGTGGGGGCAAAAAGCCGCGGCGGCTGGGGATAAAAAGTCGCGGCGGCGGCGGCGGCGGCGGCGGCGGGCCAAAAAACCGTGGCGGGGAAAAAGCCAAGGCGGGGTGGGGGCAAAAAGCTGCGGGGGCAGGGTGTAAAAAGCCACGGCGGGGAAAGCGGCGGCGGGGGGCAAAAAGCCGCGGCGGGGGGGCAAAAGCCTGAGCGGGCAAAAAGTCGCGGCGGCGGGGGGCGAAAAGCCGCGGCGGCTGAAAAGCCGCGGAGGCAAAAAGCCGCGGCCGCGGGGGGGTTGGGGGGGGGCGGGCAGAAAGCCGCGGCGGCGACGGGGGCACAAACCCGCAGCGGGCAAAAAGCCTAGTCAGGGTGGGAGCAAAAAGCCGCGGCGGCGGTGGGGCAAAAAGCCACTGGTGGCGGCGGGTAAAAAGTCGCGGCGGCGGGGGGCAAAAAGCCGTGGCGGGTAAGAAGCCGCGGCAGGGGGGAAAAAGCCACGGCGGGGGGGGCGGGGGGCAAAAAGCTGCGGCGGCAAAATTCGCAGCGGCGAGGGGTCAAAAAGCCGTGGCGGGCAAAAAGCCGAGGCGGGGTGGGGGCAAAATGCCGCGGCGGGTAGAAAGCCGCGGCGGCGGCGGACAAAATAGTGGAGATGGGATAGAAGGCTGGCACAGCTTGGCATTGCTGGAGTGTGATGTGATGGGAAATGTGCAGCCAAAGACAAAAAAAAGATGTAAGTAGGCTTGACTCATTGCAGCTAAGAACCCAGATGTTATCTTGAGGGTATTAACTAATAAGCAGTTTAAATCAGAATGGCACATTCTGATTTGTTTTTTGTATGTTCACATTTGGCAGGCATAGATACTGTTTGAAGAAAGAAAAGTCAGTAGAGAGACGTAACAAACTTCAATATGTGTCAAGTCTAGAAACAAGAGACCAGGGGGTTAAGGACCTTTCAAAATAAAATGCAAGATTTGAAAACTGATTGGCTGGGGGATGAGGAAAAGGCAGGTCTTTAAGGTCAATCCCTGTTTTGCTTTAAGTTGTTAGGGGGTGGTTTTATCACATATTGTAGAATATGTCATTTCAGTTTTGAACATCTGGAGTTAAATTGTCCTAACATATCTTATGAATTTGATTTTCTTCCCTGGGAAGCTAATATTTCAAAAACTTAAAGAGTATATAGATTTCCAACTTGTATCCAATTTATGAAACTATCTCTAGGCTGCTGATTTCAGGAGGAGGCTCATGAATATTCTCTTTGCAGAGAATATATCAGGAGTTAACAACAGCTTCAATATTTGTGGACGACCAGTTAACTAAGCCACCTCTTAGTGTATTTAGATGGGAAATCTTAGCTGAAGATATTCAATAATGAACCAAGAGTGACTAAAAAATTCAATATTGAAGTATATTTCATTGTAATTAATTTGAATTGAAGTAGCCATATACAGCTAGTATTTACTACATTGAACAATGCAAATAAGAGGAAAAAATTAATAACCATCTCTAATACCACATGCCAAAATCCTCATCAATTTATTCTAGCTAAAGGAGTTGATCAGAAGCAGCAGTTGAAAGCACCAACTAAACCAGCTGGGGTTAGTTCACTGTCATTCTCTCAGAACCCTCTCTTCTCTGAACAAAACAAGTACAAGAGTTCATTGTGAATCTGCATTCTCCTTGCGTATTTTAAGGTTTTGATGTTGACACTAATTTGTGAAATCCTCCTGTGGTGTGATATTTCGTTTTCCTTGCTTTCTGTTAGGACAAGAATGCTTCAGCTCTTAATTTAAAATTATGTTTCTCCCTTCTAGGTTGAGTGAACTTAGAATGCATTCTCTGACATATCCAAGTTTTTGTTAATATGAATTTTGGGAAAAAAGCATACTTAATTAGCTAAGACTTATTATTCTAGGCTTGACCCTATGTTCGACATCTTTTGAATTTCTAGTTGCATGGGCTGCTCTCTGACACTGGTTAGTGACCTGGAAGCTGTATTAATGTTAGGGGAGGTGGTGTATGAGCATTAGAGGTATCCTTGCAAGGAAAGACTTGTCGTATGTCAATACGTCTTTTTTTTTGCACACAAGAAAGTCAAAGTTTGAGTCTTCTAAAATCTTCCCATTTCCAAGTTGCAGAGTACCACTGATTCCTAAACAAAGACCTAATTTTTGACTCAGAGACGTGGCGAGGTAGTGAATCACCATTATAATGTAACAATCTTCAAGATAAAATTATCTCTGATATTTAGATTTTGCCCAATTATTAAGATATTTGGGTGTTTCGTTAAAAATGGAAGACTCTAGTCTCTTGAGCAGAGAATATAAAGGCCTCAGATGATCATTTTTAATTTTATGTTCTTTTCTTTAACACCTTCAACACAGTTGGAAGCAGCCGATATTCCCCAGAGTTGTTGTGTTTTTTAAACCAAATGCATGGTTCAGTGGTAGAAAACTGGGCTGATCCAAGCTGTTTTCAGTAAACACTTCATTTCAGGTGACCTATTTCATATTAAATAATCTCTAGATCCTGTCTTTGAAACTAACTAGATCAGATAACCTACCCTGGATTTTCTCCTTTTAGGGTCTGTGAGCTGCAGTCACTTTTGTGAAAATGATTGCAATGACAAGATAGAGTTGTAGATGGGGAAAATGTTTTGACTAATTTAAGCATAGTGGTATTTCTTATGAGAATTTAAGTTACACACATTTGAAAATTATAATGGAGTCTCTTGGCTGAGCTTTTAAAAAAATAGTGTTTAGGCTAAAAAGGGAACTGCTGCCTCTCCTAAAATCAGAAAGATGTTACAGTAATTCTCCATTCTCTAGAATTATCAAGAAGCACCTTTGTGATGATTTACTTTTGCTCTTGGGCGTGTGAGCCCGTGTAGTTGTGGAACCATCAATTAGAATGGTGGCTTTCTGATCCCAAAGTCATTCGTTCTGAAAACAATATTTTTCATAAATTTGAAAGTGAGAAGTTTTGATCTTGCCATTCCCAACTAACTCTCTTAATAAGAGGCATCAGCATGCTTCAGTGACAGCTGTCACCTTCCAGTGCTGAGAGTCATCTTTGAGTTCTCCATTTCACTCCCTACACTCCAATTTAGCTGCAGTTCTCTTGTCCAGTCCTATGAAATACATCCATGGCCTAATGACTTCTCACCACTACTACCACTCATCCTGACAGCATTCTCACCTAAGTCACTACCTTTTTTCTCTGGATTAGAGTAGCGTCCCCATTTATTTGCTCACATAACCTATTTATTCTACACAGTGCACCAGATACACCCCTTTGAAATGGAAACACTATCATGTTATTCTCTGGTGAAATTATCTCATATATTCCTATCGCATTTAAAATTACTTCAGAATCATCCCATGATTATCAAAACCCTACATGCTCTTCCACAACATGGTTTACTTCCAAGATATCTCTTCAACTTTTTTTTCACTGTACTGAATTGGTGACTAATAGTCATATTTTTGTTTTTGCTCAAAAAGTCTTGACTTGTAAATTTTTCAGTTTCTCCTTTATCCACAGGTAACTCTTTCCTCATAAGGCGAATTGCTTGCTTCCTTGAGTTCTGCTCTCAAAGATACCCTTCATTATCTACCTAATATTAATAACTTTAATCATTCATTATTCCATTACTATGCTCTATAGTGTATACAATTTCTGTTCTTTGTCATGTTATTAACTAAATTATTTATTTGGTCCAGTAACGTATTCCATAAATATTGTACACATAAAAATTATGTTATTTTTATTCCTGTATGCGCAGCTGCCCAATAACAGTCTGAGGATTAACATATTTGTTAAATGCACAAATACATTCTTTCACAAATATTAGTTTAATAATTTTATATTAAACTCCCTCTATACTTACAATATGAATTAGATAATTCAGAATAAACATTCCATTGGAAAAAACTAAACAATTTGTTATAAAAACATCCTTAAAAGCATCAGAAAGTTAATACAGCAATGAAGAATGACAGGACCAAATTAAGAATGGTATGAAAGCCTGTTTGTGACGCTTATGTTTGGGTTATCTCTTTACTTAGAGTGACTATAAATCTCAAAATAGAACTAAAGTGAGAAATAACCGTATCTACTAATATGGTAAGGGTACTTAAACATCTCTTAGTAATTGAGAAAATTGAAAGAAAAGAAAAAAGAGAAAGAGAGAAAGAGAAACAGTGGAAGGGATAATGAAGGAGAGAAAGAAGAGAAAGGAAGAGGAAGAAAAGTAAAAGAGGAGGAGGGGGAAGGAGGAAGGAAGAAAGGTGAAAAGAAAGAATGGTAAACTTTTTAACAACATAATTTATCCTTCTAGAATATGAATTTTGGTCTATTTGATGATGTCCCACAGATTCATTAGTCTCTGCTCCTTGTTTATTTTTTATTCTTTCTGTTTCTCAGAGTCAGTATTTTCCATTTTCTTCTCTTCAAGTTCATGGCTTCTTCTGTGTGTGCAAATATACTCTTAAATCCCTCTGGTGATTTTTAAATTTTTATCATTATAGTTTTCCACTCCAGAATTTCTGTTATCTCTTTGCTGATATTCCTACTTTTTAATATTTTTTCTGATTCCTTTATTTCTTTGTTTATGTTTTCCTTTTGACATTTAAGTATAATGAAGAGAGTTGTTTTAAAGTCTTTGTCTAGTAAGTTTGATGTCTGGGTTTCCTTAGGGATATTTTCTGTCAATTTGTTTTGTTCCTTTGAATGAGCCACACTTTCCCATTCTTTGTATGCCTTGTAACGTTTTTTGAAAACTGGACATTCTAATAATTATAATTACTATGTGGTTACTTGGTAAATCAGACCCCCCCTACAAACACAGTAATGTTTTGTGGTTTTAAATTTTCTTTATTTATTATATTGTTAAGGATTTTTTTTTTTTGAGTGAAATTTTCCAAAGTGATTTACAAAACTGTTTGCTTTATAAGGTGTGGTCACCGAAGTCTTTTTGTTTCCTTAACAAATGTTAAGCTAATATTTTGACAGTGATTTTCTTGTATGTCAGGAACCAATCAAACAGGCAAATACAAGAAAAACAAAAAGAAAAAAAAGTAATCATTGTCCAGCAAAATATGTCTCTAGGCCATGCAGACTGGCTTTGTGCTGGGTTCTTTAAAGCCGGGACAAAGTGTGTGTTCACTCTTGCACTGAGTGAAGTTCAAGTTGACTCTTGCACAGAGCTTGCACTGAGGGAAGGGATCAGCCAAGGTAAAAGTGTAGGGTCTTCTTATGACATTTGTCAGCATGTGGCTTAACCTATGAATACATGTGACTTTCTAGACCGTCCCACGTACGTGAATGATTTTGTATGTCTTACTTTTTGAAATACTCTTCTCCAACTTTTCTTGCTGTGCTGAGGGTGATCTACTATATGTGTAAACTTTAATTTTTGCCCTAAGCATCTGTGGTTTGTTAGGTCTCCTTGCAGAGTTTCTTAATAATGTCCATTCCTTATCTGTTCTGTATTCTAGCAACACAGAAAAAAGAAGCCTTTCATGAGTCCTTTAGGTATCCCCCAGACTAGTCAGAACAGACACAGAATAATTTGCGGGTAAGATCTTCTCCTGTTCCTTTGGACCATGGACGAGGCTTCCTCACTGGGAACGTGGGCCTCTGACACTTCAAAACTGCCAATTTGCTGGGGCAAAGGCAGGTTAAAAATGTCATAAAGTTTTCAAGTTGTCTTTTTCTTGAGTCTGCTTTCACTTGGTTGTTGTAATCTTTTGACCATTTTCCAGAGTTTTGGCAAACTTTTTTCGGACAGTTTCTCTTAGATGTGTGATGTTTCTGTGGGGAAATGAAAGATTGCAGCTGTCTCCACTGCCATTTTGCTGATGCTCCTCTTTTGTGAATTTTTGCTTCATGTTATTATGCTTTGTCATTAGTTCATGCATTAGTTTTCTAGGGCTGCCATAACCAAGTAACACAAACTGGGTGCCTTGAACTACATACATTTATAGTCTTATAGTCCTGGAAGCTAAAAGTCTGAGATTGAGGTGTCAGCAGGGATGGTCCCTTCAAGGGCTATGAGAGAAAGCCTGTTCTCTGCCTTGTTTCTCGCTTCTGGTGGTTTAGTGGCAGTCTTTGGCATTCCTTGGCTAATCTCTGCCCTCATAATCACATGGTACTCTCCCTGTGTGTATGTCTCCCTCTACTCAAATTTCTTCTTTTAATAAGGACATCAGTCATATTGAATTCAGGCTCATCTGATTGTATCTTAACTTGATCAGCTGCAAAGAACCTATTTCCTAATGAGGTCATATTCAGTGGTTAGAATTTCAGCATCTATATAGAGGAAACAATTTAGCTCATATCTGTGCATACATGATTGTAATAGCTATGTCTTCCTAAAGCGTTGACCCCCTTTTTACTACAATATAAATTTTTAAAATCCTATTCACATTTTTAATAGTCGATATTGTGTGTTATGAGTATAATGAGTTCAGTGTCCTTATGATTGCTCTTTGCATGATATTTTTTGTCATCTTTTTACTTTCAATCCATTAGTATCCTTGCATCTCAGCGTATATTGGGATCACTTGTTTTAATCCAGTCTGACAATCTCTGCCTCTGGAATGGATTTTAATCTGCTCACATTTAAGATTATAATTGGTATAATTCTATTTATGTCTGCCATTTTACCATTTGTTTTATATATTTCTCAAATATTTTTCTTTATTGCTTTATTTTGCAATGAAAGAATATTTTCTAAAATAGGGAACTTTAGATTACTAATGAATTATTTTATTATATATTTTTGAGAATTTTTGTTGTTGTAAGTTTACCATATAGGTATGTGGAAAATTAATTATTCAAATCATCTTCTAATTTATACTAGTAAACTTTTAGTAATACATAGAAACATCATTCTTATATAAATCTCTCTTATTTCCTCCATTTTAAAGTATTATCACTTTACACATTACATCTATTAAAGTTACAAAGCCAACAATACATTTTAGTAATTATTACTTTACCATCTAGAGTTATTACCTTATCACAATACATTTTTCTTCCAACTACCTCCTTTTTGATGTTACTGGAAAATATGTTATAGACGTATTACATTTCTACATGTCAAATACTCAGCAATACATTATGCACATATTATTATTATCATTGAGATGGACTCTCCCTCTGTCACCTTGGCTGGAGTGCAGTGGCACAATCTCCGCTCACTGCAAGCTCCATCTCCCGGCTTCATGCCATTTTTCTGCTTCAGCCTCCCGAGTAGCTGGGACTACAGGCACCCGCCATCATGCCCGGCTCATTTTTTGTATTTTTAGTAGAAACGGGGATTCACTGTGTTAGCCAGGATGGTCTCGATCTCCTGGCCTCGTAATATGCCTGCCTTGGCCTCCCAAAGTGCTGAGATTACAGGTGTGAGCCATCGTGCCCGGCCATTATACACATGTTATTTAATAAACAATTTATGATAAAGAGAAAAAATGCATTTTTACTGCCTTTTATAATGTCAATATTACCTATACCAGTGCTTTCTTAAAAATGTGGATTCAAGTGACTGTCTTCTGTAACTTCCTTTTAGCCTTAGGAATTTGTTTTAGAGTTTTTTTTTATATGGTAGGTCTGCCAGCAACAACTTCAGTTAGTATTTCTGTTTATCTGGGTAAGTCTTTGTGTTATCTTCATTTATGAAAAATAATTGCTGGATAAGGAATTTGTGACTGAGAGTTTTTTTTTCTTTGCATCTTTTGAATATATTATTCTACTGCCTCTTGCCTTCCATTGTTTCTCTTAAGTCAGCTGTTAATCTTACAAAACATAGGTGCTCAAAAAATAAACGTGCATGAATATTTACAGCAGTAATATTCATACAGTCAAAAAGTGTAAACAATCCATATGCTTGTTGACTCATAAATGGACACCCACTTTTCAGCTATAACAAAGAATGAAGTACCTATATATGGTATAATATTGGTGAAATTTGAAAGCATTATGTTAAGTGCACAAAAGGACAAATATTACTTGATTTTATTCACATGAAACATCAGGAACTGGCAAATCAATTGGGATATAAATCAGATTAGTGGTCATTAGGGCTCAGGGAAGAAGAATAGGGTGTAACAACTTTATGCATAATGGGTTTTTGCAAGGGACATGATGAAATTGCCCTGGAACATTGTGAATATACTAAAAGCAAGTGCACTGTATGCTTTAAAATGGCTGTTATTAATTTTATATTATGTGATTTTTACCTTAAAAAACAAAAAAGAGAAAATAGTCTTACTCTATACATAATAAACTCAAGATATGTTATAAATGTACATGTGAAATCCAAAATACTATAATATTTAAGGAATAGCTAAGTAGAATAACACTGAAATTGAACATAATGAAACATTTCCTTAAAAAAGAAAAAAGCACAGTAATTAAAAAGGGAAATATATTTAATATTTTTTCTCTCCATTAAGCATGCCATTAACTGAGTAAAAAATCAAGCTGCAATTACATAAACTACATTTTCTAAAACCATAAAGAAAAGAAGAAATAAAAAGGTATTTGGGAAAAAAATCCAAAGGTACAGTCAACTATGCAAAAAAACCTTAGTCTCATTAATCATTATGAAAATGCAAATGGTAACTGAAAGAAGATAAAACTACAATTCAAAGAGAAAGCCTAAAATTTCAACCCCCCAAAAAGTCTGGGTTTTGGAGATCTGGGATAGAATAGGGTTCCTAACCTGACAACAATGAAAGAACCAAACTAACTTCAAAGTCATGATTTTATTTTTATAGCAACGACGATGCCAAGAACTGAGTCAAAATGTGAGGGAAAACAAGCACCTGCAAGGAGAAAGAAGACAGATGCACTTACATAGGACAGATGCAAATAGACGCCACTATGACAAGTAAAGCTGGAATAATCAATAAATTTCTAAAGACAAAGTGGGGCTTGTGAGATTGGGAGACTGCTGACAGCTGCAGAAGTTGGGAAAGATCCATCATCTTGAAAACTTTTTCCCCACAAACCCACTGCGATCTCTCAAGCAATTGGTAAGGAATCTAAGAGAGTCTGTATATGACACAGATCAGGGAGAGCAGAACACTTGGGAGGTGACCAGGTCTTGGGGGCCGAGCCCTTATGAATGGGATTAGTGCCTTTATAAAAGAAGCTCAATGGAGTTCTTGTGTGCCTTCCACTATGTGAGGACATAGAAAGAACGCACCATCTATGAATCATGAAATGGGCTCTCATCAACACTGAATTTGTGAGCATCTTGACCTGAGATCTTACAGCCTCAAGAAGTGTGAAAAAAGAAATATCTGTTGTTTTTTAGTCACGCGGTTTATGTTATTTTGTTATAAGAGTCCAAATAGACCAAGATATTCCACTTAATATGTAGGGGAAGGCAACAAAAACTGCCACACTTAGAATACTCCTGATGCTGGAAGTATGAAAACAGGAAAAACAAAACAAAACTGCTCTTGAAGGTGAAGGAGGAATATCACTGAGCTCACCAACACAGCCAGGAGAAGAACAGAAGTGTGAGAAGGCTACATTCCTGAGACCCTGAGAAAAAGTACCTGCATAAGACTGAGATGAAATTACCTACTCTAGTTATGATTGAAATCCCAAAAAGAAAAGAGGGAAATATAATGGAGCAAAAGAAATATTTTTCAAAATAACTGCCAAAAATATTCTAAAATAAGTGACAGAAAATCAAACTTCAAATATAGGAAACTCAGAGAATGTCAAATAGAACAAAAAGAAATAACAATTCCATCTTGAAAAATCTTTAAAAAACCAAGTCTAAATTTTATATCTTGCTCCAAATATATAGAGATATAAATAGGTTATCATCAAGATATGGAGAAAGCCATATCATGGAAACAGTAAAATAAGGCTGTGGAAGGACTACATTGATATTAGACACAACAGAGTTCGGAACAAGAAATAGTATCAGAGATGAGAGATGATAGATAATAGAATAATCAATTCTCAAGAATATGTAAACATCCTACTAATTAGGATATGCAGCTAACAACAGAACCTCCAAATACATGAGGTAAAACATGAAGGAAATCAAAGGTGAACTAGAAAAATCCAAAATTATATTTGCAGGCTTCAACACTTTTGTCTTAGTAATGGAAAGACTAGGCACAAACTCAGTAATCATGTGGAAGATAAGAAAAGCAATATCACCAACAAGACATCCGATCTTCAATGGCAGATACTCTTTCCTTTCAAGTGAAAAAAAAAAACAGTATGGCATATTCTCTAACAAACCCAGAATTTCTAATATTTGCGTTATTCCTTCCTTCTTTCCATCTTCCTTTCTCTTCTCTTCTCTTCCCTTCCCTTGCCTTCTTCCTTCCTTTCTTCTTTTCCTCTTCCTTTTCTTTTTTCTTTCCTTTCTTTCTATTCTTTCTTTTTTCTCCTTCCTTCCTTCTTTCCTTCTTTCTTTCTTTCCCCTTATTCTTCCTTCCCTCCTCCCTCCCTTCTTTCTCCCTCCCTTTTCTTCCTTCTTTTCTCGTATTCTTTCTTTCTCACGTTCTTGCTTTCTATCCTTTTTTCTCCCTTCCTCCTGCCCTCCTTTTCTTCCTTCCTCCCTCCCTTCCTTTCCTCTTTTTCCTTCCTTCCTTCGCTTCTTTATTTTCTTTGTTTCTTTGCCTTCCTCCCTTTTACCATTCTCTCTTCCTCCTTTCCTTCCTCCCTTCCTCCTTTCTTTCTTTCTCTGTTTCTCTCTTCTTTCTCTTTCTTTCATTCTTTCTTTCCTTCTTTCTTGTGTTCATGCTTTCTTTTTTCTCCCTTCCTGCCTTTCTCCCTTCCTCCCTCCCTCCCTCCCTTCCTTCCCTCATTTCCTCCTTCTTTTCTTTCTTCTTTCCTTCCTTCCTTCCTTCTTTCCTTCCTTCTTTTTCTTTCTTTGTTTTCTTTTCTTTCTTTCTCTTTACTACAATTCATATTATTTCAAGAAAAATTAAGAGAGGGAGACAGAAAAATAAAGAATGCTTTAATCTGCAGGTAAATAGATTATGTCTGCTGTAGGCAAAAGAATGGCCTCCCCAAAATTTTCATGTCCTAATTCCCAGAGTCTAACATACAAATATGTTAGGTTGCACGGCAGTGTGAAATTAGATTTCAAGTGAAATTAAGGTTGCGGAAAAATGATAGAGAGATTGTCTTAAATGGGTGGGATCAATGAAATGACAAACTTCCTTATAAGGGAAAGAAGAAGGCAGAAGAAAGGCAACCTTGGAGGTGGTGGCATGAGAAATTACTCAACATCACTGACTTTTAAGATACAAGAATGAGGACCCAGCGCGATGGCTCACGCCTAATCCCAGCACTTTGGGAGGCTGGGGTGGGTTTATCACGAGGTCAGGAGATCGAGACCATCCTGGCTAACATGGTGAAACCCCATCCCTACTAAAAATACAAAAAATTAACTGGGCATGGTGGCAAGTGCCTGTAGTCCAAGCTACTCAGGAAACTGAGGCAGATGAATCACTTGAACCCGGGAGGCAGAGGTTGCAGTGAGCTGAGATCGTGCCACTGCACTCCAGCCTGGGTGACAGAAGGAGACTCCATATCAAAAAAAAAAAAATAAGAAAAATAGGATATAAGAATGAGGTCATGTTCCAAAGAATAAAGGTGGCCTCTGGATGCTGAAAAAAATCAAGTAATAGATTCTGCCACATAGCCCTCAGAAAGACTGCAGCCCAGCCCAAAACTTGATGTTAGCCCTGTGAGTTTCATTTAAGGCTTCTGAACTACAGAACTGTAGGATTAACGGTCACTTTATTGTAAGATATGAAGTTTGTGGTAATTGGTTACAGCAGTAAGAGGAAGTTTATATTGTAATTGTATCATGAAAATGAGAACCATAATTTACAACTGCTTTTAATACTGCACTTGGATGTTTGAAATCACGTACATGGAAATGATCTCTATGTGCATGAGGGAGGATAGCAAATTGATGCCAAAGTAATGCAAATGCAAATCTTACACACATTTCTATGTAGGTTTCATTTAATATTTGAAATTAAAATGAAATTAAAACATTGTGATATTTTGATGAAATTAGACTAGAATGAACAATAACAAAATAAGAACTTACTTATATTCTTTATATGGTCAATAAAGAAGTGATAGTGTAAAAAAACAAGATCAAATGAAGGTGATGATTTAGGAAGCTGGAAAGAGAGCTGAAACTACAAAATGGTATATAACCAGTGAACACTTAGACACACTGATTGATGAACTTCAGCTTTTGGCTTGGTGAGAGCATAAAATGAGAGCAGCTGAGGTTTGCAAATTTGTAATCTCCTTGTGGAAAACCAGGGGAAAACATATCTCAGCCTAATAAGATTTATCTACTAAAGAGTCTAGAGTTGATCCATTTGTCCTTGTAATTCAAAAGCTAATTCAAATACTGATTTGATGTATTGTGTGAACAACCATTGCTGATTATCATCGCATACCTGGCATTCTCTTGTATCTGATATCTAAAATATTTGGTAGTTCCTGGACTTTCTCTTTTCAAACCCAGTACGGTTTAATTTGAGTCTTAGAACAGTTGTCTTTGAGAAATTCTTCCCTCTACTGCATCTGTGAATGGGCATAGCATGGTTACATACATACTGTCACTCCGTAGAACATTTGTTAAATTAAAGCCAAAGTTTAAAGCAAGAGCTTTAACTTACTGGTTTTACTAATGTTTTCCTCCCCAATAGCCACAACAATATTGATACCCTCACACCTTTTAACATAAAGATTGGTGTTGTCTATTTTTCAGGTGCTGTCATCTATATTATCTCAGTATTTTAAAAATCAGCTTCCAGCCCATATGGTGGTTCATGCTTGTAATACCAGCAGTTGAAGAGGCTGAAATGAGAGGATTCCTTGAGCCCAGGAGTTCAAAAGCAACCTGGGCAACATAGCAAGACCCAGTCTCTACCAAAAGTTTAAAAAAAAAAGTAGGCATGGTGATGTGCACCTGTTGTCCTAGCTATTTGGGAGGCCAAGGTGGAAGGATCGCTTGAGCTTGGGAGGCTGAGGCTGCAGTGAGCAGTGATTGCACCACTGCACTCCAGCCTGGGCAACAAAGCAAGACCCTATCTCAAAAAATACATATAATAAAAATTAAAATCAGCTCTCATTGATTTCTATGTAAATATGCACAGGTGATGTCCATATAGACATAAATAATAATATTTCTGACAATGGGTCCATATGATCTTCAAAATGTAAAATGCCTATCTGTGAAATTGACTGGTTAGTCTCATTAATGAATATAGATTCAATTCTACTTTCTTTTTCTACATAAATTATATAATCTAACTTTTCATTTCACTTATTTACTGATAACAACAGGAAGAGTGACAAGATATCTATTTTGGAAAATTACTCTCGTAGGAGTAAAGATGAAACAATGGTAGAATTGCATGGAAAACTAGAGAAAAGTATGGTCTTCTGATATTCTATCACATCACATACTAAAGGCCTCATAAAACTCAGATATTTTATCTAAAAATGTTATTTTCATCATAGGAATGATCAAAGCATGAGACTACAATTGTATTAAAATGTGCTTGTATCACAAGCACAGATGCTAAAAAGGAGGGGAAAACATCATTACTGATATTTTCAACGTATGTTTTACTTTTCATCAACATGAACCTCAACTTGATATGATGCAGATTGAAGGAAATCACCCATAATTCCATATGAAGAAGGCCTGTGATATTTTATGGGAAAATAAATAGAGAAAATGCTAACAGAAACCCTATTAAGCATGAAGATTTATGGAGCAAACACAAATCCAGTGGTGAAAGATACAGACTCGAGTTCTGTTTGTTGTCTTGGAACAATACGATTTAGAGGTGACTGGCGGGTGAGGAGAACATATGCGAGTTCACCAAAGAGAAAAGCTGAATGAGGCAATGCCTTTTCCAGACCATATCTCTTACTCAGATAACTATATAATTTATTGTCCAGTAAAGGGTGTATTAAAAAATCATATTAAAAGTCATGCAGTGAAGTTGTCCAGGGAAATCAAGACTTAACATTCTCACTCTGACAATAATGAACAGGGGGATTCCCTCAAGATAGACTAGGACATGACCCCACCCTGGCAGGTAGTAGTACCAGAAAAGAACCCATGGAAAATCTTTACCTTATGCTTGAGGTAGGGACCAGGCTAAAGCAAAAGCCAGACATAAAATTCTATCTAAAATAAATCCACAGTCGAAGAAAATATGTGGTGTACAGGCATAGAATGTCTTTACTGGATCATTGAAATAGTAAGATAAATTCAACTTTTTACATTGTTTTCTTTTCCTCCAGTTAGGGCTTGAGGTTTGTCTCTGGAGAGTGACTGTCAATTGGAGCCCTGCCTTTCTGGGGTTCTGGTCAGGGGGTTGTGGATGCTTAACATGTGCCTTTCACAGTACACTTCCTTACCCCAGCAGTGGCCAGGTGTGCATCCCACGACCAGGCCTCCCTCTCACAGAACATCTGTTGAGACTAGGAGACGCCTGGTGAATGTTGCCTGACCTGTGTCCTGTGTATTTCTGACAAGAGCCACTCTCAGAGACCCTGGCCAGGAGGAGAGTTAGGTTCCAGTGTAGATCAGCTCAGACCCATGGAGGCCACAGAACCAAACATGGGAAATCACAGAAGTAAGTTTATTACTCACAGATCCAGAGAGAAGAGGGTAGCTGAGAAGAGGGTTTAGCTGTGTCCCCAGCCAAATCTCATTTTGAATTCCCACATGTTGTGGGAGGGAACAGGTGGGAGGTAATTGAATCATGGGGGCAGGTCTTTCCCATGCTGTTCTTCTGATAGTGAATAAGTCTCACAATATCTGATGGTTTTATAAAGGGGAGTTTCCCTGCACAAGCTCTCTTGTCTGCTGCCATGTGAGACGTGCCTTTCACCTTGCACCATGATTGTGAGGCCTACCCAGCCATGTGGAACTGTGCATCTATTAAACCTCTTTCTTCTGGAAATTACCCAGTCTTGGGCATGTCTTTACCGGCGGTGTGAAAACGGACTAATACAGTAGCACACCTCATAGGGCTGAACAAAATGGGGAAGATGAGTGGGGAGCAGGAGAGAGAAAAGGGGTCTGTGGGACTCCAGCCTTTATTGGGCCCAGAACATTACCCAAATAAGTTTTCCACGGGGCACTAGTCGGTGGGGTGAGTGCCAGCAGGCACATTTCTTGACTCCCGCTGCAACCGAGCAGGTCACTCTGGCGTGTGGGGGCTGTCCATGTGCACTGTGAGGTCTGTGGGGTGAGTCAGGTAGGTTGTATCCAACGGTTCCATAGCTGGTAGTCACCAGGAGGAGGCAACTGTGTAGGGTCAATATCTGGGCCAGCCACACTGAGGAACTGTGAGGGTTAGAACTGGAAATTGTCAAGAGAATCTGAACCCAGCTACCATATGAGAGAGTTCAACTTATGTTCAATGTGAATGCCATGGCAATATTAAAAGGTAAGAATTCGCTCCATACGTGCTTGAGGTAAATAGAAACCTAGAATTTATGTAAACAGTGAGAAGATTGGATGCGTTTTCCGTCACATATTTTAATACTAGCAGCATATTTTATATGTCAATCCATCAGGCATTCAGAAATACATGCTTATGAAAATTTTTTGCACCATCAGACAAAAGACAAGGGTAGAAGACATTTGTAACCCTATAAACACTAATAAATTAAAAACAGAAGGACCTTTATGTCCTAACATATCTGTGTTGTGAAAGGCTGCCCTGTGAAATACGGGATTTCTTAAACATATTTTAAAAATCATAGGTGTCAATATTTTTTAGAAATCCATTTAAATTTTCTCTTGCTATTTTACAATGCCTATTTATTTATTTAGTGGCTCTGCTGATTTTGATGTATATCCTAAACTTTATATTTTCTTTAAAGGGTGTTTTATACAACTTTATGTAAAATGTTTCAGTATCTTCACGTTCTTTCCCTGTCCTTTTGTTTTGCTCTTATATGGTGGCCTTGAGTCTTTTCTCTGGCTTTTCAAACCTAGTAAGACTAAGACACTGAAGTAACTTTGCCCGTGGTTTGGTAATGCCTTCTAAAGCACATCCTAAGCTCTCGTGCATACAGGGGTCTGCTTTGAGCTCTGTGCTTTTGAGATTCCATATACCTAAATTCCAGTACTCCAAATCAGTACTACTCAGTTTCAGTTACTAAGTTTAAAAATGTATTTTAATAGCAAGTTAGTTTAGTGCACTGTTGCTTCTTTCTTGACTGCTTGTATACATTTATATTCCTTTAAATGAATCTTGGAATTTATTTAAAAATTTTAAATTATACTAATGAAACTGTATATTGTTGTGAATTCATAAGTGAATTTGGAAAGAATTTGTCTTTATGATCCTAAATCCTTTTTATCCAAGAATCATATGTGTCTCTATATTTATTCCAGTCTATATTTATATCACTGAGTAAATATATAGAAATGTAGATACGTACAGCTGTAGTTATAGATACAAATATAGATATAACATGTTAAATCTATATCCCATATAACATATATACATGTTATATGTGTGTGTGTGTGTGTATATATATGTTTATGTTATTAAAGATCTCCCTTAAAATTTTTCTTTTATTTCTTATATAATTTTAGGTCGAGCTTGAATTTTCCTTGTATAAACAAGCAAATATTTATACTAGTTTTAGTGCTGATGTTTAGACATTCTATCTTATTTTAGCATTGAATATTTTCACAATTATTATAAATATTATCTAATATTAATAATGTACCTGTTAAAAATATTTAAAATTTTACCTTTGAATTATTTTATTGTTGAATTAAAGTTCCTTTAATATGATAGTAAATTTCTATTTTATGCTTTCTCTATGCATATGCAAATTAATCTACCCACTTCTCTATCTCTATGTAGTAACATATGAAAATCAGGCCTCTCTTCTTCTAATGGACATACACATGTTTGCATATAGAATATCAGACTCTTTATAGCATTTAAAATCTTTAAAGACATGAATATTGCCTTTTAACAAATATATTTTAGCATGTACTGAGAATCCCCTATTTATTTTTAATTTGGGCTAATCAATATGATTATTAATATTATTGGATTACCAAATTTGGAAACACACTTCCATCCCCAAGGTGGATATTTGTTTTATTTTTTTTGCCAATTTCTTGTCTTACTGTTTCAAACATTGTTAGATATTATTTTTATTTTATTTGGCATTTTAGTATCAACATTTGTAATTGATGTACTCTACATGTTTTTTCTTCAATATCTGTTGGGTTTTATAATTACTGCTATATTGGATTTGTAGTAGAGATTGACAAAAATTATTCCTGTATGTTTTATAGCTGTATGAAGGAAACTAATATATTTTACCCCTAAATATATTTCCTTCATATATTTCAAAATGGCTATTGAGAAGGGCTGGAAACGCAAACTTAGCTGCAAATCTTTCTTGGGGAGATTTGCATCGGTAGAGAATCTGCCTTGATGCAGCAAGGCTTTCTCTGAGGTCTGCTCCCTTGTCTGGATATAGGAAAGGTTAACTGAGAGTCTGAGGTCTCCAAAGGTCTGAAAGAAACATTTTCTGTCTATTCTCTCTGAGGACTGCTCCCAGTGAGGTTCCACCTATGTAATAAGTCCACTGTTGCTAGCCAGGGTCGTTTTCTCTCATAACCTTTTTTTTTCCCCCTGTGAACCAAGACCCCATTCTTTCTGTAAACTTCATGTGGTAGATAAGCTTCTGCACGCATCGTGTGTCTGGATCTTTGTTCTAAGGGCTCCAGTGTACACACATTGCAGAAACCTGTATGCCTTTTCTACTATTTATCTGCCTCCTATTAGTGATTTTCAGGGAAACTTCAGAAGGCAAAAGGGACATTCTCCTTTAGCCCATTCTCAGACAAAATCCCCTAACATTTAACTGATTCCTGATAGCTTAAAAGCACTTTGAAAAATCCATATATTTATAACCTTTTCTTTCCCTCTATGATTTCTGGTCAGCTTGGGTTTTGTTTTTCATTCCATTTACTTCATCCTCGAAAAGATCTATTTTACATCTATTTATTCTCATTTATGGACATTGAGAAAAGAAAATAACTTTCATGTGAGAAATGCAAGTCCTTTTAAATAATCAGGCCCAGAGAGATATTCAAATGAGACAGCAGTTCTGTCCTGCTCCTCTTTGAGCTGTGTGTTCATCTAGGCTGCTTGCTGTTGCCACAGTAGCTATAAATTAACCAATAATGCCACACCAGACACTATAATCCACACCCAATAATAGTGTAACAGTGTATAGCCAGTCACTAATAAATGTTATTTCCATAAGCCAATGAGAATTTCTGACAAACCTCTTTGCATCATCCCACTTCTGGACTCGTTTTTGCCTTTAAGAAACTGCTTGTTGCAAAGCTCCAAAGGGAGTTCATATCCAAGGATACTTGCGTCTGTTTCTTCCAGGCAGCTGTCCTCATTTTGGCTCAAGTAAACTCTTTGAATTACGTTTTGTGCTTCAGCCCCTTCCACTTAGATTAACAACATGGATTTGTGTCACCATGTACAGCAATTAAAATGTTTACACTTTTCCCCTCGAGGGCACTGATGTGTTTTCCTGAGCACTTGGAATAGCTACGTAGTGTTTACTGTCTAGATTATGGTTTCTCAACCTTGGTGCTACTTACCTTTAGGACCAGAGGATTCTTTGTTGTGGGAGGCTGCCCTAGCAATACTAGGTGTTTCGTTTGACCTCTAAATTTCACACCTCCACCAGTCTTGACATCCCCACAATAACCCTAGACATTGACAAATGTCTCCTGGGGAAAACTCTCCACCAGTTGACAGGCAAAGTTCTGGAAATATTGGAATTGTCAATTGAGATTTTATGTTATCCAAAACAAATACTTTGTTTTTAAACATCTACTTCCATCTACTTATCTACTTATTTTTACTTTTATTTGTAACTTAATTCCATCAAGGAAAGAGAGTGCATTTTCTGTTATGCTAAATTTTTGAAGAACGTATTGATTTTTTATGACCTGATATATGGATGATAAGTAGATATTACATGTTTGTATTGTCAAATTTCAGGGCGATAATAAAATAAATACTTATAATATTTATATTATCACTGTATATTAGTTATTTCCTTTCTTCACTACAGGAGTATTTCAACCTATAGGCTATTTTTCAATTCTAGGTTATCCAGTAGATTTTTAAATGTTATGATTAAATATCTACTTCTCAAGCATTCATCTTTGCAAATGAAAAAATCCCAAGCTCTTATAATGCACATCATATAAAGGGAAGATTAGTCAATATATGGTTCAGAAATAATTATGTAATATTTATAAGAAAATTAAAAATTTATATCCTTAACTCAGATAACAATAATCCAAATTAAAATTTGATTTCATTACATAATTTAAAATGACACCAGAATACTAGTAAAAATGTAGATAAGTTTATATAATCTTTTTTAGCTGTAGGACTTTATTAGCATAAATTCAAATTCAGGAACCAAAGTAAGATTGAGATCTATAGTCAAAGGTTAAAATGTACACATTATAGGGGCATGATTAAACTAATTTAAAGCATGATAACATGGAGAAATATTGCAAAACATACATTTTACTGTATTAATTGTTAATATCTAATCATTATGTGAGAACAAAATTAAAGAGTAGCTACACACGCACACACCCACACACAAGTGCAATATTGTCAAATAAACGATGTTCAGCTACACTAGAAATCACACCTGTGTTTTCTCCACAGAAAAGATTAAAAAGCACAATCATATTTATTGTACATATGGAGGTAAAGATACTCAAAATATTACCCTAAAATACATTTTTTTTTGAGATGGAGTTTTGCTTTTATTGCCCAGGCTAGAGTGCAATGCCACAATCTTGGCTCACTGCAACCTCAGCCTCCCAGGTTCAAGTAATTCTCCTAGCTCAGCCTCCCAAGTAGCTGAGATTACAGGCATGCACCACCACACTCGGCTAATTTTTTGTATTTAGTAGAGACGGGGTTTCACCATGTTGATCAGGCTGGTCTCCAACTCCTGACTTCAGGTGATCTACCCACTTCAGCCTCCCAAAGTGCTGGGATTACAGGCGTGTGCCTGGGCAGCTTTTTGACATATTTCAAGATGGCTACTCGGAAGACTGGAGGTAGCTTCTTCTACAAGAATAGCTGAAAAGCTGTGTTAGTTGGGGAGATTTGCATTTGTAGAGAAAATCTGCATTGATATAGACAGGCTTTCCCTGAGATACTCCCTTGTCTGGGTTTAGGAAAAATTAACTGAACCTGGCACGTTTACATTTCTAAAAACCATTTCCTATCTATACTTCCCAAGAGGAGGGCTGCTCCCTGTGAGCTTTCATCCATGTAACAAGACCACCTCTGCTGCCAGGCTCCTCTTTCTTCCTTTTCGTCACCTGTCTTCCACAAAGCCTGATTTACCAACCTACAGCTCTGTGTTTTCTGTAACTTCAAGACAGCATAGGCGTCTTGACTACCTTGCCTTTCCTGGATTTTTTATATATATAGTATATATTTGTATATCTATTTATAATATACAAATATTTGTATAGGTATGTTTATATATATTATGTAAACTCCAAGTGCATACTTGTGCACATATGTGTAAACCTTTTTTTCCTGTTAATTTGTACATTATCAGTTTGTTTTATAGACTCAAATAATTAAAGCTTCAAGGGAAAAATTTAAACTTTCCTATAGAGAAAAGACAAATATATAGGTGACAAATAATATTTAGAGTGTAAGACGCTTTTTAAAGGTATATTTGCAATTTGTGTCAAAACATTTAAATATACATTTGTTATTTTATCTATAAAATTTCAAATCATTTAAGCCAAATACATAGCACATGCAGAAAATTTAGCAATATATCTATGTAGCACCTTACTGTGCATTACTGTAACCAGCCGTCTAACATAAAGAATTAATTAAGGTAGCAGCTACTTTTCAAAGAGCGCATTTTTTTCACAGACCTATTAAATAAGACAAATAACATTTAAACTTTATTTTTAAATTTGCAGAATAGTAGTTTTCAGCAGATGGTTTATTTTAGCAAATTCCGTCTTCACATTGTGCTATGCTTTTATGAGTTCCAGCTGTTAACGGATAACATTTTACTGCTGAAACTATCATGTGTGATATACTTGCTCATTATGTGCCTTAAAACACAAGCAATATAATTATTTTCAACTTGGAGCAAATTAAAATCTTATAAGCAATTTAAAAACTCTAGAGTCGTCTTCTGGTTAATTATTTTAAACTTGTATTTTTCTCTTTATGTTTTTAGTGAGTTGTCTTATCAAGGAGAAGAACTCAAGCTGATTATTCTTTTTTTTCTCTTCCATCCACCTCGCTGGTGTATTAATAATTTCATTTCTCAGAAAATGTTCTTTCATATCCATCTTACAAGATGAGAGACCTTTTAACATCTTCCATTCGGATGTGATACCAGTAATGGAAAATATTCCAGCTTCATGAATATGGTGATACAAATAGTTATCCGTCTAACCTCTTTCAGTGCCAAAGGTTTACTTTACTCAGTGAATTACTCAGTTGACTGGTAATTTCTTCTGAAATCACTAATGAGAGGATCAGAGGTCTGGCTGTTGTCTGTACCTCATATGACTCCCAGTGCAGACAATTGTTTCTATGGAGCACAGACAGTTGAAAGGATTGACTTCCTGCCTAGAATAATTTCTGCTATGCTTCTTATCCTTCTTGTGGAGATTTCAGATTATCTGAATTGCTTTTCTATCTTGAGAAAAAACGCAACAATTCTCCCACCTGAGAGGAAAGTAAACTGTAGTAAGTTAGCAGAACCAATCCATAAAATTTTTACATTGTTTGTTGCAAAATGCAGCGCTGGTGTCTCCATCACTAACCTTTTCTATCCCTCATTGCTCTTTCTTTGACTGCACTAGGATACCTCTAGGCAAATCTGTATTCCCGAGACAGAGTGCCCATTTGGTGAGCTATAAGCACACTCGATGGTAGGCTGAAATACTAGCTTTTATCTATGGTGAAATGGAATCATATCAGTGATTTTTTTAAAAAGGAAATTTAACTCTTGCTATGGTTTGAATGCTTGCCCCTTCCAATCTCATGTTAAAATTTGATCCCCAATGTTGCAGGTGGGGCTTACTGGGAGGTGTTTGGTCATGGGTTGGACCTTCATGAATGGATAATACCCTCCCTTAGAAATCTAAAGCTATCCTCCCTCCTCGGTGCCCTCAGGAATGAGTGTACCATTCTTTATTCACCTATAATTCCCCCACCCATCCTCTTTGAGATATTAATTACATGTATGTTACACTGCTGCATATTGTCTGATGTATCGGTGAGTTTCTGGCTTTCTTATTTTAGTTTACCCTTTGTCCTTTAGTTTGTAAAGCTTCTATTTTTTTCTATAAATTTTCTGATGTTAGGGTAAAATCCATGACTTATTCTATCTCATGGAATTTTTATTTCAAATATTTATTTTTCATCTATACATGTCACATTTTTCATTTTATAACTTCTATTTTTCTCCTATGTTCAATTTTCATTTAAGTACCTTGACATATGTATGTATTTATCTATATGTATTTATAAAATATATTTACTTTAAGGACCTTGAAATTTCCTTCTTTTCTGTCATTTATAAATGACTTATTTTTATCCTGTTAATGTATATCTTAATTATATATATCTTACGGCTTCTTTGCATGTCAGAGTTTTTTTTTGGTATTTTGATTTTATGCTATTGAATATCTAGATTTTATTGACTACCTTTGAACAATGTTATGGCAGGCAGTTCAGTAAATTCAGGATGAGTATTTGTCTGTTGTTGTTTTAAATCTTCTCTTTAAACTTTGTGGAGTTTGTTTAGAGCAATCTGTAATTTGGAGCTAAATGAGCACTGTCACTAGGGCATGAACCTCCAGTGGTCTTTACTGAATATCCTGGAGGTACAGAGGGGTTTCCCTTCTCTGATTAGAATTTGGAATATAAAGAGAAAAGAGAAAAATAGAAAGCTATGCATAAACACGTGCATTAAAATGAATTTTATGTGGGATTTTTCATGAAAATGTTCCTAAGGTATTTTATTTTTTTATTGTGGTAAAATACACATAACATAAAATGTACCCTGTTAACCACTTTAAGTGTACAGTTCAGTGGTACTAAACATAGTCATAACATTGTGCAGCCGTCCCTACTATCCATCTCCATAATTCATTTCATCTTGTAAAACTGAAACTCTATACCCATTAAACAATACTTCCCCATTTCTTCCTACCCCCAGCTTCTGGCAACCATCATTGTACCATCTCTGTAATGCTAATCAAGCATAGTGGCTGTGTTTCTTGCTTCCTCTAGTCCGCAGGTAGCATACAAATGTAATAAACTACTTATTCATGTCACATCTATTTATTTTCTGCCTTATACCAAGCTTGTGGGATTCTCTTAAATACAACACTTTTATGCTTGCACCTATGCAATACCCATTAGCATCGCCTTCCTAAATCAGGGGAAATTGAGCCTCTGTAAGGTGGAGTAACTTTCTAAGATATAAAACTCAGCATTGAAGTCTGTATACTTCAATATCCTGCCCTCTTCTGATTTGTCTTTACTGCCTTTTATGTATGTGTTAGATGTTCAATAAATTCTCTTTTTTAAACTGAATTTAAGCCGTGGAGCAGTGTTTTGTTGAACAATAAATATGATATAGGACACTCTTCCTCCCTTTCATTTATGATCCTGTTCATGAAAAAGAGAAATTCTTTCATTGTGCTAGAAGCTTAAAATAATGAAAATGCCACTTTCTACATTAAACAGAAACTGAAGTGAATCAAGGTGAATTGCATGAGACATAGAAAACAAGTGGGAAAGAAATCTAGTATAATTTGCCCTTTGTGTACCTTTATTATTTAGCGTTTGAGTAAATGATTCCCCCAAATATCTTCCCATCTTAATTCATGTCTATAAAGTAGACATTTATGTATCACCTTGTCAAGAAGGGCAAACTCTAACATAAACATTTCCCAAAAATGCTTCCTGCTAAAACGCAAGCTCAGTCTGGCTAGAAATGCAGCTCACTTCATAAAGATTAATTGGTATCTAATTTTTCATGCTGTTCTCTGAACTTGAGTGAAACCTGTCCCTCAGGCATACAGGGAATGACGGAAAAGGTGACAACAGAAGATGAATGCTATGTCACTAACCTTCAAAGATGACCTGCCTTTTCTTTCAAATTCTTGATATCTTAAGACTTCATTAATTCATCTCTCTTTGCCCTTGGTTCAACATTGTGCTGTGCCAAAACTCATGTAAAACAGTGATCTAATATAATAAAAATGGCATTTTTCTTTCATGTAGATGCAAGCTAACTGGTGTTTTTACAATCCACATATTTCCTTTGTCAATTTTTCATTCTGTATTGGAAGTAATTGATAGGTATTTCTGAAGGGATGAAGGTGTTTCTGTGATCATTGCGATCCAAACTATTTTTAGACCTAGGGGCGTTTGTGAAACAATTTGTGCCAGCTGACAAAGGATCACTGTGGCAGAAAGCAGCAAACTTGCATAAGATGTCACTGCCTCATAAGTTGGCTTTGAAAAGTAGGGGCTTACTCTATAGTCTTATGAATCAAAGACATTGATAGATGTAATGTAAGATTACAATCATATTTTCCTTTTGACAGTCACATTATAAAGCATGATATATTGCAACTAATCTCAATTAGCTGATCACAATTAAAATTAATAATGTTTATTATTGCTGATAAACAATCATGACTCTCCTGTTCTCAAATGTGAAAGTAATTCTTATAATTTTAATACAAATTTGCATATTATTATTAATTGATTTAATCTCATTGGATTTGGTTCATGGATCCAATTTATTAAAATATTGATAATGGGATAATGACTTGTCTCCCCATGTCATGTACACTAAAAACAACAATTCTTACAATGGTCTGCAAGCCCATTATGATCTGCCGCATGTTAACCGCCAAAATTCTTTTATGTCTTCACCCTTGATCTTACCAGTGGTCCTGGCCACCTCACTGTCCTCTGGACATGCTAACAGGCTGCTGCCTTATGACCAAGACTCTAGTTAATTTCTTGGCTTGGAAAGATAGCCCTCCATATATCCATTCATCAGCTCATTCAACTTCAAGTCTTTACTGAAACTTCACATTCTCGATGAGGCCTATTCAGTATTTCAAACTGCCTCCCCGTAGCAACATTCCAAAACCCCTTACTCTTCTGTATATTTTTGAAAGGATTTATTGAGATATAATTTACATAGTGTAGAGTGCACACATTAATATCTACAAGTCAGTGGCTTTTAGTATATGCATAGATAAGTGGAGCCATCATCACAATGAATTTTAGAGCATTTTCATCACTTCAAAAAGAAACCCCACCTTCTCTAGCTGTTAACCTCCTATGCACCCATCCCCTACTCAATCCTAAGCAACCACAAATCTGTTTTCTGTCTCTGTAGATTTTCCTATTCTGTTTTCATCTAAATAGAATCATACAATAGGTGGCCTTTTCTGCCTGGCTTCTTTCAGTTGGCATAATGCTATCAAGGTTCATGTACGTATTGGTACTTTACTTCTTTTTATAACTGTATAACATTCAATTTCATGGATAAAACATTTTGTTTATCCAATAATATTTTTATTGACATTTGAGTTGTGTTCAGCCTTTGGCTATTTTCAATACTGCTGCTAAAAATACTTGTGTACAATTTGTGTTTGAACACCTCTTTCCAATAATCTGGGTGTATACCTAGGAATAAATTTCTGGGTCATATGACAACTCTATGTTTAATATATTTAGAAGCCATCAAATTATTTTCCAAAGTGGCCAGTTCTAGCCATAGAGTATCTAACTGTGGTTTTGATTTGTAGTTGCCTGATGAGTGATGCTATTGAGTATCTTTTTATGGGATTATTGACCGTTCGTGTATCTTCTTGGGAAACACATCTATTCCTCTCATTTATCAGTTTTGAGTTGGGATATTTGTTACTGAGTTGAAGCAATTTTTCTATATTCAAGATATATATATATATATATATATATATATATATACACAGACATATAGATACGTGTTTTTCAAATATCTTCTCACAATTTTTGAGCTGCCTTTTGACTTGCTTGGTTGTCCTTTGAAACACCAATGTCTTTAATTTTTAAGAAATTTTAAATATCTAATTTTTATTTTGTTGCTCATGTTTTCGGCGTTACAGCTATTTCTTTGCTAGATCCAAAATCCTGAAGATTTTCCCATATGCTTTATTCTAGCTCTCGCATGTGTGTCTTTAATTCATTTGAGTTAATATTTTTGTATGCTTTGGGGTAAGGGTTCGAATTTATTATTTTGCAAGTGGTGATCCACGTGTACGTTGTTGACCCAGTTTGTTCAAAGACTGTCTCTTCCTCATTGAATTGCACATGGCACCACTGTAAGAATCCATTGACTATAGACACATAGTTTTATATATGGACTCTCAATTCTCTTCCATCAATGTGTATATTTTTCCTTCATCAGTATTGGGTTGTCTTGATTACTGATACTTTTCAGTAAGGTTTGGATCATGGGGGTGTGAATTATCCTAATATGTTTTCTTTTTTCAAGATTATTTTGGCTATTTTGAGTCCTTTACAAGTCCATGTGTATTTTAGAATCAGCTTGTCAGTTTCTAGACAGAAGTCTGTTGGGATACTTGCAGGGATTTCATCAAATCTGTAGTTTAAATTGTAAAGTACTACAATATTAAATCTTCCAATTCATGGCTGTTAGATGTTTGCTAATTATTTAGATATTCTCTAAACAATAATTTTTAATTTTCAGAGTAAACTCTTGTATCACATTTTCCAAATTAATTATTATTTCTTTTTTTGATGCTATTTTAAATTGAAGTGTTTTCTTAATTTCATTTTGGGGTTTTCATTGTAGATGTCCGCAATTGATTTTTGTAAATTTATCTTGTATGCTGTAATATTGCTGAAATAATTTACTAGTTCTATCGTTCAGTGGATTCCTTAAAATTTTCTATATACAAGAATGTTATTTTCAAATAAAGTTTTATTTCTTCCTGTTCAATATGGATGACTCTTATTTTTTTAGTTGCTGATTTGCCCTGCATACAATCTTTAGTACAGTGTTGACTAGAAGAGGTCAAAGTATATATCCTATTCTTATCTCTGACCATAGCAGGAAAGCATCCTTTACCATTAAGTTGCATGCTTGCTGTTGGCTTTTCACAGGTGCCATGTATCTGGTGTAGAAAGTTCTCTATTCCTGGTTCATTGAGTTTTTATTTTTATTTTTAATCATTAAAGAATTTGGATTCTGTTAAATGTCTTTTCCAAATCTATCGAGATGATCATGCAATTCTCGTTTCTTATTCTATGGATAAGATGTATTACCTTAATGGATTTTGGGCTGTTAAACCAACCTGGGATTACCTGTATAAATTTAACTTTGTCATAGTGTATAATTCTTTTATATGTTGCTAGATCCGATTTGTTAGTATTTTTTAAGGAATTTTGCATTTATTTTTCTATGCTATTTGGACTAATTTTTGTATCAAGGTAACACTGGCCCCACAGAATAAATTGGGAAGTGAATATTTCTCTTTTTTAAAAAAGCTAGTCAAGAATTAATATCAATTATTCAATACTAACAAATATTATTATTATAAATTATTAATTTCTCAAATTTTTATTTTCTTCCTTCTGCTTGCTTTAGGTTTAGTTTGCTATTATTTCCAGTGCCTTAATGTGGAAGGTCATCTTATCTCATCCTTTCATTTGTCTTTTCATTTTCAAAATAGTGTCTTTTTAGCATCAGGTGAGCTCCCCAGGTTGGTAGTACTCCATGTTTATTGCTGTACAACAATGACAGGTAATATGTCCTGAAGACAATGGAAACTTAACATTCAAAATCTCCTAGATTCCACCTTATATGATATGTCTCTTCAATTGGTCCTAATTTCTACCTTTCTCTATTATAAACCATGAGTACAATGGCATTCAATGAGTTCGGTGAGTCTTTCTAGTAAATTCTTGAAACTGAGGGTGTTCAGGGGGAAAACCCTGAACTGGCAGTTGGTGTCAGAAGTGAGAATCATCTTATATGGCCTCTTCCTTTGAACTTTGCAGCTGGACGCAAACTCTGCACAATTTGGGCCAGAAGTCTCGTGTTGACTTTGCAGCCTAAAGTATCTTGTAGTTTGTCTAACCCTCAATAAATTTGCTTTCATCAAATATTGTATTTGTTACCCCAAAATTACCATCACATTTTTTTCTCCAAATAACTAACATTGGGAGAAATAGCCAGCTGAGTCTGTAACTCAACAGAAACAAGTGATCCATATACCATATACCATATAAGTGGCCATTTCATTTTGCCTTCTTCCACCAAATCTTAGCAACCTCAACCATTGCCATGAGCCACTGTAGACCTACCAGCTACAAACAAACAAGTATCTTTTAAAAACACTTCATACTCCCATTTGATAAATTTCCCAGCAAAGAGATGCCTACTTTAACTCTATGCAAGTGGCTCATATTCACGAAGTCTGTAGATATTATTCATGTAGTGTGAGAAAATCATCCCAGCGATGCCAGCACATTCTTCTTCCCATGATCTGCTTAGTTTGCAAACATATTCAGGCCATGGGTGAGAGATTTGTATTTCACAGTACAACAATTTTATGGAGGGCATTGAAACTTACATTGAGCATTTTAGTACAGTCACACATCACTGAATGATAGGGATACGTTCTAACAGATGTATCCAGAGGCAATTTCATCATTTTGCAAACATCACAGAGAATATTACAAACATCTAGATTGTACAGCCTACCACGTCTAGGTTATATGGTAGATCCTCTCTCTCCCAGGCTACAAACCTGTGTACTACATTACTGTACTGAATACTGCAGGCAATAAGAACACAGTGGTAAGAGGTTATGTATCTACACATACTTAAACGTAGAAAAGTATGTAAATATGTATTATAATCTCATGGGACCACTTTTGTATATGTAATCCATCTTTGACAGAAATGTTATTATGCATGACATGAATGTATGACAAAAAATAAAATAACACATTGTAAAAAATGTACACAGGTATCAAACATATTAATATTGTAAAAATAAAAATATTCAGTGTAAGAATTTGTAATGATCACAAAATATTCACAGCTTATATTTTAGTACAGTTTCAAATGCCTAGTGCAATTACTATTTATTTCTGTGTGTATTTTAAACACATATATAATATTTTTCAGGTTCAACAATATATATCAATCCAACTGGCTCTCATAAATATTAGTTAAAATCAATTAGTAAATTCATATATATATATACACACGGGTATCAGTCTGTATGCATGTATGTGTGTGTAAATGTAACTGTATGTGTGTGTAAATGTAACTGGATGCATCCTAATATTTACCCTTACCTACAAGATTTCCAAGATTCATTTATTATCTGTAGATGATGTGCATTTAAATATTTACCAAATAAAACTGTAATCGTGGAAAATATCAAGATGTTATTAAATTCATCTTGTGCACATAATTGTTTCTTTAAATTTATGTTTCTTGCAAAACTTGCGGTAATGCTCATGCACAAAATAATTTTCTAAATAAAAAATAAAAACATTTTCTCAGTCATTAATTTTTAATAATTATTTCTCCCCAATAATTAATGTGAATTAATTCTTAATTCTTAATTATAGAATAATGTTGCCCTTCAGAGTTCTAAATCTTTTGCATGTTGCATACATTTCACTAACTAGAACAACTTCTGGAATATTGGCATTAATTAATGTCACTCAGCAATTAATGATTTCAAGGAAATTAAATACCTTTCATATTCTGAATCACAAGGGTACTCTGGCATCTAATTTAATCAAGCTTTTTGTATCATCATCTACACTTTAATTACTTTACAAACATTTCTCTGTATGAGAAAGATTGAGCAGGTTATTGTGCTTTTTTACGATGCAACTTTTGCTTAATCTAGAGATAGGCAATGCTCCCTATAAGGGACAAAGAGAAAAATGAAAGAGCAATAGAGATGTGACAGGCAAGGAAAAAGACAATACATTTATAAAACAAATAGGGCCACACATGATGATAATGGGGATCAAATCTTGAGAGACTGACTCAGTTTATAACCGCACTGTACAATAGAGCAAATCATTTGTTAATTTTTTTATAAATGGAATTTAATTTAATTAAGATGAATACAGTGTTTTAAACAAGGCAGGTCATCTTAAAATAAAGTAGTGGAATAAAGTGATAAAACCAATGTAAAAATCATAAACACTTCTAAATAATTTTTGTCATGTAATTTAATATTTTTCTTTATTTAAAATCACACAAATCAAAATAATTTTATCTTAATTAACAAATAATCATCAGAAGTTAACTAATTTTTACTTTATAATACTAGGTTTAAAAATTCTTAACTATATTTTTAATCATATATGCTTATACATAAAATAGACATAGGGTATATGTTTACATGTTCACAATATTATATTGTAATTGTTCCTATGGATGTGGTTTTTCAATAGAGTTAATAAGTACTTTTAAAAAGTTTCAATTTCAATGATATATATGTTTGATTTTTCTTTGACAAAGCATACATATATTGATAGGTAATAATAAGAAAATCTTCTAAAGACATTACAGGAACATGAATAATTAAATCCTCAATAATTTGTAATGTTTTATGTAAGCGGAACACATTTAACTGAAAATTGCTTTTATATAATCACTCAAACGAGACTAAAAACATATTAACTAGCGGAGTAAGTCTTTAAATTGATAATTTGAACTATATAAGAGGAGAAACTTCAAGCACTCAAATATTTGAAATGCTACAAAATATTTATATAAACTATTATTTAACAATTTCTGTTTGTAGAGTGCTATACAGTAATCAATATAAATGACATCTCAGTCTTTCTATAGCTTTGACCACATTTACCTCCTAATTTTAATTATTAATATGTTGGAGCAGTGCATACAACTAGATTCCGATCTTCCTTTTTAATGAGTAAAAATATGTCCTTTGAGACAGCATTAAAGAAAGAGCACCTTGTATAAATTCAATGCCAAGAGACAAGATATTCTTGATTCTGAAGTCTTGTTCCTTTATACAGCAATGTAATTAATAAGAAGAAGAAAAGCAGGACATAGATATGAAGTCTATTTTAATCAAAAATGGTCTATAGATTTTGATGATAAAATTTAAAAATCTACCATATTTAGTTAGTCACAAAAAACTAAGTTGTGGGAACATATTTGGTCAATAAAACACCCCTACCAAATGCTGACAAGAAAAAAAGTTAGGTACCACCTTTCTTCTCTGCAGATGGCCTGAGATGGGTTAATTTGAAAGAATGCTTCCAAACCTGAGGTGACCCCTGAGAACAGCATAATCCACTGCTGTCTCCTACATTCAGTTTCTCAGTCTGTGCTCGTTTAATTTTGGGGGGAGGGAAGCCAGTCCTTTAAAGCGATCTTCAGTATGATGGCAGAGCCAAGGAGTGTGGACAGGTGGCACGGTGTCTGACTTTGTTCCAGCAGCCACTTGGGCTTTCTCTGGGTCTTCTCTGCCCTAGGGATAGCACTACTATTGAAAATATGTCTTTGTGACATTGTCTATGCCAGGAACTCCCAACACATTTTCCTTGAAACTGATGAAATGAATAAAAATAAACCAAGAGGTGTGCTGTTTGTTTCTGTTTCCTCTTTTCTGCAGCCCTTCTTGATCATCTAATATTTTTAAATACATTGTCGATCACCAAAAGGAGCATAAGGGCTTTATTGGTTTGTAGCAGATGTATTAATAGCCCAGCCCCTATTCCTTACCTGTAGCTGCTGGGAAGAAAACCATTCTTAACACTCTACAAGGTCTCATCTCCAGAATTTGCACCAGTTTCTAGCTGAGGACTTTCTCTAGCAGCACGGGAGCTTGTTACTGGGCATGAAGTGTGAAGAAAAGGTGAGGGTAAATAAGAAGAATCTCCCTGGATTCAGTGATGTAATTCTGAGGCATGCTTCACATAGCTTCCCATACAATTAAGCCCAGATATCTAACACAGGAACTTACCTCTTAACACGTGTGTTATTGGCTTTTCTATCTTTCCTGTTTTATTTTGTTCTCTTTTCCTTGTCTCACTTTCACTGTGTCCTCACTCCTGCTTTAAGAATACCCAAACAAATATGTTCATTTATTTTTTTAGACTCTCAGAACACAGTTGATAGTTGAACTTCTAATCTATCATAATCAGCTTGGATGCTATACTGACAGGAAGATGGTGAACTCACCATGTCTAATTAAGATACAATTTAAAAAATATATTGAATCATGTCCAAAGATTTAAAAAGCCTAAGCGGCAGTGTCACAATTTCTTCTTAGTTTACATGGTTTCTTAAATGCCTACAATTATTTTAAAGGAAGCCTTGAGTCTAGGAAAAATTGAGACATATGGAATAAATTACTAACCCATTTCTCCTTGAAATCCATTAGATGTTTGACGATTTTTCACATATATTTCTGAATTGAAAAGCTAGTTGGGAATTATTTTTATAAGCATATCCTTATGTAATATTTCATTTCTAACAGTGAATTGTTTAAAGATTAAATTATTCTATCCAGAGAATAAAAAGCAATTATTTCACAAGGAGAACATGTGTATGTTGACACGACATTTTAAAATCTAGATTTTAAAATAGGTCCATATAATTTTGAGTGAATTAGAATATGTTTGTATCAGTCTGTCTACAGTTTTACACCTGTAGAATTTACAAGTCAAAAGGTACTTGAAATAAAAGAAGTACCTTGAACAATTTTGAAATTTATTATTCCTCTGAAACTGATTAAAAGAATTATGGTAGACTGAAATTCTGATTGGCGTAATTTGGGAGAGAAATTATTCCTTTGAGATCATCCTCTGCCAAGATAGTTTATAATGACATTGAGACTTTTTGATTTACAAAATTTGTTATATAAAAAATACTAAGACGATGACACATAATACACAGACTTTAATTAAAATTTTACTAAAATTAAATGTCTAAATAAATTACAAGGTTACGTGGTACATCTAAATGTATGTTTATATATTTTATTTGTGCATTTTATTCCTAGGGTTGCTATTGCTTTAGTTTGTAAAACGTCCTTATTTTTATGATAGTGTAGTATATACTAAATAAAGAAAAATCAGGAAATAGAAAATGAAGAAGAAAACATTAGCTATTGTCAACCAAATAAAAATTGTGCAATCTCTAAGTACATGAACGATGTATTATTTGTACAGCATGTACAATGTTTATGCTTCACAGGGTGAGGTAGAGACTGCAAAACATTGAACCTGGGACAAATAAGAAAGTAAGGAAATTTTCACATATATTAATATTATAGAAAATGTTGAACTTAACAGTTAAGATACAATAAGTGAAAAATGATAGTATTTAAGGAGATCTAGAAAATTTAATCTATATCAGTAATGTGTGAGAAGTATTAGAATAATGCTTGTATTTCTGGATTGGCATCGATTTCTATTGAGACTGGAAACATAATAGAAGTGAGCAAAAAAGTATTTAAATTGTGGATACTTGAGTTTTATACCTAGGAGTTCGAGAAATACATTTTGTTACTATCAAAGCAGTTGGCACAAGAGTGTACAAAATTCCCTAATTGTGTCTATGTGGCGAAGACATAGACAAACAGAGAATAGCAAAACAGAAATAGCAAAAAAGCACAAATAAATTTTACCTGTATTTTTACGTAAAAGCCATTTAGAGTAGGAAAACATGAAATTTGTGTTTTATCAAAATTTTTCTCTTTCTTATAGTATAATTGATTATATTACTGGAAAAAGTTGAAGCAGTGATATGTTCACAAAAAAAAAAAGTAAAATATAAGGTCAAAACCATGGGAATGCAGGGAGCAGACAAAATACACCTAAACACTGAAACTGATTTTGCCCTAGGGACATGTAGCAAAATGAATGAGTGCAGATTCCTACTGTCATACATCACATAGGACAGTAAAGAAATACATAGTTTTTCCCAAGATAGGGCATCACACAGGAGCTCCTCCCTAAAGCTAGGACCAAAATTTACATCCTCAGTATAAAGAAGAATCAGAGGTAAATTAGTCCGATTTCACATTCCCTGGAAATGGCAAATAAAAATGACTTGAGATTGGACAGATTTAAAGAAACTCAATCATTAATGATTTACAGCAATTAATTTAAAAATTGTTTAAATGTGCTGTCCAAACATACGTCCAAACACCTTTAGGCCAAGAATTAATATAATGTGGTCCCAGAATGGTGGTGCCTTTAGTAGACTCACAAAAAATTCAAATTCTCTTTGGCAAATTTTCTTCTTACTAATATGCAAAAGTGCACAATAATAATTTTCAGAGAAAAATAAATCTTTGTCATTCAAAGGCATCTAAGTACACAAGGAAATGATATTCCACCATTTGAAAGGAAAATAGAAAAAGAGTACAAACAGATCCACAAAGGTTCATTAGTAGAAATATCACTGTTAGATTATAAAGCACATTTGCTTTCAAAAAATTTTTTAAAAAATGAATATATTTTTAGGAGACTAAAAAATTGATGTTGCAAATTTGAAAAGTAGTTTGTATATAGTATTTTAAATTAAAAACTCAAAAATGAACTCATCAGATTAGACATGGCCATGGTGAGAGTTCATAAATATTTCAGAATGCATTACAGAAAATTTTTAAAAATGCACAATGTGGACAGAATCATGAAGAGACATGGAAGATACAGTGAGAAAGTGTAGCATGTGTTTAGTGAGTGTTCTCATAGAAGAAGGGAACCGGGAAGGGACAATATGTGATGGTATTTTGGCTGAAATTTCTCTAGACTTTTGTAAGACACTAATCCGTGTATTCAAAAATTCTATGCATGCTAAGCAAGCTACAATGGAGATAAACCTACATCTACATATCTCGTAGAGAAATAGTAAACAATCAGGAAGGGAAAAATATTTCAATGAGCACTAGAAAAATCAAATTACCTTTAATCATATTGAAATCTGAAAGCATGAAAGGTAAAATAAACAATATTATTTGTTAAGAATAATAATGCCATTCTGAAATTCTCAACCAAGAAAAATATTCATCAACCTATGGCTAAATAACATATTTAGAGACAAAAAACAAAACGCCACCAGCAGAATTCCACTAATGAAACTAAAAAGAAACTCTGAAAACATGCTTCAGAAAGATTGAAGTTCTGAAATCAAAGAATGAACACAGAGCAAAATATATTGTAAACATACAGATAGATCTAAATAAAAAATTAGGTGTTGAAACAAAAAGATATTTAAAATTAGATAAGCACTGCAATATGTATGTTAGGAAGCAAATTGTTAGGGCTGAAGTATTCAAAAACCCCTTAATTGCCTGACAAGAGCAGAAAGGTATGACTTTGCAACTTTTTCTTTTTTTGAGAAGCAGTCTCACTCTTTCTCCCAGGCTGGAGTGTGGTGGCGCCATCTCTGCTCACTGCAACCTCTGCGTCCCTGGTTCAAGCAATTCTCCTGCCTCAGCCTCCTGAGTAGCGGGGATTACAGCCGCGTGCAACCATGCCTGGCTAATTTTTGTATTTTTAGTAGAGACGGGGTTTCACCATGTTGGTCAGGCTAGTCTCCAACTCCTGACCTCGTGATCCACACGCCTCGGCCTCCCGAAGTGTTGAGATTACAGGCGTGAGCCACCGCACGCGACCGACTTTGGAACTTTAATAAATTGACTGGACATTATGCATTTCTCTGTTGCGTCTATGAAAACAATAAAAATAAAAGTCATAATTTTAAAACAAGAAGACAGAAACTGATAGGAGAAAATGAGACATTATATATATATATACACAACAAATTAATAATACAAAATTAAGTGTAAATGATCAAAGATTAACTTAAACCTAAGTAGACAACGTTTTTGTTAAAATACAAAGATTGGCAAAATTTAAAACATCCGTCTCTATCATAGTTACAAGAGAGGCAACTAATATATAAATTTACAGAAACTTTGAAGTTCAAACAATACAGATACTGTGTATATATGATATACATACAAACATACTACATGAATATAATCTTTTAAAAAGTTGCTATGTAGACAAAATAGAATGTTAGAAACATTTATTAAAATAAGTCTAACCAGTGTGATAAAAGTTTTAAGTTATTAAGAAGATGTGATGACTTAAATGTGCATTAGCCTGATACATACATATATGTATACACACAAACCACACACTCTCTCACACACACATAGACACACAGGTATTTAGAGAGAGAGTCAAATTATATAAAGCAAAAATATCAGAAAGTAAGTAGAAATGGATAAGCCCCCAAATATTATAGACATTTCAAACACACATCTTTGAGTAATAGATAAAAGAAAAAATTAAAAGAGTAAGTTTTAAAAGAAGCTAGTGGATTTTAAAAAGGGCAAATATTATATAAGGAACATGAATATTATAATTCATGTTATTTTCATGTTCATACAGAATACTTACAAAAATTAACATTTTCTAGACCATGCCACAAATTCAAACAATTTTCACGGAAATAACGTGACACAGAATATATTTCCTAAACAAACAGCAATGAAGGCAGATATCAATACAAAAATGAAAGCTAGAAACATAAGTCTAATAATATTGGTTGGAAGCTATTTTAATGAATATTGAAATATTTTAAAGGTGAATAGTCAATACAAATAAACCAAACACTTTTGTAAGGCCACTAAGATGCATGTGTAATGTGTAATGCCTCCTTTTATAAGGAGTAAATCTGTAACATCACCTGGGCTATTTGACAACTGCAAAGTGAATGTGAGAAGGAGAGAAACAGTGAGAGAGAGAGAGATAAAACCAGTAAAATAAACATAAAGAATGAAGGAGATAGCCAGGCGCCATTGTTCATGCCTGTAATCCCAGCACTTTGGGAGGCTGAGGCAGGTGGATCACCTGAGGTCAGGAGTTCGAGACCAGCCTGGTATAACATGGTGAAACCCACTCTCTACTAAATATACAAAAATTAGCCTGGCATGGTGGCATGCATCTGTAATCCCAGCTACTCGGGAGGCTGAGGTGAGAGAATTGCTTGAACGTGGGGGTGGAAGTTGCAGTAAGTAGAGATCACGTGACTGCACTCCAGCTTGGGCGACAGAGCAAGACTTCTTGTCAAAAAAAAACAAAAAACAAAAAACAAAAAACGAGGAAATAGTACACGAAAAAGCAAAATTAAAGCAACTGGGTATATATTTAAAAAGGCAAAAGCTCACTTTTTCAGAAAAATATTAAAATATTAAATCTAACAAATATCTAGGTAGACTGATGGAGAAAAATACAGAAAATGCACAAAAAACCAATTACCTGGAATGCGAACGTTACAAAACGTCAGCAGTTGTAGATTTTAAATAAGCAATGATTTTTGAGTTCAACCATGATGGGGTATATTGAAAAGAATCTCTCAGAAAAAAAGAAAAAGAAAACTGTTATAAAGCTATGTACAAAATGTTAAGCACTATTAAAGTCTTCCAAATCTACCAGTTATGGAGTTATTGGTCTTGGACTAACTATCCTGAAAAGAAAAAAACAAAACAAAACAAAACAAATCAAAACCTAAAAACCTGGATAAAATGGCCTACCGTGGGCACTGGCAATGCATCCAAGCAGGTAGGACCTGGGTGCTACATTCTCTTTGTCAGAACACAAAGCATTCATACACTCTTCTCACCCTCAATTTCACCTTTTAATCTTAGATCTACTATTAAATGTATTCAACATTACTATCAATCCTTTGGTCAAAATTTCTTTACTTACGTTTTGCTTGATGCACTTGGATAGACTGTTCAAGAAAGTGTGAGTAGTGAATTCCTCAAACTCTTGCATATTTAAAATCACATTTTTGAACCTTGATGCTTGAAGTGTAGCTTGGGTAACAGATGGGCTTTAAGCCAATTTTGGCATGCAAGGGGTTGAGTTTATTAGGCATCAGCACCGCTGAAAATCATGGGGATGCAGGCTTAATTTCAACACTATTCTAAATACTTGAAAGATATTATATAATTCTTTAATAAACTCCCGTGTCTACAAATGGTTCACATTAACTCAATATCCATGATTAAACATCTATAAAATCAAGGCACTCTTATTTAGTGGAGACTTGCTGGCTATTCTATGAGAGGAGGTATTGTTATTGTAATCTCATCCTCTCATAAAAGTGTATCATATTACTCATAACCAGCCCTTCATATTCTATTCCTATTTTGGTATTTTAAAATAAGATATCTTTGAAACACTTGAATTCAAAGAGGGAATCTGAATAATTTTTAAAATGTCAATGAAATGCCATTTCTTCATGCTTCAACAACTAAAAATTGACTAAAGTGCTTCTCTTCAAACTTTCTGGAACATTTTTTATCTAAATTCTAAGAACAATCACATCTAACCACAAATGTGAGAATATTCTAAATGTTAGGGTGGAACAATTTTTAAAATAAATTTATAGTAATTTTTTTCATCATAGTGACAGTGTGCTAAATTTTTGTAAGCCAACTATTACTGTAGACATTTAAGTCAGGATTCTAAGAAGCTGTTCTAAAGTCCAAAATTTAGTTTCATATACACTGATATTATATATATATTTGCATAAAAAATTAATACATGTGAGCCATGTTTCAAATAGTTGAGAGATTATTATATCAAAGATTCTTGATTATATAAAATGCCAATTACTTATAGGCAGACATGCTTTAAATAATTACAAAGGCAGTTGTGGTTGATTCTACTCTTGCTACTGGCATTTATATGGACATACTATTATGGTCTGAAGAATATTTAGGCAAATTTATCCCTCATATGATCAGAAGAACAATGCAAGATAGTTTATATCTGAAAGGAAAAAAATCTTTATATGGTTCTGAAAGCGCAAATCATTAACAACTTGGATAATAATTAGCATAAAAATACACAAACATGCCCTCTTCCTAGCAGTAAGTACACAGTGACAACAGAATCTAAGCATGTGGCTATGCGCATGTTTATATTTCAAGACGCAGAGCACTCTATTCCTCTTCTCTGCCCTTTCTAGATGGCACAATTCCTCATGGATCTAAGTGCAGTCATAGGGTGGATTAGGGTGACCTGCCATTTGTATGCAACTGATCTCTATTTTGGAAGTAATTAATGTAAAAATATATTTTTAAAAGATAATTTCAAATTTCAGGGCAAACTAGCATGGTTTCACCCCTTTTCTTTGTAACATTTTTTCTAAGGTTGGAAAAGTTAGGTAGGCTTTAGTATGATTTTAAATAATAAGTTTTCAAAGTGAGACGCAAAATGGTGGCGCCAACACATTTCAAATCTGCTACATTTTGAATACACTTATTGGAGAAAAGACCTTCTCATCATTTTTCTCTTACAGGAAAGGAAATAACATGTACAGTTGACCCTTAAGCAACATGGAGGTTGGGGTGCTGGCCCCCCTGCACAGTAGAAAGTCCACTATAACTTTGACTCCCCCAAAACTTAACTACTAATAGCCTACTGTAAGCCTTACAAATAACACAGTCAATTAACACATATTTAATATGTTATATGTCTTATATACTGTATTCTTAACAAACATGCCAGAGAAAAGAAAAAAGAAAATCATAAGGAAAATATATTTACTAGTTATTAAATGGAAGTAGATGATCAAACAGGTCTTCATCCTCATCCTTTTCATGGGCAGGGTGTGGAGAAGGATGTAGAATTGTTGGTTTTGCTAAGTGGACGTGCACAGTTCAAACCCCTGTGGTGCAAAGGCCAACTGTATAGTCATTGAATAGCAATTTATTTTTAGAAATTAACCTCACTAAAATACTCTTAGAAGGATGCAAAGAAAAAAAATGAATAAGTATTTTTGGTTCATCTATTTCATCATTTCATTTCATTATTTCATTTCATTTCCTCGTTTCATTTCATTTCCTCATTTCATCATTTGATTTCATCCTTTCATTTCATCATTTCATCTCATTTCCTCGTTTTATCATTTCATTTCATCCTTTCATTTCATCATTTCATCTCATCATTTTATCATTTCATTTCATTCTTTCATTTCATTTCATCATTTCATCTCAACATTTCGTTTCATTTCATCATTTCACTTCATCTCATCATTTCATCTCATGATTTCATTTCATCTCATCATTTCATCTTTTCATCTCATCATTTCATCATTTCGTCTTTTCATCTCATTTCATTTCATCAATTCATCATTTCATCTCATTTCATTTCACTTCATTTCATTGTTTCATTTCATTTCATCACTTCATCTCAACATTTCATTTCATCATTTCATCATTTCATTTCATCACTTCATCTCAACATTTCATTTCGTCATTTCATCATTTCATCTCATGATTCCATCTCATTTCATTTCATCTCATCATTTCATCATTTCATCTTTTCATCTCATTTCATTTATTTCATCATTTCATCATTTAACTTCATGTCATCATTTCATCATTTCATATCATTTCATCATTTCATCTTTTATTCCATCATTTCATCATTTCACTTCATTTCATTTCCTCATTTCATCATTTCATTTCATCCTTTCATTTCATCTCATCATTTCATCCTTTCATTTCATTATTTCATTTCATCATTTCTTCTCATTGTTGCATTTTGTCATTTCATTTCATCATTTCACTTCATCTCATCATTTCATCATCTCATGATTTCATTTCATCTTATCATTTCATCTCATTTCATCTTTTCATCTCGTCATTTCATTTCATCATTTCATTTCATTTCATCTTTTCATCTCGTCATTTCATTTGATCATTTCATTTCATCAATTCATCATTTCATCATTTCATTTCATTATTTCATCATTTAATCATTTCACTTCATTTCATCATTCCATTTCATCATTTCATATCATTTCTTCATTTCACCATTTGATCTTTTCATTTCATTTCATTTCACCATTTCATTTCATCATTTCATTTCATCATTCCATTTCATCATTTCATTACATTTCATCATTTCATCATTTCACTTCATCTCATCATTTCATCTTTCATTGCATTATTTCATTTCATCTCATCATTTCATTTCATCATTTCACTTCATCTCATCATTTCATCTCATGATTTCATTTCATCATTTCATCTCGTGATTTCATTTCATCTCATCATTTCATTTCATCTTTTCATGTCCTCATTTCATTTAATCATTTCATTTCATTTCACCTTTTCATCTCATTTCATCATTTCATTTCATCAATTCATCATTTCATTTCATTATTTCATCATTTCATCATTCACTTCATTTCATCATTTCATTTCATCATTTCATATCATTTCCTCAATTCATCATTTCATCTTTTCATTTCATTTCATCATTTCATCATTTCATTTCATTATTTCAATTTCATTTCATTTCACCATTTCATGTCATCATTTCATCATTTCATTTCATCATTCCATTTCATCATTTCATTTCATTTCATCCTTTCATCATTTCATCTCATATTTCATTTCTTCATTTCATCATTTCATTTCTTCATTTCATCATTTCATCATTTCATTTCATTTCAGTGATACATGTATTTAAGTGCTAATGCAATGCCCAGGAGACACCCTATTTCCCTTTGTAAAACACCTCCTTCAACAAAAGGCAACTTCTCATGGCTGGCTAAGTCTACAGGGATACCAGCCTCTCTTCAACCACCCAATTTCACTTAGAACCTCAAACAGCACCTCAGTTTCATAAAAACCTAAAACATAAACACAACACTTGGTTGTAAGTGAGCCAACAGTTTCTCGTCTCTTTCTCTGCTCAAGGCTTAAGGCCGTGTCTCCCCAACTACATTCAGTGGAAGAAAAGATCCCCTGGACAAATAAGTTTGAGAATTGTTGTTGCAGGAATTCTCAGAACCTTCAAAACACAAATCCTCATCCGCAGGGATCTTCAGGAGGGAGATGGCTGATGCAGCACAACTTTCTTTCACAGGAGTATCTTGCAGAATACAGTATGAGATACAGAAAGGCTGCATTGAGTCTTTTTAATGGCCCGGGCCTTGGTGGGGGTGGGGTAGGAGCTCTCCAGCTAGCATCTAATGAGTAGGAATATTCAGGTGGCTTTTTTTTTCCTTATTGGCAAAACTGTGTGTACACCATGAATGAAGCTGGTCTCCCTTATCCATATCAAAACTAAACCCAAATTAATTGGCTAAATTGGGACTCAACACCTCCAGGAGCCACGCGGCAGAAAGCCTCAACACACTTTAAATTAGCTTACCTCATCATATTTGAGGAAAGCAAAACGCTTATGACCAGTATGCTGCTAATACAAGTCTACAGATAATGCTGTATGAGAAACTAGTTTTCCCAATCATAGCTGGCATAGTCCACATTTTGCATTACACTTTCCCCCCTTTTTTTAAATTTTAAACACAGGTCTTTTTCTCTTCTTTTTTTAAATTTTAATTAAATTATACAAGACGGAGTCTCAGTATGTTGCCCAGGCTGGTCTTCAACTCCTGAGCTCAAGCGGTACATCCGTCTCCGCCTCCCAAAGTGCTGAGATTACAGGCCTGAGACACTGTGCCTGGCCTTAAACACAAATCTTAATTCATTCTTACAATTATTCTGAGGTTACAAAAATGGAAGGGGAAGAAAAATGGCAAGCAGGTAGGCTGACTTCGGCTTCATTATTTGGAAGGACAGTTTGCTCGGTTAAAACACACTACTGCCTACAAAGACCAAGACAACAGAAAAATACAGACTTACATAAATAGATTTTATATGTGACAGCAGTTTGAACGGAGAATTTTTCAATGCAATGAGAACCAGTTGTGCTTGGGAATAAATGACAACGAATTTTTTTATCTCAACAACTGTCCTGAGAGCATGTCTCTACATCTCTACCTGCATTCTGGAATCAGGGAGAAAGCAAAACGGACGACAAGATACTAGATCAGCTGTGTCCAACCCTTTGACTACAAGGACTTTTCTGCCTATCTGTGGTGGTGGGTATCATGAAAATTATGCATAAACCTTTTTTTTTTTTTAAGCTCATCAGCTGTTGTCAGCATTAGTGTATTTTGTGTGTGGCCCAGGAGCATTCTTCTTCCAATGTGGCCCTGAGAAGCCAAAAGACTGGACACCTGTGCACTAGATCAAAAGGCTACTCCTTCTGGAAGCAATTGTAAAGAATTTCTGACATTATCTTGACATGAAAACCAACAGATAGTGGGACAGAATGCAAAATCTTCAAGAATTTTTCTTGTCTTTTTTTTTTTTTTTTTTGAGTCACGGTCTTGCTCTGTGGCCCAGGCTGGAGTACACTGGTGAGATCACAGCTCAGTGCAGGATCAAGTGCTCCTCCCACCTCAGCCACAGTAGTAGCTGGGACTACAGATGCGCACAACCACCCCTGGCTAATATTTTATTTTTTGTAGAGATGGGGTCTCACTATATTGTCCAGGTTGGTCTCAAACTCCTTGACTTAAGGGATCCAGGACAGGATAACAGGTGGGAGCCACCACACCTGGCCATGTGCATGAACTTTTAAGACAAACACAAGGCCCCACAAAAGTTAAGGTTTTCCCACCTAATTTCCAGGGGGATCTTTTGGTGCAAGGCTGAGAAGCCCTTAAAAGTACACAGACAACTCCAAAGATTCAAGACAGTTCATTCGGGCTGAGCCAGCCCACTGGGTAGACTGACCTTCAAAAAAGGCCCACCCATGACATACACCAGATGGCTCTCCAAGAATCTCTTCAGTCCTCAGAGTCCCTAAGGTACTGGACAGAGCTAGGAAAGCAAACCCATTTGCTTCTTCCTGCAGGAAACCCCTTGGGGTCAAGACCCCACAATCAGACGAGGATGGAGTGGCTCACCCTCAGTCAACAGGCCAGACTCAAGGTGGTGTAATGTCTTAACCAAGGGCGCAGGCCTCCAGGTCTGACTCCCAACTTAGTTCTTCTTTAATAAACACACTTTGTTAATTCTCCTTAACAGGGGTTCCTGGCAAGTCAGTTCTCCCTCAGGCCTTTGGTTTCCTCACCTACAAGATGAGAGGGCTGGACCAGATGGAAATTCAGGGGGTAAGAGGATGTCCGCGCGCAGCCCACCCCCACCCCCATGGGACCCTGGAGCCTCCATCCCATTTCCCACCACGCACCCGCTCCACAAATCCTGCCCAAGGTGAGGGTTGGTCCCGGGTCCTCTGGCTGCCGCATCAGCGAGTGCAGGAGGGAGGGGAAGCCTCCAAGGGGGTGACTCGGGCTCAAGGATGCAACTCTGCCAGGAGTGAACTGGGGCCCTGAAGGAGGTGTCCGGGCCGCTCCTGGAGCCCAGCCCGGGTCCCCGAACCCCTTACCTCCAGGGTCCCTATCTCCTGCTGGGTGAGGTCGTTGGACACAGCGCACTTGCTGCACAGCCCCCACAGGCTGCCAATGAAGATGACGATGAGCTTCTGGAGCTGCCCGCACTGCTGCAGCGCCCGGCTGGCCGCAGCCCCTGCACCACCCTCCGCTTCACCCCTGCCACCGCCCTCCTTCTTCTCTCCCATCGCCTCCGCGTGCAGCGCCGCTCTATGCAGGCCACAGGGGCCTAGGCAGGGAGCCCGGGGTGCCAGCGCCTAGGCAAGGAACCCCCTGAGCCAGGAGAGCTGGACCAGGAGCGCCCCTCGGCGCTGCCCTTGCCAAGACACCAGTAGAGCTGGCAGCCGAGTCTGCTGCTCCCCCCCTCAGAGCCGCGGCGGCGGGGACAAAAATCCTCGGTGGCGGGGACAAAAAGCCGCTGCGGCGGGGGCAAAAAGCGGAGGCGACGGGGGCAAAAAGTCGCGGCGGCGGGGGCAAAAAGCCGGGGAGGCAAAAAGCCGCGGAGGCGGGGGCAAAAAGCAGTGGGAGCAAAAAACCATATAATGTCGCGGCGGCGGGGGCAAAAAGGTGCAAAAAGCAGCGGTGGCGCGGGCAAAAAGCCACGGCGGCAAAAACCCGCCGCGGCGGGGCAAAAAGCCGCGGGAGCGCGGAAAAAGCCATGGCGGCAGGGGCAAAATAGTGGAAATGGGGTAGAAGGCCCGCACAGCTTGTCATTGCTGGGGTGTGATGTGATAGGAAAAGTGCAGCCGAAGACAAAAAAAAAAGATGTAAGTAGGCTTGATTCAGTGCAGCTAAGAACCCAGATGTTATCTTGAGAGTATTAACTAATAATCAGTTTAAATCAGAATGGCATATTCTGATTAGTTTTTTGTATGTTCACATTTGGCAGGCATAGATACTGTTTGAAGAGAGGAAAGTCAGTAGATAGAGGAAACAAACTTAAATATGTGCCAAGTCTAGAAACAACAGACTAGGGGGATAAGTACATTTCAAAATAAAATGCAAGATTTGAAAACTGATTGGCTGAGAGATGAGGAAAAGGCAGGTCTTTAAGGTCAATCCCTGTTTTGCTTTAAGTTGTTAGGGGGTGGTTTTATCACATATTGTAGAATATGTCATTTCAGTTTTGAACATCTGGAGTTAAATTGTCCTAACATATCTTATGAATTTGATTTTCTTCCCTGGGAAGCTAATATTTCAAAAACTTAAAGAGTATATAGATTTCCAACTTGTATCCAATTTATAAAACTATCTCTAGGCTGCTGATTTCAGGAGGAGGCTCATGAATATTCTCTTTGCAGAGAATATATCAGGAGTTAACAACATCGTCAATATTTGTGAACGACCAGTTAACTAAGCCACCTCTTAGTGTATTTAGATGGGAAATCTTAGCTGAAGATATTCAATAATGAACCAAGAGTGACTAAAAAATTCAATATTGAAGTATATTTCATTGTAATAATTTGAATTGAAGTAGCCATATACAGCTAGTATTTACTACATTGAACAACGCAAATAAGAGGAAAAAATTAATAACCATCTCTAATACCACATGCCAGAATCCTCATCAATTTATTCTAGCTAAAGGAGTTGATCAGAAGCAGCAGTTGAAAGCACCAACTAAACCAGCTGGGGTTAGTTCACTGTCGTTCTCTCAGAACCATCTCTTTTCTGAACAAAACAAGTACAAGAGTTCATTGTGAATCTGCATTTTCCTTGCGTATTTTAAGGTTTTGATATTGACACTAATTTGTGAAATCCCTCCTGTGGTGTGATATATCATTTTCCTTGCTTTTTGTTAGGAGAACAATGTTTCAGCTCTTAATTTAAAATTATGTTTCTCCCTCCTAGGTTGAGTGAACTTAGAATGCATTCTCTGACATATCCAAGTTTTTGTTAATATGAATTTGGGGGAAAAAGCATACTTAATTAGCTAAGACTTCTTATTCTAGGCTTGACCCTATGTTCCACATCTTTTGAATTTGTAGTTGCATAGGCTGCTCTCTGACACTGGTTAGTGACCTGGAAGCTATAGTAACGTTAGGGGAGGTGTTGTATGAGCATAGAGGTATCCTTGCAAGGAAAGACTTGTCTTATCTCAATACGTCTTTTTTTTTGCACACAAGAAAGTCAATGTTTGAGTCTTCTAAAATCTTCCTATTTCCAAGTTGCAGAGTACCACTGATTCCTAAACAAAGATCTAATTTTTGACTCAGAGACGTAGCAAGGTCTGAATCGCAATTATAATTTAATGATCATTAAGATAAAATTATCTCTCTGATATTTAGATTTTGCCCAATTATTAAGATATTTGGGTGTTTCGTTAAGAATGGAAGACTCTAGTCTCTTGAACAGAGACTATAAAGGCCTCAGATGATCATTTTTAATTTTATGCTCTTTTCTTTAACACCTTCAACACAGTTGGAAGCAGCCGATATTCCCCAGAGTTGTTGTGTTTTTTAAACCAAATGCATTGTTCAGTGGTAGAAAACTGGGCCGATCCAAGCTGTTTTCAGTAAACACTTCATTTCAGGTGACCTATTTCATATTAAATAATCTCTAGATCCTGTCTTCAAAACTAACTAGATCAGATAACCTACTCTGGATTTTCCCCTTTTAGGGTCTGTGAGCTGCAGTCACTTTTGTGAAAATGATTGCAATGAAAAGATAGAGTTGTAGATGGGGAAAATGTTTTGACTAATTTAAGCATAGTGGTATTTAATATGAGAATTTAAGTTACACACATTTGAAAATTATAATGGAGTCTTTTGGCTGAGCTTTAAAAAAAATATCGTTTGGGCTAAAAAAGGAACTGCTGCCTCTCCTAAAATCAGAAAGATGTTACAGTAATTCTCCATTCTCTAGAATTATCAGGAAGGACTTTTGTGATGATTTACTTTTGCTCTTGGGAGTGTGAGCCTGTGTAGTCATGGAACCATCAATTAGAATGGTGGCTTTCTGATCCCAAAGTCATTCGTTCTGAAAACAATATTTTTCATAAATTTGAAAGTGAAAAGTTTTGATCTTGCCATTCCCAAGTAACTCTCTTAATAAGAGGCATCAGCATGCTTCAGTGGCAGCTGTCACCTTCCAGTGCTGAGAGTCATCTTTGAGTTCTCCATTTCACTCCCTACACTCCAATTTAGCTGTAGTTCTCTTGGCCAGTCCTATGAAATACATCCATGGCCTAACGACTTCTCACCACTAATACCACTCATATTAACAGCATTCTCTCCTAAGTCACTACCTTTTTTCTCTGGATTAGAGTAGCCTCCCAATTTATTTGGTCACATAACCTATTTATTCTAAACAGTGCACCAGATGCACCCCTTTGAAATGCAAACACAATCATGTTATTCTCTGGTGAAATTATCTCATATATTCCTATCGCATTTAAAATTACTTCAGAATCATCCCATGATTATCAAAACCCTACATGCTCTTCCACAACATGGTTTACTTCCAAGATATCTCTTCAACTTTTTTTTCACTGTACCGAATTGGTGACTAATAGTCATATTTTTGTTTTTGCTCAAAAAGTCTTGACTTGTAAATTTTTCAGTTTCTCCTTTATCCACAGGTAACTCTTTCCTCATAAGGTGAATTGCTTGCTTCCTTGAGTTCTGCTCTCAAAGATACCCTTCATTTTCTACCTAATATTAATAACTTTAATCATTCATTATTCCATTACTATGCTCTATAGTGTATACAATTTCTGTTCTTTGTCATGTTATTAACTAAATTATTTATTTGGTCCAGTAACGTATTCCATAAATATTGTACACATAAAAATTATGTTATTTTTATTGCTGTATGCTCAGCTGCCCAATAACAGTTTGAGGATTAACATATTTGTTAAATGCACAAATACATTCTTTCACAAATATTAGTTTAATAATTTTATATTAAACTCCCTCTATACTTACAATATGAATTAGATAATTCAGAATAAACATTCCATTGGAAAAAACTAAACAATTTGTTATAAAAACATCCTTAAAAGCATCAGAAAGTTAATACAGCAATGAAGAATGACAGGATCAAATAAGAATGGTATGGACGCCTGTTTGTGAGGCTTATGTTTGGGTTATCTCTTTACTTAGAGTGACTATAAATCTCAAAAAACTAAAGGGAGAAATAACCATATCTACTAACATGGTAAGGGTATTTAAACATCTCTTAGTAATTGAGAAAATTGAAAGAAAAGGAAAAAGAGAAAGGGAGAAAAAGAAACAGAGCGAAAGGGATAATGAAGGAGAGAAAGAAGAAGAGAAAGGAAGAGGAAGAAAAGTAAAAAGGAGGAGGAGGGGGAGGAAGGAAGAAAGAAAGGTGGAAAGAAAGAATGGTAAAGTTTTTAACAACATAATTTATCCTTATAGAATATGAATGTTGGTCTATTTGATGATGTCCCACAGATTCCTTAGTCTCTGCTCATTTTTTATCTGTTTCTCAGAGTCAATATTTTCCATTATCTTATCTTCAAGCTCATGACTTCTTCTGTGTGTGCAAATATACTCTTAAATCGCCCTGGTGATTTTTAAATTTTTATCACTGTAGTTTTCCACTCCAGAATTTCTGTTATCTCTTTGCTGATATTCCTACTTTTTAATATTTTTTCTGATTCCTTTCTTTCTTTGTTTATGTTTTCTTTTTGACATTTGAGTATAATTAAGAGAGTTGTTTTAAAGTCTTTGTCTAGTAAGTTTGATGTCTGGGTTTCCTTAGAGATATTTTCTGTCAATTTATTTTTCTCCTTTGAATGAGCCTTACTTTCCCATTCTTTGTATGCCTTGTAACTTTTTTTGAAAACTGGACATTATAATAATTATAATTACTATGCAGTTACTCTGTAAATCAGACTCCCCCCCTACAAACACACTAATGTTTTGTGGTTTTAAAATTTATTTACTTATTATATTGTTAAGGTTTTTAATTTTAGTGAAATTTTCCAAAGTGATTTACAAAACTGTTTGCTTTATAAGGTGTGGTCACTGAAGTCTTTCTGTTTCCTTAACGAATGTTAAGCTAATATTTTGACAGTGATTTTCTTGTATGTCAGGAACTAAGCAAACAGAAAAATGCAACAAAAACAAAAAGAAAATCAAGTAATCATTATCCAGCAAAATATGTCTCTAGGCCATGCAGACTGGCTTTGTGCTGGGTTCTTTTTTTTTAATTAATTTTATTTTATTATTATTATTATTATTATTATTATTATTATTATTATACTTGAAGTTTTAGGGTACATGTGCACATTGTGCAGGTTAGTTAAATATGTATACATGTGCCATGCTGGTGCGCTGCACCCAATAACTCGTCATCTAGCATTAGGTATATCTCCCAGTGCTTTCCCTCCCCCCTCCCCCAACCCCACAACAGTCCCCAGAGTGTGATATTCCCCTTCCTGTGTCCATGTGATCTCATTGTTCAATTCCCACGTATGAGTGAGAATATGCGGTGTTTAGTTTTTTGTTCTTGCGAAAGTTTACTGAGAATGATGATTTCCAATTTCATCCATGTCCCTACAAAGGACATGAACTCATCATTTTTTATGGCTGTGTAATATTCCATGGTGTATAAGTGCCACATTTTTTTAATCCAGTCTATCATTGTTGGACATTTGGGTTGGTTCCAAGTCTTTGCTATTGTGAATAATGCTGCAATAAACATACGTGTGCATGTGTCTTTATAGCAGCATGATTTATAGTCCTTTGGGTATATACCCAGTAATGGGATGGGTGGGTCAAATGGTATTTCCAGTTCTAGATCCCTGAAGAATCGCCACACTGACTTCCACAATGGTTGAACTAGTTTACAGTCCTACCAATGCTGTAAAAGTGTTCCTATTTCTCCACATCCTCTCCAGCACCTGTTGTTTCCTGACTTTTTAATGATTGCCATTCTAACTGGTGTGAGATGGTATCTCATTGTGGTTTTGATTTGCATTTCTCTGATGGTCAGTGATGATGAGCACTTTTTCATGTGTTTTTTGGCTGCATAAATGTCTTCTTTTGAGAAGTGTCTGTTCATGTCCTTTGCCCACTTTTTGATGGGGTTGTTTGTTTTTTTCTTGTAAATTAGTTGGAGTTCATTGTAGATTCTGGATATTAGCCCTTTGTCATATGAGTAGGTTGTGAAAATTTTCTCCCATTTTGTAGGTTGCCTGTTCACTCTGATGGTAGTTTATTTTGCTGTGCAGAAGCTCTTTAGTTTAATCAGATCCCATTTGTCAATTTTGGCTTTTGTTGCCATTGCTTTTGGTGTTTTAGACATGAAGTCCTTGCCCATGCCTATGTCCTGAATGGTAATGCCTAGGTTTTCTTCTAGGGTTTTTATGGTTTTAGGTCTACCGTTTAAGTCTTTAATCCATCTTGAATTGATTTTTGTATAAGGTGTAAGGAAGGGATCCAGTTTCAGCTTTCTACATATGGCTAGCCAGTTTTCCCAGCACCATTTATTAAATAGGGAATCTTTTCCCCATTGCTTGTTTTTCTCAGGTTTGTCAAAGATCAGATAGTTGTAGATATGCGGCGTTATTTCTGAGGGCTCTGTTCTGTTCCATTGATCTATATCTCTGTTTTGGTACCAGTACCATGCTGTTTTGGTTACTGTAGCCTTGTAGTATAGTTTGAAGTCGGGTAGTGTGATGCCTCCAGCTTTGTTCTTTTGGCTTAGGATTGACTTGGCGATGCGGGCTCTTTTTTGGTTCCATATGAACTTTAAAGTAGTTTTTTCCAATTCTGTGAAGAAAGTCATTGGTAGCTTGATGGGGATGGCATTGAATCTGTAAATTACCTTGGGCAGTATGGCCTTTTTCACGATATTGATTCTTCCTACCCATGAGCATGGAATGTTCTTCCATTTGTTTGTATCCTCTTTTATTTCCTTGAGCAGTGGTTTGTAATTCTCCTTGAAGAGGTCCTTCACATCCCTTGTCAGTTGGATTCCTAGGTATTTTATTCTCTTTGAAGCAATTGTGAATGGGAGTTCACTCATGACTTGGCTCTCTGTTTGTCTGTTGTTGGTGTATAAGAATGCTTGTGTTTTTTGTACATTGATTTTGTATCCTGAGACTTTGCTGAAGTTGCTTATCAGCTTAAGGAGATTTTGGGCTGAGACAATGGGGTTTTCTAGATATACAATCATGTCATCTGCAAACAGGGACAATTTGACTTCCTCTTTTCCTAATTGAATACCCTTGATTTCCTTCTTCTGCCTAATTGCCCTGGCCAGAACTTCCAACACTATGTTGAATAGGAGTGGTGAGAGAGGGCATCCCTGTCTTGTGCCAGTTTTCACAGGGTATGTTTCCAGTTTTTGTCCATTCAGTATGATATTGGCTGTGGGTTTGTCATAGATAGCTCTTATTATTTTAAAATACTTCCCATCAATACCTAATTTATTGACAGTTTTTAGCACGAAGGGTTGTTGAATTTTGTCAAAGGCCTTTTCTGCATCTATTGAGATAATCATGTGGTTTTTGTCTTTGGTTCTGTTTATATGCTAGATTACATTTATTGATTTGTATATATTGAACCAGCCTTGCATGCCAGGGATGAAGCCCACTTGATCATGGTGGATTAGCTTTTTGATGTGCTGCTGGATTCGGTTTGACAGTATTTTATTGAGGATTTTTGCATCAATGTTCATGAGGGATATTGGTCTAAAATTCTCTTTTTTGGTTGTGTCTCTGCCCGGCTTTGGCATCAGAATGATGCTGGCTTCATAAAATGTGTTAGGGAGGATTCCCTCTTTTTCTATTGATTGGAATAGTTTCAGAAGGAATGGTACCAGTTCCTCCTTTTACCTCTGGTAGAATTCTGCTGTGAATCCATGTGGTCCTGGACTCTTTTTTTTTGGTAAGCTATTGATTATTGCCACAATTTCAGATCCTGTTATTGGCTCATTCAGAGATCCAACTTCTTCCTGATTTAGTCTTGGGACAGTGTATGTGTCCAGAAATTTATCCATCTCTTCTAGATTTTCTAGTTTATTTGCATAGAGGTGTTTGTAGTATTCTCTCATGGTAGTTTGCATTTCTGTGGGATCGGTGGTGATATCCCCTTTATCATTTTTTATTGCATCTATTTGATTCTTCTCTCTTTTTTTCTTTATTAGTCTTGCTAGCGTTCTATCAATTTCATTGATCCTTTCAAAAAACCAGCTCCTGGATTCATTAATTTTTTGAAGGGTTTTTTGTGTCTCTATTTCCTTCAGTTCTGTTCTGATTTTAGTTATTTCTTGCCTCTGCTAGCTTTTGAATGTGTTTGCTCTTGCTTTTCTAGTTCCTTTAATTGTCATGTTAGGGTGTCAATTTTGGATCTTTCCTGCTTCCTCTTGTGAGCATTTAGTGCTATAAATTTCCCTCTACACACTGCTTTGAATGTGTCCCAGAGATTCTGGTATGTTTTGTCTTTGTTCTCATTGGTTTCAAAGAACATCTTTATTTCTGCCTTCATTTCGTTATGTACCCAGTAGTCATTCAGGAGCAGGTTGTTCTGTTTCCATGTAGTTGAGTGGTTTTGAGTGAGATTTTTAATCCTGAGTTCTAGTTTGATTGCACTGTGATCTGAGAGATAGTTTGTTATAATTTCTGTTCTTTTACATTTGCTGAGGAGAGCTTTACTTCCAAGTATGTGGTCAATTTTGGAATAGGTGTGGTGTGGTGCTGAAAAAAATGTATATTCTGTTGATTTGAGGTGGAGAGTTCTGTAGATGTCTATTAGGTCTGCTTGGTGCAGAGCTGAGTTCAATTCCTATGTATCCTTGTTGACTTTGTGTCTTGTTGATCTGTCTAATGTTGATAGTGGGGTGTAAAAGTCTCCCATTATTAATGTGTGGGAGTCTAAGTCTCTTTGTAGGTCACTCAGGACTTACTTTATGAATCTGGGTGTTCCTGTATTGGGTGAATATTTATTTAGGATAGTTAGCTCTTCTTGTTGAATTGATCCCTTGACCATTATGTAATGGCCTTCTTTGTCTCTTTTGATCTTTGTTGGTTTAAAGTCTGTTTTATCAGAGACTAGGATTGCAACCCCTGCCTTTTTTTGTTTTCCATTTGCTTGGTAGATCTTCCTCCATCCTTTTATTTTGAGCCTATATGTGTCTCTGCATGTGAGATGGGTTTCCTGAATACAGCACACTGATGGGTCTTGACTCTTTATCCAATTTGCCAGTCTGTGTCTTTTAATTGGAGCATTTAGATCTGGACAACTTTTAGTGACAAAATGGAGCTTTAACATTCGCTGTCCCAGGGGATTTTCCAAATTTAGGCCTGTATATTGTCTCTTCTGTTCCTTTAGTCTAAGAATTTCACAGCCCACTCATCTCTCTCCTGTTGTATATCAAATGCTTTAGAGAGATTTTGAGTTTGGGGTACTGATTCCCTAGTTTCTTTCATTATCATTTCCCTTATGTCTTGCATGTTTTCTTGGTGAGCTGCGTTATTATTATCCCACTGGGGATCTTCGGCAGGGAATTTTTGGTCTGTGGTAGGAACGTTTTGACAAGGAGGGTGTTCATATTCCCAAATTGCCATAGCAGCCCTATGGATCAGATCATGCTTCTTTCCTCCTCCGAAAAGAGGATGCCTAGGATGGACATAAACTCGACCCAAGTGTATAACTGAGGTCCCAAGAATTGATCAACCTGATTTTTCACCTCATAAGGTTCATCTAATAATGGCTTAATTTCCTTTTTTAAACTTCAGGCTTCTGAACTGGTCAAGGGAGCATTCACAAATACAATGGCTCCTCCTACTTGTGGCATGTCTTTTAAGGGGAAGAGAGTTGGGGCTGACTCCTTAGGTGTGGAGAGAAAAGGGAAGTTCTGAATGTACTATTTATATTGCTGTACCTCATGCTGGAGTCCCTTTAAGAAGAGGTATTTAGGTTGACAGGGGACACGCTCATGGGATGATAACTCCCAAGAATTAGAGTTGTAAGGAGGAGGAACATTGTGAGCAGGAGAAGGATCTGGGGTGGGATCTGGGGTGGCAGCAGCTGCCCAAGGGGAAGGGTCAGAGGCACTGAGCAGGGCAAAATGGTATAGGGGATCCCATGTGCTGGCTTTAGGTGTGGGAGTCAGCTCGTCTGACTTTTCAATTTGAGATGCTGGATCGGGTTCTTCCCTAGTTGTCTTTAAGGGAATAAAGACAGGTGCCTGTCTCCAACAAAGAGCATAGTCTAGTTCTTCTTGAGAAACCAGATTTTTATCATTAACATATTGAATTAGAAGTTGACACATTACATCCTCATTCGACCCAAACTTTGGCCAGAAGATTGAGGTTTTGAAAATGGGACATTGGGTCCAAATGAAACAGCAATTTTTTATCCTCTAATGCTTTTTCTTATGTTTACTCCTCTCATTATCCTTCCAATATTTTAACATGAGACCCAGGGTACTATCAGGGGGCATGTCTTTGTTACTATCCTCTTCTTTTTTGCTCCCTGTCTTACTTGGGGATTTTCCCATGTTAGGTCCTGGTTAGGCTCAATCCCACATGCTAGAGATTTCTTCCCTATCCTTTATCCCCACCTGCTGGAGGCTCCTTGCACCCTTCTTTTCCTTCATCCACTCTGGTTGCTTCCCTCCCAGGAATTTTAGGTCCCTCTTAGCATTGGCATCATGGTATAAAACCCACAGCAGGATCTGCCCTGAGCCCTGTGAGGATACAGTGAATTCCTCTTCAAAGGTTTTTTATTCAAATAAAAAACCGCAGATAGGACCCACTCACTCCTCAGAGCAATAATGCTTAGTATCATCCACACAAACAGCACCACAAGCAGTAGTGCTTGTGATCATTCACACACACTTTCAACCTCCAGAATATCCTGACCACCAAGGAAATACTTTGTCACCCCTGCGACATTTCTTACCTCAGTCTGTGCACAGTTACCTGGTCACCACGGCATGTGAAGATCCTTTCCCCAAAGATGCTGGCCTGTTTCTTTCCACGTTGCTGAGATCCCAGGTTTATTAATCTCACCAGTTGAGTCTTGATTTCTTACCTTTATAGCCACTGCAACAAGGCAGCGGGGTGCGCCTCCTCACAGGAGAGGACTGGACCCTCCCCCAGAGGAAAATGGGAATGCTGGGTGGGCCCCCAAATTTGTGGAAAACAAATTTTCGGTGCCACAAAGAACAGTCAGCACTCCAGCAACAAGTTTTTACAGCAAGGCAAATTTACTTCTATGGAAGAGTGGTCTTGCAGATGGAGTAATGGCAAGATAACACCGGACAAGGGAGGGAAAGTGTTCTTATTCCTAACGCAGCTAGTCCCTACTGTTGTGTCTTTTCCCTATTGGATAGGGTTGGACTGCACACTCTAAGCTAATTCAGATTGGCTATTTCAAAGAGAGCAGGGGTATGAGCTGGAGTGGCAGGGTGAGTAGTTTCAGCGGGAAAGACAGTTACAGAGCAGGTGTCTAAGGATGACTAAGGACAGAGCAGGTGTCTAAGGATGACTAAAGACAGAGCAGGTGACTAAGAATGACTAAAGACAAAGCAGGTGTTAGAGGCTAGGAGGGGGTTGTTTAATGAAACTAGGGGCAAGGAGGCATAATGAACGAGGAAGTTAAACTTTAAAATGGAGAACAAAGAACAGAGAAGCTGGACATACTGACATATTTGTTCTTTGATGAGGAACTCAGAACTCACTGTACTTAACCCCCTCTTGAATTTTAAAGAATTTTTACAGGCTAAAATCTTTGAAGAGGAATTCACTGTATCCTATTCGTCAGGTGTTCTTTCCACCAAGCTTTCAGCCATGTCAGGTGTTCTTTCCACCAAGGGTGCAGCCTCGTCAGGTGTTCCTTCAGATGTTCCTTCTGCCAAACACACAGTCTGGTTAAATTTTCCTTTGGCTAAATATCATCCTTCTGACTCTTTACTTGGAAAACTTCTACTCATTCAGCTTGCTTTCCTTAAATACTACCAAACTTTTGTTTTCTCCTTTTTTTTTTTTTTTTTTTTTTTTGAAACAAGAGCCTCACTCTGTCACCCAGGCTGGAGTGCAGTGGCACGATCTCAGCAGATCACTGCAACCTCCACCTCCTGGGTTCATGAAATCCTCCTACCTCAGCCTCCCATGTAGCAGGGATTACATATGCATGCCACCCAGGCCCAGCTAATTTTTTGTATTTAGTAGAGATGGGATTTCACCATGTTAGTCAGGGTGGTCCCAAACTCCTGAGCTCAAGCAATCCGCCTGCCTTGGCCTTCCAAAGTGCTAGGATTACAGGAGTGAGCCACCGCTCCTGGACACTATCAAACTTTTTAAAGCTTTAATTCTTCACGTTGGATATAAAATGTCTGACACATACTGAATATGGTAATGACATAATAAGTGATAATTACAAGCTCCCAAAGGGGTTCTGGCACACAGTAAGCACTAAATAAAGTAGTAAATAATAAAAAAGATGATAATAACAAGAAAAATGCTTAGTACCTTAATAAAGTAGTAAATAATAAAAAATGACAATGATAATAACAAGAAAGATGCTTAGTACCCTAAAGATACCTGACAGTTATTTGTTAAGTGGACAAGTGGATAAACAAAAAACATAGTTAGGAAATTCTGTTGGAAAAATGCAGAAATTCAATAGAGACAGCTCTAATGTATTATGAGCACCTTAAAGACCCAGACTATGTGTATTCCATCTTGGTCTCCTGCTACTTGCAAAATCTAACTTATAGAAGTCCTTTGGTAAATATGTAATAAATTAAAGATGTGCTAATACAGTTCATATTGTACAATGTATTGTGTCACATTTAGGTATCACAGTAGCACTTTTGTTATTGTGAAAATTTTTTCCACTTTTATTATAATTTGTTGAGCCTAGAATTGAGCTAGTTGAATATTTATAATGATAATATTTTGGCTAGTAGGAACAGAGTAACTTGTTGTAACAAAATTACTATTAACACACTAATTATCCAGCAGATAGAACAACACATCTTGTTCTAATGAAGTAAATATATCTTATTTGGTTTCAACTTAGAGGGAATGAAGTTGATAATAGTGAGACCTTGTTGGTACAAGACTATGTAACATAACCTGCACTTCTCAACAAAGAATTGCTTTTCTGACTTCTGCACTCAGTAGGTATCTTTGAAAAATAATCTCCTATTGGTACTGATGCACCCTCGTTAAGTTATGTTAATTCTTATTGACATTCATTTATGGTGCAAGAAAAGCATTATTGAGTTCCAAATTCTAAAGAGAGTTACTTTTTTAGTGACACAAGTCACTATGCCACACAGTTGATCTTTGAATAAGGGTTTTCACTTTAGGAGCCCACTAATAGACAGATTTTTCTTTTCCTTTGCCACTGCAAGATACCAAGACAAATCTCTCCTCTGCCTCCTCCTTATCAGCCTACTCAATGTGAAGGCAATGAGAATGAAGTCCTTTATGTATAATTCACTTCCATCTAATAAATAGTGAATATATTTCTTCCTCTTTATAACAGTTTCTTTTCTCCAGCTCACTTTATTCTAAGAATACAGTATATAGTACATATAAAATAGAAATTATGGGTTAATTGACTGCTTCTGCTTTCACCTTTTTTCAGGCTCCAGGTCAACAGTAGAAAATTAGTAGAGTTTTGGAGGAGTCAAAAGAAACAGATTTTCATATAAAGCAGATTTTCAGCTGCATGGGGGGATGAGCATCCTAACTCTCATGTTGCTCAAGACTCAACTGTAATTAATTCTAATTTTCTAAATGCAAATCATTTATTGTAAAAATTAAATAAATCCCAGAAGTTCAGGACCAGCCTGGGCAACATAAGGAGACCTTGTCTCTACAATAAAGAAACAAACAAAAAAATAAATTATTTTTTTATTTAACAAATAAACATTTATATGTTTATTTATGTTTAATAAACAAACATAAATATTTGTTTATTTAACAGTTTATTTAACTGTGTTCCTTTATAGATTATAATATTCAAATGTTGTAGTTTTCTGTTATTAATTCCTACTTTTCATTATTAGATGTTCTATTATTTGTGGCTTGTAATTCAAGGCATTAAGCTATTTTATAATTTGTAATAAAGTTTATTTATAAATATATTAATTCATTAAATTTGATAAGCTGATAATCCCCTATTACTGAGTTCATCAATCACACCAAGGGTTATACATTTTATAACAAGCATAAATTGTTATGACAGTTGAGGAAACATACAATATATAAACTTAAAAATTGTTTTACTTATTTATACAAAAGTATTATATAGGATATTAGGGACCACAATTAAACAAATATTTTTTCAGATAATATTTTTGAGATTATAAACCACCTACAACTAAATTCTTAATGAATTCTGAATTATAAACTAAAAAATTAAATCAAAGCTATGTATATATAAAAACACTTACATATAGGTATATATGTAAACACATGCTACTTACACATTGCTTTTTTAATAGCTCTTTTGTGATCAACACTCCTATAATCTCATGGTAGCACCACCAAGATTAGTTTACTATCAGAGGTCTTACCTGGATTGCTATTTTGAGAATTTTTAGATATCTTTTGTTTGTATTCCAAAAGTTGTTGATGAATGCTATGTATAAAAATGAAATAAATAAAATTACTATTTTAACATTGATATAAAAAACACTTACCAAATTTATGAAGTTCTTAGGGTATTTCAGACAATATTAGAGCTAACATCAGAACATTACTTTTTCCATAGTCTTTAAGTTTGTAAGCTCTATGAACTTATTAAGCTTCTAATTAAAGATGAAAGAAAGATAAAACACTCATGAAGTGAGGGCAGTATAACTCAGTAAATTAACTAGAGGTAGCTTGACATATGGAAAATGTCCTTACCTCAGAATAAGTCCTAGCATGGCTACCAACAGGTATTTTTTCTTGAACAAGTTACTTCTCTTAGACTCAATGTCTTCTAACAATGAGGATTTTAGGGCCTTATTTCACTATGTTATTATAAAGATTTAATAAGATAACATTTTAAAAATGCTTAAAATAAAAAGTGAAGCAAAAAAGTAATTTGTTCTTGAACCTTATTGCTGAAACTATTTTAAAATTCCCAATAATACCCAATATATTGGCCTGGTGCAGTGGCTCATGCTTGTGATGTAAGCACTTTGGGATGCTGAGACAGGAGGATTGCTTGAGTCCAGAAGTTCAAGACCAGCCTGGGCAACATAGGGAGACCATATCTTTACAAAAATTAAATTACAAAAAAAAAAGTGTTTCTTCATAGGTTATAATATTCAAATATTGCAATTTTCTGTTATTAATTCCTACTTTTGGATATTAGATGTTCTATTCTTTGTGGCTTGTCATTCAGAGCATCTAAGCTATTTTATATTTTGTAATGAAATTTATTTATACATATATTAAATCATTAAATCAGATAACCTAATTATACTCTATTACTGAGCTCATCAGTCACACCAAGGGCAGAAAACTAATAGATGTCAGCATCTGGCTTGGACTACTACTACTACTCTTTATCTACCTCCTTAAATTCTGAACCAACAAATCTTTGTTAGAATGATGCTTAGTCACTATGTTCATTTCCAGCTGCTGTGGAAGACAAAACCCTACTTTCATTTTTTGTAAGTTCCACAAAGAAGATGCAAGTTGGTATTTTCTCATTTCTGAGATCCGTACTAACAAAATATTGCACACAAGATCCTATATGTTACCACATCTCATTTCATAGATCACCTTACATAAATAATTTTTTGTATGAAAATCACAATTGCAATACTGGGTGTCACCCATTTTGCTTTGACTCACACCATTTCCTTGGAGCTAGTTAGAAAGTAGTAAAATGTCCTTTGGGGGACTGCAAGAAATATGCAACACTTTACGGATTTCTATGTCATCCTTGTGTGGGGACCATGCTGATCTTCTCAACGTTGTTTCAATTTTACTATATGAACCACTGAAGCCAGCAAAAATCCTTATTTTTATACGTGAAGACTGATCAGTGATGGATGAGGCTTAGCTCTGTTAAATCTAACCAACTTACTTGAGATTTAGTGAAGTCTATTGAATGGCTTCATGGTGATGCAGCATTTGAAAATATTTTAAAAACTCGAGGTAGAGATGTAAGTAGCACGGGAGATTTTTACTTTTAGGAAAAAAGAATCACTTGAGGGGACAACCACAAGTTGGAACCCACTACAACTTGGGAAAGATGACATGGGATTTTACAGAATAAGGTGAGACCTTCCACTACCTACAAAATGGTGCTACACAGGATATAAAGGGCCAGGGATATAGATCTGTTAACAAAGACAAAATGGATCTCTAATTTCTTCCTGTAACATTATTTCAACCTGACTTACAGTTTCAAACTACCACAACTAATATTGGCTAGAGAAAATAGAAAAAAGTCACTCAAAGGATAACTTACCATGAAGGTCTAGGCCATGCCCAGGCTAAGATGTGGGTTTCACATCAGGTTTTGAGTGTGAGGAGAAGGGTCAATTTGCTCACTATGTGTGTGGCTAAAGCTAAAAGTTCTAGCTGCCAGAGTAGGGTGCTGGTACTTTGGAAACAATGGCTGAGAATATGTACGTGAACTTTAAAAACATGTAGTAACTTCAAAGTCTACACCATGAAGACTGAGGGATCTGTGTTAATAAGGGCATCCTGGTCACAAAGGTCAATCATTACCAGACTGCAGGAGCAGTTTCAATGGCAACGATGCAGCAACAGAATGAATGGAAACAACAAAATGAAGAGAATGGGCATTTCCCCCCCAGTCCTTCTGACTTGTACGAAAGGAATGTCTTCCTTGGACTTAGGTTCAGATTCTTTTAAAAAATTCAAGAATGAAGGTATGGAAGACAGCCCCCTGGGGACACTATCAGGTTTTCTGCTTAAAGTGGACATTTTGAAACCCAAATAGCTAATTAGAAAAACCAAAATTGTGACTTTATGTTTATCCCATGCATAGGGGTTATACTTCAAATCAAGAAGACAACATTAGCATCCCTAAAGCCCTAAAATAAAGAATCCTGGAGCCATTACTCCTTCTAACAAGTCTAGCTTTCTGGCTGATGAAGTGAACTAACTCACTGTCATTCAAAACCTACCTGAAACAAACTATAAAATCTCACTTAACCTTTAAATGTAAACACTTACGGATTAAATCCACAAGCAACAGCATAACGTTCTGCAATCATTCCACACGGATCTTCAGCACAGGTGTCAACATTTTGCTGAAGAACCAGGCCAACTATCTCTGATGATCCATGACATATGGCAAGCATGAGGGCTGTGCTGAAATAACAAAGAGATAACTTCATTATTAGGAACAGAACCAATTTAATATGTGCCTGTCAGTGTAGAATTAACCATTTACATGTATTAACAAACGTTAAGTATCTTGAGTGCTCAAGTGTTTATCCTTGTAAATCACGACCAAGGCTAAAAGGAAGGGGTGAAAAGACTCATGTCTCACTGGGATATGGCATAGTAGAATTGGCTAACATAAAGTCCACTGAGGGGCAAGAAAATATGTTCTGTTCACTAATCTAAAAGGGGCAAAGTTTTAAGTGGAGAATTATCTATTTCCTCCTTAGTTTGATATAATATTTTGTACTTCAAAATTAGCTAGAAGTCGGACAAGTGAGAGCAATCTGAAGACTTAAAACAATATTAGGAATAATATTTGTCCTGAGTAGCTGGGACTATAGGCATGTGCCACCAGGCTTGGCTAATTTTTATATTTTTCATAGAGATGGGGTTTTACCATGTTGGCTAGGCTGGTCTCAAACTCCTGGCCTCAGGTGATCTACCCACTTGGCCTCCCAAAGTGCTGGGATAACAGATGACAGCTACCATGCCCAGCAAATATTGCATTTTTAAAAAGTGTATGAAAAACAGAAGTTAGAAAAATACTATAAAGGTGTTAATCATTCAATATTGAATTACAAAGTAAACTAAAAATTCATACTTCTTAAAACTAATACAGAACCACTTTAGCTAATAGAAGATAATGCAACCAAAAACATCAGATTACAAATAAGAATCAGTCAATATAACAAAAGAAGAAAATCCTACTATATACTGTTCTTTATGTTGACCAGTCCAAATAATTGCTTTTCTTACTAACTGATAATTTGTGTTGGTATTTTTCTGTATAATCTAATAATTTTAAGTAAATGTTATTAATTTAATATTTCTGACTTGAGTGTTATTACTCTAGCACACTACTCAAGTGTTTTTTAATTAAAAAAACTACTATACCATTTAAACTTATCAACTGCATTTGCATTTGTATTTTTTGTCAGTAAAAATTCCACAATTTGCTCACTTCTTTTCCTTATGGCCAGTAAAAGTGGTGTGTGGCCAGCCTGTAAAACAGCAAAAACCATTTATAATTCATGAAATTACATATTTCTCAGCTGAACTGAATACCTGATATAATATCCTATGAACTTAAACAATGGAAAGTAAATCAATAGCAATCCCTTCTTTCTCACTTTTCTGTGCTTTCCCATGCACTGCACCTTCTCTTGTAAACATTCAGCCTCTGCATCACCACATTAACTCTGGTTATCTCCAAAAATCATTATATTGTAATGATTTTATTGTTTCCCATTTAAACCAAGAGCTTCTTGAGGGCAGGGGCTGTATCTTTTACCTCTATATCCTTAAACCCTAAGACATAGTAGTAAATACTTTGTTTTTTACTAAATTAGTAATCTAAATTATTACCTCTAGAACAGTGTTTCTTCCACTATATTCCAAAGAATAATTACCTTACCAGAAGCACTGTACCCCAACAGATTCCACCATTATCTATGTTCAAGAAATGTTATACAACTGTGAATTAAATGTTCATTATTCAATAAATGAATTGAACTTTACCTAATACTTATTTGACAGTCTATTTTTGTGGCAAACATTAACATTTGACAAATTAGAATTTCAGGGATGCAGTTTTGAAATCTTCCCCCCAAAAATGGAGGTTTCCTCTGGGTGATACAAACTTACTTGATTCTCTTCTGTCAATGATCCCAACATTCCAGATGCCAATGTCAGGCTCTCCTGCTCTAAATGGGTCACTAAGGAAGTGGCTCTAAATTAAAAGATATTGGCTTCAAATAAACTTTGATTGCTTATTATTAAATCATCCATGAGGTTTATCCTATTACCAGACAATAGGGTTTTATCTAAGCTATTAGAAATTCAGTATAAAAGGCCAGGTGAGGTGGTTCATGCCTGTAATCCCAGCACTTTGTGAGGCCAAGGTGGGCAGATCACAAGGTCAGGAGATCGAGACCATCCTGGTCAACATGGTGAAACCCCATCTCTGCTAAAAATACAAAAAATTTAGCTGGGCATGGTGGCACATGCCTGCATCCCAGCTACTCAGGAGGCTGAGGCAGGACAATCACTTGAACCAGGGAGGCAGAGGTTACAGTAAGCCAAGATCACACCACTGCACTCCAGCCTGGTGACAGAGCGAGGCTCCATCTCAAAAAAAAAAAAGAAAAAAAGAAAAGCAATTCAGTATAAAAGTTTATTCTCAATTATAATGATACTCCTAGGATCCGAATGCATATCCACTTCTTAAAATGCAATAATCTATTTTTATTCTGGTTTCTATTGTAATTGATACTATTTTTTGGCAAAATATCAGAAGTATGAATAAAATGGCTTATTAATGAAAGTTCTAACTCATGTATATGGATTAGCAAAATAGAAGCCACTAAATTGCTTGAATTTTAAGGGACAAGTCTGTGGAGAAAGATATAGTATTTTTTGCAATTTGCATAACCCATTCAAATATAAACATGATTAATCTAAAAAGGCTTAAAGGCCTTCTAATAGAAGATGATTATTTATGGTTTATATGAAGAAACATCTTCATTTAAAAAATATTCTAAATTCTGGAAGACAACCCCATTATTAATGAATTAATGTAAAATATAAACTAAATGTTATAAACACCTATAAACTGTCTTCAATAACTTGAAATCTTTACCAAAATATACTATGAGAGAGGAATTGATAACTGAAATATTTACAGAGGCAAAAGAGGTAAGTTGAATAAGTGATGTAACTAGGTGGGCACAGTAGCAAACTGGAAACATATGCTTTATGTAAAGCTAGAATGTCTTCATAGCATACCAAACAGTCATATGGGCTCAAGAAACACCAGATTCAATCCTTTAAGAGGAAATCCAGATTTCTTCATGTCTCCTAAATTTTACATGTTGACTCAATTTATGCAGGCAAATTTTACTTTCCTGTAGTTTTACACTAATTGGAAAGAAAAAAAAAACTTGGGTGGGAAAGAATATTTGAAAAATTTTACCTTTAACAAACTCAAATATTTATCATAATGCACAGAAAAGCCATACTAATAGTTCTTGTAAAAATATTAATATTTAAAGCAAAATCCTAGACAACTAAGTTTTGTTAAACTATTTTCATAGGAAAATAGGAATGTTTGAGCTTCCAAATATAAAACAATTTACATATGTTAATGTTAAAACAAATGGATTTCAAATATTTTGAAAATAACATTGGTTAACATCTACCTTGTTCTTCACTTCGATGTCTGCACCACAGGACAGCAATTTTGCCACCACTGACAAATTCTCACCATAAAGAGCATAATGGACAGCTGTGTTGCCATACACATCTACAATATTTGGATCAGCACCAGAATCTATGAGAATATTTGCACAAACCTCCCTCTGGCATTGCGCAGCCTGTCAGTATTAAAGCAAGAAGTAAATTATAAATTATAGGAAATATAAATAAATATTCCACAGGTTTCACAAACTAGTTATATTTCAATGAGATATATTCATTTTTATTCTATGTATTTAAACCAAATCCATCTCCTGCTGAAAGAACTGGCTACCATTTACCTTCATCAGAGGTGTCCTGTTTTCACCATCAAGGATGTCAAGCTGGCACTTTCTATCTACCAGAGGTGTTACTACTTCTGCATGGCCATTGGCACAGACCCAGTGTAGAGCAGTCCTACGAGAGTGAGAGGACTTTTTAGGAAAGTTTAGTCCACTGTCTCAAAGCACATAATGATTTATGTAATTGTCAACATTAAATACCATGCTCTTTCTCTGCCTTCAAAACAAATATTTAATATTCTCCTGAAGAAAGAACAACATTCATTCACTCTTATTACTCACTACATTAGTGAAAGAGTGGCCTATTTGAATAGAAAGAGCTTGGCCTTTGGATTCCGTTCAACTTGGGCTTGAATATTACTTTAAAGTCTTTCACCTTCTAGCTATCACTTAACCTTTCTGTGCCTCAATTTTGAACCCAAGAATTGAAGACTTGAGTGTTAGATATGCTCATTTCTGCTGGGATATCATTGGTTCTGGACCGTCTTAGCTTACAGAGCAAAGAAATAAATGTGTGTATACAAAGCCTTGTATAGACATAAATATAAATATTTCTAAATGTAATGTGTGTGTTAGTTCATACTGATGTCTACCACTCAATTCTTTTATCACATGATCATTCTGGCCTTCTCCCCTTGCTTACATTTAAGCTCCCACTTTAATAGTGAGAAACCAGGCTCCTGTCATTTGTCATCGTTTGCTTAACTGTCTAGTTCCAATATACATTTATTCTCTATCAATATCAGAATCGCTATCCCATTTCCTTTAGGAAACAGCTATACCAACCAGATCATGTGAGTTGTTTGCAGTTTCTCTTCCTTTCAGTCTTCATGCATTTTCTTTGTTTCTTTCTGTTTTTTTTTTTTTTTTAAGATGGAATTTTGCTCTTCTTGCCCAGGCTGAGGCAGGAGTGCAGTGGCGTGATCTCGGCTCACTGCAACCTCTACCTCTCAGGTTCAAGCGATTCTCCTGCCTCAGCCTCCTGAGTAGCTGGGATTACAGGCACCTGCCATCATGCCCAGATCATTTTTGTCTTTTTAGTAGAGACAGGGTTTCACCATTTTGGCCAGGCTGATCTCAAACTCCCAGCCTCAGGTGATCCGCCACCTTGGCCTCGTAAAGTGCTGGGATTACAGGTGTGAGCTACCACGGAAGGCCCATCCATTTTCTAAGATGCTTATGTCAGCACGTTTTTCCCACTCTCTAGAGGGAAGTGGCTTTCTACATTTGTAGTACTTTAGATTTTTTATCACTTTCTGCATTCCATCCCAGGATCCCCAGAACACCTACTTTGTTGTTGTTGTTGTTTTAAAATTTGCATATATTAAGTGACACTCTTTGTGCTGTGAGATTCTTTGTTTTTTAAAAAATGCAGGCCGGGTGCGGTGGCTCACACCTGTAATCCCAGCACTTTGGGAGGCCAAGGCGGGAAGATCACGAGGTCAGGAGACAGAGACCATCCTGGCTACACGGTGAAACCCCGTCTCTACTAAAAATACAAAAACAAAATTAGCCGGGCGTGGTGGCAGGCACCTGTAGTCCCAGCTACTCGGGAGGCTGAGGCGGGAGAATGGCATGAACCCGGGTTGCAGAGATTGCAGTGAGCTGAGATCGTGCCAGTGCACTCCAGCCTGGGTGATAGAGCAGACTCCGTCTCAAAAAACAACAAAACAACAAAAAAAAAAAACAAACGCAAATGCATACTCTCATGTTTCCACAGTTGTGGTATCATACAGAATACTTTGACTGGTCCAAATAATGCCCAAGTGCATCACCTATTAAACCTCCTCACTGAATCTTTTGCCAGATCATTTACTTTTTTAGGAAGTAATATTCCCTTATATGACGTATCACAGTGGTTTTTTTTTTCCAGTCATCAATTATGAGATCTCTTGGTTTCTTCCAGTTTCAGGAATTATAAACAAACTGCTATATATATATTCATGTGCCAGTTTTGGTGTGGACATAGTTTTCAAATAAGGTGGATAAACACCTAAAAACACATTTGCAGCCAGGCGTGGTGGCTCACGCCTGTAATCCTAGCACTTTGGGAGGCCGAGGTGGTCGCATTGCCTGAGCTCAGTAGTTGGACACCAGCCTGGGCCACATGGTAAAATTTCCCAAATCAACAAGTTATACTGTCTCTAGTAAAATACAAAAAAAAAAAAAAAATTAGCCGGGCATGGTGGTAGGTGCCTGTAGTCCCAGCAACTCTGGAGGCTGAGGCAGGAGAATTGTTTGAACCCAGGAGGTGGAGGTTACAGTATCCTTCTATTGCACCACTGCACTCCAGCCTGGGTGACAGAGCAAGATTCTATCTCAAAACAAACAAAAAAACCACAACTGCTATATTATATGTAAGACTTTTTTTTTTACATATAGTATAGCAACTATGGGCATAAGAAATTGCCCATCTGTCTTCCAAAGTGGTGGTTTCATTTTGCAAGTGGTGAAAGAAAAAAAACAAAAAACAAAATTCTTCTTGCTCCTGGTTTTTGGGAAAAAGCATCCCATTTCTCATCATTAAGTATGATAGTTTTAGGGGTTTTGTAGATGTTCTTTGTCAAGTTAAGAAAATTCACCTCAATTCCTAGTTTTCTGAGAGTTTCTCAAATTATAGATGGGTGATAGATTTTGCCATAAGCTTTTTCTACATCAGTTGATACAGTCACATGATTTTTCTTCCTGCAGATTTAGGAAATTCTGCAGATAATTTTCTAATATTGAATCAGTCTTGCATACAGTCTTACCTAGAATAAACACATAGTTAGATTCAATTGTCTAGTATTTTGTGAAGGATTATTGGATCTTTGTTCATGAGAGATATTGATATATTGATTTTATTTCGTGTTATGTCTATTGGATTTGGTAAGAGGGTAATATTTACCTCATAGAATAAGTTAGGAAGTGTTATCTCTAACTCCATTTTCTTGAAAAGTCTGTGGAAAATTGGTATAATTTCTCCTTTAAATGCTTGATAGAATTCACCACTAAAGCCATTTGGGCCTGGAACCATTGGTGGGGGGGGGTGGGTTATTAACTATTTATTCAATTCCTTTTATAGATATAAAAGTACTGATGTTATCTATTTTTTCTTTTGTGAGTATTGGCATATTGTGTCTTTCAAGGTATTTGTCCATTTTATATAGGTTATTGAACTTGCGAGTATAGAGTTTTTAATATAGTAAATATATTATTCTTTTAATGTCCACAAAATCAGTAGTCATAACCCATACCCCTCTTTCACTTCCAATATTTGTAAGTTGTGTATTCTCTCTTTTTTTCTTTATTAGTTTGTCTAAATGTTAGCAAGTTTATGGATCTTTTCAAAGAAACAGCTTTCTGTTTCATTGATTTTCTCTATTGTTTTCCTGTTTTCTATTTTACTGATATTTGCTATACTTTATATATTTTTTCCCTTGTTACTTACTTTGGATTTTCTTTTTCTAATTTCTTAAGGCAGAAGCTTAAGTTATTGATTTTATCTCTTTTTTCATAATAATATATATTTAATGCTATAAATTTAGGTACCAGTTCTACTGTATCTCATATATTTTAATAAGTTGTGATTCCATTTCCATTTAATTCCAAATAGTTTAATTACTCTTTAGTCTTCTTTTGGGATGCACTTAGATGTTTTGTTAAGTCTTCAAATATTTGAAAAATTTTTCAGTTCTTCCTGCTATTTATTTCTACTTTAATTTTTATTGTGGTCTGATTGTGTACTTTGTATGAACTTTATTCTTTGAAAAATTTTAAGAAGTTTATGGCCCATAATGCAGTCTGTCTTGTACAAACTAGAGAAGAATGTGTATTCTACTTTTGTTGAAGTAGAATATAAATATTAATTATATTCATTTATTTTTATTTCATTTTATTTTATTTTGAGATAGAGTCTCACTCTGTCACCCAGGCTGGAGTGCAGTGGTGGTCTTGGCACACTGCAACCTCCACATCCCAGGTTAAAGTGATCCTCCCACCTCAGCCCAGAGTAGCTGGGATTACAGATGTGTGCCACAACACCCAGCTAACTTTGATATTTTTAATAGAGACGGTGTTTCATCATGTTGGTCAGGCTGGCCTCAGGTGGGTCCACCCACCTTGGCATCCCAAAGTGCTGGGATTACTGGCATGAGCCACCGTGCCTGGCCTGCCTCCTCTTATTTTAATTGAGCATCTTCTATGATTGCATTTTTGTCTCAGCTCTTGGTGTATCTCATCACCTCATGAGATGTGACCTCATCACTTCTTTTAAAAACTTGTGGTGGTTTTCTTAGAATTGATTATATGCATTTTAAGTCTATCTTTAAATTAGTTAGAATTGATTATATACAGTTTAGGTCTATCTTCAAATAAAATTGTTACTTCACATGTAGTGTAGGTATTGCATAAAAATACTACCAGATTGTACCTCCTGTACCTTATGACATTGCTATTTTTCATTTCATCTGTCCACATTCTATAATTACTCATTTTTTGTTACTAAACAGTTATCTTATGGATCAATAAGAATAAAAAAAGTTTTTAACTTTAATTTATTCTTTTTCATGTATTTCTTTATTGTGGATCTGAATTTCTCACTTGCATCATTTTCTCTCCCCTTGAAGAACTTCCTTTAGTATTTCTTGCAAGACAGGTCAGCTGACAATCACTTAAATTTTGTTTTTCTGAGAAAGTTTTCTATTTGCTTTCTTTGTTAAAGGAAATTTCAATATATAGAATTGCTTTATCCCCCTAAAGTCATATGCTGTTGAATATATTTTCAAATACTTTTTTGCCATTTTTATATTTCCTTTGGTGTCTTCTCCATTTATATTGTTTCCCCATTTTTAACTGAATTGTTTACTTTCTTGTGAAATTTGAAGGGTTTCTTGTGTATTTTGAATAATAGCATTTATTACAGACTAGTGGATAAAGAAAATGTGGCATATACATACCATAGAATATTATTCATCCTGAGAAAAGAAGGAAATCCTAAAATCTGTGATAACATTGATGGACTGAGAGAACTTAATGCTAAGTAAAATAAGCGAGACACAGAAAGACAAATATACTGCATAATCTCACTTATCTGTGAAATCTAAAAAATTTAAACTCATTAGATGTTAGGGATTAGAAGGTAGGAAAAATGGGGAGATGCTTTTGGTTAAAAGATGAATAAATTCTGGATACCTAACATATATAGCATAGTAGCTACAGCTGATAAGAAAGTATTGTATACTTGAATTTTGCTAACAGGGTAGGTCTTACGTATTTCCATACAAGCACACATAGACACACACAGAGAAAGTGTAACTTTGTAAGTTGATGAAAATGTTAATTGACTGTGGCTATTATTTCACAATGTATACACACATCATATTATATAACTTAAATATGTACAATTTTTATTTATCAATCATACTTCAATGAAGCTAGAAAGAAAAATAAGAAAAAACATTTGTACAGCATAATTAATTATGAAAGGGATACATTTTCTAACAATTATGACATCTTTTTCTATGCTTATTTTAGAATATTGTATTATTATTGGGATTTTTACCACCATTTTCTTCTCTGCACCTGTATTCCTATCTTTATCACAGTGACCAAATCTCCTCTGATAACACTTAATTTTTGCCCATCTGAAATTATATCTTAAATTCCAAAAAGTAAATGTTTTCTGATTTTTAGGGAAAAATAAGTATATTCTAGATTTCCTAGGTGACCTCTAGAAAAACAGTGACAATTTTTGCCTTATAAAATGAGTGAGGCTACAATAAATTGGACTTCTTTGGTGTGCTCCATATTTCTTCATTAGTTCCACACATCTGCATGAGTTGCACGAGGTCAATTCTAAAGGGCTCAGCCTTCTCAGTTCATTTTACATAATCTTACATATTAAGATGAATGGTGGTGGGGTGCGGTGGCCCACATCTGTAATCCCAGCACTTTGGGAGGCTGAGATGGGCAGATCAGGAGGTCAAGAGATGGAGACCATCATGGCCAACATGGTGAAACCCCATCTCTACTAAAAATACAAAAACTAGCTGGGCATCGTGGTGCATGCCTGTAGTCTCATCTATTCAGGAGGCTGAGGTAGGAGAATCACTTGAACCCAGGAGGTAGAGGTTGCAGTGAGCCAAGATCGCACCACTGCACTCCAGCCTGGTGACACAGGGATACTCTGTCTCAAAAAAAAAAAAAAAAAAAAAAGAGGTGAATTGTTTAGGAACTGTAGACATTTAACTCATAGATTAGAGACTGTAATAGGAAATTGGAGAGGTATATGCCCCCAGGTGAAACATTGGTCAAGTCTTTATGAGATAGTATTGAACCTAATGCAGAAGTTTATTCTTCTCCATTTTTATATTACTGTTTACTATATAAATTAAACAGCCAATTAGTTGCATCTCTAGGTGGTTTTTGTTTTCCTCTGACACTTACTTGAATGTTCTCCTATAAAGTACTGAGCATAACAACTTACTTTTAAATCTCATTGTTTTAAGGATTTATCTTTTTGCCTCATTGGTAGATAATTTTATCAAAGCAAAAAACTGACTCAACATCCAGTAGAAGGAGTATGAATCACACAGTTTCTTTTTCTATCTCTGATCCTCAATTTTATATACTACATCTTGTAAGTGAAATACATCATTCAAACGCTGTCTCATTTCTATTTTTCTCTGAGAATTCAGAACAATATATTTGTACTTACTCTGCATGCTTGTAGGACAACATATTATTATTGTAGGACTTTCTCCTTAGTTCAGCTAAAAGCTGCGTTCTTGTCACACAGCCATGAAATATTAGGCTCACAGACGCTTTGAAGGGTGAGAAAAATGGAATTTATTGGCGAAAGGGAAAAAAGGGGAAACAGAGACTGTCAGTAAAGAGAGTCCTCTACTCAGCTTCCTGCCTCATAGATCGAATCCCAGCCTCCGCCCTGGAACAGAAGAGGCCAGGCTCCTCCCTGCTGCAAACTTCCCGAGGCTCCACCTCAGTTTGCACTCCTGCCAGTGTGCAAGCTGGTCGGAGGTTCTGCCGGGGAGCCGTTTTTACTTGCTGTCTCATTATTTGCATAGTTTCATCAAGAATCTGTCCTTTTTTCCTGGGATTTAATTGGACATCCAAGGCCATACCTGTGTTTATAAGGTATGAAAACACCTATTAAGAAATAAGATTGTACTTTAAATGTTGAGCCAACACCTACTAAGTCCTCCACCTGTTCTATGGTTCCAGCCTCACATTGGTAAGGGAGTGTTTTCAGAAGGCCGTGAATCTTACATTTTAGAACTTGGTGGAGGGAAGACTTCACTTATGTGTTTAACTCCTCTTTCTGAAGCTACATAAATAATCAGGGTCAAATATAGTCAGATAAACTTTTTCTTTTTTTGATTAAGAATAACACTTGGAGGCTGAGCCAGTGGGTCACGCCTGTAATCCCAGCATTTTGGGAGGCTGAGGCAGGCGGATCACGCTGTCAGGAGATCGAGACCATCCTGCCCAACATGGTGAAACCCCGTCTCTACTAAAAATACAAAAAATTAGCTGGGCATGGTTGCGGGCGCCTGTAGTCCCAGCTACTCTGGAGGCTGAGGCAGGATAATGGCGTGAACCCAGAGGCGGAGCCTGTAGTGAGCCGAGATCGTACCACTGCACTCCAGCCTGGGAGTCAGAGTCAGACTCTGTCTGAAAAAAAAAAAAAAAAAGAATAACACTTGGAGATTACTGACATGAAAATAAGGAACTGAGTTAGTTATGGATTAGCACTAACAGAGGACATATTTGTAATAGGGGACTGCTAAGGAAAAGTATCTAAAACTCTGACATAACACATGTATTTTTAGTGTAATATTTCATTATTAAAAGCTATCATCTAGAAGGCCAACCCAAAGATTACTTCATTTTCTTTTGACTTGGCTATGTATTAGTTGATTTGATCCTAGATGCTATGCAATTATGTGATAACTTCTAGGTTTCTCTCTAGTAGAAAAAGACAATGCCAGACCTTATGGATCTGTTTCCATGAAGGATATTAATCAGTTTTAATTCACAACTGATAGGAGTTCATCAAGCATCAGAAAAACTGCTCTTGAGTGCATTTACTGTATACATTTTTGTGAATTACTGCATTATATCACATTTCCAATTCCCTTTTTCTAATAAGTTTAATAAAGTTTAAATTTTATGCTTAATAACCAAAAATACAGTGCAATTGGGAATACATATTTTTTCTTTATTTTTCTTTTTTAAATTGTGGTAAAATACACATACTGTAAAATTTATCACTTTAATGAATTTTAAATGAACAATTCAGAAGGCATTACATTCACCAAATTGCACAAACTTTACCACCGTCCATTTCCAGAACTCTTTAATCATCCCATATAGAAGCTCTGTTCCCATTAAAGAATAACTTCCCACCCACGCTAGTCCCTGGTAATGATTATTCTGTCTCTATGATTTGCTTATTCTAAGTACTTCAAGCAATATTTATCCTTTTGCATCTGGCTTATTTCACTAAGCATAATGTTTTCAAAGTTTAGATATGTAGTAATCATTGAAATTCTGTAGTGTATATTAGAATTTCATTCCTTAATAAGGCTGAATAAGTTTCCATTATGTGAATATGGTGTATTTTGTTTATTCATTCATTTATTGATGAATATTTGAGTTGCTTCCTGCTTTTGGTTACTGTAAATCATGGTACTGTGAACAATGGTCGTTAATATCTGTTGGAGTCTCTATTTGCAATTACTTCGGGCATGTATATAGGCATAGAATTGCTGGATCACATAGTAGTTCTATGTTTAACCTTTGAGGAGCCACCTAACTGTTGTCCACAGAAGCTACACAATTTTACATTCCCACCAGCAATGCACAAGGGTTCCCATTGACTCTGAATCCTCACTAACACTTGTTATTTTCTGGGATTTCTTTTTTGTAATCATCCTAATGGGTGTGAAATGATATCTCATCATTATTTTCATTTGTGTTTTTCTAATGCTAGTGATATTGAACCTCTTTTCGTGTGCTTGTTGGCCATTTGTATATCTTCTTTAGATAATTATCTATTCAAGTCTTTTGCCTATTTAACAAATTGAACCATTTATTATTGTTGAGTTGCTGGAGTTCTTTATTCTATTATACATATTATATCCACATATACTGATGTCATATCACATATGTGATTTGCAGACATCTTCTCCCATTCTTTGAGTTGTTGTTCCACTGTCTTGAGGGTGACTTTTTTTTTTGAGATGGAGTCTTGCTCTGTCACCCAGGCTTGAGTGCAGTGGCACAATCTCAGCTCACTGCAACCTCCACCTCCCAGGTTCAAGTGATTCTTTTGCCTCAGCCTCCCAATTAGCTGGGATTACAGGTGCACACCACCATGCCCAGCTAATTTTTGTATTTTTAGTGGAAATGGGGTTTCACCATATTGGCCAGGCTGGTCTCAAATTCCTGACCTTGTGATCCACCCGCCTCAGCCTCCCAAAGTGCTGGGATTACAGGCGTGAGCCACCACACCTGGTCAACGGTGACTTTTAATGCACAGAACCTTTACTTTTGATGAAACTATTTTTTTTGTTATTTTTCATTCCCTGTACCTTTGATGTCGTATCTAAGAAATCATTGCTAAATCTAACATAAAGAATATTTTCTATGTTTTTTTATCTGAGTTTAAGTGTTGTAGTTGTTACTTTTAACTCTTTGATCTATTTTAGCTTATTTTTGTATATTATGTAAGTTAAGGGCCCAAAGTTTATATTTTGCCTGTGTATATCCAGTTTACCCAGTACTTGTTGTTATTAATCAATTTTGCTTCTTTTTTTTTTTTTGAGACGGAGTTTCACTCTGTCGCCCAGGCTGGAGTGCAGTGGCGCAATCTGGGATCACTGCAAGCTCCGCCTCCTGGGTTCATGCCATTCTCCTACCTCAGTATCCTGAGTAGCTGGGACTACAGGCCACCACGCCTGGCTGATTTTGGTTTTGTATTTTCAGTAGAGACCGGATTTCACCGTGTTAGTCAGGATGGTCTCGATTTCCTGACCTCGTGATCCACCCACCTCGGCCTCCCAAAGTGCTGGGATTACAGGTGTGAGCCAGTGCTCCCGGCCCAGTTTTGCTTCTAACATAGTTGTCTTATTCTAACATTTCTTGTTTTTGGGGAAAAAAAAATCTGTAATTATTTTTTTTTTACTTGTTCTTGGAACCAGCTTTCCCACCTACTGATTTCCTCAGGAATAAGTGAAATAAATTTTGACAGAGGTTTATTTTGTATTTGTATGTGAGTTTTATTATTAAGCTCATTATTAAGTTTTATTATTAAGCAGAGAAAATTATAATCTGGCCATGTAAATATCCACAGTGTATTACTTTCAGAATGTCCTGATTTTTTCTCTTGCTATAAAGAAGACTCAGGGAATTTACAATAACACACCTGAGTGTTAGAGTCAGGCAGCCATTGTCAGTTGGTGGGTCAGAACTGTACATAGATTTTGAAACAAACAACAGCTACAATGACAATTTCTTGTAGACAGAGAATGTAAACCCATGCTTTATTTACTTCTCTCCCAACGAACATAACTAGGCCTATTTTTTATTCTGAGACTTCCCTAAAGGGGCCTTTCATTTGTTCTATGACAGATAACTTGATGGATCAAGTGGGTTAAAACTAAAATAATAGTGTGAAACACCCAGTTATGTCCTTGTAAGCATTATATGTTGACATTTGCAGTAGGCTTTCATGAAATGATTTAAGGCTTTGAGACCCTGGAACAAACTTAGAACCACTATATTAATAGTGGCTACAAACTAGTATTAGCCGGAAGGGTTTTGAAAGATTATGTTGATTTCTTAGATATATTTGTGCCAGAGAGGCAACTGCAAGTTAATCTCTACTCTCAGTGAAAGGCTTAATGTGGACACCTATAAAATCCCCAGTGGTCATAACTCACAGGAATCTCTCCAGAGGGACAGCATCATACCCAGTAGGGCAACATTAATTTCCTCAGGACATATCAGCAATTAAAAAAAATACAGAACTAGGCATGAGTCAACTTCTCCCTTAAAATTGTATTTCTCATCTAAATGAAAGCACATTTTTAAGAGAGAAAGATGTGTAAGATATAGAAATATTAAAGTAAGGGCTACAGTACATATAATACTAAGCAAATGAAGAGAGGAGGCTAAATATCAAAGTTGTAGGTGGTGAGTTATACTCAGCTACTTCATTTGACAGTTTAAGAAGTCAGATCTAAGTCAAAAGAAGTAACTTCTATCTCTTTGGAAAAGTGAATTGATAATATGCCATTGTCAATAAGTGAAGATGGTATCAGTGTTCTCTAGATGTTTAAAACATTGTAAGACATTTGTTCATATAAAAATTGTTAATCATCTTGCTTGCTATGGGCTTTTTAAAAAGAATTAAGGGCTACTCCTTTTAGTAAACATGTAACTCTATACATTGAAAAAATCCAATTGTAAATTGACTTGCTATCCTTTCCTTCAATACAAACATTAGCCTCAAATGCAAAAGTGGCACGGATTCAGAGTAAATTAAGTGAAAATATGAAGGGGTGGCCAGCCCCTCCACACCTGTGGGTACTTCTAGTCAGGTGGGATGAGAGACTGAGAAAAGAAATAAGACACAGAGTCAAAGTATAGAGAAAGAAAAGTGGGCCCAGGGGACCGGCGCTCAGCATACCAAGGACCTGCATCGGCACCGGCCTCTGAGTTCCCTCAGTTTTTATTGATTATTATTTTCATTATCTCAGCGAGAGGAATGTGGTAGAACAGGGTGATAATAGGGAGAAGGTCAGCAAAAAAACATGTGAGCAGAAGAATCTGTGTCATAATTAAGTTCAAGGGGAGGTACTATGCCTGGATGTGCACGTAGGCAGATTTATGTTTCTCTCTGCCAAAACATCTCAGTGGAGTAAAGAACAATAAAGCAGCATTGCTGCCAACATGTCTTGCCTCCCACCATAGGGTGGTTTTCCTCCTATCTCAGAATTGAACAAATGTAAAATTGGGTTTTATACCAAGGCAGTCGGTTCCCGGGAGCAGGCAGGAGACAGTGGCCTTCCTCTATCTCAACTGCAAGAGGCTTTCCTCTTTTACTAATCCACCTCAGCACAGACCATTTATGGGTGTTGGGCTGGGGGATAGTCAGATCTTTCTCGTCCCATGAGGCATATTTCAGACTATCACATGGGGAGAAACTTTGGACAATACCCGGCTTTCCAGGGCAGAGGTCCCTGTCGTTTTCCACAGTGCATTGTGCACCTGGTTTATTGAGAATAGAGAATGGCAATGATTTTTACCAAGCATACTGCTTGTAAACATTTTGTTAACAAGTCACAGCCCTAGATCCCTTAAACCTTGATTCCATACAACACATGTTTTTGTGAGCTCAAGGTTGGGGCAAAGAGGTTGGGGCACAGTGATTGGGGCAAAGTTACAGATTAACAGAATCTCAGGGCAAAGCAATTGTTCAAGGTACAGGTCAAAATGGAATTTATTATGTCTTCCCTTTCTATATAGACAAAGTAACAGTCTGATCCCTCTTCCTTTTCCCTACAAAATAGAAATGATTTTTAGCAACAGAAGAAAACTAAAACGAATAACTTATTTTTTAAAAGTAACATATTGGCTAGGCATAGTGGCTCTTGTCTGTAATCCCAGCATTTTGGCAGGTGGAGGCGGGCAGATCACTTGAGGTCAGGAGTTTGAGATCAGCCTGGTCAACATGGTGAAACCTCACCTCTATTAAAAATACAAAAAATGGGCTGGGCATGGTGGCTCACGCCTATTATTCCAGCACTTTGGGAGGCTGAGGCAGGTGGATCAGGAGGTCAGGAGTTCGAGGCCAGCTTGACCAACATGGTGAAACCCTGTCTCTACTAAAAATACAAAAATTGGCCAGGCATGGTGGCACATGCCTGTAATCCCAGCTACTCAAGAGGCTGAGGCAGAAGAATCGTTTGAACATGGGAGGCGGATAGCTGGGCATGGCGGCACGTGCCTGTAATCCCAAATACTCAGGAGGCTGAGGCAGGAGAATCACTTGAACCTGGGAAGCGGAGGTTGCAGTGAGCGGAGGTTGTGCCATTGTATTCCAGCCTGGGCGACAGAGCAAGACTCTGTCTCCAAAAAAAGAAAAAACACAAAAACAAAAAACAAGCTGGGCATGGCTGGTGTCTGCCTGTGATCCCAGATACTTGGGAGGCTGAGGCAGGAGAATAGTTTGAATCTAGGAGACTGGGGTTGCAGTGAGTCAAGATGGCACCACTGCACTTCAGTCTGGGGGACAGAGTTAGGCTCTGTCAAAAAAAAAATGCAGCAGCGTATTATGCTTCTGCTTAGGATTTAGGCTGAACTACCATTTAAAATGTATTGTATCCTTTCACTCTTCCTTTCCTAAGATTCCACATAGATATTGTAGAGAAGTCCAAACTCAACACCATTTGTTTACGTTAGTAAGGTCTTTAAAATTTTATATAGATTTAAGTATTTACCTTAACCAAAACTAAACGCCTAGAGACTTGTCTCCACAGAAAATCAGCTTAATTCATATTTTTCTCAAACACTTGCCAAAACCTTAAACCCATTTTCAATGCAAGTAGTGGCTAACTTTTTTTGTGCATATCTTTTTGCCTTTTTGCCATTTCCTTAGCCAGATTTGCCTATTTATCTTTTTATTTTTGAGATGGAATTTCGCTTGGTCACCCAGGCTGAAGTGCAATGGCACGTTCTCATCTCACTGCAACCTCAGCCTCCCAGGTTCAAGCGATTCTCCTGCCTCAGCCTCCTGATTAGCTGGGACTACAAGTGTGCACCACCATGCCCAGCTAATTTTTGTGTTTTTAGTAGAGACAGAGTTTCACCATGTTGGCCAGGATGGTCTCGATATTAGACCTCGTTATCTGCCTGCCTCGGCCTCCCAAACTGCTGAGATTACAGGCCTGAGCCACTGTGCCCATCTGTGCCTATATTTTTAAAAGATCAAAGGTTTGTCTGAAATAAAGAGAAACTACAGGATTTTGTTCTGAGATTCAGTCAGGACCTGGTAAGACAGATAATTTAGAGCAAGCTTTGATCTTATCAATGTTTATATCAGCTGAAAGAAAGACTCGCACACTCAGAGTCTTTCCTAGTGATTAAAGAATTTAATTTTCATTCACAATTCACAGTAAGGAATTGTTGTAAGAAAATACTGTATTTCAATATAGCATTTTCTCCTTTTTTTGTTGTTTTAATGGCATAATATGCTATGTGTGAGGTCAACACGAGGAGAGACAAAAAGAACAAGTTTATAAATGTGGTTATATTGTCCCCTAACCTAGGAAAAAATGACAATATTGACATTAAAATTTGCATTATTTGCCTCTGGCTTTCATGGGAATTGTTTTGTTTGTTTGTTTTTGTTTGTTTTTTGTTTTTGTTTTTTACAATTGGTATGCCATTTTTTAATGTTACCTATAACTAGCATTAGAATTGTATGGGAGCTTTTGTTTCTTTTGTTTTGGAGGATGTGATTCTTAAAATGAAGTTAATATTTTTAGAACATAAAATATATCAAGGCAAGGACATTTCTAAGAGTAATACTGGAAAAGAACAGTTAATCGGTGAATTCACCAGTAAGTTTAAGTCAATTTAAAATTAACTTAGCACATTATATGTTCATAGCACTCTGTGGACCAGTAGGGAATACAAAAATGAAAAAAGCCTGACACTGTTTTATCAGTGAAAAGAGACAGGCCATTAACTTACTAAAATGTACGGCAGAGTAATGTATGTGCTAAATTATGACATATACAATAAAGTCTGCAGGAACCAAAGGATATGTCAATGAGTTTCAATAAAGATTCAAGGACATCTTCAGAGAGGACAGAACAGTGGAATTTTTTAATTTAAATTTTATGGGGGATGGTAGGAAATTCCAGGTGGCCAGATGGTTTGACTAAATGCATGGTAGTTATAATGTGTTGGCTCTATTCATGAAACAATGAATTCCATATGTCTGGGACATTAGGTACTGGTGTGAACATGGAAGAAAAGTGTGGGGGCAAAGGAGAAAAAGGATAAATGGGGATTTCTGTCTACATCATGCCAAGCATTATAATTTTACTTTCTAGACCAAGAAGATATTTTTATGGTTTTTTTTTTGAGCAGACAAGTGACAAAGTGAGATATTTATGCTTCAGAAAGTTTAGTTGTATCAAAATGTAGAAAATATTTCAAGAAATAAGAAATAAATACTGTATGGCAAACTTTCAGATATTTTAAAAATAGTCTAAATTAAGAGCCTAAACTAGAAAAATATTTTTCTAAGAGAAATAATGTGTTGGTGCTATTAAACATGATAGGGGACAATTGATGGGAATCAGTGACTAATTAAACATGATATGTAAGGAAATGAAATAATTTGATAGAATTCTGAGGTTTCAAGCCTGGGTAACTGGGAGAATGGTGATGAATTTTGCAGAGGTAGGAAATGTTGAAGATACAACTGATTTTTGAAGACTAGTAATTTTACAGTCATGCACCATGTAAATACATTTCAATAAATGGTGGACCACTTATTGGTCCTGTAGGATTGTAATGGAGCTGAAAAATTCCTGTTTCCTAGTGATGTCATTGTCAATGTAATATCATTGTACAATTCATTACTCACATGTCTGTGCTGATGCTGGTGAAAACAGACCTATTGTGCTGCCAGGCCTCTAGCACATATAATTACTTACAGAACATAATACCTGATAATGATAATAAGTGACAATATTACTGGTTTATACATTTACTACTCTATTCTTTTTATCTTTTTTTTTTGAGATGGAGTCTCCATCTGTTGCCCAGGCTGGAGTTGCAATGGTGTGATATCGGCTCACTGCAACCTCCACCTCCCGGTTTCAAGTGATTTTTCTGCCTCAGCCTCCCGAGTAACTGGGATTACAGGTGCCCACCACCGCACCTGCCTAATTTTTGTGTTTTTAGTAGAAACAGGGTTTCACCATGTTGGGCAGGCTGCTCTTGAACTGCTGCCCTCAAGTGATCCTCCCGCCTCAGCCTCCCAAATTGCTTGCATTACAGGTATGAGCCACCATGCCTGGTCCTTTTTATCATGTTTTGAGAGGGTACTACTTATTAAAAAGAAAAAGAAAACTGAAGAGTAGAGCAATTTCAGGCAGGTCCTTCAGGAGGTATCCAGAAGGAGGGATTGTTATCATAGGAGATGACAGCTTCATGTGTATTATTGCCCCAAGGAACTTCCATTGAGACAGAATATGAAGGTGGAAGACAATGATGTTGATGATCCTGACCCTGCATAGGCTTAAACTAATGTGCGTGTTTGTGTTTGTTTTTATAAAAGAGTTAAAAAGTAACACAAAAATTAAAAGTTGGAAAAAGCTTATAGACTTAGATATAAAGAAAATAATATTTTTTAAAGTTGTACAATATGTTTATCTTTTAAGCTAAGAGTTGTGACAAAGGAGCCAAAAGGTTAAAAAAAGTATATTAAATAAAAAAATTACAGTAAGCTAAAGTTAATTTATTATTGATAAAAGAAAACAATTTAAAAATAAATTTGGCATAGCTTAAGTGTGCATCCAGTATTGCTAAAGTCTACAACAGTGCCCATAATGTCCTAGGCCTTCATATTCACTCACCACTCACTCACTTACCCAGAGCAACTTCCAGCTGTGCAAGCTCCTTTCATGGTAAGTGCCCTCTACAAGTGTACCCTTTTTTTTTTTACTGCACCTTTTCTATGATAAGATGCAAAATACCTACCACTGTGTTACAGTTGCCTGCAGTATTTAGTACAGTAACATGCTGTACAGATTTGTAGCCTAGGAGCAACAGGCTACATATACTCTACCATATACTCTAGCAGAGTAGTAGGCTATCCCATCTATGTTTGTGTAAGTACACTCTGAGATATTTGCACAATAACAAAACTGCCTAAAGACATATTTCTCCAAATTTATTCCATCATCAAGTGATTCATGCCTGTATGCACACATATGTAGGGGCATGCAGAGAGGGCAATTCCTGTGTCCCAGGCACTGCTTTATGCTTGATAAATCTGTTATTCACCCTCACTACAATCTTACCCAGAGACAGGCACCATTATTTTCCCCATTTCACAAATAAATAAACTGAACACAGGTAATTTATGTAACTTGCCTAAGATCACATAACTAGAAAAGAGAGAAAAGAAATTTAAGCTGATTATAAAGCTCTTTCTATTAATGATTATGATATACTTTGTAATGTTATTTCTAGCTTTGATCATTTTATGAAGGAAAATAAAATAGATTAACAAAATTCAAAAATCTTTAACATAAAATTATAAAAGAACTTGATTAATGTTATAAAGTGAGGGATAGTCCAGGTGAGGCGGCTCATGCCTGTAATCCCAGCACTTTGGGAGGCTGAGGCAGGTGGATCATGAGGTCAGGAGATTGAGACCATCCTGGCTAACATGGTGAAACTCCATCTCTACTAAACATACAAAAAATTAGCCGGGCGTGGTGGTGGGCACCTGTAGTCCCAGCTACTTGGGAGGCTGAGGCAGGAGAATTGCTTGAACCTGAGAGGCCGAAGTTGCAGTGAGCCAAGATCCCACCACTGCACTCCTGCCTGGGCGACAGAGCAAGACTCCGTCTCAAAAAAAGAAAAAAAAATTTAAAAAAATATTAAAATGAGGGATAAATTGGGCCGGGTGTTGTGGCTGATGCCTGTAATCTCAGCACTTTGGGAGGCCGACGTGGGTGGATTGCCTGAGCTCAGGAGTTTGAGACTTCATTATAAGTCTTCAGCTAAAATTCTGCCCATTTTGGTGAAGGAACTGTGTGTGGCACATAAGGAGAGCTTAATGTTAGTATTTACCATAGCCTTACTAATATAATCCTATAATATTGTTCTCCATGTTCCCAAAATTAAAAAGTAGTCTAATTCTACATATGAACTCAAAATAAATATATACTGTTATGTGTTATGTGGCATAACTCAAAATAATTAGAACTAAACACAGCTCTTATTTTCTCACACATACTGAGTATGGAATTACTATTATTTTTGTTTCCTTGATCAGAGGTAGATGAAACTTGATAATATAGTCACTGACTGAAGGGCATTGTTTTGCCAAAGTTCGTTAAGTTAAAAAATATTTTGGATCAATAAATGTCTTTCATTAAAATATTCACCTATGTAAAATAAGTATTCAGAATTGCATAGGACATGTGAATGTCATCTTTCTTCTGCTGTTCATTTACCCAACATTTTTCTTCTTTTTATATGTGCCAGGTTGAAAATTGTCATCCCATACTCTTTTCAGCTAAGAATATTTCTGTGTTGGGAATATCTTGAATTTCCCTCAAGGGTTGATGATATTGCCCACAAAGACTTTAGGCAATTTTGATGGCCAGAATGAAAACAGGCAGCTAAGATATTTATTTTTAAAAGAAAAGAATAGAAAACTTTGTAATCTAATCATGCATCGTAGGAAGTATTTTTTTTTTTTTTTTTTGAGAGACGGAGTCTTGTTCTGTAGAGCAGGCTGGAGTGGAGTGGCGTGATCTCGGCTTGCTGTAACTTCCGCCTCCCGGGATGAGGCGATTCTCTTGTCTCAGCCTCTGGGAGTAGCTAGGATTACAGACATGCGCCAACATGCCCAGCTAATTTTTGTAGTTTTAGTAGAGATGGGGTTTAGCCATGTTGGCCAGCCTTCCTCAAGCGATTCTCTTGCCTCAGCCTCCCAAGTAGCTGGGACCACAGGCACCCGCCACCATGCCCGGCTAATTTTTTGTATTTTTAGTAGGGGCGGGTTTTCACCGTGTTAGCAAGGATGGTATTGATCTCTTAACGTCGTGATGAGCCCACCTCGGCCTCCCAAAGTGCTGGGATTACAGATGTGAGCCACGCCCCACTCTGGAAGTAATTATTAATAATGTTGTTTCTCCTTCCAGTTCTTCAGTTTGTTAAGCGCAACTGTTGAAAACATTTATTTGTCCCAGGAGATTATAGGAAAAAATTAAGTGAATCTACTTAAACATAAAATTCCCAGTTTTAGAATAGATTCTTTTTTTTTTTTTTTTTGAGATGAAGTTTTGCTGTTGTTGCACAGGCTGGAGTGCAATGGCACAATCTCAGCTCATTGCAACCTCCGCCTTCCGGATTCAAGTGATTCTCCTGCCTCAGCCTCCCAAGTAGCTGGGATTACAGGCGCCTGCCACCATGCCCAGCTAATTTCTGTAATTTTTTTAGTAGACCATGTTGGCCTGGCTGGTCTCGAACTAACCTCAGGTGATCCGCCTGCCTTGGCCTCCCAAAGTACTGGGATTACAGGCGTGAGCCACCGTGCCCGGCCAGATTCAGATCTTTATTAGGGATGTCATTTAGCTAATTTAATGTATTTCTATGCCATAGTTCATATTTTCTGTGCTGTAAGTATTTTCTATATGTCTGATTTATGTTGAAGAATAGTATCTCTTTAGACACAGGGGCATACTGAGAGCATCTACACCATGGCAAATGGCTTTGCATTTTGCACTCTATACCATTGCCAAAAAAAGGTTTGATTATGCTACTAAAAATCCGACATGAATCAGTGAACACCAAAAGCCAATAATTTTAGAATCTCAAAATAGTGGAATGTTTAGAATTGTGATATTTTCAGCTTATTTTCTCCATCAATTTTCATTAGAAAGCGAGGAAGGAAAGTGGTAGAATTTAGGAGTTAAAAAATCAAATTAACGGGCAGGGCGCGGTGGCTCACGCCTATAATCCCAGCACTTTGGGAGGCTGAGGCGGGCGGATCATGAGATCAGGAGATCAAGATCATCCTGGCTAACAGGGTGAAACCCTGTCTCCACTAAAAATACAAAAAATTAGCTGAGCATGCTGGCAGGTGCCTGTAATCCCAGCTACTCAGGAGGTTGAGGAAGGAGAATGGCGTGAACCCGGGAGGTGGAGCTTGCAGTGAGCCAAGATCACGCCACTGCACTCCAGCCTGGGCGATAGTGTGAGCCTCTGTCTCAAACAACAACAACAACAACAACAACAACAACAACAAATTAACACCTTGCTTATTATAATAAAGAACTAAAATAATCCAATACCTGTAACCTAGAGAATAAGGTTCACATCACTTAAAATGGCATTATATATAAAAGAAAAGATTGGTTCTACTACATACATCAGGCTTATTAAGTCACACTAGACAACTGAGGTTGCCTAAGACGTCATTGTCTTGGACTTGCAAGGGCCTCCAACTCCAGTTAAGGGATAAGAAAAAATGAAAACGAGCAACCTAGCAGTTTTCACAGGCCTCAGAGAGCTGGGGCCACATCGAACCCAGTCACAGGTTGTACCAATTTGATTTACAATAATGAAAGAACCATCTGCTTATACTTGAGTTACAGCACATCCCTTTGTAGATATCCATACAATAGAAAGCCCCAGCAGTTGATTCACAGTAGAACAAAGTGTTTTTGTCAAGCAAAGGAAATTCTACACGTAGATGAAATTTTATTGGCACACATAATTAAAAGATGGTGTAGGTAGGCATAAGTAAGGAAACCATAAGCAGACATAGTCAACATACTAGGTAAGTAAAACCAAATCCAGAAGGTTGTATTTAGTAATATTCATTTCAGATTTCCTTGGATAATTGTGGTTTGCCTTACATCTTTTGACTATGACACAGAGATTTTATTCACTTTTTAAAATATCTCCTAGAATGTAGCTTGAGTCAAACAGGAAAACATATTGCAGCATTCTCTCTTTTACCTCCCCCAAAGCACTGTAATATGGCTTTTGGAAATATTTCCTCGTTGTCCTTTAGTTTTTGGAATGATGTCTGAGATACTGCTGTATATAAATACAATGATAGTCCATATTTCCTGTAAGTTTGCCTATTCAGAAAGCTGCATTTACATACATGCTGAAACACAATCGCTGGTGATGTATCAACCAGAAATTTTATGTGTGAGCCTAAAAGGAAGTGTTGAGTCTTTCTCTACTTAAATAATTAGAAATTAAAAGTACCTCTTCTGCATTCTACAGTTTATGTAATATTAAAAGAAGGAATTTTGGCAAAGTAACTGAGGTTATCAGTTCAGTTCAATTTATAAATTCAGTGACATCAACTTGTCCCAGCAAAATAATCAGTAGATACTCCATCATCACCACTGTTTCTGTTTTCAAGCGGAGAGAAAAAAAATAAATTAATTGTATTATATGTTACAACCTTGGGTAAATTTTTTTTCTAAATTGGTGGGTATAGCACAGCAAATCAAAGGTTGATAACATAAAATAGTGGACTAAACTTCAGTTCTAAAAAGTTAACAAATCTTGGAGTCTGTTTGCTTAGTTGTAAAATGGGGATAATATTCTCACCTTTGAGTATCTCACACAGTTGCTGTAGGATTTATTTGAGAAAAAATATGCGTAAAGATGCTTTGGAAGTTATAAAACTGCATCCTAATACACAGTAAAATTATAAAATTTGATTTGAATGATACCAACTAGTTGGGGGTAAAATATGTTACATAAGAACTCCCTGAAAAAAGAAATCATGTGTCATGTCATGTTTGTCATCAAGGATGACAAGGTTTCAATTTGCCTAGGTCAGAAATGCTGTGGTTCTATTCCCTCAACAACAAATTACTTCTGCTTCGAGTACATGTTTTCCAAAAGCTAGAAAACACCCGTCAAAAGGTTACTTTCCAAACATAAAAAACAGGTTTACTTCAACACATTATGTCTGTAGGAAGAGTCAAATGAAACAAAACTATTGAATAATTTCCCAGAATAGAGTCATAGTATCCAAAATTTGGAACAGAATTGGATGATAGTTGTAGGTCAAGTCCCTTTGCAGGTATAAATCCCCCCTTTAAAGTGGAAAAGTATACAAATTGTGTAATATAGGTATAAATTACAGACTATACATGACTGGAATTTCAGAGGCATGTATGCAATATGAGTTTAGCATGGAGAGATAGCCAACTGGGTAAACATAATTGATCCATGCTGCTATGAAAGATAATCAAAGCTAAAGCTGATTGCCAGTTACACATTTAGATCTTTTATGCAGTGAATTATGATAAGCAGATAGAGATTTTTTTGTTTCAGGCATTTCCCCTAAAAACTATCCTACATAAGGAAATTTCCTTTATGAATATGCCAGTTACTGTGTCTATTACAGGTCTTCTAAAACATACTATTGTAGAATTTGTGAATAAATATAATGGATGGAAGCAAATTAATGTTTTAGAATGTAATAAATTTTAAAAGTCAACTTAACTGAGGTTTACTTTCAATACAATAAAATACATCCAAATTAAGTACAAACATATAAAGTTATGTGGCTACCACCAATGAAGATATTGAAGCTGTCTATCGCCTCAAAAGTTCTTTTGTACTCCTTACCAAAACCTCTGGCTCCAAGCAGCCATTGATCTGCAACCTACCACTATAAATTCAGTTTCTAGAATTTTGTAATAATAAACTTTTATAATATGCCTACTGTTGTTTCATTCTCTCAATATATTTTAGGATCACCTACGTTGCAAAATCAGCAGTTCTTTCTATTTTATTCTATTGTATGGAAATACTACAATATGTTTATCCTTTAGCCTGTTGGTGAACCATTTACAAATGTTTCTATTCCTTGATTATTACAAGTAAAGCTGCTACGTTCATTTGTATGCACATGTTTTCATTTCTCTTGAGTAAGAATGGAATATTCTAGGTCAAATTGTAAGTGTATGTTTAACTGCCAAACTGCAATCCAAACTGATTTTCCACTTTATACTCCCACCTAAATATGATAATTCAGGGTGTTGTATGTCCTCTCAAACATTCAGAATTGACATCTTTCTGGATCCATTATAGTTTCTGTGCAGTGTTATTACATTTTGATTTTTAAGTTCCACTCCCAGGTGGTTAATGATGCATTTTTCAGTGTTTATCGATCATTCATATATCTTTGGTTATTGTTGTCTACTCAAATCTCTTGCCCATTTTGTTATTGTGTTGTTTGACTTCTCACTATGGAGTTTGATTTTTTTTTTTTTTGGAGATGGATTATCGCTCTGTCACCCAGGCTGGAGTGCAGTGGCAAGATCTCAGCTCACTGCAAGCTCTGCCTCCTGGGTTCACGCCATTCTCCTGCCTCAGCCTCCTGAGTAGCTGGGACTACAGTCTCCCACCACCACACCTGGCTATTTTTTTGTATATTTTTAGTAGAGACGGGGTTTCACCGTGTTAGCCAGGATGGTCTCGATCTCCTGACCTTGTGATTCACCCACCTTGGCCTTCCAAAGTTCTGGGATTAGAGGTGGAGTTTGATTTTTTTTAAACATGTCCAGTAAAGTCTTTTGTAAAATTCTTTGTCTTTCTCTCTTACTCTTCCTCTCTGACCATATCTATATTTATCCATCTATATCTACACAGTTATAAAAATACAAACTCACAAAACTCAAGAAACCCTAAGCAACATAACACAAGTAAGCCACAAGACAAGTCAGGGAGATAGGAAGACCACAGGGTTTGAAGAGTACAGGGCAGTACAGGGCTCCACAGCATGTCCAGGCTGCTTTGTGAACAGCCCTGCAGCTTGGGTCATAAGATCTTGCAGGACCTGTATTCTTGCAGGTGTCAATGGTGGTTGCAGTGTGGCACACATGGCAATTCTCAGTGAAAGAATTACAACACCAGCTCCTGGGATTCTGAAACAAAGCCATGCCCTCCATAGCAGAGAATTATATGTTGGAACAAGGGGAGATGCTGTGCTTGATAAGTTACCATGCTTCTGGCGCTACCTCTTGCAGGCTGAGTTCTATTGGAACCACCAAGTCATGATACCAGAAGGGAAAAGAAGTAGTTCATCATGAGGTGGAAATACTAAATATGAGACAAAGGCCAAGCAAGATGAGAGCAAGTGGATAAGTTGAATAGCAGGTAACCCAGATCCTCATGTCACCCATCATGTTTGCACCAGCAACCTTCCTTCAGCTCACACCTGTGACTGCATTTGTGTCCCTGTGGCCATCTGAAGGAGGGAGAAAGGGGCAATCTCTGTTTAAAGGTGTAGTTGCATTGCAGCCCAATGCAAGAATGACTCTGAAAGACAGAAGGAAATTAAAATATTCCCTATTAGCAGCACTGGGAGCAGTGGCCCTGGCCATTGACTTTACATAGAAGAAACATGGCCTAAGGCAGGAATATAAACAGATTTCTTTGCCATAGTCAGTGGGTGAATCTTCTGGTCAGAGGCTTAGATAGAAAAGAACTGAAATATCTGAGACAAGGAAGCTGGGTTAGAAGCATATGAGTGGACATGCAGGAGCAGGCACGGAGTGTAAAGAATCTTGTATTGCATGTTAACACTCACAAGAAAGCACTCATCACAGAAGAGGCACTCAATAACCAATCAGACAAAATGACTTGACAAGCTGCCAGCCTTGGAGATTGGCTTTTCCACAACAAGCACAACAGTCACACATATGCAGTCACTCATATGACCATGTTGGCAGAGATGGACAATACATATGGGCCCCACAGCCTGGACTTCTATGTATCAAGGTTGATCTAACTACTGCTGCCTCTGACTGTCCTACTTTTCAACAGCATACATCAATAATGAGACTCTTATATGGCAAGTCTTTTGACCTTGAATGACCACCTTTTCATCCTCAGAGGGATATATCCTTATTCCAGGGCTGGGTTTGGCAATTCTGTTCACAGAGCCTGAGCCAGGACCACTTTTCTGAGGCTTCCAGAATTCCTGATCCACAGGCATAAAATCCCACATGTTATAGCATCTGACCAGGGTTCCTTGTTCACAGCAAAGGATGGGCAGAAGTGGGTCCATGACCATATAATCTACTATTTGTATTACATACACTCTTCAAGAAGCAGCTAGACTCATGGAGCCCTGGAAAAACATTCTAAAGATGCAACTGAGGCACTATGCTAAAGGAGACATTCTGAATGCAGGGGGCACCATCTTTTATACATATTCTATCACAAATCTTTATATAGTAGCTCTTGTGCCATAGGAAGAATCTACAGGTTCAGAAAACAAGAGGTAGAAACAGGAATGTCCCTAATTACAAATGCTCCCAATAATCTTCTCAGGTTTTCCTGTGCTTCTCATCACTGCAGCTCTGGGATCTGGAAGGCAGGCAAGTCCTGCTCTCTAAAGAAGGTTATCTGTTGGGTGCTTTAGATTCCTTAGGTCCAGTAACCAAAAGACAAGAAATACGTCACCACTGGGGCAGGATGAATACACCCTGATTAGCAGGAGGAGGTAGGGCTACTTTTCTACAAAAGAAGCAGAGATAATTTCTCTCTCTCTCTCTCTCTCACACACACACACTCACACACACACACACACTCCCCACTACCATACTCTCTCTCTCTCTCTTTCTCTCCCCCTCACACAACTGGGCATTCAAAGGCAGTTCTGAGACCAACTGCTATAGCATGGGCTAGACTTGGTCTCATTAACCTTTCTTTTCTAAGATTCCTCTTGGAAAAGAGAGGATCATGGGAATTTTGGAAGAGCTGGTATGAAGAACCTGTTTGGACAAATATGTGTGTGCTGTGGTGGGGTTAGGAGGTGGGGATAATGGATTTTAATGACCAAGGAAATTTGCAGTGCAGATATCCTGACTCAGACAGCATAAGTCAGCGACAGCCTGGCTTTAGCCCTCTGTCTCTGGAAGCACTTCTACACTTGTGCAGCAGTCATGTTTCCAACAGTCATAGAGCTACATGGGGATTGTATGTGAGGACGTTTCCAGTGAGTTGTGAGAGTCTCCAATGAGTAATTTTAATTTAAGGAGTCCGCAGTGACCTAGGCCAAAGCATTCTTGGAACCATGCTGCAGTCTCTTTCTACCCCAATCAGCCTTCCTTCCCTCTTTCCCTCTACAGGTGTACGATCTGCACCCTAGTCTGAAGACTCTACCCACCTTCTCCTGCTTCCTCCTTCTTCCCTCTTGCAAATTTAATTCCATGGTGGTGTTTGCCCTTAGCAGATCTAAACATTAACTCAAGTCATATGATCAGATAAGATGAAAAATGACTAAAAATGTCATTCATGACATGTGAGTGGTGAGCTCTGCCTGGCAGTAGGAAGGAGAGAATTCTGATAGAAATTAATTTGGAAAAAACGATGCTGCACATCCCAGCAAATACCATCCCATCTTATCTCTGCTAGGAATATTTTTTGTAACACACATATAATTCACTTTTGCTTTATGAAGTAAATTTCTATTTTAAGAATACAGCAGCAATTTGAGTGCTGTTCACAGCTACTGTGAACTGAAATTTGAGGTTGGCTATAGAAGAAGGCCAATGACAGACGGGTTAGTAGAACAAAATGGATATAAATAGGAAAAAGTGAAAAATCAGTAAGACAGTATGTTGGAAAGGAGTACAGTAGTTGGAAGAATTAATGATTCAATATTTCTATAAAGAGTCTCCATTTAGATGATTCAAAGAGTATCCATGAAGAAATGCACATTTTATTGAATATACAGAAGTGTGATTAGTGGCGAAGGAAGGTGAATTCTGTTTGTTATATGACTATGACATGTAGAGAACTTCTCATTCAAGTTGAGTGTGCAAAAATATTACAAAACATGTGGAGAATTAACTATTAGAGAGATAATGAAATAATTATACAAAGAAACCTCCTAGAGATGAATTCACCACAGCAAATATGAGAAATATTATAGCAAACTAAATTTTCCTTTTAAGTGAGTACACTTAGAATTCTCAACTGGCTTTTTAAGAAGAAAACATCCAGGGCCAGGCATGGTGGCTCACGCCTGTAATCCCAGCACCTTGGGAGGCTGAGATGGGTAAGTCATCTGAGGTCGGGAGTTCAAGACCAGCCTGGCAAACACCGTGAAACCCCATCTCTACTAAAAATTCAAAAATTAGCAGGGCACGGTGGTGGGTGCATGTAATCCCAGCTACTCAAGAAGCTGAGGCAGAAGAACTGCTTGACCCCAGGAGGCAGACTTTGTAGTGAGCCAAGATGGCATCATTGTACTCCAACCTGGGCAACAGAGTGAGCCTCTGCCAAAAAAAAGAATAAAATTCATCAAAAAGAATCGAAGACTTAAAAATAAAAACAGACGCCTGGTGTGGTGGCTCACTCCTGTAATTCCAGCACTTTGGGAGGACGAGTTGGGTGGATCACAAGGTCAGGAGATGAAGACCATCCTGGCTAACACAGTGAAACCCTCTCTCTAATAAAAATACAAAAAAATTAGCCCAGCATGGTGGCGGGCACCTGTAGACCCAGCTACTCGGGAGGCTGGGGCAGGAGAATGGCGTGAACCTGGGAGGCAAAGCTGGCAGTGAGCTGAGATCGCGTCACTGCACGCCAGCCTGGGCGACAGAGGTAGACTCCATCTCAAAAAAAAAAAAAAAATATATATATATATATATAAATAAAAACAGGCAAAAGTCCAGGCGTAGTGGCTTACGCCTGTAATCCTAACACTTTGGGAGGCCAAGGTGGGTGGATCACCTGAGGTCAGGACTTCAAGACCAACCTGGCCAACATGGCGAAACCATAACTGGGAATGGTGGCGGGTGCCTGCAATCCCAGCTACTCCAGAGGCTGAGGTAAGAGAATTGATAGAACTCTGGGGGATTGCAGTGAGCAGAGATCACGCCATTGCACTCTGCCCGGGGCAACAGAGTAAGACTCTGGGAAAAAAAAAAAAAGCAGGCAAAAAAGAACAAAGTAAAGATTGATATAAAAAATTAAAAGCAGCCAGGCGTGGTGGCTCACACCTGTAATCCCAGCACTTTGGTAGGCTGAGGCGTGTGGATCATGATATCAGGAGTTCTAGACCAGGCTGACCAACATAATGAAACCCCGTCTCTACTAAAAATTCAAAAATTAGCCGAGTGTGGTGGCGCTTGCCTGTAATTCCAGCCACTCAGGAGGCTGAAGCAGGAGAGGAGGCTGAGGCAGGAGGAGAGTCACTTGAACCCAGGAGTAGGAGGTTGCAGTGAACCGAGATCATGCCACTGCACTTCAGCCTGGGTGACAGAGCAAGACTCCATCTCAAAAAAGGAAAAAAAAATTAAAATCTCTAGAAGTGAAAATTATATAAAAAAGAAGTGTAAATGCAATAAACACAAAGAATTAGTCAATTGGGAGATAATGATGAATTTATCCAGATAAAAGGATTTAAAAGTCAGAAAGACCAGTCAAGAAAGTCCCCAACACATGTATGATAGGAATTTCAAAAAGAGTCCAAAGAGAATGGAGAAGCCATATTTAAGGACAGTATTCATCCACTCAGCAAACACTCACTAAGGGCCCACTTTGATGACGTTTCCATTCTAATGGTAGAGAATACTTATACACAAGAAAACACTGGCAATGCCTTCACTATTTGTATACTTTACATGATGCCATAAAATTTCCATTGCAGAGGAAAGACTTGAGGACTCTAATTTAAAGTATAAAACAAGTGCTGGGCAGAAGAAATAAAAATGAATCCATATCCAGACACATTGATGACTCTGAGTTTTAGTGTTTACAAAGCAGTTCTTTAAAATTAATTTTCAGTAAGAGGATGTGTATATCACCTTCACTGTTTTCCTTTTTGTTTTGATCTATTCCTCTTGCTTATTCTAGTTTGAAATGATTTCTTCAAAAAAAGTCTTATCCATTTATGAATCAATTTATATCTTTCATTTTCTAGATTATAATTTTTACTTTTCGTTATTAATGTCCTTCCATTAGGTATGTTTTTTGATCCTGTATTTACTTACTGACATGAATGATTAACTCATTTATCTTCTCTGGCTTAGTAAAAAAAAAATTGAAAATCTTGAAATTATATATGTTTCTTATTATCTTTCTTAATTATATTGTGTGTAGAGAGGTTTGTTAACTTTTCCAAAAAGTCGATTATTTATTTATAGGTTAGTTGTTTCTTCTTATAGTAATTTCACTTGGAGGATAAATGTTAAAATTTGAAGCACAATAACTTTTTGTTGACCTTTAAAAAAGTATATTTTTATTTGAAAGGTACAGTGTTGGATATTTTTACTAAAATAACATAATTATTTACACACTGTCTTATCTAATTACCTGTTTTAGTTCCTATGAACCTTATTATAAACCAGCAATATTTCTTCTGGCCTATGTATAAGCTTTTATTTTTATATTTAAATAAAGCTATTTAATGAAAGAAATACCATTGTGTATTTTTAAATTATAGACAGTAGATTTACTCAAACAAAAATTTCTTCTCTCTTCTAGTTGATAAACTTATTTCTGATTCGCATTTCTCTAGTTTATGTATCTACAATGACAGTTGTTTCCTATACTAGTGTAATCATTTCTGCATACACTGAGGGTGTCTTATTTACAATATGACATGTAAAATATTTTAACAAGAGTTATTGTTTTCCAATTGTATAGTTTTTATTATTTTCATTTTTCTTGTTGAAGATGCTTATTCTCTCTTTTTCTCTTTCATAATTTACTATACCTTCATCTTTCTTTCTTCCTTTCTTTCTTTCTTTCTTTCTTTCTTTCTTTCTTTCTTCTTTTTTTTTTGAGACAGAGTCTCCCTCTGTCGCCCAGGCTGGAGTGAAGTGGCGCGATCTTGGCTCACTGCAAGCTCTGCCTCCCGGGTTCACACCATTCTCCTGCCTCAGCTTTCTGAGTAGCTGGGACTACAGGCATCCGCCACCATGCCCGGCTAATTTTTTGCATTTTCAGTAGAGACGGGGTTTCACTGTGTTAGCCAGGATGGTCTCCATCTCCTGACCTCGTGATCTGCCCGCCGTGGCCTCCCAAATTGCTGGGATCACAGGCATGAGCCACCACGCCCAGCCTTTTTTTTTTTCTTAGACAGTTTTTGCTCTGTTGCCCCAGGCTGCAGTCCAGCAGTGAGATCTAGCCTCACTTCAACCTCAGCCTCCAGGTTCAAGCAATTTTCCTGCCTCAGCCTCCCGATTAGCTGGGATTACAGGCGCCCACCACCATGCACAGCTAATTTTTGTATTTTTAGTAGAGACGACGTTTCGCCATGTTGGCTAGGCTTGTCTCGAAATCCTGACCTCAGGTGATGCACCCAGCTCAGCCTCCCAAAGTACTGGAATTAGGGGCATGAGACACCGTGCGCGGCCCAGTCCTTGTATTTTTAAGGTTTCATTTGTGTATTTTCTTTAGGAAAATATTTCAATAATTTATCACTGCAATTAGCTGAAGTTATAAAATTACTTCCGGATTTGGGAAGATTATACCTTAGCATGGCAAAGGATTAGAAATAATAGCTAGCAGCTGGGTGCAGTGGCTCACGCCTGTAATCCCAGCACCATGGGAGGCAGAGGCGGGCAGATCAGAAGGTCAAGAGACATAGACCATTTTGGCCAAAATGGTGAAACCCCATTTCTACTTAAAAAATAAAATTTAAAAAAAAATTAGCTTGGCGTGGTGGTGCATGCCTGTAATCCCAGCTACTCAGGAGGCTGAGACAAGAGAACTGCTTGAACTCGGGAGGCAGAGGTTGCAATGAGCCAAGGTTGTGCCGCTGCAGTGCAGCCTGGAGACACAGCAAGACTCCATCTCAAATAAATAAATGAATAAATAAATAAATAAATAAATAAATAATAGCTAACTTTTTCTATCTGCCAGGCACTATGCTACTTTGCATGAAGATGATAATTTCGAAACTAAACACAGAAGAGCAAGTGTAAAAGAAGTAATTTCTTTCTTTCTTTTATTTTCTTTTCTTTTTTTTATTTTTTGTTTGAGACAGTCTCGCTCTGTCGTCCAAGCTGGAGTGCAGTGGCAGGATCTCGGCTCACTTCAACCGCCATCTCCTGAGTTCAAGCAATTCTCCTGCCTCAGCTTCATGAGTAACTGGGATTACAGGCATCCACCACCAGAGACGGATAATTTTTTTTTGTATACTTTTATTTAATTCGGCTTAGGTTATTTGTTTATTAGTAGTAGCTTTGCATCTATGGGATTGTTGTATAAAATAAATGGCTTAAATATGTAGGATATTTAAAAGTCATTCTTTCTGCATTTGAGATTTTGAGGCTTTAAAGAGGGCATTATATGGGTAGAGACACAACCAAAAAAGAGAATTTTAGGCCAATATCCTTGATGAACATTGATGCAAAAATCCTCAATAAAATACTGGCAAACCGATTCCAGCAGCACATCAAAAAGCTTATCCACCACGATCAAGTGGGCTTCATCCCTGGGATGCAAGGCTGGTTCAATATATGCAAATCAATAAATGTAATCCAGCATATAAACAGAACCAAAGTCAAAAACCACATGATTATCTCAATAGAAGTAGAAAAGGCCTTTGACAAAATTCAACAACCCTTCATGCTAAAAACTCTCAATAAATTAGGTATTGATGGGACGTATTTCAAAATAATAAGAGCTATCTATGACAAACCCACAGCCAATATCATACTGAATGGGCAAAAACTGGAAGCATTCCCTTTGAAAACTGGCACAAGACAGGGATGCCCTCTCTCACCACTCCTATTCAACATAGTGATGGAAGTTCTGGCCAGGGCAATCAGGCAGGAGAAGGAAATAAAGGGTATTCAATTAGGAAAAGAGGAAGTCAAATTGTCCCTGTTTGCAGATGACATGATTGTATAACTAGAAAACCCCATTGTCTCAGCCCAAAATCTCCTTAAGCTGATAAGCAACTTCAGCAAAGTCTCAGGATACAAAATCAATGCACAAAAATCACAAGCATTCTTATACACCAAGAAAAGACAAGCAGAGAGCCAAATCATGAGTGAACTCCCATTCACAATTGCTTCAAAGAGAATAAAATACCTAGGAATCCAACTTACAAGGGATGTGCAGGACCTCTTCAAGGAGAACTACAAACCACTGCTCAAGGAAATAAAAGAGGATACAAACAAATGGAAGAACATTCCATGCTCATGGGTAGGAAGAATCAATATCGTGAAAATGGCCATACTGCCCAAGGTAATTTACAGATTCAATGCCATCCCCATCAAGCTACCAATGACTTTCTTCACAGAATTGGAAAAAAACTACTTTAAAGTTCATATGGAACCAAAAAAGAGCCCGCATCACCAAGTCAATCCTAAGCCAAAAGAACAAAACTGGAGGCTTCACACTACCTGACTTCAAACTATACTACAAGGCTACAGTAACCAAAACAGCATGGTACTGGTACCAAAACAGAGATATAGATCAATGGAACAGAACAGAGCCCTCAGGAATAACGTCGCATATCTACAACTATCTGATCTTTGACAAACCTGAGAAAAACAAGCAATGGGGAAAAGATTCCCTCTTTAATAAATGGTGCTGGGAAAACTGGCTAGCCATATGTAGAAAGCTGAAACTGGATCCCTTCCTTACACCTTATACAAAAATCATTTCAAGATGGATTAAAGACTTAAACGTTCAACCTAAAACCATAAAAACTCTAGAAGAAAACCTAGGCATTACCATTCAGGACATAGGCATGGGCAAGAACTTCATGTCTAAAACACCAAAAGCAATGGCAACAAAAGCCAAAATTGACAAATGGGATCTAATTAAACTAAAGAGCTTCTGCACAGCAAAAGAAACTACCACCAGAGTGTACAGGCAACCTACAAAATGGGAGAAAATTTTCACAACCTACTCATCTGACAAAGGGCTAATATCCAGAATCTACAATGAACTCAAACAAATTTACAAGAAAAAAACAACCCCATCAAAAAGTGGGCAAAGGACAGGAACACACTTCTCAAAAGAAGACATTTATGCAGCCAAAAAACACATGAAAAAATGCTCATCATCACTGGCCATCAGAGAAATGCAAATCAAAACCACAATGAGATACCATCTCACACCAGTTAGAATGGCAATCATTAAAAAGTCAGGAAACAACAGGTGCTGGAGAGGATGTGGAGAAATAGGAACACTTTTACTTTGTTGGTGGGACTGTAAACTAGTTCAACCACTGTGGTAGTCAGTGTGGCAATTCCTCAGGGATCTAGAACTAGAAATACCATTTGACCCAGCAATCCCATTGCTGGGTATATACCCAAAGGACTATAAATCATGCTGCTATAAAGACACATGCACACGTATGTTTATTGCGGCATTATTCACAATAGCAAAGACTTGGAACCAACCCAAATGTCCAACAATGATAGACTGGATTAAGAAAATGTGGCACATATACACCATGGAATACTATGCAGCCATAAAAAATGATGGGTTCATGTCCTTTGTAGGGAGATGGATGAAATTGGAAATCATCATTCTCAGTAAACTATTGCAAGAACAAAAAACCAAACACTGCATGTTCTCACTCATAGGTGGGAATTGAACAATGAGAACACATGGACACAGGAAGGGGAACATCACACTCTGGGGACTGTTGTGGGGCGGGGGGAGGGGGGAAGGATAACATTGGGAGATATACCTAATGCTAGATGACAAGTTAGTGGGTGCAGTGCACCAGCATGGCACATGTATACATATATAACTAACCTGCAGATTGTGCACATGTACCCTAAAACTTAAAGTATAATAATAATAATAATAATAATAATAATAATAAAATAAGTACTTCACCAAAAAAATAAATAAATAAAGAGGGCATTATAAAATGCCTCATGGAAAAAATATTATTTTAACAATTATTAAAGTAAAATAAAAATTTGTAACTCATAAAGACACACTTCATTTTTATCCTGTATTTTTTTTTTTACAAATGGGTCTTGAATATTTTAAGATAAAATTTTAAAAAATCAAGTAATTTTAATTCAGAAATTTCAAAAAAATAAAACCCTGAATCCAATTCAAATTTCACTTACTTGAAAATTCTCACTTATATAAATTTATTTATATAAACGTGATATAACCAATAAAGATATACAGTAGAGTCATTGTTAATTTGGGTAAAAAAATTTTAAATACAATGCAAACTTGTATTATCTCCATATGTATGTATGTACACATGTACACATATATGAATATTTACATATATATTTGCATACACACACCATATATATACCTGTGTATAAATGAATAAAAAAGGAATATCAGTTGGCCTCTACTACAACAGTTGAAGGCCCATTGCACAATGGTCAGAACAGAGGCGACATCGGAATGCAACTTAAAATTTCCAAGATGACTTGAATTGTATCTGAATTTCTAACAGGGCATAGAGAAATTAAAATCTTGTTTAATTATGCTTCTTTGTTTATTACTGGGAGAGCCTCACATGCAAAGCAGATCAGGATATTCTCTTACCAAATGTGTTAATTAACAGTCAGTTCATAATGTAAGGGTGACTCAAATAGCAGATTCAATATCAAACAGGAAGGGCTTTTGTAACCCGTTCTATTTTCGGTCAACCACAAACCACCCACCCCTGCTGAAATAAAAACTTAAAAGGCAGGTGGAGGAAAATATGTTCTAGACCAAGGGGTAGGTACCGGGTCTGCAAAAGACATAGTGTGCCACCCACAAACACACAAGTTCAAGGAGCGTGGCTCAATCCTTCAGAAAATTGGTTCTAACTTTCAAATCATTAGAGATCTTCTTTATAAAAGATATAGCAAACAAAAACACAAAATATACCCCTCTAAGATTATTAGGAAGTTAAAAAAAAGTGACTTGTAACTTTTAATAAATAGCTAGGGAGGTAAGCTTGTTCATTTCTGAGATTCACAACTTTTATAAAGGCGCTCTATTAATACTTGAATTGTGCTGTGTTCAATAGAAGCAATGAGACATAAGCCATACTGAGAGAAGAAAAAAATTTAACAAGAAAATCTAATGCTGTTTAATTTCTTTAAACATTTATTAATTTCTGAATGCTATGTGATTGCTTTCATATTAATTTTTCAGTAGAGAAATTGAATACAATTGAATACAATTTCTCAGTTGAGAAATTAAATACAATGGATTTTAGTGTGATGACATACTTGATAGGATAATTTTAAAATCATTATTTTAATTAGATATAATACTTTTAGGTAGAATAATAAAAATAAAGGAAAACCGATTTTCTTTAAATTCCATCAATTATTTCTTTCTCACAATAATTAATATGTAATTTACCAATGATGTAGTAGATTAATACCAAATTCTCTTACTTTTGGTTTCATCAAAAAATGATGAACATTTTTCTCTGATAGATGTTTAGTTACTTTCAGATGGCTTGTAATCTTGTATTTTCAACATTGAAGATTTTTTTTCACATATTGATACCAATCATTTTATGATATATCTGATTTTATAATTATGTATTCATTGTTTTCAAATGAGAGTTATGGTTGCATACTGTAAGAATTATAATAGAGGAAGTTATCTGGTGCTCCAGGAATTTAAATAAGAGAAGATATAAAGATCTCAGCCTTTGTATCAATATTTTAATTGGATCCTGAAAAATGAATGAAGATAGACAGAAAACAAGTAAAAAATGGTCTAAGCAGATGGAATAGAAGGAATAAAAGGAGAGTAATAGAAAAGTGTGTGTGTCTTTGAAGGAACATAACCTGTTCTGGGTGTGGCTACAGCACAGGTTTGTGAAGGAAAATGTTAAATGATTGAGGAGAATGTCTCTCAATATCAGTGATTTTGTATTTTACCCTTCAATGATGGGACATAAGTAAACAATTTTTAAAAACATAGTGGGTGTGTGTGTATATAAATATATAGCATATATATATAGTATATAGCATGTCTATACTTATACTATATACATACATGTAGTGTGTATGTATATATGTATATATAGTATATATATATACTTATTTTCATTCTAGATAGAAGTTTTTGAGATGCAGTTAGAAGAAAAAGTCAGAAAGAATAGTCAAGATTATTCCAGCAGTACAGGCATGATGTGATGAATGACTAAATAAAAACATTAGCAGCAACACAGAAGAGAAATGGCAGAATAGAAAGGTAATTCAAGGTAGAAACAGCTGAACTTAATAATTCATTTAGAAGGAAGAGTCAAGGTATATATACTCTAAATTTTCTTGGCGACTGGCTTGATATTATCATCATTAGCTGAGATGGGCAATGCTTTAAAAGAAATAGATTTATTTGCCAAAATATAAAATGTGTTTATGGCTATGTCAAATTTGAGATGTAGGTGGTGAAGACAGAGGGGGAGAATCAGTTGACATTTCAAAATATAGGTTTGGAACCTACAGGAAAATATTGGAGTAAAAAAAATAAAGAAAGAAAATCAAACGTCAAAGGAAATGCTGGAAGTGTGGGAATGGATAAAAGGAGCACAGGAAAAGTGTGCAGAGCATTGTTACCTAAAGTGCTGTGGGAATTTTATACGCATATGAATACAACTCGCAAAACACACAAATATTTTTGCTTCCCTGCATCATTTACTGGAGTCTTTTACATACAAATTCTGAAGTATAAGGTATGCAGAATTTTCTAAGCGTATCATAGAATTCCATTCCAAGAATACATTTCAGGAAAACTCTTGTCAATCAGGGAAACATTGGTGCAGAATAGTAAGAAAAGAAATACCCATTAAGACTAGTACTTACACAGTGGACATGAAAAAACTAGGCAGCAAGGAGTTATTAAAAAGAAAGCATGGGCTGGGCATTGTGGCTCATGCCTGTAATCCCAGCACTTTGGGAGGCCGAGGCTGGCGGATCACCTGAGGTTGGGAGTTTGAGACCAGCCTGACCAACATGAAGAAACCCCATCTCTACTAAAAATACAAAATTAGCTGGGCATGGTGGCACATGCTTGTAATCGCAGCTACTCGGGAGGCTGAGGCAGGAGAGTCTCTTGAACCTGGGAGGCGGAGGTTACAGTGAGCTGAGATCACACTGTTGCACTCCAGCCTGGGTGAAAAGAGGGAAACTTCGTCTCAAAAAAAAAAAAAAGAAAAAAGAAAAAAAAGAAAGAAAAAAAAAAGAAAAAAGAAAAAAATGAAAGCATGGGGCCAACATTGAGTGGTCTTAAGGAAGCCAAGGTAGAAGGAAATTTAAAGAAGGAAATGAGAAGCAATGCAGAATGTTTAGAAAGGTGAATTAGGAAGCTCCCATAAATATTCTCACTATGTATTATAGGGAATTCATTTATAACTTCAAAAATACCACTCAAAAAAGATGGTAATTGTTGGAATGAGATTTCAATGGGTGAAAGAGGCTGGGCACAGTGGCTCATGCCTGTAATCCCAGCACTTTGGGAGGCCGAGGTGGATGGATCACGACATCAGCAGTTCAAGACCAGCCTGGCCAAGATGTGAAACCCTATCTCTACTAAAAATACAAAAATTAAACGAGCATGGTGTTGGGCGCCTGTAATCCTAGCTACTTGGGAGGCTGAGACAGGAGAATCACTTGAACCCGGGAGGTGGAGGTCGCAGTAAGCCAAGATGATGCCACTGCACTCCAGCCTGGGTGACAGAGCAAGAGAAAGAAAAGAGAAGAGAAGAAAGAAAAGAAGGACGGAAGGGATTTTAAAAAGAGATGAGAAGTCAGTATACTGCTTTGGAGGAAGTGTAATTTATGATTGTGGCTATAACTTGCTATGATGGAAACAGCAACACACCACTGGATTTCAACTTTTGAGTGCTTAAGAAGGTGGAGATGGTGATTAAAATAATAATAATAATAACAATAATAATAATAATGCTAAGTGTGTAATAGTTGCTAAGTGTGTGGTGTCTGAACCCAGGATATCAGGATGTCTGGAACTGGGATTGAATCCCAGCTCTTCCACTTTCTGGTTATGTGAGTGACTGTAGGCAAATTACTTAATCTTTTAATGCTCCAGTTTCCCATATGCAAAATGAGAATTATAATAGTAAACTACTTCATGGCTTGTGAGGATGAAGTGCATGTAGAGTACTTAGTGAGTTCTCTTTGTGTATTATGTATTTGTTTCCAAATGCAGATTCTAGAGCCCTTAGATTCTCATTCAATAAGTATGAGGCAAGCACGGGCCAGGATTCTGCATTCTTTAAGGAGGTGTAATTTCCTACATCTGCTGTGACAAAGTGGTTCACATTAGGTCGCTTAAAATGAGATAAAGTTGTTCTTTTACGGTTCAGGAAGCTAGAAATCTTAAATGAAGGAGTTAGCAGTGCTGCATTTTTCTCTGAAGGACCTGGGAAAAAATCCTTTCTTGCTTCTTCTAGCACCGGGTGATCACTGAGCTTCATTGTCATTGCTTGGCTGGAGGATACCTCACTTTATTCTCTACCTCCATCCTCCCATGGCCATCTCCTCCCTGCGTCTCTGTTTCCTCTTCCCTTCTTATGAGGATATCAACCATATTGAATTATGGCCCACTCTAATGCATTATGAGCTCATCTAGCATATCATAATTATACAGCATCTGCAAATAATTTGATTTCAAATTAAGTCATACTCACAGACATCAGGGGCTAGAACTCTAATATATATATTTTCTTTTTGAAGACACAATCTAACCCACAAAAGGAGGGGAGCCCCTTAAGATCATAAATAACTCAAGTAACAAGACTGTGTGTTTAAAATAGCATTTAAATTTCTCCAAATGGCAGACAGCTTAATTCAGATCAATATCAATCAGGAGATAAACAAGTGTTTGTCTCTTGATTGGCATTTACCTGAGATTAAAACATTATGGTAAAATACATTATCTTCAGTGATCTTTGGTTTAGGTGAGCATTCACAAGGCATACAATTATTATCACTTGAGCCATCTCTCTCTAATAACTCTTTTCTAATCTGCTGGCCAACAATATCAGGTTCTTTCAAATCTCTGATTATTGGACCAAACCATAAGGTCCTCCAGGTGAATTGGTAGAAATAATTTTTACAAAGGTAAATGAAATTTTATTTACTTGATGGATTTCTCTTCTCCTCTGTACAAAGGGGTGACCCTTTGACAGCACAGGGAAAGAACATGATAGAAATAGACTTTCAGAAGGAAGGGCCTTCCATAACAAGGAATGCCATCTGTAATCCAGACTTTTTTCTCCTCAGGAATCCAGTCATAGGCAAATCTCTATGAATCACAGATAAACAGAAAGAAGGGTGGGAGTGTGTCAGGAGTAGGATGCTGAAAATGTGAGTAGCCTGTTCATTAATTGATCCCTTGGAAACTGAGAAGGCAACGTGGCATACATGCAATATCCATGGAATGATGGAAGACTGGTTGTAGTTAGTATGATCCTATAATGCTCAGATCACAATGGGGTCACCCTTATTCATGATTGAGCCTTCCTTCTTATTAGTATCCCAATGTGAAATTGTTTCTCAAAAAAGGAGGGGGGTGGGTAATTTTTGTACAAAAGGCTTTTACTCCAAAATAAAGTGGCTTCTACTGTATTTCTCCTCTGGAGCCTTGCCGCTGGCTCCGTAGGAAAATTCTGCCTCTCATAGATACCTGAGGCATTGGATTCCCTAAACAAAATTGTAGATCCACTTGTACTGCAGGCCTCTGTAGTCCAAAGCATTTCTCTTTCTCTGAGTCCCACTCACAGCTGACATCATTCTTGACATTTGCATTTTATTTGGAATACACACCCAAATATGTTTTATGTTGCCTCTAACATTCAGAAGAGCCTCTAACAGTCTTCCTTTCCCTATCCCTTCCTTCCATTTGAAAGATGTTTGCTCCACATCACTTTCTACTGCATTCTTAGACTCCCTGAAGGTAGGAAACCCACATTTTTGTCATTTGCTCGATATGTCTTTCCTGAAGTCTATGGTAGCTGCTATTTTTCTCTAGAGCGTATCAACCGGTTGCTGTCCATGTAATCCATAAGTTATGTCCGTTTGGCTAGTGACATGGCCAGGGTTCCTGAGTACAAAATTATGACACAGACAAAAATAGCTATACTTCTACAGCTAAATAGTGAAGACACTCTGCCTGGAAAAAGTAAGAAATTTCAGGTATTTACCATTTATTTAAGATACAGAAAAATAATTTGCCTCAATGTATAGCAGGAAAAGGAGATAAGTGTATTCACTAAAGCAAGGAGACTATATCTGGATTTTAAATGTGTGCCCTCAGATAGGATTCCAGTACACAGTGGCTGGATTCTGAGTGTTTGTCCCTCACACAGGATTACAGAACACTGCTATGAGGTTCTGAATGGAAAAGGAAATATCTTCACATAAAGACAAGAAAGAAGCATTCTGAGTAACTTCTTTGTGATGTGTGCATTCACCTCACAGAGTTGAACTTTTCTTTTGATTTAGCACTTTTGAAACACTCTTTTTGTAGTGTCTGCAAGTGGATATTTGGAACGCTTTACAGCCTGTGGTGGAAAGTAAATATCTTCACATCAAAACCAGACAGAAGCATTCTGAGAAACTCCTCTGTGATCTGTGCATTCATCTCACAGAGTTGAACGTTTCTCTTGATTGAGCAGTTTTGAAACACTCTTTTTGTAGAATCTGCAAGTGGATATTTTGAGCGCTTTGGGGCCTATGGTGGAAAAGGAAATATCTTCACATAAAAACTAGACAGAAGCATTCTGAGAAACTTCTTTGTGATATGTGCATTCAACACACAGAGTTGAAATATTCTTTTGATTGAGCAGTTTTGAAACACTCCTTTTGTAGTATCTGCAAAGTTGGAGGGCTTTGGGACCTCTAGAGGAAAGGGAAATATCTTCACTTAAAAACTAGACAGAAGCATTCTGAGAAACTTCTTTGTGATGCGTGCATTCATCTCACAGAGCTGAACATTTCTTTTGATTGAGCAGCTTTGAAACACTCTTTCTGTAGAATCTGCAAGTGGACATTGGGAGCGATTTGAGGCCTATGGTGGAAAAGGAAACATCTTCACATAAAAACTACACAAAAGCCTTCTGAGAAACTTCTTTCTGATGTGTGCATTCATCTCACAGAATTGAACCTTTCTTTTGATTGAACAGTTTTGAAACACTTCTTTTGAAGAATCTGCATGTGGATATTTAGATCAGTTTGGGGCCTGTGGTGGAAAAGGAAATATTTTCAAATAAAGACTACACAGAAGAGTTCTGAGAAAGTTCTTTGTGATGTGTGCATTCAACTCACATAGTTGAAGATTTCTTTTGATTGAGCAGTTTTGAAACAATCTTTTTCTAGTATTTGCAAGTGGATATTTGGAACGGTTTGAGGCCTATTGTGGAAAAGGAAATATCTTCAAATAAATACTAGACAGAAGCATTCTGAGAAACTTCTTTGGGGTGTGTGCATTCATCTCACAGAGTTGAAACTTTGTTTTGATTGAGCAGTTTGGAAACACTCTTTTTGTAGAATCTGCAAGTGGATACTTGGAGTGCTTTGAGCCCAGTGGTGGAAAAGGAAGTATCTTCAATTAAAAACTAGACAGAAGCATTCTGAGAAACTTCTTTGTGATGTGTGCATTCAACTCACAGGGTTTAAACTTTCTTTTGATTGAGGAGTTTGGAAAATTTCTTTTTGTAGAATCTGCAAGTGGATATTTGTAGCGCTTTGTGGCCTATAGTGGAAAAGGAAATATCTTCACATAAAAACTAGACAGAAGCCTTCTGAGAAACTCCTTTGTGATGTGTGCATTCATGTCTCAGAGATGAACCTTTCTTTTGATTGAGCAGTTTTGAAACACTCTTTTTGTAGAATCTGCAAGTGGATATTTTTAACGTGTGTCAGCCTATGGTGGAAAAGGAAATATCTTCACATAAAAACTAGACAGAGGCATTTTGAAAAGCTCCTTTGTGATGTGTGCATTCATCTCACAGTGTTGGACATTTCTTTTGATTTAGCTGCTTTCAAATATTCTTTTTGCAGAATCTGCAAGTGGATATTTGAAGGGCTTTGAGGCCTATGGTGGAAAAGGAAATACCTTCACATAAAAACTAGACAGAAGCATTCTGAGAAACTTCTTTGTGATGTGTGCATTCATCTCACAGAGTTGAACTTTTCTTTAGATTGAGCAGTTTTGAAACACTCTTTATGTATAATCTGCCAGTGGTTATTTTGAGTGCTTTGAGTCTTCTGGTGGAAAAGGAAATATTTTTACATAAAAACTAGACAGAAGCATTCTGAGAAACTTCTGTGTGATATGTGTATTCATCTCACAGAGTTGAACCTCTCCTTTGATTGAGCAGTTTTTAAAAACTCTTTTTGTAGAATCTGCAAAAGGATACTTGGAGTGCTCTGAGGCCAGTAGGGAAAAAGAAATATCTTCACATAACAACTAGACGGAAGCATTGTGAGAAACTTCTTTTTGATGTGTGCATTAATCTCACAGAGTTGAACTTTACTTTTGATTGAGCAGTTTTGAAACCCTCTTTTTGTAGAATCTGCAAGTGGACATTTGGAGCTCTTTGCGGCCTATGGTGGAAAAGGAAATATCTTCACATAAAAACTACACAGAAGCATTCTCTGAAACTTCTTTGTGATGTGTGCATTCATCTCACAGAGTTGAACCTTTCTTTTCATTGAGCAGTTTTGAAACACTCTTTTTGTAGAATCTGCAAGTGGACATTTAGTTCGCTTTGTGGCCTAAGGTTGAAAAGGAAATATCTTCACATAAAAACTAGACGGAATCATTGCGACAAACTTCTTTGTGATGTGTGCATTCATCTCACAGAGTTCCAAACTACTTTCAATTGAGCAGTTTTGAAGCACTCTTTTTGTAGAATCTGCAAGTGGATATTTTTAACGCTTGGCAGCCTATGGTGGAAAAGGAAATATCTTCACATAAAAACTAGACAGAGGTATTTTGAGAAGCTCCTTTGTGATGTGTGCATTCATCTCACAGTGTTGGACATTTCTTTTGATTTAGCTGCTTTCAAATATTCTTTTTGCAGAATCTGCAAGTGGATATTTGAAGGGCTTTGAGGCCTATGGTGGAAAAGGAAATACCTTCACATAAAAACTAGACGGAAGCATTCTGAGAAACTTCTTTGGGGTGTGTGCATTCATCTCACAGAGTTGAACCTTTCTTTAGATTGAGCAGTTTTGAAACTCTCTTTATGTATAATCTGCCAGTGGTTATTTTGAGTGCTTTGAGTCTTCTGGTGGAAAAGGAAATATTTTCACATAAAAACTAGACAGAAGCACTCTGGGAAACTTCTGTGTGATATGTGCATTCATCTCACAGAGTTGAACCTTCCCTTTGATTGAGCAGTTTTTAAAAACTCTTTTTGTAGAATCTGCAAAAGGATATTTGGAGTGCTCTGAGGCCAGTAGTGGAAAAAGAAATATCTTCACATAACAACTAGACAGAAGCACTGTGAGAAACTTCTTTTTGATGTGTGCATTAATCTCACAGAGTTGCACTTTACTTTTGATTGAGCAGTTTTGAAACCCTCTTTTTGTAGAATCTGCAGGTGGACATTTTGAGCTCTTTGCAGCCTATGGTGGAAAAGGAAATATCTTCACATAAAAACTACACAGAAGCATTCTCTGAAACTTCTTTGTGATGTGTGCATTCATCTCACAGAGTTGAACCTTTCTTTTCATTGAGCAGTTTTGAAACACTCTTTTTGCAGAATCTGCAAGTGGACATTTAGTGCGCTTTGTGGCCTAAGGTTGAAAAGGAAATATCTTCACATAAAAACTAGACGGAATCATTCCGACAAACTTCTTTGTGATGTGTGCATTCATCTCACAGAGTTCAAACCTACTTTCAATTGAGCAGTTTTGAAACACTCTTTTTGTAGAATCTGCAAGTGGATATTTTTAACGCTTGGCAGCCTATGGTGGAAAAGGAAATATCTTCACATAAAAACTAGACAGAGGTATTTTGAGAAGCTCCTTTGTGATGTGTGCATTCATCTCACAGTGTTGAACATTTCTTTTGATTTAGCTGCTTTCAAATATTCTTTTTGCAGAATCTGCAAGTGGATATTTGAAGAGCTTTGAGGCCTATGGTGGAAAAGGTTCTGCAAGTGGACATTTGGAGAGCTTTGAGGCCTAAGGTGGAAAAGGAAATATTTTCATATTATAATTAAACAGAAGCATTCTGAGAAAGATTTTTGTGATATGTGTATTCATCTCACAGAGTTGAAACTTTCTTTTGATTGAGCAGTTTTGACACACTCTTTTTGTAGAATCCACAAGTGGACATTTGGTGCGCTTTGAGGCATATGGTGGAGAAGGAAATATCTTCACTTAACAACTAGGCGGAAGCATTCTGAGAAACTTCTTTGGGTTGTGTGCATTTATCTTACAGAGTTGAACCATACTTTTGATTGAGCAGCTTTGAAAAACTCTTTTTTAGACTCTGCAAGTGAACATTTTGAGCTCTTTGTGTCCTATGGTGGAAAAGGAAATATCTTCACATAAAAACTATACAGAAGCATTCTGTGAAACTTCTTTGTGATGTGTGCATTCATCTCACAGAGTTGAACATTTCTTTTCATTGAGCAGTTTTGAAACACTCTTTTTGTAGAATCTGCAATGGACATTTGGAGGGCTTTGAAGCCTATGGTGGAAAAGGAAGTAACTTCCCATAAAAACTAGACAGAATCCTTCTTAGAAAATTCTTTCTGATGTGTGCATTCATCTCACATAGTTGAACATTTCTTTTGATTAAGCAGCTTTGAAACACTCTTTTTGTAGAATCTGTAAGTGGACATTTGGAGTACTTTGAGGGTGATGGTCAATAACGCAATATCTTCACTTAATAACTAGACAGAAGCATTCTGTGAAACTACTTTGTGATGAGTGCATTCATCTCAGAGAGTTGAACATTTCTTTTGATTGAGCAGCTTTGAGACACTCTTTTTGTAGAACGTGCAAGTGGATATTTGGAGTGCTTTGAGACCTATGGTGGAAAAGGAAATATCTTCACATAAAAACTATACAGAAACATTCTGACAAGTTTCTTTGTGATGGGTGTATTCAAGTCACAGAATTGAACCTTCCTTTTAATTGAGCAGTTTTGAAACACTCTTTTTGTAGAATCGGCAAGTGGATATTTGGAGAGCTTTGAGGCCTATGATGGAAAAGGAAATATCTTAACATAAAAACTAGACAGAAGCATTCTGAGAAACTTGTTTGTGATCTGTGCATTCATCTCACAGAGTTGAACCTTTCTTTTGATTCAGAAGTTTGGAAACACTCTTTTTGTAGATTCTGCAAGTGAACATTTGGTGCTCTTTGAGGTCTATTGTCGAAAAGGAAATATCTTCACACAAAAACTAGACAGAAGCATTCTGTCAAAATACTTTGTGATATGTGCATTCATATCACGGAGTTGAACCTTACTTTTGATTGAGCATTTTTGAAACACCCTTTTTGTACTATCTGCAAGTGGACATTTGGAGTGCTTTGAGGCCTATGGTGGAAAAGGAATATCTTCATATAAAAACTAGACAGAAGCATTCTGACAACTTTCTTTGTGATGTGTGCATTCATCTCACAGAGCTGAACCTTTCTTTTGATTGAGTAGTTTGGAAACTCTCTTTTTGCTGAATCTGTAAGTGGATATTTGGAGTGCTTGGAGGCCTATATTGGAAAAAGAAATATCTTCATATAATAACTAGACAGAAGCATTCTGAGAAACTTCTTTGTGATGTGTGCATTCATCTTACAGAGTTGAACCTTTCTTTTGATTGAGCAGTATTGAAACACTCTTTTTGAAGAATCTGCAAGTGGATATTTGGAGCGCTTTGAGGTCTATTTTGGAAAAGGAAATATCTTCACATAAAAACTAGACAGAAGCATTCTGTCAAACTACTTTGTGATATGTGCATTCATCCCACGGAGTTGAACCTTACTTTTGATTGAGCAATTTTAAAACACCCTTTTTGTAGTATCAGCAAGTGGACATTTGGAATGCTTTCAGGCCTATGGTGGAAAAGGAAATATCTTCAAGTTAAAACTAGACAGAAGCATTCTGACAAACTTCTTTGTGATGTGTGCATTCATCTCACGGAGCTGAACCTTTCTTTTGATTGAATAATTTGGAAACTCTCTTTTTGTTGATCTGCAAGTGGACATTTGGAGTGCTTTGAGGCCTGTGGTGAAAAGGAAATATCTTCACATAAAAACTAGACAGAAGCTTTCTGAGCAACTTCTTTGTGATGTGTGCATTCATCTCACAGAGTTGAAACTTTCTTTTGATAGAGCAGCTTTGAAACACTCTTTTTGTAGAATCTGCAAGTGGACATCAGGAGCGCTTTGAGGCCTATGGCGGAAAAGGAAATATCTTCACATAAAAACTATACAGAAGCATTGTCACAAACTTCTTTGGGATCCGTGCTTTCATGTCACAGAGTTGAAAATTTCTTTTCATTAATCTATTTTGAAATACTCTTTTGGTAGAATCTGCAAGTGGACATTTGGAATTCTTTGAGGCCTACGGTGGAAAAGGAAATATCTTCACAGAAAAACTACACAGAAGTATTCTGGGAAATTTCTTTGGGATGTGTGCATGCATCTCACAGAGTTGAACTTTCTTTTGATTGAGCAGTTTGAAACACTCCTTTTGTAGAATCTGCAAAGGGACATTTGGAGTACTTTGCGGCATATGGTGGTAAAGGAAATGTCTTCACATAAAAACTAGACAGAAGCATGCTGACAAACTTCTTTGTGTTGTTTGCATTCATCTCACAGAATTGAACCTTTCTTTCCATTGAGCAGTTTTGAAACACTGTTTTTGTACAATCTGCAAGTGGACATTTGGAGCACTTTGAGGCCTATGGTGGAAAAGGAAATATCTTCACTTAAGAACTAGACAGAATATCCTGAGAAACTTCTTTGTGATGTGTGCATTCATCTCACAGAGTTGAATATTTCTTTTCAATGAGCAGTTTTGAAACACTCTTTTTGTAGAATCTACAAGTGGACACTTGGTGCCCTTTGAGGCCTATGGTGGAAAAGGAAATATCTTCTCATAAAACATGGACAGAAACATTCTGAGAAACTTCTTCATGATGTGTATATTCATCTCAAAGGTTTGAACCTTTCTTTTGATTGAACAGTTTGGAAACACTCTTTTTGTACTATCTGCAAGTGGACATTTGGAGGGCTCTGAGGCCCCTGGTGGAAAAGGAAATATCTTCACTTAAGAACTGCAAAGAATCATTCTGAGAAAATACTTTGTGATGTGTGCATTCATCTGACAGAGTTGAACCTTACTGTTGATTGAGCAGATTTGAAACATCCTTTTTGAACTATCTACAAGTGGACATTTGGAGTGCGTTGATGCCTATGGTGTAAAAGTATATATCTTTACATAAAAACTAGACAGAAGGATTCTCGGAAATGTCTTTTTTATGTGTGCATTCATCTCACAGAGTTGAAACTTTCTTTTGATTGACTAGTTTGGAAAATCTTTTTGAAGGATCTGCAAGTGGACATTTGGATCACTTTGAGGCCTATGGTGGAAAAGGAAATATCTTCATATAAGAAGTAGACAGAAACATTCTGAGAAACTTCTTTGTGATGTGTGCATTCTTCTCACAGAGTTGAACCTTTCTTTTGATTGGGCAGTTTTGAAACAATCTTTTTGTAGAATATGCAAGTGGACATTTGGAGAGCCTTGTGGCGTATGGTGGAAAAGAAATATCTTCACATAAAAACTAGGCTGAAGAATTCTGACAAACTTCTTTGTGATGTGTGCATTTGTCTCGCAGAGATGAACCTTTCTTTTGATTGAGCAGCTTTGAAACACTTTTTTTGTAGAATCTGCAAGTGGACATTTGGAGCGCTTTGAGGAGTGTAATGGAAAATGAAATATCTTCATGTATTAACTACGCAGAAGTATTCTGAGAAACTTCTTTGTGACGAGTGCATTCATCTCACAGAGTTGAAACTTTCTTTTGATTTTCTAGTTTGGAAACACTCCTTTTGTAGAATCTCCAAGTGGACATTTGGAGCGCTTTGTGGCCTATGGTAAAAAAGGAAATACCTTCACATAAAAACTAGACAGAAGCATTCTAACAAACTTCTTTGTGATATGTGCATTCATCTCACAGAGTTTAACTTTACTTTTGATTGAGCTGTTTTGAAACACCCTTTTTGTACTGTCTGCAAGTGTACATTTGGAGCACTTTGAGGCCTCTGGTGGAAAAGGAACTATCTTCACATAAAAACTAGACAGAAGCATTCTGACAAACTTCTTTGTGATGTGTGCATTCTTCTCAGAGAGTTGAACCTTACTTTCGATTGACCAGTTTTGAAACACCGTTTTTTTTTCTGTTTTTTATTTTTTTTGGCTTTCTCTTTTTTTTATTATTGTTATTATTATTCTTTAAGTTTTAGGGTACATGTGCACAATGTGCAGGTTCGTCACATATTTATCCATGTGCCGTCTTGGTGTGCTGCACCCATTAACTCGCCATTTAGCGTTAGGTATATGTCATAATTCTGTCCCTTCCCCCTCCCCCCACCCCACAACAGTCCCCAGAGTGTGATGTTTCCCTTCCTTTGTCCATGTGTTCTCATTGTTCAATTTCCACCTATGAGTGAGAACACATGTTGTTTGGTTTTTTGTCCTTTTGTATTCCCTTTGAAAACTGGCAAAAGACAGGGATGCCCACTCTCACCACTCCTATTCAATATAGTGTTGGAAGTTCTGGCCAGGGCAATCAGGTAGGAGAAGTGAATAAAGGGCATTCAATTAGGAAAAGAGGAAGTCAAATTGTCCCTGTTTGCAGATGACATGATTGTATATCTAGAAAACCCCATTGTCTCAGCCGAAAATCTGCTTAAGCTGATAAGCAACTTCAGCAAAGTCTCAGGACACAAAATCAATGTAAAAAAATCACAAGCATTCTTGTACACCAATAGGAGACACACAGAGAGCCAAATCATGAGTGAAATCCCATTCACAATTGCTTCAAAGAGAATAAAATAAATAGAAATCCAACTTACAAGGGATGTGAAGGACCTCTTCAAGGAGAACTACAAACCACTGCTCAAGGAAATAAAAGAGGATACAAACAAGTGGAAGAACATTCCATGCTCATGGGTTGGAAGAATCAATATCGTGAAAATGGCCATACTGCCCAAGGTAATTTATAGATTCAATGCCATCCGCATCAAGTTACCAATGACTTTCCTAAGAGAATTGGAAAAAAACGACTTTAAAGTTCATATGGAACCAAAAAAGAGCCCGCATCGCCAAGTCAATCCCAAGCCAAAACAACAAAGCTGGAGGGATCACGCTACCTGACTTCGAACTATACTACAAGGCTACAGTAACCAAAACAGCATTGTTCTGGTACCAAAACAGAGACATAGATCAATGGAACAGAACAGAGACCTCAGGAATAATGCCGCATATCTACAACTATCAGACCTTTGACAAACCTGACAAAAACAAGCAATGGGAAAAGGATTCCCTATTTAATAAATGGTGCTGAGAAAACTAGCTAGCTATACGTAGAAAACTGAAACTGGAAACATTCTTGTTGTAGAATCTGCAAGTGGACATTTGGAGGGCTTTGAGAATTATTGTGGAAAAGGAAATATATTTACATAAAAACTAGACGGAAGAATTCTGAGAAATTTCTTTGTGATGTGTGAGTTCATCTCACAGAGTAGAACCTATCTTTTGATTGAGCAGTTTGGAAACACTCTTTTTGTAGAATCTGCAAGTGGACATTTGGAGAACTTTGCGGCCTATAGTGGAAAAGGAAATATCTTCACATAAAAACTAGACAGAAGAATTCTGAGAAACTTCTTTGTGATGTGTGCATTCATGTCATAGCGTTGAGCATTTCTTCTGATTGAGCAGCTTTGAAAAACTCTTTTTGTAGAATCTGCATGTGGACATTTGGAGCGCTTTGAGGCCTATAGTGGAAAAGGAAATATCTTCGTATAAAAACTATACAGAAACATTCTGACAAACTTCTTAGTGATGTGTGCATTCATCTCATAGAGTTGAACCTTTCTTTTCATTGAGCAGTTTTGAAAAACTCTTTTTGTGGAATGTGCAATTGTACATTTGAAGCGATTTGAGGCCTATGGTTGAAAAGGAAATATGGAAATATGTTCACATAAAAACTAGACAGAAGCGTTCTGACCAATTACTTTGTGATGTGTGCATTCATCTAACACAGTTGAACCTTTCTTTTGATTGAGTAGTTTGGAAATTCTCTTTTTGTAGAATCTGTAAGAGCACATTAGGAGTGCTTTGGGGCCTAAGGTGGAAAAGGTAATATCTTCACGTAAGAAGTAGACAGAAGTATGCTGAGTAACTTCTTTGTGATGTGTGCATTCATCTCACAGAGTTGAACCTTTCTTTTGATTGAGTAGTTTAGAAACTCTCTTTTTGTAGAATCTGCAAGTGGACATTTGGAGCGCTTTGCAGCCGATGGTGGAAAAGGAAATATCTTCACATAAAAACTAGACAAAAGCATTCTGACAAGCTTATTTGTGATGGCTGTATTCATCTCAAAGAGTTGAACCTTACTTTCGATTGAGCAGTTTTGAAACACTCTTTTTGTAGAATCTGCAAGTGGACATTTGGAGAGCTTTGAGGCCTGTGGTGGAAAGGGAAATATCTTCACACAAAACTATACAGAAGCATTCTGAGAAACTTATATGTGATATATGCATTCATCTCACAGAGTTTCAACTTTCTTTTGATTGAGCAACTTTGAAACACTCTTTTTATAGTACCTGCAAGTGGACATTTTTGGCGCTTTGAGGCAATGGTGGAAAAGGAAATATCTTCACATAGAAACTATACAGAAACATTCTGAAAAACTTCACTGAGATGTGTGGATTCATCTCACAGAGTTGAACCTTTCTTTTGATTGAGCAGCTTTGAAACACTCTTTGTAGAATCTGCATGTGGACATTTGGAGCTCTTTGAGGCCTATGGTGGAAAAGGAAATACCTTCACATAAAAACTATACAGAAACATTCTGATAAACTTCTTTGTTATGTGTGCATTCTTCTCACAGATTTGAACCTTTCTTTTCATTGAGCAGTTTTGAAAAACTCTTTTTGTGGAATCTGCAAGTGTACATTTGAAGCGCTTTGAAGCCTATGGCTTAAAAGGAAATATGTTCACATGAAAACTAGACAGAATCATTCAGAGAAAATCCTTTGTGTTGTGTGCATTCATCTCACAGGGTTGAACATTTCTTTTGATTAAGCAGGTTTAAACACTCTTTTTGTAGAATCTGCAAGTGGACATTGGGAGCCCTTTGAGTCCTGTGGTGGAATGGGAAATATCTTCATTTAAGAACTAGACAGAAGCATTCTGAGAAACTGCTTTGTGATGTGTGCGTTCATCTCACAGAGTTGAAACTTTCTTTTCATTGAGCAGTTTTGAAACAATCTTTTTGTAGAATCTGCAAGTGGACATTTGGAGCGCTTTGCGGCCTATGGTGGAAAAGGAAACATTTATACATGAAAACTAGACAGAAGCATTCTGACAAACTTCTTTGTGATGTGTGCTTTCATATCACAGAGATGAACATTTCTTTTGCTTGAGCAGTTTGGAAACACTCTTTATAGAACCCTCATGTGGACATTTGGAGCGCCTTGAGGCCGACGGTGGAAAAGGAAACATCTTCATATGAAAACTAGACAGAAGCATTCTGACAGACTTTTTTGTGATGTGAGAATTCACCTCACAGAGTTGAACCCTACCTTCGATTGAGCAGTTTTGAAACACTCTTTTTGTAGGATTTGCAATTGGACATTTGGAGCGCTTTGAGGACTATGGTGGAAAAGGAAATATCTGCACATAAACACTAGACAGAACCATTCTGAGAATATTCTTTGTGATGTGTGCATTCATCTCACAGAGGTGAACCTTTGTTTTGATTGAGCAGTTTTGAAACACTATTTTTGTGGGATCTGTAAGTGGACATTTGGAGCGTTTTGACGCCTATGCTGGAAAAGGAAATATCTTCACCTAAAAACTGGACAGAAGCATTCTGAGAAATTGCTTTGTGATGTGAGCATTCATCTCACAGAGTTGAAGCTTGCTTTTGATTGAGCAGCTTTGAAACACTCTTTTTGTAGAATCTGCATGTGGAAATTTGGAGCGCTTTGAGGCCTATTGTTGAAAAGGTAATATCTTCACATAATAACTAGACACAAGCATTCTGAGAAACTTCTTTGTAATATGTGCATTTATCTCACAGTGTTGAAATTTTCTTTGATAGAGTGGTTTGGAAACTCTTTTTGTAGAATCTGCAAGTGGACATTTGGAGAGCTTTGAGTCCTGTGGTGGAAAAGGAAATATCTACACTTAAGAACCTGACAGAAAAATTCTGAGAAACTTCTTTGTGAAATGTGCATTCATCTCACAGAGTTGAACCTTTCTTTTGATTGAGCAATTTTGAAACACTCTTTCTGTAGGATCTGCAAGTGGACATTTGCAGCCCTTTGGGGTCTATGGTGGAAAAGGAAATATCTTCATATAAAGACTAGACAGAAGCATTCTGGCAAATATCTTTGTGATGTGTGCATTCATCTCACTGAGGTGAACCTTTCTTTTGATTGAGTAGTTTGGAAACTCTCTTTTTGTGGAATCCGGAAGTGGACATTTGGGGTGCTTTGTGACCAATGGTGGAAAAGGAACCATCTTCACTTAAGAACTAGACGGAAGCATTCTCAGAAACTTCTTTGTGATGTGTGCATTCATCTCACAGAGTTGAACCTTTCTTTTGATTCAGCAGCTTTGAAACACTCTTTTTGTAGCATCTAGAATTGGACATTTGGAGCGCTTAGAGTCCTATGGTGGAAAAGAAAATATATTCACATAAAAACTAGACAGAATCATTCAGAGAAAATTCTTTGTGATGTGTGCATTCATCTCACAGAGTTGAACTGTTCTTTTGATGGAGCAGTTTGGAAAAACTTTTTTTGTATGATCTGGATGTTTACATTTGGAGCTTTTTGAGGCCTATGGTGTAAAAGGAAATATCTTCAAATAAAAACTAGACAGAAGCATTTTGAGAAACTTCTTTGTGATGGATGCATTCATATCACAGAGTTGAACATTTCTTTTGATTCAGCAGCTTTGAAACACTCTTTTCATAGAATCTGCAAGAGGACATTTGGAGTGTTTTGAGGCCAATGGTGGAAAAGGAAATATCTTCACATAAAAACTAGACAGAAGCATTCTGAGAAACTTCTTTGAGACGTGTGCATTCATCTCAGAGTGTTGAACCTTTCTTTTGATTGAGCAGCTTTGAAACACTCTTTTTTTAGAATCTGCATGTGGAGATTTGGAGAGCTTTGAGGCCAATGGTGGAAAAGGAAATATCTTCACATAAAAACGATTCAGAAATAGTCTGAGAAACTTCTTTCTGATTTGTGCATTCATGTCACAGAGTTGAACCTTTATTTCATTGAGCAGTTTTTATTTATTTATTTATTTATTTATTATTATTATACTTTAAGTTTTAGGGTACGTTCGCACAATGTGCAGGTTAGTTACATATGTATACATGTGCCATGCTGGTGGACTGCACCCACTAACTCGTCATCTAGCATTAGGTATATCTCCCAATGCTATCCCTCCTCCCTCCCCCCACCCCATAACAGTCCCGAGAGTGTGATGTTCCCCTTCCTGTGTCCATGTGTTCTCATTGTTCAATTCCCACCTATGAGTGAGAATATGCGGTGTTTCGTTTTTTGTTCTTGTGATAGTTTACTGAGAATGATGATTTCCAGCTTCATCCATGTCCCTACAAAGGACATGAACTCATCATTTTTTATGGCTGCATAGTAGTCCATGGTGTATATGTGCCACATTTTCTTAATCCAGTCTATCATTGTTGGACATTTGGGTTGGTTCCAAGTCTTTGCTATTGTGAATAATGCCATAATAAACATACATGTGCATGTGTCTTTATAGCAGCATGATTTATAGTCCTTTGGGTATATACCCAGTAATGGGATGGCTGGGTCAAATGGTATTTCTAGTTCTAGATCCCTGAGGAATCGCCACACTGACTTCCACAACGGTTGAACTAGTTTACAGTCCCACCAACAGTGTAAAAGTGTTCCTATTTCTCCACATCCTCTCCAGCACCTGTTATTTCCTGACTTTTTAATGATGGCCATTCTAACTGGTGTGAGATGGTATCTCATTGTGGTTTTGATTTGCATTTCTCTGATGGCCAGTGATGGTGAGCATTTTTTCATGTGTTTTTTGGCTGCATAAATGTCTTCTTTTGAGAAATGTCTGTTCATGTCCTTCAAAATCAATGAATAAAAATCACAAGCATTCTTATACACCAACAAAAGACAAACAGAGAGCCAAATCATGAGTGAACTCCCATTCACAATTGCTTCAAAGAGAATCAATATCGTGAAAATGGCCATACTGCCCAAGGTAATTTACAGATTCAATGCCATCCCCATCAAGCTACCAATGACTTTCTTCACAGAATTGGAAAAAAACTACTTTAAAGTTCATATGGAACCAAAAAAGAGCCCGCATCACCAAGTCAATCCTAAGCCAAAAGAACAAAACTGGAGGCTTCACACTACCTGACTTCAAACTATACTACAAGGCTACAGTAACCAAAACAGCATGGTACTGGTACCAAAACAGAGATATAGATCAATGGAACAGAACAGAGCCCTCAGGAATAACGTCGCATATCTACAACTATCTGATCTTTGACAAACCTGAGAAAAACAAGCAATGGGGAAAGGATTCCCTCTTTAATAAATGGTGCTGGGAAAACTGGCTAGCCATATGTAGAAAGCTGAAACTGGATCCCTTCCTTACACCTTATACAAAAATCATTTCAAGATGGATTAAAGACTTAAACGTTCAACCTAAAACCATAAAAACTCTAGAAGAAAACCTAGGCATTACCATTCAGGACACAGGCATGGGCAAGAACTTCATTTCTAAAACACCAAAAGCAATGGCAACAAAAGCCAAAATTGACAAATGGGATCTAATTAAACTAAAGAGCTTCTGCACAGCAAAAGAAACTACCACCAGAGTGAACAGGTAACCTACAAAATGGGAGAAAATTTTCACAACCTACTCATCTGACAAAGGGCTAATATCCAGAATGTACAATGAACTCAAACAAATTTACAAGAAAAAAACAAACAACCCCATCAAAAAGTGAGCAAAGGACATGAACAGACACTTCTCAAAAGAAGACATTTATGCAGCCAAAAAACACATGAAAAAATGCTCATCATCACTGGCCATCAGAGAAATGCAAATCAAAACCACAATGAGATACCATCTCACACCAGTTAGAATGGCAATCATTAAAAAGTCAGGAAACAACAGGTGCTGGAGAGGATGTGGAGAAATAGGAACACTTTTACACTGTTGGTGGGACTGTAAACTAGTTCAACCGTTGTGGAAGTCAGTGTGGTGATTCCTCAGGGATCTAGAACTAGAAATACCATTTGACCCAGCCATCCCATTACTGGGTATATACCCAAAGGACTATAAATCATGCTGCTATAAAGACACATGCACACGTATGTTTATTGTGGCATTATTCACAATAGCAAAGACTTGGAACCAACCCAAATGTCCAACAATGATAGACTGGATTAAGAAAATGTGTCACATATACACCATGGAATACTATGCAAACATAAAAAATGATGAGTTCGTGTCCTTTGTAGGGACATGGATGAAATTGGAAATCATCATTCTCAGTAAACTATCGCAAGAACAAAAAACCAAACACTGCATATTCTCACTCATAGGTGGGAATTGAACAATGAGATCACATGGACACAGGAAGGGGAATATCACACTCTGGGGACTGTTGTGGGGTGGGGGGAGGGGGAGGGATAGCATTGGGAGATATACCTAATGCTAGATGACGAGTTATTGGGTGCAGCGCACCAGCATGGCACATGTATACATATGTAACTAACCTGCAAAATGTGCACATGTACCCTAAAACTTAAATTATAAAAAAAAATAAATAAATAAAAATAAATAAATAAAGATACAAAGTCAAAAAAAAACTATTTTTGTAATATCTGCAGGTGGACATTTGGAGCACTTTTTGGCGTATGGTGGAAAAGGAAATATCTTCATTTAAGAACTAGATGGAAGCATTCTGTGAAGCTGATTTGTGACGTGTACATTCCTCTCACAGAGCTGAAACTTTATTTTAATTGAGTAGTTTTGAAAACTCTCATTTTGTAGAATCTGCAAGTGGACATTTGGAGCGCTTTGCGGCCTATGGTGGAAAAGGAAATATCTTCACATTAAAACTAGGCAGAAGCATTCTGACAAGCTTATTTGTCATTTATCTCATGGAGTTGCCATTTATCTCACGGAGTTGAACTTAACTTTCGATAGAGCAGTTTTGAAACACTCTTTTTGTAGAATCTGCAAGTGGACATTTGGAGAGCTTTGAGGCCTGTGGTGGAAAGGGAAATATCTTCACACAAAACTAGACAGAAGCATTCTGACAAAGTTTTTGTGATGTGTGCATTCATCTCGCAGAGTGGAACCTTAATTTCGATTGAACGGTTTCGAAACACTCCTTTTGTAGAATCTGCAAGTGGACATTTGGCGCGCTTTGATGCCTATGGTGGAAAACGAAATATCTTCACATAATAACTAGACAGAAGCATTCTGAGAAACTTCTATGTGATGTGTGCATTCATCTCATAGAGTTGAAACTTTCTTTTGATTGAGCCACTTTGAAACACTCTTTCTGTAGTATCTGCAAGTGGACATTTTTGGCGCTTTGAGGCAATGGTGGAAAATGTAATATCTTCACATAAAAACTAGACAGAAGAATTCTGAGAAACTTCTTTGAGATGTGTGCCTTCATGTTACAGAGTTGAACCTTTCTTTTGATTGAGCAGTTTGGAAACACACTTTTTGAATAATCTTCAGTTGGACAATTGGAGCACTTAGTGGCCTATGGTAGAAAAGGAAATATGTTCACATAAAATATAGACAGAAGAAATCGGACAGGAGCAACTTTGAAACACTCTTTCTGTAGCATCTGCAAGTGGACATTTTTGGCGCTTTGAGTCAATGGTGGAAAAAGAAATATCTTCACACAAGAACTATACAAAAACATTCAAAAAACTTCACTGAGATGTGTGGATTCATCTCACAGAGTTGAACCTTTCTTTTGATTGAGCAGTTTTGAAAGACTCTATTTGTAGAATTTGAATTTGGACATTTGGTGCGCTTTGCAGCCCATGGTGGAAAAGGAAATATCTTCACATAAAAACTAGACAGAAGCATTCTGACAAACTTCTTTGTGACTTGCACATTCATGTCACAGAGTTGAACCTTTCTTTTGATTGAGCAGCTTTGAAACACTCTTTTTGTAGAATCTGCATGTGGACATTTGGAGCTCTTCGAGGCCTATGGTGGAAAAGCAAATACCTTAACATAAAAACTATACAGAAACATTCTGACACACTTCTTTGTTATGTGTACATTCTTCACACAGATTTGAACTTTTCTTTTCATTTAGCAGTTTTGAAAAACTCTTTGTGGAATCTGCAAGTGTACTTTTGAAGCACTTTGAGGCCTATGGTTTAAAAGGAAATATGTCCACATAAAAACTAGACAGAATCATTCAGAGAAAATCCTTTGTGTTGTGTGCATTCATCTCACCGGGTTGAACATTTCTTTTGATTGAGCAGGTTTAAACACTATTTTTGAACAATCTGCAAGTGGACATTGGGAGCCATTTGAGTCCTGTTGTGGAATGGGAAATATCTTCATTTAAGAACTAGACAGAAGCATTCTGAGAAACTTCTTTGTGATGTGTGCATTCATCTCACAGAGTTAAACATTTCTTTTGATTGAGCTGTCTTGAAACTATTTTGTAGAATCTGCAAGTGGACATTTGGAGCGCTTTGAGGCCTATGGTAGAAAAGGAAATATCTTCACATAAAATCTAGACAAAACCAATCTGAGAAACTTCTTTGTGATGTGTGCATTCATCTCACAGAGTTAAAACTTTTTTTTGATTGTGCAGTTTTGAAACTCTCTTTTTGTAGACTCTGCAAGTGGACATTTGGAGCTCTTTTAGGCCTATGGTGGAAATAGAAATATCTTCACATAAAAACTAGAGAGAAGAATTCTGAGAAACTTGTTGGTGATGTGTGCGTTCATCTCACAGAGTTGAAACTTTCTTTTGATTGAGCAGTTTGGAAACACTCTTTTTGTAGAATCTGCAAGTGGACATTTGGAGCGCTTTGCGGCCTATGGTAGAAAAGGAAATATCTTAACATAAAACCTACACAGAAGCAATCTGAGAAACTTCTTTGTGATGTGTGCTTTCATCTCACAGAGTTAAACCTTTCTTTTGATTGAGCAGTTTTGAAACTCTCTTTTTGTTGAATCTGCAAGTGGACAATTGGAGCACTTTGGGGCCTATAGTGGATAAGGAAATATCTCCACATAAAAATAGACAGAAGATTTCTGAGAAACTTCTTTGTGATGTGTGCATTCATGTCACAGATTTGAACCATTCTGTTGATTGAGTAGCTTGGAAACACTCTTTTTTAGAATCTCCAAGTGGACATTTGGAGCGCTTTGCGGTCTATGGTAGAAAAGGAATTATCTTCACATAATATCTAGACAGAATCAATCTGAGAAACTTCTTTGTGATGTGTGCATTCATCTCACAGAGTTAAGCCATTCTTTTGATTGAGCAGCTTTGAAACTCTCTTTTCGTAGACTCTGCAAGTGGACATTTGGAGCGCTTTGAGGCTTACAGTGAGAAAGGAAATATCTTCCCATAAAAACTAGACAGAAGAATTCTGAAAAACTTTGTGATGGGCACGTTCATCTCACAGAGTTGAAACTTTCTTTTGATTGAGCAGTTTGGAAACCCTCTTTTTATAGAATCTGCAAGTGGACATTTAGAGCACTTTGTGGCCTATGGTAGACAAGGAAATATGTTCACATAAAATCTAGACAGAAGTAATCTGAGAAACAGCTTTGTGATGTGTGCATTCATCTCACAGAGATAAACATTTCTTTTGATTGAGCAGTTTTGAAACTGTCTTTTTGTAGAATCTGCAAGTGGACATTTGGAGCAATTTGAGGCCTATGGTGGAAAAGGAAATATCTTCACATAAAAACTACATAGAAGCGTTCTGAGAAAGATTTTGTGATGTGCGCATTTATCACCCAGAGTTGAATCTTTCTTTTGAAGGACCAGTTTTGAAATACTCTTTCTGTAGAATCTTCAAGTGGACATTTCGAGCGCCTTGAGGCCTATGGTTTAAAAGGAAATATCTTCACATAAAAACAAGACAGAAGAATTCTGAGAAAGTTCTTTGTGATATGTGCATTCATCTCGCAGAATTGAGCCTTTCTTTTGATTGAGCAGTGTTGAAACTCTCTTTTTGTAGAATCTGCAAATGGTCATTTGGAGCACTTTGAAGCCTACGGTGGAAAAGGAATTTATCTTCACATAAAAACTAGAGAGAAGAATTCTGACAAACTTCTTTGTGATGTGTGCGTTCACCTCACAGAGTTGAAACTTTCTTTTGATTGAGCTGTTTGGAAACACTCTTTTTGTAGAATCTGCAAGTGGACATTTGGAGCACTTTGTGGCCTATGGCAGAACAGGAAATATCTTCACATAAAATTCAGACAGAGGCAATCTGAGAAACTACTTTGTGATGTGTGCATTCATTTCACAGAGTTAAAACTTTAGTTTGATTGAGCAGTTTTGAAACTCTCTTTTTGTAGAATCTGCAAGTGGACTTTTGGAGCGCTTTTAGGCCTATGGTGGAAAAGGAAATATCTTCACATAAATACTAGACAGAAGAATTCTGAGAAACTTCTTTGTGATGTGTGCGTTCATCTCACTGAGTTGAACCTTCATTTTGATTGAGCATTTTGGAAGCACTCCTTTTACAGAATCTGCAAGTGGAGATTTGGAGCGCTTTGCAGCCTATGGTAGAAAAGGAAATACCTAGCCAGTTTTCCCAGCACCATTTATTAAATAGGGAATCCTTTCCCCATTGCTTGTTTTTCTCAGGTTTGTCAAAGATCAGATAGTTGTAGATATGCGGCATTATTTCTGAGGGCTCTGTTCTGTTCCATTGATCTATATCTCTGTTTTGGTACCAGTACCATGCTGTTTTGGTTACTGTAGCCTTGTAGTATAGTTTGAAGTCAGGTAGTGTGATGCCTCCAGCTTTGTTCTTTTGGCTTAGGATTGACTTGGCAATGCGGGCTCTTTTTTGGTTCCATATGAACTTTAAAGTAGTTTTTTCCAATTCTGTGAAGAAAGTCATTGGTAGCTTGATGGGGATGGCATTGAATCTGTAAATTACCTTGGGCAGTATGGCCATTTTCACGATATTGATTCTTCCTACCCATGAGCATGGAATGTTCTTCCATTTGTTTGTCTCCTCTTTTATTTCCTTGAGCAGTGGTTTGTAGTTCTCCTTGAAGAGGTCCTTCACATCCCTTGTAAGTTGGATTCCTAGGTATTTTATTCTCTTTGAAGCAATTGTGAATGGGAGTTCACCCATGATTTGGCTCTCTGTTTGTCTGTTGTTGGTGTATAAGAATGCTTGTGATTTTTGTACATTGATTATTTAGCCATATGTAGAAAGCTGAAACTGGATCCCTTCCTTACACCTTATACAAAAATCAATTCAAGATGGATTAAAGATTTAAACGTTAAACCTAAAACCATAAAAACCCTAGAAGAAAACCTAGGCATTACCATTCAGGACATAGGCGTGGGCAAGGACTTCATGTCCAAAACACCAAAAGCAATGGCAACAAAAGACAAAATTGACAAATGGGATCTAATTAAACTAAAGAGCTTCTGCACAGCAAAAGAAACTACCATCAGAGTGAACAGGCAACCTACAACATGGGAGAAAATTTTTGCAACCTACTCATCTGACAAAGGGCTAATATCCAGAATCTACAATGAACTCAAACAAATTTACAAGAAAAAAACAAACAACCCCATCAAAAAGTGGGCGAAGGACATGAACAGACACTTCTCAAAAGAAGACATTTATGCAGCCAAAAAACACATGAAGAAATGCTCATCATCACTGGCCATCAGAGAAATGCAAATCAAAACCACTATGAGATATCATCTCACACCAGTTAGAATGGCAATCATTAAAAAGTCAGGAAACAACAGGTGCTGGAGAGGATGCGGAGAAATAGGAACACTTTTACACTGTTGGTGGGACTGTAAACTAGTTCAACCATTGTGGAAGTCAGTGTGGCGATTCCTCAGGGATCTAGAACTAGAAATACCATTTGACCCAGCCATCCCATTACTGGGTATATACCCAAATGAGTATAAATCATGCTGCTATAAAGACACATGCACACGTATGTTTATTGCGGCACTATTCACAATAGCAAAGACTTGGAACCAACCCAAATGTCCAACAATGATAGACTGGATTAGGAAAATGTGGCACATATACACCATGGAATACTATGCAGCCATAAAAAATGATGAGTTCATATCCTTTGTAGGGACATGGATGAAATTGGAAACCATCATTCTCAGTAAACTATCGCAAGAACAAAAAACCAAACACCGCATATTCTCACTCATAGGTGGGAATTGAACAATGAGATCACATGGACACAGGAAGGGGAATATCACACTCTGGGGACTGTGGTGGGGTCGGGGGAGGGGGGAGGGATAGCATTGGGAGATATACCTAATGCTAGATGACACATTAGTGGGTGCAGCGCACCAGCATGGCACATGTATACATATGTAACTAACCTGCACAATGTGCACATGTACCCTAAAACTTAGAGTATAATAAAAAAAAAAAAAAAAAAAAAAAAAAAAAAGGAAGCCACTCAACTGCACATTAAAAAAAAAAAATAAATAAATAAATAAATAAATATCCAAAAAAAAAAAAAAAAAAAAAAAAGAAAAGGAAATACCTGCACGTAAAATCTAGACAGAAGCAATATGAGAAAATACTTTGTGATGTGTGCATTCATCTCAGAGAGATAAACATTGCTTTTGGCAGAGCATTTTCTAAACTCTGTTTTTGTAGAATCTGGAAGTCTACATTTGGAGCGGTTTGAGGACAATGTGGAAAGAAAATATCTTCACATAAAAACCAGATTGAAGAATACTGAGAAACTTCTTTGTGATGTGTGCGTTCATCTCACAGACTGGAACATTTCTTTTGATTGAGCTGTTTGGAAACACTCTTTTTGTAGAATCTGCAAGTGGACATTTGGAGCACTATGTGGCCTATGGTAGAAAAGGAAATATCTTCACATAAAATTCAGACAGAAGCAATCTGAGAAACTACTTTGTGATGTGCTCATTCATTTCACAGAGTTAAACTTTTCTTTTGATTCAGGTGTCTTGAAACTCTATTTTGTAGAATCTGCAAGTGGACATTTGGAGCGCTTTGAGGCCTATGGTAGTAAAAGAAACATCTTCACATAAAATCTAGACAAAAGCAATCTGAGAAACTTCTTTGTGATGTGTGCTTTCATCTCACAGAGTTAGAACTTTTTTTGGATTGAGCAGTTTTGAAATTCTCTTTTTGTAGAATCTGCAAGTGGACATTTGGAGCGCTTTGAGGCCTATGGTAGTAAAAGAAACATCTTCACATAAAATCTAGACAAAAGCAATCTGAGAAACTTCTTTGTGATGTGTGCTTTCATCTCACAGAGTTAAAACTTTTTTTGGATTGAGCAGTTTTGAAATTCTCTTTTTGTAGAATCTGCAAGTGGACATTTGGAGTGCTTTTAGACCTAAGGTGGAAAAGGAAACATCTTCCCATAAAAACTAGACAGAAGAATTCTGAGAAACTCCTTTGTGATGTATGTGTTCATCTCACAGAGTTGAAACTTCCTTTTGATTGAGCAGTTTGGAAAAACTGTTTTTGTAAAATCTACAAGTGGACACTTGGAGCGCTTTGCAGCCTAAGGTAGAAAAGGAAATGTCTTCACATAAAAGCTAGACAGAAGCAATCTGAGAAACTTCTTTGTGATATGTGCATTCATCTCACAGAGTTGAACCTTCCTTTGATTGAGCAGTTTGGAATCACTCTGTTTGTAGAATGTGCAAGTGGACATTTGGAGTGCTTTGAGGTCTATGGTGGAAAAGGAAATATCTTCACATAAAAACTAGACAGAAGATTTCTGACAAACTTCTTTGTGATGTGTGTGTTCATATCACTGAGTTGAAACTTTATATTGATTGAGTAGTTTGGAAAAACTCTTTTTGTAGAATCTGCAAGTGGAGATTTAGAGTGCTTTGTGGCCTATGGTAGAAAAGGAAATACCTTCACATAAAATGTAGACAGAAGTAATATGAGAAAATTCTTTGTGATATGTGCATTCATCTCACAGTGTTAAACATTGCTTTTGAATGAGCATTTTGAAACTCTGTTTTGTAGAATCTGGAAGTGTACATTTGGAGCAGTTTGAGGCCAATGTGGAAAAGGAAATATCTTCACATAAAAACTAGACAGAAGAATACTGAGAAACTTCTTTGTGATGTGTGCATTCATCACACAGAGTGGAACGTTTCTTTTGATTGAGCTGTTTGGAAACCATCTTTTTGTAGAATCTGCAAGTGGCCATTTAGAACACTTTGTGGCCTATGGTAGAAAAGGAAATATCTTTACATAAAACTCAGACAGAAGCAATCTGAGAAACTGCTTTGTGATGTGTGCATCCATCTCACAGAGTTAAACATTTCTTTTGATTGAGCTGTCTTGAAACTCTATTTTGTAGAATCTGCAAGTGGACATTTGGAGTGCTTTGAGGCCTATCGTAGAAAAGGAAATATCTTCACATAAAATCTAGACAAAAGTAATCTGAGAAACTTCTTTGTGATGTGTGCATTCATCTCACAGAGTTAAAACTGTTTTTTGATTGAGCAGTTTTGAAACTCTCTTTTTGTAGAATCTGCAAGTGGACATTTGGAGCACTTTTAGGCCTATGGTGGAAAAGGAAATATCTTCCCATAAAAACTGGACAGAAGAATTCTGATAAACTTCTTGTTGATGTGTGCGTTCATCTCACAGAGTTGAAACTTTCTTTTGATTGAGCAGTTTGAAAACAATCTTTTTGTAGAATCTGCAAGTGGACATTTGGAGGGCTTTGCGGGCTATGGTAGAAAAGGAAATATCTTCACTTAAAATGTAGAAATAAGCAATCTGAGAAACTTCTTTGTGATGTGTGCATTCATCTCACAGAGTTAAACCTTTCTTTTGATTGAGCAGTTTTGAAACTCTCTTTTTGTTGAATCTGCAAGTGGACAATTGGAGCACTTGAGGCCTATGGTGGAAAAGGAAATATCTTCACATAAAAGCTAGACAGAAGAACTCTGAGAAACTTCTTTGTGATGTGCGCATTCATCTCACAGAGTTGAACATTTCTTTTCATTGAGAATTATTGAAACACTCTTTTTGTAGATTCTGTAAGTGGGCATTTTGAGCACTTTGCCGCCTATGTTAGAAAAGGAAATAGCTTCACACAAAATCTAGACAGAAGCAATCTGAGAAACTTCTTTGGAATGTGTGCATTCATCTCACAGGGTTAACTCTTACTTTTGATTGAGCAGTTTTGAAACTCTATTTTTGTTGAATGTGCAAGTGGACATTTGGAGTGCTTTGAGTCCTATGGTGGAAAACGAAATATCTTCACATAAAAACTAGACAGAAGCATTTTTAGAAACTTCTTTGTCATGTGTGCGCTGATCTCAAAGGGTTAAGCCTTTGTTTTGATTGAGCAGTTTTGAATCTCTCTTTTTGTAGAATCTGCAATTTAACATTTGGAGCGCTTTGAGGCCTGTGGAGGAAAAGGAAATATTTTCACATCAAAACTACACAGAAGAATTCAGAGAAACCTCTTCGTGATACATGCGTTTATCTCACAGAGTTGAATCTTTCTTTTGATTAAGAGTTTGGAAACACTCTTTTTGTGGAATCTGCAAGTGGACATTTGGAGCGCTTTGCAGCCTATGTTAGAAAAGGAAATATATTCCCATAAAATCTAGATAGAATGAATCTGAGAAACTTCTTTGTGATGTGTGCATTCATCTCACAGAGTTAAAACTTTCTTTTGATTGAGCTGTCTTGAAACTCTCTTTTTGTAAAATCTGCAAGTGGACATTTGGAGTGCTTTGAGGCCTACTGTGGAAAAGTAAATATTTACACATAAAAACTAGACAGAAAAATTCTGAGAAACTTCTTTGTGATTTGTGCTTACATCTCACAGAGTTGAACCTTTCTTTTGATTGAGCAGTTTGGAAGCACTCTTTTTGTACAACATGCAAGTGGACATTTGGAGCGCTTTGTGACCTCTGGTAGAAAACGAAATATCTTCACAGAAAATCTAGATAAAAGCAGTCTGACAAAGTACTTTATGATGTGTGCATTCATATCACAGAGTTAAACATTTCTTTTGATTGAGCAGTTTTGAAACTCTCTTTTTGTAGAATCTACAGTGTACATTTGGAGTGGTTTGAGGCCTATGGTGGAAAAGGAAATATCTTCAGATAAAAACTAGACAGAAGAATTCTGAGAAACTTCTTTGTGATGTGTGCATTCATCTCACAGAGTTGAACCTTTCTTTTGATTAAGCAGTTTGGAATCACTCTTTTTGTAGAATCTGCAAGTGGACATTTGGAGTGCTTTGCGGCCTACGTTAGAAAATGACATATATTAAAATAAAATCTAGACAGAAGCAATCTGAGAAACTTCTTTGTGATGTGTGCATGCATCTCACAGAGTTAAAACTTTCTTTTGATTGAGCTGTCTTGAAACTCTCTTTTTGTAAAATCTGCAAGTGAACATTAGGAGAGCTATGATGCCTATGATGGAAAAGGAAATATCTTCACATAAAAACTAGACAGCAGAATTCTGAGAAACTACTTTGTGATGTGTGCGTTCATATCAAAGAGTTGAACCTTACTTTTTATTGAGCAGTTTGTAAACACTCTATTTGTAGAATTTGCAACTGGACATTTGGAGTGCTTTGTGGCCTATGGTAGAAAACAAAATATCTTCACATAAAATCTAGATGAAAGCAATCTGACAAACATCTTTGTGGCGTGTGCATTCATCTCACCGAGTCAACCTTTCTTTTGACTGAGCACTTTGGAAACTCTATTTTTGTAGAATCTGCAAGTGGACATTTGGAACACTCTGAGGCTTATGGTGGAAAAGGAAATATCTTCACATAAAAACTAGACAGAAGAATTCTGACAAATTTCTTTGTGATGTGTGCATTCAGCTCATGGACTTGAACACTTCTTTTGTTTGAGCAGTTTGGAAACACTCTTTTTGAAGGATCTGCAAGTGGACATTTGGAGCTCTTTGCGGCCTATGGTGGAAAAGGAAATATCTTCATATAAAATGTAGACAGAAGTAATCTGAAAACCTTCTTTATGATGTGTGCATTCATCTCACAGAGTTAAACATTTCTTTTGATTTAGCAGTCTTGAAACTCTCTTTTTGTAGAATCTGCAAGTGGACATTTGTAGCGCTTTGAGGCCTATGGTAGAATAGAATATATCTTCACATAAAAACTAGACAGAGGAATTATCATATACTTCTTTGTGATGTGTGCGTTACTCTCACAGAGTTGAAACTTTCTTTTGATTAAGCAGTTTGGAGACACTCTTTTTGTAGAATCTGCAAGTGGACATTAAGAGCGCTTTGTAGCCTACGTTAGAAAAAGTAATATCTTCACAAAAAATCTAGAAAGAAGCAATCTGAGAAACTTCTTTGTGATGTGTGCATTCATCTCACAGAGTTAAACCTTTATTTTGATTGAACAGTTATGAAACTCTTTTTTTGTAGAATCTACAAGTGGACATTTTCAGCGCTTTGAGGCCTATGGTGGAAAAGGAAATATCTTCACATAAAAAATAGATAGAAGCATTTTTAGAAACATCTTTGTGATGTGTGCATTCATCTAATGGGTTGAAACCTTTCTTTTGATAGAGGAGTTTTAAAGCTCCCTTTTTGTATAATCTCTAAGTGGACATTTGAAGGGCTTTCAGGCCTATGGTGGAAAATGAAATATCTACACATAAAAAGTACATAGAAGCATTCTGAGAAACTACTTTGTGATGTGTGCATTCAACCCCCAGAGTTGAACATTCCTTTGAAGGAACAGTTTTGAAATACTCTTTTTGTAGAATCTGCAAGTGTACCATTCGAGTGCCTTGGGGCCTATGGTACAAAAGGAAATATCTTCACATAAAAACTAGAAAGAAGAATTCTGAGAAAGCTCTTTGTGATGTGTGCATTCATCTAGAAAGTTGAACATTTCTTTGGTTGAGCAGTTTGGAAACACTCTTTTGGTAGAATCTGCAAGTGGACATTTGGAGCACTCTGTGGCCTATGTTAGAACAGGAAACATCTTCACATAAAATGTAGACAGAAGCAATCTGAGAAACTTCTTTGTGATGTGTGCATTCATCTCAAAGAGGTAAAGCTTTCCTTTGATAGAGCAGATTTGAAACTCTCTTTTTGTAGAATCTGCAAGTGGACATTTGGAGCAATATGATGCATGTGGTGGAAAAGTTAATATCGTCATATAAAAACTAGACAGAAGAATTCTGAGAAACTTCTTTGAGATGTCTGTGTTCATCTCACAGAGTTGAAACTTTCCTTTGATTGAGCAGTTTGGAAATACTCTTTTTGTAGAATCTGCAAGTGGACATTTGGAGAGCTTTGCAGCCAATGGTAGAAAAGGCAATATCTTCACGTAAAATCTAGACAGAAGGAATCTCAGAAACTTCCGCATGTTGTCTGCATTCATTTCACAGAGTTAAACTTTTCTTTTGATTGAGCAGTTTGGAAACTCTTTTTGTAGGATCTGCAAGTGGACATTTGTAGTGCTTTGAGGCCAATGGTGGAAAAGGAAATATCTTCACATAAAAACTAGACAGAAGAATTCTGAGAAACTTCTTTGTGATGTGTGTGTTCATCTCACAGAGTTGAACGTTTCTTTTGATTGAGCTGTTGGAAACACTCTTTCTGTAGAATCTGCAAGTGGACATTTGGAGCACTTTGCGACCTATGGTGGAAAAGGAAATATCTTCACATAAAAACTAGACAGAAGAATTATTAGAAACCTCTTTGTGATGCGAGTGTTCAACTCACAGAGTTGAACCTTTCTTTTGATTGTGCAGTTTGCAAACAACTCTTTTTGTAGATTCTGCAAGTGCACATTTGGAGCCCTTTGCGGCCTATGGTAGAAATGGCAATATCTTCACGTAAAATCTAGACAAAAGCAATCTGAGAAATTTCTTTATGATGTATGCATTCATCTCACAGAGTTAATCATTCTTTTGACTGAGCAGTTTTGAAACTCTCTTTTTGTATAATCTGCAAGTGAAAATTTGTGGCGCTTTGAGGTATATGGTGGAAAAGGAAATATCTTCACAGAAAAACTAGACAGAAGAATTCTGAGAAACTCCTTTGTGATGTGTGTGTTCATCTCACAGAGTTGAAACTTTCTTTTGATTCAGCAGTTTGGAAACACTCTTTTTGTAGAATCTACAAGTGGACATTTGGAGCGATTTGCGGGCTGTGGTAGAAAAGGAAATATCTTCACTTAAAATCTAGAAAGAAGCAACCTGAGAAACTTCTTTGTGATGTGTTCATTCATCTCACAGAGTTAAAGATTTCTTTTATTGAACAGTTTTCAAACTCTCTTTTTGTAGAATCTGCAAGTGGACATTTGGAGGGCTTTGCGGGCTATGGTAGAAAAGGAAATATCTTCACTTAAAATGTAGAAATAAGCAATCTGAGAAACTTCTTTGTGATGTGTGCATTCATCTCACAGAGTTAAACCTTTCTTTTGATTGAGCAGTTTAAAAACACTCTTTTTGTAGAATCTGGAAGTGGACATTTGGAGCGCACTGAGGCCATGGTGGAAAAGGAAATATCTTCACATAAAAACTAGACAGAAGAATTCTGACAAACTCCTTTGTGATGTGTGCCTTCATCTCACAGAGTTGAAACTTTCTTTTTATTGAGCAGTTTGCAAAACCACTTTTAGTAGAGTCTGAATGTGGACATTTGGAGCACTTTGTGGACTATGGTAGAGAAGGGAATATCTTCATGTAAAATCTAGACAGAAGTAATCTGAGAAACTTCTTTGTGATGTGCGCATTCATCTCACAGAGTTAAACCTTTCTTTTGATTTAGCAGTTTTGAAACTCTCTTTTAGTAGAATCTGCAAGTGGACATTTGGAGAGCTTTGAGGCCTAAAAAAGTTTACAGAGTTAAACTTTTCTTTTGATTGAGCAGTTTTGAAAATGTCTTTTTGTAGAATCTGTAAGTGGACATTTGGAGAGCTTTGAGGCCTATGGTGTAAAAGGAAATATCTTCACATAAAACCTAGATAGAAGTATTATGAGAAACTGCTTTGTGATGTGTGCATTCATCTCCCCGAGTTGACCCTTTCTTATGAAGGACCAGTTTTGAAATAAGCTTTTTGTAGAATCTGCAAGTGGACATTTTAAGTGTCTTGAGGTCTATGGTGGAAAAGGAAATGTCTTCACAAAAACTAGACAGAAGAATTCTGAGAAACCTCTTTGTGATGCAAGCATTCATCTCACAGAGTTGAGCCTTTCTTTTGATTGAGCAGTTTGGAAACAGTCTTTTTGTTGAATCTGCAAGTGGACATTTGGAGAACTTTGCGGCCTATGGTAGAAAAGGAAATATCTTCACATAAAATCTAGACAGAAGTAATCTGAGAAACTTCTTTGTGATGTGCGCATTCATCTCACAGAGTTAAAACTTTCTTTTGATTGAGGAATTTTGAAATTCTCTTTTTGTAGAATCTGCAAGTGGACATTTGGAGTGCTTTGTGGCCTATGGTAGAATAGGAAATATCTTTACATAAAAACTAGACAGAAGAATTCTGAGAAACTTCTTCTTGATGCATGCGTTCATCTCATAGAGTTCAACCTTTCTTTTGATTGACCGGTTTAGAAACACTCTGTCTTTAAATTCTGCAAGTGAACATTTGGAGCGCTTTGCGGCCTATGGCATAAAAGGAAATATCTTCACATTAAATCTAGACACAAGCAATCTGAGAAACTTCTTTGTGATGTGTGCATTCATCTCACGGAGTTAAACATTTCTTTTGATTTAGCAGTTTTGAAACTCTCTTTTTGTAGAATCTGTAAGTGGACATTTGGAGCGCTTTGAGGCCTACAATGGAAAACGATTTATCTTCACAGTAAAACTAGAAAGAAGTATTTTGGGAAACTTCTTTCTAATGTGTGCGTTCATCTCACAGAGTTAAACCTTTCTTTTGGTTGAGCAGTCTTGAAGCTCTCTTTTTGTAGAATCTGCAAGTGGACATTTGGAGCGCTTTGAGGCCTATGGTGGAAAAGGAAATATCTCCACTTAAAAACTAGACAGAAGAATTCTGAGAAACTTCTTTGTGATGGGTGCGTTCATCTCACAGAGCTGAACTTTTGTTTGGGTGGAGCAGTTTGAAAACACTCTTTTTCTAGAATTTGCAGGTGGACCTTTGGAGTGCTTTGCGGCCTATGGTAGAAAAAAGAAATATCTTCGCATAAAATCTAGACAGAAGCAATCTGAGAAACTGCTTTGTCATGTTTGCATTCATCTAACAGGCTTGAACATTTCTTTTGATTGAGCACTTTGGAAACACTCTTTTTGCAGAATCTGGAAGTGGACATTTGGAGCGCTTTGAGGCCTATTTTAGAAAAGGAAATATCTTCACATAAAATCTAGACAGAAGAAATCTGAGAAACTTCTTTGTAAATGTGTGCATTCATCTCACAGAGTTAAACATTTCCTTTGATTGAGAAGTTTTGAAACTCTCTTTTTTTAGAATCAGAAAGTGGACATTTTGAGTACTTTGAGGCATATGGTGGAAAAGGAAATATCCGCAGATGAAATCTAGAAAGAAGCAATCTGAGAAACTTCTTTATGATGTGTGCATTCATCTCACACAGTAAAACCTTTCTTTTGATTGAGCAGTTTTGAAACTCTCTTTTTGTAGAATCTGTAAGTGGACATTTGGAGGGCTTTGAGGCCTTTGGTGGAAAAGGAAATATCTTCACATAAAAACAAGACAGAAGAATTCTGAGAAACGTATTCGTGATGTGTGTGTTGATCTCACAGAGTTGAACTTTTCTTTTGATTGAGCAATTTGGAAACCCTCTTTTTGTAAAATCTGCAAGTGGACATTTGGAACACTTTGCAGCCTATGTTAGAAAAAAGAAATATCTTCATATAAAATCTAGACAGAAGCAATCTGAGAAACTTCTTTGTGATGTGTCCTTTCACCTCACAGAATTGAAACTTTCTTTTCATTGAGAAATTTGGAGACCCTCTTTTTGTGGAATTGGCAAGTGAAAATTTTGAGCACTTTGCGACCTATGGTAGAACAGGAAATATCTTCACATAAAATCTAGACAGAAGCAATCTGAGAAACTTCTTTCTGATGTGTGCATTCATCTCACAGAGTTAAATCTTTTTTTTTTTTTTTGAGCAGTTTTGAAACTCTCTTTTTGTAGAATCTGCAAGTGGACATTTGGAGCGCTTTGAGGCCTACGGTGGAAAAGGAAATATCTTCATATAAAAACTAGACAGAAGAATTCTGAGAAACTTCTTTGTGATGTGTGCATTCATCTCGCAGAGTTGAACCTTTCTTTTGATTAAGGAGTTTGGAAACACTCTTTTTGTAAAATCTGCAAGTGGACATTTGTAGCGCTTTGTAGCCTATTGTAGAAAAGGAAATATGTTCACATAAAATCTAGACAGAAGCAATCTGGGAAACTTCTTTGGGATGTGTGAATTCATCTCACAGATTTCAACCTTTCTTTTGTTTGAGCAGTTTTGAAACTCTCTTTTTGTAGAATCTGAAAGTGGACATTTGGAGCCATCTGAGGCCTATGTTGGAAAAGGAAGTATCTTCAAATAAAAACTAGACAGAAGAATTCTGAGAAACTTCTTTGTGATGAGTGTGCTCATCTCACAGAGTTAAAGATTCTTTTGATTGAGCAGTTTGGAAACACTCTTTTTGAAGAATCTGCAAGTGGATATTTGGAGTGTTTTGAGAAATGTGGTGGAAAAGGAAATATCGTCATATAAAAACTAGACAGAAGAATTCTGAGAAATTTCTTTGTGATGTGTGCATTCATCTCACAGAGTTGAAGCTTTCTTTTGATTGAGCAGTTTGGAAACTATCTTTTTGTAGAATCTGCAAGTGGATACTTGGAGCGCTTTGTGGCCTGTGGTAGAAAAGGAAATATCATCACATAAAATCTAGACAGAAGAAATCTGAGAAACTTCTTTCCGACGTGTGTGGTCATCTCACAGAGCTAAAACTTTCTTTTAATTGAGCATTCCTGAAACTCTCTTTTTGTAGAATCTATAAGTGGACGTTTGGAGCACTTTAAGGCCTACGGTGGAAAAGGAAATAACTTCACATTAAAAACTAGACAGAAGAATTCTGAGAAACTTCCTTGTGATGTGTGTGTTCATCTCACAGAGTTGAAGCTTTCTTTTGATTGAGCAGTTTGGAAACAGTCTTTTTGTAGAATTTGCAAGTGGACATTTGGATCGCTTTATGGCCTATGTTAGAAAAGGAAATATCTTCACATAAAATCTAGACAGTAGCAATCGGAAAAATTTCTTTGGGATGTGTGCATTCATCTCACAAAGTTAAAACTTTCTTTTGATAGAGCAGTTTTGAAACTCTCTTTTTGTAGAATCTGCAAGTGGATTTTTGGAGCACTTTGGGGCCTATGGTGGAAAAGGAAATATCTTCACATAAAAACTAGACAGAAAAATTCTGACCATGTTCTTTGTGATGTGTGCATTCATCTCACAGAGTTGAACCTTTCTTTTCATTGAGCAGTTTGGAAACACTCTTTTTGTAGAATCTGCTAGTGGACATTTGCAACGCTTTGTGGTCTATGGTAGAAAGGGAAATATCTTCACATAAAAACTAGACTGAAGCAATCTGATAAACTTCTTTGTGATGTGTGCATTCATCCCACACAGTTAAAATTTTCTTTTGATTGAGCAGTTTGAAACTCTCTTTTTGTAGAATCTGCAACTGGACATTTGGAGCGCTTTGAGTACTGTGGTGGAAAAGGAAACATTTTCATATAAAAACTAGACAGAAGAATTCCGACAAACTTCTTTGTGATGTGTGCATTCATCTCACAGAGTTGAACTTTTCTTTTCGTTGAGCAGTTGGGAAACACTCTTTTTGTACAATCTGCAAGTGGACATTTGGAGCGATTTGAAGCCTGTGGTGAAAAAGGAAATATCTTCACAAAAAAAAACTAGACAGAAGAATTCTGAGAAACTTCTTTGTGATGCGTGCATTCATCTCACAGAGTTGAACCTTTCTTTTGATAGAACAGGTTGGAAACACTCTTTTTTAGAATCTGCAAGTGGACATTAAGAGCGCTTTGCAGCCTACAGTAGAAAAAGAAATATCTTCATATAAAATCTAGACAGAAGCAATCTGCAAAACATTTTTGTGATGTATGAATTCGTTTCACAGAGGGCAACCTTCCTTTTGATTGAGCAGTCTTGAAACTCTCTTTTTGTAGAATCTGCAAGTGGACATTTGGAGCGCTTTGTGGCCTATGGTGGAAAAGGAAATATCTACACATAAAAACTAGAGAGAAGAATTCTGAGAAACTTCTTTGTGATGGGTGCGGTCAGCTCACAGAGTTGAAACTTTCTTTTGATTGAGCAGTTTGGAAGCACTCTTCTTGTAGAATCTGCAAGTGGACATCTGGAGTGCTCTGCGGCCTGTGGTAGAAAAGGAAATACCTTCACATAAATTCTAGACAGAAGCAATCTGAGATACTTCTTTGTTAGTGTGCATTCATCTCACAGAGTTAAACCTATCTTTTGATTGAGCAGTTTGGAAACACTCTCTTTGTAGAATCTGCAAGTGAACATTTCTAGAGCTTTGTGGCCTCTGGTAGAAAAGGAAATATTAAAAATAAAATCTAGATGGAAGGAATCTGAGAAACTTGTGATGTGTGCATTCATCTTACAGAGATAATCCTTCCTTTTGATTGAGCAGTTTTGAAACTCTTTCTGAATAATCTACAAGTGGACATTTGGAGCGTTTTGAGGTATATGGTGTAAAAGGAAATATCTTCACATAAAAACCAGACAGAAGAATTCTGAGAAACTTCTTTGTGATGCGTGCATTAATCTCACAGAGTTCAAGCTTTCTTTAGATTGAGCAGTTTGGAAATACTGTTTTTGAGGAATCTGCAAGTGGACATTTAGAGCACTTTGCAGCCTATGTTAGAATAGGAAATATCTTCACTTAAAATCTAGACAGAAGCAGTCTGTGAAACTTCTTTGTGATGTGTGCATTCATCTCACAAAGTTAAAACTTTCTTTTGATTGAGCAGTTTTCAAACTCTCTTTTCATAGAATCTGCAAGTGGACATTTGGAGAGCTTTGAGGCCTGTGGTGGAAAAGGAAATATCTTCACATAAAAACTAGACAGAAGAATTCTGAGAAACTTCTTTGTGATGTACGCTTTCATCTCACAGAGTTGAATTCTTCTTTTTATTGAGCAGTTTGGAAACATTCTTTTTTTAGACTCTGCAGGTGGACATTTTTATTGCTTTATGGTCTATGGTAGAAAAGGTAATATCTTCACATAAAATCTAGACAGAAGCTCTCTGAGAAACTTCTTTGTGATGTGTGCACTCATCTCACAGCGTTAAAACTTCCTTTTGATTGGAGCAGTTTTGAAACGCTCTTTTTGTAGAATCTGCAAGTGGATATTTGGAGTGCTTTGAGGCCTATGGTGGAAAAGAAAATATTTTCACATAAAAAGTAAACAGAAGAGTTCTGAGAAACTTCTTTGGGATGTGTGCGTTCATCTCACAGAGTTGAACCTTTCTTTTGATTGAGGAGTTTGGAAACACTCTTTTTGCAGAATCTGCAAGTGGACATTTGGAGAACTTTGCAGCCTATGGTAGAAAAGGAAATATCTTCACATAAAATCTAGACAGAAGCAATCTGAGAAACTTATTTGTGATGTGTGCATTCATCTCACAGCATTAAAACTTCCTTTTGATTGGAGCAGTTTTGAAACACCCTTTTTGTAGAATCTGCAAGTGGGTATTTGGAGCACTTTGAGGCCTATGTTGGAAAAGGAAATATCTTCACGTAAAAACTAGATGGAAGCATTTGGTAAACTTCTCTGTGATGTGTGCCTTCATCTCCCAGAGGTGAACCTTTCTTTTGAAAGACCAGTTTTGAAATACTCTTTTTGTAGAATCTGCAACTGGACATTTCGAGCGCCTTGAGGCCTATGGTGGCAAAGGAAATATATTCACATAAAAACTAGACAGAATTCTGATAAACTTTTTTGTGATGTATGCATTTATCTCCCAGAATTGAACCTTTCTTTTGAAGGACCAGTTTTGAAATACTCTTTTTGTGGAATCTGCAAGTGGAGATTTCGAGTGCCTTGAAGCCTATGTGGGAAAAGAAAACATCTTCACGTATCAACTGGACAGAAGAATTCTGAGAAACTTCTTTGTGATGTGTGGGTTCATCTCACAGAGTTGAACCTTTCCTTTGAGCAGCTTGTAAAAACTCTTTTTGTAGTATCTGTAAGTGGACACTTGGAACGCTTTGCAGCCTATGGTAGAAAAGGGACTATATTCACATAACATCTAGACAGAAACATTCTGAGAAAATTCTTTGTAATGTTTGCATTCATTCAACAGAGCTGAACCTTTCCTTTGATGGACCAGTTTTGAAATACTCTTTTTGTGGAATCCGCATGTGGACATTTCGAGTGCTTTGAGGCCTAGGGTGGAAAATGAAATATCTTCACATAAAAGCTATGCAGAAGAATTCTGAGAAACTTCTTTGAAATGTGTTCATTCATCTCACAGAGTTGAACCTTTCTTTTGATTGAGCAGTTTGGAAAAATTTTTTTCGTAGAATCTCAAGTGGACATGTTGAGCGCTTTGTGGCATATAGTAGAAAAGGAAGTATCTTCACATAAAATCTAGACAGAAGCAATCTGAGAAACTTCTTTGTTATGTGTGTACTCATCTCAAAGAGGTAAACCTTTCTTTTGGTTGAGCAGTTTTGAAACTCTCTTTTTGTAGAATCTGCAAGTGGACAGTTGGAGCACTTTGAGGCCTATGGTGGGAAAGGAAATATCTTCACATAAAAACTAGACAGAAGAATTCTGACAAACTTCTTTGTGATGTGTGCATTCTTCTCACAGAGTGGAACTGTTCTTTTGATTGAGCAGTTTGGTACCACTCTTTCTTGTAGAATCTGCAAGTGGACATTTGGAGCGCTTTGCGGTCTATAGTAGAAAAGTAAATATCTTCACATAAAATCTACACAGAAACAATCTGAGAAACTTGTTTGGGATATATGCATTCATCTCACAGAGATAACCCTTTCTTTTGATTGAGCAGTTTTGAAACTCTCTTTTTGTAGAATCTGCAAGCGGACATTTAGAGAGTCTTGAGGCCTATGGTGGAACAGGAAATATCTTCACATAAAAATTAGACAGAAGGATTCTGAGAAACTTCTTTGTGATGAGTGCGTTCATCTCACGGAGTTGAACCTTTCTTTTGATTGAGCAGTTTGGAAACACACTTTTTGTAGCATCTGCAAGTGGACATTTGGAACTCTTTGCAGCCAATGGTAGAAAAGGAAATATCTTCACATAAAATCCAGACAGAAGCAATCTGAGAAACTTCTTTGTGATGTGTGCATTAATCTCACAGAGTTAAACTTTTCTTTTGATTGAGCAGATTGGAAACTCTCTTTTCGTAGAATCTGCAAGTGGACATTTGGAGTGTTTGAGGCCTGTGGTGGAGAAGGAAATATCTTCACATAAAAAGTAGATAGAAGCATTCTTATTAGCTTCTCTGTGATGTCTGCATTCATCTCCCAGAGTTCCACCTTTCTTTAGAAGAACCAGTTTTCAAATACTCTTTTTGGAGAATCTGCAAAGGGACTTTTCAAGCACCTTGAGGCTTAAGTTGGAAAAGGAAATATCTTCACAAAAAAAACAGATAGAAGAATTCTGAGAATCTTCTTTATGATATGTACGTTCATCTAACGTTGAACCTTTCTTTTGAACGTGTAGTTTGGAAACACCCTTTTTGTAGAATTGGCAAGTGGGCATTTGGAGCACTTTGCGGCCTATGATAGAAAAGGAAATATCTTCACATAAAATCTAGAAGGAAGCAATCTGAGAAACTTCTTTGTGATGTGTGCATTCATCTCACAGAGTTGAAACTTTCTTTTGATTGAGCAGTTTTGAAACACTCTCTTCGTAGAATCTGCAAGTGGATATTTGGAGCCCTTTGAGGCCTATTGTGGAAAAGGAAATATCTTCACATAAAAACTACTCAGAAGCATTCTAAGAAACACCATTGTGATGTTTGGATTCAACTCACAGAGTGGAAACTACATTTTGATTGAGCAGTTTTGAATCTCTCCTTTTGCAGAATCTGCAAGTGGTTGTTTGGAAAGCTTTGAAGCCTATTGTGGAAAAGGAAATATCTTTACATAAAAACTACACAGAAGCATTCTGAGAAACTACTTTGTGAGGTGTGCATTCAACTCACAGAGTTGAAATTATCTTCTCATTGAGGAGTTTTCTATCTCTCTTTTTGTAGAATCTGCATGTCGATATTTGAAGAACTTTGCATCCTATGGTGGAAAAGGAAATATCTTGAAATAAAAACTACACAGAAGCATTCACAGAAACTTCTTTGTGATGTGTGCACTCAACTCACAGAGTTGAACCTATCTTTAGATTGAGCAGTTTTGAATCTCTCTTCTTGCACAATCTGAAGGTGGATATTTCGAGCCTTTTGAGGCCTACAGTGGAAAAGCAAATATCTTCACAGAAAAACTACACGGAAGCATTGTGATAAACTTCTTTGTGATGTGTGCATTCAACTCACAAAGTTGAACTTATATTCTCATTGAGCAGTTTTGAATATCTCTTTTGGTAGAATCTCCAAGTGGATATTTGGAGCCCTTTGCACCCTATGGTGGAAAAGGAAATATCTTCAAATAAAAACTACACAGAAGCATTCAGAGAAACTGCTTTGTGATGTATGCATTCAACTCACAGAGTTGAACATATCTTTTGAATCAGCAGTTTTGAATCTCTCTTTTGGCAGAATCTTCAGGTGGATATTTGGAGCCCTTTGAGGCCTACTGTGGAAAAGAAAATATCTTCACATAAAAACTACACAGAAGCATTCTGAGAAACTTCTTTGTGAGGTGTGCATTCAGCTCACAGAGTTGATCTTATCTTCTCATTGAGCAGTTTTGAATCTCTCTATTTGTAGAATCTGCAAGTGGATATTTGGAGCCCTTTGAGCCCTATGGTGGAAAAGGAAATATCTTGAAATAAAAACTACACAGAAGCATTCAGACAAACTTCTTTGTGATGTATGCATTCAACTCACAGAGTTGAACGTATCTTTTCATTGAGCAGTTTTGAACCTCTCTTTTTGCAGAATCTGCAGGTGGATATTTGGAGCGCTTTGAGGCCTTCGGTGGAAACGGGAATACCTTCACATAAAAACTAGACAGAAGCATTCTCAGAAACTTCGTTGTGATGTGTGCATTCAACTCACAGAGTTGAACCTTCCTTTTGATAGAGCAGTTTTGAGACACTGTTTTTGTAGAATCTGCAAGTGGACATTTTGATCGCTCTGAGGCCTACGGTGTAAACGAGATATCTTTACATAAAAACTAGACAGAAGCATTCCCAGAAACTTCTTTGTGATGTGTGCATTCAACTCACAGAGTTGAGTCTTCCTTTTGATAGAGCAGTTTTGAAACACTCTTTTTGTGGAATTTGCAAGTGGATATTTGGAATGCTTTGAGGCCTATGGTAGAAACAGAAATATCTTCATATAAAAACTACACAGAAGTATTCTCAGAAAATACTTTGTGATGTGTGCATTCAACTCACAGAGTTGAAAATTCCTTTTGATAGAGAAGTTTTGAAACACTCTTTTTGTAGAATCTGCAAGTGGATATTGGGAGCGCTTTGAGGTTTTCGATGGAAATGGGAATATCTTCACATAAAAACTAGACAGAATCATTCTCAGAAACTTGTTTGTGATGTGTGCATTCAAATCCAAGAGTTAAGCCTTTCTTTTGATATAGCAGTTTTGAAACCCTCTTTCTGTACAATCTGCAAGTGGACATTTGGAGTGCTTTGGGTCCTGTGGTGGAAAAGGGAATATCTTCAGATAAAAACTAGACAGAAGCATTCTCAGAAACTTCTTTATGATGTGTGCATTCATGTCACAGAGTTGAAACTTCGTTTTGATAGAGCAGTTTTGAAACACTCTTTTTGAAGAATATGCAGGTGGATAATTGGAGCGCTTTGAGGGCTATGGTGGAAAGGGAAATATCTTCACATAAAAAGTAGACAGAAGCATTCTCAGAAACTTCTTTGTGATGTTTGCATTCAACTAACAGAGCTGAACATACCTTAACATAGATCAGTTTTGAAACACTCTTTTAGTAGAATCTGCAAGAAGATATCTGTAAGGCTTTGAGGCCTTCTTTGGAAACGGGAATATCTTCACATAAAAACTGGAGAGAAGCATTCTAAGAAACTTCTTTGTGATGTGTGCATTCAACTCACAGAGTTGAACCTTTCTTTTGGTAGAGCAGGTTTGAAACATTCATTTTGTAGGATCTGAAGTGTACATTTGGAGAGCTTCGAGGCCTATGGTGGAAAAGGAAGTATCTTCACATAAAAACTAGAGAGAAGCGTTCTCAGAAACTTCTTTGTGATGTGTGCATTCAACTCACAGAATTGAACCTCTCTTTTCATTGAGCAGGCTTGAAACACTCTTTTTGTAGAATCTGCAAGTAGACATTTGGAGAGCTTTGAGGCCTATGGTGGAAAAGGAAATATCTTCACACAAAAAACAGACAGAAGCATTCTCAGAAACGTCTTTGTGATGTTTGCATTCAACTCACAGAGTTGAAGATACCTTTCCATGGAGCAGTTTTCAGACACTCTTTTTGTAGAATCTGCAGGTGGATATTTGGACCACTATGAGGCCTTCGTTGGAAACGGGAATATCTTCACATAAACACTTGACAGAAGCATTCTCAAAAACTTCTTTGTCACGCGTGCATTAAACTCAAAGAGTTGAACCTTTCTTTTGATAGAGCAGCTTTGAAACACTCTTTTTGTAGAATCTGCAAGTTGACATTTGGAGAGCTTTGAGGCCTATGGTGGAAATGTTATATCATCATATAAAAATTAGAGAGAAGAATTCTCAGAAAATTCTTTGCAATGTTTGCATTCAACTCAGAGTTGAAGATGCCTTTTCATAGAGCAGTTTTGAAACACTGTTTTGGTAGATTATGCAAGTGGATATTTGGAACACTTTGAGGCCTTCGTTGGAAACGGGAATATGTTCACACAAAAACAGGCAGAAGCATTCTGAGAAACTTCTTTGTGATGTTTGCATTCACCTCAAAGAGTTGAAACTTTCTTTTGATATAGCATGTTTGAAACACTCTTTTTGTAGAATCTGCAAGTGGACATTTGGAGAGCATTGAGGCCTATGGTGGAAAAGTAAATATCGTCACATAAAAACTAGAGAGAAGCATTCTCAGAAACTTCTTTGTGATGTGTGCATTCTACTCACAGAGGTGAACCTTTCTTTTGATAGAGCAGTTTTGAAACACCCTTTTTGTAGAATCTGGAAGTGTATATTTGGACCGCTTGGAGGCCTTTGTTGGAAACAGGAATATCTTCACATAAACACTAGAAAGAAGCATTCTCCAAAACTTCTTTGTGCTGTGTGCATTGAACTCACAGAGTTGAATCTTTCTTTTGATAGAGCAGGTTTGAAACACTCTTTTTGTAGAATCGGCACTGGACATTTTTAGACCTATGAGGCCTATGGTGGAAAAGGAAATATCTTTAAATAAAAGCCAGACAGAATAATTCTAAGGAACTACTTTGTGATGTTTGCTTTCAAATCACAGGATTGTACATACCTCTTCATAGAGCAGTTTTGAAGCACTCTTTTTGCAGAATCTGCCAGTGGATATTTGGAGCACTTTGAAGCCTTCGTTGGAAATGGGAATATCTTCAAATAAACACTAGATAGAAGCATTCTCAGAAACTTCTTTGTGATGTGTCCATTCAACTCACAGAGTTGAAGCTTTCCTTTAATAAAGCAGGTTTGATACACTCTTTTTGTAGAATCTGCAAGTGGATATTTGAACCGCTTTGACGCCTTCCTTGGAAAAGTGGATATCTTCACATAAACACTAGACAGAATCATTCTCAGAAACTTCTTTGTGATGTGTGCATTCCACTCACAGAATTGAACCTTTCTTTTGATAGAGCAGGTTTGAAACACTTTTTTTGTAGAATCTGCAAGCAGACATTTGGAGAGCTTGGAGGCCTATGGTGGAAAAGGAAATATCTATGAATAAAAACTAGACAGAAGCATTGTCAGAAACTTCTTTGTGATGTTTGCATTCAACTCACAGAGTTGAACCTCCCTTTTCATAGAGCAGTTTTGAAACACTATTTTCGTGGAATCTGCAAGTGGATATTTGGACCGCTTTGAGGTCTTCGTTGGAAACGGGAATATCTTCGCATAAAAACTAGACAGAAGCATTCTCAGAAACTACTTTGTGATGTGTGCATTCAACTCACAGAGTTGAACCTTCCTTTTCGTAGAGCAGGGTTGAAACACTCTTTTTGCAGGATCTGCAAGTGGACATTTGGAGCTCTTTGAGGCCTATGGTGGAAAAGGATATATCTTCACATAAAAGCTACACAGAAGCATTCTCATAAACTTATGTGTGACGTTTGCATTCAACTCTCAGAGTCTAACATACTTTATCATAGATTAGTTTTGAAACACTCTTTTAGTAGTATCTGCAAGTGGATAATTGGAGGGCTTTGAGGCCTTCGTTGAAAACGGGAGTATCTTCACATAATGAAGCTTTCTCAGAAACTTCTTTGTGCTGTGTGTATTCAACTCACAGAGTTGAACCTTTCTTTTGATAGAGCAGGTTTGAAACACTCTTTTGCAGAATCTACAAGTGGACATTAGGAGCACTTTGTGGCCTATGGAGGAAAAGGAAATATCTTCACATAAAAACTAGACAGAAGCATTCTCATAAACTTATTTGTGACGTTTGCATTCAACTTTCAGAGCTTAACATACTTTATCATAGATCAGTTTTGAAACACTCTTTTAATAGTATCTGCAAGTGGATAATTGGACCACTTTGAGGCCTTCGTTGGAAACGGGAGTATCTTCACACAATGAAGCTTTCTCAAAAACTTCTTTGTGCTGTGTGCATTCAACTCACAGAGTTGAAATTTTCTTTCGATATAGCAGATTTGAAACACTCTTTTTGTAGAATTTGAAAGTGGATATTTGGACAGCTTTGAGGCCTTCCCTGGAAACGGGAGTTTCTTCACATAAAAACTAGACAGAAGCATTCTAGGAAACTTCTTTTTGATGTGTGCATTCAACTCAGAGAGTTGACCCTTTCTTTTGATAGAGCAGATTTAACACTCTTTTTGCAGAATCTACACGTGGACATTATGAGCGATTTGAGGCCTATGGTGGAAAAGGAAATATCTTCACATAAAAACTAAACAGCAGCATTCTCAGAAACTTCTTTGTGATGTTTGCCTTCAATTCTCAGAGTTGAACATACTTTATCCTAGAGCAGTTTTGAAACACTCTTTTAGTAGTATCTCCAAGTGGATATTTGGACCGCTTTGAGGACATCATTGGAAACGGGAGTACCTACACATAATCACGACACAGAAGTTTTCTCAGAAACTTCCTTCTGCTGTGTGCATTCAACTCAAAGATTTGAAATTTCTTTTGATAGAGCAGGTTTGAAACACTCTTTTTGTAGAATCTGCAAGTTGACATTTTGAGCGCTTTGAGGCCTATGGTGCAAAAGGAAATATCTTCACATAAAAACTAGACAGAAGCATTCTCAGAAACTTCTTTGTGATGTGTGCATTCAACTCATGGATTTGAACCGTTCTTTTGATAGAGCAATTTTGAAACACTCTTTTTGTACAATCTGCAAGTGGACATTTGGAGTGTTTTGAGGCCTACGGCAGAAAAGGAAATATCTCCACATAAAAAATAGACAGAAGCATTCACAGAAACTTCTTTGTAATATATGCATTCAACTCACAGAGTTGAACTTTTCTTTTGATAAAGCAGGTTTGAAACACTCTTTTTGTGGAATCTGCAAGTGGACCTTTGGAGAGCTTTGAGGCCTATGGCAGAAAAGGAAATATCTCCACACAAAAACTAGACAGAAGCATTCTCAGAAACTTCTATGGGTTGTGTGCATTCAACTCACAGAGTTGAACATATCTTTTCATGGAGCAGTTTAGAAACACTCTTTTTGTAAAATCTACAAGTGGATATTTGAACCGCTTTGAGACCTTCATTGGAAACGGGAATATCTTCACATAAACACTAGACAGAAGAATTCTCAGAAAATTATTTGTGATGTGTGCATTCAACTCACAGAGTTGAACCTTTCTTTCGATAGAGCAGGTTTGAAACACTCTTTTTGTAGAATCTGAAACTGGACATTTGGGGTGCTTTGAGGCCTATGGTGGAAAATGAAATATCTTCTCATAAAAACTAGACAGAAGCATTCTATGAAACTTCTTTGTGATGTTTGCATTCAACTCACAGAGTTGAACATTCCTTATCATAGAGCAGTTTTGAAACACTCTTTTCGTAGAATCTGCAAGTGGATATTTGGACCAATTTGAGGCCTTCGTTAGAAACAGGAATACCTTCACATTAAAACTAGACAGGAGCATTCTCTGAAACTGCTTTGTGATGTGTGCATTCAACTCACAGAGTTGAACTTTCGTTTTGAGAGAGCACGTTTTGAAACACTCTTTTTGCAGAATCTGCATGTGTGAATTTGGAGAGCTTTGAGGCGTTTGGTGGAAAAGGGAATATCTTCACACAAAAATTAGACAGAAGCATTCACAGAAACTTCTTTGTGATGTGTGCATTTAACTCACCGAGTGGAACCTTCCTTTTCATAGAGCAGGTTTGAAACACACTTTTTGCAGTATCTGCAGGTGGACATTTGGAGCGCTTCTATTCCAATGGTGGAAAACGAAATGTCTTCTCATAAAAACTACATAGAAGCATTCTCAGAAACTTCTTTGTGACGTTTGCATTCAACTCTCAGAGTTGAACAAACTTTATCACAGAGCAGTTTTGAAACACTCTTTTAGTAGTATCTGCATGTGGGTAATTGAACCGCTTTCAGGCCTTTGTTTGAAAGGCTAGTATCTTCACTTAAAAACTAGACCAAAGCATTCTCGGAAACTTCTTTGTGATGTGTGCATTAAACTCACAGAGTTTAACCTTTATTTTGATAGAGCAGGTTTGAAACACTCTTTTGCAGAAACTACAAGTGGACATTTGGATCGCTTTGAGGCCTAAGTTGAAAAGAAAATACTTTAACATAAAAATTAGACAGAAGCATTCTGAGAAACTGCTTTGGGATGTGTACATTCAACTCACGGAGTTGAACAGACTTTATCATAGAGCAGTTTTGAAATACTCTTTTAGTAGAATCTGCAAGTGGAAATTTGGACCTCTTTGAGGCCTTCGTTGGAAAAGGGAATAGCTTCAGGTAAATACTAGACAGAAGCATTCTCAGAAACTACTTTGTGATGTGTGCATTCAACTCACAGATTTGAACATACCTTATCATAGAGTAGTTCTGAAGCACTCTTATAGAGGAATCTGCAAGGGGATATTTGGACAACTTTGAGGCAATCATTGGAAACGGGAATATCTTCACATAAACACCAGACAGAAGCATTCTCAGAAACTGCTTTTTGATGTGTGCATTCAACTCACAGAGTTGACCATACCTTAACATAGAGCAGTTTTGAAACACTCTTTTGGTAGTATCTGCAATTGGATAATTGGAAGGCTTTGAGGCCTTCGTTGTAAACGGGAATTTCTTCCCATAAAAACGGGCAGAAGCTTTCTCAGAAACTTCTTTTTGATGTGTGCATTAAACGCACAGAGTTGAAGCTTTCTTTTGATAGAGCAGGTTTGAAACACTCATTTTGTAGAATCTGCAAGCTTACATTTGGAGCACTCTGAGGCCTATGTTGGGAAATGAAATTTCTTAACATAAAAACTGGACAGAAGCATTCTCAGAAACTTCTTTGTGATGTTTGCATTCAACTCACAGAGTTCACCTTCCTTTTCACAGAGCAGATTTGAAACACACATTTCGTAGAATCTGCAAGTGGATATTTGGAGCGCTTCACTGTTTTAGAAGAATCTGCAAGTGGATATTTTGACCGCTTTGAGGCAACAGTTGGAAACGGGAATATCTTCACATAATCACTAGACAGAAGCTTCCTCAGAAACTTCTTTGTGTTGTGTGCATTCAACTCACAGAGTTGCACCTTTCTTTTGATAAAGGAGGTTTGAAACACTCCTGTTGTAGAGTCTGCAAGTGGATATTTGGAGCGCTTTGAGGCCTAAGGTGGAAAAGGAAATGTCTTCCATAAAAACTAGACGGAAGCATTCTGAGAAACTTCTAGGTGATGTTTGCATTCAATTCAAAGAGTTGAACCTTCGTTTTCATAGAGCAGTTTTGAAACGCTCTTTTCATAGAATCTCAAGTGGATATTTCAACTGTTTTGAAGCCTTCTTTGGAAACGGAAGTATGTTCACATAAACACTGCACAGAAGAATTCTCAGAAAATTCTTTGTGATGTGTGCATTCATCTCACAGAGTTGAACATACCTTATCATAGAGCAGTTTTGAAACACTCTTTTAGTAGAATCTGAAAGTGGATATTTCAAACACTTTAAGGCCTTCGTTGGAAACGGGAATATCTTCCTATAAAAACTAAACAGCAGCATTCTGAGAAACTTAATTGTGATGTGTACTTTCAACCACAGAGGTTAACCTTTCTTTTGATAGAGCAGTTTGAAACACTCTTTTTGTAGAATCTGCAAGTGGACATTTGGAAAGCTTTGAGGCCTATGGTGGAAAAGGAAATATCTTTATATAAAAACAAGACAGAAGAGTTCTCAAAAACACCTTTGTGATGTTTGCCTTCAACTCACAGAGCTGAACATATCATATGATAGAGCAGATTTGAAACACTCTCTTTGTAGTATCTGCAAGTGGATATTTGGACTGCTTTGTGGCCTTTGTTGGAAACGGGATTATCTTCGCATTAACACTGGACAGAAGCATTCTCAGAAACTTCTCTGGGAATTATGCTTTCAACTCACAGAGCTGAACATACCTTATCCTAGAGCAGTTTTCAAACACTCTTTTAGTAGAATCTGCAAGAGGATAATTGGAATGCTTTGAGGCCCTCTTGGAAACGTTAATATATCCACATAAAAATGAGACAGCAGAATTCTCAGAAACTTGTTTTTCATGAGTACATTCAACCACAGGGTTGAACCTTTCTTTTGATAGAGCAGTTTTGAAACAATCTTTTTGTAGAATCTGCAAGTGGATATTTAGACCGCTTTGAGGACTTCGTTGGAAATGGGAATATCTTCACATAAACACTAGACAGAATCATTCTCAGAAACTTCTTTGTGATGTGCGCATTCAACTCACAGAGTTGAACCTTTCTTTTGATAGAGCAGATTTGAAACACTCTTGTTGTAGAATCCACAAGTGGACATTTGGAGAGCTTTGAAGTCTATGGTGGAAAAGGAAATATCTTCACAAAAAACTGGAGAGAAGCATTCTCAGAAACTTCTTTGTGATGTGTGCATTCAACTCACAGAGCTGAACCTTTCTTTGGATAGAGCAGGTTAGCAACACTCTTTTCACAGAATCTGCATGTGGACATTTGGAGAGCTTTGAGGCCTATGGTGGAAAAGGAAATATCTTCACATAAAAACTAGACAGAAGCATTCTCAGAAACTACTTTGTGATGTTTGCATTCAACTCACAGAGTTGGACATACTTTATCATAGGGCATTTTTGAAACACTCTTTCAGGAGAATCTGCAAGTGGATATTTGGAACGCTTAGAGGCCTTCGTTGGAAACAGGAGTATTTTCACATAAATACTAGACAGCAGCATTCTCAGAAACATCCTTGTGATGTGAGCATTCAACTCACAGAATTGAACATTTCCTTTGAAAGAGCAGTTTTGAAACACTCTTTTTGCAGGATCTGCAAGTGGATATGTGGACTGCTTTGAGGCCTTCGTTGGATATGGGAATATCTTCACATAAAAACTAGACAGAAGCATTCCCAGAAACTTCTTTCTGATGTGTGCATTCAACTCACAGAGTTGAACCTTTCTTTTGATAGAGCAGTTTTGAAACACTCTTTTTGTAGAATCTGTATGTGGACATTTGGAGAGGTTTGAAGCCTATGGTGGAAAAGGAAATATCTTCACATAAAATCTAGACAAAGCATTCTCCGAAACTCCTTTGTTTCTTTTGATAGACCAGGTTTGAAACACTCTTTTAGTAGAATCTGCAAGAGGTTATTTGGAACCTTTTGAGGCCTTCTTTGGAAACGGTAATAACTTCACATAATCAATAGTCAGAAGTTTCTCAGAAACTTCTTTGTGCTGTGTGCATTAAACTCAGAGAGTTGAAACTTTTTTTGATAGAGGAGGTTTGAAACACTCTTTTTGTAGAATCTGCAATTGGACATTTGGAGCGATTTAAGGCCTATGGTGGAAAAGAAAATATCTTCACATGAAAACTAGACAGAAGCATTCTCAGAAACTTCTTTGTGATATTTGCCTTCAACTCACGGAGTTGAACTTACCTTATCATAGAGCAAGTTGGAAACACTCTTTTAGTAGAATCTGCAAGTGGAGACTAGGAACGCTTTGGGGCCTTCGTTGGAAATGGGAATATCTTCACATAAATAGTAGACAGAGGCATTCTCAGAAACTTCTTTGTGATGTGTACCTTTAACTCACACAGTTGAACATTTCTTTTGGTAGTTCAGTTTTGAAACATTCTTTTTGTAGAATCTGCAAGTGGACATTTGGAGAGCTTTAAGGCCTTCATTGGAAACGGGAATATCTTCACATAAACACTAGACAGAAGCATTCTCAGAAACTTCTTGTGCTTTGTGCATTGAACTCACAGAGTTGAACCTTTCTTTTTGATAGAACAGGTTTGAATCACTCTTTTTGTAATATGTGGAAATGGACATTTGAGCGATTTGACGCCTATGGTGAAAAAGGAAATATCTTCCCTTAAAAACTTGACAGAAGCATTGTCAGAAACTTATTTGTGATGTGTGTACTCAACTGACAGAGTTGAACCTTTCTTTTTACAGAGCAGTTTTGAAACACTCTTTTTGTTGAATCTGCAGGTGGATGTTTGGATAGGTCTGAGGATTTTGTTGGAAAGGGATTATATATAAAAACTAGACAGCTGCATTCTCAGAAAATTCTTTGTGATGTTTGCATTCAAGTCACGGGTTTGAACATTTCCTTTCATAGAGCAGGATTGAAACACTCTTTCTGTAGTATCTGGAAGTGGACATTTCGAGCGCTTTCAGGCCTAAGTTGAGAAAGGAAATATCTTCAAATAAAAACTAGACAGAAGCATTCTCAGAAACTTATTTGTGATGTGTGTCCTCCAATAACAGAGTAGAACCGTTGGTTTGATACAGAAGTTTAGAAGAACTCTTTTTGTAGAACCTGCAAGTGGATATATGGATAGCTCCGAGGATTTCATTGGAAACGGGAATATCTTCGTATAAAATCAAGACAGAAGGATTCTCAGTAACTTCTTTGTGATGTTTGCATTCAACTCATAGATTTCAACATTCCCTATCATAGCGCAGGTTTGAAACTCTCCTTTTGTAGTATGTGGAAGTGGACATTTGGAGCGCTTTGAGGCCTACGGTGAAAAAGGAAATATCTTCCCATAAAAACTAGACAGAAGCATTCTCAGAAACTTGTTTCTGACGTGTGTATTCAACTAACAGAGTTGAACCTTTCTTTTTACAGAGCAGCTTTGAAACACCCTTTTTGTGGAATCTGCAAGTGGAAATTTCGATAGTTCTGAGGATTTCGTTGGAAACGGGATTACATATAAAAAGTACACAGCAGCATTCTCAGAAACTGCTTTGTGGTGTTTGCATTCAAGTCACATAGTTGAACATTCCCTTTCATAGAGCAGGTTTGAATCACTGTTTCTGTAGTATCTGGAAGTGGATATTTCGTGCGCTTTCAGGCCTAAGGTGAGAAAGGAAATGTTTTCAAATAAGAACTAGACAGACGCATTCTCAGAAACTTATTTGTGATGTGTGTCCTCAACTGAGTTGAACCTTTGTTTTGATACAGCAGTTTGGAAACACTATTTTTGTAGAATCTACAAGTGGATAATTGGAGAGCATTGAAAATTTCGTTGGAAGCGGGAAAACCTTCATATGAAATCTAGACAGAAGCATTCTCAGAAACTTCTTTGTAATGTTTGCATTCAACTCATAGAGTTGAACATTCCCTTTCATACAGCAGGCTTGAAACACTCTTTTTGTAGTATGTGGAAGTGGACATTTGGACCGATTTGAGGCCTACGGTGAAAAAGGAAATATCTTCCCATAAAAACTAGACAGAAGCATTGTCAGAAACTTGTTTGTTATGTCTATACTCAACTGACAGATTTGAACCTTCCCTTTGAACGAGCAGTTTTGAAACACTCTTTTTGTAGAATCTGCAGGTGGATATTTGGATAGGTCTGAGGATTTCCTTGGAAACGGGATTATATATAAAAACTAGACAGCTGCATTCTCAGAAACTTCTTTGTGATGTTTGCATTGAAGTCACAGGTTTGAACATTCCCTTTCATAGAGCAGGTTTGAAACACTCTTTCTGTAGTATCTGGAAGTGGACATTTCGAGTGCTTTCAGGCCTAAGGTGAGAAAGGAAATATCTTCAAATAAACACTAGACAGAAGCATTCTCAGAAACTTATATGTGATGTGTGTCCTCCAATAACAAAGTTGAACTGTTGGTTTGATACAGAAGTCTTGAAAAATTCTTTTTGTAGAATCTGCAAGTGGATATATGGATAGATTGGAAGATTTCGTTGGAAACGGGAATATCTTCATATAAATTCAAGACAGAAGCAGTTTCAGTAACTTGTTTGTGATCTTTGCATTCAACTCATAGATTTGAACATTCCATATCATAGCCCAGGTTTGAAAATCTTTTTTTGTAGTATGTGGAATTGGACAATTGGAGCGCTTTGAGGCCTATTGTGAAAATGGAAATATCTTCCCATTGAAACTAGACAGAAGCATTCTCAGAAACATTTTGTGATGTGTGTATTCAACTAACAGACTTGAACCTTTCTTTTTACAGAGCAGTTTCAAACACTCTTTTTGTGGAATCTGCAAGTGAATATTAGGATAGCTTTGCGGATTTCGTTGGAAACGGGATTACCTATAAAAAGTAGACGACAGCATTCTCAGACACTGCTTTGTGATGTTTGCATTCAAGTCTCAGAGTTGAACATTCCCCATCATAGAGCATGTTTGAAACACTGTTTCTGTAGTATCTGGAAGTGGACATTTCGAGTGCTTTCAGGCATATGATGAGAAAGGAAATACCTTCAAATAAAAACTAGACAGAAGCATTCTCAGAAACTTATTTGTGATGTGTGTCCTCAACTGAGTTGAACCTTTGTTTTGATACAGCAGTTTGGAAACACTATTTTTGTAGAATCAACAAGTGGATAATTGGAGAGCATTGAAAATTTCATTGGAAGCGGGAAAATATTCATATGAAATCTAGACAGAAGCATTCCCAGAAACTTCTTTGTGATGTTTGCATTCAACTCATAGAGTTGAACATTCCCTTTCATACAGCAGGTTTGAAACACTCTCTTTGTAGTATGTGGAAATGGATATTTGGAGTGCTTTGAGGCCTAAGGTGAAGATGGAAATATCTTCCCAAAAAAAATAGACGAAAGCATTCTCGGAATCTTGTTTGTCATGTGTGTACTCAACTAACAGAGTTGAACCTATCTTTTGACAGAGCAGTTTTGAAAAACTCTTTTGTGGAATCTGCAAATGGATATTTGGATAGCTTTGAGGATTTCGTTGGAAACGGGAATAACTTCATATAAAATCTAGACAGAAGCATTCTCAGAATCTTGTTTGTGATGAATGTCCTCAATTAACAGAGTTGAACCTTTGTTTGGATACAGCATTTTGAAACATTCCTTTCGTAGAGTCTGCAATTTGATATTTGGATAGCTTTGAGGATTTCGTTGGAAACGGGAATATCTACATATAAAATCTAGACAGAAGAAATCTCAGAAACTTCTTTGTGATGTTTGCATTCAACTCATAGAGTTGAACATACCCTTTCACACAGCAGGTTTGACACACTCTTTGTATAATATGTGGAAATGGATATTTGGAGCGATTGAGGCCTATGGTGAAGAAGGAAATATCATCCCTAAAAAACTAGACGAAAGCATTCTCGGAATCTTGTTTGCCATGTGTGTACTCAACAAAAAAAGAGTTGAACCTATCTTTTGACAGAGCAGTTTTCAACCACTCTTTTGTGGAATCTGCAAATGGATATTTGGATAGCTTCGAGGATTTCGTTGGAAACGGGAATATCCTCATATAAAATCTAGACAGAAGCATCCTCAGTAACTTCTTTGTGATGTTTGCATTCAACTCATAGGTTTGAACATTCCCTTTCATAGAACAGGTTGGAAACACTCTTTTTGTAGTGTGTGGAAGTGGACATTTGGAGCGCTTTGAGGCCTACGGTGAAAAAGGAAATATCTTCCCATAAAAACTAGACAGAAGCATTCTCAGAAACTTGTTTGTGACGTGTGTATTGAACTAACAGAGTTGAACCTATGTTTTGATACAGCAGTTTGGAAACACTATTTTTGTAGAATCTCCAAATGGATGTTTGGAGACCTTGGAAAATTTCGTAGGACACGGGAATATCTTCATGTAAAATTTAGAGAGAAGCATTCTCAGAATCTGCTTTGTGATGTTTGCATTCAACTCATAGAGTTGAATATTCCCTTTCATACAACAGGTTTGAAACACACTTTGTGTAGTATGTGGAAATGGACATTTAGAGTGCTCTTAGGCCTAAGGTGAAAAGGGAAATATCTTCAAATAAAAACTAGTCAGCAGCATTCTCAGAAACCTCTTTGTGATGTGTGTACTCAACTAACGGAGTTGAACCTTCCTTTTGACAGAGCAGTTTTGAAACACTCTTTTTGTGGAATTTGCAAGTGGATATTTGGATAGATTTGAGGATTTCGTTGGAAACGGGAATATCTTCATATAAAATCAACACAGAAGCATTCTCAGAATCTTCTTTGTGATGTATGTCCTCAATTAACAGAGTTGAACCTTTGTTGGGATACAGCATTTTGGAAACATTCCTTTTGTAGAATCTGCAAGCTAATATTTGGATAGCTTTGAGGATTTCGTTGGAAACGGGAATATCTACATATAAAATCTAGACAGAAGCATTCTCAGTAACTTCTTTGTGATGTTTGCATTCAACTCATAGGTTTGAACATTCCCTTTCATAGAGCAGGGTGGAAACACTCTTTTTGAAGTATGTGGAAGTGGATATTTGGAGGGATTTGAGGCCCACGGTGAAAAAGTAAATATCTTCCATAAAAACTAGACAGAAGCATTCTCAGAAACTTGTTTGTGATGTGTGTATTCAACTAACAGAGTTGAACCTTTCTTTTTACAGAGCAGTTTTGAAACAATCGTTTTATGAAATCTGCCAGTGGAAATTTCGATAGTTCTGAGGATTTCATTGGAAACGGGATTACATATAAAAAGTAGACAGCAGCATTCTCAGAAACTTCTTTGTGATGTTTCCATTCAACTCAGATAGTTGAACATTCCCTTTCATACAGCAGGTTTGAATTGCTGTTTCTGTAGTATCTGGAAGTGGATATTTCGAACGCTTTCAGGTCTAAGGTGAGAAAAGAAATGTCTTCAAATAAAAACTAGACAGAAGTATTCTCAAAAAGTTATTTGTGATGTGTGTCCTCAACCAACAGAGTTAAACCTTTGTTTTCATACAGCAGTTTAGAAACACACTTTTTGTACAATGTACAAGTGGATATTTGGAGAGGTTTGAAAATTTCGTTGGAAGCGGAATACCTTCATATAAAACTAGACAGAAGCATTGTCAGAAACGTCTCTGTGACTTTTGCATTTAACTCATAGAGTTGAACATTCCCCTTCATTCAGCATGTTTGAAACGCTCTCTATAGTATGTGGAAATGGATATTTCGAGTTCTTTGAGGCCTATGGCGAAGAAGGAAATATCTTCCCAAAAAAACTAGACGAAAGCATTCTTTGAATCTTGTTTGTGATGTGTGTACTCAACAAACAGAGTTGAAACTATCTTTTGATAGAGCAGTTTTGATACACTCTTTTTGTAGAATCTGCAAGTGGATATTTGGATACGTTGGAGGATTTCGTCAGAAACGGGAATATCTTCACAAAAAATCTGGACGGAAGCATTCTCAGAACCTACTTTGTGATGTTTGCATTCAACTCACAGAGCTGAACATTCCCTTTCATAGAGCAGGTTTGAAACACTCTGTCTGTACTATCTGGAAGTGGACATTTCGAGCGCTTTCAGGCCTATGGTGAAAAAGGAAATATCTTCAAATAAAAACTAGACAGAAGCATTCTCAGAAACTTGTTTGTGATGTGACCTCAACTAACAGAGTTGAACCTTTGTTTTGATACAGCAGTTTGGAAACACTATTTTCGTAGAATCTACAAATGGATATTTGGAAACCTTTGAAAATTTCGTTGGACACGGGAAAATCTTCATATAAAATCTAGACAAAAGCATTCTCAGAATCTTCTTTGTGATGTTTTCACTCAACTCATAGAGTTGAACATTCCCTTTCATACAGCACGTTTTAAACTCACTTTGTGTAGTATGTGGAAATGGACATTTTGAGCGCTCTTAGGCCTAAGGTGAAAAGGGAAATATATTCAAGTAAAAACTAGTGAGGAGCATTCTCACAAACCCCTTTGTGATGTGTGTACTCAACTAACAGAGTTGAACATTCCTTTTGAGAGAGCAGTTTTGAAACACTCTTTTTGTAGAATTTGCAAGTGGATATTTGGATAGCTTTGAGAATTTCGTTGGAAACGGGAATATCTTCCTATAAAATATAGACAGAAGCATTCTCAGAATCTCCTTTGTGATGTATGTCCTCAATTAACAGAGTTGAACATTTGTTTGGATACAGCATTTTGGAAACATTCCTTTTGTGGAATCTGCAAGTGGATATTTGGATAGCTTGGAGGATTTCGTTGGAAACGGGATTACGTAAAAAACTAGACAGTAGCATTCTCAGGAACTTGTTTGTGATGTTTGCATTCAAGTCACAGAATTGAACATTCCCTGTCATAGAGCAGGTTTGAAACACTCTTTTTGTGATATATGGAAGTGGACATTTCGAGAGCTTTCAGGCCTATGTTGAGAAAGGAAATACCTTCAAATAAAATCTAGACAGAAGCATTCTCAGAAACATATTTGTGATGTGTGTCCTCATCTAACAGAGTTGAACCTTTGCTTTGATACAGCAGTTTGGAAACACTATTTTTGTAGAATCTACAAGTGGATATTTGGAGAGCATTGAAAATTTCGTTCGAAGCAGGAAAACCTTCATATAAAATCTAGACAGAAGCATTCTCAGAAACCTCTTTGTAATGTTTGCATTCAACTCATAGAGTTGAACATTCCCTTTCATACAGCAGGTTTGAAACACTCTTTTTGTAGTATGTGGAAGTGGACATTTGGAGCGCTTTGAGGCCTACGGTGAAAAAGGAAATATCTTCCCATAAAAACTAGACAGAAGCATTCTCAGAAACTTGTTTGTGACGTGTGTATTCAACAAACAGAGTTGAACCTTTCTTTTTACAGAGCAGCTTTGAAACCCTGTTTTTGTGGAATCTGCAATTGGAAATTTCGATAGTTCTGAGGATTTCGTTGGAAACGGGATTACAAATAGAAAGTAGACAGCAGCATTCTCAGAAACTGCTTTGTGATGTTTGCATTCAAGTCACATAGTTGAACATTCCCTTTCATAGATCAGGTTTGAATCACTGTTTCTGTAGTATCTGGAAGTGGGTATTACGAGCGCTTTCAGGCCTAAGGTGAGAAAGGAAATGTCTTCAAATAAGAACTAGACAGAAGCATTCTCAGAAACTTATTTCTGATGTGTGTCCTCAACTAACAGAGATGAACCTTTGTTTTGATACAGCAGTTTGGAAACACTCTTTTTGTAGAATCTACAAGAGGATATTTTGAGAGCATTGAAAATTTCGTTGGAAGCGGGAAAACCTTCATATAAAATCTAGACAGCAGCATTCTCAGAAACTTCTTTGTGATGTTTGCATTCAACTCATAGAGTTGAACATTCCCATTCATACAGCAGGTTTGAGACACTCTTTGTATAGCATGTGCAAATGGATATTTGGAGCGCTTTGAGGCCTATGGTGAAGAAGGAAATATCTTCCCAAAAAAACTAGACGAAAGCATTCTCGGAATCTTGTTTGCCATGTGTGTACTCAACTAACAGAGTTGAACCTATCTTTTGACAGAGCAGTTTTGAAACACTCTTTTTGTGGAATCTGCAAATGGATATTTGGATAGCTTCGAGGATTTCGTTGGAAACGGGAATATCCTCATTTAAAATCTAGACGGAAGCATTCTCAGAACCTGCTTTGTGATGTTTGCATTCAACTCACAGAGCTGAACATTCCCGTTCATAGAGCAGGTTTGAAACACTCTTTCTGTACTATCTAGAAGTGGACATTTTGAGCGCTTTCAGGCCTATGGTGAAAAAGGAAATATCTTCAAATAAAAACTAGACAGAAGCATTCTCTGAAAGTTATTTGTGATGTGTGTCCTCAACTCACGGAGTTCAACCTTCGTTTTGATACAGCAGTTTGGAAACACTCTTTTTGTAGAATCTACAAATGGATATTTGGAGACCTTTGAAAATTTCGTTGGACACGGGAATATCTTCATATAAAATCTAGACAAAAGCATTCTCAGAATCTTCTTTGTGATGTTTGCATTCAACTCATAGAGTTAAACATTCCCTTTCACACAGCACGTTTGAAACACACTTTGTGGAGTATGTGGAAATGGACATTTCGAGCACTCTTAGGCCTAAGGTGAAAAGGGAAATATCTTCAAATAAAAACTAGTCAGCAGCATTCTCAGAAACCTCTTTGTGATGTGTGTACTCAACTAACAGAGTTGAACCTTCCTTTTCACAGAGCAGTTTGGAAACACTCTTTTTGTGGCATTTGCAAGTGGATATTTGGATAGCTTTGAGGATTTCGTTGGAAACGGGAATATTTTCATATAAAATCTAGACAGAAGCATTCTCAGAATCTTCTTTGTGATGTATGCCCTCAATTCACAGAGTTGAACCTTTGTTTCGATACAGCATTTTGGAAACATTCCTTTTGTAGTATCTGCACGTTGATATTTGGATAGCTTTGAGGATTTCATTGCAAACGGGAATATCTACATATAAAACCTAGACAGAAGCATTCTCAGAAACCTCTTTGTAATGTTTGCATTCAACTCATAGGTTTCAACATTCCCTATCATAGAGCAGGTTTGAAACACTCTTTTTGTAGTATGTGGAAGTGGACATTTGGAGCGCTTTGAGGCCTACGGTGAAAAAGGAAATATCTTCCGATAAAAACTAGACAGAAGCATTCTCAGAAACTTGCTTCTGACGTGTATTCAACTAAAAGAGTTGAACCTTTCTTTTTACAGAGCAGCTTTGAAACACACTTTTGTGGAATCTGCAATTGGAAATTTCGATAGTTCTGAGAATTTCTTTGGAAACGGGATTACAAATAGAAAGTAGACAGCAGCATTCTCAGAAACTGCTTTGTGATGTTTCCATTCAAGTCACATAGTTGAACATTCCCTTTCATAGAGCAGGTTTGAATTGCTGTTTCTGTAGTATCTGGAAGTGGATATTTCGAACGCTTTCAGGTCTAAGGTGAGAAAAGAAATGTCTTCAAATAAAAACTAGACAGAAGTATTCTCAAAAAGTTATTTGTGATGTGTGTCCTCAACCAACAGAGTTAAACCTTTGTTTTGATACAGCAGTTTAGAAACACACTTTTCGTACAATGTACAAGTGGATATTTGGAGAGCTTTGAAAATTTCGTTGGAAGCGGAATACCTTCATATAAAACTAGACAGAAGCATTGTCAGAAACGTCTCTGTGACGTTTGCATTTAACTCATAGAGTTGAACATTCCCCTTCATTCAGCAGGTTTGAAACGCTCTCTATAGTATGTGGAAATGGATATTTCGAGTTCTTTGAGGCCTATGGTGAAGAAGGAAATATCTTCCCAAAAAAACTAGACGAAAGCATTCTCGGAATCTTCTTTGCCATGTGTGTACTCAACTAACAGAGTTGACCCTATCTTTTGACAGAGCAGTTTTGAAACACTCTTTTTGTGGAATCTGCAAATGGATATTTGGATAGCTTCGAGGATTTCGTTGGAAACGGGAATATCCTCATATAAAATCTAGACGGAAGCATTCTCAGAACCTGCTTTGTGATGTTTGCATTCAACTCACAGAGCTGAACATTCCCGTTCATAGAGCAGGTTTGAAACACTCTTTCTGGACTTCCTGGAAGTGGATATTTCGAGCGCTTTCAGGCCTATGGTGAAAAAGGAAATATCTTCAAATAAAAACTAGACAGAAGCATTCTCAGAAACTTATTTGTGATGTGTGTCCTCAACTCACAGAGTTCAACCTTTGTTTTGATACAGCAGTTTGGAAACACTCTTTTTGTAGAATCTACAAATGGATATTTGGAGACCTTTGAAAATTTCGTTGGACACGGGAATATCTTCATATAAAATCTAGACAAAAGCATTCTCAGAATCTTCTTTGTGATGTTTGCATTCAACTCATAGAGTTGAACATTCCCTTTCATACAGCACGTTTGAAACACACTTTTTGTAGTATGTGGAAATGGACATTTCGAGCACTTTTAGGCCTAAGGTGAAAAAGGAAATATCTTCAAATAAAAACTAGTCAGAAGCATTCTCAGAAACCTCTTTGTGATGTGTGTATTCAACTAACAGAGTTGAACCTTTCTTTTCACAGAGCAGCTTTGAAACCCTGTTTTTGTGGAATCTGCAATTGGAAATTTCGATAGTTCTGAGGATTTCGTTGGAAACGGGATTACAAATAGAAAGAAGACAGCAGCATTCTCAGAAACTGCTTTGTGATGTTTGCATTCAAGTCACCTAGTTGAACATTCCCTTTCATAGAGCAGGTTTGAATCACTGTTTCTGTAGTATCTGGAAGTGGGTATTTCGAGTGCTTTCAGGCCTAAGGTGAGAAAGGAAATGTCTTCAAATAAGAACTAGACAGAAGCATTCTCAGAAACTTATTTGTGATGTGTGTCCTCAACTAACAGAGATGAACCTTTGTTTTGACACAGCAGTTTGGAAACACTCTTTTTGTAGAATCTACAAGAGGATATTTTCAGAGCATTGAAAATTTCGTTGGAAGCGGGAAAACCTTCATATAAAATCTAGACAGCAGCATTCTCAGAAACTTCTTTGTGATGTTTGCATTCAACTCATAGAGTTGAACATTCCCATTCATACAGCAGGTTTGAGACACTCTTTGTATAGCATGTGGAAATGGATATTTGGAGCGCTTTGAGGCCTATGGTGAAGAAGGAAATATCTTCCCAAAAAAACTAGACGAAAGCATTCTCGGAATCTTGTTTGCCATGTGTGTACTCAACTAACAGAGTAGAACCTATCTTTTGACAGAGCAGTTTTGAAACACTCTTTTTGTGGAATCTGCAAGTGGATATTTGGATAGCTTCGAGGATTTCGTTGGAAACGGGAATATCCTCATTTAAAATCTAGACGGAAGCATTCTCAGAACCTGCTTTGTGATGTTTGCATTCAACTCACAGAGCTGAACATTCCCGTTCATAGAGCAGGTTTGAAACACTCTTTCTGTACTATCTGGAAGTGGACATTTCGAGCGCTTTCAGGCCTATGGTGAAAAAGGAAATATCTTCAAATAAAAACTAGACAGAAGCATTCTCAGAAACTTATTTGTGATGTGTGTCCTCAACTCACAGAGTTCAACCTTTGTTTTGATACAGCAGTTTGGAAACACTCTTTTTGTAGAAACTACAAATGGATATTTGGAGACCTTTGAAAATTTCGTTGGACACGGGAATATCTTCATATAAAATCTAGACAAAAGCATTCTCAGAATCTTCTTTGTGATGTTTGCATTCAACTCATAGAGTTGAACATTCCCTTTCATACAGCACGTTTGAAACACACTTTGTGGAGTATGTGGAAATGGACATTTCGAGCACTCTTAGGCCTAAGGTGAAAAGGGAAATATCTTCAAATAAAAACTAGTCAGCAGCATTCTCAGAAACCTCTTTGTGATGTGTGTACTCAACTAACAGAGTTGAACCTTCCTTTTCACAGAGCAGTTTGGAAACACTCTTTTTGTGGCATTTGCAAGTGGATATTTGGATAGCTTTGAGGATTTCGTTGGAAGCGGGAATATTTTCATATAAAATCTAGACAGAAGCATTCTCACAATCTTCTTTGTGATGTATGCCCTCAATTCACAGAGTTGAACCTTTGTTTGGATACAGCATTTTGGAAACATTCCTTTTGTAGAATCTGCAAGTTGATATTTGGATAGCTTTGAGGATTTCGTTGGAAACGGGAATATCTACATATAAAATCTAGACAGAAGCATTCTCAGAAACCTCTTTGTAATGTTTGCATTCAACTCATAGAGTTGAACATTCCCTTTCATACAGCAGGTTTGAAACACTCTTTTTGTAGTATGTGGAAGTGGACATTTGGAGCGCTTTGAGGCCTACGGTGAAAAAGGAAATATCTTCCCATAAAAACTAGACAGAAGCATTCTCAGAAACTTGTTTGTGACGTGTGTATTCAACTAACAGAGTTGAACCTTTCTTTTTACAGAGCAGCTTTGAAACCCTGTTTCTGTGGAATCTGCAATTGGAAATTTCGATAGTTCTGAGGATTTCGTTGGAAACGGGATTACAAATAGAAAGTAGACAGCAGCATTCTCAGAAACTGCTTTGTGATGTTTGCATTCAAGTCACCTAGTTGAACATTCCCTTTCATAGAGCAGGTTTGAATCACTGTTTCTGTAGTATCTGGAAGTGGGTATTTCGAGCGCTTTCAGGCCTAAGGTGAGAAAGGAAATGTCTTCAAATAAGAACTAGACAGAAGCATTCTCAGAAACTTATTTGTGATGTGTGTCCTCAACTAACAGAGATGAACCTTTGTTTTGATACAGCAGTTTGGAAACACTCTTTTTGTAGAATCTACAAGAGGATATTTTGAGAGCATTGAAAATTTCGTTGGAAGCGGGAAAACCTTCATATAAAATCTAGACAGCAGCATTCTCAGAAACTTCTTTGTGATGTTTGCATTCAACTCATAGAGTTGAACATTCCCATTCATACAGCAGGTTTGAGACACTCTTTGTATAGCATGTGGAAATGGATATTTGGAGCGCTTTGAGGCCTATGGTGAAGAAGGAAATATCTTCCCAAAAAAACTAGACGAAAGCATTCTCGGAATCTTGTTTGCCATGTGTGTACTCAACTAACAGAGTTGAACCTATCTTTTTAAAGAGCAGTTTTGAAACACTCTTTTTGTGGAATCTGCAAGTGGATATTTGGATAGCTACGAGGATTTCGTTGGAAACGGGAATATCCTCATTTAAAATCTAGACGGAAGCATTCTCAGAACCTGCTTTGTGATGTTTGCATTCAACTCACAGAGCTGAACATTCCCGTTCATAGAGCAGGTTTGAAACACTCTTTCTGTACTATCTGGAAGTGGACATTTCGAGCGCTTTCAGGCCTATGGTGAAAAAGGAAACATCTTCAAATAAAAACTAGACAGAAGCATTCTCAGAAACTTATTTGTGATGTGTGTCCTCAACTCACAGAGTTCAACCTTTGTTTTGATACAGCAGTTTGGAAACACTCTTTTTGTAGAATCTACAAATGGATATTTGGAGACCTTTGAAAATTTCGTTGGACACGGGAATATCTTCATATAAAATCTAGACAAAAGCATTCTCAGAATCTTCTTTGTGATGTTTGCATTCAACTCATAGAGTTGAACATTCCCTTTCATACAGCACGTTTGAAACACACTTTGTGGAGTATGTGGAAATGGACATTTTGAGCACTCTTAGGCCTAAGGTGAAAAGGGAAATATCTTCAAATAAAAACTAGTCAGCAGCATTCTCAGAAACCTCTTTGTGATGTGTGTACTCAACTAACAGAGTTGAACCTTCCTTTTCACAGAGCAGTTTGGAAACACTCTTTTTGTGGCATTTGCAAGTAGATATTTGGATAGCTTTGAGGATTTCATTGGAAACGGGAATATTTTCATATAAAATCTACACAGAAGCATTCTCAGAATCTTCTTTGTGATGTATGCCCTCAATTCACAGAGTTGAACCTTTGTTTGGATACAGCATTTTGGAAACATTCCTTTTGTAGTATCTGCAAGTTGATATTTGGATAGCTTTGAGGATTTCGTTGGAAACGGGAATATCTACATATAAAACCTAGACAGAAGCATTCTCAGAAACCTCTTTGTAATGTTTGCATTCAACTCATAGGTTTCAACATTCCCTATCATAGAGCAGGTTTGAAACACTCTTTTTGTAGTATGTGGAAGTGGACATTTGGAGCGCTTTGAGGCCTACGGTGAAAAAGGAAATATCTTCCGATAAAAACTAGACAGAAGCATTCTCAGAAACTTGCTTCTGACGTGTATTCAACTAAAAGAGTTGAACCTTTCTTTTTACAGAGCAGCTTTGAAACACACTTTTGTGGAATCTGCAATTGGAAATTTCGATAGTTCTGAGAATTTCTTTGGAAACGGGATTACAAATAGAAAGTAGACAGCAGCATTCTCAGAAACTGCTTTGTGATGTTTGCATTCAAGTCACATAGTTGAACATTCCCTTTCATAGGGCAGGTTTGAATCACTATTTCTGTAGTATCTGGAAGTGGATATTTCGAGCGCTTTCAGGCCTAAGGTGAGAAAGGAAATATCTTCAAATAAGAACTAGACAGAAGCATTCTCAGAAACTTATTTGTGATGTGTGTCCTCAACTAACAGAGTTGAACCTTTGTTTTGACACAGCAGTTTGGAAACACTCTTTTTGTAGAATCTACAAGTGGATATTTTGAGAGCATTTTAAATTTCGTTGGAAGCGGGAAAACCTTCATATAAAATCTAGACAGAAGCATTCTCAGAAACTTCTTTGTAATGTTTGCATTCAACTCATAGAGTTGAACATTCCCTTTCATACAGCAGGTTTGAAACACTCTTTTTGTAGTATGTGGAAGTGGACATTTGGAGCGCTTTGAGGCCTACGGTGAAAAAGGAAATATCTTCCCATAAAAACTAGACAGAAGCATTCTCAGAAACTTGTTTGTGACGTGTGTATTCAACTAACAGAGTTGAACCTTTCTTTTTACAGAGCAGCTTTGAAACCCTGTTTCTGTGGAATCTGCAATTGGAAATTTCGATAGTTCTGAGGATTTCGTTGGAAACGGGATTACAAATAGAAAGTAGACAGCAGCATTCTCAGAAACTGCTTTGTGATGTTTGCATTCAAGTCACATAGTTGAACATTCCCTTTCATAGAGCAGGTTTGAATCACTGTTTCTGTAGTATCTGGAAGTGGGTATTTCGAGCGCTTTCAGGCCTAAGGTGAGAAAGGAAATGTCTTCAAATAAGAACTAGACAGAAGCATTCTCAGAAACTTATTTGTGATGTGTGTCCTCAACTAACAGAGATGAACCTTTGTTTTGATACAGCAGTTTGGAAACACTCTTTTTGTAGAATCTACAAGAGGATATTTTGAGTGCATTGAAAATTTCGTTGGAAGCGGGAAAACCTTCATATAAAATCTAGACAGCAGCATTCTCAGAAACTTCTTTGTGATGTTTGCATTCAACTCATAGAGTTGAACATTCCCATTCATACAGCAGGTTTGAGACACTCTTTGTATAGCATGTGGAAATGGATATTTGGAGCGCTTTGAGGCCTATGGTGAAGAAGGAAATATCTTCCCAAAAAAACTAGACGAAAGCATTCTCGGAATCTTGTTTGCCATGTGTGTACTCAACTAACAGAGTTGAACCTATCTTTTGACAGAGCAGTTTTGAAACACTCTTTTTGTGGAATCTGCAAATGGATATTTGGATAGCTTCGAGGATTTCGTTGGAAACGGGAATATCCTCATTTAAAATCTAGACGGAAGCATTCTCAGAACCTGCTTTGTGATGTTTGCATTCAACTCACAGAGCTGAACATTCCCGTTCATAGAGCAGGTTTG